>NC_000007.14:2740242-5240242 GCF_000001405.40 Homo sapiens | reverse complement strand
CAGGAAAGGCAGGGCGGGGGCGGGGAGGGGTGCAGGGGAGCTCACCTGGCCCGGCCTGCCTCCCTTGTCTACCCAGCTTGCAGGGCCTCAGCAGCTCCAGGAGTCTGACAACAGCGCTCTGGGGAGGAAAATCTTACCAAGGAAGAGTTTGTAACTGTAGCATGCTTGTAAACTAGAATATTATTATTTTTTTTTTTGGTAGAGGCTGCGGCGGGTCTCAAACTGTTGCCCAGGCTGGTCTCGAACTCCTGGCCTCAAGTGATCTTCCTGTCTCAGCCTCCTGAGTAGCTGGGCATATCAGCCCACCTGGCTAATTTTTTTTTTTTTTTTTTTTTTTTTTTTTGAGCTGGAGTCTCGCTCTGTCGCCCAGGCTGGAGTGCAGTGGCGCGATCTCGGCTCACTGCAAGCTCCGCCTCCCGGGTTCACGCCATTCTCCTGGCTCAGCCTCCCGAGTAGCTGGGACTACAGGCGCCCGCCACCACGCCCGCCTAAGTTTTTGTATTTTTAGTAGAGAGGGGGTTTTACCGTGTTAGCTGGGATGGTCTTGATCTCCTGACCTTGTGATTCTCCTGCCTCGGCCTCCAAAGTGCTGGGATTACAGGCGTGACCCACCATGCCCGGCCACACCTGGCTAATTTTTTAATTTTTCGTAAAGACGGGGGTCTTGCTCTGTTGCCCAGGCTGGTCTTCAACTCCCAGCCTCAAGCAATCCTCTCACCTCGGGCTCTCAAAGTGCTGGGATTACAGGTGTGAGCCACTGTGCCTGGCCCCTAGGATACTATTTTATATTTCTAAAGATATCTGCATTATTTATTTATTTATTTATTTATTTTTGAGACAGAGTCTCACTCTGTCGTCCAGGCTGGAGTGCGGTGGCGCCATCTCGGCTCACTGCAACCTCCGCCTCCCGGGTTCAAGCGATTCTCCTGCCTCGGCCTCCCGAGTTGCTGGGATTACAGGCACGCGCCACCACGCTCAGCCAATTTTTTTATATTTTTAGTAGAGATGGGGTTTCACCACGTTGGCCAGGCTGGTCTCGAACTCCTGACCTTGTGATCTGCCTGCCTCGGCCTACCAAAGTGCTGCGATTCCAGGCGTGAGCCACCGCGCTCAGGCAATTTTTTGTATTTTTAGTAGAGACGGGGTTTCACCATTTTGGCCAGGCTGGTCTCGAACTCCTGACCTCGTGATCCGCCCGCATCAGCCTCCCGAAGTGCTGGGATTCCAGGCGGGACCCTCTGCGCCCACCGGGTGCTTGGCTTTAAAGGTGACTTGTCCTCCCGCCCACGCCATTCCTCAGAGTCACTGCAGGACTGAATGAATGGCGAGGGCAGGCGGGCAGGAGGCTCCAGGACTTCCTTCAGAGCCCGTTTCATTTTACTTAGGGCTTCTGCTAGTTAGTACCCGTGTGCTCTGGGATGCTGGTTTAAGCAGAAAATCCCAGCTGTTATTTCCAAAGCTGGTGGCGGAGTTTAGAAGTTTCTCGACTTAACATGCACCGTGCCTCCTCACACCGAGCGCAGATCCGCGCCCTGCAGACAGAGCTGTGCGCGCCAGGGAGCCAGTTCCCCAACCCTGCCGTTCTGCGGCCCTCGGTGGACTTCGGTCCGAACTCTCCCAGGTCCCCAGGCTCAGGCACAGGCTCAGCACTAAACGCACCAGGGAAGGTCAAGAGGAGGGCGCTGAGGGGACCTCCCCGAGGGAGAGGAAAGGCAGGGAAAAGTCTTCAGATTCCCTTGAGGAAAGGTGCTTCGCCGTCGCAGGGAGCCCAAGCACATTTCTGCGCTGACCCACTAAAAAGTAATGTCGCACAGGAAGAAAAAGCCACTTCTAAAAGCAGCAACAGGGCCGGGCGCAGTGGCTCACGCCCGTAATCTCAACACTTTGGGAGGTCGAGTCGGGTGGATCACCTGAGGTCAGGAGGTTTTTTTGTTTGTTTGTTTGTTTGTTTTTTGTGACAGAGTCTTGCTCTGTCGCCCAGCCTGGAGTGCAGTGGCGTGATCTTGGCTCACTGCAACCTCCGTCTCGCAGGTTCAAGTGATTCTTCTGCCTCAGCCTCCCGAGTAGCTGGGACTACAGGGGCGCACCACCAAGCCAGGCTAATTTTTTTTTCTTTTTTAGTAGAGACGGGGTTTCACCATATTGGCCAGGCTGGTCTCGAACTCCTGACCTCAGGTGATCCGCCCACTTCAGCCTCCCAAAGTGCTGGGATTACAGGCGTGAGCCACCGCGCCCGGCCGAGGCCAGGAGTTTGAGAACAGCCTTGGAAACATGGTGGAACCTCGTCTCTACAGAAACATGCAAAATTATCCAGGCTTGGTGGTGCGCACCTGTAATCCCAGCTACTCCAGAGGCTGAGGCAGGAGAACTGCTTGAACCTGAGAGGTGGAGGTTGCAGTGACCCAAGATCATGTCATTGCACTCCAGCCTGGGCTACAGAGCGAGACTCCCATCTCAAAGAAAAAAAAAATAAAATCAGAAGCAGAAGCTGTAACAGAAACAGAAATCAGCACAGGGAATAGTGGAGTCTTGTGTGTGTCCGAGGGATGACACGATGCTCAGCGTCTGCTCAGACAGACGGTGGCTGTGAGAAGCCCTGATGGGAGAGCTGCCAGCCTGGACAGCCGGCTGTGAAGACTCCACGCCAACCAACGTCCCGCAGGCCGCACGGAGATGGGCAGGACCGAAACACACAAGGCTTGGCCTTTGATGAAAAGGAACTCCCCAAGCCAGAAGGAAGTGTGTGATGAAGCAATTCAGCTCAGAGAAGGATGTGCTTCTAGAAGAATCGCCGCATCAGCACTATGTTTAAACTCACATGCTAATCCAAACATGGACCGGCAAGAACGCAGGCGGAACAGGTCCACCGTGTCCTGGCCCACGCACAAGCGGGCCAGCTGTTCCACCAACGCAATCATTCAGCTGCGGCGACACCCGGAGGGGCTCCCCTGTGTAATGCCCCCCACCCTGGGAGAGCTGGGTTTCTTTTTGTTTTCTTTTTTCTTTTTCTTTTTTTTTTTTTTGAGACGGAGGCTCACTCTGTCGCCAGGCTGGAGTGCAGTGGGCGATCTCGGCTTACTGCAAGCTCCACCTCCCGGGTTCAGGCCATTCTCCTGCCTCAGCCTCCCGAGTAGCTGAAACTACAGGCGCCTGCAACCACGCCCGGCTACTTTTTTGTATTTTTAGTAGAGACGGGGTTTCACCGTGTTAGCCAGGACTATCTCGATCTCCTGACCTCGTGATCCACCCGCCTCGGCCTCCCAAAGTGCTGGGATTACAGGTGTGAGCCACCACGCCTGGCCGAGTTGGGTTTCTTTAAAAGATTTTAGTCAGGCTTCTGGCATTTTGCTATAATATTCTAGGTAGAATTATAGGGCAATTTGGTACAAATTAGATGTTTAAGGCTGGGCTCGGTGGCTCATGCCTGTAATCCCAGTACTTCGGGAGGCCGAGGTGGGTGGATCACGAAGTCAGGAATTCGAGACCAGTCTGACCAACGTGGTGAAACCCCGTCTCTACTAAAAGTACAAAAATTAGCCTTGCGTGGTGGTGGGCACCTGTAATCCCAGCTACTCAGGAGGCTGAGGCAGGAGAATCGCTTGAACTTGGGAGGCAGAGGTTGCAGTGAGCTGAGATCGCACCACTGCACTCCAGCCTGGGTGACAGAGTGAGACTGTCTCAAAAACAAACCAAACAAACAAAAACAAATGAGATGTTCAGCCTGTGAGTAGGCAACAAAAAAATAGAACACAGGTTTTAATTTTAAGAGAGGGGGTCTTGCTATGTGGTCCAGACTGGCCTTGCCTCAAATTGCTGGTCTCAAGCGATCCTCCTGCCTTGGCCTCCCAAGAAGCTGGGATTATAGGTGTGAGCCACCACGTCCAATTCTTTAGCGTGTTATAAAATGCTGATAGCAATGGGCTTTCAGTCAGATTTGGTGGGGGAATGTAATCAGTATGTTCACCTGAAGCTCAGGCAGGCACACACACACACACTCACAGACACACACACACACACACATGCACGCACACTGGCAGCACCAAAAACAGCTTCACCTAAAATGAAGTGTTAAGAGGAATCTATTTACATTATAACTAACTATAGAAAGAAACGATGTAGAGGTGAGGAATCAAGACAGTCTCTTCACATTCTGAACTTTAGAAAGATTTCATTTTTCTTTTTTCTTTTTTTTTTTTTTGAGACAGAGCTGTGCTCTGTCACCCAGGCTGGAGTGCAGTGGCATGATCTCTGTTCACTGCAAACTCTGCCTCCCGGGTTCAAGCGATTCTCCTGCCTCAGCCTCCTGAGTTGCTGGGATTACAGGCACATGCCACCATGCCCATGTATTTTTAGTAGAGACGGGGTTTCACCATGTTGGTCAAGCTGGTCTCAAACGCCTGACCTTGTGATCCACCCGCCTTGGCCTCCCAAAGTGCTGGGATTACAATAGGCATGAGCCACCGCGCCCGGCCTCATTTTTCTAAATTAGAGACTTTCCTAGCTGGTTATTAGGGAAGGGTAAGAACTGGTCACATCTCAAAACCCTGAGATTGGTTTTGTTTTGTTTTTGTGCTTCAGAAAAACCCACAGATTGAAAAGGTATGACATAGGTGAAGGGTTATGACCTGGGTCAGAACTAAAAGATACGTCAGAAAAACCCTATCTGCTTGGCCAATGATTATCATGATATATTTTCAGTAAGAAATAAGTCATAAAAAAGAGAATTCTATGTAAAGCAGGGAGGCGACCCAAACAGAAGTCCCACGGTTTCCCTGCACGTTCTTTTTACATCTCCAACACCACAGAGCTGAAGCCGAACGGTCCCGCCTCTCTCTTAAGTACGCTTGTAAAATAACGCATTTGGATTTCCTGCTTGCTGGCCATGGTGTCACATGTCCGTTTCTTTTTCTTTTTCTTTTTTGAGACAGTCTCACTCTGTTGCCCAGGTGAGAGTGCAGTGGCATGACTCAGCTCACTGCAACCTCCACCTCCCGGTTTCAAGCAACTGTCCTGCCTCAGCCTCCAGAGTAGCTGGGATTACAGGCACCCACCACCACGCCTGGTTACTTTTTGTATTTTTAGTAGAGACAGGTTTTGCCATGTTGGCCAGGCTGGCCTCGAACTCCTGACCTTAGATGATCCGCCCGCTTCTGCCTCCCAAAGGGTTGGGATTACAGGCATGAGCCACCTCATGTACATTTCAAACAAGTGACTCGGTCATTCCCTGCATGCAAAGGTCTGGTCTACAAAGATGTAGGGCAGGGGACACACGAAACAACAAGCCTGGCCCATCCCCACCCTTTGCCAATGTGGTTATGAAAACCACGAGCAGCGGGGCGAGGTGGCTCATGGCTATAATCTCAGCACTTTGGGAGGCCGAGGCGGGTGGATCACTTGAGGTCAGGAGTTCGAGACCAGCCTGGCCAACATGGTGAAACCCGGTCTCTACTAAAAATACAAAAATTAGCCGGACGTGGTGGTGCGTGCCTATAGTCCCAGCTACTTAGGAGGCTGAGGGAGAATTGCTTGAACCCAGGAGGTGCACGTTGCAGTGAGCCGAGATCGTGCCACTGCACTCCAGCCTGGGCGACAGAGCGAGACTCAGTCTCAAAAAAAAAAAACCACAAAAACCCCCAAACAAAAAACTAAACCAAAAAAACCAGACGAGCAACAGGGATGAGCATGTTTTCTGCCACCCCTTGTCCCGTTTCCTTGGCTAAGCTGTGGCCAAAGCACTCCCGGCCTTTTACACATGGAGCCCACTGCTGGTTGTGGAGGTAGGAAGACTCCCTCTCTCCCCTCTCCAAATGAAACCGTGCGTGGGAAGAATCACCCAGTTCTCTCTGTGGCAGGGAACGGCAGCCATGGAGCTCCTGGGTCCCCTGACAGGGGCAGGGCCTGCTGTTCCAGGGCGCCCACCACCTCCCAGACCAGCTCGCACCACCTGCCCGTTAAGCTTGGTGTTGAGAAAAGGCGGGGATGAAAGAGACCCACGTGTAACCTCCATGTGAATTACACTTTTTTTTTTTGAGACAGAGTCTTGCTCTGTCGCCTAGGCTGCAGTGCACTGATGCAATCTTGGCTCCTGGCAACCTCTGCCTCCCAGGTTCAAGCGATTCTCCTGCTTCAGCCTCCCAAGTAGCTGGGATTACAGACGTGCACCATCCCCCGCCCCACCCCCCCAGCTAATTTTTGTATTTTTAGTAGAAATGTCGTTTCACCATGTTGGCCAGGCTGGTCTCGAATTCCTAACCTCAAGTGATCCGCCCACCTTGGCCTCCCAAAGTGCTGGGATTACAGGTGTGAGCCACCGTGCCTAGCCTCTGAATTACACTTCTTACCCGTATTGTCACCTCCCTCCCGCCTGGCTTATTCAAAAACCAGAACTGAATAAAAATCGTGTTTAATTGCAGAAGACACATTTATGTTGTAGCGTTTATTGGGTGCCCACCGCTGGCTGGGCACCGAGCTGGGCGTTTGCAGGACACGCAGTCACACAACACCTCACAACAGCCCTGTGAGGTAGGGATGAGTCCCATGGAACGGTCCAGAAAACGCAGGCTCCCAGGCGCCCTGCCTGCTCCCACAGCTAGGCAGGCGGTACAGCGGGGACTGAAGCAGTTCTTTTTGACTCCAGGTTCCATCCAGCTCTTGGTCCCATTGTTTTAGAGATTACAGAAGGTTTGGTCCCAGAGTCCACTGAGCCCATTCACAACGTTTACAGGTTTTGTTTCCTATCCCCCACGCTCATCGTCCTTTTTGAAGTTTGGAAAAATACAATTTAAAAATGAATATGAGTGTACAGTTTGGAGTTCGGAAAATTAGCACACGTTCTGTTTGGTTCAGGGTCCCTCTCCACCTGGGTCACTGGCGCAGCAGTAAGAGTTCTAACGGGCAACTCAGCGGCCTCCCTCTGTCCCCGTCACTCCTGAGCATGTCTGAGGCCGCCAGTGAGGCTGGGACTCATAGGTTCGAGCAGAGGAAGAGGAGCTGGTGGCAGTGAAATGGGCAACGGGAAAGTGGAGGCGGGTAACCCTCCACAATGGCTGCTCAGCAAACACAGAAATCCTCTTCATTCTTCTCGACCAAGAATCTGCAGTCCTCCTCCCTCCTCTAGGGCGCACAGCTTAGCCCTGACCCAGGCAAGCACAGGGCTTCCCGTGGTCTGCAGGGAACGCACCTAGCCAGCCCTGCCAGGGCCACCCAAGGGGGAGTGTGGGCCGAGGGTCACAGGACGTCCGAGGCCTCCTCTGCAACTGCCTCATCTTACAGTGCGGGAAGCCGAGGCTGAGCGAGGAAGACAATTCCCAGCATCTTCTATACTACCAATCCCAAAGAAAGACAAAAGAGACCTGGCAAAGGAAATTTGAGTCTCCAAATCACCACCACAGGCAGGCACCAGAACAAACGATACTTTAACGCAGAACTGGAAATGCAGCTCACTCTTTGGTGACAGGAAACCCTAGCTCAGGGTTCCGTATCTCTTGTGCACACTTTTTCCCCCCACACTCACTCTTGCCAAAAGTGGCTCCCAGGAGATGGAGTGCACGGTCAGGTTCTAGAGAGAGCCCTCTGGCCTTGCACCACAAGACGCAGGCGTGGGTCAAGGCTGCGTGCTGCCGCGGCCCTTCTCATCCCTGCTCAAGCATAGCCCACTCTGGCCTCGGCGGTCCCCACTGTCTCAGCCTGCGTGACCGGGATCCCATTTCATCAAAGGTCCAGGACAGACAAGCAGGTTTTGAAGGAAAAGTTCAATCAGCCCACTTGCACCTCTGCCTAATGCAGATGTTGTGTGTGCCGCACACCAGCGGCTGGGAGGAAGCCGGTGTAGGTGAGTCGGACTCCAGCGTCCCCTGCATTTAGTTTGCCGTAAAGCCAACCCAGGAACACTGGGGCATTTCACCGCAGCCGCTCAGCTGAGGGGACAACTCCCCTCCAGCTCTTCGCCCAGCGTGACCATGACAACCATCTGGAAACAGGCGTCCCAGCCTTCCTCGGTTCAAAAACCCCAGCCTGCAAAGGCAGGGTAAATAGTTTTTGCCTTTTCCCTTCTATCCGTAACTTCCACCACTCCATAGATTCTAAAACCATCTCTCCTGCCATTAATGCCACTTAAATGCCCTCGACACTTTGGCTGCTGGGTGCCTTGGTTTGGAATGCAGAGTCTGAGGTACTTGAGGTTGTTTTAATTCTGTAAATATGAAAAGGGAAGGGAAGCGAGGCAAATACTGAAGCTTGCAACCACAATCTCTCATCGGTTTGCTGAGGAAATTTTCTAAGATGAAAATAGAAAGGCACATGACGCCCTGTGAAGGACGTGGCCCAGCCGCCTACTCTCTGTTGCTGTCTCCCGCTACGACCTCTCACACAGGTAGGAAGCCCCTGCGGACAGCGGGGCCAGCGAAAGGACAGCTCAGACGGCCACCACACTTGAGTTCTGTGCTTTCCTGGGCATGGGAGGAGCTACAAACTTTACTTAAAAAAAAAAAAAAATCACACAGTTTTTCAACAGGAAGAGTGAAGTAGAAGAACAGATCATTTAATTATACAAACAAAATCGCTTTCCTTTGCTCCAGCGAGTCCAGGCAACCTTTCAAGTTCATTTGCTGCCTGAAAGAAAGGTTTTTAGTATCAGAAAGAACCTCGCTGTCCTCCAATATCCACAGGGAAAACAAGATCAGAAACAAAAGTCCACCATGGAAGAAATCCCAGAGCGATCCAATTTGGAAAGAATTTAATTAACAAAATAAAACGGAGGGAAAATGGTCCAGGTGGGGCCCTAGGGAGATCGGACTTCTGTCCCAGCTGAAGTCTGCCCAGCACACCTGGTGGGCAGCCCCTGGGCCTGTCACTGCAGAACTGGCCTTGACAAGCAGACCCACTGTGCGCGACGCCACGGTTTCCTTACGCACTCGGCATTATGTACAGATATGAAAAAACCCAACGGCAGGTGGCTGGAAAGTGGCTTCTAGCTCCCCTATGCTGGCTTGGCACGTTCATGCATGCAAAGCGAGGAGGTTTTGCGGGCTTCACCAAACAGTTAATTTTGGCAAAAAGAGAAAACAAACAAACAAAAAGCTAAAATTCATAAGCAGGATTTAAAAGCCACTGAAGTGAAAATGATGTATTTCCTCAGCGTTATGGAGTTAGACTACCACTACAATCTTTTTTTTTTTTTAATAAAGTCTCTGCCATCCTCTCCCCCGACTCAGGTCAAAGTTCATAGCAGCAATGCACAAAGTCCTCTGTGAAGCCAGTGTTCTCTGCTCCCCGGGTCAGAGGTCACAGGTCAAGTTCAGTCAGTCCGAAGAATCATGGGCGGGTGCTCGCTGTCCTCATCCAGGCGCAGGGCGCTGGCCTCGTCCTCCAGGCAGGCGCCACCCACAGCACCCAGGTCGTCTGTGTAGGCTGCAAAGAGACGACGAAGTCACCCTTCAAAGGCTGGGGACACACCACAGACCCCATGACACACACTGAGGACTGTGTTTTGGAAACACTGGTGTATATTTATAAACTGAAGCCTGTACTAAGACGTTCTGAATTCTGATTGCTTTCTAATGAACTCTTTGCAGCCTTAGGCAGCTCGAGATGAAGTCATTTGTTCTCTGACATTCATAAATGTCAAAATGATGCCTGCACAGTAAACAGAGGCTCCCTCATGGACGGGCCACAAACTCTCTCAAGCTGGTTAAGAGCTCAAAAATAACACCAGGAAAAAAAATGACACTAGGAGACTCTCAGGGTGGGCTCATGAACTGGAAGTGCCGGTTCACAGATGGGAGTGGCAGCGAGCAGGCACAGCCCTGCGTGGGTGCAAAACCACAGGCTCTCCCACTGGAGTGCGAGTTGGCTTTTTTAAGAAGGTGGCTCACATAGCCAAGGCTGTGGCTGGAGGATCTCATGCATGGGTCTTAGTGCTGCCGCCGGAGGGGAGCCCATTGGCCTCATTCCCCTACAGCTTCTGCACTTCACAGGCCCAGCATGAAGGCAGTACTCGATGCAGATTTGCTGAAGGACGAAAAAGGTGGGAGGGAAAAGACTGAGGCAAAACCCTTGGCAGTACTTTTCAGGGTGGTATCTTGGCTGAGAGGTGGCCAGTCTGGGCCCAAGTCACGTGACCCCAGAGTCACCTGAGCCAGGATGACATTTTCTTTAAAAACGGAGAAAATGAGCCTGGTACGGTGGCTCATGCCTATAATCCCAGCACTGTGGGAGGCTGAGGCGGGAGAATCACTTGAGCCCAGGAGGAGTTTGAGACCACCCTGGGCAACATAGGGAAACCCCATCTCTCCTTTAAAAAAAAAAAAAAAAAAGGAAACGAAACTGAATTCAGCCTTGAGAGAGGCCTTGGGAACACCCATTTACCAACCTCGCTTATGTTCTCAGAACCAGTCCCCATCTTTCCCAGTGAGGAGCTGGTGGGGTGGCTCCGGAGCCAGCAGAAGGCAGTAGCACTCGGGGCTGTGGGGCTAATTACCTTCCAGGTTTGCGTCACGCCCCTTACCAAGTCTCGTTGGGGATGAAGGCACGTAAGTACCTTTTCCTGCAGCTGCGCCGTATGTCTGAGTGACTAAGGGGCAGTCGTGAGAGGCAGAGTCCAAGATCTCATTGGTCGTTTCCAGACTGCCGTCCAGCCTGGAGGGAAGAAAGCGACACAGCTCAGCGTCTCCACACAGGGCAGCCCTGCGGGCAGTACACACTGGCTGCCCTGCGGCAACAGAGCCAGCACACCACTCACCACACAGGACGCCAGGCATTCATCACGCCGTGGCAACTTTAATCTCGTCTATCTGCACACGTTTTTACATGAAGAGTTTTACATGGAAAGTCTAAAGAGGGAGTTATACCTAACAAGACAATATTTCACTTTTACAATGGAAGAACTAACTAATAACGAGGATTCACTATTTACAAAAAAAGTCAGGCTAGCCCGGGTGCAGTGGCTCACGCCTGTAATCCCAGCACTTTGGGAGGCTGAGGCGGGCGGATCACGAGGTCAGGAGACGGAGACCATCCTGGCTAACACAGTGAAACCCCGTCTCTACTAAAAATACAAAAAATTAGCAGGGCATGGTGGCATGCACCTGTCATCCCAGCTACTCGGGAGGCTGAGGCAGGAGAATCGCTTGAACCTGGGAGGCGGAGATTGCAGTGAGCCGAGATCGCGCCACTGTACTCCAGCCTGGGTGACAGAGTGAGACTCCATTTCACACACACACACAAAAAGCTAGGTGCAGCGGCTCACTCCTGTTACCCCAACACTTGGGGAGGCCAAGGCAGGAGGCTCACTTGAGCCTAGGAGTTCCAGACCAGCCTGGACAACCTAGCAAGACCCTGCACAAGAAAGTAATTAGCTGGATGTGCTGTGTGCCTGTAGTCCCAGCTACTAGGGAGGCTGAGGTGGAAGGATCCCTTGAACCTGGGAGGTCAAGGCTGCAGTGAGCTGTGACTGCACCACTGCTCTCCAGCCTGGGCGAGGGTGAGACCCTATCTCTAAAATAAAAAATTATATGTTGTTAGAACTTTTTGATCATTAAAAAACATGTAAGACAGAATGAAAATGCATTACTTCCCAATGAACAAATGTTAACTCCCTGTTTTCCAAGAACAAACCTGTACCTCACAGTGAGACAAGAGGCTCTCAGCCACGTGCACTGAATTGTGGAGGCCACCACGCTGCGCCCTTCCTTTCCAAATGCGAAACTCCACCCTGGGGAGGAAGGCCTGGCCTCCCAGCACCTCTCCCCCACCTAAGAACAAATGCGGCTCCCGCCACCCCTGCGTCGCCTCTGTGCCCAGTCCCTGAGGGAGCCCTGACGCCACCAGCCGCAGCCCGGGGCTCCCTGTCTTGCGGCGGCATTGATTTCACCTGGGAAAGCGAAGCTCCCGACCTGCGCGGCATGGGCCGCTGTGCTGGAATCTGCCCCTCTATGTCACTGGTTTGCAAGGAAATAAACAAACGTTCGCCAGGTGCCCCGAAAGCCCCCCGCCAGCACGGAGCAGCTCCGTGAAGCGGCCGGAGCAGACTCACCGGTGCTGCTTCATCAGGGCACACTCGCCGCCCTCCTGGGGGTCCAGGTTGTACATGTACAGGTACCCGTCGGCGGCACCCACCAACAACCGCGGGATCTTCTGAATTCTAGGGAGAATAAAGAGCAGCCAAATTCTAGACAACTGTCACAGAAACGGTCTTACTACATGGCGGCCTCACTTTTGGCAGGCGAGGAAAGAGACCCCAGCAAGATGAGCACAAGGGCAGCTGCAGGTGTCTGGCGCCCCACTGACCTCGGCTCACACGGCCAAGGCTGCACTCGTGTGCTGAGCCCTGAAGCCCACGGGAGACGAGAGCGGGATGAAACCAGTTTTGTGGCTTCTGGGATTATTATAGGTAGTCATCGTCAGAGAAGTTTTCCAGGATGCTAGTCAGATAACAAAACTGGAAAATGATGTTTAAAGACGCACGGAAGCCCAAAGCCCTGCCATCACTGGGTGTAATGACAATCTTTCCCGCACGCAGCACAGAACCTCCACAGGCCCTGTGTGTGTTCTGAGGCCAGACCCTGGAGCCGGACGGATGCCTGAGACTCGGCAAGTGCGGTTTCTGTGGCCCCAAAGGGTTAACTACGGCACACTCACGAGGTTTGACTTAACGTCTTTCATTAATACCGCAGACTATCCACAAAAACAGAACGGGAGCCCGTCTGGAAATGGACCCCCGCACAGAGCGGCAAGCCTAGTGCCTGCCAGGGGACCTCCCATCCCCGACAACTCTCGATGGAGTGTCGGCTCTAAGAAGCTGCTCCTGTTCAGAAGCACGGAAGGGGCCACAAGCCGCCAGGACTGGGCCCCTCGGCCTGAGGCACACGGGGTGGGGGACGGAGGCGCCGGCTCTACTCACGTGGCTAGCGAGCAGATGTTTTTGTGGCCGCAGAATGGCAGGCGGACCGTGGCGAAGGCTCTGCCCTGGTTGAACATTTCTGTCACTTGGGAAGGCAGGTAGCTGGTGGAGGCCATGAGCACTTTCCCGAAGTACCCGGTCCAGGTGGTGGGCTCCTCTGGGGGTCTGGAAGGAAAGGCCACCAGACACATGAAGCTGCACCCTCCCTGGGGGGACGGCCACCCCCTACTCACACAGACGCACAGCTCTGGAGCCGACAGCAAAAGTCTCCATTCTTCACAGGAAAATTAAACAGGGTTGGTTATAAGCAGACACTCAGGGCCCCAGGGGCATCACGGAGCTTCCTCTGGGAGGTGTCGGGGGAGGGGTGCTCAGGCTTCAGGGAGGAGCTACAGCCTTTGGCCACGGACAAGACGTGGCAGCTGACCACACATCCCCTTTGCAAGGGTGTGAGGACGTCTAGGGCCTAACTGATGACCCCTGCTAGGTCTCTGTAATAGAAGTCTCCAAAAACCTTGAGTATAGACCCCAAAATGTTATTTTCCCGTATCCTGTTTGTGTTGCTATTCATCTTTTTTGGGGGGGAGGGCGGGGCATGCTCCATTTGTCTTTTTAAAAATTGTGATGAAATATACCCAACAAAATTTATTATTTTTGACCACCTAAAGTATGTTATTGTTAACGCTGGTCTGAGTGGGATGTTCTTTTTAAAATTTTTAAAGACAGGCTGGGCGCGGTGGCTCACCGGCAGATCACTTGAGCCCAGGAATTCCAGACCAGCCTGGGCAACACAGCGAAATTCTGTCTCTACAAAATTTTAAAAATTAGCCAGGCATGGTGCACGCCTATAGTCCCAGGTACTCAGGAGGCTGAGGCAGGAGGATCGCTTGAGCCCAGCAGCTAGAGGCTACAATAAGTAATGACTGTACCACTGCACTGCAGCCTGGGCAACAGAGTAAGCCCCTCTTAAAAGATAAGACCCCCCTCATGCTACACATTCATTGCGATAATAAATTCTTGTGGAAGCCGTCCATGTCTCTGCTTACCCGTGGGAAGGTAAGAGACGAGCCATTCACCCTAGTGGGCTGTCTGATCACAAACGCTTTTGTCGTGAGGGGAACCTGAGGAGAGGCCATCTTCACTGACAAAAGGATGTCCACCTGGGCCCTCCATGCCCTACGCGAGGGCTCTGTCTACCCTGCGTGCTGCCTGTGGGAGAAGCTCATCTGCTGGGGCCCATCCTCCTCACTGCCGAGCCTGGATGCGGAGGTGCTCGCTCCATGGCCAGCTCCGGGGTCTTCACTGGCTAACGATGTCAGAGGGTGGGCGGGTCCGTGCTTACCTCTCATCCCGGCAGCAAGTGGGGACAAAGGGTTTTGCATCATTTTTAAAGAAACGTATATTTGCAACTCACTTTTCTTTCACAGTCTCGAGTTTGAAGATGTGCACGGTCTCAGTGTTGCTGGAGGCGGAGAGGAACATGCCGTCCATGCTGAAGGCCAGGGAGCAGATGCTCACGCACCTGGGGAGACGCACAGGTTGGGGCGGGCCACCGGAGCCAGCAGCTGCCCCAGGGGTTCAACTCAAGTGGCGGAGAAGAGTTCCTGTCACGGGCACACTTGGGCCTGCTGGTAAGTTTTATTCCCCTCTAGCCACCTTCTCAAACATTTTCCTTGAGAGAGGAAAATGTTCAAAAGGAAATACTAAGAACAATTCGTTAACACAGCTGCAAGCTTCCACATGACAAAAGGAGTAGGATTTCACTAAACCACTTTTAGCTGAAGTAGGATGGATTTATAGTCCTAAGGTGAGTAAAAGAAAACTCAGTAATTTAAGTTACAGCCATTCTTTCCACACCAGAGGGTAAATCGGCAACCTCAGTAAAGTTTAAGAACAGAGCAAAGGGCCGGGCACGGTGGCTCAAGCTTGTAATCCCAGCACTTTGGGAGGCCAAGGTGGGCGGATCATGAGGTCAAGATATCGAGACCATCCTGGCCAACATGGTGAAACCCCCCGTCTCTACTAAAATTACAAAAATTAGCTGGGCGTGGTGGCGGGTGCCTGTAGTCCCAGCTACTCGGGAGGCTGAGGCAGGAGAATTGCTTGAACCTGGGAGGCAGAGGTTGCAGTGAGCTGAGATCGCACCACTGCACTCCAGCCTGGGCGACAGAGTGAGACTCTGTCTCAATTATTTAAAAAAAAAAAAAGACAGAGCAAAACTTTCAACAGGGAAAGTGGCTCCAGTGTGTCTTAAAAATCAATCGGCATCCCAAAGCCACTAAATTCATGTGAATTTCTTCATAACCCTAGAAATACAAGATACTTTTAGCCCTGTCCGTAATAGCAAGGGGTTTTCCTGGAGTCAGTGTTGACCATGTGTATGAATTAGGAATGTTCTCGCCTTAATGCAGCATCCAGCGATGGGGGTGGGGTCAGGGAGGTGCAAACGAAACCGCCTTTGCAAAATTATGACTGAGACGGTGAACGAGATCTAGCTTTGCTGACTCCATCTTGCTTGTCATCTCCAAGCCGTCCTTGTTCCTCCCCGGGCATAGGCTGAATTAACTTTGGGAGAAAGTTTGCTTATGGTATTTTGCAGACCCTGCACTTGATGGATCCGGCGGCCCCACACAGATCAATGAACTGGCTCATCTGATCTTGTGGCCCCCAGCCAGGAACTCACTGAGTGCAAGAAGACAGCTCCGACTCCCTAACATTTCATCTCTGACCAGTCAGCCCTCCTGGCTCACTGGCTTCTCCCCACCCAAGTTATCCTTAAAAACTCTGCTCCCTGAATGCTCAGACAGACTGATTTGAGTAGTAGTAAAACTCCAGCCTCCCGCATGGCCAGCTCTGCATGAATTACTTTCTCTACTGCAATTCCCATCTTGATGAATCGGCTCTGCCTAGGCAGCGGGCAAGGTGAACCCCTTGGGCGGTCACCCAAATATTCCATTTGCCACAGGCAAAGGAATGTGAGAAAAATACGTGGAAGGCACTAGAGACGCATGGAGAAAGGGATTTAACCCAAGGATCAAAAAAAGGCCTCCTCGAGGGCGACACTCGACTTGGACTCCCAGGGTTACAGAAGCCGGCCAGGCCACCAGATCTGCCAGCTCACGCAAGACCCTGGTGGATAAAAGAGATCGGCTCTTCTGAGGATCTGAAAGTGCGGTACTGCTGGAGCCAGGACAGGGACAGTGAAACAGAATCAGGCTGGGCGGAAGGGCTGGTGCCGGGAGGCCTGCTGAACCAAGGCAGGGGCCTGGGGCTAATCCTGCAGGACAGAGGTGTGGTGGGAGATGTCAGGTGGGGTGTGATTGGATTATATTTACATTTTTCAAACAGCCTGGGTGAGAGTCTGAAGAACGGCCTGACAGGAATCCAGGGCAACAGCAGAAACCAGGCAAAGCCTGGATCAGGTGGCGTGGCGGGAGAGGCACAGGGCGGGCCCACAGGTGGGAGCTCCCTGGAGGCACCATTCAGGCGGAAGGATGCAGGGCCGAGTCCCTCTGGCTTGGGTGCCAGGGTGCTGGCGGGGGTGGCAAGTGGCGCTATTTACCAAGATGGGGAGTGTGAGGGACGAGGGGCCAGGGGCAAACTGGCCTGGTGGCTTGAGGTGCCCAGTGCCCAGCAGGCAGGAGGAATACGGGCACCTCAAGAAGGAAGCCAGGCTACACGTCCAGCCCCGGGATCAGCACACACACAGGCCACGGGGGTGAGGAAGGGGGTTGGGTGAAGAGCGGCTCCAGGGCAGAAACAGGCACAGGAGGGGAACTGGGCAGAAGCAGCAACACAGGAAAACTCCAGAAAGATGTGGTGTAAGGAAGAAGACCAAGGGACACGAGGAGGCAGGAGCTGGAGGAGCGGTGACGTTTGGGGATACTGAGGTGCACCTGCTGCACCTGTGGGGATCCCATGAGGAAAGGGGACCAGATGGCGGGAGAGTCCCCGAAAGACAGCCCCTCCTCTTTCAACAGCCACCTTCAGGGAGGGAGGTACTGATCCGAGACGTGGAGCCACAGACCTGAGGTGGGGTCCCGCCGACCACGGCCATGCGACTGAAAGTGCTCCCTAGGGCTCCAATCTGAGGCACGGGCTCCAGAGCCCGAGGCCTCCCCCGCTCTACTGTCCGACGAGGGAGGGACAGTCCTGCCTCCAAAGCAGGCGCCACAGGAGGCATGTAAGCACCGATGAGGGAAGCTTTGCAGCCTGGAGGGAGGAAGACAAGAGAACTCCAGGCTGCGGCTTCTGGGTTAAAAGAAGGGGCCAATGCCATTTGCTGAGGGTGGAGGCGGAGCTGGAGAGCTGGAACAGGTTCTCAGAGCGTGGCCTTTAAAGGGGAGGGTGTGCTACCCATGACGTCGCCGCCCCGTCCCTTACAGCAGGCTGGGAGCTGCCGGGCACTGGAGGGCCCACCTGGTTGCGTGAGCTCTTCACAACTCTCACGCTAGCTGGTGGGATCGCAAACAAAAACCCAATTTGCTTTTCTGAAAGTGCTCTTCAATTCCCATGACAAGACCGACGCCCAGATCTTACCCGGTGACCCAGCCGGGCTAGAAATGCTCGTGTGGAATTCTCCTGGGGGTTCTACTTGTTTGTTCATAGATAACATAAAACTGAAATCCAAATACAACCTCCAGAATCCATTCTGGACATTCACGTACTTTACCTCTTTACTCCTCTCCGAAACTCAAAGAGTTTTTGTCCTTCTGGAATGGAAAATACCCTAATCACGGTCCCCTGTGGAAGGAAAAGAGAAAAGAAGAATTTGAGCTGAGTTAAAACAGGAATTTCCCATCTTTCACAGCAGACTGCAAATGCGCCACACGGCTATCTCCAGGACAGCTCTGCCCTGGGCCACCAAGGAGTCTGGGGTCCCCCAGGGCCCCCCTTGAACATCATCTCCACACTTTTTGCCACGAGCATAGAAAAACACTCCCCTGTTCTATTGTTGACTTAATGTTCAATCTTCTCTTTAAACCTATTTTAAATGACTACTTACTCTCAACACTAACAGTCTTCAGGGCAAAAGTGGCATATCATTCTATTGTTCTGAGTCATCTGAAGTTTAAACTATTAAAAATAAAAGCCTGGGCCGGGCGTGGTGGCTCACGCCTGTAATCCCAGAACTTTGGGAGGCCGAGGCGGGCAGATCATCAGAGGTCAGGAGTTTGAGACCAGCCTGACCAACATGGAGAAACTGTGTCTCTACTAAAAATACAAAATTAGCTGGGTGTGGTGGCGCATGCCTGTAATCCCAACTACTCGGGAGGCTGAGGCAGAAGAATCGCTTGAACCCAGGAGGTGGAGGTTGCAGTGAGCCGAGACTGCACCACTGCACTCCAGCTCTGGAGCAAGACTCCATCTCGGGGGGGGAAAAAAAAAAAAAATAAAAGCCTGGATTTGTGTGTGGTACACGGGCAAGACCTTGTGGTCTGACGAGGCTTCGGACCCCACCAAGGTCTTTCCTGCCACTTTAAATTCAGTTACGGATCCAGAGAGCCGATTAGCTGGAAATCTCAACTACCTTATAAGGAGTCAATCCCAACTCACCAAATGGTAAGATGCACATGAAGAAAATCTTACTAAGACAAAGAACTAGGAATACAAGGGAGCTCGGCATGTGCCTGCTTTAATGGGAAGTGTCTTGAAGATGCCAACTTCCCCCAAGTTAATATCAGATCTGTGGATGATGAGACAGACATGAACATCTGGGGGAATAAACAGAGAAGCGCCAAGAAAATAACGAGCAGGACTTTGAATGCTTTAATATTAAAAGAATACTATCAAGTGATATAACGGTATTAAATTAGCACAAAAAGAAATAGACTGATGGAAAGAAAGGCCTTAAAATGGGTAGCATTCCAAATTTGCAGGGCAGGAAGAATTATTCAACATTCACCCTCCTACTATACAAATTTTAGGAGGTTCAAACTGTTAAATATAAAAACTGTTAAGAATATCTAGGCTGATGGAAGGTCAAGGTGGGCAGATCTCCTGAGGTGAGGAGTTCGAGACCACCCTGGGCAACATGGTGAAACCCCCATCTCTACTAAAATACAAAAGAATTAGCTGGGTGTGGGCCAGGTGCGGTGACTCACGCCTGTAATCCCAAGCTTTGGGAGCCCGAGGTGAGTGGTCACCTGAGGTGAGGAGTTCCAGACCAGCCTGGCCAACATGGTGAAACCCCGTCTCTACTAAAAATACAAAATTAGCTGGGCATGGTGGCGCATGCCTGTAATCCCAGCTACTCAGGAGGCTGAGGCAGGAGAATCGCTTGAACCCAGGAGGCGGAGGTTGCAGTGAGCCGAGATCATACCACTGCACTTGAGCCTGGGTGACACAGCAAGACTCCGTCTCAAAAAAAAAAAAAAAAAAAAATTAGGTGGGTGTGGTGGCACGCACCTGTAGTCCCAGCTAGTTGGGAGGCTGAGGCACGAGAATCGCTTGAGCCCCAGAGGTGGAGGCTGCAGTGAGCTGAGATCGCGCCATTGCACTCCAGCTTGGGCTACAGAGAGACTCTGTCTCAAAAAAAAGAAAGAAAGAAAGAAAGAAAAGACTATCTAAGCTGAATGCAGTAACTCATGCCTGTAATCCCAGCACTTGGGGAGGCCAAGACAGGAGAAACACTAGAGTCCAGGAGTTCAAGACCAGCCTGGGCAACATAACAAGACCCCACCTCTACAAAAAACAAAAAAATCAGCTAAGCCTGATGATTCGTTCCTGTTGTCCCAGGAGTGGAAGCTGCAGTGAGCCATGATCATGCCACTGCACTATCTCTGTGTTTGTAAATAGTAAAAAGTGGCTGGGCGTGGTGGCTCACTCCTGTAATCCCAGCACTTTGGGAGGCCAAGGCGGGTGGATCACGAGGTCAGGAGTTCACGACCAGCCTGGCCAACGTGGTTAAACCCCATCTACTCAAAATACAAAAATTAGCTGGGTGTGGTGGCGCGCGCTTGTAATCTCAGCTACTCAGGAGGCTGCGGCAGGAGAACTGCTTGAACCTGGGAGGCAGAGGTTGTGGTGAGCTGAGATCATACCACACTGCACTCCAGCCTGGGGGACAGAACAAGACTCCGTTTCAAAAAAAAAAAAAAAGCAAAAAGCAGCAGATGACCTAAGTGTAGAACACCAAGGAACTGTTTACATAAATTATGGTAAACTCATACAATGGGATAGTATACAGCTATTAGAAATCAGAATATAGGCCAGGCACAGTGGCTCACTCCTGTAATTCTAGCACTTTGGGAGGCTGAGGTTTGTAGATCGCTTGAGCTCAGGAGTTTGAAACCAGCCTGGCCAACAGGGTGAAACCCCATCTCTACAAAAAGTACAACAATTAGCCGGGCGTGGTGGCAGGTGCCTGTAGTCCCAGCTACTTGGGAGGCTGAAGTAGGAAGATCACTTAAGCCTGGGAGATGGAGGTTGCATAGAGCAGAGATTGTGCCACTGCACTCCAGCCTGGGTGACAGAGCAAGCATGACCCTGTCTCAAAAAAAAAAAAAACTGGTACTTGAGAACACTTGGTTCTCTCTGGATGGAGGGACACAAACTGAGCTTGTAACATTGAGAATTAGAGAATGAACTATTTTCTGCATCCATATACAAAAATAACCACGGCAAAGGTTTTGTCCTCTGCAGCCTAAACTTTCAGATGAGACATAATTTTGTGGCGCACGTCTACCGTGCAATACTAATTAATTAAGAGTTGTTTTGTTGCCACATGACCGCAAGATTCTTGAAAGCAGGATTAAGTCACAGGCCTCAGGGGGCCTCAGCACCTGGGACAGAGCGGGGCTGGGAAGGCCTTGCTGCTCTCACTCCACAGATGAGAGCATTCCATGTACAAGCAATCAAGGTTCCTCTTTATAGTCCAGAAAAAAAAAAATCTATTTTTATGGGCCTTAAAATTCCATCAAGTACTTTTGGGCCTTTATAAGAGCTACTAAAGAAACATTAACAGTGAGACTTTGATTAGTCAAAGGGTAACAGAATTTCAGGGCCATTTCAAAGGGAAAAGAAAAGGACAAGGTGCTATTGGGATAGTCTAGCATAATTAGAATCAAAGTCAGACTTGGAGTCTGACCCCTCTGTTGCTGCCCAGTTGGGCGGCCCCGGGCACACCGCTTAACCTTTCTGAGCCCTTGCTATGAAACAGAGAACTGTTTACCTTGCTGAGGGGAAACAAATGAGGTAATGAAGATAAAAGATCCAGGATAATTCACGACCCAGAAGTGACCCATAAGCGGTGACATCATTATTACAGAACTCGGGTGTGAGACTGAAGAACAAAGGCCCAGGCAGGAAAGCTAAGGAAGTGAGCCGACGTTTTATTGTATCTTCTCTGGTCAATAGTTTGAGGGGAGAGATGGCTTGAAAGGGGAGGCTATTTTAGGATTTCAATGAGAAGCAAAATCATATCCAAATCAAAGTAAAGGTCATCGGTGGCCAATGAAGAGCGGAGAAAACGGAGGCGGGAGAACAGACGCGACCTCAAGACAGAAGAATGGAAGACGCAACTTTCAAGAAAAGAGGAACTGAAACGAAAAGAGAGGCACAGTCCAAATGAGGAAGAGAACAAGGAGCCTTCAGTCTCCTGGGGGCCAGGGAGCCTCGCCACGCGGTCACAGGTACACGGGGACATTTAGAGGCCATCTCCTTTAAAGCCAGACATTCTTCTTACTGGAATCTCTTGAATTCATAGTTAGAAATACATATAAAACATTGATACATGACTTAAATACACTACTACCTACGGCAGCAACATATTAGAAACAAAGTCCCAAAAGGGTGATGTTGACATGAATCACAACTAAATACTGCGCGGCCATTACAAGTGTTTTTGAACTTAGACAAATGTCATGCAGAGTGAAAAAGGATAAATTATACCCATAGTAGGATCCCAATTTTGTTGACTAAAGAGAAAATGAAATACACTGAAATGTGTTCAGACTGGCTGGATAGAATTCTGTCTTTGCTTTTTCACATTTCATCACTGTCTGGGTTCTTTACTGTTATGTGGTAGTTTCATCATTTAGAAACACACTGGGTGAGCGGTGTGGTTACACACGGCACTTCTGTCTCCTCTGGACATTTCTGTATTTTCTACTACAAATGTGGACCAGCTCTCCCGTCCCAGTGGCACACTGCAAGCTCCGCTCACTCTCGGGCAGTACACGCCTGTGGCCTGACAAGTGGGTGGCTGTCTTTGCTTCTCCCGGAGCTGGTAAGTATAGGACCTTGCCTCTAAGGTGGCTGTGTGAACAGAACTGAAAAAGTCTGTGGACGCCTTGGCACCAGTGCTCCCCCGGGGAAAAGCAGACTCACCTTCTCCGAAGCCGTGGCAAGTTTAGTTCCACTTGCGTCAAAGGCCAGTGCCGCTAAAGGACTGTCGTGAGCCGGAATCATGTTTGCAGCTCTCTGAAAAAGGGACACCAATAAAGAGTGGCCACCGCACAGTGACCGCCCACGCCCCAGGGCTGACACTTGGTCCGCAAGTGCCAATTAGCTGTTCCTAAAACACCATTACGGTCCAAACAAATGCCAAACCCACTTGATTTACTGGGGCTGGGCATCCAAGGAAATGCTGCTCCAACTTTAGAAAAAGCAAAGCAATTTATCCCTAAGGTTTTCTATGTTCCTTCAAACATTCCCGTGGCGAGGAGCTCAGCACTGCTCTGAACGCCGCAGCAGATCCAGAAGCAGAATGAGCCAGACCTACTCTGCTACTGAGAAGAGAGCAGTGGGGCTGGGCGCGGGGCACCCGCCTGTAGTCCCAGCACTTTAGGGGGCCGAGGCGGGAGGATGGCTTAAGGCCAGGAGTTTGAGGCCAGCCTGGGCAACCCAGCAAGACTCCATCTCTACAAAAATAAAAAATTAGCTGGGTGTGGTGTTGCATGACTGTAACTCCTCGGGAGGCTGAGGCAGGAGGATCAATTGAGCCCAGGAGGTTGAGGCTGCAGTGAGCTAGGACTGCACCACTGCACTCCAGCATGGGCGACAGAGCCAGACCCTGTCTCAAAAACAAACAAACAAACAAAAAAGTGCAGCGGTTGTATTGCTGAGCCAAGTCAGGATGCCAGGGACACCACAGTGCTCCTCTTCAGGAAAAAGCCACACTTTAGAGAGCTATTCGAGCAGGAAAGGCATCTCACCAAATTAATGGTATCGAAGACCTGCACCTCTCCGATGGTCGCGCTCCCTGGGTACGCCAAGTAGCAGTTGTCGTTGTTGATTGACAGCGCACACAGGCCTGCAAATGACACACGGAGGACGAGATGCAAACTTCCACCTGAGAGTTCCTTCTTGGATGTCAGACATAATTCAGCATTCATTTAACAGAGCATTAGGAACAAATAATAGCTTGGATACAATCTTGTTTGCTGTGTTAGGAAAGTTCTGCAACCCCAAATCCCCACCTTAGGTGATACCAGTATTGTCAAGAGATTAAAGGCCTTTGGTTTGAACTGATCAGTAACCTCAAACTTGAAAGTTGATCAAACCAATGAGCTTATGTGGTCACATGACCAGCATCAGTAGGAAGGCAGCTTGGTTTGGGATCAATACTTTTAAAATCTGTCTCATCTGCGGAACCTATAAAAAGAAAAAATCTCTCTCACCTATAGCTATCTTTCAAGGGCAAAATCAGAAAAATGGGATTCTCTCCTCACAAGTTAGCTCACCTGCAGGGTTTGGAGGCGTCTCCCTGATCGTATGCAGCACCTTCATGTCCCGAATGTTGTGGATGTACAGGGACTCCTCCAGGCATACTATCAGCCTCTAGGCGAGAGACAAAACGAAACCAAACGTGAAGCAACGGCCAGTGCAATACCTGCCCCAATCTCCAGTTGACTGACTCCTGGACTATGACGCTCTCATTCCTTCTATTGTTATTGTATTTTATTTTTTTGGAGTCAGTGTCTCGCTGTGTCACCCGGGCTGGAGTGCAGTGGTGTGATCTCGGCTCACTGCAACCTCTGCCTTCCGGGTTCAAGTGATTTTCCTGCCTCAGCCTCCCAAGTAGCTGGAATTACAGGTGACTGCCACCAGGCCTGGCTAATTT
Organism: Homo sapiens; assembly: GCF_000001405.40. NCBI lineage: Eukaryota > Metazoa > Chordata > Mammalia > Primates > Hominidae > Homo > Homo sapiens. Next base: position 5,216,279 of record NC_000007.14, on the reverse strand, counting down.
TTGTATTTTTAGTAGAGATGGGGTTTCACCATGTTGGCCAGGCTGGTCTTGGACTCCTGACCTCAGGTGATCCACCCCTGCGTTGGCTTCACAATCTTAGTTCCTTCTAGAACACCATGCAGACCAATGTTAGAAGCGCCAAGGATACAGCTGCTTTCCATCAACAATCAAGAAGGAGCCAGGCCGGATGCACCTCTCCCTCATACTCACCCCATCTCTACTGGGAATTCTAACCAGGCCATTTAGTTTAGTGTTAGGCAAATGCTAACCTACAGCTAAGACAAGTGTGCTGTGAATAGATTTGGAAAGATTTGCTTTTTAAAACTGATGCTGAGTGCAGCACAGGTAAAATGAAAATAAGGGGGTTTTAAAAGGTCTAACATTTTATTGTGCACTCAGATTACTTTGCAAGTTCCTGCTCCATTTGGAAGAAAATGAATGTAGACATGCAGACGATGCATCGCTGAGACAACTTATGCAAGAAAGATGACCAGCTCTACATTAGTTGGACGTGAACACAATTTTTAAATGCTCAAGATATGATGTCTTATAATTTCCCATTCTAACCAACTATGTCAGTTAACAGACCACTTCCTAGTTTCAACTGCGTAAGGCAAGAACGTCTCTACTGTGACTTCACCTAGTCACTGTATCTCAGGGTGCAGCTACTGGCTGTCATCATGTCCACTCTACAGCCAGCAGCCTAATCAGCTTTCCCTGCAGGGAGTGCGGGCAGAATCAGATTGCCAGGGGTCTCCCGGGTGGTGCTGTTACCCTGGGCGTGAGCACAAGCTGGGAGACACACACACGTGCGTGAAACACGCACACATGCCACCCACCACGTCCTTCCTCTGTGCCAGACAGTCTTATTAGTTTAGGGGGAGATAAAGTAATAAATCCTTCATCTTGAATTCAAAGTTAAACTAACAATTTACAAAAGGAAAAAAAAGTCTGTAAGTTTTTTTTTTGAGACGAAGTCTCACTCTTGTTGCCCAAGCTGGAGTGCAATGACATGACCTTGGCTCACTGCAACTTCCGACTCCCGGGTTCAAGCGATTTTCCTGCCTCAGCCTCCCGAGTAGCCGGGATTACAGGTGCCTGCCACCATGCCCGGCTAATTTTTGTATTTTTAGTAGAGACGGGGTTTCATCATGTTGGCCAGGCTGATCTCAAATTCCTGACCTCAGGCAATCTGCCCGCCTCGGCCTCCCAAAGTGTGGGGATTACAGGCGTGAGCCACTGTGCTCGGCCAAATATATTTTTTTTAAGTAACATTTATAAAAGCAAAACCAGGTAATAGGTGAAAGAGACTGCCATCCACCCTCTGGGTGGGGCCGGGGACGCCTGTATGGGAGCAGTGTGGCAGAGGCCCGGGCATTTGTCGTGAATGGAATGGGCTGAGCAAAGCTGGTGGGTGAGGAAACAGAGCTGGTCTCTGTAGGCAAGGATCTGTGCCCGGCAACGTGGGGCCAGGCAGCAAGGGAATGACGGAGGGGCATGCCGGTGGGGTGGGCTTGTCCCAGAGTGCTGGAGGGAGCAACAGACAAGCCCACACCCAGCTGGGGCAGCGCTCACCTGCCTGTTGAGCTTCACAGCCAGAATCGTGTTGGAGTAGCTGTAGTTGCAGATCTCAGTTCCCTTCTTAAAGTGGCAAACCTTTAGCTTCCTTGGTGCTTTAAGGCTGACGATGGCCACTAGGCTGCTGGAGAACAATCTCTCTACAATGCACACATCTTCCGTATCGGCTGAAATCACAAAGGGAAGTACATGCGTGAACATCTCCACATGGCTATGGCCACAGGCAGAATCTGCGCTCAAAAACAAACACCTGCCTGGGCGACACGCAGGGCACAGCGCTGAGGGTGCCTGCGGAACATGTGGTCATGGGGTGGGGACAGCCCGGGGGTCTGAGGGTCTTGATTCGCTGGAGCCTCAGGAGCATTTCCACTCTAAGGATGGCCCCTCACGAGCATTCACACGAAAGACAAAGGTTCCTTTCAGTCAGTTCTGTTGCTGGATTTGAATGGTGAGTTTAGGAACCAAACTCCTAGGTAAAGTGAAAGAGTAAGGTCTAGGGGCTCCCTTAATTAAGACACAAACTACTACGAAACTGCAATTGCTTCCCCTGGGTTCCATAGACTCATGTGCTGAGCGCTAGCCTACGTGCTCGCATACTGAGGCTGGCCAAAGAATCACACATGTCCAAAGTGGCATGACACATATTTATTAAAAAGATGTCGCTATTACACTCATGTCACAAAACGCTGACATACGTTCTAAGAAATGCCCTGAAGGGGCCGGGCGCGGTGGCTCACGCCTGTAATCCCAGCACTTTGGGAGGCCGAGGTGGGTGGATCACAAGGTCGGGAGATTAAGACCATCCTGGCTAACATGGTGAAACCCCATCTCTACTAAAAATACAAAAAATCAGCCAGGCGTGGTGGCGGGCGCCTGTAGTCCCAGCTACTCAGGAGCCTGAGGCAGGAGAACGGTGTGAACCCGGGGGACGGAGCTTGAAGTGAGCCAAAATCGCGCCACTGCACTCCAGCCTGGGCCACAGAGCGAGACTCCATCTCAAAAACAACAACAACAACAACAACAACAACAACAACAAAACAAAGAAAAGCCCCGTAGGCAATTGTGTCGTGCAAACACAAATCTAGATGGTAGGCCTACTATGCCCCTAGGCTGTATGCTGTGGCCTGTGGCTCCTGGCTACAGACCTGCGCTGCGTGTGACTAACTGGATACTGTGGCCAGCTGCAGCACAGTGACAAGTACTTGTGTGTGTGAATGAAACATGGGAAAGCTGCAGCAAAAACACGGCCTGCTCCTCTCACAGGACCACCCTCGCACCCGCGGCCCCTCGCTGACCTACGCGCCATCCTGCAGTGCGACACCACTTCAAATGGAACGGGCCATAAACACAAGTACATCATCCTAAGCTCTTCACAGCATCCATTCAGTGTCTTTTCAGTTGCTTTTACCAGAAAGCTGTCATAAACCTTCTTTCTGACAACAGCAAGCGACCTTCATTCAAAAGGAACAGATGCAAGCGTCTGCCACAAATGGGGAGATGGTGGCAGGGTCGGGGGGCCAGGGAGGACAGGCTCTGTCTGCAGCTTCTCTGCTCAGCAGCATCTCAGACTAGCGGCCACCGTCTTCCAGGATCTGTCAACGAAAGGCACGATCAGGAGGGATCATGCCAGTGCGTGGACACAGGAATCTTTGTCAGCGGATACACCTCTAGCACCTGGCATGCAGCACCACTCAGACACGAGGCCAACCCAACTCAGAAGAGATGGTGCATAACCCAGAATGTCAATTATTTGCAGTAAAAATAATTTCTCTAAAGATCAGACCCTGGTTCTCTGACCAGTCCCCTCTTTCCCTCAGGAGATTGACATGGATACTAAGTCACGGCAGCCCTGCTTGCTAGGCGGTGGGCGAGAAAGAGGGCTGGGGCCAGATGCGGTGCTTCGCACCTGTAATCCCCGCACTTTGGGAGGCCAAGGTGGGAGGATTGCTTGAGGGCAGGAATTCGAGACCAGCCTGGGCAACATAGTGAGGTCCTATCTCTACAAAAAATACAAAAATTAGCTGGGCGTGGTGGTGCATGCCTGTGTAGCTGAGGTAGGAAGAGTGCCTGATCCCAGGAGGTTGAGGCTGCAATGAGCGGTGATCACGTTCCTGCATGCCAGCCTGGGCAAAAGAGCGAGACCCTGTCTGTAATACCAGTCCTGCCCCAAAAAGGAGGGTAGGACTGAATGATGATCATGGCTGGTGTCCTGAGGCTGCCACCCTCACTTCTCAAATCCGGCAGCCAGATGTGCAAATCCAGGGGCACAAGGCCCTTCCCCGGCCACTGTCTAGCCTCTCACTCTCCAGGCACCCCATTCTCAGGTAGTACTTGGTAGTATTAGGGGCTGCACGCACTGGCCCGGTTGCATCCTGTACCTGTTGCCTCTAGTAGTCACCGCGCTTACCACTGAGAATCTAGGCAATGGCTGAGAGACAGAGTTCCCTGCTGGACTGATGGTCTGAGGACAGGTGCCGTGTTTGGCCCATTCACGGCTGCACCACCCCCAGGTCTAATGTCGCCTGTCATAGACGAGGAGCTCCTTCCACACTGGCTGAACGGATGGAATGGACCTTATGACCAGATTTTGGATATTCCCCAAACTCCCCAAATGGTGTTGTTTTAAAAACATCAAAACAACAACAACAGCAACAAAAAACAAAACTCAATCTCTGTGCCATTCAGTTTCAGTGGGTGGTGAAATGCTGTTAACCCCAGTGCTACATCCAAGAGGCAGAAGTGCTCTTGGTGAAGCTCAGCGGCACGCGTCCTAACACATGTACTGGGCGTGTGTGCGGCACTGCAACCTTGGTGAGTACTGGGTGCCACGGCGACCCTGCAGGAAGGCGAGTTTAACAATCACATTCCAGTCTCAGCTCTGCTCTAATTAGCTGTAAGGCCTGATATCTACTTCCTGAATGGTGAAAGAAGAGTTGGACTCTCAGCTTCATTAACTTCAGGGTTGGGACACATAGGAAAACCTGGTATACACAAAACTGGTTTTTTATTAAGTACAATTTTATTTAAATCCACTGGCCTCTCCACTGGCCTCCTAAATCCAATCAGTGGTGAAAAGAACTTACTTCCAAATAGGGCTGCTCCTCAACATGCACAGGCTCAGTATCTGTGAACTCACCTGCTAGGTAAGGTTTCTTTGTGACCCCGCATAAACACTCACGGTGTTTTACAGCCGTCCGTAGACACATGCGAAGTGGGATTTTATTTTTTTGAGACAGAGTTTTGCTTTTGTTGCCCAGGCTGGAGTGCAATGGCGTGATCTCGACTCACTGCAACCTCTGCCTTCCGGGTTCAAGCAATTCTCCTGCCTCAGCCTCCTGAGTAGCTGGGACTACAGTTGCATGCCACCACGCCTGCCTAATTTTTGTATTTTTAGTAGAGACAGGGTTTCACCATGTTGGCCAGGCTGGTCTTGAACTCCTGACCTCAGGTGATGCACCCGCCTCAGCCTCCCAAAGTGCTTGGATTACAGGCGTGAGCCACCGCTCCCAGCCTCGGGAAAAGATTTGAGTCACATGATGCACATGTTCCTGGCTGAGGTCACACAGGGCAACGTCCTATCTTCTCGTGTTGATTCTGAAAACAACTGTCCTTTTCCTGGTCTACATAGGGCTACTGAGTGTCTGCTTTTTGCACTTTTGTGCTTGTTGTTGATTTCACTGTTGGCCCTGGCACAGTGCTGAGTGTCGTCGAGTATCCCTAAGCACAAGCAGCCTGGGATGTACCCCGCGGAGAAAGCACATGTGTGGGCTGAGTTCTATGCGAGCCGCGAGTTCAATGTTAGTGAACCAACAATCCCCATTACGTCAGCATGTCTTGAGGCAGGGAAGCACACACAAAACGAGGTTGTCTTTTGATCAGCTGATGAAAATGTTGCGACCAGAGGCCACCTACCAATCCTTCCCCTGGGAGCAACACTTCATGATTCGCTAATCCAGCGTCCCAGAGACTTACAGACTAGAACTGTGAACAACAAGAATCAACTGTATTTTTATTTTTTTTCAAAGAATAGGTTCTTACTGCTTTGCTTGGTAAAACTTGACTTATTTACTTCACCCATTCAACACAAACAGCAGATCCTACACCAGTAGAGACCATCCCAAGTATACAGTGGTAAACAGGGCAGTGCCTGCCATCACGGAGAGGAGGCCAAAGAGATGTGGGCCCAGGGCCCTGTGTGGCACCGAAACTGCCAAAGGTCAGCAAAGGAGATTGAGTAAGAGAAAAGCCAAGACCGTGTATGAGATGGAAGTCAACAGAAGAGGGCATCTGAAGAACAGCAAGCAGGTAACTGTGCCCAGCACTGCAGAGGAGGGAAGAGGAAATGAGACACGTCCCCTGAGTCTGGGAACGAGGAGCTTATATGGCGACCTTGACATATTTTGATGGAGATGTGTAGGAAGAATGGCTGAAACATGAAAGAGAATGAGAAGTGGAAAAAAACTTAGGCAACTATCTATAGGAGTTATGCTACAGGCCAGGCGCAGGGGCTCACGCCTGGAGTCCCATCACTTTGGGAGGCTGAGGCAGGCAGATCACCTGAGGTCAGGCGTTCGAGGCCAGCCTGGCCAACATGATGAAACCCCATCTCTACTAAAAATACAAAAAATGAGCCGGGCATCGCGGTGGGCGCCTGTAATCCCAGCTACTTGGGAGGCTGAGGCAGGAGCATCAGTTGAACCTGAGAGACGGAGGTTGCAGCCAGCCGAGATGGCACCACCAGACTCCAGCATGGGCAGCACAACGAGACTCCACCAAAAAAACCAAAAAAACAAAACAAAAAAAGAAGTTATGTTCTGGAGAAGTAGAAATATGGGAGGGGCTGGGGGATATGCATGGGCAAGGGAAGTTTCTGTCTTCAAATACAGGAGCTACTAGATATACTGAGATGGATTTATGGTTGAGACTGCTTGCCTGGAGGAACAAACCACTTAGGGGGCTGGTCACCTGAAGAAGGAAAGAGAAGGGAGCCCCAGACCGACAGCACCAACCTCTCTTGAAGCAGCAGCAGGTGTTAACTGTGATGGGATGGAGGTGGGAGATTTCAAAGTGAGAACAGTATGAGACGATCATCTCAAAGAGCAAGTCGCCATTAGAGGTGGTGATAAATTCCAATTCAACTGCACAGAGAAAGACTGTGCCAACCCAACAGATGCAGAAAAAGCATGAGAAAATGCAATGCTCATTCATGGTAGAAACCTAAGAAACCTGGAATTAGGAAGAACCTTCTTTCACTGATGAAGGTTAAGAAACAGTTAAGAAAATCTACAGCTGACACTGTACTTAATGGTGAAGATATTTGATCTCTTCCCGTTAAGACTAGAAACAAGGCAAGGATACCCACTCTCCTTACTTTGTGCTCGAGGTCTTACACGTTGCAGTGAGGCAAGAAAAAGAAATAAAAGGCACAAACATTAGAAAGCAAGACATCAAACAGCCTTCACTGCCATCTTAAGGAATCTATGGAGCAACTATTTAATATATGAATTTAGCAAAGTCATAGGATACAAGATTAAAATATAAAAAATTAACTATATGTTTAGGCCAGCAGCAAACTGGAAAACTCAGTGAAATAATTTTCTTTTATGATAATGTCAAAATCCAAAGTATTAGGAATAAATTTTACAAAAGATGTAAGACCTCCATACCAAAAAAAAAAAAAAAAAAAAATCACAGAATATTACCAAAACAAATTTAAAAAGAGCTAAATAAATGAAGAGATATACCATATTCTGGGTACTCAATATTATTAACGTATCAACCCTCAAACTGATCTCTAGGTCCAATCCCATCCTAATCATAATCCCAACAGGCTCTTTTGCAGACAAAGTGGATTTTAAATTTTATATGGAAAGGAAAAGAAACTAGAAAATGCAAAGCTATCCTGAAAAAGAACAAAGTTGAAGACTGACAAATAGATCATTAGAAGAGACTAAAGAGTCCAGAAACAGACTCACAGGTCACAGGACTGTAAAGCACCAAAGCAATCCCAGGAGGGAAGAAAAATCTTCTCAACAAATGATGATGGAATAGGAATCCATTAGGAAAAAAACAACCTTGATTCATACCTCACAACATACATAAAAATTAATGAGATAGATTATTGACTTAAATATAAAAACTTTAGCTTTTATGTATAGTGTTAACTATATAAAGCTTTCACAGAACACATAGGAAAACACCTTCCTGACTACAGGGTAGGCAAAAGTTTCCTGGACAGGGCCTAGAAAGCAAAAACCATAAATGGAAGGAAAAAAAAAAACAACATAAATATGACTGCATCAAAATTTAAACCATTTGCTCAAAGAAAGAAAACAGGCAAGCCACAGACTAGGAGAAATAGTCACAAAACATATCTGACAAAGGACTGGTATCCAGAATATCTAAAGAGCTCTAACAACTCTATAATAAAAAGATAAACAACCAAACCTAAAAAGCAACAAAAGACTGGAACAGACATGTCACAGAGGAAGATATATAAACGGCCAACAAGCACATGAAAATGTTCAACATCATTAGTTACCTGAGAAATTCAAATTAAAACCATGAAGTTATCATTATACACACATCAGAAGGGCTGAAAAGAAAAAAACTAGTAATATCAAAAGTTGGTGAGGAGGCTGGGTGTGGTGGCTCACGCCTGTAATCCCAGCACTTTGGGAGGTCGAGATGGCCGGATCGCCTGAGGTCAGGAGTCTCAGGCCAGCCTGGCCAACATGGTGAAACCCCGTCTCTACCAAAAATACAAAAATTAGCCAGGTGTGGTGGTGCACACCTGTAATCCCAGCTACTTGGGAGGCTGAGGGAGGAGAACTGCTTGAACCCCAGAGGTGGAGGTTGCAGTGAGCCGAGATTGTGCCACTGCACTCCAGCCTGGGCGACAGAGACTCTCTCAAAAAAAAAAAAAAAAAAAAAGTTAGTGAGGACATAGAGCAATCAGAACTCTCATACAGCACTGACAGAACCACAAATGGTATAGTCACTTAGGAGAAGGTTATGGGGGTTTCTTACAAAACTAAACACATATCTAGCCAACAATTCCACTACAATATTTATCTAAGTGAAAATATCTGTCCATTAAAAGACTTGTACGAGAATGTTCATGGTAGCTTTGTTCATAATAGCTGAACTACAAAGAGCCCAGATAACTGTCATGAAAAGAATACATCAACAACTGTCATATATTCACATACTGGGCAAATGAGACATAAGATGTGGATAAATCTAAAAAAAATGCAGAGCAAAAGAAACGTCATCAAAAGAGTAGATGCTCCATTCATATCAAGTTCTAGAAAAGACAAAACTAATCTACAGTAGAAAAAAACCAGAACACTGGTTGCCTCTTGGGGAATGTGGGCAGAAGGGAGCTGAGACTGGAAGGAAGTATGAGAGAACTTTCTGGAGTGATGGTAAACCTTGATAGGGTTTCAGTTCACAGAGATGCAGGCATTTGTTAAAACTCACATAGTGTTCACTCAAGATAGATGCATTCCACTGTAAGTAAATTTTATCTTACAAGAAAAAAACAAACATTGAACTCTACTCAGTATTGAGGAGAAATGTACTGATGCCTGCCGTCTACCTGGAAATGCACACACACACACAAAATAAAGCCAGGTGTGGTGGTTTGTCTGTAATCTCAGCACTCTGGGAGGCTGATGTGGATCACTTGAGCCCAGGAGTTTGAGACTAGCCTGGACAACATAACAAGATCGTGTCCCTACAAAAAAATCGAAAAATTAGCTGAGCATGGCGGTGCACTCCTGTAGCCTCAGCAACTCTGGAGGCAGAGGCAGGAGGATCGCTTGAGCCCCAGAGGTCAAAGCTGTAGCAAGCTATGATTGCACCACTGCACTCCAGCCTGGCAGCCTGGGTGACAGAGCTAGATGCTGTCTCAAAAAAAGAAATAAACATAAAAAAGATAGATGGTGTCTGTGTGTGTGTGTGTGTTAGGACAAGTATAGTAAAATGTCAAGGGAAGAATCTAAGTGGTGGATACACAGGTGTTAGCTGTAAAATACTTTCCACTTTTCAGTTTGAAAATTTCCTTTAATAAAATGTTAGAAAGAAAAATGATGTCTTCAGTTGCTTACGTGCAGGTGCTGAGAAGGTAATACCACCAACCATCACTTGGAAATGGTTTTTCTAAAATGTTAATGAGAAAAAGCAGAGCTTTCAGAATGCTTTAAACAGGGATGGGAGGATGAAGGCAGAAAAGCTCGTTTTTAACTGCAAATATTCATAAAAGAGAACAGTAAAATGAACCTCCATATACTCAACACCTAATCCAACAAATATTAACTTTCTACCATTTTGCTTCAATGATTTTTTCTTTATTGAAGTTTGGAAGAGAAGCTCCTTCTGACATTCACCCTAAATGCTTCAGAGTAAGCCCCTCTACATAAGTAAGGACACAGGCAAGCATCCTTCCCAGCCCCTTAATGCAAGGGAGGGATTCCTTACATCCAATACACTCCAAGTATTGAAGGTAGAACATGACCCCAGAGTATTACAGGACCACCTTGGGAAATGTTTTATGTACATGCTGGGAGCAGGAAAAACCCTTTCTAGTATTTAGAAGCCTTAGAAAAAAAGACCAATGCATTTGAATACATAGAAATTCAAGACTTCAGAATGGTGAAAAGAATCATAAACAAGGTCAAAAGGCAAATGACAGTCCAGAAAAAAAAAATATTTGCAACCCCTAACAAATGGCTAATTTGCTTTAAGTCATTAGGAGATAAATAACCCAACAGAAAAACAGGCAAACGGCAGAAACAGGTAGTTAAAAAAAAAAAAAACAGTGGCAGCACATGACTGCATGGGGGAAAAAAAAAAAAGAACTCAGTTTGAGTTGATGTAAGAATTGTAAATAAGGCCAGGCACGATGGTTCATGCCTATAATCCCAGCACTTTGGGAGGCAGAGGCAGGTGGATCACTTGAGGTCAGGAGTTCAACACCAGCCTGCCCAATATGGTGAAACCCCATCTCTACTAAAAAAAATAGAAAAATTAGCTGAGCGTGGTGACACATACCTGTAGTCCCAGCTACTAAGGAGGCTAAGGCAGGAGAATCACTTGAACTCGGGAGGTGGAGGTTGCACAGTGAGCCACCTCCTCCTGTGGGGACATGGGCAGCAGCAGAGGCAGGACAGAAACTAAGTGTGACGGCCAACTGCAAAGACCAGGTGTCCGTGGATAACTGGATGGGCTTCCTGAATCTCTAACGTCGCTGAAACCATATGCTAAACACTGAGTGTTCTGGGGGAGATAGATCTATAACTCTCATCACATTTACAAGAGTCAGTAACCAAAAGTAGGAGAGGTGGCTCTGCAAAAGGCAGAAATGAACGACCAATCACTCTGGAGTGAACATATTTTTGTCATTACTTAAGACTAATAGGCCAGGGCCGGGTGCAGTGGCTCGCGCCTGTAATCCCAGCACTTTGGGAAGCTGAGGCGGATGGATAACCTGAGGTCAGGAGTTCCAGACCAGCCTAGCCAACATGGTGAAACCCCGTCTCTACTAAAAATACAAAATGTAGCCGGGCGTGGTGGTGCATGCCTCTAATCCCAGCTCCTTGGGAGGCTGAGGCAGGAGAATTGCTTGAACCCAGGAGGCGGAGGCTGCAGTGAGCCGAGATCTCACCACTGCACTCCAGCCTGGATGATACAGCGAGACTCCGTCTCAAAAAAAAAAGACTAATAGGCCGGGCATGTTGGCTCACACCTGTAGGCCCAGCACTTTAGGAGGCTGAGGCAGGAAGATGGCCTGAGCCCACGAGTTCAAGACCAGCCTTGGCAACACAGTGAGACCCCAACTCTTAAAAAAAAATTAGCTGGGCATGGTGGTGTGCACCTGTAGTCAGTCCCAGCTATGCAAGAAGGGGGAGGATCACTTGAGCCCGGGAGGTTGAGGTTACAGTGAGCCGTGCTGGCACCACTGCATGAGTGACAGAGCGAGACCCTGTGTTTTAAAAAAAAAAACGCAGTAGTAGTAGTAGTGGTAACAGCCATAACACAAAAGGATGCACTTCGCAGTGACATTAAGTTCTACGGACCAAATCTGACTAGATCTTTTCAGGAATACACCTTTCAGAAAGCAACCTACTTTTATATATTGCTAGTAGTTTAGGTTTGTTGCCATTTTTCTAATGTATTATTTCAAGATGCTCTAATATTTTTCTATTACACTTCACATACAGATGAACTTTCTTATTTTTAATTTTTTTGAGACAGCCCAAGCTGGAGCGCAGTGGCACAATCTTGACTCACTGCAACCTTTGACTCCCGGGTCCAAGTGATTCTCCTACCTCAGCCTGCAGAGTAGCTGGGATTACAGGAGCGCGCCACCATGTCCGGCTAATTTTTATATTTTTAGTAGAGGCGCGGTTTCACCATGTTGGCCAGGCTGGTCTCTAACTCCTCACCTCAGGTGATCCACCCGCCTCGGCCTCCCAAAGTGTTGGGATAACAGGCGTGAGCCACCGCGCCCGGCCCAGATGAACTTTCAAACATATAAATATACATGGAACCCGCATACCCAGAACAATCACTTTCCAGTAAACTGAAGTACAAACCTGGCTCAGCCCTCCCATGAAATAATGGTGGACAATGGATCAGGCTGCTAGGTGAAAGATGCCATAATAATCAAAAGAAAGCAAAGAAACCAGACTGCACAGATGTATTGACTCAAGATGGCACGTCCCAGGACACCAGTGCCAAGAGGCACTCACGCTGACACTAAGAAAGACTGAACGTGGCAGGGTGTGGTGGCTCACGCCTATAATCCCAGCACTTTGGGAGGCTGAGGCGGGTGGATCATGAGGTCAGGAGATCGAGACCATCCTGGCTAACACGGTGAAACCCTGTCTCTACTAAAAATACACACACAAAAAAAATCAGCCGGGCATGGTGGCGCTACTCGGGAGGCTGAGGCAGGAGAATGGCGCGAATCCGGGAGGCGGAGCTTGCAGTGAGCCAAGATTGCGCCACTACACTCCAGCCTGGGCTACAGAGCGACACTCCGTCTCAAAAAAAAAAAAAAAAAAAAAAAAAGGCTGAACGTAAACTTTAGTGACTTCCATCCCACTGGAGGAATGAGGCCTTGCTTTTAGCACTCATTCTAGGTGGCCTCAGCCACACTTTCTGCCAAACTTCCCTCCTAGAGATTGCCTGACTAAAATCTAAGAAATTAATTACTTGATTTAAAAAAGAATGTTGCTTTTTGCTTCTGCTGGCGTGGTTTATAGTTGGCAACGATGAAGCTCTGGAGTGGGAAGGGAAGAATGAGGCCATGAAATAACTGCTTGAATCCACTTCCGTGTGTGTCTGCGGCTCCGCCAGGATGCAAGGTAAGAGGCCAGCATTCCAGCACCACAGATTTAGGCCAAGGGACGCTCGTGGTTTCTCCTCTGTAGGATACATTACTATAAATCTCACTGAAATTAATATTCCAACCAGTGCACTGCCTGTCAAATAAGACTAACGTCAGAAAACACCATTTCTCAAACCTTAAGATGCAGATGATGGCCCGTAAAGTAAATGATTAGTTTCTTGGCCAAGCAGGAAGGTTGATAAAAGATGTTATATGTCAACAGCTACACTTCCATAATCAACGCAGGCTGTAGTCACTTTTGCTGAGCTAAGGAGCAGTCTGCTTGTGCTGGGTTTCAGAACGGAATGTTTATGAGATGTTTTCCTAGCTCAGAATCCAGTTTAGCAAATGCAAAGAAAACACACAGTGCAGCTTTTGAAAAAAGCCAACTTCTAAACTTTTGTGATCTTTTACAAATAATAAACCCATACCCTTCATTTATTTTGCCTAACAGTGTAGGATACTGTTGTAGAATATTTTAGGGAAAAGAGACCACATTTTGTGCATTATGTATATTCAAAAAATGACGACAACAAAAATGCACATGGAGAAAGAAAATGATCATATGAGAGGCCGGGCGCGGTGGCTCACGCCTGTAATCCCAGCACTGATCATATGAGAGGCTGGATGCAGTGGCTCACGCCTATAATCCCAGCACTTTGGGAGGCTGAGGTGGGAGGACTGCTTGAGGCCAGGAGTTCAAGACCAGCCTGGGCAACATAGTAAGACCCCGTTTCTACAAAAATTAAAAAAAAATCAGCCAGGTGTAGTGGCATGTGCCTGTGGTCCCAGCTACTCAGGAGGCTGAGGAGGGAGGATCGCTTGAGCCCAGGAGGTCAAGGGTACAGTGAGCTATGATTATGCCACTGTACTCCAGCCTGGGTGACAGAGCGAGACTCTGTCCCCATATATATACATATATGAGGCGCCCATAAACAATGTGCAAAGCCTATCTGGCAGTTCCTGCAACTTTCAAGTTTGAAATTACAACATTGATGGTAGAAAATCTATCTTCCAGTACTGCTAGACCAAGCTTTTGTGTGTGTGTGTGAATTTTCTTTTCTAAGTAAACAAAAGAACAACAAGTAGCTGTCCATCTTGTTTTTCTCTAAGACCAGCTCTGGCCCATTCTTTCTGTAACAGCCACAGTGAGTGACAGCAAAGATCTGATTTTATGATGGATTGTTAAAAGTTTTGAGGGTAGACGTCAATACTGAGCCTGAACTAAATACTGAGACATGAAGAAACATTCTTTCCTCTGAGTCCACCTATAGAAAAATGCTAGAAAACAATCTTGACATTTCACTTAGTAGCTAACCTGTTTTCTAGAGACATTCTCTTATCTACTAAAAAAAAAAAGTGTGAAAGAGGAAAGGCAGATAATATTCTTGGAATAGAACAATGTAATAGATCAGTTTAAAGTATTAACCCTCAAAACATTCTTTGTCCATTTCATCATCTATTTTTAAGGGCCAAAGTTCACTAAGAAGAACACAGACATTCATGCACCCACCTTACCATGTTGGTCAGGAAACATCCACTCTTTATTTTTTATTATTTATTAAGACAGAGTCTCACTGTCACCGAGGCTGGAGTGCAATGGCACAATCTTGGCTCACTGCAACCTCTGCCTCCTGGGTTCAAGTGATTCTCGTGCCTCAGCCTCCCTATTAGCTGGGATTACAGGTGTGCGCCACCATGCCTGGCTAATTTTTTTGTATTTTTAGTAGAGACAGGGTTTTGCCATGTTGGCCAGGCTCGTCTTCAACTCCTGGCCTCATGTGATCTGCCTGTCCTGGCCTTACAAAGTGCTGGGATTACAGGCGTGAGCCACTGCGCCCGGCCAATATCCACTCTAAAAGATACTATCAAGACATCCCATTTTGTTCCACTAAAAATCTCTGGGAAATAAGGCACTAGAAGCCAGTAACTAAACTTCAATTTGAGGAAAAGGAAAGACCAGGTTTTGGCATTCTTCCACTCTTTATAAGCACTGGCCCCCAGCAAGGGAAAAACCTCTGTGCATTTCAAAACAGATGACTACAGTGACTCCAGCAACAATTTAACAGCACAATTCAGGCGCTTCATCTGGATCTGGACTGAGTTTCAGTCATTCGTAAAAGCCTGGAGACGGGGCTGCCCTCCACTGCAGAAACCACTGTGGGGAGCAATCCCGTGTGGCTCACGTGAAGGCAGCCAGGTGACAGGACTTCAGGAAGGCGGGCGGCGCCTGGGATAAACAGCCCTGGCTCACACCTATGTTATCGCCCAGATCACATCTCCCAGCCTCCGTGGCAGAAGAAAGGCTTTTTTGGAAGATTTAGTAAGTACCAGCAGGCAAGTCTAAGGACAAAGAAAGGAGTAAAACCTAAGCCAGCCACCAGGAGCCATGAGTCAGGGACGCTGATCATGGAAATTCTGCTGCCCCACTCTCTCCCTGCAAAGGGCCTGGGTACTTGCTCTTGGGGGCAGCAACAGGAAAGACACTGCTGGGAAGAATCAGACACATCCCCGATGGAGGTGAGGGGCACCTGCAGGCTCACCTGCAGAGAGGAGGCCAGGGCCCAGGAGCGAGTCCGAAAGGCCGCACCTGCTGGCGGGCCAGGAGAACACCATAATTAAAAGTCACCAGCACAAAGTTCAGAATCGCTGGAACCTGGGGGAGACGGAGGGTGCGGTGAGCCAAGATGGCACCACTGCACTCCAGCCTGGGCAGTAAGAGCAAAACTCCGTCTCAAAAAAAAACAAACAAAAAAGACTGCACAGAACCTACGCACACACAAACGAGCACAAGGAGGACTGGAGAGTGTGCTCAGGAGAGGTGGATGTCAATATCCCAGCTATGATATTACACTGGGGCTTTGCGAGATGTTACACTGGGAAGAACAGGGTAAAGGATGCAAGGGACCTGTATTATTTCCTGCAACTACATGTGAATCCATAACTATCTTAATTAAAAATTACGCACGTGGAAAGGGTCCAAAGCTTCCAGTCACAGTCTCCATCACAGGCTTTACTCAGCAAATACTATTTTTGCACACTGTTAAGTACACACATACATAATCTCTAATCCTGGCAATAATCTTACAGACCTGCATTATTTCTGTTTTGCAAAAAATAAAAGAAACTGAGGCCCAGAGATGAAGTAATCCATCTAGAACCACACAAAACATGACTGAGCAAGAGGCCAAAGCGCATGACCTCCCGCTGTTCCATGCGCCTCTCCGACACGCGGGCCACTTCAATGCTGTAAAATGCCAACGCGGGAAAATAAATTGTTCCTACAGGGGCTGTAAAATTTTCAATTTTCTGGAAGCCCTTTATGACAGTAATTTAGACGGTTTAAATGGCATTAAAAGGGAGAGAAGTTACAGACCAGTACACATGGTATGTGCTCATGTACTGAAGACCCTCATGAACAGAGCTCCCTCGGTACCTGCCCTCCTATGTAGGCAAATGCACAGATCAGGGCAGACGGCCACAGGTGTCACCAGTTGCCACCTCTTGGGGAGATGAAGGTGGAAGCAGAGGACTGGTAAGAGGGTGTCTGGACTTCAACCACAGCGTCTGAATTTTAGATCGCATTCCAATTCAAGTACAACTTTTTTTTTTTTTTTTAAGAAGGGGAAAAATAAAGCAAACACTTACTGCATTCATAGATCTGTTCCAGCTTATCCACAGAAGAAAGGGAGAAAAATTTATAACCGGACTTACTACCAACAGCTAGGGACCTGCAAAAAAGCCAAATTCAGAAATAAGAGCTGATACGTGCAGACAGTGACAATGTAGAAACCAGCTCCCACGTTCCCAGCGAGTTCCCAGCAAGTTCCCCGCGTGCCCTCCACAAATCAGCACAGAGCAAATCATTTCACACTGTTTGTATCAAGTGCTTGGCACAGGAAGATGCCACAAGGTCAATAAAATACAGACAATATTATTACTTAAATCCTATAAAACTTTTCTGAGGCTGGATGTGGTGGCTCATGCCTGTAATCCCAACACTTTGGGAGGCCAAGGCAGGAGGACTGCTTGAGCCCAGGAGTTCAAGATTAGCCTGGGCAAAATACTGACACTCCATCTCTACAAAAATAACATTAAAAATAAAACAATTAGCTAGGCATGGTGGTGCCCTTGTAGTCCCAGGGAGCTACTCAGGAGGGTGAGATGGGAGGATTGCTTGAGCCCAGGACAGGAGGTTGAGGCTGCAGTGAGCTAAGATTGATCCTGCTACTGCACTCCAGCCTGGGAGACGGAGCGAGATACTGTCTCAAGAAAAGAAACCAAAAAACTTTTTCTGGAGATCTAACATACAGGATAGTAACTGTAGTTGATAATAAGGTATTGTGTGCTTGAAATTTGCTGAGACAGCAGATCTTAAGTGTGCTTGTCACAAAAAGGTAACTATTTGAGGTGATAGATATGTTAATTAACTGGACTGGTGATCACTTCAAAAGACGTGTGTATATAAAACATCACACTGTATACCTTCAACAGATACAATTTTAATTACACCACAATAAAGTGGAGGGAAAATTAAAATAAGAATACTAAAAAACAAACTCTATAAAACTTTAAGTTTGGGATATAAGCACAAGGAATCAGCCTTACTGGTTTCCTCAAAACAAACTGAGGTTTCTCAAGTGGTCTGATGTGTACACACAGTATATGTCAGAATATGAGAGTTAAGTAAGCTGGCCAGGTGTGGTGGCTCATGCCTATAATCCCAGCACTTTGGAAGGCTGAGGCGGGCAGATTACTTGAGGTCAGGAATTTGAGACCTGCCTGGCCAACATGGCGAAAACCTGTCTCTACTAAAAATACAAAAATCAGTCAGGCATGGTGGAAGGCGCCTGTAATCCCAGCTACTTGGGAGGCTGAGGCAGCAGAATTGCTTGAACCTGGGAGGAGGTGGCTGCAGTGAGCGGAGATTGCGCCACTGCACTCCAGACTGGGTGATAGAGCGAGACTCCAACCAAAAAAAAAAAAAAGTTAAGTAAGTGAATTTTCTAAATTTTAAACGAAGGTATTTAAAATCGAGGTGGGCGCAGGCATCTCTCTGTGCTTCTGCAGGCCTTTACTACCCGTGGCTCCACCCCTGTGCTGTGCCATGGCTGAGCAGTGGGCTGGAAACGAAACGGACTCCAAAGCTACCTTAGAGTCTGGAATCAAAGGCCCCGTCGTTGGCTTACAAGGAAAAAGCAGAGGATTGGTTTCATGGCCTTGCGTTTATGAGTCCATACTCATCACCCGCTTCTGCGAGGAGGCTCAAGGAGCCCACAGCTCAGCAGCCCCTCCCAGCAGGGGCCTCGGGGACACCACAGAAGGGGTTTCCTCATCAGAAAAGTGCCTCTCCAGAACCCAGTTGACCAAAGAAAGCAAAACAAGAAGCAAGTCCAGCTTTCAGCAGAAGAAAGATGAGCGAACAAGCAGGAAGCACCGGGGTACAGAGGAATCAGATACCAGGATCACTTTTAACATCTGGGAGAACATGAAAATGAGGAGGTAAAACAGAAGGCTGAAACAGGGAAGGGGCACATTTCACACTAAGTATTTGTACCCCAAGATAGGATCAGGGCTATTTTAATGATCATGTGATTTATTAAAAACTTGAGATTTCCAACTACTCTTTCACACGTATGTGGAAGAAATGTATTCCAAGAAGAGTTGCTATAATCAGTATTAATCTGTAAAATCACATTGATTTATCTTAGAAGGATAAAAAGAACAGAAACAAAACTCTACCAGCTCATATAATTTTTCTTTGCAAAAATTTTTTGCTTCTTTACTATACTGAATTAGTTACATCAATTGTTGTATCAATGAAATAATTAGGTATTATTACCTGTAACTATTTTGAAAATTAATAAAAGAACCAAGAAGAATAGAGTAATATCCCTAGGCTAAAACTAAAACAAAATCTCAGCAACCCAGAACTTTCGGGAAACTGATGTTCAGGAAAACATTTTCCAGATAACTAAGGGTTGCTATTTTAAGCAGGACTCCCCCACTCCCATTTTCTGATTAAAAAAACAAATTGTTCTTAAATTGTATACCTTCCTGTGTCCTTAAAACAAGGGATGACAAGTTCTTTCGAGTTGAGGGTTTGGTGTACCCCATATCAAACAGCCAGACTGTAGTGCTAAGTTTATTTATTTTATGGTTTTTTTTTTTTTTTTTTTTTTTTTTTTGTTTTTTGAGACGGAGTCCCGCTCTGTCATGCAGGCTGGAGTGCAGCAGCGCGATCCTGGCTCACTGAAACCTCTGCCTCCTGGGTTCAGTCAATTCTCCTGCCTCAGCCTCCTAAGTAGCTGGGATTACAGGTGCCTGCCACCACGCCCGGCTAATTTTTGTATTTCTAGTAGAGATGGGGTTTTACCATGTTGGCCAGGCTGGTCTTGAACTCCTGACCTTAGGTGATCCACTTGCCTCGGCCTCCCAAAGTGCTGGGATTACAGGTGTGAGCCACCATGCCCGGCCTGTAGCACTGAGTTTATAAAAATATTTTTCCATCTCTTGTTTTGCCGACAGTTGTCACTTTTCCTCGTGACCATCCTGCCGTCATTAACAGCCCGTCCTTCCTAATTTCTTGGTGACTTGGAAACCAAATCACCAAGCTTATTAGCATTATGTATAAAATGAGCTTCGAGGGGGCTTCTCCCATGGGCAAAATTAACGAGCCTTAGTCCCTGATCCTTGGGTTAGACATCCCAGTTCTCTGCTGTGCTCCCTACACACAGCATTTGTTAAAACTGGACTTTGCCAATCAAGTTCAGATATTTGGAAGCTGATTTAGGATATTAAATACCTCAGCTAGAAGTTTAACCCCACAGTTTACAAAACTGTGCATTCCAATCCGTTAAGAAAGGGAAACAAAAATATTCCAAATATTTTTTGAGATATATATACCATAGTATGAGTACACTTTATCAGTAAAGATAAGTTGGTTTTTCTTTTTTTTTAGATGGAGTTTTGCTCTGTCGCCCAGGCTGGAGTGCAATGGCACAATCTCGGCTCACTGGAACCTCCACCTCCTGGGTTCAAGCGATTCTCCTGCCTCAGCCTTCCAGGTAGTTCCAGGTAGCTGGGATTAGAGGCATGCACCACCGTGCCCAGCAAATTTTTTGTATTTAGTAGAGATGGGGTTTCACCATGTTGGTCAGTCTGGTCTCGAACTCTTGACCTCAGGTGATCCACCTGCCTCAGCCTCCCAAAGTGCTGGGATTACAGGTGTAAGCCACCACGCCCAGCAAAAGATAAGTTTTTTTTTTTGAGATGGAGTCTTGCTCTGTTGCCCAGGCTAGAGTGCAGTGATGTGATCTCAACTCACTGCAACCTCAGCCTCCCGGTTCAAGTGATTCTCCTGCCTCAGCGTCCCGAGCAGCTGGAATTACAGGTGACCACCATCACACCCGGCTAATTTTTGTATTTTTAGTAGAGATGGAGTTTCACCATCTTGGCCAGGCTGGTCTCGAACTCCTGACCTGGTGATCCACCTGCCCTGGCTTCCCAAAGTGCTGGGATTACAGGCGTGACCACCGTGCCTGGCCTAGATGAGTATTTTTAAAGAATGGTATTAAATATAAATATGATTGATATTTTCGTCTCAACATCAACAATCAAGTTCAACACCCCTTTGGAGATTTGGCTTTAAACAATTTCAAAATTGACCTGACCATAAAATGGCAGACATACTAATGGGAAAGGCAGAGCAACAGGTAAGTAGGAGATTTTCCCTAATACATAGCTTTATTGCCAAAAAATGTTTATTTATTTATTTTTAAGTCAACAGAGTGGGATTTATTTATTTTTATTTATTTTTTTGAGACAGGGTCTCACTCTGCCACCCAGGCTGGGGCACAGTGGTGCGATCTCGCCTTACTGCAGCCCCAACCTCCTGGGCTCAAGGGATCCTCCCATCTCAGCCTCCCGAGTAGCTGGGGACCACAGGCGCGTGCCACCACACCCGGCTAATTTTTGTTTTGTGTAGAGTCGAGGTCTCCCTGTGTTGCCCAACCTGGTCTTGAACTCCTGAACTCAAGGGATCCTCCCACCTTGGCCTTGCATAGTGCCAGGATTACAGGCGTGAGCCACTGTGCCTGTCCCCATTAGTGGGCTCTTTCATTGACAAAGGGGAAAACTAGCAAATCACAACCAAAAAAATATGTATTGGCTCAATCCCCCATTTTGCCAGTATCCCCACCTTCAACTGTGCCTGGTGCCCAAACCCAGAGACCCTGCTCTACCCTCCCCAGAGAGTAGGCCTGTCCTTCTCTAGGGAAGGACAGAGTCACTGCTTTTTAAACGCACTTGAACACATCCTCCTCATTTCACGGCCCCACAAGCCCGCCTCTGGAGCCCTGGCCTGCCCATTCCTGAGCCTGGAGGGGATTCTGCAGTTTAAACTAGGTTGGTTCTCTGCTTTCTTCACTAGCAATTTGAGATCCCACTTCCTTTACCACTCGCTAGCTTCCAAACTGGCTAATATCTCCTTTCTCATTCTTTCTATCGTATGAGTTTAAGCCTTTTAAAATATCTTTTTGAGGTCAAGGGTGGTGGCTTGCGTCTGCAATCTGAGCTACCCAGGCGGGAGGATCACTTGAAGCCAGGAGTTTGAGACCAGTTGGGGCAACAAAGTGAAACCCCATCTCTACAAAAATAAAAAATTAAGAAATGTTTAAAATTAGAAAATGTATATTTTTGACATTTTACTGATTAACATTTTATTAGGGTCTGGGGATGGAACCAAAATAAATGCTTATGTTTGATCCATCATTTTTAACTGAAAGTCTCCGTCAATGAATTTAAACTTGAACATTGAACATCAAAGAGACAGTGACTGCCACTCAAAAATGAAGATGTGAGTCAGATTTTTTGCTTATTTTCCTTTTCTCCCCCTTCCCTAATCGTCAGTCCGTAAAGACTCTCCTTCTTCATCATCTTTGCGGAGAAGCCATACTTGATTGCGTGCTTAGGCGGATAGAGCCCGACACTGTAAACCAAAAGCAACCTCAACTGTGGCTGCCAGCCCAGACCTGGGAGGCCCTGGTGCCCTCTCTTTCAGGGCTATGGACAGCCCACCCCCATCCCCGCTCCCCCTCACATCCTCCACCTCCATATCCCTGTGGCCTTTCCAACTCATCAGTATCCCCAAGCAGAGTTCTCTCCTTCTCGGCTTTTTCACCACGATGTTATCACATTCACCCAGAACCCAAGCCAGAAACTGGGCGTCACCTAAGTTCTCCCTTGGCTGCATGATGCACGTCCTGTGGGTCACACAAGTCCTGATGGCGAGACAGTCTCCTTCCCACTGGTCACTGCTGTTGGATGATATCCTCCTAAGTCACCCCCTGCCCTCCTCAAACATATCCTTTGCATAGCAGGCAGAATTACTTAAAACTTTAAGGGTGAAGGATCTTAGAAACCATCTTCAGGCCGGGCACAACGGCTCACACCTGTAATCCCAATGCTCTGGAGGCTGAGGCAGGAAGATCGCATGAGGCCAGGAGTTCAACACCAGCCTGGTCGACATAGCAAGACCCTGTGCCTACAAAAACTAAAAAAAAAATTAGCCAGGTGTGGGGCCTACGCCTGTAGTCCCGGTTTCTCGGGAGGCTGAGGCAGGAGGACCGCTTGAGCCCAGGAACTCAAAGTTGCAGTAAGCTATGATCATTATAACTATGCCACTGCACTTCAAACTGTGCAACAGTGAGACTCCATCTCAAAAACAAAAACCCAAACCCTTGATTTACAGATGAACAAAGAGAGGAGAGCAGTACCTTCCCAGCACAATAAGCATAACCTAGAAGAGACATGGTGGAAGAAAACAACAGGTTTCTCCTGTTGTCTCCACACACTTCATAACATCAATTCTACAAACACAAGACTTGGAAAGTCAAGTCCCTTTCTTCATTCCATCCCTTTTAGACATGGCATTTAAAACAGACATTGCTACATCACTAACTTCCCACAAGCTGTGGTATCCACTGGAAAAATGTAGTCCTTGATATTTCCATTTCAGATTCAAGTGATCCTCTCCCACTTATTAACTGGTTCACTGCAATTTCAAAAAGCCAAAAAAGTCCTCTAACATAAGCCTTCCAAGGTGATACTTTCAGAAACCAGGGTTGGAACTAACCAGACAACAGCGCGACGGCCAAGACCAGCTGCTCTTGATGCCCCTTTCACTTCTCTAGGTAAAAAAACAAAACAAAACAAAAAACAAATGGTAAAAAACAAATAAAACTTATGCACACTTTTAGGATAGGAATCATGAAAAAGTACGACATTGGAAATCATATTACCAGTAAAGAAAGGCAGGACAGTTATAGTTTGGTATGTAACAAATACAAAAAGAATTTAAAAGACAAAAAAAAGGGAAATGACCCTATAACATATATATTCTAGTAAGTGAACTGGCTTCCAAATTTTCTCACTGCATACAGTAAATGTGAGTTCTAGACGGTCATTCTTTCACTTGCTAAAAATTGTGCTCCTCAATAAATTCTGGAGATTAAGAAGGGAGGAAAAGGTATAAGCCATAAAAGCTCTCTCCGGGAACTTCTCTATTTCTTTCAAGTGTAGATTTAAAACAAATTACCGTCATTTTAGCCCAGTCAACTTCTAGTATAATCCTAGCTTACTATTCATTCCAATTTAGGTTTACACTACATCAAGGTCTCTCTGGCAAGTCAAAGTTATGAAATCTCAAAGTAACAGAAATCTCTTGAACTGTAATAACTTCGGGGAGCATGGAGAAGTGGGTAAGTGTGAAAATGTCCAAGTGTGAAAAGGTCCTATTTCAGGCCAGAGTGACACTCTTCTGTGACACAGGGAACATGGCAGTCCAGCTGAAGTAACAGTAAAAGAGAATGCTTTTCTCTATTTGATTTCATTCTGATAGAAATAATTAGTGAAAAACTGAAAGAGTGGCCGACAATGTTTTGGAAACTCTCTAATTTATACAAGGCATAAACCACCCTACTACTACTACCATTTCTTACTGGTCTCAAAATACTGTGGCCTTGGGCTTAAAAACCAAATTAGAATTGGTTTGGGATGTGTCCTTTTCCCTATCTGGATTAACATAGTCTATTCCACTTGAACTGCAACAGGTTGTCCGAATTGTTTGTTGTTCTGGCTTTTGGTCACACAGAACGCTACAGTACTTGGGAGTTTTCATCTTTACACGTTGTTATGCTATTATTTCTAAATTCACTGTCTTCAGAATTCTACTCTGTAAACAGAAAAAAAAACAGCATGGCAGAGCAGAAAGAACATTGGAAGAGAGCTCAGGAGGCGAGATTCCACTCCTGCCCCCGCTCCACTATTAACCAATTCCAAAACCCAGACCAGCTTGGAGCCTTTCGGAAGGATTTCCTCATCTGTAGTTGGATGAGGTGATTTGCCCCTTCCGACTCTCAATACAGTCCCACTGTGCGACTGTCTTCACAGCTTTGGGGAGGTGCTATTGAGTGCCTGCTGTACACCACCCACTGAGTGTTGTCCATTCTACAATTCACTTTTAATTTCCTAAAGAATCTTACCTTCTGCTATGTTAATTCCACTCAGCCAGTAACAACTCAACCAATGACTTAGTAAGATGCCAAATGCCCCACTCCTTCTCTTTCCTCACTTCCTCTTACTCACTTCCAAGATGGCTCTCCTCCCTGCCAACCCCATAACTCACCCTTCTCTCTCCAGAAAGCTCGCTCATCTATTAACCATCCCCACAAGTCCTCCTCCCAGGCAGCATCCAACCCGTATCAGTGGGGACAAACAGCGTTCCGAATGCACGGGCTGGCATTAAGGCCTTCTCTTGCCCTGAGGATGACCCACCCGCTGGAGCTCTGAGACTCCTGGGGCACTGGTCCGTAACGCCTCTCTTGGCTCAGTTTCTCCCTAGCTAGGTCAGATGCCAAGGTTATTGCTAAGTTTGTTACTTGCTGGAGAAGACATCAAAGTTGATGTCCCAAAAAGAACAGGGAGGGCCGCGCACGGTGGCTCACACCTGTAATCCCAGCACTTTGGGAGGCTGAGGTGGGCGGATCACTTGAGGTCAGGAATTTGAGACCAGCCTGACCAACATGGTGAAACCCTGTCTCTACTACAAATACAAAAAAGTTAGCTGGGCACAGTGGCGCGTGCCTGTAGTCTCAGCTACTCGGGAGGCTGAGGCAGGAGAATCGCTTGAACCCAGGAGGCGGAGGTTGCAGTGAGCTGAGATGGCACCACTGCACTCCAGCCTGGGCAACAGAGCAAGACTCTGTCTCAAAACAAAACAAACCCCAAAAAACAAAAACAAACAAAAAAACAGTGAGAAACGAAGAAAAGAAAATCAAGAGAGAGAGAAGGGTCTTAAGACGATGAAAAGACAAGGAGAAGGGCCTGATTCAAAGGAGAGTGAGTGGGAGACGCTGAGCAAGCAGCGGGAAGAGGAGACGAGAGGAGAGGAAGCGACCCACACCCAGCGCTCCACAGGCGGCCAAGACAAGTCAAGCCCCAAAGTTCGGCCCCAACTTTGCGAGAAGTAGTTAAGTCTGAAGCCAGGGGGCCTCCCCGCAAGAGGGTGAAAGCAGCCCCCTCTCCACCACCTCTCCCGCTCCGGGACCGCAGCTCCAGGCCAGCACCCGAGGGTCTCCCTGGAGGGCGCCCCTCCCTGCACGCCCCGGGCCCGCCCCTGGGGACGCCTCTGCGCGCCTTGGCCCGCGGGGAGGCCGAGCCTGCGACGCCGCCGAGCTTGGCAGCGAGGCCCTCCCCCTAGCCCGGGTCCGACCCTGGCCTCACCCCGACTCCGACCCCCGACCCCGGCCTTACGTGTTGTCCTGGTTGAAGTTGGCGAAGAGCAGCTGGCCGGCGCCGGCCTCCCCGCTCTGGCTCGCCAGGTTCATGGCTGGGCGCGCGGCGAGTGGGCCCGGCCGGGGAGGGCGCGCGCGCGAGGGCGGGTCAGGCTGCACTCAGGGTCGGCGCCGGGCCCCGCTCGCCGCCTCGGTCGCCGCCACTCGCCACCCTGGGATCAACCGCCGCCTCATCCCGTCCCCGCTCTTGTTTATGCTCCAGAGCCGGGGCACCCGGTACGCCTGCGCGGCCCCGCCCCCGCGACGCACGGCCTCGAGCGGCGCAGTCGCACTGCGGAGGCCCCGCCCTCTCACCGCCTGCCTGGGCTTGGGTTCCGGTGGATCACGCAGGCGTGGGGACGCGTCGGGGCGCGCTGGGCCTGGCTGAGGGCGAGCGGCGGCCGCTCATGCGCATGGGGCAGAGCTGGCGGGAGTCTGTTTTCTGCGTACCCTCCTCTTAATAACACTCAATGGCCAGGCACGGTGGCCTGTAATCCCAGCATTTTGGGAGGCCAAGGCGGGCGGATCACCTAAGATCAGAAGTTCGAGACCAGCCTGGCCAACATGGTGAAACCCCGTCTCTACTAAAAATACAAGAAAAATTAGCCGGGCTTGGTGGTGTACGCCTGTAATCCCAGCTACTCGGGAGGCTGAGGCAAGATAATCGCTTGAACCCAGGAGGCGGAGATTGCAGTGAGCCGAGATCATGCCACTGCAATCCATCCAGCCTGGGCCATAGAGCGAGACTCTGTCTCAAACAACAACAAAAACAAAAACAAAAACACCCCAATGGGCCCTCCATGTGCCAATCACTGTGCTGAATGCTTCTGCGCATTACCTTATCATTTTATTATTTTGAAAGACAAGGTCTCGCTCTGTTGCCTAGGCTGGAGTGCAGAGGCTCAATCACAGCTCACTGCAGCCTCAAACTCAGGCTCAAGCGATCCTCCCACCTTAGCCTCCCAAGTAGCTGGGACCACAAATGCATGCCACCACACCCTGCTAACTTTTAAGTTTTTTGTAGAGATGGGGTGGGGGCGGGGGGGGTCTTACTCTGTTGCCTAGGCTGGTCTCGCACTCCTGGCCTCAAGTGATGCTCCCACCTCGGCCTCCCAAAGTACTGGGATTACAGATGTGAGCCACTGTGCCCAGCCACATTATCTTATTTGATGCCCATTACAATCCTAAGTAGAGAATAGTATATCTTAATTTTACAGATTTGAAAATCGAGGCTCAGAAATAATTATTAGCCAAGTGCTAGATCTGAGACTGGAAACGTCCTGTTTCTCCAAGGTCCATACTGTCTGGGTTCCTGGGACAGAATCGTCCCTTAAATTTATTCATTCATTCAACAGTATTTAGGACGCACCTCTCATGTGAACTAAATAGGCCTCCTCCTTTCCCTCAGAGAAGTTATAATGGGGAGATATTTAAATATAAATAGAAGGCCAGGTGTGGTGGCTCTTACCTGTAATCCCAGCACTTTGGGAGGCTGAGGCGGGTGGATCACCTGAGGTCGGGAGTTCCAGACCAGCCTGGCTAACATGGTGAAACCCCGTCTCTACTAAAAGTACAAAAGTTAGCTGGGTATGGTGGTGGGCACCTGTAATCTCAGCTACTAGGGAGGCTGAGGTGGGAGAATTGCTTGAGCCCCACAGGTGGAGGTTGCAGTGAGCCGAGATTGCACCTCTGCACTCCAGCCTGGACGGACGACAGAGTGAGACTCCATCTAAAAAGTAAAATAAAATAGGCTGGGCATGGTGACTCACGCCTGTAACCCCAGCACTTTGGGAGGCTGAGGCAGGTGGATCACCTGAGGTCATGAGTTTGAGACTAGCCTGCCCAACATGGTGAAACCCTGTCTCTAGGAAAAATGTAAAATATTAGCCAGTTGTGGTGGCACGGCCCTGTAATCCCAGCTACTCAGGAGACTGAGATGGGAGAATTGCTTGAACCCAGGAGGTGAAGGCTGCAGTGAGCCGAGATCATGCCACTGCACTCCAGCCTGGGCGACACAGTGAGACTCCATCTCAAAAAATAAAATAAATAAATATAATTAGAAACTCGGGGGTACAATGAGCGAATATATATATATATATATATATATATATATTTTTTTTTTTTTTTTTTTTTTTTTTGAGACGGAATTTCACCTTCTTGACCAGGCTGGAGTGCGATGGCGCAATCTCGGCTCACTGCAACGTCCACCTTCCGGGTTCAAGTGATTCTCCTGCCTCAGCCTCCCGAGTAGCTGGGATTACAGGTGTGCACCATCACGCCCAGTTAATTTTTGTATGTTTAGTGGAGACGGGATTTCTCCATGTTGGTCACGCTGGTCTCGAACTTCCGACCTCAGGTAATCTGCCTGCCTCGGCCTCCCAAAGTGCTGGGATTACAGGCATGAGCCACTGTGCCTGACCATGAATGCATATATAGAAGTCACACAACCTATATTTAAGGGACAGGGACTGTGCTATTGAGAAGGCTCCTGGAAGAGATGAGACCTGAAGTTTGAGTAACTAGTCTAAGGGCATGAAAACACTCTATATGGGAAGGGCTTGAGGATGAGGGTGTGACCTGTCCAAAGAACTCTATGTTCAGAGTGGAAAGGCAGACACAAGGCAAGATTTGGCAGGAGAGACAGGAGGTGGCCAGATCAAGCTGCGTATTGTTACGCAAGGAACTGACCATTATCTGATTATTGTCCATAAGAGCAATGGTCTGCCGTTAAAGACAGGCAGGAAAGTGGAACGATCTAATGAGTGCTTACAGAAGTTAATTCTAATTATAGGGTCAAGAACGCATTGGAAATCATTGAGGAAAGGATGGTCTTTTCAATAAAAGGAATAAGTACCCCTACCTCACACCATATTCAAAAATTAATTTGAGATGGATTACAGTCCTAGATGTGAGAGGTAAAAACAATAGAATTTCTAGAAGGAAACGAGAATGCCTTCATGATTTTGGGATAAACAAAGTAGTCTAAACAGGTACTTTAAAGCGGATGTGTTGGCTCATGCCTGTAATCCCAACACTTTGGGAGGCTGAGGCAGGCGGATTGCTTGAGTCCAGGAGTTTGAAACCAGACTAGGCAACATGGGGAAACCCGGTCTCTACAAAAATACAAAAATTAGCTGGGCGTGGTGGTGTGCGCCTGTGGTCCCAGCTCCTTCAGAGGCTAAGGCGGGAGGATGGCTTGAGCCTGGGAGTTCAAGCCTGCAGTGAGCTATGACCGCGCCACTACACTCCAGCCTGGGTGACAGAGCAAGATCCTGTCTCAAAACAAAACAAGTTCTTTAAAAAGTAGTAACCACAGGCCGGGCGCGGTGGCTCACGCCTGTAATCCAGCATGTTGGGAGGCCAAGACAGGCAGATCACGAGGTCAGGAGATCGAGACCATCCTGGCTGACATGGCGAAACCCCGTCTCTACTAAAAATACAAAAAATTAGCCGGGTGTGGTGGCTGGTGCCTGTGGTCCCAGCTACTCAAGAGGCTGAGGCAGGAGAATGGCGTGAACCCGGGAGGTGGAGGTTGCAGTGAGCTGAGATCGCACCACTGCACTCCAGCCTGGGTGACAGAGCGAGACTCTGTCTCAAAAGAAAAAAAGTAGTAACCACAAAATGAGAGATTGGCCTTCATCAACATTGAGAAGAATGGGCTATTTTCAAGAGACCATTAAGAGAGGAAGAAAAGGCAAGATTTAGAGATACATATATTTATTTTATATATATATATATATATATATATATATATATATATTTTTTTTTTTTTTTTTTTTTTTTTTTTTTTTGAGACGGAGTCTTGCTCTGTCACCAGGCTGGAGTGCAGTGGTGCGATCTCGGCTCACTGCAACCTCTGCTTCTAGGGTTCAAGCGATTCCCCTGCCTCAGCCTCCCAAGTAGCTGGGACTACAGGCGTGTGCCACCACACCAGGCTAATTTTTTGTGTTTTAGTAGAGATGAGGTTTCACTGTGTTGGCCAGGATGATCTCAATCTCCTGATCTCGTGATCTGCCCGCCTTGGCCTCCCAAAGTGCTGGGATTACAGGCATGAGCCACCACGCCCGGCCTGCAATATATATATTTTTGACAAAGGAATTATACCCAGAACTTCTGCGCATCAATAAGAAAAATATAGACAGCTTTTTTTTTTTTAACTGGGCAAAATACTTGAACACAAGCACTTCACAAAAGAGGATATCAGAATGTTAATGAGCACCTGAAAAGGTGGTCATCGTTAATACTCATTAAGAAAATGTAAATTAAGGCTGGGTGTGGTGGCTCACACCTGTAATCCCAGCACTTTGGGAGGCCAAGGTGGGAGGATCACCTGAGGTCAGGAGTTCGAGACCAGCCTGGCCAACACGGTGAAACCCTGTCTCTACTAAAAATACAAAAATGAGCTGGGCCTGGTGGTAGGCACCTATAGTCCTAGCTACTCGGGAGGCTGAGGCAGGAGAATCGCTTTAACCTGGGAGGCAGAGGTTGGAGTGAGCCGGGATCACACCACTGCACTCCAGCCTGGATGACAGAGCAAGACTCCATCTCAAAAAAACCAAACAAACAAACAAAAAAAGAAAATGCAAATTAAGGGCAAATGAGGTATTACTAAGCATCCACCAAATTGGCTAAAATTAAAGCAACTGACAATCCCAAGTGTGGATGACCATAGAGCGCAATTGGAACTCTCATACACTGTGGATGGAGTCTCGCTCTGTTGCCCAGGCTGGAGTGCAGTGGCACGATCTCGGCTCACTGCAAGATGAAAGTCTAAATTGTTTCAACCACTTTGGAAAACTTGGGCACTACCTACTAAAGTTTTGTTTTTGTTTTTTGTTTTTTTGTTTTTTAAATGGAGTTTTGCTCTTGTCGCCCAGGCTGGAGTGCAGTGGCACAATCTTGGCTCACTGTAACCTCAGCCTCCACCTCTTAGGTTCCAGCGATTCTCCTGTCTCAGCCACCCAAGTAGCTGGCATTACAGGCACCCACCACCACGCCCGGCTAATTTTGGTATTTTTAGTAGAGACGGGGTTTCACCTTGTTGGTCAGGCTGGTCTTGAATTCCTGACCTCAGGCCACCACGCACGGTCTATTTACTAAAATTAAACATATATATACCTTTTGACTCGGCCAAATGCACTGTATATGCATTTCTAGGTGCATATACAGTAGAATTAGTGCATATTTTCACTAAAAGACATAAATAAGAATGTTCATAGCTACTGCATTCATAATAAAGTGCTGAGATTACAGGCGTGATTCACCGCACCTGGCTTGGTAATGTACTTTCATACTTTCTTTAATAAGTCTGCCAATCACAGCACTTTGGGAGGCCGAGGAGGGCGGATCATGAGGTCAGGAGATCAAAACCATCTTGGCTAACATGGTGAAACCCCGTCTCTACTAAAAATACAAAAAATTAGCCAGGCGCGGTGGCGGGCGCCTGTGGTCCCAGCTACTTGGGAGGCTGAGGCAGGAGAATCGTTTGAACCCAGGAGGCGGAGGTTGTGGTGAGCCGAGATTGCACCACTGCACTCTAGCCTGGGCTACAGAGCAAGACTCCGTCTCAAAAAAAAAAAAAAAGTCTCTTTCTTTACTTACCACTGTATAGTCATGTCTCACCCGCCATGGTTATTGGTGAATGAAGATACATAAAGAGGTGCCTGAGTGAATCCTCGGGGTTCTAGACATAGTTCTCCTCGATCTCATTCTGAGCAGCAACCCAACTTTCCCTTGCTCATAGCAATCTATGATCCCAGCTGGAACAGAAACTCCTTCTCTCTCTATTGGTTCAGTGAATGAAGATCCCAAAATGACCGCGAAGTAGACTCAGTTTCCAATGGACCAGAACCACAACTCTGTTCCCTGGGATAAAACAGGGAATTCCATGGCCTGGGTGAGGTGGCTCACACCTGTAATCCCAGCACTTTGGGAGGCTGAGGCGGGTGGATCACCTGAGGTCAGTAGTTCGAGACCAGCCTGGCCAACATGGAGAAACCTCATCTCTACTAAAAATACAAAATTATCCGGGCGTGGTGGCACCTGCCTGTAATCCCAGCTACTCGGGAGGCCGAGGCAGGAGAATCACTTCAACCCGGGAGGCGGACGTTGTGGTGAGCCAAGATCACACCATTGCACTCCAGCCTGGGCAACAAGAGCGAAACTCCATCTCAAAAAAAAAAAAAAAAAAAGCGAATTCCTTGTGTGTTAGGATCTCAAACTCCAGTAAGCCCTGAGTTGGGTAGATGAAAACAAAAGTTCCTTAAGTGAGTTATTAGATGTTATATGCAAGGAAAAACTACCACCTCCACTCTTGGTTTGCAGGTGTGTACTGCATATTATTGAACAACAGCCCAGTCTTACAGGATGTGGTCTCTTAGCTGCAGTCATGACTGAGCCTTCCATAGGCTTGCTTCAGTAGCCTTCTGTAGGCCACTCTACCATCCATCTGGGTAATAGGGCACATGGTGAATCCCAAACGCATGAGCCCATTGTCAAAATTCCTTCATCTTAGTGTAAAGCTCTCAGTCAAAAGAGATGTGAATGGCTGGGCGCGGTGGCTCACGCCTGTAATCCCAGCACTTTGGGAGGTCGAGGCAGGTGGATCACTTGAGGTCAGGAGTTCGATACCAGCCTGGACAACATGGTGAAACCCCATCTCTACTAAAAATGCAAAACTTAGCCGGGCATGGTGGAGGGTGCTTGTCATCCCAGCTACTCAGGAGGTTGAGGCAGAAGAATCGCTTGAACCCAGGAGGCAGATTGCAGTGAGCTGAGACTACACCACTGCACTCCAGCTTGGGTGACAGAATGAGACTCTGTCTCAAAAAAAAAAAAAAAAAAGAAAAAAAGAAAGAAAAAAAAAGACTGGGAGGATCAATTTCTATGTTTATTCAAAGAAACCATAAACATCAGTTCCATGGGGACAATTGGGCTGGTTTCACCTCAAGAACTAAACCCTGGTCCTCCTTTTCTGGTGGCCAGGATGGGCTGGAGCTGAGAGCCGCTGCTCACTCATCCAGCTTTTGTTTAATTGCTCTATCATCTGCGTGGTATTGGGAACTGCCAGAAGGGTGTTGTTGGAGAGCAGGCTGGGTTTCTGCCAGGGACGTGACCTGCGTGTGACGCAGGAATGCACCTGCATGTCTTGGCTCACCTGGAGACAGCATCAGCTGACATTCCTGATGGCATGGAGAGCAGGAAGGATGCTCAGGGCCTTCTATCATCACTTTGGGATTCCTCCAGGTGACCGGCCCGATGCCCAGCTCAGAGAGAAGAGACTTTCTGCTTTCAACCTGAGAGCAGAACCCTCATCTGCAGGTGCGTGGAGTCTCCTTATTTGCTAGCTTCGGAGCTGAGCAATCCTCCCACAGATCAGTGCCTAAATAAACTTGTGGGATAAACAGCTGGTGTGGAGGAGGGAACTAAGGACTGGAGTGAAAGGGTACATGAGTGGAGGAAGGGCTGGACATGCAGAACACTCATATCAAACAGGTGTGTTGGGGTTCAAACCCTGGCTTGGTTCTCCGGGGATATATGACTTTACATCAGTCACTTAACCTCGCTGAGCATTAGTTTCTTTAAAAAGAAGGGCTATGGCTGGGCGCGGTGGTTCATGCCTGTAATCCCAGCACTTTGGGAGGCCGAGGTGGGTGGTTCACCTGATGTCAGGAGTTCAAGACCAACATGGTAAAACCCCATCTCTACTAAAAATACAAAAATTGGCCGGGCGTGGTGGCTAATGCCTGTAATCCCAGCTACTCAGGAGGCTGAGGCAGGAGAATAGCTTGAACCCGGGAGGCGGAGGTTGCAGTGAGCTGAGATCACACCACTGCACTCTAGCCTGGGCGACAGAGCGAGACTCCATCTCAAACAAAAACAAAAAAAAAACACAGAAGAGCTTGAATATCTCACAACCTAAGAATGCTATTAAGATAGAGTGGGGAGCCAGGCACGGTGGCTCATGCCTGTAATCGCAGCACTTTGGTAGGCTGCGGTGGTTGGATCACTTGAGGTCAGGTGTTCAAGACAAGCCTGGCCAACATGGCAAAACCCCGTCTCTACTAAAAATACAAAAAGATAGCTGGGCATGGTGGCTTGCACCTATAATCCTATCTACTCGGAAGGCTGAGGCAGGAGAATCGCTTGAACCCGGGAGGCAGAGGTTGCAGTGAGCCGGAGATCGCGCCATTGCATTCCAGCCTGGGCAACAGAGTGAAACTACATCTCAAAAAAAAAAAAAAAAAAAAAAGGCCAGGCCAGACGCGGTGGCTTATGCCTGTAATCCCAGCACTTTGGGAGGCTGAGGCGGGCGGATCATGAGTTCAGGAGATCGAGACCATCCTGGCTAACACGATGAAACCCCGTCTCTAGTAAAAAATACAAAAAATTAGCCGGGCATGGTGGCGGGCACCTGTAGTCCCAACTACTTGGGAGGCTGAGGCAGGAGAATGGTGTGAACCCTGGAGGCGGAGCTTGCAGTGAGTAGAGATCGCGCCACTGCACTCCAGGCTGGGCGACAGAGCGAGACTCCATCTCAAAAAAAAAAAAAAAAAAAAAAAAGAAAGGTACAAAATCTCAGTTAGAAAGAAGGAATGCTTTTTTGAGAGCTATTGCACAGCCTGGTGAATATAACTAACAACACTGTATAGTACATTTCAAAACTGTTAAGAGGTCAGGCGTGGTGGCTCACGCCTGTAATCCCATCACTTTGGAAGGCCAAGGTGGGAGGATCACTTGAGCTCTGGAGTTAGAGACCAGCCTTGGCAATATAGTGGGGCTCCATCTCGGCAAAACAATTTTAAAAATTAGCCAGCCATGGTGGCGCACAGCTGTAGTCCCAGCTACTTGAGAGGCTGAGGTGGGAAAATTTCTTGAGCCTGGGACGTTGAGGCTGCAGTGAGCCGTGATCATGCCACTACACTCCAGCCTAGGTGACAGAGTGAGACCCTGTCTCTAAAACAAAAAAAAAATTGTTAAGAAAATAAATTTTAAATGTTCTCACCACCAAAAAATATAAATATTTGAGGTGATGGATGTATTAATTAGCTTGATTTAATTATTCCACGTTGTATTCATAAGCCATAACATCACGTTGTACACCATAAATACACACATGGTCAATTTACAATAAAATTTTAAAAATGTAAAGAATGGCAATGGAAACAAAAAATATTGAATGGATAAAAGGAAATGCTTCCAGAATAGTGGAGCAAGAATCTCCAAAAACTCACTCCTCCATATAAGCAAAGAGAATGCTGACAAAAATGGTCAAAATCAATTTCTTCAGACCTGGAAATTATCTAAAGGCTTGCAACAATTTGAAGAGTATATGTTCAAGTAAGAGGGCTGAATCTCAGTATAAACACTGATTTTGTGCCATTTTAATTTGCTCTAAAAGCATCCCTCTCTTCCAGATCCATGAAAATAGGCTGGCTTTTAACCATGGTAGCTGTGAAAACAAGCATCTTGCCAGTCACTGGAAGAGGCAGGCTGGGCTTGGAGCTCCCTAAAAGCCCCATCCCCCAAAAACTGTCACTATTTGACTTGTCTGCCAGTTTGCTGAAAAATGCTATTCTCAAAGCTTGTCTTTATTTGATCCAAGAGTTTGCCAGTATCTGTGCAAATAGCCCTATGCCCAAGGCATTTGTCCAAAACAATCAGTGGCAATTGTTTAACATTTCAACTACCTGATGTGGTGTAACCGTGGCAAGGCAAGGGTTAAAAAGAAAAGAAGAACAAGTTTTCCTCTGCTTAGCAGCTCACTTCAAGGACAGTTACAAGATAACACTGTCTGAAAAGTTGAAGCCAAAGGAATGGGCTCCAGACATCCATACCCGGCTAATTTTTTGTATTTTTAGTAGAGATGGGGTTTCACCATGTTAGCCAGGATGGTCTCGATCTCCTGACCTTGTGATCCCCCGCCTCGGCCTCCCAAAGTGCTGGGATTACAGGCGTGAGCCACTGCGCCTGGCTTGATCAAAAATTTTTTAAAGGAATAACTGGGAAAAGAGATGCCAATAAGATACTTTAAAAAACCCCTGCTGTGTTTCTGAGAATCTAGTGGGCTACGTGCATGTACAGGGCTGTGCGCACACCCAGGAAGACCTGAGAAGGTCCTAAACTCTCACCTCTGGCTGACCTTGAGTGTCTGCACAAGAGGAAATGAAGGCTAAGGCAGAGTTGTAAGTTGCTTGCTGGAGTATTGAAAACATGCCTCAACACACACAGAGTTTGTCAGCAAATGCTGGGAAACTTAATGGTCTAAAGCATTTAAAAAGATCACTTTTTAATTTTTTAAATCATTTTTTTAAAAATATGGAATAATTCACGAATTTGTGTGTAATCCTGGCACAAGGGTCAGATAATCTTCTCTGTATCATTTTAATTTTAGTGTATGTGCTGCCAAAGCAAGTAGACGTCTAGGAATATCTCTGTCCAGTTATTAGCTGACCACTGAGATAACTAAGCAAAGTCTTCAGTGGTTGCACAGAACAAAGAACACAGATTTTACAAAGTCCAGAAAAGTCACTAAACAAACACCAGCAGCAACAAGCAACAACAACAGCAAACCCCAGGGAGTGGGGAGAGAGGAATCTGATTTCCAGAAGTGCCATATTGTTTAATTTAATTTTTTTTTCTTTTGTAGAGACAGAGTCTTCCTATGTTGCCCAGGCTGATCTCAAAGTCCTGGGCTCAAGTGATCCTCCTGTCTTAGCCTTTCCAAGTGCTGGGATTACAGGCGTGATCCACTGCACCCGGCCATAAACTATGATGTTTGCCAGGCTAGGTGTATTGAATGCATTTTGACTTATGATATTTTCAACTTAAAATGGGTTTATCAAGACATAATTCTATTGTAAGTTGAGGAATATCTGTATATGCATAATGCAAATCCCAGAAGGATAGGATTGAGAAGAGGGGGAGAAAGAATATTAGAAGAAATAGAGGGTGAAAACTTCCTGAATTCGATTTAAAAAATATTAATCTAAATATTCAAAAAGTTTGATGAACTCCAAGTACGATAAACTAAAAAACGATTAACAGCTAGGCACATGATAGTCAAAGTGTTGAAAGTCAAAGAGAATCGTGAAAGTAGCAAGAAAAGTGTAACTCATCACATACAAGGGACATTCAATAAAATTAACAGTTGAGTTGCTATCAGAAAAAATGGTCACGATCCAGTTTTCCCAGCACCATTTGTTTGCAAAGGCAATTCTTTCCCCCTCAAATTGAAACACTTGTCAAAAACATAAGGGCTTACTTCTGGACTCTTGGTTCTATTCTATTGATCTAATGTCTATCCTTATGCCAGTACCACACTGTCTTGATTACCGTAGCTTTGCAGTAAGTTTTAAAACTGGGAAGTGTGAGACCTCTAACTTGGTACGTCTGTCTTCCAGATTGTTTTAGCTATTCCAGGTTTCTTAATTTTCATAGGAATTTTAGGACCAGCTTGTCAGTTTTTGCAAAACTACAGTCAGAATTTTGATAGGAATTGTGTTGACCCTGTAAGTAATTTTTGAGACAATTGGTATCTTAATATTAAGTCCTGGGCATGGTGGCACATGCCTGTAGTGCCAGGTACTTTGGAGGCTGAAATAGAAGGATGATTTGAGTTCAGATACTCAAGTCCATCCTGGGCAACATAGTAAGAACTTCATCTCTAAAAACAAAAACAAAACCCACAACATTAAGTCTTCTGATCCATGAATATGGGACGTATTCCCATTTATTTAGGTCTGTGATTTCTTTCAACAATGTTTTGTGGTTTTAAATATACAAGTCTTGCAGTTTATTTGTTTATTTATTTGAGATGGAGTCTCTCTCTGTCCCCAGGCTGGAGTGCAGTGATGCAATCTCAGCTCACTGCAACCTCCGCCTCCGGGGTTCAAGCCATTCTCATGCCTCAGCTTCCTGAGTAGCTGGGACTATAGGCTCACGCCACCATTCCCAGTTAATTTTTTTGTGTTTTTAGTAGAGATGGGGTTTCGTCATGTTGCCCAGGCTGTTGTTGAACTCCTGACCTCAAGTGATCCACCCACCTCGGCCTCCCAAAGTGCTAGGATTACAGGCATGAGCCACTGTGCCCAGCCAATCCTATTTCTTTGCATGTCTCATAATTATTTCTTGAAAGCTGGATTTTTTTAAAAATTATTATTATTATTATCATTATTTGAGACAGAGTCTTGCTCTGTCGCCCAGGCTGGATTGCAGTGGCGTGATCTTGGCTCACTGCAAGCTCTGCCTCCTGGGTTCATGCCATTCTCCTGCCTCAGCCTCCCGAGAGCTGGGACCACAGGTGCCTGCCACCACACCTGGCTGATTTTTTGTATTTTTAGTAGAGACGGGGTTTCACCGTGTTAGCCAGGATGGTCTCAATCTCCTGACCTCGTGATCTGCCCGCCTTGGCCTCCCAACGTGCTGGGATTACAGGCGTGAGCTGCCACGCCCGGCCAAAAACTGGACGTTTTAGATAATGTATTTTAGCAACTCTGACACTTGATTCCCCCAACTCCAGTCAGGGGTTGTGGTTACTGTTGTTTGCTAGGTGATGTATTACTTTGTGACTGGGCTGAACAAGTTTCACCACTACGATCCTCATCTCACACTATGCAGACTCAGATGTCCCTGCTCAGATTTTTTCTTCCTGTTTTTACCTTTTAACTTGGCTACCTAGGGGTCGCCCCTGGGTCAGCATAAGCCACTTAATGGTTAAAGATTGTGCTTGGCCAGGCACGGTGGCTCATGTCTGTAATCCCAGCACTTTGGGAGGCCGAGGCAGGAGGAGCACTTGAGCCCAGGAATTCAAGACGGGCCTGGGCAACACAGCGAGACCCCATCTCTACAAAAAATAAAACAAATTAGCCAGTCATGGTGGTGCATGCCTGTAGTCCCAGCTACTCAGGAGACTGAGGTGGGAGGATTGCTTGGGCCCAGGAGTTCAAGGCTGCAGTGAGCCATGATCATGCCACTCCATTCCAGCAGCCTGAGTGACAGAGTGACACCTTGTCTCTCTCTCAAAAAAAAGTTGTGTTTAAGCCCCTTGGCCAGTTAGATTTTTGCCCTTTCCCACTGGACGTGTGTGTGGCTTGGAGGCTGCTATCACCATTCAGAGAATTTCCCCTTTTGCCCTGGTCAGTCAGGAACTGGTAGCTTGGCATTCTTCCTGTGATTTCTCCCGAGAAGGCGCAGCTTTGGGCAGGCAGCCTTCCAGATGGCCGGGGATGGCTCTGACGTCATCTTTAAGCCTGGCTTCCTAGGAGTCACCGCTGTGCCAGAGCGGCTTATCGTTTGTTCCGTGCTGGCCACAGCTTATGCTAAGCCCCTGGTACCTGTGACAATGGGTCTGGGTGCGTGTGGGGAATGTTTTGGGTCTACTCCAGGTGTTAATCTGATTGCTTCGAGTGGGTGCTGCCAAGCACAGGTCCACAGAATTCCTGACCACCTCCCCCCAGTTTGTCTATGATCCCGTGGAGATATTCTTGGCTCTCTCTTTCTCTCGTTCTCTCTCTCTCTTTTTCTTTTTTTTGGAGACAGAGTCTCGCTCTGTTGCCCAGGCTGGAGCGCAGTGGTGCGATCTTAGCTCACTGCAACCTCTACCTCCCATGTTCAAACGATTCTCCTGCCTCAGCCTCCGGAGTAGCTGGGACTACAGGTGCATGCTGCCACTCCCAGCTAATTTTTGTAGTTTTAGTAGAGATGAGGTTTCACCACGTTGGCCAGGGTGGTCTTGAACTCCTGACCTCAGGTGATCCGCCTGCCTTAGCTTCCCAAAGTGCTGAGATTATAGATGTGAGCCAATGTGCCTGGTCTTAAGTTTCTTTATAATCAATGGTCTCTTCAGTGCACTTTTTTTTTTTTCGAGATGGAGTCTCTCTCTGTCACCCAGGCTGGAGTGCAATGGCATGATCTTGGCTCACTGAAACCTCCACCTTCCTGGTTTAAGCAATTCCCCTGCCTCAGCCTCCCGAGTAGCTGGGATTACAGGTGCATGCCACCACGCCCAGTTAATTTTTTTGTATTTTTAGTAGAGACAGGGTTTCACCATGTTGGCCAGACTGGTCTCAAACTCTTGACCTCAGGCAATCGGCCCGCCTCAGCCTCCCAAAGTGCTGGGATTACGGGCATGAGCCACTGCGCCCGGCTTCACTGCCCGTTTTTATGTCAGGGATTTGTTGGCGAGACTGAAGCCCCTGTCCTACAGAATGTCCCGCATTCTGGATATAGCCAATTGTGTTCCTGTGGTTTCACTTAACACAAAGATGTGAATATTCTTGTCTCTTTTACTTAGAACTAGAGGAAAATCTGTTTGGGCAAGACTTCTGTGATTCCCATAGGTCAGAGGGTGTGTGTATTTTTTTCTCTTTTTTTTTTTTTTTTTTTGAGACAGAGTCTTGCTCTGTTGCCCAGGCTGGAGTGCAGTGGCGCTGTCTCGGCTCACTGCAATCTCCACCTCCCGGGTTCACGCCATTCTCCTGCCTCAGCCTCCCGAGTAGCTGGGACTACAGGTGCCCGCCACCATGCCCGGCCAATTTTTTGTATTTTTTAAGTAGAGACGGGGTTTCACTGTGTTAGCCAGGATGCTCTCAATCTCCTGACCTCGTGATCCACATGCCTCGGCCTCCCAAAATGCTGGGATGACAGGCGTGAGCCACCGCGCCCGGCCGGGTGTGTGTATTTTAGATTTTGACTTGTGCTGCTGAAAAGGTTGCACTAATGTACAGGCCTCTAACCCTGTATGGAAATGCCGTTCCCACCCCAGCCATAAGCAGAATCAACCCTTAATGTGATCTTTTAATATTTTTAATAGAGACAGGGTCTTGTTCTGTTGTCCAGAACTACTCCTGGGCTCAAGCGATTCTCCCACCTGGGCCTCCCAAAATGATG
The DNA here is from genome assembly GCF_000001405.40 of Homo sapiens. Classification (NCBI taxonomy): domain Eukaryota; kingdom Metazoa; phylum Chordata; class Mammalia; order Primates; family Hominidae; genus Homo; species Homo sapiens. Next base: position 5,175,584 of record NC_000007.14, on the reverse strand, counting down.
GGATACAGGCATGAGCCACCACACCCGGCCTACTATGATCTTTTAAAAATTCTTGGGCCCGGCGCCGTGGCTTACGCCTGTAATCCCAGCACTTTGGGAGGCCGAGGCGGGCGGATCATGAGGTCAGGAGATCGAGACCACCCTGGCTAACACGGTGAAACCCCATCTCTACTAAAAATACAAACAATTATTTAGGCGTGGTGGTGGGCACCTGTAGTCCCAGCTACTCGGGAGGCTGAGGTAGGAGAATGGCGTGAACCTGGGAGGCGGAGCTTGCAGTGAGCGGAGATCGCGCCACTGCACTCCAGCCTGGGCGACAGAACGAGACTCCGTCTCAAAAAAAAAAAAATTCTTTCAGTTTTTCTGAGACAGGGTCTCGCTCTGTCACCCGGGCTGGAGTGCAGTGGCATAATTATGACTCATTGCAGCCTTGACCTCCCGGGCTCAAGTCATCCTCCCACCGCAGCCTCCCAAGTAGCTGAGACTACAGGAGCGTCCCACCATGCCCAGCTAATTTTTATTTTTATTTTTTTGAGATGGAGTCCTGCTCTGTCGCCAGGCTGGAGTGCAGTGGTGCGATCTCGGCTCGCTGCAACCTCCGACTCCCCGGTTCGAGCGATTCTCCTTCCTCAGCCTCCGGAGTAGCTGGGATTACAGGCGTGCGCCACCATGCTCAGCTAATTTTTGTATTTTTAGTAGTGACAGGGTTTCACCATGTTGGCCAGGATGGTCTCAATCTCCTGACCTCGTGATTCGCCTGCTTTGGCCTCCCAAAGTGTTGGGATTACAGGCGTGAGCCACCGCGCCCGGCCAGTGATCATTTTTAATATGTGATAATTCTATTTCTGGCCACAAGAGGCCACCAACTCCCAGCATGTTGGACCCAAGGGGACCCTCCTAGGCTGGCTGACTTGGCATGGGCTCCCCTCCTGGGAGGCGGGAATGGGACTATTGTTCCGGGAAACACCTCAAGTCCCGTGATCAGGACTAGAGGAGTGGGGCGGACAGGGCAGGATTGGACAAGAGGCTGCACATGTCAGAGAAGGGCCAGGCTGAATTTCAGACCTGGTGGTCAGCTCCTGGAAATTCGAGCACTGAACCCTTCTGTGATTAAAAATGCATGGTAGTTAAAGCTGCCGGCCATCGTTATGGCAGCAGGTGTGCCTCCGAACACACTTCTTCCCCCCTCTGCTATGCACGACAGACATACACACACACACACACACACACACACAGTACAAAGATGTGGAGATGTGGCCTCTCTCTTTTTTGTTGGTGTAGTTACGTATATTTTCAGGTGCTTTTTTTTGGTTGATTGAAGTATAATTTACATACGGCAAAATTCACCTGTGTTAGGTGTATAGTTCTATACATTTTTTTTTTTTTTTGAGATGGAGTCTCGCTGTCACCAAAGCTGGTGTGCAGGGCACAATCTCAGCTCACTGCAACCTCCGACTCCCAGGCTCAAGCAATGCTCTTGCCTCAGCCTCCTGAGATGCTGGGATTACAGGCACCTGCCACCACACCTGGCTAATTTCTGTATTTTTAGTAGAGACAGGGTTTCATCATGTTGGCCAGGCTGGTCCCGAACTCCTGGCCTCAAGTGATCCACCCACCTGGGACTCCCAAAGTGCTAGGATGACAGGCATGAGCCACCTCACTTGGCCTGTTGTGGTTTAATTTGCAATTCCTCGTGGTCAGTAATGTTGTGCATGCTTTCCTGTGCTTATTTGCCATCCGTATATCTTCTTTGATAAAGCGTCTTTTCAACACTGAGTGCATTTTCTTTTTTAGAGGGGGAGTCTTCCTCTGTTGCCCAGGCTGAAGTGCAGTGGCGCCATCATAGCTCACTGTAATCTCACAGCGCTGTGTGCACAGCTGTGGTCCAAGCTACTCGAGAGGCTGAGGTGGGAGGGTCGTCTGGGAGGGTCGTCTGGCCCCAGGAAGTTGACGCTGCAGTGAGCTGTGATTGCGCCACTGCACTCCAGCCTGGGTGACAGAGCAAGACACCATCTTAAAAAAAAGAAAAAAAAAAAGGCTAGGCATAGTGGCTCATGCCTGTAATGCCAGCACTTTGGGAGGCCGAGGTGGGTTGATCACTTGAGGTCAGGAGTTCGAGAACATCCTGGCCAACATGGTAAAACCCCGTCTCTACTAAAAATACAAAAATTAGCTGGGCGTGGTGGCGCATGCCTGTAATCCCAGCTACTCGGGAGGCTGAGGCAGGAAAATCACGGAACCTGGGAGGCGGAGGTTGCAGTGAGCCGAGATCATGCCACTGCACTCCAGCCTGGCGACAGAGTGAGACTCGGTCTCAAAAAAACAAAACAAAACAAAAACCAAAAACAACAAAAAAGAAATCAATGATTTTTTTTTGTCAATAATAACCAAACACTGGAAACAGCTCAGGTGTTGATCAACAGCAGAAGGATTCAACAAACTATGGGGCACCTATGCCCTAGAAAACCACCTGACAATAAAAATAAGTGAACTACTGATGCCCACAACTTGCATGGATCTCAAACACGTTCTAAGGAATCTAGAATGATTCCATTTCTAAGAAGTTCTAGAATAGGCAAAGCTAGTCAGAACAGGCAGTGAAGATTGAGTGGAACAGGCATGATGGAACTTTCTGCGATTCTTTTTTTTTTTTTTGAGACAGGGTCTTGCTCTGTCACCCAGGCTGGAGTGCAGTGGTGCAGTGGCATGATCGTAGCTCACTGCAGCCTCGACCTCCTGGGCTCAGGTGATCCTTCTGCCTCAGCCTCCCGGCTAGCTGGGACCACAGGCACGCCACCACACCTGGCTAATTTTTGTAGTTGTTCTAGAGGCAGGGTCTTGCCATGTTGCCCAGGCTGGTCTCGATCTCCTGGACTCAAGTGATCTGCCTGACTCAGCCTCCTGAAGTGCTAGGACTGCAGGCGTGAGTCACCACACCTGCCCCATCATTTTTAAAAATGCATTTCAAAGTAGCTGGCAAACATCACGATAAGCACTTCAGCATGCATACTATTAACTAGAGTTGAATATGTGTTTACCGCTTCGTTTTTGGCAGGGGAAATTTACACGGTGCAATGCATAACTTTTGAGTGAACGTTCACTGATGGTTAACAAATGCAGACACATGTGTGAGCCAAAGCCCTTTAAATATATATAGAATCAGCCGGGCGCGGTGGCGCATGCCTGTAATCCCAGCACTTTGGGAGGCCGTGGCGGTGGATTACCTGAGGTCAGGGGTTTGAGACCAGCCTGGCCAACATGGTGAAACCCCGTTTCTACTAAAAATACAAAATCACCCAGATGTGGTGGCACATGCCTATAATCCCAGCTACTCAGGAGGCTGAGGGAGGAGAATCGCTTGAACCCAGGAGGCAAAGGTTGCAGTGCGCCGAGATCACGCCACTGCACTCCAGCCTGGGCGACAGAGTGAGACTCCATCTCAAAAAAGGCAAAAACAAAAACAACAGCAACAACTATATATATATATTCTGGCCAGGTGTAGTGATTCATGCTTTGAGAGCACTTTGGGAAGCAAAGGGGGTGGGTGGGAATGGCTTGAGGTCAGGAGTTTGAGACCATCCCAGGCAATGTGGTGAAACCCCATCCCTAGTCGAAATACAAAATATTAGCCGGGGGTGGTTGCAAGGCAGCACCACTGTACTTCAGCCTGGACACAGAGTGAGACTCTGTCTCAAAATTAAAGAAAGAAAAAAAAAGAAAAAAGGATGGATGAATGTATCAAGGGATAGATACATGACAGGACAAATAGGGTAAGATGCCAGTAGTAGCATCTGGGAGGTGGCCGTACATGTGTTCATGATACAATTCTGTTAAACTTCTCTGAATGCTTGAAAAAGTACAAGATAAAAATGTTGGCAAAATTAACTGTCAGTGATTTATCTTTCTGTCTTTTTTTGTTTGTTTCTGTTTCAGAGACAGGGTCTGGCTCTGTTGCTGAGGCTGGAGTACAGTGGCATGATCATAGCTCTCTGTAGCCTCAACCTCCTGGGCTCAAGTGATCCCCCTGACTCAGCCTCCCCAGTAGCTGGGATTACAGGCGTGTGCCAACATGCCCAGTTGATTTTTAAAATTTTTTTGTAGAGGCTGGGCTCGGTGGATCATGCCTGTAATCCCAGCACTTTGGGAGGCCAAGGTTGGTGGATGACCTGAGGTCAGGAGTTCGAGACCAGCCTGGCCAACATGGTGAAACCCCGTCTCTACTAAAAATACAAAGGAAAAAACAAAAGAAAAAAAAATCAGCCAGGCGTGGTGGCATGCGCCTGTAACCCCCAGCTACTTGGGAGGCTGAGCCAGAAGAATTGCTTAAACTGGGGAGGCAGAGGTTGCAGTGAGCAGAGATCACACCACTGCTCTCCAGCCTGGGCAACAGAGCAAGACTTCATCTCAAAGAAAATTTAAAAAAAAAAATTTTTTTTTGTAGATATGGGTCTTGCTCTGTTGCCCTGGCTGGTCTCAAACTCCTGGGCTCAGGGGATCCGACCCCTTCAGCCTGCCAAAGTGCTGGGATTACAAATATGAGCTACCTTGCCTGGCCTGATTTCTCTTTCTTAGTAGTACCTAAGAGAAACATGCATCTTACAGGTGATGGTGCCCTAGATCTAATGAAATATGGTGTTATTTTTAAGCTCAGCCAGGACGAGTGCAGTGGCTCACGCCTGTAATCCCAACACTGGGAGGCCAAGGCGGGTGGATCACTTGAGGTCAGGAGTTTGAGACCAGCCTGGCCAACATAGTGAAACTCTGTTTCGACTAAAAATACAAAAATTAGGTGGGCATGGTGGTGCACGTCTGTAAACGCAGCTTCTGGCAAACCTGAGGCATGAGAATCGCTTGAACCCAGTAGGCAGAGGTTGCAGTCTGCCGAGATTGCGCTACTGCACTCCAGCCTGGGTGACAGAGAAAGACGACTCTCTCAAAAAAAAAAAAAAGATACAAAGAAAAATAAAAGAAGCTCAGCAGCCAGGAACCTAGGCACTGCCCTCAGTGGCCACCACCTGCCCATTTCCTTTGAAAACTCTGGACTCTGTCTCCTGGAATCTGCATTCTCTGATCCCCCCAAGTCAACGTGGAACCAGCTCCTGCCCTAGATGGCAGCACCACCTTTTCCCAGCACCCATGCCACACCCTCCTGTGACACTGAGTGTGTGGTTCCCCTACTTCCTTCCCTCCCCGGCACCTGGAGGACAGAGGCCAGACCCCTTACTCCAATTCTAGGAACCAGAGGGACTCCAATCGCACCACACTGCTGCATGCCGCTGAGCCTTTGTGGGTGCTGGTGTTTTTGTTTTGTTTTTTGTTGTGGTGTTTTTTGAGACAGAGTCTCTCTCTGTCCCCCAGGCTGGAGTGCAGTGGCGTGATCTGCAACCTCTGCCTCCCAGGTTCAAGCATTCAAGCGATTCTCCTGCCTCAGCTTCCCAAGTTGCTGTGGGGACTACAGGCACGCACCAGCATGCCTGGCTAATTTTTGTATTTTTAGTAGAGATGGAGTTTCACCATGTTGGCCAGGCTGGTCTCGAACTCCTGATCTCGGGTGATCCACCCACCTTGGCCTCCCAAAGTACTGGGATTACAGGCTTGAGCCACCATACCTGGCCTGCTCTTGACCTCTTTTATTGTTGTTTTTGTTGTGTAGATCAAGCCACGACATCACTGGGTAGCTGTCAATCCATTAGGAACACCGCTAGGTCTATTTCCCATTGCCACTGATTGCTTGGGGTTAGGACGCCATGGTTCTCATTCCAGCGTTGCCACCCGTATGATCAGTGTATTTCTCTCACCTCTGATGGCTAAGTGCTACCTCTTAGAATTTATTTATTTATCGTTATTATTATTTTTTCAAGATGGAGTCTTGCTGTGTCGCCTAGGCTGGAGTGCAGTAGTGCGATCTCTGCTCCCTGCAACCTCTGCCTCCCAAGTAGCTGGGATTACAGGTGCATGCCACCATGCCTGGCTAATTTTTGTATTTTTAGTAGAGACGGGGTTTCGCCATCTTGGCCGGGCTGGTCTCGAACTCCTGACCTCGTGATCCACCCACCTCGGCCTCCCAAAGTGCTGGGATTACAGGTGTGAGCCACCCCACCCCGCCTATTTATTTATTGAAATGGAGTCTCGCTCTGTTGCCCAGGTTGGAGTTCAGTGGCATGATCTCGGCTCACTGCAACCTCTGCCTTCCGGGTTCAAGCAATTCTCCTGCCTCAGCCTTTTTAGTAGCTGGGCTTACAAGCACCCACCACCACGCCCAGCTAATTATTGTATTTTTAGTAGAGATGGGGTTTTGCCATGTTGGCCAGGCTTGTCTCCAACCCCTGACCTTGGGTGATTCATCCGCCTTGGCCTCCCAAAGTGTTGGGATTACAGGCGTAAGCCACCGCACCTGGCCAATTTTTGTACTTTTATTTTATTTTTATATTATATTATTATTTTTTTTCTGAGACAGAGTCTTGCTCTGTTGCCCAGGCTGGAGTGCAGTGGCATCATCTTGGCCCACTGCAACCTCTGCCTCCCAGGTTCTACCTTTCTCCTGCCTCAGCCTCCCAAGTAGCTGAGATTACAGGTGCCCGCCACCGCATCCTACCTAATTCTTGTACTTTTAGTAGAGATGGGGTTTTATCATGTTGCCAGGCTGGTCCTGAACTCCTGACCTCAGGTGATCCGCCCCCCTCAGCCTCCCAAAGTGCTGGGATTACAGGCATGAGCCATTGCGCCTGGCCAACTCCGCATTTTTAAACAAAGTTTTCTCTTCCTTAACCAATTAGAAATAAAAAAAAAAAATCTTTGAATCCACCTATGACCTGTAAGCCCCCACTTTAAGATATCCCACCTTTTAGGGCCAAACCAACGTATAGCCTCCATACTGATTTATGACTTTGCCGTAACCTCCGCCTCCTTACCTTTAAAGACGCCTACCTGCAAGCCAGCAGGGAGTTCTGGATGTAAAGCTGCCAGATTCTCCTTGCTTGGCGCCCTGCAAATAAATGCCCTCTTTTTTCTCGCTGCAAACCTTGGTGTGGGTGGTTGGCCTCACTGTGCCAGGCATCTGGACCCTGTGAAGGTCAGTCCTTGCTTCCTCTCACTGATTTTTTTTTTTTTTTGAGACAGGGTCTCACTCCCTTCTCCCAGCTGCTGGAGTGCAGTGGCACAATCATTGCCCACTGCAGCCTCCACTTCCTGGACTCGGGTGATTCTCCCACTTCAGCCTCCTGAGTAGCTGAGACCACATGCATGTGTCACCACGCCCGGCAAATGTTTTGTATTTTTAGTGCAGGCAGGGGTCTTGCTATGTTGCCCAGGCTGGTCTCAAACTCCTGAGCTCAAGCAGTCCGCCCGCCTTGGCCTCCTAAAGTGAAGGAAATATAGGTGTGTGCCACCATACCAGGCCCAAGATGTTATCTTTAATTTCTATAGAGAACCAAGTATCTGGTGACTCTAACTCCCTTGGCTATTGGTTTAAGCTACTTTTTTTTTTTTTTTGGAGACAGAGTTTTGCTCTGTCACCCAGGCTGGAGTGCAATGGTGCAATCTCGGCTCACTGCAACCTCCGCTTCCTGGGTTCAAGCGATTCTCCTGCCTCAGCCTCCTGAGTAGCTGGGGTTACAGGTGCATCCCACCACACCCAGCTAATTTTTGTAGTTTTGTTTTGTTTTGTTTTGTTTTGTTTTTGAGACACAGTCTCAGCTCTGGTGCTAGGCTGGAGTGCAGTGGTGCAATCTCGGCTCACTGCAGCCTCTACCTCCTGGGTTCAAGTGATTCGCCTGCCTCAGCCTCCCAAGTAGCTGGGACTACAGCGTGTGCCACCACGCCCAGCTAATTTTTGTATTTTTAGTAGAGATGGGGTTTCACCATGTTGGCCAGGATGGTCTTGATTTCTTGACCTTGTGATCCACCCGCCTTAGCCTCCCGCGGTAGTTTTTAGTAGAGACGGGGTTTCACCATGTTGGCCATGCTGGTCTCGAACTCCTGACCTCAGGTGACCTGCCTGCCTCAGCCACCCAAAGTACTGGGATTACAGCCATGAGCTACCGTGCCTGGCGGATTCAAGGCTGTTATCTGTATCCTGAGATCTGTTCCTTCTGGCTCCTTCATCCCCTCACAACCCTGTAGTTGCTTCTCTTGCAGTTACCCGCCATGATCCAATGCCATTTAACCTGAATCCATGCTCAGGGCTTCCCTATAAGTGCTGGGCTCTCTCCTGTTGGAAAGAAACAATTTCTTTTTCTTTTTTTTTTTTTTTTGAGATGGAGTTTCACTCTTGTTGCCCAGGCTGGAGTGCAATGGTGCGATCTTGGCTCACTGCAACCTCCGCCTCCCGGGTTCAAGCGATTCTTGTGCCTCAGCCTCCTGAGTAGCTGGGATTACAGGCACCCATCACCACGCCCTGCTAACTTTTTTGTGTGTTTTTAGTAGAGACATGGTTTCGCCATGTTGGCCAGACCGGTCTTGAACTCCTGACCTCAGGTGATCCGCCTGCCTCCACCTCCCAAAGTCCTGGGCTTACAGGTGTGAGCCACCAGGCCCGGCCGGAAAGAAATATTTTCTGAGATACATAAGCTTTTTTTAAAAATTAAGGGCCAGGCACCGTGGCTCACATCTGTAAGTGCAGCACTTTGGGAGGCTAAGGCAGGAGGATTGATTGAGGCCAGGAGTTGGAGGCTACAGTGAGCTGTGATTGCACCACTGCACTCTAGCCTGGGAGACAGAGCGAGACCCTGACTCTAACAATAATTACATCAATAAAATTTGAAAGTTAAAATTAAGATTCTTCAGCTTCTTTTGGGCCGGGTATGGTCGCTCATGCTTGTAATCCCAGCACTTTGGGAGGCTGCAGCAGGTGGATCACTTGAGGCCAGGAGTTTGAGACCAGCCTGGCCAACACTGTGAAACCCCATCTCTACTAAAAATACAAAAATTAGCCGGTGTGGTGATGCATGCCTGTAATCCCAGCTGTTCAGGAGGCTGAGACAGGAGAATCGCTTGAACTTTGGAGATGGAGGTTGCGGTGAGCTGAGAGCATGCCACTCTATTCCAGCCCGGGTGACAGAACTAGACTCCGTCTCAAAAAAAAAAAAGAAAGATTCTTCAGTCTCTTTTGATCTTCCTATGCCCACTTCATGGTGCCCGGAGCTGCTCATGTTTAGATTTGCCATGGGCGGTGCTCCCATACATCTGAAGATGCAAAGATCTCTTTTCTTCCTGGTCACCTAATCCTGCTGGCCTTCTCAGGCTCATCTGCAGAAGACCCCACTCAAAAGTAGGGTCTGGCCGGCCGCGGTGGCTCATGCCTGTAATCCCAGCACTTTGGGAGGCTGAGGCAGGTGGATCACCTGAGGTCAGGAGTTCAAGAACAGCCTGGCCAACATGGCGAAACCCCGTCTCTACTAAAAAATACCAAAATTAGCCAGGCATGGTGGTGGGCGCCTATAACCCCATCTACTCGGGAGGCTGAGGCTGGAGGATAGCTTGAACCTGGGGGTTGGAGGTTGCAGTGAGTCAAGATCATGCCACTGGGTGAAAGAGCGAAACTCCATCTCAAAAAAAATAAAAATAAAAAAAGTGGGGTCTTCTTCAGAAGATATGTTTGCATGATTTCCATGAGGAAGGCATGTGCTCTGTCCCTTTCTTCCCAATGCTCACTGTGTCTTTTTTTTTTTAATATATGTTTGCATGATTTCCATGAGGAAGGCATGTGCCCTGTCCCTTTCTTCCCAATGCTCACCGCGTCTTTTTTTTTTAATAGACTTGACTTTTTTAGGCCAGTTTTAGATTCATGGCAACATTGAGCGAAAGGTACAGAGAGTTCTCACATGTTCCCTGCCCGTGCTAATAGCCTCTCCCATTATCATCTTCCACCAACGTGGTACATTTGTTACAATCAGGGAACCTATATTGACATCATTTTCACACAAAGTCCACAGTTTGCATTAGGGTCCGTCTTGGTGTCGTGCATGTCATGGGTTTGGATAAATGTGTCAGAACATGCATCCACTGTTAGAGCTCTCTCAGAGGCGTTTCCCTGCCCGAAAAATCCTCCGTGCTCTGCCTCTTCATGCGTCCCTCCCTTCGTGCATCCGTCCCAGGGACAAAAGGTTGTCCCTGGCAACCTTTTGTTTCCAGACCCTAGCAACGGATCCTTTTACTGTCTCCATAGTTGGGCCTTTTCTGAATGTAATATAGTTGGAATCATACAGCATTAATTTTTTTTTTCCACTGAGACAGAGTCTCGCTGTGTCACCCAGGCTGGAGAGCAGTGGTGCCATCATAGCTCACTGCAGCCCTAACGTCCTGGGCTCAATTGATCCTCCCGCCTCAGCCTTCTGAGGAGCTGGGACTATGGGTATGCGTCACCACGCCCAGCCAAGTGTCCTGGATTTTTTTTTTTTTTTTTTTGAGATGAAGTCTCGTTCTTGTCCCCCAGGCTGGAGTGCAATGGCGCGATCTCGGCTCACTGCAACCTCCACCTCCCGGGTTCAAGCAATTCTCCTGCCTCAGCCTCCCAAGTAGTGGGATTACAGGCGCCCACCACCACGCCCAGCTAATTTTTGTATTTTTAGTAGAGACGGGGTTTCACCATGTTGGCCAGGCTGGTCTTGAACTGCTGGCCTCAGGTGATCCGTCCGCCTCGGCCTCCCAAAGTGCTGGGATTACAGGCATGAGCCACTGTGCTCTGCCGTGTTCTGGATTTTTGTCATCCTAATAGGTTTGTAGAGGTATCTCATTGTTTCAGTTTGCATTTTCCCAATGACATATGATATGAAGCATCTTTTCATATGCATATTTGCCACCTGTGTATCTTTTTTTTTTTTTTGAGATGGTGTGTTGCTCTGTCACCCAGGCTGGAGTGCAGTGGCGTGATCTTGGCTCACTGCAAGCTCCACCTCCTGGGTTCATGCCATTCTCCTGCCTCAGCCTCCCCAGTAGCTGGGACTACAGGTGCCTGCCACCATGCCCAGCTAATTTTTTGTATTTTTAGTAGAGACGAGGTTTCACTGTATTAGCCAGGATGGTCTCGATCTCCTGACCTTGTGATCTGCCTGCCTCGGCCTCCCAAAGTGGTGGGATTACAGGTGTGAGCCACCGTGACCGGTCTCCACCTGTATATCTTCTTTGGAAAGATGTCTCTTAAGGTCTTTTGGCCCATTTAAAAATCAGGTTGTTTTCCTATTGTTGAGTTTCAAGAGTTCTTTGTATATTTTGGTTAACAGTCCTTCTTCATTTTTTATTTTTTTTGAGACTGAGTCTCACTCTGTCGCCCAGGCTGGAGTGCAGTGGTGTGATCTTGGCTCACTGCAAGCTTCCGCCTCCCAGGTTCACGCCATTCTCCTGCCTCAGCCTCCCCAGTAGCTGGGACTACAGGTGCATGCTGCCACGCCTGGCTAATTTTCTGTATTTTTAGTAGAGACGGGGTTTCACCGTGTTAGCCAGGATGGTCTCGATCTCCTGACCTCGTGATCTGCCCATCTCGGCCTCCCAAAGTGCTGGGATTACAAGAGTAAGCCACCGCGCCCGGCCAACCGTCCTTCTTTATCAGCTATATCTTTAGCAAATATTTTCTCCCAGTCTGCGGCTTGTCTTTTCATTCTCTTGACAACATCTTTCAGAGGGAAGACATTTTTTAATTCAGTGAAGTCCAACTTAGCAATTTTTTTTCTGTTTTTTTTTTTTTTTTTTTTTTTTTGAGACGGAGTTTCACTCTTGTTGCCCAGGCTGGAGTGCAATGGCATGATGTCGGCTCACTGCAACCTCTGCCTCCCGGGTTCAAGTGATTCTCCTGTCTCAGCCTCCCGAGTAGCTGGGATTACAGGCATGTGCCACCATACCTGGCTAATTTTGTATTTTTAGTAGAGGTGGGGTTTCTCCATGTTGGTCAGGCTGGTCTCAAACTCCCGACCTCAGGTTATCTGCCCACCTCAGCCTCTCAAAGTGCTGGGATTACAGGCGTGAGCCATTGCACCCGGCCCAATTCTTTCTTTCATGAATCCCACCTTTGGCGTTGTATCTAAAAAGTCATTACCAAACCTGAAGTTATCTAGATTTTCTCCTGTGTTACCTTCTAAAAGTTTTATGGTTTTGACCTTTACATTTAGGTCTCTGATCCATCTGAATTAATTCTGTGAAGTGTGTAAGGTCAGAGTCTGGACTCAGTTGTTTGCATGTGGATGTCCATCCAGTTGTTCAGCAACATTTGTTAAAAAGACCGTCTTTGTCTTTGCTCATTGTATTGCCTTTGCTCTTCCGTCAAAGGTCATTTGACTCTATTTATGTGGGTCTGTTTCTGAGATGTCTGTTCTATTCAACTGATCTATTTTGTTTTTTAAGAGACAGTGTTTCGCCATGTTGTCCAGGGTGGTCTCATTCTCCTGACCTTAAGTGAACCACCTGCCTTGGCCTCCCAAAGTGCTGGGATTACAGGCGTGAGACACTGCACCTGGCTCATTGATCTATTTATCTATTTTTTTCACTAATATCACACTGTCCTGATTACCGTAGCTTTACAGTAAGTCTTGAAATACCATCGTACTTTATCAATTTCTCTGTGCCATTCCACCACTTTTTTTTTTGAGACAGAATTTCGCTCTTGTCGCCCAGGCTGGAGTGCAATGGCGCAATCTCAGCTCACCGCAACTTCCACCTCCCTGGTTCAAGCGAGTCTCCTGCCTCAGCCTCCCAAGTAGCTGGGATTACAGGCGCCTGCCACCATGCCCGGCTAATTTTTTGTATTTTTAGTAGAGACGGGGTTTCACCATGTTGGCCAGGCTGGTCTTGAACTCCTGCCCTCAGGTGATCCACCCTTCTCGGCCTCCCAAAGTGCTGGGATTCCAGGCGTGAGCCACTGTGCCCGGCCTAGTTCCAGCACTTCTAACCTCATGTATTCTGATGCTTTTGTTAGGTGCATACACATTAGGGATTAATTATGTGTTTTTGGAGAACGGACTCCTTTATCATTCTGTAATGCCCCTCTTTTTTTTTTTCCTGGCACAGGGTCTCATTCTGTCACCGAGGCTGGAGTACACTGGTGTGACCATGACTCACTGAAATCTGGAGCTCCCAGGATCAAGTGATCCTCCAGTTTTGGTCTCCTAAGTAGCTGGGACTACGGTATGCACCACCATGACCAGCTGATATATGTACATATATTTTTATTTATTGTAGAGACAGGGTCTTGCTATGTTGCCCAGGTTGATCACAAACTCCTGGGCTCAAGCAATCCCCCCCACCTTGGTCTCCCAAAGTGCTGGGATTATCGATGTGAATGGAACACCTGGCTGTAATGCCTCTTAAGCTCTGATAACTTTCTTTGCTTTGAGGTCTTCTTTGTTTAGTATTATCATGGTATAGCTTTCCCCACCTCTTTATTTACTTATTTATTTATTTATTTATTTAGAGATGGCATCTCGCTCTGTCACCCAGACTGGAGGCAGTGGTGCCATTTTGGCTCGTTGCAACCTCCGCCTCCCGGGTTCAAACGATTCTCCTGCCTCAGCCTCCTGAGCAGCTGGGACCACAGGCGCACACCGCCATGCCCAACTAATTTTTGTGTGTTTTTAGTAGAGATGGGAGTTTCACCATGTTGGCCAGGCTGGTCTTGAACTCCTGACCTCAGCTGATCCACCCTCCTCGGCCTCCCAAAGTGCTGAGATTACAGGCGTGAGCCACTGCGCCCGGCTGACCTTTTAAAAAAACACCTTCTACAAAGCTTCTGGATGGTTTTTGCATTTTATTATGCCTTGTAATTTTTTCTCCGATAACTGGACATAATTTATTGGGTAAAAGGAGCTGCTATAAATAGACCTGGGGGAGAGTAGTGGTAAGGTGTGGTGGGAGGAGAAGCCTTCTGTAATAGTCCTCTGAGCAGGTCTTAATCTTTGTTTTAAATTATTATTATTTTTTAAAGATGAGGTCTCACTATATTGCTCAGGCTGGTCTTAAACTCTTCAGCTCAAGCAATCCTCCCACCTCAACCTCCCAAAGTACTGGGATTCTGGGCATGAGCCATTGTGCCCGGACAGATCTTTTTTTTTTTTTTTTGAGACAGAGTCTCACTCTGTCGCCCAGGCTGGAGTGCAGTGGCGCAATCTGTGCTCACTGCAAGCTCTGCCTCCCGGGTTCACGCCATTCTCCTGCCTCAGCCTCCCGAGTAGCTGGGACTACAGGCACCTGCTACCACGCCCGGTTAATTTTTTGTATTTTTAGTACACACGGGATTTCACCGTGTTAGCCAGGATGGTCTCCATCTCCTGACCTCGTGATGCGCCTGCCTCGGCCTCCCAAAGTGCTGGAGTTACAGGCGTGAGCCACCGCGCCCGGCTGTGCCCGGCCAGATCTTAATCCTTTAGTGAGCCTGTGCCTCTGGACTGGACTTCATAAGTGCTTATTAACACCCCAAGTCACCTGCTGAGGCGGGACAGGACGGCTCCTGGGGGCTGGGGTTGGGTTTTTCCTTTTCTCCAGGTGGAAGGCTAGGGCCAGCTGGAGTTGGGTATTTTTCTTCCCCCAGGTCAGGTAGGCACTGATGAAGCCCCAGCAGGTTCAGCTGTGGTTAAGTAGTTTCTCCTGAGGGTTGGCCTTGTTAAGAACGGAAAGCCCGGGCTTGTCTCTCTTCCCCTCCCCCTGCTGGAGGCACGAGGGGATTTTTCTCTAATATTCACTCTGAGAACCTGGTTGAGCCTCTGTAGGTAAAACTCACAAGAGCACAGGGCGCCCTGTCTGGGTCCGCTCGGAGGTTTGTTTTGTTTTGTGACGGAGTTTCGCTCCGTCGCCCAGGCTGGAGTGCAATGGCGTGATCTCTGCTCACTGCAAGCTCCGCCTCCCGGGTTCAAGCGATTCTCCTGCCTCGGCCTCCCCAGTAGCTGGGACTACAGGCGCCTGCCACTACGCCTGGCTAATTTTGTGTATTTTTAGTAGAGACGGGGTTTCACCGTGTTAGCCGGGATGGTCTAGAACTCCTGACCTCGTGATCCCCCGCCTTGGCCTCCCCAAGTGCTGGGATTACAGGCGTGAGCCACCGCGCCCGGCCCTGCTGGGAGTTTCTGTCTCAGACTTCTTCAGCCGGGCACAGCAATTCAGCTCCTCAGCCTTCTGCTCTTCCCACCCCTCTTCACTGGGTCCGGTGTGGGGCTTCTGCCCGTGGGTTTCTATGCAGGTAAGTTTTAATTCTCTGTATCCGCCTGTCTCTCCAATTTTGCGGCGGGGAGTTTGCCCTGTGACCTCCCTCCACGGATGGATTTCAGAGGAGTTGTTGACTGTTCAGTTTGTACAGCTTTTTATTTGTGAGCTCAGTGTGGTGACTTCCAAGATCCTTCTGTGCCAAACTGCAAGTCCTATCTGGCTGTTTGTAGGCACTTGGTCCACCCATATGTGAAACCGTAGGGTTGTAGGGGTTTGATAAGGCTGGTGGATTTCTCCCCCATGACCCTTGGTAGCTTTGGTCAGTTCTTGATGGAAGTGGGGATATTTAAATGAGCCTGTCAAATATGCTCCTGTAACACGAGGACATAGTTTTTTCAGGCCCAGATATGGTGGCTCCAGCCTGTAATCCAGCACTTTGGAAGGCCGAGCAAGGAGGATCACTTGAGGCCAGGAGCTTGAGACCAGCCTGGGCAACATGGCAAAACCCAGCATCTATTTTTTTTGAGATGGAGTCTTGCTCTGTTGCCCAGGCTGGAGTGCACTGGCGCGATTTCGGCTCACTGCAACCTCCACGTCCTGAGTTCAAGCTATTCTCCCATCTCAGGCTCCGAAGTAGCTGGGATTACCGCGCCTGCCACCATGCTCAGCTAATTTTTTTGTGTGTGTACATATATATATATATATATATATAATTTTTTTTTTAAATTGAGATGGAGTCTCGCTCTGTCACCCAAGCTGGAGTGCAGTGGCCGGATATCAGTTCACTGCAACCTCCACCACCCGGGTTCAAGCGATTCTTGTGCCTCAGCCTCTTGAGTAGCCGGGACTTCAGGCGCGTGCCACCACGCCCAGCTAATTTTTTTTGTATTCTTAGTAAAGACAAGGTTTCGCCACATTGGCTAGGCTGGTCTTGAACTCCTGACCTCAGGTGATCCGCTGGCCCCGATCTCCCAAAGTGCTGAGATTACAGGCATGAGCTACCACGCCTGGCCCCCAGTCTATTTTTTTTTAAGATTTTTGTTTTGTTTTGTTTTTGAGACAAGGTCTCACTCATCCAGGCTGGAGTGCAGTGGCTCAATTACGACTCACTATAGCCTCGACCTCCCAGGCTCAGGTTATCCTCCCATCTCAGCCTCCTGGGTATCTGGGAGTACAGGCATGTGCCGCCATGCCTGGCTAATTTTTTGTAGAGACAGGGTTTCACCATGTTGCCCCAGGCGGGTCTCAAACTTTTGGGCTCAAGCGATCCTCCTGCCTCGGCCTCCCAAAGTGCTGGGATTACAGGCGTGAGCCACTGTGCCTGGCCTTTTAAAAAGTTTTTTTCAGCACCTGATATATGCTGGAAACTGTGCTAGATGCTGAGGATGCAGAAATGGATGCTTTCCTGCCCCCAGGACGTTTCTTGCTTGGAGAGGATTCATTCATCTTTTTTATTTTTTTGAGATGGAGTCTTGCTTTGTTGCCCAGGCTGGAGTTCAGTGGCACTATCTTGACTCACTGCAACCTCCACCTCCTAGGTTCAAGCGATTCTTGTGCCTCAGCCTCCTGAGTAGCTGAGACCACAGGTGTGTGCCACCATGCTCGCCTAATTTTTTTGTATTTTTAGTAGAGACAGGGTTTCACCATGTTGGCCTTGAACTCCTGGCCTCAAGTGATCCACCTACCTCGGCCTCCCAAAGTGCTGGGATTACACTCATCAGCCTCTGCTCCTGGCCCCCATTCATCTTTGAAGTGCAACCTCCAATGTCCCCTGCTCTGTTGATCTCAGCTTGTAGCATGTTCCTAAGGAGGCTACTGAGATATCCCCTGCCCCAGAGTTCATGGTTTTGAATTAGACCAAGACATAGCCAAAAGGTAGAGCCGATATCAGGATGAGGTATTGAACCACACCCACATCCCATGTTTACATTTCGTATTGTTACCCTCTGCCCTGGAGAACTTCCTTGAGGCCAGGAGTTGGTGTCAGGAGACTGCAGAGAAAATATTTCTTTCTTTTTTTTTTTTTTTTTTTTTTTTTGAGACAGAGTCTTGCTCTGTTGCCCAGGCTGGAGTGCAGTGACATGATCTCGGTTCACTGCAAGCTCCGCCTCCCGGGGTCACACCATTCTCCTGCCTCAGCCTCCTGAGTAGCTGGGACTACAGGTGCGTGCCACCACGCCCGGCTATTTTTTTGTATTTTTAGTGGAGATGGGATTTCACTGTATTAGTCAGGATTGTCTCGATCTCCTGACCTCGTGATCCGCCCATCTCGGCCTCTCAAAGTGTTGGGATTACAGGCGTGAACCACCGCGCCGGGCACATATTTCCCTTTTACAGTCCCCAGCTGATAAAAGAGAAGGTCGTTCTTTGCACGCCGACCTCAGAGGCAGAGAAGGATGCAATCTCATGAAGACGTGTTTCATAAATGAATGAGGAATTCTTGCCACAGCTCTGTGGTCTCTGATATCAACATCTCTACGTTCATCCCTGGCCGACTCGCTCTACTTCCATCAATCAAAAAATTCTTTTTTGTTCCTAATAACATAGGACAAAGCCTCTGATTAAATCAGCCAAAAACCCAGCAGCCCAAGTGGATGTTCCTTGCTATCTTATTGGTATCAAAGTTCATTTTATTTCCAAACAACAACAAAAAAATAAGTACAAGACTATGAAAGCTATCTGAATGGTAAACGACTTTTTTTGTTTGTTTCTGTTGGGTTTTGTTTTAATCTAAGAGGTTGGACTCAGCGCTGTTGCCACTTGGCTCCAGAGCACAGTGATTCTGCGATTCTGTGTTGCTATGGGGATGAGATGATGTGATTCAAATGCACAGCATGTTCTGTTGCTAAGGTAATTACAGGCATCCTCACCCTCTTGATCAGGGCTGGCTTTGCCGCAGATTTTAGCCACGGATAAACTGAGCGTGAGGTCTCGGGTGCAGACAGAGAAGGAAGAATAAGCTTTGTGTGAAAAGTTTTAGAGGAAGTTTGCCATTTCTTTTCTTTCTTTCTTTTTTTTTTTCTGAGATGGAGTCTCACTCTGTTGTCCAGACTGGAGTACAATGGCGCGATCTCAGCTCCCTGCAGCCTCTGGCTCCCGGGTTCAAGCGATTCTCCTGCCTCAGTCTCCCAAGTAGCTGGGATTACAGGCGTGTGCCACCACGCCCAGCTAATTTTTTTTTTATTTTCACCATGTTGGCCAGTGCTGGAACTCCTGACCTCAGGTGATCCACCTGCCTCGGCCTCCCAAAGTCCTGGGATTACGGGTGTGAACCATCGCGCCTGGCCAGAGGAAGTGTTTTTTGTTTTTTTTTTAAAGTATACTCGCTGCTTGACCTGGGTGACCTCATGGTGACAGCCAGCAGAGTGGACAGCATGATTACTTGTGTCTTCAGGGAAGTGGCCGGTGACTGCTGTTTCGCAGGGGCCTGATGGTCTGATGGGTAGATGGCTTGCCCAGAACCGCTGGCTGGCAGAGAGACCCAGAAAGTTTGAGTGCTCTGGGAAGTATCAGAACCTTTCCTATTTGCAGTCCAAGGGGAAGGGGATTGAGTGAAAAGAGACATGAAGGAGCTTTCTGGGAGCATGGACACTGCTGTATCCTGATTGTGTTTCAGTTACATGGGTGTCTAAACCCATCAAACTGCACACTGAGGTTCTGTGTGTTCGCATACAATGTACGGTTCATCAATAAAAGCAATCCTTTAGCTCTTTTAGGATGAGAAGGGAGGTGAGGGATGGGCGATGAGGACAGAAGTGGGAATGTGATGATCTTCCTGCCTCAGCCTCCCAAACTGCTAGGATTACAGGCGTGAGCCACCATGCCCAGCCTATTTACTTTTAAGACAGAGTCTCACTCTGTTGCACAGGCTGGAGTGCAGTGGTGCAATCATAGCTGACCGCAGTCTTGAACTCATGGTTTAGAGGAGGTTTGCTCAAGCAATCCTCCCACCTCAGCCTCCCAATCAGCTGGGACAACAGGCATACATCACCATGCCTGGCTAATCTTTACATTTTTTGTAGAGATGGGATGTCGCTATGTTGCACAGGCTGGTCTGGAACTCCTGGCTTCAAGTGCTCCTCCCACCTCAGCCTCCCAAAGTGCTGGGATTGCAGGCCTGAGCCACAGCGCCCCACCAAGACTGGAGTTTTGAACTACAGTGGTTTCCCCTCTTACTAACAGTCAGTTAGCCGAGGTCAACCGCAGTCCAAAAATACTAAATGCAGAAAAGAGAAAGCAATCCTTCAGACTAGGCAGGGAGAAAGCAGCCTTGAAGAACCACTGGAGAGCAGCCCTCTCCTGTCTCTGAACAAGACTGTTTCACGTGCTAGAGAGCTGGCTTAGCATTTGCTACAGTGTGCATTCCCTGCTTTTGGGGGGCAGGGCATGAAGCTTGGGCTTGGGTTTCATACACACGACCCTGCAGGAGCCTCTGAGGATGTCAGTGCCAGCCTCACCCTCCTTTGCCCTCAGTCCAGGCCATCTGAGTTTCTTGTTCTCTTTCCTTCCAGGACTGGGACACAGTGTCCAGAGAGCATAGCATTGGAGTAGGAGTTTGGGAAGCAGATTTCTAGTCCCTACCTGGTATGGTTAGGGTTTGGGTCCCCACCTAGAATCTCATCTTGAATTGTAATCCCATAATCCCCACGTGTCAAGAGCGGGACAGGTGGAGGTAATCGGATCATGGGGGCAGTTTCCCCCATTCTGCTCTCCTGATAGTGAGTGAGTCTTGAGGTGTCCGATGGTTTTATATGCACTGGCATTTCCCCTGCTTGCACTCACTCCATCCTGCTTCCTGAGAAGGTGCCTGCTTCTCCTTTGCCTTTCGCCATGACAGTAATTTTCCTGAGGCCTTCCCAGCAATGTGGAACTGTGAGTCAATTAAACCTCTTTCCTTCATAAATTACCCAGTCTTGGGTTTATTTATTTATGTATTTATTTTTTCTTTTTAAAATTTTGTTTGTTTGTTTTTGAGTCTGAGTCTCACTCTGTTGCCCAGGCCGGAATGTAGTGGTGTGATCTCAGCTCACTGCAACCTCCGCCTCCTGGATTCAAGTGATTCTCCTGCCTCAGCCTCCAGAGTAGCTGGGATTATAGGTACCCGCCACCATGCCTGGCTAATTTTTATATTTGTAGTAGAGATGGGGTTTCACCATGTTAGCCAGGCTGGTCTTGAACTCCTGACCTCAGGTCATCTGCCAGACTTGGCCTCCCAAAGTGCTGGCATTATAGCCGTAAGCCACTGTGTATTTCTTTCTTTCTTTCTTTCTTTCTTTTTTTTTTCTGGGACGGAGTCTCGCTCTGTCACCCAGGCTGGAGTGCAGTGGCGCAATCTCAGCTCAGTGCAAGCTCTGCCCCCCGGGTTCATGCCATTCTCCTGCCTCAGCCTCCTGAGTAGCTGGGACTATAGGCGCCCACCACCACGCCCGGCTAATTTTTTGTATTTTTAGTAGAGATGGGGTTTCACTGTGTTAGCCAGGATGGTCTCCATCTCCTGACCTCATGATCTACCCGCCTTGGCCTCCCAAAGTGTTGGGATTACAGGCGTGAACCACTGTGCCTGGCCTTCAGGTATTTCTGTTTTGTTTTGTTTGTTTTTGTTTTGTTTTGATTTTTTTTTTTTTTTGAGACGGAGTCTCGCTCTGTCACCCAGGCTGGAGTGCAGTGGACGATCTCGGCTCACTGCAAACTCCGCCTCCCGGGTTCACGCCATTCTCCTGCCTCAGCCTCCCGAGTAGCTGGGACTACAAGCGCCCACCACCACACCTGGCTAGTTTTTTGTATTTTTAGTAGAGACAGGGTTTCACCGTGTTAGTCAGGATGGTCTTGATCTCCTGGCCTGGTGATTCGCCTGCCTCGGCCTCCCAGAGTGCTGGGATTACAGGTGTGAGCCACCGCGCCTGGCCAGGTATTTCTTTATAGCAGTGCGAGAACAGACTAATACACTACCTGGTCACTAACTTACTGAACGTTGGCTAAACAATCTGGGCTACAGTTTCCCCAGGTGCAGAACAGGGTTAGTTGCTCTCAGGGCTACCATGAGGAGTCAAAGTTCACTGGAGGTGTCCTGTATACAAAGGTGAAACAGGTGCTCTGCAGAGGAGACAGGAGGCTGCCTTATGATGTTAAAAAAAAAAAAAAAAAAAAGGGGCAGGGGTCTGTTGGTGAAAAATCATTGGCAGCCACCAGGCAGTCAGGAGCCTCCATGGCTTCTATTTTTGGGGGAATGAAGAAATTGATCTTGGTGGCTCACACCCGCAGTCCTAGCACTTTGGGAGTCTGAGGCAGGAGGATCGCTTGAAGCCCGGAATGCAAGACCAGCCTGGGCAACAGAGTGAAACCTTGCCTCTACAAAAGATACAAAAATTAGCCAGGCATGGTGGTGTGCGCCTGTAGTCCCAGATACTTGGTAGGCTGGGGTGGAAGGATCTCTTGAGTCCAGAAAGTTGAGGCTGCAGTGAGCTTTGACCACACCACTGCACTCCAGCCTCAGCAACAGAGTGAGACCCTGCCTCTGAAAAGGAAAACATTGTAATATAAAAATATATTATTTATATATAATATATAATATGTATTATAGGCCCAGTGTGACGGCTCATGCCTATAATCCCAGCACTTTGGGAGGCTGAAGGACACAGATCACTCGAGGTTAGAAGTTCAAGACCAGCCTGGCCAACATGGTGAAACCCCTTCTCTATTAAAAATATTAAAAAAGGGCCAGGCACGGTGGCTCACACCTGTAATCCCAGTACCTTGGGAGGTCGAGGTGGGCAGATCACCAGGTCAAGAGATTGAGACCATCCTGGCCAACATGGTGAAACCTCATGTCTACTAAAATTACAAAAATCAGCTGGGTATGGTGGCATGTGACTGTAGTCCCAGCTATTTGGGAGGCTGAGGCAGGAAAATCACCAGAACCTGGGAGGCAGAGGTTGCAATGAGCCAAGATTGGGCCACTGCACTCCAGCCTGGGTGACAGAGCGAGACTCTGTCTCAAAGAAACAAAACAAAAAATCAGCCAGGCATGGTGACACATGTCTGTAATCCTACCTACTTGGGAGGCTGAGGTGGGGAGATCACTTGAACCTGGGAGGCAGAGGCTGCAGTGAGCCCAGATTGCCCCAGTGCACTCCAGCTTGGGTGACAGAGCGAGACTGTCTCAAAAAAAAAAAAAAAAAAAAAAAAAAGTCACCGGGTGCAGTGGCTCATGCCTGTAATCCCAGCACTTTGGGAGGCCGAGGTGGGTGGATCACAAGGTCAGGAGATCAAGACCATCCTGGCTTACATGATGAAACCCCGTCTCTACTAAAAATACAAAAAATTAGCCAGGCGTGGTGGCGGGTGCCTGTAGTCCCAGCTACTCGGGAGGCTGAGGCAGGACAATGGCATGAACCCGGGAGGCGGAGCTTGCAGTGAGCCAAGATCGAGCCACTGCACTCCAGCCTGGGTGACAGAGCAACGCTCTGTCTCAAAAAAAAAAAAAGATATCATCTGTTACATATTATATATAATATAAACTATATATTTATAATATGAACTATATGATATAAAAATCTTTATAAAGACATATTTATATAATATATAGTATATAATATATAATACAAACCATATTATATAAAATATATTGTAATTTATATATAAATAGTTTTGCATTTATGTATTTTTATATTACATAAAAATATATTTATATTACATATAAAATATATTTATGCAATATATTACATATAAATAACATTTTATATTACATATATATAATTATATATATTTTTTTCTGAGACAGAGTCTTACTCTGTCACCCAGGCTGGAGCGCAATGGTATGATCTCAGCTCGCTGCAGCCTCCACCTCCCGGGTCAAGCGAGTCTCCTGCCTCAGCCTCCAGAGTAGCTGGGATTATAGGCACCTGCCACCACACCTAGGTAATTTTTCTATTTTTAGTAGAGACGAGGTTTCACCATGTTGGCCAGGCTGGTCTCAAACTCCTGACCTCAGGTGATCCACCCACCTTGGCCTTCCAAAGTGCTGAGATTACAGGCGTGAGCCACCATGCCTGGCCTATTTTATATTTATATTTTATATATCCATATTTTTATATTTTACATACAAATATATATTTTTATGTTATATATATTCATTATATATTATATATATAAAATATCAAACCATGGAGACAGTGTTAAGCATCTTCCCAGTACATGGCCCTGATAAAATGCCATTTTTCCTGTTGCTATTTTTTCCCAGTGGAGACCTGGAAGCAGGATGGCACAGAAGACCCGGAATGAGCCAGTGCGGTTAACAAGAGGAAGCACATGAATTGGAAAGCTCAGTGAGCTCTTGTTTAGATAATAGGATCCATATATCACTAGTGATATGTTCCTTGATTCTCTTGTGATCCATAGATTCCTTCTCCCTCTCTTCCTTTCCTCCGTCCCTCTCTCTGTTGGCATTTTATTTGTAGAAAAAAGTGTAGAATTTCTTACAGCCTGGATTTTGCAGATTGTCTCATTGTGGTGTCATTTGACATATTTTTCTGCTGCCCTTTTATGTCCTGTAATTTGTTGATTAGATCAAGAGGCTTAGACTCAAGTTTTTTTTTTTTTTTTTTCCCCAGGATTACTCATAGGTGATGTCGTGTACAGCCATATAGATGGACAGGATGTCTGGTTTTCTTATTTTTTTTTTTTCAAAAAGATGTCAGCAGTCATTGGTGATCATTACCTAAGGGTGTTTTTGTTTGTTTGTTTGTGTTTGAGATGGAGTCTTGCTCTGTCGCCCAGGCTGGAGTGCAGGGGCGCGATCTTGGCTCACTGCAAGCTCCGCCTCTTGGATTCACGCCATTGTCCCGAGTAGCTGGGACTACAGGCGCCTGCCAACACACCCGGCTAATTTTTTGTATTTTTAGTAGAGACGGGGTTTCACCGTGTTAGCCAGGATTGTCTCGATCTCCTGACCTCGTGATCCACCCGTCTTGGCCTCCCAAAGTGCTGGGATTACAGGCGTGAGAAAAAAAAAGTTTTTTAGAGATGATGTCTTGCCATGTTGCCCAGGCTGGTCTTGAACTGGGCTCAATCGATCCTCCCACCGTAGGCTCCCAAAGTGCTGGAATTACAGGTGTGAACCACCAAGCCCAGCTAGAGCACTCATTTAGGAGTCTAGTTTTCTGACTCCTTCGGAGTCACATGGATTTTTTTAATGAGAAATAATCATTGGTGATTTTTTTTTTTTTTTGAGATAGTCTCACTCTGTTGCCCAGGCTGTGGATTAGTGGCATGATCTTGGCTCACTGCAACTTCCACCTTCTGAGTTCGAGCAATCCTTCTGCCTCAGCCTCCCAAGTAGCTAGCACTACAGACAGGTGTGCACCACCACACCTGGCAAATTTTTTTTTTTTTTTTTTTGGAGACAGAGTCTTGCTCTCTTGCCAGGCTGGAGTGCAGTGGTGTGATCTTGGCTCACTGCAACCTCTGCCTCCTGGGTTCAAGCGATTCTCCTGTCTCAGCCTCCTGAATAGCTGGGACTACAGGTGCGCACCACCACACCCAGCTAATTTTTGCATTTTTAGTAGAGACGGGGTTTCACCGTGTTGGCCAGGGTGGTCTTGATCTCTTGACCTCAGGATCCACCTGCCTCGGCCTCCCAAAGTGCTGGATTACAGGCATGAGCCACTACTTCCGACAAATTTTTGTATTTTTTAGTAGAGACAGGGTTTCACCATGTTGCCCAGGCTGGTCTTGAACTCCTGGCCTCAAGTGATCCACCCACCTCAGCCTTCCAAAATGCTGGGATTACAGATATGAGCCACCACGTTCGGCTTTATCAGTAATTTTTAGAGCACTTTTATTTTGGGAGCTCTATTACAGCAGTTTTATCCATGTCCTAAATAATATAGTTGCATACGTTCTTAGCTCTCATTTTGTAATTAGAGTTGGAATATTCCCCTTCCCATTCATTTTACAGGAGTTTTCATGTTATCTTGATATTAGAAGATGATAGCTGTAAGAGTTTTATTTTCTCTCTTACTAGGGAAGATAGGAAAAATAATAAAGATTTTATCTTTGGAAAAATAAACAAGTGATAGACAAATCTCTGGTGACACTAATCAATATAAAAGAGAAATTATTGGAAAACTCTCTAAAAATAGATATAGGAATTTAATTTTTTTTGCTACTGTTTCATAGCAACCATGAATTTATTGGGAAGGAAAACATTTTCAACCATTTATTATTACTTTTTCTTTTCTTTTTTTTTTTTTTGAGAGGGAGTCTCAATTTGTTGCCCAAGCTAGAGTGCAGTGGCGCTGTCTCTCCTTACTGCAAACTCTGCCTCCTGGGTTCAAGCAATTCTCCTGCCTCAGCTTTCCTAGTAGCTGGGATTACAGATGCCTGCCACCACACCCAGCTAATTTTTGTATTTTAGTAGAGACAGGGTTTCACCATGTTGGCCAGGCTGGTCTTGAACTCCTGACCTTGTGGTCCGCCCGCCTTGGCCTCTCAAAGTGCTGGGATTACAGGCATGAGCCCCCTCCCCCAGCCTATTATTACTTTTTTTTTTTTTGAGACAGGGTCTCGCTCTGCTGGTCAGGTTGGAGTGCAGTGGTGTGATCATAGCTCACTGCAGCCTCAAGCTCCCAGGTTCACGCGATCCTCCTACCTTGGCCTCCCAAAGTGCTGGGATTACAGGTGGGAGCCACTGTACTAGCCTTTGTACCATAATAAAATAAAGTCAGCCCTTCATATTTGGAGGGGATTGGTTCCAGGACACAACCCCTTTGTATTAGTTCATTCTCATACTGCTATGAAGAACTACCTGAGACTGGGTAATTTATAAAGAAAAGAGGTCTAATTGACTCACAGTTCTGCAGCCTGTACAGGAAGCGTGGCTGGGGAGGCCTCAGGAAACTGACAGTCATGGCGGAAGGCAAAGGGGAAGCAGGAATGTCTTACATGGCCAGAGCAGGAGGAAGAGAGAGAAAGACGGGAGGTGCTGCACACTTTTAAACAACCAGCTCTCATGATAAGTCACTCACTCTCACGAGTACAGCACGAAAGGGGAAACCTACCCCCATGATCCAATCGCCTCCCACCAGACCCACCTCCAACACTGGGGATTATAATTTTTTTTTTTTTTTTTTTTCCTGAGATGGAGTCTTGCTTTGTTGCCCAGGCTGGAGTGCAGTGGTGCAATCTCAGCTCACTGCAGCCTCTGCCTCCCGGCTTCAAGCAGTTCTCCTGCCTCAGCCTCCCAAGTAGCTTGGATTACAGGCATGTACCACCATGTCCGGCTAATCTTTGTTTTTTTAGTAGAGACGGAGTTTCATCATGTTGGCCAGGGTGGTCTCGAACTCCTGACCTCAGGTGATCCACCTGCCTCGGCCTCCCAAAGTGCTGGGATTACAGGTGTGAGCCAGCGCGGCCAGCCGGGGATTATAATTTAACATGAAATTTGGGCGGGGACACAGACCCAAACCATATCACCCTCATACCCAAATCTGCCATACTCAAATCCCACAGTTGGCCTTGCGGAACTGTGTATATGAAAAGTTGGGCTTGTATTTATTTGAGTTTCACATCCCTCAAATACTGTATTTTCTATTTGTGTTTGGTTGAAGAAAAAAAAACCTGCATATAAGTGGACCTTCGAAGTTCAAACCCATGGTGTTTGAGGGTCTACATAGTGTATTTTTTCCCCACTGATCTAAAATACAAATTTGTAGAGAAATCTTGAAAAAGTAATAGGCATAACAAATATCTGAGTTAAAAACATGTCCTGATTAAAGGACAATCTGGAAGAAAATATGTATAACCAAAATGACCTAAAGAGGAAGAAAGGAACAAATGACGTAAAACCCCAAAAGGATTATTCTTTTATATGCATATATATAATTTTTTTTTTTTTTTTTTTTTTTTTGAGACAGAGTCTTGCTCTGTCGCCCAGGCTGGAGTGCTGTGGCGAAATCTCGGCTTACTGCAACCTCTGCCTCCTGGATTCAAGTGATTCTCTTTCAAACAATTCTCCTGACTCAGCCTCCTGAGTAGCTGGGATTACAGGGCCCACCACCACGCCCAGCTAATGTTTTTATTTTTTTATTTTTATTTTTGAGATGAAGTTTCGTTCTTGTTGCTCAGGCTGGAGTGCAGTGGTGCAATCTTGGCTCACTGCAACCTCCGCCTCCTGGGTTCAAATGATTCTCCTGCCTCAGCCTCCCGAGTAGCTGGGATTACAGGCATGCGCCACCACACGTGGTTAATTTTTTTTGTATATTTAGTAGAGACGGGGTTTTGCCCTGTTGGTCAGGCTGGTCTCAAACTCCCGACCTCAGGTGATCCGCCCATCTTGGCCTCCCAAAGTGCTAGGATTACAGGCGTGAGCTGCTGGCTAATTTTTGTATTTTTAGTAGAGACGGGGTTTCGCAATGTTGGTCAGGCTGGTCTGAAACTCCTGACCTCAGGTGATCCACCCACCTTGGCCTTCCAAAGTGCTGGGTTTACAGGTGTGAGCCACTGTGCCTGGCCCCAAAAGGATTATTCTGAAAAGAGTCTCCACCCACAAGATTTGTAAATGAATCATTTTTATGGAGATGATTTCTACTGTTTATTTGTTTTCTTTTTGTTTTGTTTTGTTTTTTTGAGATGGAGTCACACACTGTGGGCTCAGGGCTGGAGTGCAATGGTGCTATCTCGGCTCCCTGCAACCTTTGTCTGCTGGGTTCACGCAATTCTCCTGCCTCAGCCTCCTGAGCAGCTGGGATTACAGGCCTACACCATCACACCTGGCTAATTTTGTGTATTTTTAGTAGAGCCAGGGTTTCACCATGTTAGCCATGATGATCTCGAACTCCTGTCCTCGTGATCTGCCTGCCTCGGCCTCCTAAAGTGCTGGGATTACAGGCATGAGCCACTGCGCCCGGCCTAGTGTTGATAATTCTCTCTAGAACCACACGGTAGAAACCACAGGTAGAATCTACCACAAGTTAGAAATCTATGTAGTTGAATGTGCAAAGGACTCCAATTACTGATGTCCAAACTTGATCCAGGAAACCAGATACAAAACCTTTTACAAAGAGACAAAATATTTTTGTAGAAACAAAAGGAAAAGCCAGCTGGGCGGCTGGGTGTGGCGTCTTATGCCTTTAATCCCAGCACTTGGGGAGGCTAAGATGGGAGGATCCCTTGAGCTCAGGAATTCAAGACTAGCTTGGGCAACATAGACCACATCTCTACAAAAATTAACAGAATTAGCTGGGCATGGCAGCATGTGCCTGTGGCCCAAGCTCCTCAGGAGGCTGAGGTGAGAGGATTTCTTGAGCCTTGGAGGTCGAGGCTGCAGATCGCACTACTGCATTCCAAGCTGTCTCAGAAAAACAAACAAACAAAAAAACCAACAAGCGATCCCATGTTATAAAATAAAAGGATTGTTTTTCTCCCACTCAAAAAGAGCATGATTAGCTGGGCATGGTGGCATATGCCTGTAGTTCCAGCTACTCAGGAGGCTGAGGTGGGCGGATCACCTGAGCCTGGGGAGGTTGAGGCTGCAGTGAGCCGTGATCATGCCACTGCCCTCCAGCCCGGGCAACAGAGTGAAACCCTGGCTCAAAACAACAAACCATAGGCCGGATCTAAGAGTAAATTTTAAAAAGTCTCAGTGGCTGTGTCCAGTAATTCAAAATAGATTGATATGAAGCTTACTGTTTAAACATATTAAAAACTGAAATCATTGGATAATTTTCAAATAAAATCACATGGAGACATTCAGTGTCCCCCTCCATGATATATGAAACCATAAGGAATATCAATTTTAGACAAATATTATGCTTGTTTGAACTCTACAGACAATTCCATTAACATTGTAAAACAGGAATTCTAATTTACTAAGTTAAATAAACTAGGATATCTCAAAGTTTTAAACATTACTAACTTCAAAGGTAGAAATGGTCAAGCATACAAAAAGCATCATTTTAAACTTTATTAAACTTCTTTTACTCTCACTTTGTAAGTTTTGGATAAATTTATTTTTTAAGTTATTTGGTGATGGAGTCTCGCTCTTTCATTCAGGCTGCAGTGCAATGGTGTGATCTTGGCTCACTGCAACCTTCGCCTCCTGGATTCAAGTGATTCTTCTGCCTCAGCCTCCCGAGTAGCTGGGATTACAGACACTCGCCACTGCATCCGGCTAATTTTTGTATTTTTAGTAGAGACAGGGTTTCACCACATTGGCTAGGCTGGTCTCGAACTCCAGACCTCGTGATCTGCCTGCCTCAGCCTCCCAAAGTACTGGGATTACAGATGTAAGCCACCGCACCCGGCCTTTTTTTTTTTTTGAGATGGGCTCGTGTTCTGTCGCCCAGGCTGGAATGCAATAGTACGATCTCTACTCACTGCAACCTCCACTCCCGGGTTCAAGCAATTCTCCTGTCTCAGCCTCCTGAGTAGATAGGATTACAGGTGCCACCACGCCCGGCTAATTTTTGTATTTTTAGAAGAGACGAGACTTAGCCATGTTGGCCTCAAACTCCTGACCTCAAGTGATCCACTTGCCTTGGCTTCCCAAAGTGCTGGGATTACAGGCGTGAGCCACTGTGCCTGGCCTACAGATAAAATTTTTTTAAAAAAAGAGATGGAGGTCTCACTGTTTCCCAGGCTGGAGTGCAGCAGTGCAATCCTGGCTCACTGCAGCCTTGACTTCTGACCTCAACTGAGCCTCCCGCCTCAGCCTCCCAAGTAGCTGGGATTACACGAGCAAGCCACCACGCCCGGGTCCCAGACATCATTTTTATGCAGGGGTTCCTCCAAGGTAAATATTGAGATGGGCTACCTCTGATTCCTCGCCTATGAAATGAAAGTAATGACATCTATTTTGGGGACTATCATGAGGACTGAAGGATAGGCCTTAATATAAAAATAAAGTTTTTAGCCAGGCACTGTGGCTCACGCCTGTAATCCCAGCAGGAGGATTCATTGAGCCCAGGAGTTAAAGTCTAGCCTGGGCAACATAGGGAGACCCTATCTTTACAAAATA
Source organism: Homo sapiens (assembly GCF_000001405.40). NCBI lineage: Eukaryota > Metazoa > Chordata > Mammalia > Primates > Hominidae > Homo > Homo sapiens. The sequence goes on along the minus strand of NC_000007.14, from coordinate 5,145,448 downwards.
AGAAATAAAAAAATTAGCCAGCATGGTGGTGCGGGCCTGCAGTTTCAGCTACTGGGGAAGCTGATGGGGGAGGATCACTTGAGCCCAGGAGTTGGAGCCTGCAGTGAGCTCTGATCGTGCAGCTGCACTCCAGCCTGGGTGACAGAGCCAGAGCATAGTCTTAAAAAATTCTTGGCCAGGCATGGTGGCTCACACCTGTAATCCCAGCAATTGGGAGGCCCAGGTGGGTGGATCACCTGAGGTCAGGAGTTCGAGACCAGTCTGGCCAATATGGTGAAACCCCATCTCTATTAAAAATACAAAAAATTAGCTGGGCATGGTGGTGGGTGCCTGTAATCCCAGCTACTAGGGAGGCCGAGGCAGGAGAACCGCTTGAACCTGGGAGGCAGAGGTTGCAGTGGGCCAAGATCATGCCACTGCACTCCAGCCTGGGCGACGAGCAAAACTCTATCTCTAAATAAATAAATATTTTTATGATCTCCCCAGGTAACAGACTCTCTAGGAAGGAGGCCCAGTGCCAGTCCCAGGTGGGACTTCGAGTTCGGGCCAGCCATATCCCGCCCCACAGGATGGAACAGGGCTTGGGGCAGATCAGATCAGACACGTGGGGCCCATGAGGGCCACCCTTGGCCATGGGGGACATGTAAGAGGGCGCATTCACCCCCAGCTCTGTGTCAGCCAGAGCCATAGCGCCACACCCTGCCAGCCCATGGCCACCTCCCATGTGACTGCAGCCATGGCTGTGGCTGGAAGTGCAGGGTGGCCTAACCGGAATCATGGCATCGTGGGGGGGTTCTGGGAGTTGTAGTCCCAGGGGGTTCTTTTACGCAGTGTTTTGAGGTGCAAGACTGCAATGCGCGCACTTCCGGACCCCAGGCTGTTCCCATGGCGACTGACACCTCAGACACGTGTGGGAGGAACGGCGTCTTGGCTCCCGGGCTGTGCGCAGCGCCAGCGTGGCCGGCACCCACTTGCTGCAGAGCCGGCACTGCACTGGGGTCCTGGGGGCGGCTCCTCCAGACGTCTCCGCGGGTTGTCGGGTGCTGCCAAGTTGGGCTGGGGGACGCCACAGGTAGTGGTGGGTCCCGAGCAGCGGCTGGCCCCTCATCTCACTGCCCCTCCCCGCAGCTCTGCCTCCTCGGACCCCACCGTCCCCTGGAAGCTCGCGCAGGGCACCTGCCACTGTGACCACTTGGACGCGGGTGAGCTGGGGGCTTGTTCTCTGCACAGGGGACCCCGCTCTTCCCCAAGAGTGGGTTTGTTGCCGTCCCTTCCCCTGGAGCTTCTCTGCCCATCCAGGCCCCTGATCTCCACTGCACTGCGGTGCCTGGGTCTCTAGGGGGAAGAGTGGGGCTGTTGGGGAAAGTCCCCGTCTCTTGCAGAGGGTAACCCCCTTCTTCCTCTCCAACCTGGCTCATGCAGAACCCTGATCACAGCCAGTGGTGGGCACTGAGCTAGGAGGGAAACGAAGGCAGGGTGTGGAGGGGGGTTATTTCAGGCGTCTGGGCTCATTCAAAACATCTACTGAGTGCCTGGGTCCGATCTGGGGGAGCACGGAGCTGGGGTCCCTCGTTGGATGCAGTCCTACAGAGGTGTTGGTCACGTTAACATGTGGGGGCGATCCAGGGGTAGGCGCCCTGTTAGTTACCTCAACTGTCAGGATGCATGGACACCCAGGGGAGGGAGGATCAGTTTCAACTGGGGAAGGTCAACTGACTTCAGGTCAGACTTAAAGAAAAATAAGATGTTGCAGATGAAAGGACAATAGGGTCTTTGAGGACCAGGGAGGAGCATCCCTAAGGAGTAATGATGGGTGATACTGAGGACTCGGCACAGGGGGGGCGCCCCGTGAGGCTGGGGGCGGGGTGGGGGCCTGACCAGCAAGGTCCGAGGCTGGGGTCTCCCTCTTGCTCCAGCTGCAAATGCAGTACTTCAAGGCAGAGGCATGATCATATTTGGGTGTTGGTCAAAGTACCCCTGCAGGAAGTAGAGTTATGAGGGTTGGACTGAGGGTGTGAGAAAATTGAGTAGGGAGACGGGAGACGCCAGACTAAGGCGGGACAGTGCCAGCACCTCTGTTGGAGACTGGCGGAGAAGGAGGCGGCTGCGCCAGTTCCGTGTAGACTGTTCTTTTCTAGCCCTTGGTGAAGAAAGGTGAGCAACACTCGGGGTGGTGTGATGTGATGGAGTTGGCGGAGGATGTCTGTCTGATGCTTTTTTTAAGATGAAACTCACTTGATTTGGGGAGAGAATGAAACTGGTACTATGGTTTTAAATCTTGATAAGAGCAAATGTTTTTATGGTGGTTTTTCTATCACACTTGCGCTTGGGTCTTACTGAAAGAGGTTTTTCTTTTCCTTTTTTTTTCTTTTTTTTTGAGACTGAGTCTCACTCTGTCGCCCAGGCTGGAGTGCAGTGGCACAATCTCAGCTCACTGCAACCTCCAACTCCCCGGTTCAAGCGATTCTCCTGCCTCAGCCTCCTAAATAGCTGGGATTACAGGCGGGCACCCCCACGCCAGGCTGATTTTTGTATTTTTAGTAGAGATGGGGTTTCATCATGTTGGTCAGGCTGGTCTCGAACTCCTGACCTCGTGATCCGCCCGCCTTGGCCTCCCAAAGTGCTGGGATTACAGGCATGAGCCATCACGCCAGGCTTAGAGTAATCTTACAATTATAAAACTCGACCATGGCCGGGTGCTGTGGCTCACTCCTGTAATCCCAGCACTTTGGGAGGCCAAGGCAGGTGTATCATTTGAGGTCAGGAGTTGGATACCGGCCTGGCCAATGTGGTAAAACCCCGTGTCTACTAAAAATACCCCCCCAAAAAAATTAGCTGGGCAGTAGTGGCACACGCCTGTAATCCCAGCTACTCAAGAGGCTGAGGCAAGAGAATCGCTTGAGCCTGGGAGGCGGAGGTTGCAGTGAGCCAAGATCATGCTGCTTCACTCTCGTCTGGGCGACAGAGTGACACCCTATCTCAAAAAAAAAAAAAAAAAAAAAAAAAAAATCAAACCTCGACCGTATCTGAAATTGTCTTTTTCATGCCTTCTCTTGCTCAATTGTGCCTGGATTCTGGTCGATTTTATTAATCTTAAATACAAACCAATTATTTTATTAGTTTTAATAAAACCTTTCCAAGAATTGATTTAAGTTTTTTCTTTTTAACTTATTGTAGTCCTAATATATGTATTAAATAAAAAGAATGAAACTTAATGACATTCAGCTCAGGTGGTTAGCATATAAAAAGGAATAGGGCACATCCACTCCCATTTGTCCAGTCTGTGTCTCCCAGAAAAAGATATTTAAAAAAGAGAAAAGCCAGGCATGGTGGCTCATGCCTGCAATCCCAGCACTTTGGGAGGCCGAGGCGGGCGGATCACGAGGTCAGGAGATCGAGACCATCCTGGCTAACACGATGAAACCCCGTCTCTACTAAAAATACAAAAAATCAGCCAGGTGCGGTGGTGGGCGCCTCTAGTCCCAGCTTCGCGGGAGGCTGAGGCAGGACAATGGCGTGAACCTGGGAGGCGGAGCTTGTGGTAAGCAGAGATTGCGCCACCGCACTCCACCCTGGGCGACAGAGCGCAACTCAGTCTCAAAAAAAAGAAAAGAAAAGAGAAAAAGCGCAAACCCCCAAAGCTAAAAGCATATGAGGAGAAATTAAAAGGAAGAGAGGAACATTTACTCTGTTTTATGGAATAAAGTGTTTTCCCACTTAAAACAAAAAAATAGAGCAAGTTAAAACAAAAAAATTTCTGCCACAAATGTATCACCTGAATCAAATCATGAGACATTAAACCTAAATTGAGTATTTTTTTTTTTTTTTTGAGACAGTCTTGCTCTGTTGCCCAGGCTGGAGTGCAGTGGCACTATCTCAGTTCACTGCAACCTCTGCCCCCCGCGTTCAAGTGATTCTCCTGCCTCAGCCTCCCCAGTAGCTGGGATTACGGGCACCCACCACCACACCTGGCTAATTTTTGTAGTTTCAGTAGAGATGGTTTCACCATCAAGACCAGCCAGGCTGGTCTTGAACTGCTAATCTTAGGTGATCCACCTGCCTTGGCCTCCCAAAGTGCTGGGATTATAGGCGTGAGCCACCACACCTGGCCTTTTTTATTTTCTAATAGAGACAGGGGTCTTGCTATGTTGCCCAGTTTGGCCTTGAACTCCTGGGCTCAAGGGATCCTCTTGCCTTGGCCTCCCTGAGTGCTGGGATTATAGGTGTAAGCCACCATGCCTGGCCCCAGTTGTTTTATTTTGTTACAAATCTTTTTTTTTTTGAGCTGTCGCCCAGGCTGGAGCACAGTGGCGCCGTGATCTCGGCTCACTGCCAGCTCTGCCTCCCGGGTTTACGCCATTCTCCTGCCTCAGCCTACTGAGTAGTTTGGGACTGCAGGCACCCGCCACCACGCCTGGCTAATTTTTTGTATTTTTAGTAGAGACAGGGTTTCACCGTGTTAGCTAGCATGATGGTCTTGATCTCCTGACCTCGTGATCCACCCGCCTTGGCCTTCCAAAGTGCTGGGATTACAGGCGTGACCCACCACGCCTGGCCTGTTTTATTTTTTAATAGAGACGGGTCTCGCTATGTTTCCCAGGCTGGCCTTGAACTCCTGGGCTCAAGGGATCCTCTCGCCTTGGCCTCCCTGAGTGCTGGGATTACAGGTGTGAGGCACCATGCCTGGCCCCAGTTGTTTGAATCATAGCCCAAGTACATGCAGATTTGTAGTGATTTAGAGATCTCTTGGTGTGCATACCTGGGAAACTGTACCCAACATCTGCCGGCCATGTATAAGACAAACCATGTGGCTATTAAGACCCCAAGGCTAGCTGGGAGCGGTGGCTCATGCCTTTAACCCCAGCATATTGGGAGGCTGAGGCAAGCGGATCACCTGAGGTCAGGAGTTGAAGACCAGCCTGGCCAACATGGGGAAACCCTGTCTCTACAAAAATTAGCTAGGCATAATGGCAGGGGCCTGTAATCCCAGCTACTCGGGAGGCTGAGGCAGGAGAATCGCTTGAACCCGGGAGGTGGAGGTTGGAGATCGTGCCATTGCACTCCAGACTGGGTGACAGAGTAAGATTCCATATCAAAACAACAACAACAAAAGGACCCTAAGGCTCTCAGAGATACCCAGGAGCTGGCCCTGTGCCCTCTCCTGGGTAATGGCCCCCATGCCACAGCCCTGGGACGGCCTCTGGTGTGAGGGCCTTCCTGCCTGCACAAAGCCTCGCCCAGGTGCTGTCGTGTTTACTCTGCCACCTTGTGGTGGGACCTTTTTCATCAGCCGCCTGCGCAAATGTGGTAAAATGTTAATATTTGGGAGATCTAGATGAGAAGGGTATTTGGAAATTCTTTGTACTATTCTTGAGACTTTCCTTTGAGTCTCAAGTCACTCAAGTAAAAAGTTAAAAAGCTAAAATCACTTACTGGGGCCGGGCGTGGTGGCTCATGCCTGTAATCCCAGCACTTTGGGAGGCCGAGGCAGGTGGATCACAAGGTCAGGATATCGAGACCATCCTGGCTAACACGGTGAAACCCCGTCTCTACTAAAAATACAAAAAATTAGCCGGGCGTGGTGGTGGGCGCCTGTAGTCCCAGCTACTCGGGGGGCTGAGGCAGGAGAATGGCGTGAACCCGGGAGGCGGAGCTTGCAGTGAGCCGAGATTGTGCCACTGCACTTCAGCCTGGGCAAGAGAGCGAGACTCCGTCTCAAAAAATAAATAAATAAATAAATAAATAAATAAAATAAAATCACTTATTGGAAAGGATTTGTTAAACCTCCCCCCTCCAAAAAAAAATTTGATTTGTATTTAAAACTAATAAATTAGACAAACTTCAGTCTGCACTGATGAAGGGAGAATAGAAATAAGCTATTTATTTTTTTATTTTTTATTCTTTGAGATGGAGTCTCACTCTATCACCCAGGCTGGAGTGCAGTGGCACGATCTCGGCTCACTGCAAGGTCCACCTCCTGGGTTCATGCCATTCTCCTGCCCCAGCCTCCCGAGTAGCTGGGACTACAGGCACCTGCCACCACGCCCGGCTAATTTTTTGTATTTTTAGCAGAGACGGGGTTTCACCGTGTTAGCCACGATGGTCTCGATCTCCTGACCTTGTGATCTGCCCGTGTCGGCCTCCCAAAGTGCTGGGATTACAGGTGTGAGCCACTGTGCCTGGCCAAAATAAGCTATTTTTAGAATGGAAGATGAGATGATTTCAGATACAGTAGATTTATTTTTATTTTTATTTATTTTTATTTTTTGAGATGGAGTTTGCTCTGTTACCCAGGCTGGGGTGCAGTAGTGCGATCTTGGCTCCACCGCAACCTCCATCTCCCTGGTTCAAGCAATTCCCCTGCCTCAGCCTCTGGAGTAGCTGCGATTACAGGCACACGCCACCATGCCCGGCTAATTTTTTTGTATTTTTAGTAGACATGGGGTTTCACTATGTTGGCCAGACTGGTCTCGAACTCCTGACCTCAGGCAATCTGCCCTCTTCAGCCTCCCAAAGTGCTGAGATTACAGGCGTAAGCCACCGTGCCTGGCCTTCTTTTTTTTTTTTTTTTTTTTTTTTGAGATGGAGTTTCCCTCTGTCGCCCAGGCTGGAGTGCAGTGGCATGATCTTGGCTCACTGCAACCTCAACCTCCTGGGTTGAAGCAATTCTCCTGCCTCAGCCTCCCTGAGTAGCTGGGACTACAGGCATGTGCCACCATGTCCAGCTAATTTTTTTTTTTGTAGTTTTAGTAGAGACGAGGTTTTACCATGTTGACCAGGCTGGTCTCGAACTCTTCACCTGAGGTGATCCACCTGCCTTGGCCTCCCAAAGTGCTGGGATTACAGGCATCAGCCACCGTGCCTGGCCAGTAGATTTTTAAAAAATGAGATGTTACTATAAATCATTTAATGGCATAACTCTGAAATTAAGTAAGACACATTTGTAGAAAATTGTAAATTGCTAAAATTGACTGACATATAGAAAACCTGAATAAACCACTTATACACATTGCAAAAGTCTTGAAGACAGTTTTATAAAATTCCTGAAAAACATATAGGCCTCGTGTTTCTTTGGGAATATTTTTGAGTATGGATTCATTTCATATTTGGTGATTTAATTTTTTTTTGCATTCTTTTTATTTTCTAATTGTATTGTTTTTTGAGTCAGTGGGATCTATGCAATATATGTATTTTTCTTTTCTTTTCTTTTCTTTTCTTTTTTTTTTTTTGAGACAGTCTTGCTCTGTCGCCCAGGCTGGAGTGCAGTGGTGCGATTTCGGCTTACTGCAAACTCTGCCTCCTGGGTTCACGCCATTCTCCTACCTCAGCCTCCTGAGTAGCTGGGGCTACAGGCGCCTGCCACCATACCCAGCTGATTTTTTTGTATTTTTAGTAGAGACAGGGTTTCACTGTGCTAACCAGGATGGTCTTGATCTCCTGACCTCATGATCCGCCCACCTCAGCCTCTCGAAGTGCTGGGATTACAGGCGTGAGCCACCGTGCCTGGCTGCAATATATATATTTTTCTTTTGGTATTCAGGTTTGCTCTTTATGCTTGCCATTTTTTTTTTTTTTTTTTGAGATGGAGTTTCACTCTGTCACCCAGGGTGGAGTACAGCAGTGCAATCCCGGCTCACTGCAACCTCTGCCTTCTGGGTTCAAGTGATTGTCATGCCTCAGCCTCCCAGGTAGCTGGGATTACAGGCGCCCACCACCATGCCTGGCTAATTTTTGTATTTTTAGTAGAGACAGGGTTTCGCGATGTTAGCCAGGCTGGTTTTGAACTCCTGACCTCAAGTGATCCACTTGCCTTGGCCTCCCAAAGTGCTGGGATTACTGGCGTGAGCCACTGTGCCTGGCCTGTAGTAATTTTCTATTGTTGTATGACAGATTGCCACTCATTTGGTGACTAAAACCACACCCACTTACTAACACAGAGTTTGGGAGGTCAGAAATCCTGGTGGCCTCACCTATGGGTTCCACGCTCCAGGTAGCATCAGGCTCTGAGAAAGGCGTGGGCTGGGCTGGGCTTTTAGCCAGAGGTTCTGGGAAGAATCTGCTTGTCAGTGCATTCGGGGTTTGCAGAATTCTGTCTTAAGACTTAGGTCCCCGATTCCTTGCTGGCTGTCAGCTGGGGGCCATGCTCAGCTCCCGAAGCCCACCAGCTTGCTTTCCAATGGGATCTCCTTTTTTTTTTGAGACAGAATCTCACTCTGTCACCCAGGCTGGAGTGCAGTGGTGCGAGCTTAGCTCACTGCAACCTCTGCGTCCCGCGTTCCAGTGATTCTCCTGCCTCAGCCTCCCTAGTAGCTGGGATTACAGGCGTGCGCCACCACACCTGGCTAATTTTTGTATTTTTAGTACAGACAGGGTTTCACCATATTGGCCAGGCTGGTCTCCAACTGCTAACCTCAGGCGACGCACCCACCTCGGCCTCCCAAAGTGCTGGGATTAGAGGCGTGAGCCACCGTGCCCAGCCGGTCCCTCCATTTTCAAAGCCAGAAACAGAGCATGGACTCTGTCTCGTGTTCTAGGCTTTCTGACTTTCCCTTCTGCCACAGATTGGTTTCTCTCTATCAGCGGTAAAGGTAACCCTGCCAATGTCTTCTTTTCCCCCTGTAGAGGTGGGGTGTTTGTTGACTAGGCTGGTCTCGAACTCCTGGCCTCAAGCAATTGTCCTGCCTCAGGCTCCCAAAGTACTGAGATGACAGGTGTGCTAATATTTTCATGTGAGCCTCCCTGCGTCATTTTAATTTCAGGTTTTCCTGGTGTCTTTGCAAAAGCTCAGGATCGGACTTTGTCAGCAAGGTGGGTCCCTCCTCTCAGCATAGCAAGCTTGTTTCTACCCTGGTCCCGAGAACCTCAGAGGCTGAAGCTTGAGTCCCCACCTGAAGGTAAGTTCTCAGTAGGGGAGCAGAGCCTTGGCAGCCAAGTGGAGTTGCCCAAGTGTTCGAGACCCAGGCATGCTGGGAGTAAAAGCATTCCTGTGAAGAACTTGACAACGGGGAGCAGGAATCTACTTTGGAAAGCGAGACCCCAGTTCTGAGACCTCTTCACATAGCTTAGGGCTGAAGCCGGAGGGTCACGTGGAGGGTGGCAGCTCCCAAGGTCCATGTACCTGGGGCTGGGCATGGTGGCTCATGCCTGTAATCCCAGCACTTTGGGAGGCTGAGGCGGGCAGATCACCTGAGGTCAGGAGTTTGAGACCAACTTGGCTAACATGGCAAAACCCTGTCTCTACTAAAAATACTAACATTACCTGGGTGTGGTAGTGGGTGCCTATAATCCCAGCTACTCGGGAGGCTGAGGCTGGAGAATCGCTTGAACCCAGGAGGCAAAGGTTGCAGTGAGCCAAGATCGCACCACTGCACTCCAGCCTGGGCAAGAAGAGCAAAACTCCATAAAAAAACCCAAGGTCCATGTGCCTGAAATGGTCCCAGCCCGCTGGGGGACAGAGCAAACATGGGTTTGCTGGGTGGTCACGTTGAGGGATCATCTAGGTTTCAGTTGAGTGGAAGGTTTGCTAGGAGGAGAAAGAGGCTCTTGCTTTAGGGAGTACAAGTTTGTGGGCTCAGGGCCAGAGCATGTCCCTGGTGCTCAGAGGACAAGCCCGGACCACACTGTCCCTGGATCCTACACTATAGTCAAGCCATAGAATTTGCTTTCTTTGGGGTGGGGGTTGCGGGGGGAGCCAATCTTTTTTTTTTTTTTTTTTTAAAGTGACTGATCTCGGCATTCTGCAACCTCCGCCTCCTGGGTTCAAGCGATTCTCTTGCTTCCACCTCCCGAGTAGCTGGGATTACAGGCGCCCACTACCACACCCGGCTAATTTTTGTATTTTTGGTAAAGATGGGGTTTTGCCATGTTGGCCAGGCTGGCCTCAAACTCCTGACCTCAGGTGATCCACCTGCCTCAGCCTCCCAAAGTGTTGGGATTACAGGCGTGAGCCACCACGCCTGGCCAGAGTTTGCTTTCTTAACCTGAGTTTTTTGTTTCTCCTTCTCACGTCAAAGACTAAACAAAATGGGTGTGAGAGAGACATTCAGAACCGCCACGCACAGTAGAGGGTGAGCCAGTACTCACACCCAGGGCCCCCGAGCACCAGACAGGCTCTTCTTCCACTGTTCCACAATCATGGCTAAGACTTGGCCCGTCCCACCTTCTCTGCCTTCAGCCCTCCCCATGGCTTCCCTTTCACCAGGGGAAGGACTTTGATAGGAGCCCATGGGGAGAAAACCCAGTAAAATGCATGTATATTGTTATGAAATATTTACATGTGAAACAGCACCAATTTCTTGTTGAAGAAATTAGAAAATATCAATATGTTAAGAAAAAAATCCGCCCAGTGAGGCGGCTCATGCCTGTAATACCAGCAACTTTGGGTGGCTGAGGCAGGAGGATCACTTGAGCCCCTAGGAGTTCGAGACCAGCCTGGGCAACATGGTGAAACCCTGTCTCCACAAAAAATACAAAAATTAGCCAGGCATGGTAGTATGTGTCGTAGTCCCAGCTACTTGGGAGGCTGAGGCCGGAGGATCAATTGAGCCCGGGAGGCAGAGGTTGCAGTGAGCTGTGAATGTGCCACTGCACTCCAGCCTGGGCGACAGAGCGAGACCCTATCTGAAGAGAAAACACCAAAACAAAACCAACCAAACAAAAGTCCTACCATGCAAAGATAATCATTGTTAATATTCTGTGTCTTTTCTTCAGAATCTTTTTTATTTTATTTTTTGAGATGGGGTTTTTCTTTGTTGCCCGGGCTGGAGTGCAGTGGCTCGATCTTGGCTCACTGCAACTTCCGCCTCCCTGGTTCAAGTGATTCTCCTGCCTCGGCCTCCCAAGTAGCTGGGATTACTGGCGCCCGCCACCATGCCCGGCTAATTTTGTATTTTTAGTAGAGATGGGGTTTCACCATGTTGGTCAGGCTGGTCTCGAACTCCTGACCTCAAGTGATCCACCCGCCTCCGCCTCCCAAAGTGCTGGGATTACAGGCTTGAGCCACTGTGCCTGGCCCAGAATTTTTTGTTTATAGATGTATGTTTACAAACTTATTACATGTGCTGTAGTTTGTAGTTGATGTATACAAACAAGAAACAGGCCAGGCACAGTGATGCATGCTTGTAATCCCAGCACTTTGGGAGGCCAAGGCGGGAGGATCACTTGAGGCCAGGAGTTCGAGACCAGCCTGAGCAACATAGCGGGACCCTGACTCTACAAAAAGCATATATATATGTTTTGGTTTTTTAGACGGAGTCTCACTCTGTTGCCCAGGCTGGAGAACAGTAGTACGATCACAGCTCACTGCCACCTCCACCTCAGAGGCTCAAGCGATTCTCCTGCCTCAGCCTCCCAAGTAGCTGGGATTACAGGGGTGAAACACCGCGCCTGGCCTCTACAAAAAATAAAAATAGGCCGGGCATGGTGGCTTACGCCTGTAATCCCAGCACTTTGGGAGGCTGAGGTGGGTGGATCACCTGAGGTCAGGAGTTGGAGACCAGCCTGGCCAACATGGTGAAACCCCATCTCTAGTAAAAATACAAAAAATTAGCCAGGCTTGCTGGTGTGTGCCTGTAATCCCAGATATGTGGGAGGCTGAGGCATGAGAATCACTTGAACCCAGGAGGCACAGGTCGCAGGAAGCCGAGATTACGCCACTGCACTCCAGTCTGGGCAACAGCAAGACCCTATCCCCTCAAAAAAGTTTTCTTATAATTTTTTGAGGGGGATGGAGTCTTGCTGTGTCGCCCAGGCTGGAGTGCAGTGGTATGGTGCAATCTTGGCTCCCTGCAACCTCTGCCTCCCAAGTTCAAGAGATTCTCCTGCCTCAGCCTCTTGAGTAGCTGGGATTACAGGCACATGCCACCACACCCGGCTGATATTTGTATTTTTAGTAGAGATGGGGTTTCACCATATTGGCCAAGCTGATCTTGAACTCCTGACCTCAGGTGATGCACCTGCCTCGGCCTCCCAAAGTGTGGTGATTACAGGCGTGAGCCTCTGTGTCCGGCCTGTTTCTTCAGAATAAATTTCTAGTAATTACATTTTTGGGTAATGGGTGGGGATTGTAGTAAATTGCACATTGGTTACTGAGACACAGATGCACATACTCATTAAGAAAAACTTCAGTCAGTCGTGGTGGTTCACCCCTGTAATCCCAAGGTTTTGGGAGGCTGAGGCAGGCAGATTGCTTGAACCCAGGAGTTTGAGACCAGCCTGGGCAATACAGTGAGACCCTGTCTCTACCAAAAAATTTAAAAATTAGCTGGGCATGGCTGGGCGCAGTGACTTACGCTTGTAATCCCAGCACTTTGGGAGGCCGAGGAGGGCAGATCACGAGGTCAGGAGATCGAGACCATCCTGGCTAACACGGTGAAACCCCGTCTCTACTAAAAATACAAAAAATTATTCAAGCATGGTGGTGCACGCTTGTAGTACCAGCTACTCGGGAGGCTGAGGCAGGAGAATGGCGTGAACCCGGGAGGCGGAGCTTGCAGTGAGCCGAGATAGCGTCACTGCAGTCCGGCCTGGGCGAAAGAGCAAGACTCTTGTCTCAAAAAAAAAAAAAAAAAAATATATATATATATATATATATATTAGCTGGGCATGTGACACACCTATAGTCCCAGCTTCTCTGGAGGCTGGGGTGGGAGGATCGCTGGAACCTGGGAGTCCAGGGCTGCATTGAGTCGTGATTGCATCACTGTGTTCCAGCCTGGGCGACAGAGTGAAACCCCATTTCAAAAAACAAAACAAAAATCCAAGTAAGGCCTCACAAGATTGAGTCTCTATGACATTTGTAAGGTGAGGGCTTTGCTTTGATAATGGGGACCCTTCAGAGGAGGTTTTCTCCCACCTGCGCCTGGGAGAGGGCGGGGGTGGTCCCAGCAGTTGATTGGGAGCCCAAGGGCAAGCGTGGCCTCTCATATCCTCTCTCCCCACCCTGATGTCTGCCTTCACAGGTGTCTGCTTTTCCAGAATAGAGAAGAAGAACTATGGCCCAGGTGAGTGTGGCATTTCTTTCTACTGCCCTTTTTAGCAGGGATTTCGGATGCTCATAAGAACATGACTGATAAAGGCTGGGCGTGGTGGCTCACGCTGGTAATCCCAGCACTGTGGGAGGCCAAAGTAGGCGGATCACCTGAGGTCAGGAGTTCAAGACCAGCCTGGCCAACATGGTGAAACCCTGTCTCTACTAAAAATACAAAATTAGACAGGTGTGGTGGCACGAGCCTGTAATCCCAGCTACTCAGGAGGCTGAGGCAGGGGAATCACTTGAACCCAGGAGGTAGAGGTTGCAGTGAGCTGAGATCGTGCCATTGCACTGCAGCCTGGGTGACAGAGTGAGACTCTGTCTTAAAAAAAAAAAAAAAAGGGTATCCGATAAAACAAAATACAAACGGAAATCAGGATCGGTGAAAACAGGAAGAGAATGGAAGATCAAGGTTGTGGGAAGGGCAGGGTGGAGAGACTGTAGAGGCTGCCGCAGTTATGAGATGCCTTATAAATTTTTTTTTTTTTTGAGACGGAGTCTTGCTCTGTCACCCAGGCTGGAATACAGTGGCATAATCTTGGCTCACTGCAACCTCTGCCTCCTGGGTTCAAGCGATTCTCCTGCCTCAGCCTCCTTACAGGCACTTGCCACCACACACAGCTAATTTTTGTATTTTTAGTGAAGACAGGGTTTCACCACGTTGGCCAGGCTGGTCTCGAACTCCTGGCCTCAAGTGATCCGCGCACTTCGGCCTCCCAAAGTACTGGGATTACAGGCATGAGCCACCATGCCCAGCCCGATGCCTTGTAAATTTATATCTGACATTTCTGTCACTTTAAAAACGCAGGCAGATTCCATCTAATGTATGACTTGTGTTGTCTGTTTTGGACAACCGTGTCTACTTCTCAGGGGAAATACAGCTCTTTAGGGCATTTAAAGATATATTTGATCTTTGTATGCAAGATGTAGCAGGCCCGTTCCTCAATAACAACCATCTTGAAAGAAACACAACAGGAAATCTCTTGTGACTTTTCTTCCTCTCTGTATAAACAGCAGATATTATGCCAAAGCAGCCGTCTGTGATTCTGGTTGTTTGGGGATGCCGAACACTCAGGTCTACAGAGACAGCCTTGTGCGGTGCCAAGTGACCTGGATGTAACACTGCATTATCTAGAGGAACGAATGAATGAACTGCGTGTTCTTGAAACAGCCTGCCATGTCTACCGCCACACCACCCTGAACGTGCCTGATCTCATCTGAAATTGCTTGCCATAATGGGTTTTTTTAATTAAAAAAAATTTTTTTGAGATGGAGTCTGGCTCTGTTGCTCAGGCTGGAGTGCAATGGCACGATCTTGGCTCACTGCAACTTCCACCTCCTGGGTTCAAGTGATTCTCCTGCCTCAGCCTCCCAAGTAGCTGGGAATATAGGCATGTGCCACCACGCCCGACTAATTTTTGTATTTTTAGAGATGGAGTTTCATCATATTAGCCAGGCTGGTCTCGAACTCCTGACCTCAGGTGATCCGCCCACTTGGCTGTTAGCTCTCTTTGCATGTGAGTGACATCAGTGTTTTCCATCAGCCTGGAAGCATTCTCCTCCTCCTGCTCTTCACCCCGGGTTCTAGGAATGTGTGAGTGTGGACTGCACTGGTTAGAAGTTCTAATCCTTGAAGTTGGAAAAGCCAGAAATCCAACTAGAAGTAGGTTAGGATTTAAAAAAAAAAAGTAATTCTAGAACTTTGGGAAGCTGAGGCAGGAGGATTGCTTGAGGCCAGGAGTTCAAGACCAGCCTGGGTAATGTGGCAAGACCCCATCTCTACAAAAAATACAAAAATTAGCCAGGCGTGGTGGCACATGCTTGTACTCCCAGCTGCACGGGAGGCTAAGGTGGGAGGATCACTTGAGCCTAGGAGGTCGAGGCTGCAATGAGCTGTGATCGTGCCTTTGGACTCCAGCCTGGGCAACAGAGGGGAGAGCCTGTCTCAAAAAAAAAAAAAAAAAAAAATCTATAAGGCAGCATGCGAGTCCTGGGAAGAGCAGGTGTGCAGTCAGGCTCCAGAGGCATCTGGCAAACCAGGTATCGCCAGGAATCTTTGTTCCCTGTTCTCTGCCTCTGTGACTTTTTCTTTTTTTTTTTTGAGATGGAGTCTCACTCTGTCACCCAAGCTGGAGTGCACTGGCGCAATCTCAGCTCACTGCAAGCTCCCCCTCCCGGGTTCACGCCATTTTCCTGCCTCAGCCTCCCCAGTAGCTGGGACTACAGGTGCCCGCCACCATGCCTGGCTAATTTTTTGTATTTTTAGTGGAGACGGGGTTTCACCATGTTAGCCAGGATGGTCTCGATCTCCTGACCTCATGTCCACCCTCCTCGGCCTCCCAAAGTGCTGGGATTACAGGCGTGAGCCACTGCACCCGGCACTTCTGTGACTTTCTTCTCATGCTGACTCTATGTGGCCAGAAATAGCGTAGCCCCAGCTCCTCTCCTCCCAGCTGCAAGTTCTGCCGCTGTGAGGGACTGAATCTCCCTTCACTGATCCAATTTTGAAAGCTTTTCGGGGAGGATTCTGTTGGTCCAGCCTAGCTCAGGTGTATTAGGCCCTCTGTCCAGGCAGCTGTGCACAGGGGCAGGAAGGGCCTGGTCCCAGAGGAAGATGAGGCCTCGTGAACATTACCACTGTCCACTCCAGGAAGGAAAACGTTCACAGAGCCTGGGTTTCTTTGTGCTTTGTGAAGCCAGGGATGTCTAGGTGTTTCACACCAGAAATGTCTCAGAGCAGTAGGAGAGGCTAGAACAAGGTGGCGAGCCACACCCGCCCTGTGGGTGAAGCTGGAGGTTTCGCTTGTTGTCTTTCTTGGAAGCCACTGTTGGTTTTTTTTTTTTTTTTTTTTTCTGAGATGGAGTCTTGCTCTGTCGCCCAGGCTGGAGTGCAGTGGCGCGATCTCGGCTCACTGCAACCTCTGCCTCCTGGGTTCATGCCATTCTCCTGCCTCAGCCTCCCGAGTAGCTGGGACTACAGGCGCCTGCCACCATGCCTGGCTAACTTTTTTGTATTTTTAGTAGAGACTGGGTTTCACTATGTTAGCCAGGATGGTCTCGATCTCCTGACCTCGTGATCTGCCCGCCTCAGCCTCCCAAAGTGCTAGGATTACAGGCATGAGCCACCGTGCCCAGCCAGAAGCCACTGTAGGAAGGCAAATCCCACTGGGAGTGACTCTGTGTTAGGGCAGTCTGTGTACTGAAGATGACAATGACCGCGTTAAACGCTGTCTGTCCAGCACTTTTGTGGTCTCTGTGCTTTTCATATGTTATTTCATGAATAAACCCATAAGAGGCATATCTATAGAAATTACATATTTACATGGAAATTATATATTTATATAGAAATTATGTATGAATAAATTACATAGAAATTACAAAGACATGAATTAACTATGTAGACATTGTATGTGTATGTATAAAAACTATGTAGACATTGTATATATATATACATGTATGTAAACTACATTGATTATATATATATATATATATATATATATATATATATGTAATGTATATACATATACTACACTACGTAGACGCCAGGCATGATAGCTCACACCTGTAATCCCAGCACTTTGGGAGGCTGAGGTAGCTGGACCACCTGAGGTCGGGAGTTCGAGACCAGCCTGGCCTCATGGTGAAACCCTGTCTCTACTAAAAATACATAAATTAGCTGGGCGTGTGCCTGTAATCCCAGCTACTTGGGCGGCTGAGGCAGGAGAATCACTTGAACCCAGGAGGCGGAGGTTGCAGTGAGCTGATATTGCACATTGCACTCCAGCCTGGGCAACACAGTGAGACCCTATCTCAAAAAAACAAGTCACTGGCTTCAGCAGCCTTTAGCCCTTGGTCATAAGTTTTCTAGAGATCAGAGTGTGGTCTGGAAGAGAACCCAGGGTCCGTAGGGTGATCAGAGCTCTGGGCTTCTTTGTGGATTGCCTCTCCCCACTCCCACATAGCTCCCGGTCCCTGCTGCTGCCCCTGGGCTGTGCCCTGCTTCCTGCCCCTCCTCTGCACGCGCTTGTCTCACCATTGGGGACACTTTGGGTCACCCATTTGCCTATGAACATCCCTCACCACTCCAGCAGCATGTGTCCGGGGGACCCACTGCAGCTCTTTCTACCCAGCATCCCCCCTTGACCTCTGCCACAGTGACGAAAGCCCCCCAACCCTCACATGCTTTTTTTTTTTTTTTTTTTTTAAGATGGAGTCTTACTCTGTTGTCTAGCCTGGAGTGCAAGGGCGGGATCTCGGCTCACTGCAACGTACGCCTCCTGGGTTGAACAAATTCTCCTGCCTGAGCCTCCCTGGTAGCTGGGATTATAGGCACCCACCAGCATATCCATCTAATATATTTTTTGTAGAGATGGGATTTGACTATGTTGGCCAGGCTGGTCTCAAACTCCTAACCTCAAGCAATCCACCCGTTTCAGCCCCTCAAAGTGCTGGGATTACAGGCGTGAGCCACTGCACCCAGTCGAGATTTTTTTTCTAATGATTATTTTTTTCTCTTCCACAAAGTGTAGTACAAAGTTAGGGGTGTGCTCAGCTTCCTATGTAACCTAATATGGGGAAAGCTGACGTCGGAAGGTTTAAGATCAATCTCCTCTACGCCTTTGCCATGGTACCCAGTGCCAACCACTCCACATTAATCAGCCATGTGCTGTTCCAGGGGTCACTGTCATTCGGGGACGTGGCTGTGGGCTTCACCCGGAAAGAGTGGCAGCAGCTGGACCTGGAGCAGAGGACCCTGTACCAGGATGTGATGCTGGAGATCTACAGCCACCTGCTCTCTGTGGGTGAGGAAGACTTCCCCGTGGTCCTCGGGTTACATGAACTCTTTTTCTTAGTTGTATAAAACTGGGAAACTGCTCACGCACTAAAAGGGCTAAGCTGGGCATGGTGGCTCATGCCTGTGATCCCAGCACTTTAGGAGGCCGAGGTGGGAGGATTGCTTGAGCTACAGGTGCAAGACCCGATCTATACAAACGAGAAATAAAAAATTAGCCAGGCATGGTGGCATGTGCCTGCAGTCCCAGCTACTTGCGAGTCTCAAATGGAAGGATCACTTGAGGCCCGAGTTCAAGACTTGCCTGGGCAACATGGCAAAACCCCATCTCTACAAAAAAATTAAAAAATTAGTTGAGGGTGGTGATGCATGCTTGTAGTCCCAGCTACTCGGGAGGCTGAGACAGGAGGACCACTTGAGTGGAGTGCAGGAGATTGAGGCTGCAGTGAGCTGTGATTGTGCCATTGCACTCCAGCCTGGGCAACAGAGCAAGACCCTGTGTGAAAAATAAAAGTGCTTGGCCTTGGGTTTCAGTGGTCAGAGTCTCGATCCCACTGGAGTCCTCGTGAAGTTATCCTGCCAAGCGAAACAGCTCTTATGTGGCTGAGACGTCCACCTTTTGTTTTGCAGGCTGAACTGTCTGCTTGCTTGGAAGGCCCAGCTGGCTCAGCACAAATCCTTTAACTGTTTCTCCCCAACAGGGTGTCAAGTCAGCAAACCAGCTGTGATCTCCAGTTTGGAGCAGGGGAAGGAGCCATGGATGGAGGAGGAAGAGATAAGGACGTGGAGCTTCCCAGGTGAGCGGGTGGCCTGCAGGGGGCCGGGGGATGAGGTTCCTGGAAGTCTGCAAAGCAGAACCCATGGATGTTGTCTTGTTTTGTTTTTTGAGATGGAGTCTCACTCAGTTGCCCAGGCTGGAGTGCAGTGGCGCGATGTCAGCTCATTGC
This sequence comes from Homo sapiens, assembly GCF_000001405.40. Taxonomy (NCBI): domain Eukaryota; kingdom Metazoa; phylum Chordata; class Mammalia; order Primates; family Hominidae; genus Homo; species Homo sapiens. Next base: position 5,126,679 of record NC_000007.14, on the reverse strand, counting down.
AACCTCCACCTCCCAGGTTCAAGCCATTCTCCTGCCTCAGCCTCCTGAGTAGCAGGGATTACAGGCGCTTGCCACCATGCGTGACTTATTTTGTATTTTTAGTAGAGACTGGGTTTCACCATGTTGGTCAGGCTGGTTTCAAACTCCTGAACTCGGGTGATCCACCTGCCTTGGCCTCCCAAAGTGCTGGGATTACAAGTGTGAGCCATGGCGCCTGGCCGGATGTCCTCTTGTTTCAGGCAACTGTTCTTAAAAGCCTGGGATTTTGGCTGGGCGTGCCATTTGTTGTTTTCATCTTTTTCTTTCACTGTGAAATGCCTCAAAAACATCTTTGCTACACGTAAAATTTAGTCCCCTTTCTCTTCTTAATACCCACAAACTGGTGAAAGCTATTCCTGTCCTTTAGTGTACTTAATGACTATTTTTGAGATGGAGTCTCACTCTGTCTGCCAGACTGGAGTGTAGTGGCGTGATCTCGGCTCACTGCAACCTCTGCCTCCCGAGTAGCTGGGACTACAGGCGCGCACCACCACACCTGGCTAATTTTTGTATTTTTAGTGGAGATCCTGTTTCACCATGTTGGCCAGGATGGTCTTGATCTCCTGACCTCGTGATCCGCCCGCCTCGGCCTCCTAAAGTGCTGGGATTACAGGCGTGAGCCATTGCACCTGGCCAACTTGATGAGGTTAAATCATTGCTGTCTCTCTCCCAGCTCACCTTCGTGTGGCGTTGATTCATGCTGATCACCAAGTTTCTGCTGCAGAAAACGAAGGGGCTGGGTTATTTTCTATTAAATGCTTATTCAGGGGCCAGGCATGGTGGCTCACACCTGCAATCCCAGCACTTTGAGAGGCTGAGGCAGGCAGATCACATGGGTTTAGGAGATTGAGACCAGCCTGGCCAACAGGGTGAAACCCCATTTCTACTAAAAATACAAAAATTAGCCGGGTGTGGTGGCACGCGCCTGTAGTCTCATCTAATCGGGGACTGAGGGGAGAGGATCACGTGAGCCCAGGAGGTTGAGGCTGCAATAAGCTGTGGTTCCTCCAGCCTGGGCAACAGGCTTGACCGCATCTCAAAAAAACAAAAATCGAACATCAGCTGGCACCAGTAATGGAATCAGAAGTAATTAAACCCTCCAGGCATGGCAGCTGTCACCTGTAGTCCCAGCACTTTGGGAGGCTGAGGCTGGAGGATCGCTTGAGTCCAGGAGGTCGAGGTTGCAGTGAGCTATGATCACGCGAGACCCTGTTTCTTAAAAAAAAAAAAAAGAAAGAAAAACTTGGCTCATCTTCAAGGTTTTTTTGTAGAGATGGGGTCTCACGATGTTGCCCAGGATTGTGTTGAACTCCTGGGCTCAAGCGATCCTCCCACCCCGGCCTCTTAAGGTGCTGGGATTACAAGTGTGAGTCACTGTGCCTGGCCGATCTTAGAGGTTAATGTCAACTTTGTCTACTTCACGCATCTGGTTACTCTACTATTCAGCCTACTACATTACCTTTTATATGACTTTTAAATTCTTCTTTCAAAACCATGTAATATGGCTCCATTCTGCCTAATGGGCTGTACTCAGTATAACCCCATGGGGAGAAGAGCTGTTATTTCATTTGTCCGTGTTTCTTCGAGAAGCTCTGGGGGACACTCCTTTAATCTCTCTTTGGATCAGGACAAGGATTCTTTCTCACGTGTTTGTTCAGGACGCTGCTAATTAATTGATGATCCACACGAAAATTACTTGGGGAGCTTTAAAAATACCCCTGGATGGGTCTCACCCTAGAAATCTGATGGCGGAGATGAACAGGTGCTCTTTACCTCTCAGAAATTCAGCAGTTCCGCTGGGCGCAGTGGCTCACGCCTGTAATCCCAGCACTTTGGGAGGCTGAGGCGGGCGGATCATGAGGTCAGGAGATCGAGACCATTCTGGCTAACATGGTGAAACCCCGTCTCTACTAAAAAATAAAAAATAAAAAAAATTAGCCTGGCTTGGTGGCAGGTGCCTGTAGTCCCAGCTACTTGGGAGGCTGAGGCAGGAGAATGGTGTGAACCTGGGAGGCGGAGCTTGTAGTGAGCCAAGATCGCGCCACTGGACTCCAGTCTGGGCTACAGAGCTGAGACTCCATCTCAAAAAAAAAAAAAAAAAAAAAAAAATCAGCAGTTCAGCTCAGGAACTATTTTTTTTTTCTTTGTGTTGGAATTTCGCTCTTGTTGCCCAGGCTGGAGTGCAGTGGTGTGATCTTGGCTCACTGTAACCTCTGCCTCCCAAGTTCAAGGGATTCTCCTGCCTCAGCCTCCCGAGTACCTGGGATTACAGGCATGTGCCACCATGCCTGGCTAATTTTTTTGTATTTTTAGTAGAAACGGGGTTTCTCCATGTTGGTCAGGCTGGTCTCGAACTCCTGACCTCAGGTGATCCACCTGCCTCGGCCTCCCAAAGTGCTGGGATTACAGGTGTGAGCCACTGCGCCTGGCCAGGAACTTTTTTTTTTTTTTTTGAGAGAGTCGTTGTCTGTCGCCCAGGCTGGAGTGCAGTGGTACAGTCTTGGCTCACTGCAACCTCTGCCTCCCGGGATCAAACACTCCTCCTGCCTTAGTCTCCCAAGTAGCTGGGATTACAGGCGTGCGCCACCATGCCTGGCTAATTTTTGTATTTTTAGTAGAGATGGGGTTTCACCATGTTGACCAGGCTGGTCTCAGACTCCTGACCCTAGGTGATCTGCCCATGTTCGCTTCCCAAAGTGCTGGGATTACAGGCTTGAGCCACTGCACCCAGCCAGGAACTTCTAAATAGAGGAGTGACACCCTTGAGTCGGACATGAGCCTCACAGGTGAGGCAGCAGGTAGCATCTTTAGTTTAAAATGCAAATGAAGATACACCAGGTGTGGTGGCTCATGCCTGTAATCTCAGCATTTGGAGAGGCTGAGGCAAAAGAATCGCTTGAGGCCAGGAGTTCGAGACTAGCCTGGGCAACATAGCAAAACTCCATCTCTACAAAAAAAGAAACTAGGCATGAGCCTCCGTGCCTGGCTAATTTTTATAATCCCAGCTGATTGGGAGGCCAAGGCAGGAGGATCGCCTGAGGCCAGAAGCTCAAGACAACCCTGGGTAACATAGTGAGACCCCCGTATCTACAAAAACAATTTTAAAAACTAGCTGGACATGGTGGCATGCACCTGTAGTCCCAGCTACTTGGAAGGCTGAGGTGGGATGATCGTTGGAGCCCGGGAGTTTGAGGCTGCAATGAGCCATGATTGTACTACCATGCTTCAGCCTGGGTGACGGAGTGAGACCCTGTCACCAAAACAAAAACAAGTGGTAATACAGGCATCAGGAGACAGCAGGGAATCTGAGGCCAGGATGGCTTGTGTGTACTCTAGTATTCTTCTGTTGGACATCATAAAGATCCATAGGTCCACGTGAGAATAAGTCACTGCAGAAAATGCCGCTAGCTCTAAGATAATTCCTTTAACAATAAAGAGCTCATGGCTGGGTGCAGTGACTCAAGCCTGTAATCCCAGCACTTTGGAATGTCCAGGTAGGCAGATCACCTGAGGCCAGCCTGACCAACATGGTGAAACCCTGTCTCTACTAAAAATACAAAAAATTAGCTGGGCGTGGTGGTGGGTGCCTGTAATCCCAGCTAATTGAGAGGCTGAGGCAGGAGAATCGCTTGAACCCAGGAGGCTGAGGTTGCAGTGAGCCGAGATTGCGCCACTGCACTCCAGCCTGGCGACAGAGTGAGACTCCATCTCAACAACAACAAAAAGGACCTCATGCTTTGAGAAAATCCAGTTGGTATACAGAATGAAAGGGAGCATAGGTCGGGAGAACATGGGAAGGGTGGATAGTGAAGGCCTCTGTGTAACCTAGGCCTCAAGAAAGGGACCGGGCACTTGGTTTTACTACTTTTTGGGACAGAGTTTCACTCCATCACCCAGGCTGGAGTGCCGTGGTGTGATCATGGCTCAGTACAGCTTCAACCTCCCAGGCTCAAGCGACCTTCCCACCTCAGCCTCCTGAGTAGCTGGGATTACAGGCAATTAGGCTTAAAACCACAAAATGAATCCTCCCTTCAAGCTTTTCTGCAATAGTTTTGTGATACAGTACTCCAAGATTAACAAATTTATGGCCAGGTGCGGTGGCTCACGCCTGTAATCCCTGCACTTTGGGAGGCGGAAGCCAGCAGATCACCTGAGGTCAGGAGTTCAAGACCAGCCTGGCCAACATGGTGAAATCCTGTCTGTACTAACAATACAAAAATTAGCTGAGCATGGTGGCTGGCACCTGTAATCCCAGCTACTCAGGAGGTTGAGGCGGGAAAATCACTTGAACCTGGGAGGCAGAGGTTGCAGTGAGCCAAGATCATGCCAGTACACTCCAGCTTGGGCAATGGAGTAAGACTCCGTCTCAAAGAAAAAAAAAACCACGAGTTTGTGGTTTTGTTTTTTTTTTTTCTAGAAGAAGTTTGGCAAGTTGCTACCCAGCCAGATAGCCAACAGCAACACGAAGACCAACATTTGAGCCATACGTTTCTAGACAAGAAAGACTGGACCGGAAATGAGCTTCATGAATGTAACGAACTTGGAAAAAAACTCCATCAGAACCCAAACCTCCTTCCATCAAAACAGCAGGTCCGCACACGTGACTTGTGCAGAAAGAGTTTGATGTGTAACCTGGACTTCACTCCTAACGCCTACCTGGCGAGGAGGAGATTTCAGTGCGACGGCCACGGAAACTTCTCTATTCGAAACTTGAAACTCCACCTTCAGGAGCGAATCCACGCGGAGGTCACCAGTGTGGCAGTGCTTTAAGCTGTGACGAGGGAGTTCCTGCAGCTCAGGGAGCCAGTAGTGAGAAACCCCACGAATGCACGAAGTGTGGGAAAGCCTTGTGCTGCAGATCGGACCTCAGGGTACATCACGGGGTCCACGCGGGGGAGAAGTCCTCTGCGTGCAGTGAACGGGGGAGTGGTTTCAGGGAGAAGCTTTGCCCTGACAAACAGGGAACTCACACAAAGGAGAAACCCGCTAGAGACAGAAGTGGTAAAACGATCTTCCGGAAGACACGCCTGTGTGTCCCGGGCACAGTTCACGCCGGAGCGAAGCCTTACAAGTGTTGGGAGTGTGAGAAAACCTCCCACAAGTCGCGCCTCATCGAGCACCTTCGCTCCCACCCGGGGGAGAAGCCCTGCGGCTGCAGGGAATGCGGAAAGGCCTTTTTCCAGAAGTCACACCTCATCCTGCGTCAGAGGACTCACACGGGGGAGAAGCCCTGCGGCTGCGCGGAGTGCGGGAAAGCTGCTCCCAGGACTCCTGCCTCCTGACCCACAGGCGGACTCGCGGGGAAGAAACCGTACGAGTGCTCCGACTGCGGGAAGACCTCCCGGAAGGCGAACCTCATCCGCCACCACGGGATCCACACGAGGGAGAAGCTGCATGGGTGAAGAGACCGTGGGATCGTCACAAAGTCACATCACGAGGTCGCCGAACCTCTAGGAGGGACATCGCCAGGGAAACAGCCCTCAACCAAAACTACGACGCCACCCTAGGCAGAGGTCCCATATCGGGGTGAAATTCGGCCACTTTGGTGGCTTAAGGAAGGCATGGTCAGCTGGGCGCTGTGGCTCACGCCTGTAATCCCAGCGCTTTGGGACGCCGAGGCGAGTGGATCACCTGAGGTCAGGAGTTCAAGACCAGTCTGGCCAACATGGTGAAAGCTCGGCTCTACTAAAAGTACAAAAAATTAGCCGGGAATTGTGGCAGGCGCCTGTAATTCCAGCTACTCGGGAGGCTGAGGCAGGAGAATCGCTTGAACCCGGGAGGCGGAGATTGCAGTGAGTGGAGGTCGCACCACTGCACTCCAGCCTGGGTGACAGAGTGAGACTCAGTCTCAAAAACAAACAACAAAAAAGCATGGTCTGTTAAAACTAACGACGGAAGGGTGATGGTATGCTAGAGTGATCTATTTTTGTAAGTATACTTTTTTTTTTTTTTTTTTTTTTTGAGACAGAGTCCTCATTCTGTTACCCAGGCTGAAGTGCAGTGGTGCAATCTCGACTCACTGCAACCTCTGCCTCCCAGGTTCATGTGATTCTCCTGCCTCAGCCTCCCGAGTAGGTGGGATTACAGGTGCCCGCCAGCGTGCCTGGCCAACTTTTTGTTTTTAGTAGAGATGGAGTTTCACCATGTTGGTCAGGCTGGTCTCAAACTCCTGATCTCATGATCTGCCCACCTCGGCCTCCCAAAGTGCTGGGATTACAGGCCTGAGCCACTTTAGCCAGTCTATACTTAATTATAAAGACAACTGTGGATATGAAGTTTTTTTTTCTTTTGAGATGGAGTTTCACTCTTGTTGCCCAGGCTATGGGAAGAAATGAAATCATTACGACTAACAGATCTAAAAAGCATGAGAACATCCCAGAGGGACGCAGGGGTGTGTTCCGAGTGTGCTACAGACAGGTAATTTTTATTTTTGTGTTGCACTGGTGAACAGAACATAATTGTGAATCTGTAGACATACATACCATAATATATAGAAGATCTATGGAGACTTTCTATGCTAAATTATACCCTTCTGTATTTGTGATACAGAACTGGAATAAGATGAACATATTATTAAACCAGGGAGGCCCACTGCAGCACCACATACCATTTCTTCTGTTTGTCGTCACGTATCACAGAGCCCCTGAACCTGGAAGCTAACAATTTCATGACATCTGATAACTCACAGTCAACTAGTTTGTATTTCTGGCTGGGCTCGGTCGCTCACACCTGTAAACCCAACACTTTGGGAGGCTGAGGTGGGCGGATCACCTGAGGTCAGGAGTTTGAGACCAGCCTGGCCAACAGGGTGAAACCCCATCACTATGAAAAATACAAAAATTAGCCGAGCATGCTGGTGCATGCCCGTAATCTTAGTAATCCCAGCTACTTGGGAGGCTCAGGCAAGAGAATTGCTTGAGCCCAGGAGGCAGAGGTTGCAGTGAGCCGAGATCACACCACTGCACTCCAGCCTGCATGACAGAGCAAGATTTTGTCTCAAAAAAAAAAAAAAAAAAAAAAAACCAAAAAACCCAAAACAGGGTTTTGGTGTTGTGGTGTTTGAAACAGCTTTTGGAAGCAAAAATATTTTGGAAAGAAGAGTCCCTCAACCAATGTTTCTCTGGAATCTAACATAACCTCAGTGAAGTGCATCTTGTTCAGGGACAGGGGTAAATGGGATGTCTCTGTACCTTCCTCTCAATTGTGCTGTGAACCTAAACTGCTCTAAAAAAGTCCTTAAAAAGAGCTGTCGTAGGCCAGGTGTGGTGGCTCATGCCTGTAATCCCAGCACTTTGGGAGACCAAGGCGGGCGGATCACAAGGTCAGGAGTTCAAGACCAGCGTGGCCAACATAGTGAAACCGTCTCTACTAAAAATACAAAAAATTAGCTGGGCATGGTGGTGGGCACCTATAATCCGAGCTACTCGGGAGGCTGAGGCAGGAGAATCGCTTGAACCCAGAAGGCGGAGGTTGCAGTAAGCTGAGTTCGAACCATTGCGCTCCAGCCTGGGCAATAGTGTGAGACTCCATCTAAAAAACAAAAAAAAAACAAAACAAAGCAAAATGCATACACACAAAAAAACCAGCTGTCTTAAATCTGTTTAGGGGTGATCATGTTCCATATACCGGTAGCATTTGGGGAGAAGGCTGGGAGGCTCTTCTGCTCCAGGGCTAGGGCTTTTGTGTTTCAGGTTTCCTGACACCAGCCTCAAGAAGCCACAGATAAGGATGGAAATGGTATGAAGAGACTCTTCCTCTTTCCCAAGACTCCTGAAGCCATTGTCAGCTTCCTTCTTGGTGCTCCTCACTGGAGTAGACATAATTCTTCCCAATCAGCCTTGATAGGCGTGCACATCCACCAGCCAGGTGGTTAGGTAGGCAGAGGTTACCTGCACTGACCATGCCTCTGAGGTTCCTGGCTCCTAAATGGGCCCTTCAGGAGGTATTTTTTTGTTTGAGATGGGGCTTTGCTCTGTCACCCAGGCTGGAGTACAGTCCTGCAATCATAGCTCACTGCAGCCTCCACCCCCTGGGCTCAAGTGATCCTCCTGCCTCAGCCTCCCACTTAGCTGGGACTACAGGCACACAGCAGTACACCTGGACAATTTTTGTAGAGGCGGGGTTTCACTGTGTTAGCCAGGCTGGTCTCAAACTCCTGGACTCGAGATCCTCCTGCCTTGGCCTCCCAAAGTGCTGGGGTTACAGGCATGAGCCACTGCGCCAAGCCCAAGAACATTTTTGATTATCACACAGGGTAGTGGGGTGGAGGGTGCCACCGGCATCCAGTGAATAGAGAAAGACTCAGAGCGCGGCCGAGCACTTTGTAACGCATGGGACATCCCCCAACAGCAAAGAACCATCCAGCGCAAGACGTCAACGGACACAGCAGCGCTAGGCTGGAGTCGGATTGCTGGTCTTTGCGTGCTATACTTAGATTTACACCCCGTAGGCGTTGGGGAGGCTTAGATGGCTCCAGAATGGTGAGATTCCCCTCAGTGGGAGAAATCTCAGGACAGACACCGCCTGGCACCCAGCATCAGGCAAAATCCACCTGGTGGCCATCCCCAGCGTCCTCTGGCCGACCATGCATTGCAGGGCCTCCTGCATGTCCCGGTTCCGCAGCGTGTAGATGGCCGGGTACAGCAGCGGGGTGACGTTGATATAGATGAGCGAGACCAGCTTGTCCTCCTCAAGGGAACGGCTGTTCAGGGGCCTGGCATACATGGCCGTGGCACAGCCGTAGTGGAGCACAGCCACGGTGAGGTGGGACGCCACCGTGTTGAAGGCCTTGCGGCGGCCCGCGACCCCCCCAACACCCAGGATGACCACCAGCACCCGGGTGTAGGAGAGCAGGATGAGGAGCAGGGGTAGCACCAGCAGCAGCAGGCAGGCCACCAGGAGGACGCGCTCCTGCAGGGCCCGGCACCCGCAGGCCAGCACCAGCACGGCCGGGAGGTCGCAGAAGACGTGGTTGACCAGGCCGCCGCGGCAGAAGGGCAGCTGGAAGATGACCGCGGTGAGGCCCAGGGCCAGGACAGAGCCACCCGCGCAGCAGGCGGCCAAGCAGGCCCCAGCAGACGTCCATGGTCATGAGCCGAGGGTAGCAGAGTGGATGGCAGATAGCCAGGTAGCGGTCTAGGGCCATGGCAGCCAGCAGCAGGCACTCGGAGCCCCCCAGGGCCACGAAGAGGCCCATCTGGGCGGCGCAGGTAGAGGGGTCCACAGCCTGGCCCCTGGAGGGCAGGAGGAAGCCGGCCAGCATGCGTGGCGTGAGCACCAGCGTGTAGGCTGCCTGCGCCGCGGACAGCGCCCCCAGGAAGAAGTACATTGGCGAGTGCAGGGCGGGGTCCACCAGGGCCAGGCCCAGGATCAGTAGGTTCCCCGCCAGGGTGACCAGGTAGAGCGGCAAGAAGAGGACGAAGAGCAGCACGCGGAGCCCCGGGGGCCACACGGAGAAGCCCAGGATCACGAACTCCTGCAGGGCTGTCCCATTGGACTCAGGCCAGCAGCTCGCGTTGGGGTCTGCGGCAGGGACAGGAGTGCAGGCTGGAGAGGTGTCACTGTGACACCTCCCTCCTAGACACCTGTATGCCTTTTGCCTGTCCTAGGCCCCAGAACCCCACGCCCAGCCTTCTGAGGGCTACCCTTTCTCACTCTGTCCCCACCTTCTCCCAGGAACCCAGAATCCTCCCCTCAATCCATCCTGGGCACCCCTCACTTCCCCCAGTCCAATGTTCCCCGGAAATTCAGATGGCCGGAGCTGCTGTGCTGTGCCCTGCATGCTTCCAGGCACCCAGGGGTCTCCTTCAGACGTAGCCACCCACCCTCCCAGTTCTATCCCACCTCCTAAAACCTACCTCGTCCATACCTAGGAAGGCAGGCATCCTGGTTCCCAGCCTACAGTGAGAAGGAAGAGCTGCAGCCGGCGGGGAAGGACTGGAAGGAGTCTGGGTTCTCCCAGGTGATCTCTGCGTGGAGTGGGCTGGTTCTGAGCAGCAGGAATGACCAGTCCTGCAGACAGAGCCACGTGGGTGAAGTCTCAGAAGCAGCGGGAGAATCCTCTGTGCACAGAGGCTGCCTGACCCCCTGCACACCTCCCGGCCCTGAGCTGATAGAACAGTGCATCCATCATCTCTCCTGCCCTGGGATGGGTGCTTTATGATTCCCTTTTCTTCCCCTTTGCTGGATTCAGGACAAACCCATTGCAATCCTGGGTTCATCATTTCTCCCTCAGTTGCAGAGAAAATAACTACCAGGGAAGAGCATCCACCCTCTCCACGGGGGCAGCCGCCTCATGAGGAAGAGCAGCCTTCACGAGTCAGAGCAGCTGCTGCCATGGTCATGAGGAGAGTTCCAGTCCTTCCTCTTAGATGCAGAATCATATATCATCATCATTATTGAGACTGGGTCTCGCTCCATTGCCAAGGCTGGAGGGCAGTGGTGTGATCTTGGCTCACTGTGCTCTCCGCCTCCTGGGTTCAAGCAATCTTCCCATCTCAGCCCCCCAGGTAGTTGGGACCGCAGGTGAACACTGCCTCATCTAGCTAATTTTTCTAATTTTTATTTTTTGAGACAGTGTCTCATATCACTCTGTTGCCTAGGCTGGAGTGCAGTGGCGCAATCTCAGCTCACTGCAGCCTCTGCCTCCCAGGTTCAAGCGATTCTCCTGCCTCAGCCTCCCGAGTAGCTGGGACTACAGGCATGTGCCACCACGCCCAGCTAATTTTTGTATTTTTAGTAGAGATGGGGTTTCACTATGTTGTCCAGGCTGCTCTCAAACTCCTGACCACAGCTGATCCGCCTCACCCTCCCAAAGTGCTGGGATTATAGGCATGAGCCACCGTGTCTGCCCTAATTTTTCTATTTTTTGTTGAGACAGGGTTTCGCCATGTTACTCAGGCTGGTCTTGAACTCCTGCACTCAAGCGATCTGTCTGCCTCGGCTTCCCAAAGTGCTGGGATTACAGGGGTGGGCTACTGCACCCTACCTACTTTTTTTTTTTTTTTTTTGAGACAGGGTCTCATTCTGTTACCTAAGTTGGAGTGTGGTGGTCTGATCACACAGCTCACTGCAGCCTCAACCTCCCAGAATGAGGCAGTCCTCCTGCCTCAGCCCCCAAGTAACTGAGACCATGGGTGCCTGCCACCACACCTATTTTTTTTTTAAAATTATTTGTAGAAATAGGGTCTCCTTATATTGCCCAGGCTGTTCTCCAACTTCTGGGCTCAAGTGATCCTCGTGCCTCAGCCTCCCAAAGTGCTGGGATTACAGGTGTGAGCCACCACACCCAGCCCATGTTTTAAAATTTTTAAAAACTTCTTAACATTTTTTTAAATGCTAGAAGACTTTATAACTTTTTTAATTTTAAAAAGCTTAATTTTTAAAAAAAGCTGAAGCATTTTTAAAATTTAAGGAACTTAAAAAAACAAAATTTTTTTAATTTTAAAAAACTTAAAAATTTTTAATTTTAAAAAAACTTTAAATTTTTTTAAGGTAAAAAAAAAAAAAAAGCTTTGTAGAGATGGGACTCTAGCTGTGTTACCCAGGCTGGTCTCAAGCTATGGGCTTCAAGTGAAACTCCTGCCCCAGCCTCTTGAGTAGCTGGGACTACAGGTGTGTACCACAATGCTCAGTTAATTTATTTTATCTGTGTAGACATGGGACTCTTGCTATGTTGCCCAGGCTGGTGTCGAACACTCCTGGGCTCAAGTGAGCCTTGGCCTCCCAAAATGCTGGAATTACAGGCATGAGCCACCACACCACACCCAGCCCAGAACCATATTTTCTACTGCCTCCTGAACAGTTCCACCAACCATTCCAACTCAACCTGTCCCAAGCTCAAGCTGTTATTTCTAACCCAAGCCTCCCCACCCTTTCTGGGAATGGAGCTGGCCCAGTGCCGAAATCAGGAAGATTCATTCCAGATTAATTCTCTTTCCAGCACCCTCGAATGCAACTGGGCACCACAGATGCACCTCCACCTTGGAAATCCTTCTCTTTCCCCTGAGTCCTGTTTCCTCTTTTCTTTCTGAGAAAGAGTCTCGTTCTGTTGCCCAGGCTGGAGTGCAGTGGCGCGATCTCGGCTCACTGCAACCTCCGCCTCCCTGGTTCAAGCAATTCTCCTGCCTTGGGTTTCCGAGTAGCTGGGATTACAGATGCGTGCCACCACACCTGGCTAATTTTTGTATTTTTAGTAGAGAAAAGGTCTCACCCTGTTGGCCTGGCTTGGTCTCGAACTCCTGACCTCTAGTGACCTGCCTGCCTTGACCTCCCAAAGTGAGCCACTGGGCCTAGCCCTGTTTTCTCTTTCCTAACAGATCCTCCCTGATCTTCCAGTTGCAGCCAACTTCTGAATCACTTTTCCATGCCACGAATTAGAACAGCCCTTCGGATCCACAGGTATCAATTCTTTGCTTAACCATCCCTCTCGACCATCAGGGTCGAGTCCACACTCCTTAGCATGGCACTCGTGTTTGTTTTTTTTTTTTTTTTTGAGACGGAGTTTCGCTCTTGTCACCCAGGTTGGAGTGCAGTGGCACGATCTCAGCTCACTGCAACCTCCACCTCCTTGGTTCAAGCGATTTTCCTGCCTCAGCCTCCCAAGTAGCTGGGATTACAGGTGCCCGCCACCATGCCCGGCTAATTTTTGTATTTTTAGTGGAGATGGAGTTTCTCTGTATTGGGCAGGCTGGTCTTGAACTCCTGACCTCAGGTGATCCACCCACCTCAGCCGCACAAAGGCACTTGGGGTCTTTCACAAGATCATGCCCTGCATCATCTTTTGTTCCCTTCCCTTGTGCAACACGTACCCCGGTTGGAGTGAGGGACTCACGTCCTGAATGCACCGTGACTTTGCTCAAGCTGTTCTCATTTCCTGGATCTACCCACCCGGGAAAGTTCTAGTCATCCTCCAAGGCTGCACGTGTATGCCACGTCCTGGGTGATGACTCTTGTTCCCCAGGCAGGCTCGGTGCCACCCTCTAATCCCCCTGTCATGTAGGCAACTCCGCTAAATTCCGTTTCCTGCAATCAAAGATTTGAATTATGTTTATCTGTGTTGTTTGCTGAATTATCATAAGTGAAGGAATGGCCGGGCGTGCTGGCTCATGCCTGTAATCCTGGCACTTTGGGAGGCCGAGGTGGGCAGATCACAAGGTCAGGAGTTAGAGACCAGCCTGGCCAACATGGTGAAACCCTGTCTCTACTAAAAATATAAAAATTAGCTGGGTGTGGTGGCGGGCACCTGTAATCCCAGCTACTCAGGAGGCTGAGGCAGGAGAAACACTTGAACCCGGGAGGTGGAGGTTTCAGTGAGCCGAGATCGCGCCACTGTGCTCCAGCCTGGGCGATAGAGTGAGACTCCATCTCAAGATAAGTGAAGGAATTAGTTGTGCTGTCCTTATTTCTCCATCATGGGTGCCTCCTCTCACTGTCCCCCTGACTTGGGGTTCTGGCCCTGGAACCTCAGAGAGCCAGAGGCTCCCGCCTTGTGCTGCAGTCAGTTGTTTCGAATTCTGTTGGATCCTTCCCTAAAAATGCCCCTTGGCATGTGCCATCAGTTACCATCAATCTCAGATGAGGTACCTGCAATAAATCAGCTTCATGGTTAATACTGCCCCAAATTACTAGAATCACGTCCATCTGCGCACCCAGCCAAAGGTCAACCATCCAGCCTTCCTCTGGACTCATTCAACTGAGGTACATCCTTCTCCTCCTCTTTTTCTTCGTGTACCCCAATCCTTAAGACTTTGTACTCCTTTAAAGATGCCTTAAGGAACTAAAAGTAGATCTATCATTCGATCCAGCAGTCCTACCCCTGAATATCTACCCAGAGGAAAATACATCATTATATGACAAAGACATGCATATTTATAGCAGCACAATTTGAAATTGCAAAACTGTGGAACCAGCCCAAATGCCCAACAGTCAATGAGTAAAGAAAATGTGGTGTGTATATATATACCATCGACTACTACTCAGCCATAAAAAGGAATGAAATAATGACATTCGCAGCAACCTGGATGGAGTTGGAGACCATTCTTCTAAGTGAAGTAACTCAGGAATAGAAAACCAAACATCGTATGTTCTCACTTGTAAGTAGGAGCTCAGCTATGAGGATGCAAAGGCATAAGAATGATACAATGGGATGGGCACGGTGGCTCACGCCTGTAATCCCAGCACTTTGGGAGGCCAAGGCTGGCAGATCACAAGGTCAAGAGATCAAGACTATCTTGGCCAACATGGTGAAACCCCGTCTCTACTAAAAATACAAAAATTAGCTGGGCATGGTGGCGCATGCCTGTCATCCTAGCTACTAGGGAGGCTGAGACAGGAGAATCGCTTGAACCCTGGAGGTGGAGGTTGCAGTGAGCCGAGGTCGCGCCAGTGCACTCCAGCCTGGCGACAGAGCGAGACTCTGTCTCAAAAAAAAAAAAAAAAAAAAAAAAGAAAATAGAAAGATACAATGGACTTTGGGGACTTGGAGAGAAGGTTGGGATGGGGGCGGATAAAATGCTACACATTGGGTACAGTGTACACTGCTTGGGTGACAGGTGCACGAAAATCTCAGAAATCGCCACTAAAGAGCTTATCCATGGAACCAACCACCCCCTGTTCCCCAAATACCTATTGAAATAATTTTTAAAAACTTTACCCCTTTGAAACTGAACACAAACTCGCCTTCCCTCAGAAGCCTTACCTGGCTAGGTTGACGCCCTGCTTCAAGACACTTACACACCCACCAGGGTGGATGCCCACCAATGTCCAGCAAACTACCGGATCAGGCTGATACATTTCATCATCAGAGCCATTCCTTGATATTTAACTAATGGTTCCTCTCCTCACAGGAGGCTGTTAGTATGTTGAGGTTACTTTTTTAGAGCTTAGACTAACAGCCACTGCATTGAGAACCATGAAATCCATCTTTGAACATCTACCGTGTAAGGGTGAGCTGATCAGTGTATGAGCTCGTCTCCTCACCAGAAAATAAGAGTTGGACCAGATGTTTTTTTTTTTTTTTTTTTTTTTTTTTTGAGACAGAGTCTTGCTCTGTTGCCCAGGCTGGAGTGCAGTGGCGCGATCTTGGCTCACTGCAAGCTCCACCTCCTGGGTTCAAGCGATTCTCCTGCCTCAGCCTCCCGAGTACCTGGGACTAACAGGCCCCCGCCACCACCCCTGGCTAATTTTTTGTATTTTTAGTAGAGACGGGGTTTCACCATGTCAGCCAGGATGGTCTCGATCTCCTGACCTCATGATCCGCCCGCCTTGGCCTCCCAAAGTGCTGGGATTACAGGCATGACCCACCACGCCTGGCCCAAATAGATGATCTTTATGTTTCTTCTGGTTCAGATATTTTTTTTTTGAGACAGAGTCTCGCTCTGTCGCCCAGGCTGGAGTGCAGTGGCGCGAGCTAGGCTCAGTGCAATATCTGCCTCCTGGGTTCAACTGATTCTCCTTCCTCAGCCTCCCAAGTAGCTGGGATTACAGGCATGCACCACCACACCCAGCTAATTTTTGTAATTTTAGCAGACATGAGGTTTTGCCATGTTGGCCAGGCTGGTCTCGAACTCCTGACCTCAGGTGATCTGCCCACCTTGGCCTCCCAAAGTGTTGGGATTACCACATGCGGCCTCTGGTTCTGATACTTTATGGTTCCATTGAAAGTTGTGTTTGTGCCAGACAGCAACTCACGCCTATAATCTCAGCACTTCGGGAGGCAGAGGTGGGAGGATCTCGAGTCCAGGGGTTTGAGACCAGCTTTGACAACATAGGGAGACCTCATCTCTACAAAAAATTTAAAAATTAGCCAGGCATGGTGGCACGCATCTGTAGTCCCACCTATTTGGAAGGCTGAAGCAGGAGGATTACTTGAGCCCAGGAGTTTGAGGCTGCAGTGAGCTATGACTGCACCACTGCACTCCAACCTGGGCCACAGAGCAAAGACCTCATCTCTAAAAAAAAAAAGGAAAGTTATGTTTGTAATTATACTTTTATTTCCAAGGTAAACCGTATTTAAAAAAAGAAAACACATTTTGTTTCAGGAGCCGTGTTGGGAACAGGCCTCCAAATCTGGCCATAAACAAAATCTCTGCAGCACAGTGACATGTTCACGATGGCCATGAGGCCCACGCTGAAGGTTGTGGGTTTACCGGAATGAGGGCAAGGAACACCTGGCTCACCCAGGGTGGAAAACCGCTTAAAGGCGTTCTTAAACCACAAACAATGGCATGAGCGACCTGTGCCTTAAGGACATGCTCCTGCCGCAGATAACTAGCCAGAGCCCATCCCTTTGTTTTGGCCCATCCCTTTGTTTCCCATAAGGAATACTTTTAGTTAATCTATAATCTATAGAAACAATGCTTAACACTGGCTTACTGTCAATAAACATGTGGGTCAAACTCTGTTTGGGGCTCTCAGCTCTGAAGGCTGTGAGTCCCCTGATTTCCCACTCCACACTCTATGTTTGTGTGTGTGTGTCTTTAATTCCTCTAGCGCCGCTGGGTTAGGGTCTCCACGACCGAGCTGGTCTTGGCAGAGCCAGGCTGCTATGAACTGTGATCAAGCCACTGCACTCCAGCTTGGGCAACAGAGCAAGACCCTTTCTCGAAAAAAGTTTGAAGACATCAGTTTACTTTAGAATTGTAAGTCAGTAAGGCAGGCGTTAAGTGATGCATAATATGATACCTATTCACAGACACCCATTCACAGATCTTAGAAGGGCCTCAGACCAATGTACATACCAAAAAGCCTCTTTTAGCTGGGTACAGGGATTCATGCCTGTAATCTCAGCGTTCTGGGAGGCCGAGGCAGGTAGATCACTTGAGCCTAGGAGTTCAAGACCAGCCTGGGCAACACAGAAAGACCTCGTCTCTACAAACAATTTAAAATTCAGCCAGGCATGGTGGTGTGCACCAGTAGACCCAGCTACTTGGGAGGCTGAGGTGGGAGGATCGCTTAGTCCAGGAGTTCGAGGCTGAAGGCAGCTATGTTCAAGCTACTGCAGTCCAGTCTGGGCAACAGAGCAAGACCCTGTCTCTTAAAAAAAAAAAAAAAAACAGTTGGGGAAGGGGCCAGGTGTGGTGGCTCACGCCTATAATCCCAGCACTTTGGGAGGCTGAGGCAGGTGGATCACCTAAGGTCAGGAGTTTGAGACCAGCCTGGCAAACATGGTGAAACCCCATCTCTACTAAAAATACAAAAAATTAGCCAGGTGTGGTGGTGGACGCCTGTAATCCTAGCTACTTGGGAGGCTGAGGCAGGGAGAATTG
Source organism: Homo sapiens (assembly GCF_000001405.40). NCBI lineage: Eukaryota > Metazoa > Chordata > Mammalia > Primates > Hominidae > Homo > Homo sapiens. The sequence continues at coordinate 5,109,373 of NC_000007.14, read as the reverse complement.
CTTGAATGCGGGAGGCAGAGACTGCAGTGAGCAGAGATTGCACCACTGCATTGCAGCCTGGGAGACAAAAGTGAGACTCCATCTCAAGAAGAAAAAAGAAAAAGCTCTTTCTAGCTATACGAATTTGTTTGTGTAAGTGCCCATTTGCACAGCTGTTTGCCAGTGTACAGTGCAATCTGAGATGTGGTTGCCTTCTTCATCCAATTCTGGGGTCACCTCAGGGAAGTCTGGGGGCTGGAGTCTAAAGGCTTGGTTTCTGTTCCTGTCTGGCCTGTGGAATGGCATGTGATGTTGACAAGTTACATTTTTTTCTCTGGGTTTTAGATTCTTCATCTACCCACCTTGATGAGGAACTCAAGGGCTGTGGCCACTGAGAGTGCCCCAAGATCAAATTTTCCAGTTCCCTGAGGCAGGAGCCTAGCTTTTGTCTTCGCCTGGGGCACAGTGAAGGGACAAACAGGAGCTTTGGGTTCATATCTGCGTTTTCCTCTTAACTCTTTCATTTATGAGTCGGGAGAGCTTAGGGGGAATTTTTTAACATTTTCAAGCATCAGCAACGTCCTTAAACCCACAGGATTGTTTTGGTTTGTTTATTTATTTATTTATTTTTGAGAGAGAGTCTCGCTCTGTCGCCCAGACTGGAGTGCAGCGGTGCGATCTCGGCTCACTACAAGCTCCATCTCCTGAGTTCTCGCCATTCTTCTGCCTCAGCCTTCTGAGTAGCTGAGACTACAGGTGCCCACCACCACGCCCGGCTTTTTTGTATTTTTAGTAGAGATGGGGTTTTACCATGTTAGCCAGGATGGTCTTGATCTCCTGACCTCGTGATCTGCCAGTCTCGGTCTCTAAAAGTGCTGGGATTACAGGCGTGAACCACCGCGCCCGGCTTATTTATTTATTTTTGAGATGGAGTTTCGCTCTTGTCACCCAGCCTGGAGTGCAGTGGCATGATCTCGGCTTATTGCAACCTCTGCCTCCGGGTCCAAGCGATTCTCCTGCCTCAGCCTCCTGAGTAGCTGGGATTACAGGTGTGCACCACCACACCTGGCTAAATTTAAAAAAATTTTTTTGGTATTTTTAGTAGAGACTGGGTGTCACCATGTTGGCCAGGCTGGTCTTGAACTCCTCACTTCAGGTGATCCACCTGCCTTGGCCTCCCAAAGTGCTGGGATTACAGGCTGAGCCACTGCGCCTGGCCTGTTTTAGCGATTAATTTAAATGATGTATAGAAAACATCTCCTGCAGTGCTTCCTGTATTTAGGAAGTCTTATTTTTTGTAGGGACAAGGTCTCACTCTGTCACCCAGGCTGGAGTGCGGTGGCATGATCACAGCTCACTGCAGCCTCAATCTCCCAGGCTCAAGTGATTCTCCCACCTAAGCCTCCTTAGTAGCCGGGACCACAGGTGCACACCACCATGCCCAGCTAATTTTTAAAATTACCTGTAGAGACAGGGGTCTCGCTATGTTGCTCAGGCTGGCCTCGAACTCCTGGCCTCAAGGAATCCTCCCACCTCAGCCTTCCAATGTGCTGGGATTATAGGCATGAGCCACCGTGCCCGGCCCAGGAAGTGTTAATGAATAAAAATTACCCAAATCGCAAGATGTCCTTAGTCCTTTTACTTTGCTTCTGGCTCATCACATGCTTGTTACAGTCTACACCGGCTGAAAATCTCAGGATGGAAGACATATCTGGAGAGAGTAAATAACCAGTGGGGGAGAGAAGAAAATGCAGGTATCTGGGTGGCAGAGGCATGCCATAGACAAGCATCACCTCCTAGCTGCTCCGTTTCCAAGACCCTGGATGGCTTTACGTTTCCACCCCATCTCTCTTTCCCCTTTCCCAGTCCCCGGGCCCCCAACCCCAGCTTTTCCTCCGTGCTTTCCTGGACAATGGCCCAGAGACGCTGACATTGTCTCCAACTTTCCCTTCCTCGGCAATATCCCCGTATTCCCTCTAAATACCGATGGGAGTGAGAGAACAGAAAACAGCAACGCCTGCTGCTGTTATTATTACTGCTATTTGTTGAGCCATTACAATGGGCAAGAGATAGGCTAAGTGCACCATAAGCACAATACATTTATTTATTTATCTATTTATTTATTTATTTATTGACACGGAGTCTCGATCTGTCACCCAGGCTGGAGTGCAGTGGTGAGATCTCAGCTTACTGCAACTTCCACCTCCTGGGTTCAAGCGATTTTCCTGCCTCAGCCTGCTGAGTAGCTGGGATTACAGGCACCCACCATCATGCCCAGCTAATTTTTGTATTTTTAGTAGAGATGGGGTTTCACCATGTTGGCCAGGATAGTCTCTAACTCCTGATCTCAAGTGATCCACCCGCCTCAGCCTCCCAAAGTGCTTGGATTACAGGTGTGAGCCACCACGCCCGGCCAAGCATGATATTATTTAATCTTTGCAAGACTAGTGTGTGGTAGTAGGCATTCTTATTATTAATTTACAGAGGAGAGGCCGGGTGTGGTGGTGCAGGCCTATAGTCTCAGCTGCTTGGGAGGCTGAGGCAGGAGGATCGCTTGAGTCTGAGAGTTCGAGGCTGCAGTGAGCTATGATTGTGCCACTGCACTCCAGCCTGGATGACAGAGCAATACTCTGGTCTCTTAAAAAATAACGTAATTGACGGTGGAGGAAGCTGAGCCTTAGAGAGACTGACTTGGTAAAGGAGTCATATAGCTTCTCTCTGAGCTGGGACCTGTCCCTAGGACTGACTGATTTCAGTCTGTTCTTGTATGTAGGGGGATGCTGCCGTTCTGTCTCTCTTATCAGTCTGTATCTTCCCACCCAAATGCGGAGAAAATGAAAAGGGACTGAAAGAGAGACTCAGAGGCACACAGAGAAAAAGAAGTGCAGAACCAGAATGAGGCACGTGACCAGAGGTTGTAGGTACCAGGGAAATTAAAAGTGAAGACATTGGATGGAGTGCCCCCTGCTCAGGTAGCTCACCAGGCTCTGGGCTACAAAAGAGAGAGGAGAGATTGAGAGAGAGAGATTTGGAATCTTCTGTGCCCCACCAGCCTTCTGTACCCAAGACTCCCTTTTTATAGGATTTTCTCTTTACTTTAAACATGGGTTTCAGTTGGGTGAATTCTTTTATATATTTTTTTTTCCGCAGAGTCTCGCTCTGTAATCCAAGGCTGGGGTGCAATGGTGCAATCTTGGCTCATTGCAACTTCTGCCTCCCAGGTTTAAGTGACTCTCCTGCCTCAGCCTCCCGAATAGCTGGGATTACAAGCGTGTGCCACCATGCTTGGCTAATTTTTGTATTTTTAGTAGAGATGGGGTTTCACCATGTTGGCCAGGCTGGTCTCGAACTCCTGACCCCAAGTGATCCACCCACCTCAGCCTCCCAAAGTGCTGGGATTACAGGCATGAGCCAGCATGCCCAGCCATTGGTGCATTTTTTTTAATTTATAAAGAACAGAAGTTTATTTGACTCATGGTTCTGGAGACTGGGATGTTTATGAATTCTTTTTTTGAGACTGAGTTTCACTCTTTTCACCCAGGCTGGAGTGCAATGGCACAACCTCAGCTCACTGCAACCTTTGCCTCCTGGGTTCAAGTGATTCTCGTGCTTCAGCCTCCTGAATAAACTGGGATTACAGGTGCCTGCCACCGTGCCTGGCTAATTATTGTATTTTTAGTAGAGACGGGGTTTTACCATGTTGGCCAGGCTGGTCTTGAACTCCTGACTTCAGGCGATCCACCCGCCTCAGCTTCCCAAAGTGTTAGGGTTACAGACGTGAGCCACCGCGCCCAATCTCAGTTGGTGAATTCTATCAAGAGCTTTGAACTCAGTCCCTGGCACCCACACCCCAAAAGGAACCATCCCTGGAGAAAGAAGACTAGAGTATGTAACACTCATTTAAAAGAGACATCTGGACAGACACGGTGGCTCACACCTGTAATCCCAGCACTTTGGGAGACTGAGGTGGGTGGATCATGAGGTCAGGAGTTTGAGACCAGCCTGGCCAACATGGTGAAACTCTGTCTCTACTAAAAATACAAAAATTAGCTGGGTATGGTGGCGGGTGCCTGTAATCTCAGCTACTTGGGAGGCTGGGGCAGGAGAATCACTTGAACCTGGGAGGCGGAGGTTGCAGTAAGCCGAGATCATGCCACTGCACTCCAGCCTGGGCGACAGGGCGAGACTCCGTCTCAAAAAAATAAATAAAATAAAATAAGACATCCATGGCAGGCATGGTGGCTCACGCCTGTAATCCCAACGCTTTGAGAGGCCAAGGTGGGAAGATAGCTTGAGGCCAGGAATTCAAGACCAGTCTGGGAAACATAGAAAGATCTCGTCTTTACTAATTTTATTTTTTTAAAATTAGCCTGCCATGCTGGAGTGCACCTGTAGTCCTGGAGCCACAGCTACTTGGGAGGATGAGACAAGAGGATCACTTGAATCCAGGAATTCAAGGCTACACTGAGACGCGATCACACCATTGCACTCCAGTGTGGGTGATGGAGCGAGACCCTGTCTCTAAAAATTTCATCTCACATACCAGCGTGAGACCCCCTAGCAGAGTGATTAGAGTGTGTGTTTGAGCCAGACTGCCTTGGTCAAAGCTTTGCTCTCCCACTAACTAGAGACAAGTGACTTAACCCTCTGCCTCAGTTTCCTCAACTGCAAAATGAGGATCACAGTGGAATCGATTTTGTAGAGGAAGGAAGACCAAATTAGTTAATGGATATAAAGTGTTAGAACATAGGAAGTACTAGGTAAGGGTTGTTAAAGCATTGCTAATAATGTTATTGACTCTGATTAATTAGCTGGGAGGCTAAAAAACAACAAGCCAGTAATGGACATGTCCAGACTCAAGACCATCATACCTGAGTTCCAGCCTTCTCTAACTCTCCACTCTTTAGTTGGCCAGGCTCAATTGGTCACCTTCCTATCCTGGAAGGAATACAAGTCCTAACAATGACTCCTAAGAGAGGAAGAGATCAACTTTAAGTTGAGGAGAAGATGACTTGGATTCTGAATGGAAGAAGCCCAGGTTCCAACAGTCACAATATGGACCCAGCATAGCTTTGTGGTCTCAACCTCTACCATCTTCTACCTCATTCCTTACGAGCTATACAACAACCTGAATGTGCCCCACTCACTCATTTCTCCCAGAACTATTTTTTTTTTTGGCGGGGGGAGGGGGTGGTTTGAGATGGAGTTTCACTCTTGTTGCCCAGGCTGGAGTGCAATGGCACGCTCTCGGCTCACTGCAACCTCCGCCTCCCAGGTTCAAGTGATTCTCTTGCCTCAGACTCCCAAGTATCTGTGATTACAGGCACGTGCCACTACGCCTGGGTAATTTTGTATTTTTAGTTTAGAAACATGGGGTTTCACCATGTTGGTCAGGCTGGTTTTGAACTCCTGACCGCAGGTGATCCACCTAACTTGGCCTCCCAAAGTGCTGGGATTACAGGCATGAGCCACCATACTGGACCATTTTCCCCATTCTTATACATACCTCTCCAATATCACAATGACCTTTTCCCACCTGGAAATTTACTCATTCTTCAGGCCCAGATGAAACGTCAGCTCCTCTGTAAACAAAAGTAAGAGCGGAGTCAACTGTAGAAGGATTTTGTAGGAAATGGGAGGAGACGGACTCTACCACACCTTTCTCCCTTATCTCTGTCAATCTTTCAACTTCTATTCCCAGTAAGAAGGGAATACTTATACTCTTAATAAGAAAATAGTTACTTAATAGGTTTCCCAGGGCCCACTTAAGGGTCTGGCTTGATCCAAAGCCCCAGGGCCTCATTACTGATCTTCTCCCCCAACACTGTGGTGCCTAAGTGACAGGATGGTCTCTGAAGGATGAGGGCTGGAGGGATGAGAGGGAGTGGAAGAGTTGGGAATTCAAAACTGCCGAATCCTGGGGGAATCTGAAACTTCTGGGCTAAGGGGATAAGAGGCCACCTCCCTGCAGTGATGAAGAGACTGTACAAGTCTTGGGATAAACTTGAACCTAGGAAATGAATAGCCAAAATACCTATCTCCAGAGAGGTAGGCAGCTCTCTGGAGAGAGGAGAGGAAAGTTACAGCTCTGTCCACATTTTCTTAAAATGTAAACCAAAGGGTGGCCAGAAGACGGATGATCTCAGAGTGGACTGATTCTTGGTGTAATGTGATCAAGATGGTGGACTAGGAGGTCCTAGCCCTTGTACTCCCACAAAAACAATGATTTAACAACTATCCACAGACTAAAATAGCTCTGGGAGAACTCCCAGAGTCCAGTTAAAAAGATGCAGCCACCGAGTAGAGCAGAAAAGCCAAGAATAACTGCATAGAAAAGAAACATGACATCACCAAAGGAACACAACACATTTCAAATGACCAACCCCAAAGAAAAGGAGATCTATGAATTAACTGAAAAAGAATTCAAAATAACTGTTTTAAAGAAGCTCAGCATGTTACAAGAGAACACAGATACAACTCGTCAAAATCAGATAAACAATATATGAACAAAATGTAAAGTTCAACAGAGATACAGAAATCACAAAAAAAGAAATTCTAGAGCTGAGGTGAACAAGGACTAAAATGAAAAAATGCCATTTAGAGCTTCAACAGCAGTGGCTTATGCTTGTAATCTTAGAACTTTGGGAAGCTGAAGCAGGCAGATTGCTTGAGGCTAGGAGTTCAAGACCAGCATAAGCAACACGGCAAAACCCTATTTAAAAAAAAAATTTTTTTTTAAATTATCAGGGTATGGTGGTGTACACCTGTAGTCCCAGCTACCCAGGAGGCTGAGGTGGGAAGATCACGTGAACCCAGGAAGTCAAGGCTGCAGTGACCCATGATTACACCACTGCACTCTACCCTGGGTGACAAAGTGAGATCCTGTCTCAAAACAAAACAAAACAAAAAATCAATGAACATGAAGATGAAGATAAGTCATTTGAAATCATTTAGTTAGAGGAGAAAGAGAGGCTACAGTGAGCCATGATCATACTACTGCACTCCAGTGGGAAACAGAATGAAGGAGGGAGTGATGAGAAATTGGTTAATAAGTACACAAATACAGTTAGATAGAAGGAATAAGTTCTTGTGTTTCATAGCACAGTTGGGTGACTATAGTTAGCAATAATTTATTGTATATTTCAAAATCGCTAGAAGAAAATATTTAAAATGTTTCCAACACAAAGAAATGACAAATAGTTGAGGTGATGGATATCCTAATTACCCTGATTTGATCAATACACATTGTATGCATGTAGTAAACCTTGAGGCCAGGGTTTTGAGACCAGCCTAGGCAACAAAGCAAGACCCTGTTCCTGCGGGGAAAAAAATTAAACAATTAACCAGACATGATGGTGTGCACCTGTGGTCTCAGCTACTTAGGATGCTGAAGCAGAAGGATCACTTGAGCCCAGGAGTTCGCAACTGCAGTGAGGCAGGATCACACCACTATACTCCAGCCTGGGTGACACAGCAAGACTTCGTCTAAAAAAAAAAAAGTTGGGCTAGGTGCAGTGGCTCACACCCATAATCCCAGCACTTTGGGAGGCTGAGGTAGGTGAATCACAAGGTTAGGAGTTCGAGACCAGCCTGGCCAATGTGGTAAAACCCTCTCTCTACTAAAAATACAAACAATTAGCTGGGCATGGTAGTAAGTGCCTGTAATCCCACCTACTCGGGAGCCTGAGGGAGGAGAATCGCTTGAATCCAGGAGGTGGAGGTTGCAGTGAGCCGAGATCGCGCCCCTGCACTCCAGTCCGGGCGACAGTGGGAGACTCTGTCTAAAAAAAAAAAAAAAAAAAAAAAAAAATTCAGCCGGGTCTGGTGGCTGACACCTGTAATCCCAGCACTTTAGGAGGCCGAAGTGGGCAGATCACCTGAGGTCAGTAGCTTGAGACCAGCCTCACCAATGTGGTAAAACCCTGTCTTTACTAAAAATACAGTATTAGCTAGGCGTGGTGGCACGTGCCTGTAATCCGAGCTACTCGGGAGGCTGAGGCAGGAGAATCACTTGAACCTGGGAGGTGGAGGTTGCAGTGAGCCAAGATCGTGCCAATGCACTCCAGCCTGGGCAAAAAGAGCAAAACTCCATCTCAAAAAAAAAATCTCATCAAAGAAGAACCACAGATTCACTGCTGAATTCTACCAAACATTTAAAGTACCAATGCCAATTTTTCTCAAACTTTTCCAGAAAATCGAAGGGAAGGAATTCTTCCAATATCATTCTACAAGGCCAATATTACTCTAAGACGAAAACCAGACAAGAACACAACACAAAAAGAAAACTACAGGCCAATATCCCTGATGAACACAGATGCAAAGATCCTTAACAAAATACTAGCAAACCAAATCCAGCAGCACATTATAAAGATCCTTCACGGCCGGGCGCGGTGGCTCATGCCTGTAATCCCAGCACTTTGGGAGGCCGAGGCAGGCAGATCACGAGGTCTGGAGTTCGAGACTAGCCTGGCCAACATGGTGAAACCCTGTCTCTACTAAAAATACAAAAATTAGCTGGGCGTGGTGGCACACACCTGTAATCCCAGCTACTTGGGAGGCTGAGGCAGAAGTACTGCTTGAACCTGGGAGGCGGAGGTTGCAGTGAGCCAAGATCGCACTACTGCACTCCAGACTAGGTGACAGAGTGAGATTCTGTCTCAAAAAAAAAAAAAAAAAATCCTTCACTGTGATCAAGTGAGATTTATCCCAGAGATACAAGGATGGTTCAACATTTGCAAATCAATAAATGTGACACATTACATCAACAGAACGAAAGACAAAAACTGTATAATCATCTCAAGAGATGCTGAGAAAGCATTTGATGAAATTCAACATTGCTTTATGACAAAACTCTGAACAACATAGGCATATAACGAATGTACTGCCGCTCAATGAAGGCTACATATAGCAAACCCACAGCTAACATCATACAGAATGGGGAAAAGCTTAAAGCTCTTCCTCTTGGAACTGGGACAAGATATAAATGCCCACACTCGCCACTCTTATTCAATAGTACTGGAAGTCCTAGACAGAGCAATTAGTCAAGAGAAAGAAATAAAGGGAATTCAAACTAGAGAAGAGCCGTGAAATCATCCCTGTTTCCAGACAACATGGTCTTATATATAGAAAATCCTAAAAGCTCCACCAAAAAAAATTTTTTTTTTTTTTTTTTTTTTTAAGATGGAGTCTCCGTCTGTTGCCCAGGCTGGAGTCCAATGGCACAATCTCGGCTCACTGCAACCTCTGCCTCCCAGGTTCAAGCAATTCTCCTGCCTCAGCCTCCCAGGTAGCTGGGATTACAGTCGCACGCCACCATGCCCAGCTAATTTTTGTATTTTTAGTAGAGATGGGATTTTACCACGTTGGCCAGGATGGTCTCGAACTCCTGACCTTGTGATCTGCCCACCTCGGCCTCCCAAAGTGTTGGGATTACAGGTGTGAGACACCGTGCCCGGCTCCAAAAAACTTTTAGAACTGAAATTTAGTAAAGTTGCAGGATATAAAAATCAACATACAAAAATCAGCAGTATTTCTATACATTGACAATGAACTAGCTGAAAAAAAAAGTCAAGAAAGCAATCCCATTTACAGTAGCTATAAAAAGTACCTAGGAATAAAGTTAACCAAGGAGGAGAAAGGTCTCTGAAAGGGAAACTATAAAACACCGGTGAAATAAATTGAAGAGGACACACAGAAAAATGCAAAGACACCTTATGCTCATGGATCGCAAGAATTCATACTGTGAAAATGATCAGACCACCAACAGCAATCTACAGATTCAATGCAATCCCTATCAAAATACCAAGACATTCTTCACAGAAATAGCAAAAACAATCCTAAAATTCATATAGAGCCACAAAAAACTCCAAATAGCCAAAGCAGTCGTGAGCAAGAACGAAGCTGAAGGCATAACACTAAATGACTTCAAAATATACTACAAAGCTACAGTAATTAAAGCCTCATGGCACTGGCATAAAAACAGACACACAGACCAATGGAACAGAATAGAGAACCCAGAAATAAATCCGTACATCTACAGTGAATTTTTTTTTTTTTTTTTGAGATGGTTTCTTACTCTGTCACCCAGGCTAGAGTGCAGTGGTGCAATCACAGCTTACTGCAGCCTTGACCTCCCCAGGCTCAGGTGATTCTTCCACTTCAGCCTTTCAAGTAGCTAGGACCACAGGCATGCACCATCACACCTAGCTATTTGTGTGTGTTTTTTGTAGAGACAGAGTTTTACCATGTTGCCCAGCCTGGTCTCAAACTCCTGGGCTCAAGCAGTCCACCCACTTCAGCCTTCCAAAGTGCTGGGTTTACAGGCATGAGCCACTGTGCCTGGCCAGGTGATGCAATTTTGACAAAGGCATCAAGAACATTCATTGGGGAAAGGATAGTCTCTTCAATAAATGGTTGAAAAACTGGGTATCCATAAACAGAAGGATCAAACCTGATCCCCATTTCTCGTCATATACAAAAATCAACTCAAAATGAATATAAGACTTAAATATAAGACCCAAAGCTATAACATTACTAGAAGAAAACACAGGGAAAACACTTCATGACACTGGTCTGGGCAAAATTTTTATTAACAAGATCTTGGTCAGCTGCGATGGCTCACACCTGTAATCCCAGCACTCTGGGAGGCTGAGGTGGGCAGATCACTTGAGGTTAAGAGTTCGAGACCAGCCTGGCCAACATGGTGAAACCCATCTCTACTAAAAATCTAAAAATTAGCCAGGCGTGGTGGCATGTGCCTGTAGTCCCAGCTGCTTGGGAGGCTGAGGCAGGAGAATGGCTAGAACCTAGGAGGTGGAGGTTGCAGTGAGCTGAGATCATACCCCTACACTCCAGCCTGGGCAACAGAGTGAGACTCCGTGTCCAAAAAAAAAAAAAAAAAAAAAAAAAAAAATAGCACAGGCAGCAACAACAATAACAAAGAGAAATGGAATTATGTCACACTAAAGATTCTGCACAACAAAGGAAACAGTTGACAGAGTGAAAAGACAACCTGCAAAATGGGAGAAAATATTTGCAAACTACTTATCTAACAGGAGATTAATATCTAGACTATAAAAATAACTCAAACACTCAACAGCAAAACAGATAATCCAACTTTTTTAATGGGCAGTGAGCTAAATAGACGTTTCTCAAAAGAAGACATACAAATGGCTCAAGATCTATGAAAAAAGGCTCAACATCACTAATAATCAGGGAATGGTGAATCAAAACCACAATGAGATATCATCTCACCCCAGTTAGAATAGCTGTTATTGGCCAGACACGGTGGCTCACGCCTGTAATCCCAGCACTTTGGGAGGCTGTGGTGGGTGGATTACTTGAGGTCAGGAGTTCAAGACCAGCTTGGCCAATATGGTGAAACCCCGTCTCTACTAAAAATACAAAAATTAGCCAGGTATGGTGGCAAGCACCTGTAATCCCAGCTACCGGGGAGGCTGAGGCAGGAGAATCACTTGAACTCAGGAGGCAGAGGTTGCAGTGAGCCAAAATCGTGCCATTGCACACCAGCCTGGACAACAAGAGTAAGACTCTGTCTCTCAAAAAAAAAAAAAAAAAAAAAAAAAAAAAAAAAAAAGCCAGGCGTGGTGGCTCATGACTGTAATCCCAGCACTTTGGGAGGCCAAGGCAAGAGGATCACCTGAGGTCAGGAGCTCAAGACCAGCCTGGCCAACATGATGAAACCCTGTCCCTACCAAAAATACAAAAATTAGCTGGGCGTGGTGGCAGGCGCCTGTAATCCCAGCTACTCAGGAGGCTGAGGCAGAAGAATCGCTTGAATCGGGGAGGCGGAGACTGCGGTGAGCGGAGATCGCACCACTGCACTCCAGCCCGGGTGAAAAGAGTGAACTTCCATCTCAAAAAAAAGAAAAAGCTATTATCAAAACGACAAAAATAACAAATGCTGGTGAGGAGATGGAGAAAGGGGAACGCTTAGACACTGTTGACAGACCGTAAATTAGTACCATCATTGTAGAAAACAGTATGGGAGTTCCTCAAAAAAATGAAAAATACAACAACCATATGATCCAGCAATCCCCCTCTAGCATATATATCCAAAGAAAAGGAAGTCTCTGTGTTGAACAGACACCCGCACTCCCGTGTGGATTGCAGCACTTTTCACAATAGCCAAGATTTGGAATCAATCTGAGTGTTCACCAACAGATGAATGGATAAATATGTGTTATAGATCACAATGAAATATGATTCAGCCTTAAAAAGAGTAAAATCCTGTTATTTGGGGTCACATGGATGAGCGTAGAGAACATTAGGTTAAGTGAAATAAGCCAGGCACAGGAAGATAAATACCACAAGTTCTCACTTATATGTGAAAGCTAAAAATGTTGATCTCGTGGAAGTAGAATAATGAGGCGGGTGGATCACCCGAGGTCGGGAGTTCGAGACCGGCCTGACCAACATGGAGAAACCACATCTCTACTAAAAATACAAAAAAAAAAAAAAAAAAAAAAAAGCCAGGCATGCTGGCTCATGCCTGTAGTCCCAGCTGCTTGGGAGGCTGAACCCAGGAGGCAGAGATTACAGTGAGCAGAGATCACACCATTGCACTCCAGCCTAGGCAACAAAAGTGAAACTCTGTCTCAAAAAACAAAAAACAAAAAACAAAAACAAGAAAAGAAAAGAAAGTAGAATAACGGTTACTAGAGGCTGAGAAGGATGGGAGAGGATAGAGAGTGGTTGGTTAACAGATACAAAATTACAGATCAGGTGCGGTGGCTCATACCTGTAATCCCAGCATGTTAGGAAGCAGAGGCAGGCAGTTCACCTTGGCTCAAGAGTTTGAGACCAGCCTGGCCAACACAGTGAAACCCAGTCTGTACTAAAAATACAAAAATTAGCTGAGCATGGTGGTACATGCCTGTAGTCCCAGCTACTCAGGAGGCTGAGGCAGAAGAATCACTTCAACCTGGGAGGCAGAGGTTGCAGTGAGCTGAGATGGCAACACTGCACTCCAGCCTGGGTGACAGAGCTAGACTCTGTCTCAAAAAAAAAAAAAAAAAATTACAGCTAACAAAGGAGAAATAATTTGAATGTCCTATAGCACCATAGGGTGACTATAATTGACAATAATTTATGGTATATTTTCAAATAGAGCAGATTTTGAGTGTTTTTGAGTACAAAGAAATGATAAATATTTGAAGTGATCAATGTGTCAATTTTAGTGATTTGATCATTACACACTGTTTACCTGTATTAAAATATCACACTGTGCCCCGTAAATACGTACAATGATTATGTGTCAATAAAATAAAAAAAAACCCCTTCGCCAATATAACTGCATTTTCTTCCCCTTTTTGTGCTATTGTCATACAAATTATACCTTCTGAGATTATCAATACAGTTTTTATCATTATTTCTTTTTTCACTGTAGTTGTCTTTTTTAGAGACAGGGTCGTCTTGCTGTGTTACCCAGGCTGGAGTGTAGTGGCTATACACAGATGCAACCACAACACACCACAGCCTCAAACTCTTGGGCTCACATAATCCTCCTCCTGCCTCAGCCTTCTGAGTAGCTGGGTCTACAAGCACGTGCCACCACGCCTAGCTTACGCAGTTGTCTTACAAGAAAGAAATGAGTTACAAAAAAAATACATTTATACTTTTTTAAAAATTTTTTTTTTGAGACAGGATCTCGCTCTGTCACCCAGGCTGGAATGCAATGGCACGGTCTCGGCTCACTGCAAGCTCCGCCTCCTGGGTTCACGCCATTCTCCCGCCTCAGCCTCCTGAGTAGCTGGGACTATAGGCACCCGCCACCACGCCCGGCTAATTTTTTGTATTCTTAGTAGAGACAGGGTTTCACCGTGTTAGCCAAGATGGTCTCGATCTCTTGACCTCAAGATCCACCCGCCTCAGCCTCCCAAAGTGCTGGGATTACAGGCGTGAGCCACCACACCTGGCCTCGTTTATACTATTTCTTACATTCACCTAACTGGTTGCCTTTATTGATGGCTCTATTTTTTCATGTGGATTTGAGTTACTGCCTAGTGTCCTTATATTTCAGTCTGAGACTCCCTTTAGTATTTTTTAAATTTTCTTTTTTTTTTTGAGATGGAGTCTCACTCTGTCACCCAGGCTAGAGTGCAGTGGCACGATCTTGGCTCACTGCAACCTCTGCGTCCCAGGTTCAAACAATTCTCCTGCCTCAACCTCCCCGAGTAGCTGGGACTACAGGTGTGTGGCACCATGCCAGGCTAACTTTTGTATTTTTAGTAGAGACGGGGTTTCACCATATTAGCCAGGATGGTCTCAAACTCCTGACCTCATGATCCACCTGCCTTGGTCTCCCAGTGTTGGAATTATAAGCATGAGCCACTGCAACTGGCCCCTTTAGTATTTCTCAGAGGACAGGCATCCAAGTGATGAATTCTATCAGCTTTTCTTTATCTGGGAATGTCTTGATTTCACCTTCATTTTTGAAGGATAATTTCACTGGTATAGAGTTCTTGGTTGACAGTCTTTTTCCTTCAGCACTTGTAATATTCATTCCATTGCTTCTGGTCTCCATAGTTTCTGATAAGAAGTCAGCTATTGATCTTATAAAGGTGTCCTTGTATATTATTTTTTCTCTTACTGCTTTCAAGTTGTTTCTGTCTGTAGCCTTCCACAGTTTTTTGTTTTATTTTTTTAAGATGGAGCCTCACCCTGTCACCCAGGCTGGAGTGCAGTGGCACGATTTTGGCTCACTGCAACCTCCGCCTCCCAGGTTCAAGCAATTCTCCCTGCCTTAGCCTCTCGAGTAGCTGGGATTACAGGCACCTACCACCATTCCATAAGGAGGGAACCTGGGAGGTGGAGGTTACAGTGAGCCAAGATTGCGCCCACTGCACTCCAGCCTGGCAACAGAGAGACACTTTGTCTCAAAGAAAAAAAAAAAAATTAGCCCAGCTAATTTTTGTGTATTGAGTAGAGATGGGGTTTTGCCATGATGGCTAGGAGATCTCCAACTCCTGACCTCAGGTGATCCTCCAGCCTTGGCCTGCCAAAGTGCTGGGATTATAGGTGTGAGCCGCACCTGGCTGCTTTCCACAGTTTGACTGTGATATAGTTACGTGTGGATCTCTGAGTTTATCCTAGTTAGAGTACATTGATCTTCTTGGCTCTGTAGATTAATGTTTTTCATCAAATTTATGGAGTTTTGTCCACTATTTCTTCAAATACTTTTTGTGCCCCTTTCTCTCTCCCCACTCCTTATGGAATTCCAATTACGCGTATGTTGCTATGCTTGATGGTACAACACAAGTCTCATAAGCCTTTCTCCCCTCTTTCTGCTCCTCATACTGGTTAATCTCAATTTACCTATCCTCGAGTTTGATGATTCTTTCTTCTGCCAGTTCACATCTGCTGCTGAGCCCCTCTAGTGAAGTTCTAACTCAAAACTTCTATTTAGTGTTTTTTGCTGTTACTGGATTTCTGTTTTTGATTTTTTGAGACAGGGTCTCACTCTGTCACCCAGTCTACAGTGCAGTGACATGATCATAGCTCACTGTAGCTTCAGTCTCTGGGCTCAAGTGCTTCCTGAGTAGTTGGGACTACAGGAATGTGCCACCATGCCCAACTAATTTTTAAAACTTTTGTAGAGATGGGGGTATATGTTGCTCAGGCTTGTCCCAAAGTCCTGAGCTTAAGCAATCCTCCCACCTCAGCCTCCCAAAGTGTTGGGATTATAGGTGTGAGCAACTGCACCCAGCCTCTAATAGAGATACCTGATTTTGGTATCTATTGATATTCTCTATTTGGTGGAACATTGTTCTTCTGCTTTCACTCTTTAGACAACATTTCCTTTAGTTATTTGAACATATTTATAACAGCTTCAAGTCTTCGTCTAATAAGCCCAACCCTGGAACTCCTCAGGGCCAGTTTGTATTGACTACTTTTTATATATTTTGTATATGAGCCACACATTTCTGTTTCTTTGCATGTATCGCTTTTTCTGCATAAAAATGGAGATTTTAGGGCCAGGTGTGGTGGCTCACGCCTGTAATCCCAGCACTTTGGGAGACCGAGGAGGGTGGATCACAAGGTCAGGAGTTCGAGGCCAGCCAGGCCAAGATGGTGAAACCCCCGTCTCTACTAAAAATACAAAAATTAGCCAGGGACGGTGGCGAGTGCCTATAATCCCAGCTACACCGGTGGCTGAGGCAGGAGAAATGCTTAAACCAGGGAGACAGAGGTTGCAGTGAGCTGAGAACGTGCCACTGCACTCTAGCCTGGGTGACAGAGCAAGACTGTGTCTCAGAAAAACAAACAAAAAACAAACAAACAAAAACTGGAGATTTTAAATACTGTATTATGGTAACTCTGGTAATCAGATTTCCTTCCCCGTTTTCAGATTTTCTTGCTCTTGGTTCTCGTCTCTGCTCAGTTTAGTGTTCAGCTAGCGACTGTACAGATTTCCTTAAATGCTTTAAGCGAATAAGTCTTCCAGTTTTTGCCAAGGGTCCCCTGTGTGTTGGGGTCCATCTTCAACACCCCAGCAGTCGACAAGCCTGCGCTTAGCTTTCACTTCCTGCCAGTTCAGAATCTAAGGACAACAGATGTGAGACATTGGAGGTGTCTGTGGTATTTCACAGGCATCTGCATGGCCTTATATATTGTATGTCCTTCTAGATCACTGGAACATGTTAGACCTTTTCAAAACCCTGTATAGACCTCTCATGCTCGAAATTATCATTTTATGCTTTCTGGCCAGCCTCTTGTGTGTCTTAGCTGGTACTGCCACCCCAGGGAGCTGCAATGTTATTCAATTGCTACTGATTGTTTTTGAAAAATGTCCTGGGAATAGGGTATTAACCTTCTAGGGGAGTTGTTACTGAAAGTGGATAAAAGTCCTCTGAGGCCGGGCGCGGTGGCTCACACCTATAATCACAGCACTTTGGGAGGCCAAGGAGGGTGGATCACGAGGTCAAGAGATCGAGACCATCCTGGCCAACATGGTGAAACCCTGTTTCCACTAAAAATACAAAAATTAGCTGGGTAGGCCAGGCGCGGTGGCTCACACCTGTAATTCCAGCACTTTGGGAGGCCGAGGCGGGTGGATCACGAGGTCAGGAGATCGAGACCATCCTGGCTAACATGGTGAAACCCCGTCTGTACTAAAAATGCAAAAAACAAATTAGCCTGGGCGAGGTGGCGGGTGCCTGTAGTCCCAGCTGCTTGGGAGACTGAGGCAGGAGAATGGCGTGAACCCCGGGGGGCGGAGCCTGCAGTGAGCCAAGATCGCACCACTGCACTCCAGCCTGGGCAACAGAGCGAGACTCCGTCTCAAAAAAAAAAAAAAATTAGCTGGGCATGGTGGCACGTGCCTGTAGTCCCAGCTACTGGAGAGGCTGAGGCAAAAGAATCACTTGAACCCAGGAGGCGGAGCTTGCAGTGAGCCAAGATCACTCCACTGCACTCCAGCCTGGTAACAGAGCAAGACTTTACCTCAAAGGAAAAAATTTAAAAAGTCATCTGAGTGGGGCTTTTCTAGACAGTTGCCTTATAGGTGAAGTACTGACAATTCTCTGAAGATAGGGCTTTTTGGCGAGTTTCAAACCCATTTTCTCTCAAAATGGTTAATTTTTTTTTTTTTTTTTTTGAGACAGTCTCGCATTGTCGCCCAGGCTGGAGTGCAGTGGCACGATCTCTGCTCACTGCAAGCTCTGCCTCCCGGGTTCACGCCATTCTCCTGCCTCAGCCTCCCGAGTAGCTGGGACTACAGCCTCCCAAGTAGCTGGGACTATGCCCAGCAAATTTTTTGTATTTTTAGTAGAGATGGGGTTTCACCGTGTTAGCCAGGATGGTCTCAATCTCCTGACCTCGTGATCCGCCCACCTTGGCCTCCCAAAGTGCTGGGATTACAGGTGTGAGCCACCACGCCCGGCCTAAAGTACTGGTTTTTACAGCTACTGTGGGTAAAGGCTGTTGGGTTTTTTTCTTTTTTTTTGAGATGGAAGGGTCTCACCCCTATTGCTCAGATTGGAGTACAGTGGCATGATCATGGCTCACTGCAGCCTCGACTTCCCGGGTTCAGGCGATCCTTCCACTTCAGCCTCCCAAGTACCTGAGACTACAGGCTTGTGCCACCACGCCTAGCTAATTTTTGTATTTTTTGTAGATATGGGGTCTCGCCATCTTGCCCAGGCTGGTCTTAAACTCCTGGGCTCAAGCAATTTACCCACCTTAGCCTCCCAAAGTGCTGGGATTACAAGTGTGCACCTGGCCAAACCTATTGGATTTTAAAGCTATCAGAGTTGGGAAGAAGGAAATGGGAAGTCCACATGCTACAAAGCTCACTGGTCTCGTGAAAAGAAATTAAATCTTGGGACCCCAGGCTGGGCATGGTGGTTCACGCCTGTAATCCCATCACTTTGGGAGGCTGAGACGGGCAGATAACCTGAGGTCAGGAGTTCGTGACCAGCCTGGCCAACATGGTGAAACCCCATCTCTGCTAAAAATACAAAAATTAGCTAGGTGTGGTGGTGGGCACCTGTAATCCCAGATACTCAGGAGGCTGAGGCAGGAGAACTGCTTGAACCTAGGAGGCAGAGGTTGCAATGAGCCAAGATCGTGCCACTGCACTCCAGCCTGGGGGACAGAGCGAGACTCCATCTCGAAAAAAAAAAAAAAAAAAATCTTGGGACCTCAAACTCGTTAAGCCAAAGGGAAAAGTCAAGCTGGGAACTGGGTTGTGCAAACCTGCCTCCCCATTTTTGGGTTTCTAAATAAGATGGCTACAAGATGAAAAGCTACAAGCCTCCCTCACATTTTGCTCACAAGGAAATTCCTAGTGAGCTGCAAGATCTTTAAGGTGTTTCTGTGAAAATTTCACCAGGGCAATGTAAACTGATAGCTTACCTTTTACAGGTGCAGTCAACCCCCTGCCCACCAGACACAAATGCATATCTGATTGCTCCCCTGCCCCATTTTGTCTATGTTATCTTATGTAAAAAAAAAAAAAAAAAAAAAGTACAGGCCAGGCACGGTGGCTCATGCCTGTAATCCCAGCACTTTGGGAGGCTGAGGCGGGTGGATCACCTGAGGTCAGGAGTTCGAGACCAACCCCAGGCAACATGGTTAAACCCCGTCTCTACTAAAAATACATATATTAGCCAGGCGTGGTGGTGGGCACCTGTAATGACAGCTATTTGTGAGGCTGAGGCAGGAGAATCGCTTGAACCCGGGAGGCGGACGTTGCAGTGAGCTGAGATTGTGCCACTGCACTCCAGCCTGGGCAACAGAATGAGACCCTCTTTGGGGGCGGGGAGAAACAGATTCACTGAACCAGACAACAGGCATGAATGACTATTTTTCCTACCTCCTTCTTACATGAAAATTGTGTACTTCTCAATATCTCGCCCTTTCCCCTTTAATGGTGGGGTCTCAAAATTACTTTTGGAGAAAGACATAGACCTGTCTCCCAGGTGTGCATCGTTAACTTTGGTGAATAAACCTCCTAAAATAATTGACGCTTGTCTCATCATTTTTCTCGATTGACAATCTTAGAGATATTCAGGTATTTTTCTTAAATTCCCCGAATTGTTATAAGCCTTTGGTTAATTTCTAAAGTTATGGAGAAGTTGGTTTTGACCATTTTTGCCAGGATTTGTGTGACTTTTATGGAGGAGGAGATTTTCAGTTATTTTGGAGTTTTTTTTTGTTTGGAGATGGAGTCTCCCTCTGTTGCCCAGGCTGCAGTGCAGTGGTGCGATCTTAGCTCACTTCAGCCTCCGCCTCCCAGGTTCAAGCAATTCTCCTGCCTCAGCCTCCCAAGGAGCTGGGACTACAGGCGTGCACCACCAAGCCTGGCTAATTTTTGTATTTTTAGTAGAGATGGGGTTTCACCGCATTGGCCAGACTGGTCTCAAACTCCTGACCTCATGATCTGCCTGCCTCAGCCTCCCAAAGTGCTGGGATTACAGGCGTGAGCCACTGCGCCTGGCCGATTATCAGAGGTGTTTATTCTGCTGTTCTGGAAGTGATCCTGCCTCCCAGCTTACCTTTGATTCAGCAAATGAAAAAACTGTAAATGCAATACTGTGTTTTTGCAAAAATATTGGCAAAAAATTTGTAAGTTTCTAACCAGCCTGGTAGAGGTGAGAGGTTTTCTTGCATGCAGTTGGTGGAAGGTAATTTGTCAAGCTTTCTGGAAGGAAATTTGGTACTTGTCCCTACAAATTGGAATCCTGAATTTCCTGTTTGATGGATCCCCTTGGGGCAGAGACTCCACGGAGTTAGAGAAGGAGCATTTTCCTCCCAGGCCTGAGGGCAGAAGGAGGGCGTTTGCGGAACAAAAATTAAGATTCAGGCCGGCGTGGTAGCTCACGCCTGTAATCTCAGCACTTTGGGAGGCCAAGGCAGGTGGATCACAAGTTCAGGAGCTCGAAACCATCCCAGCCACCATGGTGAAACCTTGTCTCCACTAAAAATACAAAAATTAGCTGGGCGTGGTGGTGGGTGCCTATAATCTCAGCTACTCAGGAGGCTGAGGCAGAAGAATCGCTTGAACCCGGGAGGCGGAGGTTGCAGTGAGCCGAGTTTGCGCCACTGCACTCCAACCTGGTGACGAAGCAAGACTCTGTCTCAGGAAAAAAAAAAAAAAAAAAAAAAAAATTAAAGCTCAGTGCTCCTGGGAAAAGCAACTACAATTTGTCGTCAGAGGGCAGTGTTTTGCCCTGTTCTTCTGGAGAGAGGCGGGACTTCCTCCAGGTGTGTTCAGGAGTCCCCACAAATGGCTTCAGGAAATTAGAGGCCTGGAAGGCTCCCCCTGTCTTCACAAGCCCAGGCTCTACACTCTGGAGCCAAACACAGCAGCCCAAGAGGGCGGGAATCCCATTCCCATGGGCGGTGCTATTTCTTCCTTCCTTTTTTTTTTTTTTTTTTTTTTTTTTCGGAGACAGAGTTTCACTCTTGTTGCCCAGGCTGTAGTGCAATGGCGCAATCTCGGCTCACTGCAACCTCCGCTTCCTGGGTTCAAGTGATTCTCCTGCCTCAGCCTCCTGAGTAGCTGGGATTACAGGCATAAGCCACCATGCCCGGCTAATTTTTGTAGTATTAGTAGAGACGGGGTTTTACCATATTGGCCAGGCCTGTCTCAAACTCCTGACCTCGTGATCCACTCACCTAGGCCTCCCAAAGTGCTGGGATTACAGGCGTGAGCCACCGCGCCTGGCCAAAGTGCTATTTCTGTTCCCATTCTGTGGACAAATAAATGAGATCTTAATGGGGTATTTGGGGTACGAGCTGGAGGGGTTGCTCTCAGCCAGTGTCTTTGCCTGCAATATTGTCCCCCATTTCATGCACACCCCAATACTGAAACTTACCCCATTGCTCTTGCAGTAGACTGAACATGTTCCCCCCAACATTTATATGTTGAAACCTACCCTCTAAGGTAATGGTATTATGAGACATGGGCCTTTGGGAGGTGATTGGGTGTTACCCTCACGAATGGCATAGTGCCCTTATATTAATAAAAGGGATGGCCGGGTGCGGTGGCTCACACCTGTAATGCCTGCACTTAAGGAGGCTGAGGCTGGAGGATCATGAGGTCAGAAGTTCAAGACCAGCCTGCCCAACATGGTGAAACCCCGTCTCTACTAAAAATACAAAAAATTAGCTGGGCATGGTGGCAGATGCCTGTAATCCCAGCTACTTGGGAGGCTGAGGCAGGAGAATGGCTTGAACCGGGGAGGTGGAGGCTGCAGTGAGCCGAGATCATGCCACTGCACTCCAGCCTGGGTGACAAGAGTGAAACTCCATCTCCATCAATCAATCGATCAATCAATGGGACCCCAGAGAGCTCCCTCTTTTTCCACCACATGAAGACACAACTAGAAGTCTGTGATCTGGAACCCAGAAGAGGACCCTCACCAGAAGCTGACCATGTACCCTGATCTCAGATCTTCAGTCTCCAGAGTTGTGAGAAATAGATATCTATTGTTGATAAGGCAGCCAGTCTATGGGACTTTGTTATGGCAGCCGAGACTGTCAAAGACAGCTCTAGAGGGGCTATGTGTCCAGGAGGGGATGAATCAGTCTTTTACTTCTTCTTTTTAAGACAGGGTCTCGCTCGGTCACCCAGGCTGGAATGCAGTAGTGTGATCTCAGCTCACTGCAACCTCTGCTTCCTGGGCTCAAGCGATCCTCCCACCTCAGCCTCCCAAATAGCTAGGACTACAGGCACGTACCACCATGCCCAGCTAGTTTTTGTAATTTTTGGTAGAGACGGGGTTTCGCCATGTTGCCCAGGCTGGCCTTGAACCTCTGAGCTCAAGTCATCTGCCCACCTCGGCCTCCCAAAGTGCTGGGATTACAGGCATGAGCTGCCGCGCCCACCCTCTCCTTTACTTCTCAGCTGTGAATGTTCTCCCATATCCTCGGACTCCCAGCCTGCTCCCAGGCTTCACAGTCCTATCTGATGAAGTAGGGGAGCACCAGCCACCCCCTTATCTCTCTAGCTCAGTCTATCCCCTCCAGGGGCTCTGGACTTCTCTCCAGGGCAGCCTGACCTAGGGGCGACACAGGAGTTTCCTTGACACTGGTACTATCTCTGAACATCTCTGCCTCCATCTCTGTTTTGAGGCTGGTCCATGGAGTCAATGAAGGGGTCCCCTCCTCTCCCCCAAAACCCTCATCTTAGCTCCTGCTTTTCCCAGGCCCTAAGATCCTGGGGGCAGGTCTTGTAGAGGGGGAGCCCTTGTGGGGGGCTTCAGGTACCCGCACTCTTTAGGAACAGGCACAGGTCTTGATGTTGCAGGCACAGGTCTGGATATTGATGGGAAATTGCGGTCAGAGTGGACAGCACCACCCATTCCCGGCATCTCCCATGATTTGGTCTTCAAGCCTTCACCTCATTCTCTGCCCACCTGGATCTTGTCAGCCCCAGAGAGAACCTGAGTCCAGAGGAGAAGCAGAACCCAGGCCACTGGGCAGTGGCAACCGCACAGACACCGACATCCCTGGGAGAGCCTGAGCCCACCGCCCAGAGCTCAGAGCCTGGAATAAGCAGCCCAGCGAAGAGCCCCGCTCCACCGCCCAGAGGAGCACCAGAGTGAGCTCGGCCTGGAACCCAGAGACCATCTTCAAAATCTCATCCCCAACCTCTCATAAATGCCACCTTGTCCCTGGCCCCCCTGTAATTACTTCAGCCCCTTGTTCCCTTCACAGCAGTAATTTTTTTTTTCTTTTTGAGACAGAGTCTGCCTCTGTTGCCCAGGCTGGAGTGCAGTGGTGCAATCTCGGCTCACTGCAACCTCCGCCTCCCGGGTTCAAGCAATTCTCCTTCCTCTGCCTCCCAAGTTGCTGGGATTATAGGCCAGCACGCCAGGCTAAATTTTTTTTTCTTTTTTTGAGACGGAGTCTCACTCTGTCGCCCAGGCTGCAGTGCAGTGGCGCAATCTCGGCTCACTGCAAGCTCTGCCTCCCGGGTTCAAGCGATTCTCCTGCCTCAACCTCCGGAGTAGCTGGGACTACAGGTGCCCGCCACACGCCCGGCTAATTTTTGTATTTTTAGTAGAGACAGGGTTTCACCGTGTTAGCCAGGATGGTCTCGATCTCCTGACCTCGTGATCTGCCCGCCTGGGCCGCCCAAAGTGCTGGGATTACAGGCGTGAGCCACCGCGCCCGGCCGATTATTTTAATAAGATGATTGAACATCTTCCTTATTAGATTGTAACCCACAAGGGCATTTATGTTGCCTGCGATGTCCCCCGGTCCTAGGGCAGCCCACCTGCTGATGCAGTTCTGAGTGCTGCCACCAGGGGGCAGGGCTGCCTCGCACTTGTCATGGGGACAGCGGCAGGACCCTCAAGAGGGCTTTAACTTGGTTGGGTTCGTATCTGCACCGGGCCATATCTGCACCTGGGAATACTCCACTCCCTCCCTGAGGTGTGAGTGGGGATGCTCCCAGCTCCAGGAGACACAGCTGTGGTGTCGCTGGCCAGGGTGCAGCTTTCTAGAGAGGTTCCATTTTCACACCTCCAAGTTCAGACCTTTTCTTTCCCTCTGCAGACTGGGGCGAGCGACCACCCAGCCCAGTGTAGAGGGGGTCTCATGTCTTACCACTCTTCATTTACACTTTTTTTTTTTTTTTTAAAGACGTCGGGTTAGCTCACCCCTGTCATCCTAGCACTTTGGGAGCCCCAGGCAGTCAGATCACGAAGTCAGGAGATGGAGACCATCTTGGCCAACATGGTGAAACTCCATCTCTACTAAAAATACAAAAATTAGCCGGGCATGGTGGCGGGCGCCTGTAGTCCCAGCTACTCAGGATGCTGAGGCAGGAGAATTGCTTGAACCCGGGAGGCGGAGGTTGCAGTGAGCTGAGGTCATGCCATTGCATTCCAGCCTGGTAACAGAGCAAGACTCTGTCTCAAAAAAAAAAAAAAAAAAAAAAAAAAAGGGACATAGGGTCTGGCTCTGTTTCCCAGGCTGGAGTGCAGTAGTGCAATCACAGCTCACTGCAGCTTCCAGCTCCTGGGCTCAAGCAATCCTCCCACCCCCGCCTCCCAAGTAGCTGGAACTACAGGTGTGCACCACCACATCTGGCTAATTTTTCTATTTTTATTTTTTGTAGAGATGCGGGTCTCACTATGTTGCCCAGGCTGGTCTCGAACTCCTGGCCTCAAGAGAGTCTCCTGCTTTGGCTTCCCAAAGTGCTGGGGTTACAGGCATGAGCCACTGTGCCCAGCCTTCACTCTGACTTTGAACAGGCCTCCTGTTCGCAGCCCACTGCACATCTCCACCCTCTGGCGCATATGCTTCCGCCAATCCCAGAGCCTTTTCCTCTTTGACTCCCCTCCCGAGGAGTGTTTGCCTCTGAAGAACTTAGGCTTCAGGGTTTTTTTTTGAGACAGGTTTGCTCTGTTGCCCAGGCTGGAGTGCAGTTGTGCGATCTCTGCGCACTGCAACCTACACCTCCTGAGTTTAAGCGATTCTCCTGCCTCAGCCTCCTAAGTAGCTAGGATTACAGGCCCCTGCCACCACACCCAGCTAATTTGTGTATTTTTAGTAGAGATGGGGTTTCACCATCTTGGCCAGGCTGGTCTTGAACTCCTGACCTCGTGATCCACCTGCCTCAACCTCCCAAAGTGCTGGGATTATAGGCGTGAGCCACTGCACCCAGCCTGGGCTTCAGCTTTGCTCTACCAGGGGTTGCCATTAGTAATGTTTCTCCTAACACTGTGTGGACGTCTCTTTTCTACCTTTAACTGTATTCATGTTCCCTTTATCTTGGTGGGGTTAAGCCAAAAAAGGGGGATGGGGGCTGGATGCAGTGACTCATGCCTGTAATCCCAGCCAAGGCAGGAGGATCACTTGAGCCTGGGAGATCTAGACCAGCCTGAGCAATATAGCAAGACCCCGTCTCTACAAAATAAAATTAAGAAATTAGCTTGGTGTGGAGTGCGTGCCTGTACTCCCCACTACTCAGGAGGCTGAGGCAGGAGGATCACTTCAGCCCAGGAGTTCAAGCCCAGTCTGGGCGACAGAGCGAGACTCTGTCTCAAAAAAAAAGTCCTCATTGTGGATTGAGTGAGTTGCAGTGGGGATTGTTTGTGCCAAATCAGTTTCTTACAAGCTCCTCAGTAGGTTTCAAGGGAAGCTTCGATGTCACGTCCTTCAGATTGTGGGGGACAGTTGCTGCTTTGGCATGGTGGTTATCATGAGGCAGTGGGATGGAGAGAAACAAAGGCGATGCAGCTGGTCCATATCCCCAGCAAGTACAAGCACGCATAACGGAAGCATTGCAAGCACACATAACCATGCCAGACACATTGCAAGCGCACATAACAGATGCATTGCAAGCGCTGATAACCATGCCAGAGGCACTGTAATCACACATAACCGTGCCGGACACATTGCAAGCGCAGATAACCATGCCGGATGCAGGCAAGCACACATAACCTTGCCGTATTCATTGCGAGCACAGATAATCGTGCGGAGCCATTGCAAGCGCTCATAACCCTGCCGGACGCATTGCAAGCGCAAATAACCACGCCAGATGCAGCCAAGCGCACATAATCACGCCGGACCCATCGCAAGCGCAGGTACCCATGCCAGACGCATTGCGAGTGCAGATAACCACGCTGGACGAAGGCAAGCGCACATAACGGACGCATTGCGAGATTGCAGGCACACATCACCATGCCAGACTCCTTGCAATCCACGTAAGCATGCTAGTTTGGGGGTTGATACCAGCCCCTCTTCCTTTCCTAACTTTGTAATCCCCCAAGCCATAAACACCAGTGTCAGATGCATAGCAATCAAAATCCGTTTTATTATGAACGACACTGAATTGGAGGAAGTAGAGGGACCGGGGCGGAGGCCGGGGGAGACTGACCGCGTGGGTTTCCCAGCACTTTGCACCTGCCAGTCACAGGTGAAGTTAGAAAACCACAAAGGTCTTCTGTTTGGAAAAGCAGAAGGAACTGTGGACCAGGCTGTCCCAGAGAGACCAGCTAGGGAGGGGACAAGGTGTGCTTGGCTCACTCAGCACTTTTGCAGCACTCACCAGCATGGCAAATCCAGGTGAGAAGAAGGTTATGGGACTGGAGACACCCCCCTGCTTCCTGGAAGGCGTGAAAATACCACTCTCCCCCACCCCCGCAAGAGGAGACAGGAGCCCAATACCTGAGGCATTTCTAAATCCCGGTTTCTTTCGCCCAGGCTGGCTGGAGTGCAGTTGTGCAATCTCGGCTCACTGCAACCTCCACCTCAAGCCATTCTCCTGCCTCAGTGTCTCGAGTAGATGGGATTACAGGCACCCACCACCATGCCCGGCTAATTTTCTTTTTTCTTTTTCTTCTTTTTTAAAAACGTATTTTAAGTAGAGACGGGGTTTTGCCATGTTGGCCAGGCTGGTCTTGAACTCCTGGCCTCAAGTGATCTACCTGCCTCGGCCTCCCAAAGTTCTGGGATTACAGGCATGAGCCACTGCACCTGACCCAAATCCCAATTTATTTCTCAATGGCAAAACCTGGAAACCCAGTTTTTGGAAATAATTGAATCCCTGGCACTTCCTTCTCAGATGACTGGGCAGGATGCACCCCAGACACATGGTAAATGGAAACTGGGGTACAGCAAATAGTGACTTTTTTTTTTTAAGCAAAGAGGCCCAGCATGGTGGCTCATTCCTATAATCCCAGCACTTTGGGAGGCCAAGGTGGGAGGATCGCTTGAGCCCAGGAGTTTGAGACCAGCCTGAGCAATAGAGTAAGACCTTGTCTGTACAAAAAATAAACTAGCCAGCATGGTGGCATGTGCCTGTAGTCCTAGCTACGTGGGAGGTTGAGGCAGAAGGATCACTTCAGCCCAGGAGGTGGAGGCTGCAGTGAGCTATGATTGTGCCACTGCACTCCAGCCTAGGAAACACAGCGAGACTCCATCTCAAAATAATAATAATAATAATAATAATAATAATAATAATAATAAAAAAACACGTTACCAGAGAAATATCAACAGCCTAAAAGTCATCAACTGTGTGCTCCAGTGGACTCAGGCTGTGGCGAGGGATGTCTTTTCTGAAGAGTGGAAGGGAGCTGAAGAGCTCTGTACCTTTCAGGTGAACCCAGAGAGAGTCCCAGCAGAAATACCCATGGGGAGAGGGAACCTGCCATTCTGGGGGTCTGAAGGGTGAAGAGGTCCCCTCATTCATTCAAGGCAAGAGCCAGGTCCTCAAAAGGCCATTTTCTAAAGTCTTAAAAAAAAAAAAAAAAAAAGAGAGTCTCACTCTGTCACCCAGGCTAGAGTGCAGAGATGCAATCACAGCTCTCTGCAGCCCCGACCTCCTGTGTTCAAACAATTCTTCCTCCTCACTTCCCAAGCAACTGGGGCTACAGGCATACACCAACATGCCCGGCTAATTTGGAAATTTTTTGTAGCGACAGAGGCGGGGGGTCTTGCTATGTTGCTCAGGGTGGTCTTGAACTCCTGGCCTCACGAGTTCTTCCCACCTTGCCCTCCCAAACTGCTGGAATTACAGTCATGTGCCACCGCGCTGGGCCGTGGTGGGGGGATTTTAAGTTACAGATTCGATTTCTTATGTCAGTTTCAGTAATTTTCTAGAAAGTTGTTGGTTTTATCCAAATATTTAAATTCATTGGCATGGCCAGGCATGGTGACTCACGCCTGAAATCCCAGCACTTTGGGAGGCTGAGGTGGGTAGACCACTTGAGGTCAGGAGTTCGAGACCAGCCTGGCCAACAAGGTGAAATCCCCTCTCTACTAAAAATACAAAAATTAGCCAGGCATGGTGGCACATGCCTGTAGTCCCAGCTACTCGGGAGGCTGAGGTGGGAGGATCGGTTGAACCCGGGAGGTAGAGGTTTCAGTGAGCTGAGATCATGCCACTGCACTCCAGCCTGGGCGACAGAGCTAGACTCTATCTCAAAAAAAAAAAAAAAAAAAGCAAATTAAAAAATAAAAAATAAATTGACATAGAATGTTGATAACATCTTATAGGCTCTGCCATGATGTCTCAGTTTCCCCCTTTCTAATGGGCCGGAGGAGAGGACAGAGGCTGGCATTCCAGGCAGTGGAACAGTGTGAGCCAAGCTCTAGCACAGATGCTGGAACAGCAGCTGGCCCTGCTCGTCTGGGGTTTAGGCAAACGCCGGGGATGCAGAGGAGGGTCCCAGTGCCTGATGGGCATTCACCTTCTGGTAGAAGTAGCTGCCATGTGATTGGGTGGTTTTATCAGCCTGGGGTCACAGAGGCAACCAAAGTGCCACCTAAGCCACACTGTTGCTTGAAGCCAAGGGACAGGGCAGCTGTCACATCTCCTGCAGCCTCTCCTTGCACCATTCAGGGTCCCCCCCTTGCTGCTGATGTCTACACTATGCACATTCACCCAGGCCCAGTGCGGGCTGCTCCACCACCAGCCATACCCACCCCACCTGAGCTCAGCTGATTATCCCAGCCCTGCCTACCCATCACTCCCAGCCCTGCCATCTGCACAGTTCTGTCCTCTCTGAGCCCTCCACCTCAGCCCTCCACATTTTTTTTCTTTTTTTTGAGACGGAGTCTTGCTCTGTCACCCAGGCTGCAGTGCAGTGGCGCTATCTCGTCTCACTGCAAGCTCCGCCTCCCTGGTTCACACCATTCTCCGGCCTTAGCCTCCCGAGTAGCTGGGACTACAGGAGCCCGCCACCATGCCCGGCTAATTTTTTGTATTTTTAGTAGAGACAGGGTTTCAATGTGTCAGCCAGGATCGTCTCGACCTCGTGATCCACCTGCCTTGGCCTCCCAAAGTGCTGGGATTACAGGCGTGAGCCACCGCGCCCGGCCCACATTTTTTTTTTTTTTAAAGAGATAGAGTCTTGCTCTGTTACCCAGGCTGGAGTGCAGTAGCATGATCATAGCTCACTCTAGTCTCAAACTCCTGGGCTCAAGCAATCCTCCTGCCTCAGCCTCCTGAGTAGCTGGGATTATAGGCACAGGTCACCATGCCTAGCTAATTCTTAAATTTTTATGTAGAGATGGGGTCTTGCTTCGTTGCCCAGGCTGGAGTACAATGGCATAATCATAGCTCACTGCAGCCTCCAACTCCTGGGCTTGAGCTATCCTCCCACCTCAGTCTCCTGAGTAGCTGGGACTACAGGCCCCGGCCACCACACCCAGCTTAGTATTATTTTTTATAAAGATGGGGTCTTGCTATGTTGCCCAGGCTGGTCTCAAAATGCCTGGACTTAAGCAATCATCCCACCTCAGCCTCCCAAAGTTCTGGGATTACAGGTGTGACTACCATACTTACCCTTTTCTTTTCTATTTTGACACTGAGTCTCGCTCTATCACCCAGGCTGGAGTGCAGTGGTGTGATCTCGGCTCACTGCAACCTCTGCCTCCCAAGTTCAAGCAATTCTTCTGTCTCAGCCTCCTAGTAGCTGGGATTACAGGCACCCATCACTATGCCCAGCTAATTTTTGTATTTTTGGTACAGACGGGTTTCACCATGTTGGCCAGGCTGGTCTCGAACTCTTGACCTCAAATGATCCACCTGCCTTGGCCTCCCAAAGTGCTGGGATTACAGGCGTGAGCCACCACGCCCAGCCTAACCCCTTTTCTAGATCCTCCCACATCTCCCTTGCTCGGCCACTGAGCCTGCTGAAGGCCAATGTCACCCCAGGCCCGCTCCTCTGGCTTGGCTCAAGTGAAGACCTACCAGAAAATGAGCCTGTGGCAGTGTAGAAATGCCCAGCTATGCCCCCGGCTATGCCCAGGACACAGCAGGCGGAGAAGGTGTCATCACTTTAGCCACAAAGCTTTAAGCAAGAGTGGTTTTAGTCTGGGCACTGTGGCTCACACCTGTAATCCCAGCACTTTGGAAGGCCAAGGCAGGCAAATCACTTGAAGTCAGGAGTTCAAGACCAGCCTGGCCAACATGGTGAGACTCTGTCTCTACTAAAAATAGAAAAATTAGCTGGGCGTGGTGGCTCACACCTGTAATCCCAGCTACTCGGGAGGCTAAGTCAGGAGAGTCACTTGAACCTGGGAGACGGAGGTTGCAGTAAGCTGAGATTATGCCACTGCACTCCAGCCTGGGTGACAGAGTGAGACCCTGTTGAAAGGAAGAAAGGAAAGAAAGAAAGAAAACAAAGAAAAAGGAAAGAAAGGAAATGAGGAAAGGAAAAAAAGAAAGAAAGAAAGGAAAGAAAGGAAGAAAGGAAAGAGAGAAAGGAAAGAAAGAAAGGAAGGAAAGAAAAGAAAAGAAAGAAAAGGTTGTAGACTGGGTGTGCCTGTAATCCCAACATTTTGGGAAGCCGAGGCAGGTGAATCGCTTGAACCCAGGAGTTCCAGGCCAGCCTGGGCAACGTGACAAAACCCTGACTCTATTGAAAAGAATTGTAAAGAAATAGTGGTTCTTTACCTCCCAACAGAGATCAAAGTACTCCTGTGAGTAGTCAATTTATTTTTATTTATTTATTTTTTTTGAGACAATCTTGCTCTGTCAGCCAGGATGGAGTGCTGTGGCGTGATCTTGGCTCACTGCAACCTCCATCTCCTGGGTTCAAGTAATTCTCCTGCCTCAGCCTCCCGAGTAGCTGGGATGACGCGTCTGCCACCACACCTGGCTAATTTTTGTGTTTTTAGTAGAGATGCGTTTTCACCATGTTGGCCAGGCTGGTCTCGAACTCCTGACTTCAGGTGGTCCCCACGCCTTGGCCTCCCAGAGTGTTGGGATTACAGGCATGAGCCACCACACCTAGCCCCATTTATTTTCAATCACTGCCAACTCACCCATCTATCCATGAGTGTAAATTTCACTTTTCAGCCTTTGAACAACAGGACCCTAGCATTTTACGCTGTCCCACACGATCACCACTGGAGGCAATAGGAAAGTGGAAGCAGGGGCTGGAGTGTCTGGGAACAGCCTCTCTGCACAGCGTGTGACAGACACAGCCACCTGCGTGCTTGTCCTCGATGGGAGAAAAAGGCTTCGAGAACTGAACGTCTGCCAAGCTCAGTGTTGTGTGACACAGCAGGAAACACAGCCCGTTTCTGCCGTCAGGAGCTTGTAAGAGGGTTTATGGAAAAGAAAAGCAATCATTTTCGTGCACACACACACTTGTATGCAGAAGACTGCCCAGCCCATCCTGGGTTTGTGGCTACAATAGTCAAATGCCGTTTCTGGAAACTATTGGTCAGGACATTTCAGTTAAAATGGAAAACAGGGCTGGGTGTGGTGGCTCAGACCTGCAATCCCAGCATTTTGGGAGGCCAAGGTGGGCAGATCACTTGAGGCCAGGAGTTTGAGCCAGTCTGGGCAACATACGAGACCCCCGCCTCAAAAAAAAAAAAAGAAAGAAAGAAAAAGAAAAGAAATTTTTTTTAAAAGAGAGAGAAAGAGAAAGATAAGAGAAAGAAAAAGAAAGAGAAAGAAACAGAAATAAAAAGAAGAGAAAGAAAAAGAAAAAAGAGAAAGTAAAAGAAAAAAGAGAGGCCGGGCACGGTGGCTCACTCCTGTAATCCCAGCACTTTGGGAGGACAAGGCAGGCGGATCACGAGGTCAGGAGATCGAGACCATCCTGACTAACACGGTGAAACCCCGTCTCTACTAAAAATGCAAAAAATTAGCCGGGCGTGGTGGCGGGCACCTGTGGTCCTAGCTGCTCGGGAGGCTGAGGCAGGAGAATGGCGTGAACCCGGGAAGCAGAGCTTGCAGTGAGCAGAGATCGCGCCACCACACTCCAGCCTGGGCAAGAGAGCAAGATTCCATCTCAAAAAAAAAAAAAAAGAAGAGAGAGAAAGAGAAAGGGAGGGAGAGAAAGAGAGAAAGGGAGAAAGAGAGAGAAAGAAAAAATGGGAAAGGAAGAAAAGGAAGGAGGAAGGGAGGAAGGAAGAAAAGGAAGGAAGAAGGGAGGGAGGGAGGGAAGGAAGGGAAGGAAAGGTAGAGAAAGAAAGGAGTCTGGGTGTGGGGGCTCACGCCTGTAATCCCAGCACTTTGGGAGGCCAAGGTGGGCGGATCACCTGAGGTCGGGAGTTCGAGACCAGCCTGACCAACATGGAGAAACCCCGTCTCTACTAAAAATACAAAATTAGCTGGGTGTAGTTGCATATGCCTGTAATCCCAGCTACTCAGGAGGCTGAGGCAGGAAAATCACTTGAACCCGGGAGGTGGAGGTTGCAGTGAGCTGAGATTGCGCCATTGCACTCAGTCTGGGCAACAAGAGCAAAACTCCGTCTCAAAAAAGAAAAAGAAGAGAAAGAAAAGGAAAGGAAACTCCTGTGAAGGGAACTGATTTTCATGACGCAGGTGTTGGCCCGAAGGTTTCAGCGTGGTCAGCAGCTGTGGGTGTGTTGGGTTTGGGGATTGGCGGGATGACGAACAGGTGGGCTGCACTGTTCACAATCAACCACTTGGGAGGGGAGGCTTTACCTGGGCCAAAGATGATGGGATACAACTGGGTCTCAAGTAACTTATATCAGGCCTAAAAACGGAATGCCAATTAGCAACCAAACAAAGCAAATAGACAACACCAGGAGATGCCAGACCTCAAGGCAGGTCCCCTAAATTGCATCCCTCCTTGGGCACTGACCGTGCCATGGCAGAGTGGCCAGGCAGGAGGCCAGGGCAGACCTTCAGGGTGAGGCATGCCACACAGAGGGAGCAAAGGCTACGCCACTCTCAGTGTGGCTCTGGGGGTGCAGGGGCAGCGGCAGTGACAACCTCCCAGGCGTGATTATGGGCAGGGACAATGGGGGGGGGCACCTCCACCCACTCGCCATTCTCCATGGTGCAGAGGGAACCTGGCCCAGGTTCTCACGGAGACTGAGGGGACCGGGAGGAACAGACAAGGATCTGAAAAGGCTGCAGGGTTCCTTCCGGGCGGGGCTCTGAGCACAGAGAGCTGGCTTTGCTGGTTTACCGAGGTCTGATGGATATAGTAAACTGCATCCATTTAACTGTGTGGTTTCAATGAGTTTTGACATAGATATGTACACCTGTGACACCGTCGCCACAAAGAAGATGGGCCAATAGCCCCCTGTATTAGTCTGTTTTCATGTTGCTATAAAGAAATACCCAAGACTGGGTAATTTATAAAGGAAAGAGGCTTCATTGACTCACGGTTCACATGGCTGGGAGGTCTCAGGAAATTTACAATCATAGCAGAAGGCGGAGCGAACCCCTTCTTCACCAGAGCGGGCGGGAGGAACTGGCACTTATAAAACCATCAGATCTCGTGAGAACTCGCTATCATAAGAACGGCACGGAGGAAGCCACTCTGATGATTCAATCACCTCCCACCAGGTCCCTCCCCTGACACCTGGGGATTACGAGTCAGATTACAATTCGAGATGAGATTTGGGTGTGGACACAGCCGAAGCATATCACCCCCAGAAGCTTCCCTCTGTCCCTGTCACCCCATCCTCTCCCACCCTCATCCCCAGGCAATCTCGGATCTGCGGTCAGTGTAGACTCGAGTTTTTTTTGAGACAGGGTCTCACTCTATTGCCCAGGCTGGAGCGCAGAGGCGCAATCACGGCTCACTGCAGCTTCAACCTCCTGGGCTCAAGCGATCCTCCCACCTCAGCCCCCTGAATAGGGACTACAGGAGCACACTATCACACCCCGTTAATTAATTAATTATTATTATTTTTGAGACAGAGTCTCGCTCTGTTGCCCAGTCTGGATCTTGGCTCACTGCAACCTCCCCCTCCCAGGTTCAAGTGATTCTCCTGCCTCAGCCTCCCGAGTAGCTGGGATTACAGGTGCACACCACAATGCCTGGCTAATTTTTTTGTATTTTTAGAAGAGACAGGGTTTCACCATGTTGGTCAGGTTGGTCTTGAACCCCTGACCTCAATCCACCCACCTTAGCCTCCCAAAGTGCTGGGAGTACAGGTGTGAGCCATTGTGCCTGGCCTGAGATTTTGCCCTTTCTAGGATTTCATCAAGGATAGAATTATATGCAGTATTTGGCAGGGCGCAGTGGCTTACACCTGTAGTCCCAGCACTTTGGGAGGCCGAGGCAGGCAGATCATGAGGTCGGGAGATCGAGACCATCCTGGCTAACACGGTGAAACCCCGTCTCTACTAAAAATACAAAAAAAATTAGCCGGGCGCGGTGGCAGGCACCTGTAGTGCCAGCTACTCGGGGGGCTGAGGCAGGAGAATGGTGTGAACCCGGGAGGCGGAGATCACAGTGAGCCGAGATCGCGCGACTGCAGTCCAGCCTGGGGCGACAGAGCGAGATTCTGTCTCAAAAAAAAAAAGAATTATATGCAGTACTTTTTAGTGGCTTTTATTTTTTTTCAGAATATGTTTCTGAGACCCATTCATGTTGCATGTATCAGTAATTCTTTCCTTTTTATTGCTGATGAACATTCCCTCATGAGGCTATATCATGGTGTTTATCCATTCTACCTGTTGCTATTTGGGTTGTTTCTAAAATTCGGCAATTATAAATCAAGCTGCCATGAGCATTTGTGTACAAGTGTTTGTGAGGCGTGTGCTTTCATGTCTCTTGGGTAAGTGTCCAGGCCATGGAATGACTGGGTCATAGGCAGGTGTGGGTTTAACATTTTAAGAAACCACCTGCTGGGCGCGGTGGCACATGCTTGTAATCCCAGCACTTTGAGAGGCCGAGGTGGGTGGATCACCTGAGGTCAGGAGCTTGAGACCAGCCTAACCAATATGATGAAACCGCTGTTTCTACTAAAAATACAAAAATTAGCTGGGCATGGTGGCACACGCCTGTAATCCCAGCTACTCAGGAGGCTGAGGCAGGAGAATCACTTGAACCTGGGAGGCAGAGGTTGCGGTGAGCCGAGATTGTGCCATTGCTCTCCAGCCTGGGCAACAAGAGCAAAACTCTGTCTCAAACAAAAGAAAAAAAAAAAACCACCAGGGCTGGTATTTTTGAAGTCACTGAGACAGAAAGTAACAAGGGCGGCTCCAGCGTGTGCTGTTACTGAGGCTGGGGCCAGGAGGCTCAGTGTGGTAAGCAGTGCTCCGTGGGGGAGCAGGACTAGACACGCTTGCTGTGCCCAACTCAGCATGCTCCTCTGAGATCTCAGGTGGCCTTGAGTAAGAGCCGAGTGCCCCACCATTGGAGAGGTTAGGAACCAGCAAATGGGACACCCACAGGCTGCAGCATCTAGAGGTGACAGAGTCAGGGGCGGAGTGTTCAGACAGGGCTACAAGTGACAGTTAAGGACAGAGCACAGAGTGGCTGCAGATGACAGGTCAGGGACCAGGTGCACAGATGGAGCTGCAGGTGACAGGTCAGGGACCGGAAGCACAGGCAGGGCTACAGGTGACAGTCAGGGACGGAGTGCACAGACAGGGCTTCAGGTGACAGGTACTGAGTGTACAAACCCACTGCAGGTGATGGACTGGGTGCACAGCTGGGGCTGCAGGTGATAGGGACCCAGTGGACAAATAGGACTGCAGGTGACATTGAGGGATCGAGTACACATATGGGGCTTCAGGTGACATGGGCAGACTGAGTGCAGAGAAGGGTCTGGGGACGTCAGCATCAGGGACTGGAGGACACAGCTGCTTCATCAGAAGACAGAGACAGTGCCTGAACACGGGGCCCAGAGAACTCAACCAGTGCAGGTGCCTCCTGGAGACAGGGCCAGGCTTGGAGCTGGGAGGAACCCAGAACAGCCTGGCCTACCAGGCACGGGCCCATCCCAAAAGGAAACAGCACCTCTAGCTAAGAAAGAACTTTATTATTTCTAATAAATGCATCTGGGGGTGGGGTCTGGAGAGGGCACACGGCCGTCCCCTGCCAATGCGTTGAGGCCCACACTCCTTGGGAGTGGACAGGGAAAGCCCCATGTTCCCCGGAGCCTGTCGCCGTGGCCTGCAGCCCTGGACGCCTCTCACGGAACCGCAGGTCTTCCTCCCCGGCTTTCTGGTCGCGTGGCCACCACAGCCCCATCAATACAGCCAGAGCCCGGGGCCAGGTGTGAGTCTGCCCGCAGCTCTCCGTCTCCGCCAGCCCCGACTCCTGGGGAAGGGGATAAAGGGGGACTTCCTGGTGCTGGCTAGAAAGGGTGATGCTCTTCAGCCAGGCAGCCCCCTGGTCCTCTGTGCTGTCGCTGTGCCTGGGGGAGGGGGGGCATCGGGGACGCTGTCCCTGTCCCGCAGCAGGTGCCCTGGGGGTTCCAGGTGTGTGGCCGGCCTCGAAGCCAAGGGGCCCAGCAGCCCAACCCATGTTCTCCACCCTCTGACCCTCGGGACCCCACCAGTCATCCTCCCACCCCTGTCTGGTCCCTTGTCCTTATCCAGTTCCCTGTGCTGGGTCTGTAGTGCCTCATCTTTCTGTCTCCTCTATTCCTTTCCCTGCGTCCCTGACTTCCTCTCTTCCCGTCCATCCCCCCGCCCCCAGTCCCCTTCCTCGCCCCTCCCCTCCAGCATGGGGCGGTTGAAACCTTGGAGCAGGTTCTGAAGGCCTTCCTGGGTGTTAGCATCCGGGTGGGGAGCGGCTTTGGCGGTGGGGACCGGGGCGGCCGGGAGCAGCAGCAGCAGCAGCAACAGCGGGGGCCACATGGCCTGCGGGCAGGGCGGCTGTCGGGGGACAAGGTGGGCGTTAGGGGCCCCGCCCCCTCTTCACGCCCTTTCCTCTCTGCCCTCTGGCTTCTGCGTGCCAGGCTCGCACGTCCAGCACCCTTCACCTGCCCCCACGGCCCGCCTATGTCTCCCGAGCAGCCCTGAGTTAGCCCACGGACCAGTCACCGGTCTCCGGCTCCCCAGGGATTGTTAGATCCGGACAGTTCTGCCCCAGAGCTGCCCTGGAGCTCGGACGCCTCCACGAGCCTGAGCCACGCCCTCGAGCCCGAGCCACGCCCGCCCACTGTTAACGCCTCACCCAAACCCCTACGCATGACCACGCCCTAGTACAGAGCTACACCCATTCTCGGCCACGCCCCCAGAGTCACGCAGAGTCTCCACTCACCAGCCAAGCCCCCACTGCAGAAGACCACGCCCCTGAGCACAGCCCTGGAGACCCACGCGGGCCTGGCCCTCTTCCGTGATCCCCAGTCCAGCCCCAGTGCAACAGCCCAGGCCCCCGAGTTGAGCCTCATCCAGCATCCAGGCCAGCCTCTGCCACCCTCAGCATGGAACACAGTCGTTTCCGGTCCCTCACTCTCGTTCATTCTCCATTCTTCTTGAACATACGGGGAATATTCATAGTAGCTGTTTTAATGTCCTGATCACTAATTCCATCATCTATGCCATTTCTGGGTCTTTGTTATTTTTCTACTCATTATGGGTTCTGTTTTTCTGCTTCTTTGCATGCCTGTTTTTTTTTGTTTTTGTGTTTTTGAGACAGGGTCTCACTGTTGCCCGAGCTGGAATGGAGTGGCATGATCATAGCTCACTGTCGCCTCAAATTCCTGGGCTCAAGCGATCCTCCTATCTCGGCCTCCTGAGTACTGGAACCACAGGTACACGCAGCCATGCCCAGCTAATTTTTAAAATTATCTTTTGTAGAGACGGAGTCTCACTATGTTGCCCAGGCAGGTCTTGAACTCCGGGCCTCAAGAGATCCTCCTGCCTCAGTCTCCCAAACATTACCAATATATTCTTATTTCTTTGAGAGTCTTTAGCATAGGTGGTGCAGTTTGTTCTTTGGTGACTGAGTTCCTCAAATGTCTGGTTATTTTTGCCAGAACTCATTTTCTCCAGGGAAGTGCTGCAATCTTGCCTGGAAAGAAAAAATAATCACATAGCTACTTCCTGGTACAGGTTAACCCCATTTCTGCTTTTTAGAGGGGGTTTATAGAGGATGTTGGCTGGGCTCAGTGGCTCACGCCTGTAATCCCAGCACTTTGGGAGGCCAAGGCGGGTGGATCACCTGAGGTCAGGAGTTTGAGACCAGCCTGGTCAACATGGTGAAACCCCATCTCTACTAAAAATACAAAAATTAGAGCCGGGAGCAGTGGCTCATACCTGTAATCCCAGAACTTAGGGAGGCCGAGGCGGGCGGATCACGAGGTCAAGAGATCGAGACCATCCTGGCTAACACGGTGAAACTCCGTCTCTACTAAAAATACAAAAAATAAGCCGGGCATGGTGGCGGGCGCCTGTAGTCCCAGCTACTCGGGAGACTGAAGCAGGAGAATGGCATGAACCCGGGAGGCGGAGCTTGCGGTGAGCCGAGATTGAGCCACTGCACTCCAGCCTGGGCGACAGAGCAAAACTCCATCTCAAAAAACAAAAACAAACAAAAGACACACACACGAAATAAATAGAGATGGGGCCTGGCTGTGTTGCCCAGGCTGCTCTTGAACTCCTCAGCTCAAGATCCTCCCACCTCAGCCTCCCAAAGTGCTGGGATTACAGGTGTGCCTGGTCTGCTTCCCTTCTTTGAAGAGCCTAGCATCCTCATATCTGGACATAATTTGGGATGGAATAAGGAACAGTGGGTGAATTTTTGGCCTCAGGTATAAAGTAGTAGTCTTGCATTTGTGTCTTTTGCCATAATTTAGAGACAACATTGAAAAGTTCGCCAACCCCAAGCCAAGCACCAGCAAATGTGGGCGTGGGGGGAGAAAATCTGTGAAATGGGCACTTCCGGTGGGGGTGAAGGGCGAGCCCCTGCCTTGCTTACATACTGCCTGGTGGTTCTGGCCAAAGGAGTGACAGAGCAAAGGGAGCCATTGTGGGGGAATCACACCCCCAAGTCCCAACCAACTCCCAGATTCCCCCTCCTTCAGCAAAGCATTAGTCACCTGTTCACACTTCAGCTCAGCTTAACCCTCAATGAGTAAGGTGGAATGAAAAGCACATGGCCGGACGAGGTGGCTCACTCCTGGAATCCCAGGACTTTGGGCGGCCAAGTTGGGTGGACCACTTAAGCCCAGGAGTTTGAGTCCAGCAACACAGCAAGACGCTGTCTCTACGAAAAAAATAAAAAAATTAGACAGGTGTGGGGGCATGCACCTGTAGTCCCAGCTACCCAGGAGGCTGAGGTGGGAGGCTCGTTTGAGCTCAGAAAGTCGGGGCTGCAGTGAGCTGTGATTGCACCACTGCACTGCAGGCTGTGGTGAGAACTTGACTCTAAAAATAAGAGAAAGAAAAACAAAAAACAAATGCCTTCCCACCAAAAAAAAAAAAAAAAAAAAAAAAGAGGCACACAGTCTATGCCATCCAATGTCACGTCCTTCTTGCTGTGCTTTTACAAGCTCAGCCAGCCCTCACCCAAAGTGTTTTTTTTTTTTCAATGGTGCAAAGTTTTGCTGACCTGTTTCTTTCACTCACTTACATCTGGGCTGTTAACTGTGTATCTGAGATTTGCTCAAATATTTAGCTGAATACTTTTAAAATAATTTTCCATCAAATCCAACTCAGCATTATATTCATTCACTGCCAAGAAAGGTCACCCCTACAGTAAAAGTTAAGATGAATCCCGAATTCAGAAATGCAAAAAACAATTTGTTTAGGGAAATATGAAATGTTACACATTAGCTTCTTTATTGAAGAGGCAGCTCAGACCTATTTATATATGCAAAAGTATAGGATGACAAAGTATGTAATGATTCTTTAACCTTCTCAAATATTTCACTTAAAATATACATTATGCTAAGCTTTAAGGACAGCGTAGGAAATCTTAGTAGTTGCCATCAAAATTACTATAAATATGTATTTCCTGCACAGAATTATGCAAAATCTGCCATTTAATTCCTGTTGTGCAGCATATTCATACACATCTAGAAAAATATGATTAGAGTGATGAGCGACACAAATGTTAGCCATTTGTGATTTTAGAAAACTTTTATGGAAAGTTTAACACACATGCAGAAAAATACACATATCTTAAGTGCACAGCTCAAAACACACTCAAATACTTAGCACCTAGGTTTAGAAACAGATTATTCCCAGCACCAGATAAATGCCCCCTTTCAGCCTTGGCCAAGGCTAACTGCTACCCTAATTTTAAACCACGTATACAAGTTTTGCCCGTCTTTATAATTTATATAGAAGGAATCATACAGCATGTTGGCTTTTGTGTCTGGAGTCTTTCATTCAGCAAGGTTTGTTAAATTCAGCTGCGTTATTACACGGACTTCTAGTTCATTCATGCTCACTGTTTTACAGTATTCCATGGACATATGCCACTTCTTTATTCATTCCATTGCACATGTGCCTTAAGATAGTTCTGTTTTGTGCAGTTTTAGGCTATAAATATTCTAGTGCATGTCCTTTGGTGGACAGACACATGCATTTTTGCTGGGTTTGGGTAAAACAGTATACATATGCTTGGCTTTTAGTGCCAGCTTTCAAAATGGTTTTATCGATGAGCAATTCCACCAGTAGTGTACAGTTCCTCTTGCTTACATCCTTGCCAAAACGTGATGCTTTTTCATGCTTTTCATTTTAACCATTTCCATGGATGGGTAGCAGTGCTACATGTTTTAAGTTTGCATTTCCCTGATTACTAATAAAGCTAACACATCTTTTCATGCTTATTGGCCGTCTGGATATCCTCTAAAGTGAGTGGATATCCTCTAAAGTCTTTTGCCTTTTCCAGTTTCCCCCTTGTTGATTTGTAGGTGCTCTTTACATATTCGAGATCAGGGACCAGAAAACTATGAGTGCAGACCAAATCCAGACTGCCACCTGGGATTGTGAATGGTTTTACTGGGAAGCAGCCATGCTCATTTTTTTTTTAATGCATGGTGTATGGATGCTTTCACACAATAGCAAAGATGAGCAGTTGTGACAAAGCTGAAAATTTTCACCATCTGGTGCCTTGCTTTATAAAGTTTGCCAACACTTCTGCTATACTCGGTGCTGTTGTCACATACATGAACTGCAAATATCTTCTCCTCCCCATGATTTCCTGTTCATTTTCTTACTGGTGGTCTTTCTGATAAATAGAAGTTCTCAAATTTAATATTAAGTTCTAATTTTATGGGTTAATGCTTTTTGGGTCTCAATAAACCTTTGCTTACTCCAAGATTACAAACTGTCCTAAGATTTCTTTGTAAAGCTTTCACATTTCATATTCAGATCTGCAATCCACCTCCAAATAACTTTTTATCAAATTACAAAATTTTATTGGCAAAGTACATTTACTGGAAAGAACACCCTTTCCCCCACTACACTTCAATGTCACCTTTCTCAAAACTCAGGTGATGGTATACACGTGGGTCTACTTTTGAATCTGTATGCTGTTCCACTAGTCAGTTTTTTCATCCTTGTGCCAAATTAACACCTTCATTATTTCTATGGCTTTATAACAGGTCTTGATATTTAGAAATTTCAATCCTCTCTGTCCATTCTACAGGATAGCCTTGACAATTATTCGACTTTTGAATATGCATATGAATTCTAGAATTAGCTTGTTAATTTACATTAAAGAACTTGCTAGGATTTTAAGGTTGCAATGAATTTAGGAAAAAGCAATAGTTTTGAGATTGTCCTGGAATCCTATCCCTCTCCTCCTTTGTAATTTTATTTTCTGGATACAGTTCTTCAAAGCATATTAACTCATTTTCTCCCTCTAGGCACTTGAGGGATCTTTGAAGTGGCATTGCTTTTCAAAATTTCATTTTCCATGTTTTTTGCTGGTATATCATAAAATGCTTTTTGCATAACTTTTATGCAGGGAACTTACCAAATTTACTCATGGCATCTGCAAATAGAGATTTATATTCTTTTTCGTTTTTAAAGTTTTACTTCTTTTCTAATCTCTATGCCTTTTGTTTCTCTTCCTTGCATTAGTTTTCTGGTTAGGTCCTTCTGAACAATGCCGAATAAAATCATTGACAGCAGATATCCTTGTCTTATTTTTATAATCTTAGGAGAAATGTTCACTATTTCATCATTAAGCATATTGTTTGTTGTAGTTTAAGTCTCTTTATGCAGTTAAGTAAGTCCCTTTCAATCCATCATTTGCTAAGATCATAAACGAACATTAATTGTACCACAAGAATGTTCTGCATGCCAGATTACTTTTCTACAGGTGGTGTATAATAGCAACTGACTTGTGAATATTAAGCCACCTTTGCATTCCTGGAACACAATCTATTTGATTACCATTTTACCTTTTCCCAGAACAAGTCCATCTTTGTTTTGTTTACCCAGTATCAGG
Source organism: Homo sapiens (assembly GCF_000001405.40). NCBI lineage: Eukaryota > Metazoa > Chordata > Mammalia > Primates > Hominidae > Homo > Homo sapiens. The sequence goes on along the minus strand of NC_000007.14, from coordinate 5,066,828 downwards.
TCATATGACCACTATAAAACAAGTTACTGGCAAAGAGAATGAAATCATTATTATTTTGACTAATCAGGATTCCCCTGTGTCATGTGAAGAAGTGGTAGGTACCTAAACTGTTCCAGCAAGAAATGGAGCGAGGACATTAAGTTAATTGATCAAAAAATATCTGCTAGAAACTTGAATCAATTTGTTCTGAAATACTGGGAAAAAGGAGAATGCACAAAACAATGACACTGTATTTGTACCAAACAGAAGTTTGTGAATAAAATTTCTAAATTACAAAATATTGGCACTAGGCACACTCAAACCTATGGGTTAAAAAACAAGGGTGGTGTGAGAGCTGGGGATATTTTAGAGTATGGGCAGTATGCTTGTTCTCTTTCACTGAAATAGACTTAAACAATTCCAAATTATGTATGTATAGTTTATCAAAATAGTCTTTTAGAAAATCTTATCTTACTCAGATGCAGTTGAAAACTTTACAAAACGACTGCCTCCTGTACTAATGAGGCATTTGTTAAAAACCCATTTGTAAATTCCTCTAAATAGAAAACTAGGTATTTTACCATTTTATACCTATTAAATATTATCTCACCAACAATATGTCCTGTCTTAATACATTTTGCCATCCTAATACTCAAATAAGAAAACTGCCTCTTCACAAGTCATCCAATTCCAAACTTGCATAGAATTACCATTAGATTGCATTTTTAAGACATGATAAAAAACGGCCATATACTTATTTAATGCTACTGTCCTCATGATCAACTCCTGACAATTTAAAAACTTCATTTTATACAATGAAGATTTATTCAGAGCTCATAGCCTCTGAGATCTTTCCTGTAAACACCTGATTTTCCATTAGAAATATGGCTTTTACAACAAATTTCCAAGACAATATATTTTCCACATTCACCATATTGACAGATTTTGCCTTTGTATGATTCCCTGATATGTAAATACAATTTGAATCCAAAATAAATATTAAATATTTATAAAACTTCACTCCTATATAAATTAGTGTCCGATGAGTCGTATGATCTTGCTGAAGGCTTTGCTTCTTGTTACATTCTTCGGGATTCTTCTCTGTGAAAATTTGGATTAAAATGACTCTAATGCCTAAATGCTTCTCACCGTTCAGGAACACGAACTCTCAGATAAACGCTTTGACTTCCTATTGGATTCCCCATATTCATTATATTCAGAGAGTTTTCTAAAAATTGAGATCTGACTTCAGAGATTTTCCACATCAAGTACGTTCATATTTCCTCTTCTATGAATTCTCTGATGGCTATTGAAGGCTGATCTGTGGTGGAATTTTTTCCCACACTCGTTACATTCATAGGGTTTCTCTCCTGAATGAGTTCTATAGTGTACAGTGAGGTATGACTTCTGAGAAAAGACTTTCCCACATTCATTACATTCATAGGGTTTCTCTCCTGAATGGCTTCTGTAGTGGACAGTGAGGTTTGACATCCGAGAGAAGACTTTTCCACATTTACTACATTCATAGGGTTTCTCTCCTGAATGAATTCGATGATGTATAGTGAGATATGATTTCTGAGAGAAGAATTTTCCACATTCGTAACATTCATAGGGTTTCTCGCCTGTGTGTACTCTTTGATGTCTGAAGAGGGATGAATTATGGGAAAAGGTTTTCCCACATTCGCTACATCCATAAGGTTTCTCTTCTGAATGACTTCTATAATGTTCAGTATAGTATGACAACTCATTGAATAACTTTCCACATACATTACATTCATAGGATTTCTCCCCTTTTGGAAGTGGCTGGTGCCCATCGAAGGCTGAATTTACAAGGAAGGTTTTCCCACATTCATTACATTCATAGGGTTTCTCTTCTAAATGAGCTGTATGATGGTCGGTGAGATACAACTGAGAGAACTTTCCACATTCACTACATTCATGGGATTTCTCTTCTGTGTGTACTTTCCGATGTCTAATGAAGGCTGAATTTAAATTGAAGGTTTTGCCACATTCATTACATTCATAGGGTTTCTCTTCTAAATGACTTCTATAATGTATAGTGAGGTATGACACCCGAGAAAAGAATTTCCCACACTCGCTACACTGATAGGGCTTCTCTCCCGTGTGTGTTCTCTGATGTGTAATCAGAGTAGACTTTCGGTAGTAGGATTTCCCACATTCATTACATTTATAAAGCTTCTCTCCCGTGTGAGTTCTCTGATGGTCACTGAGAGCAGACTTGCGGGAGAAGGATTTCCCACATTCGTTACATGGATAGGGCCTCTCTCCTGAATGATTCCTCTGGTGCAGGGTGAGATGTGTCTTTTGGCAGAAGGTTTTCCCACATTCGCTACATTCGTAGGGTTTCTCTCCTGAATGAGTTCTTAGGTGTTGAGTGAGGTGTAACTTCTGACAAAAGGTTTTCCCACATTCATTACATTTATAGGGCTTCTCCTCTAAGTGTGATCTCCGATGTACAGTGAGGGTTCCCTTTTGGCTGAAGGATTTCCCACATACATTACATTCATAAGGTTTCTCTCCTGTGTGAGCCCTCTGGTGGATGATGAATTTTGACTTTTTACAGAAGGATTTTCCACATTCACTGCATTCAAAGGGCTTCATTTCCATTTGTGATCTCTGATATGCATTAAAATTTGACATCTGTATGAAGTCTGGTCCAGAATCATTCCACTCATAGGGCTTCTCCCCTATGTAAGCTCTCTTATGAGCAATAAAAACAGCCTCATTGTCTAAGGCTTCCATGCATTCATTATATTCAAAGGGTTTCTCCAAAATACTAATTTTCTGAAGAATATTTTCTTCATTGTGAGAATAGGTATCCCCATTTTGATTAAATTCACACATTTTCTCTCCATGATATGTTTTCCCACATTCATTACACTCATCAGGTTTTGTCCTAGCATAGCTTCCATCACTACTAATTAATTGCGAAATAGATTCTAAATTCTTTCCACATGAGACACAATTATGAGCTATTATGCTTGAAGGAACAAGGCTTGTTTCCATGTAAATTTGACTAAATGTATTCTCTTTCTCTTCAGTCAGGGTTTTGCTATTGATACAAGCAGCTTGCCTTGAATGTTTGTCTTCGTTTTCTTGGATTCTCTCTATCAGGTCATCAACTCTCCAGGCTTCTAAAAAGGAAAAATAGTAAACAAACTTTGTAAATCTGAACACACTAGCTATGGAAAGGTACTGGTATTCAAGAGCCCCCATTGTGGGGTTGACTCTGGCTTTAGAGCCAATCTCCATAAATAAAAATAATTACAAATGCATAGTTCTCTTTTTCCTTTGGTTTGGAATACAAAACAGAAACACACACACACACACACACACACACACACACACACAGTGAAAGAATTAAGGTGAGACAGTGGTAGAAAATAGAAGAGTAAATTCATATTGAATACAGGTAACTTTGTTGCTTTACAAATATTATGTTTCAAACTTTGGTAGAAAAGGTGAAATAAAACCAAATGATGAGCAGAGAAGTGGTTGAAAGTACGTCAGATCCAGGCAAAGATGGGAGGACTTAGATCAAATGTGTTGTGGGAAGTCAGGGACCCCAAACGGAGGGACTGGCTGAAGCCATGGCAGAAGAACATGGATTGTTAAGATTTCATGGACATTTATTAGTTCCCCAAATTAATACTTTCATAATTTCTTATGCCTGTCTTTACTGCAATCTCTGAACATAAATTGTGAAGATTTCACGGACACTTATCACTTCCCCAATCAATACCCTTGTGATTTCCTATGCCTGTCTTTACTTTAATCTCTTAATCAGCTGAGGAGGATGTATGTCGCCTCAGGACCCTGTGATAATTGCGTTAACTGCACAAATTGTAGAGCACGTGTGTTTGAACAATATGAAATCTGGGCACCTTGAAAAAAGAACAGGAAAACAGCAATGTTTAGGGAACAAGAGAGATAACCTTAAACTCTGACTGCCGGTGAGCCGGGTGGAACAGAGCCATATTTCTCTTCTTTCAAAAGCAAATGGGAGATATATTGCTGAATTCTTTTTCTCAGCAAAGAACATCCCTGGGAAAGAGAATATGCGCCTAGGGGTGGGCCTATAGATGGCCCCCTTAGGTGTGGCCGTCGTCTATGGTCGAGACTGTAAGGATGAAATAAATCCCAGTCTCCCATAGTGCTCCCAGGCTTATTAGGAAGAGGAAATTACTGCCTAATAAATTTTGGTCAGACCGGTTGCTCTCGAAACCCTGTCTCCTGATAAGATGTTATCAATGACAATGGTGCCTGAAACTTCATTAGCAATTTTAATTTTGCCCCGGTCCTGTGGTCCTGTGATCTTGCCCTGCCTCCATTTGCCTTGTGATATTCTATTACCTTGTGAAGTATGTGATCTCTGTGACCCACACCTGTTTGTACACTCCCTCCCCTTTTGAAAGTCCCTAATAAAAACTTGCTGGTTTTGCAGCTTGTGGAGCATCACAGAACCTACCGACATGTGATGTCTCCCCCGGACGCCCAGCTTTAAAATTTCTCTCTTCTGTACTCTGTTCCTTTATTTCTCAAACCAGCCGATGCTTAGGGAAAATAGAAAAGAACCTACGTGACTATCGGGGCAGGTTCCCCGATACAAATGGGATCAGGAGGAACAAAAACAGGTGCTAGGTGTCCGTGCAAAGGAAAGACTCCATTATGGATTACATGTGGGAGACATCTATTACAATTTATATTAAACTGCAAGATATCACTTCATATCAAGACTACGATGGTGGCATCCCTTCCAAAATCCATGCCTTACTAGTCTGCATATAAATGCAAATAAGCATTCTGAATGCTTTGATTTCCTCACGTTTACAGAGAGGATTCACATTCATCTGGAGGAGAGATCCAGGCATGTGAATGTCCAAAAGAAACATAAGATAGACCAGAAGACAAGGTATCTGTTTTTTTTTTTGTAGATGGAGTCTCGCTCTATCACCCAGGCTGGAATACAATGGCACCATTTTGGCTCACTGCAACCTCCACTTCTCAGGCTCAAGCGAATCTCCTGCCTCAGCCTCCCAAGTAGCTGGGATTACAGGCACACGCCACCGCACCCAGCTAATTTTTGTATTTTTAGTAGAGATAGGGCTTCACCATGTTGCCCAGACTGGTCTTGAACTCTTGACCTCAGGTGATCCACCCACCTCAGCCTCCCAAAGTGCTGGGATTACAAACACGAGCCACCGTGGCCGGCCAGGGAATATCTTAAAAACAAGATCATGCCGGGCATGGTGGCTCATGCCTGTAATCCTAGCACTTTGGGAGGCCAAGGTGGATGGATCGCCTGAGCTCAGGAGTTTAAGACCAGCCTGGGCAACATGCAAAACCCTGTCTCTACTATAAAAAAAAAAAAAAAAGAAAAAGAAAAACAAAACAAAAAACCCAAGATCAGATCTTTGAAGTGTTTTGAAAGTCATATTTAATACTAGCTAACCTTCCTAGCCATTAAATTCTGCTTTCCCTGCTTGCACAATATAGCACAGTGGTTAAGAGCATGACCACCAGAGCAGGTCACCTCAGTTCAAACCCCCAACAATTTACTAACTAGGGCATTTGGTCAAGCTGTGTAACTGTGATGCAGTTTCACTCATCTGAAATGTGAATATGAGTGCCTAAATCATAGGGTTGTCAAAGGACTGAATTAGTACATGTAAACTGCTTAGAACAGTTTATAACATAAAACAAATGCTCATTAAGTTGAGCCATTAATTTTCTTTCAATTTGCTGACTTAAATTTCCTAAAACCAGTCATGTCTCTGTATAATTCTTTTACTTAATTCTGAATACAAACAAGAGTTCCCAAACTCCTGGGTTTCATTTGGTGTAAAATCTTATATCTCAGATTCCTAAAGCTGCCCCTATGATGTACTTTTATTTTTATGTATCTTACAAATTTTTGGATGCACAAACTATTTTTAGCTGCTATCACCCACATTCAATGCAACCCTGATGGTACTCTGCTCAGAAATCTACAACATCTCTGAGCTCCAGCACCCCAAACACCAACAGAAGAAACAGAAAGGTTATTAACGGGATTTTTCACTACTTGGACTCACAATATATATCCAAGCTAGCATTCCACTAATCTGTCAACATCTTCTGCTCCTGGAAGCCTAGGCTATGCCTTGCTTATTCTCAGCCACAAGTCTGTACTCGTGATCTTCCTCATTCAATTTGACTCCTGGTGTTGGCTATACTCAAAATCTATCTATACTTTGGGGGAAACTTGAAGACATTTATCAAATCTCTTCCCAGTTCATTGAATCTCTTTCCCTTACATTTTAAAATAGCTTCTTAAAGTTGCACAATGTGCATTGGAGTATAAATTATCCATGTGAAAGCTGAATTTTAAAGTAATTCATGCAGCTTTTATCTTATTTCCTAACCAAAACCTATGCCCTTGGAAAATATTCATATTTTCTTTGAATCTCTCTGAATAGAAATTAAAGTAGTTCCTAATCTGATGGGTGCTTACAGGTTCTAATCTAACCCCTATCTGTTTTATCAGAATCTGTGGTTCAGAATAAATGATCTCTTGATGGATTAATGATAAAGATCTTTCTTTTACCTAGCTCCTTGGTAAGTCAATAAAAACCTACTGAATGCCTACTGTATGTTGCATTATAAAAGCAAGAAGAGTAAAAAGGTCTTTCCTCTTTGGAGGACTATAATTCGGTAGAAGAAGCTCAAGCAACAAATATATGCACCTACCTCTCAGAGCATATAATCATTTAGAGTATATATTCCTATCAAAGCATAGAATCACAGAGCATATACTCCTATCAGAGCTTATACTCAGAGCATATAATCCTAACAGAGCATATACTCATAGAGCATACACTCCTATCACAGCATATAATCCTATCAGAACATATAATCTTTGAATATATAATCCCATCAGAGTTTATACTCATAGAGCATACACTCCTATCAGAGCATATAATCTTAGAATATATAATCCTATCAGAGCATATAATCACAGAGCACACAATCTTAGAGCTTATATTCATAGAGCATACACTCCTATCAGAGAATATGATCTTAGAGCATATAATCCTATCGGACTGTAAAATCATATCTAACTTTTTGAGGTAACAATCGCTGACTGGAATAGATATTAAGAGAAGGAAAGACTGGAGTGGTCAATGAACCATGAAGGAAACTTCAAGGAGCTAACCTTTTCAGTTCAAATGTAAAGCATAAAGTTCTAAAGTTTATTGCTCAACAATGCAAATACAGTTAACATTACTGTATACTTAAAAATGGTTATGATGGTAAATTGTATGTTATGTGTGGTTTTTTTTTTAATAAAAATATAAAAATTAGCCAGGCATGGTGGCGTGCGCCTGTAATCCCAGCTACTTTGGGAGGCTGAGGCAGGGGAATCGCTTGAACCTGGGAGGGGGAGGCTGCAGTGAGCCGAGATCATGCCATTGCACTCCAGCCTGGGCGACAAGAGTGAGACTCTGTCTCAAAATGGAAGGAAGGAATGAAGGAAGGGAGAGAGGGAGGAGAGGAAGAAAGGGAGGGAAAATATGTATTATGTGGGCAAGTAAAATGCAGATGAAGGAAAAGGACAATGATCATTTGAATGGAAGATGGATCCACTGAAATCCAGGTATGGGAGAATACTGAACACGAATGTCGAAAGAAACAGAATGTGCTGACGCTCTGCCAGGCATTTCACAGAAGACAAAGAACACAAACCATGGAGACAAGACTAGCACAATCAAATACTGGGAGGTGAGGAAGGTAGACAGAATTCATGATTTTGGAATGTGCACAGTTTATCATCAGACATTCTGAGAAAGAAGGAAGTGAACTATCTCCCTGGTAACTGCTATGTTGTCAAGTAAAATATTCAACTAGACTCCAGGTTAAAAGTGTCAGACGTATCAATTTGGAGGCAAGCTGCAAAAATACACAGGAAAAAAGGTCTTAGAAGGTGAGATTAGATAAACTCTTTTAAGGGATACAAAGAAAACCAAAAAAGTGGAAAACAGGTCCTAGGGGGACAGTCCTGAAAAGGCAAGAAAAGGAACCGACATTCACTTATGAAATTCACACTTCCTGAATGTCTACTATGGACAGAGCATGATTCCAGTTATGGGGAAGGGGAAATGAACACACAGACGGGTCATGAGCAGTGGGGAAAGAGACGAAGGCTGAGGGAGTGCTATAGCGTCACATCAACTGAGCATGGACTTTGGGAAATAACAGACACCACAAGCTGTGACTCAGTTCACAAGCATAGGTGGAGGATGAGGTTTTGGTATCTGAATGCCTAAAGAAGTAAATAAAATCGAGGGCAGAAAATAAGTCCAAGGTATTTTTAAAGCAAGGAAGGAAAGAAAATGGAAGATAAAAGGAATGAACATAAAAGTCTCAAGTTGATTTTTATGTCAGACTTCTGAATGCCCCAAAACAAAACAATTCTGTAAGGCCGGGAGCCTCAGGACTGTAATCTCAGCACTTTGGGAGGCTGAGGTGGGCAGATCACTTGAGGCCAGGAGTTCAAGACCAGTGTGGTCAACATGGTGAAACCCTGTGTCTACTAAAAATATAAAAATTAGCCAGGCGTGGTGGCATGTGCCTGTAATCCCAGCTACTTGGGAGGCTGAGGAAGGAGAATCGCTTGAACCTGTGAGGTGGTGGTTGCAGTGAGCTGAGATCATACCACTGCACACCAGCTTGGGTGACAGAACAAGATTCTGTCTCCAAAACAAACAAACAAACAAACAAACAAACCCAAAACAATTCTGTAATGGCAAGGGAGTAAATAAGTTACCAATAATGCTGGAGAAAGAGGAAGTGAATGGGTCTCCAGTACCGGTTAGAATGAAAAAATCCCTACCAATGTAAATCAAATGTAAAATCAACAAAAGAGTTCATGTATGTGTGCGGGAAGGAAAGTGATATTTGGGGGTTGGGAGGTGTTACTGAGGGTACTGAATACATATAAACAACTCTTTAGTCTCTCCCAAAGGTCTGGGATGAGCATTTTTTAACCTTTGATACGCTACTAACTTACCTGGACTATGTTGACATGGAAATTCACCTCCCATTATCCACGGCTCCTCTCCCTGCTCCAACTTAATGATGACGTTTGGCTTGGTGGTATCATATCCTGTTAATGGGAAAAGAAGGAGGACTTGGGGAAGCTGCTTGGCTTCAGAATCTCTGAAGTACAAGATGTTGCCACCTCATAAGCTGCATAACAGAAGTGCTCCATTTTTTACCTTATCAAAGTTAGAACCTTTCAATGAATAATAATATAAACACTCCAGCTAGTGCCCACAAGGAATTAAATGGTGTCATCACTTATTTCTTCAAACTCAAGGATAAAACCCCATTCAACTGAGAGCATTCAGAAAGCAAGCTATTCTCACCCACAGAAACTAGATGGCTATAGTTCTCCAACATCACATCCCTGTAAGTTATCTTCTCATCAGGGTCCAGCTGCTGCCACTCCTCCTGGGTGAAATCCACAGCCACATCTTTGAATGACACTGGCCCCTGTAATGGCAACATGATCAGAATTGGGAGATACGGAAAAGGGATAGGGGGATAACGTTTTACAAAGCCCACCGGTAAAGTTAACCATAAACATTGTATACCTTATTTTATGTTACAGATTATGGAAGGGAAATCATATTGGAAACACATATCCTTTGGGGTTATAATACATAATATATAAAATATATAATATATATAAATATATATAATATATATAAAAAATATATATATATTGCCCCACAAAAATAAAAACCCAAAACACAACTGAGCTCCTATTTTGCAAGTGAACTAGCTGAGCTTTGGGGACATGAGATGAGTGAAACACCATGCCTGCTCCCAAAGTGAACAACCTAAAAAGGAGATAAACATGTAAACAAACACAAGCATTTTACTCCTTGTCACTTCTTTTAGTCTTCCTTGCTGCCAGGCCCTCCCCTTGCCCTGGACCTCTTCATGTTGGAGTGCCCACCACTCAGCTCCTGGTCCTCTTCCTCCTAACTCACTGCTCTGGGGCTCTCACCTAGTTTCAGCTCCTTGTTCTTTTGGCTCTTTTATTCTCATAGCCAGTGGCCTCTGGCTATCTGCATGGCTGAGTTTTATCTCAAACATCTCAATCTTGGAGCAATAAATATTCGTTAAATGAATGAATGCCCAAAGCTGTTATTAGAGTAATGCAGACAAGGTGCAGAATGATTTAACAAAAGAGGATCAAATTATTTTAATTTTATGCCATCAGATTAGGCTTCACAGACTCAGTTAACTTGAAGTCTTTAAAGATGAATTGTGCATTCTATGGGATGAAGGGGAAGAAGAATATGATGAGGTGTACAAAGTACCAATGGCAAACGGGAAGCAGCTTCAATTTTTAAGTGGTTGGGGCTGGGCATGGTGGCTCATGCCTATAATCCTAGCACTTTGGGAGGCCAAGATGGGAAGATCGTTTGAGCTCAGGAGTTCGAGACCAGCTTGGGCAACATAGTAAGACCTCATCTCTGCTAAAAATAAATTAAAAAAAAAAAATTGGCTGGGCATCATGGCACACGCCTGTAGTTCTAGCTACTTGGGAGGCTAAGGCAGGAGGATCACTTGAGCCTGGGAGGTCAAGGCTGCAGTGAGCTGTGAATGCAACACTGCACTCCAGCCTAGGCAACAGAGTGAGACCTTGTCTCAAAAAAAAAAAAAAAAAAAAAGAAAAATGCAAAACTCCTGGGCTCCAGCAATCCACCTGCCTTGGCCTCCCAAAGTGTTGGGATTACAGGCTTGAGCCAGCACGCCCTGCCCAAACTTGTAGTTTAGAAAAAGGAAGTGCCCAGTAAGCAGGCTGCATTATCCTATTATTTATAAAGAACATATCAACAAGGGGTTCAAATCCAGTGATACAGCTAGGACCATGTAGATCCCAAGAGATAGCAGAGGCAGGGCCGCTAGGCTGTGGGCTGAGAAACTAAAGCAGAACATCCAAGCTTATCCACAGTCAGGCCACAGGAGCTGATAAAATCACCGAGAGAGAGTAATAACCTTCTGGGTTAAGTTAGTCCAGAAGGCAAGGAGGTAGTAGGGGTTAGAAGACTGATCAACCAATAAATAACATAAAATTACATGCCAATACCACTTACATCAATACAAAAACCCAAAATGAAACATAATCAAACAAAATCCAGTACCAGATTAAAAACATAATATACAATAGCCAAATGGGACTTATTCCAATAATATAGACTAGTTTAATATTTGGAAATCTATTAATATGATAAGCCACTATAACACAGCAAAGAAGAAAAATCTTGTATCCGTGAAGATACCTGAAAAAGCTTGACAGAAAAAGCTGATTTAAAAAAACAAACTAAAGAAAATAGAAACTGATGGATACTTCATTAACATCAATAACATGTATATACACAAATATAAATATTGCACCCTAATATGCAATAGTATGTATGATATATATGTGACATATGTATTTCAATTACACACAAGCACATATATATACAGTTTGTGTGTATATACACGCACGCACACACACACACACACACACACACACACACACATTTATGCCTCAGTCTTCTCGGTCCAAAAGTCAGGATTTTACTTAACAGGGAAAAACTACATACCTTCCTACTAAGATCAAGAACAAGGTATTAATAAAATGCTCATTATCTACAATTAGAGAAGATAAAACAATTAGAGGAATATAACTAAGAAAAAGTAAAAGTGCTCGGGCACGGTGGCTCACGCCTGTAATCTCAACACTTTGGGAGGCCGAGGCGGGCAGATCACCCGAGGTCAGGAGTTCAAGACCAGCCTGGTCAACATGGTGAAACCCCCATCTCTACTAAAAAACAAACAAACAAAAAAAATTAGTTGTATTATTAAGGTCAACTTACCCTACCTAGGGTAAGTCAGTTACCCTAAATTACTTTATAAATATGCAACCCCAGTAAAAATACCAAAAAGCTTTTTCCTGGAACTAGATAAGCTGACACTACAGTTCATATGAGGTGGAAGAAAATCAAAAACAGCTCAGGGAAAAACACCATTTGGACATGGACAAAACTGGATCCAGGCCAGGTGCAGTGGCTCATGCCTGTAATCCCAGCACTCAGGAAACTGAGGCAGAAGGACTGCTTGAGGCCAGGAGTTTGAGACCAGCCTTGGCAACATAGCAAGACCCTGTCTCTACAAAGAAAAAAATATATATATTAGAAAAAATATATATAGAGAGAGACATGAGGACTTCTGCCCTCAGTTGTGATAAACTAACAGGTACTGGATATACCCTCCAACCTGAAATGGCACATAACAAAGAACAGCAGCAACAACAAAATCAAAAACAGAAAGAAAAATAAAACGGAGAACATATATGAAGCAATGGTTTTTTTTTTTTTTTTTGAGGCAAAGTCTCACTCTTGTCTTCTAGGCTGGAGTGCAATGGCACAATCTTGGCTCACTGCAACCTCCGTCTCCCGGGTTCCAGCGATTCTCCTGCCTCAGTCTCCCAAGTAGCTGGGATTACAGGCGTGTACCAGCATGCCTGGCTAATTTTTGTATTTTTAGTATAGAAGGGGTTTCACTATGTTGGCCAGGCTGGTCTCAAACTCCTGACCTTGTGATCTGCCCTCCTTGGCCTCCCAAAGTGCTGTGATTACAGGTATGAGCCACCACGCCCGGGCTGAAGCAATGGTTTTCAAGGCACTGATTATCAGGCAGTAGAGTTATCTATGAGTGATGGGAAATAAACAAGGTGAACCAATCAACTTCTGCCTTGAGTGTTTCCAGGCCACAGAGCAGGGAAGAAGAACAGAGACAGATGTGAGGTGTAAGAGTTGCGAGATGGGAAAATGGGCAGGAAATTACAACCATAAGGAAGAAAAGAATCAGTCCATCAAAACTGGCCCAGAATTGACAGAGTTTACAACCCACACAGAGCACTGAGAGAGTTCATCATTCTATTCCACATGTTCAAAAAAATTGAGACAGGCAAGATGTAAAAAAGACCCACGCTAACCTTCTACAGATAGAAACTACAATATCTGAGATGAAAATTATACTGGACAAGATTAACAGCATCGTGGAAAAAAGAGATTAGTGAATATAAAGACAGCAACAGAAGTTACATAAAATGAAACAGAGAAAAAAGAATTAAAAGCAAATAAAGAGCAACAGTGTGTTGTGGGAAAATTTCAAGTGGCCTAATATACAGGCAACAAGAATCAATGGAGGGGAGGTGGTGGGTATGTGAAGAAATAATGATAAAAATGTTCCCAAAGTGATGACACCATAAACCCAAGATCCAAGAAGTTCAGTGATCCCCAAAACAGAAACATGAAAAAAATGATACCATGACATATTGCAATCAAATTACCCAAAACTAGTGATAAAAAGTTTACAACATAAGGGGGGAAAGAAAAAAAGACATGTTATATACAGGGGAACAAAGATGAATATGAGATCAGATTTCTCTTAGAAAAAAATGTAAGCAGGAAGACAATAGAGAAACATATTTAAAGCACTGTGGAGAAATATCCAGCAGAAACACCTTTAAAAGCTAAGACACAATGAAGACATTTGCAGACGTACAAGAATTCATCAACTAGAAGAAATGTTAAAGAAAGTCCTTGAGGCAGAAGTAAAATGACAGCAAATAAAAATTTAGATTTACACAAAGGAATGAAGAGTACCAGAAATGGTAACTGTGTATTTTCTCTCATTACTTAAATCTTTTTAAAAGATAACTGGGCTGGGTGTGGTGGCTTACACCTGTAATCCCAGCACTTTGGGAGGCTGAGGCAGACAGGTCACCTGAGGTCAGGAGTTTGAGACCAGCCTGGCCAACATGGTGAAACCTCATCTCTACTAAAAATACCAAAATTAGCCGGGTGTGGTGGTGGGTGTCTGTAATCCCAGCTACCCGGGAGGCTGAGGCAGGAGAATCACTTGAACCTGGGAGGCAGAGGTTGCAGTGAGCCAAGATCGCACCCCTGCACTCCAGCCTGGGGGACAGAGTGAGACTCCAACTCAAAATCAATCAATCAATCAATCAATCAATCAATCAAAGATAACTGTTTAATTAACAACAACGTAATAGATTCTGTGTGGCACTGATACCACCTGTAAAAATAAAATGAACAACGGTGTAAAGACCAAGAGGAGAGAAATGAAAGTATCCTATTGTAAGCTTCTCTTACTCTAAGAAAAATGGTATATCACTTAAGAATAAACTATGATAATTAAAGTTGCATACTATAAATTCTAACTCACTAAAATAACAAAACAGTGTGATAGCTAAAAACTCAACAAAAGATATAAAGTAGAATCATAAAAAATTATCAATTAATCAAGAGGAAGGAAGACAAACAAAGACATTTTAAAAAGAAACAAAGAAGATGAGACTAAAAGAAAGCAAAGGCAATGGACTATAACCTAACTAGTTTTATCAATAATTACATTACATGTAAACAGTCTATACATCCCCAATTATGAGGCAGAAATAGACTGATGAAAACAAGCAAGATCCAAATCTTGCTGCCTACAAGAAATAATACTTTAGATATAAAGATGCAAATACGTTATAAGTAAAAGGATGGAATAAGATATACCATGCATGCATTACTCAAAAGAATGCTACATAAATAACAAAGTACATTTCAGCCTGGAATACTAGCAGGGATAAGGAAGGCCATTTTACAAAGTGGTTAATTAATCAACAGGATGTAATAACCTTGAACATTTATGTATCTAATATAATACATAAAGCAAAAAGTGGTAAAATTGCAAAGAGAAAGAGAACCACAAATGCAGCAGATTTCAATCCCCTCTCCCCAACAATTGATACAAGTAGGCACACAATCAACAAGGATATAATACACCTGAACAACACAACCAACCAACTTGATCTCATTAACATTTATCAAACACTCCACCCAACCAGAGCAGAACAAGCCATCTTCTCAAGCATGCACAGAAGTTTCCCAAGACAGATCCTATTCTGAGCCATAAATTTAAGAGGTCCCATGTAGTGTTCCAGACAAAAATTCACCAACTAAATCTAATCATGAAGAAAGATCAGGGAAACCTAAATTTAAAGACTTCTATAATATCATTGGCCTGTATTCTGCAAATATTATAATGGCACTGAGGAACAAATCCGTATTAAACAGCCTTAAAAAGCATGAAAACTAAAGGCAATTGACAGTCCTAGACTGAATCTTCTACCAAAAATTAAAAATTGCTATAAAGGAAATTATTGGGAAATTGGCAAAACTGGAAAATGAACTACAGTTTAGATAAAAGTATTAAATCAATGATAAATTTCCTGAATTCAATTACTGTGCTATGGGTATTTAATAGAAAGTTCTTGATTTTATGAGATATAATCTAAAACTTTATAAGGTAAAGAGGCATGACAAATCATACCCACTCTCAAACAGTTCAGAAAAAAAATATATAAAAATATGTACACACATATATGTATATATGCATATAAATGATTAATGTGGGAAAATGTTAAGAATGAAGTATCTGAACAAAAGGAAGTAGCTGGGATTTCTTTGTAAAATCCGTGCAATTTTTCTGAAAATTTGAAATGATTTCAAAATAAAATGCTGAACAGAAAATAATGCTATCAAATATATATTGTATGTATAGATTTGCTATCAAATATATCAAATATATTTCAAAAGGACTCAGAAACCAACTTAAAGGGATTTTGTCTGGCCAAAGATGGAGCCATTTAATTTTCAAAAAGAATCACAACTTTGATGTACTGAAATATTTACTATCTGTTTAAACCCACGAGCTCATAATGGTAACAAAACAAAAAAACCTTCCTGCTTAGAAGCCTACTCAACATTTTAGAAACTGTCTTTCCTGCATGAATTACATAACCAAATAGAGAACAGAAATTTATCTTTAGAAAAGTATTCTAGGCCAGCTGTGGTGACTCATGCCTGTAATGCCAACACTGGGAGGTCAAAGAAGAGGATCACTTGAGCCCAGGAGTTCAAGACCAGCCTGGGCAACATAGCAAAACCTGTCTCTACTAAAAATTAAAAAATTCGCTGGGCATTGTGGCACATGACTATACTCCCAGCTACTTGGGAGGCTGAAGTGGGAGGATCACTTGAGCACAGGAGTTTGAGGCTGCAGTGAGCCGTAAACACGACAGCCTGGGTGACAGAGTGAGACTCTGTTTCCAAAAAAAGAAAAGAAAAGAAAGGTATTTTGGCTAGTAAATAAAGAAGAAATGGTAGAATTAGCACATCACCATTTTGCCTCCCCTAATGAACTAGTAAATCACAGCAATAATCAACAGTCAATAGTTCTTAAGTTCACAAAAACAAAGAAGGTAACACATGCCTCCAGAAGTAGACAAATGCCACGTACGGTACAGCTGTGTGAAAAGAATTGAACATAAACCTGATTAGACTTCCAGATCAAACTACCAATTTAACAAGGCATAAAAGATATATTTTTTAAATGTGCTAAAGGTGAAACAAGGGTAACACAATCCAAACTGAGGATAACCAACCCAGTTTCTTCAAAACAATGAGCACGCAAGAGACATAATATAGGAACTATTAAAAGATTTAACCCAATTGCCACATGTATTAAGAGAGTATTATGGGTTATTCCTAGCCCCTTTCAAAAAGATTCCTTATTAGCCAGGTGTGGTGGCTTACACCTGTAATCCTAGCACTTTGGGAGGCCAAAGTGAAAGGATTGCTTGAGGTCAGGAGTTTGAGACCAGTCTGAGCAATACAGTGGGAATACATCTCTAGGCTGGGAGCAGTGGCTCACGCCTGTAATCCTAGCATTTTGGGAGGCCGAGGCGGGCAGACTGCCTGAGCTCAGGAGTTCAAGACCAGCCTGGGTGACATGGTGAAACCCAGTCTCTACTAAAATATAAAAAAATTAGTCGGGTGTGGCAGCTTGCGCCTGTAGCTATGCAGGAGGCTGAGGCAGGAGGATCGTGTGAGCCCAGGAGACTGAGGTTGCAGTGAGTTGTGATCACGTCTCTACACTCCAGCCTGGGTGACACAGCAAGACCCTATCTCAAAAAAAGAAAAAAAGAAACAGAACAAAACAAAACAAAACAGACTTCATCATTTAAAGACAAGCAGAAATACTTACAGACGAATCTTTTTAAAAGCCAAGAAAAGAGAGACTCCATGGAGAAAGTATCAGTTTGGAAGTAACAGATGTCAAAGGCAGACAAAGGGTCCTGGGAGGTAGGGGCTAGGAAATCCCCTCTGGATTTGACTGCAATGAAATCACTGGTAATCTTTACAGACTGACTCAGCAACGTGAAAAGGACAAAACTAAAACACTGAGAACTGAAATGAGAAACAGAAATGAGGAAATCTTCACAAGAGAGTAACTGTATTGTTTGCTGTGCAACCCAAACTGAAAGACGAACAAATATTTGAAGGATGATCATGTCATTCATTCCCCCCATGATCTAGGACTCAACAGTAAAAACAGAATTCTGTCTACTGGGATCACAATGTTTCCTTCCCTGGAAAAATTATATGCACCAAGTTCTCCTTGGGCAGCAGGCAGGCCCTCTGCTTACATAAGCACCAAGAATAAGCCATAAGTTATGGTAACTTAATGGTTGTTATTAGGAAAGCTATCCGCAATTATATCAACTTGAATGAAGAAATTTTTCCAAGTCCTAGAAAATCTTTTAAATCCACAAGTAACAAAGTTGGTTTCTCCTTATAATGAATGCAAATGATGTCATGGATGGTGATATGGTTTCGCTTTGTGTCGCCAACCAAATCTCATGTTCAATTGTAATCCCCAATGTTGGAGGTGGGGCCTGGTGGGAGGTGATTGGATCATGGGGGCAATTTCCCTTTTGGTGCTGTTCTCCTGACACTCAGTGACTTATCACAAGACGTGGTTGTTTAAAAGTGTGTAGCGCCTCCCCCTCCCTCTTCCTCCTGCTCTGGTGATGGAAGATGTACCCGCTTTCCCTTTGCCTTCCACCATGACTGTAAGTTTCCTGAAGCCTCCCCAGCCATGCTTCCTATGATAGAGCCTGCAGGCGTGAGCCAATTAAACCTCTTTTCTTTATAAATGACCCAGTCTTGGTTATTTCTCTATAGCAGTGTGAGAATGGACTAATACAGATGGCATTTTCCTTTTGTGATGACTGCCAAGAATATCAGTCCTGGGTGCGGCTCAATTTCAACAGCCTTAAAATCTACTATCCACACATACAAGCTTCACAAATCATTTTTGGTGCTGATCTGCCACACTAACTATATTTTACAGGACAATGTCTATTTCCACATTCCCATTTTAAAGTATGAATCCTGGCTGGGCGCGGTGGCTCATGCCTGTAATCCCAGCACTTTGGGAGGCTGAGGCAGGAGGATCACCTGAGGTCAGGAGTTTGAGACCAGCCTGGCCAACATGGTGAAACCCTGTCTCTTCTAAAAATACAAAAAATTAGTTGGGCATGGTGGCGCACGCCTGTAATCCCAGCTACTCGGGAGGCTGAGGCAGGAGAATCGCTTGAACCCAGGAGGTGGAGGTTGCAGTGAAGCGAGATCATGCCACTGCACTCCAGCCTGGGCAACAGAGCAAGACTCCATCTCAAAAAAAAAGAAAAAAAAAAAGGTAAGAATCCTTACAAACCTCTTAAAATGCATCATAAAATAAAGTTGAGGAACATATACACAAGCATGAAAACTCACCTGCAATGTGTTCATTTTCTGCTGCTCTTGGAAACGTGCAGAGACTGTGGCTGGTAGACCTAGAGGGGGAGAAGCAGGTCACTGAAGTCATGAGTGCTCTGGCCTGCAAAGGCAGGAATCTCCTGCGTAAGAACCACAAAAGAAAGCTCAATAGGCTAACACCCTGTGAACACTCAGCCTGCAAACACTCAGAAGGGCCTAAAAGAGTGATACAGGGTTTCGCCATGTTGGCCAGGCTGGTCTCGAATTCTGGCCTCAAGTGATCCGCCTTCCTTGGCCAATATGGCGAAACCCCATCTCTACTTAAAAATAACAAAAAAATTAGCCAGGCATAGTGTCACATGCCTGTAGTCCCAGCTACTCAGGAGGCTGAGGCACAAGAATCCTTTGAACCTGGGAGGTGGAGGTTGCAGTGAGCCGAGACCACACTGCTGCACTCCAGACTGGGTGAGAGACACTGTCTCAAAAAAAAAAAAAAAAAAAAAAAAAAGAGAGTGAAAAAGAGTGATAGGCGAAGCATGCACTTGTAACTTTGTAACTCTAAGATAATCAGGTAGTAATCAGATGAGTGAGACTCTCATGGGTAACATGACTCCTTTTACAAATAGTCTGCCATCATCAAATACAACCTGCAAAAAGAAAAAAAAAATTCCCATTATACAGCTCATGTTTTTTGTGGTTTGTCTGTTTGTTGAGACAGGGTCTCAATCTGCCACCCAGGCTGGAGTGCAGTGGTGCATTCACAGCTCACTGCAGCCTCGACCTCCTGGCCTCCATTGATCCTCCCACCTCAGCCTCCTGAGTAGCTGGGACCACAGGTGCATCCCAGCATGCCTGGCTACTTTTGTATTTTTTGTAGAGTCAGGGTCTCCCTATGTTGCCTAGGCTGGTCTCTAACTCCTGGTCTCAAGGGATACTCTTGCCTTAGCCCCCGCAAAGTGCTGGGATTACAGGTGTGAGCCACTGCATCCGGCCCGCATTTTCTTATTGTCTCTTTAAACTGCTTAAAATCAAAGAAGCCATAGGAATTGAGTATGTGAGCTCTCAGAAATGAAATGAATGTGTATAAAATATGGTTTTGTTTCTAAATTATCTAACTGAACTTGGTTATTGCTGCACCTAATAATCTTCTATTAAGAAAACTAGGATACGGGAGAAAGAACACTGGCCTGGGAGATAAGACTCCTGAGTTCTACTATGAGCAACTCTACCCACAAAGCCAGTGACCCGGTCAAGTCACCCACCTGCTAAGGCCCAGTCTCTTCCCCTAGCAACTGAGGCAGCAAGAGAGAATCCCTGCAGACTGTTCCTGCATTACTACCAGTCTCCAGGGCAGATCTAAGGGGGGAATCAGCAGACACTTAAATGAGAGAACAGAGGCGCTGACGGACGTTTAGAGGAGGTCGAAATCTGGAGCACGGAAAGGAGGAGGAAGGGCTGTTAGGGGTTAGCGGGGAGTGGAGACGACGTCCGCAGCTGAGGCTGGTGACACCCTCCAGGCCCCCATAAGCCTCGTCCTCCCAGATTTCCCATGCAGCGCCTGTTCGGTGCAGCCGGACCCTGCCCTCAAACCCAAACACACGTCTCTCCTGCAAGCGATCGAGACCCTCCCCCTGCCCCACACTCTAAGGTCCCCAACACACGGTGACTTCACTCAGGCCCTTCTCGCTCCGGGCCCGAAAACCCAAGACCTACCCTTCTGGGGCTCCGCAGCCTCTGCCCCACGGCTCCCGAGAGGCCGGGGCGGGGCTGCTGTCGCTGGCGCGCGTCTGCTCGCGAGGTCCCCTCCTGTCCACCTCACTAAGGTTGTTCTGCTCCCGAGGGGCCCGGGCCGGGCCTAAGGGGCAAATCCAGGCGGGTGTCCTTCCCGGGACCCAGATCCGCCTCCCTCGGGCTCACCGTACAGCGGCAGCCTGGGCCAGGCCGCCAGGACACACACGGGCCAGGCCCGCGTCCCGCCGCCCCTTCGCCTCCGCCGCCACCTCCGCCACCTCCCGTCCGGCCCCTCTGGCCCCAGCGCCGCCGGCTCCGGGGCTCAAGCTCGGGGGTCCCCGCTCAAGCCTCCACCCGGCCCGCGCGAACCCTGGCCTGCACACCCCCGCGCCCGCCTAGGTGCTGGCCCGGGCGCTCAACCTCCAGCCCCGCAGGCTCCGCGATTCTCGTCCACTGGAGGCCAAAGCCTGGGAACTAGAGCAAGCGGTGACCTGAGGACGCACAGGAAGCGAGGGCAGTGCAGCGGCGGCGCGCATGCGCGAACACGCACACAGAGAGAGGTGCACACGCGCAGGAGTGCACCGGAAGTCAGCCTCCGGGGCCCACAGCTGGTCCCAGGACAAGCACCCTACTCTATTTCCCATGAGCCTACGCGCCCCCCAAGTTTAGGGGCCGTTTTAAATGTCTCTACCCTGCCTAAAGGTTAAGAAGCTCCAGGCTATGAGCTTTGGGAGCTCTGAACCCCTGATTGAACTTCGCATTTGTCTTTACTCCCTTTTAGGGTCAAGTCCAGGGCTGCCTGACTGGGTCCTGGAGCCCAAGGCCTCTGGGTTAGAACCGAGTTTCCCATAAAGAGAAGGAAAGGAAAGGGTGTATCGTGGTCACTGCGCTGAAATGCTAAGAGAAGTTTCACTCAAATACTAGGACAGGATAAATGCCCAGCGATGCTTTCCAAGGAAGAGAAAGAAAATAGAATTTGTGGCTGGGCGCGGTGGCTCACGCCTATAAATCCCAGCACTTTGGGAGGCCGAGGCGGGCGGATCGCGAGGTCAAGAGATAGAGACCATCCTGGCCAACATGGTGAAATCCCTTCTCTACCAAAAATACAAAAATTAGCTGGGAGTAGTGGCGTGTGCCTGTAATCCCAGCTACTCGGGGGCTGAGGCAGGAGAATAGTTTGAACTCGGGAGGTGGAGGTTGCAGTGAGCCGAGATCGCGCCCCTGGACTCCAGCCTGGCGACGGAGCGAGACTCTGTAGCTTTTCTAGATCACACAGCGAATGCCTAAAAACTGTAGAGAAATCAGGAAATACACAGATCGAACGAAGAAAAGAGATACCTGTGATCTCACCTTCCCCAGGAGGATTATGTTTAGGGTTAGGTTATGTTGACCAAAAAGACTCAAAGTCTGTCAAGAGTTTTATTCTGGGCCTCCTACTTGAGTGACCATGGCTGGTGACACAGCCTCAGGGGGTCCTGAGAACGTGAGCCCAAAGTGGTTGGGTTACAGCTTGGTTTTATACATCTTAGGGAGACAGCAGTTACAGGCAAAGACATAAATCAATACATGAGAGGTACACATTGGGTCAGCCTGGAAAGGCTTTCAGGTCACTAGCAGATTCAAAGATTGGCAGTTGGTTCAGAGTTAAGCGTTGGCTGAACAGTTGGAAAACGACATGAAGAAATGGGCCATTGCGGTGGCTCATGCCTGTGATCCCAGCATTTTGGGAGGGTGAGCTGGGAGGATCCCTTGAGGCCAGGAGTTGAAGGACAGCCTGGGCAACACAGCGAGACCCCCACCTCTACAAAAAAAAAAATTATCCAGGTGTGGTGGTGCATGCCTGTAGTCCCAGCTACTCAGGAGGCTGAGATGGGAGGATTGCTTGAGCCTGGGAAGTTGAGGCTACAGTGAGCCATGATGGTGCCACTGCACTCCAGCTTGGGCAACAGAGAAGAAAAGAAAGAGAGAAAGAGAGGGAGGAAAAGAGAGAGAGGAAGGAGGGAAGGAAGGAAAAGAAAGAGGGAGGGAAAGAAAAGAAAAGCTTGAGTTAAGATAAGGGGCATTGTGGAAACCAAGGTTCTTGTTATGTAGATGAAGCCTCAGAACAGGCTTCAGAGAGAATAGATGATAAATATCTCTTATTGGATCTTAAAAGGTGTCAGAATCTCCAGAAAAGACTTCTTTTCTGTAAGGGAAGGAGATTCTCTACAGAATGCAAATTTCCCCCAAAGAGATGGCTTTGCAGGACTATTTTAAAGTGTGTCAAAGAAAATATATTATGGGATAAAATACTATGATTTCCTTCAGGGACTGCTATCTGTCATGTGATGCTATATCAGAGTCTGGATGGAGTTGGGTATCTTACTGATACAAAGAGCCTGTTCTGTCAGTCTTATGATCTGTATTCTAGTGTTAATGTTGGTCAGCTGTGCCTAAACTCTGAAGGGAGGAGAGTATGACAAGGCATGTCCGACCCCCTCCTTCCCATCATGACCTGAATTAGTTTTTCATGTTTATTTTGGATCTTGCTGGCCGACAGGGGAGTCCATTCAGTCAGTTGTGGGGGCTTAGAATTTTATTTTTGCTTTACAATTAAAATGTCAGTTTTCAAAAATGGGATCATAAGGACAATGATTCATCACAATTTTTTGGTGAACTCTAACAGTGTTCTTAGTGTTCTTGCCCAGTTGTTTCATAAAAACTGGTAAGGAAAAGACTAAAAATAAATTCTTCTGATGCCAGGAACCGTGGCTCATGCCTGTAATCCCAGCACTTTGGGAGGCTGAGGCAGGTGGATCATGAGGTCAGGAGACCAAGACCATCCTGGCCAACATGGTGAAACCCTGTCTCGACTAAAACACAAAAAATTAGCTGGGTGTGGTGGTGCGCGCCTGTAGTCCCAGCTACTTGGGAGGCTGAGGCAGGGCAATCACTTGAACTGGGAGGCGGAGATTGCAGTGAGCCGAGATCACGCCACTACACTGCAGCCTGGCGACAGAGCAAGACTCCACCTCTAAATAAATAAATAGATAAATAAATAAATTCTTCTGTTAACCTAGAATATTCTCTCCACAAATTCAGAAAATAAAGAAAACAATTTTATTATTGAATAAACATTAAACCAAACTGTGATGCCCATCGCAGGTGATCCATTAATGAGATGCAAAGAGAAATAAAGCCTCCTTTTTTTTTTTTTTGAGACAGAGTCTTGCTGTGTCACCCAGGCTGGAGTGCAGTGGTATGATCTCGGCTCACTGCAACCTCTGCCTCCCCAGTTTAAGCGATTCTGCTGCCTCAGCCTCCCAAGTAACTGGGACTACAGGCACATGCCACCACGCCTGGCTAATTTTTTGTATTTTTAGTAGAGACGGGGTTTCGTCATGTTAGCTAGTATGGTCTCAAAATCCTGACCTCTCAATTCGCCCGCCTAGGCCTCCCAAACTGCTGGAATTATAGGCGTGAGCCATGGCGCCCAGCCAAAGCCTCCTTTTTACATAGCCTGGCAGACATGATCCACTGCATACACGCTCTCAAGATAAACGGTAACTCATCCTCATGTAAAAGGACTTGCTATGTTTTTTTTTTTTTTTTGAGACAGGGTCTCATTCTGTCATCCAGGCTGGAGTGTAGTGGTGTGATCTTGGCTCACTGTAACCCCCACCTCCTGGGTTCAAGTGATTCTCATACTTAAGCCTCCCGAGTAGCTGGAATTACAGACATGTGCCATCATGCCCAGCTAATATTTGTATTTTAGTAGAGACAGAGTTTCGCCATATTGGCCAGGCTGGACTCAAACTCCTTCTTTTGATTTCTGTGTGGCTTCAAGTGATCCGCCCATCTCGGCCTCCCCCAGAGTGCTGGGATTACAGGTGTGAGCCACCGCACCTGGCCTGCTATGCATTCTTAAACACTCATCCTAAATTCACCTGGAAATCAAGGTGGCCACCCATGCTAGTTAATTACCTGTATCCGGTGAAAAAACAAAACTTCTCATATCTCCTTGACAAGCAGGTAGTAACAGCTCAAGGTGCCTAGGCTAAACTCCCTAGGCAACAGGAAGATAGGGACACTATCTTCCTCGAGGTTTACATTTCAAAGACAAGACTCTCAGGCTCTTAAGAAAAAAATTCCTGGGTTGTGGCTGGGCGTGGTGGATCAGGCGGGTAATCCCAGCACTTTGGGAGCCTGAGGTGGGTGGATCACCTGAGGTCAGGAGTTCAAGACGAGCCAGACCAACAAGGTGAAACTCCGTCTCTACTAAAAATACAAAAATTAGCCAGGCGTGGTGGCAGGCGCTGTAGTCTCAGCTACTCAGGAGGTTGAGACGGGGGAATTGCTTGAACCCAGGAAGTAGAGGTTGCAGTGAGCCGAGATCACACCACTGCACTCCAGCCTGGGTGAGAGTGAGATTCCGTCTCAAAAAAAAAAAAAAAAAAAAAAATTCCTGGGTTGTAGTGTTGGCAAGAAGTTCATTCACCTTTTTAAAAGATTTAGATACATGTCAAAGGCACAAAAGTTATTTATATTACCACGTTTATCAAGGAAATACTCTTTAAAAAGGAGAGGAGAAAAGGTTAATTTACCTTGTGGCAAATAAGACAAATTTAATCTTTTTTTTTTTAGAAAACCCGTACAGTGAGGGCTGGACACAGTGGCTCACATCATCTGTAATCCCAGCAATTTGGGAGGCCAAGGCAGGCAGATTGCTTCAGGCCAGGAGTTCGAGACCAGCCCAGGCAACATGGCGAAACCCCATCTGTACTACAAATACAAAAATTAGCTGGGCATGGTAGTGTGTGCCTATTGTCCCAGCTACTCTGGAGGCTGAGGCATGAGAACCGCTCGAACATGGGAGGCAGAGTTTGCAGTGAGCCAAGATTGAGCCACTACAATCCAGTCTGGGTGACAAGAGTGAAACTGTGTCTCAAAAAACAAAAAACAAAAAAACAAAAACAAAGAGCCTCTTTTCCATCTCCCTGCCACAGAGTAATTTCATTTGCTTTTTTCCTCAGGGTTTACTGGGTTTCTGGGTTCCAGAAGGGGAAATTCTCTTCAAGGTACAGAAACCACAACTCTGCAGAGAACCGCAGAGATGGCAGCATGACCAGACCCCGGTCAGGTGTGGGGAGGCTGCTGGGCTGAGACTTGGGCTGAACTTCCTCTGCAGGTCGACTTATTCCCATCAGCACCAAAGCCGCTGGAGGAGGTCATCCAACAGCAAAGGAAGCAGGGAGCGCAGCTTGGAGGCTGTTTCAGATAGTCTCACTGAGCCAAGGACTCAAGGCCTGGCCACAGCCCTCCCAAGTGAGGCCCAGATCATATTTCACTATGCTCAGAAAACCTTGTCTACGGCCGGGCTCGGTGGCTCACGCCTGTAATCCCAGAACTTTGGGAGGCCAAGGCGGGCAGGATCACAAGGTCAGGAGATGGAGACCAGCCTGGCTAACACGGCGAAACCCCGTCTCTACTAAAAATACAAAAAAATTAGCCGGGTGTGGTGGCAGGCACCTGTAGTCCCAGCTACTCGGGAGGCTGAGGCAGGAGAATAGCGTGAACCTGGGAGGCGAAGCTTGCAGTGAGCCGAGATCACGCCACTGCACTCCAGCCTGGGTGGCAGAGCAAGACTCTGTCTCCAAAAAAAAAAGAAAGAAAGAAAGAAAGAAAACCTTGTCTGCTCATTTTAGTCCATAGTGACTTTGCTTTCTTAGGATCTCTCTTACACTGTTCAACCCAGAGAGTTCCAAATCTGAATGGATTCCAATGATGGGGTTAAATCAGGCCCCACCTCAGTTTCTGAATTACAATCAATAGGGCCAGGTCCCAGCATCTATATCTTAATGTTCCTCCATGTGATCCTCGTGCTGAAAGGCTGGTATTTGCAAATCCCTTCTTGTGGGGAGTGAAGAGTTTTTTTAGAGACAGGCCTCACTCTGAGGCCCAGCCTCGAATGCAGTGGTGGGATCACAGCTCACTGCAGCCTCCAACTCCTGGCTGCAAGAAATCCTCCCACCTTGGCAACCAAAGTGTTGGGATTGTAGGAGTGACCGCTGTGTCTGGCCAGGAAAGCCCTTCTGTGTCACTTGAATGATATTTCTGCCGCATACCTGCAGCCATTGCTGTATTCAACTGCATCACTGCGGGAAAAGAGAAGGCGAGAGGTGGCTGTTTTGCTTTTTTCTGAACATATCAGACCAAACCTGGGCTGTTTAGCCTTTTTTTTTTTTTTTTGAGATAGTGTCTTGCTCTGTCGCCCAGGCTGGAGTGCAGTGGCGCAATCTCGGCTCACTGCAACCTCTGCCTTCCAGGTTTAAGCGATTCTCCTGCCTCAGCCTCCCAAGTAGCTGGGATTACAGATGTGCACTCCCACGCCCAGCTCATTTTTTCTGTATTTTTAGTAGAGACGGATTTCAACACGTTGGCCAGGCTGGTCTCGAACTTCTGACCTCTGGTGATCTGTCTGCTTTGGCTTCTTAAAGTGGTAGGATTACAGGCATGAGCCACCGCACCTGCTTCGCTACGTTTTTTGACAACGTATCAACATCATTTAAGATGGGCACGGCCTCAGTGTAGTGTGTCTAGACAAGGTGGCCAGAAGAGAGGGGAATATGCAAACCAGGCTTGAAGACGGGTTAAATCAGAGCTTTTCATTCCACAAAAGAGCAATTTTAATGGGGTCAGGACATTGATCTTCTAATATTTGAAAGCCTGTTAACTAGGAGAGAGAGAGCAAACTCTTTTGTTGTAGGAGGACCTACCCAGCTCTGACGGTTTAAAGCGTCATGAATGCAAATTTGAACTCCAGAAAAGCAGAGTTTCCTAACAATGGGACTTCCACAGCAATGGGATCTGCTTCTTCACTCAGTCTGTGTCTTTCCCATGAGTGAGAGACTCCTAGGAGAGCCACAGCACATTACGAAGCCATGTGGGAACTCACTCACAAGTTCTTTATTTTTTTGAGATGGAGTTTTGCTCTTGTTGCCCAGGCTGGAGTGCAATGGTGTGATCTTGGCTTGCTGCAACCTCTGCACCCCAAGTTCAAGTGATTCTTCAGCACCCCCTCACCCAAGTAGCTAGGATTACAGGCACCCGCCACCATGCCTGGCTAATTTTTTGTATTTTTTGTAGAGATGGGGTTTCACCATGTTGGCCAGGCTGGTCTCTAACTCCTGACCTCAAGTGATCCACCCCCTTTGGCCTCCCAAAGTGCTGGGATTATAGGCATGAGCCACTGAGCCCGGCCAGGAACCCACAGGTTTTTCGGATGGTCTCTGAATGTCATGCAACTTTTATTTTTTATCAAAAAAATTTTTTTGACACGTCTTGCTGTGTTGCCCAGACTGGAGTGCAGTGGCAAGATCATAGCTCACTGCAGCTTCTAACTCCTGGGCTCAAGCGATCTTCCTGTCACGAGTCTCCCAAGTAGGTGGAGCACAGGTGCCAGCCACCACACCTGGCTAATTTGGTTTGGTTTTGTTTTTTTACAGATGGGCTCTTGCTATGTTGCCTACACTGATCTTGAACTGCTGGCCTCAGGCAGTCTTCCTCCCTTGGCCACCCAAAGTGCTGGGATTACAAGCATGAGCCACTGTGCACAGCTGAGATTTTTCGACTTAGTCTTTTTGTACATGCGATATTTTATTCATAGAATCCATAAATGGTAGGGAAATTTCTGAGTTCAGAGCAATACGTATGATACAAAACTTGATATATAGACTAGAGTTTCTTAGCCGAACTGGAGAGGCTAGCTTTAGGTAATCCATGGACTCCCTGAAATTGGGGACACCATTGGAAATATGTGTGAGCTCATGGGCACTTTCCTATGATTTTCAGGCCTCAAAATGTCTCTTGGACTCAAAGATGCCTTAGGGCAGAGGACGCTTGTACCCCCAGTATAGAATCTCGGACAGTGAATGTCAGTAAGCATTCGGCAGAAAAGCTCTGCCAAATTGAGTGCTCTGATGTCATTTTTTCATCAAGGTCAATGTTCCTGGGATCTCTTGTACATGATCATCTCACTCTTGTAAGGTTTCATAGTTTCTGCTTAGCCTAGTTTTCTTTCCCACCCTGTTCCCTCTCCCACCAGACTGGACTCTGAAATGGGCATGTACAGAGAAGAGGAGACCCCAACATACTTCAGGCTTTGAGTGGAGAGGACACAGCCTCTGCTGGGACAGGGAACAGAGGGATGCGGAGACCCTGAAGATGCTTTTGGACAGTGGTCTGAGGTTGGGACAGTGGCAGGAGATACCATTCACCCAGGACAAGAGATCAGCCTGGCAGTTACATGTGTTTTTCTTCCAAATGGTTGCCAGGTTGGAATAACCAATGACATCAGAGATTCCAACCTTCCTAGGAAGGACTGGACTCTGTGGGCGCCTGGGAGCTCAGGTGGACAAAGCATCTTCTCAGAGCTGTTCTCCACTCCTGACTTCTCCCAGCCTCGAGAATTGACAACACACTCTTCTGGGTCTTAGCAGAGTCCAGAAGAAGGCCTTGGACAGAATAGAGACTAGGTTCCATGGGATGGGACAGATTTTGGGAAAGATCATGACCAGCCATCAACCACACCTCCAGGATGAGGAGCAGAGCCCCCAGCCCAGCGCCTCGGGGTACCCCCTCCAGGAGGTGGTGGATGATGACATGTCAGGACCATCAGGTGAGGGGACTGGAGGAAGAAGAGGTAGGATAGGATTGACTAAGACGAAGGAAGGGGGACGGGCGCAGTGGCTCACGCCTGTAACCCCAACACTTTGGGAGGCCGAGGTGGGCGGATCACCTAAGGTTAGGAGTTCGAGACCAGCCTGGCCAATATGGTGAAACTCCATCTCTACTAAAAGTACAAAAATTAGCCAGATGGTAGTGGTGCGCGCCTGTAATCCCAGCTACTCGGGAGGCTGAGACAGGAGCATCGCTTGAGCCTGGGAGGAAGAGGTTGCAGTGAGCCGAGATAGCACTACTGCACTCCAGTCTGGGTGAGAGAGAGATATTGTCTCAAAAAACAAACAAACAAAAAAAAGGTCAGAGATCAGGAAGGAGAACCTGAGAAGGGTGTGTGGGAAGAATGGAGAAATTCAGGCCGGGTGCAGTGGCTCACACCGGTAATCCCAGCACTTTGGGAGGCCAAGGCAGGCAGTTCACTTGGCCTGCCAGGAGTTTGAGGCCAGGAGTTTGAGACCAGCCTGGCCAACATGGTGAAACCCCATCTCTACTAAAAGTACAAAACTGAGCTGGGCATTACAGCAGACACCTGTAATCCCAGCTACCTGAGAGCTGAGAGGCTGAGGCAGGAGAATAACTGGAATCCGGGAGATGGATGTTGCAGTGAGCTGAGATTGCACCACTACACTCCAGCCTGGGAGACAAAGCAAGATTCTGTCTCAAAACAAAACAAAACAAAACAAACAAACAAACAGAAAAAGAGGGACTCAGAGAGCCAGGGACCAGGGAAGGACATGAGGAAGTGTTCTCAGGACAGAGAGATGCAAGAATGGGGAGGAGAAGGAGCACCACATGGGGCTCAGCAGAGGAGAAAGACAGAAAGATGGCTTGGAGAAACCAACAGTCTGTGAGGCTGGGGAGGATGGAGAGTAGTTTGGGGTTTTGGGTCGGGGTCTAAGGTGGTCAGTTGCAGAAGCATTACACCGTGGCCTGGTTTCTTTACTCAGCCCCTGGGGTAGATCCCAGCCCCTGGGGTAGGTCCCTTTGCTGGAAAAGGAAGAGGGAGTGGTCGGACGAATCTGAGGAGGAGTCAGAGGAGGAGCCAGAGAAGGAGCTCGCCTCTGAGCCTGAGGAGACCTGGGTGGCGGAGACACTGTGTGGGCTCAAGAAGAAGCTGAAGTGACAGCGAGTGTCACCCGTGCTCCCTGAGCACCTGAGGCCTTCAACAGGCTGCTTGGTAGGAGGACACCCCAGAGAGCACCTCCAATCCCGTTCTTTCTAAAAAGAGGAAACTTCCAATAACCACACTTTTCCAATGGGAAAAATATGCCCCCAGTGGGTGAGCTCTCCATGCGGGAGGACTCAGAAGTGATCACTCATGAGGGACGTTTAGGAGACGATAGAGGATTAGGATTAGGTCAGCGCTTGGGATGAGAAAGCTTGGTTTTGAGCTGAGTGCGGGGGCTCACGCCTGAGATCCCAGCACACTGGGAGGCTGAGGCAAGAGGATTGCTTGAACTCAGGACTTTGAGGCTGCAGTGAGCTATGATGGCACCACTGCACTCCAGCTTGGGTGATAGAGCAAAACTCTGTCTCAAAAGAAAAAGCAAGGCCAGTTGCGGTAGCTCATACCTGTAATCCCAGCACTTTGGGAGGCCGAGGCAGGTGGATCACCTGAGGTCAGGAGCTAGAGACCAGTCTGACCAACATAGTAAAACCTGATCTCTACTAAAAATACAAAAATTAGCCGGGCGTGGTAGCACACGCCTGTAATCCCAGCTACTCAGGGGACTGAGACAGGAGAATCGCTTGAACTTGGGAGGTCGAGGTTGCAGTGAGCTGAGATTGTGCCACTGCATTCCAGCCTGGCCCACAGAGCAAGACTCTATCTCAATAAGTAAGTAAGTAAATAAATAAATAAATAAAACAAAATAAAAAATCAAAGAAAGTGGCTTCAGCTGTGCTCTCTGAAACTTAATGTCTCTTACTGACTTTTCTAAACCTAAGTGTCTCCATCCATAGTGGGGGATACCAAGGCCATGGTCGCACCCTGATGTGACTGTCTCATGAGGAAATGATGGGAATTCCTTTATGACTCTGCAGTGGTTCTCCGTGTCTGCTGGGAGGGCATCCTGGCTTATTCCCAGCTCTACATCCCATAGATTCTCACACCCAGGGCCTCCTTCGGCCTCTTCTCAGGGGACTCTCCGAGCAGGAGCCTCTGTCCCTTGCCCAGTGAAAGTCATTCTCCCCTCTCCCATCCACCTCACCTGCGGCCACAATCCTGAGACTTACCCCCCGGGAAGCACACTTCTCCTCGCTGCTCTGCTGCTCCCACAGAAACCCTGTCCTGCTTCTCACGCTGACATCTGCTCTCTAATCACAGAGGATCCTGTCGTTAAAAGACTCCTGGTCTGGGACAAAGATCTGAGGGTGTCGGACAAAGTAAGGTTGTTTTCTACGGAACGGTGTTCCTGCTTCAACGCACCGCCTGGAGCAGGGCACAGCTTCCAAACCCACAGTTCCTCTCCTCTCTCCCTCCAGCATCTCCCACCAGATGCTCCCACAGTCTTTTTCTTTTCTTTTTGTGAGACAGAGTCTCGCTCTGTTGCCCAGGTTGGAGGGCAGTGTCTCAACCTTGGCTCACTGCAGCCGACGCCTCCCGAGTTCAAGGCATTCTCCTGCCTCAGCCTCTCAAGCAGCTGGGATTACAGGCATGCACCACCATGGCTGGCTAATTTTTGTGTTTTTAGTAGAGACAGGGTTTTGCCATGTTGACCTGGCTGGCCTTGAACATCTGACCTCAGGTGTTCCACTCGCTTTGGCCTCCCAAAGTGCTGGGATTACAGACATCAGCCACTGTGCCCCTCCAGCTCCCACAGTCTTGAGTCTTGGTGCCCATTTTTTTTTCTTTTTGAGACAGTATCTAGCTGAGTTCCCCAGGATGGAGTGCAGTGGCATGATCACAGCTCACTGCAGCCTCTAATTCCTGAGCTCAAGCAATCCTCCTGCCTCAGCCTCCTGAGTAGCTGGGAGTACAGGCACATGCCATCACGCTTGAATAATTTTTATACAAACAGGGTCTTGCTATGTTGCCCCGGTTGTTCTCAAACTGTTGGGCTCACGTGATCCTCCTGTCTCCACCTCTCAAACTAGTGGGATCACAGGCTTCAGCCGCCACTCCCGGCTATTCTTGGTCTTCTTTATGATTTGCCAGCGTCTCCCTCAGGACTCTGCTGGTCTCTTGCCGAGTGAATGAGTGGCCCCTGCCTCTCCTACAGGTCGTTTGGGATCTGAGCCATGGGCCACAGTCTGGCCGCAGCTCTGAAGCTCCTGGCCCCTCTACTCTCAGCTCTTTGGGACAGTTCTCTGCCTGGCACACAAAAGACCCTCCTGACACCAGCTGACCTAGACTCACACTTTCAAAGATCCCATCAGAGCCCACCATCCTGGGAGCATCACCGACATCCCTTCCTCCGGCTTCTCGAATTTGCATCCGACCTTTGAATACCCCTCCACCCCGCAATTTGCACATGAGCACAGTTACCCCAACACTGAGGACCCTTCTCTGATGGGCAACCCCTCCCCAGACCCCCATTCCACTATCTCCATGATCTTCCTCTCCCAAGATGTGACCTCTCCCTCTCTGTGTTCCCTTCGCTCCATCAGTATCTCCTGGCTATGGTCATAGCGTATTCTAGCCCGGCCAGCCTCTTCTCCTGGCAATACCAACGCATTCATTTCTTCCTGGCTCTGTGAGTGGTTTGCTGACTCCTATCCATCAGTATCCAACGCCCTGGGACAGCAGAGGAAGGTGAGATTCCAGCCTGTCATTTATTCTTTCACCTATTTGTCCTCTTTACTCTGTGTACAAAAAAGACAGGATTATACTATCTTGTTCTTAAACTGTTTCTAAAAAGAAACTCAGGCTGGGCACAGTGGCTCATGCCTGTAATCCCAGCACTTTGGGAGGCCAAGGCAAGTGGATCACCTGAGGTTAGGAGTTCGAGACCAGCCTGGCCAACATGGCCAAACCCCGTCTCTAGTAAAAATAGAAAAATTAGCTGGGCTTGGTGGTGTGCACTTGTAATCCCAGCTACTTGGGAAGCTGAGGCAAGAGAACCCCTTGAACCCAGGAGGTGGAAGTTGCAGTAAGCTAAGGTTGAGCTACTGCACTCCAGCCTGGGCGACAGAGCAAGACTTTTTCTAAAAAAAAAAAAAAGAATAAAGCAAAAGGAACCATAAACTGCTCCTAAGGGGAGAAGAAAAGGAGCGGAGGAGCGGACACGACACTTCCCCCAGCAAGCAGACGTTTCTGGTTCTTCTCTCTCTCTCCTTCCCACATCAACCGCAAATGCCATCGTCCTCCTCCGGGTTCCCACGACAGAGGCCACAGTTCAGGTCCCCCTTGCATCATTCGAATCCACTGTCAAATGCTCCCTGCCAGGGTCTCCTGGAGTCTCTCCCCAAGCCAGGGGGCTCCCTAGTGCAGCCTGAACATCTTTCCACAGCACAACAACCTCACTGCCCACCTGAACAACCTCCTTAGCTGATGTCTTTCTCTATCGAGGCCAGGGTAACAGTGCCAATTCCACCCTCTCTACAATCTCTACAACCACACTGGCTCACCATCTTGGTGTTTCCTGGCTTGGCTTCACTGCTCCTTCCAAATGCCCTCCACTCGACTTTGCGTTTGTGTTTTCTGTCTGGGTGTCCCACACACATGTGGTTCTGAAGGGAAGGACCCATTCCTTGAAGTCAGTTCACCCCACAGCCTCTGTGATGCCTTCCCTCATCTTCCAACTTCTGCATGCCCATAGCTCTCCAGTTACATCCTATTATAATGTGACACTGGGATTAGGTCATCTGCCCTGATTACTCCCAGTCCCATTAGACTAGATGCCTGTAGAAGGCAGGGTCCTAGCAAAATATCAATGTATCCAATTTATTTTACTTTTTTGAGATAGACTTGCCCTGTCCCCCAAGCTGGAGTGCAGTGGTGAGATCAAAGCTCACTGCAGCCTCCATATCCTGGGCTCAGGCGATCCTCCCACCTCAGCCCCTTGATTAGCTCTGACTACAGGGCTGTGCCACCACACCTGGACAGTTATTGATTGATTGATTGATTGATTGAGACAGAGTGTTGCTGTACCTCAGGCTGGAGTGGAGGGGCCCAATCTCGGCTCACTGCAACCTCCGCCTCCTGGGTTCACACAATTCCTATGCTTCAGCCTCTTGAGTAGCTAGGACTAACAGGTGTGCCACCGCACCAGGCTTTTTGTATTTTTAGTAGAGACGGGGTTTCTCCAGGTTGACCAGGCTGGTCTCGAACGCCTGGTCTCAAGCGATCCACCTGCTTCAGCCTTCTAAAATGCTGGGATTACAGACATGAGCCACTGTGTCCGGCGTATTTTTTATATTTTTAATAGAGACGAGGGTCTTGCTATGTTGCCCAGGCCCATCTCAAACTCCTGGCCTCAAGTGATCCTCCTGCTTCGGCCTCCCAATGTGCTGGGATTCCTCGCATAAGCCACCACTCTCGGCCACCAGTTGGGTTTTTGTCTCCATCCTGAAGGAGTGGGAGACGCCCTTCAGCAGGTCTCTGTCCAGCAGAGCCCTCCTGAGGAAGGTGTGGCTCTGTGCAGGGTGGGTGCCCGTCCTGAGCTGAGGACGGTCCCCTGCCCTCCTCTCTGGGAAGCTGACCTCAGCTGGAGGTCTCTCCTGGTGGTGCCCCTGAGCAGTAACCTGATTTCTGTTCCCAGCTACCTGACCAATGACATGGAGGAGGACAGCGAGACCCCCAAACAAAACATCTTCTACTTCCTGTACGGGAAGAACTGCTCTCAGATAGCCTTGTCCCACAAGCTTTGGTTCCAGTTCTTCCATTCCGTGCGCTGCAGGGCTTGGGTTTTCCCGGAGGAGTTGGAGGAGGTGGGTGGGGCCTGGGGAGATGGAGGAGGTGGGGAGGAATCGGGTGGGCTGGAGGCTGGATGAGGGGAGGGAGGAGTATC
The DNA here is from genome assembly GCF_000001405.40 of Homo sapiens. Lineage (NCBI taxonomy): Eukaryota > Metazoa > Chordata > Mammalia > Primates > Hominidae > Homo > Homo sapiens. The sequence goes on along the minus strand of NC_000007.14, from coordinate 5,031,709 downwards.
CTGGGGAGTCCCCATCTTCTTAAGGGGCATTTGTTTTTCCAGATCCAGGGTTATGACCCAGAGCACTGGGTGTGGCCATGAGATCGGGCCCGCCTTTCCTAGAGCTCCAGGGACTGTGGAGGCCTGAGGTCATCGGCCTGAGAGAAGGTACATCTGTGTCCTCTGGGGTAAAGGCAGAATATTGGGGTCTATTTCAGAAATCTGAGGAACCCAACTGCTTGATCTGGCTTCAAGCCTGGGCAACATGGCAAGATCCCCTCTCCACAAAAATACAAAAAGTAGCCAGGCGATGTGGGAGGCATCTCTACTTCCAACTACTCAGGAGGCTGAGGCAGGAGGATCGCTGGAGCCTGGGAGGTCGGGGCTGCAGGGAGCCCTGATCCTGCCACTGCACTCCAGCCCGGGCGACAGAGTGAGACCCTGACTCAAAAATAATCATAAATACTGAATTTGGGGAGGTTCATTATGATTGACGCACTTGAGTTACCGATTTGGGTCGAGGGTTCAGTGAAGCTTTGGTTTACATCTCGTGCAGCTAACCACATTGAGCACAGAGCATGAGACTTCATCATGAGGAGGTAGGATTATGGATTAGGCTTCTGGACTCAGGGTTCGTGATGTTGTCACAGTAGAAACAGATCTAGCATGGTTACAAGTTTAGATCTTAAGTGACACAAAAGGCCCCAGCTGTGATGAAGTCCAAAGCCACATTCTCTGAGGGTGCCCTACTCCCTGGGCAGACCCACGCAAAGTCCTTGCTATGAAGCAGATCACTGGGGCTGCCCTTGGGTGTATTAAGTGAGTTTTGGAGTCAGGGTCACCAAAGTGTGAGTTTCACAGTTGAACATAATGGTTCAGAAGCAGGCTATGGAACGAAGGACAGGAGATAAAATTGGATTTCTCAATTGCTCTGAACTCTACTTAGACTTGACATGGGACGTGAATAACCTTCCTGTCTAGAGAGCTGCCTCCTTGAAGTGTGACATCCTCTTTCTCACTTCCAGAATGCTGGGCCCAGGGGAGATGCGGATTTTCATCAGGAACTTTATTCCAATGCTAATGGCAGGCACCAGGAAGAAGGAGAGGAGCCATTTGTGCAGATCATCTAGAAGAACCTGGACTGTTCTAGATGAAGCCGAATAGAGTGATCACGTTGTCGTCCTAGGACTGGGGGTGGGGGGGGGGTGGTACTTCTAGGAATCCACAGAGAACAGTAAGAAACCAGGGGTGTTTCTGTTTCCACCCCTTCCTGCGGCACCACCTCCCTTTTTATATTGCTGAATTCCAACTTCCCTGGGGTGGAACCTGGAGGTCCTGTTTCTTACGGACTTGGTTGCCACAGTCCAGGAGCATTTGAAGGCACAGTGCAGACACTCAGGCACAGAATTCTTTGTGAAATATGAGTGTCATAGACTGTAACAGACAGCTTCATGCACACTATGCATTTATTGGTTTGGAAAATGTTGGCCATCGAATTATTAATAGGTTTATTTCAAATAGTTTGGAAATTGTTGTACTTTTGAAAACATGCTGTTCCTGTAGATTTTTTGATGAGAGTTACAGCTGTTATACATACATAAAGATAATTTTCTTTTCATTTTGAGAATCCTTTTTATCCTAAATCTTTTATTATCTTTAAATTGTTTTCTGTATTATTATATGTGCCTCTGAAGCGAGTACACTTTTTATCTATGATACTTCCATAATAATCTCTTCTATTTATAGCTATTGGTAGTTCCCCTAAATTCCTGTCATACACATTTTTATTTGCTGTTTAGATTTGTGACTGAATTGTGAGAATTCAGTTGTGATTTTTAACATCTTAGATATATACTAACATGTCTAATATATACTATATATTTTATTGATTTTGAAAAAGATGGGCATTATTAGAAGAATTATTACTACATTTATTTTAAATATTTTGAAAATATTGGTATTTTTGAATAGACACTGTTCCTATAAAGTTGTGAGATGGCTGTTACAGCTGCTATATACACATAAATATAATTTTGTTTTCCTTTTTAAGAGAGCATTCTTTTTATCCTAAATCTTTTATCTTTAAATCTTTATCTTTAAATCTTTGTATCTATTATTACATGTGCTGCTGAAGGGAGCACTCTTTTTATCTATGATACTTAATATATGTACTACACTTACAGCTACATGATAGTTCCCCTAAATTCTTATAAAAATAAATTTTTATTTGATGTTTACTGTATGTTTTTGAAATGTGAGAATTCTGATGTAACTTTTTACCTTGTATTGGCATGTTTGTATGTTACTTTAAAGAGGATGTGTGTTTTAAAGGAGAACATGAGCTGTGTGTTTTCAAGAGAACAATGCAGTGCGTCTCTTGGGGAAACGTAATAAAGATGAAGTTTTCTCACCTTCACAGCGAGTGTGATCATATTGGTCTGGATTGATTATTTGCTGTCATGTGACATTTTTCCTCAATGGGCTTTTGGTTATTTGAACATATATATTAATTAGCTCTAGAAGACAATCCTGCATTATTTTTTATGTAGAAAAAAAACACAAGGCTGGGTGCAGTGCTCACACCTACATTCCCAGCACTTTTGGAGGTCATGGCAGGAGGATCACTTGAGGCCAGGAGTTTGAGGCCAGCCTGGGCAACATAGCATCAACAACTATTTTTTTAAAAATTTTTTAAAAAGAAAAATAATAGAAGAGAAGGCCAATCCCAAGCTAGAGGTTTTGTTTGTTTGTTTGTTTTGGAGACAGAGTCCTGCTGTGTCTCCCAGGCTGGAGTGCAGTGGCATGACCTTGGCTCACTGCAACTTTCACCTCTGGATTCAAGCGAATTCTCCTGCCTCAGCCTCCTAAGTATGGGACTACAGGCACCCAACCTTACATCCGACTAACTTTTGTAAAAATAGTAGAGACGGGGTTTCATCATGTTGGCCAGTCTGGTCTCCAACTCCTGACCTCAAGTGAATTGCCCGTCTTGGCCTTCCAAAGTGCTGGGATTAAGGGAGGAGACCACCTCTCAAATTGTCTTATGCCCAATTTCTGCCTCCAAAGAAAGAAAAAGTAAAAACTAAAAGGCAGAAATGAAAACCACAGGCAGACAGCCTGGTGCCACACCCTGGGCCTGGTAGTTAAAGATCGACCCCTGACCTAATTGGTGATGTTATCTACAGATTACAGACATTGTATAGAAAAGCACTGTGAAAATCCCTATCTTGTTTTGTTCCGATCTAATAACCGGTGCGTGCAGCCCCCAGTCACGTACCCCTTGCTTGCTCAATCACGACCCTCTCACGTGCACCCCCTTAGAGTTGTGAGCCCTTAAAAGGGACAGGAATTGCTCACTCAGGGAGCTCAGCTCTTGAGACAGGAGTCTTGCCAATGTCCCTGGCTGAATAAACCCCTTCCTTCTTTAACTTGGTGTGTGAGGAGTTTTATCTGTGACTCATCCTGCTGCATTTCTTGGTTCCCTGACCAGGAAGCGAGGTGACTGGCAGATGGTCGAGGCAGCTCCTTAGGTGGCTTAAGCCTGCCCCATGGAACATCCTTGAGGGGGACTCTGACCAGCCCGAGCGACGCGGATCCTGCGAGCGCTCCCAGGTAGGCATTTGCCCTGCTGGGACGCCTTGCCAGAGCAGTGTGTGGCAGGCCCCCGTGAAGGATCAACGCAGTGGCTGAACACTGGGAAGGAATGGGCACTTGGAGTCTGGACATCTAAAACTTGGTAAGACTAGTCTTTGAAACTTACCCACTCCATTTGAGTGGAAGCGTGGCCTGATCACCCACGGCGTGCCTTTATTGGCACTTTGGTTTTGGTTTTGACTTGGTTTGAATAGCTTGATGGGACTGGTTTTGGGAACTTGCCTACTCCATTTGAGTGGAAGCATGGCCTGGTCACCCATGGTGTGCCTGTACCAGCACTCTGGTTTTTGTTTTTGACTTGACTTGGATTGCTTGATACTTTGGTTTTGGTTTTGACCTGGCTTGGATTTCTGGATACTCTGATTTTGGTTTTGATTTTGGTTTGGTGTAAACTACAAAAGTGTGTGCCATTTTTACCCATTCTTTGTTTTGTGGTGTGCGTGTGGTGTGAGTGTGGTGTTTTGTCTTGAGGAAACATGGGTGAGGACCAAAGTAAGCCCACCCCACTAGGAACTATGTTGAAAAATTTCAAAAAAAGGATTTAAGGGAGACTATGGAGTACTATGACACCAGGAAAACTTAAAACTTTGTGTAAGATAGACTGGCCAGCATTAGAGGTGGGTTGGCCATTAGAAGGAAGCCTGGACAGGTCCCCTGTTTCGAAGGTATGGCACAAGGTAACCTGTAAGCCAAGGCACCCAGACCAGTTCCCGTACATAGACACTTGATTACAGCTGGTTTTAGACCCCCCGCCCCCAACACACAGTGGTTGAGAGAACAGCAGCATAAGCAGCTGGCAGAGGCAAGGAAAGAGCAGCAGAGAGAGAGAAAGGAAAGAGACAGAGAGGAAAAGAGGCAGAGAGAGAGAGGAAGAGACAGAGAGGAAGAGACAGACAAAGAAGGAGTCAAAGAGAGAAAGAAAGAAAGAAAAAGAAAGAAAGAAAGAAAGAAAGAAAGAAAGAAAGAAAGAAAGAAAGAAAGATGATTTAACATTAATCACTGAAAATTCCCTTAACCCAGCAGGTTTCCTAACAGGGGATCTAAATCTTAATTACCATACAAAGGTCTGACCAGACCTAGGAGGAACTCCCTTCAGGACAGGACGATCGATGGTTCCTCCCGGGTAATTGAAAAAAAAAAAAGCCATCTATACCAATTCTAATTTGGACAAAACAAGGTCGTATTAATAGCAAAGGACAATTAAAATCCCAAACTTACAAGGTTTTCAACTAAAGTCTGCTGAAAGTTAACAGTGTAACACGTATTATAGTAACTTCTATTCTTGTGGCGTTAGACAGTCTAGTCCACAGACATAAAAAAGGTTTGCTTTGGAAAAGAATGGTTATCATCTTCGGAAAAAAAGGAAAAAAAGGGGGGGACGGAATTTATATAAAAAGAGTATTATATGGTAAATTCTTGTCCTGAAACAAATTAACTGGTTGTTTAAAGAAAGAAATATTTGTAATAAGTCAGAAAGTTGATGCATGTTGAAGAATTGTCTGCGAAAGTCATTGTCTGTGAAAGAGAAAAATGTTATAAAAAAGAATTTATGCAAAAAAGTTGTATAATTTAAAAGTAACTAGGCCTCCTGAATGTAAAACTATTGAAGAAAAAACAGCTTATGTGTAAGATGTATAAGAAAAGTAAAATATACCTTTGGTAAAAGGATTATAAGGAGGCATAAGAATGTGGATTTTTACCTACATTAAAAAGTTTAAAAAATATATTGTTTTGAAGGTTTAAGCAAGTTTTAAAATGTTAATTGTAAAGAAAATTCTGTGTGTAAACATATTAGCTAAAGTTAAAGAAGTATCATCCAGTTTTTCTGTGAACTGGACATTAAAGTAAAAGCATAACAGGTTTTTCTTAAAGCACCAACCTGCTCTTTAGCAAAAATTATAAAAGGTTAAAAAGAGTCTATAAAATCTTACCTTATGGTCAAACATTAAAAATTAGATAAATATGTTTACAAGGTTTTATTAAAGTTAGGTTTAACATTAATAACACACTAATATACAATTTAGCTTATCTGGTATAAAAATCATACAAAAAGCATTATTAAATATAAAATAGTGTTTAGCTTTCTTTGGTCTAAAAAGTAATAAAAATAGGTGCTAAAGGAAATTTCTCAGTAAAAAGGCACTAAGGACTATAAAGTCCACTGCCAGGGTCCCCACATTTAAAACAAAAGGTCAATTTCTTAGAAATTATATACTTGATTTATCTTCCACTTTTCTTTCTCTCAAAAACTAAAAGTGGTTTAGCACATGTACCACTGCTAGAATTTCCGGTAAACCAGCACCAGCCTGAAGATCACGTTCTCATCAAAAAGTGGAAAGAAGAAAAATTCGAGCCAGCCTGGGAAGGACCCTACCTTGTGCTGCTAACCACCAAGACTGCTGTTCGTACAGCATAAAAGGATGGACTCATCACATCCGAGTCAAGAAAGCGCCACCCCCTCCAGAGTCGTAGGCTATAGTCCCATAGGAAAACCCTACCAAACTAAAGCTAAGAAAAATTTAACTCTTTTCATCTATTCTATTACTCTTCCTTCTTTCCTCATTCTATTGCTGACCATCTAGTTATTAACATAACCAAGTCAATTTCACCTCAAACTATTGCATTTAATGCTTGCCTTTTTATACCCTGTGGGGACTTGCCAAGTCAAAGACAGCTCTCTACTTCACAAAAGTACTTCTGTCCCTCCTGACTCTCCTCAGACTGGGCGTTAGTAAACTAGGACCATTTAATCCGGGGAGATTTCGATAAAGACCCCAGTGCCAACCAGGAGTCTTGCCCCCCGATGTAGAGTTTTCATGCCATAGTTGGTCCAACGTTCTGTGGACCACTAAAGAGCAAGGGTGGACTGCCCCAACCGGTTTTTGTAATTTCCTAAAATCATACATTCATTTTACTAGAGGATCATAGAAGTTAAAGACTTAAAACAAACTTTAGCAATTAAGACAGGATACCAAGATGCAAATGCCTGGTTAATTGGATCACATATTCCATCTGCACGTTAAACAAAAGCAATTGTTATGTGTGTGCACATGGCAGGCCAGAGGCCCAGATTGTCCCCTTTCCACTAAGGTGGTTCTCCAGTCAACCAGGCGTAGGCTGCATGGTAGCCCTTCTCTGGGATTCTACAGCCTGGAGTAATAAGTCGTGCCAAGCTCTCTCTGCTACATCCCAAAGTCTAGCACCCTGTGGATCAGCCCCCAAGGGCCATCCAGCCTCTGTCTCCCAACACTAAGTTCACTTCGTGTCTCTCATGACAGGGAGGAAACTTAGCATTCCTTGGAGACCTGAAAGGATGCAGTGAGGTTAAGAATTTTCAAGAGCTTATCAATCAGCCAGCCCTTGTTCATCCCAGAGCAGATGTATGGTGGTATTGTGGTGGACCTTTACTGGACACTCTGCCGAATAACTGGAGTGGCACTTGTACTTTAGTCCAATTGGCTATCCCTTTCACCCTGGCATTTCATCAACCAGAAGGAAAAAAAATATGATATCGTAAAGCAAGAGAAGCCCCTTATGGGTCTTTCGACTCTCATGTCTATTTAGACGCAACTGGAGTCCCACGAAGAATACCAGATCAATTTAAAGTTTGAAATCAAATAGCTGCAGGATTTAAGTCAATATTTTAGTAGGTGACAGTTAATAAAAATGTAGATTAGATAAACTACATCTATTACAACCAACAACAACGAGGTTTTCATGAGTTAAAAGAAAAACTCATGTCGGCCCCAGCCCTGAGGCTACCTGACCTGCAAAACTCTTTATGTGTTAGAAAGAGAGAAAATGGCAGTTGGAGTTTTAACCCAGACTGTAGAGCCCTAGCCAAGGCCAGTGGCCTATCTCCCAAAACAACTAGACAAGGTTTCCCAAGGCTGGCCCCCAGGTCTAAGGGCCCTAGCAGCAACGGCCCTGTTAGCACAAGAAGCAGATAAACTAACCCTTAGGCAAAACGTGAATATAAAGGCCCCCCATGCTGTGGTAACTTTAATAAATACCAAAGGACATCATTGGTTAACAAATGCTAGATTAACCAAGTACCAAAGCTTGCTATATGAAAATCCCCACATAACCACTGAAGTTTACAACACCCTAAACCCCACCACCTTGCTCCCGGTACCAGACAGCCCAGTTGAACATAACTGTGTAGAGTTGTTGGACTCCGTTTATTCCAGCAGGCCCAATCTCCGAAACCATCCTTGAACATCAGTAGACTGTGAGCAGTACGTGGATAGCAGCAGCTTCGCCAACCCCTGCAAAGTGACTCTGAAGAAGACGACAAGCCCTGCTCCAGTCACACCCGGAAGCTGACTGATCCACGTACGGCCGAAGCATGAGGAAACTCATCGCGGGACTCATTTTCCTTAAAATTTGGACTTGTACAGTAGGGACTTCAACTGACCTTCCTCAGACTGAGGGCTGTTCCCAGTGTATACATCAAGTCACTGAGGTAGGACAAAAGGTTGCTACAGTCCTATTATTTTATGGTTATTGTAAGTGTACTGGAACTCTAAAAAGAACTTGTTTGTATAATGTTATTCTGTACAAGGTATGTAGCCCAGGAAATGACCAACCTGATGTGTGTTATGACCCATCTGAGCCTCCCCCATGACCACAGTTTTTAAAATAAGATTAAGGACTGAGGACTGGTGGGGGCTCATAAACGATACGAGTAAAGTGTTAGCCAAAACAGAAGAAAAAGGGGTGCCCAAAAAAGTCACCTTAAAATTTGATGCCTGTGCTCTCATTAATAGTAGTAAGTTAGGAATAAGGTGTGGTTCTCTTAATTAGGAAAGAGGCTATATGGCAGAAAATAAGTACATCTGTCAGAAATTAGGACTGTGTGGAAATAAATGTAAACACTGGTCTTGTGTCATTTAGGCCACTTGGATAAAAAAAAAAATGAGAAGGATCCAGCCCACCTTCAGAAAGGAAAAAATGGCCCTTCCTGTACTAAAGGACAATGTAACCCCTTAGAGCTAGTAATAACCAAGCCCCTCGATTCTCGCTAGAAAAAAGAGGAACGTGTGACCTTAGGAATCACGGGGCCGGACTGAACCCTCGAGTAAATATCTTGGTTCGAGGAGAAGTTTACAAACGCTCTCCTGAGCCACTGTTTCAAACTTTCTATGATGAACTAAATGTGCCAGTACCAGAAATTCCAGGAAAAACAAGAAATTGGTTTTTGCAATTAGCCGAGCATGTAGCGCAGTCTCTCAGTGTCACTTCATGTTATGTATGCGGAAGAACTGTCATGGGAGATCAATGGCCATGGGAAGCCCGAGAATTAGTACCTACGGACCCAGTTCCTGATGAATTCCCGGCTCAAAAGAATCACCCTGATAATTTCTAGGTCCTAAACGCCTCAATTATTGGACAATATTGCATAGCTAGTGTAGGAAAAGAATTCACTTACCCCATAGGACGACGTAGTTGTCTGAGACAAAAACAGTCACTTGGTGGAGTTCAAATCACACAGAAAAAAATCCAACGCCGGGCGCGGTGGCTTATGCCTGCAATCCCAGCACTTTGGGAGGCCAAGGCGGGTGGATCACAAGGTCAGGAGATCGAGACCATCCTGGCTAACATGGTGAAACCCCGTCTCTACTAAAAATACAAAAAATTAGCCAGGCGTGGTGGCGGGCGCCTGTAGTCCCAGCTACACGGGGGGCTGAGGCAGGAGAATGGCGTGAACCCAGGAGGCAGAGCTTGCAGTGAACAGAGATCGTGCCACTGCACTCCAGCCTGGGCAACAGAGCGAGATTCTGTCTCAAAAAAAAAAAAAAAAAAGAAAGAAAAGAAAGAAATCCATTTAGTAAATCCCCAAAGTTGCAAACCATGTGGACCCACGCAGAGTCCCACCGGGACTGGATGGCCCCCACTGGATTATACTGGATATGTAGGCATAGAGCTTATGCCAAATTACCTGACCAGTAGGCAGGTAGTTGTTTTATTGGCACTATTAAACCATCTTTCTTCCTACTGCCCATAAAAACAGGCAAACTCCTGGGCTTCCCTGTCTATGCTTCCTGCGAAAAGAGAAGCATAGCTATAAAAAATTGAAAAAATGATAAATGACCCCTAAGAGAATCATACAATATTATAGGCCTGCTACTTAGGCAAAAGACGGCTCGTGAGGATACTGGACCCCCATTTACATGATCAACCGAATCGTACGGTTACAAGCTGTCTTAAAAATAATCACTAACAAAACTGGCAGAGCCTTGACTATTCTGGCCCGGCAAGAAACTCAGATGAGAAATGCTATCTATCAAAATAGATTGGCTCTTGACTACTTGCTAGCAGCTGAAGGAGAGGTCTGTAGGAAATTTAACCTTACTAATTGCTGCCTATACATAGATAATCAAGGGCAAGTAGTTGAAGACATAGTTAGAGATATGACAAAACTGGCACATGTGCCCGTGCAAGTGTGGCATAGATTTGATCCTGGGGCCATGTTTGGAAAATGGTTCCCAGCACTAAGATTTAAAACTCTTATATTAAGAGTTATAATAGTAATAACAACCTGCTTACTGCTCCCTTGTTTGCTAACTGTACTTCTTCAAATGATAAAAAGCTTCATCGCTACCTTAGTTCACCAAAATGCTTCAGCACGAGTGTACTATATGAATCACTATCGAAGTGTCTTGCAAGAAGACATAGGTAGTAAAAATGAAAGTGAGAACTCCCACTACTGAGTGAGATTCTCAAAGGGGGGGAATAAGGGAGGAGACCACCCCTCATATTGCCTTATGCCCAATTTCTGCCTCCAAAGAAAGAAAAAATAAAAACTAAAAGGCAGAAATGAAATCCACAGGCAGACAACCCGGCGCCGCACCGTGGGCCTGGTAGTTAAAGATTGACCCCTGATCTAATTGGTGATGTTATCTATAGATTCCAGACATTGTATAGAAATGCACTGTGAAAATCCCTATCTGGTTTTGTTCTGATCTAATCACCGGTGCACGCAGCCCCCAGTCAGGTACCCGCTGCTTGCTCAATCAATCACGACCTTCTCACGTGCACCCCCTTAGAGTTGTGAGCCCTTAAAAGGGACAGGAATTGCTCACTCGGGGAGCTCGGCTCTTGAGACAGGAGTCTTGCTGATGCCCCCGGCCGAATAAACCCCTTCCTTCTTTAACTCGGTGTCTGAGGAGTTTTGTCTGAGGCTCGTCCTGCTACAGGATTACAGGCATGAGCTACTGCACCCAGACCCCAAGCTAGGGTTTTAAAGCAGGAAATGAGGGAAAGATACCGAGAGAGGAAAACCAGGTGGTAAGAAAACTCTAAAGGTGGCAGGGCGCGGTGGCTCACTCCATTGATCCCAGCAGGAGTTCGAGACCAGCCTGGCCAACATGGTGAAACCCTGTCTTTAGTAAAAATACAAAAATTAGCCAGGCATGGTGGTGCATACCTGTAATCCCAGCTATTTGGGAGGCTGAGGCAGGAGAATCACTTGAACACGGAAAGTGGAGGTTGTAGAGATTGTACCACTGCACTCCAGCCTGGGCAACAGAGTGAGACTCTGTCTTCTGCTGCAAAAAAAACAAAAAAACAAAACAGTTCCTGCCACAGTTAAAGCTGTTAAAGACAGGCACTCTGCCATGCAATTCTTTGTGATTTTTCTTTTTTATTTCTGGAGTCGGAGTCTTGTCCTATAACCCAGACTGGGGTGCAGTGGCACGGTCATAGCTCACTGCGGCCTCAGACTCAAGCTCAAGCGATCCTCTTACCTTGCCTCCCAAAGTGCTGGGATTACAAGCATGAGCCACCGCACCTGGCCTGTGTGACGCAATTCTGATGTCAACTCCCTGATGTTACGTCAAATGCCACAGGTCAAATGCCACCAGCCCCCACTAGGCTGCCCTTGCTTCAGACGCAGCTGCAAGCTTGAGTGTCCTCAGACCACATGTACTTCTCACCAACTGCCTGCAAATTTGGAGATTCCCACCGTGCCCTCAGGTTTGATAATTATAACAACTCGCAGAACTCAGAAAAGCATGACACTTTCTTTTTCTTTTTCTCTTTTTTTTTTTTTTTTGAGGTGGAGTCTCGCTCTGTCGCCCAGGATGGAGTGCAGTGGCATGATCTCGGCTCAGTGCAACCTCCGCCTCCCGGATTCAAGCGATTCTCTTGCCTCAGCCTCCCGAGTAGCTGGGATTACAAGTGATCACCCCCAGCTAATTTCTGTATTTTTAGTAGACACAGGGGGTTTTACCATATTGGCCAGGCTGGCATCGAACCCTTGACCTCAGGTGATCTTCCCACCTCGGTCTCCCAAGTGCTGGGATTACCAGCATGAGCCACTGTTCTCGACCAAGCATGATACTTTCACTACAGTTTTACATAAGAAAAACACTGACAAAAGTTAAGACCGGACAAAAGCAGAGACGCATAGTGGAAACTCTGAGAGCGTCCCACAGATGACACTTCTGTGTCCTCAGGACGCACCATCCTCTCAGCACATTGATGTGTATCACCGACCAGGGAAGTTCACCTGGGCCTCCACATCTGGGGCTTTGATTACATTGGCCTGGTTGACTCAATCATTGGCCAGGCAGTGGAGTCATCCTCCAGCCCCCCAGTTCCTTTCTGGACGTCGGCCTGATACCATGTGGCTCAAAGTCGCAACCTTCAAATCACATGGTTGGTCTTTCTAGTGTGGTTGACCAGAGTCAATCACAAGTCAGCTGGTTGGCATAAACTCAGGTGTGACCCTGGGGGGTCACCATGAGTAACAGACACGCCTATCACCCAGGAAATTCCAAGAATATAGGGGCTGTCTCCAAGAATCAGAGACAAAGGCCAGAAACAACTGGGAAAAGAAGGGCAGGGAGGTGTCAGAACAGCAAAGAAACATAAAAATTCCTTTTTATATGTCCATACAGATAATGTATATAAAACAGAAATTTAATGTATTAATGTATTAAATATATAGATTGCTTTATAAATATAAATATATGACATATTTATATACAACTTATATTTATATATATAAATATTGTAAATATAGGGAGAAATATATAAATATCCTTCTTTATTTATTTATTTTTGAGTTGGAGTCTTGCTCCGATGCCCAGGCTGTAGTGCCGTGGCTTGATCTTGGCTAACTGCCACCTCTACGTCCCAGATTCAAGTGATTCTCCTGCCTCAGCCTCCCGAGTAGGTGGAAATACAGGCACCCACCACCACGACTGGCGAATCGTTGTATATTTAGTAGAGATGGGGTTTTACTATTATGGCCAGGCTGGTCTCGAACTGCTGACCTCATGTGATCCACCTGCCTCGGCCTCCCAAAGTGCTGGGATTACAAGTGTGAGCCACTGCGCCTGGTCAAATTTCTCTCTATATTTATATTTATAAAGGAAACATATGTGTTTGTGGTGGTGGTGGGGAGGGAGGTCTTGGGCTACCATAACAAAATACCATAACTAGGCGGCTTAAATAGCAGAAATTCCTTTTCTCACAGTTCTGGAGGCTGGAAGTCCAAGACCCAGGCGCCATTAGGATTGGTATCTGTTGAGGCCTCTCTTCCTGGATTGCAGGTGGCTGAGCAAACAGCAACATCTGTCTCTGGGTCTGGGAGGCTGAGAGACATCCTGAGTCTGGTGAAAAGCAGTGCAATCCATCTTGAGTGTGGACCCAATGTCAGAACAGCGAGGGAACCTTTAGAACACTCCCAGAATATGTTGTTGAGAGAAATGAAAGAAATTAGCAAACCCCCTTTTAATGGGGGTAAGCTAAGGGGGAGGTTCAACTGATAAGAACATGTCAGCATTTCTAGAATGACTGAGAAAGTGCCTCCAGGACTCGATGTCCTGGGACCCCGAGGCAAAATGTGTCAGGTGGTCCTCAGCACCGACTTCATATGTCAGAGTGCCCCAGATAGCTCCAGAAAGCTCCACAAATGGCCATAGGCTCTGACATTAACCCCTCCCAGTTAGTAGAGGCAGACATCCAGGTTTTCCTTTTTTTTTTTTTTTTTTTTTTTGATATAGAGTTTGCTGTCACCCAGGCTGGAGTGCAGTGGCTCAATCTCAGCTCACTGCAACCACTGCCTTCCAGATTCAAGCAATTCTTCTGCCTCAGCTTCCCTAGAAGCTGGGATTACAGGTGTCCACCACCATACCCGGCTAATTTTTGTATTTTTAGTAGAGATGGGGTTTCGCCATGTTGGCCAGGCTGGTCTTGAATTCCCGACCTCAGGTGATCCCCCCGCCTCGGCCTCCCAAAGTGCTGGGATTACAGACATGATCCACCACACCCAGCCGACTTCTAGAGTTTCAATAACAGAGATGTGGTTCAAGAAGAAAGGGAGACATCGTTTGTGGGAGGCAGGAGCTTCACGAAAAGAGGCCAATGAAGGGCAGCACGTGTAGTTGACAACCTACGGGAAACCAGCCAGGAGCCTCCCCGCAGGGACTTCAGCACAGACGGCTGGGAAAATCTGCATTAACCTGAGCCCTGGGCCTAAGAGAGTACAAGGCCTTGACTGTTTCTGCAGACTCACAAGACGCAATCTCTGTGGTCCATGCCCATGATGCGATCTGGAAAACAGGGGGCCTTCTAAATGCCAACAACAAGGAAATCAAATGTGCAACAAACAGAAATACTGGCACTGATGTGGGCCATGGAAAGGCCTAAACAGATGACTGCAGTCCACTGCCAACGTCATCAAAGGGGTGACTGTGAAATAATAAATTTCAGACGCCACGGCCCAAATAGCTGCACGAGGTGGGGAAGTCCTCCACGTGCCTCTGCTTCCTTCAGTACCTCTTTACGAAATAAGCCGAGGTACTTCCCTGAGGAATTTCTTTTTTCTTTCTCTCTTTCGAGATGGAGTCTTGCTCTGTCACCCAGGCTAGAGTACAGTGGCACGATCTCAGCTCACTGCAACCTCTCCCTCCCGGGTTTTAGCAATTCTCCTGCATCAGACTTCTGAGTAGCTGAGATTACAGGTGCATGCCACCATGCCCAGCTAATATTTGTATTTTTAGTAGAGACAGGGTTTCACCATCTAGGCCAGGCTGGTCTTGAACTCCTGACCTCATGATCCACCCGCCTTGGCCTACCAAAGTGCTGGGATTACAGGCGTGAGCCACCGCGCCCGGACTTCTTTTTTTGTTTTTTGAGATGAAGTTTCGCTTTTGTTGCCCAAGCTGGAGTGCAATGGCACAATCTCAGCTCACTGCCACCTCCTCCTCCCAGGTTCAAGCGATTATCCTGCCTCAACCTCCTGAGTAGCTGGGATTACAGGCACCCAGCACCAAACCCAGCTAACTTTTTGTATTTTTAGTAGAGATGGGATGTCACCATGTTGGTCAGGATGGTCTTGAACCCCTGACCTCTAATGATCCACCCGAATTGGTCTCCCAAAATGCTGGGATTACAGGCATGAGCCACTGTGCCCAGCCCCTCCCATACCTCTTTTAGCCAAGGCAGTACAATTCAGAAGAACCTTGCCAGGGAAGACTGGCAAACGGACATCAACGTGATGCCTATGGCTCCTGGAGGATTTAGATACCTCCTGGTGCTCACTGATATCTTCACCAGTTACACGGGGGCTTTTCCATGCCAGACTGAAAATGCAGGAGATCACTGATCAACCTTCAACTATTCACTAGCAGAACACTGAGGGGACTGTGCAGTCACCAATACCTCCTACTGCACTTGGATAAACACCTCCCGGGAAATAGAGATGAATAGAAAGGAAATAGTCAAACAAGCAGAATGGCTGCATTCCTTCATCCAGAAGGGTCCATTAGTCTGTTTTCATACTGCTATAAAGAACTACCTGAAACTGGGTAATTTATGAAGAAAGAGGTTTAATTGACTCACAGTTCTGCAGGCTGTACAGGAAGCATGGCTGGGGAGGCCTCAGGAAACTGACAATCATGCAGAAGGCAAAGGGGAAGCAGGCACGTCTGGCCATGGTGGAGCAGGAGAGACAGAGAGAGTGAAGCGGGAGGTGCTGCACACTTTTCAACAAGCAGATCCCACGAGGGCTCACTCACTGTCACGAGAACAGCAAGGGGGACGTCGGCCCCCATGAGCCAATCACCTCCCACCAGCTCCCTCCCTCAACACTGGGAATTACAATTTGACATGAGATTTGGGTGGGGATACAGAGCTGAACCATATCAAGGGTAGTTCAACTACTGAGAGAGATAGATAGATAGATTGATTGATTGAGATGGAGTCCTGCTCTGTTACCTAGGCTGGAGTGCAGTGGCACAATCTCGGCTCACTGCAACCTCCGCCTCCCAGGTTCAAGCGATTCTCCTGCCTCAGCCTCCTGAGTAGCTGGGACTAGAGCACATGCCACCATGCCTGGCTAATTTTTGTATTTTTAGTAGAGATGGGGCTTCACCATGTTTTCCAGGCTGGTCTCGAACTCCTGACCTCATGATCACCCTGCCTCGGGTTTTCTTTTGCTGGAATTACAGGCGTGAGCCACTGCACCCGGCCAACCACTGAGATTTAGAAGGCAGTCGAGTCCACTATACCGCACCTCACCTGGTTTCTTCCTCTGCTGGGGCCCCTCGTGGCCACTGTTCTGTTACTTTTCGGCCCTATTTATTTAAATGGATGGGGAGCTGTTTGTCCTTCAGGCTCCAACACTTCCACCTTCAGCCTGTATTACAACAATACCAGCCTTTCAAGCTACTCCAGGTGACCCCAGAACTCATTTGAACTCAGAAGCCCAAGAGTTTCATTCCTCTCACTTTAGGGGACTCAGTGACCCTGGTCAGCATGAAGTCGATACAGAAGCATGACCTCCATCCCTAATCCCTCAAGAATGAGGAGTGGAAGGTGTCTGCAGGAGGGTGGGGGCACAGTTTGTAAATCTGTAACTGCATCAGACCAAATCTAGTTCAACTTTTTTCTTTCTTTCTTTCTTTTGACGGAGTTTCACTCTTGTCACCCAGCCTGGAGTGCAATGGCACGATCTCAGCTCACTGCAACCTCCACCTCCTAGGTTCAAGCGATTCTGCTGCCTCAGCCTCCGGAGTAGCTGGGATTACAAGGGTGCGCTACCGCGCCTGGCTCATATTTATATTTTTAGTAGAGACGGGGTTTCACCACTTTGGCCAGGCTGGTCTTGAACTCCTGACCTCAGGTGATCCACCTGCCTTGGCCTCCCAAAGTGCTGGGATTACACATCTCAGCTCAAGTCATCCTGAGCTGCTCGTACTTCCTCAAATGTAGCTGCTGTTACATTCATTCTCTGCCTCTCTTCTTATCTTTCTGGTGAATCCCTTTTTTCCTGGTTCACCTGTTCTATGAAGACTTTTTTTGACCAATATTGTATTTCTCAGGACTCTTGATTTTAAGGGACAGAAACCCAACACAAACTGGCTTCAGTTAAAAGGGGATGTATTCACTCATATAAACAAGGACTAGACGGAGCCACCACAGGAATGGC
Source organism: Homo sapiens (assembly GCF_000001405.40). Lineage (NCBI taxonomy): Eukaryota > Metazoa > Chordata > Mammalia > Primates > Hominidae > Homo > Homo sapiens. Next base: position 5,014,635 of record NC_000007.14, on the reverse strand, counting down.
TAGATCCAGACACTCAAACAATGCTGTCAGCTCTCTCTCTCTCTCTCACACACACTCATATGTACACGTATTTTGTCTTCTTATTATGAGTTGGTCTCATCCTTTCTTGCTAGGGGAGACTGTACTCACAGGGAACTCTAGACTTACATACAGTTTTATCACCCCAGGAGAGAGAGAGGCTTCTTTCTCCCAGTCTCAGGTTATTAAAATTATGGGAAAGGCTAAGAGTAGCCTGGCTGGTGACATGTGCCCAGCACTTGGCCCATGACTGGAGGGACAGTGTTGTGATTGACCATGCCTTGGACCCTCTTTCTTGACCTAGGAAGAAAGAATGGGTATTCCTCTTGTCAGGGAGCAGCTGTCAGATAAAAGAAGGAGTCTGTTATCACAGAAAGAGGGTAGACCACTGATGTCTCCTTCTTACCCCTCCCTCCAACTCCATTCATGTTCCCACTGCCCTCTGTGCATAGGCAAAGAAGGGGACAAAACAGATTTTGGAGTCAGATAGACATAGAGCCAGTTACTGGCTTACTGGCTTTATAGTAACTATGTGACTTTGGAGATGTTTTAAACCTCTTTGTGCCTCTGCTTTTTCATCTGTACAATGTTTTAGGGATGTGTTGTAAGGGTTAAAAACCTAGGCAGAGTATCTGCAACATAGTAGGTACTATGGCAGTCATAACAATTATATTTGACCATCTCCCCTTTCTAAACCATGACTTGGCCGGGCATGACGGCTCACACCTGTAATCCCAGCACTTTGGGAGGCAGAGGTGGGAGGATCACTCGAGGCCAGGAGTTCAAGACCAGCCTGGCCAACATGGTGAAACCCTGTCTCTACTAAAAATACAAAAATTATCCAGGCATGGTGGCGCATGCCTGTAATCCCAGCTACTTGGGAGGCTGAGGTGAGAATCGCTTGAACCCAGGAGGTGGAGGTTGCGGTGAGAGGAGATTGCACCACTGCACTCCAGCCTGGGTGACAGAGTGAGACTCCATCTCAAAAAAATAAAATAAAATAAAATAAAATAAAAATAAACCATGATCTGCTTGAGGCAGGGCCTTATTTTAGGCAAAATTTAACTTGCTTATAAGACCAGGGCTCAAATATATGATGGATTGATTTCTGTCCACTGAAACAGGATGATACTGAAAGATAAGGCAAGTTTTGCAGATGAGGGAGGCATTCAGTTCTGTCTTCTTCAATCTTGGCTTTATGATACTGGCCCATTGCCATTATGTAGTCTTCTGTTTCAAGCTCTCCAAAGCATCTCCACATCTGTTACTTGACTTCACTGTGTCACCCTGGAGGGAGGCTTCATGAACAGATCTGATGAGGGATCTACAAGACACAAAGTCAGCCAAGAATGGGCAGCAGGGGATGCTGTGGACAAGCCCCGGGAAAGCCAAGGGAAAAACTGCGGAGGTTCTGAACCTAGACCTGCCCAGCGTCCTACTGACGGACTCAGACACCTCCGGACCTGGGTGTCTGGATATTGATCGGGTACATGCTGAAGCATGCTTGCCTCCCAGGGCATCTCATCACAAATTAGGCCCCAGCTCTGGGATCTGGCCCAACGCAGGCCCTCTCCCATGTATAGGAGCTGTGGGGACAACACAGGAGGTTAATGGGAGCCTGACTAGGATCCCAGGAAATAAAGCGCTGAGGTTTGATACACTGGTGGGCACACTGTGGACAGCAGGCTGGCTGGACTGGGGCAGGTGGAGTGTTATGGGAGGTTTTGATCACGTGCCCTCGCCGAAGCCCCCGTCTCTTATATTCTTATGCTTCCTCCGGCTTCGGTTGTCAGGAGTAGGTGCTTGTAGTCTACAGAGTCGTTTATATTTGAAATCCTGCATGGATGCGTTTGGTTCCCACCGCATCCTTCCTCCCTTCCGGAAACTGTACGCTCCCCTCCTTTGGAGACTGTCACTTCTCCACTCCATGGGGTTCTAGCGGGGCTGCCAATCACAATGCGCTCACATCTCCACCCTGACCCCACCCCCCAGCCCACCCAGCCACTGCAGGTGGGAAAGACCAAGGGCTTGTCAGAAGGCAGACCTTGAAGGAGAAGACCCTCCCAGTAGGGAGGTTAGGAATGTGCTCAAAATCCAGGCTCAGATGTCTTCAAAAGCCTGGAGAGATGTCACCCACCAGGCACGGCGGTCTTTGGCAACACATGTGGGACAGAGCTATAGACTAAAGAGTGTTCTGTCCCATTCTCTTGTGGAGGACAGAGCAGGGGAGAGTAGAGCTCCTTCCAAATTCGAATTTCCCTTTCTCCTCTTCACGGCAGGGAGTCCGACCTTTGTGTTCCTCCATCAAGTGGAATTTGTGCTGCAGGGTAGACAGCGAAAGCTGCTGAGACATAACCTTTTTCCCCCCTTCTTTCTTTTTGTGAAAGGCAAAACTCCTCAAAGTCCCAAACTGTTAAGAGAGTTAGGTGCCCCAGGAGGAGAGGGGAGAGACATGATGCCTTCAGGGCAGCAGCAGAAGCAATGGAAGGATGGATGAGGAACCCTGCAAAGAGGAGAGAGCTCTGGGGTCTGTGAAGAGCAGGGAGCTGAGACCCAGCTCACTATGTTACGGGTTGTGTGTTGCTGGATCCAGCAGGTAACAGCTTGCTGGACTGAGCGTTAAAGTCTCAAGAGTTTTACAAACTGGTTGACTTTACTTTTTAAATTGGCTTTATTGAGGTACAATTTACATACTTGGAAGCAGCTATGGCGGAAGTGTTTTTACACCATGGAGAATGGCACGTGCTACAACTCAGGACTTTCTTGCTGCCCCAAAGCCAGCTGCTAAACATTTACCAGCACACCACCGAACTTAAGAGTGGCTTCTTCCAGTCTTATCATCCACATATGGCTTCTTCCTGGGGGACAATGAGTGACAGGAATGGGAGAGAGAGGGCCAGAAAGTATGTTACACCAACAGCACGCCCCCGAAAATGGACTGGAGGTTCTTCATGGAAACAAAGAATGGAGATAGAGGGGCTCCCTCTACCTTCCTTCCTTCCTTTTTCTTTTTTTACTCCATAATAATGACTATACTGAAGATTTCAGGAAAGAATAGGAGGCATCAGAGTGGTGGTTGAGAGTAAGGCTTTGGAGTCAGATGGCATTCGGGTTCCCACGGCAGCTCAGCCACTCTCGAGCTGTGTGGTGTTGTATAAAGTGGAGCAAGGTCAGAGTGAGAAATATCGTGATGTGTATTTAGGGTAGAAGCCAGTCCACTCTGGTCATGTGAGCTCTGTCGAGGATCTTCATTGGCCACAGAGTCCTCTTTTCATCTTCTCTGAGCCACTGCAATGAATGAATGGTGGTAGGCGTCCACAAACCTGCTGCACAAAATATGGATAGGATTTAGGTGATATCTTGACAATTCAAGCAGAACCAGGTTTCAACAGTCCAAGAGGCAGTTGTCTCCTTCTTCTAGGCACATCTGAAAACGAAATGCCAAACGGGAGGTCCTGTCGCGAATGTTGGTCCTTCGGTTCTTTATGACGGAGTGGGTAGATCCCATGGACTGTCTGAATGTCAGTTTCCTCTTCCATAGGGTAGAAATGACAGGATAGCCTCATTATCTTTTGTGAATCCACATTAAAAGGCCCAGAACCGTTGCAAATTTGTTACTGAAACTTTCTGGAGTTCCCCAGTTGGATCCAATTAGGATCATTACTGAGGTGGTTGCCTCCCCTCAGCTGAAAGAAAAATGCCACCGTTAACCTGTAATCATTCACAACAAGCCCAAAGGAAAAGTCCTTGGCCTAGGTCCTAACAGGGCTATTAAAGCTATTTTCCTATTCAGCTGCTTAGACTCGGGGTGAATAACCCGGTAATTTTCTACTGCTTCTCCCCACGGAATGTAAAGGACCAAGAGTGAACTTGTTTTCCTCTGGGTAGATACCTAGTAGTGGGATTGCTGGATCAAACGGTAGATCTATTTTTAGTTCTTTAAGGAATCCACATACCGTTTTCCACAGTGGTTGTACTAGTTTACATTCCCACTAACAGTGTGAAAGTGTTCCCTTTTCAACACATCCACACCAACAACTATTATTTTTTTATTTCTGATTATGGCCATTCTTGCAGGAGTAAGGTGGTATCGCATTGTGGTTTTGATTTGCATTTCCCTGATCATTAGTGATGTTAAGCATTTTTCCATATGCTTGTTGGCCATTTGTATATCATCTTTTGAGAACTGTCTATTCATGTACTTAGCCCACTTTTTGATAGAATTGCTTGTTTTGTTCTTGCTAATTTGTTTGAGTTCTTTATAGATTCTGGATATTAATCCTTTGTTGGACGTATAGATTGTGAAGATTTTTCTCCCACTCTGTGGGTTGTCTGTTAACTCTGCTGATTATTTCTTTTGCTGTGCAGAAGCTTTTTAGTTTAATTAACTCTCATCTACTTATCTTTTTGTTGCATTTGCTTTTGAGTTCTTGGTCATGAAATCTTGCCTAGGCCAAAGTTTAGAAGGGTTTCTCCGATGTTATCTTCTAGAATTTTTATGCTTTCAGGTCTTAGATTTAAGTGTCTGATCCATCTTGAGTTGATTTTCGTATAAGGTGAGAGATGAGGATCCAGTTTTATTCTTCTACGTGTGGCTTGCCAATTATCCCAGCAGCATTTGTTGAATAGGGTGTCCTTTCCCCACTTTAAGTTTTTGTTTACCTTGTCGATGATCTGTTGGCTGTAGTATTTGGCTTTATTTCCGCGCTCTTTATTCTGTTCCACTGGTCTGTCTATTTTTATACCAGTGGTACACTTTGGAAAAAATTTTTATCGTAATTACCAAACTTGAAGTTACATATAACTTACAATTCAACAACCCCATTCATAGGAATATACCCAACAGAAATAGGTACACATGTTCTCTAAGAGACATATACATGAATGTTCATAGCAGCTCGATTTTTAATTATCTCAAACTAGAAACTGGCTTAAAGTCTGTCAATTTAAGAATGAATAAACAAAGTGGTATGCTCAAAAAAAATATTGAGCAAAGAGTAACAACAGCGACACATAACACTCTTTTTTTTTTTTTTTTTTTTTTTTCTGAGATGGAGTCTTGCTTATCACCCAGGCTGGAATGCAGTGGTGCTATCTCAGCTCACTGCAACCTCCATCCGGGGTTCAAGTGATTCTCCTGCCTTAACCTCCTGAGTAGCTGGGATTATAGGCATGTGTGGCCATTCCCGGCTGATTTTTGTATTTTTAGTAGAGACAGGGTTTCACCATGTTGACCAGGCTGGTTTCGAACTCCTGGCCTCAGATGATCTGCCTGCCTAGGTGGATGGGATGCAGATGCAGTCCAGGCACAAAGAGGCTGAACTCAAGTACACAGACACCCTCGATTGCTGGAGGACCATCTTCAGAGAGGAAAGGGGCAAAGCTTTCTTCAAGGGTGTGTGGTCCTCAGAAACAGGGACCTGCTGGTCCTGTAGGATGAGCTGAAGAAAATCACCTAAATGCATCTGTCTCCCCAGTAAAAGAATCAAGAGACTCATGAAGAATACTTCTCTTTCTCTCTCTCTCTCTCTCCCCCGCTTCTCCCTCTCTCTCTCTTTTTCTATTCCCAGGCTCAAGTGATCCTCCCACCTCAGCCTCCCGAGTAGCCAGGATTACAGGTGAGTGCCACCAGCCTGGCTAATTTTTGTATTTTTTGTAGAGACGGGGTTTCGCCATGGACAGGCTTAAAATACTTAACTGTTACAGATCACTGACCGAAAAATTGTAATTGTCTTTATCCTGGCCAGTTGGTGTCTGTAGAGGGTTGCAGAAGGCTCTAGAAAAGGAGCTCATTGTGATCACGTGTGACCATTGGCACTTGATGCCACGTATTGATCACTGAGATGAAGGGGGGAATGATGACATCATTGTGGGCCCAAGCGGGAGTCAGCTCCACTACCCAGACCTACAGTCCAGATACTTGTAGGACCTGAGTTGTGTTTAAGTATTTATTAAAAATAAAAGAATCATGTCTCCTGTTTGTGCTTAAGTGCTAGCAACTCTTTTGCACAGTGGAATATTTGCGATTATGTTCTATGTTGGGCACTCTGCTGCAAAATACTGAAAACAGGACATGGGGGGAGAAAACCATGTTGCTGAGTGGAACAAGCCAGTCCATAAGAATAAATATTGTGTAACTTCATTTATATAAAATTCAAATGCAGCGATAGAGAGTAGGACGATGGTTACCAGAGGCTGGGAAGGGTAGTGGAGGTGGTTGTGGGTGGTGGGCATGGTTAATGGGTACAAAAAAATAGAATGAATAAGACCTAGTATTTGATAACATGACAGAGTGATTATAGTCAATAATAATGTAATTGTACATTTAAAAATAACTAAAAGAGTATAACTGGGTTGTTTGTAACACAAAGGATAAATGCTTGAGGGGATGGACACCCCATTTTATATGATGTGATTGTTAAATGTAGCATGCCTGTATCAAGACATCTCATGTACCCTATAAATATATACACCTACTATGTACCTACAAAAACTAAAATTAAAATTTTTTAAATTTAAATACAGGCAAAGAACAACTATTGTGTTTGGGGTTCCATGGTTATGAGATAAAACTATAAAGAAAAGCAAGGAAATAATTATCACTGAAGTTAAGGTAATAATTACTTTGGAAAGGAAATAGGCAGTGATTGGGAGGAATCACCAGTGAGATTCCTGGAATATTGGCAATTTTGTATTTCTTGACCTGGGTGTTGTTTTGTGATATCTCATCAAGCTGTTTTGTACACATTACTGCCTGCACATTAGACTGACCCAGGAAGAAGTAGAAAGATTGGATAAACCAATAACTAGAGAGGAAACTGAAATGCTAGGCGAGACCTACTTTCCAAAAGGGACCAGATCCTACGACTCTATGGCTAGGGTCTATCAGGCTTTTAAGGAAGAAATATTTCCTCCCTTATACACATGTTACTGTGCTAACACCACCCTATACCAGAGCTAATGAGGAGAGCACAAGAAATAAAATACAGGCTAAGCTCATTTATAGAAAGATACCAATGTTCTACATACAATACTAGCAAATCCAATCTAGCAATTTATCAAATGCATAATGATCACAACCAAGTCAAGTGTATTTCAGGAATGAAAGGGTTTTCCAACACCAGAATATCTATAATGTAATCCACCAGAGACGTGAAATAAAGGAGGAAGATGATACGAACACTAACTTGGTGGATGCCATAGAAGCATTTCTATGTGGTCTGTCCATACAATGAGAAATTATTCGGCCATAACAAGGAATGATGTACTGATACATAATACAGCATAGAGGAACCTTGAAAACACACTATTGAAAGAAGCTAGACACAAAAGGTCACATATAGTATGATTCCATTTCTATGAAATGTCCAGAATAGTCAGATGTATGGAGACATAATTATTCTATACCAGCAATAACAAAAAAACTCCTCAACCCAGTGAGGTTCCAGAAATGCAGGCATGGTCCATTATTAGGAATTGTACCAGCTGGGCGCGGTGGTTCATGCCTATAATCCCAGCATTTTGGGAGGCCGAGGTGGGTGGATCACCTGAGGTCAGGAGTTCGAGACCAGCCTGGCCAACCTGGTGAAACCTCGTCTCTACTAAAAATACAAAAATTAGCCAGGCATGGTGGTGGGCACCTATGATCCCAGCTACTTGGGAGGCTGAGGCAGGAGAATCGCTTGAACCCGGGAAGCGGAGGTTGCAGTGAGCCAAGATCGAACCACTGCACCCCAGCCTGGGTGACAGAGTGAGACTCCTCCAAAAAAAAAAAAAATGGAATTGTACCAATGTGCTACTATATTAACAGATTGAAGGAAAAAGTATAGTCATCACAGTAGATACTGAAATGCCATTTAGCAAAATTGAGCATTCATTCCTGATTTAACAAACAAACCAAAATCAAAACAAAAACCAGAGTCTTAGTATCTTAGAAATAGCTAGATTATTTTTGCCATTATAAAAGTTCAGCATCATACTTTAATCTCCATTAAAGTAAGAAAGAAGATATTATGCTACACAGATGTATATATTTTTTAATAAAAAATTTTAATTAAAAAGTTAACATGTACCATATGGCACTTTGAGGAAGTATGTGTTTAGTTTAGTTTTGTTTTGTTTTTTGAGACAAAGTGTTGCTGTGTTACCCAGGCTGGAGTCCAATGGCATGATCTCGGCTCACTGCAACCTCCACCTCCTGGGTTCAAGCGATTGTCCTGCCTCAGCTTCCCAAGTAGCTGGGACTACAGGTGCCTGGCACCAGGCCTGGCTAATTTTTATATTTTTAATAGACACAGGGTCTCATCATGTTGGCCAGGCTGGTCTCGAACTCCCGACCTCAAGTGATCCACCCGCCTTGGCCTCCCAAAGTGCTGGGATTACAGGCATGAACCACCGCTCCTGGCCAGAAGTATGTGCTTAAAAGACATGTAAGAATATACTATAAAATCAAAAATGTTAATACGTTAACAACTACAAAATCTTTAGATTATAAGGAGACTCCAATTCCAAATCGTAGAACAAAGATTCTGGTTACAACCAGGATGGTTACCGTGGTTTACACTTTGGGGGGAACTGGAACACTCTGAGCCATCCCAAAGTGATGATGTGCCAACAAACGAACGATTTGATTATATAAGTAACACACATTCACTGTAGAAAAAGTAGAGACTAGCAAGAAGCAAAACAATAAAAAGGAAGCCCTGTAATCCCACGACCCATTAGATAACCATCAGTAACTTTTTCCTTTCTTTTTTTGAGTCAGTGTCTCACTCTGTCACCCAGGCTGGAGTGCAGAGGCACCATCTTGGCTTATTGAAGCCCTGACCTCTCAGGCTAAGTGATCCTCCCACCTCAACCTCTCAAGTAGCTGGGACCACAGTCACACACCACCACGCTGGGCTAATTTTTAAAATTTTTTGTAGAAATAGTGGGCAGTCTCTCTATGTCACCCAGGCTGGTCTCAAATTCCTGGCCTCCAGTGATCCTCCTCCCTCAGCCTCCAAAAGTTCTGGAATTACAGGCCCATCAGTAACCTTTTAAAGTAAGATATTATACTTTAATAATGTTTTGGAAATCCTAACCAGTACAATTAAGAAAATAATTTAAGAGTTAAAATGACCTCTTATGTTAAGGAGGATTTATTAATTTAAATGGTATCAAATAATAACTAGAAACCTGATGAAAATAGGCCAAAAAGAAATGTTAGGAGTCTGGGGGAGATTGCAAAAACAGCTCCAATCTTTTGCAGCTCTTCTCAGAAATGAAGTATATTTCTTCACACTAGGAGCTCAACCATGTGACTTTCTTTAGAACAATGGGACATTAGCAAACATGATGCAAGCAGAAGCCTGAAAAGTGTTTGTGTGTTGGGACTTGCCCTTTTTTACCATTTTAAGAGACTGAGGCCACTGCTCTGTGAATGGGCCTAGGTTGGCCCCGGCATGATGAGAAACACACAGCCTCTTCATCCCTGTTGCTCCAGCTGACACAGGACCAACTACCAGACATCTGAGGGAAGCCACTCTCCTCTATCAAGGCCAATTAAAGTGCCAGGTTTCTGCAGAAATAAACCGAGTTGGCCCACAGAGTTGAGAAATAACGTTTCTTATTTTAAGACACTAAGTATTGGGTGGTTTGTTTTGCCAGAAAAGCTAACAGAAATTATAAGACAATTTTAGTAGTTACTTTTTGTATAATTACTGTACAAAATGGCTAGTTAGAAAATACAGTGAAAGAAAAGATCCCATTTAAATAGCAATACTATCATCAATTTATCTGAAAATAAACTTAACTAGAAATAGGCAGGACCATATAAAGAAAATATAAAATCTCTATTAAGGGGTATTAATTCTTGCTAAATTTAACCTATCAACTCAGTGTGATAGGTTAAATAAAAACATTTAAAAATTTCTTTTCAACATTTTACAAGATAATATTGGGTTCATCTGTAGAAATAAACAAGAAAGAATAGCCAGGAAGAAAATCTCAACAGAAAGATATTAGGCGAGAGGAGGCAGTTAGATTAAATATTTAAATATATTTTGAAGTTACCAGAATTAAAACATTTAAGCTGGGTGGGGTGGCACGCACCTGTAGTCCCAGCTACTTGGGAGGCTGAGGCAGGAGGATGGGTTGAATCCAGCCTGAGCAACATAGTAAGACTCCATCACTAAAATAAGTAAATAAGTGAAAAAAAACCGAGTTTGATTCTAGCAAAGATTTAGATAGATAATGGAATAAAATAGGAAATCCAGAAATAAACTGAGAATTTAGTAGATGATAATGGTGACATTTCTGATCCATCAGAGGAAAGATGAATTATTCAGAAAACAGTGTTGAGACTATGGCAGGACTATCTGGGAGAAAAAAAGAGTCAAGCTGTATAACTCTACTTCTTTCATCAAAGTAAATTCCATAAAGAGTATGATGTAAAATGTTAAAATGAAACTCTAAAAGTACTAGCAATAAAGAAGTCAGACACAAAAGGCCACATACTTTGATTCTATTTCTATGAAATGTCTTGGGAATCCATAGAGACAAAGATTAGTGGTTGACAGGGACTTGGGGGACATGAAAATGGGAAATGATCACTTAATGGGTGGAAGGTTTCTTTTGAGGGTGATGAAAAAAATATAAAATTAGATAATGGCAAAGATTGTACAACTGTGAATATACTGAAATCACTGAATTGCATACTTTAAAAGGGTACATTTTATATGTGAATAATGTTTTAATAACACTCTTACTAAAAAAAAAAAAAAAAAAAAAAAAGAAAGCCAGAGGCGAAGGAGTCCATAGGAGGCTCTGACCCACATAGTGAGGTCGGGAAGGTTGTCTGCAGAAGGAAGAGGAGGACAGGGTCTGAAAAGGTGTTTCATGGCAGTAGATGTTTTGCAGGTGAGAAAGGGGGCAGGAAAATTAACTCTCTTGGCTCTGAGTACCCTGTGACTCTGTCTCTTTCCAGGACTTAAGAACTTTGCATGCACTGGACAATAATTTTGAATTTAATGAGTGGTTTTTGAGTAAAATAAATGCTAGAAGAAAACAAGGGTGAATTTATTTATAATATTGTTATGAAGACTTTGTAAGCATGGCATAAAACTCAGAAACCATATAGAAAATAATTGATGTTTGCTTAGAAATAAAGTTTTATATTTAAAAACCATATACATATGATTATAGTTTCATAGTTACATTTTTAAAAAATTTTGTCTTTAGAGATAAACACTGAAAATACTTGTGGATGAAATGATGTCTGGGATCTGCTTCAAAATAATTTTTTATTAAGAGACAGGGTCTTACTCTGTCACTCAGACTGGAGTACAGTGGTACAATCATAGCTCACTTAACCTCTAACTCTTGGGCTCAAGTGATCCTCCCTCCTCAGCTTCCCGAGTAGCCGAGACTACAGGTACACACCACCACACTCAGCTAATTTTTTTAGAGATGGGGTCTCACTATATTGCCCAGGCTGGTCTCCAGCTCCCGGCTTCAAGTGACCCACCTACCTCCACCTCCCAAGTGCTGGGGTTACAAGTGTGAGCCACCATGCCTGGCCCTTAAAATAATTTGAGGTGTGGTGGAGATTAAATCTGGTAATGGGTATACAGAGTACTCTTTCTCTACTTTTTTAATATATTTGATGTATATATTTTTATATTTTGGATTTTTCCATAATAAAAAGTAAAAAATAGGCCAGGCGTGGTGGCTCACACCTGTAATCCCAGCAGTTTGGGAGGCCAAGGCAGGCGGATCATTTGAGATCAGGAGTTCAATACCAGCCTGGCCAACATGGCAAAACCTTGTCTCTACTAAAAACACAAAAAAAATGAGCCGCAGTTGGTGGCACACGCCTGTAATCCCAGCTACTCAGGAGGCCGAGGCAGGAGAATTGCTTGAACCCAGGAGGTGGAGGTTGTAGTGAGCTGAGATCGCGCCACTGCACTCCAGCCTGGGTGATGGAGTGAGACCCTGTCTCAAAAAAATATATAAAGAAAATAAAAAGTAAACAGCAAGAAGAAAGATCTATGTACAAAGTAAAAAGATAAATAAACTGGGAACAGATATTTGCAGCATAAGATATTAAAAGGGCGAATTTCTTAATTTATTAAGAACGCATACAAATTACTAAGAAAAAGACAGCCCCAAAGAAAACAGTGGGTAAAGATAACAGGTGGAACAAAAAAAAAAAAAAGTCGCCAATAAATCTGTGAAACGGTGACCAGTCTTACTTATATATGCAAAGGAGAACAATAACCAGATTCCTCTTCCATGGAGTAAACTGGCAACATGAAGAGGCTGGATAGTAGGCAGGATTGGTGAGGGTGGGGGAAGGGCGGTTGGACCTACTTGCTGTGGTGGGAGTGAAGGTTATCACCTTTTAGAAGGATATTTTCAGAATATCTGTCTGCAAATTTAAAATACATACCTCCATACAGTGAATATAATATTATTCAGCCTTAAAAGGAAGGAATTTCTGATACATGCTGTAACATGCATGAACCTTGAGGACATTATGCTAAGTGAAATCAGCCAGTCACAAAAAGTTACAAATGATTCTGCTTCTACGAAGTAGCCATAGTAGTCAAAATCATACAGATAGAAAATACAATGGTGTTTGCTAGCGGGAGGGACACGGAGGGCAGTGGGGAGAGTGGGGAGTTCATGTTGAATGGGTATACAGTTTCAGTCCGAGATGAGGAAAAGAGTTCTGGACATGGCTGGTGGTGAGGGTTGCACAACAATACGAATGTACTTAAAACCACTCACCTGCACACTGAACAAATGATTCGGATAGTAATTTTTAGGTGTGTTTTGCCACAATGAAAAAAAAAATTAAGACAGGCACAGTGGCTCACTCCTGTAATCCCAGCACTTTTCGGAGGCTGAGGCGGGCAGGTAACTTGAGGTCAGGAGTTCGAGAGCAGCCTGGCCAACATGGTGAAACCCCGTCTCTACTAAAAATACAAAAAAATTAGCCGGGTGTGGTGGCGGGCACCTGTATTCCCAGCTACTCGGGAGGCTGAGGCAGGAGAATTGCTTGAACCTGGGAGGCAGAAGTTGCAGTGAGCCGAGATCACACCACTGCACTCCAGCCTGGGTGACAGAGCAGCACTCTGTCTCAAAAAAAAAGAAAGAAAGAAAGAGAAAGAGAGAGAGAGAAAGAGAAAGGAAAGAAAGAAACAAAGACAGGCAGACAGACATACCCCTTGACCAAGTGCTCAAAAAAAAAGAAAGAAAAAGAGAGAGAAAGAGAAAGAAAAAAACAAAGACAGGCAGACAGACAGACATACCCCTTGACCAAGTGATTCCACTGCCAAACATTTAGCTTAGGTTACACAAGAAAAAATATGCCAAGCATGTTGATTTCTATAGCTCTAACAGCAAAATCTTCAAACAACTTGAATGGCCAACAATGGTGAATTCACTAAATAATGATGTAATACCATATAGCACACTACTCCGTAGAGATTTTGAAAAGGTAGTTTGAGCTCTGAGATATATGACTATGTAACCAAGGCAATGGCACATCACAGAATGTGTACTGTACGACCCATGTGTACACATAAAGTGTGTGTGTTGCGTATATATGCGATAAATTATGAGTAATTTCTATATAATCATGCTTTTCTGCAGTCACAAATAAATTGTTAATAGTGGGAAGAGTATGGATGGTGGTAGTGATAGTAAGACTTTTAAACCTTTTTGTAGTGCTTGGACTTTTTATTTTTATTTTTTTTATTTTTTGAATGTAATTCAAAATAATTTATTTTTTGAATGTAATTCAAAATAATTTATTTGAATGTAATTATGTTTATTTATTTATTTAGAGACAGCCTTGCTCTGTCACCCAAGCTGGAGTGCAGTGGTGCCATAGCTCACTGTAGCCTCCAACGCCTGGGCTCAAGAGATCCTCCCGCCTCAGCCTCCTGGGCAGCTGGGACTATAGGCATTCTTCACCACATCCAGCATTTTTAATATTTTAAGTTTTTTAAAAAAGTGACATTTTGTACTCAGAGGCTGTAAGCTTTGTCATGGTTTACAAGACGTATTTCTATTTGGATATTTTATCTAACCACTTTAAAAAAAATTTACATTTCCTCATGCCGCCTTGTCTAAAATCATAATGTTAAACCTTATTTTTGTCTTTCTACACATTTCTTCAGTTTTTCCTCTCTCCTTCCATTCTCTCTGGGTGCTCACTTTCCTGATTAGCTTAACTGCCTGTGGCTGTTACACACTGTGTTGGGATGTCTTTGGAATGGCTGCCTTCCTGCTGGGGTGACTTAATTCCCTGGAGGTCGCCATCTTCAGACTTTTTGTAGCACTCCTTGCATCTGGTACATGCATAGCATGTGCTGAAAATTTTTTCTTGGTCATGATGGACCCTCTTCCCTTGAAAGCCTCAAAGCTGCAGTCTTGGATTCTTTGTTCCTGGCACCTCAACCTGCACCTCTTTTTTACCCCTCAGTTTTTAGGAGTATCAAGTCCACCTCAAGTGGTAAGCCTAAATTCGATTTTTTCTTTTTTTTTTTTTTTTTTGAGACAGGGTCTCACTCTGTCATCTAGGCTGGAACACAGTGGCATGATCATAGCTCACTGCAGCCTGGGCTCAAGCAATCCTCCCTCCTCAGTCTCCTGAGTAGCTGAGACTATAGGTTCACACCACCACGCCTGGCTTCTTTCTTTCTTATTTTTTGTAGAATGAGGTCTCACTATGTTGCCAGGGCTAGTCTTGAACTCCTGGGCTCAACTGATCCTCCCACCTCGGTCTCCAAAGTGCTGGGATTACTTACAGGTGTGAGCCACTGCACCTGGCCCTGAGTTTCTTACTATGTGGGTGTCCTCTTAACTTTTCACATGTGCTTTCCACATCTTTGATCTTTTAACTGCCTTCTCCAAGTGCACAAAATAGAGAAAAGAGCCCTGGAAGGTGGGGCCAGGAGACCAAAGTTTAACCCAGCTCTGCCACCAGTATACTGAGTGGCTCTAGGCCCAGGTCCTCCTCTATGTCGTGAACATGAGCGCTAGACCCTGCCCCACATACTGCCACTGCCAGTGCTGGTGCTTGGCAAAGATCACCACACCCTCCTCTTTACCCATGATTCATACCTTCAGTTGTCCCCCCTCACCCGAATCTTTCTTTCAATCCATCAGCCTTTTAAGATATTAGTCTATTTTCCAGGCTTTGTTGTTTAGCTCTTGTTCCACCTTTCCTGCCTTAACCTCTTATGTCCTTTTGATTCTTTCAATCAATATTCCAAAGCATAAAAACAACCTAGTTTCTACTTCTTTTTCCCCCTCTTCATTGAAACTACAACTCAAAACCACCACCCTCTTGAAGAACTTTATGAATGAGTAGATGTATCACCACCTTGAGAAGCAGAGACAAAGCTTGGTAGGACAGAAAGGACACGAGCCTCAGAGTGACAAGGATCAGAACTGAATCCCCCTCATGATCCAGTCTCAGTTCCTTCATCTGCATAATGCATACAGTAACAGTTTACACCGCCCCGCCCCACCTAGTCAGAGCCGACAATGCAGCTTGTCCCCAGGATCCATTCCCTTCATAGGTGACACTCCTGCCCCCAAGCCCTCTGGTCATCCTTCTCCGACGCCCTAGGCTCCCACTAGCTGCACCTCATGGCTCTCCCCACTCTGTTCCGGCTTCTCAATGAATCAAAGCTCCCTGTGGACAAACAACAGGGAGATGTGGGGGAAGAGGCCAGCCAAGGAAATGGAGGGAGTTGAAGGGCAGTTTTTTAGTTCCATTCTATACAAAGCTGTAATTCCCACCCCCAACACACAAATACCTACTCTCTCTCCCTATCCCTTTCCCTTTCTCTTTTAGCGCTTAACGCTGTCTGATATACTCAATGTTTTACTCATCCTGGTTTTTGTGTCTCCACCAGAATAGTAACAGAGCTGAGACTATCCTGGATGCCATCGCAGCGGTGACTGGAACCTTTTCTTCTCTATCTCAAGTGACTTTTCTGTCCCTTGTTTGTCCAAACCACAGACCTCCTAGAACAGCAAAAGGTTCCACTTCCCCAGCACCATCACCCACCACATCTGCATCTCCTAAGGCACCTCATCACTTAACCTCTCAGAGCTCCCAGCAAAAAGACCTTTCTTCACCAGGCTCCTATATTCACTTCCTGGCCCTAAATGTGTCTGTGGCCACTCCTGCTGGGCCCAGCAGCAGAGCTCGTGGTGAAGAGGATGCACTAAGTCAGCCCAAATCTGGATTCCGACCTCCAGCTGAGCTGTCAACCCCAGGCTGGCTCACCAGCTCCTGAAACTTTACAAGGTTGAGAAGCCCCACCTAAGCCAGTCCTCTCTGTTCCGTGGACCTTGACTGATTTTGAGAGGTAGATTTTATGTCCCTGACCTCTTCCAGTTCAGGTTCTGAACTCCGTAGATTTTGTTTGATGACACAGACTAGGTTAGAGGATTTCATGAGGCTTTAATCATAACCTAATAATACTGTTAAAAACAACACATCTGTCACTTGCAGAGACCCACAGGGACACACATTCTCTTCCTCTCACATAGACTCTGAGGTAGGAGGTACACTGGCTAAGGAATAAAAAATACTCAGTGGCTGTGCAAGGCTCAGACCAGGCTCACAAGGCTCTTGGTTGAAAAGCAGCCCCTTGAGAGCAAGAGCAGAGGCCAGGCCAGCTTCACTGAGATCCCAGAGGTTCTGACTGGGGCTGCCCAGAGTTGGGCATCCCTGACTTCCGGCATTTGAGATCTAACCCGGGACTGGTTGGTGCAAGTAGGGGATGAAGCTAAGGTGGTAGCTGGTCTTGTTCCAGGTTGCAAGGATAGAATGATGTTCCTAGCACATAAACTGCTCTCGGTGAAGATTTGTTTCACGAATTGAATGAATGGTGTGGGGGAGGGGAGGAAGAATTCTAGAGGACAGTCCCTGTGGCCTTCTAGCCCAGGATAGGGGAGCTAAGGGGTGGGGAAGCCCCTATACCAATCATTTTAGAGGTGGCCAGGGAGGGAGGTGAAAGTTTTGGGGCACCAGCTATACCAATGGCAGGGGGAAAAGAAAAGGTAGTCGTCTTTCCTCCCAAAGTGTCTTGTACGTAATTGGGGCTCTTGACCCTGCAGGGCCCAGCCCTTCTCATCTTGTTCACTGTGAACTCCTTGAAGGCAGGCCTCTGCCCCACTCAGCACCATCCCTGGTGCACGGCCCAGCAGAGGCATCCCACTCTTGCTGAGTGCATGGAGGCCACAGCAGCATCGTTAGCTTATCCTCGCCTGCCTTCTGCCAGCAGTCACTCTCCATCTCTGCTGGCTGGGTCTGATCCTGCTTCAAAGGACGCCGTTCACCTCTCCCTTCACTGGCGAAGCAGCCTCAGCCTTACCCTTGGGAAAAAAGTTCTGTGCTAACTGGGTCTGAGGCAGCTGATACCCCTCTGAGGAAAGTAGACTCTGGGTCCTGTCCACCTGGTCAGGGTTGGGCTCCCAGCATCAGCTAGGGTGCAGCCAGCAGTAGCACACAAGCCACAGAGCCAGGCCCAGAAAGAAGCATCCGCCTCCTACAGGCAGCCACAGCTGCAGTGGAATCCTGCTGGGCAGCCAGGAGCTGTAAGTCACCCAGGTGGCCACCAGGAGAATGCTGTCACTCAGGAGGAAAGCCAAGTGGATGGTGGCCCGGCCTCGGGTGTGGCCCTCAGCCACGTTGAACCAGGAGAAATAGAGGATACTCGGAACTGGGGTCCAGCATGAAGTCTGTGCCTTGAAGCCAAACCCAGAGCAGCAGTACCAGCCACAGGCCCAGGAAATGCAGGGCTACATACTGGGGAAGAGGGCTGAGAACAGGGCCACAGCTAGGACTCGGGGCCACAGTAGCAGCAGGTTCCACAGGACGTAGATCACAGAGGAGCCCAGGCCCAGGAGGGGCTTGGAGGGGAGGCAGGTGTGCAAGGCCTGGTGGTAATCGAGCAGTGCCCACGAGATGCCCAGGAAGGATGTGCAGATGCCAACCCCTGCAAGGAGTAGGAGGGAACAGTGAGTCCAGGAGCCAGCCTGCTTGGCATTCCCCAGGGGTCGCGGGCACCGTGGGGGCCCTCCCAGCAACCCTGGGGTAGGTATTAGAATCCCTCGTTTGTTGAAGGCAAATCTGAGGCTGGAGAAGACCCAGCGAGTTCCCGTAACCAAAAACAAAGCTACGACTCCTAACATGGAACCTGCCCCTCACCACAGTGCTTTGCTGCACAGGTGCTATATCCAGGTGGTATTTGTCAAAGATGAGAGGGTGTGACTTGTGGCCCACCCAGCACTCAGCACCCCTGGGCCTTGGCTGCACCCTGGGCGTCTTCCAGGGCCCCATAACCCTTTCTTTCTGGGAAGAACACAAGCCTTTCTTGTGTCTGAAAATCAACAGTCTCAGTTCCCTCTTTCTTAGTCTCAAAAAGGGAGTAGAAAATCCCATGGGGTGGCAACAGGCTCTGGCTAAAGCTGCCCTCAGGGCCAGGAAAGATGTCCCTGCTGTGTGGACAGAAGGTCTCCCCACTCCCCTTCCCTCCCCTCCAAGACCAAAGGCCATCGGACTGACCCCTAGTCTTGATTTTCCAAGATCCAGAAGTTTACAACAGGGGTCCTAGGGTCCTATCCCATCTCCTGGTTGTCCCATCCTGGAGCAGAGGCACAAGGGCCTCCAAGGAGGGATGCAAGTGGCACCGGCACATCTCCTGACTGCTTCCTCCCGTCCCCGTCCATCCCAGTCACTCGACAGACGTTTACTGGAAACCTATTAGGCGCCCAGAACCCACACCTAGCCTGGAAACAGAGCTGTGCCTGTTACCCTCACCCAGGTCTCAGCAGGGCTGATGTTCTTCCAGTTTCCCCAGCATGCCACCTTCCGTGACCTTGACAAGCTCTGCCCAGGCTGTTAGGTCACCAAAAGCACATGCCTCACTTCCCTGGCCTACTCCTCCATTACCCCACAGGCCCCACCCTGACCCCACGCCACCCACTCAGCTGTGTCAGGTATCCCTGTAACATGCCACCCACCTCTGTCTGGAGTCTCATCACACAGTAATTATCTATTTCCTTTTCTCTGAGCTCCTCGAGGGTAGAAAACAGACTCTGCTCACTTGGGATCCCCCAGCAGCCCAGTACCTGGCACATAACAGCAGCGAAAGAGAGGTTTGCTAAATAAAAAGTAGGGAAAATCTGTTTCGCCCCCTTACCCCCTGCCATACATGCAGTGCAGACTGTCTGCACTTGGCCCTGGTTCTAGACCTCCCCCACCCTCAACAGACAAAAACATGTGCCCAGTGAGTGCCCAGTGACCCAGAGCAAGTCACTCACCTTTCTGCACCTCTTTAAAAATGGAGATCAACCTAGCACAAACCTATAGGGCTGCTGTGAACATGAGCAATGATGACTGTAAGTGCTTCCCACCGGGCCTGGCTAATAGCTGGCACCTGGCTAACAGTGACAGCTGCTATTATTGTTTTTTCAATCAATACATAGACTCAGACTAACAAGATGAAAGGGCCCTTGGAGATTGAGTCCAACCTCCATCTTCCACAGGAAGGCTCTCCGGGTCACACAGCAAGTGACGGTAGAATGAGGACTGGTTCCTTGAGAGGCTCTGGCATTTATGGCAGCGGTGGAGGAAGGCAAAGGGGAAGGCTTGGACCCTGAGTTGGATGTGGGTGGGGGCCCTCTTTAGCTTGGCCACTGTCTGAGTCTGTGAAAACAGGCAAGTCACCTTCCCTTTATGGGCAAAAACCCTCCCAAAGCTCCTCACTATAAACTTCACCCATGCTTAGGGGGCCCTGTGAGCCTCTGCCACCTGCCTCTCCCTTTTCCAGTCACTCAACATGCTATACAGTAGCTACTTGTTTTAGTCTATCATCCTGGCAGCGCAGGGGCTGGGTTCATCTTGTTCACTGCTGTGTCCCCAGCACAGTAACAGGCAGAAAAGAGAGGCACAATGAAAACCCGACTGGATGAAGGCATTCAATATATTGTTTCTTGTTTCTTTTTTAAAAATTTGAAGAGATGAGGTCTCACTCTGTTACCCAGGATGGTCTCCAACTCTGGCCTCACGCAACCTGTGCACATCCCAACGTATTAAATTGTTTCTTAACAAAAAAGTTACCTACTCTGTATCAGGCACCTTACACACTTTATTATCTTCAAAATTATAAAAGTTACAATTAAGACTTGTGGGCCAGGCACAGTGGCCGACACCTGTAATCCCAGCACCTTAGGAGGCTGAGGTAGGAGGTTACTTGAGCTCAGGAGTTCAAGACCAGCCTAGGTAACAACGTGGGACCTCGTCTCTACCAAACAAAGGAAAAGAAAAGAAAAGTTAGCCAGCATGGTTGACACATGCCTGTAGTCCCAGCTACTCAGGAGGCTGAGACAGGAGGATCAACTGAGCCTGGGAGGTCGAGGCTGCAGTGAGCAATGATCAGGCCACTGTACTCCACTATGGGTGACGACAGAGTGAGACTCTGTACCAGGAACTTATGTACCAGGAAATGGGCTTTCTTTGCATCACCTCACTTAATCCTTTCATCAACCTTATGAGGCAGGAGGATTTATGTCCATTTTTCAGATGAGAACAAACATACTCAGAGAGGTCAAGGCATTTGTCCAAACGCAAACAGCTGCAGAATGACTTTAGGTTTCAAGCCAGATCTGCCTGACTAAAGCCTGTTATCCTGTTTTCTAAGCAGCCTTTATAAAAGAATAAAAACAGTTCTGACATTTGAGAGAGACCTCCCAAGCCACGACAGGGGGACCAACCATTGGCCTTCACTCACACTGGTAGTACTCAGCCCAGCCACTCTGCAGCATGATGGCCAGCACCAGCGTGAGCTGTGGTGCCGTCTCCAAGGTCTCAAAGAGCCGCAGCATGCTGATATCCAGGGAGAGGAAATTGGCGTAGGCCAAGTCAAACTCAGAGGGCTCCTCCTGCTGCCACACCAGCAGCCCCTGCCCCCGCTCCTGCATGCACCTAAGCAGCACACACAGATGTCCAGAGGGCCAGGTTAGCGTCCTGTGAATTCCTCAGCCTCCCACCCATCTAATGAATGCACACAGGTCCAACCTGGCTCCTCACATCCATGTTATGGGGCCTTCGGCAATGTCCTAACCTCACTGAACTTGTTTGATCTGTAAAACGGGGATCGAGGCCAGGTGTGGTGGCTCACACCTGTAATCCCAGCACTTTGGGAGGCCGAGGCGGGTGGATCACAAGGTCAGGAGATCGAGACCATCCTGGCTAACACGGTGAAGCCCCGTCTCTACTAAAAATACAAAAAACTGGCTGGCTGTTGTGGTGCACGCCTGTAGTCCCAGCTACTCAGGAGGCTGAGTCAGGAGGATCTCTTGAACCTGCGAGGCGGAGGTTACAGTGAGCCAAGATCTTGCCACTGCACTCCAGCCTAGCGACAGAATGAGACTCCATCTCAAAAAAAAAAAAACAAAGGGGGGGATCGATACACCTACTCCTGCTGGCTAAGCACTGTCCCAAGCTCATCACAAACCTTGTCCTGTTTACTTCTCACAAGAGCCCATTTTACAGATGGAGAAACAGGATCAAGAAGCTAATAAGGTCTGGGTGCAGTGGCTCACGCCTGTAATACCAACGCTTTGACAGGCCAAGGCAAGAGGATCACTGGAGGCCAGGAGTTTGAGACCACCCTGGACAACACAGCAAGCCCCATCTCTACAAAGAATTTTTTAAAATTAGCTGGGCCTGGTGGTACGAGCTTGTAGTCCAAGCTACTCATGAGGCTGACGCAGGAGGACTGCCTGAGCCCAGTTCAAGGCCACTGTTAGCCATGATTGTGCCACTGCACTCTGGCCCAGGCAACAGAGACCCTGCCTTTTTTTTTTTTTCCTCTGAGACAGAGTCTGCTTCTGTGACCTGTTGCCCAGGCTAGAGTGCAGTGGCACAAACTTGGCTCACTGCAACTTCCACCTCCCAGCTTCAAGCGATTCTCCTGCCTCAGCCTCCGGAATAGCTGGGATGCTGGGATCACAGACATGCGCCACCACACCTGGCTAACTTTTGTATTTTTAGTAGAGATGAGCTTTTGCCATTTTCAGCAGGCTGGTCTCGAACTCCCGACCTCAAGTGATCCGCCCACCTCAGCCTCCCAGACTGCTAGGATTACAGGCATAAGCCACCAAGCCTGACCAGACCCTGCCTCTTTAAAACAAACAAACAAAAAATTATAAGCAGCTAATAAGTACTGGAATGAGGATTTGGATCCAAACCTGAATTGGAAAGGCATGTTATAAAGTTGCCTGAGGCAGTAGTTCTCAAACTTTAGTGTGCCCATCATCTCCTGGGGTCCTGTGGGCAAGAGGACACTTGCCTCTTGGGCACTTCTGGGCACAGGCCAGGCCAGATGGGATCAGACTCTGCCTTACCCCAGCCACACAGGGGAGGGGCTGGAGGAGGGTTAGATTGGAAGAAGGAATCCCATGTAAGAGGCTGGCCCTGAGTGGTTAAGGATGGAGACTGGGGCAGAGTTAAGAAAGTCCAGAGGTTGGACAGACAGGCCTGAGGTACCCATTGGCATGAAGAGTAAGTGGAGGATGCACCAAGGACCCTCCACCCAGAACTTTGCTCTCAGTTGCCTATTGGGAGGGAATCCCATTCACTCATCACAAGCTCATTCACCAGACATGTACTGTCACTTCCCTTGGAAGGACCCAATAACACACTGAAGAGCAGGCAGGCAGGGTGGGCTTGTCTGTTCTTGGTAATCTCTTGATCTTAACATTTACTATCTGGTTACTAATACATTTTATTTTGATTCTCCTTTTCTCTTGCTCATTCTCACATATTTTTAAATTCAAACTTTTTCTTCAGAAAACAAGTTTTTGGGGCCAGGCGCAGTGTGGCTCATGCCTGTAATCCCAGCACTTTGGGAGGCCGAGGAGGGTGCATCATCTGAGGTCAGGAGTTCGAGACCAACCTGTTGAACATGGTGAAACCCCCAGGCGTGATGGCGCACACCTGTAATTAAACCCAGCTACTTGAGAGGCTGAGGCAGGAGAATTGCTTGAGCTTGGGAAGCAGACTCCCTCTCAAAATTAAAAAAAAAAATACAAAAAACAAAACCAGTTTTTGGTATTATGGGAACAGAAAAGCACATGGTTAGAGAGTAAGCTTTGAAGCCAGATTCCCAGCTCGGCTACTCGCTAGCTGTGTAACATCTGCCAAGTTACTTAACCTCTCTGTGCTTCAGTTTTTTCTATAAAATGATAACAATGGCACATACATCTCATAAGGCTATTTGAAACATAAATGAAATAATCCATTAAAGCACTTAGAAAAGTGACTGGTACATATTAAGTGCTCAATAAATGTTAATTACTATAATTATCAATGCTACAAATTAAAATTTTCACTATTATTTCTTTCATCTTTACTCGGTTCTTTTTGTAGTTTATCACGTTAAAGTAGTAAGATTTATTTTCAGTCCTTTATTTTTATTTATTTACTTTTTTTGAGATGGAGTCTCACTCTGTCACCCAGACTGGAGTGCAGTGGCGCGATCTCGGCTCACTGCAAGCACCGCCTCCTGGGTTCATGCCATTCTCCTGCCTCAGCCTCCCGAGTAGCTGGGACTACAGGCGCCCGCCACCATGCCCGGCTAATTTTTTGTATTTTTAGTAGAGACGGGGTTTCACAGTGTTAGCCAGGATGGTATCAATCTCCTGACCTCGTGATCCGCCCACCTCGGCCTCCCAAAGTGCTGGGATTACAGGCGTGAGCCACCGCGCCCGGCCTCAGTCCTTTATTTTTAAAAATAAATGCAATTAAGTCTATAAACTTCCCTCTAATGTATTTTCCTGCACGACCATAAAAAGGACAGAGGAGGGAGAACCCTGTCTCACTGTTTGAGTCAAGCAATTATAGCCCAAAGAGCAGTGCTTCCATGGAAAACAAACTGAAAAGGAGAAAAATGGAATCCCTGGAACAGATGAGGGATTCTTAGCCTGTGTCCTTATAAAAAGCTGTTAAAATAGGCTAAGTGTGAGCCATAAACATTAAACTACTAACGTAAATCAAGTGTATTTTCTATCTTATACTTCCAGGGTCCTTCAAGATTATCTGATAAGTAAAATTAAAGAATCAGCACCTAAATTAAAGTGCTATACCTAAAACAAGAAACTGAATCAAATAAAATGAAGTTAACAGGGGAAAATGTGAGATGCACCAAAACTGAGACAGGTTTATGACCTGACAGCAATGTGGGTGAAAAGAGCAAGGCTGAATGTGAGCAGACCTCATGTGGAGTATGATGTGCAGTCTTCTATACCCCAACTTTCAAAGAGACCCTGACAAGCTAGAGGGGGGCGCACAGGAAGAGGAGAAGGGCAGTCAGGCTGACGAATGGGCAACAGCCAGAATCTCTCTCCACAGGCAAGAACTACAACCATGGCAGGACATTTCAGGAAGTACATGCTGACAAATATAAAGGAAGAACTGTCTAAAAGACAGAGCTGACCAACAAGGAAGTCAACTATCTTGCAAAGTAGCACTTTCTCCACCACTGAAGTCAGAAACAAACGCTGTATGGCTATGTACAAGGATGCCTGTTCTGAACTCTGGGTAAATCTGGCTGAATGAAAAACCACCTGCACACTGTCCCTAGTTCTACATTCTGCCACAGGCCAGGGCCAATGTCATGTCAGCAGAGCACTGCTCCACAGACTGGCTTAGGAACCTCAGGGGTCATAGCCTAAGGGATTTTCTTTTAGAGCCTGAAAAGTTCATAGTAAATACAAATACTTTCCAGCTTTATAGTTACCTGAGTTTCCACTTAGTCATACCTGAAATCAAGTGTGGTAATTAAGTACACATGTAACAGAAAGGGATGATCTCTAGAAAAGTTGTAGTAAACTCCTTTACTGGGTGGAAGTAACTCAGATAAAATCTGAGTTGTTATAACACTCAAGTTTACATTTTTGGGGATCAGACCTGAAGTAACCTCTTCAAAAGGGTTTTCAGCAGTTATTTCACCAATAAGAATGACAGAATTTTGGAGAAACGTGGTTATTAGCCATTCTCTCAGTTGCATAAGTGACCCTCTGCAGTAAGCCCTCATTCATAAGTCTGGGTAGTTTTTACCTAATAACACAGCCAATTCGCATCAAACCTTCGAGACCAGTTTTTTCCCCCAAGCTTAACAGCACACTCAAATACCTTCTCACACATGAATTTTCTAACACCACACAAAATTTTCCTCTCACAGTTTATCTTAAGTAGGAAGAAGGAAGCCAACAAGGGCAGCCACTTTCTAAAAATTTTGACGTGCTGAGAAAATAGTTCCTGTCCAGATGCTCAGCAGACACCTGTAGCACAGCTTCCTTCACTGACTGTGAAGAAGGTACGGTGTTGCAGCTACACACTGCCACCAACATAGTTTGCATTACCTTGTTCAAACTTGAAATCAATTTAAGAATACTGGTTCATTTCTTTTCTCTTTTTCCTTTTTCCACTGGTTTCTGGTGATAGCTCCTGCCATTTTTTAATGGCATCAGAAAAGGCCTAAAAATTGAGAAAGGGAAAGGTTCCTTCTGTAAATGGAAAATAAGAATACATGAGACAGGCAACCCCCAAATGCCATTTTAACACAGTTTCAGCTTTCTTCCCAGCATGGCTAACAACTGGTAGTGGCGGCTGGGTGCGGTGGCTCAAGCCTGTAATCCCAACACTTTGGGAGGCCAAGGCGGACGGATCCTTTGAGATCAGGAGTTCGAGAACAGCCTGGCCAACATGGTGAAACCCCGTCTATACTAAAAATACAAAAATTAGCCGGGCATGGTGGCACACGCCTGTAATCCCAGCTACTCAGGAAGCTGAGGCAGGATAATGGCTTCAACCCGGGAGGCGGAGGTTGCAGTGAGCCAAGATTGCACCACTGCACTCCAGCCTGGGCAAGAGTGAGACTATGTCTCAAAAAAAAAAAAAAAAAAAAAAAAAAAAAAGGAATAGGCAGTGGTAAAATAAATAGGCAGCATTTCTTTATTTTCATTTTCTCTGACTTTCATAAACTGGTACAGTGGTGGAAGCAAAATACTTACTGACAGATTAAAGACTAACTAGGGAAAAGAAAAACTGTTGGCTGGGTGCAGCGGCTCACACCTGTAATCCTAGCACTGTGGGAGGATGACGGGGGTGGATCACTTGAGCTTAGGTGTTCAAGGCTTGCCTGGGCAACATGGGGACACCCCGTCTCTACTAAAAATACAAAAAAATAGCTGGGCGTGGTGGTCCACAGCTGTGGTCCCAGGTACTCGGAGGCTAAGATAGGACAATCACTTGAGCCTGAGGCAGGGTTGCAGTGAGCCATGATTGCGCCACTGCACTCCATCCTGGGTAACACAGGAGACCCTGTCTCAAACAAAACAAAACTGTCCAAGCTGTCCTTGAATAAGTACAGGTTAAATCACACGACAATGGGCTGGTGAGTCCCATTCTATAGGCAAATCTTCCATGTTGTTTCTCTGGTCAATGCTCCTCTTTACTCTCCCCTAACCTGCTTCCCCCACACTCTTCTCTGCGTGCACCTATATCCACCCCACCCTTCAACAGGATGCTGGAGTTCAAAATCCTTCCACTGGTGAGGATCCCTTTTCTTTCCTACCTTCAGCTTCTCCCTGTTAGATTTTCCTTATCAGGATTTAAATGTGCTCAAGTCAGGGTGGGCGCGGTGGCTCACGCTTATAATCCCAGCACTTTGGGAGGCCAAGGCAGGTGGACCACCTGAGGTCAGGAGTTCAAGACCAGCCTGGACAACATGGCAAAACCCCGTCTCTACTAAAAATACAAAAAATTAGCTGGACGTGGTGGCATGCACCTGTAATCCCAGCTACTTGGGAGGCTGAGGCAGGAGAATCGGTGAACCTGGAAAGCGGAAGTTGCAGTGAGCTGAGATCGCACCATTGCACTCCAGCCTAGGTGACAGAGTGTGACTCTGTCTAAAAAAAAAAAAAAAAAGTGCTCAAGTCTTTGCCATCCTAAAAACAGGAGGGAGAAGGGGTACCTGATGTGAAATGGAAGGAAGGGTGTGTGAGGTAAGGCCATTCTGCCTGGAAGAGGAGGAAGAGTGGGAGCCTTTCAGGAAGACTGGGTGGGACTCCTGACTGTGGCAGGGGATACGAGGCCTCGGGGCTCATGTCCTGTGGCTACGCTGTTAGGGTGCAGGGCAGGCTGGGGTCCCAGTCTGGGTGGCAATGAGAAGGTGGGTGGCTATGATGCAGTGTTTGTCTGAAACTCCTGCTGACTTAATCCCCAGTGTGGCGGTGCTCAGAAGGTGATCTCATCTCTCTTTCAATGCCAGCCCCTCTTTCTTCTTCCCCTCTTTGTAGAGAAACTTATCAAAGGAGCTGTTTATCTGCTGTTTCACCACCTCACCCTTATGAGCACAAGCTTTCCAGCTGTCTCTAATTTGGCATCTACCCTGCCTTTGCACTTACTAATCTATGCTTATTATTGAGTGGCCAAGTCTACAAGTCTACCATCTACATTTTAGTCCTCATCTTGCACAAACTCTTAGCAGCATTTAATAACATAGGCTGGGCATGGTGGCAACCCAGTGCTTTAGGAGGTTGAGGTGGGAGGATAGCCTGACGCCAGGAGTTCCAAGACCAGCCTGCACTATCTAGCAAGACCCCATTTCTACAAAAAATAAAATAGAAAGATCATCTAGGTGTGGTGGCGTGCACCTGCAGTCCTAGCTACATGGGAAGCTGAGGCAGGAGGATGGCTTGAGCCCAGAAGGTCAAGGTTGCAATAAGCCATGATTGGGCCACTGTACTCCAGCCTGGGTGACAGAGAGAGACCCTGTTTCTAAACAAGAATAACCATGATGATGATGATGATGATAATACGGACGCTCCAGTCTCTCAACTTCCTCCTTCCTGTCTGCCTGCCTCCTCCGCTTGGTCTTTACATGTCAGGAGTCCTCTCTTCTCACCTGGTATCTCTGGGTACCTCATCCTGGCTGGTGAGATTTTCCATATGCTGATGACTCTCAAAGTCCTATCACCATAAAACCCAAGGAGATTTAAAAAAAAAATCCTATCTACAGTCTGTATTTTCCAAACTTTCTAGTCCATTCAACCTCCCAATGAATTATTTTTACTCAGATGTCTCACAGGCCCTTCTCAGCACATTGGCAACCAACGTTTCCCAGACTGATTTCATGATTATTTCTCTCCAAAGCAGATGTTTATACTAGTTCTCACCCCAATAAATGATACTAACATCTTCCACGACCCCTTTCACCAAACTCCTATGTGGGTCTGTGATTAAATGTCCCTTGCTCAGGGAGGCCCTTGTGGAGACCCTTGGTCTACCTTAGGTTGCCTCCTGTTTTACCCTTTCAAAGCCTATTTTTCTTTCAGTCTTTTTTTGGCCGGGTGCAGTGGCTCACGAGGTTATCCCAGCACTTTGGGACGCTGAGGCAGGCAGATCATCTGAGGTCAGGAGTTGCTGACCAGCCTGGCCAACATGGTGAAACCCCATCTTTACTAAAAATACAAAAATCAGCCAGGCGTGGTGGTGAGCATCTATAGTCCCAGCTACTCAGGAGGCTGAGGCAGGAGAATCGCTTGAACTGGGGAGGCAGAGGCTGCAGTGAGCTGAGATCACGCCATTGCACTCCAGCCTGGGCGACAGAGCGAGACTCCATTTCAAAAAAAAAAAAAAAAAAGGTGGAAGGGGCTTGGCCTAGACCTCAGCATAAGCCACAGTCCTTGGCTTGGTTCTTCCCTTCCTACAGGTAAGACCCAATGAGTATTTTAACCACTACGATAACTCCACGTTTGTCCTTTGGACAAAAGAAACATCACTGTGTTGCTGAGAATCACAAGAATTTCAGTAGAATAGAATTTAATGGCAGTAAGAGCGACCAAGAGGAGTAAGCCAAGGTCTCTGCTGGTGCGTGCGCTCCTGTTCTGGCCACAGCTACAAAGCATGCACCGTGTGCTGTCCTTCATGGAAGACGCCTGTGTTACCCACCACAAACCAGCACCCTCCTCACCCTCAACCAAGGCCTTTAAGTGCCATCTATTTTAGGATCCTGGGGGGAGAACGCTGGGAGCTGTCAGTAGCTGCCCATTCTCTTCTGAGGGGGCACTGCTGTGTTCCCGGACTCTCTACAGACCTTACGTCCTATCACTGATAACTGAGCCACCTGGGGGATGGATGGTTGTGTGACCTGTCCCAAGTCGGAAAGCAAATCAGGAAGGAGCAGGATTAGAACGCATCTCTCATACTCCTGCATTCCACAGTAGAATGTATTACCCTCCATGTTTTTACGGTCAAAGCAGAACTTCTCTACTTCTCATCTATCTATTATTTCTTTTCATTTAGCCCTTCACGATCAGCAAATACCCATCTATTTATCTTCACCCTCATAAATTCCTTAGCAATCATAAACCATCCCAATTTCCACAAGCTGTTCATTCTGTTACCGTGTGAAGATGTAGTCAAGAGGTGTGACCCCAACAGGAAGACCAAGTAGAGTACCTTTCGGGTGATTGCATAGTGTCCTTTGAGCTCGTGCAGGGCCCACATGATGTCCTGACTACTGAGCACTTTGAAGTCGGCCATGAGGAGGTCAGCAGCTTGGATGAAGCAGTGCTGGTCAAGAGGAGTCAATTTAGAATAGTCAAAAAAGTCTTATTTTAGGCAACTGAAACGAGACAGAAGCATAAAATCAAAGGCCAGGCAGTACATTTCCCATGTAGGGGAAATCATTTTAAGAATTTATGTGCAGAAAA
This sequence comes from Homo sapiens, assembly GCF_000001405.40. NCBI lineage: Eukaryota > Metazoa > Chordata > Mammalia > Primates > Hominidae > Homo > Homo sapiens. The sequence goes on along the minus strand of NC_000007.14, from coordinate 4,984,821 downwards.
GAATAACATTTGTTCTAATTACTCTATAAGGAAGTTACCAGCCCTATAAGAGAGATGAGAAAATGGTGGCTCAGAGAGGTTAAACAAACCTGTCTGGAGCCGGCAGACTAGTTTTACTAGTTATAACTAGTAAAGAAGTATAGTTGGGGATTTAAACCAATCTTACAGCCATCTTCTTTCCATACCATATTTACAAACAACTATTTTTTTTCTATTATAGAATACGTAAGAGAGATAGTCAAAGAATCTATGGGGAGTTGGAAGATCAAGCAACACATCTTAATAAAGTTAGTTCTCAACCATACTTTACCATGTAACAAACTAAATGCCAGTTTAGATCACAAATAATGACAATGATTAAAGTTTTTAAAAACCAAACTGTTTACATCTTGATATGAGATCTGGTTAAACAGATGTATAGGATACGCTGTATACAAATCTCACATCAAAAGAAAAAAGATATTCCACTCTGGGTAATGATCTGCATGCTGAAGTACTTACAGGGAAGTGTACTGATGTTTTTGCAATTTACTTTGAAATGCATTATCATGAAATGAAACATAACAAAGATGTGCTGATGGACAGACAGAGGACATATGTATGATAAAGAGGATACAGTAAACTGTTAACTTTTTAGTAGTACCAGTGGTAGGTATACAGGTGATCAACGTAAAATATTTCAATTTTTCTGTAGGTTTGAAAATTTTCATAATAAAATGTTAAGAGTTTTGGCCAATTCTTGTTTTGCTTTAGGAATTTGCTTTGTAGGATTACAGATATGGAGGATTCGTTCAATTCTTTGTGGGAAAAGGAAGATAAGAATTACAAGGAAAGATAGAAGTTAAAGACAGAATTCAAAGTGGCTCAGACTGGGAGATCGCACTGAAGTATAGATATATTCTGAAATCCTATGTCCCTCGGCTAGTCTTTAAAAACTTGTCCCAACAAAGCACCTTCTTCCCACAGAGATAACAACAACAACAACAACAACAACAACAAAGCACAGCATTTCCAGGCAGTGACTGCAAAACATGAACATGACACTTGCCTTTGTCTCATCTTGGCTGGCCAGCAGACTGCTACTGGGATTTATAATGATTCTGTCTTCTCTCTTTGGATAATCTGGGTTTTCCAGAAGAAAATTACAAAGTCTGCAGAAACAAATGATGTTACTTTCATACTGCTTCCAAATCCCACACCTGCCCATTGCTTCAAATGCAATGTCTGAAGAATATAGTCCTTAGTCACACGTTACAACTGGCCTATCAAGAAATTAAGATGTTTGTAGCCCAGAAAAACTAAACAAATAAACAAACAACTGCACTGAATTTCTATCTTTGTGAAAGATAAAAAATTTAAAAAGCAATGAACATACTGATTAAGGCAAACTCCTCTGAAGTTTATGTATCAATTGGGTGTTAATGTATTGAAGTCACTGAAACTATTATTGGTTAAACTACAAAATTGGAAAATTTGAAAGAAAAGTAGCTACTCTTTGTCAAGAAAACTATGAACAAGAAAGAAGTGGAAAACTGTGTGTTCACATTTACAGTAAAAACAGTCTGCTAAGAGATGTAATAAATAAATGAAATATAAAAGACCTTCTGTTAATTCATTAATACTTTTTATACCCCTGTGGTAACATAAATCTCTATGGTAATATAAAGCTCTATGAGCCATTGAGTTACACTTCATTTATTTAGCTAGCTGCTAAGCTAGACTGATGAACAGATCATGTTTTCCTATGAACAGACTCTCTTCACACCAAACCCACTAGCTTTGTCTATTATCAGCATGAAATACTTCCAAAGTAAGGCTATATAGAGTGAGATAACACACACTGATGTATCACCACCCAGACCCAACAGATGTTAACTATCCAGGCTCTTCACAGTCAAATCAGACAACCACCTTGGAACGACTGCACAGTAGTGCAGACAGAGTGGGTGGGGTACAGCTCTAGCCACATTCAGTAGCAAGGAAGCTTCTTTGCTCGGAGGGTAATGGGGACTTCCCCTTTTCTCTGTTCTTTCTCTTGCTCCAGTAGATTTCTAAGATGACCTCCTAGGTGCTATACCTGCAGTTCTCACACACTTCCCTTTCTACTGGTTCTCTTTTGCCAGATGTCAATAGTAAGGCCTGTAATAGTAGAACAGGAGGTCTGGCAGAAAGAGGGCAGAGAAAAAGTGCTCAGCTCTGCTCCTTTTCTCATCCAGGTGCCAGTGTTTGGGGACCGGTTTGGAGAGGTTCGTTGATTCTACAGCCCCCGCTGGGGACCCATGTCAAAGCCTTCTCCCTCATCTTGACATCTCAATGCATTTCCCTTTGCCGTTACTTCAGGAGTCCCACATACTCTTCATCTCTAAGCTCCCCCCTTCCCTACCACCACAGCCTGCCCAGTCCACAGAAGACAACGCCAGAGGCCCAAAGAGAGGAAAAAAAGCAGCAAACTCCTCCTATTACAGAGGGCGACAAGAATTCAGAGTACATTTTCCTTTAAAACCATTGTCATCAGTGGTAATTCTCCGTCCTAGAATTCACTGGTGTGCAATGAGGTTATGCAAACCTTTGAAGGCTGACCTGAGAATTAGCCACCAGCAAAAATCGCGTCTGTAGGGAAAGGCCTGAGTTCCAGACAACTCATTACATGTGCATATTTGATGTGGCGACAAACCAGACACGGACTAGCTTTAAAATGGTCTGTTTTTATGTGTTTTCTCAAGTAAATGATACATAAGTACACCTCTACATGAAATACAGATGGAACAGTAGATATGATTTCTTGAAAAAACAAAACATGTTTGAGAGGTTCATCTCTCCCCAATTCATTTTATATTTGCAACAATATTAAGAACTTCAAATACTGAAATGCTACAGACATGAAGTTCCACATGGCAGAAATCAGAAGCTCTCACTATAAACTGTCAAAATTCATTTCTAGTTTAATCCCTTCATTATGCTTACCAACAGAACTCTTCTGGAGGTTAAGTGACATTTGGAGGCACAGGAAATGAAGGACAAAGTTTTTCTTCTACAGAAACAAGTGGTAGCCTCTGTTCTAATATCTGCACCCTGGGGCAAAAGCAGTGGGGAAGCCTGTCGGACTTCAGTCTGCCCACGTCTTCATATGACCTCATGCTTGAGCTGATCTGACATGCTAGCAGTTCTAGAGAAGGCACTCCTGCAAAGTAAGCCAGGCTAGTACTCCAGTTTTTTTTTTTTTTTTTTTGAGACTGAGTCTCGCTCTGTTGCCCAGGCTGGAGTGCAGCGGTACAAGCTCCACCTCCTGCAAGCTACAAGCTCCACTTCCTGGGTTCATGCCATTCTCCCGCCTCAGCCTCCCGAGTAGCAGGCACTACAGGCACCCGCCACCACGCCCGGCTAATTTTGTTCTATTTTTAGTAGAGACGGGGTTTCACCGTGTCAACCAGGATGGTCTTGATCTCCTGACCTTGTGATCCACCCGTCTCGGCCTCCCAAAGTGCAGGGATTACAGGCGTGAGCCACCGCGCCCAGCCGTACTCCAATCTTTCAACCCTTAGATAGTTGTTGCTGCCTTCATCCAACTGAAGTTGACCACGTGTGAGTGAAAGATCTAAGTTAACCAGCCAGAGTAGATTACCTGCCACGTGGTTCTCTAATGAATAGGCCCTTCCTGCTTAAAATGGCCAGATGGTTCCATCTGAAGGCCATTTAAAGACGCACATAAAGCAACTGAGACTGAGCTACAACAAAATCCCAGTCTGCTCAACTCAGCTTTGGGCCTTATTTCCAGTTTCCATTAACATTTTAGTTTAGTTGTGGAGTTAACACTGTCCTAGGAGTCCAGAGAATAATGGAAAGGAAAGCAGTGTCAGGAAAACAAGATTGGCTTGAAAAGATGGAATACAGTGACCGTACATTCCCTTGCTTTTTAGATTTCATGAGAATTTTTATGTGTTTAAAGATCAATGTTTCTGAGTGACACAAAAAGCACAGAGGGACAGCAAGACCCTAAAAATAATTACACGTGTGAGACTCAGGAAGTAGGAGAACAGAACTGTAAGAGAAGGTGTCAATTTGATTACATTTTAGTGATTTTTCTAGACAATCTTGAAGATATATTTAAACATCCCTCTTCATTTGCAGAAGGAGACAAAAACATTGAATATACTCAATTTCTATGAGGTTAAATTGTTAAAAAATACTAAAACATGGTATCTGGTATTCAAATCATTGTTCTATAAATGAGCTAAGTTTATACTTTTCTCTATCATTTACATTTTCTGTAATGAACAAACCTGTATTACATTTCATAACCAGGAAACATTAGGAATTCAAAGAGAAGAGAGAAGTAAACAATTCACACGCAAGGGAAATACAATTAGTAAACAAATATTTGAAAAACACAGCCAATTAGCAAAGAAATGTCACTTATGCTACTTCATGCCTACCCTAGTTAACTACAAAAAATAACATAACTCAGTATTGTCGAAGAGTTGTTAAAGCAATTCACACATATAAGTTGCTTTTTAGATGAGTAGAAGCCTACAAGAAAGTTTTCATTGTAAAAATGTAGTCATTGCTGCTCAATTTTCCTGTAAACCTAAAACTGCTCTAAAAAATAAAGCTTAGTAATTTAAAAAAATGTAGTTATTATCACACCACTTGGAAACCCAAAAAGAAAGTATTTTAAAAGCTTAGGAGGGGAAAAAAATCTCCAACAAACAATTCTGTTGAAGACACAAACATAGCCAATAGGAAGGTGGATGCCAGGGTGTGGGGCAAGTAGAGTTCAGGAGACAAGCAGGAGAATGTTCACAGCTACATTATTTGTGACAGTCAGAACTCAAATGCCTATCAAAAGTAGATGGGAAATTTCATTGCTAAGTGATATAAATGGAATACCACTTAGCAATGGAAAATACATAAACTGTGGCTCTACCCAACGTGAATAAACCTCACAAACATAATGCTGAGTGAAAAGAAGTCAGATGCAAAAGAAGACTATACAAAATCTTTATGTAGTGTTTAAAGAGGATAGCAACATTCTATTTCTTGAAGATTTCTGGGTTGTGGTTCCATAAATGTTTGGTTTGTGATAAATTATTGAGCTGTGCATCTTTATTTTGTTCATTTTTCTTTATGTATATTATATACACATTGGTATACAATAACCAAGTTTAAAAACTATACACAATAAAGAATATGTGGAAAGGCTTCAGAAGAGTGAGTAACTGGCATGTAAATAACCAAATGGCTTTCTTTCCTCACTGTAAGGAAGGTTAAATACCCAGGTAGAGTCTCTTGTTGAAAAATAAAAAATGCTTTAAGAGTTTGGGTAATCCAAGCCGGGTGAGGTAACACATGCCTGTAATCCCAGCTATTCGGGAGACTGAGGCAGGAGAATCACCTGAACCTGGGAGGCGAAGGTTGCAGTGAGCTGAGATCATGCCACTGCACTCCAGCTTGGGCAACAAGGGCAAAACTCTCTCTCAAAATAAATAAATAAATAAATAAATAAATAAATAAATAAATAAATAAATAAATAAAAGGTTTGCAGGGCACGGTGGCTCACGTCTCCCAGCACTTTGGGAGGCTGAGGCAGGGGGGTAACTTGAAGTCAGGAGTTCGAGACCAGCCTGGCCAACATGGTGAAATCCCATCTCTACTAAAAATACAAAAATTAGCTGGGCATGTTGGTGCACACCTGTAATCCAAGCTACTCAGGAAGCTGAGGCAGAAGAATCACTTGAACCCTGGAGACGGAGGCTGCAGTGAGCCAGGATCACGCCACTGCACTCCAGCCTGGGCAAGAGACTGAGACTTCGTCTTAAAAAAAAAAAAAAAGAGTTTGTGTAATCCGAAAACTTCAAGACAGGAATCTAAAGTCGTTTCAAACTGACACTGCCCTCGGGGACTTGAAAGAAGCAAAAGCAATTCTCTATAAAGAAACCAACTCTATCAAGAACTCAAGACATGAGCTTAGAGTCAAACTTAGAAAATACACAAGAAAACGAGGCACCATGGGAGCCAGCAGGAAAAACAGAATATGATTCCCAAGAACTTAACAGATCACAGCAATCAAACTCACAAAGAAGCTATGTTTATTGGTTAAAGAAATTTAAAAAAGACTAAAAATATAGGCAAAGAGCAAAACTCTAGGAAAATAACCAAGAGAATTAAAAGCTAAAATACCATAACCGAAAAACAGTGGATGAGTTAAAAGAAGATTACATTCTACTGAAGAGAAATTTGTGGGCTAGAAGACACATCTGAAGAAATCATCCAGAATGCATCTCAGAGACAAAGAGGTGGACTTAGAGACTTGGAGACTGTGGGAGAAGAGTTACAGAAGACAGGAAACAGCTACAAAATTTCCAGAACTGACCAACATCACCAATCTATGGCCAGGTAGTGTATACTCTTAATGGTTTTGCCTTACTGAGAAGCATGTTAAGCAAAATTGATAAAGATTAAGGGAAGGCCAGGTGCAGTGGCTCACACCTGTAATCCCAGCACTTTGGGAGGCTGAGGTAGGTGGATCACTTGAGGTCAGGAGTTCAAGACCAGCCTGGCCAACATGGGAAACTCCGTCTCTACCAAAAATACAAAAATTAGCCAGACATAGATGGCGCATGCCTGTGATCCCAGCTACTTGGGAGACTGAGGCAGGAGAATCACTTGAACCTGGGAGGTGGAGACTACAGTGAGCTGAGATCGCACCACTGCACTATAGCCTAGGTGACAGAGTGAGACTCCGTCTCGAAAATAAATAAATAAATAAATATAAATAAATCTGATGACGGTGGTTGCCTCTGTACAGAGGTGGGATCAGACAAGGCCACTATTGGCTCCAACAGTGTCACTGTACAAATCAGAAAAAAGTACCTACATTGGGCTAAGTACCTGGAAAGGGGACCTTCCTTCTCAGCCTTGGCAGGGAAGAAACTCACCTGCACCCCAGACTGAGAACTACAGGATAAGATACGAACTTTGAGGACAGGTGTTCAGTGAACTGTCTATTTTGTTTAAATTTACCACCAGGCTGGGCATGGTGGCCCATGGCTGTAATCCCAGCACTTTGGGAGGCCAAGGCGAGCAGATCACGAGGTCAGGGGTTCAAGACCAGCCTGACCAACATGGTGAAACCCTGTCTCTACTAAAAATACAGAAATTAGCCAGGCGTGATGGAGTACGCCTGTAATGTCAGCTACTCAGGAGACTGAGGCAGGAGAACTGCTTGAACCCGGGAGGTGGAGATTGCTGTGAGCCAAGATCACACCACCGCACTCCAGCCTGGGCAACAAAACAAGACTCCGTCTCCAAAAAAACAAAAAAAAATTTACAACTATTTCACCTCTGCAGATCAGAAGGAGGGGAAAGAGTATATTTTTCATTTTATATTCTTCAGGAGAACTTATTTTTTAAAACAGCATATTTATCATAACAAATTTTTTTTAAATAGAGACAAGGTCTCAATCTGTCTCCCACGCTTGAGTGCAGTAGCCTAACATAGCTCACTGCAGCCTTGAATTCCTGGATTCAGGCAATCCTCTTGCCTCAGCCTCCCAAAGTGCGAGGATTAAAGGTGTGAGCCATTTGTCTGGCCCATATTTATCCCTTTTGTAATGAAAATTAACAAATGTGGCCAGGCGGGTGGCTCATGCCAGCACTTTGGGAGGCCGAGGCAGGCGGATCACCTGAGGTCAGGAGATCAAGACCAGCCTGACCAACATGGAGAAAACCCATCTCTACTAAAAATACAACATTAGCAGGGCATAGTGGCACATGCCTATAATCCCAGCTGCTCGGGAGGCTGAGGCAGGAGAATCGCTTGAACCCGGGACGTGGAGGGTGCAGTGAGCCGAGATTACGCCATTGCACTCCAGCCTGGGCAATGAGCGAAATTCCGTCTCAAAAAAAGAAAGAAAAAAAACCAAAACTGCAGAACAAAAAAATACATGTTCCAAAATTCCCCTCAAGGCTAAGCCAGAATCTTCTGGCAAAAAAGAAATTAGGCATCATGGGAGGACAAGACTGGTTCAGCATCACCTGTAGTATTTCAGATCATAAATGCCTAGTGGAGCACTCCTTTATAATCACCACGCCTTCAAAAACTGATGCTGACACTGTCTCTTAAGACTCAATGACTACATATTAACAGCGTCTTGCCAGTAAATTAACAGCTTATTAATCCAGTTGCAATGAATGAGTCTTACACTTCATTCATGCCAGCAATATCATTATCTGATATAATTCTAGTCTAACTAGTCTTTTTATGTCAAAAATGAAATGTCCCTGGATTCTAAATGGTACAAAATAGGTTCATTTCAAAAGATACAGCTGTGATACTAAAAGGAAAAAGCCACAGGGAAAGGGATGAAGTGAGAACAAACAACTTACCTTGTCCCCGATGGCAGTGAAAGTTGTTCAAGTGAATTACCTCTTCATTGTTGTTTCCCTCTTCCATTTTCAAATGCAGACATGCACATACGGGACTGCTAATATCTAAACATGGTGACCATCTGTTTCAAAAGAGCTGAAAAGGAAGCAAAGAGGAACAGTAAGAATGAGGGAGTATCAAAACTCTTGCCATGTATCTGGTCAGGGGGACATCTGAAGCTTATGCTGAAAACATTCCTTAAGAAAACATATCCAAGGAGGTGGGTCAAAAAAAAAAAAACCACACAAACTCAAAACCTATGACATTAAAACATATGTTTAAAATACACATATTAAAGAGACAAAGTACTGACAGAGAAATGACATCTTGATACAAATATGCTAACAAAGAAATGGGCTAAGGGTATTAATAGGCAATTCACAAAAAAGAAAACACAGAAGATGCTCAACCTCACTAATAATCAGGGAAAGGCAAATCAGAAAATGAATTATGTTTCAGCCAGACGCAGTGGCTCAAGCCTACAATCCCAGCACTTTGGGAGGCCGAGGCGGGCAGGTCACAAGGTCAGGAGTTGGACACCAGCCTGACCAACACGGTGAAACCCCAGCTCTACTAAAAAATACAAAAATTAGCCAGGCATGGTGGCACGCGCCTGTAATCCCAGCCACTCCGGACACTGCCGCAGGAGAATCGCTTGAACCCGGGAGGCTGAAGTTGCAGTGAGCCAAGATCGCCGCACTGCACTCCAGCCTGGGCAACAGAGTGAGACTCCGTCACAAAAAAAAAAAAAAAAGGAATTATGTTTCAAACCACTGGGGTGGCAAAAAAGGCAAGTATGTAAGAAATGGGAAATCTTATACATTGCTGGTTTGGATAGTAACTTGGAAAAGATATTCTGAATAGCAATCAGCAATACGCCCTAAATTACAAATGTACATTCCCTGTGACTTAGCAATTCCACTTCCAGGTATATTAGCTAAAGAAACCTCTGTGTGTTCTCCAAGAAATATGCATAATAGAATATACGGACAGGGATGGTGGTCATTACAGCAAATATGCAATAAAAGCAATTGGAAATGGCCTTACTGGACTTCAATAAAGGAATAAATAAAATTCATATGATACAACACAGTTAAATTAACGTTAAATGAAAGTGTGATACCATTTATGTAAATTCATACACAAATTTTAAATACATATTTAAATATTAAATTAAAAAATACAGCCAGGCGCGGTGGCTCACACCTGTAATCCCAGCTCTTAGGGAGGCCGAGGTGGATGGATCACGAGGTCAGGAGATCGAGACCATCCTGGTTAACACGGTGAAACCCCGTCTCTACTAAAAAATACAAAAAATTAGCCGGGCGTGGTGGCGGGCGCCTGTAGTCCCAGCAACTCGGGAGGCTGAGGCAGGAGAAGGGTGTGAACCCGGGAGGCAGAGCTGGCAGTGAGCCGGGATCGCGCCACTGCACTCCAGCCTGGGCGACAGAGCGAGACTCCGTCTCAAAAAAAGGAAAAAAAAAAAAATAATAACGTTCTCTTTGCACTATCAAAGTACCTAGGACAACTGCTACCCAGGCCCTTAAGGATTCACAGAGCCCTGGCGGATTTGTCAGAAATTTCTGTAACCCGCACGCCGCGCACGCTCCACGTTGGCTGCAAGTGGCCCAAGTCTTAGAGCCCTGGTCCCGTTCCACCGGGAGCAGAACCACCTCGACGCGGGGACAGCGGCCTCGCTCCCTGCCCAGCGCCCGGACCCCCGAGCCGGGCCAGCCCCCAGCGCCCCGCAGAAAGGTCTGACGCACTTGCGGCGCCCTCGCGAGTGCCGGGTGACAGTCGCCAAGTTTCACGGAACAACACGCGCTCCAGATGTGAGGGGAGAGGAGGAAAAACGCCGCCCGCCTGGGCTGGGGTTCACAGGCACGGGCCGCCTCCCGCCGCTCCTCCAGGCCGCGCTCGGGTGCACGGACACCGCCTCCGCGGCGGCCTCGGGCCCGAGGGAGGGAAGCGGCCCGAGGGGCCGGCTCGCGAAACTTCGCGAAGTGGCGGGAGGGTGTCGCTCCCGCCTCGCCACCGCAGGGGGCTTGGAGACGCCCAGCCCAGCTCCCCGGCCCGATCCCGCCCGGGCCTCGGCCGCGCCCCTCAGCTCTGTGGTGCTCACGGCCCGCGCCCCCGCCCCCACCCCCGCAGCTCAACGGAGGCGTCACGCAGGGAGGCCGCCTCGCCTCACAGACCCGCCCAGAAGCTCGAGCGCGCCCCGCAGCCGACACTCACTCGCCACTCAACTCGCCGGCTAGCCAGGCGGGTTCGGCGACCTTCGCTACCACGCCGCTTACTCCTCCAAAGCTGCAGCTACGAGCTCCGTGGCAGCCGCTGCATTCCTTCCGGCCCTGCCCCGGCGTCACCTCGCGCAAGCGTACAGCGCGCGTACAGCGCCCCCTCCCGACTAACGACAGGAAGAACCATAGAGGCACTCCGGGTGCTGCGGAGGAGGGACCGGGGGGCTCACCATAGAGAGGGCAGCCTAGCCGCGCCTGCATCCGGGCTCTCCGCCTACGGAGACTTGACTCCCCCACGAGGCTGGAGGATGAAAGGAACGGAGACCCCCAATCCCCGACCCCACAGGAGCCACCATCTCCCCAGAGCTGAAAAGGGTATGGGGCAGGTGGTTGTGGATGTTTACTCGATATCTACTTATTTGCCCTAATTCCTTTGGCAAGTCATTCATTCATTCTGCAAATATATTCTGCGGATTTCCTGTGGGCCATGCACTATTCTAGGAATTGGGGAAATTAAGAGAAAAGTGGGTCTCACGGCTGGGCACAGTGGCTCACGCCTGTAATCCCAGCACTTTGGTAGGCCAAGGCGGGTGGATCACTTGAGGTCAGGAGTTCCAGACCAGCCTGGCCAACATGGTGAAACCCCTTCTCTACCAAAAATAAAAAAATTACCCGGGCGTGGTGGCGGATGCCTGTAGTCCCAGCTACTCTGGAGGCTGAGGCAGGAGAATGACGTGAACCCAGGAGGCGGAGCTTGCAGTGAGCAGAGATCGCACCACTGCACTCCAGCCTGCGCGACAGAGCAAGGCCCTGTCTCAAAAAAAAAAAAAAAAAAAAGAAACAGAATCTCGCTTTGTTGCCCAGGCTGATCTCGAACTCCTGGGTCCAAGTTATCCTTCCGTCTTGCCCTCCTAAAGTGGTGGTATGGCAGGTGTGAACTGCCACGTCTGGCTAGGAATTTTTTATTAGTAAAATGGGAATTTTAAGATATTATCTATTGCCCGGTGTTCTTGCAAGGATGAAATGGGGTCATATGTGAACTGAGAGGCTCTCATTGGAGTTATTTGTTGACATGTTCTTGTCTCAGGCATTTTTGGAGTCATAAAGACAATTATCCTATCTCTGCATTTCTCCCAATGAGGGTGAGAGGAAGCTACTCCTTCCTTCTAGGTAGTCTGGAATCATTCAGGTTATTTTTGAAGCCTCTGGCTTTTTTTTTTTTTTTTTTTTTTTTGAGACGAAGTTTCACTCATGTGCCCATGCTGGAGTGCAATGGCATGATCTTGGCTCACTGCAACCTCTGCCTCCCGGATTCAAGTGATTCTCGTGCCTCAGCCTCCCATGTAGCTGAGATTATAGGCGCCCGCCACGACATCCGCCTAATTTTTGTATTTTTAGTAGAGGCAGGATTTCACCATGTTGGCCAAGCTAGTCTCGAACTCCTGACCTCAGGTGATCTGCCTGATTCGGCCTCCCAAAGTGTTGGCATTACAGGTGTGAGCCACTGTGCCCGGCCCTGTTTTTTTCGGGGGGCGGAGGGTTGGGGTCTCACTCTGTCAGTGAGGCTAGACTGCAGTGACTCAATCAATCATAGTTCACTGCAGCCTTGACCTCCCAGGCTCAAGGGACCCTCCCATCCCAGCCTCCTGAGTAGCTGGGACTATAGGTGTGTGCCACCATGCCTGACTAATTTTTTAAGTTTTTTTGTATAGATAGGGTCTTTCTATGTTGCTCAGGTTGGTCTGAAACTGCTGGCCTCAAGTGATCCTCCTGCCTCGGCCTCTCAAAGTGCTGAGATTATAGGCTTGAGCCACCGCACCTGGCCTGTTTTTGTTTGTTTTTTTGAGACGGAGTTTCACTCTTGTTACCCAGGCTGGAGTGCAATGGCACCGTCTCGGCTCACCGCAACCCCTGCCTCCCAGGTTCAAGTGATTCTCCTGCTTCAGCCTCCTGAGTAGCTGGGATTACAGGCATGTGCCACCACACCCAGCTAATTTTGTATTTTTAGTAGAGACAAGGTTTCTCCATGTTGGTCAGGCTGGTCTCGCACTCCTGACCTCAGGTGGTCCACCCGCCTCGGCCTCCCAAAGTGCTGGGATTACAGGCGTGAGCCACCGCGCCCGGCCTGTTTTCTTTGTCTTAATGTTAACCAGCACCAAGAATCAGAAAGGGCAAGATAGCTACCTGCAGACTAAACTATTGTCAACAAGTGATGTTTTGCTGTTTTCCTGGGAAGAAGCATGGAAGTTCTGTCTATGAAAATCCGTATCATCTGTGCTGGCTGTAATTCCATGCAGTTACGGCCAAAGGCGTGCAACCTGCACTCACCCCGTGAGCCTGCCCGAGAGCCGAGGCTGTAACTCCCCCACCCCATGAGTCATCACGGCACGGCTTCATTGCATTTTCTGGTTACAGTTAGTTTAATGTGCATCTGACCTGTGAAATCATTGACAGTAGTGGAGGACCGCCATTATTCACAATTTGTCCATCATCATTTTGTTCCCAAGAACTGTCATCAGCCGTATCTACATGAAGGTGTGCTGGTGTTGTCATAGAGGACATTATTCCCGAACTCAGTCTGCTTTCAGAAGCAGTAATTTCCTGCCATTTTGGCCCATTATTTGTAAAAAAAAAAAAAAAAAAACTAAAAAAAAAAAATGTTATTTAGGTGTAATTTATACGTGGTACAAGGCACCCCATTTAAGTGTACCTTTCTACCAGTTTTGACAAATTTATACACCCTCGTAACCCCCCACAATCAAGATAGAGATCATTTCCATCACCCCAGACTATTCCCTCCTGTTCCTTCCAGTCCATCCCTCCATAATCCCCATCCCTGGTGCTAGGCAACCACCTGCTTTTGGGCACCTGGTTTGTGTCACTTTATATTACTTATTTGTTTTGAGATGGGAGTCTTGCTCTGTCACCCAGGCTGGAGTGCAATGGTGTGATCTTGGCTCACTGCAACCTCCACCTCCTGGGTTCAAGCGATTCTTCTGCTTCAGCCTCCTGAGTAGCTGGGATTACAGGCACCCCCCACCACACCCAGCTAAGTTTTTGTATTTTTATTTTATTTTATTTTTGTTATGGAGTCTCACTCTGTCGCCCAGGCTGGAGTGCAGTGGCGTGATTTTGGCTCACTGCAACTTCCGCCTCCCAGGTTCAAGCGATTCTCTTGCCTCATCCTCTCGAGTAGCTGGCTTTACAGACATCCACCACCATGTCCAGCTAATTTTTGTATTTTTAGTAGAGATGAAGTTTTGCCATCTCTACTAAAAACATGGCCAACTAAAGTTGGCCAGGCTGGTCTCGGACTCCTGACCTCAGGTGATCCGCCTGCCTTGGCCTCCCAAAGTGCTGGGATTACAGGCTTGAGCTACCGCACCCGGCCCTTTTTCTCATTTTAGACTACAATTTATCTTTCTGTAGTTTCACACACATGGGATCATATGGCATGCACTCTTGTGTCTGGTTTCTTTTGCTCAGCATGCTTTTTGTTTTTTGAGACAGGGTCTCACTCTGTTGCCCAGGCTGGAGTGCAGTGGTATGATCTTAGCTTACTGCAGCCTCGATCTCCCAGACTCAAGCCATCTTCCTGCCTCGCCTCCTGAGGAGCTGAGACTACAGGCACGCATCACCATGCCTGGCTAATTTTTTTGATTTTTAATAGGGATGAGGTCTTACTATGTAGTCCAGTCTGATCTCGACCTCCTGAGTTCAAGTGATCCTCCCACCTCAGCCTCCCAAAGTGCTGGGATTACAGGTGTGAGCCCCCGTGCCTGGCCTCTGCATGTTTCTGAGATTCTTCTATGTTACATGTATCAGTAGTTCATTCCTTTTTACTGCTGAGTAGTATTCGACCGCAAGGATATGACACAATTCATTCATCCATTCACCAGCCGGTGCACACTGAGTTTCTTTTATTTTGGGGCAATTATGAATAAAACTGCTATGCACATTCGTGTAAAAGTTGTTGGGTGAATACATGTTCATTCTCTAAGTGTGGAATTGCTAAATCATATAGTAAGAACCAAACTGTTTCCCAAACTGGTACATCATTTTACTTTCCCACTGGCACTGAAGGAGAGGTCCAGTTGCCATTCTTGGTATCACTAGTCTTTAATTTCAGCTGTTGTAATGGACAGGTAATGGTCTATCACTGTGGTTTTGATTTGCATTTCCCGGCTGGCTAATATGTTGAGCATCTTTTCTTGTGCTAATTGGCCTTTTGAATATCTTTCTTTTTTTTTTTTTTAGACACAGCATTGTCTAGGCTGGACGGCAGCAGCATGATCATAGCTCACTGCAGCCTTGAATTCGTGGGCTCAAGCGATCCTCCCACCTCAGCCTCCTTAGTAGCTGGGCCTACAGGCACATGCCACCACTCCTGGCTAATTTATATGATTTTTTTTTTTTAGAGATGGGGTCTCGCTATGTTGCCCAGGCTGGTCTTGAACTTCTGGCCTCAAGTGATCCTCCCACCTTGACCTCCTAAAGCGCTAGGATTACAAGTGTGAGCCGCTGTGCCCAGCCCTGGCCTTTTGTATATTTTCTTTTGTGAAATTTCTGTTCAAATTTTTTAAATCCCATTTTAAAAATTGGATTTGTTTTTGTCTTCTCAGAGTTGACTTGTAAGTGTTCTTTTTATAGTTTGGATATAAGATTTTAGTATTGCATACATTTCCTCTGGCTTACTTTTCATTTCCTTCTTTAATTTTGTTTTTCATTTTTTATTTTCCAAGGCTGTCCCTTCCCTTCCCCTCCCCCACCCTTCCCTTCCCTTCCCTTCCCTTCCCTTCCCTTACTCCTTCCCTTACTTTCCCTTCCCGTCCCTTCCCCTCCCTTCCCTTTTCAGACATAGTCTCACTCTGTTGCCCAGGCTGGAGTGCAGTGGTGCTGTCTCGGCTCACCACAGCCTCAACCTCCCAGGCTCAAGCAATCCTCCCACCTAGGCCTCTCAAGTAGCTGGGACCACAGGCACGCATCACCACACCTAGTTAATTTTTGTATTTTTGGTAGAGATGGAGTCTCTTGATCTTGATGAGAGCAACATAGTGAGTACTGGGGTTACAGGCGTGAGCCACCGCGCCCGGCCAAATTGTACATTTAAAAATAACTAAAAGAGGCCGGGCGTGGTGGCTCATGCCTGTAATCCCAGCACTTTGGGAAGCCAAGGCAGGTGGATCACAAGGCCAGGAGTTTGAGACCAGCCTGGCCAACATGGTGAAACCTCGTCTCTACTAAAGATACAAATAATTAGCAAGGCGTGGTGGCGGGTGGAGGGCGCCTGTAATCCCAGCTACGCAGGAGACTGGGGCAGGAGAATCGCTTGAACCTGGGAGGTAGAGGTTGCAGTGAGCCAAGATCGCACCACTGCACTCCAGCCTGGCGACAGAGCGAGGCTCCGTCTAAAAATAAATAAATAAATAAAATGTCTTGCGAGAACAGGGAAAGGAGACTGGCTCAGGGTTAGTATGGTGGTTGGTGGGTGTGACTGGGTGAGGGTTTGTGCACTCAGGGGCTTGTGTGGTTTAAAGCTCCCATTGGCGGCAAAGGAGGGAGCACTGAGGCTTCTTATCAACTTCCCCAGATGTCAGTCACAGGGGAAGAGGGAAAATGATACTTAAAAGCTTTCAGCACTATTTAAGCTTTGGCCGGGCGCGGTGACTCACACCTGGAATCGCAGCACTTTGGGAGGCTAAGGTGGGTGGATCACTTGAGGTCAGGAGTTCAAGACCAGCCTGGCCAACATGGTGAAACCCTGTCTCTACTAAAAATACAAAAATTAGCTGGGCGTGGTGGCGCACGCCTGTAGTCCCAGCTACTCGGGAGGCTGAGGCAGGAGAATCACTTGAACCCTGGAGGCGGAGGTTGCAGTGAGCCGAGATCGCGCCATTGCACTCCAGCCTGGCGACAGAATGAGACGCTGTTAAAAAAAAAAAAAAAAAAAAAAAAGATTTAAAAATAGAACAAAGCCAGGCATGGTGGCCTACACCTATGATCCCAGTGCTTTGAGAGGCTGAGATGGGAGGATTGCTTGAGACTAGGAGTTTGAGACCAGCCTAAACAACATAGCATGTTTCTACAAAAAAATTAAAAATTAAAAATTAAAAATAAAAATAGGCCGGGTACACTGACATGACTGTAATCCCAGTGGGAGGCTGAGGTGGGAGGACCACTTGAGACCAGGAGCTTGATACCAGCCTGGGCAACAAAGTGAGACCTCGTTTTCTACAAAAAAATACATATATATATGTGTGTATATATATATATACGTATATATACACATATATATACGTATATATATACATATATATACGTATATATACACACATATATATACGTATATATATACATATATATACGTATATACGTATATTATATATACGTGTATATATATATATATATATATATGTTTTTTTTTTTTTTTGAGACAGAGTCTCAAAACACAGAGCCTGTGTTGCCCAGGCTGGAGTGTAGCAGCATGATTTCGGCTCACTGCAATCTCTGCCTCCCAGTCTTAATTGATTCTTATGCCTCAGCCTCCCGAGTAGCTGGGATTACAGGCATGTGTCACCATACCCAGCTAATTTTTATATTTTTAGTAGAGATGGGTTTTTGCCATGTTGGGCAGGCTGGTCTTGAACTCCTGGCCTCAAGTGATCCACCTGCCTCAGCCTCCCAAAGTGCTGGGATTACGGGTACAAGCCACCATGCCTGGCCAAAATTTTTTTTTTATAATAAATAAAAATAGGCAGTGTGTGGTAGCTCATGGCTATAATCCCAGTACTTTGGGAGGCTGAGGCAAGAGGATCACTTGAGGCCAGGAGTTTGAGACCAGCCTGGGCAACATAGTGAGACCCTCATTCTCTACAAAAAAAAAAAAAAAAAGTAGCCAGGCATGATGGTGTGCACTTGTAGTCCCAGCTACTAGGGAGGCTGAGGTGGGAGGATGGTTTGCACCCAGGAGTTCAGGGCTATAGTGAGCTGTGATCATACCAGGTGACAGAACCAGACCCTGTCTCTGAAATAAAAATAAAATAAGACCAAAGTGTGTTTCCTACTCTCACACCACTCTATACTTAACACAAAGCACTTTTGTTGTTGTTGTTTTTTGAGACGGAGGCTTGCTCTGTCGCCCAGGCTGGAGTGCAGAGGTGTGATCTCGGCTCACTGCAACCAGCCTCCTCTTCCTGGGCTCCAGCGATTCTCCTGCCTAAGCCTCCCAAGTAGCTGGGATTACAGGCACCTGCCACCACGCCTGGCTAATTTTTGTATTTTTAGTAGAGACAGGGTTTTGCTATGTTGGCCAGGTTTGTCTTGAACTCCCGGCCTCAAGTGATCTGCCCGCCTCAGCCTCCCAACGTGCTGGGATTATAGGTGTGAGCCACCATGGCCGGCCTGTTTACCAGTTTACTATAAGGGGCATTACGGAAAATGCAGAGGAATGGCCAGATGCCGAGGCCAAAGGGGCAAGTTTTGTGGGAAGGGGTGGAGCTTCCATGCCCTCTCTGGGCACACCACCCTCCCGGCACCTCCACAAGTTCAGCATCGAAGCTCTCCGAGTGCTGTCCTTTTGTTTTGTTTTGTTTTGTTTTTTTGAGACAGAGTCTTGCTCTGTCACCCAGGCTGGAGTGTAGTGGCGTGACCTCAGTTCACCATACCTTCACCTCCTGAGTTCAAGCAATTCTCCTGCCTCAGCCTCTCAACTAACTGGGACCACAGGCACGCCCCACGATGCCTGGCTAATTTTTTTTATTTTTAGTAGAGTAGAGATGGGGTTTCACCATGTCGGCCAGGCTGGTCTCAAACTCCTGACCTCAGGTGATCTGCCCACCTCAGCCTCCCAAAGTGCTGGGATTACAGGCATGAGCCACCATGCCCCGCCCTTCTTGGGTTTTTTGGAGGCTTCATTTCATAGGCATGATATACTGAATCATTGGTGATAAACTCACTTGTCAGTCCCTCTCCCCTCTCCGGAAGTCAGGGGGAGGAGTAAACGTTCTAACCCTCTAATCATGTGGTTGGTTCACCTGGTAACTAGCCCCCGCATCCTGAGGCTACCCAGGAGCCCCCCAGGAGTCACCTCACTAGAACAAAAGATGCTCCTATCACTCAGGACGTTACGGAGGTCTTAGGAGCTCTGTGTCAGGAAACAGTCAAAGATCAAATATTACAACTAAAGATCCTCCTAGTGCCCCCGTCTGCAAAGGTTTCAGAAGCTCTGCCTCAGGAACCAAGGGAAGGAACCAAATAATATTTCTTATTGTATCACAATATCACAAGCAGTTAAACATCAAAAAGGGAGTCAAGGCCGGGCGGGGTGGCTCATGCCTGTAACCCCAGCACTTTGGGAGGCTGAGGAAGGAGGATCGCTTGAGCCCAGGAGTTTGGGATCAGCCTGGGCAACACAGTGAGACCTTGTCTCTACAAAAAATTAAAAGATTAGCGGTGTGTCATGGTGTGCATCTGTGATCCTAGCTACTTGGTAGGCTGAGGTGGGAGGATTGCTGGAGACCAGGAGATCGAGGCTGCAGTAAGCCATGATTATGCCACTGCACTCTAGCCTGGACAACAGAGGGAGACCCTGTCTCAAAAAAATGGGTAGGGGGAGTTAGACTATTACATTTAGTATCAGCGTCAGTTCAGGTTCTGTATGCCATAACCTGACACAAATGTGGGTATTGTGTTTTCTTTCTTTTTTCTTTCTTTTTTTTTTTTTTTTGAGACAGAGTCTCTCTCTGTCCCCCAGGCTGGAGTGCAGTGGTGTGATCTGCAACCTCTGCCTCCCAGGTTCAAGCGTTCAAGCGATTCTCCTGCCTCAGCCTCCCAGTAGCTGTGGGGACTACAGGCGTACGCCACCGCATCTGGCTAATTTTTGTATTTTTAGTAGAGACAGGTTTTCTCTATGTTTGCCAGGCTGGTCTCACACTCTTGACCTCAAGTGATCCTCCTGCCTTGACCTCCCAAAGTGCTGGGATTACAGGCACCTGCCATCATGCCTGGCTAATTTTTGTATATTTAGTAGAGGTGGGGTTTCGCCATGTTGGCCAGGCTGGTCTTGAACTCCTGATCTCAAGTGATCCGCCTGCCTTGGCCTCCCAAATGCTGGGATTACAGGCGTGAGCTACCATGCCTGCCTACAGGTGCTGTTGATGCTGTTCCCTTTGCTTGGAACTCACTTCCCCACCTGGATGCCTTTTTCTCACCTGCTCCTTCTTGTCCTCCTGCTCGTTTTCCAGCCATCTTGCAAGACTCAGCTGAGAAGACTTCCCTGACTTCCTTCAGACCCTAATACCCCAGGCAACGTTGTTTCCCCGTCCTAGGGCCACCCCCAGGCCGCCGGCAAAGACACTCTCCTTGGCCAAACTCCAGCCCGGCTCTTTTGAGCGCTTTCTCAGCTGGGCCTCAGCCTTGGCCCATAAAAACTTGAACAAACACGAACCTCGTTTCCAGCCGCTCAAGGTTGCATCCCTAGGATGGCCCCTGTCTCTCTAAAAGTGCCTGCCTGAGAAAGCTCAAGGCTGCCAGAAGTTACAGTTTGTTCCAGCAATGCAGGAGGAGAGGGCTCCTGTGTCCCAGCCTCCAGGGGAGGGCAGGAACCTAACTTGGATAAGCACCGATAGCAAACCCAGATGGTTTCACGTGGACCAATGCCTGCTTTATACTTTTTGTAATTTTTCACTCCCCGATCCTCCTGAGCCCTATCCACCCTCTCCCTTTTCCACCTTTCTCCTTTTTAAGTTATTTATTTATTTATTTTTGCAACAGAGCCTTATTCTGTCACCCAGACTGGAGTGGCGGTGGCACAATCTTGGCTCACTGCAACCTCCGCCTCCTGGGTTCAAGCAATTCTCCTGCCTCAGCCTCCCAAGTAGCTGGGATTACAGATGCACACCACCACGCCTGGCTAATTTTTTGTATTTTTAGTAGAGATGGGGTTTCACCATGTTGGCCAGACTGGTCTCAAACTCCTGACCTCAAGTGATCTGCCTGCCTCAGCCTCCCAAAGTGCTGGGATTACAGGTGTGAGCCACCGTGCCTGGCCTTTAAATTTATTTTTTTAGAGATAGAATCTTGCTCTGCTGCCCAGGATGGAGTGCGGTGGCACGACTGTAGCTCACTGCAGCCTCAAACTCTTGGGCTCAAGTGATCCTACTTCAGCTTTCCAAGTAGCTGGGACTACAGGTGTGCACCACCACACCTAGCTAATTTTTAATTTGTTGTAGAGATGGGGTCCCGCTATGCTGCTGGTCTTGAACTCCTGGCCTCAAGTGATCCTCCCACCTTGGCCTCCTCACGTGCTAGGATTACTGGTGTGAGCCACCACTCCTGGCAAACCTGCAAAACTTTCAATTGCCATCAACCTGGCCCTGGTGGCTACTGGTGCTACCTTGAGACGGAGAGCAGGGACGGAGGGAGGGTTTTGGCCAGGTGAGGTTGATGGAGTGATCTACTCAGTGTGAGTTGTCCCTGAGGCAGGGGCCTCGGTTTTCATCTGGAGATGAGGGCACGACCACCCACTCCCAGAGGCAGTGGAGAGAGAGGCTTAGGTGACCAGGCTGGGCCAAGCTGGAGCCCTCAGAGGTGGCAGGAGGTGAGTGTGGCTAAAGGGAGACAGGGTCATTAGGAACACAGTCAGGTGAGCACAATCAGGCGAGCAGACGGGGAGACTTCTGTCTGGAGGGGCAGACCTGCCGCCTGCACCAGCTTGTCCCCCAGCTGGTGCCTGCCCCAAGCCCCATCCCTGCCTTCTCCCTCATCATACTCCAACCCCGCCTCCTCCTGAGCAGGAGTCAGGCCCTCAGTTGCCATAACAACTGGATCCCGACAGTAAAAATAGTAACTAATTTTTTATTCAACATCTTTTGCTCTTGGAGAAACAGAAAATCCATTTCTAGGCTTGAGTTTCACTTCGGGGGTCCCCTCTGCGGCCCTAAAGATTCCATTGCCAAGGTCGGCTCGAAGGTCAACAGCAGGCTGGGGCCAGGAAGAGGGCGGCAGGCCATGGACCCTGGACAGGCCCAGCCCCAGCCTCCTGGGAGCTGTGGTTACCAGTGGCTGTCTGAGCCTGGCTGGGGCAGAGGTGTCGCTGGTACCTGGGGACAGGTGTGTCCCGGTGCAGTGGACAGCGAGGCCTGGACCTGTGGGGTCAGAGCAAGGGCCATAGAAGTCAAGGTCAGGGCAGATGCCATGGCATGCAGGGCTTGGCTTTGCTTACTACTTCTGTTTGACTTCCATCTTCTGGAGGTCCGAGAAATCACCAGAGCAGGAGTTCTGTGTCGGGAAATCAGCCCAGAGCCCAGCTGGGCTCCAGGACAGTCCTGCCCCCATAGGCCCTGTGACCTTGGGAAGGTCCCCAGCCCATGAGCCTCAGTTTCCCTCATCGGCAGGAGGGGATAGGAGGCATTCATTGCTCCTATCCGAGGTCTCGCTTGTTTTGTGACTTGTGACGCACAGCATCCCAGCTGGGACACGCAAATGTAGATGCCAGACACGCGGCAGAAACAAGGCTTCAAGAATGGGACTCCTCCTGACTATGCACCAATGCCTAAAAAGTCATTTCTTCTGTTTCATTTCCCTCCTCCTCCTCTTCCTTCTCCTCCTCCTCCTCTTCCTCCTCTTCTTCTTCTTTCTTCTTTCTTCTTCTCTTTTCCTTTTTCAGACAGAGTCTTGCTCTGTCACCCAGGCCGGAGTACAGTGGCACAATCTCGGCTCACTGCAGCCTCTGCCTCCCGGGTTCAAGTGATTCTCATGGCTCAGCCTCCCGAGTAGCTCGGATTACAAGCGTGTACCACCACCCCCTGCTCATTTGTTTTATTTTTAATAGAGATGGGGTTTCACCATGTTGGCCAGGCTGGTCTGGAACTCCTGACCTCAGGTGATCCACTTGCTTTGGCCTCCCAAAGTGCTGGGATTAACAGGCGTGAGCCACCGTACCTGGCCCTTGTCTTTTTTTTTTTTTTTAAGAGAGGGTCTCACTCTGTCGCCTAGGCTGGAGTGCGGTGGTGCCATCATAGCTCATTGTAGCCTCCAACTCCTGGGCTCAAGCGATCTTCCTGCTTCAGCCTCCTGAGGAGATGGGACTGCAGGCGCATGCCACCATGCCTGGCTAATTTTAAAATTTTTTGTATAGATGGGGTTTCACCATGCCAAGGTTGGTCCTGAATTCTTGGCCTCAAGCAATCTTTCTGCTTTGGCCTCCCAAAATGCTGAGATCACAGGCATGAGCAGTGGCTTACCCCACCTGGCTTAAAAAAATATAGATAGATAGGTGGATAGATAGATAGATAGATAGATAGATAGATAGATAGATAGATGAGGCTGGGACGGAGGCTGAGATCCTGGAGGCAGAGGTTGGAAAACCAGGAGTTCTCATGTCCCAGGGCAGAAGAGTGTCTCAGCTCCAGGAGAGAGAGAGACCATCTGCCACTTTCTTTCTTTCTTTCTTTTTTTTTTTTTAGAGGGAGTCTCGCTCTGTCACCCAGGCTGGAGTGCAGTGGCGCGATCTTGGCTAACTGCAACCTCCGCCTCCCAGGTTCAAGCGATTCACCTGCCTCAGCCTCCCGAGTAGCTGGGACTTATAGTCCCAGGATGGTCTCGATCTCTTGACCTCGTGATCCGCCTGCCTTGGCCTCCCCAAGTGCTGGGATTACAGGCATGAACCACCGTGCCCGGCTGCATCTGCCACTTCTAATCCATCATCAGGGTGGTCTGGTGGCCTTTGCCTCCTAAGCACTCCTGTTCCCTCTTCTGGTCCCCACCTCAGCCATCCCCCACCCCACCCCCCAGCCCTCAGCCCTGCCATGGCCTCTGAAGGCATCTACTTATAACCCTCTGGTCCTCCCCAGTGGAAGTGGCGAAATAAATTAGATGGAGTCAGCAACACCTGTAATCTCCCCACTTTGGGAGGCTGAGGCGGGCAGATCACCTGAGGTCAAGGAGTTTGAGACCAGCCTGGCCAACATGGTGAAACCCCATCTCTACTAAAAATACAAAAATCAGCTGGGCATGGTGGTGCACGCGTGTAGTCCCAGCTACTTGGGAGGCTGAGGCACGAGAATCGTTTGAACCCGAGAGGCAGAGGTTGTAGTGAGCTGAGATGGCGCCACTGCACTCAAACCTGGGCGACAGAGTAAGACCCCGTCTCAAAAAAAAAAGAAAAAAAGGTGAAGTCCTTTGTCTTTTTCCCACTTCTGGTCCTAGCTCCCTGGGGGCAGAGGGAGTGGGTGGGGTTATCTTCTGAATGTTCAGCAGGATCTCAAATAAAGCATTACTGTATTAATAAAAAGGAATAGGGGCTGGGGCTTGGGAAGGAGGGTGAAGTGTGTGTGCAAACGAAGGGCCTTCTCTTGGATCTGGGGACCAATCCTAGGGTTCCTCAGGTGCCGCTGGCATGTCTTTCACATGGAAGCCTGTCTTCCCTCCATCAGCCCCCCGGGGTTCCAAGCCTCCCATAGGGTGGTTGGTTTTCCAAAGCCCAGAACCTGGGCCAGGTCTCCTACGGGAGAAAGCTGGAATTTGTACTCGGGAATCCAGCCACCAGATGCAAATGACCCTGTCATGGCGGTCAGGAGGGTCCTCAGAGTCATGAAGTCTTGGGGGAAGAGGGTTTTCCCAGAGGCCCTGACCCTTCCCGGGCAGGTCCCATAGGGGCCCTTGTGCCTAGCAGGGACGTGGCAGTAGGGAGCCAGGCAGTGGGGGGAGCAAGCAAGCCACAGGCAGGCGGTAGGTGCTGGGCCCAGCTACACTGGGGACGACGGGCACAGTGTCCGCTGTCCTTCCAGCCAAGTTGGGGCCAGCGGGGTCGGTCCAGCCCTGTCTAGCCCTGGAGGGCTTTTTTCTCCTCACTGGAAAAAGTACTGGTGGAGGATACCTGGGAAAAAGGGGCTGGATTGGGAAGTCCCCTATCCACTTCCTACTCCCTCCACCCCCCACCAACCTCACTTTCCAGTCCCCCTACCCTCGGGTCCCCCACTCCCCACCAACTCCTCCACTTCCCACTCCCTCCACCCCCAGGTCCCCCGCTCCCTCCAACACCCCCACTTCCCACTCCCCCCACCCCCAGGTCCCCCACTCCCTCCAAGACCCCCATTTCCCACCTCCACCAACCTCGGAGTCCCTCTCTTCCCACTAACCCCCTCACTCCCCCCCCAACACCCCGACTTCCCACTCCCTCCACCTCCAGTTCCCCTTCTTCCCACCAACCCCCCACTTCCTCCACCCCCAGGTCCCCCACTCCCCCCAACCCCCCACTTTCCACTCCCTCCACCCCCCAACACCCCCATTTCCCACTCCCTCCACCCCCAGGTCCCCCACTCCCCCCAACTTCCCCCACTTTCCACTCCCTCCACCCCCAGGTCCCCCACTCCCCCCAACCCCCCACTTTCCGCTCCCCCACCCCCAAGTCCCCCACTCCCCACCAACGCCCCCACTTCCCACTCATCCCACGTCCATTCCCACTCTCCTTACCCCCCACTTCCCACTTCCCCCAACCCCTCCAGCACCCCCTGTTCCCACTCCCGTCCCCTTCCCACTCCCCGACTCCCTCAGCCCCGCAACTTTGCATTCCACCCACCTGGCGCCCCCGCCTTCCCAATCCTTCCCACTCCCCCTACTACCACTTCCCGCTCCCCACCCCACCAACCCCCCACCTCCTGGCTTCCAGGGAGGGCACCGGGAAAAGGGGCCGGGGCCAGGGCCGCCCCAGGCCTGGGCGATGGGTGGCTCGCGCGCGCAGCCAGGACCCCCCCCGTCCCGCCCCCACTCCTTACGCCCACTTCCTCACCCCCACCTCTCCCACCCCCCCATCTCCCCACGACCCTCCTCCACCTCAGCGGAGGCGGCGGGGTCGCGGGAGGGAGGGGGCCGGGCTTAGGCGATTGGCAGCGCGAGCCCGGGAGCCCCCCCGTGCCCCCGCCCGCCCCGCCCCCGCCACCATCTGCTCGGGATTTGGCGTCGGCGGCTCCGGGCGCCTCCAGCTCCGGCTCGGGCTCCGGCTCCGGCTCCGGGCGCCGACCAGGTCCCCTTGGCCCCCGCCGCGCGCCCTCCAACCTGCTGCTGCCGCCGCCGCGCCCCCCAGGCTCTGCCAGCTACCCGCGCTCTGAGCCCGGGGCCAGATTCCCATGGAAGCGCCGCGATGTTCGCCCCCCGGCTGCTGGATTTCCAGAAGACGAAATACGCGAGGTGAGCGGCGGCCGCGGAGGTCCGCGGGGAGGGAGGGAGGGGCGCGCGGCGGCGGGGGCCGCGGAGGCCACCTTGGTTCTCGGGCCCCGCCGCCCGGAGCGCTAGAGGGGATCGGCGGACCCCTGACCCCCGCCCGAGAAAACCAGGACCCAGGCAGCCTCGTCTTCTCGCTGGGATGGAGTAACCGGGGCGCCCGCGCCTCCTCGCTGGGTGCCATTGGGCAAGTCGCTTCACTTCTCTGAACCTCATTTCCACGTTTGCAAAACGGGGGTTATGCGAGTCCCCGTGTCCTGGGTCGCCGTGAGGATTAAGCGAGCTGGTCCTTGCAGAGCACTTTGCGCAGCGCCTGGAGCCCAGGCCAGCTACGCTCGGGCAGTTACGCTCGGTCTCTCTTGGGCACTCTTGTTCATGGTAAAAGGCGTTGGTACCACCTCTGTCCACCCTTCCAGCAAGTCGGAGGAAAGAGTAAGTGCTCTTTTCAGATGGAGAAACTGAGGCTCGGGGTGCGGTGGGGGGAGGCACCTGTACATCCTGGTCTTTTCATAGTGTGAACTCCGTGGTCCCCTCAGAACCTCCGTCTCTTTTGTAAAATGGTGATTAACAGACATTGTGATATCTGAGTAGAAGTTAGGCTCCTGTTGCTTGGAATTCCAGTGAAGAAGGTGGGCGTGGGGAGGGGGTTTCTCCTTTTACATATCTTTAAGATTTTGTTGGGAGATGTGCTTGCCTGGAAGCTGGCATGAAAAATCCCCTCCTAAAGTTGCTCCTCGGTCCCCAGTGGTCTTCGGCGAGCACAGACCCGTCTGCTGGGAGCAGCCCGCGGGGGCCTCTTTGGAGGGGGCACCAGGCTGTCCTCCAGGTCACCTTTCCCCCTCTGCCACCTGGGGTCCCCTGCCTTCGTGAACAGAGGGGCCTGGTGTGTGCTGAGGCTCCAGTGGGTGGTGAGTGGGAGATGGGCTGGCAGTATTCTTCCTACTCACATCAGTGTGGCTTGTCACTTGCAACTGGTTGTTGAGAGTGCCCTGGTGCTCCTGAAGTCTCCACAAGTTCTGGTCATATTGAGCACAGCTTGACAAGAGGAGCTCAGGGCTAGGATGGTGTCCAGGGTAGGGAAGGCTGGCGGACAGGACGGAACCCTTCCTTCCCCCTCAGTCTCACCCTCTGTTTCCCCCTGGGGGACATGATGAGTCTATCTCTCCTAAATGGGGAATCCCACCCAGAGATGTGATGCACTTGGGAAGGACTTGAGGATAAGTTCCTGCGGATTGACTCTGTTGACCAGATTGTGTGACTGGACTGGACTTACTTTTTTTTTTTTTCTGAGATGGAGTCTCGCTCTTGTTGCCCAGGCTGGAGTGCAATGGCATGATCTCGGCCCACTGCAACCTCCACCTCCTGGTTTCAAGCGATTCTCCTGCTTCAGCCTTCCGAGTAGCTGGGACTACAGGCACCTGCCACCATGCCCGGCTAATTTTTTGTATTTTTAGTAGAGACTGGGGTTTCACCGCGTTAGCCAGGATGGTCTCAATCTCTTGACGTCGTGATCCCCCCGCCTCGGCCTCCCAAAGTGCTGGGATTACAGGCATGACCCACCGCCCCCGGCCTTTGTTTTTTTTCTTTGAGACAGGGTTTTGCTCTGTCACCCACACTAAGGCTGGAGTGCAGTGGCACAATCATGGTTCACTACAGCCTCAAATTCCTGGGCTTGAGCGATCCTCCTGCCTCAGCCTCAAGTAGCTGGGATTCCAGGTATGGACCACGACAATACCCAGATAATTTATATATATATATATATATTTTTTTTTTTGAGACAGTCTCACTCTGTTGCCGACTCTGGAGTGCGGTGGCGTGATCTCAGCTCACTGCAACCTCCACCTCCCGGGTTCAAGTGATTCACCCGCCTCAGCCTTCCGAGTAACTGGGACTACAGGCGCCTGCCACCAAGCCTGGCTAACTTTTGTATTTTTAATAGAGGCGGGGTCTTGCCATGTTGCCCAAGCTGGTCTTGAACTCCTGGGCTCAAGTGATCCTCTCACCTCGGCCTCCCAAAGTGGGCACTTGGACTTGTAAAGGCTGGCTCCAGGGGATTTTGTGAGACGTAAGTTGGTGGACTGTTCACGGGAAAGAGAGAAACCCTGGGTTTAAGGCTGCCGACGTGGACATGAAGGGAAGGAGCTCTGAAGTCTCAGCAACCAGCCCGGGCCTGTCCCACACCTGCTGTGTGACCTTGGTAGATGTCTCAACCTCTCTTGACCCCAGTGGGTTGATGTGTAAAGTCATGAGAGCTGGTCTAAATGGTCTCTAGATTTGGACACTTGCGCTGGCTGCTCTGGAATTGGAATAGGGATCTGGAGCTGGAGCACGGGCCAGTCTTTCATGCTTGGGCCAATGCAGCTTCTATGGGTGATGGGTCCAGGGAGGAAATGGATCGCATGGATTAGTTCTATTTCTGTTCCCTTCCTCGTTGTGCAGTCTTTACAACTGTACAGTCCACAAATTAGGTCTGTAGTAAAGGCTTCTTGATTAAGTGATTTTTTTTTTTTTTAAAGATAGGATCTACTCTATCACCCAGGCTGGAATGCAGTGGTGTGATCATAGCTCACTGCAGCCTCAAACTCCTAGGCAAACATGATTCTCCTGTCTCAGCCTCCTGAGTAGCTGGGACTACAGGTGTGCACCACCATGCCTGGCTAATTAAAAAAAAAGTATCTGTAAAGATGGGGTCTCACTATGTTGCCCAGGCTGGTCTTGAGCACCTAGGCTCAAGTGATCCTCCTGCCTCAGCCTCCTGAAGTGTTGGGATTACAGGCATGAGCCACTGCACCCAGCTGATTGAATGAATTTAATGGTATAATCCAGGGCTGTCCATGAGTAATATACAAGCCACAGATGTGGCTTTATTTTATTTATTTAGTTTTGAGTTGGAGTCTCACTCTGTCACCCAGGCTGGAGTGCAATGGCGCAATCTCTGCTCACTGCAACCTCCGCCTCCCAGGTTTAAGCGATTCTCCTGCCTCAGCCTCCCAAGTAGCTGGGACTACAGATGCCCGCAACCACGCCTGGCTAATTTTTGTATTTTTAGTAGAGGTAGGGTTTCACCATATTGGCCAGGCTGGTCTCGAACTCCTGACCTCAAATGATCCACCCACCTTGGCTTTCCAAAGTGCTGGGATTAGAGGAGTGAGCCACCACGCCCGGCCAGCTTTAAATTTTCTAGTAGACACTCAGTTTAATGTGTGCCTAATATTCCATCTTGTTATAAGAAAGTAAAAATAAACAGGTGAAATTATTATAATTTTTAGAATATATTTTAGTTAACTCTTTATATCCAAGGCATTATTATATCAGTATACAATGAATATGAACAAATTATTTAGGAGATATTTTACATTTTTTTCCCCACAAGTCTTCATCTAATGTGCATTTTATACTTACAGCCCGTCTGAATTTGGGCTAGTCAATTCCAAGTGCTCAATAACCACATGTAGATTGTGTCTACCGTATTGGTATCTTCTGTGGTGAGAGATGGGTATTCCAAATTAAATTCTGTGTGACATTGTAAAAAATGCTGTCCTTCTTGGAGTCTCTGTTTCTCAGCGGGTGGTAGGCCAGCTAACCCCCTAGGTTCTAACCTAGAGTCTTTGATGTAAGTAACCACCTGGTCACCTGGAATGGCTTTTCTACATCAAGAAACATTCATATCATAAAGCTGTAAGAATTAAGACAGTATGGTGTTGGTGCATGGCTGGGCAAATTGACGAATGGAGCAGAATAAAGAGGCCTGAAATAGATTCATGCATGTAAAGGTGTTTTAAGCTGTGTGTGGTAGCACGTGCCCGTAATCCCAGCTACACCTGAGGCCAAGGCAGGAAGGATCACTTGAGGCCAGGAGATTGAGAACACTCTGGGCAACATAGCAAGATCCCATCTCAACTTTTTAAAAGGCATTTTATTTTTACCAAAGATGGTGTTGCTGATAAACCTAGGCAAGGATGATCTATTGGATAAGTGGTACTGAGACAATTCATTATTCAGATGAGAACAGTGGAATAGGAACCCTACCTCACACCATACAGAAAAGACACTTTTAGAGGGATGAAAGATGTAAACATGAAATAAATTAAAAAGTTGAAAACTTTGAGAATCTATAAAAGAATAACTTTTGAACTTTGGGGTAAGGTTCTGAAGGCACATAAAGTACAAATCATAAAAAAAAGATTGATGAACTTGACTACATTAAAAATTAAGTTGCAGCCGGGCAAGGTGGCTTATGCCTGTAATCCCAACATTTTGGGAGGCCGAGGTGGGAGGAGCACCTGAGTCCGGGAGTTCAAGACCAGCTTGGGCAACATGGTGAAACCCCATCTCTACAAAAAATACAAACAATTAGCTGGGCATGGTGAAGTGTGCCTGTAGTCCCAGTTACTCAGGAGGCTAAGGTGGGAGGCTTGCTTGAGCCTGGGGATCGAGGCTGCAAATGAGCTGAGACTGAGCTCCTGCACTCCAGCCTGGGTGACAGAGGGAGACCCCGTCTCAAAAAAAGAAAAAAAAATTAAGTTTCTGTTAATCAAAAATGCCATGAAGAAAGTAGAAGACAAGCCACAGTGCAAAGGACATATTTGCAACACCTTTAACCAACAAGTAATTAATATCCAAAATATATAGAGAATAAGAAATAGAAAAAGACAAATAACCAAATAGAAAATGTAAAAGACACGGACAGGGATTTCTTGGAAGAGAACACAGGTGAGCATGTGAAGAACTGCTCCCTCGCAGTGGTAACCAAGACAATGCAAAATGAGATACCACTTTAATATCCAGTGCATAAGAAGCCTAACTGTCTGGGTGCAGTGGCTGATGCCTGTAACCCCAGTGCTTTGGGAGGCTGAGGTGCGAGGATCTCTGGAGGCCAGGAGTTTGAGACCAGCCTCTCCAAAAAGAAAAAAATTAGCTGGGCATGGTTGTGTGCTTGCGGTCCCAGCTACTCAGGAGGCTGAGGTGGGAGGATCCCTTGAGCCTGGGAGTTCAAGGCTGCAGTGAGCTATGATCGTGCCACTGCACTCAAGCCTGGGTGATAGAACAACTCCATCTCCAAAAAATACGATAAAAGGCAAAATGTAAATTTCAGATGAACAACTGTAAAAATTTAAAGTCCAAAGTAATTCAATAAAACCAAAATATTTTATGAAAATGAGACTGAGGCTGGGTGCGGTGGCTCACGCCTTTAATTCCAGCACTTTGGGAAGCCAAGGCAGGTGGATCACCTGAGGTCAGGAGTTCGAGACCAGCCTGACCAACATGGTGAAACCCTGTCTCTACTAAAAATACAAAAATTAGCCGGGTGTGGTGGCATGCACCTGTAGTCCCAGCTACTCAGGAGGCTGAGGCAGGAGAATTGCTTGAACTTGGGAGGCAGAGGTTGCAGTGAGCCAAGATCTTGCCACTGCACTCCAGCCTGGGCGATAGAGTGAGACTCCATCTTAAAAAAAAAAAAAGAGACTGAATCACACGAAAATGAAACCACTCAGGCTGAGGGTTCAACATCCATCTAGTTGCCAGTGTAAAGAATTGGAATTGGGTTTTATACAGGTCATGTGTAGCCCTACATCTGCAGGAGTTCAGGAGTTGTAGGAATGTGTTGATATTGATGGTGTTTCCAGCTGCCAAGTGCACCTGTTGGAAGTAGCCAGGCGGTGCTGACCAAGACAATTCCCTGCCCTCCTGGAGCTCACATTCTTCTGTGGGAAGCAGACAACAGATAATAACTATGTGATAACACTTCAGATAGGAATACGTCCAGGTGAGATGGGGAACTGTAGGGATGGAGGAAACAGGGATTAAGATGACTTCCTTGGCTGGGCATGGTGTATCATGCCTGTAATCCCGGTGGATTACTTGAGGCCAGGAGTTTGAGACCACCCTGACCATTATATCGAGACCATGTCTCTAAAAAACCAACTAAGCAAACAAAAAAACAAACAAAAAACAAAAAAAGGCCAGGTGTGGTGGCTCACGCCTTTAATCCCAACACTTTGGGAGGCCGAAGCAGGCAGATCACTTGAAGCCAGCCTGGCCAGCGTGGTGAACCCCTTCTCTACTAAAAATACAAAAATTAGCCAGGTGTGGTGGTGTGTGTCTGTAATCCCAGCTACTCGGGAGGCTGAGGCAGGAGAATTGCTTGAACCCAGGAGGCGGAGGCTGCGGTGATCCAGGATTGTGCCACTGCACTCCAGCCTGGGCGACAGAGCAAGACTCTGTCTCAAAAAAAAAAAAAAAAAAAATCTCATACGGAGCACGCAACCGAGATCCCCACATGTGCAGTTCACAATAGGGTTCATGCTCCTATGAGAATCTGAAAAACAAAAAAAGGATGCCTTCTTGGTAGGACTAACTGTGAGGAAATGCGTGCAGAGTGGTATACAGTAGGTGCCAAATAAACGATGGGCTGATACCATGCAGTGTTGGGCGGAGGTTCGGGCAGTGGCCGCCCGGCCTATGCCTGGGGGGAGCTGTTCTTTCAGCACCAGCAGGTCTCAGTGTGTTTCTTTCCTCCTTGACTGAAGAGCTGAGTTGACCAATATGCAGGGAGAAATAGGAAGTGAGATTTACCTGGAAACCCCCACTTCATCAGCAGTGCAGAAATGCATCTTCAGATTCATCCAGGCACAGCCCACCCTTCCAGGCTTGTCCCAAGTCCCGGGCCTTTTAGGATCCTTCAGGAATGAGCAGGGGATGGCCCCACATGTCCTTCAGCTTTGCACACCTCTCCCCAGCCAGACTGCAAGCCGCTGGGAGCAGGAGTAGGCTGGGGCCATTCAAACCCTCTTGTGTTCCCCAAGGGGCCAGCATGGTCTGGCGTGTGGTGGGCGTCCCTGGCTTGTCCACTACCCACAGCTGGTTAGTTGGTTCACTGATGCACTCAAAAACCTTGTTGAGGCCGAGCATGATGGCTCAAGCCTGTAGTCCCAGCACTTTGGGAGGCTGAGCTGGAAGATCACTAGAGCCCAGGAGTTCAAGACCAACCTGGATAACATGGTGAAACCCTGACTCTCCAAAAAAAGGCAAAAAATTAGCTGGGCATGGTAGCACGTACCTGTAGTCCCAGCTACTTGGAAGGCTGTGGCGGGAGGATTGCTTGAGCCCAGGAGTTTCAGACCAGTCTGGGCAACATAGCAAGACCCTGTCTGTACAAAAAATTTAAAAATTAGCCAGTTGTAGTGGCTCATGCCTGTAGTCCCAGCTACTTTGGAGGCTGAGATGGGAGGATCACCTGAGCCTAGGAGATTGAGGTTACAGTGAGCCATGATTGTGCCACTGCATTCCAGCCTGGGTGACAGAGGGAGACCTTGTCTCAGGAGGTGGGGTGGGGAAGAATGAGTAGTGCTAGATGCTGGATGGGCAGAAACCACAGGTGTCCATGACAGGACAGGACAAGCCTCGGAGGTTGCAGCATGTAAGTGGGCTCTTCAGGATGAATAGGAGTTTTCCAGGGTGAGGGAAGGACATTGAAGAATGAGGCCATTGGGGGGTGAAGTGCAGGGACCCAGGGCAGGGTCTGGTGAGGCTGCAACACAGGCTGGGCGTGGAGAGGATACTGAGCCTGGTCCCAACGAGTCCCGAGCACACCCGACCACTGTTCCATGGGCTCTATGGCACCATTAAGGGCTTTTAAACTGAGGGTTTAAAAGCAGTTAAACCGTCTGGATTTGGGCTCCAGTGGGAAGAAAATAAAGGGACAGAAGCTACTTTTGAGGCTGCCATCATAGTTATCAAGGGAGTTGCTTTCTTGGGATTCCAAGGATAGGGCTGCAGGCAGGCTGGAGCTGTAGGTGCCTCATGGGGTTGGGGCTGCCCTTCACCTCCTGGACTGTGGGAGTTGCCTGTGGACATCAGGCCCCTAGACCTACAAACCCTTCAGGGCACTCTCTTATGCAATGAGATCAAAATAAGGAAATTTAGGCCGGGCGCTGTGGCTCACGCCTGTAATCCCAGCAATTTGGGAGGCTGAGGCGGGTGGGTCATCTGAGGTCAAGAGTTCAAGACCAGCCTGGCCAAGATGGTGAAACCCTGTCTCTACTAAAAATGCAAAATTAACTGGACATGGTGGTGCATGCCTGTAATCCCAGCTACTTAAGAGGCTGAGGCACGAGAATTGCTTGAATCCGGGAGGCAGAGGGTGCAGTGAGCTGAGATCACGCCACTGCACTCTAGCCTGCTGGGCGACAGAGTGAGACTCCATCTCAAAAAAAAAAAAAAAAGAAGGAAAGAAATTTAGCTTTAAAAAGGAAGGAAATTCTGGCACACGCGGTAGCCTGGATGAACCACAAGGACATTCATTATGCTAAATGAAATCAGCCCCAAGGGGACAAATACTGTATGATTCCACTTATCTGAGGTCCCTCGAGGAGTCCAATCCATAGAGACAGGAAGTGGAGTGGTGGCTGCCAGAGGCAGGTGAGGGTGGGTAGGGAATGAAGAATTAGTGTTTAATAGGGACAGGGTTTCAGTTTTGCAAGATAAAAAGAGTTCTGGAGATGGATGGTGGTGACGGTGGTATAAGAAGGTGAATGTGGGGCTGGGTGCAGTGGCTCACGCCTGTAATCCCAACACTTTGGAAGGCCGAGGCAGGCGGACCACCTGAGGTAGGGAGTTCAAGACCAGACTGACCAACGTGGAGAAACCCCATCTCTACTAAAATTACAAAATTAGCCAGGCCTGGTGGTGCATGCCTGTAATCCCAGCTACTCAGGAGACTGAGGCAGGAGAATCGCTTGAACCCAGGAGGTGGAGGTTGTGGTGAGCTGAGATTGCCCATCGCACTCCAGCCTGGGCAACAGAGTGAGACTCCATCTCTCACACACACAACACACACACACACACACACACACACAAAAGAAGGTGAATGTACTTAATGACAGCAAATTGTATGCTTAAAAATGGTTAGGATAGTACATTTGATGTGTGTTTTACCACAGTGAAAAAAATTATTCTAAAAATACCTAGCCGGAAATGGTAACGTGGGCAGGTCATTTGTTAAATGTGAGAGAGGAGATGGGGGGAAAAGGAAATTTAACATTGATGCAAAATTATGATCAAATTGTCTTAGCCTGTTCACGCTACTCTTATAAAATGCCATAGTACTGTTCAGGCATAAAAAGACTGATATTCTGGCCGGGCACAGTGGCTCATGCCTGTAATCCCAGCACTTTGGGAGGCTGAGGCGGGTGGATCAGGAGTTCGAGACCATCCTGGCCAATATGGTGAAACCCCGTCTCTACAAAAAATACAAAAATTAGCCAGGTGTGGTGGCGGGTGCCTGTAGTCCCAGCTACTCGGGAGGCTGAGGCAGGAGAATTGCTTGAACCTTGGAAGCAGAGGTTGCAGTGAGCCGAGATTGCACCATTGCACTCCAGCGTGGCAAGAGAGTGAGACTCCATCTAAAAAAAAAAAAGACTGAGATTCTGTCATTTGCAGCAACATGGATGGAACTGGAGATCATTCTATTAAGTGAAATAAGCCAGGCACAGAAAGACAAACATTGCATGTTCTCACTTATTTGTGGGATCAAAAAATCAAAACAGTTGAACTCTTGGACACAGAGAGTAGAAGGATGGTTACCAGAGGCTGGGAAGGGGAGTGGGCAGGTTGGGGGGAGGTTGGGATGGTTAAGGGGTACCAAAAAATAGTTAGTATGAATAAGACCTAATATTTGATAGCAAGCAGGGTGACAATAGTTAATAATTTAATAATAATAATTTTTTGAGACAGAGTCTCACTCTATTGCCCAGGCTAGAGTACAGCTGTGTGATCTCGGCTCACTGCAACCTTTGCCTCCCAGGCTCAAGTGATTCTCCTTCCTCAGCGTCCCGAGTAGCTGGGGTTATAGGTGTGCACCACTGCGCCCAGCTAATTTTTCTATTTTTAGTAGAGATGGGTTTTTCCATGTTGGCTCAGCTCACTGCAACCATCTTTTGTACAAAAGAATACAAAAACTAGTTAGGCATGGTGGTGAAACCCTGTAGTCCCAGCTGCTCTGGAGGCCAAGGTGGGAGGATCACCTGAGCTTGGGAGATGGAGGCTGTGTGAGCCGTGACTGTGCCACTACATTTTAGCCTAGACTAGGTGGCTTATAAACCATAGAAATTTATAGAACCTAAAAAGAATTTTGGAAAGAAAAAAACACAAAAATGTATTTCCTACAATTCTGGAGGCTGGAAGTCAAGATCAAAGTGTCAGCACAGTCAGATTTGTTCCCAGGTGGTAGATGGCAGACTTCTTATAGACTTGGCAGTAAGAGCTCTCTGGCCTCTTCTTCTAAGGGCACTAATCCCATTTGTGAGGGCTCCACCCTCATGACCTTGTCATTTTCCAGAGGCCCCGCCTCCTAATACTATCACATTGAGGAGTGAGGATTTCAACATGTGGATTTCTTTTTTTTTTTTTCGGTGAGACGGAGTCTCGCTCTTGTCATTCAGTCTGGAGTGCAGTGGCGCGATCTTGGCTCACTGCAACCTCTGCCTCCCAGGTTCAAGTGATTCTCCTGCCTCAGCCTCCCGAGTAGCTGGTACTACAGGCATGTGCGCCACCACGTCCAGCTAATTTTTGTATTTTTAGAAGAGATGGGGATCCCCCCCAAGGCTGGTCTCTAACTCCTGGCCTCAGGTGATCTGCCTGCCTCAGTCTCCCAAAGTGCTGGGATGACAGGTGTGAGCTACCACACCCGGCCTCAACATGTGGATTTTGAGATGATGCCAACATGCAGTTCATAGCACTTGTATAGAGTTTGATATGGTTTGGATCTGTGTCTCTGCCCCAATCTCCTATTCAGTTGTAATCCCCGATGTTGGATGTGGGGCATGGTGGGAGCTGATTGGATCATGGGGGCGGTTTCTCATGAATGGTTTAGCAGTATCCCCCTTGGTTGAGATAGTGAATGAGTTCTTGTGAGATCTGGTCGTTAAAAAGTGTGTAGTGGCCGGGCGCGGTGGCTCACGCCTGTAATCCCAGCACTTTGGGAGGCTGAGGTGGGTGGATCACCAGGTCGGGAGATCAAGACCATCCTGGCTAACACGGTGAAACCCTGTCTCTACTAAAAATACAAAAAATTAGCCAGGTGTGGAGGCACTCCCTGTAATCCCAGATACTCAGGAGGCTGAGGCAGGAAAATCGCTTGAACCCGGGAGGTGGAGTTTGCAGTGAGCTGATATCGCACCACTGTGCTCCAGCCTGGGCAACAGAGCAAAATTCTGTCTCAAAAAAAAAAAAAAAAAAAAAAAAAGGCCAGGTGCAGTCGCTCACACCTGTAATCACAACACTTTGGGAGGCTGGGACAGGCAGATCACCAGGTCAGGAGATTGAGACCATCCTGGCTAACATGGTGAAACCCCGTCTCTACTAAAAATACAAAAAAGTAGCTGGGCCTGGAGGCATGCGCCTGTAATCCCAGATACTCGGGAGGCTGAGGCAGGAGAATCGCTTGAACCCGGGAGGTGGAGGTTGCAGTGAGCTGAGATCCCACCACTGCACTCCAGCCTGTGCAACAGAGCGAGACCCTGTCTCAAAAAAAAAAAAAGTGCATAGCACCCCTCTTCCTTCTCTCCCTTCCTCCTGCTCCCATGTAAGACACCTGCTCCCCCTTTGCTTTCTGCCATGATTGGGAACTTCCTGAGTCTTCCCCAGA
This sequence comes from Homo sapiens, assembly GCF_000001405.40. Taxonomy (NCBI): domain Eukaryota; kingdom Metazoa; phylum Chordata; class Mammalia; order Primates; family Hominidae; genus Homo; species Homo sapiens. The sequence goes on along the minus strand of NC_000007.14, from coordinate 4,947,290 downwards.
AGCAGAAGCCGCCATGCTTCCTGTACAGCCTGCAGAATCATGAACCAACTAAACCGCTTTTCTCTTTCTTTTTTCTTTTGTTTGAGACGGAGTCTTGCTCTGTCACCCAGGCTGGAGTGCAGTGGCGCCATCTCAGCTTACTGCAAACTCCACCTCCCGAGTTCAAGCGATTCTCCTGCCTCAGCCTCTGGAGTAGCTGAGATTACAAGCATGCACCACCACACCAAGGTAATTTTTGTATTTTCAGTAGAGATGGGGTTTCACCAAGTTGGCCACGTTGGTCTTGAACTCCTGACCTCAGGTGATCGGCCCATCTCGGTCTCCCAAAGTGCTGGGATTACAGGTATGAGCCACCACACCCAGCCTAAACTCCTTTTCTTTATGAATTACCCAGTCTCAGGTATTTCTTTCTAGTAGTGTGGCACAAGCCTGTAGTCCCAGCTACTGGGGAGGATCCGTTGAGCCCAGGAATTCGAGGCTGCAGTGAGCTATGATTGCACCACTGCACTCCAGCTTGGGCAACAGAACCAGACCCTGTCTCTAAAAATAAGAAGGAAGAAAGGCCAGGAGGATTATAGGCCATATGGTGTACTTCATCTTACTGGGAGATATCTGGTAGACCTGCCACCCGTGGTGCTAGGTTGATCCATGAGGGCTCTAAGGTAACCCCTGGGATGAGAGATACTGAGGTCCTTTTCAGCATCCTATTACTCAGCAGCCTCTCACCTGGTGGTCTTAGCATCCATTGGTTATCATTGTCTGAATCCTTTGTTTCACTCGCGGTTGCAATTTTATGCTTTTTCAAGATCCTCCCTTAGTGAAGACTCTGCACCCCCACTTCCCTTCAGCATCACTGGACTCAGCTTTTTAAAGTACTTGGATTTTCATTATTATCTTAGATAAAGCCAAGGTTTCATTTCTTTCAGAGAAAGGCCGCAGAGGGAAACAAATTGATCCGTCCATGTTTGGAGCATGGCTATTCTTAGGATGCGGGGATGGTGTTTCGACTCTGTGAAGCTCCTGGGATTGTGTGCACGGGGTGGGGTGTGCGTGTGTGTGCGTGTATGTGTGCATGTGTGTGCATGCGTGTGTGTGGGTGTGCGCGCGTGTGTGTGCATGTGTGCAGGTGTGCGCGCGGGTGTGGGTGTGCGTGCGTGTGCAGGTGTGTGCGTGCGTGTGCGCGTGTGCATGCGTGTGTGTGCGTGCGTGTGCGTGCGTGTGAGTGTGTGCATTTTGCCCCAGAGAGGTGTACGTCTCCAGAGGAATCTTCTCTGAGCAGGCAGCTGCGTTACATAGGAATGAATGCTGAATTCTGGTCTTTGGGAAAGGAGTTGGGCTGGAAACTGGCTTGTACCAATTTCAGAGCTCTCTGCTTTGGAATTTTCACTCCTCTGTCCTGGAGGAAAGAAGGAAAGAGGCCGGGTGCGGCGGCTCACGCCTGTAATCCCAGCACTCTTTGAGGCCAAGGCGGGAGGATCACTTGAGCTCAGGAGCTCAAGACCAGCCTGGGCAACATGATGAATCCCCATCTCCACTAAAAATACAAAAATTAGTCAGGTGTGTTGGTGCACACCTGTAATCCCAGCTACTTAGGAGGCTGAGGCAGGAGAATCGTTTGAACCCTGGAGGCAGAGGCTGTAGTGAGCCAAGATTGCGCCACTGCATGCCAGCCTGGGCGGCAGAGTGAGATCTCCAAAGGAAAGGAAGGGAGAAAGGGGAGGGAAGGGCTGGGTGAGGCGGCTCATGCCTGTAATCCCAGCACTTTGAGAGGCCAAGGTAGGTGGATCACGAGGTCAGGAGTTCAATAACAGCCTGGCCAACATGGTGAAACCCCGTCGCTACTAAAATATACAAATTAGCTGGGCATGGTGGCGGGCACCTGTAGTCCCAGCCACTCCGGAGGCTGAGGCAGGAGAATTGCTTGAACCCGGGAGGCAGAGGTTGCAGTGAGCCGAGATCACGCCACTGCACTCCAGCCTGGGTGACAGAGCAAGACTGTCTCAAAAAAAGAAAAAAAAAGAAAGAAAGGGGAGGGAAAGAAAGAGAGAGAGGAAGAAGAAGAAGAAGAAGAAGAAGAAGAAGAAGAAGAAGAAGAAGAAGAAGAAAGAGGAAGAGGAGGAAGAAGGAAGAAAAAGAAGAGGGAAAGAAGAAGAAGGAGAAGGAAAGAGAGAAAAAGAAAAAAGAAGTGTGTTGGTGTCCAGAAGAAGGGGTCGGGGGGAGGAGGAGGAAGGAGAAGAAAAAGGAGAGAGAGAGGGAGAGGGAGAGGGAGAGGGAGAGGTAAGAAAAGAAGAAAAAGAAGAAAGAGCATCCTGGCTAACATGGTGAAACCCCGTCTCTGCTAAAAATACAAAAAAAATTAGCCAGGCATGGTGGCGGGCGCCTGTAGTCCCAGCTATTCAGGAGGCTGAGGCAGGATAATGGTGTGAACCTGGGAGGCGGAGCTTGTAGTGAGCCGAGATCGTGCCACTTCACTCCAGCCTAGGCGACAAAGCAAGACTCTGTCTCAAAAAAAAAAAAAAAAAAAAAAAAAGAAGAAGAAGAAGAAGAAAGAGAAAAAAGAAAAAAAGGAATTTGTTGGTGTTCAGGACTGAAAAGACCAGAAGTAGCGGGGTTCAGCAGGACCCAGAGAGACTGTCTCTCTGCTATTCTTGGCTCTGTGATGGCACACTGGACCCATGGCCACTGGCCGGGCTGGACTATTCTGGTGGAGAATGGCCATTCCAAGTCCTCCTCGATCTTCCACCAGTCCTTTCGCAGGAATAGTAGGAGTGCTGAGAGGGTTGAAAAACGGAGAGCATCGGCCACTCCGGAGCCTGCTCCACAGATCCAGCGTGGGGTGGGCTGGCCCAGGTCATGCCTCTTGGCTCCAGCAGGAGGGTGGGCTCACCCCTGGCTCCCCTCATCTCTGGAACTAGACCCACCTTTGCTCCCTCCAAGTGAGCCCAGGGCTAAAGTTTCCCTGGGGCCAGGGGAGGGATGGGAAGGATTTGCTAATTTCCTTCAGAATAGATTCCAATTTTTTTTTTCTTGCTCTGTTGCCCAGGCTGAAGTGCGGTGGTTCGATCATAGCTCACTGCAGCCTCGAACTCCTGGGCTCAAGCGATCCTCCCTCCTCAGCCTCCCCAGTAGCTGGGACTACAGGTGTGTGCCACCATACCCAGCTAATTTTTACATTTTTTGTAGAGAGGGAGTGTTGGATGTGGTAGTGTGCACCTGTAGTCCCCAGCTACTTGGGAGGCTGAGGTGGGAAGATTGCTTGAGCTAAAGAGTTCATAGTGAGCAACATAGTGAGACCTCATCTCTACAAAAAATAAAGAGAAAATTAGTTGGGGGTGGTGGCGTGCACCTATAGTCCCAGCTACTCAGGAGGTTGAGGTGGGAGGATCACTTGAGCCCAGGAGTTTGAGGCTGCAGTGAGCTGTGATCATGCCACTGCACTCTAGCCTGAGTGACAGAGCAAGATCCTGTCTCAAAAAATAAAGTAAAATAAAATAATCAGTCAACAACAGTGATTTGTCTTCAAGCTGCCCTCCTCTTCGGCTCTCAAGGCAGTTTGTGAAGTGTCTAGGATAGGAATTTTCCAGAAGGGCTACAAGCTCAGGGAGGTTAAGTACCATTTCCTGGGTTGCACAGCCAGGGCTGGACTGCAGGGCTAACATGCTGGCTACTGGTCTCCATATCTAGAGGTTTTCTGTGGCCACAGTGTGAGTGCTCAGCCTAAACCCTCCCCCTGCCCTTTGACACAAGCTAGGTAATGGGCACTGCTAGGGGACATCAGGGTAGAGCAGTTGGGTCTCAGTCTTCTCTTCTGTGAAATGGGTAGGGTGTGAGTTGAAAAGGGCAGGACTGACTGGGCACGGTGGCGCACGCCTGTAATCTCAGCACTTTGGGAGGCTGAGGCAGGTGGATCACGAGGTCGGGAGATCGAGATCATCCTCGTCAACATGGTGAAAGCCCGTGTTTACTAAAAATACAGAAAAAAGGCCAGGCGCGGTGGCTCATGCCTGTAATCCCAGTACTTTGGGAGGCTGAGGCAGGCGGATCACAAGGTCAGGAGTTTGAGACCAGCCTGGCCAACATGGTGAAACTCCATCTCTACTAAAAATACAAAAAATTAGCGGGGCGTGGTGGCAGGCGCCTGTAATCTCAGCTACGCAGGAGACTGAGGCAGGAGAATCGCTTGAACCCAGGAGGTGGAGGTTGCAATGAGCTGACATTGCGCCACTGCACTCCAGCCTGGGTGACAGTGAGAGACTCTGTCTCAAAAAAAAAAAAAAAAAAAAAAAGAAAAGGGCAGGACCTCCTGAAGTGTACTCCAACTATCTAAGGGGTCACTGGCTGGGATGGAGTTAGGACAGAAGTATAGACAGGATGGGGCCTGGCGCGGTGGCTCATCCTGTAATCCCAGCACTTCGGGAGGCTGAGGTGGGTGGATCACTTGAGGTCAGAAGTTCAAGACCAGCCTGACTAACATGGTGAAACCCTGTCTCTACTAAAAAACAAACAAAAAAGCCGGGTGAGGTGGTGGCACGTGTCTGTAGTCCCAGCTACTTGGGAGGCGGAGGCAGGAGAATCGCTTGAACCCGCGAGGCAGAGGTTGCAATGAGCCGAGATAGCACCATCGCACTCCAGCCTGGGCAACAAGAGCAAAACTCTGTCTCAAAAAAAAAAAAGAGGTATAGACAGGATGGAAAGTGTAATGGGAATTAGAAATGTCCTCCTAGGGCCGGGTGTATGGCTCATGCCTGTAATCCCAGCACTTTGAGAGGCTGAGGCAGGAGGATAGCTTGAGGCCAGGAGTTCAAGACCAGCCTGGGCAACATAGTGAGGCTCCATTTCTAATTAATTAAAAAAATTTTTTAATTAAAAAAAAAATAGAAATGTCCTCCCAGGCAGGGCCAGGTGGCTCACACCTGTAATCCCAGCACTTTGGGAGGCCAAGGCGGGAGAATCACATGAGGCCAGGTATTCGAGAACAGCCTGGGCAACATGGCAAGACCCCCCCCATCTCTACAGAAAAAATAAAAATAAAAAATAAGACCAGGCATGGTGGCTCATGCCTGTAATCCCAGCACTTTGGGAGGTCAAGGCAGTGGATCATCTGAGGTCAGGAGTTCAAGATCAGCCTGGCCAACATGGCAAAACACTGTCTCTACTAAAAATACAAAAATTAGCTGGGCATGGTGGCACGTGCCTGTAGTCCCAGGTACTCGGGAGGCTGAGGCAGGAGGATCACTTGAACCCAGGAGGTGGAGGCTGCAGTGAGCTGAGATCATGCCACAGCACTTCAGCTTGGGCAACAGGGCGAGACTTCATCTCAAAAATATATAAATAAATAAATGACCTCCCACCAGCACCAGGAAAGTTGCACCACAAATGTATCTTTAAAGTGTCCTTTGGCATGCAGATTATTTTGTCACCTCAAGGACTCTTTAAAGATACATTTGTGGTGCAACCTTCCTGGTGCTATTAAGAAGATATTTATTAATTTCTTTATTTGAGTCAGGGACACCAGACCCCCGTGACATGCAATTTACCTACATAACAAACCTGCACATGTACCCCTGAACCTAAAACAGCAGTTTAAAAAAGTATAAAGAAAAATAATAATAAAATGCAGTATTCCACTGTTTAAAAAAAGTGTCTTTTTTTTTTTTTTTTGAGACAGGTTCTCACTCTGTCGTCCAGGCTGGAGTGCAGTGGTGCCATCTCGGCTCACTGTAACCTCCGCCTCCCAGGTTCAAGCGATTCTCTTGCCTCAGCCTCCTGAGTAGCTGGGATTACAGGCACCCGCCACCACGCCCGGCTTATTTTTGTATTTTTAGTAGAGACAGGGTTTCGCCATGTTGGCCAGGCTGGTCTTGAATTCCTGGCCCCAAGTGATCCACCTGCCTCGGCCTCCCAAAGTGCTGGGATTACAGGCGCGAGCCACCGCGCCCGGTCAGAAGTGTCCTTTTTCTGCTATTGCCTGAAAACTTACCAACTCTCAAAGTAAGGCTGCCTCTGACCTGCCAACCTGGGACACTCTGATTGGCTGCTGGTGATGTCACAGGAATCTCTGGGAGATGATTGGTGGGTGAGAGCCCCTAGGTCAGGTGGAAGGAGGGCTTGATGGTTAGGGCTGGTGTCTGTGGCATGTTCACAGAGGCCGACCCAGGAGCTAGCTGAGGACGAACAGGTGCCTAAGGGGCCCCCATCTTTGTTGGGGCGACCCCTCCTCCTAACCCCACTCACAGCAGCCAGCGATGACCATGGCCCCTTCTCACTTGATAGCATCTGGGAGCCTCCTGAGGCTGGGAGATGGTCCTAGCTTTGGAGATACGGACCCTTCTCATCCCATAGGGGAAGAGATTTCCCGGGGAGCCACAGGGTGGGCGCCAAGGCTGGGAGCTGGTCTCAGATCTGTCGGGTCAGTACCCCCAGGCCCAGGGGGCCGTTCACATGGGATGCCACGCACAGTGCACCTGAGTGCTGTCTCCTGCAGATCATGCCAGAGTCCCGCGCCTCTGGCACGAGATGCAAGCCCGGGCCCCTTCCACCCCTTGCTCAGTTTCCCCTTCCTGTTCCCATCACTGTCTGCCCCAGGATTTTATTTCATGACCATTCCCAGGTGGCACCGGCCCAAGGACTGTTTCCCAAAGACTGAGCCAAGATACCGCCGGCCTTTCAGGAGGAGCCTTGAATTCATGAATGGACACAAAGAAGCGGCCAGGGCCAAGCGGAGAGGGGGAGAGAGGCTTAGCACGGCCGGGGCCAACTTGGCCCTGCGTGGTCCCTTGCCTCTGTGGGACAGACGGACAGAACCCCCTTTGTGTAGGAGCCCGGGCAAATCTCTCTAGTCCTCTGTCCAAGGGACTCAGGGTCGCCACTGACAGGCACCAGCCCAGCCTGGGAGGGGTGGCTGCAGCCGCGTTCCGGGGCCCGGGCTCATTCATGAAAGGGGTCAGGCTTCTTTCTGGGGGCCATAGACCCCAGCTGGGTCAGGCCAGAGAGAGAGAGGGAGGAATTGCAGAAGCTGAGCTCTGAGACTGGGCCTGGCTCCTGCCAGACTTCGGAGGAGCGAGCCGGGGGAGCTGGGGTGTGCCGGACCCTGCACCCAGGTCAGGATGCTCAACATGCCAGGCCTCAGGAACCCCTTCACACCCCATTAGTCAGTCCTCACTACCGTCAAGGGCAGCCACTCTCCTGGCGTCATCGGACCTTCAACAGACCTGCGCTGCCTGTTCTTGAAATTTATAGAAATAGATTGGGCCAGGTGCGGTGGCTCACGCCTGTAATGCCAGCGCTTTGGGAGGCCAAGGCAGATGGATTGCTTGAGGTCAGGAGTTCGAGACCAGCCTGGCCAACATGGCAAAACCCCGTCTCTAGTAAAAATACAAAAAAAATTAGCCAGTGTGGTTCTGTACACCTGTAGTCCCACCTACTCAGGAGGCTGAGGCAGGAGATTGCTTGAACCTGGAAGGCAGAGGTTGCAGTGAGCCGAGATTGTGCCACTGCACTCCAGCCTGGGCAACAGCGCAGGACTCCATCTCAAAAAAAAAAAAAAAAGAAAGAAAGAAAGAAATAGATTGGAAGTGTGTGCACCGCCATTTGACATTTGTCTGCAGTCTGCAGAGTGTCCTTATTTCTTCTGAAAGCTGTAATTCATTAATTCTCATTACTATCTAGTGTTCCATTGTGTGAATATTTCTATGCTAATTCTACCATGGTGGGCATTTGGGTAGTTTCCAAGACTTTTTTTGTTTTCTGAGACTAGGTCTCTCTCTGTCGCCCAGGCTGGAGTGCAGTGACATGATCATAGCTCACTGTTGCCTCAAATTCCTGGGTTCAAGCTATTCTCCCACCTCAGCCTCCTGGGCAGCTGAGCCCACAGGTACACACCACCACACCTGGCTAATTTTTAAGTTTTTTTTTTGTAGAGAAAGGGTCTTGCTATGTTGCCCAGGCGTGTCTTGAACTCCTGGCCTCAAGCAGTCCTCCTGCCTTCCTAGTGCTGGGATTACAGGCACGAGCCACCGGGCCCAGCCTCCAGGATTCCTTTTACCTAGCACCTCCCCTCCTCAACTTTGTTTTTTTTGGGTTTTTTTTTGAGACGGAGTCTCGCCCTGTCACCCAGGCTGGAGTGCAGTGGCACGATCTCAGCTGACTGCAACCTCCATCTCTCTAGTTCAAGTGATTCTCCTGCCTCAGTCTCCCGAGTGGCTGGGATTACACCACCATGCTCAGCTAATTGTTTTGTATTTTTAGTAGAGATGGGGTTTCACCATGTTGGCCAGGCTGGTCTCCAACTCCCGACCTCAGGTAATCCACCCGCCCCAACCTCCCAAAGTGCTGGGATTACAGACGTGAGCCATCGAGCCCAGCCTCCCCTCCCCAACTTTGATGCAGCTTGTTTGATGTCATCTGGCCTTGAGTGTTGATTTCAAAACTTGACTTTATTTAAAATGTTTTTTATTTGATAGGATTTTAAAAAGATCATTGAGGTAGTACATGAACATTGTAGCTGGTCAAGTAACACACAAATATAAATAAAATAACATTTCTCATGCCTGTCTCCCCCAGTCTCTCCTCTGCTACAGCCAAAGGTTGGCTTTGCTTTCTTTCATACCTTCTGCCTTTCCAAGTCGACAACCTGGCCTTGCCCCTTGCTGTGTTTCGAATGTTTGTCTCTTCGAAAACTTATTCTGAAACTTGATCCCCGTTGTAACAGTATTAAGAGGGTGGGAAATTTGACTGTGGTATTGGAGGGGTGGGACCTTTGGGAGGTGATTAGGATTAGCTGCGGTCTTGAGGGTGAGGCATTAGTGGCTTTAGAGAGGAGAAAAAGAGACTCGAGTTAGCACATACAGGCCCCTCACCACGGGATGCCCCACACTGCCTCGGGATTCTACAGCATCCTCAGCAGCAAGAAGGCCCCCACCAGACACAGTCCCTAGATCCTGGACTTCCCAGCCTAAAGAGCTGTAAGAAATTAAATTGTTGGGCCGGGCGTGGTGGCTCATGCCTGTAATCCCAGCACTTTGGGAGGCTGAGGTGGGCGGATCACGAGGTCAGGAGTTTGAGACCAGCCTGACTAACATGGCAAAACCCCGTCTCTACTAAAAATACAAAAATTAGCCTGGCATAGTGGTGGGCACCTGTAATCCCAGCTATGGGGGAGGCTGAGGCAGGAGAATCTCTTGAACCGGGAGGTGGAGGTTGCAGTGAGCTGAGATCGTGCCATTGCACTCCAGCCTGGGCAACAAGAGCAAAACTCCATCTCAAAAAAAAAAAAAAAAAAAAAAAAAAGAAAGAAAGAAAAAAAGAAAAAAAAAAGAAAAAGAAATTAAATTGTTTTCTTAGGACCAGGTGATGTGGCTCATGCCTGTAATCTCAGTGCTTTGGGAGGCCAAAGGAGGAGGACTGCTTGAGGCCAGGAGTTTGAGACCAGCCTGGGCAACAATAGTGAGACCCCATCTCTACAAAAAAATGTTTAAAAATTAGCTGGATGTAGTGACGCACACCTGTAGTCCTAGCTACTCGAGAGGCTGAGGCAGGGTGGGATCACTTGAGCCCTGGAGTTTGAGACCAGCCTGGGCAACATGGCGAGATTCTGTCTCTACAAAAAATTAAAAATTAGCTGGGTATGGTGGTGCATGCCTGCAGTCCCAGTTACTTGGCAGGCTGAAGCAGGAACATCGCTTGAATCCAGGAGTTGGAGGCTGCAACAAACTATGATTGTGCCAGTGCGTTTCAGCGTGAATGACAGGGCGAGAACCTGTCATTATTTTCTCTAAAAAACAAAACAGCAAAAAATAATTTATAATTTATAATAATTTCCCTTTCTTTCTTCCTTCCTTCCTTTCTTCCTTTCTTTCTTTCTCTTTCTTTCTTTTTCTTTCTTTTTTTCTTTTTGTGACAGAGTCTCTCTCTGTTGCCCAGGCTGGAGCACAGTAGTGCAATCCCGGCTCACTGCAACCTCCACCTCCCGGATTCAAGTGATTCTCCTGCCTCAGCCTCTCAAGTAGCTGGGATTACAGGTGCGCGCCACTGTGCCTGGCTAATTTTTGTATTTTTAGTAGAGATGGGGTTTCGCCATGTTGGCCAAGCTGGTCTCGAACCCCTGACCTCAGGTGATCCACCCGCCTCAGCCTCCCAAAGTGCTGGATTGCAGGCATGAGCCACCATGCCCGGCCCACAATAATTTCTTTATAAATTACCCAGTCTCAGGTATTCCAGCAGAAGATGGACTAAGATACCCTTTAAAGACTGTGTGGGCTGGGCATGGTGGCTCACGCCTGTAATTCCAACACTTTGGGAGGCCGAGGCAGGTGGATCACTTGAGGTCAGGAGTTTGAGACCATCCTGACCAACATGGTGAAACCCCGTCTCTACTAAAAATAAAAAAAATTAGCCAGGTGTAGTGGCAAACACCTGTCATCCCAGCTACTTGGGAGGCTGAGGGAAGAGAATTGCTTGAACCCGGGAGGCGGAAGTTGCACTGAGCTGAGATCGCGCCATTGCACTCCAGCCTGGGTAACAGACTGAAACTTTGTCTCAAAAAAATAAAATAAAATATTCTGTGGCAAACATTTCCTGTATAATTTTAGCATTTTTTAGGCTGGTTGTGATGGCTCATGCCTGCAATTCCAGCTCTTTGGGAGGCTGAGGCAGGAGGATTGCTTTAGCCCATGAGTTCAAAACCAGCCTGAGCAACACAGTGAAACCCCATCTCTACAAAATAAATTAGTAATGAAATAAAAATAACACTTTTATTGTAGTTACATGAGTAAAATTTGAATACAATCTTATAAAGATTCAAACAACACAAATCAAATGAAAGACTCTTTATCTCCCACCCAATCCTAAAAATTAAAAAAATAAGGGAGGGGGGCAAAGTCTTCTGTGACCAGCACCCCCAAACTCACCAATCTCCCTGTTTTCTTTCAAGTCTATTTCTATGCATTTATGTTTCTAAAATGTTGGGGTGTGTGTGTGTTTTACACTAATGAAATCATGTTGTGTATATAATTTTATTACTTGATTTTTTTCATTTGATTTTGATGAACATCTTTGCATTGTATGTGGTTACACTTTACATTTTTTTTTCCTTTTTTTTTTTTTTTGAGACAGAGTTTCATTCTCGTCACCCAGACTGGAGTGCAGTGGCACGATCTCAGCTCATAGGAACCTCTGCCTCCCGGGTTCAAGTGATTTTCCTGCCTCAGCCTCCCGAGTAGCTGAGATTACAGGTGCCCACCACCACGCCTGCCTAGTTTTTGTATTTTTAGTAGAGATGGGGTTTCACCATGTTGGACAGGCTGGTCTCGAACTCCTGACCTCAGGTGATCTGCTTGCCTCGGCCTCCCAAAGTGCTGGGATTGCAGGCATGAGCCATCGCGCCCGGCCCAAAATTTTTTATTTTGAAATAATTATAAATGCACAGGTAGTTGCAAGAATGGTAGAAAGATCTTGAGAATCCTTTCTCCAATTTCCCTAGTGGAACATCTTACATAATTCAAGTACAGGGTCCAAAGCAAGAAACTGACATTGGAACCACTCCACAATGCCAAGCATCATGGTCTAGCACCATCAACGTATACAATTTTTTTGGTTTTTTTTTTTTTTTTTTTTGAGACAGGGTCTTGCTCTGTTATTCAGGCTGGAGTGCAGTGGCTCAATCATGGCTCACTGCAGCCTCAACCTCCCTGGGCTCCAGTGATCCTCCCACCTCAGCCTCCTGAGTAGTTGGGAGTATAGATGCATGCCACCACGTCTGGCTAATTTTTTTATTTTTTTGTGGAAATAAGGTCTCACTGTCTCTGCCCATTTTTTAAATGCTAAAAAAATAATAATAATAAAGAAACTTCTAAGCATGCCAATATCCAGGCTTTACCCCAGACCGAATAAACTGAAATCTCTGGGTGTGGAGCCCAGTCGTCAGTATTTTATTATTTTTTGAGACAGGGTCTCACTCTGTGGCCCAGGCTGGAGTGCAGTGGCACGATCATAGCTCACTGCAGCGTCGACCTCCTGGCTCATATGATCCTCTCGCCTCACCCTCTGAAGTAGCTGGGACTACAGTCGTGCCCCACCATGTATAGCTAGTTTTTTTTTTCTTTTTTTGAGGCAGAGTCTCGCTCTGTCTCCCAGGCTGGAGTGTGGTAGCGCGATCTCGGCTCCGTGCAACCTCTGCCTCCCGGGTTCAAGAGATTCTCCTGCCTCAGCCTCCTGAGGAGCTGGAATTACAGGTGTGCGCCACCATGCCTGGCTAATTTTTGTATTTTTAGTAGAGATGGGGTTTCACCATGTGGGCCAGGCTGGCTTTGAACTCCTGATCTCAGGTTATCCGCCCACCTCAGCCTTTCAAAGTGCTGGGATCACAGGCGTGAGCCACCCCGCTCGGCCTTAAACCGTATTCTTTATGACACCTGCTGGCTAGGTAATATTATTCCCGTTTACATACTTGGAAGCTGCAGCCCAGAGACGTTAAGCAATTTTCCCTAGCTCACACAGCGGTCAACTGCCCATGCAGGCATTTTCTGCCCAACAGTGCCAAGCTCCAAAGCCTGTACCTCCTCAAGTTCAGGGTGAGAATTCAACATTCTCTCCTCGTCTCCTGCCAGCATCTGGCTCTGGGTCCTGGCTCAGTTTGGGAGTCCTCCACCAAGCCATGGCCATGTGCTCATGTAAGCAGTAAGGGTTGGCTACAAAATGAGGAGTCTGTTCTCCAGGGAGGAGGAAGAAAAGGCCACTTCCCTCCTTTAGTTTAACCAGCCACAGCCTGCTGGAAACGTCGGCTCTTTCGAGAGAAGTTTCCCACCGTCGAGGCTGCCTCTCTGACTGCCACCTCTGTTCTAACACAGTCTCAATTTTATCTACGCATTTCACTTGTTAAACATGCATCCCTGCCAGGCCCAGTGGCTCACACCTGTAACCCAGCACTCTGGGAGTCAGAGGCGGGAGGATTGCTTGAGACCAGCAGTTTGAGACCAGCCTGGGCAACATGGCAAAACCCTGTCTCCGCTAAAAATCCAAAAAAATTAGTTGGGTGTGGTGGTGGAAAAAATAAAAGCATTGTGGGCCGGGCATAGTGGCTCACGCCTGTAATCCCAGCACTTTGGGAGGCCGAGGTGGGCAGATCACTTGAGGTCAGGAGTTTGAGACCAGCCTGGCCAACATGGCAAAACCTCATCTGTAGTCAAAATTCAAAAATTAGCTGGGTGTGGTGGCGGATGCCTGTAATCCCAGCTACTTGGGAGGCTGAGGCAGGAGAATTGCTTGAACATGGGAGGGAGAGGTTACAGTGAGTTGAGATTGCACCATTGCACTCCAGCCTAGGAGACTGTCTCAAAAAAAAAAAAAAAAAAAGGCATTGTGGCCGGGCACAGTGTCTCATGCCTGTAATCCCAATACTTTGGGAGGCTGAGGCCAGAGGATCACTTGAGTCCAGGAGTTTGAGACCAGCCTGGGCAACATATCAAGAGCCTGTCTCTACAAAAAATTTAAAAATTAACCAGGCATGGTGGTGTGTACCTGTGGTCTCAGCTACTTGGGAGGCTGAGGCAGGAGGAATGATTGGGCCTCGGAATGCGAGGCTGCAGTGAGCTATGATGACACCACTGCACTCCAGCCAGGGTGATAGACCCTATCTAAAAAAAAAAAAATGCATTTATTATCCCTCAACTGGAGAATGAATGAACAAACTCTGGTATGTCCATGCAAAGCAATACTGCTCAGCAATAAAAAGGAAGGGACGTGCAACACCAGGGAGGAGGAATCTCAGATGCTCCCTGCCCAACAACAAAGCCAGATGGCAAAGGGGATGCAGGAGCAAAGACAGGGATGGAAGAGTCGAGAATAATTACCAGGAAAGATAACGTTACATTTAGGAGGGGCCATTTTCTTTTAGTATAAAACAAATTTACCTTCAATACATTTTGTTTTATTTTGAGACAATCATGCTCTCCCATGCAGGCTGGAGTGCAGTGGCACGATCTTGGCTCACTGTAGCCTTGACCTCCTGGGCTCAAGTGATCCTCTTGCCTCGGCCTCCCAAGCAGCTGGGACGACAGGCACATGCCACCACACCCAGGTAATTTTTTAATATTTTGTAGAGACCGGGTCTTGCTATGTTGCCAAAGCTGGTCTCAAGCGATCCTCTCGCCTCGGCCTCCCAAAGCGCTGGGATTACAGGCGTGAGCTGCCGTGCCTGATCACAATACATTTTAAGAGAAAACAAGTAAATCCCTTTTTGGCATTCAGAGTACAGTTTCTTTTCACTTTCAACTTTATACAACAGATTCTCTTTAAACATAAAAAAAAAAAAAGGCTGTAAAACTGTATGACTCCACATAGGTGACATTTTGGAAAAGGCAAAGCACGGAGACCAGGCCTGGTGGCTCACGCCTGTAATCCCAGTGCTTTGGGAGGCCAAGGCAGGTGGATCACCTGAGGTCAGGAGTTCAAGACCAGCCTGGCCAACATGATGAGACCCCCTGTTTCTACTAAAAATACAAAAATTAGACAGGGGTGGTGGCACATGCCTGTAATCCCAGATACTCAGGAGGCTGAGGCAGGAGAATCACTTGAACCCAAGAGGTGGAAGCTGCAGTGAGCTGAGATCATGCCACTGCACTTCAGTCTGGGCGACAGAGCAAAACTCCTTCTCAAAAAAAAAAAAAAAATGCACCACAGAGGACAGGGGACAGGGCCTTAGCTGCCCGGCTGGCACTGGGCAGAGGCTTCAGGTGCAAAGAGGGGGCAGGAGAGAATTCTGGGGGATGGTGAATCTGTTATTCACCTTGATGGTGGCGGTGGCAGTTACAGGACTCTCCGTATTTGTCAAAACTCACAAAACTATAGCAAAAAAAGAGGAAATTTTGCTTTATGTAAATTATAAAGCAAATTAAAATATGAATTCACTTTTTCTTAAAATGCCTGACTAGAGGTTTAGGGAGGAAAGAAATGAGGTCGCAAGGAGTTAAAGGGAAAGTGCTCGGGTCTTCAGGGTGGTGGGAACACTGTTTCTTGGTCGTTTGCCCACGGCCCTGTCTCCGGGCCTCCCTCTCCCCTCTCCGCCAGCATTCAATGGCCACAGTGACTGAGAGACAAGGAGAGTCTTGTGGAACTCAGAAATAAATAAATAACTGCCCGCCCCAGGTCGCCACGGCAACCGTGACATCACCCTGGGACCCATGTGGCTGGCACCCTTGGTGGTTTCCTGGTGTTTGTTACAGGAGCAGGGGAAGCCAGGGCTGCAGGCCTGCACCTGGTGGCAGGTAGAGGGAGAGACCTCGGGGAGAATAGGTTTCCCACCTTGGAGACCAGTGCAAACCACACCCTCATAGTTGGTCTCCGGACTCCCTGCCCAGTTGGTGGGAAGCGTAAATTGGCCCGGCCTCCTGGAGGGCTTTTGGGCAGAGTCTCTCTAAATGAATACTGTGAGGCCGGGCACGGTGGCTCATTCCTGTAATCTCAGCACTTTGGGAGGCCAAGGGAGGACGATTGTTTGAGGTCAGGAGTTTGAGACCAGCCTGGGCAACAGAGCAAGACCCAGTCTCTACAAAAAATTAAAAAATTAGCTGGGTGTGGTGGCATGTACCTGTAATCTTAGCTACTCAGGAGGCTGAGGCAGGAGGATTGCTTGAGCCCAGGAGTTTGAGACCAGCCTGAGCAACACAGTGAGACTCTATCTCTACAAAAATTAAAAAGTATTAGCTGGGCATGGTGGAGTGCACCTGAAGAGGGAGGATCCGTGGAGCCCAGGAGTTCAAGCTTGCAGTGAGCTGTGATCACACCACTGCACTCCAGCCTGGGTGACAGAGTGAGACCCTGTTTCAAAAGAAAAAGGTAAAGAGGCCAGGCGCAGTGGCTCATGCCTGTAATCCCAACACTTTGGGAGGCTGAGGTGGGAGGATTAACTGAGGTCAGGAGTTTGAGACCAGCCTGGACAACATAGTGAGACCTCACTTCTACAAAAATAAAAATAAAAATAAATTAGCCGGGTGTGGTGGTGTGCACCTGTAGTCCCAGCTACTCGGGAGGCTGAGGTGGGAGGATTGCTCGAGCCCAGGAGGTCGAGGCTGCAGTGAGCTATGATAGTGGGGCCACAGAGCAAGACCCTTTCTCAAAAAAACAAAAACAAAAACCAACAACAAAGGCCGGGCACAGTGGCTCACGCCTGTAACCCCGGCACTTTAGGAGCCAGAGACAAGTGGATCACCTGAGGTCAGGAGTTCGAGACTAGCCTGGCCAACATGGTGAAACCCCATCTCTACTAAAAATACAAAAAATAGCCAGGCCTGGTGGCGGGCGCCTGTAATTCCAGTTACTCAGGAGTCTGAGGCAGGCGAGTCACTTGAACCCAGGAGGCGAAGGTTGCAGTCAGCCGAGATCGCGCCACTGCACTCCAGCCTGGGTGATAGAGCAAGACTCGGTCTCAAATTAAAAAGAAATAAAAATAAAGAAAAAAACAAGCACGACATGCACCTGTGTTTTTGTCCGAGGGCTGGAATCACAGGTGACGACACAGCAGCGGCTTACAAAAGCAGATATTTCTTCGCATTGCCACAATCTCTGCCTCCACCGTCACATGGCTGTCGTCCCCGTGTGTCTCTGTCTTCATTTGATGTTGTCCTCTCTGTCTCTTTCCTCTTTTTTTTTTGGAGACAGAGTCTCGCTCTTGTTGCCCAGGCTAGAGTGCAGTGGCACGATCTTGGCTCAGCACAACCTCCGCCTCCCAGGTTCAAGCGATTCTCCTGCCTCAGCCTCCCGAGTAGCTGGGATTACAGTCGCCCACCACTACGCCTGGCTAATTTTTGTATTTTTTTTTAGTAGAGATGGGGTATTGCCGTGTTAGCCAGGCTGGTCTTAAACTCCTGACCTCAGATGATCCACCCACCTCCGCTTCCCAAAGTGCTGGGATTACAGGTGTGAGCCACCATGCCCGGCCTGTTTTGTCTTTTTAGGGAACCCTACTCATATTGGATGGGGGCCCACCCTACTGCAGTCTGGGCTCTTTTTTTTTTTTTTTTTTTTGAGATGGAGTCTTGTTCTGTCTCCCAGGCTGGAGTGCAGTGGCGGCGTGATCTTGGCTCACTGCAACCTCCACCTCCTGGGTTCATGCCATTCTCCTGCCTCAGCCTCCAAGTAGCTGGGACTACAGGTGCCCGCCACCACACTCAGCTATTTTTTTTGTATTTTTAGTAGAGATGGGGTTTCACTGTGTTAGCCAGGATGGTCTAGATCTCCTGACCTTGTAATATGCCCGCCTCGGCCTCCCAAAGTGCTGGGATTACAGGTGTGAGCCACCATACCCGGCCCTGGCCTCATCTTAACTAATGAAATCTGCTCCAATCCTGTTCCCAAATGAGGTCCCCTTCTGAATACCAGGAGTTAGGGCTTCGATGTGTGAATGCTGGGAGGACACGGTTCAACCCATATCACTATTTTCGTTGTTATTACTTATTAGTTAATAAGCCAGTCTTGGCTGGGCACAGTGGCTCACGCCTGTAGTCCTAGCACTTTGGGAGGCTGAGGCAGGCAGATCATGAGGTGAGGAGATTGAGACCAACCTGGCCAACATAGTGAAAACCTGTCTCTACCAAAAATACAAAAATTAGCCGAGTGTGGTGGCGGGCGCCTGTAGTTCCAACTGCTAGGGAGGCTGAGGCAGGATAATCACTTGAACCCGGGAGGCAGAGGTTGCAGTGAGCCAAGACAGCGCCATTGCACTCCAGCCTGGGCGACAGAGCAAGACTCCGTCTCAAAAAAAAAAGAGACTCCATCTCAAAAAACAAACAAACAAACAAACATAAGCCAGTCTTGGCCACAGGCAGCTTCCTGGCCCACCTTGAGGAAGGTGGGTGGATGGGCGGCGTGTTCTGGGCTCCTGGGGGGGGCTTCAATGGGGTCCCCAGGGTGGGTCCTCCATGTTCTCTGTGACTGTAATTCCAGTTTTCAGTCTGCCCCTGCGAGGCTGCTGCGGCCGTGGGAGATGGGGGTTGGTGTCTCTCTGGCTTGCTGCAGAAGCCTGGCCCCAGGGGTCTTAGTTTTCTCATCTGTCGAATGGGCTCGGTGTGACCCTGGTGTTGAAGTCACTTGACTGACTGGAATCACGTGACCATGGAGTCCCAGCTGGATGCAGGCAGAGAGCAGTCACCCGAACCTGGAGACCCCTGGACTCACCCAGGCGCCAAGTGTCCCAGGGCAAATCACAGTGTCAGTGCCTGGCAGACCCCCCTGCCCAGCTTTCACTCCTGCCCTGCCCATACCAGCATATGTAAAGCCAGCATACACAATATGCTCCATAAATGAGCCCTGAACTATGCTAGCATACAGCTAGCACACAGAAGGTGCTCAATCAATGCCCCAGGTCTGTACTAGCGTGGAGCCAGCACACAGAAGGTGCTTAATAAATGCACCATGAGCTGCACTTAGCATGGATCCAGCACACAAAAGGTGCTTAATAAATGCTTCATGAACTATACTTAGCACGGAGCCAACACATCAAAGGTACTTAATAAATGCTCCATGAACTGTACTTAGCATGGAGCCAGCATACAGAAGGGGAGCCAGCACACAGAGGGTGCTTAATAAATGCTCCATGAGCTGCACTTTTCATGGAGCCAGCACACAGAAGGTGCTTAATAAATGCTCCATGAGCTGCACTTACCATGGAGCCAGCACACAGAAGGTGCTCAATGAATGCTTCATGAACTATACTTAGCATGGAGTCAGCACACAGAACCTGCCTAATAAGTGCTCCATGAGCTGTACTTAGCATGAGGCCAGCATACGGAAGGTGCTCAATGAAGGCTCTGTAACTGTACTTGACCTGGATCCAGCATACAGGAGGTGCTTAACAAATGCTTCATGAACTGTACTTAGCATGGAGCCAGCACACAGAAGGTGCTCAGCGAATGTTCCAGGGTCTTGATGAGCGTGGAGCCAGCACACCGGAGATGCTGAATAAATGCTCCATGCACTCCTGATATGACGCCAGCATACAGAAAGTGCCCAATAAATGCTTAGTGACCCATATATACTGCATGGAGTCATTTGTCCTGAACCATACACTCATTTGTTTGGGGGGCAGTCTACAAAGTAACCATCGGACCTGAGGGGAAAGTTTTTGGTGTGTTTAGTGGAGTTTAACCCCATTGGGTGGCTGCTGCTTGGCAACGTCCAGGTGAGCTGATTCCGAGCCTGTGTGGGCCGAAGACATGCACGCTGCTGTGGTCCCGGCTGCTGGTCCGACAGCCAGGTGTGTGCAGACCTTAGACCCAGTTCTTGGATGCCTCTTCCCTGCCCAGCCAACCCTTGTCTGTCTTCCCAGACTGACTAAGTCCCCGAGCACAGACTTGCGTCAAGGCAGAACCAGACGTCGGAGTCAACCAGGGCTGGGTTGAGTCCCTTCCCACCAGGTGATTTCTTTCCCTCACCTCCCTGCCCTGTAGCTTCTCCATCTGTAAAATGGCCAATAGCTCCACGTGGTGCTCTGGTGAGGATTAAACAGAGGTGATAACGCTTTGAAGATTCTAAAAAGACACCAAAACATCGGGAATTTTTGTTTTGTTTGTTTTGTTTTGGTTTGGTTTTTTTGAGAATGAGTCTCTCTCTGTCACCCAGGCTGGAGTGCAGTGGCACAATCTCGGCTCACTGCAACTTCTGCCTCCCGGGTTCAAGTGATTCTCCTGCCTCAGCCTCCCAAGTAGCTGCGATTACAGGCCTGTGGCACCACGCCTGGCTAATATATATATATATTTTTGAAATGGAGTCTCACTCTGTCGCCCAGGTTGGAGTGCAATGGTACGATCTTGGCTCACTGCAACCTCCACCTCCCTCAAGCGATTCTTCTGCCTCAGCCTCCCAAGTATCTGGGATTACAGGCACATGCCACCACTCCCAGCTAATTTTTGTATTTTTAGTAGAGATGGGGTTTCACCATGTTGACCAGGCTGGTCTCGAACTCCTGGCCTAAAGTGATCCGCCTGCCTCGGCCTCTTAAAGTGCTGGGATTACGGGCGTGAGCCACTGCCCCTGGCCAGGAACGTTTATTTTTAAGATAAAGTCATGTAGCAATTTCACCTGAGCTCAGCAGAAATAAGTGCGCGTGTTCACCAAAAAATATGCACAAAAAAGTTCATGGGCCGAGTTCTCCATAATATCCCCAAACAGGAGTGTCCCCCTGCAGTGGGTTGGAGAATTCACTTGTGGTCTGTTCACCCAGTGGAATACAATAGCCATGAAAACTACCAGTTGCTTGGCCGGGCGCGGTGGCTCACGCCTGTAAATCCAGCACTTTGGGAGGCCGAGGCAGGCGGATCACGAGGTCAGGAATTCGAGACCATCCTGGCTAAAACAGTGAAACCCCGTCTCTACTAAAAATATAAAAAATCAGCTGGGCATGATGGCGGGCGCCTGTAGTCCCAGCTACTCAGGAGGCTGAGGCAGGAGAATGGCGTGAACCCAGGAGGCGGAGCTTGCTGTGAGCCGAGATCGCACCACTGCACTCCAGCCTGGGCGACAGAGCACGACTCCGTCTCAAAAAAAAAGAAAAAAGAAAAAAAGAAAACTACCAGTTGCTGTACCCCAAAATGTGGATGAATCTCGCAAAAATCACGTTAAGCAAAAGAAGCCAGACAGAAAACAGCGTGTTCTGCGGGAGTTTATTGAGCAAGTTCAAGAACAGGGGAAACAAGTCCAAGAAGACAACGGCAGAGGGTGGTTTCCCTGGGAAGAGGTACCCATGGGAGGGGGCACTGGGCACTTTCTTGGGGGTGAGGAGTGAGCCGTAGCTCTTCCTGGATGGTGGTTTAGTGGGTCTACGCATCTGTAAAAATCCTTCAAGCTGCCCCTTGCAGAGCTATATTGTCTGTAAGTTGTACTTAGAGAAAATAAGAAACAGGAAATGAGGCCGGAAGCGGTGGCTCACGCCTGTAATCCCAGCACTTTGGGAAGCCAAGGTGGGAGGATCGCTTGGAGTTCGGGACCAGCCTGGGCAACGTGATTAAACCCTGTCTCTATAAAAAATACAAAAAAATTTAGCCGGGCATGGTAGATTGTGCCTGTAGTCCCAGCATCTCAGGAGGCTGAGGCGGGAGGATCACTTGAGCCCAGGAGGTGGAGGCAGCAGTGAGCCATGATTGCACCACTGCACTCCAGCCTGAGAGACAGAGTGAGACCCCGTGTAAGAAAAAAAAAGCCCGGCGTGGTATCTCACGCCTGTAATCCCAGCACTTGGGAAGGCTGAGGCGGGCGGATCACCTGAGGTCAGGAGTTTGAGACCAGCCTGGCCAACATGGTGAAACCCCTTCTCTACTAAAAATACAAGAATTAGCCTGGCGTGGTGGCACACGCCCAGCTACTCAGGAGGCTGAGGCAAGAGAATTGCTTGAACTTGGGAGGCAGAGGTTGCAGTGAGCTGAGATCACACCACTACACTCCAGTCTGTCGACAGAGCGAGACTCCATCTCAAAAAATAAAAATAAAAAAGTTAAATGAAGAGAATGCCTTATCTAGCATTTAGTAAAATTTTGTAACAAATACTGCATTGGGGATTAGGCACAAAATATTGGATAATCCAAAACCATTTAATGATCGGAAAGAGTGAGGGAGGGGAGGAAGAAGACAGAGAGAGAGGGGGAGATGAAAAAGGGAGAAGGGGAGTGCTCTTCTTTTCCTACCAGTAGGAAGTAAGGTCTTCAGGCTTCCTGGGAATTCGGATGGCACCTCTTGCCCAGCGGAGCTTCCTGGAATTCTCCCTCTCCTTCCAGGTTCATGAACCACCGAGTCCCTGCCCACAAGAGGTACCAGCCCACAGAGTATGAACATGCGGCCAACTGTGCCACCCATGCTGTGAGTTGGCTTTTGGGGGGCTCAGGGCTGAGATGGGGACACTTCCGGGGAAGGGGGGTGGGGGAAGTCACCTCCTTCACGTATGTCCTAAGTGGCCTGTTCCTCGGGTCTTCTGTGGCCCTCAGGGAAGGCCACTGTGGCGTCTCGAGGGAAGGCCACTGGGGTAAACTGGACTGCAGTGCTGGCCATGTCTCTGTCTTGCTCTAAGAACCTTCGATGGGGCCGAGCATGGTGGCTCATGCCTATAATTCCAGCACTTTGGAAGGCTGAGGTGGGCAGATCACCTGAGGTCAGGAGTTTGAGACCAGCCTGGCCAACATGGTGAAACCCCGTCTCTACTAAAACTACAAAAATTAGCTGGGCATGGTGGCGGGCACCTGTAACCCCAGCTACTCTGGAGGCTGAGACAGGGGAATCTCTTGAACCCAGGAGTCGGAGGTTGCAGTGAGCCGAGATCATGCCATTGCATTCCAGCCTGGGTGACAGAGCAAGACCCTGTCTCAAAAACAAACAAACAAAAAAGAACCTTCGATGGCTCCCTAGTACCTAGTATGGCATCCTGTCACTCTAGCAAGCTCCTAGCCCGTCTGTCCACGCACCTCCCACCACCATGCTCTTGCTCTCAGGCTCAAACACTTGAATCCCTCACTGTTTCCTAAATGGAAGACATGACTCCATGCCTTTGCACGGGCTGTTCCTGTCACCGGGAATATTTCTTGTCTCCACTCCAGCCCTGCCTATGAAACCCTTTCCATCATTCCCAAGCCTTGCTGAAATGTTCCCCAACAAAGTCTTCCCCTCTGCCCAGATGCTGGGAAGCTCTGAGCCAGTGCCTGCCTCCCCAGCCATTGTAGCCTTCACGGCCCATCACCATGCCAGCTGTCCATCACACATTCATTCAGCAAACAGTTCCTGGGTACCCTCAAGGCAGCAGGCAGTGCTCCAGGCCCTGGCAATGCAGACATGAGTTCAAACAGAACCCCTGCTGGATTCTTTGATATCTCAGGACATCTCAGCACACCTGGCACAGGGAAGTGCCCAGATAGCGTGTGTGGAGGTGAATTAATTCTCAAACCCCCCGCCCTGACCTGTTAGACCCCGGGGGCTATTGTGTGTTTGGCCTGAGCCCAGGCCTTTAACAATGGGCCACCGGTGTCATAGAAAGGAGTGGCTGGTGCTGATTCGAACTTAGTGTGTGCCTGGACCACACTTGGTTCTGTTGTTGTTGTTGTTGTTATTGTTTTGTTTTTGTTTTTTTTGAGACGAAGTCTCGCTCTGTTCCCCAGGCTGGAGTGCAGTGGTGCGATCTCGGCTCACTGCAAGCTCTGCCTCCTGGGTTCATGCCATTCTCCTGCCTCAGCCTCCCGAGTAGCTGGGACTACAGGCGCCCGCCACCAAGCCCGGCTAATTTTTTGTATTTTTAGTAGAGACGGGGTTTCACCGTGTTAGCCAGAATGGTCTCGATCTCCTGACCTCGTGATCCACCCGCCTTGGCCTCCCATAGGGCTGGGATTACAGGTGTGAGCCGCCGCCTTGGCCTCCCATAGGGCTGGGATTACAGGTATGAGCCGCCGTGCCCAGCCCACACTGGGTTCTAAGTTTGCATTTTCTCAGTCAGTCCCTTTTGAGCAGGTGCTCTGCTGAGCAGAGACTGGTTCTCACTGGCTCATCTCTGAAGTCCCATGCTGTGTGCATCGTAGGGGCTCGGAAAATATTTGAGAATGAACACATGATTCCCTCTTTTGCAAGGGAGGAAACTGAGGCTTGGGTGAGAGAATCTGCCCAAAGCCACAAGCTAACTCATCGACACAAGTCTACACTGCACCCCAAAAATAAAGCTCTAGGAAGAGAAGACCTGCCTTTGAATCCCAGCTCCATCATTTAGTGGCCCTGAGCCTCAGTTTCCTTATCTGTAGAATGGACATCGTAAGAGCCACTCCCAAGGGTGGCTGTGAGTGTTGCTGAAGGCACCATGTTGGCACAATGTAGGCACATTGACAAGTGTGTTTCTTTGACAGCACACTCCTGAGGAAAGAGGTGCTGAATTGGCCGGATGCAGTGGCTCACACCTGTAATCCCAGCACTTTGGGTGGCTGAGGCGGGCGGATCACTTGAGGTTGGGAGTTCGAGACCAGCCTGGCCAACATGGTGAAACCCCATCTCTACTAAAAATACAAAAATTAGCCAGGTGTGGTAGTATGCGCCTGTAATCCCAGCTACTGAGGTGGCTGAGGCAGGAGAATCACTTGAACCCAGGAGGCAGAGGCTGCAGTGAGCCAAGATTGTGCCACTTTACTCCAGTTGAGTGCAGGACAGAATGAGTGAAACTCGTTTACAAAAAAAAAAAAAGTGCTGAATTGATTCTGCCATCATACCTGGGAGAAGCTGTGAGGCTGGGGACAAAAACCTATTTATGATCTCCTCTGACCACTGATGCTATAAACACAAGGCATATTCATAGTCCAGCAGGCTCCAGGAAGTGGGTGACTGAGTCACAGGTACCAGGCCCCTGCTGTTAACTTATTCATTTGTTGGATGCTCCCTCAGTTAGCACCTATGAGCACAGGGTGAGGGCAGGGTGATGGGCATGTATCATTTCATTCCTGAGGACATGTCCTGTGCTCACAGGTTTGTGGAATGAATGAATGAGTGAGAGAGGAACTCAATGAATACTAGGCATGGTAGGTGATCGCAAAATAGCACAAACTAGGAGCCAGGCGCAGTGGCATGTGTCTGTGGTCCCAGCTACTCAGGAGGCCAAGGCAAGAGGATCATGTGAACCCAGGATGTCGAGGCTGCAGTGAGCTATGATTGTACCACTGCACTCCAGCCTGGGCAACAGAGAGCGATTCCATCTCTAAAAAAAAATGTATATATATTTTAAAATAGCACAAAACATAATTGGAGTCTACAGCCTAATGAGAAGCATGTCCCCAAATTATGAAGTAGCATGGATAGCTGCTGTTTATTTATTTTTTTTTAAATGGAGTCTTGCTGGGACTACAGGTGTGCGCCACCACGCCTGGCTAATTTTTGTATTTTTAGTAGAGATGGGGTTTCGCCCTGTTGACCAGACTGGTCTCAAACTCCTGGCCTCAAGGGATCTACCTGCTTCAGCCTCCCAAAGTGCTGGGATTACAGGCATGAGCCACTGCACCTGGCCAGTTTTTGTTTATTTTTTTAAGATGATGTAATAAGATTGATGAAAGTGATTTCTTTTTTTCTGAGATGGAATCTCTCTCTGTCACCCAGGCTGGAGTATGGTGGCGTGATCTTGGCTCTCTGCAACCTCCGCCTCCTGGGTTGAAGCGATTCTCCTGCCTCAGCCTCCCAAGTAGCTGGAATTACAGACGCATGCCACCATGCCTAGCTAATTTATGTATTTTTAGTAGAGAGGGGGTTTTACCATGTTGGCCAGGCTGGTCTTGAACTCCTGACCTCAGGTGATCCTCCTGGCCTCAGCCTCCCAAAGCGCTGGGATTACAGGTGTGAGCCACCGCACCCGGCCAGAAATGATTTTTTAAAGTTATAATTCCATCCCCTACAGCAAGGCTTCTATCTTCCCTGTTGATGTTCAGTCTGCCATACGCAGATGGACATGTGGGTGGCTGAAGGCCTCTTATTAAGGAGCCATCCCATTCTGGTGCATTGCTGTTGACCTGTCCCCATCCGGCGCCCAGCCTGGGTGTCGGGGAGGCTAGCGGGATACCTCTTTCCTTTGGGACTCACCTGGGCTGATCTTGCAGGCAGATTGCGTTCAGTGAGTCCTGGAGGATGCACACGGTAGGGGCTGAATTCCCACCTGCCTACTTTTTTTTTTTTTTTTTTTTGAGACAGAGTCTTGCTCTGTCGCCCAGGCTGGAGTGCAGTGGCGCGATCTGAGCTCACTGCAATCTCCACCTCCTGGGTTCAAGCAATTCTCCTGCCTCAGCCTCCTGAGTAGCTGGGATTACAGGTGCGCACCACCATGCCTGACTAATTTTTTGTATTTTTCAGTTGAGACGGGGTTTCACCATATTGGCCAGGCTGGTCTCGAACTCCTGACCTCGTGATCTGCCCGCCTCGGCCTCCTAAAGTGCTGGGATTACAGGTGTGAGCCACCGCACCTGGCCGCCATCCACTATTTAAACCTGTTTACAAGCTGAATGGTACCTGGGCGCCTGTGCTGCTTAGGGCTGGGCTCTTCCTTCAGGGCAGTCCAAGCAGATGAGGTCAGGACATCAGTGGTGATGATGGGTCACATGTGGCACATCATACTTCTCTGTGTGGTGGCCCAGAGAGGGGCTGGGATGTGGTGGGGATGGCCACTCTCTGGGACGTGGTCTTTGACCATTTCATACATGGACCCCTTTGAGAATTGAATCAAAGATCTAGACCTGCACTGTCCAGGTTGGCAGCCACTGGCCCCACATGGCTGTTGAAATTGACACCTGAGGCTGGGCATGGTGGCTCACGCCTATAATCCCAATCCTTTGGAGGCCAAGGTGGGAGGATAGCCTGAGGTCAGGAGTTCAAGACCAGCCTGGGCATTATAGCCAGACCCCACCTCTATAAAAAATATAAAAATTGGCCAGTCGTGGTGGTGGGTGCCTGTAGTCCCAGCTACTTGGGAGCCCAAGGTGGGAGGATCACTTGAGCCCAGGAAGTTGAGGCTGTAGTGAACTGCGATTGCACCACTGCACTCCAGCATGGGGGACAAGACAAGGAAGGACGGAAGAGAGAAAGGGAGGAAGGGAGGGAGGGAGGGAGGGAGGGAGGGAGGAGAGAGGGAGGAGGGAAGGGGAAGAAAGAAAGAGGAAAGGAAAAGAGAAAGAAAAGAAAAAAAGGAAAGGAAAGGGGAAAAGGGAAAGGAAAGGAAGGAAAGAAGAGAGGAAGGAAGGAAGGCTGGAAGGAAAGAAGGAAAGGGAAAGGAGAGAGGGAGGGAGGGAAGGAAGGAAGAAAGGAAATTTACACCTGAATCCCTTAAAGTGAAATAAAATGATTCCGTTCTTCAGTGGCACTGACCACATTTCAAGAGCCGAGTGCTGCCACGTTGGGCAGCTCAGCCGGGGAAGGGGCAGGAGGTGTGCTCTGAGCCACCCAGCTGCTGCACCTGTCCCTGCCGTCCCTGCCCCTCCAGTTCTGGATCATCCCCAGCATCCTGGGCAGCTCCAACCTCTACTTCCTGTCGGACGATGACTGGGAGACCATCTCTGCCTGGATCTACGGCCTCGGCCTCTGCGGCCTCTTCGTGGTGTCCACTGTGTTTCACACCATCTCCTGGAAGAAGAGCCACCTCAGGTGCCTCCCGCCCAGAGGGGACCCATGCCGGGTAGGGGGTCGGGGCAGGGGGACCCATGGCAGCCCGGGGGGTGAACCAGGATATCCGGTCTGCCTGGTGACATTCTCCACTGAGCTGGGAGGGGCTGGGCTGGGCGACTTTGCAGGAGGCTGGCTTTGCAGGAGGCACAAGCCCTGCCTTAAACAGGCTGCGGTTGAGTCTCTTCAGGGCGGACCACCTCGCCCACGGGAGCCTGGTTTGCTCACTTTTTTTGTTGTTGCTTTTTGTTTTTTCTGAGATGGAGTCTCACTCTGTAGCCCAGGCAGGAGTGCAGTGGCGCTATCTCAGCTCATTGCAACCTCCGCCTCCTGGGTTCAAGCAATTCTCCCGCCTCAGCCTCCCGAGTAGCTGGGACTACAGGTATGCACCACCACGTCCAGCTAATTTTTGTATTTTTTTGGGGGGTGGGTAGAGATGGGGTTTCGCCATGTTGGCCAGGCTGGTCTCGAACTCCTGACCTCAGATGGTCCACCCACCTCGGCCTCCCAAAGTGTTGGGATTACAGGTGTGAGCCACTGTGCCTGGCCAACTTGTTTTCTTTTTTGTTTGTTTGTTTGTTTTTTGAGAAAGAGTCTCAATCTGTTGCCCAGGCTGGAGTGCAGTGGTACAGTCTCAGCTCACTGTAGCCTCCACCTCCAGGGCTCAAGCACCTCCTGCCTCAGCCGCCTGAGGAACTGAGACCACAGGTGTGTGCCATCATGCCTGGCTAATTCTTGTATCTTTTTGTAGAGATGGGGTTCCACCATGTTGCCCAGGCTGTTCTCCAACTCATGGGCTCTAGTGATCCACCTGCTTCAGCCTCCCAAAGTGCTGGAGTTTCGGAAATGAGCCTTCACGCCTGACTTGTTTTGCTTGCTTCTGAGAGGACCAAGAGAAAAGCCCTTGCTGGCTGCAGGGTGGTCACGACGGGCCAGCTCCCCTCTGGGCTTCGTTCCAGGCATGCTACAGGCGCCATTCCCTAATCTTTCTAATAATTCTGCAATGCAGGCACTAGAATCCCTGATATTACAGTTTTGATTTTTATTTTTTTTTGAGATGGGGTCTCACTCTGTCACCCAGGCTGGAGTGTGATAACATCATCTCGGTTCACTGCAGCCTCCACCTCCAGGGCTCAAGCGATCCTCTTATCTCAGCCTCCCGAGTAGCTGGGACTACAGGCATGCACCACCTCATCTAGCTAATTTTATGTATTTCTTGTACAGATGGGGTTTCATCATGTTGCCCAGGCTGGCCTTGAATTCCTGGGCTCAGGCGATCTGCCCTCCTTGGCTTCCCAAAGTGCCGGGATTACAAGTGTGAGCCACTGTGCCTGGCTAGTTTTGATTAAAAAAAAAAAAATTACAGGCCAGGCAAGGTGTCTCATGCCTGTAATCCCAGCATTTTGGGTGGCCGAGGTAGGAGGATCACTTGAGGTCAAGAGTTTGAAACCAGCCTGGCCAACATGGTGAAACCCTGTCTCTCCTAAAAATACAAAAATTAGCCAGGCACTGGGGCTGGCACACACCTGTAATCCCAGCTACTCAGGGGGCTGAGGCACGAGAATTGCTTGAACCTGGTAGGCGGAGGTTGCAGTGAGTCTAGATAGTGCCACTGCACTCCAGCTAAGGCAACGGAGTGAGAATCTGTCTCAAAAAAAAAAAAAAAAAAGAAAGAAAGAAAAGAAAAAGAAAAGAAACCTTATTTGCTCAAGGTTGCATAGCAGCCACATTCAACTCAAGCTGACTCTGGGAATCCAGGCCCCCCATAAAGCTATATGCCACTCCCTTTAATTTCTAGGAAGACATGCAGTTGAGCCGTGCATACAATCATTAGTCAAATTTGTTCAGGGCTGCACTTTGCTAGACAGAGCCACAGTTTGTACTGGTCAGTGATTGCTTTGTAACCAAGTATCCCAGAGCACTATGGCTTAAAATAACAAGAAACACTTACTCTGTCTCAAATAAGAGTTTGAGAGCTTTAGCTGTGTGGCTCCAGTCTGTGCTGTTTCCTGTAGTCAGAGGCTGGCTGGGGCTGCTGTCATCTGATGGCTTGACTGGGGCTGGAGGCTCTAAGCTCCCTCACTTGGCTGGTGAGCTAGTGCTGGGTTGTAGTGTGGCTGTCTTCACAGCCACATGGGAGCTTGTTTTCCCCAAACTTAGCGACTTAATAGAACAAGGCAGAAGCTGTAATGTCTTTTATGATCTGGCCTCAGGAACCACACACCATCATTTCTGCAATGTCCTATTTGTTCCCTGAGTTTACCTTATTTGTTTTGGGAGGGGAGGGTCCCAGTGTGTGAATACTAGGGGCTTGACTCATTGGCACCATTGTGGAGGCTGGCACCATTCCAGTCCCATGTATTGAGGGTTATCGCTCACTATACAAGGTGAGGTCATCATAAAAATGGTTGGTGTTTATTTATTTATTTTTATTATTTATCTATTTTTTATTTTTTTTTTGAGACAGAGTTTCACTCTTGTTGCCCAAGCTGGAGTGCAGTGGCATGATCTCGGCTCACTGCAAGCTCCGCCTCCCAGGTTCATGCCATTCTCCTGCTTCATCCTCCCAAGTAGCTGGGACTGCAGGTGCCCACCACCACGCCCGGCTAATTTTTTGTATTTTTAGTAGAGACGGGGAATGTTTTGTATTTTTTGTAGAAACAGGGTTTCACCATGTTAGCCAGGCTGGTCTCAAACTCCTGACCTTAGGTGATCCACCCACCTTGGCCTCCCAAAGTGCTGGGATTACAGGCATGAGCCACCATGCCTGGCCAAAACAGCTGGTATTTATTGAGCACTTACTATGTACTGTGCTGGGTATTAGCTAATTTAATCCTCCCCACAGCCCCGTGTCAGGTTGCTGGCATCCTCCGTGTTTTACAGAGAAGGAAGCTGAGACCTAGAGCGAATAGGTAACTTGCTCAAGGTTATGTACTCCTGAAGTGTAGAGCTGGAATTCGAACCCAGGCCTTTTGGCTCCACAGCTTGGATCCGAACCACTAAGCTCTTCTAGCATTAGAATGTCAGCTCCCAGACAGTCTTGAGGGGCACGTAATTTAGTAGTTTTTGCACTTTTTTTTTGAGACAGGATCTAGCTCAGTTGCCCAGACTGGAGTGCAGTGGCACAAACATGGCTCACTGCAGTCTCCACCTCCCAGGGTCAAGAGATCCTCCTGCCTCAGCCTCTGGAGTAGCTAGGCCTACAGGCACACACAATTATGCCTGGCTGATCTTCCTAATTTTTAGTAGAGATGAGGTCTCACTGTGTTGCCCAGGCTGGTTTCCAACTCCTGAGCTCAAGCAATTCTCTTGCCTCAGCCTCCCAACGCTCTGGAATTACAGGTGTGAGCCACTCCATCTGGCCATTTTTGCACTTTGTCCACAGAATTCTTTCCCCATTATAAATCTTTGGAAAAACCCAGTATATAAAGCAGAAATGCACAGTGGCTCTGATTAAAGTAGGGGAGGATGGCCAGGTGCGGTGGCTCACGCTTGTAATCCCAGCACTTTAGGAGACCGAGGCGGGTGGATCACTGGAGTTCAGGAGTTTGAGACCAGTCTGGCCAACATGGCGAAACCCCGTCTCTACTAAAAATACAAAAACTAGCTGGGCATGGTGGCAGGTGCCTGTAATCCCAGCTACTTGGAAGGCTGAGGCAAGAAAATGGCTTGAATCCGGGAAGCGGAGGTTGCAGTGAGCTGAGATCGTGCCACTGCACTCCAGCCTGGGAGACAGAGCAAGACCTTATCTTAAAAAAAAAAAAAAAAAAAAAAAAAAAAAGTGGGACGGAGGATGTTCAATCCTTACCTGTAGGGGCGCAAGGCCCTCAGTGGGACCCCCGAGGCAAGGTGTCTCCATGCAGCCCCTAGGGTGATAAGGAGCCTGGTTTGAAGACCACTGCTCTGGTCACTTACAGATGGGGATTCTGAGGGCCAAGGGGTCTTGGCTGGACAGAGGAGCCCAGCCCTGCTAACCTGTAGGCAGGCACGATCAGTCCAGGGCACGGCTCTGGGGGCACTGGCCCTTCCCTGCTGTGCAGGGGCTGTGACTGCCGGCTTCTCTGCCGCCCTAGGATGGTGGAACACTGTCTACACATGTTCGACCGGATGGTCATCTATTTCTTCATAGCGGCTTCCTACGCACCCTGGTGAGTACCGTCCCGCCGCCCAGCAAACCCTTGGCGGCCTTTCTTTTCATTGTTTGAATTTATTTTTCTATTTGGCTGGGTAATGTGTTGACTTGGCACAAAGGAGTTAGGTTAAAAGCTTCCCGCCACCCTTTTTTCCTTCCTGGAAGCAGCTACTTATACCCACTTTCCTGTGTTATTTTATGCAGAAAATAACTCACTTCTTGAGTTATTTTATGCAGAAAAAGCAAATATATACATTGTTTTTTTTTTTTCTGAGAATTCTGAGACAGAATCTCACTCTGTCACCCAGGCTAGAGTGCAGTAGCGAGGTCTTGGCTCACTGCAACCTCTGCCTCCCTGGTTGAAGCGATTCTCCTGCCTCTGCCTCCCGAGTAGCTGGGATTACAGGCACGCGCCACCACGCCCAGCTAATTTTTGTATTTTTAGTAGAGACGGGGTTTCACCATGTTGGCCAGGCTGCTCTCGAACTCCTAACCTCCAGTGATCTGCCCACCTCAGCCTCCCAAAGTGTTTGGATTACAGGTGTGAGCCACCGTGCCCATCCAGAAAAGCAAATATTAATATGTACATATGTATGCATATGTGTCTACATATATACACATATATAAATATGTGTAATAGACATAGACGTATGCATACACATGCATATACATACATATATACTTATATTTATATTTACTTAATATTTAATTTATTTAATATAGCTTTTAAATTTTTAATTTTTTTTTTAAGAGACAGGGTCTTGATCTGTTGCCTGTGCTGGAGTGCAGTGTTGTGATCATAGCTCACTGCAGCCTCCAACTCCTGGGCTCAAGTGATCCTCCCACCTCAGCCTCCCAAGTAGCTGGGACTGCAGGTGCAAGCCACCATGCTTGGCTAATATTTTTATTTTTGTAGAGATGGGTCTCAGTATGTAGCCCAGGCTGGTCTTGAACTCCTGGCCTCAAGCCATCCTCCCGCCTCAGCCTCCCAAACTGTTGGGAGTACAGGCGTGAGCCATTGCAATGGCCACATTTTAAAAGTATATATTTATTTTGTTTTTATTTTTTGTTTTGTTTTGTTTATGTTTTTGAGATGGAGTCTTGTTCTGTTGCCCAGGCTGGAGTGCAGTGGCATGATCTCGGCTCACTGCAACCTCCACCTCCCGGGTTTGAATGATTCTCCTGCCTCAGCCCCCTGAGTAGCTAGGACTACAGGCACATGCCACCATACCCTGCTAATTTTTGTATTTTTAGTAGAGATGGGGTTTCACCATGTTGGCCAGGGTGGTCTGAAACTCCTGACCTCAGGTGATCTGCCTGCCTCGGCCTCCCACAGTGATGAGATTACAGGTGCGAGCCACCGTGCCCGGCCTGAGTTTCTCTTCTTTACCTTTACCCCTGGTTGTGATTGACTGGGCACTGCCCTGTGCCAGGCCCTGTGCTGGTATCTGAGGGTATTGTCACAAACAAAACCCCCAGCTCCCTCTCTTTGTTGGGGACAAAAACAAACAAACCGAAAACCAAATAAATATTGAAGGTTTTACATAAACAGGGAGAATACATTTTCAAAAAGTCTAAATTACAGCAATCAGAGAGAAGCTGATGGAAATGAAAGAGACAAATTCTGCAGGCATTGAGACTGAAAAAGTAAATTATTTGCAATGTGAAAAAAACAAGCTGGCTTCTGAATGTGGCCACAGCACCATTTAATGCTGACACACAGTGGAGACACTTCTAATAATTTCCCAGAGATAAACTTCAGAATAAACTATCAAATGGGGTTGTCATGCAGACATAAAAACAATAGGCACCATGGTCACGCATGAAAGAAGTCCAAGAATACCATATCCATGAGGAGTTTTTGAAAGAAACTAGTTTGTGATGGCATGTGCCTGTGCTCCCAGCTACTCAGGAGGCTGAGACAGGAGGACCGCTTGAGCCCAGGAAGTCAAGGCTGCAGTGAGCTATGATTGTGCCACTGCACTCCAGCCTGGGAGAGTGACACCCGGTCTCTAAAAAAACAAACAAGAAACTGAAACATGTAATTTAAAAAATCCACCTGCCAGGCGCAGTGGCTAACGCCTGTAATCCCAGCACTTTGGGAGGCTGTGGTGGGCAGATCATGAGGTCAGGAGATCGAGACCATCCTGGCTAACACGGTGAAACCCCGTCTCTACTAAAAATACAAAAAATTAGTCGGGCGTGGTGGCAGGCACCTGTGGTCCCAACTACTCGGGAGGCTAAGGCAGGAGAATGGCTTGAAAAAAAAATCCACTTTTTTTTTTTTTTTTTTTTTTTTGCCGAGATAGAGTTTCGCTCTTGTTGCCCAGGCTGGAACGCAATGGCGTGATCTTGGCTCAGTGCAAACCCTGCCTCCCGGGTTCAAGCAATTCTCCTGCCTGAGCCTCCCAAATAGCTGGAATTATAGGCTTCCGCCACCACTCCCAACTAATTTTTGTATTTTTAGTGGAGATGGGGTTTCACCATTTGGGCCAGGCTGGTCTTGAACTCCTGACCACAGGTGGATCCACCTGCCTCGGCCTCCCAAAGTGCTGGGATTACAGGCGTGAGACACTGCGCCAGGCAGAAAATCCAGTTTTCTTGTGCTTTACATAATTTATCTTAACTTTAGAGTCCAAGTGAATTTTATGGTGAAGAAACATTTGTTTGAAGTTCAGCAAAATTTGTAAGTGTCCATTTTCTTCTTTTGAAGTCAAGTTAAAATTAAATGTAATACTTTTAATTAAAAAAGATGTGTATAACTTTAATTCTCACCCTTTCTCCTTTCCCTTCATCCCGTCCTATCCTTCTACCCAGTGACCTATTTTTAGGTCTACTTGGAAGGATATCTAGAATGATGTTCACTGATGGTTATTTTGGGTAATGAGATGGGTTATTATTTTTTACTCTTAAACTTTTCGGTGTTACTTAAATTCTTTATAATGACAGACTCCAAGCAGGTCACTTTTTTTGGCAGAAGTTTTACATAACACATTCTCATTTCAGAAATTCATTCCAGGCCAGGCGCGTGGCTCACGCCTGTAATCCCAGCACTTTGGCAGGCCGAGGAGGGCAGATCACCTGAGGTCAGGAGTTTGAGACCAGCCTGGCCAACATGGTGAAACCCCATCTCTACTACAAATACAAAAATTAGCCAGGCATGGTGGTACGCCTGTAATCCCAGCTACTCGGGAGGCTGAGGCAGGAGAATCACTTGAACCCGGGAGGCGAAGGGTGCAGTGAGCTGAGATTGCCTCACTGCACTTTAGCCTGGGTGACAGAGCGAGAATCCATATCAAAAAACAAACAAAAAAAGAAATTCATTCCAGAAAAAACTTAAAGGACCCTCTTCCTCAGTCATCACCACCATTGTTAACTACACCTTTCCAGACAAAACCACTTAGGAAGAGGTTCAGATCTTTTTCTGTGCATTGACCGTTATCCCTTTTTTTTTTTTTTGAGACAGAGTCTTGCTCTGTTGCCCAGGCTGGAGTGCAGTGGCGCGATCTTGGCTCACTACAAGCTCTGCCTCCCGGGTTCACGCCATTCTCCTGCCTCAGCCTCCTGAGTAGCTGGGACTACAGGCGCCCGACACCACGCCTGGCTCATTTTGTTTTTGTATTTTTAGTAGAGACGGGGTTTCACCATGTTAGCCAGGATGGTCTCAATCTCCTGACCTCGTGATCTGCCCGCCTCAGCCTCCCAAAGTGCTGGGATTACAGGCGTGAGCCACCGCGCCCGGCCAACAGTTATCTCTTTATACATACACACAATATTGTCATCTTATTCTTCTTGGTTCATACCCTCCACCCTCCTGAACACCTCACAATATAGCTTAGAGATCTATCTATGTTGGTAAAAACAGTTCTTCTTCCTATTTTTTATTTTTTAATTATTATTATTTTTAATTTTTTTGAGACAGGGTCTTACTTACTCTGTTGCCCAGGCTGGAGTGCAGTGGTGGGATCATGGCTCACTGCAGCTTCCACCTCCCAGACTTAAGCGATCCTCCCACCCCAGCTTCTCAAGTAGCAAGACCCTGTCTCTTAAAATAATTATTAACAAAGGATTGGAGGCCGGGCGCGGTGGCTCAGGCCTGTAATCCCAGCACTTGGGAGGTCAAGGTGAGTGGATCACCTGAGGTCAGGAGTTCGCGACCAGCTTGGCCAACATGGAGAAACCCCATCTTTACTAAAAATACAAAATTAGCCGGGCATGGTGGCGCATGCCTGTAATCCCAGCTACTCAGGAGGCTGAGGCAGGAGAATCGCTTGAACCCGGGTGGCGGAGGTTGCAGTGAGCCGAGATTGTGCCACTACACTGCAGCCTGGGGCACAGAGAGAGACTGCATCTCAATAAAATAAAATAAAATAAATAAAATAAAATAAATAAAATAAATGAAATAAAATAAAATAAATAAAACAAAACAGCATTGCTTTGGTTAGCTGCCGGAACTGCGGTTACAGAGAATGCACAATCGCCCCCAAACAGGCTTTACTTGTTCATAATCCCACCAGTATGAGGTGCTACTTACCTTTTCTTCTAGATATTATCAATTTTGCTAATTTTCCTCTAATCATTGCTTGCTGTTTCAAGTTATCTAGCACCCTTTCTGCCTGTTCACCCGTCTTCCTGTGAGCGCCCATGTCCCAGCCGTGGAGTCACAGGTGACAGGACTTCCCTGGGGTCCATTTCCTGTGACAGGCCGGTCCTCGAGGGCCGGGGTCCTGGTGGGCCCCCCTCAGGGCCATGGCCTTGGCTCTTTCTCTCCCAGGCTGAACCTTCGGGAGCTGGGCCCCTGGGCCTCCCACATGCGCTGGCTGGTCTGGATTATGGCTTCCGTGGGCACCATCTATGTCTTCTTCTTCCATGAGCGGTAAGCCAGGCCTGGGGGCTTCAGGGAGGCGGGATTCCCTTAGATGCTCTGGCCTCCCCAGCACTCCTGGGCTGCCGAGAGTCCAGGATGATCTCATAATCGTGAGAGCACAGCTCTGGCTGTCACGTCATTCAGGCTCATGGGTGGCCACCAGGTCTTGCAGACCCTAGGGTCAACTTGAAGTTGTCAAAAAGACATCATAGGTGGCCAGGCATGGTGGCTCACATCTGTAATCCCAGCACTTTGGGAGGCCGAGTGATCCACGAGGCAGGCAGATCACTTGAGGTCAGGAGTTCAAGACCAGCCTGGCCAACATGATGAAACCCTGTCTCTATTAAAAATACAAAAATTAGCTGGGTGTCATGATGGGTGCCTGTAATCCCAACTACTTGGGAGGCTGAGGCAGGAGAATGGTTTGAACCCGGGTGGTGGAGGTTGCAGCAAGCTGAGAGCGTGCCACTGCGCTCCAGCCTGGGCGACAGAGCAAGACTCTGTCTCAAAAAGAAACAACAACAAAAAAACATAGGTTCCTAGCCCCATTGGGCCGGGGTTAGGGGGGGAGGCGGGGGTGGTCACATGCCACCTGCCCTACCTAAATTATTAGCAGATGAAGGGGAGAGGTCTTGAGAGAGCCACACTCTCTGTATTCCCATTCTTTCGAGTGATGGGGATGGAAATAATTCAGTGGGGAAAGAAACAGGACGATACAAGCAAAAGAACATAACAGACTTCCTGCAGTCTCAGAGCCCAGGAACCTCTGGAAGTCATTTAGTCCAGGGACAGCAAAGAGGCTTCAGCTGCTGCAGCAACCCAGCTCAATTGGAAGTGGCTGCTTGGGCCTTGTGGGAAGAGATGCTAGGATCGAATAGTGATGTCTACCATGGGCTGAGCATCGGAAGTGCCCATGTGTGTGCTATGCCCAATGTTTGTAATCCCTGCTCTGGCACCAGCATGCATTTTACAGGTGTGGAAAGTGAGTCTCAGGGAGGGAAAGTGCCCAGGGTCACATAACTGCCAGCACCTGTTGGATGTAGCTGGGTGAAATCTGAGCCAAGGCGTGCTGGACAGAGAAAGCGTCCTTTCTTCTCACTGTTCTGGCCAGAGTGTTCCCTCTTCCCCAAGAACAGGGAGCTGTGTGCAGTTTCTTCGTGGGGAGGCATGTCCTAAGGCCGGCACGGCTTGTCTTCCTGCCAGGTACAAGCTTGTGGAGCTTCTCTGCTACGTCGTAATGGGCTTCTTCCCCGCCCTGGTCATCCTCTCCATGGTAAGTGCTGCCAGCCCTGCATAGATGAGTCCCTGCAAGAGACCAAGAGTGTCCGAGCTGGACCTGGCTGTTGAGATTGTCACAAACCCTCTCCTTTGGCAGGCGGGGAAACTGAGGCCTGGCATGACTTGTCTAAAGAGGCAGTAGGCCAGGTACAGTGGCTCATGCCTATAATCCAGTCCTTTGGGAGGCTGAGGTGGGAGGATAGTTTGAGTCCAGGGATTTGAGACCAGCCTGGGCAACATAGCAAGACCCATCTCTAAAAAAAAAAAAATTAGCCAGATGTGGTGCACACCTATAGTCTCAGCTACTCTGGAGGCTGAGGCAGGAGAATGTCTTGAACCTGGGATGCAGAGGTTGTAGTGAGCCGAGATTGCACCACTGCACTCCAGCCTGGGCTACAACAGTGAAACTCTGTTTCAAAAAAACAATTCTTTTTTTTTTTTTTGTAGAGGCAGGATCTCCCTGTGCTGCCTAGGATGGTCTTGAATTCCTGGTCTGGCGAGGGCTTGGCAGGTTCTTCTTGCTTAATTCCCTCCTATTCTATGAGTGTTTCTTTTTTTTAGAGATGGGGTCTCACTATGTTGCCCAGGCTGGTCTCGATCTCCTGGGCTTAAGCCCACCTTGGCCTTCCAAAGTGCTGGGATTACAGGCATGAGCTACCGTGCCCTGCGGAGAGTTTCTTTCACTAAGAACAACTCGTGTTAATAGTACTCACATCTGGGGGCCAGGACTACTACTTTTTTCTTACCATGTTTTTTTTCTCTAAATATTTTTTGCCATGAAGCAAAAACAAAAATTATTTTCTCTACTTTTTTTTGTTTGCCATGCCATTACTTTAAAAAACTGTGGTAAAATATTCAGTTCAGTGGTAGTAAGCACACTCACATTGTCGTGCGTCCATCACCACCATCCATCTCAAGAACTTTTTGCATCTCTGCAAACTATAACTCTGTCCTGTCCTCATTTTTTTTTTTTTTTTTTGAGATGGAGTCTCACTCTGTTGCCCAGCGTGGAATGCAGTGGCACGATCTCGGCTTACTGCAACCTCCAACTCCCAGGTTCAAGTGATTCTCGTGCCTTGGCCTCCTGAGTAGCTGGGATTACAGGCGCGTGCCACCACTCTCGGCTAATTATTGTATTTTTAGTAGAGATGGGGTTTCACTATGTTGGCCAGGCTGGTCTCGAACTCCTGACCTCGTGATCCGCCCTCCTTAGCCTCCAAAGTGCTGGGATTATAGGCGTGAGCCACCGTGCCCGGCCTTGAGCTCATTTCGTTTATCCATTCATTCCTTGGCTGACCCCTGGGTTGCCTCCACCTTTTGCTGTTGTGATTATACTGCTATGAACATGGGTGTGCAAGTATCTGTCAAGACCCTGCTTTCAATTCTTTGGGTATATACCCAGATGTATTACATTTTTACAAAAGATAAGCTATAGGCCAGGCGCAGTGGCTTCCGCCTATAATCCCAGCACTTTGGGAGGCCAAGGTGGGCAGATCACCTCAGGTCAGGAGTTGGAGACCAGCCTGGCCAACATGGTGAAACCCCATCTCTACTAAAAATACAAAAATTAGCCGGGCATGGTGGTGCATGCCTGTAGTCCCAGCTACTCGGGAGGCTGAGGCAGGAGAATTGGTTGAACCCAGGAGGTGGAGGTCGCAGTGAACTGAGATCTCGCTACTGCACTCTAGCCTGGGCAAAAGAGCAACTGTGTCTCAAAAAAAAAAAAAACAAAACCAGATAAGATAAGTTATAAAAATATTATTTGAGGCCGAGTGTGGTGGCTCACACCTGTAATGCCATCACTTTGGGAAGCCGAGGTGGGAGAAGCACTGGAGACCAGGAGTTTGAGACCAGCCTGGGCAATATAGTGAGATGCCCCCATCTCCAAAAATAAAATAAAATTAGCCAGGCATGGTTGTGCCATGGGATATCTGTAGTCCCAGCTACTGGGGAGGCTGAGGCAGGAGGATCATCCCAGGAGTTGGAGGCTACAGTGAGCTACGCTTGTGCCACTGCACTCCCGCTGGGGCAACAGACCGAGACCCTGTCAAAAGAAAAAAAATTGGTGAAGTTTTAATAGAAATGAGAATGTCTATCATCTGAGAACTAGTCTGGGGAGAATTGCTGGTATGTCAGTGTTGAGGCTTCCCACCTGGGAGTCTGGGCTGGTTTGCCATCTGCATGTCTTTTGGTTTTGGGTGGTGGGGACTGGCTGGTGCTTTCAGCCACACTGACTGCCCCTCTGACCTGTGCCCCACCCTTGTCCTTGCCGACAGCCCAACACCGAGGGCATCTGGGAGCTGGTGACCGGAGGGGTCTTCTACTGCCTGGGCATGGTCTTCTTCAAGAGTGACGGGAGGATCCCCTTTGCCCACGCCATCTGGCATCTCTTTGTAGCATTTGGTGCTGGTACCCACTACTATGCCATCTGGAGGTACCTCTATCTGCCCAGCACCCTGCAGACCAAGGTGTCCAAATGAGGTGACCCAGACTTGAGAGGTCGTTTGGGCTTTAGGAGTGGAGCACGTTTCTGTGAACGTTAACCCAGAGCACAGCGCCAAGGCCTGTCTTCCCTTTATTGGGTAGAGTTCTTGATGGCTCCAAGGTGACTTCTGGTGACAGCCAGATCATCCCTCGAGTCCCCAGCGAGAAAGAAAGCATTTAGCCATTCTTACAGAGGAGAAATTAACCCTGTAATGTGTTTCTATTTTAGATGAGTGTTTCCTAATACAAGCAACATTAACATCTTCAGAAAAGGAAGCAGGCATGGTCCTGGAAAATTGGGGAATGACGGGCCAATCTGTGTTTCCTAAGGTCCTGAAGAATCTGGCAAAGAGTCCTGTGGGTTGTTTATACCTGGGTGGCCAGGGCCTCCCTCTCTGTTACCAAAGTCCAGGCTGGCGAATTGTCTCTGGTTCAGGGAAAGGGGACAGCCCAGCTTGAAGATGAGGGATGGTGAATGGCTGTGACCATGGCAGACATCACCAATCAAGTGCAGCACATGGGTGATGTCAGAATTCTTCCCAGCACAGTGTTCTGGGCAGCCAGTACCAATCAATTTGGCACTCATGATGGGACCTCTTTGCCCTTCCTGTCTGGTGTGCTCTGAAATGGGATAATGGCCAGAGTAGCTGAAAATCTCCAAATGGGCATTTGCATGCCTATCTCCTCATCTCCCCCTCCCTTTTGGGAAACTCCTGGAGTAGGCAGTTTGGGGGCGGTAGAGGGAAACTGAGGCGCACACCCATGCAGCCCCTGATGTTCTGTTCCACCGTAGTTGATTCTCAGTAGAGTTGGGAATGAGGATGCTGTTACTTGGCCATTTCTTCCCATCTCCAAAAATCCAGAGACATTACGAGAGCTATTCATTCATAAGATGGGGCAAACAGCCCCCAGGCACTTGCTCCCTGCTCCATACTTAAGGTTTGTGATGCCAACATTTGGATTCTCTCTTGGTGCCAATCAGTGGCTGTTAGAGGCTACTCAGGTGTACCCCAAACAGAAGGCACATGGATCTGGGGCGACTGTTCCAGGTCCTCCCAACCTCTGAAGTGCTCAGTAGCCCAACAACAAGGCTGCTGGGGGCCTGTTCTTCAGCCCCCGTCAGGGCGGGGCCAGCCTCTCTGTCCAATGCTGCCTGGACATTTACTGGGGAGGTGAGTAGCAGGCCCAGCTCCAGGATCTGAATTGGAATCTCAGATTCTCTGGATAAAGAATCTGTCTCAAGTCAGGAGGTCCTCATTCTGCGACTCCCAACCAGGGTGGAGTGGGCACAGACAGGATGCCTTATGCTTATCTCTAGCACATTCCAGGGGGTTCCAGGGTTCCTGCACCTGGAATCCAGTGTGTCCAAGCCAGTATTAAATTATCTCAACACATTCCACAGACCAGACTGCCTCCGTGCTGGGAGATGCTGTGTGGATAGCTTTTGTCCTCCTGCCCATGTGTGTGTGCGTGTATATGTGCGTGTGTGTGTGTGTATATGTGCATGTGTGTGCACACGTGTGTCTACACAGGCACTCCTAATGCCTGGAAGCTGTCTTCGGTAAGCCTGACCTGTAGAGCTCACCAAATATTTCCCACCAGCTGGGGTCAGGGCTGGAGGTCAGTGGGGAAACTTTTGCAGGGGAGGGCTGGTTGGAGAGAGACTCGTTCCCAAATGGGGACAGAGACACTGAAAACTTGACCTCTGCCTGGGCCTGGGGCTGGGAGAGGGGGTTCTGGGGGTTCTGGGGTGTTGTTTAGGAGACCTCCCAAGGCGTGGCACCATGCCAGGCCAAGATAAAATCCTGCGATCACGATGCTGACGGACACCAAAGCACCTTCCTGGGACCAGTGACTTGGGACTACTCCTTCTTCCTTGCTTCCTTCTTTCCTCCTCCTCTTACTCCTTCCCTCCCTCCTTTCCTCCCCTTCCTCCCATTCCTCTCCTTCTTCCCTTTCTTCCCCTTCCTCCCCTCCTCCTCCTCCACTTCCTCCTCCTTTTCCCCTTCCTCCTCTTCCCCTTCCTCTTCCTCCTTCTCCTCCTCCTCTTCTTCTTCTCATTGCTGCTTCTTCTTCTTCCTCTTCCTCTTCCTCTTCTTCTTCTTCTTCCTCTTCCTCTTCCTCCTCCTCCTCCTCTTCTCCTCCTTCTCCTTCTTCTTTTCTTCTAAGATACTTTGACTTCTTTTCCTATTTGGATGACTTGGGACTTCTTTAGTGGCCCCATAGCAGCTGCTGACTCCTCAGTCTGACACCTGCACCTCCTGTGCCCCCTCCTCCTGGGCATCTGGGCTTGCATTTCCCCAGGACAGCCTGCTCCTTCATGCCCCTGGATTTTTGGAGGTGCTGGTCCCACTGGTGGGAACTGTTGATCCCCTTGTCCATGCAACTTACTCCTACTCATCCTTCAAAGTCCAGTTCAGGCATCAGCACTGGGGAACTTCTGGCCTTCCTCTGACTTAGGGGCTTCCCCTCTGCTCCCTGTCATGCCCCCTGCCCTCCGGCGTCACAGCTTGGAGCCCCATCCTTCATCATGCAGCTACTTGCACTGGTCCCAGGCCTGGGAGCTCCTGGAGGGAGGGACTGTGTCTTGCTGGACTTGGGATCAAATTCAGCATAACCCCGGCATTGTGGGAGCTTTGGTCAGTTTCCTAACCTCTCTGAGCCTCAGTGTTCTCAGTTGCTAAATGGGGAAGGCAGCACTTTATGGGCTGCTTGAAGATGCAGCAGGATAACAAATGCACAACACCACCTGCTCTCCTCATTAGTTCTGTTGGCTTTCCAATGGAAAGCAACCCCTGATCCTAAAGATCACATGATTTCAGGGGTGTCAGCCAAAGGAATGAATCACTAATGGTGGAATTTCCAACTGTAGTCTGGTGAGAACATGGAGGGCATTCTGAAGGGCTTTGGCCACATTTCCTCCCCTCACTCCAATTCAGGGCATGCTTCCCATAAACCCTTTCTCTTCCCCAGCATCATTCTGGAAGTGATTTTCCCAGGATTCCATTTCACCCAAGCCCAGACCCTGGATGTCCTCTGAATGTATCCTAAGTAGTGCAGGAAAGGAAAAGAAGTTTCCTAGGCCATTCTCTCCGGTGGGCAAGGCCCTGTCCTGGGAGCATTCTAGGCTGCGCACCGGGTGTGTGGTGTAGAGAGGGGCGCCGAGCACAGTGGCTCATGCCTGTAATTCCAGCACTTTGGGAGGCCGAGGTGGGTGGATCACCTGAGGTCAGGAGTTCGAGACCAGCCTGGCCAACGTGGTGAAACCCCGTCTCTACTAAAAATACAAAAAGTAGCCAGACATGGTGGCACCTGCTTGTAATCTCAGCTACTCGGGAGGCTGAGGCAGGAGAATCGCTTGAACTCGGGAGGCCGAGGTTGTAGTGAGCCAAGATTGCACCACTGCACTCCAGCCTGGGCAACAAAAGCGAAACTCCGTCTCAAAAAAAAAGGGTGGGGAGGGCATGCACCGGAAATTCAGACAGCAACACTCTCTTCCTTTCCATCCCTGGGGCCGTGAGGTTCCCGGTGACCCAGCAGAGCTGTCGTCATGCCTCAGGGAGTCAGGAGAGCAGTCGGCAGCAGGCTGGCCTGTGTGACGTTCTGGACTCGTTGGCCTCTGCACCTGCGCTCAGTGGGCACTGCCAGGGCAGGATGAGTGAAGGCAGGTGGGAGTGAGGCAGTGTCCTGCTCAGTAGACTCACATTTGGGAGGGCAGCTGAATCAGTGGCCCCAGCAACACACCTCCCACACCCCGGCTGCGTGCCCACCTGGGAGGACTTCTCTGTAAGGCCCAGACAGAGCTTGGCTAGGGCTGTCCCCAGGGTCGACAGCCTCCCGGCCAGGGAAGGATTTGAGTCAGCATCACAGACCAGAGCTGCCTTTCCCACTGGATTGGAAGCTGAAGGTGTGGTGTGAGTGGCGTTGAGCCT
Organism: Homo sapiens; assembly: GCF_000001405.40. Lineage (NCBI taxonomy): Eukaryota > Metazoa > Chordata > Mammalia > Primates > Hominidae > Homo > Homo sapiens. The sequence continues at coordinate 4,903,459 of NC_000007.14, read as the reverse complement.
TCTCCTTTCCATCAGCTTCAGGCTCCGCGAGGGAGAATCATAGGATAGCGCTTGAGGGTGGGGAGGGGGATGCAGATGGACCCAGAACTGGAGATCTAAAGTCACTTTGGTCGTGGGCAGGGGGCTTGCACAGGGGGTTGACAGCACTGAAGGCTTACAGAACACTTTTACAGTCCCCAGTTTTCAGCTTCCCAAACTCTCGTTTGTTTTTGGTTTTGTTTTGACATGGAGTCTCGCTCTGTTGCCCAGGCTGGAGTGCAGTGGCGCAATCTCGGCTCACTGCAACCTCTGCCTCCTGGGTTCAAGTGATTCTCCTGCCTCAGCCTCTCGAGTAGCTGGGACTACAGGTGCCCGTCACCACACCCAGCTAATTTGTGTATTTTTAGTAGAGACAGGGTTTCACCATGTTGGCCAGGCTGGTCTCGAACTCCTGACTTCAAGTGATCTGCCCGCCTCGGCCGCACAAAGTGCTGGGATTATAGGCATGAGCCACCATATCCCAAACTCTCTTTTCCGTATCAGTTTGCAAAAGCTACAGAGCATTTCCTTCTACCGATGCCTGAGCCCCTGCTACTGGGCTCAGGAAGTGGGAGGTGGGAGCAGCTTGGGGTGCTAAGGGTGCCCATGATGGCTTCATGCACCACGAGTGCTGAGAGGGGGCAGGTAGAGGTCAAAGGGTTGGGAGATGGGCACCTGTCAAATTTGCCACCATGTACAGCGTAACCAGATGCCGAAATGCAGGCTCTGGGGACAGCATCTATGGGATTCAGAAAGAGCCAGTGACAATTCCAGCACCCACTTCCAATGAGCATGCTAATGTCACAGGCGTGGTATTCAGCAGGTGTGACGAGAAAGAGCTGGAAGCGGGGCAGGCAGAGGCTCACCTGTCTGGGTCTCCTCCGGGGTGCCAGTCTCCCTTGGTGGTTTCTAGATGCTGTCTTCACCGATTCACACAGACTCCCCCCGTGGGGTAAGGATAATTTGCTGATATTACAAAGCAGGAAGCCAAAGCCCAGAGAGGTTTGGTGATTTTCCCGAGGGCACCCAGCTTCTAACCAGCGGAGCAAAGCGTTGAAGCCAGGACTATCTAATACCCAAGCCTCCTGCCCTTGGCCAGACCTGGCTGCTTGCAAGGAAACACACTGCCTCCAAATCTTTTGCCCAGGGAGGAAAGCTGACCTTAAAAAAAATTAAAGAATATTTTTTTTGGTGGGGCGTGGTGGCTCTCGCCTGTAATCCCAGCACTTTGGGAGGCCAAGGCGGGTGGATCACTTGAGGCCAGGAGTTTGAGACCAGCCTGACCAACATGGTGAAATCCCATCTCTACCAAAAATATAAAAAATTAGCCGGCTGTGGTGGCACACGCCTGTAATCCCAGCTATTCAGGAGACTGAGGCAGGAGAATGCTTGAACCTGGGAGGCAGAGGTTGCAATGAGCCGAGATTGCGCCACTGCACTCCAGCCTGGGTGACAGAGCGAGATTCCACGTCAAAAAAAGAAAAAAGAGAATAATTGTTTTAAAACCTCTGGTGTGTAGCATTGTCAATTTCCATGGTGTAAATACTCATGCCAGGGCCAATTTTGTGCTGCCAAAGTGGCATTGCCAAGGATGAAAAGCAATGTATGTAATTGGTCGTCGCAAATGCTACAAGCCAGGTGCAGGCTCCCCCGGCTCCGCCACTTCCCAGCTGTACCTCTTGTGAAGCCCGGCCAGGGAAGCCAGGGATGTGAAGTTGGTGACAACAAACCCAGCCCCAAAGGGTCCCTGTGCAGGGCCAGTTCTGTCACAGAGACATTCAGAAATGGTGAGGTAAGAGTCCAGAGTCTGGTGCCAGTCGAACCTGACCCAAATCCAGCTCTCCACAGACCAGTGTGCAAGACCCTTGGGCCTGTCCCTTATCCTCTCCGTGCCTCAGTTTCCTGATTTATAAAATGGAGATTATGATCCACAAGTGCTATACACACATCAGGGTTTGAGTTTTTTCTGTTTGGTTTTTAAATTGTATTTATTTATGTATTTTTTGAGATCGGTTCTCTGTCACCCAGGCTGGAGTACAGTGGCGTGATCTTGGCTCACTGGAAACTCTGCCTCCCGGGTTCAAGAGATTCTCTTGCCTCAGCCTCCCAAGTAGCTGGGATTACAGGCGCATACCACTATGCTCAGTTAATTTTTGTATTTTTAGTAGAGACGTGATTTCACCGAGTTAGTCAGGCTGGTCTCGAACTCCTGACCTCAAGTGATCCGCCCACCTTGGCCTCCCAAGGTGGTGGGATTACAGGTGTGAGCCACCACACCCGGCCTATATCCCACTTTTTTTTTAGATAGTGTTTTACTCATGTCGCCCAGGCTGGAGTGCAGTGGTGTGATCTTGGCTCACTGCAACCTCTGCCTTCTGGTTTCAAGTGATTCTTGTGCCTCAGCCTCCCGAGTAGCTGGGATTACAGGCGCCCACCACCATACCCGGCTAATTTTTATATTTTTAGTAGAGATGGGGTTTCACTATGTTGGTCAGGCTGGTCTTGAACTCCTGACCTCAGGTGATCCACCCACCTTAGGCTCCCAAAGTGCTGGGATTACAGGTGTGAGCCACTGCGCCCGGCCCAGGGAGCTGGTTTATATGGAAGATATAGAAGAGTCAACCCTAGCAGGAAGAGCAAGGTGTGGAGAGGAGGCGGCAGGAGGAGTCCCACACTTGTTCTGCTGCTGATCTGGTGGGTGGCAGAAGAGGGGATATGGGTTGTGGGGGGGATGCTGCTGGAGGGAGAGCCATGAGCACTTTACATGAGGAGGGTATACCATCCCGTCTCATGTTGCTCCACTGCTGGGGTGGGAGGTGAGGAGTCATGGAAGGTATCAGTGTTCTTACATCCTTAGGGCACCCTGGAGACGGACTTACATATTCAGGCCTTCGCAAGTTATTAGAAGACTGGTAGGGTGAAATTAACCAAGGTGTGAGTGTTTACACCATGGTGATGGGTGAATGCTACAGATCAGAGCTTCCTGTTTTTGGAGAGCTAATTTACAGACACACCATGACCTGCACCCCATGCACACATCTCTGCACACCATCCCTTTTTACCAGTATAACAGATAATATGCGCACTTATGAACGTGCACACATTCACATCCCTCTTCTTGTATTTTGCTCTTCCAAAACCTCACAAGATGAAATTACTGTTTTCTTTTTCTTTTTTTTTGAGACACAGTCTCGCTCTGTCTCCCAGGCTGGAGTGCAGTGGTGCACTCAGTGCTGCCTCAGCCTCCTGAGTAGCTGGGATTACAGGCACCTGCCACCACGCCTGGCTAATTTTTGCATTTTTAGTAGAGATGGGATTTCACCAGTTGGCCAGGCTGGTCTTGAACTCCTGACCTCAAGTGATCCGCCCACCTCGGCCTCCCAAAGTGCGAGGATTACAGCCATGAGCCATATGAGGACACCAAGGTTGCTCAGACAGTGGAGATCTGTCTGCTCACATACCTTCAGCTTGTCCTGACAACTTTCTCTTTGCACATCTGGCTTCCTGATGGACTTTCAATGGATTTTTGCCCCTGTTGCAGTGTTAAAAGAGGAGGGTGCTACATCCTGGCTGGGGCCAGCAGCCCTTATGGGTTAGGTGTTAGGTTTACCTGTGTATCATGTGACCCGCCCATTTCATCACCTGGGGTCCAGGTGGCAGAGGTCAGCCGTCTTCTGTTTACTCCCACAGGGCAGTGTTTTTCAAGCCTTTTTGTTGAAGACCCATACTAAGAAATACATTTTCCACGCTGGGCGAGGTGGCTCAAGCCTGTAATCCCAGCACTTTGGGAGACAGAGGTAGGTGGATCACCTGAGGTCAGGCGTTCGAGACCAGCCTGGCCAACACAGTGAAGCTCCCTCCCACTGTCTCTACTAAAAATACAAAAATTAGCTGGGCACAGTGGCTTATGCCTGTAATCCCAGGTACGCGGGAGGCTGAGGCAAGAGAACTGCTTAACCCAGGAAGCGGAGGCTGCAGTGAGCTGAGATCATGGTACTGCACTCCAGCCTGGGCGACAAAGCAAGACTTCGTTTCAAAAAAAAAAAAAGAAAAATACATTTTACACAGTGATTGTAGTTTACTGAAATGGGACTGACTTTGGTGATATGCTCTGATACTTGCTATCCTATCCTATCCTGTCCTAGCCTTTGTCTATTTTGGCTGCTATAACAAAATACCATAGACTGGGTGGATTATAAACAACAGGAATTTATTTCTCACGGTTCTGGAGGCTGAGAAGTCCAAGAACAAGGAACTGGCAAGTTCAGTGTCTGGTGAGGGCTGTTTCCTGGTTCGTAGGTGGTGTTTTCTCATTGTGTCCTCCCATGACTGACACATGGGCAAAGCAGCTCTCTCAGGCCTCTTGTGTAAGGGTACTAATCCCATTCGTGAAGATGCAGCCTCCCTGACCTAATCACCTTCCAAACCCTCCCTTCCTTCCTTCCTAGCTTCCTTCCTTCCTTCCTAGCTTCCTTCCTTCCTAGCTTGCTTGCTTGCTTGCTTCCTTCCTTCCTTCCTCTGTCTCTCTTTCTTTCTTTTTTCTGAGACAGAGTCTCACTGTGTTGCCCAGGCTGGAGTGCGATAGTGTGATCTTGGCTCACTGCAACCTCTGCCTCCTAGGTTCAAGCAATTATCCTGTCTCAGCCTCCCAAGTAGCTGGGATTACAGATGCGTACCATGGAGCCCAGCTAATTTTTGTATTTTTAATAGAGACAGGGTTTCGCCATGTTGGCCAGCTGGTCTTGAACTCCTGACCTCAAGTGATCTGCCCACCTTGGCCACCTCCTGAAGTGCTGCAATTACAGGCGGGAGCCACTGCGCCCTGCCCAAACGCCTCATTTCTTAATACCATCACCTTGGAGTTAGGTTTTCAACGTAGAATTTGGAGGGACACAAATCCCAGCACCATCCAATCTTATCCTATCCTATCCTTCCCTACCCTATCCTATCCCATCCCATCTTATGTCATTGTTTCAAATTACTGGTTGCAACCCACCAAATGATGTTATGACCCATGAGTGCGTCTAAATCCTAAGTTCTGAAAGCTGTTCTTAGTGGTACATTCCCAGAAAGCCATAGTTGTTGGTAATCAGTGCTTAGTGTGTATTTGCTGCAATTGGCAGGGCTCAGCATGGTGTCATACCTTGGGATCCAGAGTGCCCCCAGGCCATGTGGGGACAGGTAAGGAGAAAGAAATTAGGAGCTTCCAAGAATCTGGTTACCCAGAACCCTGACCCCACTAGGAGGAATACAGGATCACATTTTATGGCCTCTTGTCTTTGTGATGGCCCATGTTCGTGGGGGACCTTGAGGCTAGGTGGTCCTAGAGACCCAGTGGGCAGCGTGGCCCTGAACTTAAGCCAGCATTAGGTCAGGAGGGTTTAGAAGGCAAGAGAAAGAGATAGGCCGGGTGCGGTGGCTCACACCTGTAATCCCAGCACTTTGGGAGGCCAAGGTGGGTGGATCACTTGAGGCCAGGAGTTTGAGACCAGCCTGGCCAACATGGTGAAACACCATCTCTACTAAAAATACAAAAATTAGCCAGGCATGGTGGTGGGCACCTGTAATCCCAGCTACTTGGGAGGCTGAGGCAGGAGAATCTCTTGAACCCGGGAGGCAGAGGTTTCAGTGAGCCGAGATCACACCATTGTACTCCAGCCTGGGTGATAGAGTGAGACTGTCTCAAAAAAAGAAAGAAAGAAAGAAAGAGATTAAATACACTGGAGAAAGGAAGGAGGGCACCCAGTGTTGGAAGGGCTACTCTGCCTCCATCAGCATTTTCAAATTTCAGGCTCTGGCCTTTCACCGAATGCACTTCCCACCAGTCCTGTTTACACTGCCAGGTTCCGCTAGGAGCTTTCCCACCTCTGCAGGTGCAGGCCTCGCTGCTTCTTAAGGCCTTTCTCTGGGGTGGGAGGAAACGGAAACTGTATGATTGTCTTTCATATTCACTTTTATAGACCTATAATGTCTACAATGTCTGAGAGTGGCGTTTGCGGCATGACTTTTAAAAAAATGTCCTGCTGGTATTGGACCCTTTCTGTGTTTGTGAAATTGCTATTTTGTATTAACACAGTATTTGATAAACATTTATATTAAGAAGAATAATCCCTCTGCTGAATATTATTGTTTCCAATGGAGTAGAAAGAACTTAAAAAAAAAAATCAAGATGTCTCACTCTGGCCTAATTGTCTTTTTTTTTTTTTTTTTTTTTAAATATAACACCTGCCAATTCTTTTTATAAAAGTGATCTCTGTTCACTGTAGAAAATGGGATAATTAAGGCCGGGCGTGGTGGCTCATGCCTGTAATCCCAGCACTTTGGGGGTGCTAAGGAGGGGGATAACTTGAGGTCTGGAGTTCCAAACTAGCTCAGTCAACATGGCGAAACCCCGTCTCTACTAAAAATACAAAAATTAGCCGGCTGTGGTTGTGGGTGCCTGTAATCCCAGCTACTCCAGAGGCTGAGGCAGGAGAATCACTTGAACCCGGGAGGTGGAGGTTGCAGTGAGCTGAGACTGGGCCACTACACTCCAGCCTGGGCTACAGAGCGAGACTCTGTCTCAAAAAAAGAAAAGAAAAGAAAAGAATAGAGAAAAATAAAGAAAGAAAATGGGATAATTATTGCTGATATAAATGGGGGTGGAGTAACACTAAAGAAAAAAACAAAATGGGGTATTTAGAAAAGACAAAGAAAATGAAAACTCCTGTATTAGCTCTCTATTACTGCATATCATAAATTATCCTAAAATAGTGGCTTCGAACAATAGTCATCTATGTCTTTTGTGGTTTTCACGGGCCAGGAATTAGAGTCTGCGGCTCAGCTAGAGGAGGTGGAAATGGAGGCTGGAATCAGTTGAAAGCATGTTCATGCACACATCTGTTGGTTGATGCTGGTGGCTGGCTAGGGACCCAGCTGGGAAAGTTGGCCAAACACCTTGTTTTATTTTATTTAATTTTTTTGCGACAGAGTCTCGCTCTGTCACCCAGGCTGGAGTGCAGTGGCACAATCTGTGCTCACTGCAACTTCTGCCTCCCAGGTTTAAGCAATTCTCCTGTCTCAGCCTCCCAAGTAACTGGGACTACAGGCATACACTGCCATGCCCAGCTAACTTTTTGTATTTTAGTAGAGACAGAGTTTCACCATGTTGCCCAGGCTGGTCTCAAACTCCTGAGCTCAGGCAGTCCACCCGCCTCAGCCTCCCAAAGTGCTAGGATTAAAGGTGTGAGCCACCACCTGGCCTATTATTTATTTTTGAGACAGGAGAGCAAGGCCCTCTCTCAAAAATCAATAATAAAAATGTAGGTTTTACCATTATTCAGGTATGGTGAGACCAACAGATCACAGGTGACAACTGCCGCCAAAAACATCGTTTGTTACTCACAGATCCCAAAAGGAGGGGACACATCATACCATGCAGGGTCATGTGGGGAAGCACTAGGCTTCGTCAGGAAGGAGTGATGGGAAAACGTGGGCAGGAGTCTTTGTCATGATTCCCGGGAAGGAGTGAGCAGGGCACGCTAAACAGGCTTAGAATTTGATAGTTGAGTAACTGAAGCAGGTTCTGGGGTGTACAGGTTGTCCTGATGATACAGAATGCCTGGGCTCAGCCGGGCGCGGTGGTTCACGCCTGTAATCCCAGCACTTTGGGAGGCCAAGATGGGCAGATCACGAGGTCAGGAGTTCGAGACCAACCTGACCAACATGATGAAACACGTCTCTACTAAAAATACAAACATTAGCCAGATGTGGTGGTGCGCGCCTATTATCCCAGCTACTCCGGAGGCTGAGTCAGGAGAATTGTTTGAACCCGGGAGATGGAGGTTGCAGTGAGCTGAAATCTCGCCACTGCACTCCAGCTGGGGTGACAGAGCGAGACTCCGTCTCAAAAAAAGAAAAGAAAAAAAAAGAATGCCTGGGCTCCTGGCTAAACTCCACCCTCAAGCCTGGAACCTCAGCCCTAAGTCAAAACCGCTGACCCCGTTTCTCCACACCGCAACCCCGCCAAATAATTGCCATTTTGGCCCATCCCACCCCTAGCCTGTGTCCATAAAAAGACTTCAGCTGGCTGGGCTCCGTGGCTCGGGCCTGTAATCCCAGTACTTTGGGAGGCCGAGGAGGGCGGATCACCTGAGGTCAGGAGTTTGAGACTAGCATCGCCAACATGGCAAAACCCGTCTTTACTAAAAATACAAAAATTAGCCAGGCATGGTGGTGGTCGCCTGTAATCCCAGCTATTCAAGAGGCTGAGGCAAGAGAATCGTCTGAACCTGGGAGCGGAGGTTGCAGTGAGCCGAGATTGGGCCACTGCACTCCAGTCTGGTGACAGAGCGAGACTCTGTCTCAGAAAAAAAAAAAAGACTTCAGCTGGCTGATGCAAGCAGTCGGGGATGCAAGCGGCTGAGCGTTGGGGATACAAGTGGCTGAGAGTCAGAGACTACGTTTAAATGAGGCTAACTTCAGACAGTGCAGCTTCCAGCAAAGATCATTTTCTTCCCACAGGATCCCCTTTCCAATTCCCCATGGATGGCTGAGAGCCACATCCATCACCCAATAAAAACCTCCACATACACCACCTACCCTTCAACTTGTTTGGGTGACCTGATTCTTCCTGGACACGGAACAAGAACCTGGGTGCCTAGAGGGCAGGGGCGTAGAGGCTGCTGCAGGGTCCTCACAGAGCCTGCTCCCACCAGAGACAAATGACTGGCCGGTTCCAGCGTGGGTTCCCTCTGGTTCCTGCACTTGCTAGCTTGCAAGCTCCCTCTCGAGAGGAGTGGCCAGGGGCGGGCTGAGTGAAACAATCCATTCCAGTTCCCGCCCACGAAGGGAGTCAAGGTCAAGGGAACTATCCCATCTCATTGAGATGTCCGGTACCTGGCCCTGGGGTGATTAGGATGGGGGAATATTGGACTGGAATCTGATGGCCCAATAGAGGAGGTGGAGGGGGTGAGCTGTGATCGCTTGGTTTGCATATGAAAGGCACGCTTAAAAGCCACTCTGTTACTATCTCTAGGAATTGGCTACTCCTGCGAGGGGTAGTCCCTCCAGGATCAGAAAGGCCCCAGGTATCCAAACAAACTTTTTATTCTATCAGAAATAACTGAAAAGACAGGCTTAATATACATTCACATGTGACTTCTGCGTGTGGCCTGGACTTCCCCATGTGGCCTGGACTTCCTTACAACATGGCGGCTAGGTCGTAAGGCAAGTGTCTCAAGAGAAAGAAAGAGCCAGCTGGGAGACTGTTGCCTTTTATGATCTGGCCTTGGAGGTCGTGCATCATCATTCCTGCCATATTCTTTGGTCAGAGGCGTTTGAACCAGAGTGACTCCATCTTGAATAGGGGCTGAGTAAAAAAGACTGAGATCTACTGGGCTGCATTCCTAGGAGGTTAAGGCATTCTAAGTCACAGGATGAGATAGGAGGTCAGCACAAGATACAGGTCGCAAAGACCTTGCTGATAAAACAGGGTGTGGTAAAGAAGCCCACCAAAACCTACCAAAACCAAGATGGCGAGGAAAGTGACCTCTGGTCGTCCTCAATGCTTACACTAATTATAATACATTAGCATGCTAAAAGACACTCCCACTGGCATCATGACAGTTTACAAATGCCACGGCAATGTCAAGACGTTACCCTATATAGTCTATAAAGGGGAGGAGCCCTTAGTTCTGGGAATTGCCCATCCGTTTCCTGGAAAACTCATGAATAATCCACCCCTTGTTCAGTATATAATCAAGAAATAACTGGGCCGGGTGTGGTGGCTCATGGGTAATCCTAGTGCTTTGGGAGGCCGAGGCAGGCACATCACCTGAGGTCAGGAGTTCAAGAGCAGCCTGACCAACGTGGCAAAACCATGTCTGTACTAAAAATACAAAAATTGGCCGGGTGTGGTGGTGCATGTCTGTAATCCCAGCTACTTGGGATGCTGAAGCATGAAAACTGCTTGAACCTGAGAGGTGGAGGTTGCAGTGAGACAAGATTGCGCCACTGCACTCCAGCCTGAGTGACAGTGCTAGACTCTGTCTCAAAAATAAATAAATAAATAAATAAATAAATAAATAAATAAATAAAAGAAATAACCATAAAAATAGCCAACCAGCAGCCCTTGGTGATGCTCTGCCTATGGAGTAGTCATTCTTTTATTTCTTGACTTTCTTAATAAACTTCACTTTACTCTGTGGGCTCTCCCTGAATTCTTTCTTGGACGGGGTCCAAGAACCCTCTCTTGGGGTCTGGATCGGACCTTTCTGGTACCACTTTTGCTCAAGGCAGCTGCAAGGGTCCTGCTAGCTTCAAGGGGAGTGCGTGTAGACCCCATTCCCCCACACCTGATAGAGGTACATCCACTCCTCTTACAGCAAGACGAGTGCATAGGATGGGATCTATGTATTGAGGTGGCTATCTTAGAAACCGCAATTAGTCAGCTGGGTGCGGTGGCTCGCGCCTGTAATCCCAGCACTTTGGGAGGTAGAGGCGTGAGGATCATGATATCAGGAGTTCGAGACCAGCCTGGTCAACATGGTGAACCCTCACCTGTACTAAAAATACAAAAAATTAGCTAGGTGTGGTGGCACGCCTAGTAGTTCCAGCTACTCAGGAGGCTGAGGCAGAAGAATCGCTTGAACCCAGGAGGCAGAGGTTGCAGTGAGCCAAGATCACACCACTGCACTCCAGCCTGGACGACAGAGCTAGACTTCATCTCAAAAAACAAAAGAGAAATTGCAATTAGTCATAAACTCTATCACCTAGAAATCAACACTCTTAGTATGTTCTACCTGTCCTGCTTGCACATCTTTTAATTAATTAATTTTTTCAGATTTATTTATTTATTTATTTATTTATTTATTTATAGCAGAGTCTTGCTTTGTCACCCAGGCTGGAGTACAGTAATGCGATCTCGGCTCACTGCATCCTCTGTCTCCCAGGTTCAAGAGATTCTTCTGCCTCAGCCTCCCGAGTAGCTGGGACTACAGGCACCCACCACCATGCCCAGCTAATTTTTGTATTTTTAGTAGAGACGGAGTTTCACCATGTAGGCGATGCTGGTCTTGTACTCCTGACCTCAGGTGATCTGCCCGCCTTAGCCTCCCAAAGTGCTGGGATTACAGGCGTGAGCCACCGTGCCCGGCCTTGATTTATTTTTTATTTTGTTCTTTTAATTCACAAATAAAAATTGTTTGTATTTATCGTCTATGGCGTGATGTTTTGAAATATATATACACATGGTTGAATGGCCCAATAGAGCTAATGAACATTTGCATTATCTCACTTAATTATCATTTTTCATGGTGTGAACCAAAAGTATCTGAGACAGGTCTCAATCCATTTAGAAAGCTGATTTTGCCAAGGTTAAGGATGTGCCTGGGACATAGCCTCAGGAGGTCCTGACGACACGCGCCCAAGGTGGCTGGGGTACAGCTTGGATTTCTACGTTTCAGGGAGACATGGGATATCAATCAGTATGTGTAAGATGGACAGGGGTTCAATCAAGAAAGGTGGGACAACTTGAAGCAGGGGGCGCTTCCAGAACATAGATAGATATAGATAGATAGATAGATAGATAGATAGATAGATAGATAGATAGATGATAGATTAGATAGATAGATAGATACATAGATAGGTAGGTAGATAGATAGATAGATAGATAGATGATAGATTAGATAGATAGGTAGATAGATACATAGATAGGTAGGTAGATAGATAGATAGATAGACAGGTAGGTAGGTAGGTAGATAGACAGATGATAGATTAGATAGATAGATAGATAGACAGACAGGTAGATAGATAGATAGATAGATAGATAGGTAGATAGGTAGGTAGATAGATACATAGATACGTAGATGATAGATTAGATAGGTAGATGATAGATTAGATAGATAGATAGATAGATAGATAGATAGATAGATAGATAGATAGATGATAGGAGACAAACAGTTGCATTCTTTTTTTTTTTTTGAAATGGAGTTTCGCTTGTGTTGCCCAGGCTGGAGTGCAGTGGCGCAATCTTCACTCACTGCAACCTCCGCCTCCCGGTTCAAGAGATTCTCCTGCCTCAGCCTCTCGAGTAGCTGGGATTTCAGACATGCACCACCACACCCAGCTAATTTTTTGTATTTTTAGTAGAGATGGGGTTTCACCATATTGGCCAGGCTGGTCTCGAACTCCAGTCCTCAAGCGATCCACCCGCCTCGGCCTCCCAAAGTGCTGGGATTACAGGCATGAGCCACCGCGCCCAGCCTCATACAGTTACATTCTTTTGAGTCTTTGATCAGTTTTTTCACTGGATACACAATTTACATGTGAGAGTTGGGTAGACGAATAGTCATTTATGCCTTAGATGGGCTTAGTGAATCTGCCTTTTTTTTTTTTTTTTGAGACAGAGTCTCGCTCTGTCACCCAGGCTGGAGTGCAGTGGTGTAATCTCGGCTCACTGCAAGCTCTGCCTCCCGGGTTCACACCATTCTCCTGCCTCAGCCTCCAAAGTAGCTGGGACTACAGGCGCCCGCTGCCACGCCCGGCTAATTTTTTGTCTGTTTAGTAGAGACGGGGTTTTACCGTGTTAGCCAGGATGGTCTCGATCTCCTGACCTCGTGATCTGCCTGCCTTGGCCTCCCAAAGTGCTGGGATTACAGGTGTGAGTCACCGCGCACGGCGAGAATCTGCATTTTTATTAATACATACTAGGGCAGAGGAAGCAATCAGATATGCATTTGTCTTCAGTGGGCAGAGAGATGACTTCGAGTTCTGTCCTTTGTCCCACACCTGTGAAGACCAGCTGTCAATTTATGTTGCCGGGGGAAATTCAACAGAATTGTTTTAGGGTAAAGATCTTGAGGCCCACAAGGAATTTCCTTGTGGATAAATTGTGAGGGAGGTATGTAGCTTTTTTTTTTTTTTAATCTTTGTAGCTATCATTTAGGAATAAAATGGGAAGCAGGTTTACCTGAAACAGTTCCCAGCATGACTTTTCCCTTTGGTTTAGTGATTTTGGGGTCCAAGATTTATTTCCCTTTCACAGTGGTGAGATTGCACATCTTTTAAAAAACATCTTGGCCAGGTGTAGTGGCTTACACCTGTCATTCCAGCACTTTGAGAGGCCGAGGCAGGAGGATCACCTGAACCCAGCAGTTCGAGACCAGTCTGGGCAACATAGCTAGACCCCATCTCTACAAACAATCAAAAATATATTAGCTGGGTGTGGTGGTGCATGTCTGTGGTCCCAGCTACTCAGGAGCTGAGGCAGGAGGATTGCTTGAGCCCAGTGAGCTATGATTGCACCACTGCACTCCAGCCTGGGTGACAGAGTGAGATCCTATCTCTGAAAAAACAAAGTGGGCAGACATAACGATGTCCACCATACAGAGTGGAGGTGGTGTTTAGTTCTGTCTGGCAGATTGGATGATTTGTTCACACATCTTTCTTCCTCCTCATCCCAGACATGGCCACTTACCAGCTTGGGAAGAGCATGCTATCCTGACCCCTGGACGTTGAATAGGCATGTGATTTGTTGCTTTTTTGTTTTGTTGTGTTTTTTGAGACAAGGTCTTGCTCTGTTGCCTGGGCTGGAGTAGAGTGATGCAATCACAGCTCACTGCAGCCTCCACCTCCTAGGCTCAACTGATCCTCCTACCTCAGCATCCTGAGTAGCTGGGACTACAGGTGTGCACCACTACATCTGGTTGATTTTTGTATTTTTTGTAGAGACAGGGTTTCACCATGTGGCCTAGGTTGGTCTTGAACTCCTGAATTCAAGTAATCCATCTTCCTTGGCCTCCCAAAGTGCTGGGATTACAGGCATGAACCACTGCACCTGGCCATGTGATTTGTTTTGGCCGATGAAATGTCGGTGGATCTAACATTAGCAGATGCTTTAGATAATCTCATGTGGTTTGGCTTGGCCTCTTGCATCTCTGCCATCTATCACGAGAAGACCATGCCCCTGGTAAGTGCTGCTCCCAGAATATGGAAGCACGTGGAGCAGATCTGAGCCCAAACTTTGCCAATTCAAACCCAGCTTTCTAGAGCCACAGGCAACCCGCAGGGCTTACCTGCTCTCAATGTTTTGAAATAAACTTTGAAATTTTAGAATAGTTTCAGATTTAGAGGAAAGAAGATGAACCTCAAAAACTATGCCAAGGGAAAGAATCCAGACACAAAATGTCAAATATTGTATGACTCCACTTACATGAAATATCCACGAGAGCTGTGGCCACAGAGGCAGAAAGTGGATTGGTGGTTGCCGAGACCCAGGGGCAGGAGAGAATGGGGCGTGCCTGCCTAGCTGGTGTGGTCTCTCCTTTGAAGGTGATAACAATTTTTTTTTTTTTTGAGACTGAGTCTTGCTCTGTCACCCAGGCTGGGGTGCAGTGGCATGACCTTGGCTCACTGCAACCTCTGCCATCTGGGTTCAAGCGATTCTCGTGCCTCAGCCTCCCGAGTAGCTGGGACTACAGGTGCGTGCCATCACATCTGGCTAATTTTAAAATTTTTAGTACAGACAGGGTTTCACTGTGTTGGCCAGGCTGATCTCGAACTCCTGATCTCAAGTGGTCCTCCTGCCTTGGCCTCCCAAAGTGCTGGGATTACAGGCATGAGCCACAAGCACTGCTATTTATAGGTGTGGAGGGCCTGAAGAATGGAATCCAAGGATTAAATCACTTGTTCTGCCACACCCCTCTAGGGATACCAGATGTAACAGTCTGGGAAGGAAAGGTTGGGATCTAATGCTCCCTGTGCACCTCCTAAAGCCTGCCTCCTCTCTCCTCTGGGCCCCGAAAAAGCCCAGTCTCTGCCCCTGGACGGCCATCCCTTGGGCACCGGAACTTTGGACCTTAACCAGATCCCTTTCCCCTGGGCTCAGGTCCTTTCCTGGAGTCAGTTGCCGGATTCTGTCACTCTCTGGTGGCCAAGCAGGAGAGCTCAACACTCTATTTTTGGCCAGTGGATTTCCAAAGATACTTAACCCGACAGTTCAAAAACTGCCCAGGAGCCAGATGCTGGGATACGGAGATGAATACAGCTTTGGACTTTCCCTGGAGGGAGGGGGTGAGAGTGGATGGAAATCTATTCCTTCATCTACTCATTTAACAAATATTTATTGAGCACTGGCTAGTTGCCAAGTATAATAGTAAACAAGACACATGAAGCCCTTGCTTTCCAAAAACACAAATTCTAGTGTGTGTTAAATACATAAGCAAATACATTGACATGGTGATAAACTCTATGAATTAAATAAAACAGGTGGTCAGGTGTGGTGGCTCACACCTGTAATCCCAGTACTTCAGGAGCCGAGATGGGAGGATCGCTTGAGGCCAGGAGTTTGAGACCAGTCTGGGCAACATAGGGAGACCCCATCTCTACAAAAAATAAAAATAAAAAAATTAGCCAGGCATGTAGTCCCAGCTACTCAGGAGGCTGAGTTGGGAGGATCACTTGAGCCTGGAAAGTCAAGGCTTCAGTGAGCTATGATTGCACTATTGCACTACAGCCTGGGCAACAGAGCAAGACCC
Organism: Homo sapiens; assembly: GCF_000001405.40. Classification (NCBI taxonomy): domain Eukaryota; kingdom Metazoa; phylum Chordata; class Mammalia; order Primates; family Hominidae; genus Homo; species Homo sapiens. The sequence continues at coordinate 4,887,926 of NC_000007.14, read as the reverse complement.
TATCTCTCTGTCTCATGCTCTCTCTCTCTCTCTATATATATATATATATAAATTATATATTTATAAATATATATAAATTAAATCTCTCTATATTATATATATGTATAATATATATATGTATAATAAAATCGAGAATGACTCGGGGGTGATGGTCAAGAGGTGGTCAGAAGACAGGAAGGGAGATGAGTTTCTGCGCTGGGAAGGGGCCCAGCATGAAAACACAGAGGGAAGGCTGTGGGGTCAAGGAGACCAAAGAGGAAAGGTCTCGGAGAAGGGAGATGACCTCAGAGTGCTTGAGGAAAGAAGTTCTGAGGGCTGGAGATCCAAGGCCAAGGAAGAGAGCAGTTGGAGCTGGGTTTTGCAAACCTACTTTATTCTAAGTGCAAAAGGAAAAGTTATGAGAGGGTTATAGGTGGAGGAGTAATAACATCTGGTTTAGGTTTAAGGAACATAGTGTGATTGATGTGGACTTGCTTAATAAAAAGGTAACAAAAATAAAAGACTGTGGGCGCACACAAGAGGACATGTAACCAGGTCTAGGAGACAGGAAGATCTTTCTGGATAAGGGGTATTAGTTATCCATTGCTACGTAACAAACTGCTGCCAAAACTTAGTAGCTGAGGTCAATAATAAACATTTATCAGCTGGATGTGGTGGCTCATGCCTGTAATCCCAGCACTTTGGGAGGCTGAGGTGGGTGGGTCACTTGAGGTCAGGAGTTCGAGACCAGCTTAGCTAACATGGGGAAACCCCATTTCTGCTAAAAATACAAAATTAGGTGGGGGTGGTGGCAGGTGCCTGTATTCCCAGCTACTCGGGAGGCTGAGGCAGGAGAATCACTTGAATCCGGGAGGTGGATGTTGCAGTGAGCTGAAATTGCACCACTGCACTCCAGCCTAGGCAACAGAGCAAGCCTCCATCTAAAAAAAAAAAAATTATCATCTCATAGTCTTTGAGGGTTGGGAATTTGGGAGTAGCTTTGCTGCAGGGAGGAGGGAGCTTTTTTGGCTCAGGGTCCTTCAATGGACTCCAGCTGGGATGTCTGTCACCTAAAGTCTCCTGGGGCTGGAGGACTCACATCCACCATGGCTCACTGACCTCAGAACTACTGATCTAAGAGAGAGCAAGGGCAGAAGCCACGTCTTTTATGATTGTGTTCCAGAAGTCACAGTGTCATTTTGGCAGTATCTTACTGATTACACAAGTCTGCCCTATTCAACATGGGCCTATACAGGAGCATGAAAACCAAGAGGTGGGAATCACTGGGGCCATCTTGGAGGTTGGCTACTACCAAAGAAACGCCTTATCTGAGTCTCAAAGGATGAGTAGAAATTAGCGGCCGGGTGTGGTGGCTCATGCCTATAATCCTAGCACTTTGGGAGGCTGAGGCAGGCAGATTGCAAGGTCAGGAGTTCGAGACCAGCCTGGTCAACATGGTGAAGCCCCATCTCTACTAAAATTACAAAAATTAGTCAGGCGTGGTGGCAGGTGCCTATAATCCCAGCTACTCAGGAGGCTGAAGCAGGAGAATCGCTTGAACCTGGGAGGCAGAGATTGCAGTGAGCCAAGATTGCCTCACCGCACTCCAGCCTGGGCGACAGAGCAAGGTTCCATCTAAAAAAAAAATATATATATATATATATACACACACACATTTGAAAAAAAAGAAGTTAGCCAGGTAATGAAGTTTGCTGTTATGGTCTGAATTTTGTCCCCCTAAAATTCACGTGTTTGTTGAAGCCCCGACCCCTCACACCTCAGAATGTGACTATATTTGGAGACAGGGCCTTTAAAGAGGTGATTAAGATAAAATGAGGCTGTTAGGATGGGCCCTAGTCTAATCTGACTAGTGTCCTTATAAAAAGAGGAGATTGAACACACAAAGAGACAGGTGAGAGGTGCACACCCAGAAGAAAGGCCATGTGGGGGCACAGCCAGAAGGTGGCCGTCTGCAAACCAAGGATAGAGGCCCTCAAAGAAGCCAAACCTGCTGACAACTTCACCTTGGACTTCCAGCCTCCAGAGCTGCCAGATAAAACATTTCCGTTTTTCGAGCCACCTGATCTGGCATTTTTTAATAGCAGCTCAGCTAATCTAATACAGTTGGAAAAGGTGTTTGAAGGTCAAGGGACCGGCCTGAGGGAAGATCTCGAGGCATGAAACAGCATATTCATACCAAAAAGTCAGCATTTCTAGATCAAGAAGCAATCTGAAAAGTTTCTCTATAAAGGGCCAGGTCATATTTTAGATATTTGGGGCTGTAAAATCCTGGTTGCAGGAAAGCAGTCGTAGATAATATCTAAACAAATGAGGGTAGCTGTGTTTGAATAAAACTTTATTTACAAAAACAGAAGGCAGCCCAGATCTGGCCCATGGGTTGTAGTTATCCGACCCCTGTGGAAGAAGGATGTGGGGACTGTGGGAGATGGGCCAGGAGCAGGGTGAGGAATATCTCAGGAGGAAAACCCAGGCCTGAACCCAGGCTCTCCTTCAGCTCTGACCATTGTCTCTTCATGCGCACCTGAATGAAATATTCAAGCACGTCATTCCTTTCAAGCATCCCTTCCTGGGGTAGGCGAGGAGGTTGGTGTGTATACAGAGGGTCCTGTATTCCTGGCTCAGTTCTTGTCTCTACCTCCAGCAGCCTGACCTCTCTGCGTCTCTATTTTCTCATCTGAAAAATGGGAGTATTACTGAACAAAAGGGTTCTGCGCTTGCTCTGCTAGAAGCCAATCTTGATCAGGTGCAGAGGTTCATGCCTGTAATTCCAGCACTTTGGGAGACTGAGGTGGGTGGATCACCTGATGTTAGGATTTCAAAACCAGCCTGGTCAACATGGCAAAACCCCGTCTCTACTAAAAATACAAAAATTAGGTGGGCGTGGTGGTAGGTGCCTGTTAACCTTAGCTACTCGGGAGGCTGAGGCAGGAGAATCGCTTGAACCTGGGAGGTGGTGGTTGCAGTGAGCTGAGATCACACCACTGCACTCCAGCTAGGGCAATAGAATAAGACTCTGTCTCCAAAAAAAAAAAAAAAAAAAAAAAAAAAAAAAGCCAATCTTACTGCATTAAGTTTTTGAGACAAAAGCTTTTTTTGTCCGTATTGTGAGTTGATCAATAAGGAGACAGGAGCCTGGCTCAAATCTGTCTCTCTGTGTTGACTTTGAGGCACTATTTTTTATTAGAAAAGGTTTAGGAGGTGGACTTTAGGATTAGCAGGTGATAGGTGGAGGAAAGGGGAGGCCTGGAATGTCTCAGACATCTCTGTCTCACAAGAATTGATGTGAGCATTAAGTGAGGTGACCTAGGTAAAGTTGCCTAGGGCCTGGCACACAGGTGGTCAATAAATGTCTGTTCCCACACTCATCAATGTCTGCTCCGACCTCCATCGCGAATATGGGGTCATGACTACGGAAATCATACCACGATAGCTGTCCACAAAAAGGTTCACTCCCGAGGCCCACATTCTGCATATTGATATTCCGAACCACCTGAATCTCCCAGGTCTAGCCCACATTCCTCAAAGGGAAAACCCCAGCCAAAGTGCCGAGGTCACGAGCTGCTTTTTAAACAAGTCCCCAGGGAGAGCAGTTGGGGCCAGAGCCCCAGAGCTGACCTGGTCATTTTTTTGCATAATTGTAAGCAGGAATGCCATGACCTGATTTGTCTTTTAAAACTCTGGGTGGGAGACAGATGGTAGGGGAGAGGAAATTCCTCCCTTGTTCCTTTTCGATGTCTTAGAAGATGTTTATTAATTGGGGGCACAGCTCTACCCTCCCCTACACCCACTCACTGGGCTACTAGAAGGTGCTGTCTCGAAATAGCCCACCCAACCGCAGGAGCCCAGAGCCCACAAGCAGCTCAGGGACTTAGAACTGGTCCCACCCTTCCTCCGGGGACCCCCCCTCCTTAAGCTGCAGTCTGTGGGTGGGCTGCAAGTCCCGCCTCTCCACAACCAGCCCCACCCCTTTCTTCAAAACCCCGCCTCTCCGGTGAGGCCCCGCCCCCTCGAGGCTGCATCCCCGTCCATTGGGCGGCCGGCAGGAGGCGCCAGAGCACAGCCCGCCTTTTCTAGCAGGTTGGCCCCGCCCCTCTCCTGGAGACCCCGCCTCCTCGAGGCTTTCTTTCTGCCTATTGGGCGCCGAGGCCCAGCTCCAGCCCACCTGTTCTCCCCCGCCCCACCCTTTGTGGCCCCGTCCCCTTGAGGCCCCGCCCCGCCCGTTGCGCCGCCGGCAGGAGGCGCCGCGGCACGCGCGGGTCTGGGCGCCGGCCCCAGCCAACGGCGGGTGGGAGCAGCGCGGGAACGTGGCGGCGCGGCGGGTTGTGCCGGAGGTGAGTGTGGGGTGCGCGAGGAGTGACTGCGGAACCGGGGGTGGCTCGTAAGGGGCGCTGCTCGGCCGCTGCCGGGGACCTGGGGCGCGGAGGCCGCGGGGCGCGCTCGGGGACACTCCCGGCCGCTGGTCGGGGCGCGGAGGGCAGGTTTGCCCAGTTGCCATGGGAACCGACTGGCTGTCGGGCCCCGGCCTGGACCGGGGGGCGGTACCCGGAGGCCGGCTAGCGCGGGCAAGGGCGGCCCAGCCTGCGGGGATCCGGGGGTCCGCGCTGCCGACCCCCGAGAGCTCCTGAGCCTGGCTGTCCGCGTGGGCCCCGGACCCCCAACTCCAGGGGACTCTCGGCCCTCAGTTTTCCCGGCTGTGCCCTGGAGGGGGAGCTTCGTCCGGGGCGCGCAGCGGGGGAGCGGGGCGCAGCGGGGGAGCGGGGCGCAGGGTTCCGCGCGCTCTCCCACCTGGGCCGGCGAGACGTCCCCTGCACATACCCCGTCCCGGTTGCAGCCCGATCCCCACTCGTGCGCCAGCTCAAAGCATTGTTTCCCGGCTATTTATGTACCATTTCCAGCCCCTCGACAAATACTGCATCCAAGATAACAGATGCTGAGCCGAGCTCCTGGGGCCTCGCAGGAGGAGCCTGTTGGTGGGGTTGGCAGGGCCCTGGCGGGGCTGCGGACCATCCTGCCCTGCCCTGTCGCCTGTCAAGTGTTTGGCTAATCTGAATTGCACAGAAGAATCTGATTGCTCGTGTCCCGCGGTTAATATAGGCCACCTCTTGTGCATTCCAGACAGGAACCAGTCTTGAAAGTCCCTTTTGCTGGGGGGCAAGTCGGTCTCCTCTCCAGCAGCTAGCAGGTCAGAATTAAATCTGATTGAATTATGTTTGCATTTGAAAGCGTGGCTCGGGCTGGGGCTGTAAAGATAGGATTCATGGAAGGAGGGGAGAGAGCTGAGTGTGTAAAGTCTGCGCTTCGTTTTCCCTCCTGCTGGAAATGATAATGGGTTCCACATTGTCCTGTTGGAGCAGAGAGGTCGCTCCACCCATGTCGTCAGCGCAGCACTGACCTCACTCCCTGTACTCGCCGCTGGGACTTGAGCTTGTTTTTCATCAGAAACTGGACCCTTCCTTGAGAACAAGAGAAAACATTCTCTAAGAGCAGCACCAGCCAGCGCCCCACACCCTCGCTGTCCGAGCCCTGCGCTTTCCCCAAGTATTTGTGTCACAGAGGAGCGAATGGGGCAGAAGAGGCCGGTCGCACTTCCAGAAAAACAGATCTTGTTACCCAGGGCGTGCTCCGCCCGGTCGGATTTTCCTGCACTCCCCTTGGCCTTTTAAAAAACGAGTCCATCCCATTCTCACAAACAGGCCAGGCTCCGCCTTCTGGGATTCGGAAGCGGGCAGCGTGTGAACAAGTGGGCACCCTCTGGTCTGGCCAAGGGAGGATGACCAAACGGAGAGAAATGCTTTCTGAAAATCCCAAAACAGATAAGGTTTGTGTAACAGGGACTTCTGGGGGCTTAAGAAGGAGTTATTGGAAAGGAGTCAATCATATTCTCTCTGCTTACATTTTCTCCTGTTTCATGATACTGCTAACTCTGCCTCTGCCTTCGAATCCGGCTCCGGAAACTGTGGGAAAAGCAGGGGTGGGGGGAAGTGGGGGGAACAACATTTCTGAAGTTCAAGCTTCTAAGACCCTGGGAGGAGACCTAGCAGTTGTGTGTTTGTAATTTTCTATTTGTTTTTTATTAAAGAAGAATTATGTAAATGTCAGACCTTACAAAACATATATCCACCCCTGGGCCCCAAATATCAACTCACTTTTCCATTGTATTTGGGGGCCTTTTTATAATTTTTGTCTTTTTTTTTTTTTTTGAGACGGAGTCTCACTCTGTTGCCCAGGCTGGAGTGCAGTGGCGTGATCTCGGCTTGCTGCAACCTCTGCCTCTGGGGTTCAAGCGATTCTCCTGCCTCAGCCTGCCAAGTAGCTGGGGTTACAGGCACCCGCCACCATGCCCAGCTAATTTTTGTATTTTTAGTGGAGACAGGGTTTCACCATGTTGGCCAGGCTGGTCTTGAACTCCTGACCTCAAGTGATCTGCCCGCCTCGGCCTCCCAAAGAGCTGGGATTACAGGCATGAACCACCATGCCCAGCCAATTTTTGTCTTTTTTTTTTTTTTTTTTTTGAGAGGGAGTCTCACTCTGTCGCCCAGGCTGGAGTGCAGTGGCATGATCTTGGCTCACTGCAAGCTCCGCCTCCCGGGTTCACGCCATTCTCCTGCCTCAGCCTCCCGAGTAGCTGGGACTACAGGTGCCCACCACCACGCCTGGCTAATTTTTTGTATTTTTAGTAGAAAAAGGGTTTCATAGTGTTAGCCAGGATGGTCTCGATCTGCTGACCTCGTGATCTGCCCGCCTCAGCCTCCCAAAGTGCTGGGATTACAAGCGTGAGCCACCGTGCCCAGCCATCTTTTTTTTTTTTTTTTTTTTTTTTTTTTTAACAGAGAGGGTCTCACTCCATTGCCCAGGCTGGAGTGACGTGGCGCAATCATAGCTCACTGTAGCCTGGAACTCCTGGGCTCCGGTGATCCTCCTGCCTCAGCCTCCCGAGTAGCTGGGACTACAGGTGCACACCATGCCCAGCTAATTTTTTATTTTTATTTTCTGTAGAGATTGGGATCTTGTTATGTTGCCCAGGCTAGTCTTGAACTCCTGGCCTTAAGCCATTCTCCTGCCTTGGCCTTTTAAATACTTGGCTCTGCTTCATGACTTTTCTGTGATATGGGCTTTCTCCTGCCTGGAGGGGGCTTCCCCAGTTTTTGGTATCGTATTTATATCAGCATTCAGACTTCATCTCCGGAGGCAGAGGTTTCCTGAGCCACAGCTGCCTGGTGGCAGAGGCTGTACCATCCACCACCTGCACTTTGCCTTTGCACCCTGGGGAACCCGTTGGAAATGAGCACTATGAAAAGGTGGTGGCCGACCCTCTGCCAGTGTGTGCTGCCTGGAGGCTTCTAAGCCTGGGGCATCTGGAGAGGTGCTTTGGAGCAGGGTTGTGCAGCTCTCATGGATGGTTAATAAGTGCCGGCTGGAGAGGCTCTTTGAGGGGTTTTGTTCTGTGATTCCAAGTACTCACTTTGAAAACTGACCACAGGAGACTGAGGTCAGACTAGAGGGCGATTGGAAGCCGCTGGTGTGGTGTGCACAGGCCAGGCCGCACGTTTGTGATGTGAGCACTGTCTGAAAATGCTTTTGTTGTAAATGAAACCGAGGCCTTTGATGAGTCCGTGGGGGAAGCTGCGGCCGGCTCTGAGCTTCTTAGGATTTGACAAGGCCACTCGTTGCACCTTCCTCAGAGGAAGAGAAACAAAGGCTTTGCTCCTTTACTCCTTTATGGCCTGGCTCGATGGAACCTCAAGGCTCCATCTGCTTATGACCTGTACTGGGAACTCCGTGACCTGTTACAGCAAATTCACCTCTTCAGAAAGCCAGGCACAGCGAAAGCCTTTGCCGTGGTGAAGTGTCCGCAGTGGGCTATAGGAACAGGAGAAGGGCCAGCCACCCACCCCGCAGGGCAGACGTCCGCGTTGGGAACCCAGTCTCTGGTGTGCGAAGCTGTCGGAAGTATTTCTGAAGAGTTCAAGGTCCTCGGAGAAAGCACAGCTGCTGGCTGACCTGGGCTGGTTCTGGAGGAAGCGAGTGGTGGTCTGATTTCAGGACTCACCCATGACAGCTCTGGCGGGCAGTGAGAGGCTCCAGAGAAGATGACCCACGCCCCGGTGATATTAGAAAGAGGCCAGTTCGCAGTGTCAGCTTTGGAGGCTGGGGCGGTTCCACTGTTTAGTTTCCTAAGGGACAGTGTGGCTCCTTTTCTTTGGAGGGGTTCCCTGGTTGCTTTCTGTGGCCCTAGGCAGCCACCGTCCTTTCCAGAAGCCTTTTGCAGCGCCCGCAGCGTGACGAGTGAGTCAAGCCTGGACAGTGACAGTTGGCTGCTGCGGTGTTTAGTACTGACCCCGGTCGCAGTGGCAGGCGACCCGTGCTGTGTTCACTGGGACCTGGACCACTCTTTCCAGAGCTTTCCAGAAAATAGGCTTTCCTCCTGGCTCACTCGTCTGCCACCTTTGTCTTTGGTGAGAACATGAGCACGGAAGTGGGGTACAGTAATGGGGAGATGTGTGCGCAGTTTTCCAGTATTTTCCTGCCTTGCAGTCCAGCCTCACCTTTTCCAAATCGGAGACCTGCCTTCCTTTTTCTCTGCCCTCCTGCCCCCACAGAGGTTCTGGAGGGAGACTGAGAAACCATCTGGAACTCCTGGCCCTGGGCACGCTACGGACATTAGAAGTGTGATTGTATGACACGCCAACGCGTCCCAGGCTGTTTTCCCGTTTCCCCAGGAGACTGCATCTCTGTGGCCTGGAGCGCCGGGCACCCGCGGCCTGTGGTGGGCGGGACGCCTGCATTCCGGCCATGCCTGCACCGGCTCGAGAGGGGCCCTTTGTGCCCGCCGTGCTTGCGAGGCCACTCAGTGCTGCCATCCCAGGGAGTATCTCCTTCAAGCCAGGACGGGTCTCTTGCCCTGAGGGGTAGATTCTGGGGGTTTGTGTCTGGAATGTCTGATGGTCTATTCTGCCAACGTGGCTGCGATTCGCCTGTTTTCCTGGTTGCACTGTGTTTGTGACCCATTTCCCACGTCGCAGCCTGTGGGGTAGGAGACACGAGGTTTACGGAGAGGCGAAGCTTTGCCCTTGGGCTGCCCGCTGCTCTTCTGTGGCTGTGATGGTGCTGGGGCCGGCTCCGGGTGGGGCGCTCCTTGATGCTCACTGCACACGGGCGCTGCGCCCAGCACTTTCCAGAAATCCAAGCCCTGCAGCGGAGCGTGTCTTACTTAGGCGACCTCATTGTGTTTCCCAGTAATGGCTTTCCTTGAAGGGCGCTCCAGCCCGTTTAGTCCTCTCGGTCTCTGGTGGCCCTGCAGGCTCCAGCCACATCCTCTGCTCAGGTGCTCTGGTGTCAGGTCTGCGGGGCCAGGATGCCCACGGCCTGTTATGTCCATTAGATTTTGAGATGGGGTCTTGCTCTGCTGCCCGGGCTGGAGGGCCGTGGCACTATCATAGCTCACTGCAATCTTGAACTCCTGGGCTCAAGCCATCCTCCAGCCTCAGCCTTCAGAGCAGTGGGTACAGTGCACACCACCATGCCTGGCTAATTTTTAAATTTTTTGTAGAGCCGGGGCCTTACTATGTTTCCCAGGCTGGTCTGGAACTCCCGGGCTCAAGCCGTCCTCCCACCTTGGCCTTCTAAAGCGCTGGGATGACGGGCAGGAGTCACCGCCTGTGGCCTCATTTGCTCTTGGTGGTCACGATGGTTGGCGCTAACCTCTCTCACTTTTTCACCCAGGTCACGGCCTCCCCACATCCTTTGGCTGAAGCCCACAGTCCTCATCCATGAAGCCTCACCCACCATGTTTTATGGGACGCACTTCATCATGTCCCCGCCCACCAAGAGCAAACTGAAGCGGCAGAGCCAGCTGTTGTCCAGCATGCTGTCCCGGACGCTGAGCTACAAGTACCGGGACCTGGACTCCACCTTCTCCAGCCTGGGCGCCAGCGATGACCCCGCCGAGCTCTCCACCCAGCTGTCGGCCCCTGGTGTCCTGAAGGTGTTTGGGGACAGTGTCTGCACAGGAACCCACTACAAGAGCGTCCTGGCCACCGGCACCTCCAGCGCCCGTGAGCTGGTGAAGGAGGCGCTGGAGCGGTACGCCCTGGACCCCAGGCAGGCCGGCCAGTACGTGCTGTGTGACGTGGTGGGCCAAGCCGGCGATGCTGGGCAGCGGTGGCAGGCCCGGTGCTTTCGGGTGTTTGGGGACAGTGAGAAGCCCCTCTTGATCCAGGAATTATGGAAACCCCGAGAAGGTTTATCCCGGAGGTTTGAGCTGAGGAAGAGGTCGGACGTGGAGGAGCTGGCAGCCAAGGAGGTGGACACCATCACGGCAGGTGAGGGGGGCCACAGGTTCAGGAAGAGCCGTGGGTCTGAGCGCTGAGAAGGCCAGCCGAGGTAGGCGGAGAAGGAGTGGTGCAGGGGACATGCGTGGGGCGGGCTCGCTCTGCAGGAGGCAGTCGGAGCCCGTGTCCTGGATGTTTGAAGCCTTCCTCTTTTGTTCTCTGAGACAGGGTCTTGCTCTGTCACCCAGGCTGGAGTGCAGTGGTGCAACCACAGCTCACTGCAGCCTCCTGGGCTCAAGCGATCCTCCCACCTCAGCCTCCTGAGTAGCTAGGACTATAGGTGCACCACCACACCCAGCTAATTTTTTACTTTTTGTAGAGACAGGAGTCTCGCTGTGATACCCAGGATAGTCTTGACCTCCTGCCCTCAAGCGATCCTCCTACTTTGGCCTCCCAAAGGTTTCCTCTTAAACTCACCACTTTCACCTCAGCTGTCTGGGAAGTTGTAGTTTGTCTACGCAGCAGGAGGCTGGCTGGTGTTCCTCAGAGGCTCCTGATATATTCTTGCAATATTTGAGGCCACATCTGTTCTTTTGTCTGATCAGATTATTGTCCAGCTCTCCAGCAGTCATCTCATTGACCATAGCAACCACGCACGCCTTGTTAAATACAGGGTCCCTCCAAGTCCTTTAGCACCTGCGACCTTGTCGGGGAGTTTTTGGGGCAATGAAGTGAAAAGACAATCAAGGAATCTGTCCCAGGCCAAAACCTACGTGGCATTGCCGGGTTGCAAGGTCTCCAGAGGTGACCACGGTGCACTCAGCGTACCGCGGGTCTGTGGGTGCCTGGGTGGTGGGAGGCCTTCCTGAGGAGGGCCTGGCCACGGGCAGCCGATCATTGTCGGTCTGAGGAGTGCCGAGAGCACGGGTGGCGTTGAGTGCCTGCCGCAGAGTTTGAGAGCCCCGGGGCCTGGGGCCCACTGTGTCTGGTGATTTATTCAATTGGTGGAAAGAAGTTGATTATCTTAATAGGTGTGTGTCATAAAAAATAATTTTGGCCAGGCGCGGTGGCTCACACCTGTAATCCCAGCACTTTGGGAGGCCAACGCAGGTGGATCACCTGAGGTCAGGAGTTGGAGACCAGCCTGGCCAACATGGTGAAACCCCGTATCTACTAAAAATACAAAAATTAGCCGGGCGTGGTGGCAGGCGCCTGTAATCCCAGCTACTCAGGAGGCTCAGGCAGGAGAATCGCTTGAACCTGGGAGGCGGAGGTTGCAGTGAGCCGAGATCATGCCATTGCTCTCCAGCCTGGGCAACAAGAACGAAACTCAGTCTCAAATATAAATAAATAAATAAAATAAATTTGGCCGGGTGTGGTGGCTCACACCTGTAATCTCAACACTTTGAGAGGCCAAGGTAGGAGGATCGCTTGAGCCTAGGAGTTTGAGAGCAGCCTGGGTAACATAGTGAGGCCCCATCTCTACAAAAAATAAAAAAATTAGCCAGGCATGGTGGTGCATACCTATGGTCCCAGCTCCTCAGGAGGCTGAGGTGGGAAGATGGCTTGAGCCGCAGATGCTGCAGCCAGGATTGTACCACTGCACTCTAGCCCAGGCAACAGAGTGAGACCCTGTCTCAAAAAAATAACAATAAAAAGAGTAACTTGTGGTTGCTTTAATTATGGCTCTTAAAGTCTGCTCAGACAAGCACCCCCAATTGCCTGCACCTGGGGATCCTTCCTCCACCCAGAGGTCGCCACTTCTGGGATTTGGTTTTCATCCTGACCCTGCCATGTCACGATCCAGTGGTCCCTTGGAAGGACCGGTGATCCGGTGGCAGAGATGGGGTCCCTCCCCTCCTGATTCAAAAAGACCTCCTGTGAGGCCAGGAAACCCGAAAGGGAGGAGGCGCATGGTGGGATGTTTTCTGCACGGGAACAAAGGCTCTTCAATGTCAGACACAGAATTTCGGTCATTCTTCCACCATGCGTTGCCTCTGCCAAGCAGCGGGCAAAAAGCGAGTGGGACAGGGCCACCTTGGGGCTGCAGAGCACGGGCCAGGGTTGCTGCTGTGTGGCTGGGGATCAGCCTGGCCTGTCCTCAGGCCATTGCGTTGTGTGTCACCGGGCGAGGAGGAGCCCTGGGAAGGCCCGCCGTCTTCACAGGTGATAGGCGACTGCCAGTGTAGGATGGTGGGGCCAGAGTGCATGTTGCAGGAGACAGGAGCTTGTCTGAGGCTCACGTGCTTCTTTTTTTTTTTTTGAGATGGAGTCTCTCTCTGTCGCCCAGGCTGGAGTGCAATGGCATGATCTCAGCTCACTGCAACCTCTGCCTCCCAGGTTCAAACGATTCTCCTGCCTCAGCCTCCTGAATAGCTGGGATTACGGCATGCACCACCACCACGCCCGGCTAATTTTGTTGTTGTTGTTGTTGTTGTTGTTGTTGTTGTTGTTGTTGTTGTTGGAGATGGAGTCTCGCTCTGTCGCCCAGGCTGGAGTGCAGTGGCACAATCTCGGCTCACTGCAAGCTCCGCCTCCCGGGTTCACGCCATTCTCCTGCCTCAGCCTCCCGAGTAGCTGGGACTACAGGCGCCCGCCACCACGCCCGGCTAATTTTTTGTATTTTTAGTAGACACGGGGTTTCACCGTGTTAGCCAGGATGGTCTCCATCTCCTGACCTTGTGATCCGCCCGCCTCGGCCTCCCAAAGTGCTGGGATTACAGGCGTGAGCCACCGCGCCCGGCCAATTTTTGTATTTTTAGTAGAGATGGGGTTTCACCATGTTGGCCAGGCTGGTCTCGAACTCCGGACCTCAGGTGATCTGCCCACCTTGGCCTCCTAAAGTGCTGGGATGACAGGTGTGAGCCACCACACCCGGCCAAGCTCATGCACTTCTTTTGGAATCATTCCTGTTAAATTATTCAGGGCGAGCGAAAGCACCCCTGCTCACAGCCTGTCTAAGCTCGTGGCGGTTTTCGAAACCTGCCAAAGAGAGTCCATCAGGCTGCCCAGCCATACTGACACACTCATCTGGGCTGGAGCAGGTTGTGTTACCTACCCAGAGCTGGCCCCCTGGGCCTCGGGCACTCATCCTTCCTTGCTGACCTTCTCTGGCTGTGGCCCAGGGACTCCTGTGACCCTCAGCCATGCCAAGAAGGTTCACTGAGGCGGCCGGGTGGTTTGAGATGGAGCAGCTGGTAGAGGCATGCACACATGCTTCTGCTCATTACAGAACGGTTATTGAGCCTCTGCCTGGAGCCGGGGGAAGGCTAGACCCAGGGGGTCCCCACGTGGATAAGCCAGGCTCCGCTGGGGATGACCCCGCACAGACCTTACTGTAGCTGGACAGCCCTGCCTCAAACAGGCCCGCGCCCAGAAGCTTTGCGCTAGAGTGTGTTCGGTTGTTGTGGTGACACATGGGTACCTGGACAGAGAAATGTCCACACAGGTGCTCACACACACAGTCTCCCACTTGGAACTGTTCCCTGCGTGAGACACCTGCACGGCCTTTCCGTGGGTTGGAGGCGGCCTCTGTGCACATCCCTGGAACCCGCCTCTGAGAGGTCTCTCCTGCTGGCTTGGAGGCACGGAACGGGGAGGGCACTGAGCCTTTGCTGTGTCCCACGTCCCCCTGAGTGAGTTTGCAGCCGGCACTAGGCGATTCCTCCCTCGCCCCTCCAAGGGGAACGACTGAGAGCCAGAGAAGGGGAGGAGGTGGGAAGCCGAGGGGTTTTTCACTGTAGCAGCTTCTCCAGCAGCCGTGGGCGCCAGCCTGCCTCAGGTTGGAGTGACGTGGAAGAATCGTGGTGGGGAGGCTTTCCTAACACCCACCGTGTCCTCTCCATTACATACCTCCGGTGATGGTGAGCTCTGCGCCTTCCAGCAGCCCGCCTGTCCTGCGCCTCCCTGGGCACCGATGGGGCTGCTGTGGTGTCTGTTTGTCCTGAGAGTGGCCCTCAGTGTGGGGCATGTGTCACCGTGTCGCTTTGGGGGAAGGTGGGGGGCTGCAGTGAAACAAATCCTACTGAAGTGGGTGGTGTAGTTTCAAAAGGACGGCGGGATGGCAGGATCACATCTGCCCCTGCAGGGCAGGCCCAGTGAGGTCCAGCGCACGCCAGGGCCCCTTCAGCTCCTGCATTCTCTCCCAAGAGGACCCAGCGTGGGGCTGTCCCTGATCCCTGGTGAGATAACAGTTCGATCTCACCTGGAAAAAGTGGCGAGAAAGGGAAGGGACCCCTGGCCTGTGCATGTGGTGATGTGATGTGCACGTGTGACCATGTGTGTGTGTCTGTGTGGTGTGCATGTGTGTGCATGCATGTGTGACCATGTACGTTTGTGTTAACGAGTCCAGCCCCAGGTTGCTCAACACTGTAACACTGTTTTTCAATAATTTCCCATTACTCCTATGGTAAGAGTCACACTTGGCCGGGCGCGGTGGCTCACGCGTGTAATCCCAGCACTTTGGGAGGCCGAGGCAGGCAGATCAATTGAAGTCAGGAGTTCAAGACCAGTCTGACCAACATGGTGAAACCCCGTCTCTACTGAAAATATAAAAGAAGTAGCCGGGCATGATGGTGCATACCTGTAATCCCAGCTACTTGGGAGGCAGAGAATCGCTTGAACCCAGGAGGCGGAGGTTGCAGTGAGCTGAGATCGCACCACTGCACTCCAGCCTGGGTGACAGAGCGAGACTCTGACTCAAAAGAAAAACAGAGTCACATTGGTTCTGGGTTGGGCTAACGGGTTGCACCATTTCAGGGGAAGCATTTCGCCAAAGTCTCTCAGGCCTCTCCCCTGCCCCTCACCTCGGACTCCCCTACAGAGTCTGGTGGGGAAGGTGTCAGCCAGGCGCTTCCTGCCGGTTCACTCATCACTTAGTTCACTGCTACCCCCCTGTAGAAATGCACGCAGGCACTTTGGGTTTTTGTTTTCCATAAATGTCTCCTTCTCATAGCCACCAGGTTCCCCCTGATTTCCAGAGTCACAAGACCTAGAGGGTCTCTTCCAGGAGGAGGCTGGTGCTGGAGGTATGGCCGGGCTGGAAGTGGCTCTCACTCCCCTTTCCTAGAAGGCTGTATTTAGGGCTGGTGCCCCACAGAGGGGCCTGGGTCCTGTCACCGAGATAAGACAGCAGCCACTTAGATGCACTGGGGAGGGGCGATGACAGGGCCATGTGGTTTTTGTCAGGGGCTGGGGAACGGTGAGGGGAGGCTTGGTTTGCCTTTGCAGGAGGGGTAAGTGTTAAACCCGCGCAGAGCCCGGGGAGGGCTGGCCTTCCTTGCTTTCTCCCTTCCTCCCGTTACATTTTAGGTTGGGGCATCTTTGCTGAGGGAGGCGTCCGTGGTTGCAGGGCGATGAGCAGTGTCCCTGGCTCCTGTGCCCCCACCCCCAAGTTGTAACAACCAAAGATGTCTGCAGACATGGCCAGATGTTCCCTGGAGGCAGACCTGCCCTCTATTGAGAGCTGCAGTATTGGACCTGGCTGCCTGGACTCGGCCACACGAGCCCCTGCCCACTGGGACCATATGGCTGAGTACCTGCCCCAGGCCCTCAGGCCTGATCCACAGTGGCGACATTTGTTTCTCCTGGGCCACTCTCGGAGGGGCTGGGTGCCTGGCAAACCCAGGGTCTCAGGGATGGTGACGTGCAGAGTCTTGGCATTCATGCGTTCCTGGAGACAGGGACATCACCGTGGCTTTGGATGCGCACTTTGTAAAGAGGCACCCTAGAGAGTTTGTAAAGCCGCCGAGGTTTAGCCAGGAAGGTTCAGGCTAAACAAAGCCTGGGAACACCACCCCAGCACTCACTGGGCTTTTGACTGAAAAACAGCCCATCCAATGTCTGGTATACAGTAGGTGCTTATTAAATACCTGTGGAAGGGTTGGTGCCCTGAGGAGAGGAGGCCCCTCTGTGGGTCTTAGCTCCTATGCGTCTGCAAGACTCCCGAGTGGGGTCCGTTTTCTTTGTGTGTGTGTGGGAGGGTGGTGTGGGGATGGTGTGGCCGTCCAGGAGTGTGGATGTGGCTTGAGCGACAGAGGAACCTGCAGCCCTGGCCACCTGGCGGCGTGGTGGGCTGCCCTCCTGCCCCCAGTGCTGCGATGGAGCTGGCAGGCGGGTGGCAGGTCTGTGTTGTCGCTGAGTGCCAGCTCTGAGTTTGCATTTGTCGTCCCGCCTTGTCACTCAGGACAGGTAGCAGGACTCGGCCTCCCCGATGACAGCCAGGGGTGTGCGGGCCGCAGGGACTGTTGTGTGCACGCGGGAAGCGCCGCTGCCTTCCTCTGCCGACGGGGTGCCGTGAGTTCTGTCCTCCCTTGTCCGCAAACCTCTTTGTGGTTGTTTTCATTTGAAATATTTTTCTTCCGCTATGACTCTGACTTGAAAATAACTCTTATCTTAGCACAGTGGAGGTGAAAGGATTGCTTTTCCTCTTTTTACATGGGAATAACTCACTGCCACTTAACTGGGACTTCCCTTCCAGTGGATTCCCAATGACAGAGTCACCGTGGGAAACCTTCATTGTATGTGGTCTGGCTAAAAGCAAAACAACCCCAAACCTTTTTTCACCAGCCTAAAACTAGAAAAGTTATTGAACTTTAAAGACGTGTTTGAGCATTTCCAATTCAAAGAGAAAATAAACTTGAATGGTTAGTTGCTCACAGCCAGTTTCATCCTTCAGTTTACTGCTTACACTTAAAAAATCAGTAACCTTCAGTTTGATCATAGAGGCACCGTTGACAGCCCTGTTGTCCCCTGAGCTGAGTGAGTCCCGGAGGGGCAGCACCCCCTCCTGCCCTGGGGACTCGGGTGACGTCCAGCTACGTTCCATAAGGGGCCACTGACAGAGTTTAGCATTAACACCAAAAACACAGAGGGATGTTGTCACTGGTGTGAACTGTTTGAAAGACATAAAATAGTCGGGCACGGTGGCTCACGCCTGTAATCCCAGCACTTTGGGAGGCCGAGGAGGGTGGATCACCTGAGGTCAGGAGTTCCAGACCAGCCTGGCCAACATGGTGAAATCCCGTCTCTACTAAAAATATAAAAAAATTAGCCAGGCATGGTGGTGGGCACCTGTAATCCCAGCTACTTGGGAGGCTGAGGCAGGAGAATTGCTTGAACCTGGGAGGTGGAGCTTGCAATGAGCTGAGATTGTGCCACTGCACTCCAGCCTGGGCAAGAGAGCGAGACTCCATCTCAAAGAAACAAAACAAAACAAAACAAAAAACCACGTTAATATCTGTTGGTTCCCAACAGTGACCTATAATGTTGGTTGAAAGATGTTTGGGGATCTGTTTAAATCATACTGAGTAGCGTCTCTCATGGTTTTAGAGAATATACTGACAGAGAATGTATCGTTCTTTTGTTTTGAGGGTTTAAGTGGCAGAAGTGTTTTCAGAGGTGTCAGATATATACAGACTGAGAGGTCAGCTCGCCCTGCGCCCCTTCCCTGCCGTGCTGTCCTTGCAAGACTTGGTGTCCATCTTTGTTTTTGTTGTTGTTGCTGTTGTTGTTGTTTGAGACAGGGACTTACTCTGTTGCCCAGGCTAGCGTGCAGTGGTGCAATCATGGCTCACTGCAGCCTCGATCTCCTGGGCCCAAGCGATCCTCCCACCTCAGCCCCTCTGCGTAGCTGAGAACACAGGCACATGCCAACACACTCGACTTATTTCTTTATTTTATTTTTTTTGGTAGAGATGAGGTCTCACTATGTTGCCCAGCATGGTCTTGAACTCCTGAGTTCAGGTGGTCCTCCTGCCTTGGCCTCCCAAAGTGCCGGGATTTCAGGTACGAGCCACTGCACCTGGCCTGAGTGTCCATCTTTGCGAAAGAGTCAGATTCTCGAATGCCTATGATAGGTTTGAACAAGACAAGCAAGGGTGGGAGGGATTGACCTTATTAGTCTTGAGACATACCTTAAAGCCATGGTGATTGAAACTATGTGGTTTTAGGGGCAGGAAGAGACAAATAAAGCAATGGAACAGAAGAGAGAGTGCAGATGCAGACCAAATACCCTGTGGGAATTGGGTGGGCTATAGCATGCATCATAAATCCTGGGGAAAGAATTTTGTAAATTATGTTGGGATAACTGGCTTCAGCTATATGGAAAAAAAAAAAAAAGGAAATTGGGTCCTTCCTCTAAATGCATCAGAGACCTACGTGTCAAAGGTAAAATTATATAGCCAAATGAAAGATTTCATAAAGAAGGCTTAAAAAGTGCAAAGTGGTTGGGCATTGTGGCTCACGCCTGTAATCCTAGCACTTTGGGAGGCTGAAGTGAGAGGATCAGTTGGGCCAGGAGTTGGAGCCCAGCCCGAGCAACATAATGAGACTCTGTCTCTACAGAAAAATATGAAAATTAGCTGTGTGTGGTGCCACAGGCCTGTAGTCCCAGCTACTCAGGGGGCTAAGGTGGGAGGATCACTTGAGCCCAGAAGGTCAAGGCTGCAGTGAGCTGTGATCATGCCACTGCACTCCAGCCTGGGCAACAGGGCAAGACCTCATCTGTTTTTGTTTGTTTGTTTGTCTTTTGAGATGGAGTCTTGCTCTGTCACTCAGGCTGGAGTGCAGTGGTACAATCTCAGCTCACTGCAACCTCCACTTCTCGGGTTCAGCCCATTCTCCTGCCTCAGCCTCCTGAATAGCTGGGATCACAGACAGCTGCCATGAGGCCCGGCTAATTTTTGTATTTTTAGTAAAGACAGGGTTTCACCATGTTAGTCAGGCTGGTCTCGAACTCCTGACCTCAAATGATCTGCCTGCCTTGGCCTCCCAAAGTGCTGGGATTACAGGCATAAGCCACTGTGCCCAGCCTGTTTTTTTGTTTTGTTTTGTTTTTAAAGTGCAATCTGTAAGGAAAAAAAGTAGATAGATTTGACTATATCAAAATTCAAAATTTTTCTTTGACCAAGGACACTGTATAGATAAAAGATAGGTGATATACTAGAAGAAAATGTTTGCAATATCTAAAACTGATGTGATGAATAACTAGAATAAAGTAATGCATGTCTAAAGATCAGCAAGAAAACGGCAAAACATCCACTAGAAAACGTGAAGCTGGCACAAGTTTGCAGCTGGAGGAAGGTGAAGCAAGCGTGGCTAACACACACGATAGGGGAGGCTAGCTTCACTGATGCCGTTGCCACCCACAGCTGGCTCTGGCTGCAGAGGAAGCTGGACAAAGATTTCGGCTTTGCACCCTCTAGTACAAGGCAAAGAAGTTGTGAGGGTTGCTGATAGCTAATCCAGAGGCTGCCACCCGTACACATATATGTTATTTAAAAAACAACAGTTCATGGCCGGGCAAGGTGGCTCACACCTGTAATCCCGGCACTTTGGGAGGCCGAGGCGGGCGGATCACGAGGTCAGGAGATTGAGACCATTCTGGCTAACACGGTGAAACCCCGTCTCTACTAAAAATATAGAAAATTAGCCAGGTGTGGTGGCGGGCGCCTGTAGTCCCAGCTACTCGGGAGGCTGAGGCAGGAGAATGGCATGAACCCGGGAGGCGGAGCTTGCAGTGAGCCGAGATCATGCCACTGCACTCCAGCCTGGGCGACACAGTGAGACTCCATCTCAGAAAAAAAAAACACAGTTCATTTCCCCATAATAAGAAACCAATGATGTTAAAGTCAAAGTTATGAAAGTTAGTTTACTCTGGCCTGCAGCCATGACCGAATGCCTAATGCAGGACAGCCGTCTCACCAATATGGGGAACAAGTAAGTGCAGAGAAAGGGCCAAGCTTCTCTCTGCTTTGTGTGGCCATGGGTTTCCAATCTGTTGGCAGATGCTCTGGTGGATGGATAGGATCATTTTCTTTTTTCATTGTCATTGTCCTTGGGAACCCACTCTAGTGTATTAATGAATACCATTCCAACTTACCTTTCATATATTTGGATTCATATGTATCCTTAATACATAAATAATATTTTGTATATGTTTAATTTACCTAAGTGGGATTGAGCTATAAAGCTCATTGTTCCTTTTGTAACTCACATTACATTATTTATTTATTTATTTATTTACTTATTTATTTTAAAAATAGAGACAGGGCCTCACTATGTTGCCAGACTGGTCTCAAACTCCTGGGCTCAAGTGATCCTCCCACCTCAGCCTCCCAAAGTGCTGGGATTACAGCCATGAGCCACCACACCTGGCCTCACATTATGTTTTTGACACCTACCCATGGTGCTCTAGTCAGCTCATTGCTTTTGACTGATTCATAGTTTTCCATTATATGCCTATACTACATATTCATTTCCTTAAGCACAGACACTCAAATTGGGTACAGCTTCTTCCTACTAAAATGGTGACACAATGAACCTGTTGAGGGCTTGTGCAGAGTTCTCGGAGGCATTCTTCCAGGAACGGAGCTGCTGGATTACAGAGCATATGTGCATGTCATTTCCTGGTGAGCATGGCTGGACAGCAGCTTCCTCAGAAGCCTCGTGTGCCTGTGTGCCCCTCAACACCTTTAGGCTCTGCTTTAGTCCATTTCTTGTTGCCACAGCAGAATACCTGTGGCTGGTAATGTATAAGGAAAAGAGGTTTATTTATCTCATGGTTCCACAGGCTGAGAAGTTCCAGGGCACGGCCCTGGCTTCTGGTGAGGGCTTCTGTGCTGCGTCATCACATGGCAGAAAAGGTCAAAGGGGAAGCAGACAGGTGCAAAGAGGGAAACCTGAGGGGTGCCCTGGCTTTATAGCAGCCTACTGTTCTTGGAAACCAATCCATTCTCGATCTGGTCTTGCCAGAACGAGAACTCATTTACTACGGTGAGCACAGTACCAGCCATTCATGAGGGATCTGTCCCCATGACCCAAACACCTCCTACTAGGCCTGCCTCCAGCACTTCCCCTTTGGGGATCAAATTCCAACATGAGTTTTAGTGGGGACAAACAAACCCCATCCAAACCATAGCACTGACTGTGCTGCTCTCCTCACCCCTCACTGACCCAGGATAAGTCTCCCCTGGAGACACTTTCAAATCAAAAGGCATTGCAGTGGAGTGGAGTGTTATAGGAATGCAGCCATAGAAACTCTGTAGCTGTCTTTTGTGAGCAGCTGTGAAATGGACAATTAAATGATTTCCCCAAGGTCACAACGTATAGATTTGAAATTGCCCCTCTATCTAATCAAAACTCAAGAAACAGGTTTTCTAGATATTGATTTGCCAGAGACTTGGATGAGAAATATTTTTTTTGTTCTCATTTATTCATAAGTAAAATTTGGCTACTCTGTGTTAGGTATTTGATTAGGCGCTGGATATGTTGCAATAGACAAAACAAATCCATTTCATGGATTTATAAATAAATGATTTCATGGAGTCAAGAGTCTAGCAGGCAATCAAAACAAAGATGTGGCTGGGTGCAGTGGTTCATGCCTGTAATCCAAGCACTTTGGGAGGGCAAGACAGGCCAGAAGTTCAAGGCTGCAGTGAGCTATGATCACACTACTGCACTCCAGCCTGGGTAACAGAGGAGACCTTATCTCTTAAAACACACATACATGCACACGCACATGCACACGCACACACACAGATATAATCACTCAAAAAACATATACAGTCATGCATCGTTAATGATGGTGATATGTTTTGAGAAATCCATGATTAGGCAATTTGTCATTGTTGGAACATCCTAGAGTGACTTACACAAACCTAGATGGTATAGTTTACTACACACCTAGGTTATATGGCATAGCCTATTGCTCCTAGGTTACATACCTCTACAGTATATTTCTGTATACTGAATGCTAAAGGTAATTAGAACATAACGGTAAATATTTGTGTGTCTAAACATATCTCAACACAGAAAAGGGGTTCACTCACCTCCCTTTCTGCCTCCGCTGCTGCCATGGCTCCTGTGAAAAACCTTGTGGTGAAGGGGGGCAAAAAAAATAAGCAGGTTCTGAAGTTCACTCTTGATTGCACCCACCCCGTAGAAGATGGAATCACAGATGCTGCCAATTTGAGCAGTTTTTGCAAGAAAGGATCAAAGTGAATGGAAAAGCTGGGAACCTTGGTGGAGGGGTGGTGACCATCGAAAGGAGCAAGAGCAAGATCACTGTGACATCCGAGGTCCCTTTCTCAAAAAGGTATTTGAAGTATCTCAACAAAAAATATTTGAAGAATATTGGCTGCGCATAGTTGCTAACAGCAAAGAGAGTTACGAATTACATTACTTCCAGATTAACCAGGACAAAGAAGAGGAGGAAGACAAGGATTAAATTCCATTTATCTGAAATATTTTGTATGAGTTCTTGAATAAAACTTGGGAACAACAACAAAAAAAAACCACACAGAAAAGAAACAGTAAAAATACAATATTGTATTCTTGCAGGGCCATCATTGTATATATGGTCTGTTGTCCAAAATGTCATAATGTACATGACTGCAACTACAAGTTGTTTTATGTGCTATGAAAAAGAAGCACATGTGCTCATTTGGAATGGGGGGTGAGGGAAATTCACTCTCAAGAGGTGAAATGTAAGCCAGTCTCAAAGATGACAACACACCAACCAGGTAGAGAGCAGTGGGCAGTCGGTGGGGCAGGAAGAGCATTCTGGTCAGACAGAACAGCATTGTGTGAAGATCCAGGGATGAGAGAGAATGAAGCAAAGGCAGGCACTGCAAGAAGGCCATTGCAGCTGGTGCAGAGGGGAAAGTTGCAGAAGGTGCGGCTAGACAGATAGTTGGGGAAAAGATCTACCTGGCTTGTTATGTATTTTGGATTTTACACTGTGTATAATGGGAGGTCATTGGAGGGATTAAAAGATGACTCTGGCTCCTAGGTAGAGAATACTTTGAAAAGGTCAGTAATAGGAGATTAATTTAGTTGTTGTAGAAGTTGAAATGAGAGTTGATGGTGGCTTGGACTAGAGTTATAAGGGAACAGGTAGAAAGCAGTAGAGGGATTTTAAGTATATTCTGGAGGTGAAATCAACAGAACTTGTAAATGAATTGGATGTTGAGGATGCAAAACAGGGAGGTGTCCAGAATGACTCCCAGGTTTCTTGTATCAAGAGTTGGGTAGAAAGAGATGTCATTTCCTAAAATGGAGACTACTGAGAGAGAAGCAAACTGTGGGAGGATGAGTTAGAGTTCTCTTTAAACTATGTTAAGTTAAAGGCATCCAAATATAGGTGGCAACCACAGGCAGTCAGATAATATGGATCTGGAGTTCAGAAGAGAGTCTGATTAAAATATGAATTAATCTGTAAGTAAGTGGTATTTAAAGCTGTGGAAATCAGCAGATTAACCAGGCAGTGAATGTACATGCAGTGAGGAGAAATGAGGGCTTAGAATGGAAACTGGAGGAACTCCCAACATTTAGAGGTCAAGTAAAGGAGGAGGAATCAGCAAATTTGACTGAGGACTGGCCAGACATGTGGAAGACAAAGAGTATGGTGTCGCAGAGGCCAAGATGAAGCTACCATAGGTCAAAGAAGATGGAAATCATTGGGGTCATGGGTTGGGCAACATGGAGGTCACCAAAGACCTTGCTGATAGCTGTTTTTGAGCATGTAAGCCAATGTTGAAATGGATTAAAAAGAAGGTATTTATATTTCTGGCAATATATGGGATTAATTATCCCAGAAAATCTTTCTATGTAAAGTGCCTGGAAATGTTGGATAAATATAAGAAATCATTTTTTTGAATGCATAGCTGAGTACCCAGGAAAATAAAGGAAGTCTCTAGGGCTGGAAGAAAAAGGGATACCTTGAAACCTCAGGATTGTAGCTGATTCTGAAACTAGAACCGCCCTAGAGGCATTGGCCAGTCTTGGAAACTGAGAAACTTAAGTTTAGCAGCTGTCCAAGAAGAGACAGAAAGCTCTTGGGACCTTAAAAGGTAGGGAGTTAGAATTGAGACCCCTCCAAATACAATTGGAATCCTCAAAGGGTGACACATTGAGTGAAAAAATGGAGTAAGAAGAATCTGCTACCTGGTGAAAGGAGATGGCAAAGGAAGTTCTCTCTCTTGACTTGGGTGGGAAAAACTAAAGACTGTTCCTTAAAAATGAAAACCACATGTCCTCTTACATGTATTTGGGGTTCAAAGTTGCACCATCTAGATGTTGTGGATAATCCCTGGATAAGAAATTACACTGACTGCAATTCTATAGTGTACAAGAACATCTACTGGAAACAAAGCAAATCCTCTTTGGAAGGACACAGCGTCTACACAGGCATTCCAAGCTTCACCAGAAATGAGCTCACAATCCAAAATTACAAGACCCAAGAGGTAATACCACTCTGAGTTCTTGGATAACAACAAACTATACAGTTTCTCAAGAGCATTCGGAATTAGAATAATTAGTTATAGAGTACTAAATAAGTATGTTTAACACGTTTAAAGAAATAAAAGGTAGGGGGAAAAACATGAAAGAACAGAATGCCATCTAAAAGGCAGAGAAGCTTGGAAAAGAACAAAATAGTGAAATATAAGTATTTAAGTGGATATTTCAATGATGCTTAAACAGCAGACTAAATACAACTGAAGAGAGGACTTGGAGGTAATCTGGCATCACCCAGAAAGACACACGGCTTAAGAGACATGGAGGACAGAGTGAGAAGGTTGACAACGTGTCTAGATGAAGAGAATCAGGAGACAAGTGGGAGAACATATTCCCAGGAAGTGCCCAAGAAGCTTCTGGAGATCATAAAAAGCATGACTTCTGATTCGGGAATCATAGTGTATCCTGGGTAAGATTATATTTTTTATTTTTTATTTTTATTTTTAATTTTATTTTTTTTTTTGAGACAGAGTTTCACTCTTGTTGCCCAGGCTGGAGTGCAATGGTGTGATCTTGGCTCACCGCAACCTCTGCCTCTCAGGTTCAAGCAATTCTCCTGCCTCAGCCTCCCGAGTAGCTGGGATTACAGGCATGCACCACCACGCCCGGCTAATTTTGTATTTTTAGTAGTGACGGGGTTTCTCCATGTTGAGGCTGGTCTCCAACTCCTGACCTCAGGTGATCTGCCCGCCTCGGCCTCCCATAGTGCTGGGATTACAGGCGTGAGCCACTGCGCCCAGCCTGGGTAAGATTATTAAAGAGAAATCTATGCCTGGACACACAGTGGTGGGATCACAGGGCACTAGGGACAGACACTTTTATAGCTGCCATAAGAAAAGACAGACGAGCAGTAGTTCACCTAGCTGCGGAATTCTCAACGGGAACCAGAGGACAGCAGTATCGCGCCCTTAAAGCATGGCCAGAACACAAATGTCGACCTCGAAATGCTGCCCCAGCTAAACCAATGTCCAGCAACGGCCCAAGAAACAAGACAGAAGCTGCTTTCCACCGCGGGTTCCCACCACGAAGGGGTCTTTGGACTTCCAAAGGGTGCACGCTAGGGTGAAGAGTGCTGAGGGTGCCCCCAAAAAGGATGCACATCTGCGATGTCAAGGGACTTGGAGAGCAAAGAATTAGATGGGTAAAGTTGGGCAAATATGTAAAATAGTGGCAATAAAGGGTTGAGTTTGGCCGGTCATCAACAACGTGAATCCTGCCCACCCCCATGTATAGCCCCCCGCGCAGCGGTAGGAGCCCCAGCCCAGAACGCTGTGGCTCCCGTGAGCCCTCGCGCTGGCGGCGGGTGCGCAGGCGCCCGCGCGTGTACGGTAGGTTCTGGAACGCAGCCGCTGAGGGGTCTGGCGCCATGTTGGGGCTGAGGGGAAGGAGGAGAAGCTCCTGAAGCGGCGGGCGCGCAGCGGGAGTGGGAGTGGGGTCGGACCAGGGCAGCTAGAAGCCCTGCCCTTCCGCCTCAGCGGATCATGACCCGGGCGGCGGCCGCGAAGGTCGCGGTGGTGGGGGACGTGCCCTGGCGGGGCGGGCGCTGAAAGATGATGCCGTTTCCGGTGACAACCCAGGGACCACCGCAGCCGGCGCCGCCGCCGAATCGCTACGGCGTCTCCTCGCCTATCAGTCTAGCGGTCCCCAAGGAGACGGACTGCCTCCTCACCCAGAGGCTAATAGAAACCCTCAGGCCCTTCGGGGTCTTCGAAGAGGAAGAGGAACTGCAGCGCAGGATTTTAGTTTTGGAAAAATTAAATAATCTGGTAAAGGAATGGATACGCGAAATCAGTGAAAGCAAGAGTCTTCCCCAGTCTGTAATTGAAAACGTTGGAGGAAAGATTTTTACGTTTGGCTCTTACAGATTAGGAGTACATACGAAAGGCGCAGATATTGACGCCTTGTGCGTTGCACCAAGTCATGTGGATCGAAGCGACTTTTTCACCTCATTCTATGCTAAACTGAAACTACAGGAGGAAGTGAAAGATTTAAGGGCTGTCGAGGAGGCATTTGTGCCAGTTATCAAACTGTGTTTTGATGGGATAGAGATTGATATTTTATTTGCAAGATTAGCACTACAGACTATTCCAGAAGATTTGGACTTAAGAGATGACAGTCTACTTAAAAATTTAGACATTAGATGCATAAGAAGCCTTAATGGTTGCCGGGTAACCGATGAAATTTTACATCTAGTGCCAAACATTGACAACTTCAGGCTGACTCTGAGAGCCATCAAACTGTGGGCCAAGTGCCACAATATCTATTCCAATATATTAGGTTTCCTCGGAGGTGTTTCCTGGGCCATGCTAGTAGCAAGAACTTGTCAGCTTTATCCAAATGCAGTAGCGTCAACTCTTGTACGGAAATTCTTCTTGGTATTTTCAGAATGGGAATGGCCAAACCCAGTGTTACTGAAGGAGCCTGAAGAACGGAATCTTAATTTGCCTGTATGGGACCCAAGAGTAAATCCCAGTGATAGGTACCATCTTATGCCTATCATCACACCAGCATACCCACAGCAGAACTCCACATACAACGTGTCTATTTCAACCAGGATGGTCATGATTGAGGAGTTTAAACAGGGGCTTGCTATCACACACGAGATTTTGCTAAGTAAGGCAGAGTGGTCCAAACTCTTTGAAGCTCCAAGCTTCTTTCAAAAGTACAAGCATTATATTGTACTTCTGGCAAGTGCATCAACAGAAAAACAACATTTAGAATGGGTGGGCTTGGTGGAATCAAAGATCCGAATCCTGGTTGGGAGCTTGGAGAAGAATGAATTTATTACACTGGCACATGTGAATCCACAGTCATTTCCAGCACCCAAAGAAAATCCTGATATGGAAGAATTTCGTACAATGTGGGTGATTGGGTTAGGGCTAAAAAAGCCAGATAATTCTGAAATTCTCAGCATTGATCTCACCTATGATATCCAGTCTTTCACAGATACTGTTTATAGGCAAGCAGTGAATAGTAAGATGTTTGAGATGGGTATGAAAATTACTGCAATGCATTTAAGAAGAAAGGAACTTCACCAGCTGCTGCCTCATCATGTGCTTCAGGACAAGAAAGCACACTCAACAGAAGGTAGAAGATTGACAGATTTGAACGACAGCAGCTTTGACTTGTCTGCAGGCTGTGAAAACAGCATGTCTGTGCCTTCATCTACTAGCACTATGAAGACAGGCCCATTGATTAGCAGTTCTCAGGGTAGAAACAGTCCTGCCTTGGCTGTAATGACAGCATCTGTGGCTAACATACAGGCTACTGAATTTTCCTTGCAACAGGTGAATACCAATGAAAGTTCAGGGGTTGCATTAAACGAAAGTATTCCTCACGCTGTCTCTCAGCCTGCCATTTCTCCATCACCAAAGGCCATGGTCGCCAGAGTTGTTTCTTCAACATGTCTCATAAGCCATCCAGACCTTCAGGAAACTCAGCAACAAACATATCTAATCCTATAGTTGGAGTCTAGAGGATATTCTTGCCTCATAAAGAAGAAAGGACCAAGAAAACCAAAACGGAAGAGGAGAAACTCAATACAAAGACAAGTACAACTCCATTAGAAAAATTCAGACAGCATCTTCTCTATTGGCCTCTCAGGGAACATCAGTATAGATCTTTCCGGTATCCCTGTTCTCCCTGCAAATCCAATTCCTGTTATCAAGAATTCAGTAAAACAGGTTGAATGGTTAAAAACAACCTCAAGGGTCCATGAACAATATCTGCCAACTGAACCTGTTGTCTTCAAATACTAAGGAAGGAGAATGAGGGGTACGGGACTAGATATGACTTGAAATAGATTGAGGCTCATTTGGTAACTTCCTTTACTGAGCCAGTCTTGATCAGAAGTCCACATTAGTATGTGACAGCTAGAGGTACTGTTATTAATGTATCAGCAACAGTTACATTAACTATTTCAAAGGACTACTGCCCTTAAAATGAAAAAACCTTTCAGCTATGTTTGTACCCGTGACTGACATCTGGACTGGATTTATGCTTGATGCATTGTTGGGAAAATATGCAATACAAACTGGTATCAGAATTCCTTATACTGATGAGGCACTTTATATTTTTTATTAGAAAGTAGAACTAATTTTAGATTTTTCAAATTGGTGAATTTTATTTTTCCCTGAAGAGGTTTCTTCACTATTAATCTTAAAATTGGATACCATTGTGCAGCGGTGTACTGTACTTCAGAGAAAGCATAAAAGTACATCTAGCTCAGTCCCTATGAGGTAGCTGTAACCCTTTAAAATGAAATGTCAACTTTAAGGTATGTTTTTGACATCAACCATTAGTAGGTCTTTGGTTTTGATGGCACACTATGGAGAAAGGACACACTGGTTTTAATCTGTAGAACTGTTTTAGAGTAATTAGCAATCAAACATTTTCTTTGAGCTATCAAAGCTCCATATTCTCTTGTCCTCAATCATTAGTCCTAAAACAAAAAAGCTTTTTGCCTCCCTCTCTTCTCTTTGCCTGTATGCACACAGTATGCTTATGTGTCATTTCACAAGAAAAAAGGAATAATATTCTCTAAACCATGATGTGAAACTGACAATCCTGTGGCCACATGGCACAAAACACCAAATATTGGTTATGATGAAACACCACATTTTAGCAAAACTTTACTAAATGTAATGTCTATGAGATATGTTTCTGATCTTGGATGACCATTTGATCACTGCATATGAGAAGTTTTGTTCATTCCACAGAATACCTCCTTATAGGAAAGTTAATTTCCAATTGCACACATAAGCAAAAAGGCATTTTCTTCAAGAATTTTAAACACTTTTATTTTTAAACGATTTATCAAAATTCATCTCTAAATTTTACATGTAGAAACATAAAAAAGTAATTTCTAGCAAGCACTTGACATCTTACTGGCTTTCTGCTCTTTTAGTCTACAAAAGATCAGCAATACTTTAAGTTAAAAAAAATCTCATAATTAAGCAGTAGAGCATCTATGATTAGGAAATGTGAGGGGCAACAGATGTGAATGAATGAAAGTTGAGTCTTTCTTAATCTAGACAGCAAACTTAACAGGCTTTCCAATTAGCCTTGCTTTAACCCCTCCCGTCCCTCCTCTAACTCTGCACTTTTCATGTTAAACTGCAATTACTTAAACTCTTTTCCTGTCCTGCATTAATTTTCCAAAGTTGGAATATAGTCATGTCCTTTTATGCTGTAGAGACTTTTCTTTCACCATTACTTTCTGATATCTAGTACACAGTATTTCTTTTTCTCACATCTTTGCCGTTTCACCACAATAATAAATCGGGTGAAGTGTGCACAATATCTGTATTTTGAATGGCTATGGCGTTAGGTTGAAATGGCCAGGCACAAATTTAGTCTGGTCATTTTGTTTACACATTGGGAAAAAAATTAGTTTATTAAACATTACCTGTAACTGTGTCTGTTTTACCAAGCTGGAACCTTGGGACTTTTTATTTCTAATTTTTATTACCTGAATGTCAGACCATTTTTTCATGTGATGTACCTAGTGAGTGGAGTTTGCTTTGTTTTATGGTATCTGTACTCCTGGTATATTCAAGCACTGTTTTGAAAACAGATGACTTATTTCTCCATTAAAAATGCAATAAAAATAAATGGCAAACAAGCAAAGTGAAACTAAAATACTGGACAATAGTACGATTTAAATCTAAGATATGAATTCAGATGTACTTACATTGTTCTGAAGGAGGGTAGAGTCACTGATGAACCTTTCGATCTTACTAAGTCTAGAACGTAGTAATGTTTAGGGAAACATGAAAAGGTTAAAATTTCAAGTAAGTAAAAGTAAAAAATGAAGTTAAGCTGAATCCAGAAGAAGGCAGGAAAGAAAGGGGGAAAGCATACAAAAAAATAGAGTAAAAAGAAAACACGATCTATGGTCATGGAAATGAAACCAAGTATAACTGTCACTACAATAAATGGACCAAACTTCCTGATTAAAAAAGGCAGAGATGGTCAGATTCCACGGGAAAACCAAGTCCAACTGTATGCTGTTTTACTTAAAAGAGACACAACCAAAATAAAAGAATGGAAAAAAGGCACGCTAATGAAAAGAAGCTGGGATAATAACAACATTATTCAAGTAGGTGTCAGAGCAAAAATAATTATTAAGGGCAAGAGCACCATGCATTAATGATAGAAGTCCTACAGCATCAGGAACATTTAATGATTTAAAACTTGTCTGCACCTAATAACTCAGCCTCAACATAAAATAACAAAGATGAACAGAAATTGTTAAATGTGTCATTATCATAGAAGATTTCAAAACAGCCTTTCATTAATTGATATCAAGCAGATAAAAATAGAAGGGAAACAGTTTTTGAACACAGTCCGGTGTAGTGGCTGGTGGACTTTTCGCATTAAGGACCAGATAGTAAATATTTTCAGCTTTGTGAAGCCATCCGGTCTCTGTCACAGCTACTTAACTCTGCCTTTGTAGAGGGCAATCAGTCATAGACAATATGTAAACAGATGGCCAGGGCCGGATTTCTCACCCATCCCTATCAGCCATTGTTTGCCATGAATGATCTGGTGAATGTTTATTATAGAACCTTCCACCCCACAATTGGAAAATGCATGTTATTCTCAAATAAGCATTGGGCATGTACAAAAATTAACCTCTTGCTATATCAAAAGTAATATTTAACATACTTCAAAGTATCTGATTTATAGGACATGTTCTCTCACCACAGAACAGTAAGTTAGAAATTAAGTAACAGCATAAAGAAGACACAAAAAAGCTCAAGTCATGAAAGAAGAGATTGGTACAATTAAGAGATTTTGTTCATCAGATAATGAACCGTGAAAAGTAAAAAACTGAAAAACAGGCCCTAAGCTGGGAGAAGATTTTGTGATAAGATAAAACTGACAAATGATTACTATCCAGAATATATTAAGGGTGACAAAGGAAAAAGTCTGTTTTAAAGATCAACAGGCCGGGTGCGGTAGCTCATGCCTGTAATCCCAGCACTTTGGGAGGTCGAGGCGGGTGGATCGCTTGAGACCAGGAGTTCGAGATCAGCCTGGGCAACATGGCAAAAACCCATCTCTACTAAAAATACAAAAATTAGCTGGGTGTGGTGGCATGTACCTGTAGTCCCAGCATGTACCTGTCAGTCCCAGGAGGCCGATGCAGGAGAATCGCTTGAACCCAGGAGGTGAAGGTTGCAGTGAGCTGAGATCAAGCCACTGCGCTCCAGCCTGGGTGACGGTGAGAGTCTGTCTAAAAAAAAAAAGCTGGATTCAGTGGTTCATGCTTGTAAGCCAAGCATTTTGGGAGGCCGAGGCGAGCGGATCACTTGAGGCCAGGAGTTTGATTCCAGCCTGGCCAATGTGGTGAAACTCCACCTTTTGTATTTTTCTCTACTAAAAATACAAAAATTCGCTGGGCATGGTGATGCGCACCTGTAATCCTAGCTGCTTGGGAAGCTGAGGCATGAGAATCACTTGAACCCAGGAGACGGAGGTGTCAGTGAGCTGAGATCAGGCCACTGCACTCCAACCTGAGCGACAGAGCAAGACTCTGTCTCAAAAATCGAAAACAATAAAATCCCCAACAACCCAGTTTAAAAAATGGGCCAAAGAAGCGCATAAGCACTTCACGGAAGAGGAGCTAGGAACGGCCAATAAACATGAAAAGATGCCCAATCTCAGTAGTAACAAGGAAAATACAATATGAGACCAGAGAGGCATTTCTTTTTTTTTTTTTTTTTTTTTTTTTTTACAAAAATAAAAAAGTCTAACAGTGTCTAGGTATGGTGAGGATGAGGAGCAACGGAAACTCGAACGCGGTGCCAGTGAGAACATGGTGCAAATTGTTTTGGCCCCTTTGGGAAGCAGCTTGGTCTTATCTAGCACAGTTGACGGGCCCACACTCTGCGTTCCAATTAGTCTCCTCGTAGGTCTTCACCCTCATGCTGTGGGACACTGATGTACTTCATCTTACTGATCCCCTTAGTCTTTGGGGTGACCAGAGTCTGTGGGACCACAGCCGTGTCCAGAACTCTACACACCTTCTAGTTTACCTCCAGTGTGCCATTTAACTACCATAATTTTCTCTGGTATTTCTCGTGGTGGTAGAAAAGTCAGGAAGCATTTGAAAATGAGTATGAGAGTGTTTATGTCAACGTTTTGTAGTAGCCGAAAGTTCCAAACAATCCACATATCCATCAATGAGGGAATGGCTGGATGGTGGCATATTCATGCAATAAATACCATAAAGTTGTGAAATTAGACCGTAGCTGCCTGCGTCAGTGTTAGCTGTGTGTCATCATGTTGAGGGAAAAGCACAAAAATGCACACAGTGTGATACCATTTACATAAGGTTTCAAAATAAGCAAAGTAGAGCAGTGTAATTTAGGGTTCCAAAAATGTGTGGTGTAACTATAAATGAAAAAAGGCCATGTTAAACACGGAATCCAGGAAAGTGATTCCCTTTGGTGGGGTGAGAGGTGGGGACAGGCAGGAAGATGTGCTTGGGAGGGTTGATGTGACTCTGGAACTAGTGCATTCTTTTTAGGTTGGGTGGTGGATGAAATGGTGTTTATTTTGTTATTAGTCTAAGTTACAAATGCTTTCATATGTGTGAAATATAATTAAACAACCAATACCAAAGTGGTATCTTTTTGTTTTTGTTTGTTTGTTTGTTTTGATACGGAGTCTCGCTCTGTCGCCCAGGGTGGAGTGCGGTGGCGCCATCTCGGCTCACTGCAACCTTTGCCTCCCGGGTTCAAGTAATTCTCCTGTCTCAGTCTTCCGAGTAGCTGGGATTACAGGCGCCCGCCAACATACCCAGCTAATTTTTGTATTTTTAGTAGAGACAGGATTTCACCATATTGGCCAGGCTGGTCTTGAACTCCTGACCTCAGGTGATCTGCCTGCCTCGGCCTCCCAACGTGCTGGGATTACAGGCGTGAGCCACCGCGCCCGGCCCAAAGTGGTAACCTCTTTATCAACAATGACAAAAACCAAACACCACCCTCCCCAGAAACAAAAGCAAACAGAAAACCCCACCTAATGCCCCCTCATCAGTTTGGAATTGCATTTGGCCAGGTCAGAGTAGCTTGGGCACAATACAGCTTTCTTTCACCTAACAGTAAGTTCGGGGCTGGTAACGGTGGCTTTCCTGGTCACCAGGGACCAGGCTTTTTCTACTTTCGGCCCCATCATTCTAGTTCATGCCTTCTATCTTCAGGGTTACCTCAAGGTGCAGGATGGTTAATGGGGCCCCTGCCATCACATCTTCATTTAAGGCAGGAAGAAAGAAGGAAGACGGGGAATGGCAAAGGTGTACCTGCAAACTGCCCACCTATGGAGCTTTCGGAGAAGTCCCAACAGCGGCATCCCCTCATCTTTCACTGACTGCACCGTAGTCACATGGCTGTGCCTACCTGCAAGGGAGACAGGAAAATGTCTCTTTTCTTAGCTGGGTACATCACCTCACCAATAGCTTAGGGCTTATGCTATTAAGAGGAAGGAGAGAATGTCTAGTAAATGGCAATGATAGTCTTCTCTTTCACAACACACATATATTTAGAAGTTCAAAATCACTTCCAAATAACTTTCCATGTACACCCAGCGTATTTTTTTTTTTTTTTTTTTGAGACAGAGTTTCACTGTTGTTGCCCAGGCTGGAGTGCAGTGGCGTGATCTCGGCTCACCACAACCTCTGCCTCCCAGGTTCAAGCGATTCTCCTGCCTCAGCCTCCCAAGTAGCTGGGATTACAGGCACCCACCACTATGCCTGGCTAATTTTGTATTTTTAGTAGAGACGGGGTTTCTCCATGTTGGTCAGGCTGGTCTCAAACTCCTGACCTCAGGTCATCTGCCCGCCCTGGCCTCCCAAAGTGCTGGGATTACGGGTGTGAGCCAACATGCCCGGCCTACCCCCAGCATCTTAAAGTCAGCAGTGGCACATGGAATCTCCATCATTCTTTGAGTATTTGACTTCCTTTCTGCTATTTAAAAGGCCCATGTGTTTAGGTGAGGCCCACCTGGATAATCTCCCTTTTGATTAACCCAAAGTGAACTGATGAGAAAACTTATTTACATATCTGCAAATATCTCTTTTGTCATACAACAAAACATAATCTTGAAATGACACGAACAGTTCCCACTCACGCTCAAGGTTGGAGGGCGGGTTATGCAAAGCAGGGGTCACTGGGGGTCATCTTAGAATTCTGGCTGCCACAGCCTGCCCTCTGGCCTCCAGTGATCCATAGCTACACCCACATGCAAAATACACTCACCCCATCTCAAGGTCCCCCAGTCTCATCCTCTTATAGTATCACTTCAAGTCTAAAATCTCATCATCTTAATCTAAATCAGGTGTGAATGGGGCGTCTGGGTATAATCCATTAAGTACCACTCTTGGGGCGCTATTTCTTTCCATCTGTGGACCTGTAACACTAAAGACACAAATATCTGCCCCAGCCCTCCCAACTTGCAAGGGTGGGACAGGCATAGGGTAACAATCACTCTGGTTCAAAAGTGAGGGAAATGGGCCAGGCGCGGTGGCTCACGCCTGTAATCCCAGCACTTTGGGAGGCCGAGGCAGGTGGATCACATGAGGTCAGGAGTTTGAGACCAGCCTGGCCAATATGGTGAAACCCCATCTCTACCAAAAACACAAAAATTATCAGGGTGTGGTGGCACATGCCTGTAATCCCAGCCACTCTGTGCTATGTGGGCAACATAGCAAGACCCCCATCTCTACAAAAAATAAAAAATTAGTCAGGCATGGTGTCACACACCTGTGTTCCCAGCTACTCAGGAGGCTTAGATGGGAGGATTGCTTGAACCTAGGAGTCTGAGGTTGCAGTGAGCTTTGAACATGCCACTGCACTCCAGCCTGGGCAACAGAGCTAGACCCTGTCTCAATAAATACATAAATAAATAATAGGAGGAAACGGAAGGTAAAAAGGTGCCACTGGCCTGGCCCAAAGCATTTTTGAACTCTAGTGAGGCAAATTCCAGTGGAAGTTCTTTTGTTCCGTTCCAAGGCCTGGGGTAGTCTCTCAGCTCTGCCCTCTGTCCTCTTGGTGCCACCCTCTGGGATCTTGGCTTCATCCTCTGAGTCATCTTTCCCTCTGCATGGACGGTAGCATGTCTATCAGCCACTTCCTGTCTGTAGCCACCCCCTTCATTTTTCAGTGTCTCTGTTCCCTTCAGTCTAGGCCAGCCAGTGTTTCTGCTGGTATAATTTTCTGAAGAGCCTGTGGGCCGGATGAGGATTTCCTGAGAATTCACTCCAGTAGACAGAAGCCACATCCATAAATGTCTCTGAGATAATCCCTTCTCTACTTTCAGCTTCTGGTGAGATGGTGGAGGGACAGTGCTCTTGAACTTCCTTGAGGTCCTCTGTTTTGACTAAGAAAAATATATGAGGAACACCCTGACTCTACTGAGTCATTTATGTGGCCAGGTACCCTGACCTTTTGGTCTTCCTGGGTTTCAGCAAAGGGTTGTCCAGACCCACACTTGGTTTTTCCTCTGTGCCTCTCATCAGAAGCCATTTCTGACTTTTGGCATCTCTTGTCATCTGGGAAGGCTGCGCATTTTCAAACTTGTCCAGTCCTGGTTCTTTTTTTGCTGAACAGTTCTTTAATTTCTCTCTCTCCTGTTGCCTCTTAACCATAAGCAGCAAGAAGAAACCAGGCAGCACCTTCTACACTCTGCTTGGAAACCTCCTCAGCCATCTCTTCAGGTTCACCATTTGCAAATTCTGTTTCCAGCAATTGCAGGATGACATATTCAGTGAGCTCCCTGCCCTCACATCACAAGAACCCTCCTTCCTCCAGTTTCCAGTAACATGCCCCTCGCTTCCTTCTGAGCCTTCGCTGGCAGTCTTGTGAGCCATCTAGGTTTCTGCTGTTTGCAGCAATTTTGCCTTTCTCTGAGGTGATTTAGGAAAGTTCTCACTTTATTCTGAGAAAGAAGCAATGTCTTTACTGTGCACATTTCCTAGTAGCCTGTTCAAGGGAATCTAGACTTTCCCCATCCTGCTTCTCAGAGTCCTTCTAGCCTCCACCTATTGCCTGGTTACCAAAGCACCTTCACATTTTAGGTATTTGTTACAGTAGCACCCCATTTCCTGGCCCTAAAATCCGAACTTTTCTTTTCTTTTCTTTTTTTCTTTTTTTTTTTTGAGACGGAGTTTTGCTCTTGTCACCCAGGCAATGGCATGAGCTCGGCTCACTGCAACTTCCACCTCCCACATTCAAGTGATTCTCCTGCCTCAGCCTCCTAAGTAGCTGGGATTACGGGTGTGTGCCACCATGCCCGGCTACTTTTTCTTGCATTTTTAGTAGAGATGGGGTTTCACCATGTTGGCAAGGCTGGTCTTGAACTCCTGACCTCGGATGATCCACCTGCCTTGGCCTCCCAAAGTGCTGGGATTCCAGGTGTGAGCCACCACACTCGGCCCTGAACTTGTTTTCTATTGCTTGCAACTACAAGTGCAGCTTAAAACTATACTATTTAACTTACGTTTTCCACAAGTCAGGAGTCTGGGCACGGGAGAGCTGGACCCTCTGCCCAGGTCTCACACGGCTGCACTCAAGGTATCGGCTGGGCTGCGTTCCTTTCTGGAGCTCAGGGGCCTCTTTCAGACTCACAAGGTTGTTGGCAGAGTTCAATTCCTTGTGGTTTTAGGACTGAAGTCTCTGCATCTCTCCCCTTGTCTCTCTCTGGCTCACAGCCGTGGACCACTCTCAGCTCCCAGTGACTGTTGTCAGGTTGCCCCGTGATGCCCTGGAGAGCTGCCCTGGCATCACACACGTCTCACACCTCAAACCTCTCTGACTTCTCTTCCGTGACCAGCTGGAGAGAACTCTGGGCTTTGAAGGAGCACACGTAATTAGGTTCGGCCCAGCAAATAACCTCCATATCTCAAGGTCAGCTGATAGACAACCTTAATTATATCTGCAGAATCTCTTCTGCCATGCAGCATAATCACAGAGTGAGCCCAGGGGGCAGAGACCATGGAGCCATCTTAGAATTCTGCCCACCATAGTGACCTTCCATGCTTTTTCTGTGCTTATATTATTCTGCAGGGGACTTCTTACACATGTATATACATACATACAGGGTTCTTTCTGTCAAAGGTTTTTTTTTTTTTTTTTTTTTTAAAGGGATCGTCTGTGTAGTGTGGGTAAAAGGAATGAAGAAAAAAATAAAAAGAAAACAATGAGGGAATCATATACTTAGTTTTCTGTATTTTTCATACCAGATCCTCTCTGGAAAATACATCGTGTGTTATACCTCCAATTCATTCATCTTAATGGTTATGGAATATTCCTTGGTGTAGACGAAACACTCTATGTATTTGGGGATTGTTAGGAACAATTTTGCAACATACATTCCTACATATACTATATTTCACCAAGAAAAGATGTTATCAGTAGTAAGATCACCAGTGTTAACCACCATAAAAAATACAATTAAACTAGGACATAATACTTTCTTATTACCTAGGATTTTTATTTTTGTACTTAAGCTGTATTGTAGCTAAAGATTTATTTCAACACAGATTGTGATCTGTGTTCGTTTTGTGCGTACGCAGAAAGGTATGCAGGAGTGAAATGAATTAAGATTCTAAGTCTTTTCAAATGAGAGCCGTCCCTGTCCACACTCCCCACACAGTATCATTTTCTTTGTCCTCAAGAGGATTGGTGATGTGGCACCCCCTGCTGTCTCTAGTACATTCTTCCAAGCCACCTGCCATTCGGTCTGCAGGTTTGTTGCAGATAACAGCTGGAAGGCATGTTCATGCCTTGGATGGTCCTGAATGAACTGAAATGTTTCAGAACCTTGCCCCAGGCAACAAAAACCAAGCTGTAGCCTCACAGCTGCAGCCTGGCCGACATTCCACAGAATACAGGATGCCTTCCAGTTCCAGAGATGTTAGAAGATAAACAAGTGTGTTTAGGAGTTGATGGAATTGATCCCATCAACGTTCATTCATTCATTAATTCATTCTTGCAGTAGAATGAAAACTATGTACACTTAAATATTTTTACTTATTTTCACCAAAGTTATATATATATGTGCACAGTTAAAGCAATAGTTTCTCATTACCGATTAAAAGCAAAACAGCAGTTCTCTGCCATAGCCGTTCCTTCTTCCCAGTTTTGAACTCCCCATAACCACTTTCAACTGTGAACTCTTTCTTTCTGGCTTTTAATTCCCTTTTTTTTTTTTTTTTTGAGACAGAATTTCCCTCTTGTTGCCCAGGCTGGAGTGCAATGGCACGATCTCGGCTCACCACAACCTCTGCCTCCCAGGTTCAAACGATTCTCCTGCTTCAGTCTCTCGAGTAGCTGGGATTACAGGCATATGCCACCACGCCCGGCTAATTTTGTATTTTCATTAGAGATGAGGTTTCTCCATGTTGGTCAGGCTAGTCTCAAACTCCTGACCTCAGGTGATCTGCCCGCCTCGGCCTCCCAAAGTGCTGGGATTACAGGTGTGAGCCACCATGCCCGGCCTAATTCCCTATCTTTAACAAACGTATCCTACTATGTCTTGGTTTTTAAAAATTTCAGACATTTTCTAGTGACTTCCTTCAGTGGAAAATGAGAACTTAGGTCTTTTCACCACCCGCCTCTCCAAATTTCCAATTCCTATTGCCCGATCTTCTCAATAGAGCCATGTTTTTTTTTAAATTAATAATCAGGGTTTACCTTTTTATGATCATGTATAGCTTTTCACAACTAAAGATGGGTCTATACAAATATTGTTTTTCCTTCCTGTCCAACTTTTATTTTTCTTTGTAGTTAATTATTGTCCTTCTTGCTTGTCCATTCTTTTCCTTGCTACTTTTCATTATTTCCGCATTCCCTTAACACTCTGTTGTCTTCCCTCTTTTAAGATGTTCAGATATATTCGATATCTTATCAATTTCAGCTTCTTGGAGCTATCTTCCTTGTCTCTGTTGGACTGGGGGCTTATGACGTAAAGAAATGTCTTTGCTGGGTTTTTTTTTTAAAAAACTTTTATTATAAGAGGTATTTTTATACCATAAAATTACCTGTTTTTAGTATACAATTGAATGAATTTTTAGTAAATTTACAAAGTTGTGTGATCATCATCATCACAGTCCAGTCTTAGCAATTTTTTTTTTTTTTTGAGACGGGGTCTCACTCAGTCACCCAGTCTGTGCAGTCACCCAGGCTGGAGTGCAGTGGTGTGATCTCAGCTCACTGCAACCTCCACCATCTCCCAGGTTCAAGCAGTCCTCCCGATTCAGCCTCCCGAGTTAGCTGGGACTACAGATGTGTGCCACCATGCCTGACTAATTTTTGTATTTTTGGTAGAGACAGGGTTTCACCATGTCACCCAGGCTGGTCTCGAACTCCTGAGCTCAAGCGATCCGCCTGCTGCGGCCTCCCTAAGTGCTGGGATTACAGGCGAGAGCCACTGCACCCGGCCGGCACGTTTTCATCACCAAAAGATCCTTTGTGTCTATTAGCAGTCAGCCGGTCCCACCCCCAGACCCAGGCAGCCCCTGATCAGTTTTCTGGCTCTATACATTTGCTTTTTCCAGATATTTCGTATATATAGAGTCATACCTGTGTGTTTTTTTTTTTTTTTTTTTTTTTTTTTGCATCTAGCTTTTTTCACGTAGCATATTTTTGAGGCTCATCCATGTTGTAAGAGGTATCATCAGTATTTTGTTCCTTTTCATTGCTAAACAGTAGCCTATCGTATGGATAGATTTTGTTCATCTGTTCACCCGTTGATGGACATT
Source organism: Homo sapiens (assembly GCF_000001405.40). Classification (NCBI taxonomy): domain Eukaryota; kingdom Metazoa; phylum Chordata; class Mammalia; order Primates; family Hominidae; genus Homo; species Homo sapiens. The sequence goes on along the minus strand of NC_000007.14, from coordinate 4,847,594 downwards.
TGGATTATTTCTCCCTTGTTGACTATTCTGGATAATGCTGCTGTGAACATTTGTGCATAAGCATTTGCGTGGACGTGTATTTTTTACTTCTCTTGGGCATATACCTAGGAGTTGAACTTATGAGTCACAGGTAAATTCATGTGTAACATTTTAACAAACCGACAAGCTGTTCTCCACAATGGCTGCACCATCTTACTTTCCAGCAATCGTGTATGAGGGGTCCAGTCTTTCTGCACTCTTGATATTGTTTAACTTTTTTGTTGTTGTTGTTTGGTGAGACGGAGTCTTGCTCTGTTGCCCAGTTGCAGTGCATTGGCGTCATCTTGGCTCACTACAACCTCTGCCTCCTGGGTTCAAGCGATTCTCCTGCCTCAGCCTCATGAGCAGCTGGGATTACAGGCACTTGCTACCACACCCAGGGAATTTTTGTATCTTTAGTAGAGACGGGGTTTTACCATCTTGGACAGGCTGGTCTTGAACTCCTGACCTCAAGTGATCCACCCACCTTGGCCTCCCAAAGTGCTGGGATTACAGGTGTAAGCCACCATGCCTGGCCTGTTTACCTTTTTTATTATAACCATGGTAGTGGGTGTGAAGTGGTATCTTATTTTGGTTTTCCTCTGCATTTCCCAAATGACTAATGATGTTGAGCATTTTTTATTGTATTTTACTGTACTTATTGGCCATGTATATTTATTCTTTGAAGAAATGTTTATTCAAATCCTTGTCCATTAAAAAATGTGGTTGTGGCTGGGCACGGTGGCTCATGCCTATAATCCCAGCAGTTCGGGAGGCTGAGGTGGGTGGATCACCTGAGGTCAGGAGTTTTGAGGCCAGCCTGGCCAACATGGTGAAACCCCATCTCTACTAAAAATACGAAAATTAGCCAGGCATGGTGGCACACACCTGTAATCCCAGCTACTTGGGAGGCTGAGGCAGGAGAATCGCTTGAACCTGGAAGGCGGACGTTGCAGTGAGCTGAGACAGCACCACTGCACTCCAGCCTGGGCAACAAGAGCAAGACTTCGTCTCAAAAAAAAAAAAAAAAAGACAGATGCAGGGGAGGGAAGGGAGTTGGAATCATTTTCTAGATGGCAAGGAAAGACTCCCCCACCAAAGTTAAAACTCAAGATACTTAAAAAAGCAATAGGGCCGGGCGCGGTGGCTCACGCCTGTAATCCCAGCACTTTGGGAGGCTGAGGCGGGTGGCTCACGAGGTCAGGAGATCGAGACCACACTGGACAACATGGTGAAACCCCGTCTCTCCTAAAAATATAAAAATTAGCTGGGCATGGAGGCAGGCACCCGTAATTCCAGCTACTCAGGAGGCTGAGGCAGGAGAATCGCTTGAACCAGGGAGTCGGAGGTTGCAGTGAGTCGGAGGTTGCAGTGAGCCAAGATCGCACCACTGCACTCCAGCCTGGTGACAGAGCGAGACTCCGTCTCTTTAAAAAAAAAAAAAAAAAAAAAAGAAGATTGTAGCTCTGGAACAAAAGAGACAAATAAGCAGTGGTGCCTGAGATGAAACAGCGCCCTCCATAGGGCTGTCGCTGTTGGTGGCGTGCCCAGCGCCATGCTGGACGCGGTGAGCAGGACTGTGCTTCGCTGGTCACCGTGACCCTCTCTAACGAAGGGCTCACAGCTTCCCGGGGTAACTGGCTACAGCCCCTGGTTTCGGCTGGAGGAAGTTCTCGGTTACGCCACGCTGCTCTCTCCTCGGCACAGCCCCGGAGAGCTCTGTCTCCATCTGTGTCTGCCTAACAAATGGCTTAAGCATTTTATCTCCTCAGTTACCCATTATCTTAATTAGGTTTTCAGTTGCTTTTCAGAGAGCGCGATTGTTGTTCCCTGAGTAAGACTCTAATTAGTGTGAGGCGGTCCAAGTTTCATCATGGAAATAATACCCTAGAGTATGTAAAAAAATAATTTCTTCCCCGTCTAAAAAAATGGAACCTCTCATTTTGCCGAAAATTTGGAAAGTAAGTGAAAGTATAGAGAAAGGAGGAGAAATCACCTGTCAGGTCACCTCCCGGAGAGAATCATTTTCAACGCTTTGGTGCTTTTCATTCTGGTGTTTTCTTAGTGTATGCATTCATTTACTTCATTTATTGATCGATTAGAGATGGGATTCTGGTGTTTTCTCAGAATATGCCTTCATTTTCTGACTTCATTTATTAGAGATGAGGTCTTGCTCTGTCACCCAGGCTGGAGCCCAGTGGCACAATCATAGCTCACTGCAGCCTCCATCTCCTGGGTTCAAGTGGTACTCCTGCTTCCACCTCCTGAGTAGCTGGGACTAAGACGTGTCCCACCACATCTGGTTCATCTTTTTATTTTTGTGGATTTGGGGTCTTGCTGTGTTGCCTAGTCTGCTCCCAAACTCCTGGCTTCAAGTGATCCTCCCGCCTCAGCCTCCCAAAGTGCTGGGATTACAGGCATGAACCACCATGCCCAGCCTACATTAGCTTTCTTTAGGTTAGGTTTCTAAAGTATTCTGTAAATATAATTTTCATATACAGGACACCTCTCGCTTCTTTCTTCCTTTTTTTTTTCCTACGTAGGTCAAATTCTAACACCCCTCGTTTCTTAATTCGGTCCCTTTCCTCAGTCCTAGCACTCAGGGGCCACATGTGGTTGACTCCTGGGTCATGAATCCAACATGATTTGCTTCTGATCTTTAAATATATTACTGGCCAGGTGCAGTGGCTCATACCTGTAATCCCAGCACTTTGGGAGACTGAGGCGGGAGGATTGCCTGAGCACAGGAGTTTGCGGCCAGCCTGGGCAGAATAGTGAGACCCTGTCTCTATAAAAAATACAAAATTAGCTGGGCGTGGTGGTGTGCACATGTAGTCCCAGCTACTTGGGAGGCTGAGGCAGAAGGATTGCTTGAGCCCAGTTAGGTGGAGGCTGCAGTGAGCTGTGATCGTGCCATTGCACTCCAGCCTGGGTGACAGAGCAAGACCCTCTCTCAAAAACAAAACAAAACAGCCTGAATTTTGCTTATTCACCATGTCTAGTCACCTTGCTAAATTCACTTGTTAATTATAATAATTTTTCCATAGATTCTTTTGCATTTCCTACATACACAATCACATTGTCTGCAAAATAATGATAATTGAACTTCTTTCTTTTCTTTTCTTGTTTTTTTTAGATGGAGTCTCACTCTGTTGCCAGGCTGGAGTGCAGTGGTGCGATCTCAGCTCACTGCAACCTCTGCCTCTCGGGTTCAAGCAATTCTCCTGCCTCAGCCTCCCGAGTAGCTGGGACTACAGGCGCGTGCCACCACACTCAGCTAATTTTTTGTATTTTTAGTAGAGACAGGGTTTTACCATGTTGGCCAGGATGGTCTCGATCTCTTGACTTCGTGATCTGCCTGCCTCGGCCTCCAAAGTGCTGGGATTACAGGTGTTGGCCACTGCGCCTGGCAACTTCTTTGTTTTCAATCCTGTATCTTTCCCCTATTTTTCCCTGCCTGTTGTACTGGCTAGGACCTAGTACAAATTTGAAGAGAAGTGGTTACAGCAGGCATCCTTGTCTTGTTCCTGATGGCAAGAGGAAGTTACGTATATATTCTCCCTAGAATTGTTTCCCTCATGGCAGAATTGGTTCCCAAAATGAGGCTAATATGTTCCTGTTTAGCCACAGTTCCTTCGTAAGGCTTTTTTTTTTTTTTTTTTTTTGAAATGGAGTCTCGCTCTGTCACCCAGGCTGGAGTGCAGTGGCGTGATTTCGGCTCACTGCAACCTCCGCCTTATGGGTTCAAGCAATTCTCTTGTCTCAGCCTCCCGAGTAGCTGGGATTACAGGTACCCACCACCATGCCTGGCTAATTTTTGTATTTTTGGTAGAGACGGGGTTTCCCCATGTTGTCCAGGCTGCTCTTGAACTCCTGACCTCAGGTGATCCACCTGCCTCAGCCTCCCAAAGGGCTGGGATTACAGGCATGAGCCACCGCACCCAGCCTTTGTAGGGTTTCTATAATGAGAATAAAATGGAATTAGATGCAAAATGCCCAGAGTCAGGCTGGCCATGGCATAGAGAAATGCTTACCAAATGATGCCTGAGAAGTTCTTTTTTGTACATTTGAAATGATTTTCTTTCAAGGACTGCTTGATGGTCCTACGGCTCTGTGTCCTTTGCTAGCTTAGAAAAGGGTGCCTCAGCTAACAGAAGACTCGTTTCAGGCCCATCTGACCTCTGTGTTTTGCAGCAGTAACTGCAGAGTTTATTGAGCAGCGCGTCCCCGGTTGTTACTAGGGGCCACTTTAAAATCATCTCTTGGCCGGGCGCGGTGGCTCACACCTATAATCCCAGCACTTTGGCAGGCCGAGGCAGGCGGATCACGAGGTCAGGAGATCGAGACCATCCTGGCCAACATGGCGAAACCCCATCTCTACTAAAAATACAAAAAATTAGCTGGCGGGGGTCGGGGGTAGTGGGCTTCTGTAATCCTAGCTACTCGGGAGACTGAGGCACAAGAATCACTTGAACCCGGGAGGCAGAGGTTGCAGTGAGCTGAAATGGCACCACTGCACTCCAGCCTGAGTGACAGAGCAAGACTCCTTCTCAAAAAAAAAAAAAAAAAAAAATTGTCTCTTGCCGGGCATGGGGGTGCGCACCTATAGTCCCAGCTATTCTGAGGCCCTGAGGCCAGAATTTCGAGGCTGCAGGGTATTATGGTGACCACGCCTGTGAATCCACACTGCACTCCAGCCTGGGCAACATAGCAAATAAGTACAATGGTCTCCGGTTCCCCAGTAGTGGTAAAGTTCCCCAGCCCAGGAACGTTTCATTATCCCCTCCGTCTCCACTCCTAGTCACTTCATCTCTGAGGCCTGCGAGTGGGGATGGGTGACAGAAACGGTTCCAAGTTGTATATATCATTATTCCAAACCATCAAGAGCCAGGGAGGGAAGAGAAAACAGGATCAGGAGGCGAAAGCTGCCGGCTGAGTTTATAGAGGAATTGAGCAACGTTCAGGAAGAGCCTGTGTTTTTCTTTCCAGGGCTGTTCAGAGTCCGTGGGAGCTGGTGACGGTCACCAGCTGCTTGTCCAGTTTCCCTGTGCACCCCCGGCACGCAGAGCCCTGCCCTCTCTGCCAGCAGCGGGTCACTAGGCACTGCCTTCTCGAGGAGGGGAGGGGGGTGGCCTAGACAAAGCCGTGTGGCTGTGGCTGCATGCTGTCTCCCTCGCCGCTTCCTCCAGGAGTGAGTTTCTCACCTTGGAGATGAGGATGTGCTCAGCAGCTCGGCTTGGCCCAGGCTGGGGAGGAAGGCCGCTAACAGAGCTTCAGGGACATGGAGCTCAGCCCTCCTTTCCTTACGGCCTCTGCTGTGAGAGTAGAAGAAGATGTCAACAACGACCGTCCCATCCCCATCTTCCCCATTGCCCCGGCGCCCTGCACTTTCTACTCCTTCTATCCCATTGTCAAAGGCAGACATTTCATGACCAGGCAGGCCTGTCTGCAAACCATGGTCCCTTACGAGGCCTACGCTGCTATTCCAGCCTCTGGCCTTGTTGCATCTTTTTTTTTTTTTGGAGACAGGGTCTTGCTCTGTTGCCCAGGCTGGAGTGCGGTGGCGTGATCGTAGCTCACTGCAGCCTCGACCTCCTGGGCTCTGGTGATTCTCCCCTTCAGCCTCCCAAGTAGCTGGGACTGCAGGCACACACCACCACACCCAGCTAATTTTTGTATTTTTTGTAGAGACTTGGCGATGTTGATCAGCCTCGGCTTGAACCCAAGCCATCCTCCCGCCTCGGCCTCCCAAAGTGCTGGGATTACAGGCGTGAGCCACTGGGCCTGGCCTTGTGTTCTCTTCTTAAAATGTCAGAAAGTGTACATTTTGCTTCTGAGGCTGGGACCCCATGTATTAGCAGATGTTTGGAGCCAGGCAGTTTCCTGAGGGTTGCTGGGGTGAAGCAGGGCTGCCCACCAAGGTCCCAGTTACCCAGACCCCGCCTTATTCCTGGGCTGGGTTGCTTTTCTGCCTCTCCACTAGAGTGGATCAACACGGGGCAGTAGGGGAGACCCGCGCCCGCCGGCTTCCTCTGCAGGAACTGACAGACACTTATCCTGAGAAGGACTGAAATCAACACTAGATCAAACTGGATGCTCCCACCAAGCTCTCCCAGCGCTTGTGGGTGTCACTTTGCTCCCTGTAAGGAACCGCTGTGGACAGGGCTTTGGGGGAGGGGGAGTGCCCTGGCAGTGGCTCCCCTCCCTGGCTGCTGTTCTAGAAACTTCCAGATGGCATTTACCAATACAGATTTCTGGGCATCCCTTAAACCTACGCAGCACCTCTGATCCCAGTGAACTCAGTCACGCCAGGGCAGGAACATTCCCAGGGGTCCTTGAAGAAGACGAGGGCGTTGGGGCCACAGCTGACCTCGGCCTGTCTTGTCCCTCACATGGGGTAGGCAACAGAAGACATGGGCGTATTCTGGCTTGCAGCCTGGAGGTGTCTCCTTCACCCACAGCAGGGTCTGGCGCTTTATTTAAGATGAATAACTTCCCATCTAAAATTACTGTTATGAAAGGCTGCGGCCGTCCTGCCATTTTGCTTTATTAGAATTCATTTGTTTTGAAATAGTGGTTTCTTTTCGTTGTTGTTGTTTTGTTTTGTTTTGAGACGGAGTCTCGCTCTGTCACCCAGGCTGGAGTGCAGTGGTGCGATCTCAGGTCACTGCAACCTCCACCTCCTGGGTTCAAGCCATTCTCCTGCCTCAGCCTCTCGAGTAGCCGGGACTACAGGCGCCCACCTCCACGCCCAGCTAAGTTTTGTATTTTTAGTACAGACGGGGTTTCACCATGTTGGCCAGGATGGTCTTGATTTCTTGACCTCGTGATCCACCTGCCTCGGCCTCCCAAAGTGCTGGGATTACAGGCGTGAGCCACCGCGCCCGGCCAGAAATAGTGGTTTCTTGATGATGTATTTCTCACTGAACTTATTTCATGTTGGCGGAATCTCCCATTGGTAGCATAAGGGCCCCTGGGGTGACCCTGTTCTTGGCAAAGAGCACACCTATATAAGACCCCCAAATCAGGCAGTCCCTAAAATTGCAAAGCCCTGGCCTACCCTTCCTGAGCAGTGTGCTGCCGGGTCTGAGGGCCTTGACAACTCCACGCTGTGTGTCTAGCGATGGCGCCATGCGATGCTTCTGAAGGTGGCTGGGGTCAGCATCACGAGGGATGCTCTCCACGTGCCTCGGCTCCTGTCTCCCTCCACCCAAAGGCCAAGTGGGGGCACTTTCTGTCCCAGTTGAGGCAGATCCGCCCTGGGTCTGCACAGAGCTGAGACGCTCAGGTGACTCAGGTGACGAAGCTGTATCAGGTCAGGCACAAACAGGGCACGATTGCAGCTCTCTCTATGGGAACTTGGGAGGCCATGTCGGCCCCCAACAAGCCTGACAGCCGACCCCCTGGGAGCAGAGTGCTGGGTCCCATCTGCCGCAGCCTCATCTTGGGACAGGGCCAAGTCACAAAGCCACACGTGAGCAAGAGGCCTTTCAAACTTCTGTGATTTTTATTTTAACAAAAGTGTTTATGCTGGGCGCGGTGGCTCACGCCTGTAATTCCAACACTTTGGGAGGCCGAGGTGGGCGGATCACTTGAGGTCAGGAGTTCGAGACCAGCCTGTCCAAGACGGTGAAACCCTGTCTCTAATCTAAAGATAAAAAAATTAGCCCAGCATGGTGGCACGTGCCTGTAATCTCAGTTACTTGGGAGGCTGAGGCAGGAAAATCACTCGAACCCAGGAGGCAGAGGTTCTAGTGAGCCAAGATTTTGCTACTGCTACTCTAGCCTGGGCGACAGAGTGAGACTCTGTCCCAAAACAAACCAACAGGAAAGCTTTTAAAAATAAAGTATCATCAGTTACATTTATCTGACACCTGGGTTCCCCTCCCAGATTTGACAGGTAAAGATTTTTATCATATTTGTTTAGAGTTTAAAAAAATGAAATAAGTCAAACATGATATAAAGTTATGATAATATATTTATCATAAATTATATATAACATATATTCTGTTACATACTGGCACTATACTAAATCCTATGAAATTGAAGTCATTTTTTCCACCATGCCTAGGCTTCCCCTGCCACCTGTTGAGGACAGCCGCCATGTGGTAAACGCACTGTGTGCATTGCTCTTTTATAAAATAGCTCTACACTGACCACACGCTTGGCCATAAAACACATTTGTTTGAATTCTCAGCGAATTAAAAAAAACGGAAATTATACCAAGCACACTCTCCGACCCCAGCCCAATAAAATTAGAAATCAGTACTAAGAAGATTGCTCAAAACCATACAATTACATGGAAATTAAACAACCTACTCCTGAATGACTTTGGGGTAAAAAATAGCTTTGCATGCACATATATAGAAACCGTAAGCTATATACAGCGGTGTTTTAGGTGCTTTTAAAAAAAACTGAGCCAACGCGTCATATCATGTGTTACATCACGTCACGTGTTACCTGTAGCTTGCTCTTTCACCCTGTGGTCACGTACACAGCTGGCTACGGTCTTCTCTCTGCAGAGCTCTCCTCCCGTGCATGGCGGCTCCCTGTGGGGGGTGATTGGGTGGGTTCTGGGCTTTGCTAACTCAAGCGGTGCTGAATGTACGTGTGCACGTGTGCACGTGTGCATGCATGTGTGCACGAGTGCACGGGTCCTGCTGGCTGTTCCACAGCAGGGGACTGAGGAGCAGAGTGGCGTGGTCAGTTGCTGTCCACACTGGCCATGCCCACGGCTGTGCCAGTATTGGCAGTGGCTGCTGCTGCTTCACCTCCCCCACACCTGCACTCAGAGGGAGGCTCTGTCATGCTTGTGGCCTTGGGTGCAGGGACAGCCCCACCGCCCAGAGGAGAGGCCTCACCTCCGGCCCCTCGTTGGAGGCTGGCAGCCTGGCCCTTCTGCACACATGCAGGCCTACCCAGCACCAGGAAGGAGACCCTGGGAGTGGCCCCTGCGTGTCAGCATTGGTTCCGACCTGCAGAGAGCCCAGCCCTGGGCCTCAGGAGGCTGTGGAGCCTTGCCTGGAGGAGCAGGGTACACTCAGCTGCGAGCCACTTGCCTGGGGCTGCAGCCCCAGGGGACACAGGCCTGGGACATCCCGTGCCGCATTTGTGGCCAGGTCCTCTGGGAGCCCCTGGGACTCTAGGAGGAGAAGCAACCCTTCCTGCCCCATGGCCCTGGGACTTCCAGCAGGTCACTCTGAGGTCACCTCCTACAACCTGGCCCTGGATTTGGGAGAAAGTTGAGGGCCGGAGCATCATTTGGAGCTGTTTTTGTTCTTCTTTCGGATCTGGCCCCATAGTTGTGCAATGAGGCTGAGCTGTGGGGCTGGTAACGCTTGTGGGAGTGGCGGGTGGGATGAGGTAGGGGAACTGGGCCCCACCTGCTGGGCACCTGCCGCCTGCCAGGCTGGGCCGGGTTCTGCAGGCGGCAGGAGCACGGGTGGTGAGCAGCCCAGCCCAGCAGCCTCGCACTGCGGCTGGGCGGCCTCCCTCACGCCCTGGCCCCCTGCGGGCTGCAGATGCACAGGCTGCCGGCTGCCTTGGGAAGGACGGCGGGGCTGCTGGCGCTGGTAAGGGTCTTCCTCAGCCAGCTGACGCCTCCCTCCATCCGGCTTTTGTTTGGTTTTATTGGGAATGGTTGGAGGAAAGGCCGCCACAGATGGGGATGGATCTTAACCTGAAAGGCTGCGTACAGGGAACTCAGCAGAGGGCTCAGAAAAGACAGCGCCGGGTCAGCTGGGGACTGGTGAGCGGTTTTCATCTATCGCAGCCGGCTGGCTTTCCCAGAGCATGCATTTAGAGAGCGTGTCTGTATTTATGAGATATTAAGTCTTCTAAGGGTGTGTGTTATCTCTGAACTGTGCGCATGTTTGTGTGCATGTATGTGTTAATGTGTGTGGGTGCATGTGTGTTGGCGTGTGTGTATGTGTGTGCATGTGTGTTTTTGGGTGCATGTGTGTGCATGTGTGTGTGCATTTTTGTGTGGGTGCATGTGTATTTGTGGGCATGTGTATGCACACGTGTGTTTGTGTGTGTGCCTGCTTTGGCTTGGGGGTATCAGAGACAGCCTTGGGAAGGAGGCAGCGATGCTGTTGCAGGAGCAGGCCATCGGCAGCCCCATGGGCTGGGGTGATGTGGCACAGTGACACCTCCTCCTTGTAAAGTAGGGGCAGGATGCTGACCAGTCCGTCTCGTCTCGTCAGAGCACCACCCCCAGGGGAGTTTCGCCTGGTGCACAGATGGATGGGGCAGGGCTCTGGAGGCGGCGTGGTGACCCTGCAGAGGCCCAGGCTGCCGTGGGAAAACGTCTGTGGTTTGAGGCCTGTGGGCCGTGGTGCTGGCTGGTCGGGCAGGCCGCGGTGTGACCCTGGGCTGCTGCAGGGGAGGCGTGGTCCCCTCAGCCTGAGGATTTGACAGGCAGGCTGCCTGCTCTGAGACTGTTCTGTGGGTGCCACGGTGGTGCCAAGGCACTGTCTGGTTTTTCGAGGGGCGTGGCTAGAGGGCAGAGTCCTTGAGTCTCCACCAGACCTGTTTTGACAGAACAGTAACGGCATTAGGAGACGTGGCTTAGTGGGATTTGAACTCAGAAGGACCCGGGACATGGGCGCTATTAGACTTACCTGTTTTTTTTGGCGGGGGATGGAGTTTCGCTCTTGTCACCCAGGCTGGAGTGCAGTGGTGCAATCTCAGCTCACTGCCACCTCCGCCTCCTGGGTTTAAGCCATTCTCGTGCCTCAGCCTCCTGAGTAGCTGGGATTACAGATGCGCACCACCACGCCCAACTCATTTTTGTATTTTTAGTAGAAATGGGGTTTCACTGTGTTGGCCAGGCTGGTCTCGAGCTCCTGACCTCAGGCGATCCCCCCACCTCGGCCTCCCAAAGTGCTGGGATTACAGGGGTGAGCCACCGCGCCCAGTCCTGGTGCTATGAGACTTCTAACTGTTCACCTTGTGTTGCTTCTGTTCCAGGGATAAACGCCCAGGCCCGGAGGCTGCAGCGGAGTCGCGCGAAGGGAACCCCGACCCCGGCCCTGGGGGATGCCCGGAGCTCTCCTCCACCCCGGTTGCGCCGCACAGTCAGTGAGACCAGCCTGAGCCCAGTGAACGCCCTGCCCGCTGCCGCCCAGGGCCCCGAGGAGCCCGGCCCCGACGCCATGCGGTACTCGCTGTACCAGTCCCCGCATCTGCTCCTTCTGCAGGGCTACAGCCAGCAGCACGTGAGCCTCCCCTCCTGACACCCACTGCCCGGTGCCACTGCAGGGACAGCAGGCGGGACTCAGAAGTCAAGGCCTCCGCCTGCCTTTAGCCCAGTCGGCCGCGAGCTCTGTGGCTGCAGCCCCTCTGGCTGTGCCGAGGCTGTGGAGTGGGATGGCGGGGGCACATGTGGAGTCATCCACATTTTCCCTGTCCAGGCCACGGTGGGCGGCAGTGGGGGCTCCTCACTTCCCCAATCCCAGAGTGGGTGCCCTCAGCACCAGGCGCCTTCAGGGAGAACTCCTCACGCCTTCCCAGCCTTGGTCTCCCGCCTGGCTCTGGGGAAGGGCATGGGCAGTTGGCCAGGGCCAGTCTGCTTCCTGCTTCTGGCGAGGGGGCTGCTGAGTCACCAATTGGTGGCCACATTCTCTGAAGGGGCACCGAGCAAAGGCCCATGCCACCCCTATCTGCCCAGAGCCGTTTCTCACCACTTCCATCAGAGCAGGCAGGCTGTCGCCCCGAGCAAATGCCAGGCGCAGGGCCACCTCGCCTCACCTTGCCGGACACTTGCCCTGCCAGACAACTGTTTTCCCCGCCCCCTGCTCACCCTACCCCCGCCCTCCTGTGCAGCCAGCTCCTTTGCTGCTCATTTCCATGAGCACTTTACAGCCATAGGGCTCCTGTGCCCAGGTTTTAGGTGGCATCTTCCCTCGGGGCAGTGCTCTCACACAGGCGGCAGTGCTCCCACACTGGGGGTGGTGCTCCCACACAGGCGGCAGTGCTCCCACACAGTTTTGGGGATGACTTGGGGGAAGTTATGTAGTCCTTGGCCCGGTCTGTAGAACCAGTGCCTGTTTCCCGGCCAGCCCTGACCTGGCCTGTCGCTGTCTCAAAGCTGGGTGTCTCCTGGGTCTCTCGTGTGCTCCTCCGGGAAACCGACCTCCTCTGGGATGGGCCCGGACATCGAGGGGCGGGTTCCTGAGAGCCGTCGGGGTTCTGGTGTGGGGGTGGCCAGGGACATGGAGAGCCCGTGGCGACAGCATCCCAGCCACGCTGCTTCAGCAACCAGTGACTAGACACGGGACGCTTTTCCCGTGTGCTGCTCGCGTTACGCCTGCCCTGAGCGGAGTCTCTGTTTCAGGACAGCCTGGTGTATGTGCTCAACCGGGACCGGCACACGGTGGGCCAGCGGACCCCCTCCAGCAAGCCCAGCATCAGCCTCTCAGCCCCCGACATCCTGCCTCTACACTGCACCATCCGCCGGCAACCGCTCCCGGACAGCGGCCAGGCCGCGGGGAGGCTGGTCCTGGAGCCCATCCCCGGGGCGCACATCTCCGTCAACTTCTCCGAGGTGGGGCACAGGACCGTGGTGCTGCACCACGGGGACCTGCTCTCCCTGGGGCTCTACTACCTGCTGCTATTCAAGGACCCCGCGCAGGCCCAGCCCCTGCCCGCCCGGGCCTTGGCGCGCCTCCGGGCTGTGCCGCAGAGCTGCCGGCTGTGCGGGGCCGCGCTCGGGGCCCGGGGAGCCGCCTCCCCTACTCAGGCCGCCCTGCCCCGGCGCCAGCAGCTGCTCCTGGAGTTTGAGCCCCACCTGGAGGACACGCTGCTGCAGAGGATCATGACGTTGATCGAGCCGGGGGGCGACGACCACAAGCTGACCCCCGCCTTCCTCCTGTGCCTCTGCATCCAGCACTCGGCCACCCACTTCCAGCCGGGCACATTCGGGCAGCTCCTGCTCAAGATAGCCAGGCTGATCCGCGAGACTGTCTGGGTCAGTGTGCTGGGGTGGGCGGTCTGGGTCCTGTGCCGGTCTGGGGGAAGAGGGGGCCCGGAGCTGGCCCCGGCTGGGAGGCGGGAGCGCCTCTATCTGACCCCCACGGTGCTGTGCTGCTGAGCGCAGGGCGGCCTTTCCCTGCCTGTCGCTGCCCCCCAGCCCCACAGGCCACCAGAAGCAGCCCCAGAACCCAAGGTGTCAGCTGCAGCCCTTTGCCCCTGAGGGTGGGGTTTGCGTGGGGTCCTAGGTCACCTCCTGAGCTCTGGGCTTGTACCCTCCCTGGGGTCCAGCTGGGCCCAGCACTGTCACGTGCCAGGAGTGAGCTGCCCCTGAGCCTGGGCACCACGAGGCCGAGGTGACATTGATAGCTCTCACAGGCCCCTGCCCAAGAGCCCCAGAAGCCCCTGTGTGTGCCGGCGCCCTGTGCTTGCTGCCAGGGGCCGGTTGAGCACATACCCGCTGGAGCCATCCCTGATCCGAGTTTGGAGGTGCAGGGCCCGTCACCTTTTGTGCGTTGACGAACTTTCCTCCAGGCCAGCCTCTCTCATCCCCGGCCCTGTGGACACTGTGGCAGGAGAGCTCCTTGCTGTGAGGCTGGCCTGTGCATTGCAGAGGATTCAGCAGCATCCCCGGCCTCCACCCCTAGATGCCGGTCACCCTCTGCCGCCCCGCCACACACACACACGCAATACACCCATGGCTGCAGGCATTGCCAATGTCCCCAGGAATCCAGTGTGGCCGCCAGTGAGCAGGACCGCCCTGGGCCCATGAGTGCTGGAACAGGCATCACACAGTCATGGCCCCCCGCTGGGCCCCACCCCACAGTGACTTGGCTCCCAGGGACCCGAAGGACAACTCGTAGTTGTTCAAGTTCGTTCAGAGACCCTCAGATCCTCGCTAGTCTGGGCCCCGCTTATCCCCGGCAGACAGGGGAAGGGGGAACCACTTGACTGTGTAGAAACCTTATCACTTTCTCATATCGAAATCCACATTTTAAATGTCTGAGACTTTTAAAAAGTAAAAGCCAGCTCAGGCTTCCCTGTCCAGATGTCAGTGGGAGCCGTCTCTGTGCACCGTGGGTGTTGTAATCTGGGTGTCCGTGCCTCTTCCCCTCGGGTTCCCGGCTTGGGATTTGATGGGAGTGCCACTGCAGCGTGCCCGTGTCCCCTCCGTGCAGTCATGGACACAGGGCCAGGTGATGTCCCTGTAGTGTGTGTCCACATCGTGGCCACTGTGACCGAGAGTTACCTGCTGGCCAGAAGTCATGGGTTTTCGCACGATCATTGTCATTTCCCGAGTCTCCTCTGCGCCAGGCACTTACTTGCAAACCAAACGCTGTTTAATTTCTTTATCACAACCACCCTGACGATGTAGATGCCACACCCCATGTCACAGCCAGGGAAACTGAAGCCAGGGGGCCGTAAGTCACTTGCTGAGGGACCCGGGTCCCAGCCTGTGTCCCAGCCACCTGGGGCTCGCTGTGTGGCTGGCCCACTCCCTGCAGCACACCAGGGCTCACCCTGCCCCTATGCTACAGGCTCTGAAACAGAGGCTCCCAGAGGTGAATTGCCTGGTCCAGAGATTGAGCTGATAGACATGAGACCGAGCCTGAGTCCACCTCTTCCCCCTGCACCCACTGTGGGAATCCGAAGCCTCCGCTGGGTGCTGTCCAGATCCCATGCGAATATCATTTGCGCGTTTGTTTCCTGAGAATGTGCAACTGTGTCGCCGCTGCCCCGTCCTCATTCCTTACCAAATATACACGCTTAGTCTACGCGCACTCAGCCATCACGGTTACATTCAGCCGGATAATAACTTACTACTAAGGCAAGAATAATTCTTTTTTTTTTTTTTTTTTTTTTGCTGAGACGGAGTCTCGCTCTGTCACCCAGGCTGTAGTGCGGTGGCGTGATCTCGTCTCACTGCAACCTCTGCCTCCCAGGTTCAAGGGATTCTCCTGCCTCAGCCTCCCAAATAGCTGGGATTATAGGCATGCGCCACCACACCCGGCTAATTTTTGTATTTTTAGTAGAGATGGGGTTTCACCATGTTGTCCAGGCTGGTCTCGAATTCCTGACCTTAAGTGATCTGCCTGCCTCAGCCTCCCAAAGTGCTGGGATTCCAGGTGTGAGCCACCTTGCCCAGCCTCTACTATTTTTTAAATAGCCGGTTGTTATGTAAGCTAGAGAGTTGTGAGATACTCTATTGTAGCAAACTTGTAGGTCATAGTCGGTAATGGAATGGGAAGATGTTGAAGTCACATGGAAAATGTCCTTTCCAGCACAGCTTGAATAAATAGTCAGCGTCACACAGGATGCCTGGGGCAGCATGGCTTGTTTTCCTGTCGATGGTATCGTGTATTTGAACGCGTCCCTGTGTTAGCCTGTTTTGCTCACTTGCTTTTTCTCCCGCTTTGTAATTGTAGGAGAAAACCAAAGAACTAGCAGAGAAGCAGGCGCAACTGTGAGTATGACCCGGTTATTGTGCCCGCCTCTGGGCAGCAGGTCCTGGGGGCTCACACTTCCCGGGGGAGCCAAGTCCCGAGGGGTCTCCCCACGCCTTGGGGTCAGCTCTGGGCTTTGTCCTTCCATCCAAGCAGCGGCCTTTTTTGCTTCTTTAGTCATCACCCTGGGAAGCTCTGAGTTTTGGGAAATTGCTTCAGGGCACCCTTAAGACTGGATGGGTGAGGTCTTCTTTTTTTGTTTGTTTTTGTTTTGTTTTGTTTTGTTTGCTCTATCGCCAGGCTGGAGTGCAGTGGTGCAATCTCTGCTCACAGCAACCTACACCTCCCAGGTTCAAGGGATTCTCTTGCCTCAGCTTCCCGAGTAGCTGGGACTGCAGGTGTGCACCACCATGCCTGGCTAATTTTTTTTTTTTTGTACTTTTAGTAGAGATGGGGTTTCACGATATTGGCCAGGCTGGTCTCGAACTACTGAACTCAAGTGATCCACCTGCCTTGGCCTCCCAAAGTACTAGGATTACAGGCGTGAGCCACTGTGCCTGGCTTTTTTTTTTTTTTTTTTTTTGAGAATCTTCACAATTTTATTAGTTTATTTATTTTCCACTTTTATTTTAAGTTCAGGGGTACGAGTGCAGCTTTGTTACATAGGTAAACTTATGTCGTGCGGGCTTGTTGTACAGATGATTTCATCACCCAGGTATTAAGCCTTGTACCCATTCATTATATTTCCTGATCCTCTCCCTCCTCCCAGCCTCCACCCTCTGAAAGGCCCCAGTGTCTGTTGCTCACCTCTCTGTGTCCATGTGTTCTCATCATTTAGCTCCCACTTGTAAGTGAGAAGGTATTTGGTTTTCTGTTCCTGTGTTAGTTTGCTAAGCATAATAGCCTCTAGCTCCATCCATGTCCCTGCAAAGGACATGATCTCGTGCTTTTTTTTTTTTTTCTTTTTTTGAGATGGGGTTTCGCTCTTGTTGCCCAGGCTAGAGTGCAATAATGAGATCTCGGCTCACGGCAACCTCCACCTCTCAGGTTCGAGCGATTCTCCTGCCTCAGCCTTCTAAGTAGCTGGGATTACAGACATGCACCACCACGCCCAGCTGATTTTGTATTTTTTTTTTTTTTGAAACGGCATCTCGCTCTGTCGCCCAGGCTAGAGTGCTATGGCGCAGTGTCGGCTTACTGCAAGCTTTGCCTCCTGGGTTTACACCATTCTCCTGTCTCAGCCTCCCGAGTAGCTGGGACTACAGGCGCCCGCCACCACGGCCAGCTAATTTTTGTTTTTTTGTATTTTTAGTAGAGACGGGGTTTCACCGTGTTAGCCAGGATGGTCTCCATCTCCTGACCTTGTGATCCACCCGCCTCGGCCTCCCAAAGTGCTGGGATTACAGGTGTGAACCACCGCGCCCAGCCGCTAATTTTGTATTTTTAGTAGAGATGGGGATTCTCCATGTTGGTGAGGCTGGTCTCGAACTCCTGACCTCAGGTGATCCACCTGCCTCAGCCTCCCAAAGTGCTGGGATTACAAGCGTGAGCCACTGTGCCTGGCTGATGTCGTGCTTTTTTATGGCTGCACGAGGCCCTCTTTTGAGCCTTCTCCTCCCTTGCTCTCCCGATTCTGTGTTAGAACTAACCTGCTCCTTCAGGGAAAGGCGCAGCTCCTGGGTTAGAGGTAAGGTAGTGCACCGCCACTCTCCAACGGCTGTTTGCGCAGAAAGCACTATCTCTACCCTAGACGCTGCTGGGGCACTTGGGAAACCATTCGGTTGATCTGATACAGACGTGCAGCCCCTGCGGCCTACGCTCCCACTCTCGAGTGGGCCCTAGAGAGACACCTGCTGGTGGAAGGCAGTGTGTCCGCACAGGAGCTGAAGCCGCCACATGTCTCCTCCTGGTGGCAGGGAATGACTTTCAGCCACTGCTCTCTCAGTGCAGCTGAATCCAAGACAATGTTGGGAAAAAGCACCTAGCACAGTGTCTGTGATATGGTTAAATGCCCACACGCACACACACGTACGTATGATACTCACAGCCAAGCCATCCTGTTTAAGACACACACGTGAGATAACACTGACGAAGGCAGAGTGGAAGGTGGTGGCCACGCTAGGCAGTGAGGGAGGGGGTGTGTCTGGGGGGCTCAGGCTGAGTGGCTGGCAGCACCCCCTTAAGTCAAGCTGTGGTACACAGAGGTTTGCGTGATTCCCATCCGTGCCTTTATTAGTCTGTTCTCACGCTGCTAATAAAGACATATCCGAGACTGGGTAATTTATAAAGGAAACAGGTTTAATGGGCTCACAGTTCCACGTGACTGGGGAGGCCTCACAATCATGGCAGAAGGCAAAGGAGGAACAAGGGCACATCTTACATGGTGGCAGGCGAGAGAGTGTGTTCAGGGGAACCACCCTTTCTAAAACCAACAGATCTCATGAGGACTCATTCACTATCGGGAGAACAGCATGGCAAAGACCCGCCCCCATGACTCAGTTACCACCCACCGCGTCCCTCCCACAACATGTGGGAATTGTGGGAGCTACAATTTAAGATGAAATTTGGGTTGAGACACAGCCGAACCCTGTAAGTGCCTCACGTACCAAAAATGGTCCATCCATAAAGCCCATTATTGCCATATGTGCCTGCTGATGTCCACCCTGGGTCCATCCTTCTTTCAAAGGTAGGAGGGACAGGCATGGGACAGCTTGGGGACCACTGACCTGGAGTCCCCAGCATCCCCACTGCCCGGCCCAGGGAGAGCTGAGCTCCGAACGCCTTCCACTTTCACTGGCAAACACCCGCTCCCCAGAGCCAGGTCCCGATGCCATGCACTGGGGGTGGGTCCTGGCCTCTGAGATCTGGGACTGTGTGAGGGACCCAGGCTCTGCCTCCCAGCCTGACAGGAGGGGGCTCCATAGAAGCCAGGCCCCGGATAGCATCGAAGGGTGATGGACAGCCTGACCCACGGCAAGGAGGTGGTCCAGGCCCGGGCCCCTACAGTGGCACCTGACATCTTGTGGGCTTTCAGTGTTGAGGAGAAGTTTGCATGGGAGTTGGGAGTGGGCCCAGTAACAGGCGTGGTGGCCTCCCTCTGGGGCTCTGTTCCAGGACAGCTGGAGTTCTAGTGTTGAGGCAGGGTGTGGAGGGGATGGGAGTGTACCCAGCCCTCATCCTCCTAAGTGCTGAGGTGCAGGGAGGACTGGAACCTTCCACCCCAGTGCCTGTTTGCTGGGCAGCCTGCAGTTTGAAGCTGAAGCGCAGCTCTGGGTGGACCCAGCTTCCTCGTTGACGGGAAGGCCCGGGCCCTCCCTGCTGCAGCTGCCCGCTCGTGCTGTGTGTTCCAGAACCGTCATCGTTAGGACCTAAAAACAGCCGTTTCCATCCCTCTTGCATGCCTGGGGGGCTTTTCCTTTTTCCTTTGTAAAATAATGAATCACTTCCAAAACACAGAACAGTACGGAATCTGTCACTCCCCCGTGATCCCACACCTGAAACTGATGTTATGATGATGATGATTTGGGATTTAATATTACTAACATTTTGTTTGCCCTGTTTGCCTCAAATCTTTGTGTTCTGTGTTTCAAATTGTGAATGATCACTGAATTTGACTAAATCATTTTCTGCATCTGTGATCAACATATTTTCCCCCTTTAATCTGTTAATGTGGAGTGCTACATTCCTAGGTTTTCTTTTTTTTGAGACAGGGTCTCATTCTGTCACCCAGGCTGGAGCGCATTGGCGCGACCTCGGCTTGCTGCAACCTCCACCTCCTGGGCTGAAGCGATTCCCGCTCCTCAGCCTTCAAGCAGCTGGGACTATAAGTGCACGCCACCATGCCCAGCTAATTTTTGTGTTTTTTGTAGAGATGGAATTTCACTATGTTGGCCCAGGCTGGTCTCGAACTCCTGCGCTCAAGCAGTCCTCCCGCCTCAGCCTCCCAAAGTGTTGGGATTACAGGCGTAAGCCACTGCACCCAGCCTATATTTTTAATATTTTGAGGAGCCTCCATACTGTTTTCTGTAAAGGCTGTACTAATTTATATCCCCACCAACAGCGTGCAGTCCTTTTGAACACCTGTGATCTGTCATTGTTTTGATAATGGCCATTCTAACAGGAGTGAGGTGGCGTCTCGTGGTTTTGATTGGCATCTCCCCGAGAATTAGTGATGTTGACTGTTGATCTTTTAATTAGGATTTTCCCATCTGAATTTATCGGTAAAACTGGTCTACGTTTTTTTTTGTTTGTTTGTTTGTTTGTTTTGCACTGTCCTTGTCTGATTTTAGTAACAAGGTTCACAGAACATGAATTGGGGAGCTTTCTCCGTTTCTTAGTTCTCCAGATCAGTTTGTATGAGGTAAGGGCTGGCCCTGAAGGTTTGCTGGAAGAACATCCGGGCCAGAGTCCTCGGGGAGGGAGACCCGTGTTGGCCGAATCCCTTTCTTTAATGAAGATTGGTTTACTTCATTTTTTATTTATTTCTTTTTGTTCGTTTTTGCGATGGAGACTCGCCCTGTCCCCCAGGCTGGAGTACAGTGGCACGATCTCGGCTCACTGCAACCTCCGCCTCCTGGGTTCACGCCATTCTCCTGCCTCAGCCTCCCGAGTAGCTGGGACTACAGGCGCCTGCAACCACGCCCGGCTAATTTTTTGTATTTTTAGTAGAGACGGGGTTTCACTGTGTTAGCCAGGATGGTCTTGATCGCCTGACCTCTGGTGACCCGCCCACCTCGGCCTCCCAAAGTGCTGGGATTACAGGCGTGAGCCACCGCACCCGGCCCTTTTTTTTTTTTTTGAGACAGTCTCGCTCTGTCGTCTACGCTGGAGTGCACTGGTGCAATCGCATTTCACCGCAGCCTCCGCCTCCCAGGATCAAGCGATTCTCCTGCCTCAGCCTCCTGAGTAGCTGGGATTACAGGCGCCTGCCACCATGCCCGGCTAATTTTTGTATTTTCAGTAAAGACGGGGTTTCACCATGTTGACCAGGCTTGTCTTGAACTCCTGACCTCAAGCAATCTGCCCACCTTGGCCTCCCAAAGTGCTGGGATGACAGGCATGAGCCACGCTCCTGGCCTGTCCTGATGATTCTTATTGGCCTAGAATCTTTCTTTCCCTGGAGTGAGTACCACATCCCCTTTCACTGGTTTACTACTCGCCTCATCAGATTTTTCCATGCCCGTCCATGGAACCAGGGAAAGTTTAGGTTCACTCTTTCTGTGCCCTTTTGTTTTATGTTTTGAAAGCCATTGTTTGTTCACCTGTCTTATCTTTGTTAATGGGCAAGTCGAATTATTTAGGTTTATTGCCATTCCTGATGTCTTTGGCCACATTTTTACCATCTGTTTTGCACTATTTTCTGTGCGTTTTGCCTTTGATTTTTATACTTTCCTATCTGATTGGGTTTTTTTTTTTGTTTTTTTTTTTTGAGACGGAGTCTCGCTCTGTTGCCCAAGCTGGAGTATAGTGGCTCGATCTCAGCTCACTGCAACCTCCGCCTCCTGGGTTCAAGCGATTCTCATGCCTCAGCCTCCAGAGTAGCTAGGATTACAGGCACGCGCCACCACGCCCGGCTAATTTTTGTATTTTTAGTAGAGACAGGGGTTCACCATATTGGCCAGGCTGGTCTCGAACTCCTGACCTCACATGATCCACCCGCCTCAGCCTCCCAAAGTGCTGGGATTACAGGTGTGAGCCATCACAACTGGCTTCTGACTGGATTTTTAAAAACTCCCCTTTTCCTTCTTTATTAGTTTCAAAGTAATTCTGAAAATATTAATATCTTCCTCCTTTTGTGGAACACTAGATCTTAGGATGCTTCGACCCCCATCCTCACTTCCGGGCTTTCATTTTATTACTGACATTATTCCAGCTTCAGCTTGCTTTTAACACTACTGTGTCTCAAATCATTCTTTGTTTTTACTTCATTTAATTTAATTAATTATTATTTTTTGAGACAGGGTCTCACTCTGTTGCCCAGGCTGGAGTGCAGTGGTACAGTCAGAGCTCACTGCAGCCTCAACCTCCTGGGCTCAAGTGATCCCCCTGCCTCAGCCTCCCGAGTAGCTGGGACTACAGGCATGCACCACCATGCCCTGGCTAATTTTTTGATTTTTTCTGTAGAGACAAGACTCAAGTGATCCTCTAGCTTCAGCCTCCCAAAGTGCTGGGATTGCAGATGTGAGCTACCGCACCTGGCCCCAAAGAGCACCTTTAACAGTTTCCTGCAACATATTCACCATTTCATTTCCCTTTTTTTTTTTTTTTTTTTTTTTTTCTGAGACGGAGTCTCGCTCTGTAGCCCAGGCTGGAGTACAGTGGCACAATCTTGGCTCACTGCAACTTCCACCTCCCGGGTCCTGGTTCAAGAAATTCTTTTGCCTCAGCCTCCTGAGTAGCTGGGATAACAGGAACATGCCACCACGCCCAGCTAATTTTTGTATTTTTAATAGAGACGGGGTTTCACCATGTTGGTCAGGCTGGTCTTGAACTCCTGACCTTTGTAATCTGCCCACCTCGCCCTCCCAAAGTGCTGGGATTACAGGCGTGAGCCACCGCACCCGGCTTTTTTCTTTCTCTCTCTCTTTCCTTTTTTCTTTCTTTCTTCCTTTCTTCCTGGGTGTGATGGCGCTGGCTGAGCTGTCTGTGGTTTGCTTTCTCACTCACAACCTCTCCAGGTGGGTGGATGTGGCTGACCCATTTTTTGGGGCACGCCATTCCCTGGTCCTCTCCTGATGGACGCGACAGGCATGCATAGGCTGTGGCCGGCAGCCCATGCTCTGGTCTCTGTGCTCCTTGTGGGCCCTGCGAGTGTTTCCATCGCCTTGGTTCCCAGGAGTGGGACTCCAGTGCTTCCCTCCACCCGCAGGAGATACCCGCGCCTTGACCAGCCTGCCTCAGCCAGCTGCGCCCGTTCCTCCTGCCGGGCCGTGCTGCCCCTGCTGAGTGCCCTTCCCCTCTGCCCTCTTCTAGAACTGCCCCAGCCAGCTACGCCTGTTCCTCCTGCCAGGCTGTGCTGTCCCCCCCCGAGTGCCCTTCCCCTCTGCCCTCTTCTAGAACAACATGGGTTTTCCTTTTCCACCAGACCTGCTCCTCCGTCCACACAGGCCTGGGTAGGATGGGCTGGATCTTCATCATTCCCTGGGCCCCCACTCACATGGCCCCAGGTTGGCAGGTGGGGGCGCGTTCAGTGCCAACCTGGCCCGAGTCTGATCCCGAAACTCCAGTTGCAAAGCCTGGTCACTTGTTTCCTGGGACAGGCCTGTCTACCCTCCGGGTTCCGGTGAAATTGAGAAGGGCAGCAAATTTTGAAAACAAGATGGAATTAGTCTCCGAAGAGCCCAGCGAATCCTTCTTTAACTGTATAAAAAGCTCCTTCTGCCCATCTGCAGACATGCGTGTCCTTCAAGCCAGTGTCCAGAATGGGCAAAAAGGAGCAGGACTTTGAGCTGTGCCAGACACATGAGCAGGCAGCGGACCTGCTTAGCCGCCAAAAACAGGAGAGATGGTCTCAGTCCAGTTTCTTCCCTCCCCGGGTGTGTGCACGCGAGAGAGGTCAACATTGTTTGTGGACAAAAGTGAAGTGACGTCAGAGAGAGCAGGCAACACTTTGGGTACCGGGGAGAATCTGGGACGCAGCCTGGGGTTCCTCCCCCAGCCCTGCTCGGCTGCCCAGCTGGGGAAAGAACAGGGAGGAAAACAGGGCCTCAGCCCTTCCCAGATGCCCTCACAAACCGGCTGCCTTAAGGTCCTGGTGGCATTTCCTGTGGGCTTGGCACCTTTCAAAGGACCCCAGGCCGGGTCCACACACCTGGGACTGAGCACGCGATGGTCACTCTGACGGCCGTCCAGCCTTGAGCCTGGCTCTGCCCCGGGACTGGGGTCAGGCACTGGGCTGGCACCATGCCCTGCGGCCAGCAGAGTGGCAGCTGCCTGGCTCACCCCTTAGAATCCCCCCAGTAAGGGACACAGGTGACAAGGGGTACCCGGGCCAGCCATGGGGCAGGCAGCAGGGCCGCCCTCCACACCCCAGGCAGACCCAAGTCAGATCTGTGTGATTTGATCTGTTTGCAAAAGGATCCCTTCTGCTCACTGCTCAGGGGCACACACGGCCTTCTGCTCACTGCTCAGGGGCACACGGCTATTTGTGTCCGCCAGGTGCGATTATGGAGACTTAGGGATGAATGCATCCTCTGAGCTGCCAGGACCCTGGGGCGTCCCAGGCATCTTGTCCAGTGGCTTAATGCTGAGCTGGTGCATGGACCAGATGAGCAACCTGTGAGAAAGATGTGTGGCTGGCATTTTAAATGAGGAATTACCCGGGCACCTCAGCACAGCCTTGCCACGTCCACCCCTCAGACGTTCCAAGAGGCTGCTGAGGACACTAGAAGGCAGTGTCAAGTCACACCAGACAGACACATCCTGCGGCTGGTGCCAGAGATGTGGGAGAAAGGGTTTGGGAGCTCTGAGCTTGGAAGCCAGCCTGACGGTGGAGGCTGCCGCTGAGGGAGGAGGCAGCCCTGATGATGCCGTCATCCCCTGAAAAGGGA
Source organism: Homo sapiens (assembly GCF_000001405.40). Taxonomy (NCBI): domain Eukaryota; kingdom Metazoa; phylum Chordata; class Mammalia; order Primates; family Hominidae; genus Homo; species Homo sapiens. The sequence continues at coordinate 4,823,611 of NC_000007.14, read as the reverse complement.
GCACTGAGCCGGAAGGCAGCAGGCCTGGGAGGGAAGGGCGCCCCCCCAACCCCTACCTGCATTGGGCTGGCCAGGCAGGGGCCTGAGCTACTTCTGCTTTTGTTACTCAGAGTAACAATGAACCCCATGGATACAGAATCAGGGCTAGGCATGGTGGCTCATGCCTATAATCCCAGCACTTTAGGAGGCCAAAGCAAGAGGATTGCTTAAGGCTAGGAGTTCAAGAGCAGCCTGGGCAACATAGCAAGACCCTGTCTCTAAAAAAAAAAAAAAAAAAAAAGGTTTTTAATAATTAGCCAGACTAATGTTTGTATTTTTAGTAGAGACGGCGTTTTGCCATGTTGGCCAGGCTGGTCTCGAACTCCTGACCTCAGGTGATCCACCCGCCTTGGCCTTCCAAAGTGCTGAGATTACAGGCGTGAGCCACCACGCCTGGCCTCAGTTTGGGTTTCTAACGATTGCCTCTGAGTCTTCAAATCTCATGCTTTGCCTGCTACCCCGCGATTCATGGACTTTACACGTGATTTTCTGACTTCCTGCTTTAATAAAGTAGCATTTCATTTTGCCTTTGTGCACCTCCCAAAATAGCTCTATTATTGTTTATTTCCTTTGGTAATTACCTTGTTAACTTAAATAATATAATGGAACTGACATTTCTTGTTCTGAAAACCATGGACCAGCCCCCACCCCCATGCACGCATACACGCACACACACACATATTGGCACACATTCTCTCAGCATTCACAGCCACTTTATGATCTCATTCCAAAAGAGAAGACATGCAAGCCATCTACTTACCGAGGTTTTTTACCAATGGCTGTGGCGCCCAGCTGTCTTCCTGCTAGGTTTGTAGGGTCCTCTGGCTGTCGGGTGTTGTAGGCAGGTGCCAGGCGGGTACACGTATTGTTAAACGTCCCCGCCCAGCAGTGTCAGGTTGATGGTTGCAGTTGTTGTCAGCGTCCCATGAAAACGCGCATCCTTATGTAGAAAGAGTGGTAGATTCAGCCTCCTGAGGGTCGGGTCCCCGCGTAACTCTTAGTCTTTCTGTCTTGGTAGCCAGGAGCCCATCTCGCTGGCCAGCTGCGCCATGGCTGATCTGGTTCCAGACTTGCAGCCCATTCTTTTCTGGATGTCTAACTCCATCGAGCTCCTGTACTTTATCCAGCAGAAATGCCCACTCTACATGCAGAGCATGGAGGAGCAGCTGGACATCACAGGTACGGCTGGCGCTGCCCTCCATTCCCCCCGCCAGCACCCCAGGCAGGGGAGTGTGGCATCTCCTCGCCGTCCTCGGAACCTAGTTGGCCATGATAGCAGGGGTGGATTCATGCCGGGGGCTTCCTCAGTCCCTAGGCTGCCATGTGTCAGTTGCTCGGGGACGGCCTGTGAGGCTGGTGCTGGTGGCACGGGCCAGTCTGGCACCTCCCCCCACAGCACCTTGGCACTCAGTCTGTCCCCATCATCCCGTGTGCTCCGTGCGGTGGCGTCCCCTTGACCGCAGCCCCACTCTTCTGCTTGCAGGAGGGCCCGGGGGGTACACAGATCACTCAGTAGGGGAGACACAGATGCCACCGTGAACCAAATGTAAGGGGCGGTAGAGAGAGCGTCGGCCATGAGACCGCCGCCCGTTCTGAGACACACCGTTATTCCAGAAGGACAGATGTTGCCAGTCATTGTTGTGAAATTGTAGATTATGTCGGTTTCACAGATTAAGATGTGGGAAATACACATTTCGGGATTTCTTTTTCTTTTTTTGAGACGGAGTCTCGCTCTGTCACCCAGGCTGGAGTGCAATGGTGCGATCTTGGCTCACTGCAAGCTCCGTCTCCCAGGTTCAAGCGATTCTCGTGCCTCAGCCTCCCGAGTACCTGGGATTACAGGAGCATGCCACCTCGCCCGGCTAGTTTTTGTATTTTTGGTAGAGATGGGGTTTCACCATGTTTGCCAGGCTGGTCTCAAACTCCTGATCCGCCCCACCTCAGCCTCCCAAAGTGCTGGGATTACAGGCATGAGCCACCGTGCCTGGCCACCATTTCAGGATTTCTGAAATGCAGTAGGAAGTGTTCTGAAAATACTAAGGGAGAGGGATTCCATCGGGGCAGTCTAGGGGGCTTCGAGAGGAAGGTGGCATGGGGCCGGGCCCGGAAGCCGGGGTAGGATTTCGGCTCATGTGTCTGCTAAGGACTGTGTGGGGCCTGGAATGGAGCCAGACGGGGCAGCAGGACTGTGCTGCTGTGCTGCGGAAGTGAGGAGCCGGCCCAGGGAACTGGGGGCCAGACCTCTCATGGGAAGCCTTGGTTCTGCCCCCAACGGCCTTGCTGTCCACCCACTGCCCTCACATCTGTGGGGTGGGCTGTCAGGCGGGCACAGTGCCAGAGGGTCCTGAGTGGCCGTGGCGTGGCGGTCTGGCTTCTGGAGGATCCGGGTAGGGAGTGGTGCATTCAGAGCTGCTCCAGGCTGCGTCTCTGAGCTTCGAGGGAGGCGCAGGCCCGGTGTGCAGGGACAGGAGCTCCCACAGGCTCAGTCTACCAGACGCTGCGGGGTCTCTGTGTACTCAGCTGTGTCCCCATCCCTGGGAGGGGGCTGTGGCTGTGGCTGCATCTGAGACAGCCCGGAGGACACAAGGCCAGGCGAGGTACTGGCCAGGCTGTGTTGGGGGCGCTGGGACCCTGCTGTGCCCCCCCATGCCTTAGGGGCAGGTTTCCTGAGAGGAGGGGCTCTCCGTGGTGAGAGGGAGGTGGCGGGGCATCTGCACAGTGACCCTGTGGTGGGACAGGCTCCCACAATGCGTCGGGGCCCAGTCCTCAGCCTCCGGGCGGGGGCCGGGCTGCAGAGACCAGGCTGGACTGAGGGCGCGTGGAACAGGCCGGGCTGGCCCTGGCCATGAGGTTGTGGGGTGGGGCCCCCGCTCCTGGGGGAGGCAGAGCCGGCCAGGATCTGTCCGAGTTCCTTCCTGCCGGCCACGGTTCCTTCCCACTGTTTCCTTCTCCCCTCCTTCACAGGGAAGGGGATGTGGGGATCTGCCAGGGTCTCCCCAGTCCTGGGAATCGGGGCTGCCTTCAATATGTGGGGGTAGTGTCAACCCCTCCTGGCCTTGGTGGGCATCCGGGCATCTGGCCTGTGCCCTTGCCCCCCACGTGATGGGGCAGCCCCTGCCTGTCCATGGGGCCTGGGCCTAGGGTAGACCTTTCCTCTGGCTTTTTCCTGGAAAGTGACGTAAACGACTGTGGGTCCCTAAGTCTCCACGCAAGGTTCCCACCTCCAGCTGCCCAGCTACAGGCCTCCCCTGGGGCTCCTGGGCTCCCGGGACTACAGCGCCCGTCGCCTCTCCCTGCAGACCTGACTCTGCCATCCTCCAGGGCTGGATTTGCAGCCGGCAGGTGGCCCTGGGATGGAGGCAACTCCGGAGTTGCGGCCGGCCAAGGGTGACCCTCACTGACCTTGCAGTGCACTTGGTCCTTCCGTGTGACAGGGGGACGGGGCCAGCTTAGGAGCCCCTTTTGTTCCGGCCCCCACAGGAAGAGTCAGCTCAGGGACCTGTGATTTTTCGGCTCTGTGTTCCTGGAGAGTCCCCGGCTGACTTTCCACGTGGCTTCGTGGCTGCCTGGGTTTGGTGGCCGCAGGCAGCTGGGTCCCATGTGGTCCCCGTGCTGGCTGCTCTTCATGGGAAAAATTGCTCTGGGCTGTTGGAGCTGCTGCCTTTGGTCTTGGGAGGAAGTTATTTTTGGTCAGGGGCCTGAGCAGTGTTTGGCCCGGCGATGGGAGCCAGGGCCCAGGGATGCCTGCAGGCTCCGGGTGTCGAGGGCCAGGCAGGCACCAGGGAACAGAGTGGGAAATAGCCCCTAGAAGGGGCCGGAGGGGCAGAGCCCCGTCAGCCTCCCGACCCTCTGCAGGAAATGTCTGTGGGAAGAATTCGGAGAGCAGGGCTGTCGCGTCCCGAGGGTGGGTCACGTGGCTGTTGTCATTCCGCAAACACTGTTTTGTACAAAGCTCTGACCCAGGCCCCTCCCGCGCCGCCTCACACCATCGTGTGCGCCTCAGATTCTCCTCGTGGCTGGAGCTCAGCGCCTTCTTCTTTAGGGATAGGGCCAGCTTCCTCAGGGGTCCTGGAGTTTCGGGGCAGGGCAGGGGCAGCCGGCTGGTGTGTCCTCTTAATGGCTCGTGGGCGTCGGAAATCCTCAGAAATGCCCACCAGCCCTGGTACCACAGGGAGAGGCGTCTCCGGGGGTTTAGAAATGGAGTCTCAGGGCTGGGCTCACACCTGTCCTCCCCGCACTTTGGGAGGCCGAGGCAGGCAGATCACATGAGGTCAGGAGTTTGAGACCAGCCTGGCCAACATGGTGAAACCCCGTCTCTACTAAAAATACAAAAATTAGCCAGGCATGGTGGCATGTGCCTGTAGTCCTAGCTACTTGGGAGGCTGAGGCAGGAGAATCGCTTGAACCTGGAAAGCTGAGGCTGCAGTGAGCTGGGATTGTGTCATTGCACTCCAGCCTGGGCGACAGAGTGAGACTCTGTCTTTAAAAAAAAAAAAAAAAGAGAGAGAGAGAGAGAGAAATGGAGTCTCAGGGCCGGGTGCAGGGGTGCATGCCTGTAATCCCAGCACTTTGGGGGGCCAAGGCGGGTAGATTGGAGTTCCAGACCAGCCTGGGCAACATAGTGAGATCCCATCTCTACCAAAAATTAAATAAAAGAAGAAATGGAGTCTCAGGCCCGTGGTGGGTGGCTGGAGGCTGCTTTGTGGTTTCATTCAGCACAGTCCCTGCCACCTTCTCCTGTCATTCCCATGCCCCGTTTCCCTCTTCCCACCAGTGCCCCGCCCCTGCCCAGGGAGTGATGTGGGGCTGGGTTCTCAGACCTGGCAGCCTGAGGCAGCCAGGGTCAGGGCACCAGGACAGGTGGACGGGACAGAGCTCAGCCTCCTGACCCGCCTGCCGTGGCTGTGAATATCCTTTGCCGGCACTCGCTGTGGGCGCCGTCGGGCCACCTTGTGTGTCTCCACAGGCCTGGAGGCTTCTGGGCACAGTGTTGAGGTTGGCAGAGCCCGAGAGCCCCTTACTGCCCCGGACCCCGGGGTCCCTCCAGCTGCCCTGCCTGGTTCCCAGATGTGACCCTGTGGGGCAGGCACTGGGGGGCTTCACAGGTTCTTGGGGAGCGGGCTTGGTGGGTGGGGGCCAGGCAGCCCCAAGCCCCTGAAGGAGGAGCACCAGGAGCGGCAGAGCGAAAGTGACAGGGGCTTGTCCAAGGGCTTGGCGCACCATTGTCCTGGCCATGAGTGGGCCGGCCTCCGGTGCAGTCTGCCCGGCAGAGGGGCAGCTGGGGGCCTGTGCTCCTGGGAGGCCCGCGCTGGGGTGAGTGTTGGCCTGGCTCACCAGGCGCCGCCCATGCAGCCCTGGCAGGCGGCCTGGACAGGCAGCCCCCACGATGCGGCCCCTCTGCCCCTCCTGGAAGAAGGCCCCACAGGAGGGAGAGGAGGGGAGCTGTGGCCGCCCACGCGGCTGACAGGGAACACCACTGTGGTTGGCCGCCCACAGTCCCAGGAGAGAATGAAGGCGCCCAAAGGCGGAACACCCAGGGTCCTGGCCCCTTCCCCAGGTGCTGATGGGACCCTCAGTCACTGAGACCACCACATGCTCCCTCACTTTCTGGAAGCCCCCGGGGAAGGCTCCACCCTGTTGGGGGCCTCCCACCTTCACAAGAGCCCCCACCCAGACGGCAGGAACCACTCCGTGGGCAGCTCCCCCCAGCCTCAGCTCCAGCCGCCCCGGCTGACACCCGGGGGTGGGGGTGAAATAGCTGATTTGGGCTTTTTCTTCCCAAAAGACTTATGATTCCACAGAGTGGCGGCCACTCAGGGGCTGCTGCCAGAGTCCTGTGACCCGTGTCGCGAGTGAGAGGTGACCTGTGGGGAGGCAGTTAGGACCTGCTATGTTGGGTGCAGTTGGTTGTAACAGAAAACGTATCCAGAACGTGGGAGTGAATGAGCGCTTGGGCTGGGCTGGGCTGGGCATTGAGATGTTGGGTGTCTGGACCCCTCCTGCCCCTCCCGGCATTCCCCTCCCCAGGTAAGAGTGGCGGCAGGTTTGCTGCGCTCGTCCCAGCCAGGGCCCAGAGTCCCTCGGCCAGTTTATCGCATCTGGACCCCAGATGGGCGCGTTGGGTGGTGCCCGCGCCAGGGAAAGAGCTGGCGGCTGGCTGAGTTGCTGCGTTCCTGAGCGCTGTGCCCGTTGTGACCATTGGCGTGGCTGTCTCCCGGCAGGCTCGAAGGAATCGCTGTTCTCCTGCACGCTGACGGCCAGCGAGGAGGCCATGGCGGTGCTGGAGGAGGTGGTGCTGTACGCCTTCCAGCAGTGCGTCTACTATGTCTCCAAGGTGCACGGACGGGCTCTGCTTCTGCACTCAGGCAGCTCCTGGGATCAAGTGGGGCTCAAGCTTGTGCCTGTGGCTCTCCTAAGGAGCCTTCTGGGGGGCTGAGGGAGGGGACCGTGACAAGCTCCACTTCATCAGGGAGCAGTGGCTGCAGGTTCTGCACAGGCCCAGCTGCACCCCCCACACCCGCTCCTCCTCAGGTCGCACAGAAGCCCTAGAACCATCCCAGCTCCCTTTCCCTCGCCTTGAAACGCCCCCTTCCTGCCAGTATTTCGAGGGTCAGGGATGAGGTGGGGGAGGCCCCAGCATGGGGCGCAAGGGACATGGCCCTGTTGTCACCCTGGACCCACGGGTGCCAGAGGTGCTGCCGCCGGTCCCCCTGTGGCCCTGGCCAGCTTGGGGTGCATCGGGGGTGCGGTGAGCCACTTTCTGGGGGAGTGGTGACTCTCCCGTCATTTTGTTGGAGCCCCTTTGTTGGAGCCCATCCCCCCAGGCGCCACCTCTGTGCGCCTTCTGAGTTCATCTGTGCCTCCGACAGCAGATCCCCCTGAGCCCCCTGCACCCCACCTCTGCTCCCAGCAGCCCCAGGAGGCAGCTCCTGTGTCCCCACATCCCACACTGGACATTTGCAAAGCCATGGCCTGTCCAGCAGGAAGCTACCGAGGCCGGGTCCCTGCAAGCAGTGCGTGGGTGGGGAGCTCGCTGGGTCAGGCCCCCCGTTCGGCCGCCAGCGCTCCTGGAAATGCTGGTTGCTGTTCTCCTCTTGCCCCCGCCAGTCCCTGTACATCTGCCTCCCGGCACTCCTGGAGTGCCCGCCATTCCAGACGGAGCGCCGTGAGAGCTGGTCCTCGGCCCCCGAACTGCCCGAGGAGCTGCGCCGCGTGGTGTCTGTGTACCAGGCAGCCCTGGACCTCCTGCGGCAGCTGCAGGTGCACCCCGAGGTGGCCTCGCAGATGCTCGCCTACCTCTTCTTCTTCTCCGGGACACTGCTTCTCAACCAGCTCCTCGACAGGGGTGAGGGCCTCGTGCAGGGTTGAGGGGTCGGGGGCTCACATTCCTGGACATGACGGCTGCTGGCGCCTCCCTCGCCAGCTCCTGGAGGCGGCTCTGCCCTTTTTGGCCTCCTGCTCCCTGAGCGTCTGGTGTCCCTGAGGGGTGAGAGGCCAGAGTGAGGGGGGACAGATCAGCACAGCGCATCCCGTAGGAGCCAGGGTCCCATCGGGGTTTCAGAGAAGCCACGGCCGAGAGGTCTGCATGGGACCCCTTCCCCGTGACAGGGAGGGAACGGGCTCAGGGCATCATTGGACTGTCCCAGAACTGCCCGGTGGACATGTCAGGGCCAGGATGGAACCCAGGTCTGTGCAGCCGCGGACTCTGGCCTTGGACCCTGCCTTGTGGAGTGACTTCCCCCATCACCTGCAGGGCTCAGGAGCACTGGCCACTCCCAGCCAGGGCCACTGTGGGGCGTGGGGAGACCCAGGTGGGGGCAGGCCCCCGGCACATGTGTCTGGGAGTGGGAGAGGGTCCCAGCTAGGGGCTGCACTGTGGAGTCAGCGGCAGTCACAGCCCACCCTGCCCTGCTACGTTCACCTCCCACCGTACCCCCGCTCCAGAGAGGGGTTCAAGGCTGGTCAGTTGCCTTGAAAACCGAGGGAAGGTGTCCTGCCTGTCATCGAGCTGTGATGTCCTCAGTGGCCCAGAGCCGGGAAGGGCAGGCTCTGGGGACAGGCCCATGTCTGTGTCCCCCCAGGAGGGCAGCCCAGGCATCACCCTCCCTTCTTCCCTCCACAGGCCCCTCCCTGAGCTGCTTCCACTGGCCCAGAGGTGTCCAGGCCTGCGCCCGCCTGCAGCAGCTCCTGGAGTGGATGCGGAGCGCCGGCTTCGGGGCGGCTGGAGAGCACTTCTTCCAGAAGCTCTCCTGCACCCTCAACCTGCTGGCCACACCCAGGGCCCAGCTCATCCAGGTAGGGGTGCGCATGGGAGGCGGCGAGTGTGGGGAGGGGCGGGGCCACATGCTGTGGGTCCCTGGCTCACAAACCAAGCCTGGGGGCCGGGACGGGGCTTCTTGGCTGGAAACCTCAAAGCTACCGTAGGTAATCAGAAAAGTTGCTTCCATTCCATGGCTGTGTCCACCTGCGGTAGACAGGATAATGGCCCAAAGATGTCTGAGACCCGTGACCGTCTTACCCTGTGACCGTATTACCCCACATGGCAAAGAAGCCTCTGTACGTGTGACTACGATTAAGGACCTTGAGATTCGGAGATGACCTGGGTATCCGGGTGGCCCAGTCCACTCAGACAAGTCCAGAAGGTCAGAGAGAAACAGAAGAAGAGGGGATGTGGCTCTGAGGCTGGAGGAGGGGCCAGGAGCACAGGAGTGCAGTGGCCTCTAGAAGCTGGAGTGACCCCAGCTGACAGCCAGTCTGGAAACGGGACCCCAGTCCTACAACCACAGGAACTGAATTCTGACAGCAACCGGAAGAGCAGGGAGACAGATCCTCCCCCGGGGGCTTCATCTTGCTGTCAGCTCTGTGAGACCCGGCTGAGCTGTGGAGCCGCGGAGCTGTGAGAGTGCACTGTGTGGCCGTGACCGCCAGGCGTGTGGGCATTTGTCACAACGGCAATGGGAAACCGACATGCCCCTCCCTGCTTCCCTCGCTGCTCACCACCCCCCTCCCAACACAGTCAGCCACTCACCACCCCCCTTCCCAACACAGTCATCACAGGTAATTAATGGAAATAGACCGATGGTTTCCTCTCCTGCCTGGAAAACGCTGAACATGCTGTACTGTGATGGTGACAGTGGCCACAGGGCGAATCGCTTGAACCCGCGAGGCAGAGGTTGCAGTGAGCCGAGATCATGCCACTGCACTCCACCTTGAGCGACAAAGTGAGGCCCTGTCTCAAAAGAAAAAAAAAGTGAAGCATTTTTATTGACTGTAGAAAATTCGTAAAATGAGGCTGTCTGGATCCTACGTGTGGCAGATTGAACACATGAATTTAGTTTGCTTCTCCTACAGTATCACTAAACAGAAGTAAAGCAATGCTTTTTAATGCCACAAACCCATGAGGATAAAATCTAGAGGAGGCAAAAGCAATGCGATTTTGGAAGGCAGAAAGCAGATGGGTGAACTGCCTTAGCAGATTGAAGAAAGCTGACTCGGCCAGGCACGGTGGCTCATGCCTGTCCTCCCAGTGCTTTGAGAGGCTGAGGTGGGAGGATCACTTGAGGCCATTGGTTTGAGACCAGCCTGGGCAACACAGCGAGACCCCATCTCTACAAAAAAGAAAAAAGCAATCTGACTCCTGAGAAGCAACCCAGTTTACAGGAAGCCACCAAGAGGCTCAGGAATTGGTGGCACCAGGTACCTCTGGACACCGATGTCAAGATGGGGCTAAAACAGAAGAACAGTTGATAGACATTGTGGCAAGCACTGAGGCTTGGATGGAGCAGCTGAGCCTGCAGTTCCACTGAGGACAGCCCGCACAGCCGGAAAGAAACACAAAGTCATCTGTTGAAAGGCGTGAGCGAGCTCCTGAAGGATGAGGAGAGAGTGAGCCTCCACAAAGAGCTGACTGAAGTTCCTGTTGCTTTTCCCTGGGGACATTTGCTGTCCTGGGAGCAGGTGACGGTGTGAGGCTGAGAATCTAGGCTTTGTCCAGGCAGGGGCCACTGGTGGGGAAACAGAAACTGGAACAGCACAGCACTGGCCATCTCACAGGAGGGAGGCAAGCTCAGAGACTTCAGGGGCCTGAATTGCATGGCCGGCTTTTCCCTAAGACACTTGCCAACATTCTGAATCTCCAGGGAGTGCGATGGAGAGAGGCTTTAAAACGGAACCAAAAGCATTGAAAAGGGGAGTGGAATCTGTGGTGCCTTCACAGTGTAGAGGAGACAGAGATGACGAGTCCAGGACCCCTTGGGAAGTAAACACCAGGCCCCCAGTGGAAACACTGGGGTGAGAGGCAGGCATGGGGCAAACGCCTGTAGTGCCAGCTACTTGGGAGGTTGAGGTAGGAGGATCATTTGAGTCCAGGAATTAAACGCTTCAGTGAGCCATGATCACACCACTGCACTCCAGCCTGGGCAACAGAGGAAGACCTCAACTATGAAAGAAAGAAAAGAAAGAAAGAAAGGAAAGAGAGAGAGAGAGAGAGAGAGAGAGAAAGAAGAACCTTGGGGTAAGGATGAAGCAGAGGCTGTCTGAGCCTCACCAAAAGCTTGCCAACCCCAACTCAGCATTAAGTTCATTGGCAACAATGAAGATACAAAATATCCAAACCTGTGGGCTGCAGTTAAAGCAGTCTTAAGAGGAAAAGTTATAGCCTTATATGTATATGTTAGAAAACAAGGAAGGCCAAGAATGAATAATCATGAGGTAAGAAAGAGAATGACAAATCAAACCCAAGGAAAGCAGAGGAGATGACGGATGAGAGCTAAAAATCAGTGAACTAGGAAGCAAACAGGGTTGAGATAAGCAATAAAGCCAGGAGTGGGTTCTTTGAAAAGTTGAATAAGAGGCTGGGTGTGGTGGCTTACACCTGTAATGCCAGCACTTTGGGAGGCTGAGGCAGGTGGATCATTTGAGGTCAGGAGTTTGAGACCAGCCTGCCCAATATGGCAATACCCCGTCTCAACTAAAAATACAAAAATTAGCTGGGCGTGGTGGCACGTGCCTGTAATTTCAGCTACTTGGGAGGCTGAGGCAGGAGAATCCCTTGAACCTGGGGGGCAGAGGCTGCAGTGAGCCGAGATCATGCCATTGCACTCCAGCCTGGGTGACAGAGCAAGACTGTCTCAAAAATAATAATAATAAAATAAAAATAGAAAGTTGAATAAGGGAGAAAACACAATTGCTAGTATCAGAAAAAGGAGGCCATCACTCAGATTCCACAGTAAAAATTAAAAATTAGTAGTAAGAGGAGATCATAACCAACTTTTTGCTGATAAATTTGACAATTTAGATGAAATGGACAAATAAGAAAAAGAATACTTATTGAAACTGATTCAACAGGAAGTTAAAAATCTGAATGGTCCTGCATGCTTTAGAGAAACTGAAAGGCCAGGTGTGGTAGCGCCCACCTGTAATCCTAGCACTTTGGGAGGCCAAGGCAGGAGGATCCCTTGAGACCATGAGTTCAAGACCAGCCTGGGCAACATGGTGGAACCCCTATCTCTACAAAAACACACACAGAAAAAGTAGCCAGGCATGGTGATGCATGCCCGTGGTCCCAGCTACTTAGAAGGCTGAGGCAGGAGGATTCCAGGAGCCCAGGAGACTGAGGTTTCAGTGAGTTATGGTTGTGCCACTGCACTCCAGCCTGGACGTCAGAAATGAGACCTTGTCTCAAATAAAAAAAAAAGAAATTAAATTGATTAACATTTTCCCCTGAAGAAGATTCAAGGTCCAGATGGTTTCATTGGTGAATTATTTTAAACATTAAAGAAGAATTAGGCCAGGCGCGGTGGCTCACGCCTGTAATCCCAGCACTTTGGGAGGCCGAGTTGGGTGGATCACGAGGTCAGGAGATCGAGACCATCCTAGCTAACAAGGTGAAACCCCATCTCTACTAAAAATACAAAAAATTAGCCGGGCACGGTGGCGGGCGCCTGTAGTCCCAGCTACTTGGGAGGCTGAGGCAGGAGAATGGCGTGAACCCGGGAGGCGGAGCTTGCAGTGAGCCGAGATTGCGCCACTGCACTCCAGCCTGGGTGACAGAGTGAGACTCCATCTCAAAAAAAAAAAAAAAAAAAAAAAAAAGAAATAATACCATCAGTACCAAATTCTTACCAGAAAGTAGAAAAAGAGGAAACCCTACCTCACTTTAAAACACCAGTAATACCTTGACAGCAAAACTCGAAAAGGGGCTGTAAGAAAAGAGAATTACGCATGAAAGATGGACAACTTCATTCGTCATCAGAGAAACGCAGCCCAAACTCTCCACATTTCAGGCTGGTCCGAGTGTATTGGTGTTTAGAACTAATTCATCACAACCAGTTACAGATTTTGTTGTTTCTTCTCCACTCGCATTGCTTCACTTGACTAGCCTTAAAAAACAAAAGCAAAAACAAACCTCAACAGTTTTTTTTTTTGTTTTTTGAGACGGAGTCTCACTCTGTCGTCCAGGCTGGATGGAGTGCAGTGGTGTGATCTCAGCTCACTGCAACCTCCACCTCCTGGGTTCAAGCAATTCTCCTGCCTCGGCCTCTTGAGTAGCTGGGGTTACAGGCATGTGCCACCACACCCAGCTAATTTTTGTATTTTTAGTAGAAATGGAGTCTCACCATGTTGACCAGGCTGGTGGACAAACTCCTGACCTCAGGTGATCCGCCCACCTCAGATTCCCAAAGTGCTGGGATTACAGGTGTGAGCCACCACGCCCGGCCTAATCTCAGCGTTTTAAACACCGAACACATGAGAATGGTTGAAAGGAAGAAAGCCAGGCCCTGGTGAGCAGGTGCAGTGGTTTGAACCCTCAGGTGTTCCTGGTGACGTTGTAAATGAGGCTCGCCACTTTGGAAAGCCGTCTGGCAGCGTCAGCTGAAGCTGACCGAGTGCATGTGCTCCGATTGAGCAATTTCCCCGACGGAGATGCTTCCGTGGGTCCCTCGCCACGGCCCGCTTAGGGATGCTTCCAGTGGCGCCACTCGTAACCGCCCCAGACTGGGAAAAACCCATATTCTATTTATCAACAACATGAGGGATGAATAAAGCAGTCTCTTCAGTACAGTGAAATACGGCAGAGCAACGTGACTGAGCAAACTCGTTCCTGGGAGACACGGACACACCTGAACCGTCGGCTGGGCACTTTGGGAGGCCGAGGCAGGAGGATCACTTGAGCCCAGGACTTCCAGACCAGCCTGGGTAACACAGTAAGACCACCCCACATCATCTTTCCAAACATAAATTTTTTTTTAAATTAGCCAGGCATGGTGATGTGTATTCCCAACTACCTGGGGAGGCTGAGGCAGGAGAATTGCTTAAGCACAGGGGGTTTGCAGTGAGCTGTGATCGTGCCACTGCACTCCAGCCTGGGTGACAGAGTAAGACCCTGTCATAAAATTAAATAATAAAAGAAAATAAATAAGGCCGGGCATGGTGGCTGACGCCTGTAATCCCAGCACTTTGGGAGGCCGAGGTGGGTGGATCACCTGAGGTCAGGAGTTCGAGACCAGCCTGGCCACCACTGAAACCTCATCTCTACTAAAAATAGAAAAACTAGCCAGGCATGGCGTAAATATACAAAAATTAGGCAGCTATTCAGGAGGCTGAGACACATGAATCACTGGAACCCGGGAGATGGAGCTGGCAGTGAGCCGAGATCACACCACCACACTCCAGCCTGGGTGACAGAGCAAGACGCTGTCTCTATTAAAAAAATACAAAAATTAGCCAGGCGTGGTGTAAAAATACAAAAATTAGCCAGCTACTCGGGAGGCTGAGACGTATGAATCACTTGAACTCGGGAGATGGAGGTTGCAGTGAGCCGAGATCACGCCACTGCACTCCGGCCTGGGCGACAGAGCGAAACCCCGTCTCTAAATAAATCAATTAAATAAAATAAAATAAATAAATAAATAAAATAAGATGTAAAATACTCCTGAAAGGGCAGGTTGAGCTGAAGGAGTCGAGTTCAAGGAGCGTGTCTGCAGGGCTGGAAGTGGGGCGGGACCTGCCGTGGTGCCTGGGCGGGCCTGGGGGCTCCCGAGCAGCCGCCGCCCACGTTCTTGTTCTTGTTTTGGGGGCTGGACACACAAGCGTGTTCCTCGGGGGAAATTCGTTGGCTTGTGCGTGTCAGATGTGTGGTTTCCTGTGTGCACGGAAAGGAGGCAGCAGCGACACTCAGGATCTCCGCCTCCCCCCGCTCAGCCGGGCGGGGATATTTCTAGAACGTTGAAAACAGGACTTCTCCTGGCTAGGGAAACTAGGCCGAGCCGAGGGCAGGAACCTCGTGATGGAAGGGGGGCCCCGGCCTCTCGCCCAGCTTGGCGGCCAGGCCCGAGCGCCCCTGCGGGAGATGGGCAGGCCCGAGTCGGCAGTGACAGCCCGGGGAGGCGGGGGACAGCGCCAGGGGTCTTCCAGAAGCGGCCGGGCCACCCCACGCTGAGGCCAGGAAGCGCCTGTCCTGCGCCCCGCATCCTGAGCAGAGCGTCTACAGGAGACGCGGAGGGGCAGTGGCATTGGAACGGGGGGGCAGTGGCGTCGGAAGGGGACAAGGGGGGGCAGTGGCGTCGGAAGGGGACGCGGGGGGGCAGTGGCGTTGGAACGGGGGCAGTGGCGTCGGAAGGAGACGTGGAGGGGCAGTGGCGTTGGAAGGAGACGTGGGGGGGCAGTGGCGTCGGAACGGGGGGCAGTGGCGTTGGAAGGAGACGCGGAGGGGCAGTGGCGTTGGAAGGAGACGCGGAGGGGCAGTGGCGTCGGAAGGAGACACGGAGGGGCAGTGGTGTTGGAATGGAGGGCAGTGGCGTCGGAACGGGGGGCAGTGGCGTTGGAAGGAGACGCGGAGGGGCAGTGGCGTTGGAAGGAGAAACGGAGGGGCAGTGGCGTTGGAACGGGGGCAGTGGCGTCGGAAGGGGACGCGGAGGGGCAGTGGCGTTGGAAGGAGAGACCAGGGCCGCGGGGCTGCTTCTTGTAAAGGGCCAAGCTGTGAGGACTTCGGGCTTTGCGGCCGCTTTTGTCTATGTCCCATCTCCTTCTTTGTTTTGTTTTTCTCAAACCCTTTAAAAACGTGAAAACCATTTCTAGCTTGGGGGCCCTATAAAAATAGGCCTCGCTGGCCCTAGTTTGATGACCCCTGAAACAGACAATTCAAGGAGAAGCTTAGTGAAAGAGTCACTTATAGCTTCATAAAAATAAGAGAAGATATAGTATCCATAAAATAATAATAAGATTGTATCCATGAGAGAACAAGAGCGGTCTTGGAAAATAAAACTGTGGAAGCAGAAATAAAAAGCTGTGCAGAGCCTGGGAGAAAAGCCCTCCAGAGAGGAGGGTGAGGAGCGGGGAGAGAGAGGGGGCGGAGGGATGCCAGGGTAGGGAGGAGAGTAAGAAGGCAGAAGAAGATACAGGGAGAGAGGGGAGAGAGAGAAGGACGGGGGAGAGAGGAAGAGGGGAAGGAGAGGAGGAGAAGGAAGAGAGGAAGAAGGAGGAGGGAGGGGAGAGAGACAGAGGGAGGGAGGGAGAGAAGGAGAGGGAGGAAGGAGCGGAGAAAGATGGAGGGAGAGGAGAGGGAGGAGGGAGGGGAGAGAGACAGGGAGAGAGGGAGGAGGGAGAGGAGAGAGACAGGGAGGGAGAGGAGAGGGAGGAGGAAGTGGAGAGAGGGAGGGACAGGGAGAAGAAGAGGGAAGAGGGAGGGGAGAGAGATGGGGGGGAGAGAGAGGCAGGGAGGGGAGAGAGAGAGGGAGAGAGAAGAAGAGGGGTAGGAAGGAGGAGAGAGGGAGGGAGAGGAGACGGAGGAGGAAGGGGAGAGAGACGGAGGGGGAGAAAGGGAGGAGGGAGGGCAGAGAGACGGAGGGGGAGAAGGAGAGGGAGGAGGGAGGGGAGAGAGATGGAGAGAAGGAGAGGGAGGAGGGAGGGGAGACAGAGAGAGAGAAGGAGCGGGAGGAGGGAGGGGAGACGGGGGGAGAGAGAAGGAGAGGGAGGAGGGAGGGGAGACAGGGAGAGAGAGAAGGAGAGGGAGGAGGGAGGGGAGACAGAGGGAGAGAGGAGGGAGGGGAGACGGAGAGGGAGGAGGGAGAGGAGACAGACAGAGGGAGGGGGAGAAGGAGAGGGAAGAAGGAGGAGAGTTCTGTTCCCTTGAAGCTGATCTCTTGGCCCCGACCTCTGGTCCCGGACCAAGCACAGAAGTGAGAGTAGAGAAGGTTCTAGGAACTCACAATCAAACAGAACCACCCCCGGGCAAACCAGAGGCTTTCTTGAAGGGTGTGTAAGGGGTGAGGGTGGTGGGGGCCGGTGGTGTTGGAGGACGTCGTTCTGTGCCCTCACCCCTCCTGCACGACGCCCGAGACACCGATTATCCTTCAGCGTGGACATCTGGTAGCCACAGCCCAGGCCCCTGGATATGGGCAGAAAAACACATGGGAGAGAAACAGAGCGAGGAGGCAAAGGTGAGAACAGAGGGGACCCAGCAGCGAGGCCACATCCAAACAGTGGGAGTCCAGAAAGAGCCAGCAGAGGGGTGGAGGGCGCGGGGAAGGCAGGTGCAGGCAGTCTCCAGAGCCACGCATTGAGGTGGAGGAGCTGCTGCCAAGAGTGGGCTTACAGCAAAACTCAGCATCCCAGGGCTGCAGGACGATGGGTGCAGAGAACCCACAGGCTTCCAGACAAGAATCAGTACAAGGCAGACCCTGAAGATTTGCACTCAGGTTGCTTTGGACGAGCAGCACGGGAGTCACAGGACAAAACAGCACCTGCAGAATCCGAAGGGTGACGCCCTCCCGCCTGGAGTTCTGTGCCAGCCAGATGACCAGTCCAGGGTGGAGGTGAAGACAGTTCCAGCACGCAGGGCAGTGGGTTTCCTGCAATGCGCCCCTTTTGGGAAGCTACTAGAAGATCTATTCCATAGAAACAGGACAAACCAGAGAGCTGAAGAAATGAATTGCAGAAAATAAGAACCGGCTGGGAGCCGGGGAAAGGAACCCCAGAAGGATGATGATGGAGGTCCTGGCGGGCCGCAGAGGCTGTTTAATTTTATTGGAGGGATCCACCCTTCCTTACGGTGTAGGCTTTTTGTCTTGCCTAAAACGTTTTCCTGGGCCGGAGCCAGTGGCTCATACCTGCAATCCCAACACTTTGGGAGGCTGAGGCGGGAGGATTGCTTGAGGCCAGGAATTTGAGACCAGCCGTGGAGTTTGAGACCAGGAGTTTGAGACCAACATAGTGAGAACTCCATCTCTACAAAAAAAAACAAAAACAAAAAACTAATGAGCTGGACATAATGGTGCAAGCCTGTGGTCCCAGCTACTCAGGAGGCTGAGGTGGGAGGATCGCTTGATCCTGGGAGGTCGAGGCTGCGGTGAGCTGTGATTGAGCCACTGCACCCCAACCTGCGTGACAGCATGAGACTCTGTCTCAAAAAACAAGCAAACAAACAAATGTTTTCCCTGCCTCCTGTCACCTAAATGATGAATGTCCCTGCCTTCCAGGCAGGTTTTTAGCCGACTTGATTGATTTCTTTCACACCGTTGGAGGCAGGAATCTGATTTCACTGTTCATTTCCCAGTAGTGGTTTCTCTGGTTGGCGGCCGCCTGTGAGGCCGGCCCTTGCTTGAGACGGGGGTGGGTTCCCTGGGCAGGGGGTTCCCGATGGCACTGGCCGGCCTCTCCCTGGAGCAGCTGCCCTTGGAAGTGCCAGGGGTGAACTGCTGCTGTGACACCGTCCCCCTCACAGATGGCCCCTGGTGGGAGTGAGGACCACAGGGCCCCTCAGCTGGCTACCCCCAGGCCACCTGTGGAGGCCATCCCTCTTTGGGCTGGGGTCTGCACCCAGAGACCTGTGACCATGAGCTCCTTCTTGTCACCCAGATGAGCTGGACAGCCCTGCGGGCTGCGTTCCCCGCACTGAGCCCAGCACAGCTGCACCGGCTGCTGACTCACTACCAGCTGGCCTCGGCCATGGGCCCCATGAGCACCTGGGAGCCAGGGGCCCAGGACAGCCCCGAGGCCTTCAGGTCAGGTAAGCCCTGCCCCAGGGCAGGAGAGGGCTGGGGACTCAGTGGGAGACTCGCCCCGAGGCTGGAGGCAGCATGCTCTCATCCCAACTGAAGTGGGGTGTGGGGGACCTCTCTCCTGGGGACCTCCCTGGAGGAGCCTCCACCCAGAGGACCCCCCCGCCCCGCCCCATCCCCAACCTGGGGATCCGGGGACCTCCTCGGCGGGGGAGTCAAGGAGCCGAGAGTCCATGCCCAAGTTCCAAACTCCAGGCTCAGGTCCAAGGCCCCCTCGTTCCCTCACGGAGCCGGAGGATGGGGCCTCCCCTGTTGTATGGCTACCCAGGAAGGGAGCAATGGTGGTACACAGCCGTGGGGACGCATCCCTGAGCCATGTATGTGCACACGCACACACACATGTCCATACGGAGGGGTCTGTGTGCGCATACATGTGTACGTGCATACATAGGGGTGCGTTTTATTTTATTTTTATTTTTGAGACAAGAGTCTTGCTCTGTCATCCAGGCTGGAGTGCAGTGGTGCAATCTCAGCTCACTGCAACCTCCACCTCCCAGGTTCAAGCGATTCTCCTACCTCAGCCTCCCTAGTAGCTGGGATTACAGGTGTCCGCCACCACGCCCAACTAATTTTTGAATCTTTAGTAGAGACGGGTTTCACCATCTTAGCCAGGCTGGTCTCGAACTCCTGACCTAGGTGATTCGCCCACCTCAGCCTCCCAAAGTGCTGGGATTACAGACATGAGCCACCGTGCCTGGCCGAGGGTGCCTTTTATTGATTGATTGACTGAGACAGAGTCTCACTCTGTCACCAGGCTGGAGTGCAGTGGCTCGATCTTGGCTCACTGGAACCTCCACCTCCTGGGTTCAAGCGATTCTCCTGCCTCAGTCTCCCAAGTAGCTGGGATTACAGGTGTGTGCCACCATGCCTGGCTAATTTTTGTATTTTTGGTAGAGACGGGGTTTCACCATGTTGGCCAGGCTGCTCTCGAATTCCTGACCTCAGGCGATCTGCCTGCTCCTGCCTCCCAAAGTGCTGGGATTACAGGCGTGAGCCGCCACCCCCGGCCAGGGGTGCATTATAATGTGTAGATTATACACACATCTCCCTTCATCTGCATTATGTGTTAACACCTCAACAAAACAGAGTACGGGATGGCGGGAGGCGCAGAGGCGATGGGGCCTTGGATGCCCCCCCGCAGCCCCGGGTCACCGTGGAGAACATCTCTGAACAGGAACCCTGGCTCCACCTGACACCTTCTAAGTCCTTCCTCCGCATTGATTCATTTCTGTGGCCTGAATTCTGTGCTGGGAGCTAGGAGCTCAGTATGCACGCACTCTTCCGCCGCCTGAAAGGTGCTCCTGTTCCTGGGGGCAGAGAGCAGCCCGCACACAGGCCGTTTGGGTCCCGTGATTCCTGCAGGGAGGCAGTCGGCTCCAGCCCTGGGAGGAGCTTGCGTCCAGCTCTGCCGGGCTGGGGGAGCTCCAGTTACCCGGAGACACCATCAGAGACCAGTGGGGCAGAGACAGGCCCAGTGCAGAGCGGCTCAGTGGGGCTGGAGGGTTCCTGGCTACAAGGCCTTGTTCTCAGTCCTGAACTGCTCGGATGTCACACCGGGTGGTCGGCGGGAATTCAGAAGGGATGAGTCCTAGGGTGGGGCCAGTCACTGTGGCCAGGATCCCAGCCTCCTGTGTCCACAGGGCAGGGGACTCAGGGCTCAATCTGCTGGCCCCTGGGTTCCCACACCGTTGGGCGGGGCGGCCTGGCGAGGGAGGCAGCTTCTCCTGTGGCCATTACGGGCATCCTCTCTCCCCTGCAGAGGATGTTCTGGAGTCCTACGAAAACCCCCCACCCATCGTCCTGCCCAGCGACGGCTTCCAGGTGGACTTGGAAGCCAACTGCCTGGACGACAGCATCTACCAGCACCTGCTCTACGTCCGCCACTTTCTGTGGGGTCTGCGGAGCAGAGCCAGCCCCGGCAGCCCTGGCAGGCCTGGCAGTGGGGCCTCCCAGCCAGTGTGCCCCGAGGTACCCGGGGAGGGGGCCCCCCAGCCAGCGTGCCCCGAGGTGCCCGGGGAGGGGACCCAGCCAGCGTGCCCCGAGGTGCCCGGGGAGGGGGCCACCCAGCCAGCGTGCCCCGAGGTGCCCGGGGAGGGGGCCCAGCCAGTGTGCCCCGAGGTGCCCGGGGAGGGGGCCACCCAGCCAGCGTGCCCCGAGGTGCCCGGGGAGGGGACCCAGCCAGCGTGCCCTGAGGTGCCCGGGGAGGGGGCCACCCAGCCAGCGTGCCCCGAGGTGCCCGGGGAGGGGGCCCCCCAGCCAGCGTGCCCTGAGGTGCCCGGGGAGGGGGCCCAGCCAGTGTGCCCCGAGGTACCCGGGGAGGGGGCCCCCCAGCCAGCGTGCCCCGAGGTGCCCGGGGAGGGGACCCAGCCAGAGTGCCCCGAGGTACCCGGGGAGGGGGCCCCCCAGCCAGCGTGCCCCGAGGTGCCCGGGGAGGGGACCCAGCCAGCGTGCCCCGAGGTACCCGGGGAGGGGGCCCCCCAGCCAGCGTGCCCTGAGGTGCCCGGGGAGGGGGCCCAGCCAGAGTGCCCCGAGGTACCCGGGGAGGGGGCCCCCCAGCCAGCGTGCCCCGAGGTGCCCGGGGAGGGGACCCAGCCAGCATTCCCCGAGGTGCCCGGGGAGGGGGCCCCCCAGCCAGAGTGCCCCGAGGTGCCCGGGGAGGGGGTCCAGCCAGCATTCCCCGAGGTGCCCGGGGAGGGGGTCCAGCCAGCATGACCCGAGGTGTCTGGGGAGGGGGCCCCCCAGCCAGCGTGCCCCGAGGTGCCCGGGGAGGGGGCCCAGCCAGCGTGCCCCGAGGTGCCTGGGGAGGGGACCCAGCCAGCGTGCCCCGAGGTACCCGGGGAGGGGGCCCCCCAGCCAGAGTGCCCCGAGGTGCCCGGGGAGGGGGTCCAGCCAGCATGCCCCGAGGTACCCGGGGAGGGGGCCCCCCAGCTAGAGTGCCCCGAGGTGCCCGGGGAGGGGGTCCAGCCAGCATTCCCTGAGGTGCCCAGAGAGGGGGTCCATCCAGCATGCCCCGAGGTACCTGGGGAGGGGGCCCCCCAGCCAGCGTGCCCCGAGGTGCCCGGGGAGGGGGCCCAGCCAGCGTGCCCCGAGGTGCCCGGGGAGGGGGCCCAGCCAGCGTGCCCCGAGGTACCCGGGGAGGGGGCCCCCCAGCCAGCGTGCCCCGAGGTACCCGGGGAGGGGGCCCAGCCAGCATGCCCCGAGGTACCTGGGGAGGGGGCCCCCCAGCCAGCGTGCCCCGAGGTGCCCGGGAGGACAGGAGAAGGGTTGGAAGCTGGGCTGGGGGCAGCAGGCGGGAGCTCTGGGAACCCCGGGAGTCCTGGCCCAGCGCAGGCTGTGCTCCGGATGGCGGGGAAGCCCCTTTGCCTCTTGCGCGTCTCAAGCTGCACAGGCTGCGGGAGTCCTTTGCTGACCTCTGCCCCGCGGCCTGGCGGCCCTTCTGCTGCAGGCTGCCCAGTTGCCCGAGTGCTGTGTCCACCTGGCCACTCCTCTACCTGAGCTGTCACCCTTCCTCTCCCTAGGGTATGCACCACGTGGTCCTTGACGGGCACCTGGAGGCCCCGAGCTGCCCCCTGGCTCCCAGGGACCCTGGCCCAGCAGCCCGGGAAGTGGCCCCGGAGCGTACTCTTCCCTTGAGGGGGGCTCCCTGGGCACAGGCCCCCCCTGGAAGGCAACCCAGCCGTGGGGGCTCCCAGGCTGGCCCCCCGCACACGGACTCGTCCTGCTTGCTCACGCCTCCCAGCACTCCACTTGGCCCTGAGCCTGGGGACCCCGACTGGCCAGAGTCCGGCGGCCCCTGTGGAAAAGCGCTCCCAGAGAGGCAGAGGAACGGACTCAGCGGCCTCCGGGGTGCAGCTCCGGAAGGTGAGCCCTGCCTGGTGCTCAGGCGGGAACCCACCCCAGACCCCGCACAGCACCCTGATGGCCGGTCCCCTGGGATCGTTCCCCCCTTGGGTCCTAGGTTTCCTTACCTGCCCCACAGACACCTGCAACCTGAGACGGGGCCAGATGGAGAGGGCTCAGGGCTGCTCAGCCCCCAGCAGCTGGGCCACACGGTCGCTCAGTCGCTGACACGTCTTGGGCAGATACTCACTGTGATCTGGGAGGGAGAGAGTCTAGAAAGTGGCTCAGAGTCACTCCTGCACTGGGCAGAGGAAGGGATGGCTGAGCCAGTGGAGAGGATGTGCTGAGGGGGAACCCAGGGGTCTTCAGGGAGAAGGTGGAGCTGGAGTCCTCCAGGGCAGGGCCTGTGTGTGCCTGTGTGCTTGTGCGTGTGGATATGTGTGCTCACAGGTGCATGGGTGTGCTGGTGCGTGTGTGCATGGGTGTGTGCATCTGCATGGGTGTGTCTGCATGGTGTGCATTGTGTGTGCATCTCTGCATGGGTGTGTCTGCATGGTGTGCATTGTGTGTGCATCTGTGCATGGGTGTAAGTGCACGTGTGCATGGGCATGCTTGCACATGTGTGCATGGCTGTGAGTATATGTGTGCATGAGTGTGTGTGCGCAGCTGGCCTAGGCTGGGGAGGGCATTGAGGGTGAGGCAGCCCCAGCCGGCCCTGGCCTCCTGTGAGGGGCTTGGGTGTGCCTTGCAGGAGCGAAGTGTCCTGGGTGCGTGTGCAGAGTCAGAGTGTCCCCTGTGGCTTGGGGCCACCTGGCCAAGCTGGGTCCCAGGCAGGCCACTTGCTCAGGTGCACAGCTCATCTCTGACCTAAGTGCACCCACGGCAGGATCACCATTATGGAGAGGGCACCAGCTGGTGGCCCTCAGGGCAGGTGCTTGGGCTGGGCTGGGCTAGGGCCTGGGGCCCCGGTCTGGTCAGCGGTGGGAACCCTCAGGGTGCACATGGCCACATCTGGGTGTGGAGGGAGGAGGAGGAGGAGCAGAGATTGCTGAGGAGGTGGCACAGAACCGCGTGGGTCCCTGGAGCTGGAAAACAGCCGCCCCCAGAGGGGCGAGTGTCCTGGGACTGCCAGGGGCGGGGACTGAGGTGCTCCCTCAGGGAACATGGGGGTGTCGCCCATGGGCGGACCCCGACCCTAATGTCTGGGTTGCCGGTCACATTCTGCCTGAACAGCGTCTCCTGGGAGCCACAGGAGGCCATCCCATCCCTGACGCCCTACAGAGGCAGCCAGGCCAGGACATCCCATTCCTCGTCGTGATTCCTGGCGCCTCACTCCCACCCACCTTTCCTGGCCCCCACCCAGGAGACTCTGCAGCCCTTGCGGAGGAGTCCCCTCCAGCCCCGTCCAGCCGCAGCTCCAGCACCGAGGACTTCTGCTACGTCTTCACGGTGGAGCTGGAACGAGGCCCCTCCGGGCTGGGGATGGGCCTGATCGACGGGATGGTGAGTGGCCCAGGACCCTCGCCGCACCCCCATACTGGCTGCCTGGCCCCGCCTGTTCATGCAAGCCTGGCCGCAGCTTGCGTGGCCACGTGGCTACAGGAAGGCCTTCGGGGAGGAGAGTGGGGTTGGCCTCTGCAGCTGGGAGGGGAACCCAGCCTGTCCAACGGCCACGCCCCCTGGGCCTGCTGTCTCTTGCCTCTGTCCTCAAGCCTTTGGGGTCTGTCCTGGGCCTGTGGGGACGGTGGTGTCCACTGCTTTTCTGGAGGGACGCGTGAAACCATGAGTGGGCCTGGCTGGATGCCAGGCGGGGGCCTGTAGGTGCCAAGGGAGGGGCTGCAGTGGTCCTCGCTGGGGACAGCCAGTCGGGCCTGCGGAGCTCTGAGGCCTCTGCTTGTCCCCAGCACACGCACCTGGGCGCCCCCGGGCTCTACATCCAGACCCTGCTCCCGGGCAGCCCCGCAGCGGCCGACGGGCGCCTGTCGCTGGGGGACCGTATCCTGGAGGTGAATGGCAGCAGCCTCCTGGGCCTTGGCTACCTGAGGTACCCCCACCGCATGCACGCCCGGCCCCTTCTCCCAGATGCCCTGCTCAGGGGAGTGGACCTGGGGTAAAGGAGAGGCCCGGCTGCACCCTGTGGGTCTCCCCTGGTGCCCTCCTGCCCACCCCCACCTCTGGCATGGATTTCAGAGCTGTGGACCTGATCCGTCATGGCGGGAAGAAGATGCGGTTCCTGGTCGCGAAGTCCGACGTGGAAACAGCCAAGAAGATCCATTTCCGCACGCCCCCTCTCTAGGGGGGCTGCGAGGACACCCCCACAGGCCCGGCACCCGGTCCCACCTGGTGACACTGGGCTTCCTCCCGCCTTCGTCCCTGTTTTGTAACTGACCAAGTTGGGTCCCGGGTGGGGAGCCTCACCCTGGGGACATGCCTGTTGATAACATGCATCTCAGTGTAGGTTCTATTTATATGGCAGATGACGTGAAATTGTGATGTTTGTTACAGAGCTTTTATGTTTAAAGACTTCAATGGAGAAGTACGGTTCAATAAACTATTTTTCCCGTTCTTAGAGGGTGCCCTGCTGGGGTCTCAACTCGGGCAGCAGGCGTGGGCTGCTCGGAGGGGCCGCAGGGGCTCCCCATGGCCTCTGCCTGCCACCGGCACGGGAGAATGCAGTGACAGCTGTCATCAGGGGATCATCTGAACTGACTCTCCCTGCCCCCGTCCCACCCAGACACAGGGCACTGCAGGAAGCAGCTCCAACAGCCCCTCCCAGCTGAAGCAGGGCCAGACCTGGCAGAGGATGCTGGACTTCTGATCCCGCTGCTCAGCACAGGCCCCAGAGAAAGGTCTAGACACCCAGGCGTTGGAAAGTGGACCGGCCTGATGGTCTCTGAGGCGCCGAGCCCACCCTGGGCCCTGCTTCCTCTCCCAGGACTCCTGCTCCCTCCTGAGTTCCTCTCCCCTACTAAAGCCACCAGCGTGGCCCTGATACCAGGCTGGCGGCCCCAGGCCCTTAATCCTCACCAGCGTCCCCCTGGCCACCGGCCCTAACCCGGGCAGGAGGCCAGCGTCCCTCTCCACCAGCTGGCTGACCATGCGCAGGACCAGGGCAGGGCACTTGCTGCCTCGGGGTGACAGCGTGGGTCGCTGGGCATCCTCAGCAGCTCCACCAACTGGGTGTGGGTGGCTTCCGCGCCCTCCTGGCTGTGGTGGAACTGGTGGCCCAGGGTCATCTTTGATAGCAACAGAGAAACCCTGGGGAAGAGGGTCCCGGCATCAGTTGCAGATGCACCTCTCACTGGGACAGAGGTCTGTGCGGGGTCCCCAGATCGGTGTCCTGGGTCTGTCCCAGGCCCTGGGCCTCGTGCAGCTCCACGCTGCCCCCTGGTGTGCGCTACGGCGAGGTGCAGCGCGTCCGCCCCGCGCCCTCTGCCGACCCGCAGTTCTGTGTGCGGCTCCGCATTGCGCCTGGCTCGAAACGGCGACCACTGCCAGGTTCCCAAAATACTGGATAAAATATATATATATATATAGTGTTTGTATATATATTTAAGATATGTAAAATATATGAATATATATAAATATATAATTATATATGAATATATTACATATTCATGTATACGTAATATATTCGTATATTTTATAAACATTTTTTATATTTTATTATATAAAATATAAATATTTAATTTTTTTTTATGAGACGGAGTCTCGCTCTGTGACCCAGGCTGGAGTGCAGTGGTGCAATCTCAGCTCACTGCAACCTCCACCTCCCAGGTTCAAGCAATTCTCCTCAGTCTCCTGAGTAGCTGGGATTACAGGCGCCTGCCACCACGCTTGGCTAATTTAGTACTTTTAGTAGAGACAGGGTTTCACCACGTTGGCCAGGCTGATTTCAAACTGACATCAAGTGATCTGCCCGCCTTGCCCTCCCAAAGTGCTGGGATTACAGGCGTGGGATTACCATGCCTGGCCTTGTTCTGTTTCTTTTCCTAGGAGTCCCACAACGTGTGTGTTAGCACTGCCGAGAATGTCTCACAGCTCTGGACGGTCTGCATTTCTGGACCTGGTGCAGATCCCAGGATCCTGGACTCTGATTTGATGCCTTAACGGTGGAAGGGGGTTGAGTATATTTTTTATGTGGGAGGGGTGTGGACTGTGGCCAGAGGAAAGACAGTGGCAAGGCATTTCCAAAGGTGGCCACCAACAGTTCCTCCCACAAAGAGAAGGGGGCTTATCTCTTCTTCCCTGCAATATTCTCCGGCCTTCTGACTTGCTCCGAACAACAGGATGCAGCATAAGTGATATTCTGGGACCTTCCAAGCCAGACTGAAGGGCCTTTGGTTTCTATTTTCATGCTCCTGGAACTCAGCATCCATGGAAAGAAGCTCTTGGCATCACCCCAAGGAAGGGAGGCCCCGTGGAGTCGGGGAGGCCCAGCTAGCCTCTGGCCGCTGAAGCACCTAGCTGAGGTGCGGGACTGGTGAGGGCTGCCACTGGCTGTTCTGGTCTTGCTGAGCTTCCAGGCGAATGCAGTCCCACCAGTGATCCCGGGGACACCACGTGGAGCAGAACGACTTCCCAGCCAGGCCCCAGACAATCTACAACACTGTGAAAGGTAACACTTCTTATGGGTGTTTTGTTTTTTGGTTGTTTTGTTGATGGAGTTTCACTCTGGTCACTCAGGCTGAAGTGCAATGGTGCAATACGGCTCACTGCAACCTCCGCCTCCCAGGTTCAAGTGATTCTCCTGCCTCAGTCTCCTGACTGGGATTACAGGCACCTGTCAGCACACGCAGCTGATTTTTGTATTTTTAGTAGAGACCAGGTTTCACCATGTTGGCCAGGCTGGTCTCAAAACTCCTGACCTCAGGTGATCTGCCTGCCTCGGCCTCCCAGAGTGCTGGGATGACAGGCGTGAGCCACCGTGCCCGGCCTGTTTTTGTGTTTTAAAAGCATTTTATTTTGACATAATTATAGATCCAAAGGAAGCTGCAAAAATAGCAGAGTCCCGTGTACCTCCACCAGCTTCTCCCACTGCAAAACCTGAAAACCGACGTTGACTTGTTACTATTAATATAGCAGTTACGCTTTGTACATATTCAGTTGTCACCACTTTTTAAGTTAAAGTGGAATTCACATAGAGTTAGCTATTTAAAGTGTATAATTCAATGGCAAGCAGCACGTTCACAGTGTTATGCAACCATCACCACTGTCTAGTTTGGTCACCTCCAACGGGGAAAACACGGCCACTAAGCAGGCTCTCCCCATTCCCTTCTGCCCCTAGGCCCTGGCAACCACAAACCCACTTTCTGCCTCTGTCTACACCTCTTGTGGATATTTCATGTAAGTGTTATCAGAAAGGGGTCCTGATCCAGACCCCAAGAGAAGGTTCTTGAACCTCGAGCAAGGGAAAATTCAGGGCAAGTCCATAAAGTGAAAGCAAGTTTATTAAGAAAGTAAAGAAACAGGCCGGGCACGGTGGCTCACGCCTGTAATCCCAGCACTTTGGGAGGCCGAGGCGGGCAGATCACGAGGTCAGGAGATCGAGACCATCCTGGCTAACACGGTGAAACCCCGTCTCTACTAAAAATGCAAAAAATTAGCCGGGCGTGGTGGTGGGCACCTGTAGTCCCAGCTACTTGGGAGGCTGAGGCAGAATGGTGTGAACCTGGGAGGCGGAGCTTGCAGTGAGCCGAGATCGCGCCATTGCACTCCAGCCTGGGCAATAGAGCAAGACTCTGCCTCAAAAAAAAAAAAAAGAAAGAAAAGAAACAGGCGCAGCGGCTCATGCCTATAATTCAAGCATATTGGGAGACTGAGGTGGGTGGATCACCTGAGCTCAGGAGTTCGAGACCAGCCTGACCAACATGGTGAAACCCCATCTCTACTAAAAATACAAAAATTAACTGGGTGGGACAGACGCGTTGGCTCACGCCTGTAATCCCAGCACTGTGGGAGGCCAAGGCCTGACCACCTGAGGTCAGGAGTTTGAGACCATCCTGGCCAACATGGTGAAACCCCGTCTCTACTAAAAATAGAAAAATTAGCTGGGAATGGTAGCAAGCGCCTGTAATCCCAGCTACTCAGGAGGCTGAGTCAGGAGAATCACTTGAACCTGGGAGGCGGAGGTTGCAGTGAGCTGAGATTGTGCCATTGTATTCCATCCAGCCTGGGTAACAGAGCAAGACTCTGTCTCAAAAAAAAAAAAAATAAATAAATAATAAAATTAGCTGGGGGTGGTGGCACACACCTGTAATCCCAGCTACTCAGGAGGCTGAGGCCGGAGAATTGCTTGAAACCAGGAGGTGGAGGTTGCAGTGAGCCGAGATTGCATCATTGCACTCCAGCCTGGGCAACAGGGCAAGACTCTGTCTCAAAAAAAAAAAAAAAAATGGCCACTCCAAAGGCAGAGCAGCAGCATGAGCGCTAGTGAGTATATTTAGAGTTATTTCTTGATTACATGCTAAACAAGGGGCGGATTATTCATGAGTTTTCTAGGAAAGGGATGAAGATTTCCTGGAACTGAGGGTCCTTCCCCTTTTTAGACTACATAGGTAACTTCCTGACGTTACCGTGGCATTTGGAAACTGTCACTGCGCTGGTGGGAGTGTCTTTTAGAATGCTAATGAATTATAATTAGCAACTAACGAGCAGCAAGGATGACTAGAGATCACTGTCGTTGCTGTCTTGGTTTTGGCCAGCTTCTCTACAGCATCCTATTTTATCAGGAGTGTCTTTGGGACCCGCATCTTGAACCTGTACCTTGTGCTGACCTCCTGTCTCATCCCGTGACTAAGAATGCCTGTCCTCCTGGGAATGCAGCCCCGCAGGTCTCAGCCTCGTTTTTACCCAGCCCCTATTTAAGACGCGGTTGCTGTGGCTCCCACGCCTCTGACCTGAGTCATGCAGTATGTGGCCTTGGGTCTGGATTCTTTTGTGTCCGGAATTGGTGGGTTCTTGGTCTCACTGACCTCAAGAATGAAGTCGCG
Organism: Homo sapiens; assembly: GCF_000001405.40. Lineage (NCBI taxonomy): Eukaryota > Metazoa > Chordata > Mammalia > Primates > Hominidae > Homo > Homo sapiens. The sequence continues at coordinate 4,794,681 of NC_000007.14, read as the reverse complement.
GACCCTCGCGGTGAGTGTTACAGTTCTTAAAGGCTGCGTGTCCGCAGTTTGTTCTTTATGATGTTCGGATGTGTTCGGAGTTTCTTCCTTTTGGTGGGTTCGTGGTCTCGCTGGCTCAGGAGTGAAGCTGCAGACCTTCGCGGTGAGTGTTACAGCTCTTAAGGCGGCGCGTCTGGAGTTGTTCGTTCCTCCCAGTGGGTTCGTGGTCTTGCTGGCTTTAGGAGTGAAGCTGCAGATCTTTGCGATGAGTGTTATAGCTCATAAAGGCAGTGTGGACCCAAAGAGTGAGCAGCAGCAAGATTTATTGCAAAGAGCGAACAAACAAAGCATCCCGGTGTGGAAGGGGACCCGAGTGGGTTGTCACTGCTGGCTCGGGCAGCCTGCTTTTATTCTCATCTGGCCCCACCCACATCCTGCTGACTGGTAGAGCCGAGTGGTCTGTTTTGACAGGGTGCTGATTGGTGCGTTTACAATCCCTGAGCTAGACACAAAGGTTCTCCATGTCCCCACCAGATTAACTAGATACAGAGTGTTGACAAAAAGGTTTTCCAAGTCCCCACCAGAGTAGCTAGATACAGAGTGTCTATTGGTGCATTCACAAACCCTGAGCTAGACACAAGGTGCTGATTGGTGTGTTTACAAACCTTGAGCTAGATACAGAGTGCCAATTGGTTTATTTACAATCCCTTAGCTAGACATAAAGGTTCTCCAAGTCCCCACCAGACTCAGGAGCCCAGCTGGCTTTCACCCAGTGGATCCTGCACAGGGGCTGCAGGTAGAGCTGCCTGCCAGTCCCGTGCCCTGCTCCAAAGGCACTCCTCAGCCCTTGGGTGGTCGATGGGACTGGGTGCCCTGAGCAGGTGGCAACACTCGTTGGGGAGGCTCGGACTGCGCAGGAACCCACGGAGGGGAGGGGGGAGGCTCAGGCATGGCGGGCTGCAGGTCCCCAGCCCTGCCCCGCAGGAAGGCAGCTAAGGCCCAGTGAGAAATCGAGCACAGCAGCTGCTGGTCCAGGTGCTAAGCCCCTCACTGCCCAGGCTGGCGGGGCTAGCCGGCGGCTCCGAGTGCGGGGCCCACAGAGCCCACGCCCACCCGGAACTCGCGCTGGCCCGCAAGCACCGCGTGCAGCCCTGGTTCCCACCGCGCCTCTCCCTCCACACCTCCCCGCAAGCTGAGGGAGCCGGCTCCGGCCTTGGCCAGCCCTGAAAGGGGCTCCCACAGTGCAGTGGCGGGCTGAAGGGCTCCTCAAGTGCTGCCAAAGTGGGAGCCCAGGCAGAGGAGGCGCCAAGAGCGAGCGAGGGCTGTGAGGACTGCCAGCAGGCTGTCACTTCTCACTTTCACTTAGCATATAATGTTTCTAAGGTTTATCATCTTTTCTGTAAATCTGAAAAACTATTCTAAAATTTCAGTTTATTTAAAAAAAAAGTTGAGAGCTGGTGAGCTTTGCCCTTTTCCCAGCTGCCTCCTGGAGGCCACCTGAAGGTTGCTCCTCCCTGGGCTGGGGTCATGCCCTCCGAGGCCCTGTGGCCATGAGCTCCTCCTTGTCCCTTGGATGAGCGGGACGGCCCTTCAAGTCACACTCCCAGTCCTAAGCCGGGCGCTGCTGCACAGGCTGCGGACTTAGCACCAGCTGGCCTGGGCGGTGGCCCCACGAGTGCCTGGGAGCTGGGAGCCAGGACACCCCCGACGCCTTCAGGTCAGGGAAGCCCCGCCCCAGGGCAGGAGGGGAGCTGCGGACTCAGTGGGAGACTCATTCCGAGCCTAGGGGCAGCCCCACGCTCTCTGAGCTTCGGGATGAGCCCAGCAGCGCCCCCACACCCACTGCTGCAGGCGGGGTCGTGCACCGCACTGGGAAGTGATCCCGAGACCCGCGCACTGGCACGCACGCCTTGGTATGCACAGTTGTACACGTGCGCTGCTGTTTCCACGTGGAAACACAAACACAGTGCTGCCGACGGAAGCGCCTGCCAGCGCCAGCCTTTCCTGCGGCCCCGGCTCAGCGGCCCTGGGCTGTCATCGCAGGCCGCGGGGGACACCAGCCGTCCTGGAGCTCGGAACGCGACCCAAGGCCCAGGCTGTGGGGCAGGCGAGCGCTTCCTGGGCTGGAACCTGGCGGTGAGGACCCCGCGGTTCGGCTCGGGCATCTGGGGAGCTCCTGAGCCCGCACGGTGTCCCCTGCTCCGTTCCTTGCGCGTCACTCGCCCCCTCCATAGTCCTGAGGCTGGGCAAGGGGCAGGACCCTGCAGTCGCCTTCAGCCTGTGGTTTCTTAGTCGCAGAGCTATGGGGGATTGGGGGCGGGGCCGAGGCCGGAGGGGAGGTGGGCGGGGCCAGAGCAAAAGAGGAGACCGGGGGCGGAGCCAGAGTGGGGAGGGGGAAGAGTTTGAGCCTGGGGGCGGGGCGTGAGGCTCTCGGGGCGGCGGCGCCCCCTGGCGGCTGAGCCCGTCCCAGGCACCGGGCGGAACGTGCGACACAGCTGTGCCTTGGTAGTCCGGAGGGTGGGACCACAGGGCCCAGGAAGGTGGCGGGGCTGGGGCCGCACGCCCAGACACCTCCCCTTCGCGCGAATCCAGTGTTCTGAGCTCCACTCAGGTGGCTCCCTGGGGCCTTCCCTCCGAATGGCCAGAGGCCGCAGCCTGCATAGGCCATGGCGCTTGCAACCCTCCCCCGGTCCCCTTCATCTTCAGGCTATTCAAGGGCATCAAAAGGGGCATTGACAAGCGCACCACCCAGAGCGGTGACCACACCCGGGAACTCGCGCCGCTGCCTTCCGGGCTGTGCACAAATGACCTGGTTTCTGTAGCAGCAGTGGCACGCCGGGCTGAGCCTCCAGGACTGGCAGCAGCTGCCAGGGGTTCCCATCCCTGGTCCTCTCCCCAGGGTGCAGGGCAGGTAACGGAACTGATCGCGCACTCTTCATACAGACGCTTATTAAAGGAGATTTACTTTTACTGCAGCTCTTCTTGCCCATCAACTGTCCAAAAACAAAAGACTAGGAAACAGACCCAGCAGCCTCCACCCGACCCAGCCACAGGGCCTCAAGCCTCCAATCAGAGCCGCTCCATGGCACCCCTCAGCTCAGCTCAGTGTTGCCTGGGAGCAAAAGGCTCGGAGACAAAGCCCAGAGGGTGAGCAGGGGGGCCAGCCCCGCGTGTCTGTGAGGGTGCCAAGCCCACCGTGGGCCTTGCCTCCTCTCCCAGGACTCCCGCGCCCTCCTGAGCTCCTATCAGCCTGGCCTCAGTAGCAAGCTGGCTGCCCAGGCTCTTAATCTGCACCGAAGTCCCTGGCCACTGTCCCTTCACCCTGGCATGAGGCCGGCCTCCCTCTCCACCAGCCGGCTGACCGTGCGCAGGGCCAGGGGCAGGGCCGTGTTGGCATCGCGGTGATAGCGGGGGCTGCACACCTCCGTGCTGGGTGTGAGCACAAACTGGGCCACGCTAGGCATCTTCAGCAGGGTCAGCAGCTCTGTGGCCCGGGTACGGATGGCTTCCGCGCCCTCCTCGCTGTGCGTGGAGCTGGTGGCTGGACTGTGAGCCAGGGTCCTCATCTTTGACAGCAATAAAGAGGCCCTGGGGAAAGAAGGTCCCTCCGTCAGCTGCAGATGCTCCCCTCCCAGGACAGGGGTCTGTGTGGAGGGGCCAGGCCTGAAGCGCCCAGCAGAGTGGCTTTAGCTCAGCAGGGCCCACCCAGGACCTGCGCTGCTGCGACCATTTCACAACACCTGGATGGGAAGACCTCAGAAGCCACCTCTCTTCCCCAGGAGCCAGAAGGCTTCGCTCCCTCCCTGACCAGGCACCTGGGGATCAGATCTTGGCTCCGGGAGGCCAGCTTCGTCAGCGTGGTCATCAGCACGGTGACCACCTGGGGGGGACACCTGGGCAGGGCAGCAGAGGGGCGGCACTGGGTGACCTCGAATAGCAGAGCCTCCAGGGCTTCGAAGAACTTGTTGATCTGCTCCACGGTGCACCTCCGATCGTAGGTCACCGACAGGTACTCGCCGATGGCCCACACCTAGGCCCGGGGACAGAGATTCAGCCCCCACCCAGGCCTCCTGGGTCAGGAGCGGCTGTGGGAGGCCAGCGCCCGCCTTACCACGCTGGTGACGAGGCTCGCCCTGCTGCAGAGACCATTCACGCTGCCCAGGAACTCCAGCAGGTCTCTTGCCAGCTCCACCACCAGGGAGGGTTTCAGCGTACACAGGGCCAGGAACTGAGAACTCAGCACACTGCCCAGAAAGCCGGGTCTACGCCTGCTCTGTGCAGACCTATGACCCCATCCCCATCCAGGCCAAGGGCCTGGAGAAACCCGGGAAGCGTCTGAGTGGTAGGTGTATGCTGCACCCTCCGATAGAGGAACACAGAAGACTGCCAGCCTCAGAGAAACTGTTCTCACTGGGGAGAAGGCTGGCACCAGCGCTGGCCTCAGGCCCAGGCTCAGAGTGGAACCAGGATGGGCCTGCATGCATCAGGCCTTTGGAGAGAAGGACCCCAGGGGACAAGACGGGGAAGAGGGACCTGAGCTAACCCTGAAGAGGACAGGCTCGGCAGAAAGAAGGACGGGAATGTTCTTGAGAAGCAGAGAGAAGTGCCTGGGGCTGGGTGTGGGGCTGTGGGTGGGGGTGGCAGGGTCTGAGGCTGCTGAGGGCCCAGCTAGGGGTGGTGCCGAAGCCACTGAAGGGGAGGGGGGAGGGGAGAGGGGGAGGAGTCCAGGAGGCACCCGCCCAGGGCTGTGGCAGGAGCGCAGGAGGGACCTACCTGTGCACACCGGCAGCGTACCCTGGGGCCGGGTAGAGCGAGTCGCTCCTGCCCAGGAGCAGCAGCGCCAGCTGGTTGATCAGGGACCCGTCAGCCACCTGGGGGTCAGGAGTGGGAAACAGGCTCAGCCCCACCCCCACTGCAGGCCCTAAGGTTGGGGGTGAAGCCATGGTGAGGGCTGGGGGGCAGGTGAGGGGCTGGAGACTCCTCGTCCACTGCCTTCCCCAACACCCAGGGACACAGAGACTCAGCTGGCAGCATCCGGGCACAGGGAGGGAAGCCCTGGGCTGGCCCAAGTGCCCCCGGCAGAGGTGTCGCTTCTGTTCCACGGCTCCTCTGCCAACTCCCGCTCTGCAAGGCCAGGCACACGTCTTGTTTGGCCAAGGGTGCGCCCAAGCAACGCCCAGCCCCCTGCCGGCCTCCCCACCTCCCAGGCTCTCCTGCACTGGCTTGTAGAGCTCCCCGAGGTGGGAAGCAGCAATGGGGGAGATGGGGGGCACCAGCCTGTGGGAGCCTTTATTTTGGCCTCAGATGGGGATGCTGAATTATCAGGGGCAGCAGGGGGACAAACTGCTCCGGCCCCAGCTGTGTGGCCAGAGCCCAGGCCACTCACTTGCCCTGTCCTGGGGACGGAAGACAGGGCCTGCTGGGGCAGTTGGATGGAGCCTGCTGGGATGGGAGACAGGACCTGCCGGGATGAAGGGGATGGGACGGGGATTGGGGGACGTGGCCTGCCGGGATGAAGGGGATGGGACGGGGACTGGGGAACGGGGCCTGCTGGAATAAAGGGGATGGGACAAGGGACGGGGCCTGCCGGGGCTGTGGCATGTGCCTCCCTGACCCTCACAGGGACCGTGGATGGTGGGTGTGGCGGGAGCAGCCTTCTGCAGAGCTCAAGAGGGCCCCCCAGTGCTGGCTCTGGCCTGCCCCTCAGTTGTGAGGCCTGTGGGAATGGGGGGCCCCAGGCAGCGAGCTCACCTGGGTCACTGCTGAGAAGAATGCCTGCAGCAGCGTGGGCACGGCCTGGGCACACTGGGCCACGCGGGCACAGCCGGCCATGGGCTGCAGCAGCTGGTGGAGTGGCGCCAACCTGAGGACACAGTGTGGCCGTGAGTGCTGCCCGCTCCCCGACCTGGTGACTGCAGGCCGGGGCCACGTCGCCACTGCTCCCTCTCGCACAGCTGAGCCCGCTCCCATCCTCACTCATCGCCTCTCGGGACCTCCTGCTCCCCTGGGTTTGGGGAGACCCCTGGCGTCAGCACACCCGGGACAGTAAAGCCATCGGGACAAAGGCTGGCGTGGGCTGAGGGCAGGAGGCCTGTGGCCGGTCCCAGGCCTCCTGCTTCCTGGGCTCAGGCTCGGTTTGTCCATCTGCAAAATGGAGCACCCACAGGGCCAACCTCCAAGCTTATGAGGGTTGATGTGGGCAGCAGAGAGAGCTGAGACCAGGCCCCGCCCCCGGCAGACCCGTGGTGCAGAAGCAGGGCCTCTATAATGGTGATGACGGGGACGCAGCCTTGTGTGGGACACAAAGCACCCTGGCCTCAGCCTAGGGCTGAGCAGTGAGCCCCACCCCAGTGGCTGTGGCCGGGCTCTCTGAGCCACTGGTGGCCCCCTGGCCCTAGGGCCCCGTACCTCTCAGTGGCGCCACTGGCCTTGGGGCGCAGCAGGTATTGGAAAAGACCCTGGAACTGCGGGTCCCGGAAGGCCTCCAGGCAGCTGGGGGCCCTGAGAGAGGTGTCCCAGAGTGGCCTCTCGGATGCAGCCGGTGCTGACCTGCGTGGACAGACGCCCAAGGCCAGGCTGGGATGCGGCCCCTGCACTCAAGGGCACCCCCGTCAGGGAGACACACGGCAGGTGTCCCTAATATCACAGCACCTCGGGTGCCAGGAAGGGCTTGGCATGGGAGGCTCCAGGCCTGGGCGTGAAGACGGGTGAGGCACTCCAGGGTGCAGGGGCTGCCCTTGGCAAGTGGCCAAGGGTGACAGACACACCCTGTCCTAGAGGTGGCTTTGCAGGGGAGGACTGGTCAGGTGTTGGGGGGGGAAGAAGGAGGGTCCCCGGTGTAGGGGTCAGGAGCAGCGAGGAGGGGGCCCAGTGTGTGGAACCAGCTGGCTGGGAGACGCAGCGCTGGCAGAGGGTGAGGGGCCCACCTGAGCTGCAGGTCCAGCACCGCCGTCAAGCAGGGCAGGTCCAGCAGCGCGTGCAGCATCTCCAGGGCTGTGCCAGCGTCCACCAGGGCCGGGAGGAGCGCCACAAACTCGGAGGTGAGGGGTGGGCTGTTCCAGGCCAGGAACTGTGGGCACAGCACAGCGGTTCGGACACGGCTCGGAGCTGTGGAGCAGGCGGCAGAGGGAGGAGCCAGCTAGGGCCCCACAGCTGTCCCAGACCTGCAGTCCCCAGGAGGGCTTCTACCTTTGCCTCCTCCCGCTTTTTATTTTTTTGAGACAGGGTCTTGCTCTGTCGCCCAGGCTGGAGTGCAGTGGTGCAATCATAGCTCACTGCAACCTCAACCTCCCAGGCTCAAGTGATCCTCCCACCTCAGCCTCCTGAGCAGCTGAGACTACAGGCACACACCACCATGTGAGGCTGTTTACTTTTTGTAGACAAGAGGTCTCCCTGTGTTGCCCAGGCTGGTCTTGAACTCCTGGCCTCAAGATCCTCCTGCCTTGGCCTCCCGAGGTGCTGGGATTACAGGTGTGAGCCACTGCCCCCAGCCTGTATCTACTTTCGTACCAACAGGTCAATAATTTTCCACTGTCCTGGTTTTTCTCCAGAAAGAGGATTCCCCACCTCAGTTGAAAAGACCTTACAGCGAGGCGAGGCTGCAAAAGACACTTCAAAAGCAAATGGCACCAGGCCGGGTGCGGTGGCTCATGCCTGTAATCCCAGCACTTTGGGAGGTCAAGGCAGGAGGATCATCTGAGGTCAGGAGTTCGAGACCAGCCTGGCCAACATGTCGAAACCCCATCTCTACTAAAAATACCAAAAATTAGCTGGACATGGTGGTGGGTGCCTGTAATCTCAACTACTCAGGTGGCTGACGCAGGAGAATCGCTTGAACCCAGGAGGCGGGGGTTGCAGTGAGCTGAGATTGCGCCACTGCACTCCAGCCTAGGTGACAGGAATGAGACTCCATCTCAAAAGAAAAAAAAAAGGCAAATGGCACCCAAGTGCCCAAGGCACCAGGCAGGGCTCCCGGGGGAGGGATCCTACCAGGCAGCAGCCCTGCCCCAGTGCTGTGAGAACAAACTCACCGTCTTGTGTCACAGCCCCCTCTCCAAAACACCCACAAGGGAGTTCTTGGACAGCACCGTCAATCACGTGACGCTGCAGGGACACCCCAGATCCCCACCTCACCCTGCACACCGCATTCCAGGCCCGGGACTCACAGGGCTCTATGCTCAGCCAGGACTCGCCCTGAACCCCGCTGGAAAGAGGGGAGGAGCCCCAGGGACTTACCATGCCCCTGCCCTGGCACCCAGGGATGCCCAAATATACCTTAAAGAGGTTGGGGAAGCTCAATCTGAGGGTGCTGAGGTGCCCGCTGAACAGGTGGAGGTTGTCCCTGCAGAACTGGATGAATTCAAAGGCCAGCATGGGGCTGTGGAACTGCTCCACCGGGATCCTGGTGAACAGGTGCTGGTAGACGGCTTCCGAGTCCACTGCAGCCGCTTCCCCTGCAAGACCAGGGCCCGCCAGGGCACACGTCTTGACCTCGCCCTGGCCGTGCTTCTGTGACTGGTTAGGGGCCCTGAGTCTCAGGCCTGCTCTCCAGGACACCAAGGGCTCCGAGGCGTCCTACGCTGGGACGCTGGGGAAGCGGCACTTGGTCTCCCTCGCCCAGGGACACGGACAGCTCGTGAGTCACACACACTATGGCACATTCTTTGGAAGGTGCTGGTTCCTAGACTTTCAGGTTTCCTGGGCTAGGGACACAGCAAAAAGAGTCTGTTTATTTCTCTATTTAAAAGTTTAAAAATTACCAACATCTGGCACAGCAATCCATCAAAAAGAAATATGAGCTGGGCACGGTGGCTCATGCCCGTAATCCCAGCACTTTGGGAGGCCAAGGCAGGAGGATCGCTTGAGGCCACGAGTTCCAGACCAGCCTGGGCAACACAGCAAGACCCCTGTCTCTATTCAATCAAAAAAAAAAAAAAAAAAAAGGGAAGAAGAAATTCCATCCTAAAACTAAAGGCAGAAGCAGAGCCCCGAGTCAGCGCCACCCCACCCTGGGCTCACCGTGGCTCAGGAAGAAGTGGGCGAGGGGCAGCAGCACCCGCACAGAGGCCGGGTCCCCGCGCACCCGCCCGTGCAGGGCCTTCAGGCAGGAGAGACTTCGGTACAGGAAGGACGGGTCCTGCCGGCACAGCACGTCCAGCACCAGCACGGCCTCCACCAGGCACTGCGGGACATGGACCACATCAAATGGGCCGAGTCGCTGCCTCCCATCCCCTGGTCCCCAGCCACTTACAGCTTTCTGCAGGTCGGAGTCCCCCTTCCTCAGGGCTCCTGGAAGGAGGGGAAAAAGTCAGCCGGCTCTGTCTCAGCCTTAGAGTGGCCCAATGAGGGGGCAGCTTGTGCTCTGGAAGCTCCAGGCAGGACCGGGAGCAGGGGGGTGGGACAGGCCCCCAGGAGGACTTGAGTGGGACTGAGGCGAGGGGCCCAGGTGGGACAGGGCCGGGCTGGGGGCTGGGGTGGAGCCTGAAGAACACTTGGGGCTGACCCCAGAAGCAAAAATGCCCCTGCTCCAAACCGGCTACCCAGGGACCCCCTCTGTGGAGCAGTAGCTCAGGGAAGCTGTGCTGGCCTCAGGTGGCCTTGCAGAGCAGGTGCGTCGAGCCCTGGGGAGGCCAGTGCCCTGGGTGGGGGACTCACGTCGGTTACTTTGCTCAATGAGGCGCTGGCAGTACTCGAAGGCCACCTCCCGAAGCCGCTCCCGGGGCGGCAGCAGGCGGCCGGCAGAGGAGGTGGCGGAGATCACCGACAGAGTGGAGCCCTCCTGCTCTGACCTGTCATCTGCGGGAGGTGGGAACTCTCAGCAGGCTGACGTGTGGCTCCCGGGCTGGGACATGCCTGCTGCCCTGCTTGGAAGGGCAGGAGGAGAGCACAGGCCGCAGCCCCTCCCGGGAGGCGTGAGGCGTCACCGTCTCAGGACGTCCACCCACCCGGCAGCTTCCCCATCACGGCCGCCCTTCAGGGTGGCTGAGGCTTCTTCCCCAACAAGTCCACAGAGCAGCCGGGAGGAGCTCAGTGGCGTCACTCCAACAACCTTAAGGGTGCCTGCCTTAAGTGGGAGCTCTCACATCTGCACATTGCATGAGGGTCACGGGGTGTCCAGAGGATCCCCGGTGCTGACCCTGGACCCCAAAGATGCTGGCCAGGGAGTGCTCTCCGCCTAGCTCCAGGTCAGCAGGCTGCGTTGCTCAGTCCTGACCTCTGCTGCATCCTGGGCACACCCGAGTCCCCCCACCTCCGCCCGTGTCCCCCTGCGACCAACCCATAGTGCGCCCACCTCCCACCCCTGTCTGACGTCATCCCCCCACCCCGCACACCTGTGTCCAGGGTGCCCGGGCCCTCGGGGCCGCTGTGCAGCAGCCACGCCCGCAGCATAGAGAAGGCCTGCACGTTCAGCCACTGGTCGTCTGTGAAGCGGTGGCCGCTGGAGAGCACCGTGAAGAAGTCTGTGGCTACCGCCCCGTCCACCTCGGTGACGGGGCCCGGCTGTGGGAAGGACAGGCAGGAGTGGGCGGAGGGGGCCGAGGCCGGGAAAAACGCCAGCCTTTAGCACAAGCTCCTCAGGAGGTGGAGGAGAAGCTGCCTGAACATGAGCCCGGGCAGCGGCCCGCCCTGTGTGATGCAAAAACACCATCCCCACCTGACCCCCAGGCAGACGCGCGTCGCACACCCTGCTCCGCAGGCCCTGGGACTGAACCCGCGCACAGACCCCCAGAGCCACACGGGTCAGGGGGCTGTGGCCCTGCCTGACCCAAGCCCCGCAGCAGAGGCAGGCTCGTCCTGGACCCCGCGGAACGACAGCAGGCCTCGCCGCTGTGGGCACAGGAGCTCTCAGGGAGGGGTTGTCTGTGACTCTGTTCCCCATGGTTCCAGAACAGTCCCAGCCTCACCTGCCGGGCCCTGGGCGTGGAGAAGAAGCCGCCGGAGTGTGGGAGCCCTTGCTGGAGGCTGGCGTAGCGCAGCCAGTCGACCAGCCGCTTGCTGAGCAGGGTGGCCTGGTCTGCAGTGGGTGGGGTGGCATGGGGAGGTGAGGTTGAATCCTACAGATGCCTGGGTTGTTGGGATGCTGGCCGACTTTTCTCAGAAAACAGAATCCTGCAGCGTCCCAAACCCTCGGGCCTCCCCGTGTCCCCCACCTGCCCCCCACACTCCCAACCCACCATGGGCCCTCAGGGAAGGACCTGGGAAGGCAGACCCCCAACAGCCTCTTGGGAGGGGCCCCGCGTACCCTCCTGGAGGGTGCCCGGGCTGAGGACCACGACCTTGGCCATGACGGGGAGGAGGTGTCTGAGGCTGGGTCCCTCAGGCTGCCGGCTCTCCAGCGCTCGTAGCACGCCCTGGCCCACGGCTCTGACCTCCTCGTTTCTGTCACCCTTCAAATCAAACAGGGCAAACGCTGGGGTACTGGCCTGTGCCAGAGACCAGCTCCCCCATTTCGGAAGTCTGTGTGACACTCCTGAGAAGCGTCGGTCGCTGAGACCCCGGCCTAGCAGGTGGCAGGGAGGATGTCCCGCGCAGGCCCACCCCGGGCCACAAGGTGCCTGCTCCGCCTCCAGCCTCTCTCCCTGGGAGCTGCATCGCTGAGGCTGGAGGGGGCCTGGGTGAGGGCACGGCTGATTCAATGCTAAAAACACACTGGCGGCCACCATGGCCCTGGCCGCAGACACAGGACACCCCGTCCTGCGGGGCCTCCAGTGTGGATCCCAGTCTTTAAACCACCCACCTCACTCTGCACACCCAGGTGCTGAAACATCTGAGCAGCACCAGAGACACCCAGCACAGGGGCAGGGCCGTCAGGGCAGGGAGGAGGGCGGCTGGGTGGCTGGGAGGCCACGTGCCGGGCGGGGGGTGCACCGCTGGCGCCTGGCAGCAGTTCTGCAAGATCATCTTCCACTGAAAAAAATGAGTTGCTTGAGGAGAAGGGCGGGTGAAACAAACAAGAAGAGCCGGAGTCATCTTGTTCCAAAGGCCAGGAGCTACCACAGCATTACCGGGGTCATCTCGGAGGCCTGGAGGTGGCCTGCAGGAGGTCTGTGAGGTGAGGGGGCTGGGCACCAACCAGGATGACCCCAGTGATGAAGTACAACGCCCTGAGTACGCCGGGGCCCACAAGCTCTCGCCCACACAGAACTAAAGCAACCGCAGGCTGCACCCCAGCACAGGAGGCAACTCATGACGCTGCAGGCTGGGAACGGAGGGAAAAGCCCAGCTCCATCGCAACCTTCCTGCAGACTCTGCACCCCTGGGCAACCCATGAGCAGAGATAGCAGCTTCTCTCACACAAAGGCAGCCTGTGAACCCCTGGATCCCCACGCTGAGTGCCCAGGCCTGCTCCCGACACAGAGGGAGGGAGGACATGGACTTGGCAAAAACTCCTGGCCAAGGAGGGTGGATTGCTTGAGCCCAGAAGTTTGAGACCAGCCTGGGCAACATAGTGAGACCCCAGGTCCCTACAAAAAAATACAAACATTAACTGGGTGTGGTGATGCATGCCTGTAATCCCAGCTACTCAGGAGGCTGAGATGGGAGGATTGCTTGAGCCAGGGAGGTCGAGGCTGCAGTGAGCATTGATCACTCCATGGCACTCTACACTGGACAGCAGAGTGAGACCCTGTTTCTAAAAAACAAAACAAAAACCCCAAAAAGAAGGTCTGGAGGCCCAGCCTCCACTGACTCGCTGTCTCAAGGCTCTGTCTGAGAAACCAAACTCCACCACCTCTCCTGAGCACCAACATACCACGTGGGCCTGCTGGGCATGGGACCCCGTTCCAGTCAACAGGGCATGCCCCAGCCTCAAGTGTGCCAGGCACTCAGCACCGAGATGCGTCTACAACAAGCAGCCACCTGCCGGCTCTGGCGCCCCTGCTTCCTGTCTCCCCTGTTCCTTGGGAAGCAGCCATCCGGTGCCAACTGGGGTGGTGACTGCTGCGCTACCTGGGCCAAGAGAACGGAGGCCACCAGGCTCAGCTGCCGGCTGTTCTGCGTGTGGTCCCAGGCCAGGCTGAGGCTGTCAGAGGGGGACATCTCTCGCAGGATGGCGGCGCAAAGCACCTGGAGCTGCTCGGGGCATGCAGGCAGGCCGAGGGTGGCCTGCAGCAGGTCTACGCATGTCTTCTCCAGCCTGGAAGGCGAGATGCCCGTGGTGGGCGGTAACACGTCACGACCGTGGCAGGAGCACCCGGTGCCCCAGAGCACCTGGCCGGGCACCCTTGGGCCAGTGGACAGAGCATTTTACATGAGGATGGACCTTCAGCACTGGTTTAAGTGGACAAATGACTCAACCCCCAAGGAGCATCTGCAGTGACCTGCTGGGCGTGGGCTGGGTTCTCCTGGGGCCGCTGTGTGAGGAGCCGGCCTGAGCCGTCGCCACACTCACCTCCGGCTGTACTTCGTGGCTGAGATGATGAGGAAGAGCCTCTGCAGGGAGTCGAGGGTGTCCGGCCCCAAGTCCTCCGCCTGCAGCAGTTTACAGATCCGGGAACAGAACTTCTTCAGCTCCTCGTCCTGGATCTCCCTAAACAAAGAAGAGGACTTCAGGACCCAGAAGCACTCGCTGCTCGGAACCAAAAAAAGGATAACCCTTGGAGCAGGGAAAATCCCTCTTTAGAAAAGAGAAGCCGAGTGTGTGGAGGAACACGGTTCCACGGCTCATGGCTCTCGAGATAAATTCGCTGATTCCCTGAGCTGGTTCCTCTCACCCTGGGATTTCCCGATCCATCGCTGCAGCGCACTATGACGAATCTCACTCACGGAGGCCCCATGCACTTAGATTTTCTTGTTCCCAGGGCAGAAGGACTAAAACCGATTCTTTTTAGGGGTCTCATTCAAGAGTAGGAAATTTACTCTAGAATAAGGTGCCTTTCAAAAGATGTCTTCAATGAGCCTTTTGCTTATGGAAACAAGAATAAATTTTTTTTTTCCCCGAGATGGAGTCTTGCTCTGTCACCCGGGCTGGAATATAGTGTCATGATCTCGGCTCACTGCAACCTTCGCCTCCGGGGTTCAAGCAATTCTCCTGCCTCAGTCTTCCGAGTAGATGGGATTACAGGCACCCACCACCACGCCCGGCTAATTTTTTTGTATTTTTTAGTAAAGACAGGGTTTCACCATGTTGGCCAGGATGGTCTTGATCTCCTGACATCGTGATCTGCCCACCTCGGCCTCCCAAAGTGCTGGGATTACAGGCGTGAGCCACCGCGCCTGGCCTACGCCCGGCTAATTTTTGCATTTTTAGTAGAGACGGGGTTTCACCATGTTGGCCAGGCTGGTCTCAAAACTCCTGACCTCATGATCTGCCCACCTCGGCCTCCCAAAGTGCTGGGATGACAAGCGTGAGCCACCACGCCTGGCCTGAGAATAAAATCTTATATATTAAAGAACAAATGTCATGACATATTGTAAGGTAAGCCCATTATGTTTTTTTACTCGAATAACTAATTGGCTTAATTTTAAAATCTCCCTAGTAAGCCACAGGTAAGATACTGAAAAGTCCCAAATGGAAGCCTGTTTTTAGGTTTCTATCCCAGTCTAAAAGAAAGAACCAATAATGCGCAAAGGGGTTGCTGTGCCAGGGGACTCTGGGGACTCCCTGAGAAGGGCCCCCTACGTGGCTGTGCCCTCCCCAGGCCACCTGTAATCCCAGCACTTTGGGACGCTGAGGTGGGAGGATGAGTTGAGTGCAGATGTCTGAGACCATCCTGGGCAAAACAGTGAGACCCCATCTCTACAAAAGAATAAAAAAAATTCGGCCACGCACGGTGGCTCACACCTGTAATCCTAGCATTTTGGGAGGCCGAGGCGGGCTGATCACCTGAGGTCAGGAGTTCAAGACCAGCTGGCTAACATGGAGAAACCCCGTTTCTACTAAAAATACAAAAAAAAATAGCTGGGCGTGGTGGCACAAGCCTGTAATCCCAGCTACTCAGGAGGCTGAGGCAGGAGAATCACTTGAACCCGGGAGGAGGAGGTTGCAGTGAGCTGAGATCATGCCATTGCACCCCAGCTTGGGCAACGAGAGCAAAACTCCGTCTCAAAAACAAAAAAAAATAAAAATAAAAAAAATTCACTGGGCATGGTGTAGTCCCAGCCACTTGAAAGGCTGAGGTGGGAGAACTGCTTGAGCTGGAAGATCAGGCTGCAGTGAGCTGAGATTGTGCCACTGCACTCCAGCCTGGGTGACAGAGTAAGACTCTACTTCAAAAAAAAATATATATATATAATATAATATATATGTTATATATAATGTTATATATGTTATATATGATATATATGTTATCATGTTATATATGATATATAATAATCATGTTATATGACATATAACACGTTATGATATATAACATGTTATATGTTATATATCATATATAACGTGTTATGTTATATACGTTATATATGTTGTTATATGCGTTATATACGTTATGTTATGTTATATACATTATTTCTAATGTTATATATGTTATATCTAATATATGTTATACATAATATATGCTATATATTATGTTGTTATATATGTTATGTTATATATGTTATATAGTTGTTATATATGTTATATATAATATATAATATGCTCTATCTCAAAAATGTATATAATATATATTTTATATATATTACATATAAAAATATATTTTTATATCTATCTATCTATCTATATATATATTTTTTGAGATAGAGTCTTATGCTGTCACCCAGGCTGGAGTGCAGTGGCATAATCTCAGCTCACTGCAGCCTGATCTTCTAGCTCAAGCAGTTCTCCCACCTCAGCCTTTCAAGTAGCTGGGACTACACTAAGCCCAGTGAATTTTTTTTATTCTTTTTTTGATTATATATAAAATATTATATATCATTATATATTATATATAATGATATATAATATAACATATAATATATAACATATAATTATATTATATATTACTAAATATATATGTAATATATAATATATAAAATGTTATATATAAATTATATATACACACATATACATATATACACACAATGGAAAATCTTTCCCAGAAAGGTGGAACCCCTCATCCCGATTAAATTCCCTTCAGCATATTCTCCAAGTCTCAAGCTTCTCTCTAAAATCCAACCCACCCAAACCCTTCAACAGCTCCCCACTGCTTTCAAATCCAAACTCCTACAGACCCCAACGCTGCCTCCAAGAGCCCGGCCCCGCCTTCCTTCTCCAGACTCCATGTCCTGTTTCTTTTGCTTCTGTCCCTTCGCACAGACCCTGTGCCTGATACATGCCCCACTAGCTCCCGAGCTAGTGGGCTGAGGCTCTTCCTCCTGGAAATCCCCGACCTTGCGGGGCACCCCTCCATGCCCCCATCCTTTACTCGCTTCCCGCTCTCTCCATTTATCCTTCAGCTTGCAGCGCTATCTTTGATCACTTTTTGCACCCTTGCTTTCCGTATCTCTGACACATTTAGAGAGAAACTAAAGTTCACTCCAAATCTTTTTGGCTTTCTTTGGAGACAGGGTCTCCCTCTGTCACCCGAGCTGGAGTGCAGTGGCACCATCATAGCTTACCGCAGCCTCAACCTCCTTGGCTCAAGTGATCCTCCTGCCTCAGCCTCCTGAGTAGCTGTGACTATGGGTACGTGCCACCACACCTGGCTAAGTTTTTTAAAAATTCTGTTTTGTAGAGACGGGTCTCGCTATGTTGTCCAGGCTGGTCTCAAAGTCCTAGCCTCAAGCGATCCTCCTAACTCGGCCTCCCGAAGTGTTCGGATTACAGGCGTGGGCCAGTCACTGCGCCTGGCCGGCTCCAAACCTTAACCCTCAAACTACAGTCATTTATTTTAAAATATCATCAGAAATCACAGGCTTAAGAATATTGTGAAAACTGGTAAGCCCTAATAGATTAACCTTCTTGAAACCCTAACAGAGGGCAACTGCAGAACTCATGTATGTTACATAGGGAAATTCAACCACACTCTATCCTCAAAAACGGCTGCCCACCCGAGCCAGGGAGGCAGAGAAACAGGTATTTAAATAGTGAGGGCTCAGCCGGGTATGGTGGCTCACACCTGTAATCCCGGCACTTCGAGGGGCCGAGTCAGGCGGATCACCTGAGGTCAGGAATTCGAGACCAGCCTGGACAATGTGGTGAAATCCCATCTCTACTAAAGATACAAAAAATCAGCCGGGTGTGGTGGCGGGCGCCTGTAATCCCAGCTACTTGGGAGGCTGAGGCAGGAGAATTGCTTGAACCCAGGAGGCGGAGGTTGCAGTGAACTGAGATTGCGCCATTGTACTCCAGCCTGGGCGACAGAGGGAGACTCTGTCTCAAAAGAGACTCTAATAAAAATAAATAAATAAATAAATAAATAAATAAATAAAGAGGGCTCTTCCTTTTGTTTTTCATGTCACAAGTTTATGACCTTGAGCAGAATGTGACTGGGAATGAAGTTCTCAGTGGGTGTTTTTCCTTGTCTCTTGGCAAGGACCTTGGGATTAACATGTTACATGCTGAGATGCCAGTATTTTTCATTTTCATATAGTCCCCACATTCACATGAATGACATATCTGTCCAGGATTGAAGGGAAGGTTGCCTATGTTGAGCTGCTGGGAGATGGTGCTGCATATTCACCAAGCCTCTTCCTAATGAGTGGACTCTTAAGGGTTATTTTGATCAGAGATTTTTGTCCTGTTCGGGCTTTAGAACTTAACCTGCCTTCAAGACCTCACTCACTATAATCACAGCAATTTCAACCACCCGAATCTTTCCCACCAATTGGTCTAGCTCTGAGTCCAGGTTTGCTTGTTTGTTTTGACATGGAGTCTCGTTCTGTCACCCAGACTGGAGTCCAGTGGTGCGATCTTGGCTCACTGCACCCTCGGCCTCCTGGGTTCATGCACTTCTCCTGCTTCGGCCTCTCACCTCACCAAGTTTGTTTACGTTTACCAAGGGGCTGTAGTGCTGGCTGTATTTTCTTTACTTTTTTTCTTTTTTCTTTTGAGACGGAGTTTCGCTCTGTCCCCCAGCCTGGAGTGCAGTGGCGCCATCTCAGCTCACTGTAACCTCCACCTCACAGGTTCAAGCAATCCTCCTGCCTCAGCCTCCCGAGTAGCTGGGATTACAGTCACCCACCACCACGCCCGGCTAATTTTTTTTTTTTTTTTTTTTTTTGTATTTTCAGTAGAGACGTGGTTTCCTCATGTTGGGCACGCTGGTCTCGAACTCCTGACCTCAGGTGATCCGCCTGCCTTGGCCTCCCAAAGTGGTGGGATTACAGGCGTGAGCCACCACGCCCGGTCAGCATTTTCTTCTTTTAAACATGTAGTATGAAGTCTTTGCCTGTTTGGTGGACCGTGAGTCTGTTCAGTCCTGGCTTACACTGTTTTCCCCCATGACTGGTTAGTTGGTGAGGAAGGAGCTACTCACTCGTTACTGGGAGTCCAGACACAGCCTGAAACCAGCCTGGAGGGTGATTTCTCAGCCTAGCTAATACATCCGCGCAAGAGAGATCTTTTTAAGTCACAAAACCCTCCCACGGTTCCGCAAAGCCCTCGGATGGCCTCCAGCTCCCCAGCCTGGCACACAGCCTTATTCCTTAGCAGGCCTCCGGACACTGTGACTTTGCGTTCTTGACTGTGAGGCACTGAAATCTCCCGGCTGCCCGATTTCCTGCCAGACGCGGAGTTCTCACCGCCAAGCCTTTGACTAAACTGTCGACTGGGTCCCACCCCACTTGCTTTCACTCACCAAGACTCTGCTCAAGTGTCACCTCCTCCGGGGACCCACCATGACCCTCCCCGACCTCCTCACCCCAAGCCTGGCCGCCGTGTTGCCTTACCCGATCCCCAAGTCTCGAGGGCGAGTCCAGTCGGGTTCCTGCAAGGCTGGCGCCCAAGCCCCTGCCCTGTGAGACCCACCCCCGTGTGCCCCTAGGGAGAGATGCAGGAAGGAGGGCCGGGGCCGCAGCTCCCCCGTACCTGGCCTGGTGGAGCAAACTCTCCGCTCCTGCCGAGAACATCACGCCGCCGCCACCAGACGCGCACGAACCTCGGAAACTCCAGGAGCTGCAGCCCAGGAGCTCCGCACCCCGGTCAACTTCCGGGACCGCGTCACGTGAGCGCAGCGGCCTTACGTGGCTGCGTCACGTGCCGCATCACATGAGCAGGAGGGACAGGTTGCCGACCAATGGGCTTTGGCGTGGAGCGACTGGGGCGGGGCGTAGGTGCCGCGGCCGGGGGTCCGGGTCGGCGCCTGGGAGCTGCGGAATCGCGCGACCCCGGAACCTCGGCACTCTGGAGCCCCGGCGCCCTTCGACCCCGGAAAGCATTTCGGCGGAAATTGGGCGCCTGGGGCTTTGGGAGAGGGCATTGCTGGCCCCAAAGTGTCACTGCCCCAGTTCTGGTTTCTGTTTCGTAAACAGCTTTGTCGTGCGGGAGTCCCTTTGCTAAGTACGACCTGAAAATCTGATGCAAACTCCGACACTTGTGGGCTGAGCCCAGCAGTGTCCAGCAGTTTGCAAGGAATAGCCGCGGCTCTGGGCAGTTTTGGGGATTTTTTGAGCTCCCATTTATTGAGCACCCATCCCGCGCTGTTCCTGCTGCTTGAAACGAAAAAATCCCTTATTCAATCCCCACGGTATTCATGGGATCTCGCGATCTCTGTTTTACAGATGAGGCCACAGGCTCGGAGAGGGGAAGTTTCTGTTCATTCTAACGGATGTGTTGGGTGCCCAAATGTGCTGGGCCCTGGCCATAAGTTTGCCATCCTGCAGACGGCCGAGGGACACAGGGCGACACGCCAGCGTCATGATAAACGCTATGACAGCCTGACCTGGTTGGGGGTCCAACCGGAGGAGGAAGGCTTCGGCGACTGCGGCCTAAGATGAGCCCAGAGGGTGTCCAGACCAAGGGGTGGGGAGGGACGGGCCTAGGGTAGCGATCTGCTTCCTATGGCTTAAATGCACCCCAGGAGGAAACTGATCTCTGGCCGCAGGGGAGATAATGGATTGGGAAGCTCCTGAGGGAGAAAGGAGGCTGGTGCAGTTGTGGTCCAGGTAAGGGAGGTTGCCCCGAAAGTAGGCAGATTCAGTACCATTTAGAGGTAGGATTTGCACCACCTGTGATTGAGGAATTTGCAGGCAGGAGGAAGAAAGTGGAAAAATCAAGGGTAACTTCATGTTTGTGGGGTGTCTGTCTGGGGCAGAAAAGGACGAGGAAATTTGTGCCAAGAGTCATTCATTAAGTGGACAAGCGATGATTGAGTCCTAGCTGCGCTAGGCACTGCTGAAGGTTCTGGGGAATAGGGTAGGGGTGGGAATCAATGTTGCGTAGATAGGGTGGGTCAAGGTTAGGCCTTGAAGGGATAAGCCCCGAGAAGACCCCTGGATGGAAGGAAGGAGGAGGAGGAGGGAGGGCTTCCTGCAGGAGTTCCAAACATGGCTTTGAGATGCCCTAGGGCGCCCAGTGATGTCTGAGGGCACCTGGTGCAGAGAATGAAGAGATGGGAATCGGTGGATGGTGAGCGGTGGATGGGAGTCGGTGGAGTGCGGCGGGTGCCCCTGGAGCCGCAGGTTGAAGACTGGCAAAGGAAAGCTGGTGACAGGTAGTCTATGGAAAGCCTACTGCCAGTGTTTAACGTTTACTAGGGTAAAACGTCCACACCAAAGCGCACAAATCTTAAATGAACTCCACTATTTACATTTCTAGAAATCGGTGGTAAATTTGCAAATGTCTTAAGCCTCGGCTCCATTGGCGACGGTGGGGAGCCGGGGGTTGATTTGTGTTTGATAATTTCTGTGGTGTAAATGTTCCTGCCATGGTTTGAGTTCAAGACCTAGACCATTTCCAGCTCCCCAGAGGTTCCCCGCTGTGGCCCCCTCCCAGTCAACGCCCACTCCCTTCCCCCACAAGTAACTGCTAGTCTCTCTTATCACCAGAGATTAGTTTTGCGTCTTTTTATACTTCATGCAAATGGAATCGTACCGTACTTAGCTTTTCTTGTTCGTCCATGAATATTTGGTCGGTTTCCAGATTTTGACAATAACGAATAGAGCTGCAGTGCACAATTGTATGTCTTCTGGGGTTCTGAGAGATGCACCCCTCTTTGTTGTATAGATACCAGGTTCACAGGGAAGCTAACTTTAACTGAGATTCCAACTGTGTGCCAGGAATCTCAATCTCTCTCTCCCTCTCTCTCTTCACACAGACACGACCTTAAGCAATTTTACCAGGGGTAATATTTGACTTGTTTCTTACAAAATATTTACATTAGTGTAAAATATTATTTTAAGGTCTCACTAGTGAAAAATGGTTGTGCTAATCAAAAGCAAAAAAGGCCAGGCACGGTGGCTCACACCTGTAATCCAAACACTGGGAGGTCGAGGCAGGAGGATCGCTTGAGCCCAGTTCAAGACCAGCCTGGGCAACATGGCAAGACCCTGTCTCTAAACAAGCAAGCAAACAAACAAACACAAAGACAACATCTTAAAAAGGAAAGATGCAATTAATAATTAGCCAACGCAGATCCCTGGAGGAAGCCTACATACGCTTCTCACTCATGTTTGCTATTGGGCTAAAATGTTTTTCTTTTTTTTCTTTTTTTTTTTTTTTGAGACTGAGTCTTGCTGTGTCCCCCAGGCTGGAGTGCAGTGGCGTGATCTCAGCTCACTGCAACGTCCACCTCCTGGGTTCAAGCAGTTCTCCTGCCTCAGCCTCCCAGGTAACTGGGATTACAGGTGCAAGCCACCATGCCTAGTTAATTTTTTGTATTTTTTTTAGTAGAGACGGGGTTTTACCATGTTGTCCAGGCTGGTCTTGAACTGCTGACCTCAAATGATCCACCCGCCTTGGCCTCCCAAAGTGCTGGGATTACAGGCGTGAGCCACCGCGCCCAGCCTGGGCTGACATCTTAAACTAGAACTAATCTGTTAAAGTTATGTTAACCTCTTACAATGGAAATGGAGTAACTTGAAGGAAGACAGAGAAGCAGTGAAACCTTACCTGCAATGGTGGGTAACTGTGCCATCGGAAAAATGCAAGTTATTGAACTGAGGGAGTCACATGCAAACACTACAGAACCTTGACAGAAGAGAGACATGTGACAAGCATGCACCACTGTCAAGTCTGTCGGAGGCAGTCACACAGACACACCCAAGGGTCTCATAAGTCTGGGGGACTCTCAGAAGAGACAGTGACTGATGGCATCGCAGCTGAGCTTCGGGGCGCCAGGCCTGTGGGGTGGGGGTGCCTGTGCTGCATGTGAAGAAGTGGGGCGCATTGCAAGCTGAAGTCCCACAGCTGGTAAGGACACAGTAGGAACTTGAACCCAGGTCTGTGTAGTTCCAAAGTCAATGCCATCCCCACCCCCCAGGCCCCACACCTACAATAAGTAAGGCCTGAGAGAATTTCTACCCACGTACATTTCTACCCATCTTGGACATGGGTAGAAATTCTCATCTAGCCAAGGGCCAGCAGGAAGGACCCACAGTTGCCCAGGAGCCACTGGGGCAGCAACGAGTACCTGCAAGTGCCCCCCAGCCAGGATGTGGGCGTGTGCCAGGGGCAGGGGGTTGGCTCAGCTGGTTTCTGCCTTTGCCATGTCTGAGGGGAGACACACGTTGTCTTCACATTCCTGGAGCTGCAAACATCCTCGCTTAGAGCACTCTCAGTGGGTGGGGGTCACTGACTCCAGGAGCCACAGGCACCTGCAGAAGCATCTCCTGTGTGAGCCAGGAACGGGACACCAGGGACCTATGGGCGACTTCCCTTATCAGCAGCCGCCCTTCAGCCTCTGGAGCAGGGGGGCGCAGTGCCTGTGTGTCCAGGGGGCCGGGAGCCTGTATGTCCAGGGGCTCAGGGGTCTGTGTGTCCAGGGGTCAGGGGTCTGTGTGTCCAGGGGGTCGGGAGCCTGTGTGTCTAGGGGGCCGGGAGCCTGTATGTCCAGGGGCTCAGGGGTCTGTGTGTCCAGGGGTCAGGGGTCTGTGTGTCCAGGGGGTCAGGGGCCTGTGTGTCCAGGGGGTCAGGGGCCTGTGTGTCCAGGGGGCCGGGAGCCTGTATGTCTAGGGGGTCGGGAGCCTCTGTGTCCAGGGGGCCAGGTGCCTGTATGTCTAGGGGCTCAGGGGTCTGTGTGTCCGGGGGTCAGGAGCCTGTGTGTCCAGGGGGTCAGGTGTTTGTGTATCCAGGGGGTCGGGAGCCTATGTGTCCAGGGGCCTGGTGTCTGTGTGTCCAGGCCGTCTGTCCGTCCGCCACCTTCAGTAGCCACCTGCGCAGAAGGACCACACCGGAGCCGCAGGGTCATTTCTTTAATATAGAATTTTATTTCTGGTTATAGAAACAAATGCTAAGAGGAGAAACAAAACTTCCCCATCCACATACAACAATTTAATAGATAAAAGAACAGTTAAAATAAATGAAAAACAAAAAGTAGAAATTTTAAACTTTGTTATAGCTTTAAAACATTAACGTCTGATACAATTAGAAATCACATTCAGATCTCAAACTCTTAAAAAAAAGTATGGCTCCTTATTAAAAAAATACTGTATCCCACTTGAAATGAAAACACAGGTTGCCTGCTGTTGACATGGGTGGGGCTGTCCCTTCCTCTGGTGTCGTGCGTGCCCCCTCCCGGTGCTGGGGTGCAGCCACACCCCCCCGCCGGGCGCCCACCTTCACTCCT
The DNA here is from genome assembly GCF_000001405.40 of Homo sapiens. Taxonomy (NCBI): domain Eukaryota; kingdom Metazoa; phylum Chordata; class Mammalia; order Primates; family Hominidae; genus Homo; species Homo sapiens. Next base: position 4,771,060 of record NC_000007.14, on the reverse strand, counting down.
CCAGGGTGAGACACGCAAGGTGACATGACCAGAACTTCACATCCAATGCTCTAGAACTGACATTTCCACTTCATAGGACACTGCTGCTTTTTAAAGCACTGATTATCAAACATGTTGTGAAAAATACTTTAGACAGGCGCCACTGTAAAAAAAAAAATACACACACACACACACACACACACACACACACACACACCGAACAACACCCGCCCCTCCCAAATTATTTTTACAGGAGAATAATCGTTCAGATTAAAACAACAAGAACAAAAACTCAATATTGGCTTTAACCCCTCCTGCACGTGTGCTGAGCTGCCGGCCTTTGTCATCTGCAGGGCACGTGCAGCCCAAGTGTCTGGACTCAGCGACATCTCAGGACAGACTCTGGAACACGGCTGTTGTCTCTCCTCCCGCCCCCCTTTTCCTGAAACAGAAATCAAGCCACATACATGAAGGTATTCTAGGTATCCAAAAAGCCTTTCTTGAAAAAAAGAAGAGCCAAACTTAAAATACTTGATTTGATTATTATTTTTGAGACAGAGTCTCCCTCTGTTGCCCAGGCTGGAGTGCAGTGGCATGATCTCGGCTCACTGCAACCTCCATCTCCCAGGTTCAAGCGATTCTCATGCCTCAGCCTCCCTGGTAGCTGGGATTACAGGCACACGCCACCACGCCTGGCTAATTTTTTGTATTTTTAGTAGAGACAGGATTTCACCATGTTGGTCAGGCTGGTCTCAAACTCCTCAGGTGATGCGCCTGCCTCGGCCTCCCAAAGTGCTGGGATTACGGGCATGAGCCACCGCACCTGGCCAAATATTTGATTTTAAATTCCCATTGTTACTGATTAAAAAAAAAAAATCTGGACCAGTTAACCTGGAGATTTAGAGGCTATAGACACAATTTAACATCCATACAGGCCTGTGAACTTCATGCAGAGAACAAACAAACAAACAAAAACTCTAATTCAGAGTCTCTCATTTCAGCTTAGCCAACACATTTGGAGACTTAGGGGCCAGTTCTAGAAGCTGCTTTTACCTCTAGACTCGGAGGGGCAGGCCCTGTCACCGAAGGGAGGAAAACTCTTCTTGGCTGTCAGCCCGGATTGAAGCCACTTCGCTTCCCCTGGCCCCAGCTTTCCTGCACTCTTTTCACCGTGTCTGACACAGGGCAAACCACCAACCACTCAAATGAGCAAACAATTCCAGAAAAAAGAATCCGAGATAAAGAATAACCAACTAGGAGTCTTTCCATTGTAGTATCACGCTAAAACAAAACAAAACAACAAAAAACAAAAACTGGGTAAGGAGCAAAAAAAGTGACAGAGGCCAGGCGCGGTGGCTCATGCCTATAATCCCAGCACTTTGGGAGGTTGAGGTGGGCAGATCACCTGAGGTCAGGAGTTCAAGACCAGCCTGACCAACATGGTAACACTCTCATCTCTATTAGAAATACAAAAATTAGCCGGGTGTGGTGGCAGGTGCCTGTAATCCCAGCTACTTGGGAGGTTGAGGCAGGAGAATTCGCTCGAACCTGGGAGGCGGAGGTTGCAGTGAGCCGAGATTGGGCCACTGCACTCCAGCCTGGGCGATAGAGCGAGACTCCATCTCAAAAAAAAAAAAAGTGGTGACAGAGTGACTTGGAGACCGCTTCAGTCACCTTTGGCAGCCTCTGGTGGCCTGAAATCTGGACGATGGAACTTAAGACGCAACTGGGTCACTGGGGCCTGAAGCGGGATGGGGGCGGGGGGCCCTCCGCAGCCAGTGTTCAGCAGCTTCACCAAAGCAAATAAATACATTCACGGCTTCTCCCTGGCCCCGGTATTTTTCTTTTCAACGCATTTTCCCCATGGCGAGAATGACAGGGCAGGTGCAAAGAGTGACTAAGATTCTTCCGAGGGGTTTCTCCCTGGACAGAAAGAAAGATGCCTAAAAATAAACTGACTGCCCTCTTAGTGATATTCTCTGATACTCCGGGCAGCCAAAACCAGCCATTAGGATGAGTAGAAGAAACAAAAAATTTCCAAAGCCTCACCAATTCAGAGGAGGAACGCTCACTTCAGCCCTGCACAAAAATACAAGGAAAATGCCAGTCTTGGTGACCCACAGAGCTTCCAGGTCACACTCAGGCCTCCCGGGAATGGCTGGCCCCGAGGGAAGGCCTCCACTCACTGACCCTCAGGGTTTCATTCTCCAAGGACTGGGCTGTTTCTCAGGGCAGGAGTCTGACCTCCCAGCAGCTGGCACAGACTTGGATGTGACAGACAGGCACGGCGAGGTTCATCAGTCAGAGACGAATCCTCCTCACCACTCTCCCCGCTCCTCTCTCTCTCGTGGCCTTCTGATTTGCCCGGAGAGCCTTCTCACCCACCTCCAGGAAAAGCCAGCCCAACTTCACACACCCAGGTAGCACCCCTGCTCATGGTGCATGGCAGGCCTAGCCCTGGGCCCTCCACCCTGCCCACCTTCCCGGAGGGGGTTGAAATGTTCCATCCAGCAGCAGAGCTGAGGGCTGCAGCCTCTGCCTGAGGAGGAGCTGGGACGGGGCCGGAAAAGCCCAGCAGAGACAGGGTCCCATGCCCGTGGGCTCACAAGACAACCCAAGACTGAAACTATTTTCCCTAAAGAAGTCAGTGGGCCGGGCGCGGTGGCTCACGCCTGTAATCCCAGCACTTTGGGAGGCCGAGGCGGGCGGATCACGAGGTCAGGAGATCGAGACCATCCTGGCTAACACGGTGAAACCCCGTCTCTACTAAAAATACAAAAAATTAGCCGGGCGTGGTAGCGGGCGCCTGTAGTCCCAGCTACTCGGGAGGCTGAGGCAGGAGAATGGCGTGAACCCGGGAGGCGGAGCTTGCAGTGAGCCGAGATCACGCCACTGCACTCCAGCCTGGGCGACAGAGCGAGACTCCGTCTCAAAAAAAAAAAAAAAAAAAAAAAAAAAAAGAAGTCAGTGAAATGGGTCTGTTTTTAAAATTTCAGTCCAGAGGGAAATGTGTGTGGTTGTATCCCCAAAATCCCATTCTTCTAAGCAGCTGTGACTTCGGGGTTTGGGTGACAGGGAGGACAGAGGAAAGGACGCAGCAGCTCTAATGGGACAATCCTTTCCACAGATTCAACTCCGACAGAATTCAAGCCGCACGGTGTGGGTAAGGGCCCCCTTCTCGAGGCACGGACCCCACTCGCCACCCTGCGAGGGGCCGCGGTACCCACCGAGATCCCCTGCAAAGCACAGATTCCAAACCCTCCCTCTGGTCACCAAACGTAGCAGCTTTTCGTATCAAAACCCAACCAAAAAAACAGTAAGTATGTGATGAAAACCGTGTCCTGAGCACTGAAAAACAGGCCTGGAGAAAGGAACTTTGAAAAGAAAAGGAAATTGTAAGATGCAGGAAAACAATCTAAAAATAAGGGACAGAACCGGGCGAGAGACCATTTGTTATATTTCAAATTCTACCCTCATTTCCAAGAGCCACAATACATTACCCAGGAACCTCTGGAGCTGAGTCCCGTCTACAGACTAATCCTGTCTTCATAGCAGCACATGTGAGCAATGTAAAGTATTCTCATTAAATAATATTGCTTTGAAGCAGCGGTATTGTCAAGGAGGCTCGAGGCGAGGCTGTGGGTAAACACGTTTTCATCAGGAGTGTGGCGCAGTCCCCGTGGTGGCTCCTTGCAGCAGACCTACCGCAGCCAGGCCGCCCGCAGGGCCGAGGAGGCCTCCATCCAGCGTTCTGGGGCTCTGCGTTTGCAAAGAGCCTGACGATCATGTTTCGTAACTTACTCCAGCGTGAGGAGCGCGCGATTCCGTCCTGCAACGTGAGGCGGCATGCCGGTGACTCTGAAGCCTTTTTTTAGGGGGGCTTTCTCAGAGGGGTGAGGAGGAGCCCAGGATGGACTTGGGGTGTCCTCTCTAGAGGGGTCAACAGTTCCTCATCCCGCATGAAGTCACTCAAGGGCAAAGCAGAATGTGAGGCTTCTGAAGCAAAACAGACCTGCACTCCCGCCGGCTCTGAAAGCGAAGGGGAAAATCCTTTCTTCTCCGACACCTCCCCGTGTTCCATTACGTTTTCATTTTTCCCACTGAGGTCTGTTCTTTGTCTCCATAAAAACACTGATTTCAAAGCCAAGGAAAAGCTTCCTCCTCCTCCTGAACTCACTGAATCGCCCAAAGAAGGGATTTCTCTCTCTCTCAAGACGGAGCCCTCACCCGGGGCTTTCTGGAGAGTCCCAGCTCCCCGGGGGTGCTCCAGGGAGGGCCCTCTTTATGCAGAGGACACAAGAGCATTCGCTGAATGATGCCTGTGATCTCAAACCAGTACAGAAAATGGACCCAGGAGCCGGGGAGGCGAGGCCCAGCTGGGCTCAAAACTTCTTGGGGGCTTCGGCAGTCTGGAGGGGGCAGGGTGAAGCCCCCGTCCTGGCCCAACTCCACCGAATCCATCTCCTCCCTGCCTGAGAAGCACAGAGCGTGGTACCTAGGAGCAGGGAACACTCAGCAACTCAGAAATTCATTCCCAGCTTTTTCACTTGGCATTGTTCTTAAATCAAAGAAAAGGGAGATACAAATAAACAGCAAATCCCAAAGAGGACCTACCAGACCTCGGGAAGGAAAGTGAGGGGCGGCAGGTGTGAGACACACATGGCTCCACCCGCCTGGTCATGGTCCCCGCCACCAGTGTCTTCCCAGCACTGCCTGGAGGGTCTCTGGATAGGGACCTGAGGGTCTCTACATGGGGACCCCACACCAGCGTCTCATTTCACCCAGAGCGCATGGCGCCCTCTAGCGTGAAGCCAGTGGGAGAAGACTGGGCCGCGGCAGAACCATGAGGCCACACTCGGCCCGACTGGTGAGGGATTAACGTTGAGGTTTTTAGGAATGTAGAAAGCAAGCAGAAGAGGGATGGTCCATCTGGGTCCCTCAAAGGCATGAGTGACAGATTCCACCCTCAACGGAGGGCAGGTGTCACCGGGAGAACTCCCACATGGAAAGAAAGACACAAGTGGCTGAGGATGGGCACACACCGGGATACTGGGTACCATGCCCTAGACAGCCAGGTCTCCCTGAGCTCCTCTGGCCCCGCGGCTCCGTGGACACTGGGCTGGTGGCAGAAGCTGGCACGAGAGAGTGTGCCCTGAGCCAGCTGCTGCCCTAGCAGCCTGGGGACGCTCAGGCCCTGCTTCCCCACTTCCCAGGGGCCACCAAATGGCCTCGGTGGATGCCTTTGCTCTACTTAAGACGTTCTTTTTGGGACTTACCTCCTAGCCAAAGCAGGTGTTTTCTTGTATTTGATAAACCTGGCAATTTATCCAGCAGGAGTCAGGAGACAGAAGCGGGTTACTGGGCCCAGGGGCTCTGAGGGAGCCCCTTTCCGAACAGGGCAAAGCAGGAGGGGCCCTTCCCAAAGCCACTACTGTGACCTGCTGTTCTCATCCGCTGTGGACCGTGCCCCCAGTCCCTGGTGACCAGAGAACAGGCCCTCAGCCTCTGCCTCCCCAGTGACCCCAGAACGGGGCTGGAATCAGCTACTTTTGCTCCCCACATTCCTGCACATTGCCCGGGTCAGCTCACCCTTGAGAACCTAGAGAAGGTTCTTGGGTCCTGGCTCCACACGGCTCAGGGTCACAGGCCGCCCAGGCTGGGGGCTGAGGCTCTCCCGGTCCCCCTGGCCTGTGCTCTTGCTTCTGCGAAAGCGCCTGGCTGGGAGGCGCTTGCTGGGCTGGCTCAGGGCACACAGGGAGGGCTTTGTGGCCGGGACATGCAACCCTTTTGGGCCCTGTCCCTTCCTGGGCCTCTGGCTACCGGTTCCAAGACAAGTTCCGGCATGAGCCAGGCATGGTACCTGCTCAGATGACCAAAAACTCTTTCAAAATCTCATGGTTATGAGCCCAGAGCAGTGGATCCAGGACCCAGGCCTCCTCTCCTTGCCCTCCTCTCCCTGCCCTGCTCCGAGTCTGAGCCGACCCCTAGGACCACGTCCCTTCATCCCTCTTTGCAGTCCCCGCAGAAGCTAGACAGTGCAGAACCCCACACGGCAGAATGCAGCCCCGGGGTCCTGTGCTCGCCACCTCCCGGCTCCATCCACCACCCCCTTTCCACGCCCTTGGCAATGAAGCAGTGAAATCAGAGAACGCTACCGCTAACAGGAAGAATGCGCTGCGTCTCAGAAGCCAGGAAACCACGTGGGTCAGGGCCAGCCTGAGCAGACCAGGCCAAAAGGCGACCTCGATTTGTGACCAACACGTGGTGCAATCCCAGCACGCGGCGCTCCCTGCAGACATCAGCTTGTATTGAGGAGGCCAACCTGCAGTGGCCCAGAAGCAAACAGAGGTCTCCCATCAGGGTGGCCACAGGCAGCCCTGAGGACATATAGTCACCACGCGGGAGAGAGCAGCAGCAGGTAATCACAGAGGCCCCCCGTGACGGGCGCTCCCGGGAGGGCGCCGGCTCAGGCCACACAGGCACCGGTGTCGGGGAGCCACCTCCAACCCCCACCCCCCGTTCTCTCACGCCATGCACGCACACACCAGGCACCACGGAAAGAAAAGGCCCACAGACAACAGCAGGCGACACAAGTGTGGAACGGGGCGCAATCTCTCACCCTCCACGGACGTAACTGCACCCAGGACAGCCGGCTGTGTTCATCCTGCCCCCGTTTCTCTGAAACCTCACCCAGGGCAACAGGTACGGACTTCCACAAAGAGCTTATTTCCCATGGAAAGGTTAGTGCCATAGAAACGACTCAATTCGGGGGGCTTAGAAAAACAACGGGACACGGGAAGGAAACCGAACAAGGGGTTTTCTCTATCTAGGTGGAAGGAGGGGGCCCACAGAGGTTCTGCACTTGTCCTGGGGGACGGGGACTCTGATGGGGGCCACGGGCGACCCCACTCCACTGCACAGCACGTGTGTCCTCCCGCACTGCCTCGGAATCACTTTGAAAAGTGTTCTCCCTTCTTCTTCAGGGAGACACCTGTCCAGCCACCTCCCTCAAATGCCCTCCAGGCACCTGGGTCCCTCTGCAGCTCTCCCGCCAGGGCCTGGGCAGAGGCTGCTTTGCTGGTGAGAGGCTGTGATGCGGAGGACGGGCGATTTCCAAGAACCACTGCTCCTCAGGCACTTCCGGAGCTCTGCGTCGAATCTGTCGCTGTTTCTCGTTGTGGTCCCGGACAGGAGAGCCAGCGCCGGAGCGGCCAGCAAAACTGACAGCTGACCTTTACGAGGACGCACTTCGCATCTCCAAGACACACTGAAGGACTCCTCTCTCCTTCCTGAGCTGGGCTCAGCATTAGACAGCTCTGGCTCAACGCTGCTTGGTGACAAAGATCCAGGAACCACTGGCTGTCTTAATGGAAGTGCAGGAGGGGGCTTCCTCAGGGACCCCAGAACCACCCAACTGGCTGGAGCATCCCGTCCTCCGGTTCTCACCGTGTGGCAAACAAAACCAGTCGCGTTGGCGGGGGCTGGGCGTGGAGGCACAGGCCTGCTCACCACTGCTGCTGGGGTGGGGTCTCCTGCTCACGGACAGCCCAGGGAGGGGCCCTGGAGTTTCAGGCAGGAGAAATGGTTCCAATTGAAAACAGCAGATCAATGTGGGAGTGGTGAGGACTCTGCAACTGGGTGAAAAAGCAGCTGGAGCAGATGGCGTTTGGCACTGTTAGGTCCCCATGTGGCCGTCAGCACCGGGACATCGGAGCCACGGATAATTCGGGAAGGTCTGGTCTGCAGAGCAGCGGCCCCAATCGTCCCCAGCAGCGCGATGTCTGCGGCCGGCGGATCCAGGCTCACCTTTCATCCTAGGAACCTTCCACCGCGAACGCCAACCCAGGAAGCCGCTGCTCTTACTTGAAGTTATCAGACAGAGCGGCAGGTTTACTCTTCGAGGGGATTAAACCCAGCGGGAACCCTGGACCTACGGCCGGTCATCAGACGTCAACAGGTAAAATCCTCAAAAATACATGATCCCTTTTGTGTCTGTCTCAGGTGTACAATGAAGTCTGAATTCCATGTTTAAACAAACAAAGAAAAACTTGGGGTCTGAAGTGAAATCGGACACCCCCCGAGTTAATGCCAACACTCTCTATGTCACGTTCCGGGCGGAGAGGCTGTTAGGTGGTCCGTGGCTCGGCAGCTCCTGGCTTCCCAACAGGCATCTGTCCGGTGCCCGGGCCTCCCCGGCAGCCTTGGTGTGTGCCTTGCTGCGTTTCTGTCTGTCCTCCCGGACAAAGGCGGCTGGCCGTGCAGCGCGGAGCGGAGGGGCTGTCTTGACACATTCCTCAAGATGCTGAGCTCCAACCTCCTCCCCATGCCCGACAGGGAGGCCTGGGGAGAGGAGGTGGTGCCGAGGGAGAAGGAAAGGAAAGCAAAGAATTCCCAGAATCATACAATCAGTTGTCTGAACTTGTTTATGTGTTTTTGTCTTAAACCACGGGAAGGCAGGCGATCAAATGGAAAGGGCTGGGTGTGTCCAGGTGCCGCCGATGCCCACAGGCCGCCGCGGGCTGTTCTCCTCCGTCTGTGGGTGCGGCCGCCTGAGCTGCCGGGTCCAGCTTCGGGGTCGCCGCTGGGTGAGTCCCACTCCCCCGCGTTGCAGGTGACCTCACTCCCCGGTGCCTGGCCCCTGGGGGCCGGCAGCTGCGATCACTCCAGCCGGTGTGGTTACAGCACCACTGGGCTCCTCCACCCGGGACCTTTTGACCTCGGGCTCTCCAGTGGAAGAGGCGGAGGCAGAGGCGGTGGTGGCAGTGGCTGGGGTGGTGGTGGCCGTGGCCGCGACGGCTGCTGCTGGCTCCTTGGGCCCCACCTCGCACACCCGGGTGACCACCACCGGCGCGGATGAACTCGCTTGGGTCGCAAGGAGCTGCAAAGGGCTGGTGAGGGCTGGAGTGGAGGAAGAAGAGGGTTACTCTGGGGTCTGGTTAGGACCCAGCTGCTTTTTTCAAGTCCCCTATACAGGGGCTAAGCCACCAAGCCGGAACCGGAGGTCAGTGCACCCCTGCCAGGCAGGACGGCTACCCTTGCTCTGCTCCCTGCGGGCCCTGCCGTCCCCTCCCCACCTCATCTGCCCTGTCTCTGCTGGCTCCAGCCTGTTGGGTGGAGGCCCCTCTCATTGCTGTCTAGATCCTGCTGGACATCGACGGCTTGCCTCACTCCTTTACACAGATGCACTGCCCTGAGCCACCCCACTGACAATGCGCCCGGTGCCCTGGTACCCTGCACCCCCGCCCAGCACCCTTGCACCCCAGCACCCCAACTCTCCTCCTTCCTTTGACCTCTTGCCTCACCCCATGGAGTGTGAGCTCCAGAGAGTGGGCAGATCTGGGTTTTCCTTCCACCCTGTTTTCTTTCCCCCCACTTTTTTTTTAAAGGGACAGGGTCTCGCTCAGTCACCCAGGCTGGCAGGTAGCGGAGCAATCACAGCTGACTACAGCCTCACTCTCCCAAGCAGCTGGGACCATGAGCGTGCAACACCACACCTGGCTAAGTTTTTGAATCTTATGTAGAGATGGGGTCTTGCTATGTTGCCCGGGCTGGTCTCGAACTCCTGAGCTCAAGCGATCTGCCTGCCTTGGCCTCCCAAGGTGCTGGGATGATAGGTGGCCCCTTCCACCCTCTTTTTCTTTGCATTACCCCAGTGCCTGGAGTATAGCAGGTGCTCAATAAATTGAACTGAGTGGAGGATCGGGAGATACTGGGAGAACATTCTCATGCCGCACTGACTACTGGGAGCCACAGAGCTTGGGATGTGGCATGGAGAACAGGGCCAGGGCCTCACCGTAAGCGTTGCCGGCTAAACTGTTCGTGGGAACCGCATGCTTTCCGTTCTGGGTCACGGCCCGGACTGGAAGGTGGTGCTGCCCGAGGGTCACGGGTGTGGCGGGCTGCAGGATGGTGACCGTGTGTCCGGGGACCCCGGGGGCCATCTGGCTGGCCACCGTCTGGATGACTCCACCAGCCGCGGGGATTGTGGCAAACGCAATGGTGGGTTTCTCCTCCAGGCCTGCGGGACAGGAACCAAGTCAGCACCACACTCGGCCAACGAGACAATCGATTTCCTCGACGCCTGGGCAGCAGGTCGGACAAGTGGGGAAAGTGAGGTCGGCACTGGGAAAAAATAGGTTTGCTAGAGGAAAATCCCATGGGTGAAATAGGTTTGGGAAGAAAATTACTAGGGTTTTAGAACAATATTTTACTTACTTATTTATTTTTTGAGACAGAATTTTGTTGCTCTGTCGCCCAGGCTGGAGTGCAGGGGTGCCATCTCGGCTCACTGCAACCTCCGCCTCCCGGGTTCAAGCGATTCTCCTGCCTCAGCCTCCTGAGTAGCTGGGACTACAGGCGCCTGCCACCACACCCGGCTAATTTTTGTATTTTCAGTAGAGATGGGGTTTCACCATGTTGGCCAGGCTGGTCTTGAACTTCTGACCTCAAGTGATCTGCCTGCCTCAGCCTCCCAAAGTGCTGGGATTACAGGCGTGAGCCACCGCGCCCGGCCTAGAACAGTATTTTAAATACCTTAGCTTTAACCAACCCAAATTTAGTCTGAGAAAGAAAACGTATTACTTGGAATGAAATGATCCTGATTACAGCTGTAACTTGGCCTTCCCTCACCAAACTGCAGTTTCATTACGGCAGCATTGAAACAAACACCACCGCGGAGAGGAAGTCCAGGGTGGAGAGTGGCCTAGGAGGGCGCTGCCTAACTGCAGGCGTTCCGGAGAGGAGCTTCTGGGGTCAGCTGCATGTTCAGTGTCTACCCCGTCAAGCCCTGGGATCGGATTTCTTTTAGCAATTCAGAACTACTTTTTCCCTAAATGACTTCTAAAGTCTTTAACTTACGAGGGAGTCGAAAAGAACAGTCTTCCCAGGCTCATTCTTTCTCCTGCAGAAAACACTAAATTCCAAATGCATGCAAGGCCGCAACACAACTCAATTTAACGTTACCTTAGGGCAAGGACACAGCTATGTGCATCCGAGGGCCCTGTTCAACAAGGAAGGACACATCTGCGGAGATTCATGGGTTTTTTTTTTTTTGAGACAGGGTTTTGCTCTGTCGCCCAGGCTGGAGTGCAGTGGCGCAGTCTAGCTCACTGCAACCTCTGCCTCCAGGCTTCAAGCGATTCTCCTCCCTCAGCCTCCTGAGTAGCTGGGACTACAGGAGCGCATCATCATGCCTGGCTAATTTTTGTATTTTCAGTAGAGACGGGGTTTCAGTATGTTGGCCAGGCTGACCTCGAACTCCGGACCTCAAGTAATCCACCCGCTTTGGCCTCCCAAAGCACTGGGATTATAAGCATGAGCCACCTGCCCAGCTCATGCTGATTTAAAGGGACAAGGCAGCGAGAGGCAGAAGCAGAGAATCATCCTCCTCAAGCCCCAGGCCCAGGCCAATGGCGCTGCCTTGGGGACTTGCCGGCCGGGACCACCACAAAGGGTCCTGCGAAGGCTGCCAGCCGCGGCTGCATTACCTCTGGCCTCGCTGCCCAGGTCCAGCACGGCTGCGCCCGCCGCATCATGGGAGCCCCCCGCCGCGCCCTGGCTGGTGAGGATGTATCCGTTGGCCGAGTTGGCAGATGTGGTGACCACCCTGACCATGGTGACGGTGGGGGCCTGCTGCACGACGTGGATGGCGTGGCCCGCGGGCTGCTGTGAGGTTACGATGGAGGCGGGCATGTAGGCCACGGGCTTGGCCACGAGGCTGGACGGTCGGGGAGGCACGGCCATGATCACTGGCTGGGCGCTGACGGGGGAGCCTGCACGGAGGGCGGAGAGCGGACGGTGACCCCTCCCGCACCCCCACGAGTCCCGCCCCGCCCCGCCCCGCAAGAGGGCCGCCCGCTCCTTACCGGGTGCGCTTTGGGAATACCGGTACTCTGGGACAGAAGCTAACTTGGACCCAAACTCAGGGTCGTGTGGAATGGGGGAGCCCTCCCGAGACAGGCACTCTGGGGTCTGCAGGCCGCCGGAGCGAGGGGACATCAGCCCGGGGTGTGTGGGCGAAGCTGGAGCGCTCCTGGAAGACAGGCAAGGGCCGCGGCAGTCAGCGCCCGCGCTGAGGGATGCGAGGACGTTTCCGAGACATCACGCATCTCAGCGCCGTCACCCGCCCACGCTCCCTGGAGCTCGTCTCTGTCCTCCGCATTCAGACGGTGAGAAACGCCCCCGTAACCTGAACCCAGCCTTTAAAACTCCATTTGAGTGGGGGCTGCATGGGGGAGGCTCCGTTCCATGAGAGGGGACGGTATCATGTGAGGTGCTGCAGTGAACGCAACAACCTACGGAGTTCACTTCCACCGAGGTCCAGCCAGGTGTCCATGAAAATGGCCCAGGCCTTCTGTGCCAAAAACATAAGCTTCTGTTTGGTGGGCGCAACCGTTCCACCATGAAAACTCTACCCGAGAGGGGTGTTTGAACGTCATTTGGAGCTCAGTTTAAATGCTGCAAATGACGTTCGAACACTTTTTTGAAGTCCTACCTCAACCATACGCCCAGTTCACCTGAGAATCACAATGCCAGACCCTGTGCTCGAAATGAATTTTCAGATATTTCAATCTTTCATCAAATCGTGTTGGAAACAGAATTTTGAAATGGGAAGCACGAGAGGTTAACGTGTCCTTCCACGGGGAAGGATTTCCGAGACTGCCGCTCAGGAGATCTCCTCCTCGACACCTGGGACGGGCTCATCTGATGGGCAACCTGGGAAGCGCTGCCCAGACCGCTCACAGGCGGTGCATGCTCCTCCAGACTGGGCTTGGCCAAGACTGAGCTGGGCAGGGGAGGCCCTGACGCAGCAGGTGGGCAGCAATGGCTGGGGGAGGGTCTGTCCACCCCGCCGGCAGCAGAGCTGCGTTCCCAGCATCTGCGAAAAGCAAAGGCGGTTGTGGGCTCCCCAGGTCATACCCCTCATCTGTCCCTTCGAAGATTGGGCTCTCCCCGGGTCCTCTCACACACTGCAACAGAAAGCTTAGTGCTACCAAAAGACCCACAACCGCAATCCATTTATTCTTGGCCTTAGGAACCGTTCCTATTGCTACACACATTTCCACTTCTAAGAACTAAAATCTTATTTTTAATACAACAGTCAGTGGCTTACTTAGTAACCTTACTATTTTAGGAGTTCTTGGTCCTGAGATATTCTCTCAAAACAAAAACAGAAAATGGTGCAGTCTTTAAGTGCCGAAACCAGCAGTCACCCCTCGGTACTTGAGGGGCGGGGGTTGTGGGTACCAAATCTGCAGATGCTTACCCAAGTTCCTCATAGAAATGGTGTCGCATTTGCATACAACCTGTGCACATCCTCCTGTAAGCTTTAAATCATCGCCAGGTTACTTATAATCCCTAACAAATGTACCTGCTATGTAAACAGCTGTTGTAGTGTGTATTGTTTCATTTGTATTACTTTTTTTTTTTTTTTTTTTTTTTTTTTTTTGAGACGGAGTTTTGCTCTTGTCGCCCAGGCTGCAGTGCAGTGGTACATACAATCTCGGCTCACTGCAACTTCTGCCTCCGAGATTCAAGCGATTCTCCTACCTCAGCCTCCCCAGTAGCTGGAATTACAGGCACCTGCCACCATGCCCGACTAATTTTGAATTTTTTTAGTAGAGGCAGGGGTTTCACCATGTTGGCTAGGCTGGTCTCAAACCCCTGACCTCAGGTGATCCACTTGCCTCGGCCTCCCAGAGTGCTGGGATTACAGGCGTGAGCCACCGCGCCGGCCTTCTTTTTTTTGGAATATTTTTGACCTGTGATCAGTTGCATGCCCGTACACTGAGCCTGAGCCCACAGATCCGGAGGGCTGACTGCGCCACGTATCTCTAAACTCCAGGGCAGCTCAGCTTTCCTAACAGCTGGAGGACGGGCGCTCAGAGAACTTTACCTTGAGGACAGAGGCCCGAAGGGGGTGCGGAAGCAGGAGACACCCCTCTGCCTCCGTTTCCGGAATGCCTGTTCCACGAGCTTGGCTTCAGAGGCAGGGTCTATTCGCCAAAAGGACCCCTTCCCAGGCTCCTCCTGGGAACGTGGGACTTTGATAAAGTAACGGTTCAAAGAGAGGTTGTGCCGGATAGAATTCTGCAGGGAAGCAGAGATATTCACCCATCACCAGCAAATCAGAAAATGAGTCCCACCCACCTCAAATCTGCAGCAGATGCGGGACCAGGGTGAGGGGAGGCCGTCCCTCTGTGCAGAGCCCTTGGTGCTGTGCTGGCTGGGCCTCACGGGAGCAGCACCGAGGCACAGGGCAGGTCATTCCTATCAAAATTTGACACCGCATAATTACCATTTTACCTTTTTTTTTTTTTTGACGGAGTCTCATTCTGTCGCCCAGGATGGAGTGCAGTGGCACGATCTCGGCTCACTGCAAGTTCCGCCTCCCGGGTTCAAGGGATTCTCCTGCCTCAGCCTCCTGACTAGCTGGGACTATGGGCGTGGGCCACCATGCTGGGTTGATTTTTTTGTATTTTTAGTTGAGATGGGGTCTCACACTCTTGGGCTTAACCAATCCTTCCACCTCGGCCTCCCAAAGTGCTGGGATTACAGGCATGAGCTACTGTGCCTGGCTGCCATTACCATTCTTTACAGAAAAAGTGAAACAGAAAGACAGATCCTGGTCTAGGAGCACATCTGGGAGAAAGAAAACACTGGGTCTTGGCCGGGCACAGTGGCTCACGCCTGTAATCCCAGCACTTTGGGAAGCCGAGGCTGGCAGGATTACCTGAGGTCAGGAGTTTGAGACCAGCCTGGGCAACATGGTGAAACCCCATCTCTACTAAAAATACAAAAAATAGCCAGGTGTGGTGGTGGGCACCTGTAGCCCCAGCTACTTGGGAGGCTGAAGCAGAAGAATCGCTTGAACCTGGGAGGCGAAGGTTGCAGTGAGCTGAGATCGCGCCACCACACTCCAGCCGGGATGGCAGAGCGAGATCCTGTCTCAAAAAACAAACAAACAAACAAAAAACCAAAGCTAGTGGATGCGCTACACTGACATTGGAGAAAATACAGGCAAATGCAACATGCATCAGTCATGGCTGGTGTGGACAAAGCTCTTAAAATGCCATCCACAATTCAGACATGTGGATTGTTTGAATAACAGTATATGGTACATTTTTCCAACTTAACGTGGGATTGTGAGGCACAGCAAGCACAAAAATCTAACAAGGTGTAGATCCATCTTCTCAGTTCTGGGGCTCAGAAGAAGGAAACTAATAAAAAAGAGTATTTAGACACAATGGTATCACAGCGCTAATGCCTTTCAGATGTACCATATGCCATTCGTGAAAACATCCCTCTTTTATATTTATCTTCTTAGTTAAAAAGATATTTTTTTTCTTTGTAGACACAGGGTCTTTCTCTGTCTCCCAGGCTGGAGTGCAGTGGTGTGATCATAGCTCACTGCAGCCTCCACCTCCTGGGCTCAAGTGATCCTCCCACCTCAGCCTCCGAGTAGCTGCGACCACAGGTGTGCACCACCACACTCAGCTAATTTTTAGTAGAAAAGAGGTTCTCTCTATGTTGCACAGGCTGGTCTTGATCCTCCTCCTGCCTCGGCCTCACAAAATGCTAGGGTTCCAGGCGTGAGCCCCCTCACTGGCCCTCTTCTGTTTTAAGGGAAGCAATATGCCTGTGAGTTCCATGTTCTAAGGGCCTTCAGAGGCGATCCGGCCCTGGGGACTCGGCTTCACCTGCCAGCCTTTGTCGGCCGTCCGGTAGTAGGGGTAATGCTTGGTGATGTGGGCGTAGATCCCGCTCAGGGTCAGCTGCCGGTCCTGGGCGGAGGAGATGGCCTGCACGATCAGCTGCGCGTAGGAGAACGGCGGCTTTGACTCATCCTGCGGAGAAACACGGCTCACGGGATGAGCTCCAGCAAGGTCCCTGAGTCTACCCCACCCACCCGTCACAGCTGATGGGGAGGAACCTTCCCACGAGAATGTGCGCGTCTTGCCGGCACCCGTCCCAGTGCCCTCCAACTATCCCATTAATGTGCTTGCATTCAACTAGGAACAACCATTTTTGCCTCATGGGAAGGAAAACTTCGGTTTTATTATAATTTAATTCTGAAATTTCTCACCTCTTCCAGAAATCAATTTGAAAACAGCTATTGGACAAAAATGAACTAAGACAAAGTTATAAGGAGAACGCCATCCTGCTCAAGGGCTGTATGAAGGCTTTGACGCCGGGCTGCCAGCGGCAGATGAACAAGGAGCGTGGCGGGAGGGGCCCTCGGTGACGGCGCCACCCCTGTCACCAGCAAATGACCAACGGGGATGATTTGGGCACGAAAACGAGAAAGGGCCGACGGCTCTACCGCCAGCTGCGGCTCCATTCCCTGTGGGCTGAGACCACCTCGAGCACACGCCCGCAGGCCCTGGGCTGTCTGTGCCGCCCGCGCCGGGTCACTATGGCCCGATCCTGGGTCACCAGGTGCACCACGGCGCCAGGTGGGCTCAGACCTTGGGGCTGTCTCCTCCAGACGTGTCTGCCTGCTGCTCCGACGCGGCCTTTGCTGCAAACTCTGCTGCCAGCTGCAGGTCCGAGGTCACGTTCTGCACAAAGCGGTAACTGGAGGAGCCGGCACCGCGTGGACTGGCTGGGCAGGAGTTGGGGACACTGAGGAGAGAGAAGGACACTGTAAGTTCATGGCTCTGAAGAGGGGGCCCCTGTGGGGCTCAGGGCTTCAGGACCTACCCAGAGGGTGGGGCTGTGGGGAAGAAGCTCACACTTTCCAATTTTAAGTGCCACCACACTGCCCGGCCAAGGTCACGCAGCGGCGGGGACAAGATGCTGGAAACGGCAGGCAAGTTTCCTTCCAGTGGTGACTTCTGCTCGGGGGCTGAGAGCACCGCGGGCCCTCCTCCTGCCATTATGCAGGGCCCAGGGCAGCACCTGGTCAGGCAGCTCTGTGGGGCCCCTCCTCAGGTCCCCCCACACACACCCCTACAGGATGTGCACCCGGAGCAGGTAGCCTCCGCGGGCTGCTGGCTCCTGCACAGGTGTCCACAAGGCGGCGCTGTGGGAAAAGGCTCGGGCCCAGGACAACCCCGTGTGGTCACAGAGGCAGATCCTGGAAAGAGGCTGTGGAGGTGCCATCGCCCTGCAGGGTGAAGGCGTGGCAGGTGGCTCTCCTGGAGACACCGCCCTCGGGAAGAGATGACCCCTGCAGTTTTGCCCTGAGCCGCTGAGATGCCCCTGCCCTCATCCCCTCTCCCTCCCAGGCTGGAGCAACCACAGATGGCTGGGAGTGACCGACACCCCCGGCTGCAGGTGAGGCTCTGGGTTGAGGCCGGGACCACAGGCAGGAGGCTGCGTCCGTCCGGCTGAGGGGTGTGCTCTGGCCTGCTTCCCTAACTCACTAAGGCAGGCTTCCGTCAGCAAACCACGGCGATGTTTTGCTTCTGAAAATGATTTCTATTACAGGTATTCAGAGAAAGCCAATGAAGACACGAAGAGTGGGTGCAGAACCTCCCGAGAGAAAGAGATCCCACTGTCCTGAGCTCACGGGCACCCACCTAGCCCCGTCCTGAGATGGACCCTGCCCACCTGTGATGCTGACATCCCCCCTCTCAGCTGACTTAGAGCCCCCGTGGCGGGTAGGATGCTCCCTGCTGCACTGCCCTGCAGGCCACCCAGAACCATCCAGAACCACCCAGAACCATCCAGAACCATCCAGAAGGTCCATTCTCCTCCTCCCGCCTTGCTGCCCTTTCCTCTGCCAGGAACATCCTTCCCTAACTGTCCAGGCACAAGACTCCTAGATCTCCAAAACTTAGGTTAAGTAGGAGCCCCCTTGGGTGCAGGCGGGGCTCAAGAAACATTTTTTGGATGGAGCAGAGGAATGAATGAAAAAAATCCTGTGGCTGAGAAAAACCTGACAGCTGACATTAATGATCAGTTCAGGTCTGGGGCATTTTCAGGAAGGACTCAGTGTCACCCACATGGAACGTTAAGGACTCTGATCTGGAATTCCCATTCTCTCTTACAACGGACTCCCCAAATATGGCAGAGATAGGTAAGTTCCACACGTGTCGAAACTTAAATGAACACCCACAAATGGCTCGATCGAGGTAGGAAACAGTCAAAAGGAAACCTTTTCTGAATTTAGTTCTGAATCCAAAATACAAAACCCAAGTTTACAAGTAAGATGAGAAGGGGAGAGAAAGGTTTTGACTGGTAACAGCACACAGCCCCCAAAATCGGCTTTGTCAAAGGCCTCTGGGAACCAAACACCTCCCTGCTGAGGCAGGATGGCCTCATGGCCGGAGGGGCTGCAGACAATGGGGCCAGCACACGCCTGTGCACCCGGTCCCAGACCCAAAGCCACTGGACGTCCCCCTTGGACTCAGCAGGAAGAACTGAAATGTCAGTCCTTGCTGGGGACCACTGAGCCGAGGTGTCACTCACATACACTCTGATCTCCGGCCACAGGCTGGGGAATGGCCACTCAGCTCGGAAAATCTCATCCGAGGCCCATGAGGTGGCAGGCGGGCTCCTGGATCCTTCCTGAGGACCAATGAGGGGCACCCCCCAGCACTCCACAACAAACAGTGATGGCCCAGCACGTGTGGCAGGGACCTGCTCCTGTTCCCAGCAGTTATTTTGCAGAAGATCATAGAAAATTCATGTCTGCCGGGTGCGGTGGCTCATGCCTGTAAGCCCAGCAATTTGGGAGGCCCAGGCAGGAGGATCGCTTGAGCCCACATGGTCGAAACTAGCCTGGGCAACATAGTGACACCCCCATCTCTACAAAAATATTAACATTAGACAGGTGTGGTGGTGTGCACCTGTAGTCTCAGCTACTCAGGAGGCTGAGGCAGGAGGACTGCTTGAGCCTAGGAGTTTGAGGCTACAGTGAGCTATAATTGTGCCACTGCACTCTGGCGGAGCAAGACCCTGTCTCTAAAAATAAATAAATAAATACATAAATAAACAAAGTTTTAACATTTTAAAAATTAGCTGGGCGTGGTAATGCACACCTGCAGTTCCAGCTGTTCAGGAGGCTGAGGCAGGAAGATGGCTTGAGCCTGGGAGGTCGAGGCTGCAGTGAGCTATGATCACACCACTGCACTCTAGCCTGGGCAACAGAGTGAGACCTTATCTCAAAAAACAAACAAAAAACCTCATGGAGTAAAACCCACAGGAAAAGTTGTCATTCCCCAGAGAATGATTTCAAGTGGAAATAAGAAAGGTTGGCGAAGCCTGGCTCCCACAGGCGAGAGAGTAGGGTGGTTTCTCCGCCACTTTCCCCAGCACTGGACCTGGCCTGGGCTGCCGGATCCTGGTGTCACTCCAGCCGGGACAGGTACGACAGCGCAGCTTCTGAGGTTTTCCAGCCACCTGGGCTGAGGGACCACATGTGTTTGTTCACATGGCTCCTCCAGCCCTCGGAGCAGCCCGTCTCTCAATAAGCCCCATTCAACTGTCCTCCGCAGGCGGGCCTCGGCCACGGGGCTGTGCCTGGTACCAGGCTCCTGATACCAAGGCCCCCGATACCAGGCCTGCAGCTGACGGAGGCGGGAAGCAGAGGCTGCTCGAGCCTCACAGCCGCTAAGAGCTGTAAAGTGCCCTGGGGGAAGACAGGTCTGAGGGCGCCCAGCCAGGGTGGGATGGGACACCCAGCTCCAAAGCCAGAGGCCTTGGAGCCATCCGGAAAACTAATCAAGACATCCCATGTCTGATGCTGGGAGTCCACGGAAACATTCCCTTAGCAATCTAAAGAAAATGCTGGGCCGGGCACGGTGGCTCACGCTTGTAATCCCAGTGCTTTGGGATTGGTAATCCCAATGCTTTTGGGATTACCCGAGGAGGGTGGATCATGAGGTCAGGAGAGCGAGACCATCCTGGCTAACACAGTGAAACCCCGTCTCTACTAAAAAAAAAATACAAAAAATTAGCCGGGCATGGTGGCAGGTGCCTGTAGTACCAGCTACTCTGGAGGCTGAGGCAGGAGAATGGCATGAACCTGGGAGGTGGAGTTTGCAGTGAGTCGAGATTGCGCCACTGCACTCCAGCCTGGGCGACAGAGCAAGACTCCATCTCAAAAAAAAAAAAAAAAAAAAGTGCTGAAGGCCAGGCACGGTGGCTCACGCCTGTAATCCCAGCACTTTGAGGGGGCCGAGGTGGGCAGATCACCTAAGGTCAGGAGTTCGAGACCAGCCTGCCCGATTTAGAGAAATCCCGTCTCTACTGAAAATGCAAAATCAGCCAGACGTGGTGGTGCATGCCTGTAATCCCAGCTACTCGGGAGGCTGAGGAAGGAGAATTGCTTGAACCCGGGAGGCAGAGGTTGCAGTGAGCCGAGATTATGCCATTGTACTCCAGCCTGGACAACAAGAGTGAAACTCTGTCTCAAAAAAAAAAAGATGGGAGACCGAGGCGGGTGGATGACGAGGTTAGGAGATCGAGACCATCCTGGCTAACACGGTGAAATCCTGTCTCTACTAAAAAATACAGAAAACAAAATTAGCTGGGTGTGGTGGCGGGCACTTGTAGTCCCAGCTACTTGGGAGGCTGAGGCAGGAGAATGGCGTGAACCTGGGAGGCGGAGCTTGCAGTGAGCAGAGATCGTGCCACTGCACTCCAGCCTGGGCGACAGAGCGAGATTCTGTCTCAAAAAAAAAAAAAAAGTGCTGAAAACGACGGCATACACGTGCACACATTTCCTCCTGCGGGAATGAGAAAGAGCAGGAAGCTGAGGGGACCCCACTGCTCCCTGACAGGGACCACCAGCTCAATTCCAGGAAACAGGGAATCACTCCTTCTGGGGTAAGTACCCCAGGCCTCGGTCAGGCCCCCCCCAGTCCCTAGCTGCCCAGGTGTGGGACGCAGAGGCTGGACAGTGACAGCCCACAGACGTCGCGGGAATCAAACGCCTGTGCCCCCCGATTGGAGGCTGAGAGAGGGAAGAAGCACAGTAAGCAGCTCACCCCTAGGCCCTGATTTTGCTTCCTTTATATGGAGGACAATTCCCAAGTCACATTTCCGCCTCAGGCGAGAGAGCTGGAGGATTCTGAGTACGGGTCTCCCGGAGCTGTGCTCACAGGGACAACCCCATGCTGACCCACCCCGGGCAGCCTCCACCGCATCCAGGGGCCGGGCCTAGAAGGTGCCACTGGGACCACCCAGGACATGCCAGTGCAGGGAGACTGCAGAGGGACGGACGGGCTGTGGGACACACAGGTCGCTGGGTCACGTTATGATGAGAAGTCACGCTGAGAAAGGCAAATCCAACAACAGACCTAAAGCCACCTCTGGAGCCGCCAGCTGGGCTCCGTCCCCAGAGCCTAAGACAAGCCTTCCCCAGGGCACAGGGCTGCGGTCCTTCCAGTCCACCCTCAATGCCCTTGGCTCTGCTCTGAGGCTGAGAAGGCCACCCTGAGAGGCCTAGGGTCGGGACAGTTATCGCTTCCGGCAGGCCCAGGGAGGACAGTGCTCTGTCAGAAGGGACCTGATCCCTCCTGAAGCCCTAGAGACACAGAGGGACCCGCCTGGAGGGGCTGGAGGAAGGAGCTGCGACGGAGCCTTGTGGGCAGTGGAGGGGCGAGAAGGCTGCGGGGGTCTGCGATGACCTTTGCGTCCCAAGGCGGCACCTGAAGCCTCCTGGGGGAACCTCCCTGCAGAGGAGGACGCTTGGGGTCCCTGCCCCAGCCCCTGCTCCAATACCAGCCGCTCTAAGAGGGTTTTTAGGACCTCACTGTTAAACACAACAGCCGGCCAAGGCACATCTGTGGTTTGAGGAAGCTTCTACCAGGTGGAACATGGTGCAAAACAGAAGAGAAGAGGGACCCAGGGAAGCCTACGGGAGCTTGGGAGGAGATGAAACATGGTTCCCGTCCCTAGGGAGGTAACGATGCCGTCTCTGTAGGACAGTAAGAACAGCATGCAAAGCACACCTGCAGAGCAAGAACACGCTCTTCAAATTAAAAAATAAGAATTCAAAAGAAGAGAAATACAAATCCAAGAAAGGGTGGAAGGAGAGACTGGAGAAAATCCCTCAGAAAGTAGAGAGAGAAAGGAAAGGAGAGGCATGAGAGACTCAGCTCAGAGGCCCGCCAGGCACAGCCAGTCCCAGAAGCGTGGACAGGAACCTGGGGGTCCAGGCGAGGTGGCTCACACCTGTAATCCCAGCGCTTTGGGAGGCTGAGGTGGGCAGATAACTTGAGCACAGGAGTTCAAGACCAGCCTGGGCAACATGGGGAGACCCCACCTCTACAAAAAATACAAAAATTAGCCGGGCATGGTGGTGCACACCTGTAGTCCCTACTACTCGGGAGGCTGAGGCAGGAGGCTCGCTTGAGCCCAGAAGTACCAGCCTGGGCAACAAAGTGAGACCTTGTCTCTTAAATCAGTGAATAAATGAAAAGTCTGTCTCCTGTGCCCTTTCCCAGGAAGCGACTGGGGGATGGACTCTGGTAAAACAAAGGAACAAATCAGGAAAGAGGAAGACGTGGGAATCAGGAAACAGCCCTCTCTCCACCACCACCTCCTGAGGGGATTCCCAGGATGGTGGAGAAGATGATCCCATGGTCAGAGGGGCCCCAGAGGAAGGCCTTCACAGTAAAGGGAGAAGAGGCCATTATTAACCCCAAGAGCGGGGGGAGTGTGGCGGAAATAAGCCAAAAGTACAAGGAAGGAAATGGCTAAGCGCTACAATCACTACACAGTTCTAATACAGAAAACGCTCATGCAAGGTAAACCAGACATGATGATGTAACTTTACTGGGATGGGGAGGGGGGAAGCTAAATCCTTAATTTCCATATAGGAACCTCATGTGTAATATCTAAAACGGAAAAACCAAGAGACAGTCACGTACGAATACGACTCAGAGACACAGAAGTGAGAGAGAAGGGCTCAGCTCTGGGGAGCGTTGTGTGGGGGAATTTTCACTTTCTGAAATGTTTGCATTTTGTAAGATGCATATAGATAGATAGATAGTCTCTTCGTAATCTGAAAAAGGAAAAATAAACAAATAGGGAAAGAAAATTTTCAGAGGCGAATTTCTTAGAATGATCTTAAAGAATGTGTTCCTTTAAGATAAATCCGACATTGTAAAATGCTGGGAAGCTATTTTTAAAAATTAACTAGTGGATTGCTCCTGTAGTCACGGCTGAGGTGGGAGGATCGCTTGAGTCCCGGAGGTCGAGGCTGCAGCGAGCCGTGACCGGACCACTGCACTCCGGCCTGGGTGTCAGAACAAGACCCTGCTTCAAAACAAAACAAAAACAACAAAGGCAACAACAACCACAACAAAAACAGGCCCAGGCTTGTAATCTTGGCACTTTGGGAGGTCAAGGTGGGAAGACTGCTTGAGGCCAGGAGTTCAGGACCAGCCTGGGCAAGACACCATCTCAACGAAAATAAAAAATGAGCTGGGTGTGTGTGGTGGTGGGTGCCTGTAGTCCTAGCTACTCAGGAGGCTGCAGTGGGAGGATCGCTTGAGCCCGGGAGGTTGAGGTTGCAGTGAGCTGTGACTGTGCCACTGCACTCCAGCCTGGGCAATAGAGTGAGACCCTGTCCCAAAAAACAAACAAACAAAAACAAAATCAACCCCCCAAACCCAAATTGGAACCAGCATTAAAAATAATAATTTAGAAAATAAAATTAACTTGTTTCTGAAGTGCACTTTGCCCTGGTGAGAATAACCAGCATGGTGGCTTCAACAGGAGCTGCTCTCATGTTAGGCATAGACCTCACAGAGCTGAGTGGGTGCTTGAGCGGAGAGGCGGCCCCGCAGCTAGGCAGGTTCCGGGGTCAGCTCCGTGTCTGCAGGCGCCTCCTGCTTCCCCTGAGGCTCATGGAACCCGGAAAGGGCTGTCCTCGTGCGTAACATGCCCGCACAGAAGCCATGCAACAGGCCTACTCCACACAAGCCGCTTGTCACCCGAGGCTGACCTGAGAAGTCGGGCGCTAGGACCCTCCGAGATTACAGGAAACGCGGGCGTGGGGATGTCCTTTCAACAGATTCGGACAAACACAAGGACTTCCCTACCAAGCTTCATTCCGAACTCCCAACACTTTAGCGCCAAAGTTGCCCCTCGAAGGGATCTAGGCAGGAGGGAAAAATAAAAGGAAGACAGAAAGTCCCAACCTTCCCATGTGGAGGAAACAATAGTTACTTCCCCAGAGTTCTCAGCTGGGAAAAGACATAAGAGGGTGTGGTGGGGTGGGGAGGGGCAGCAAGGCCTACAGGGACAGGGACAGGCAGACAAGGGAAGAGGGACCCTCACTGGATTTGCAAATGCTGGCACAGCCAGCCCAGATCAGCCAGGCAGGATTCCCGCTAGGGGTGATTCACACATTCGCACCACAATCCTCCTGCAGCCCTGCTGAAAACACACGGAAGGCTGCAGCCACAAACTTGTGTTTTTTAATTATTAATTTTTTGAGACAGGGTCTTGCTCTGTTGCCCAGGTTGGAGTGCAGTGGTGACATCATAGCTCGCCACAGCCTCCAACTGCTGGGCTCAAGCGATCCTCCTGCCTCAGCCTCCCGAGTAGCTGGGTCTAAAGACATGAGCCACTGCACCTGGCTAATTAGCAAAAAAATTTTTTTTTTTAGAGATGGGGGTCTCACTATGCTGCCCAGGCTTGTCTGGAACTCCTGGCCTCAAGCAATCCTCCTGCCTCAGCTTCCCAAAGTGCGTCACCACACCCAGCCAACCAGAAACTTTGAAAGAGATGAATCACCCTGCAGGAAGCTACCAAAGTTGTCAGAAAAAGGAGAGTATTTCTAACGTAGATCCAATAACCTCCAAACTCAAAAGACCTCTAACTTTACAAAACAACATAAACCAAGTTAGGACTGAATGTTATCTAGCAATAAGACAGAACTGTTTAAAAATCATGATTAAAAGGGAAAGATTTTGAAGTCAGTTGCTGCATTTTTACTGTATATTTACATACTGCTGACCTTCGCCGAATTGTACGAGTTACTTTCATTTTTGATCTCCACGTTGGAGAAATCAGGAAGAGCCTTAAGAGAAACAGCTCTTGAAGTCTTGCCCTCATGAGCAAAAACAGTCACTCTGTGCAATGTCCTTTCACTGAATTTCAGCAGTTTTCTTAAAACTCTACCTCTAAGGAACACTTTTTAGACTGGTGTCTGTCTGATGGAACCTAGAAAATGATTAACTACTTGAATTCTTTCATTAAATACTTTAATTCCTTCCTAAAAACACTTTTTTTTTTGAGATGGAGTCTCGCTCTGCCGCCCAGTCTGGAGTGGTGCAATCTTGGTTCACTGCAACCTCTGCCTCCTAGGTTCAAGCAATTCTCCTGCCTCAGCCTCCCAAGTAGCTTGGATTACACACCTGGCTCATTTTTGTATTTTCAGTAGAGATGGGGTTTCACAATGTTGACCAGGCTGGTCTCGAACTCCTGACCTCAGGTGATCCGCCTGCCTCAGCCTCCCAAAGTGCTGGGATTACAGGCCTGAGCCACCGGGCGCCTGGCCTGTAAAAATCCTTCTTTGCAAAAAGGAAAGAAAAGGTCAAACTTCTGCTAAAGATAGCAGAATTTATTTCAAAGAGAGTTCATTCATTTTCTGGGTGGAGTACTTCAGGGCAGAAAAAAATAAATCAGAAACACACACACACACACAAAACCACACACCCACACCCATACCCACCCACCCTGGGAAAAGGAGCGAGGGCCTGCGAGAAACGGAAAGGAAGGACGCAGGGTGGCGCGGGGGGCGGGGGCAGGGGCAGCTGATCAGGGAGGCTCCCCCAGGAAAAAGCCGCTCCCAAGCCACTCCCGACTCCTGGGAATGAGGGGCCCTGGGCGAGCCCGGCCTACACCGAGCCAGCCACTCCACGGCCAATGAGGACTGGCGAGGCGAATGCACACCAAATTAGGAAGGCAGGCACCGCGGGGGCGGGGCGGCACTGGGAGGGGACAGCCTTGCAGGCAGCCAGCTCTTCTGGCCTGGCCCCGCTCCCACCTCCCGATCTGTTAGGGAGCGCAGCCAGAGAGGAGGAGAGTGGGGAGGTGGCAGGGAAGGGCAGGGAGTGTTTGTAAACACGCCGGCTCCACCCTACAGCAGAAACTCAAACTGAAAAGTATCTTGGCAGGGAAAACCTCAAGGGCCTCTGAGGTTTCTAAACACTCAATTGAATTCCAGGGTGCTAAGATAAACGGATGTAAACAGAGAGGCTTTTATTGTAACAATGGAAGGCCAAAAAGCCAGACAGCCAGTCCCTAACTTACTACTTTCTCCGCACAGAATTCTCCCCAACAAGAATCCGGTCTTTGCACAGGGCGGTTTCAAAGAACAGGACTGGGCGGAAGGAGGGGAAAGGGGTGGCCCCCCACCTTCCTGGCTCCCGCAGCAAGAGCAGGGCAGGTGCAGGCCCAGGGAGCTGCTCGCACCCCCTGACGGGGACTCGCAGTCACAGGAGGCCGCCACCCAGCTTCTCAGAACAGCTCCAGCTGCAAGAGCTTCAGGTGCTCAGTACACAATTTCTTTACTCCCAGCTATAAAAAAGAATGAAATCTTGACCTGGGCAGCAACGCGATGGAGCTGGAGGCGCTTATCCCAAGTGAACCAACTCAGAAACAATACCGCACAGCGCCTGCTCTTGCTTACAAGCAGTGGCTGAACAGTGGGTACCCGGGAACAGGAAGATCGAAACAATGAGAAACTGGGACTCCTAAGCAGGGAGGCGGGAGAGGGCGAGGGGTGAAAGATGACCTACGGGGTACGCGGTTCACCCTTTAGGTAACGGGAACCCCAGAAGCGCAATCCCCACCAGTAATATACCCATGTCACAAATATGCACGTGTACCCCCTGAAGCTAAGATAAAATAAAAATAAACAGTATTTTCCCTGCCGTAATTTAAAACACAGGTATCACTTAACTCCTTCGCAAACCACAACCTCTCTTGTAATAAAAGCGACTTTACTATGCAAATTTGGATTAACACTGGGAAATAGTTTTATTTTTTTAAGCCCCCTCCCGGAGCAAACCAAAACATTTTTCTTTCTTTCAATACGGTGAAACCCCATCTCTACTAAAAACACACAAAAATTAGCCGGGCGTGGTGGCATGTGCCTGTATTCCCACCTACTCTCAAGGCTGAGACAGGGGAATTGCTTGAACCAGGGAGGTGGAGCTTGCACTGAGCCAAGATCACGCCACTGCACTCCAGCCTGGGCGACAGAGCAAGACTCCGTCTCAAAAAAAAAAAAAAAGCTTCTGTTTAGCTGGATTACAACCTGCTGATTAATAACCCACTCCCAGGCTAAGGCGGGGGCGCTGGCCTAGCCCTTCCTCAGGAGCCCCGGATCGCTGCCTGGCCTGCTTCTCTCTGGACCTGAGGCCTTTGCTACCCGCCCCAAAAGCAGCAGGACCAGCCTCTTCTGGTGTGAGCTTCCACTAGCACGTGAGCTGGTCTTGGCCACCATTTCTACAGCGCCTTTAAGGTGGTACTAGGTGAAGACTTAAGTACATATACTGCGCTCAACTGCTTTCTTCAGATGCAATTCCCATAACATAAAATTCACCATTTATTTATTTACTGAGAAATGGAGTCTCGCTCTATCGCCCGGGCTGGAGTGCAGTCGCGTGATCTCAGCTCACTGCAACCTTCACCTCCTGGGTTCAAGCCAGTCTCCTGCCTCAGCCTCCCGAGTAGCTGGGATTACAGACATATGGCACCATGCCTGGCTGATTTTTGTATTTTTAGTAGAGACGGGGTTTCACCATGTTGCCCAGGCTGATCTCGAACTGGCTTCAAGTGATCCACCCGCCTTGGCCTCCCACAGTGCTGGCATTACCAGTGTGAGCCACCGCGCCCGGCCAGTTCACTCTTTAAAGTGACTTTTAGGATATTCACAAAATTGAA
The DNA here is from genome assembly GCF_000001405.40 of Homo sapiens. Taxonomy (NCBI): domain Eukaryota; kingdom Metazoa; phylum Chordata; class Mammalia; order Primates; family Hominidae; genus Homo; species Homo sapiens. Next base: position 4,743,226 of record NC_000007.14, on the reverse strand, counting down.
TAACCATCACCACTATCTACTTCTGGAACATTCTCAAAGCTGTATGGACTACATAAAATACTGCATGTGCACTGCTCAGCACAGGGCCAGGCGGGCACACACCAGGCTCTCAGTCACTTAGGATTCACCATCATCATCATCCCAGAGGGTCATGACGTCACAGCACTGACTCAGACGGGAACCGGGCCCGGGAAGGTGGGGGGCTGAAGTGACCGCACAGAGTCACACAGGTGACCATGCCCGGCCTGAGCCCGGGGCCTCTCCTTTCCGCAGCAGCACTGTCCCTGAACTTCTCTCTCCACGAGAGACACTCCCACCCACTGGCTCTGGAAAAAAGGAGACCTACTCCAAGCAACTCAAATGGAGATGATTCCCACCTTGTAACTTGTAGGTCACTGGTAACTTGTCGGCAAAGCAGGGTAGAGGAGCTGTGCCCCTGATGGCTGTGTTCCAAGAGAAGCCAGTGTGTAGTTCTAACTGTGGACCCTGAAAAGGTGCAGGCCATGTACGGGCTGGGTGTGTTGGCTCACACCTGTAACCTCAGCACTTTGGGAGGTGGAGGAGGGAGGATCTCTTGAGCCCAGGGGTTTCAGACCAGCCTGGGCAACATAGCAAGACCCTGTCTCTACAAAAGATAAGAAAATTAAGTGGGTGTGGTGGTGCATGCCTGTGGTCCCAGCAACTTGGGAGGCTGAGGTGGGGAGACCGCTTGAGCCCAGGAGTTGGAGGCTGCAGCGAGCTATGATTGCGCCACTGCACTCTAGCCTGGACGACAGAGTGAGACGCTGTCTCTGAAATACAAACAAAAGCCCTTTCTTCTCCTACAGCTGCAAGAGGAAAAAAAGAAAAAAGCAAGCCAAGGTGCGGCCGGGGTTCAGCAGAGTGCGCAGATCAGCAGGGAGGGACTGACGTGACCAGCCTGGGATTGCCACAGCGCTCGCTCCAACAGATCAGCATGCCCAGAGCGTGCTTCACAGATGTCCCCGAGGGCCCTGAGCCCCTTTCAGGGTATATGTGAGGTCAACACCATGTTCACAACAGCCCTAAGATGTGATCTGCTTTTTCCACTGGGGTGACCTTTGCTGGTGACGCGCGAGCGACGCAGAAACTGCTGGTGCTGCGGAGGAGCCACAGCTCCGGCACCAAACCACGCGCAGCCACGCATCTGCAGAGCCACAGACGTGCGGTTGGGAGAGAAAAGCCAGCCACGTTTAGAAATGTCCGCAATGAAGAGGTAAATCATTAAAGAATGTATGAACCCTCCAGCCTCAAGTACACGTCTGTTTTTGCATCCCTGTATGACAGGACCAGGGCCAGGGCTGTGTGCCATGCATCCAGGCTGTCGCCTGAGGTTCGTGTGTGACTCAGTCTAGGGCTCACCGGCACTCCCTACACAGAGCTCTGTTTATACTTTTCACCTGCAACCCCTACTCAGGGGCTCATCATTGTATAACATGCCAGAGATGAGGAAGTTTGAGGACTTTCTTCAAAATCTAGATTAATTTCTAAAAGGTCATAGAGAATTTTCACAAATGAAGCTTAAAGAAACAAAGTTCACCAAATCCTGGTGGACAAATATTACTTTAAAACATTTTCAGCCGTGCGCGGTGGCTCACGCCTGTAATCCCAGCACTTTGGGAGGCCAAGGCGGGTGGATCATTTGAGGTTGGGAGTTCGAGACCAGCATGGCCAACATCGTGAAACCCCGTCTCTACTAAAAATACAAAAAATTTAGCCAGGCGTGGTAGCAGGCGCCTGTCATCCCAGCTACTCGGGAGGCTGAGGCAAGAGAATCCCTTGAACCCGGGAGGTGGAGGTTGCAGTGAGCCGAGATCGCGCCACTGCTCTCTAGCCTGGGTGACAGAGCGAAACTCCATCTCAAAACAAACAAACAAAAAAAAAACATTTTCAACGCCCTTTAAAAAAAAACAAAAAACAACAAAAAAACCTGTGCTTGCTTTAACAAGCTCTAATATGTAAAATTTCCAGTGGGAAAAGTGATGATCAGGCAGTGATTTTTCCCTTTGTAAGAGAATTCACGGAAATTTCAGCCAGGTCCCGGATGGACGTACAACACTTTCTGTATTTCCATGCACGTGCAACTTTCCAGAGAGATTTGGAACCCGGTGCTGCGTACGACAGGCACGCTCGCATCATCCCCCTCTCTCCTGGGGGCCCAAGGGCAGGCTGGGGGGCTACTCACCTGATGGTGCCCGTCGGGGAGGGGACGGGGCTGACCATGCTCCGGAGGTCCGGCTCCGGGATGTGGATCTTCAGAGGGGAGATCTGGGGGTACAGTGGCCGCAGCGGGGAGGCTGGGGCCTCTTCTTTGTGATAGAGCGACGTGAACTGGATCTTGATGGCCGTGCTGGGAAACCGGAAGGTACACCTGCAACAGGAGGAGGAGCGGGTGTGAGGTGCAGGAGGAGACTCAAGAAGACGCCAACACCCAGGGAAGGTGCGTGTCTGTGTGTCTAAGTAACTGGACCGTAACTCTCAAACCTGGGCCCCAGAGAGCAGTTTCGATGCTTTTATCAGGACACTTAGGAACTGAGACTTTGGCTTATTTGGAAGTCACTTGTCTTTCTATTTCTTTATTTTATTTTATTTTATTTTTTGAGAGGGAGTCTCGCTGTCACCCAGGCTGGAGTGCAATGGCAGGATCTCAGCTCACCGCAACCTCAGCCTCCTGGGTTCAAGCAATTCTCCTGTCTCAGCCTCCTGAGTAGCTGGGATTACGAGCGCCCACCACCACGCCCGGCTAATTTTTTGCATTTTTTATTTATTTTTTTTTTTTGAGAGGGAGTCTCACTCTGTCGCCCAGGCTGGAGTGCAGGGACACGATCTCAGCTCACTGCAAGCTCCGCCTCCTGGGTTCACACCATTCTCCTGCCTCAGCCTCCCGAGTAGCTGGGACTACAGGCGCCCGCCACCACGCCCGGCTAATTTTTTATATTTTTAGTAGAGACGGGGTTTCACTGTGTTAGCCAGGATGGTCTCGATCTCCTGACCTCGTAATCCGCCTGCCTTGACCTCCCAAAGTGCTGGGATTACAGGCGTGAGCCACCGCGCCTGGCCAATTTTTTGCATTTTTAGTAGAGACGGGGTTTCACCACGTTGGCCAGGCTGGTCTCGAACTCCTGACCTCAGGTGATCCACCTGCCTCAGCCTCCCAAACTGCTGGGATTACAGGCGAGAGCCATTGTGCCCAGCCGTCAGTTGTCTTTCTACTGTGTGTGAGAACAGAAGAGATATAAATATCCCCAGACAAGTGCCGCTGATGCCATCTCCCACGCAGGCTCCAGACAGACACGGCTACTTCCTGTCTGCCAGGGCAACTGCTGTGGCACCCAGGTGGGATCTGCCACCTCTCAAATGACACACTGGAAGACTGAAATAGCACGGCAACCACCTATGCAGACATTTTCAAGATGATTCCCTGCCACTGCCTAGAAGATCTGACAACGGAAGGAGCAATTCCACCCCTGCTCCGGCAGGCGGGAGTCGCAGAGAGCGTGCATTATCCACCCAGAGCTTAATGGACCGGCTTCACGATCAGTTCTGGGCTTAAAACCGTGAGCCTCGGTTTTTCTACTGGAGACGACCAAGTGCAAACAAAGCCAGCCGCAAGCGTCAGGGTCAACACCAGTGTGCTGTGAACAGTATCCAGGGTTCATCTGGCTTGAAGAAACTGCCACCTTTTACAAAGCTGAGCATTACTTATCCAGGTCACCTTTCAATTTCTAAACTGATGAGGCAGCAACTATCAAGTTGCTAACTGTGGGACTCAGTTAAAAACAAAACAAAACAAAAACAAAAACAAAAACAATGTAAAGCAGCAGCCTGCCCACACAGAGATAAGGAACGCTGGCCGCCTGCGCAGCTGTTTGGAAAAGGCTCTTGTTTAAAATTGTAGGAGGGGGTTAAGAAAGAATGTACATAAGCCACCGGTGATAATGCGCTTTTCAGAGTTCCCGAAGGCATTCAGGACGGGCAAAGTACTCAACACTTGAGAGACGCTAAGGTCTCTTGTAGTGGAACCTGCATGAAGCACCAGGCTGCTGGGTCTATGCCTGACTGTGTTTTTAAATCTGCAGCAATGTTTAAATAGTCAATCTACGTAAAATCCTGCATGGACGTGCGCAGACACCCCTCTTTCATATGAAAGTCCCTTTGCTCTTCGTCAAAGCGTTTTTGAAAGACGGGACTGAGGAGCAGGTCAGAGGGTGACGAAGGGTGCCTGGCTGTCGGCAGGGGGTCCTCTTGCGTCTTCTTCCCAGGGACCCGCTTCAAAGGAAGTGACTCAGCATTACAAATGTGCGGCTCCTCCCATAGGTCTGCTAGCCAGGCTGCCCACATGGAAGAGAGAAAATCAGGCACTTAAGCTGGCTCAACTGGGCCAGTCCTGATTCTCCCCGAGATACTGGTCAGAGGAGGCTGGGCCGCATCGTTCAGTGCCAGGCGCTGTCAGGCCTGTGGGCACCAGGTTTCTACTTCCAAACACAAAAGGGACTCTGAGACTGTTTCCAAGATGAGAAGCTGTCTGGGAGGCACGGCCCAGCGAGTGAATCTTGGGGGATAAGGGTGGGTGGTCGGTCACCCCTGAGGTTTAGAAGGGCATCCCAAGGCTATTTGAAAATACTCCACAATTCTGTCCTCTTAAGTCACATTGAGAGGAACGTCTGATGTCCTTTACACTTTCTTCAGTCCAGCCCAGTGGAGATTTCCTGCATCAGTATTTTGACTAGAAAGCTCCATCACCCATTTTCTTTTTTCTTTTTTTTTTTTTTGAGACGGAGTCTTGCTCTGTCATCCGGGCTGGAATACAATGGCGCAATCTTGGCTCACTGCAACCTCCACCTCCTGGGTTCAAGCGATTCTGCTGCCTCAGCCTCCCAAGTAGCTGGGATTACAGGCACGCACCACCACGCCTGGCTAATTTTTGTATTTTTAGTAGAGATGGGGTTTCACCATGTTGGCCAGGCTGGTCTCAAACTCCTGACCTCAGGTGACCCAACCACCTCGGCTTCCCAAAGTGCTGGGATTATAGGCATGAGCCACCGTGACTGGCCACATCACCCTTTTTTTTTTTTTTTCTCTTTTTGAGGCAGAGTTTGGCTCTTATTGCCCAGGGTGGAGTGCAATGGCGCAATCTTGGCTCACCGCAACCTCAGCCTCCTGGATTCAAGTGATTCTCCTGCCTCAGCCTCCCGAGTAGCTGGGACTACAGGCATGCGCCACCACGCCCAGCTAATTTTGTATTTTTAGTAGAGACAGGGTTTTTCCATGTTGGTCAGGCTGGTCTGGAACTCCCGACCTCAGGTGATCCTCCTGCCCTGGCCTCCTAAAATGCTGGGATTACAGGCGTGAGCCACCACACCCGGCCTTGCATCACCCATTTTCTAAGATGCTCTATGATACCCAAGGGCTCTTCAGTCCTGGGGGCTGTTAGCTTTTGTGGGTCCCAGAGCCGACATCCACCCAAGCTGGTGTCTGAGGATGGGACTGGTGTCCCTGACCTAGGGAAGCAAGGAAAGAGGTTTGGGGCCAGCATCTGGCTGAGGGTCCAGGCAGGGGACCTAAGGTGAACTCCAGCTGTGAACGACGGTGCTGAATGAACACAGTGTCCATGTCTGTATCAACACATGCATGCACACACACACACACACACACAGGCACGCACACACGTGCATGAATGCACACATGCATGCACGGACACGCCCACACACCCACGCACACGCCCACACCCACGCACACACACACATGCACACGTGCACGCACACACACGCATGCACACACACCTACCCGTTCCACCAGTGCTGGACACGATGGCAGTCATGATGACAAATGTTTAAAGATAGCTTCTATGGCCCTTGCCATTTGTCTCTTTTCTCCAGTTCCCTCAACCACTGCAAATCAACGAAACAGACCATGTTCTCCTATTTGTCAGAAGGGCACAGTTGAGACCTCTGACTTTCTGTGTCGTGAAAGTCCCTATGTTAATATGGGATCGGATCACGCTGCAGCCATCAAGGCCAAGTAGAAAGAAGATGTGGCTTCTGGCCCATGACTGAGGTCACAAGAAGAAGGGGATCCTGGAGATCGGGGTTTGGATATTAAGACATGAAGAGGTGTTTTTTCGTAAGACATTTGCACACGCACATGCACACACACGCACAGAAGAGGAGCATGGTCCCCCTCTGGACTGGCACCTGAAAGCCAGGTACTAGCCAGAGCCCATCTGACCTTGGGCTAAATCACTCCCCAACTCCAGTGGGGTGGAAAGGCCTTCCCAGGCTTGACTTCTCCCTTTCAAAGAGCAAATTGTGGCAGGAATGAGAGCCGTAAGGTGTGCGGATTTGAGACAAAGGTGAACGCCACCAAAAGAGAAAATTGGTTTAGAACCACTCACCCTAACCTCTCTGCGCTTCTGTGATCTTTGCTAATAAAACAGAATGGTTGGAATAGAAGACACCATCTCAAAGGTGCTTTCCAGTTCAAAACCTGATTATGGGCTGGGCACGGAGGCTCAGGCTTGTAATCCGAGCACTCTGAGTGGCCAACGTGGGCGGATCACCTGAGGTCAGGAGTTCGAGACCAGCCTGGCCAAAAGGCAAAACCCCCCTCTCTACTAAAAATACAAAAAATGAACCAGGCATGGTGGCACACACATGTAATCCCAGCTACTCGGGAGGCTGAGGCAGGAGAATTGCTTGAACCCAGGAGGCGGCCATGTCAGTGAGCTGAGAACGCACCACTGCACTCCAGCCTGGGCAACAGAGCAAAACTCTGTCTTAAAAAAAAAAAAAAAACAAAACTGATTCTAGATGATATGTACATATGTATTGAGTTTTCACTAAAACAAAACGATGTTTTATAGGACAGGCAGGGATCTAGGGATCTAATGCCATCTATAGATGACAATTTCCTACTGTAATAGTAGCTTTCCAATTAAAGTTTAACAATAAATATTTTCACAGTATCTGCCGTAACAGTGATTGTCCTGAGGCAGGTGGCCTCATTACTAGGAGGAGGAGAAAATGCTATGAAGCATGCTACTTGATTTTATTTATTTTTTGAAACAGAGTCTCGCTCTGTCACTCAGGCTGGAGTGCAGTGGTGCGATCTCGGCTCACTGCAACCTCCGCCTCCCAGGTTCAAGGGATTCTCCTGCCTCAGCCTCCTGAGTAGCTGGGATTACAGGCACGCGCCACAGAGCCCAGCTAAGTTTTGTATTTTTAGTAGAGACGGGGTCATGTTGGCCAGGCTGGTCTTGAACTCCTGACCTCAAGTGATCCACCCGCATCAGCCTCTCAAAGTGCTGGGATTACAGGTGTGAGCCGCTGCACCTGGCTTGATTTTTAAATAGATGTTTCCCCAGCATGCTCAGGGAGTTTGCCAGTTACATCTCTCCCTGTAATATCTTGATGGAGGTGCAGGGCTCTAGCTGGAGTCTGAACGAGCACGTTTTGCATCGTGAAGGTGCTGCACGGTGGTTTAAACCCAGCCACACACACTGCCGGTCTTGACCGGCGGAGATTCCGCTAAGGTTAAGTGTGTCCACAGAGTAGAAATCTCCGTCCACCAGCCCGGCGGAAAGGTTCCTGTACGAGCAAGTGCCCATCTGTGGAGGACATCTCTCCAGAACATTCTTGCCCGACTTAGAAAGGAGCTTAGTGGTTGCCTAGGGCTGGAGTGACGGGTGGGACAGGCAGGGGGGACGGAGAATGACTAAGAGCTAGGGGGTTCTTTCTAGAGTCAGGAAAATGTTCCGAAGTTGACTTGGTGGCCGCGCAACTCTGCGAATGCGCTGAAAACCACGGACTGGAACAATGGAAAGGGTTAGTTGTAAGGTATGTGCAGTCGATCTCAGGCAAGCTGTTTTTGGGGAGAATTCTTGCCCAAAAGCTCCCACACTGAGGGTCTACTCCAGCCCTGGGTTTTTCCCAGGTCCACCCAGAAGCTGATGGCTCCTGGAAGTTGGGCCAAACTGGTGACTTGGTTGGAGATGACACTGCCTGGCTCAGCCTCAGACCACAGAGCCGTCTCTACACAGCGAGCTGGAACTGGCCACCGCTCCACCAGTGCTGAGCCCGAGTGACTTGGGGCATGTCATGTGCCTTCATTCCCATCCCCTCCCTAGGCCACAAATCCTACCACCTGCCCGGCCAAACAGAAAGCTGTCAGGAAAATAAAAATAGCTCACTTAATTCTCGATGACATAAATATAAATACAATTGTCATCATTTCAGACTCAGAGAAATAATCAGAGAGGGAAGGAAGAGCCCGTGAAAGCTTCCGGAGGCGATTTTTAAAATGAATGTGACAGATCGCTCCTGTCCACCGCTGTCCCCTCGCCCCGTCTCTCCCAGCGGAAGGACGGGTTTACTTTCTGGATGGGGTGAACCCGAGGCCTGGACGAGGGCACCCAACACAGAAGCGGCAGACAGTGACATCTCACGCCAAAAATAGCCTTGCGACCTGAAATTCTGCAGGAGGACCAGAGGCTCTCAGCCCCCCAAGCTTCCAGAGCTGAGCCCAGCTATCAGCAGACAATGGCGCAGGAGAAAAGCCTGAGACCCAGCCTTCCTGAGCCCCCCATGAAGCCCCAGGGAGGGAGCCCCGTGCACCGATGCCCACGCACACTTGGGCAGCGGGGGGGTGGGCCGGGGGGCACCTCCCCTTCCACAAGAACAGACACTTGGGGAATGCCCCCATCAAGGAAGACAGGGACTGAGGCAAAGGAGTTTGAGGGGCAAGGAGGAAGCAGACGATCTGGGGAGTGGTGGAAGCCACAGAGCATCTCATCCTCCCAAGGAGGGAGCGGGCCCTGCACCTGCCCACCAAGGCCAGGACCACAAGAGCCACAGCCAGGGGAAACGGGAAATCTTGCACAGTTTAAAGTGACTCAGAAAACATCAAAAGGAAGAGGCTGGATGAGATCTGTCTCAGGAAGGACAAAGAAAACAGGAGCTTCAGAGGCTCTGTCTGGGAGGCCTACGGCTTGAGATAGAGTCACCCCACACAAGCCGCTCCTTCTCAGGAGCTCTGGGAATGCATCTGCTGTCTCCTAACTGCTGTGGAGTCGCGTGTCTTCTAGGAGCTGGGCGGCACGGTTACTAAGGTTAAAACACAGGCATCGCTTCAGTGGTTAGGGGTTGAGGACATGGGTGACGAGCTGGAAGTCTGATGGCCTTCCCTGCGCCAGGTGAAGCTTCACCCACGGCACGTGGAGGGCAGACTCCACGTGGCCAGCACCTGCCACCCAGATGAGCTCTGGGGGAAGTCCAGGGTTGGCGCGTGCTGGGAGGTCCCTGTGGCTTCCCCAATCCCATGGCGCTGGCTATGACGGCCAGAGAGAGGATGTCAGCCGGACTAAAGACCAGGGAAAGGCTCCCACCGTCCCACCCAGCCTGCAGCTTCGGGGACCTCAGAGCAGCCTCTCCCGTGAGAGAAACAGCAGACCCAAGAGCAAGGGCCAGAAGACGCCAGGCCGGTTTTCACGAGCGATACCTGCAGGATGCAGTTCCCATGTGGGCACTGGGCAGCTTCCTGGACTGTGGCTGAGGCTGTAGTTCCCAGAGCACCTTCTCTCCTGCTTCTATAGCAAACATGGAGACAGAGAAACGTCCACCCAACTGAAGACCATGTTTCTCTGCCCCTCTTGCAACCATGAGACTATGAGCTGGTCAATGGGATACAAATGGGTCATGTCTATATGAGGAACCAAGGGCCTTCTTCACTCCTCCCCTTCCCAACAGCCAGATACTGCTGTGATGGCAGGAGCCGAGCAGCCACAGTGGACCATAAAGGCACACTGCATAACGGAGCAACAAGCAACGTAATAGAAAAAGTCTGGTGCCTCCAGGTCATAGCTGACATTAAGATGGTCATGTGTGGCTGGGTAGGGTGGCTTACATCTATAATCCCAGCACTCTGGGAGGATGAGGTTGGAGGATTGCTTGAGCCCAGGAGTTTGAAACCAGCCTGGGCAACACAGCAAGAACCCAGCTTGAAATAAAAAAATAATAAAATTAAAAAAAAAAAGACCGTCACGTATAAAAGAAACAAACTTGGCCCTCGTTATTTTTGACCTTTGTTGCAAAATCAAAACTACGTCCTAACTGAAAGAATCCAGGAAGAGGGTGAAAAGCCCCAGAACAGAAGCTGTGCAGGAGCCCAGAGCTGTGCAGGAGAGAGCCAGGGCTCTCAGGAGAAAGTTCCCAGGAGAACTGAAGGACAGGAATGTCGTCTTACCCAACTGCTGAGCGAAGTTCTAGAGTTGGGTCAGCGTCCAGAGATCAATTCACAATAGGTACAGAGAACGCTGGACGAGTAAGAAGATAAACTCTGCGCTATGGGAAAGAGGCACACGTGTAAGGGGCGTGCAGCGCAGACCCGCGGCTCCGGATGAGGAGGGCAGCAGTAGAGCCAGACCCTGTCTTCTCTAACGGAAAGCCATGTGTGTCTACAACAGGGCGAAAACTCAGTGAATAGCAGCTCAGACTGTTAATCAGGATGCTTTAAAAGCCACTGCCTCTGCGAAGTGAGACCTGAGGACTTCTGTTTGAAGCCTTGCGTTACTATGGCCATTTAAAACTATGCATATTGGCTGGCGCGGTGGCTCATGCCCGTAATCCCACGGTGGTTCACGCCTGTAATCCCAGCGCTTTGGAAGGCTGAGGTGGGACGATCGCTTGACCCTAGGAGTTCGAGATCAGCCTGGGCAACACAGTGAGATCCTGTCTCTAAAAATTGTTTAAGAAATTAGCCAGGTGTGGTGGCGCACACCTGTAGTCCCAACTACTTGGGAGGCTGAGGAGGGAAGATGGCTTGAGCCTGGGCAGCGGAGGCCGCAGTGGGCTATGATGGTGACTGAATGAATGAATGAATGAATGGAGAACTGTCGGCACTGGGATCTTTGGTCAGTCTCTTCATACACTGGCCTGGTTTCCCTCATCAGCCAAACTGGGGTAATGATGGTGCATAATCAGAGTTCTTGTGGACTGAACAAATGATTCCAAGCAACGTCATCAGACGCACACAGGGCGTGTCACACATAAGGAGCCCTCGCTAAATACTGAGGCGTGGGGGAATATGGAAACGTTTACAACAGCTTGATAAATGTAGCAGAAGCCCAAGTGGAACAGTGCAGCGGCTCACGGCAAGGGAGGTGAAGTCAGACCTGCCTGGCTGGAGCCTGGGCTGCTCAGATGCCCTGGGGGCACCTGGGCAAGTCACTGAATCTGAGCCCCGCCCTGGCCAGCCCGGCCTCCGTGTGGCCTCAGGTCTCCATGCCGTGAACATCAGTCCTGACCGGACGGCTGGCACGTAGCAAGCGGTTACTGAAAATGTGCTTCAGTTATTCTTGTTATTAGACAAGGACTGGAAGGACAAAGGAAAACAGCCCAGGATAAGGATGGTGTTATAAGCAGGCCTCTCTGTTTTCTTTTTTTTTTTTTTTTTTTGAGGCAGAGTTTCGCTTTGTTGCCCAGGCTGGAGTGCAGTGGTGCAATCTCAGCTCACTGCAACCTCCGCCTCCAGGTCCAAGCGATTCTCCTGCCTCAGCCTCCCGAGTAGCTGGGATTACAGGTGCCCACCACCATGCCCGGCTAATTTTTGTATTTTTAGTAGAGATGGGGTTTCACCATGTTGGCCAGGCTGGTCTTGAACTCCTGACCTCAGGTGATGCACCCGCTTTGGCCTCCCAAAGTGCTGGGATTACAGGCGTGAGCCACTGTGCCCGGCCGCCTCTCTCTTTTCAAAAGGTTCTTTAAATGTTGCTACCATGTCCTTGAAGAAATGAAAGACTCAAGAATGGGAGGCAAAAGCTGTTACATACTCCAGGTACTTTTCGAATTTTGCAGGCTGCAACGTGTCTTTAGGATACCCGATAAAGTACTAAACCTGGCTCGCCTGGTTCTGTTAAGTGGTTTGGCTCTGAGGCAGGGGGAAAACGTCCCGCAGGGCCCAGGCCCCCAAGAGTCTCAAGGGAAGGCCGGGGAACAGCAGAGCTTGACTTGCAGGGATGCTCACCCACCACCTCGGAGGCCCCTCACCACCTCCTACCAGCAAGTTCTCTGTGCAGGGACAGGAAGTCAGGTGACGGTCCCAGGGTGGGCCACATCAGATAAGGCCTGAAACTGGAATGCCGGAGGCCCTGCAGTGTTTGCTTAAACTCCTCCGAGAAATAAGACTGTTCAGCAAATGGTTTTGATTTTTTGTAGAGACAGGGTCTTGTTATGTTGCCCAGGCTAGTCTCCAACTCCTGGCCTCAAGGGATCCTCCTGCCTCGGCCTCCCAAAGTGCTGGGATTGCAGGAGTGAGCCACCGCGCCCATCCTCAGGAAATGGTTTTGAAAGAAACGTTAACATATAAAATCCCCAAATCAGAGAATTCTGACAACCTTAAATTTTTTAACCTAAAATACTGTCTTTCTATTAAAAATGGAAGGCATTTATTTATGACAACCCCAAAACGAACACAGGTGGCTGCAGCCATAGGCGCCTCTCTATTGCAGAGACCACGTCTTCGCCAGCAGCTAAGAGCAGTGCATGGCAGTGAAGGGACACAGGTTACAGACGAACCCGCAGCAAGGACGTCTCAAGTGTGGCGGCTTTGGAAAATAAGGCACAAACTTGAAGGCGGGGCGGGGGCTGGGTCGGCAAGGTCCCTGACAGCAACACAAACGTCCATCCCCTCCCCGACAGACACGGAACCAGCACTGGTGCCTGCAAACCACGCCCTCTCCACTGGGCCTGCGTCCCTCCTCCAGGAACCAGAGCTGCAACCGTGACTCCACTTTTGGGTCCATGCCACAACCCTGTTCTCCTGAACCCCACGGCTGACAGCGGTGGCAAGCTGGGTAGCAGGGTGGTCAGAGACACAGCTCTGTGCCTGCCCATCACTCACCCTGGCCGAGTGTACTCGGCTCTGGGCCCTCCGTTCTCGCAGTGACAACAATGTGGGGGTGTGCGTGGTGTGTGTGAATTAAAACCCGGTAGCAGTTTTAGTGTTTATAAGTTCTTATGCGTTCATAGGGCCTAATTTGTTTAAATAGGGAGAATGCATCTATTTTTGTAATCAGGCAAATAAGCATGTCCTATTTGGAAAAAGAAAAGACAGCGAGATACTCAAGCCCATATGCTGAGTCGGTGACACGCGGTGAAAAACGCAGACAACGGTCTGACCGAAGCCGGGCTTTCTTTTTCCTTTTCTTTTTTTTATTTAAATTGTTTCGACAGAGTCTCGCTCTGTCGCCCAGGCTGGAGGGCAGTGGCTGGATCTCAGCTCACTGCAAACTCCACCTTCCGGGTTCAAGCGATTCTCCTGCCTCAGCCTCCCGAGTAGCTAGGATTACTGGTACCCACTACCAGGCCTGGCTAGTTTTTGTATTGTTAGTAGAGATGGGGTTTCACCATGTTGGCCAGGCTGGTCTCAAACTCCTGAGCTCAGGTGATCCACCTGCCTTGGCCTCCCAAAGTGCTGGGATTACAGGCGTGAGCTGCTGCACCCGGCCAGGGTTTCTTTTTGAAGCTGAAGTCTCGGTCTCTGTCTCAGGAAGACCCTGGAGGAAGGTGGCGAGAGACCTCACTGAATTAGGATAGAGCCCCACAGAGGCGGCCAAGCACAGCCATGGCCACCGACCCTCCCTGGGGCTCAGGTGTGTGTCCTGCCGGGTGGGGCTCCCGGGGCCCGGCAGTCCTGAGCACCCCATGGCAGCACAGGCGAGGACGGCACCCTCGGTGTTCACAGCTCCTTCAAAATCCCCCCACCTTCCCTTCGCGGAAGGAACGCTCATCTGGTAGGTGACTGCTTCCCAATCCCAACATGGGGACCCGTGGTGACTCCCACAGCTTTACTCTGCGGAGGCTAAGGGACCCCCAGATGACTGACACGGCCAAACGGCGGTGGCCCCAGCGATCTGCATTTCTAGCAGACGTTCCACTCCCCAGACAACCCTGCCTGGCCCAGGAGAAAGCCACTGCCTGCTGCTCCCGAAGAGGATCCTGAGGATCGGAGAGTAGGCTCCGAAATCACCTCCGCTCCCCACCATGCTGTGTGGCTTAAACAGACGTAAAAAGACCGCGTAAAGATGGACTAGGCTCTTTAAGACAGCGGACACAGACACAGTGTTCTGCAACCCTCTGGGGCTGACCCGGGCAGAGCTTGCTTGCGACGAGCAATTCAGGTTAACTTTCATCTTCTGTCTCTACGCTGATTTAAGAAAATGCTTCTGGGAAGTCAAAATGGCTTAATCTGCAGATCTCAAAATGCTGTCCACAGTAATTCCACGTAGTCATTATTCACTGGCCACCTGACTGATACCAAGTACCAGACGCTGGTTTATCTGCATAGACTTTGCGTCCTCTAAGACTGTTCCCCAGGGTCCCCTTCTCTATCTAGGCAGCCTTCCTTGAATTCCCTGGCTCACTCTCATGCCCGACTTAAGAAAAATACGTTTTCTTTTCTTTCTTTTTTTTTTTTTTTTTTTTTCAAAAAGAGACGTGGTCTCACTATGTTGCCCAGGCTGGCCTCAAATTCCTGGCCTCAAGTGATCCTCCTGCCACAGCCTCCCAAAGTGCCAGAAGTATAGGCTTGCACCACCACGCCTAGCTGGTAGCAGGTTCCTGGAGGAGGAGTCCCATCTGCTGCTGGTCTGTTCTCCCCACAGCACGTGGCTCCCACAGGGCAGAGGGTCAGTACACACACAGCACGTGCACTTTAGTGCACACGAGTAAGAGTTCATAACCATGCAGTTCTCTCAGGAATGTGGAGTCTCCCAGGAGGTGAATGCATAGAAACAAGTTTACATGTGAAGTGGAATGAGCTTAATGCTCAACAGCAGCACAGCCGCAGCCGGACAACCCCGAGGACTGAGGGTTAAAATCTGGGTGCTCTTTGGAAATTCCAAAAACCACAGAGAAATGATTAGACTTTTCTGATCCTGGATTAACCTTGAAAGGACAGCAACAATACCGCCTTTGCTGTGTTAGGATCGATGATCCAAAGAATCAGAGAACGTTTGGCAGGCAAGAAAGAGTCGTGTCACATCTCCACTGGAGGCGGGGGGCTGCCAACAGAACTGCTCCAAACAGAAGCTTGTGAGCCGGTCCCGGCTGCCATCCAGGGCCAGGGCAGTCCCCTGGTTGCTGTCCCGGGGGCCCAGCTGCCTGAGGTCAGTGCCACTAAACATGGCTGGGGAAGGGCCCCTGGAAATGTCTGTGCAGTGATTGGTATCTGTCTATACCAATGCCAGTCCAATCGGCAAACACACGCCACCGACTGTCTCCATTTTACCGGCCGCTTTTCCTCCCCTCCCGAAGGACGGGTGTCCAAGCACCAATGTGAAGACCACGGACAGTCCCAGGAGAGGTTCAGGCATGGCCACAGGAGAGGTTCTCTGGCAAACAAGTTATAATCTCGTTTACTCTGGTAAAGTGTTTCCTCCGTGCGCGGGTTCCCACCCAGGAGAGAGCACTCTGATGTGACATCGAGGAGTGACGGGAAGGTGGGACAGGGCCCAGTCTGCCGCAGGGACGGACAGCAGGCCGCCCTCAGCACTGAAGCCTAAAAGGAGAAACACCGCACTTTAGAACAACCTGCAAAATCAGGCCGGGCGCCGTGGCTAAGCCTGTAATCCCAGTACTTTGGGAGGCCAAGGCAGGAGGATCACCTGAGGTCAGGAGTTCAAGACCAGCCTGGCCAACATGGTGAAACGGGTCTCTACTAAATATATAAAAACTAGCTGGGCGTGGTGCTGCATGCCTGTAATCCCAGCTACTCCAGAGGCTGAGGCACAAGAATCACTTGAACCCGGGAGGCGAAGGTTGCAATGAGCTGAGATCACACCATCACACTCCAGGCTGGGTAACAGAGTAAGACGCCCTTGCCAAAAAAATAAACAAATAAAATTTAAAAATAAAGTAAAAGAATAACCTGCAAACCTTAACATGAAATTCTATAATAATAATAGGCTGGGAGCAGTGGCTCACGCCTGTAATCCCAACACTTTGAGAGGCCAAAGTGGGAGGATCACTTGAGGCCAGGAGTGCAAAACCAGCCTGGGCAACAGAGTGAGACCCCGTCTCTACAAAAAATAAAAATAAAAAAATTAGCCTGGCATAGTGGTGCATGCCTGTAGTCCCAGCTACTCCAGGAGACTGAGGCAGGAGGATCACTTGAGCCCAGGAATTCAAGGCTGCAATGGGTTATGATTGTGCCACTGCACTCCAACCTGGGTGACAGAGCAAGACCCCGTTTGTAAAAAAAAAAAATTAAAATTAGTAGTTGACAACTAATATCTGCTATTATTATATATACCAGGTACTGTGTGCTAAGCACATTAAGTAAATTAACTCACCAAAATATCCCACTTCTCTGAACACTCTGGTGATGTATGAATACACAGAGTTTGAGGGAAAGCGCCTGTGTTGTCATTTCCCCCTATGAATAGAGTGGGCGAAAAGAGAAGTCTTGAGGGCAAAGCAGCTGCCGCCCTGCAGAGGGGAGAAGAAACAAGAGCGACATGGCAGGAGTGAGCTCCCGCTGTCTGTCTTCTGGACTCAGGCACCTCCAAGGCCCAGGCACGGTTTTTTTTTTTTTGAGACGGAGTCTCGCTCTGTCGTCCAGGCTGGAGTGCAATGTCACAATCTTGGCTCACTGCAACCTCCACCTCTCGGGTTCAAGCGATTCTCCTGCCTCAGCCTCCTGAGTAGCTGAGACTACAGGCACGTGCCACTGTGCCCGGCTAACTTTTTTGTATTTTTAGTAGAGACAGGGTTTCATCATGTTGGTCAGGCTGGTCTCGAACTCCTGACTTCAAATGATCTGCCAGGCCCAGTTTTGCTAAAGCTGATGGAGGAAACGCTTTCAGAAGCAGAGGGCAGAATCCAGGAGGGGCCTGCCAGGAAGGTGATCGCCGTCCTGCCGCGGCCAGCTCCAACAGACGGTCTGCAGCACAGGTCTCGTGCTTCCTAAGTAAAAGCATTCGTAGGCCAAAAACAAGAACGTTCTAGTGAAACACACGGAAGCCTCCTGTCCCTCACTGCATAGACATTCCTATCCAAATTCAAAGTTATTTATTTTAAGACTTTCCCTTTAGATACCATCCTTGAAGACAGCGGCAAAGCTCAAGAGAGCCCCCAAATGCAAACCCCAATCACACCCCAACAGAGAGCAAAAGGTCTTCGCTGCTTAAAAAAAAAAAAAGTTCTGTTTGTTGAAAGAAAACAGGGACAGTGTCTAAATGGCTTGACAAATCACTTCCTTGCTTCAGCCACTGCAGCCGAGCTCAGCTCACCTTCCTAATATGGGGAATCCCACCAGGCCCAAACCCACACCCCTGCCAGCCAGAAGCCCCAGCCCACGCCCAGCACATGTGCCCCTGGCTCCCTACCCCTCTGAGTGCAGGCACCTTGCCTGGATCCCAGCCTGTTGCCCTGAAGAACTGAAACCTACAGGGCAGCCCAGCCCGGGCAGCCACGGCAGTTGACGGAGATTGAGAAATCACATGTAAGTGGCATCGCCACCCACTGGGCCAGTCGGCAGCCTTGGTGTGTCCACTGCCAAGCAGTAGAGCTCCCGTCCTCCCAACACAGCCACACGCCCGGAGCATGGGCGAGGCCCGGAGAGTCCGTTCACGCAGACTGGCCGGAGGGGCCCGGCCGCACAAAGGCAGTGAGGTCCTTGCTTCTCACTCCTGCGGAGCGAAAGAGAAAGCGGACATCTGGCCCCGGGCCTCTGCCTGTGGGCAGGAGGCCGTGTCCCCCTGGCTGGCTGGGCTCCTGAGACAACAACTAAGCCCGGTTTCACTTTGGGCAACAGCAGTGAAAAAAAATCCGATGACATCACCCCCACCGCTTTCTGAACAAAAGCAGCGCCCCCGGTCAGACCAAGGGACTGGGCTCTGTGCTCGCTGCATTTCCCGGAGCCGATGGCGTCGGTGCTCCAAGGGGCGTTCCGGCCACCTGGGCCAAAGCCTGGGCACTGCTATTCTCAAGAGGCAGCTCCGATCTACCCCCGCGACCCCAACTCGCAGTGAAATGAAACAAATTCAGAGAGAGAACGCGCGCCTGCAGGAACTGCGAGAGAGCACAGCACAGTGGGGTTTAGGGCAACGTGGGCGCGGAGGACGCTGTGGGTGGCGGGTGCACCGCGCTTGGATGGCCTCGGGGGAGCTCCTGCTGGGGACAGAGGGCAGCAGGCAGGGTTAGGAGGGCGGGGCTCCCCCCAAACCCACTTCTCCTCTCCCTGTCCCCACTATTTTTCTGTGTGGCCACGCACTCAGCTAAAAGGTGACTTTCCTGCTCCCCTTGCAGCTGGGGGCCAGCAATGCAAAGTGGGTGTGGCCTACGGCACAGCCCTCGTGGGAGTCTCAGAAGAGGTGGGCAGAGAGCTACCCAGAGGATCACCGCCCACCATCCCTCCCTCCTCTCTCCCCTCTGGAATGGAAACATAATGACCGGGGCACTGGCAACCATGCTGAACACTGAGGCCACCTTGAGCATTGAGACAGAAGCTTCACAGACCAGTGGAAGCAGCCTGGCTGTCTGCTGAGCCCAGAGCCCTGGCCTGGACCACAGTCTAGGATGGGGGCCGTGGAGCCACGCAGCGCACACACACACAACGAGGCACAGACCCCTGATTGACACATTTGGACAAAATAGAAATGCTTGGCTTCAGAGAGAAATTAAGTCAGAGCTCCCCAACCAAAGAAAAAGCGAACTCTGGGCCAGGCACAGTGGCTCACGCCTGTAATCCCAGCACTTTGGGAGGCCAAGGCACGCAGATCACTTGAGAACAGGAGTTCGAGACCACCCTGGCCAACATGGTGAAATCCGTCTCTACAAAAAAATACATAAATTAGCCGGGCGTGGTGGTGGGTGCCTGTAATCCCAGCTACCCGAGAGGTTGAGGCAGGAGAATCTCCGGAACCCGGGAGACGGAGGTTGCAGTGAGCCGAGATTGCACCACTGCACTCCAGCCTGGGTGACAGAGGAAGACTCCATCTCAAAAAGAAAACAACAACAACAACCACCCCCAAAACACAAACTCTGGATGTGCACAGAATCCCAGCTGGGAGCACGGAGGTCTTGGGCACTGCCTGGTGCGCAGCCATTCAGAGCACCAAGAGCTGCTATGGCAAGGTCATTACCATGTTCACTCACACAACTTAATAATCCAAAGTACCAAAAGCCCTCGAAAAAGTAGGCAGCAGAAGATGCAGGGTCATTTAAGGTTTTAAAAATCGAATGGGCCGAGCACAGAGGTGCACGCCTGTAATCCCAGCACTTTGGGAAGCTGAGGTAGGAGGATCGCTTGAGCCTAGGAGGTCGAGACCGGCCTGGGCAACATAGTGAGATCCCCATCTTTACCAAAAATACAAAGAAGTCAGCCAGGTGTGGTGGTGCACACTGGTAGTCTCAGCTATTTGGGAGGCTGAGGCGGGAGGATTGCTTGAGCCCAGGAGGTTGAGGCTGCAGTGAGCTACGATTGCACCACTGCACTCCAGCCTGGGAGACAGAGCAAGACCCTATCTCAAATAAACAAACATTGGTAGTAACTGTTTTGAGAGAAAGGAAAAGCTTCCTGCACTGCTGCAACTCTCCACGCTCGGTCCTGTGCCGTGGCGATTGTACCACGGCGAGGAGGGACCTGTGTTTGTAGAGGCACCGTGGGCTGACGGGATGGACAGGCCCTAGAGGCAACAGGAAGGCTCGGGGCTGCATTTGCTATTTTTAGTCTGCAACATTATTCAGCTGAGCAAGATTATTCCAAGATGGTCCCTGAAGGAAGAAGGCAAATTTAGTCAGCTGGGAACGTCCAAAAAAAAAACCCCACAGAAAACAAAAACAGCTTTGAGAAGACAAATTAAGCCAATGTTTTCAGGCAGTATTTACCAACAAGCTCTTTTGCTATATTTGTCACTCTGGAGTCGGGCAGCAGCCACATCCTTCAGGGTCCAGGCCCACTTGCTCGGTGCTGAGCCGGGGGACGTGCAACGTGCAAGCCGCCATGGGTGTCCACCCACCCTATGGGTGACCGCGAGCAGGCGCCCTGGACCCAGTGCTTTGAAGCTGGCTCCGCTCACAGCCACGGCGTTGGAGTGAGCACGGTGCCGTTACCATCATCGTCAACAGGCTTGGGAAGACGGGTTTTTGTTCGGGATCACAAGCTGATACAGGTTGTGTGGTGATCTGAACCCAGCGCTGCCTCTTGTCTGGATCTCAGATCTGAGGGTGCCTGCGTCGGCCACCTGCTCCTGGGGGTTCTTCCTACAATAACTGCCCTGCCTCTGACCACACCCTCTTCCATCAACAGCTCTGCCCACAGGCACCTCACCTGGATGCCAATTCTGCGGGAACCGGAGCCCAAACGAGAG
The DNA here is from genome assembly GCF_000001405.40 of Homo sapiens. Classification (NCBI taxonomy): domain Eukaryota; kingdom Metazoa; phylum Chordata; class Mammalia; order Primates; family Hominidae; genus Homo; species Homo sapiens. The sequence continues at coordinate 4,722,843 of NC_000007.14, read as the reverse complement.
AGGGATGGAGAAGGTGCACAGACACAGCAGAGGGCTGTGGAGGCCTGTGGCCAAGGCAGCAGCAAAGGAACGGAATCCCCCAAAGCCAAAAGCCATGCTGGGCGGTTGACTCTCCCCAGATGTGCACCCGAGCATCTGAGGTGGGTCTCCTACGACTTCCTCGTTTCACCCAAGGAAAATCCCGTTTCTCAGAAAACACTAGAGACAGCACATGAACGTGCATGAGTGTGCGGCTGACGTGCATGTGTGCCCGTTGTATACGAGTGTGCCCGTGCTGCACGCAGGTGTGCGGTTAACAGGCACGAGTGTACCCGTCCCAGCACGCTGGCACTGGGCTGAGGCCACTGGTGCTGAGCAGCCCACTGCCCTGCCGTGTATGTCCGGCACCGCTGCCACTTGGCCACGGGACCTCCTCTGGCCAGGATCTCAGGGAAGGCCTCTTCACAGGAGAATGGGTTTTAAGCCTAGGAAATACGAACGACCAAAGTACATAAGAGGCAACAATGGGAATCTGGGTAAAACCTTAGAGAGTTTCTAGAACAACAGATTTTGGAATCTGAGGCAGGGACGCTCGGGAAAGGCAGAGAATGCAAAGCCAGCTTGCACGGTGCTGGCATTTATTTCCAGGCGGCCGTGGACGTGAAATCCAGCATCTGCTGAGACACAGACACCTCCTGCCCCGCCATCTTCTGAATCAGGGCAGGATGTGACCAAGAGCCCAAGGCCCCACCAAAGTCCCCTCCTCTAGCACGTCCCACCCACAGGCATGAGGCTGCTGGGATGGGTGGAGGGTATGGGATGCAGCGGGGTCACCAGTCTCACCCCGGCTGCCTCCTTTGGGAGAAAGTAACACGGCTGTGCGCGTCCCCGTTACTCCTGCACGAGAAAGGGATGCATTTACATTTGAGAAATCTAATTTGGAAAAACAAAACTCAAATATTAAAATGAAAACAGGCCGGGCGTGGTGGCTCACGCCTGTAATCTCAGCACTTTGGGAGGCCGAGGCAGGAGGATCACATGAGGTCAGGAGTTCAAGACCAGCCTGGTCAATACGGTGAAACTCTGTCTATACTAAAAATGCAAGAATTAGCTGGGCGTGGTGTCTCACGCCTGTAATCCCAGCTGCTTGGGAGGCTGACGCAGAAGAACTGCTTGAATCCAGGAGGGAGAGGTTGCAGTGAGCCAAGATCGCACCACTGCACTCCAGCCTGGGTGACACAACAAGACTCTGACTCAAAAAAAAAAAAAAAAAAAGAAAAAAAAGAAAAAGAAAAGAGAAAAGTCCTTCTTAGGCTGCCATCTGTGAGCTCTTATCATTGGAGAGCTGGAATTATTCTTATTCTCAAAGTTTCAGAAAAAGTTCTTTCTGAAGTTAACTGACAGCCGACGCCTGGAGATTAGAATTCAAGGCATTTTACTGAGCCACTGTCACCTGCAGGAAACAGGCTGGGGGTCGCAGGGAATGGTCGCTTCTCACCAAGGTCATCAGAAGGTTGCACCATTATGGGCTGCAGCGACACAGGGCTAGGCCGGCAGCTCAAGGCTGGGGAGCTCCGGGGGGTTTCCAAGGCCCCTGTGCACTGCCACACACAGGCAAAGCCCCCACGATGTCCAGGATCCAAGCTCCAGTCTGAGCTGCTGCATTGAGCCAAGCGTGCAGACTGAACGGAGAACCTCCTCCAGGGCCCTGATGCACAGAGGGAGGCTGCTGACTCGGGAAAGCACTTACGGCAACAGTGACAGAGTAAAGCAAGAAAGGGACGGGGCACGGAGGGCCCGTGCAGAGAAAACTACAAAACTTAACTGAAAGACAAAAAAGACCTAGGTAAAAAGCTAAATTTGGGAGGCCGAGGTGGGCGGATCACATAAGGTCAGGAGTTCGAGACCAGCCTGACTAACACGTGTGTTGAGTTTTTTTTTTCTTTTATGGATCCCCGTCTATACTAAAAATACAAAAATTAAGTGGGCGTGGTGGTGCATGTCTCTAATTCCAGGTGCTCAGGAGGCTGAGGCAGGAGAATCGCTTGAACCCAGGAGGTAGAGGTTGCAGTGAGCCAAGATCGCGCCACTGCACCGAGATCGCGCCATTGCACTCCACCCTGGGCAACAGAGACTCTGTCTCAAAAAAAAAAAAAGTAAAAAGCTAGGCACGCAGCATACAAAGCCAGTTTCCAACAGGTCTGCCTAATTCTCAGGAAGCATCTGCCTGCTCGGGAGAGATGGGGCTGAGGCTGGAGTCTCCCCGGCCTGGCTCTGCCAGCATCGAAGTTGGCCACAGGCTGCCCATCCCCACTGAGGCACAGGGGAAATTTTACATCTAAAAAGTACAGCAGCTGAAATGAAACCTCAATGAATGGGCTCACACAGAATGAAAAAGCCATAGGAAAGAAATCAGCGAGCTTGAAGCTGAAACAGTAAAGATTACCCAACCTGAACAACAGAGAAAAAGAGGCTGAAAATCAAATCTTAAGAGTCTCAGGGACACACTAGACCATACATAACAAAAGCTCTCCCATGCATGTCACTGAATCCCAGAAGAAGAACAGAAAGCAGATGAGGCAAAAAACCCTCAAAGAAATAATGGCTGAAAAATGTACAGATTTGGTCAGAATGATAAACCTACAGACTGAAGATGAGTGAGCCCCATGCAGGATGAACCCGAAGAAACTCAACCAGGCTTCTGAAAACCAGAAACAAGGCAGCCAGGGAGAAACCAATGAGGGAAAAACTATTCAAATTTCAAAAAATCCTTCAGGACCTGGGGCTTGGTGAAGAGTTCTTAGCCATGACACCAAAAACAGGATCTATAAAAGAAAAAGAAAAAACTCAACACATCGGACGTCATCAAAACGTAAAGCTCTGGATGGGCGCAGGCGTCCAATGAGAGGATAAAGAGGTCACAAGCTGGGAGAAGAGACTCCTATCTAGAATACAGGAAAAACTCAAAATTCAGTATAAAAACCAAACAATTCAATTAGAACGAGGACAAAACACACGAGGAGGTATTTCACTGAAGAGGCTCTGCAGATGGTAAATAAGCACATGAAGAGATGTTCAATGCAGGCCGGGCGCGGTGGCTCAAACCTGTAATCCCAGCACCTTGAGAGGCCAAAGCGGGTGGATCACCTGAGGTCAGGAGTTCGAGACCAGCCTGGCCAACATGGTGAAACCCCATCTCTACTAAAAATACAAAAATTAGATGGGCATGGTGGCGTGTGCCTGTAGTCCCAGCTACTCAGGAAGCTGAGGCAGGAGAATTGCTTGAACCCAGGAGGCAAAGGTTGCAGTGAGCCAAGGTCTCGCCACTGCACTCCAGCCTGGGTGATGGAGTGAGATTCTGTCAAAAAAATATGTGCAGTGTAGTTAGCTATTAGGGAAACACAAAGCTAAGACAGCTACCTACTCCCTAGGCACCGTGGCTCACACCTGTAATCCCAGCACGTTGGGAGGCAGAGGCGGGAGGATCATTTGAGGCTGAGTTTGCAACCAGCCTGGACAACACAGCAAGACCTCATCTCTATTAAAAGAATCTTTTTTTAAAATTAGCCAGGCATAGTGGTGCACGCTTGTAGTCCCAGCTACTCGGGAGGCTGAGTCAGGAGGAACACTTGAGCCCAGGAGTTCAAGGCGGCAGTGAGCCATGATTGTGCCATCGCACTCCAGCTGGGCAACAGAGTGAGACCCTGTCTCAAAAACAAACAAACAAAACAAACAAAAAAAAAACAAAAAAAACAAGGTTGGGTGTGGTGGCTCATGCCTGTAATCCCAGCACTTTGGGAGGCCAAGGTGGGTGGATCACCTGAGGTTGGGAGTTCGAGATCAGACTGACCAACATGGTGCAACCCCGTCTCTACTAAAAATACAAAATTAGCCGGGCGTGGTGGCGGGTCCCTCTAATCCTAACTACTCGGGAGGCTGGGGCAGGAGAATCGCTTGAACCCCGGAGGCGGAGGCTGTGGGGAGCCGAGATTGTGCCACTGCACTCCAGCCTGGGTGACAAGAGTGAAACTCCGTCTCAAACAAACAAACAAAAAAACAAAAGCTACATACCTATCAGAATGGCTAAAATTAAAACAAATACAGCAAATGCTGGTGAGGCTGCAGAGACACTGGGCTTCTCATACATGGGTGGAAGGAAGGTAAAATATGGCAGCCACTCTGAAAGCGAGGTCGGCAGTTGCTTTAAAAACAAAACCTATGCCAAGGACAGGCCTTAGGCACTGCACTCCCGGGTACTCACCCTGACGAGGGAAACCTAGGTCCGCTCAAAACCTAAGCATGGTTGCTCACAGCAGCTATTGTATTTGTAGTAGGCCGAAAAATGGAAAAACTAATGTACTTCAGTAGACAGGGGGTCAAACAAACAGGGGAACCTCCACCCAGTGGCATCTCAGCAATAAAAAGGAATCCACTCCTGAGGCCCACAACTCAGAAAGACGGCCCTGAGCTGCGGACGAGCCCGCTTCTGAAACCTTCTCATAACGACAGGCCTGCAGCCATGGAGACGCATTTACTGGTTTCCAGGGTTACAATGGCTGCGTGGCCGCCACGGTGGGGATGGCTCTGCGTGGTGACCGAGGTGGCGGTCGCAGAGCCACACGGGATGAGATGACGGAACCACACACAGCGCACCGATGCCAACTTCCCGGCTGTGATGCTGATGGACGCGTCGGAGGAGGCTGGTGGGCTGTGCAGGGACCTCTGCAACACGTCTGCTGCTCCTTGTGAATCTGTGATTGTTTCCAAATGGAAAGTGTGTCCATGGAGCTGGTGGGAACACGGGCAACAGGGCCCCCAGAGGCAGCGACCCCCACTTTCCTTTCCTTCAACACTGAAATGGCACACAGGGGGAGTAAAAAACCATAAACCAGGGTCTGTGGACATTTATCAGGAAGAAAACGTGACGAGGCAAAAATGCTTAATATTCTCCCACTTTTACAATAGAAAACCATCACCCAATCTGAGACCAGAGCCCAAAGACGCGGGCAACACACGGCGGTGGTCGGTCTTCACCTGGAGCATGGACTAGTGTGTTTGTAACTAAACATACACGGTGCAGCAAAGCTTCAGAAGAAACAGCATTTAGAGGCAGGGTTCAAGCGCCTCCTCGTGCAGATGAAGCTGCAATGCTCAGAGAGACAAGGAGGCCACCAGGACCAGGCGGGCAGTGAGGTCAGGTGCAGGGAAGGGCCCTGCCTCTGGGGCTAGGGTGGAGTACCTCCCGTCATGCGCTTCACAGACACTTGCCTTACAGCTACGCAGCCCAGACACTTGCTTCCCAGCCATGCACGTCCTGCCACTGCCTCCCAGCCACGTGCCTCCCAGCCAGGCACCTCCCAGCCATACGCCTCCCAGCCACATGCCTCCCAGCCACATGCCTCCCAGCCACACACCTCCCAGTCATGCACCTCCCACCACCACCTTCCATCCACACACCTCCCGCTACCACCTTCCAGCCATATGCCTCCCGCCACCATCTTCCAGCCACATGCCTCCCAGCCACACACCTCCCCAGTCACGCACCTCCCGCCACCACCTTCCATCCACACGCCTCCTGCTACCACCTTCCAGCCATATGCCTCCCGCCACCACCTTCCAGCCACATGCCTCTCGCCACCACCTTCCAGCCACATGCCTCCCAGCCACACACCTCCCAGTCATGCACCTCCCACCATCACCTTCCATCCACACGCCTCCCGCTACCACCTTCCAGCCATATGCCTTCCCAGCCACGCACCTCTCAACCACGTGCCTCCCGCCACCACATTCCAGCCACACGCCTCCCAGCCACCTCCCAGCCACGTGCCTCCCAGCCACACGCCTCCCACCACTACCTTCCAGCCACGCGCCTCCCAGCCACCACCTCCCAGCCACACGCCTCCCAGCCATGCGCCTCCCACCACGTACAACTTGCCCTTCACCTGGGGATGTGCTGCACATACAAGCCAGACACAAACCAACCAATTTTAATCTCTATTAAGATAAAGAAAAATCAAGCAATCAGCTTAAAATAGTTCATAAAATGAAAACTTGTAGACATCTGTTTTGTGACGCCTATGTAAGCCAGCTCCAAACCAGTAAAATGGAGACACCCACAGCCCCTCTCACACAGCTTCCAAGGAGCACCTCCACCCGGAACCTGCTGTGCCCTCACTGGCCTCTGTACTCACCCGCTTCCAAGAGCAGCACTGGGTCTTGAGAAGGACCCAGGCTCAGGCTCTGGCCCTGCCCGTGGCCACAGCAGGCCACAGTGACATGTCTGGGGCCCCTCCCACTGTACTGGCTTTTTGGAGGTGGCCCATTCTGCTGGTTTGTATTTCTTTTCTCTTTTTTTTTGGGACACAGGGCCTTGCTGTGTCACGCAGGCTAGAGAGCAGTGGTGCCATCATAGCTTACGGCAGCCCTGAACTCCCAGGCTCAAGTGATCCTCCTGCCTTAGCCTCCCAAGTAGTTGGGGCTATGGGTGCATGCCACCACATCCAGCTGACCACAACAAAATTTTTTTTTGTAGAAACAGGGTCTTGCTATGTTACCCAGGCTGGTCTTGAACTCCTGGCTTCAAGTGAACCTCCACCTTGAAGTCTGTATTTCTTTCTTTCTTTTTTTTTTTTTTGTAGATAGGGTCTTGTTCTGTTGCACATGTTGCACAGGCTGGAGTGCAGAGGCGCAATCTCAACTCACTGTAGCCTCTGCCTTCTGGATTCAAGCAATTCTCCTGCCTCAGCCTCCCAGGTAGCTGGGATTTCAGGCACCCACCACCACGCCTGTCTAATTTGTAGAGACAGGGTTTCATCATATTGGCCAAACTGGTCTTGAACTCCTTACCTCAAGTGATCTGCCCACCTTGGCCTCCCAAAGTGCTGGGATTACAGGCGTGAACCACTGCGCCTGACTGAGGTCTGCATTTTTGATCCTTTAAGCACAGACAGCAGATATTGGTGGCCAATGTTGAAGTTCAGCAACGGCCATCCTGTGACCAGTGGCTGGAAGGATTGTCTTGTGAGTTTTGCTTTTCCTACATTTCTTTAAGTATTCAAAGAGCCGGCTGTGGATGGGAGCGCTCTTCGGTGGATTCGCTGTGAGGGAACCTCAGGGTGCCCGGAGCTGGCTTGGCCAATGACAACCAATCTAACGGCGTGCACTACAGACTGACTTGACAAGCCCAGGTTCCTGCCAGTCAGTCACAGCAGGGAACAAAAGGGATGGCCGCAAGAACTCGCCAAGTTCCGTATTTCACAACACCAGAGCATTTCAAAATATCCTATTCATTCATTCTAAACTTGGCTCTGCTTAAGTGGAAAGCTGACTGCTGATAGATGAAGAGCTTCTCAGAGCTCGGGCATTCCAGCTCCTACCGCCGGCCAGCGGGGCCCGAGTTCCAGCCAACCCCCTAGAAGGAGGGAGGCAGGGCAAGGATGGGTGCACAGACGATCTGGACCACCGTGCGATCCCATTCCTGTACACGGGCCACCCACAGCTGAGCGCCCTGAACACTTGGGCTTGATCCTATCGGCTTCACTCTGAGACACACTTTGCCAGCAAACTGAAGCCATGACTTACGATCTCTCCTTGAAACAAAACACCATGCACCGTATCACAATTTCGCCATGCCCGATATCATCACAGTTCCACCGTGCCCCGTATCGCCACAGTTCCACCGTGCCCCGTATCGTCACAGTTCCACCATGTACCGTATCACAATTCCACCGTGCACTATATCACAATTCCAGCTGCACTGGCTTTGAATATTTTCTGTACTAAAGCCGTGAAACTCATCTGATCAGAAAAGCTACGCCCCAAGCCTATGTAACCTCTGATTGTCGCTGGTGTGTGGCTTCTGTTCTGTACCAAGAAAAAGATGCAGAACCACGTTACAACAAGACACTCCCTGAATACACACAACTCCACGTGCACGCAGACTTCCCAAAAGCACACAAAAGCATGATGCTCATCGCAGCTCTCTGGAGAAATCGGACTCAGGTGGACAAAACATCTGGGTTTTATGCCCTTCCTTTGCAAGACGCTGGGAACTGATTCTCTAAGGAGGGAAACTGAGATGAGAGAGAGGAAAAAAAACCAAAACAAAATTTTTAACCGCATACCTTTTGAGTTTTGAACCGCGGGAATGTAACGCCTACTTAGAAAATACGTAAGCCAAAATCCTTAAGATGAGCCTTGAAAAAACAAAGCAAAGCAAGCACGCACTCCTACTTTGACACACAAAAGTAATGTCTTTAAACCTAAACTTTTCCTTTCAAAGTGAAAAGAGGGGCCAGGCTGGTGGCTCACGCCCGTAATCCCAACACTCTGGGAGGCGGAGGTGGGCGGATAGCTTGAGCTCAGGAGTTGGAGACCAGCTTGGGCAATGTGGCGAAACCCGGTCTCTACTAAACAAAAATTAGCCGGGCATGGGGGCACACGCCTGTAATCCCAGCTACTCGGGAGGCTGAGGCAAGAGAATCACTTGAACCCCAGAAGTGGAGGCTGCAGTGAGCTGAGATCGCGCCATTGCACTCCAGCCTGGGTGACACAGCGAGACTGTCTCAACAAACAAACAGACACACACAGTGAAAATAGGGTCAACATGAAAAGATGATCTCTGTTCTCTCCTTGTTCTGTCTTGTAAAGGTGACAAGATTTGGGAGTTACGGGCCAGTTTTCAGGGCTCAAAAATAGACAACTTTAAAAACCATCTTAAAGATGGGTAAGAAATCAAGAGGCTGGGCACAGTGGCTGACATCTGTAATCCCAGCACTCTGGGAAGCTGAGGTGGGTGGATCACCCGAGGTCAGGAGTTCAAGACCAGCCTGACCAACACAGTGAAACCTCGTCTCTACTAAATACAAAAAATTAGCCGGACGTGGTGGCGCATGCTTGTAATCCCAGCTACTTGGGAGGCTGAGGCAGGAGAAATCACGTGAACTCGGGAGGTGGAGGTTGCAGTGAGCCAAGACTACGCCACTGCACTCCAGCCTGGGCAACAAGAGCAAAACTCTGTCTCCAAAAAAAGAAAAGAAAAAAAGAAAAAAAGAAAAAACTCAAAAGAAAACACGGGGCTGGGTGCGGTGGCTCACGCCTGTAATCCCAACACTTTGAGCGGCCAAGGCGGGCAGATCACGAGGTCAGGAGTCGGAGACCAGCCTGACCAACACAGTGAAACCCTGTCTCTACTAACATTACAAAAATTAGCTGGGCGTGGTGGCACGTGCTTGTAATCCCAGCAACTCGGGAGGCTAAGGCAGGAGAATCACTTGCACCCAGGAGGGGGAGGTTGTGGTGAGCCGAGATCGCGCCACTGCACTCCAGCCTGGCGACAGAGCAAGACTCCGCCTCAAAAAAAAAACAAAAAAAAAAACACGGTGGTTATGCAAATTCTCTTGTTTAGGGAGCTGACCTCGCAGGGCTTTCCCGGCCCAGAAGCTGCAGTGGCTGCACCGTGGTCTAATTCTTTCTCTGCCTTCGTTTTTTCCGCGACACCAAGCCCAGTGAGCGGGAATCCCAGTGAGCGGGAATCTCAGTGAGCGGGAATCCCAGCCCGCCCCAACCCCAGAGCCTAGCTTGGGGCCTGGCACAGAGCACTGTTACGATCAGTACAGAAAAGAAATAATAATTTTCAACGACTTTAAAATTACACAATGGGCTGTGACCACAGCTATGAACTTTGTTGACTATTTCAAAATGTAAGTAACTAGCAAATTAATAGGGCAGGAAAAGAATTCTTTTTTCAAGCCACAAATGTACTTGGATTAAATGACCTGAACCAAAGTTATCTATGAGCTCCAGATGTGGAGTTATCGGCCTAAGGGGGCCAGGAAGAAGGCATGCCCCCTTTGCTGGCACTGGTCATTATCGCCCCTCTTTAATGTATTTTAAAAATGAAATCTCGTTTGGAGTTCTGCAGAAGTCACAGAGCTCTGAGCACGATTTAAAAATAAATGTCACCTCTTGTCAACTGGAAATAAACAGAACAGAGAGCAATGATTCATCCCCTACCACTCCATCCTCATCACGCCGCTGTGTGTCAATAAACCCTGCCCTGGCTGTTTGAGCAGTATTTAATCATAAACGGATTTGAACACACTCTGCAGCATAAACAGAACCAAGTATCTCCTATCTGAGAGGGCAACAGATGAGCGAGGTAAGAGGATCGGAAACCCTTGAGGTGTAAAATGAGAAGCCTGATCGCTGGTACACTTAAAGACAAACATGACCAGTCTTTTCGAGACTGCAATAATACACCCAGAATTCAGAGAGCGGTGGTTTGATTCTAACAACTCTCCGTGTTCCTTCTCAAATAAGCGCGCGGGGCAGGACAAATGGGTTCAGCTGCCTCTGAGAAGTGTTTATGCCTTGATGGTAAATAATCAGACTGAAACTAACACGTCTCCTTTCCCTTCTCAATTATGATGACGTAAGGCGAAAGGCGTCTGAATGCGGAGCCTTCACTCCAAGGAACGGTCAATCCTCAGTTGGGGTTCTTCAAGACCACCGGCAATCAATACCAATTTACAGCCCTTTTTACATTCCCTTTAAAGCAGCCGCATTTATGGAGACAGGAACCAAGTGCCGGAGTAAATCGTTTCCAAGTCCATTACTGCACCGAGGCGGGAGATGCTCTTGGTGAAGTCTGACACGTCGAACGTCTCACCCCAGGGAGGCGACCATCGGGGAAGGGAAACGATGCTTGGATTTCATCTCAACCCTACTCCCCATCTTATGGTATAAAGGCAAATAAGCTGTCACAATTAGATGATGGATAAAAAGTGAGAGACTGATAAAAAAAAAAAAGCACAGATGATCCACCTCTGAATATCAAAGAATCTGAACTTCCAGCTTCGGACTTGGTGGGCTCTGTGACCTGCCGCGTCCTCCCTCCTGCTCGGCGGCACCTGCCCTCTGCCCCTCCCCCGGAGTCCCTGCCCCATCTCAACCTTGAGTCATAGTCCATCAAGTTCTGCCTCAGCTCCAGGCCCAGCTCACAGGTCCCCCGCCTTGACACCGGCCGGCCGCAATCTTTTCTCTCTGACCTTGCGTTGCTTCTCTACGGTCCGTGGCATCTGCCCTGGAGGCACTACGTTGCCGACTTGTGGCTGAGCCCAGCCTGGTGGGTGACACAGAGCTGGCCTCCTGACAAGACACGGCAGCACCACTGCCCACCCCTTATGGGTGATGCAGATACGAGAGGGTATGACGCCCTTAGTAATTATTCTCACTACCGCCCATCCACACAATGCCGAGGAGTGGCACTCTTGAGACCCACTCTGATCTCCCCATCCAACTGCTCTAGGAGCTTCTGCCAGTTCTCCAGTGGCCATGGGATGGGGCACACCTCTTCACACTCTTCACTTGCCAAGACGTCTGAGGGCCACTGAGAAAGTCACATCTTCCTTAACTCCAGATCTCTCCCTCCTCAACATCCAGGAATCACTCCAGGGAGAGCTGGCGGCTGGCTGGGACCCACCCCCGGACTGCCACACCCTCTCACAGGAAGCCCTTCCACTCTGGGCGTGTTTATTACTGCGCCCAGCCTCCCTGACTGATACATCCCATGGACGCTTCCCAGGACACTCAGCCTTCCCACCCTGTGAAAACACCCCCAGGTGTCGGGACCCAGGAGGGCACACCAGCACAACGCTTCCTGAACAGAGCTGGGCACATGCTGCCCGGGGCAAGGCATCAGGAACGGACATCATGCTTGAGTAGAAGAAGTCAGAGAGACTAAGTAGGATCCAGGCCCAGCTTGGCCCTGCACAGCTGATGGACAGCCGTCTCCATCCATCTCCATCTTCTCTAAGCGTTCTCTAAAGCCAGGCTGCTCTGCAACTCCGTGAAGCTCAGGCACCGTGATGGGGCTTCCCAGAACCCAGTGGCTAGGACGGTGTCGACAGGTAATGCGGACAGACACATCTCTACCCAGAAGGAACTACACAGACGAGGAGAAGGAACAAGAGTCACAACAAGCTGAAAACAAATGGGAAAAATCCACGACGTGGAATGGCTGTAATTCTCAGTGGTGGGAACTGGTGGCTCCAGCTGAGCTCAGCTTCTATGAACAGTATCGTGGCCCGTGCAGACCAGCCCAGAACCTGCACCGCTGGGGCTGCAGAGCCACCACCGCACCCTCGCCCTGAATGTGACCCTCCCTTCCAAAGCAAGAACATGCCCTTGTGGTCCCACAAGGAGCAGAAGGCCATACACCCGGCTGCACCCATTTCTCCAAAATACACAGCTATTTATTATCATTATTATGTATTTCTTTATTTATTTTTGAGATGGAGTCTCACTCTGTTGCCCAAGCTGGAGTGCAGTGGCGCGATTGAGGCTCACTGCAACCTCCACCTCCTGGCTTCAAGCGATTCTCCTGCCTCGGCCTCCGGAGGAGCTGGGATTACAGGCACCCCTCACCACGCCCAGCTAATTTTTGTATTTTTAGTAGAGACGGGGTTTCACCATGTTGGCCAGGCTGGCCTTGAACTCCTGACCTCAGGTGATCCGCCTGCAAACTCCTGGGCTCAAGCAATCCTCCTGCCTTAGCCTCCCAAGGTGCTGGGATTACAGGCGTGAGCCAGTACACTGGCCTATCCTGTACTTTCTGAGACCTCTGTTATCTTAGAAAGGAAGCAGGCATTTGTGTTGTTTGCGACTGAGGAAACTGAGGCTTAGAGCAGATGAACTACTCGTCCAAAGTCATCAAAACAGTCAGTCACAGATTCTATTTAAGTGCCAACCTTCTCATTCAGATGAGGAAACCAAGAAACTGAATTTTGTGAAATTTTTTGACACTACAATTAAAACCGTAAGAAGAAGTGGCGCTGAACTAACTGACCGCCACACAATTTAACGTTTAAAAATCATGGATTTTGCCTGTTCTTCTACCCCTTCACGCGGGAACAATGTTAACGCCTAACACACAGGCTTCCGTGTTCTTCCGTGTTCAAACGTGTCACGCGTTGTTCTAAGTGAACTCATTCGATCCTCTCTCCCTCCTTGGAGGTGGGGATGGCTTTTGGACCTATTTTACAGACAGTGAACTGCTGGCTGAACAGCGAGAAGACGGACAGCACATCGTGAGGTCACTCAACGCCAAGAATTATCATGACACTGTGGAACTTCACTGCTCCAGGGTCCAAACCAATGGCGTAAAACGCAATTTGACGTTTTGTATCATGTGAATTACGCTTTACTGCGGCAAAACCAGTTCATGATTTTAACAAAGTTAAAATCTTCTGCAACCTCCCCTTTTCTAGCAGACCACACAGGCCTGCTGCGAAGCCAACTGTGCACAGGGCTCCCGGAGAAGGTCCGCCTGCCCCGGTCACGGGCCAGCCTCGATCTGCCAGCAGGGGTCGCGGGCCAGCAGGGGTGGGCCAGCCTCGATCTGCTCGGAGACATCGAGTCCAGATAAGCAGCCTATGTGGACTGTGCGCTTGGGAAGAGCCTGGCCCTGTCCAGACCCTGAGAATGGAAGCGGAAGCCAGGCTCGTGGACGCAGCAACGTGACACTGGGAAGGAGGCACAGTAGGCGGCCTCACGCTGACCTGGCCTAACAAGGAGGGATCCCGGACAGATCCAAAACATGCAGTGGGATTCTCGGGATGACAGGGTGGGGATGCCAGGCAGCAAATAGCGTGGGTAAGGCACGGGGGTATCCTGGGGCCTCGGGCCCCCAGTGTGCACAGCAACAGCTAGGCGAGGCTTCCAGGAACTACATTTTCCCACCAGCCTCTTTTCTTTTTTCCTTGTTTTTCTTTTTCTTTTCTTTTCTTTTTTTTTTTTTTTTGAGACAGAGTCTCGCTCATTGCCCAGGCTGGAGTGCAGTGGGGCGATCTTGGCTCACTGCAACCTCCACCTCTCGGATTCAGGCAATTCTCCTGCCTCAGTCTCCCGAGTAGCTGGGACTACAGGCACACGCCATCACGCCCAGCTAATTTCTGTATTTTTAGTAGAGACGGGGTCTCACTATGTTGACCAGGATGGTCTTGAACTCCTGACCTCAGGTGATCCGCCCGCCTCAGCCTCCCAAAGTGCTGGGATTACAGGCGTGAGCCACCAAGCCCGGCCTTACCAGCCTCTTTTCTAAAAGCAGCACTTGACGGCCACCAATATCCAACCAGGCTCTGAGAAGCTGGCAGGAATGAAGTTCACCCCAGGCTGGGAGCCCCAGGAAGGGAACAGCCTCCCGCCTGCTGCAGCCACAAAAACACCAGGGAGAACTCTCCTTACCAGGCCACACACAAGTTTATACCATTCGGGGCAAATTGCTATACTTTTATGATATCAATTTCTTAAACTTGGTCATCTTTAGTTCTTGTTCTGCCATGTAAAATTCCACCCTAACCCTGGAGAGAGACTTTGGATAACTGAAGGTCAAGTTAGAGTTTAACCTAATCAACCTTTCCCAAGGAAGTGGTCTCTTCCCAAGATCCACTCTGATTTACCTTCGGGTGAGCTTCCCCCGACCAGCAGCCCTGGATGAAGGAGGCCGGATCCCGATCCACGGGGGCTTCCAGTTTTCCTAAGGGCGGCTGGGGTCACTGCGGCAACTAGGTCATGTTTACAAAGCATCGGGGACTCATTTTTAGAGACCTCTCTGCCAGCCAGGATAAAAACTGAACCCAAACAAAGCCACACAGCATCAGCACCAAAATCAGCATCTGAAAAAGCCTTTATTTGGTGGAAGACTCGGGCCCTTCAAAGAGCACATTCCAAGCACTCCTGGAGGGCGGGGCGGGTTCCAGGCTGGGAAAAGGAACTGGTCTCATCCTTCCAGTTCACTCCCCACCAGTTACTAGGCGGTACCCCAGCACCAGGGCACTCTCTCCCTCCACATTTACTCAGATTTCAGAAAACAGGTGAAAACAGGCTGAGCGCAGTGGCTCATGGGTGTAATCCCAGCACTTTGGGAGGCTGAGGAGGGTGGATCACTTGGGGCAGGAGTTCGTGACCAGCCTGGCCAACATGGTGAAACCCCATCTCTACTAAAAATACAAAAATTAGCCGGACACGGTGGCGGGCCCTATCATCCCAGCTACTTGGGGGGCTGAGGTAGGAGAATTGCTTGAACCCAGGAGGCGGAGGTTGCAGAGAGCCACGATCGTGCCACTGCACTCCAGCCTGGGCAACGGAGAGAGAGTCCGTCTCAAAAAAAAAAAAAGTGAAATGGAGTACTGGTCGCACACGCATGAATCAGATACGAATGGCACCGGGGAACACGCCAACTGCAAAGACCCAGTGAGGCAGCCTTCTCCAGGAAAACCCGGAAAGGAAGGCGTAAGAGACAATTCACCGACTCCCACACCCACCCTCTCGCTGCTGCAGATACTTGAGTCGCTAAATACATCTTAACACTACCAAGGCGAAATTATCCATTTGGGGAAACTGGGTCATAAAGTAGATTAATAACACGGAAAGCCCGCCCAGGGAGAGGCCTGCTTTCAGCAGCATTGCCGGATGTACTAAACTAGCTTAATTGTTATGTAAATTGCACTCTCCGTCCCATCTGTTTATCCCGGATGGCCCATTCATCACAAGAGTTTTCCCTGAAATAAGCACTGAGCCAGACCTGCTCTTTACCAGCGTCCCCTCCACCAGAACACCACCCCGAACGCCCTGAGCTCCCCGCACCTCTTCCCTCTCCGTTAGTGTTTGGGCAATGTCTGTGTCCACCGCACCAGGGGTGGTAACAAAGAGGGCAACGTAACATCATGGGAAACCCGGAGGGGAGACATCGCTGCTTCTCTAAGACTGGAAGGTGGCCATTACGGACAAAGGCAGGAAGCAACCGTTAGTTTTTAGTCTTTTATTTTAAGAAGAAAATGCAATGGAATTCAATTAGGGCATGAAGTAGGTAAGTTATTTCCTGCACAAGGGTAGAGGGAAGTGGCCCGGAAGTCTAGGGCACAGCCCTCCTTGGAGAAGGAACTCAGAAGTCCCGGGGGGAGGTGAGAGGGAGAAGGCACAGGCCGACCCAGCAGTTCCAGGCTACAGGGGCATTGGGGGTCGGCATCCGGGCGGCCAAGGAAGGTCAGCCCAACTCCGGGGTCAGCGATGACCTGGCTGATACTGACAAAGGAAATCATGCCTCATTCACATAGCTTTCGAACGTTTCACCCTGTACGTGTCTTTCACGAGGATGATGAAGACCTCCTTTACATTTCTGCACTCCGAAAACAATTCAGACAGAACTGTAAATCACATTTTGCTTTTTGGTGACTGTTGGCATTACCTCATCCAGCTGGTGGGGTGGGTGTCAGGATTCTGCCCACATTGAGGAAGGGTGGAGAGGTTCCTTCTTGATAGGAGGGAACCACAGACACCCAGCCATGCTGCTTGGGACTGTCTCCGATGGGCCCCCAACTGTCAGCATCCACAGCCCCACCCCACTCTAGGGCCAGAGGCCTGCATTCCTGGAACTTCCCTGACCACCTCCCCTTGCTGTTTAGCTGGAGGGAAGGAGTGTCACAGATATAAACTCCTAACTTAGGGTGCCAGAGCACTTTACCCACTTAAACAGATCATTCACAGAAAAGGGGTATTTTATTTTAAGTATTTAAGCCCCTAACCAGTTGTGATTCTGATCAGCAGCCGTTGTGAATATGCAAATACAAGGTTTCAGCCAAGTCCCTGCTATAGATCTCTTTAAATGGAAACAGGAGGAAAACGCGCTGAAATGACGTTCGCTGTTACCTTTGTGGAGAGTTCTATGTGGCTTTTCTCCTGCTCGCATTTCTGTATTTTTCAATTTTCTATAAGCATGGATTGCATATATACATATATACACATATATATACATATATACACGTATATACACGTATATACACGTATATATACGTATATATACGTATATATACGTATATATACGTATATATACGTATATATATATACATATATATATATAATTTTGAAAGTTGGAAATGATATAGTTTATATAGATATATAACCTAAAAGCTGAGCTCTTAAAATCGGCTTTCTTTTAAAATTGGTTCCTACAAAAAGAAATGACACGTGAAGGCCGGGGCAGTGGCTCACACATGTAATCCCACTTTGAGAGGCTGAGGCGGGGGGGGGTCACGAGGTTGGGAGATCGAGACCATCCTGGCCAATGTGGTGAAACCCCCTCTCTACTAAAAATACAAAAATTAGCCGGGCATGGTGGCACAAGCCTGTATAGTCCCAGCTGCTTGGGAGGCTGAGGCAGGAGAATTGCTTCAATGCGGGAAGCAGAGGTTGCCGTGAACAGACATTGCGCCAGTGTACTCCAGCCTGGCGACGAGAGAGCGAGAGCGAGAGAGAGAGAGAGAGAGAGAGAGAGAGAGAGAGAGAGAGAAAGAGAAGGAAATGACACAGAAGAATTCTCACTTAAGGCCAGGCATGATTGCTTATGCCTGTAATCCCAGCACTGCGGGAGGCCAAGGTGGGAGGATCGCTTGAGCCCACGAGTTCAAGACCAGCCTGGGCAACATACCAAGACCCTGTCTTTACAAAAAAAAGTTGGCCAGGGTGATGGCATGCGCCTGTAGTCCCAGCTACTGGGGAGGCTGAGGTGGGAAGATGGCTTGAGCCCAGGAGTTTGAGGCTGCAGTGAGCTGTGATCATGCCACTGCCCCCAGCCTGGGTAACAGAGTGAGATCTTGTCTCTAATAACAGCAACAAAACAATAAAATTCTGACTTTAAAAAATTGGAGAATGTAGACTGATGAAAAATAAACTTTTAGGCCAGGTGCAGTGGCTCATGCTGTAATCCCAGTACTTTGGGAGGCTGCTGCGGGCAGATCACCTGAGGTCAGGAGTTCGAGACCAGCCTGGCCAACAGGGTGAAACCCTGTCTCTACTAAAAATACAAAAGTTAGCCGGGCGTGGTGGCATGTGCCTGTAGTCCCAGCTACTCGGGAGGCTGAGGCAGGAGAATCACTTGAACCAGGGAGGTGGAGGTTGCAGTGAGCTGAGTTCATGCCACTGCACTCCAGCCTGGGTGACAGAGCCAGACTTTTTCTCAAAAAAAAAAAAAAAGAATGAAACATAGATTGGTTTGGGAGGCTGGCTCGAGGCCAGGAGTTTGAGACCAGCCTGGGCAACACAGTGAGGTTCTATCTCTACAGAAACAACAGAAGAAAAAAAATTTAAAAAGTATAACTACAGATGGGCCCGTGATCCGAGCACAGCCTGACGCTGCTGTCACTGATGTCAGCCTTGCCTAGCACACAGGGCAATCCCTCCTGCTGCGTGCTGCGTGGATCCCAGCTTAGCTTATCCAGTTCCGAAATAGGGAAAACATTTATTCACAAAGTACCCGGTAATCCTTTGAGCATTTTTTTTTTTAATTTTTGAAAAATATTTATTTGTGTTTTGATGAAAGGAATGTTTCCTTTTCTTTTCTTTTTTTTTTTTTTTTTTGAGACAGAGTCTCACTCTGTTGCCCAGGCTGGAGTGCAGTGGCGTGATCTCAGCTCACTACAATCTTCACCTTCTGAGTTCAAGTGATTCTCCTGCCTCAGCCACCCGAGTAGCTGGGATTACAGGCGTGCCCCACTACGCCCGACTAATTTTTGTGTTTTTAGTAGAAACGAGGTTTTACCACATTGGCCAGGCTGGTCTCAAACTCCTGACCTCAAGTGATCCACCTGCCTCAGCCTCCCAAAGTGCTGGAATTACAGGTGTGCGCCACCACGCCCGGCCAGGGATGTTTCTTAGCAATGCATTTTAAAAAATCTTTCACCTTTAAATGAAAAATGTCCATAGTGTACCCTTGGTAGACCCTTTCGGTGTGGCTACTGGCAGACGCTACCAGGGTTAGACACTGATCGGAAGCCTCACCATGAGTAATTCATTCCCAAGTTATTTTGTTAAGCATGCGGTAGCCAGTTTTCCACACGTAGGGGTACGTATACACGCATTTTTTCCCACCAGGTTTGGTTTTCTGTATTTATAGTGACTGGGAGTATTTAGCCTTCATGGTCATAATGTAATGTGACTGCCATATGTTACTTTTCTCCCTTCCCCAGATTAAATCATGGTTAGGGGAGTCTCTCTAAAGCTCTCGGCAGGCTGCGATTCCCTTTTCACCTACTTTTATCTAGTCACGATGCTCTGAAAGTGCCTCCGGAGCACTGAAGGGCCTCCTGGTCGCCCGAGCAGCGCTATGTCAATTGCATGGCGCACCAGTCCCCAGCTGCAGCTCTACCCGGGATCATTTGGTTTTAATATTCAAGCTTTTAGTTTTGCCAGATATAAAAACAATTCTTAATGATGTTCTGTCCCCAACCCTAAGATGAGCAAAATGTACCCAAGTCTCCTGGGCACCTTCAACTTGTTGTGGCTCTTTCCCTCCCGCGCAGCAGGGTCGGGCCACCCTGGGGGAGCCTTGTGGGGCGAGGACACCAGGACCCTGCCCTGTGCTGGACGCCACCAGCCCTGCAGACGCGGGTTCTCCGCATGTCTTGGGGCCACGAACTTCAGCGAGTTGTCCTCCCATCCCCTGAGAGCCAGGCTGTCACAACGCCCTACCCACTCCATGTCCTAAATGCTCTGCCCCCTCGGGTCCTCCCCCTCCCTCCCCTCACCCCAGAGCGGAGAGGCCCAATGGCTGGAGGTCTGTCTCCCTGACTCCTCATTGCCAGCTCCTGCCTGTAACTTAGACCTCGGCTAAAACAGCACTTCCTCAGAAACGCCCTCCCAGCCGCCTGCCCTGGAATCCCCTGAGAGAGCCAGTCTTCCCAGTCCAGCCCAGCCCAGCCCAGCCCCCGACACAGAGGCACTCTCACCCAGCAGTGCAAGCAACCAGGGGTCTCGGTCCCCAACCGGACCTGGCAGGGGGAGCTGAGGACGGCCTTTTAGGTGGAGACACAGGCCAGGAGCTCAGGAGGACGAGCAGGACACGCAGCCCTGGGGACGAGGACAAAGGAACCCAGAACCCGAGCTGGGTAGGGCGGGCAGGCTGGGTCTGTCACCCAGAGGGACACAAGCTTCCATCCCCTCTGGTCAGAGCTGAGAAGAGGAAGGCAGGGGAGGAGGCCAGAGGCCCCGTCAAGGCCCCGTCCAGGATGGGGGGCTACACCCACTAGGGTTACGCATGTCTGATGGCACCAACCTATGAAGCGGTCTTTCCAGAGAAGTGGAAAACACAAACAGGATCATGAAGAAGATGTCACGACACCACTAACGCAAACCTGAAAACTCGCGTGAACTAAACAATGAATGCTGGCCGGGTGCGGTGGCTCATGCCTGTAATCCCAGCACTTTGGGAGGCCAAGGCCGGTGGGATCACCTGAGGTCAGGAGTTTGAGACCAGCCTGGCCAACATGGTGAAACCCTGTCTCTACTAAAAATACAAAAAAATTAGCCAGGCATGGTGGCGCGTGCCTGTAATCCCAGCTACTCCGGAGGCTGAGGCAGGAGAATCACTTGAACCAGGGAGGTAGAGGTTGCAGCGAGCCAAGATTGCACCATTGCACTACAGCCTGGGCGACAGAGTGAGACTCTATCTCAAAAAAAATAAATAAATAAAAAAACCCCACAAACAACAAATGCCTCTTAGATGTCTACGTGTGTATGTGACATACGCGGGAGGTCTAGGGTTAAATTCCTCCAGGAGCTGCCTCTGGAGAAGGGACAGAAACGGGAGGGGAAGGTGGAGGACAGGGGACCTCAATTTTATCTGTCATGTGTCTCTTTAAAAAGGGCTTAAAAACATGACAAAATATGAAAAGCACGGATTCTTAGTGGGTACAATACGATTTGGTTTTGTTGTTGTTGCTTTTTGGGGTTTTTTTTGAGACAGGGTCTTGCTCTGTTGCCTAGGCTGGAGTGCAGTGGTACAGTCACAGCTCACCGCAGCCTCAACCTCCCAGGCTCAGGCGATCTTCTCACCTCAGCCTCCCAAGTAGCTGCGAGTACAGGCAAGCACCACCATGCCCAGATAATTTTTTACTTTTTATTTATTTATATTTATTTTTTGAGACGGAGTCTCGCTTATCGCCCAGGCTGGAGTGCAGTGGCGCGATCTCCGCTCACTGCAAACTCCGCCTCCCAGGTTCCCACCATTCTCCTGCCTCAGCCTCCCGAGTAGCTGGGACTACAGGCGCCCGCCACCATGCCTGGCTAATTTTTTGTATTTTTAGTAGAGACACGGTTTCACCGTGTTAGCCAGGATGGTCTTGATCTCCTGACCCTCATAATCCGCCCGCCTCGACCTCCCAAAGTGCTGGGATTACAGGCGTGAGCCACTGCGCCTGGCCTTTTACTTTTTATTTTTTGCAGGGACAGAATCTTGCTATGTCGCCCAGACTGGTCCCGAACTCCTGAGCTCAAGGGATCCTCCCACCTCAGTCTCCCAAAGTGTTGGGATTACTGGTGTGAGCCACCACGCCCGGTCAATAGTACTTGTTACATATCCTTTGTACTTTTCCACATTTAAAAAAATACCTTAAAATACATACGAATTGGCTGGGCACGGTGGCTAAAACTGGGAACTGTTTTGAGATCAAACCTTCTTATCTCAGTGTCCTCCCTAAGTTTTGGCCAGTCTCTGTACCCAACAAACGTTACTCAAACTAATTCAAGGTAAAACCTGAGTTTGTCTCTTCTAGCCCCCCGTCCTTTGAGCTCCCATTCTCTAGATAAGCAGCTCAGAAAAACACAAGAAAACAAACCCCTGCTGTTTAGCTCTGATCGTGCAGCCTTCACAGCCGCAGGGAGCTTGGAGATAGGAAGCCCGTTCTCCAGCCAGTGCAAGATGCTGCCTAGGAATGACAGCCTTGCTGGTGAGCGGCCGCCCCTGCTGGAACAGGCTGGGGCAGGGAGCTCAGCAGACCTGAGGGCCAGTCTGCTCCACTGTGAGCAGCTCAAAGCACTGCAGTCATTTCCCACTGCCCTGCAACAACCTCCGCTTCTGACATCACAGGATGAATAATACATCCTTGACAGTAACAGCAGCGATGATGGCAGCACAGACGCATGTATGTGGGATGTTTATCTATCAGCACTGTCTATGTGCCAGGCACTGAGGTAAGTACTTGTTTGTTTGTTTTTTGAGACAGGGTCTTGCTCTGTTGCCCAGGCTGCAGTGTAGTGGTGCGATTATAGCTCACTGCAGCCTTGACCTTCTGGGGCTCAAGGGATCCTTCCCCCTCAGCCTCCCGAGTAGCTCGTACCACAGGTGCATGATACCACACCTGGCTAATTTTTGTAATTTTTGTAGAGACGGGGTTTCACCATGTTGCCCAGGCTGGTCTTCAACACCTGGCTTCAAGCGATCCTCCCACCTCGGCCTCCCAAAGTGCTGGGAGGGGACTACAGGTGTAATCCCACTGAGCCACCACATCTGGCCCAGTAAATACTTCTAATGTATCTCTAGTAATTCTCACAATTACTTATGAAAAAGGAAGTGTGCCCACTTTACAGATGGGCAAACAGGAGCTCGGGGTCAATCCACTTGCCCAAGGGCACTCAGCAAAAGCCAGACCTTTAGAAGCTAAGCTAATGGAACTTCTGATCACTTTCTTACACCAGGTTATTTTTGCATTCAGATCTCTCCTATTTGTTTATTCATTTTGCCCACAAATATTTACAAAGTGCCAACTATGTGCCAAGCATATTGGTATGTACTGAGGCTATGCAATAAACAAGAAAAACGTGGTCCTGCCCCAACAAAACTCAGGTGTCTCAGATAAATATAACCACAAACAACGACAGGCCACACAGGGTGCCGTGGGGTGCTGCAGTGCAAGCCAGTGGGACCTAAGCTCAGCCAGGCACCGGGGAAGGCCTCCTGACGGAAATGGCTCTCAGGCAGGCAGAGCAATATTTACTCTGAAACGCTTCACAGGCGTTTCTTTCCAAGCTAGGAACAAGAAGGAGCCCATTATCATGGTACTCGGTCAATGTTATTTGGAGGTCCTAGCCGATTCAACCAGACAACACAAAGAAATGAGATCTAAGATACTGGAACAAAGAGAAGAAGTATTATCTGCACATGAGGATTATGGCCCAGGAAACGCAAGCACATGAATTAAAAAACTGTTACCAGAAATGTAAATGTGACTAGACAGAAAATTAATATTTTAACACTTGTACTGAATCTCAAAAATTACTTAATTACAAAAGAAAAAACACAGCAACTCTTTGGTGGAAAAGCCGGCCAGACAACACCTAAACCAAGTGATCAAAACTAACCCTGTGAGGCCAGGTGCGGTGGCTCATGCCTGTAATCCCGGCACTGTGGAAGCCTGAGGTGGGTGGATCACTTGAGGCCAGGAGTTCGAGACCAGCCTGGCCAACATGGTGAAACCCTGTCTCTACTAAAAATACAAAAATTAGCCCAGCATGGTGGTGGGCACCTGTAATCCCAGCTACTCGGGAGGCTGACACAGGACAATCGCTTGACCTGGGAGGCAGACGCTGCAGTGAGCCGAGATCGTGTCACTGCACTCCGGCCTGGGTGACAGAGTGAGATGTCTCAAAAAAAAAAAAACCTAACCCTGTGGATAAGGACCCCACGAGTCGTGTCACTGCACTCCAGCCTGGGTGACAGAGTGAGACTGTCTCAAAAAAAAAAAAAAAAACTAACCCTGTGGATAAGGACCCCACGAGTCCCACGGCCAAAGATGCTCCACCTGAGTGAAGTTGGGATTTTGTCAAATCGGACAAATGTATGTGGAGAGCCAGCCCAGAACATAACTGGCCTGTTTTTAAAAATGTCAAGGTCAGTAATGACAAAGAAGGGCTGATGAACTGTCCCAGATTCAGATGACTAAAAACACAGGACAACAGCATGCCAAACTCCATCCTGGGCTGGAGCCCCAGCAAGCGACAAAGCACTGCACTGGGCGATACTGGGACAAATGGCAAAAATGGTATGTGGGCCGGGCACAGTGGTGCACGCCTGTAACACCAGCACTTTGAGAGGCCGAGGTGGGTGGATCATTTGAGCCTAGGAGTTTGAGACCAGCCTGGGCAACACAGCAAGACCCCATCTCCATAAAAAATAAAAAGCTAGCTGGGCATGGTAACGCAGGCCTATAGTTCCAGTTACTTGGAA
This sequence comes from Homo sapiens, assembly GCF_000001405.40. Lineage (NCBI taxonomy): Eukaryota > Metazoa > Chordata > Mammalia > Primates > Hominidae > Homo > Homo sapiens. Next base: position 4,698,809 of record NC_000007.14, on the reverse strand, counting down.
GACTAAGGTGGGAGGATCACCTGAGCTCAGGAGTTTGAGACCAGCCTGGGTAACATGGTGAAACCCCATTTCTAGAAACACACAAAAAAATTAGCAGGGCGTGGTGGCACGTGCCTGTAGTCCCAGCCACTCAGGAGGCTGAGGTGGGAGGATCACTTGAGCCTGGGAGGTCGAGGCTGCAGTGAGCTATGACTGTGCCACTGTACTCCGGCCTGGGTGGCACAGGGAGTCCCTATCTCAAACAACAACAACAACAAAGAGGTACGTGGACTGCACATGAGCTAATCATATGGGATCATCATTAATGTTCCTAAATTTAATAACAGACTGTGATTATGTAAAATATCCTCCACCCCATTTTTGGGTGTCCTGGGGTAGGTGTGAATAAAATATCTTTATTCTTGCATATGGTGAAGCGAGAAAAAAAAAATCCTTATTCTTAGGCAATGCATGTTGTGGTATTAAGAAAAAGGGCACGATATATATATATATATATACACACACATACATATATAAAATCGCACTCTCAGATAACATACATATATAGAGAAAACGCTAAACATGGCAGAGCACTAAAAATGAACAAATCTGGGCAGAGGACATGCAGGAGTTATTTGGACTCATCTTGCAACATTTTTGGAGGCGTGCAACTTTTTCAAAACGTAAAATTTTAATAACAAATTAGGGCTGGGCACAGTGGCTCTCGCCTGTAGTCCCAGCACTTTGGGAGGCCAAGGCAGGAGGATCACTTGAGGTCAGGAGTTCAAGGCCAGCCTGGCCAACATGGTGAAACCCCATCTCTACTAAAAATACAAAAATTAGCCAGGCATGATGGCGCACCCTTGTAATCCCAGCTACTCGGGAGGCTGAGGCAAGAGAATCACTTGAACCCAGGAAGTGGAGGTTACAGTGAGCTGAGATCACGCCACTGCACTCCAGTCTGGATGACAGAGCGAGACTCCATCTCAAAATAAAAAAAAGAAAAAAAAATTAGTTACTATAAAACTCATACCAAAGAAACACACACACACACACACACACACACACACACACACACACACACACACAGCCTATCTTTCCTGTATGTAAACACTAACCTTTAGAAAATAATAAGAAAAAAAGATCCTATTCATATTCCCAAAACCCAGGATTCAACCTGACAAGAAATGTGGAGAGAAATTGGTAATAAAAGGTGCTGATGAACCCAGGTAAACGCACTGATGTGGAAGAGTAGAAGTCTGTGGCCTAAGGCAGGGGTGTGCAGACGGGCCACCAGGCATGGCCAGAAGGAAATAACACAGGCTCTGGGGTCCACATGGTCTCCGGCTCAGCTCAGCAGCCACAGACAGCACTTAACAAATGTGCCTGGTGTGTTCCAATAAAACTTTATTTACAAACACAGGCAGCTGGCAGGGTCTGGCCCACAGGCTGCAGCTGGCTACCCTGATCTGAAAAGTTGGCCGTGAATACCGGCTAGCTGTTCAGCAGGCCACTGTCATCTTCTTCCTGAGCACGTTGCCTTCCCTTGGAGTGGCCGGAGACTGAGCTCTGGTCACTGGCTTGAGTGGAAGTGAGATATGCTACTTCTGGGCCTGGCCTCCCCTGAGCCTCCCTCTTTTCCTCCAGATGCAGACAGCACTGCAGCAGGTGCAGCCGTGCCCAGGCCGCTGGACTCCAGACAGTGCCAGCCTGGGTCCCTGAATCACACCTTAAGGGAGGCATTTTCTTTTTTTTGCTTATTGAGACAGTCTCGCTCTGTCGCCCAGGCTGGAGTGCGGTGGCAGGATGATCTCGGCTCACTGCAACCTCCGCCTCCCGGGTTCAAGGGATTCTCCTGCCTCTGTCTCCCGTGTAGCTGGGACTACAGGAGCACACCACCATGCCTGGCTAATTTTTGTATTTTTAGTAGAGATGGGGTTTCACCATGTTGGCCAGGCTGGTCTCGAACTCCTGGCCTCAAGTGATCCACCCACCTCAGCCTCCCAAAGTGTTAGGATTACAGGCGTGAGCCACAGCACCTGGCCCGAAGGAGGCATTTTCTGCCCACCATTCAGAAACATCTACTGTGGACTTTCCATAGGCAAGGTTTTGGGGTTTATCTATTAGAAGGGCTAGCAGGTTATAGCAGATGACACCTGGAAGTGTGTCTTCACTGGCACTGGGCGAGGCACTGAGAACAAAATGCCTCCCGAAAGAACCAGCCCCTGCCCTCGAGGGACTCGCAGCTTCTGGGAGACGGAGATACCCGGTATTCACACCAACGCTTAATGACCACCCCGCAAGTCCCACGAGCTCAAAGGACGAGTACTCCGAGGGCTTATTAAGCAAAGGCTACCTGGTACAACCGTGTGACGGGTAGACGACAGACATGTCACGCGCACACACCTGCTTATCAAGGAAATTACAAATCTGGAAGGACATGAGCAAAATACTAATATTTATGAGCTCACCTGTAATCCACCCACAGCCAATACACACAGTAAATCCAAGCTAGACAGAGCCTCGGCGATTTATTTCCCCTACATCAGCAAGCTTGTCCCTCTTCTTTATTATCCATCAGAATCTCCTAGATGATTTGCGTCTTTCCTTTGGCTTCAAGAAGGAGAGTTAAGACAGGGACAAATGGAAGCCTCCCCTCCTAATGTATGTCAGGGGTCAGACTCAGCACAAGATTCTTTTTTTTTTTTTTTTTTTGAGACACAGTCTTGCTCTGTCGCCCAGGCTGGAGTGCAGTGGTGCATCCTTAGCTCACTACAGCCTCCACCTCCTGGGTTCAAGAGATTCTCCTGCCTCAGGTTCCTAAGTAGTTGGGATTGCAGGTGCACGCCACCACACCCAGCTAATTTTTGTGGGAATTTTTTTTTTTTTTTTTTGAGACGGAGTTTCGCTCTTGTTGCCCAGACTGGAGTGCAATGGCACCATCTCGGCTCACCGCAATCTCTCCCTCCTGGATTCAAGCAATTCTCCTGCCTCAGCCTCCCAAGTAGCTGGGATTACAGGCATGCGCCACCACGCCCAGCTAATTTTGTATTTTTAGTAGAGACGGGGTTTCTCCACGTTGGTCAGGCTGGTCTCGAACTCCCGACCTCAGGTGATCCTCCCACATTGGCCTCCCAAAGTGCTGGGATTACAGGCGTGAGCCACCACGCCTGGCTAATTTTTGTATTTTTAGTAGAGACGGGGCTTCGCCATGTTGGCCAGGGTGGTGTCGAACTCCTGACCTGTGATCCTCTCACCCTGGCCTCCCAAAGTGCTGTGATTACAGGCATGAGCCACCGCGCCCCGCCTTGAGCCACATTTCAAACACTCAACAGCCACACATGCCTAGTGGTGGCCATGTTGGACAGCACAGATATAAAACATTTCTACCACCACAGGAAGTTCTAGACTCGCCATGGCATCCCTGATTGGCCAATCCAAAGGTAGGCAGGCCTGTAAAATCTGTCCACACCACAATTTACAGAGAAAAAGAGAATTGCAAAGGAAGCTGGATATTCTAGCAAAATCTTCTTGCAGGTTAGGAACCAAATTAGGGCTGCAAGTGTTCCCTGGTTAATATGGACTCCAACCCGAGGGAGGTGGATATTCTTAACGGAAAGATGTTTTCATCAAGCGGCGATGAATCACTGTTCCCAATGCCAGGGCTGTACAGCCAAGCAGACAGAATGGCTCCATCCCAAGGGCAGAGGTAGCGGACACAAACTTTGCAGTTCTCCTTCTTCTGGAGCCTCATGGCTAAGGCCGGCCTGTTCTGTTGTCTGGCAGTATCAGCTATCATTTTAAACATTCTTTCAAAGCCAGCTCCAAAGAGTTTACAAATCATTTTTCATTGACTAAGTTCCAGCCACAGCTTCTTGGTAAGGCGCAGGAGGTTCCCTAATTTCATCAGTAAACTGTATCCAAGTCACAGGATGGGAGGGTGTATTTCTGGGAAGGTAGACGACTAATCCCACCCGGGGCGGCTTGGGCATTTATCCGGGCGTCAGTTCCTCTGGCTCCTGGGTTTGGGGAATGAGACGGTCTCTGCTGACAGGCGCCCTGCAGCTCCCTGCTACTAACTGACCCCTGTGGACTCCCAGTCACCAGGTGAGACCCACACGGGTCATCCTACAGACAAGGCTGGCACAAAGCTCCAAATCTAGGCTATGATACTATTTTTGGGTTCCATATGCTGCCCCCAACAAAAACAAAAATAAAGACCAAGCCCCAGAATCCATTTGTGAGAGAGGGCACTGTTGGGGTCTGTGGGCGGGGCTGGGAGGAGCCTCTATCACAACTGTAGGTCTGGAAAAACAGTAAGGACCTTTCCCCCTCGTGATACAAATCACAAGAAGCAAAGCTTTTTCAGAACAGGCAGAAGATTGCTTTTATTCTCTGTGTACTGCTGATTTGCTGTGATTTATAGTGAGAAGGGAAAGAGAGAGAAATTTCCTCCAAGAGTTCCTATCAGACTGGGGAGGGAGAAAATGAATTTTTATGTTTATCCAAAGTGGCATAGTTTTTCAGAAAGTCTGCTTATTTTGATGTAAATGTTCCAAAGTAAAAAATAAAATAAAACAAAAAAAAACCTAGAAAAGTTTCATGAAAAATCCCACACAACAATGTCTCCATACAAACACATTCTGGCTGGGCGCGTGGCTCAGGCCTATAATCCCAGCATTTTGGGAAGCCCAGGTGGGAGGATCATGTGAGCCCAGGAGTTCAAGACCAGCCTGGGCAACATAGTGAGACACTGGTCTCTATAAAAAATAATAAAAAGAAAATTAGCCAGGCATGGAAGTAGGCACTGTAGTATCAGCTACTCAGAAGGCTGAGGCAGGAGGATCGTTTGAGCCCAGGAATTAGAGGCTACAGTGAGCTGTGATCATGCCACTGTACTCCAGCCTGGGCAACAACCCCTTGTCTCTACAGAAAAAAAACTTTTGTTATTTTTTTAAAGAGATTATTTGAAGCCAGATGAGGTGGCTCACACCTGAGCACACTGGGAGGCAGAGGCTAGAGGATCACTTGAGCCTAGGAGTTCAAGGCCAGCCTGGGCAACAGAACAAGACCGCCTCAAAATCAAACAAAAAAACAAGACAAATTCTGTTACTGACTTTACTCCAGGACTCACCTGGGACACCCCAACCCTGTCCCACCTCCCCCATCACTCTGCTGTTCTCCAGGGGAGGGGACACCCATATCCGTGGCTGAAAGGCCAAGGGCACCATCAGAGAGCGGCTTGGGCGACAGAGGCCCCCAGGGAAAATAACGGCAGTAACTAACAGGATGAATCGTGCCACCCTAAATCATCAAAAAATTACTGTACATTTAAAAAAATATACTAACTGTAGCCAAGTCATATCACAACATGCTAATAAGGCCAATGACTAAATTATATAACTTTATTTCTATAAAAATATGCTTTTGCTGTGAACCTAAAACTGCTCTATAAAAAGTCTATTTAAAATATGCTGTGTCACTCAACTTTTAAAACAGCTTTAAAAATTAACTGACTACAAAAAGCCTGTTCCTATAAAAGATTTCTGTTTTTAAAAACAGAGTTTATTGGGTTCGAAGGGATCAAGTTTAACTATCAGCTGAACCTCAGGATAAAACAGACTTTGTTTTTTATAATTAACATTAGAAGATCTGCATAACTCAATCAATATTCTTGCCAATGGCCAATGTATGATGTTACAAAATCACACAGGGGTGGCAAAGGACTCATTCAAAATGAAAGAGCAATAGGTTTTAACGTAACACAGTATAAAACATCTACGGATATTATAGCAGAGGATGACTTAAGGATATTATAGCAGAGGATGACTTAAGGATATTATAGCAGAGGATGACTTAAGGCCAGGAGTTTGAGACCAGTCAGGGAAACGCGGCAAGACCCCATCTCAACCAAAAATAAATAAATAAATAAAAGAAATTAGCTGGTCTGGTGGTGCTCACCTGTGGTCCCAGCTACTTGGGAGGCTGAGGCAGGAGGACTGCTTGAGCCCAGGAGGTCAAGGCTGCAGTGAGCTATGATTGCACCACTGCACTCTAGCCTGGGTGACAGAGCAAGACACTGTCTCAAAAAAATAAATAAAAAAAAAGAAACTACCCAGCCGGGTGCGGTGGCTCAAGCCTGTAATCCCAGCACTTTGGGTGGCTGAGGCAGGCGGATCACCTGAGGTCAGAAGGATGACCTGAGGTTAGGAGTTCGAGACCAGCTGGCTTACATGATGAAACCCTGTCTCTACTAAAAATACAAAATTAGCTGGGCGTGGTGGCACATGCCTGTTTATCCCAGCTACTCGGGAGGCTGAGGCAGGAGAATTGCTTGAACCCAGGAGGCGGATGTTGCAGTGAGCTGAGATCGTGCCACTGCCCCTCCAGCCTGGGCAACAGAGCAAAACTCCGTCTCAAAACAAAACAACAAAAAAAGAAACTACCCCTTGTCAGGTTTTAGTGAGGTCTCAAGGAACATCCACAATATCTGAAAAGGCTACAAAAATACTCCCTTTTCCAACTACGTATCTGCAGGAGGCTGGCTTTTCTCCATGTACTTCAGCCTGAACACGCATCACAGCCGACTAAAAGCGGAGGCAGCCATGGATTCCAGCTGTCTTCTATTAAGCCAGACATTACAGAGTTCTACCAAAAAAACTCTTATTCTTTTCTTGGGGTGGGGGTATATAGTTTTTTTTTCATAAAAATATTTTTGAAATAGAGTTATTATTACCATTTTTGAGTAGATAAATAAATATGCATATTTTAATTTCTAATACGGTCAGTGTCAACAGATATAGCTCATATAAACCAAAGCTCTTTGGGGTCCCCAGTAATGTGTAGGAGTATAAGAGTATAAAAGGGCCCTGAGACTAAAACAAATCTGGGAATTGCTGGTATAAGCAGAGAATGTCCAGCAGCCATTCTGCCCAAAGAGAACCATGCCCTTTGACACTTAGGGGAACAGGTTAGAGGACAGCTTCATAATAACAGGGTCTCTGCTGAGGGGCAGGGCCTCTTGCCCTGGGTACACGGGAGCCACTGAGGTTTCTGGGCAGAGAGGCAACATGATCAGAGCTCAGCGTCCTCTGAGGAAACAGATGGAAGACAGTTCACCCCTTTCCCAGCAAGGTTAAATGCAGTACTGAGGGCAGACGAGATTCTTCTTAATCAAATCATGTATAATGGCCTGGGCTGGGCGTGGTGGCTCATGCCTGAAATCCCAGCACTTTGGGAGGCCGAGGTGGGTGGATCATTTGAGGTCAAGAGTTCAAGACCAGCCTGGCCGACACAGTAAAACCCCCGTCTCCACTAAAAATACAAAAATTAGCTGGGCGTGGTGGCAGGCACCTGTAACTCCAGCTACTCGGGAGGCTGGGGCAGGAGAATCGCCTGAACCCAGGAGGCGGAGGCTGCAGTGAGCTGAGATTGCACCACTGCACTCCAGCCTGGGAGACAGAGGGAGGCTCTCTGTATGTCTATTGATCAGTTTGTCTACTTCCTGAAAAGTATTCTTAGGAGAGAAAAGCTACGCTTTGCAAGCAGTTCATGATTTAATGATGAAACTGTTATGTTTAAGTAAAGCAAAACATGCCCAAACTCATCTTCACAGCATCCGAGGAAAACATACATCATCAACACTGTAGAAATGGGTCAGGTGAGGCGAGTTCTTGAACCCTGGTTCCTCCGATTCCTGGCAGCACGCCACACGCCTTCTTGGTTACGCACATTCTGTTTTTTATCCTTTTTAATTACCCGGCAACATTTTACCAGGAAACTAGAAACTCGTGAAAAGTAATAGTCGCAATGAAAATTAAGTACAAGATCGCCCAACAAGTCACGATGCAGGGGCCTATTTCCAGGAAATCAAACTAAAAGCATTTTATATAATCCTCTCATTTTAATATGAAATGCTTTAAATGTAGGGTAATTATGGAAATGAGGCATTGCTGCAATTTGAGTTGTCATTAATTTAGCAAGTTTATCCTCTGACATTCACAAGATGCAAAAACAGCAAATCGTAAATTACTCTATCTCCAAATCAAATGCTTTAGTCTCATTTCAGCACAAAATTTTAAACATAGCTGCGTCTTTTTCAAAAGTACTAAATATGAACACCACTACATCCTACACTTTTAGCACCCACAAACCCTTTTTCTCCATCAGTATGACAAAGGCTTTCATGCAAATATTCTAAATTCAGTTCAATAATACTACACGACAACACCCTCCTCATAGACTGACTTTTAAAATTCTATGTAAGTTTTCTTAAATGGGCGGCAAGCCCAAAAAATTCAGCGTACACCAAATACTAGAAAGTGGCTCATAGTTTTAACTCGACCCAATGTACTTGCTACTTGCCCACAAAGCTTTTTAAAGTAACTTTAACCAGTTGACAGTCTAACTTGGAACAAATATATGTGATACACAAAAACTGCCAACTAGCAAAACACTAAGAATAAAGCCTTTATTTGGAGATGCCGCATTTCATTTCTTGGCTATCAAGATACAACCGGACTGAAACTAAAGCTTCACCCCGTTCCGCGAAGCGGCTCCCCCTCCAACCTCTGCAGCAGTGATTGTTCTCCCCAGCTCCGGTTCAAAACCATCACCCAACGGGAACATTCCTTCCTTCAGCAGATCCTGCACCTGGATCTGCTCCTCTCCAGTCCTGGGGCCACCAGGTCTCAGGAGTCGGACCTGATGCCCGTCTTTGTCTCCTCTGTGGCTTCCTTCACTAACAGACCAACCCTCCCTAATCACAGCTCTTCCCTTCGCCTTTGGCACTGCAGGCTGATCCTTCACGTGGAGAAGCGAGACAGCACCACCTGAGTTTTCACGTCTACTCGCTGGAAAGAGACTGATCTGACACCCTTTCTTGTCCCAAGTGCAAAGCCCAGCTCAGCACATACGCCCACTCCTGCACCAGCCAAGCGTGACCCACCCAGGCGCTGGGTCACCTAAGGGGACTGGGTGAGGGCAGTGACAAGGGTGGGAAAACCCCAGGAGAAGAGGAATGCCGTCACTGTCCTTGATGCCACGTAGTGGGGCATTCGACTTCCCCAGGTCTGGGGCACTTTTCCCATTAATTTCAAGATAATGTCACATCAATCTGTAACTAATTTTATGATGGTTATACAACGTATAACTAATTGTATAACTAATTCCATATTCTTCAAGTGACTAGTTGGAAATAGCCATGAGAAACTGGCTTCCGTATGTTTTACTTATTAATTATTTTTCAGGTCAGACAGGTAACATGCGACGTCGTAACAAGGTTCCAGGGTGGCACATCTCACTCGCTGCATGAAAACACCCAATTGTCATGCTCATGAACAACAAAAGGATCTCCGGATGTTTTTATAGGGGCTAAAACGTTTATGTAGTAAAATGCTTTGCTGGTTACAATTACTTTTTCTGCTGGCACATATGCAGAGGCTGTGATCCATAACACCTGCCACTCACAATACGCCTCTCAGCAGATGGAGCATGGCAACCCAGCCACGTATCCGATGCTGGCAGCCAAAATGAACCACAAAAAAGTACCGGTGGCCGGGTGCAGTGGCTCACATCTGCAATCCCGGCACTCTGGGAGGCTGAGGTGGGCGGATCACCTGAGGTCAGGAGTTCAAGACTGGCCTGGGCAACACGGCGAAACCCCCTCTCTACTAAAAATACAAAAATTAGCCAGGCGTGGTGGTGGATGCCTGTAATCCCAGCTACTCAGGAGGCTGAGGCAGGAGAATTGCTTGAACCTGGGAGGCAGGGGGTTGCAATGAGCCAAGATGGTGCCACTGCACTCCAGCCTGGGTGACAAGAGTGAAACTCCATCTCAAAAAAAAAAAAAAGTGCAGGTGAGAACAAATTAAGGGATCCAAGGCAATGACCACCAAAAGCTGCTAATGTTACAAATTGTGGGGGACACCCAGACATTTTCACCTCTGCGTGCACCACCACCTAGAAGGCAGTTCTGGCAAAAAAGCAAAACAAAACACTTGAGTCTGATGGAATCCCCGGGTCTAGTAACCAGTTTACAGGAATGACAAGGGGGAGGGACACAGTGAATGGATGCTGGCAGAATCCAATCTGTAAAGGCAGGTGTGGGGAACTACACAGGACAAGTGACTCCATGAGAAAAAAGCAGAGGGTGCCGGGCGTGGGGGCTGCAATCTCAACACTTTGAGAGGCTGAGGCGGGCAGATCACTGGAGACAGGACTTCGAGACCAGCCTGGCCAACATGGTGAAACCATATCTCTACTAAAAATTAGCCAGGTGTCGTGGCGAGCGCCTGTAATCCCAGCTACTTGGGAGGCTGAGGCAGGGGGAATCGCTTGAACCTGGGAGGTTGCAGTGAGCCAAGATAGTGCCACTGCACTCCAGCCTGGGCGACAGAGCGAGACTCCGTCTCAAAAAAAAATAAAAATAAAAAAAAGAAAAGAAAAGAAAAAACAACCATGCCGACAGTAAGAGAAACCTATGCACTGATTATTTGAGGACAGTAAGAAATTATTATTCATTTTTTAGGTGTGATAATGACACTGTGGTTTTTTTTTTTTTTTTAAGAATTCTTATCTTCTAGAAATTTTGGTTGAAATATTTATAGACAAAGTAAGATGACATCTGTGATTTGCTTCTAAAGAACTGGGGCGAGGGGGAAAGGTGAATGGGGGTGAAGATAAAACAAGCCTGGCCACAAGATGATAGCTGCTGAAGCCGGCCACAGCCATGTGGAAGCTTGTTACTCTATGTCTATGTTTGAAATTGTCCATGATAAAAAGTATGTATTTAAAAAAGCAGCTGGGCATGGTGGCTCATGCCTGTAATCCCAACACTTTAGGAGGCCAAGGTGGGAGGATCGTTTGAGAGCAGGAGTTCCAGACTAACCTGGGCAACATGGTTGAGACCCTGTCTCTACAAAATTAAAAAATAATTTTAAAAAGTAACCACATTCACTTCAGAAAACATGGAAAACACAGAAAAGTATAAAGAAAAAAAGACACCCATATGAATCTTACCACTCAAAGTTACCACAAACAGAAGTCTTGTTCTCATTGTAATTATTCAAGCCATCCACATTTACTATAAAAATACTGGGCGAAAAGGCTTTAGAGAAAGAGGGAAGAGCAAGTATGGGATATGCACAGGGTCTCAGGTTCATGAGGAAAACAAATTTTTTGAATTTTGAATTGGGTAAATGAAATTCAAAATTAAGTGGCATCAAGAATTCAGTTGGGGCCGGGCGTAGTAGCTCACGCCTGTCATCCTAGCACTTTTGAGAGGCCAAGGCGGGTGGATCACCTGAGGTCAGGAGTTCCAGACCAGCCTGGCCAACGTGGTGAAACCCCGTCTCTCCTAGAAATACAAAAATTAGCCAGGCGTGGTGACGTGCGCCTGTAATCCCAGCTACTCAGGTGGCTGAGGCAGGAGAATCGCTTGAACCTGGGAGGCGGAGGTTTCAGTGAGCTGAGATCACACCCCTGCACTCCAGCCCGGGCAACAGAGTGAGACTCCGTTGCAAAAAAACAAAAACGAAAACGAAAACAAACAAACCAAGAATTCAGTTGGATACATTAACTATGTAAAAAGGAAAAAAAAGGCCGGGCGTGGTGGCTCACGCCTGTAATCCCAGCACTTTGGAAGGCCGAGGAGGGTGGATCATGAGGTCAGGAGATCCAGACCATCCTGGCTAACACGGTGAAACCCCGTCTCTACTAAAAATACAAAAAATTAGCTGGGCATGCTGGCAGGTGCCCATAGTCCCAGGTACTCGGGAGGCTGAGGCAGGAGAATGGTGTGAACCCGGGAGGCGGAGCTTGCGGTGAGCCAAGTTCGCGCCACTGCACTCCAGCCTCGGTGACAGAGCAAGACTCTGTCTCAAAAAAAAAAAAAGAAAAGAAAAAAAATTAAGTGGCATCAAGAATGACAGCACACACACACATGTGCACACACACACCTCACCCCCCTCCCCATAACCGAAGAAGGCTGTCTGAATTCCCCCCCATGACAGGCTCATGGTCCTTTTAGGACACCAGACTAAATCGATGACGCCGTTTTTCTCCTACAGAAGCTGCAAATTCATGTGGTCATTAATTTGTTCACTCAACAAACAGAACCCAGTTGTTGCATACCTAATAGGAGCCAGTGCCTGCACTAGGTCTCTGGTGAAACATCATAAATTCTCGGCCCCAGCCACAGGGAGCTTATGGTCTAGAAGAAACGCTATCACGGAGACCCGGGCAGTTCCTCCAAGTCAACACCAAGCAAAGCTGAATCAGAACCCACGCACACTCCCCCTGTGCCTGGGAGCTCTGGCGAGATGCTTACCCACCAGGCGTAGTGTCACCCAGTAGAGCAAGATCAGCTCTAAGCTGGGTCACAAGTCTTTTTTTTCCCCCACCAATAATTAAAAATATTGAAGATTTGGAATTACGTACTTCCAGTAACAAATAGGGGTTGAATTCTGGCATCCTTCCTGAGTGGGAGCTCTACTGGAAGTGTGTGTGGCATGTACCTGTCCCAAGGTGAAGAGGGTGGCCCCGGACAACACAGCTTTGGAAAATGGTGTGGGCACCAACACAACATAGACCTCCCACCAAATCCAAGCACGTCCAAGGCAATCACATTCCAACACAGCAAGAGAATCTGTAGTTTACAGTAAACAAATTCACAATTTCCAGTAGCAGTGGCAATACCAGGTACCAAAGCCGGAGAGAAAACAGACACAGTAATTCCTGACATTCGGTGATGAATTTCCCATTCAGGGTGACAAAAACTTACGCATCTAACTTCCTTGCGCTGAAATCCTTAAAATTTCTTAATGACTTTCAACATAATAGGCTTAAGAATCGTTTTTTGGTTTTTTTTTTTTCATTTTGTTTTTTATTGAGATGGAGTCTTGCTCTGTTGCCCAGGCTGGAGTGCAGTGGCGTGATCTCAGCTCACTGCAACCTCCACCTCCCGGGTTCAAGCGATTCTTCTGTCTCAGCCTCCCAAGTAGCTGGGACTACAGGCGTGATCCACCACGCCAAGCTAATTTTTGTATTTTTAGTAGAGACAGGGTTTTGCCACATTGGCCAGGGTGGTCTTGAACTCCTGAACTCAAGTGATCCACCCGCCTTGGCCTCCCAAAGTGCTGAGATTACAGGCGTGAGGCTGTAGTCCAGGCTTAAGAATCTTTACCTAACCAAATGTAGTCCAGGCTTAAGAATCTTTACCTAACCAAAAAAGTTTATGACAGCCTGTTCTACATATGTGACTACTTAGGTGTAAGTTTTCTAAAATTAAAAAAAAAAAAAAAAAAAGTGAGGCCGGGCGCAGGGGCTCACGCCTGTATGCCTGTAATCCCAGCACTTTGGGAAGCTAAGGCAGGCAGATCACGAGGTCAGGAGATCGAGACCATCTTGGCTAACACGGTGAAACCCCATCTCTACTAAAAATACAAAGAATTAGCTGGGCGTGGTGTTGTGCGCCTGTAGTCCCAGCCACTCAGGAGGCTGAGGCAGGAGAATCTCTTGAACCCGGGAGGTAGAGTTTGCAGTGAGCCACTGCACTCCAGTCTGGACAACAGAGCGAGACTCCATGACAGAAAAAAAAAAAAAAAAAAAAGCAAATAGCTCTTTTCTAGGAGGGTGGACATGGACATCCACTTAATGTTTTTCCTTCTGCACATTTGCTTTGTTCTTGTAAATTTTACATTGCTGCCTACATAGATATTGCTCACATGTGCAGGTGAAGTCAAATAAAAACAGACAGGCGCAGTGGGCCAAGCACTTCACGCACATCTAATGCACCAAGTCAGCGGGCGGGCATCTGTGTAGCCTGACAGCCCCACCACAATGCCTGGTAATGCACCCACCGAGAACACGAGCTCCCTGGAGCATAAATGTGCAAGGACTGTATACACCGATAACATTTCATAAATAACAGGCTTGCTACTGGCCTATTCGTAGACGATCTGAGGTTGAAATTTTTTCCCCTTGAATTACAAAAAAAAAATACCGTGAAAGCCTCCTTCAAGATTCACTAAAGCTGGGCCTGACTCAGGAGTGCACCTGTTTCCACGGCAGGGGCAGGAAACCTGAAAACAAGACTTTAATGGAAGTACTTAGTGAACCTGAGTTATATAAAGGTGCGTCTGTAAAGCAGGCCTCTAAGGGGGGCCTGGGGAGCCTACCTGTCATTTTCTTACTGGAGGGGAGAGTGGCCAGGAAATGCATTTAATGGCCCCAAACGGAGAGAGTGTATTGGTTATGGAAGAGAGAGAACACACTAATATCTGAGGCAAAGAACAAATTTGTTATCTCCTGAGTTCTGATTTTACCAAAATGCACACCTTTCAGCACGGTTAGAAAAAGGTATACTTCCCCTCTCACGCCCCAAGGGGGAGTGAGTCATTGTTGATGTTGCATTTTAAATTATTCAATGCGATATCTGTAACCAAACATGCCAAGACTAAAAAAGGGGAGAAGTTTACAGACACAAACTTTGGGCCCTGGGAATTACCCCAGCAAAAATTCCCCAGACGCAAGGCGTTTATAAAAGGGAGTAATTAGACAGACAACCCTGAACAAGAACCACATTGAAGAAATATAAACACTGGTGATGAGTTAGAGGCAATCACTAAATAGAAAAAGAAAGTGGCTCCAGAGGAAATGAGTAATTAAACAGGCTTTCTCCTGATCAACAGACCTTGAGGTCCGGGGCAGAGCAGAGGGTGCGGAGGGCAGTGGAGCTGGAAAGGAGGGAACCGGAATGGGCGGGAGGTGACCACGGGATGCTACCAAAGGCACCGACAGGCCTGGGCAGCCGTCCAGGCCCAGCTGGGTCTCTCTGCCCTGGTGACCTCGGGCCCGGGGGAATCTAATTTGATCTTGGGGTCCCGCTACTCCATCCAAGGAGCACTAGTTGGGGATGTAAACTGAGGCACAGGCTTCCTGTCCTCGCCCCTCCCCGCCAGGCCTCTGCTCCTTCAGCACAGCCCACACTCCTAGGGACCTCGCACTTCCCGGAGCAACACCCTCCCACTGTCCTGGGTGAGTGTGTTGGGGTCCCCCAGGACCCAGACTGGATGGGGTGGGGGTGGCCCAAGGGTCCAGACCAGACAGGGTCAGGGGTAGCCACTGGGGTCCAGGACGGCAGGCATCAGGCACTGGGGTGACTTGAGGCCCTGGCTGGTGGGGGTCGGGGGTGGTCCTGAGAACCAGGTCAGGCTGGGGTGACCCTGGAGTCCAAGCTGGTGGGGGTCCAGGGTGACCTGGAAGGGTTGAGGGTGATCCCCAGGCCCAGGCAGCAGGGACTGGGGTCAAGGTGACCTCAGTAACCCAGCTGGGTGGAGCTGGGGTGGGAGTGGCCCTGCGAGCCCAGGCTTGTGGGGTTAGCGGTCAGGGGTGACTCCGGGGGGGCCTAGGAAGTGGGGGTCGCGGTTAACCTTGCGTGTTTAGGCAGGGTAGGGACGTAGATGACCCCAGGGATCCAGGCCAGTGGGAGTTCAGAATGACCCCGGAGTCCAGGCCGATGGGAGCTGGGGAGCAGCAGGGATCTGGGTCAGGGGTCTAAGAGGCCCAGCCAGATGGGCTTGGGGTATGGGTGGCTCCAGGAGCCCAGGCCGGTGGGAGATGAGGTCAGGGGTGACCCCAGGAGCCGCAAGGTGTGGGTCAGGGCTGACCCCAGAGTCCAGGCCGGTGGGGGTCGGGGGCGACGGGGTATCCAGACCGGGGAAAGTGGAGGAGATCCTCAGGCTGGAGCCTCCAGGATCGGGGTCGGGGTGATCCTAGGGAGCCAGGAGGCGGGGGTCGGGGTTGACCCCGGAGTCCAGGCCGGTCGGGGGTTACCGGGGGTGGGCCGGGGGGTGGGGGTCGAGGCCGAGGAAGCTGGAGGGGGATCCCCAGGCCCGGGCCTCAGAGATCGAGGTCGTGGGCGAGCCCCGGGTGCGGGCGGCGGGGGTCGCGGGGCCACTCACTGCTTGGGCAGCTGCAGGGCGGGCGCGCCGCGTCTCTGGAAGGCCCCGTCCACGAAGACGCCGTTCTTGCCGAGGCAGCGCAGGTAGAAGTGCGGCTCCTGGAAGCTGAGCTGCAGGTGGCGCCGCGAGATGAAGCTGGACAGGCCCATGCTCAAGTCCACCGAGCCCTGCGACGAGTTGCGGCCGATGGTGACGCTGGGCTGGCGCATGAGGAACTCGAACTCGCGGCCCTCCAGCCGCGCCAGCGCCGGCCCCGGGCTCTGCCGTACCGAGGCGGCCGCCGCGGCCACCAGGGCCGGCGCCGCGCCCGCGACCGCGGAGTCCCCGGATACCCCGGAGGAGCCCCCGGAGGAGCCCGCGCCCGCGATCGCGCCCGGAGGCAGCGGCGGTGGCGGCGGCGGCGGCGGCCCGGGCGGAGGCTGGGGCTGCGCGGGGGCCGGCGGGGGTGCGGCCGCGGGGAAGGCGGCGGCGGCGGCTGCGGCGCACAGCACTGGGCTGCAGGGCGCCGAGCGCAGCGCGAGCAGGGCGCGGGCGCCGCTGTCCTCGCCGACTTCGGCCATGTTCGCGCGGCTCCGAGCGGCCTCCGGCGGCGGCGGCTGCAGCGGCGGCGCGGGGGGCGGGGAGGTCGGGGCGCTGGGCGGGCGCGGAAACCCGGGCCAGATCGCGCCGGCGCGGAGCGGAGCCTCCCAGCCCACCGTGCGCCTCGCCTCGCCCGCCCGCCGGTCCCGCCCAGCGTAGCCCACGTGGCGCGCGCCAGCGCGGGGCTGGGGGCGAGGCCTGTGCCGGGAGGGCCGGCGGGCCCCCGGGAGAGCTGGGCCCGGCGCACCTCGTCCCCTCCCCGCGGGGCTGCAGGCGGCGGGCGCCCTTTCCTCCATCCAGGGGGAAGAGGGGACCCCTGAAATGCCCAGCCACAAAGTTTTGAGCCTGGGTCATTGGAGAAAGGGACGGATGACCTCAGCAGTCTCCCCGCCCCAGACACTCCAGGCCCCCAACCCTAAAGTGTAAGATAGACAGAAGATAAAATATATGTGTATTATATACAATACATATGTTTATATTCTAACCTCGCTCTGTCGCCCAGGCTGCAGTGCGGTGGCAAAATCATAGCTCACTGCAGCTTCCACCTCCTGTGCCCAAGTCACCCTCCTGCCTCTGCCTCACAAGTGCCACCACGCCCAGCTAATTTTTTTACTTCTTATAGAGACAGGGTCTTGCTATGTTGGCCAGGCTGGTCTCAAACTCCTGGTCTCAAGTGATCTATCTATCTCGACCTCCCAAAGCACTGGGATTACCCGTGTGAGCCACAGTGCCAGGCCTGATCATTCTTAAGCCCTCAGATTAAAGGTCATCATACTCTACTGTAACTGAAGACCACTTGAGATCCATCCCTGAATCCCTGATCCATCCTTCCTTCCTTCTTTCCTTCCTTCCTTCCTTCCCTTCCTTCCCTTCATTCCTTCCCTTCCCTTCATTCCTTCCTTCCCTCCCTTCTTTCCTTCCTTCCTTCCTTCCCTTCCTCCCTCCCTTCCCTTCCTCTCCTTCTTTCCCTTCCCTTCCTTCCTTTCCTTCCTTCCTTCCCTCCCTCTCTTCCTTCCTCCCTCCCTTTCCTTCCTTCCTTTCCTTTCCTTCCTTCCTTTCCTTCCTTCCTTCCCTCCCTCCCTTCTTTCCTTCCTTCCTTCCCTTCCTCCCTCCCTTCCCTTCCTCTCCTTCCTTCCCTTCCCTTCCTTCCTTTCCTTCCCTTCCTTCCTTTCCTTTCCTTCCTTCCTTCCTTTCCTTCCTTCCCTCCCTCCCTTCCTCCCTCCATTTCCTTCCTTCCTTTCCTTCCTTCCTTCCTTCCTCCTTTCCTTCCTTCCTTCCTTTCTTTCTTCCCTTCCTTCCTTCCTTCTTTTTTTTTTTTTTTGAGACGGAGTTTCGCTCTTGTTGCCCAGGCTGTAGTGCAATGGCGCAATCTCGACTCAACGCAACCTCCACCCCCTGGATTCA
Organism: Homo sapiens; assembly: GCF_000001405.40. Classification (NCBI taxonomy): domain Eukaryota; kingdom Metazoa; phylum Chordata; class Mammalia; order Primates; family Hominidae; genus Homo; species Homo sapiens. The sequence continues at coordinate 4,680,885 of NC_000007.14, read as the reverse complement.
AGCAATTCTCCTGCCTCAGCCTCCCAAGTAGCTGGGATTACAGTCATGTACCACCAGGCCCGGCTCATTTTGTATTTTTTTAGTAGAGATGGGGTTTCTCCGTGTTGGTCAGACTAGTCCTGAAAACCCGACCTCAGGTGATCTGCCCGCCTCAGCCTCCCAAAGTCCTGGGATTACAGGCGGGAGCCACCGTGCCCGGCCGCCTGCCTGCCTTCCTTCCTTCCTTCCTTCCTTCCTTCCTTCCTTCCTTCCTTCCTTCCTTCCTTTCTTTCCCTCCCTCCCTCCCTTCCTTCCTTCTCTCTCTTTCTTGTCTTTTTCTTTTGAGACAGGGTCTCACTCTGTCACCCAGGCTGGAGTGCAGTGGTACAATCATAGCTCACTGCAGCCTCAACCTTCAGGGCTCAGGTGATTTTCCCACCTCACCCTCCCAAGTAGCTGGGACTATGAGCCACCATGCCCGACTAATTTTTAATTTTTTTTTTTTTTAAGGCAGAGTCTTAATCTGTCACCCAGGCTGGAGTGTAATGGTGCAGTCTCGGCTCACTGCAACCGATTCTCCTGCCTCAGCCTCCCAAGTCGCTGGGATTACAGGCATCTGCCACCACACCCAGCTAATTTTTGTATTTTTAGTAGAGACGGGGTTTCAACCATGTTGGTGAAGCTGGTCTCAAACTCCTGACCTCAGGTGATCCACCTGCCTCGACCTCCTAAAGTGCTGGGGCTGCAGGCGGGAGCCGCCTCACCTGGCCTTTTTCAATTTTTTTATAGAGACAGGGTCTCATTATATTGCCCAAGTTGGTGTTCAACTTTGGGGCTCAAGCAGTCTGCCACCTCAGCCTCCCCAAATGCTGGGTTACAGGCGTGAGCCACCACGCCCAGCCTATCTCTCTTTCTTTCTGGAGCCCTTCACTCATTCAATATGCTAGATCCAGCTAAGACAGATCTGAGAGAATGCCCCAGAGAGAAATCTTAGCTGAAAACAGGGAGTGGCAAACGTGGGCATCATTGGGATCCCTTTCGGACTTCAGTAGCCTGGTCCTCCATTGCCAGTTCAGGTTCCCCTAAAAAGGCGGTGCAGTTTCCACATTTCCCTCATTTACGAATTATTAAGGGTGGGAAAGGAGACACAGTTCCCTCCCTGGTGGAGCTTATAGTTGAGGGGGAGATGCAGACATAAATCAAAGACACATCCTAGAAAAAGTAAAATCAAGTCACAGCTGTGATACATCCGGTGAGGGACTGGTGCATGGTGACGTGCAAGTGTAAACGAGAGACTGGGCCTGTCTAAGGCAGGAGCTTCCCTGACCTGCACACCCACGCTCCAGTCTGGGGCTGAAATAGGTATTAATCTCATCTCTCAGCCTTGAATATGTGCATGCAGAGATAAGTGTTTGGGAGGCAAGGAAAGCTTTTTTTTTTTTTTTTTTTTTTTTTTTTTGAGACAGAGTCTCGCTCTGTTGCCAAGCTAGAGTGCAGTGGTGCGATCTCGGCTCACTGCAACCTCTGCCTCCAGGGTTCAAGCAATCCTCCTGCCTCAGCCTCCCAAGTAACTGGTACTACAGGTGTGTGCCACCATGCCCAGGTAATTTTTGTATTTTTAGTAGAGATGGGGTTTCACCAGGTTGGCCAGGGTTGTCTCGATCTCTTGACCTCATGATCCACCTGCCTCGGACTCCCAAAGTGCTGGGGTTACAGGCGTCAGCCACCGTGACCGGCCAAGGAACGCATTTTTAGCAGGAGCAGTAACTTGAGTACCTGCTTGATTGAGGTGGGGGGGATGGTAAACAGAGTCAGGGGGCTCCTCCTTGAGGTCTAAGGGATGCCTGATTAGGGAAGTGGTGTGAGACTGTGAGGGTAGTGCCCCTGCCAGGGAACTCTGTGTGATACAGAAGGAAGTATGGGCCGTGGAGGGGTAGGCAGGTGGTCACTGTGTGTGGAACCGAGTGGCCATGTTCAGCTGAACCAGGAGGGAAGAAGGGCTGAGGTGGGTCCTATAGGATCTGGGGCTGATCCTAGAGCAATGGGAAGCCACTGAGGGGCTTTACGTGCAAGACAGCAGGCACACCGACATGCAGTATCTGAAATGCAATCACTCTAGCGGCCATGGGGATCCTGAACTGGAAATAGGTCAGAGTGATGGCGGAGGTTGCTCAGGAAGCTGGAGACCAGCGAGAGAGGTGAAAGGAGAGAGGTGCAGAGAAGCAGAGGGATGCAGGAGATACTGATTTCCTGCAAAGGCATTTACACACACTGTTGGTGGGAATGGAACACAGGGCAGCCTCTGTGGGAAACAGCATGCAGGGTCCTCAAAAAGTTAAAACGAGGCCGGGCCCAGTGGCTCTCACCTGTAATCCCAGCACTTTGAGAGGCTCAGATGGGTGATCACCTGAGGTTAGGAGTTTCAGACCAGCCTGGCCAACACGGTGAAACCCTGTCACTACCAAAAATACAAAAAAATGAGCCAGGCGTGGTGGTGGGCACCTGTCCCAGCCGCTCGGGAGGCTAAGGCATGAGGATTGCTTGAACCTGGAAGGCAGAGGTTGCAGTGATCTGAGATCATGCCATTGCGCTCCAGTCTGGGTGACAGAGCGAAGCTCTGTCTCAATAAATAAACGAATAAATAAATAAATAAACAAACTAGAGTTCCCATAAGATGCAATGCAGACTTCCACTTCTGGGTTTATACCCCCAAAGAATTGCAAGCAGGGTCTTGAAGAGATACTTGCATGCTATGTTCACAGCAGCGTTATTTATTCACGAGATCCAGAAGGTGGAAGCAATCCAAGTGTGCGTTTACCCCTGTGGTACCACATACAGTGGGGTATGATTCAGACTTGAAAAGGAAGGAAACTCTGACATACGTGACATGTGAAGTGATGAGCTTTGAGGACATTATGCTCAGTGAAATAAGCTGGTCACAGAAAGACAAATGTGATGTGATTCCACTTCTATGGGGTCCCTTGGTCAGTAAGATTCATAGAGACAGAGGGTAGAATGCTGGGTGCCGAGGACTGGGAGAGGGGAGACCGGGAGTTACTGTGGAATAAGGACAGAGTTTCTGTTGGGCAAGATGAGAACATTGTGGAGGTGGCTGATGGTGTTGATTGCACAGCACTGGGAATGTGCTTCATGCCACTGATCTGTGCACTTGAAAATGGTTCCGACGGCCGGGCGCGGTGGCGCATGCCTGTAATCCCAGCACTTTGAGAGGCCGAGGCAGGCAGATCACTTGAGCTCAAGAGTTTGAGACTAGCCTGACCAACATGGTGAAACCCCATCCCTACTAAAATACAAAAATTAGCTGGGCGTGGTGGTGTGCGCCTGTAATCTCAGCTACTCAGGAGGCTGAGGCAGGAGAATCACTTGAACCCAGGAAGCAGAGGTTTTAGTAAGCCAAGATTGCGCCACTGCACTCCGGCCTTGGAGACAGAGTGAGACTCGGTCTCAAAAAAAAAAAAATACGGTTAAGACGTTAAATGTTATGTTATGTGTATTTTACCACAATTGTAAAGAGAGAGATTTACATACAACCTCCTCATACGGTCTCTTCCTTTGGACTCCTTGAGATGACTTCTGACTTCTTAATGACAGATTTATTTAATGACAAGAGGCATGTATGTACTTCCAGGCACCATAGGCCTAACAATATTAAATGTAAATAATTGTAGGCTGGGCGTGGTGGCTCACGCCTGTAATCCCAGCACTTTGAGAGGCTGAGGCGGGAGGATCACCTGAGGTCAGAAATTTGAGACCAGCCTGGCCAACATGGTGAAACCGCGTCTCTACTAAAATATAAAAATTAGTCGGGCATGGTGGTTGGCACCTGTAATCTCAGCTACTCAGGAGGCTGAGGCAGGAGAATCACTTGAACCTAGGAAGCAGAGGTTGTAGTGAGCTGAGATTGCGCCACTGCACTCCAGCCTAGGCGACACAGCCAGACTCCATCTCAAAAAAAAAAAAAATTGTAGACTAGGCGAGGCGGCCCATGCCTGTAATCCCAGCACTTTGGGAGGCCGAGGTGGATAGATCATTTGAAGTCGGGAGTTTGACACCAGCCTGAGCAACACAGTGAAACCCTGTCTCTACAAAAAATACAAAAAATTAGCCAGGTGTGGTGGCGCATGGCTGTAATCCCAGCTACTTACGGGACAGAGGCTGGAGGATCACTTGAGCTCCGGAGGTCGAGGCTGCGGTGAGCAAGATCGCCATACCACTGCACTCCGGCCTGGGGGACAGAATGAGACCCTGTCTCAAAAAAAAAAAAGAAAAAAGAAAAGAAAAGAAAGAGGCTGGGCATGGTGGCTCAGGCCTGTAATCCCAGCACTTTGGGAGGGTGAGGGGGGACAGATCACGAGGTCAGGAGATCAAGACCAGCCTGACCAACATGGTGAAACCCTGTCTCTACTAAAATACAAAAAAATTAGCCAGGCATGGTGCCGTGCACCTGTAGTCCTAGCTACTTGGGAGGCTGAGGCAGGAGAATCGCTTGAACCGGGGAGGCAGAGGTTGCAGTGAGGTGAGATCGCGCCACTGCACTCCAGCCTGGCGACAGAGCAAGACTCCGTCTCAAAAAAAGAAAGGAAGAAAGAAAGAATTGTGCACAAACTGACAAACCTAGATGATGTTTTCCCCAAGGAGCAAAACACTGTACAATAATACTGCAAGGAGTTCACGAGGCCAACTCCCTGTGACCTTGGCAAGTCCAGGCATGGGTTTAATCATTTGCCATTCCTTTTTCCTTACGCAGTCAGTCATTGGATATATTGGTAGCTTCCACAGGGAAGGTTTAAAAAGGACCAGTAAAAAGGCATTGACCAACCAAGATGTTAGAAACTGAATTCTTCTCTCACTCTCTCCAGGTCCAGAGGGCATGTGAAAGCTGTCTCACAAAGCATGTGCTCAAAAAAAGAAGCATAGCTGGCCAGGTGGCTCACACCAGTACTTTGGGAGGCTGAGGCAGGAGGATTGTTTGAGTCCGTGAGTTGGAGACCAGCCTGGGCAACATAGCGAGACCCCCCCATCTCTACAAAAAAATACAAAAATTGGCCAAGCATGGTGGTGCACACCTGTAGTCCTAGCTACTCAAGAGGCTGAGCCTGGGAGGTCAAGGCTGCAGTGAGCTATGATCACACCACTGCACTCCAGCCTGGGTGACAGAATGAGATTCTGTCTCAAAACAAAAACAAAACAAAAAAAGAAAAGTAAAAAGGTTGCAGCCTGGCGTGGTGGCTCACGCCTGTAATCCCAGCACTTTGGGAGGCTGAGGAGGGTGGATTACCTGAGGTCAGAAGTTTGAGACCAGCCTAGCCAACATGGTGAGACCCCATCTCTACTAAAATACAAAATTAGTCAGGCGTGGTGGCATGCGCCTGTAATCCCAGCTACTCAGGAGGCAAGGCTGGAGAATCACTTGAACCCAGGAAGTGGAGGTTGCAGTGAACTGAGATTGTGCCATTGCACTTCAGCCTGGGTGACAGAGTAAGACTCCATTAAAAAAAAAAAAACTTGCAAAGGAAGAGTGAGTTAACCTTTTCAGGCTCCACCATACCCAGGCTCTTACCTTAGCAGAAGCCTGTGAAGCTGGTAGCAGAAACGAGAAGGAACGAAATTAACTCCAAGGCAGTAAGCCATCCACAAGACCACTACACGAAGTTAAGGCTGTGTGAAAGAGGGAGTTTATTTAATTTTATTGTTAAAGAGGCAATAAAATATCTAGAGAAACAGTCCATTAAAAAATTGGCAAATCCAGCCTGGCCAACATAGTGAAACCCCATCTCTACAACAATACAAAAATTAGCTGGGTGTGGTGGCGCATGCCTGTAGTCCCAGCTCCTCAGGGGACTGAGGCGGGGGGATTGCTTGAGCCTGGGAGGTCGAGGCTTCAGTGAGCCATGATTGTGCCACTGTACTCCAGCCTGAGCAATAAGAGCGAGACCCTGCCTCTAAAAATACATTAATTAATTTAAAAATTAGGCAAAAGATGTGAACAGATACTTCTCCAAAGAAGGTATATGGGACCAGGCACGGTGGCTCATGCCTGCATTCTGGGAGGCTGAGATGGGCGGATCACCTGAGATCGGGAGTTTGACACCAGCCTAGCCGACATGGTGAAACCCCATCTCTACTAAAAATACACACACACACACACAAATTAGCTGGGCATGGTGGCAGGCCCCTGTAGTCCCAGCTACTCAGGAGGCTGAGGCAGGAGAATCGCTGGAACCCGGGAGGCGGAGGTTGTGGTGAGCCGAGATCGTGCCACTGCACTCCAGCCTGGGCAACAGAACAAGACTCTGTCTCAAAAAAAAAAAAAAAAAAAAAAAGTATGGGTGACAAGCAAGCATATGAAAAGATGATCAATGTTATTATTAGGGAGCAACTTAAAACCACAACGAGCTATCACTACACACCTATTCACATTCCTTAGAAAACAAAACTGACAATAGCAACTGTTGGTGAGAATGTGGAGCAACTGGAACTCTCTTATGTTGCCAATGGCATGCAAAATGGTACAGCTAGAAGGGTGTGGGGGCTTGTGCCTGTCATCCCAGCACTTTGGGAGGCTGAGGCAGGAGGATTGCTTGAGGCCAGGAGTTTGACACCAGCCTGGGCTACACAGTGAGACCCCCATCCCTACAAAAAATGAAAAATTATCAGAATGTGGTGGAACATGCCTGTAGTCCCAGCAATGTGGGAGACCGAGGCAGGAGGACCCCTTGAGCCCAGGAGGTAGAAGCTGTAATGAGCTATATCTTGCCACTGTACGCCCGCCTGGGGAACACAGCAAGACCCTGCCTGAAAATAAATAAATAAATATTTTTCGAAAGATTAAAAAAAAATGTTACAGCAGCTTTGAAAAACAGCTTGGCAGTTTCTTATAATGTTAAGCTACACTTACCACAGGATCCCCCAATCTCATTCCTAGCTGTTTACCCAAGTGAACTGAAAACTTCATGTTGACACAAAAACTTGTACAAAAATGTAATAGTGGATTTATTCTTTTTCTTTTCTTTTTTTTTTTTCTTCTGAGACAAAGTCTCGCTGTCACCCAGGCTGGAGTGCAGTGGCGCGATCTCAGCTCACTGCAGGCTCCGCCCCCCAGGGTTCACGCCATTCTCCTGCCTCAGCCTCCCCAGTAGCTGGGACTACAGGCGCCCGCCACCTCGTCCAGCTACTTTTTTGTATTTTTAGTAGAGACGGGGTTTCACCGTGTTAGCCAGGATGGTCTCGATCTCCTGACCTCGTGATCCGCCTGCCTCGGCCTCCCAAAGTGCTGGGATTACAGGTGTGAGCCACCACGCCCAGCCACTTTCCTTTTTCTTGAGACAGGTTCTCACTCTGTCACCCAGGCTGGAGTGCAGTAGCATGATCATAGCTCACTGGAGCTTCGACCTCCCAGGCCCAAGCAATCCTCCCACCTCAGTCTCCTGAGTAGCTGAGACCACAGGCACATGCCACCATGCCCAGCTACTTTCTTTTTCTTTTTTTTTTCCGAGATGGAGTCTGAGTGATCTCACCTTACTGCAACCTCTGCCTCCCAGGTTCAAGCAATTCTCCCGCCTCAGCCTCCCACGTAGCTGGTATTACAGCCACTCACCATCATGCCCAGCTAATTTTTGTATTTTTAGTAGAGACGGGGTTTCAACATGTTGGCCAGGCTGGTCTCAAACTCCTGGCCTCAAATAATCTGCCCGCCTTGGCCTTCCAAAGTTCTGGGATTACAGGCTTGAGCCACCGCACCCAGCTGCAGCTAGTTTTAAAAACATTTGTTTTTTGTAGAGACAGGGTCTCACTATGTTGTCTAGGCTGGTCTTGAACTCCTGGGCTCAAGCAATCCTCTCACCTCGGCATCCCAAAGTACTGAGATTACACTCAGTGAATCGCAGTGCCTGGCCAATTTAAAAGCTTGTTGTTGTTGTTTGTTATTGTTGTTGTTGTTGTTTGAGACGCAGTCTTGCTCTGCTGCCCAGGCTGGAGTGCAGTGGTGGGATCTTGGCTCACTGCAACCTCCACCTCCTGGGTTCAAGTGATTCTCCTGCCTCAGCTTCTCGAGTAGCTGGGATTACAGGCGCCCGCCACCATGCCTGGCTAATTTTTGTATTTTTAGTAGAGACGGGGTTTCACCATGTTGGCCAGGCTGGTCTCGAACTCCTGACTTCAGGTGATCCACCCGCCTTGACCTCCCAAAGTGCTGGGATTACAGGCGTGAGCCACCGTGCCCTGTCAAAAGTTGTTATAAATCTTTAGAGAGACTGTGTTTATAAACCCAAAGCAAGGCCTAAGAGCTATGCCATGCAATTCAGAAGCCAGTAGCCATATACGACTACCTAAACTTATACTCTAATTAAAACTAGATAAAGTTAAACATTCCGCCCCTCCCTGGCAGGCACCACATTTCAAGTGCTTAGTAGACCCTTGTGGCTTCTCTTTGCTCTCTCATGGAGTCCTAGTTGCAAGGGAAGCCACGCTGTGAGGATGCTTAAGCAGCTCAGTAGAGAGGCCACATGACCTCCTGCCAATAACAGCACCAGGTGTATAAGGGGCCACCTTGGAAGCAGAGCCTCTAGGCTCAGGTGGCTAATGGCTACCGTATTGATCAGTGCAGAGGAAGAACACTTCCATCACTGCAGAAAGTTCTGTTGGACGGTGCTGCTCTAGAAAATGAGGTATAGCTGGGCTATTCCTCCACCTTGTCTTTCCTTTTTCTTCCAAAATCTAGGAATCACACCATGCACCATGTGCTGGGCACACAGTAGCTGTACAAGACCCACGAAGAAGCAATGATGGGGTCATTCTTCTGCCTTAAGCCCAAAGGGTCCTTGGTTTGACCATTGCTCCCAGGTGGACATATGCAAGGCAGCAGAATACAGCCCCATCACAAGAAAGGGTCTTTATGGAATTCCCTGAACCCCAGCGCTGGCTGAGTCTGAAAGCAGGCTGATGAAGCAAAGCAGAAGTCTCAGAATCTGAAATCTTTGAAGACCTGGAGCTCAGTAGCTATTTGGCGAATGATCGGGGAACTTGGACCATTCTTCTGTCTTCTCATCCTCTTCCTTTTCCTGTCCACTGAATGTCACCTCCTACGGCTTCTGTATCCTCCGAGGATCCTTCCTGTGTCCCCAGTCTTGCTTTCTGCCTGTTCACTGAGTCTCTAGAATTTCTCATCACACAGTGATGAAAACTCTGACCATTCCTGAAAAGTACTGCACTTTGCTATCATTGCAAAAGCAAGGAGACCAAAAGTGTGTGTGTGTGCATGTGTGCGTGTGTGTGTGTGCATGCATGTGTGCACACGTGTATGTGTGTATGTGCAGGCATGTGTGTGCCTGTGTGTAAGGCACAGAATTATCTCCTGTGGAAACACTTCCTTACCCATTCGAAACCATAGCCTAAAAATCTAAGAGAGATGAACCCTGTTTCCTCAGCTTGCTTCCAACAGGCGAACTTGCTTTTCTTTCACAGCCACCCTGTCATTTAGAACTCATACATATTTCTTAAACACCAATTCAGGAAAATATACATCTGACTCTGACACCACAGGAAACATGTTCAAACCAAAGCATGGGGAAAAATATTCCCGATGAAATATACTGGCGTTGGGACTTGGAAAAAAGATAGAAGTGTTGTATGTTACTCATTTATTGCTTCATGGCAAACGACTCCTCACCTAGTGGCTTTAAATGGTAAACATTTATCATCTCACAGTTTCTGTGGCTCAGAAGAAAAAATTTGGGAATAACTCAGCTGGGTGGGTCTGGCTCAGGGGTCTCTTGTAAGGTTGCATCAAGATGTTAGCTGGAGCTGAAATTTACCTGAGCCTGGAGGCTCCACTTCTGAGGCGGCCCCTTATACACCTGGGAAGTTGGTGCTGTTATTGGCGGGAGGTCATGTGACCTGTCCACTGGGCTGCTTGAGCATCCTCACAACATGGCTTCCCTTGCAGCAAGGACTTCGTGAAAGAGCAAAGAGAAGCCACAGGGTCTTTTATGATCTGGCCCCGGAAGTCTAGTTCTGCCTAGTGTTTACACAAGTCAGCCTAATTCAGTATGGGAGGGGACTACACAGGGGTGTGGATACCAGCAGGGGAGTTAATGAGGGCAGTTGATGTTCCATACATTTATTCAACAGCCATACAAAATACTAGTGATAACAATGGAAGCAATTTGAGTCAGTCCATCCCTAACCTGGATGGAGAAGTTAAGCAAAGCAGACTGAGATGCTTGCATCACTATCTTAAATCAAAGCAGCATGATGGTGCCATGGGAGGGGTGTAAATTTTGGAGGCAGCTTCATGATTAACAAGCTGTGTGACCTCAGACAAGTTATTGGCCTCTCTGGGCTTCAGTTTCCCTTACTATAAAATGAGGACTAAAATGGATGATGTTGGCTGGGTGCAGTGGCTCATGCTTGTAATCCCAGCACTTTGGGAGGCTGTGGCAGGGGGATTGTTTGAACCCAGGAGTTTGAGACCATCGTGGGCAACATAAGGAGATCTCGTCTCTACAAATAATTTTAAAAATTGGCCAGGTGTGGTGGTGTGTGCCTGTGGGCCCAGGTACTCTGGAGGCTAAGGCAGGAGGATCAGTTGAGCCCAGGCAGTCGAGGCTGCCATGAGTTGTGACAGCACCAGTACACTCCAGCCTGGATGACAGAGACAAATGCTGTATCAGAGAGAGGGGAGAGAGGGGCGGGGGGGAGGGAGAGAGAGAGAGAGAATGTCAGTGAGGGTGTGAGACACTTAGAAACTCACTCATGTTACCTCAAGACATGCAGCTTATTTGGCAAGAATGGATTTGGAGACAAGAAAAGCAAGAATCATCGTAGCCCAAACACCAGATTCACAGAAGCTCCCAAAAGCTGCTCAACTGGGAACCCTAGGACTGGACTGAGTTTGAGGACTGGACGTCCATCGGGATCCAGAGTTGCTCCGATGTCCACATCTCTGCCCTGTCTGGGGGCAGGGGATGATGATAATAATGATGATGGCAGACACGCGTATATCAAGCAGGTGCTGTGTACCAAGGCACGGCTCAGAGCATTTTGCAAGCATTCATCATTTCATCCTCACAACACCGTTATGAGGTTATAGCTATTACCCCGGTTTTATAAATGAGGACAATAAGGCATATTCAAGATTAATAATTGGTTAGTCTCTGGTACGCCCCCAGTCCATCCAGCCAGCTCTGGTAAGATAGTTTTCCTTGAGGGCAGGCCTTGGAAAGAATAGCAGAGCGCTCTGGTGTATTTCAAAATGTCTGTGTTCCGCTTCCCTCTGCTGAAGCATGAGGGTTTGGCTTTGTTTTTCTCTGATCTTTACTGTGAAAATCTGGTAGGGCTTCAAGAGAAAAACACAAAAGTATGAGAGCCCTCTAGGGCTGGGTCCCCTTGGAGATTTTAACACTCAGACTTGTCCATCCGGAGCCTCCAGGAATTCATTCGTTACTGCTTACGTTTTCCTACCCTGCTACTGGTTCCCATGGAATTTTTTTTTGTTTTTTTCCAGACAGAGTCTTGGTCTGTCACACAAGCTGGAGTGCAGTGGCGAGATCTCGGCTCACTGCAACCTCCCGCTCCCAGGTTCAAGCGATTCTCCTGCCTCAGCCTCCCAAGCAGCTGAGATTAGAGGCACCCGCCTCCACACTCGGCCAATATATATATAGATATATATCTATATATCTATATATATATTTTGAGATGGAGTCTCACTCTGTCACCCAGGCTGGAGTGCAGTGGCGCGATCTTGGCTCACTGCAACCTCCGCCTTCCGGGTTCAAGCGATTCTCCTGCCTCAGCCTCCCAAGTAGATGTACTACAGGCATGCACCACCACGTCCAGCTAATTTTTGTATTTTTAGTAGAGACGGGGGTTTCACCATGTTGGTCAGGCTGGTCTTGAACTCTTGACCTTGTCATCCGCCTGCCTCAGCCTCCCAAAATGCTGGAATTACAGGCGTGCGCCACCCCACCTGGCCTAATTTTTGTATTTTTAGTAGAGACGGAGTTTCCCCGTGTTAGCCAGGCTGGTCTTGAACTCCTGACCACAAATAATCCACCCATCCACCCACCTTGGCCTCCCAAAATGCTGGGATTATAGGCGTGAGCCACTACGCCCAGCTGAAATTTTTTTTTTTTTTTTGAGACAGGGTCTTGCTCTGTCGCCCAGGTTGTAGTGCAGTGGTGCAATGATAACTCACTGCAGCCTCCACCTCCTGGGCCCAAATGATCCTCCCATCTCAGCCTCCTGAGTAGCTGGGACCACAGGCTCACTCCACCATGCCCTGCTCATGGCTTGTGTAAGTCTTAATGTCCAAGGGGTTCTGGGAGTGTAGCTGTATCAGCCCAAGACAGGCCAGGAAAAGAAACACAAAGAATAGCTGACGATCCGCAGAGGCTCTGCCATGGGGTGCTGTGGTTTTGAGCCACAGAAACCAACCCCAGCCAACTTAAACAAAAAGGGAATGTATTAGCCTGTAGTTCACATAACAGAAGAATGCCAAGATTCAGGCTTCAGAAAAGACAGGAGTCAGGGCTGCTGTGGGATTCAGCAACAAAAACCCAACGCTGGTGTCTCAGGATGCCCCACGGGGATCAATCCGCTCTGAGCTCTTCCCTTCTTGCATCATTCTATACGAGACTGGAATCTGGAATCCCCGAGGGACCCCAAGCAGCGATCGGCTTAGCAGAGGTTCTGTGCCCAGGCCTGGGCTAAGGGTGGACCAGTGTCTATTACCTTGAGGGGCAGACTCTGGAAGGCTGCATGAGAAGGGCTGGCCGCTCCTTAAAGCAAAGCCTGACTCCTGTTAGCAGAAGGGGCAATGAATGCTGAGCAGGCGAAAACTAGATGTTCACTGCCTCATTCCAGCCAGATGTCGTCAGTGACCTGTGCTCCCGAGCTTCATTTTTGTTTTTTAAAAGACTCTTTAGTTTATCTTTATTTATTTATTTTAGAGATGGGGTCCCACTCTCTCACCCAGGCTGGAGCACAGTGCTGCGATCATAGCTCACTGCAGCCTTGAACTCCTGGGTGCTAGTGGTCCTCCTGACTACAGGCACGTGCCACCAGGCCCGCTAATTTGTTTTGTTTTGTTTCGTTTTTTGAGACGGCGTTTCACTCTGTTGCCCAGGCTGGAGTGCAGTGGCACGAACTCGGCTCACTGCAACCTCTGCCTGCTGAGTTCAAGTGATTCTCCTGCCTCAGCCTCCCTAGTAGCTGGAATTATAGGCATGCACCACCATGCCCGGCTAATTTTTGTATTTTTAGTAGAGACGAGGTTTTGCCATGTTGGCCAGGCTGGTCTTGAACTCCTGACCTCAGGTGACCTGCCTGCCTCGGCCTTCCCAAAGTGCTGGGATTAACAGGCGTAAGCCACCGTGCCTGGCCTAATTTTTGTATTTTTTGTAGAGATAGGGCGTCTCCCTATGTTGCCCAGGCTGGTCTCGAACCTCTGGCCTCAAGCAATCAATCCTTCCTTGGCCTCCCCAAATGGTGAGATTATAGGTGTGAGCCACCATGTCTGGCAGTTTGTCTTTTAAAACTTTTTTTTTTTTTTTTTTCTTTTTGAGACAGAGTCTTACTCTGTTGCCCAGGCTGGAGTGCAGTGGTGCAATCTCTGCTCACTGCAACCTCTGCCTCTCTACAAAAAATAAAAAAATTAAGCTGGGTGTGGTGGCTTATGCCTATAATCCCAGAACTTTGAGAGGCTAGTGTAGGGGGCGGATCACCTGAAGTTAGGAGTTCGAGACCTTCCTGGCCAACATGGTGAAACCCTGTTTCTACTAAAAATACAAAAATCGGCAGGGGGTGATATCAAGTGCCTATAATCTCAGCTCCTGGGGAGGCTGAGGCAGGAGAATGGCTTGAACCTGGGAGGCGGAGGCTGCAGTGAGCCAGGATTGTGCCACTGCACTCCAGCCTGGGGAACAGAGTGAGACTCCAGCTCAAAATAAATAAATAAATAAAATTTAAAAAAATTAGTTGGGTCTGGTGGTGTGTGCCTGTAGTCCCAGCTACTTGGGAGGCTGAGGTGGGAGGATCAGTGGAGCCCTGGAGTTCAAGGCTGCAGTGAGTTATGATCGCACCACTGCACTCTAGCCTGGGTGGAGACCCTGTCTCACCAAAAAAAAAAAAAAAAAAAAAAAGAAAAAAGGAAAGAAAAAAAGGATACCTCCATCATCCTAAAAATTTTCTTCAATTGAAGTCAATCCTCACTCCAGCATCTGCTTTCTCCTTGACTATTTCTACTTTTTTTTTTTGAGATGGAATCTCACTCTGTCCCCAGGGTAGAGTGCAATGGCTGGATCTCAGCTCACTGCAACCGCCATCTTCCAGGTTCAAGCCATTCTCCAGCCTCCCGAGTAGCTGAGATTACAGGCGCCCACCGTCACGCCCAGCAAATTTTGGTAGAATTGGTAGAAATTTTGGTAAATTGGTAGAAAAGTAGAAATGGGCCAGGCTCATGCCTGTAATCCCAGCACTTCAGGTGTCTCATGCCTGTAATCACAGCACTTCAGGAGGCCGAGATAGGTGGATTGCTTGAGGTCAGGAGTTCAGGACTAGCCTGACCAACATGGTGAAACCCCATCTCTACTAAAAATACAAAAATTAGCTGGGTGTAGTAGCACATGCCTGTAATCCCAGCTACTCAGGAGGCTGAGGCAGGAGAATTGCTTGAACCTGGGACGCGGAGGTTGCAGTGAGCTGAGATCATGCCATTGCACTCCAGCCTGGGCAACAGAGTGAGAATCTGTCTCAAAAAAAATTTTTTTTTAAATAGTAAAAAATAAAAAAAAAAGAATAAATCCACGACTCGATGGACACATGGATTGCTTCCAGTTTTTGGCCCTATGAATAATGCAGTTGCTATGAACATTCATAGACTAGTCTTTGACGTGTGTTTTCATTTCTCTCCAGTTAGATTCCTAGGGATGGAATTGCTGGGTTACATACTAAGTATATGTTTACCTTTTGAAGAAATTACCAGACTGCTTTCCCAAGCGGCTGTGGAATTTGACATTCCCAAGAACAATGTATGAGGGTTCTTGTAATTGCTTTTAGTCTAGGCTTCCCTGTCCATTTCCTTTTCTTCCCCTTTCAAGAAACTGGGTCATTTGCTCATTAGAGTTTCCCACAGTCTGACTTTTGCTGATTGCATCATGGTGGTTAAGTTCATCTGAACTCAAATTTTAAAAAATGGATTTCTGACTGCTTACTCAGATATATACATACAACAATATAAAAGTAGATCAGTAAATGAGAAAACAGAAAAACAGAGAAATACTGATCAAAAACGTAAGACTAAGCCATGCATATAGTGAGTACACAAAATACAAACCGTAAAGTTTAATGTAGTTGGGAGAGACGGATTCCAGTTTTGGTTCTGAGCTAACTAGCAGCCCAAACAAGGAAGGATACATGCTCACTTATGAGGTTAACTCTCCGTAAGATAAAAACAAGCTGATTGCTAAGTGGAAGCTACTTTTTTTTCCTGGCAGAGACCAAATAAAAATTTGTTTTTCCTTTTTTAATTTTAATTAGTTAATTAATTAATTTTTTTTTTGAGGTAGAAGTCTCGCTCTGTTGCCTAGGCTGGAGTACAGTGGAGCGATCTCGGCTCACCGCAACTTCCACCTCCCAGGTTCAAGTGATTCTCCTGCATCAGCCTTTCGAGTAGCTGGGATTACAGGCACGCACCACCACGCCCGGCTAATTTTTGTATTTTTACTACAGACGGGGTTTCACTATGTTGGCCAGGCTGGTCTCAAACTCCTGACTTTGTGATCCACCTGACTTGGCCTCCCAGAGTGCTGGGATTACAGGCATGAGCCACCTCACCTGACCTAATTTAATTTTTAATAATAGAGGCAGGGTCTTGCTATGTTGCCCATGCTGGTCTTGAACTCCTTGGCTCAAGCAATTTTCCCCTCTGAACCTGCCAAAGTGCTGGGATTACA
Source organism: Homo sapiens (assembly GCF_000001405.40). Classification (NCBI taxonomy): domain Eukaryota; kingdom Metazoa; phylum Chordata; class Mammalia; order Primates; family Hominidae; genus Homo; species Homo sapiens. The sequence continues at coordinate 4,664,935 of NC_000007.14, read as the reverse complement.
GGGATGAGCCACCGTGCCTGGCCAAAAGAAAAATTTGAATCATTATTCCTGCTTCTTTATTGAGGATGTGGGAGGAACTCATGGGAAAGACACCCCCATTGGTGACCAGACCAATGCACAGTGATGTTTGTTGAGAGACTTCAGCAGTGGAAATGGCAGTTGGTTTCTTTGGGATCTGATGAAAGAACCTAAAAAGTCGGGCTTCCGATTCCACGTCAAAGAAGGCAATTTTATTTATTGTATTTTATTTATTTTTTGAGATGGAGTCTTGCTCTGTCACCCAGGCTGGAGTGCAGTGGCACGATCTTGGCTCACTGCAACCCCTGCCTCCTGGATTCAAGAGATTCTCCTGCCTCAGCCTCCCAAGTAGCTGGGATTACAGGCACCCACCTCCACACTTGGCCAATTTTTGTATTTTTAGTAGAGACAAAGTTTCACCATGTTGGCCAGGCTGGTCTCGAACTGCTAACCTTAAGGGATCCACCCGCCTCGGCCTCCCAAAGTGCTGGGATTACAGGCGTGAGCCACTGCACCTGGCTACAGTGGCATATTATTTGGCAATTAACAGGATTGAAGTTCTGATGCATGCTACAGTATGAATGAACCTTGAAAATATTATGCTAAGTGAAGTAAGCCAATCACAAAGGACCACCTAGTGTGTGGTTCCATTTATGTGAAATGTCCAGAACAGGCAAATCCATAGAGACAGCAGATTAGTGGTTTCTTAGGGCTGGCTGGGATGGGGATGTGGGAGACGAAGGTGATAACTAAAGAGCGAGGAATTTCCTTTTGGTATAATGAAAACGTTGTAAGGCTAGGCATGGTGGCTCACGCCTGTAATCCAGCACTTTACGGGGCTGAGGCGGGCAGATTGCTTGAGTCGAGGAGTTCGAGACCAGCCCGGGTGACATGGCGAGACCCTCATCTCTAGAAAAATTAGCCGAGCCTGGTGGTGCTCACCTGTAGTCCTATTTACTTGGGACGCTGAAGCAGGAGGATCGCTTCAGCCCAGGAGGCGGAGGTTGCAGTGAGCCATGATCATACCGCCGCACTCCAGCTTGGGCGACAGAGTGAGACTCTGTCTCAACAACAACAAAAAAGAAAATGTTCTAAAATAAACTGTGTTGATGGATGCGCAGATCTGTGAATATACCAAAAGCCAATGCATTGTATATTTAAAATGGGTGATTTACATGATATGCGCATGTTGTCTCAGCTGTTAAAAGTTAGCAAAAATTTTGTAGGAACTAAATTCAGTGAAGCATAAGTTAAACCAACTTATTGGAATCATCTTTCTAGGTAAAGTCTGATTCATATGTTTTTTTTTTCCCCCACAAATCTCACAAAATTTCACAGAATTAAAACGTTTTGGTTTCCATTTTAAGTGGATTCATGGTAAGCAGCTTTTTAATGTAGATCGTAAGGTCCTGCCGTTTGTCACATCCTCTTACCCTGAAGTGACAAATAGCCACGTGTTTGAGAGGTGTGAGAACAGTGATAAGGAAGTCAGACCCTTCTCCAAAGAAACCAGTTTCCACGCATGGTGGCTCACACCTGTAATCCCAGCACTTTGGGCGGCCGAAGCCATAGGATTGCTTGAGGCCAGGAGTTCAAGATCAGCCTGGGCAACATAGGGAGAGCTCCGTCTCTTTTGTTTTGTTTTGTTTTTGGAGACAGAGTCTCACTCTGTTGCCCAGGCTGAAGTGCAGTGGTGTGATCTCGGCTCACTGCAACCTCTGCCTCCCGGGTTCAAATGACTCTTGTGCCTCAGCCTCCTGAGTAGCTGGGATTACAGGTGCATGCCACCCCTCCCAGCTAATTTTTGTATTTTTAGTAGAGATGGGGTTTTGCCATGTTGGCCAGACTGTTCTCATACCCCTGACCTCAAGTGATTCGCCTGCCTTGGCCTCCCAAAGTGCTGGGATACAGGTGTGAGCCACCGCGCCCGGCCAGACCCCTGAGTTTTAACTGTAGCTCCAACACTTACTAACTGCAAACCCTGGTCAAGTCACTTCATCTCCACGCGTGCCTCAGTTTCCCCACTTTATGTGAATCTGCAGTCTAACTGGGAGTTATATGTGTAAAAACTTGGTGCAGTGCTGTGAATATAAGCACAGTCTCAATGTATGCAGCTTATAATTAGGTTGAACCAGATACAACTGCCATTCAAATATGGTCAAATGTGAGGGCCGGGCATGGTGGCTCACACCTGTAATCTCAGCACTTTGGGAGGTTGAGGCGAGTGGATCACCTGAAGTCAGGAGATGGAGACCAGACAGGCCAACGTGGTGAAACCTTGTCTCTACTAAAATTACAAAAAAAATTAGCCGGGTATGGTGGCGGGCACCTGTAATCCCAGCTACTCGGTAGGCTGAGGCAGGAGAATCGCTTGAACTGGGAGGTGGAGGTTGCAGTGGGCCGAGATGGAACCACTGCACTCCAGCCTGGGCAACAGAGCGAGACTCCATCTCAAAAAAAAAAAAAAAAAAAAAAAAGGTCACATGTGGTTAATTGTCATTACTTTCATATGGCTCAACCTAAAATTATAATCAAAGCTGAAGTAAAAAAAAAACCAAGTGTGGGAGTTTAATTACAAATCTTCAGAGCTCTGAACAGGAAAGAAGGAATTACATGGAGACAAGGAGAGACAATGAAATTGGACATTAGTGAATTACATGCAAGATGTAGGAACTGCTTGTTTCTCATGCTACTCTAAATATATATATTCACATGTTCACTGTTTTGAAGTGAGAGGAAAGGAAAGAGGAAACGTAGCTTCCAACATCTATGAGGAAATTCGTATCCTAGAGAAGGAAATGGAATTTGAGAAGCCCTGGCTTCCAGCCCGTTGTTCGGCCGTTTATAAAAATTGTGGCTGTACTAAACATACACGGTGCTGTGGTGACTGAAAGCAGATGAGATGCAGCCTATTTTGTGTGTACCTTGCAGATATGCAGCCTCCAATGATGATGTGTTATGGGGAGGTCACAAAATATACGTGAAATCTACAAGGCCGAGCAGCCCTTGGCTGATACCTATTGATCATATTTTTCCCTCTGCAGTTTATCGTATTCATGATTCAAAGGAACAAACCAAGCTGGCCAAGAGAGTCTTCCAAAGTTAGTAAAAAAGATTCAATCTGTGAGACATAAGTTTGCCTCCCTCTTTTTATGTATATTAATGCCATACTGCCGAAGCACCTGGCTGTTGAAATGAAAGTGAGCCAGCATATGGATTTAACAGATTTGGAATCCTCCCAAACAAGCATTTTCTTACCAAGTCAATAAGAGTAAATGCAGGTACCAAAGGGAACCTAGAATAAAGACATCTAGGATAAAACAATACTTAATGCTTGAGAAAAAAAAACCAGATAAACACCAAATAAAAAAAGAGTACAGGACACAGGATTCTTGAACCCATCACAAAACTAAAACAATTTTTAAAAATTGCAATGGGGTCTTGCTATGTTTTCCAGGCTGGTCTTGTTTTGTTTTTTAAATTGAGATGGGGTCTTGCTACGTTGTCCAGGCTGGTCTCAAACTCCTGAGCTCAAGTGATCTGCCCACCGTGGCCTCTCAAAATGATGGGATTACAGGTGTGAGCCACCATGCCCAGCCAAAACTAAAATCTGCGCTAAAGTGTGTGTGTGTGTGTGTGTGTGTGTGTGTGTGTGTGTGTGTGTGTGAGACAGAGTCTCACTCTGTTACCCAGGATGGAGTTCAGTGACACGATCTCGGCTCACCGCAACCTTTGCCTCCTGGGCTCAAGCAAGTGGGACTACAGGCACATTCCACCATGCTCTGCCAATTTTTGTATTGGTTTTAGAGGCAGAGTTTTGCCATGTTGCCCAGGCTGGTCTCAAACTCCTGAGCTCAAGCAATCTACCCACCCCGGCCTCCCAAAATGCTGGGATTACAGGCGCAAGCCACCGCCCCCGGCCCAAAACTAAAATCTTACAACCAAAATTCCCACTAAGAAAGAGCCAAACATGACTGCAAACACAGAAATAAAAATAGTGCATATGTAAAATAGCCATGGTTCTATTTGGTGACCATTTTCACCCAGTAACTGGCCAAGACATGGTGGGAAGGTTTCCTGCATAAACCTCTCACCTTTGGAATATAATTAGTCATTGAAGATTGAAAATGCTAACATATGGAAATGGTTTTATTTCTTGGGTGCCAGAAATGAGTTTGAAAGAGAGAAACAGGCAGTGTATCCTATGGGGGCCACCAGCAGAAGACCTGGCTTCTTGTCACATCTCTAATGATAGCCATGTGATCTCAGGCAATGTTGCGGGGTGGTTAATGATTGCTATCTGGAGTTAAAGGGCAGGACCACCAGCTGCCTTTCCAATATCCATTCTGCCCTTCCTTCTAATTAACAGGACTCTGTTTTTGACTGGGGTGATAATGAGCCCTGCTAAAAACCTACATCTACGTATCCCAGCCTTCCTTGAAGCCAGAGGTGAGCAAAGTGACCATAGAAATAGCTACAGTCAATGTGTTTAAGCAGAAGTCACAGAGTTTAGGGTGACCAACTCATCCCTGTTTGCCCAGACTTTCTTGGTTTCAGCCACAAAAGTCCTGCATCCTGGGGAACTCTTCAGTCCTGCACAATCAGGGACAACTGGTCATCCCAGCGGAAAGCTCTTTGAAAGGGGCATATGTGGCTCTCAAACACCATTTCCCTCTCTTACTGCATGGGATGTCGGCTTAATGCTGGAGGTGACTATGAAGCAACAAGCATGAACTCAAGAGCCACCAAGTTATTTTAACAGAAAGAACTTGATCTAAAGAACCATTAGCTAGGTATAAAATTGTGACCTCTGTAACTGACACAGTAAAAACAGAATTCTAAATGTATCTTGGAGGTAGCAACTGGATGAAGTAGCTATTACCTGGTAGGGATGAGTGGAGGGAAGGCACCATGTGAAGAGGTTGGAATTATTGAAATTTAGGAACTTAGGGAAGCTGAAACTCTGATTTCTGAAGAGTGGGCTGGCAGGTGCTGGTGATGGTGAAGGGTCACAATGAGGCTATTTTTGTGAAGTGTTGGAAAAATGGCAGGCAGGATTTAGCTGCTGCTGCCAAAGGAAATGATGGTGCAAGGGTGAAGAAGTTTTGCTGGGAACCTTAAAAAGGGGCAGGAAACAGGTGGAGACCCAAAGGGGAGAAACAGGAAGGAGGAAATTCTTCCTTCCTGTTCCAGCCTTGAAGTCTTTCTCTGGCGCCACCTATGGCAAGAGCCTGAGAAGGAGCCTGCTGGGTAAAGGGAAAAGGGTGCTGAAGATCCCAGCCCCAACATCACAAAGCCTATTCCCAAAAGGGTCACAACTTAATAACTGGCATGTGTTCTCTCCCTTTTCCCTGAGAGGAAAATGCTATGCCAATGACTTTGATTATCGTTTCCTTGCCTTTCCTTAGACTTTTAGCACACACGCATGCAACCCTAAATAATGTGGTTTGATTTGAGCTCTTTTTATTTTTATTTATTATTATTTTGAGACATGTTCTCACTCTGTTGCCCAGGCTGGAGTGCAGTGGCACAATCTTGGCTCACTGCAACCTCCGTCTTTCAGGTTCAAGTGATTCTCCTGCCTCAGCCTCCTGAGTAGCTGGGATTACAGGCACGTGCCACCACGCCCAGCTAATTTTTGTATTTTTAGTAGAGACAGGGTTTCACCATGTTGGTCAGGGCTGATCTCGAACTCCTGACCTCGTGATCCACCCGCCTCGGCCTCCCAAAGTGCTGGGATTACAGGCGTGAGCTACTGCCCCCAGCCAGCTCTTTTTGTTTTTATGATTGGGTTCCTATTGTGTATGGTCTTTTATCTTTGGGCTTTGGGAATTGTTTGGAGATGCATCTATATTTTGATCCTAGCTACAGTCCATTCATTTCCAATGCTTTGCAGTACTCCATTACAGAAATATCCCATTCTTCAAGGGTCCCCAATCCCCACGCCCCGGACCGGGAATCAGGCCACACAGCAGGAGGTAAGAGGCAGACTAGCAAGTGAAGCTTCATCTGTATTTACAGCTGCTCCCCCTCACTCACATTACTACCTGAGCTCCGCCTCCTGTCAGATCAGCGGCAGTATCAGATTCTCATAGGAGGGTGAACCCTATTGCAAACTGCACATTCGAGAGATCCAGGTTGCACAACTCCTCATGAGAATCTAATGCCTGATGATCTCCCATCACCCCCAGATGGGACTGTCTCGTTGCAGGAAAACAAGTGCCTACTGATTCTGCATTATGATGAGTTGTATAATTATTTCATTCTATATTACAGTGTAATAATAATAGAAGTAAGGTGCACAATAAATGGAATGTGCTTGAATCATCCCAAAACCATCCCCCCCACTCTGGTCTGTGGAAAAATTGTCTTCCATGAAACTGGTCCCTGGTACCAAAAAGGTTGGGGACCACTGCCATACTTTATTCATTCAACTGGTGTTGGACATTTTCAGTTGTTACTCCATTAGCAGGTCTTGTGTGTATATCTGGGTGGTGTGCATGTTTCTCAAAGTGTGATCCTCACACCAGCAGCATCAGCATCACCTAGGAACTTGTCAGAAATACACATTCTCAGGTCCCACCCCTGATCCACTGATTCAAACTCTGGGAGGGGAGCTTAAAGTCTTCCATGAGATTCTGATGCAGGCTAAGGTTTGAGAATGATTGTTCTAGGTTTTGAGTCTAGAAGCAGATTTGCTGAGTCATAGGATATGCAAAGTTCAAATGTTTTAGGTAATGCCAAACTATTTTCCAAAGCGATTGCACCAATCTACACTCCCACCTGTAGTGTCTAAGAGTTCCCATTGCTTTACATCTTTGTTATCACTTGGCTTTAAAATTTCTGCCAGCCTAAAGAGTATAAATGTATCTCACTACTGTTTTAATAGGCACTTGAATGACGTCTAATGAGATTGAGTGCCTTTTCAAATGTTTATTGGCCATTTGGACTGCCCCCCTTTGTGAATACAAGGAACTTCAATGGACTACAAAAGTCAATCATCAAGAAAGCATATGGGAGAAAAGGAATATTAGAGCACTGTTCCCGTTTCTGTTACATCTCATTTAAGAAATGATATTTCTATTTTGTGAAGTGCCTATTCCAGTCTTTTGCCCATTTTCTAATAGGGTCATCTGTTTTGTCCTTATTGGTTTGAAGTTCTTTGAACAGTAGGAAAATTACTGGTCCTGGTTGGCTATATGTGTTGCAGGTATCTCCTACTACTCTCGGTGACTGGTCTTTTGATTTTCATTTTCTTTTTGTGGCTGTACATTGATGAACATCTTCTTAATTTTAATTCAGTCAAATATATCACTATTTTCCTTTGAGATTAATGTTTTTAATAACTTGTTTAATGGCTGGGCATGGTGGCTCATGCCTGTAATCTCAAAACTTTGGGAGACCGAGGCAAGAGGATCACTTGAGCCCAGGAGTTTGAGACCAAACTGGGCAACATAGTGGGACCCCATCTCTTAAAAAAATGAAAAAAATTAGCCGGGCTTGGTGGCACCCACCTGTAGCCTCAGCTACTCAGGGAGGCTGAGTTAGGAGGATTGCTTGAGCCTGAGAGATTGAGGCTCACTGCAACCTCTACCTCCCGGGCTCAAGCAATGCTCCCACCTCTGCCTCCCAAGTAGCTGGTATTACAGGTGTGCACCACCACACCTGGCTAATTTTTTTTGGATTTTTTTGGTAGAGATGGGGGTTTTGCCATGTTGCCCAGGCTGGTCTTGAACTCCTGGGCTCAAGCAATCTACCCACCTCAGCCTCTCAAAGTGCTGGGATTACAAGCATGAGCCCAAATTCTCTCTCTCTCTTTTTTTTTTTTTGAGACGGAGTCTTGCTCTGTCGCCAGGCTGGAGTGCAGTGGCGTGATCTCGGCTCACTGCAACTTCTGTCTCCCAGGGTCAAGCGATCCTCCTGCCTCAGCCTCCTGAGTAGCTGGGATTACAGGTGCACGCCACCACATCCAGCTAATTTTTTGTGTTTTTGGTAGAGACAGGGTTTCACCATATTGGCCAGGATGGTATCAATCTCTTGACCTCATGATCTGCCTGCCTCGGCCTCCCAAAGTGCTGGGGTTATAGGCGTGAGCCACTGTGCCCGGCCAAGGATTCCATTTCTTTCTGCCATTCATCCCCTCTATCCTGGTACGTTGGCTCTGATTATTTCAAGATGGCTGCAGGGACTGCAGGCCTTCCATCCACAATGCAGGATCCAGATACCATTTTTGCTTTATTCATCTCTTTTTAGGAACAAACACCCTTTTTTTCAGGTGCTCCTCTCCCCTAGCATGTTTCCCCTAGTCTCACTTGCCACAGTGACATCATGTGTCCATGCTTGGACCCAATTCCTGGAGAGGTGTCTGGGATCACCTTGCTTTTCTTGGCTCTGCCATGATTCTCTCTTAGGAACTGGGGTTCATCTCCCCTGAAGCTGATGGAAAATGAGTATCTGGACAAAATCTGGGTTCTCTGGATAGGAAAAGGGGGAAGGGACGGATAGGTAGGCAACCAAAAGGTATGTGCTGCAGCAGGACAGAGACAGAACTCTGGGGACCAGCAGTATGCGAGGGACAGATAGAAGGAGAGATTTGCACACCTGCAAGTTGAAGCAAAAACAGGGAACCATGAATCTTGAAGGTGTTATTCTTTCCAGTACATTTGTTCAATGTAATGTTTTGGGAAATTGCCAATGGTACCAATGTCCACTTGGTAATTGAGAAGGCCAGGTAGTTTCACTGTGGCCCTGTCCTGAAATCATTTCACAGCAGATTGCTCTGCAGCTCAGCCCTGCTGAAGGGGACCAGTGAGAAAAAGGCCTCATTAGAAATGACTGTTACCAAGCAACAAGCTAGCATCTCAAGAATTGCATACAAGGAACTTAAATGGACTACAAAAGTCAATCGTCAGAAAAAGGTAGCATCTGGGAGAAAAGGATATTAGAGCGTTGTTCCCGTTTCTGTTACATCTCGTTTAAAAAATGATATTTCTCTCAATTAGAACTGCAGCATGCATTCATTGTAGGGAATTAGGAAATATATACATAAAAGAAACAAATCTTATGCCTAACCTTACAGCTGGCTATTTTCAGCTTTTCTTCCTTTTTTTTTCTTTCACTTTATGTGGTATTTCCCCATGTTCTTAAAAATTCTTAGTTGACAGAATTAATTTTTTTTTTTTAATAGACAAGGGCTCGCTCTGTCACCTTGTCTGGCAGGATCATGGCTCACTTGCAGCCTCAATTTTGTGGGCTCAAGTGATCCTCTGGCCTCAGCCTCCTGAGGAATTGGGACACAGGTGTGCATCACCATGCCTGGTTAATTTTTTTATTCTTTGTAGGGACAGGGCCTTGCTATCTTGCCCAGACTTGTTTCAAACTCCTGGCCTCAAATGATCCTCCTGCCTTGGGCCCCACACCCCCACCCCCCTGCAAAGTGTTGGGATTACAGGTGTGAGTCACTGCACCGGGCCAACATCATTTTAAATAACTGTATAGTACATGCATTAATCAAGTACTCTGCAAAACACTACAAATTTGTGCTTTGGGAGGAATACCGAAGGGGAAAAAGAGAACAAAGCCTCCCAAAGTGCTGGGATTGCAGGTGTGAGCCACTGTACCCAGCCCTCAGCTGATCTGTAAAAAAATGCCAGTAAAGATTGGAAAGTTTCATATTTTGCTTTATGGTCTGCAGCACAAATCAATGAACAGGATCTTACAAAAAAAAAAAAATTCACATAGGCCGGGTGCGATGGCTCACGCCTGTAATCCCAGCACTTTGGGAGGCCGAGGCAGGCGGATCACCTGAGGTTGGGAGTTCGAGACCAGCCTGACCAACATGGAGAAACCCCTCTCTACTAAAAATACCAAATTAGCCGGGCATGATGGTGGGTGCCTGTAATCCCAGCTACTCGGGAGGCTGAGGTGGGAGAATGGCTTGAACCCAGAAGGCGGAGGTTGCGGTGAGCCGAGATCGCACCCTTGCACTCCAGTCTGGGCGACAAGAACAAAACTCCGCCTCAAAAAAAAAAGAAAAAAAGAAAAAAAAAAAAACTCAGAGATGTTTCTCTTGCTCCATCCTCAACACAGGCTTTTGTTTTCCCCAGAGTGAAGGAGACATTAGAAGAATGCTAAACCTTTGCCTCACTATTCTTATTTGTTGAACTTTGAAGTTAGGCAAAGGTTTAGCATTTTTCTAATGTCTTCTTCACTCTGGGGAAAACAAAAGCCTGTGTGGAGGATGGAGCAAGAGAAACATCTCTGAATTTTTTTTTTTTTGAGACGGGGTTTTGCTCTTGTCGCCCAGGCTGGAGTGCAATGGCGCGATCTCAGCTCACAGCAACCTCCGCTTCCCGGGTTCAAGCGATTCTCCTGCCTCAGCCTCCCAAGTAGCTGGGATTACAGGCATGCGCCACCACGCCTGGCTAATTTTGTATTTTTAGTAGAGATGGGGTTTCTCCACGTTGGTCAGACTGGTCTCGAACTCCCGACCTCAGGTGATCCACCTGCCTCGGCCTCCCAAAGTGCTGGGATTACAGGCGTGAGCCACCGCGCCCGGCATATCTGAATTTTTTTTTTTTGTAAAATCCTGTGCATTGATTTGTGCTGCAAACCATAAAGCAAAATATGAAATTTTCCAATCATTACTGGCATTAAAAAAAAATCAGCTGAGGGCTGGGTACAGTGGCTCACACCTGCAATCCCAGCATTTTGGAAGTCCAAGGCTGGAGGATCAATTGAGGCCAGGAGTTTGGGACCAGCCTGTGAAACATAGTGAGACTCCATCTCTACAAAAAAATAAAAAACTTAGCCGAGCATGGTGGTATGCACCTGTGGTCTGAGCTACTTGGGAAGCTGAGGTGGGAGGATTGCTTGAGGCCAGGAGTTCCAGGTTGCAGTGAGCTATGATCGTGCTGCCACACTCCAGCCTGGACAAAAGAGCGAGACTCTGTCTAAAACAAACAAAAACAAACCAGAAAGATCAGCTGAGAGTTCTTTGAATTCTTCCTGACAAATAACAGCGTAGACCCACAGGTGTACTGTAAATTTTTCACTTTTGTAGGTCTAATCCTTAGGCAGCACCGTAAAGGCATTACTATAATCATCTCTCTAATTAGAGTGTCTTTTTTTTTTTTTTTTTTAGTTAAAAAAAAAATCTCACAATAGTAGAAGTGGTTTTGACAACCATGGTAAGATTTCCCTCTGTGATCTGATCACAGCACATGGCGGGCTAGACTATCCATGCACCTGTGATGGTTAATTTCATGTATTAACTTGTCTGAGCTAAGGGCTACTCAGGTAACTAGTAAAACATTATTTCTGGGTGTGTCTGTGAGGGTGTTTTCAGGAGTGATTAGCATTTGAATCAGTAGGTCTGATTAAAGAAGACCCCTCCTCTGCAGGCGCGGTGGCTCACGCCTGTAATCCCAGCACTTTGGGAGGCCGAGGTGGGCGGATCACGAGGTCAAGAGATCGAGACCATCCTGGCCAACATGGTAAAACCCCGTCTCTACTGAAAATTTGAAAATTAGCTGGGTGTGGTGGCACACGCCTGTAGTCCCAGCTACTCGGGAGGCTGAGGCAGGAGAATCGCTTGATCCCGGGACGCAGAGGTTGTGGTGAGCCGAGATGGCTCCACTGCACTACAGCATGGTGACAGAGTGAGACTCAGTCTCAAAAACAAAAAAAAAAAAAAAAAAAAAGAAGATCCGTCCTCACCAGTGTGGATGTGGATGGGCATCGTTCAATTCCTTGAGGGCCCAGATAGAGCAAACAGGTGGAGCAACAGCAAACTTGGCACTCTCTGGGCAGAGACATCCACCTTTGCTGGCCCTTGGACATTGGTGCTCCTGGTTCTCAGGCCTTCTGACTCAGACTGGGATTTGCACCACTGCTTTCCTGGGCCACCACCTTGCAGATGGCCGACTGCAGGTCTTCACGACCTCCATGATCATGGGAGCCAATCTCGCATGATAAATCCTTTTCTCGCTGGGCACTGTGGCTCACGCCTTGTAATTCCAGCACTTTTGGGAGGCTGAGGGGGGAGGATCTCTTGAGCGAGGGAGTTTGAGGCCAGCCTGGGGCAACATAGCAAGACCACCATCTCTACAAAAAAATAAAAAAAAAAATTAGCCAGGCATGGTGGTGCACACCTGTAGTCCCAGCTGCTAAGGGGGCTGAGGTAGGAGGATTGCTTGAGCCCAGGAGTTTGAGGCTGCTGTGAGCTGTGATTGCACCACTGCCCTCCAGCCTGGGCAACAGAGTGATCCCGTCTCTAAAAATAAGTAAATAAATGAAAATACAAAGGAAATTTGGACATAGAAACAGATACGCATATAGGGAAGATGACATGAAAAGACAGGGAGAAGATGGCCTTGTAAAGGTAAAGGATGGAAGGATCCAAGGATTGAAGAAATGATGCATCTGTGGGCCAAGAAACGCCCATGGCTGCCAGGAGCTGGGACAGAGGCCTGAAACAGATTCCTCCCAAGGGCCGTGAGGGGAATCGTGGCCCTGCTAACACCGTGATTTCAGAATTCAGGCCTGCAGAACCGTGAGAGAACAAACATCTGTTGTTTCAAGCCAAAAATGAAACAAAAGCAGAAGAACACAGAATGAGAAGTAAAGGAAGGGAGGAAAGGAATGAGCAGGAGGGAGGGAAGGAGACAGCAAAGTGTCATCAAGTAAGTTATGAAAGAAAACTTGGTTGCAGCTGGGTGTGGTGGCTCACGCCTGTAATCACAGTACTTTGGGAGGCTGAGGTGGGAGGATTACTTGAAGCCAAGAGTTTGAGAGCAGCTTGGGCAACATAGCGAGACACTGTCTCTATCTATTAACAAAACAAAACAAAACAAAACAAACAAACAAAAAAACTTTAGGCTGGGTCCGGTGGCTCATGCCTATAATCCCAACACTTTGGGAGGCTGAGGTTGGGGGAATCACTTGAGGTCGGGAGTTCAAGACCAGCCTGACTAACACGGTGAAACCCCATTTCTACTAAAAATACAAAAAATTAGCTGCGTGTGGTGGCCCGTGCCTGTAATCCCAGCTACCCAGGAGACTGAGGCAGGAGAATCACTTGAACCCTGGAGGCGGAGGTTGCAGTGAGCTGAGATCACGCCATTGCACTCCAGCCTGGGCAACAGAGCAAGACTCCATCTCAAGAAAAAAAAAAAAAGGAAAATTAGTTGGGCATGGTGGCATGCACCCGTAGTCCCAGTTACTTGGGAGGCTGAGGTGGGAGAATTGCTTGAACCTAGGAGTTTGAGCTGTGATCATGCCAGTGATCGTGCTCTTCAGTCTGGGCAACAGAGTGAGACTCTGTCTCAAAAAAAAAAAAAAAAATTAGGGAGCTGTTTCTCAGTAACAGACAAACGCACACCCAGGAGCAGCAGGCCTGGTCCCCAGGGGCTGTGAGGCCTTATCAGGGGAAAAGATTGCTTGGTGTTTTAGTCTGTTTAAAAAGAGAGGCCACACTTCATATTTATGGGTTAATGAATAATGCAGGATCAGTTATTGGTTAATGCAGAACAGCAACATCAGGTTAAAAAAAAAGAGAAACCAAGAAGTTGTGATTCAAGGTTATGTCTAAGGAGGAAAGAAAATGGAGGTTTTGTTTTTTTTCTACCCTGCTCCTAGTGAATGTCTACTAAAAAAAAAATCATTTGATCGGGTCTTTGCAGTTTCTAAAATAAAACAAGGGAGGGGCTGCAGGAAGGCGAGACCTCTCGCTCACCCACCCTGCTCCCTGCACGGAGCTCTTTGGGGTCCCCAGTGGAATTGGTCACGTTCCAACCTCCCCTCCTCAATGCACCCAGGCAGGCTTTTCTTGTGTGTTAAGCTGGTGAGAGGCGCCAGGGGAATCTTTCTGCTCAGGCCTCTGCAAACCTCATCCTGCTTAGAAAAGAGGTTTTGTTTGACTCCTTTTTGGGCCTCTGAGGCGCCAGGGGGAGTGATTAATAGAGAACCACCTCGAGATTTCAATAGAGCAGCAGCATCAGCTCCCAGGGCCAGCCGGGCCTTTGTTCCGCAGAAAACGGCGATAAAGCCTCACGGGCTGCCTGCTGCAATCCAGTCCTCATCCGGCCCCGTTTCATCCCTGCCAGGCCAACCTCATGACCTAAGCCGGCCTGGGAAGATCCGTCTGCCTGCACACGGGGCAGCATGAACAGCAGGGGCCTCCCTCCTTGGCAGAGCGCTTGGGGCTGGAGTGGGGGCCCAGAGGCCCTTGGTTTCTTTTGTGAAATTCTGCAGATGAGAGCAAATGTGCAATGGCAGGGCCGTGATGTTTTGGCTTCCAGGGAAGGGGGACGGGACAGGAGACTCTGAGGCTGGGGTGGTGGAGAGAAGATGCGGGTTTGTGAACGGGAAGATGGCTTTTGGTTAGCCTTGACTGAGCTTTGAGCAGGCTCTGTGGGCCTCTTAATATCACAGCAGAAGCGAGGGGGAGCTCTGGAAGTGAGAGGAGGGTGACAAGGTACAGCAGAGTTAAAGAGGGAGGAAGGCAGCGGTCAGCAGGCCCAGGCCTGGAAACCCTCGCTGGTGTGGATCTCATGCTGGCTTGGTGCTTCCTTGGCTTGCGTTTGTCCCGGAGGTTGGATGGCGGGAATGATCATGTTGTTTTGGTCGCATTAGACTGAGGATCAAATCAGGGTGCTTCTCTTTCTCAGAGCCCAGGTGCCTTTCCTTCATTCATTTAACAATCACTGGAGGCCAAGCACAATGGCTCCTGCCTGTAATCCCAATGCTTTAGAAGGTTGAGGTGGGAGGATCACTTGAGGCCAGGAGTTCAAGACCAGCCTGGGCAACACAGGGAGACTCCCCCCCACCCCAATCTCTACAAAAATTTTTTAAAAAATGGCCGGGTGCGGTGGCTCACACCTGTAATCCCAGCACTTCGGGAGACTGAGGTGGGTGGATCACGAGGTCAAGAGATCGAGACCATCCCGGCCAACATGGTGAAACCCCGTCTCTATTAAAAATACAAAAAGTAGCCAGGCGTGATGGTGCGTGCCTGTAATCCCAGCTACTTGGGAGGCTGAGGCAGAAGAATTGCTTGAACCCAGGAGGCGGAGGTTGCGGTGAGCCCAGATCACACCACTGCACTCTAACCTGGCGACAGAGCGAGACTCTGTCTCCCAAAAAAATAAAAATAAAATAAAATAAAAAATAAAAATCCCAGCTACACAGGAGGCTGAGGCAGGAGAATCACTTGAAACCAGGAGGCAGAGGCGGAGGTGGAGGTTGCAGTGAGCCAAGATTGCACCATTGCACTCCAGCCTGGGCAACAAGAGTGAAATGCCATCTCAAAAATAAAAAAAAAAAAGAAAAAATTTTTTAAAATATAGCTGGTGATGTGCACCTGTAGTCTCAGCTACTTGGGAGGCTGAGGTTCAAGGATTGCTTGAACCCAGGAGGTCGAGGCTGCAGTGAGCCATGATCACACCACCACACTCCAGCCTGGGCAGCAGAGCAAGACCCTGTCTCTAAAAAAAGAAATAGTAAGAACAATTGCTTGCTGAGTGCCTGTCTATGATGGTAGCATCTGATGCAAATTAAAAAGTCAGATGCTCAGCAGGACTTATGGAGCCTTTGCTCAGCTCCAAATATATCATTAGTTACAATATGGAGAGCAAGTAACATGGCTAACAGCAATTTCACACCAGCACATAACTGTTTCATGACAAGTTATCAGAGGCAGTAGCATTCAGCAGTTCATGTGGAGGACTGCCTCAGTCAGCCTGGGCTACTATAACAAAAATACCATAGACTGGACAGCCTAACCATTAAAAAATTTTTTTGAGACATGGTCTCACTCTATCACCCAGGCTGGAGTGCCGTGGCATGATCATAGCTCACTGCAGCCTCCATCTCCCAGGCTCAAATGATCCTCCCGCCTCAGCCTCCTGAGTAGCTGGGACTGTAGGCACAAGCAACCACACCCAGCTAATTTTTTCTATCTATCTTTTTTTTTTTTTTTTTTTTTTGTAGAGAAGGGGTCTTTTTGCTCAGGCTGGTCTTGAACTCCTGGGCTCAAGTGATCCTCCCACCTTGGTCTCCCAAAGTGCTGGGAATCCAGGCAGGAGCTCAAACATTTATTTCTCACGGTTCTGCAGTTAGGAAGTCCAAGATCTGATGTCCAGTGGGCCCCACTTCCTGGTTTGCAGACAGCTCCTTTCTTGCTGGGTCCTCACATGGCTGAGAGGGGAGAGCGAGTTCTTTGGTGCTTTGTCTTATCAGGGAACTAATACAATGATCTACTAGTGGGGGGAACTAATGCCATCATGAAGGCAACTGCAGGAGCCCACAGGGAGCCTCCGTGGCGTTTGGCTGTGATCAAATGCCAGCTGCTGTGCCACTCTCACCTTGCCCAACTCCAGGGGGACACCAGATCCAATGTCAATCGTCCCTTATCCCGTCCCCACAGTGGAGAGCCCTGGTGGAAGGGATGCAAGTTTAGTTCATCAAGTACCAGAAAACCCAACTGAAAACGGTCCAAACAATGCTGAAATGTTTCTGTCCATATCATCACTGGGATCTGGATGTTGGAGCAGTTTTGAGGTGAGTTGACCTGGGGCTCCAGCTCCCTCCATGGACGGTGGGGTCTGTGCTGCTCTCCTGCAGAAGCAGGCTCCGCATCGCCCCACGCTGTCCATAGGTCATCCTCTCCCATGGTGTCCAGAGAGGGAAAGGCCATCTCTTCCCACAGATGCCTCTTGGAAGATAGGAACCCTTTTCTGGAATCTCTGACCATAGGCCCCTGCAAATTGGATGCCTGGTCCTCCTCAAATGGCTCAGGGAATGGCGGATATTGACTGACTTTGACTCTTTTTTTTTTGAAGACAGAGTCTTGCTCTGTTGCCCAGGCTGGAGTGCAGTGGCACGACCTAGGCTTACTGCAACCTCTGCCTCCTGGGTTCAGGCAAGTCTCATGCCTCAGCCTCCCAAGTAGCTGGGATTACAGGTGCATGCCAACATGCCCAGCTAATTTTTGTATTATTAGTACAGACGGGGTTTCACCATGTTTGCCAGGCTGGTCTCAAACTCCTGGCCTCAAGCAATCTGCCCATCTTGGCCTCCCAAAGTGCTGGGATTACAGGCATGAGCCACCACGCCAGGCCTGACTTTGATTCTTGAACCACTCACTGGCAAAGGGACGGGCTCATCACCCATGGTGTAGAAATATCCAGGTCCACCAGAAGCTGGAGTCAGCCCCTGCCCCTGATGGCCCCATAGTGGATGAAGGCTACAGTGAAAATAATTGGCTCACCAAATCGTGACAGCTATTCCATGAGTCAGGTACTATCATCATCTCATTTTAAAGATAAGCGGATAGAGGGTCATGGAGACACATAGATAGTTAGGAAGTGTCGGAGCTGAGGTCACAACTCAGGCACTAGATTCTAGCTCCCAACTTCACAACCATTTCAGTCCCAAGGCCGTGGAGATGGAGTTGGGACAGTAAGCTCTTTAGGGGCAAACAAGCCCACCAAAACCCACCAGTTCTTTCCCCATTGTTAGACCATCTGAGGGCACTCTTGCCAACATGCTGGTACAGTTCTCTGCCCTTTTTAATGTTTCTGTTTTGTCTCTTAACCTTTAAAAATTGGGAAATGGGCTGGGTGCAGTGACTCATGCCTGTAATCCCAGCACTTTGGGAGGCTGAAGCAGGTTGATTGCTTGATGTCAGGAGTTCAAGACCAGCCTGACCAACATAATGAAACCCTCTCTCCACTAAAAATACAAAAATTAGCCAGGTGTGGTGGTGGGTGCCTGTAATTCCAGCTACTCCGGAGGCTGAGGCAGGAGAATCACTTGAACCTGGGAGGCGGAGGTTGCAGTGAGATGAGATCATGCCATTGCACTCCACCCTGGGCGACAGAGTAAGACTCTGTCTCAAAAAAAAAAAAAAAAAAAAGGGAAATGTAATACACATACAGAAAGGTGCATCCATATGTTGAATAATTATGTATTTGTTTGCTATTCCTGTGTAACAAATGACCACAGGTTCAGCAGCTTAAACCAACATCTATCTAGCACCACATGGTCTCCCTGGGGCAGGAGTCTGGGCACAGCTCAGCTGGGTCCTCTGCTCAGAGCCTCTCATGGCTGTAATCCAGGGTGAGTTGGGCTGCATTCTCATCCGGAGGCTCAACTGGGCAAGAATCCTCTCCCAAGGTCACTCAGCCTGCTGGCAGCACGCATTTCCTTGTGGCCATATGACTGATGGCCTCAGCTTCTTTCTGGCCTTCTGCTGGAGGCCACCCTCAGGTCCTGGAGGCTACTCATAGTCCCCTGCCATGGGGTCCTCTCCAGGGACTGTTCACAACATGCTGTTTGCTTCTGCAAGGCCAGCAGGAGCGTCTCTGTCTCCAGTGGACCAAGATGGGGTCTCCTATAATGTCATGTGATCATGGGAGCGATGGGAATAGGAGCCCCTTGCCCCTTCCATATAACATAACCAGATCTGAGCAATGGCACCTGCCCCCTCTGCCATGTTCCACTGGTTAGAAGCCCATCACAAGCCCTGCACACGCTCAAGGGAGGGGGTGATACAGGGGTGTGGCTCCTTGGGGGAGGTCACTTTCAGGTGTATCTAAGGGTGACCCATGCTAAGAAATGGAACTCTGTCTACCATCCCCAAAGCCCATCTCCACTTACAGATAAGACTAATGCTGAGTTGGAGCTGTTCACGAGAGCCGATTGTTGAACTTTCAGGATTTCGGTTAATTGGCTGTTAAACACAGTCATTATTAAAAATTAAATTACATTAAGCTGGCCACAGTGGCTCACACTTGTAATCTCAGCACTTTGGGAGGCTGAGGCGGGTGGATCACTTGAGCTCAGGAGTTTGCGAGCAGCCTGGGTGACATGGCAAAACCTCATTTCTACAAAAATACAAAAATTAGCCAGGCATAGTGGTGCATGCCTGTACTCTCAGCTACTAGGGAGGCTGAGGCAGGAGAACTGCTTGAACCCAGGAGGTGGAGGTTGCAATAAGCCGAGATCATGCCACTGCACTCCAGCCTGGGCAACAGAGAGAGATTTCATCTCAAAAAAAAAAAAAAAAAAATTACCCTACATTAAACTTGCAGTGAAATAAATTCTATTGAAAGGGTCTCAACACTTATCATGTTCTAATTATTTTACTGTAATCTATGCTTTTAAGGTTACTCTACTCCATCTGTATACTGGAAATTATCTTCCCAACTCCAAGTTCAGATACTCCGCATTGGTTCAGATACTCCACTTTGCAGCTTGCAACAACTATTGCAGAGATATTTACACTGTGAAAATCTGAAAATGCTACAATTCAGGGCTTGGAGGCAAAATCTGGCTCTTGCTTGAGCTAAAAAATTTTTTTTTACATTGTTAAAGGGTGGTTAAAACAAAACAAAGCAAAACAAAAGAGACTGTGCCAAAGACTGTACGTGTCTGGAAAAGTGGAAAATACTTACCATCTGACTCTGCAGAATCCATTTGCCAAACCCTAGACATAAGTAATACAGAAAATTAACAATGTGGTTAAACTTCAAATTCTGTGATGTCTGCAGCCATTATATTGTGAATAGCACAAAATGTTGAGGAACTATTCACCCAGTAATAGAAAACCATGCTCCAATACAGCAAAGAAGTTGCTGACATCATTGAGGAACAAATAAAGTTCGGATCTATATGTGTTTTGCTTCATTTCTTACTTGTTAATATAAGTGAAAATATCAACACTCCTGTCAAACATTACATTTATTTTACTTTTTTTTTTTTTTGAGACAGGGTCTCACTGTTGCCCAGGATGAAGCACAGTGGTGTGATCATGGCTCACCACAGCCTCCAACTCCTGGGCTCAAGCAATCCTTCAGCCTCAGCATCCCAAATAGCTGAGACCACAGGTGCATGCTACCATGCTTTGCCAATTGTTTTATTTTTTGTAGAGACAGGATCTTGCTATGTTGCCCAGGCTGGTCTCAAACTCCTGGGCTTGGCCGGGTGTGATGGCTCATGCCTGTAATCCCAGCACTTTGGGAGGCTGAGGCGGGAGGATCACCTGAGGTCGGGAGTTTGAGACCAGCCTGACCAACATGGAGAAACCCCTTCTCTACTAAAAATACAAAATTACCTGGGCGTGGTGGCGCATGCCTGTAATCCCAGCCACTTGGGAGGCTGAGGCAGGAGAATTGCTTGAATCCAAGAGGCAGAGGTTGCGGTGTGCCGAGATCACATCTGCACTCCTGCCTGGGCAATAAGAGCGAAACTCCGTTTCAAAACAAACAAACAAACAAAAACAAGAACAACAAAAACTCCTGGGCTCAAGTGACCCTCCTGCCTTGGCTTCCCATACAATCTCAAAGTGCTGGGATTGTAGGCATGAGCCACCCCACCAAACCAAACATTATTTACTGGGAAAATGGTGGGTTGGGTAGCAACTCAACCCTGCATATTACAATTCAGTTTCAAGCACAGGTTGGCTATGGACACGGGAGTTCAGCAATGCTAAAGGAAAGCATTCTCTGAGAATCAACTGACTATGGAATTTACAAACAAAAAGAGCATTGTGTGTTTTATCATTATTTGCAATTGATACGATACACACGCTTCATACCAGTAACATTTATAATAAATGTGTGTGTATATATGCAGTCCTTCCCAAGCCGATTGTTAAACATGTACCATCAGCCTGACCATTAGGATATGTACTTCCTGGCTTTGCTTTATAATGTAACCACGTTTAGATTTTCCGTTGACCTAAATAGAGGTTACCCAGGCACCTCAGAGTCCAGAGCAGTATCTGGCACATAGTAGGTATTTACAATCATGCAATAAGCCAACCATCCACGCCATATATGATAGTGGTCCTCTAAGATTATAATACCGTAAGATTATAATACTATATCTTTACGTTTTTTTTTTTTGAGATGGAGTCTCACTCTGTTGCCCAGGCTGGAGTGCAGTGGCGTGATCTCAGCTCACTGCAAGCTCCGCCTCCTGGGTTCATGCCATTCTCCTGCCTCAGCCTCCCGAGTAGCTGGGACTACAGGCGCCCGCCACCACGCCCGGCTATTTTTTTTGTATTTTTAGTAGAGACGGGGGTTTCACCGTGTTAGCCAGGATGGTCTCGATCTCCTGACCTCGTGATCCGCCAGCCTCGGCCTCCCAAAGTGCTGGGATTACAGGCGTGAGCCACCGCGCCCGGCCTACCTTCTCTTTTCTACGTTTAGATACGTAAATACTTACCATTGTGTTACAATTGCTCATAGTATTCAGCACATTAACATGCTGTTAAAGGTTTGTAGCTTAAGAGCAACAGGCTGTACCATCCAGGTTTGTGGAATTACACACTATGATGTTCACACAAGGATGAAATTGCCTAACAATGTATTTCTCAGAAGGTATCCCCTTTCCCAAGCGATGCATGACTGTATTTAAGATGCGCTGGCAGCGGTGGCTCAGACCTGTAATCCGAGCACTTTGGGAGGCTGAGGTGGGAGGATTGCTTGAGGCCAGGCGTTTGAAACCAGCCTGCGCAATACAGTGAGACTCGTTTCTACAAAAATAAAAAATAAAATAATAAAGGATATTGCTGAGCTGGGTGTGGTGACTCATGCCTGTAATCTCAGCACTTTGGGAGGCTAAGGTGGGAGGATTACTTGAAGCCAGGAGTTCGAAACCAGCCTGGGTAACATGGCAAAACCCTGTCTCCTATAAAGTACATTAATACAAAAATTAGCTGGGCATGGAGGCTCGCGCCTGTAATCCCGGCTACTCGGGAGACTGAAGCAGGAGAATCACTTGACCCCGGAGGCTGAGGCTGCAGTGAGTCATGGCTGTGCCACTGCACTCGAGCCTGGGCAACAGAGTAAGACCCTGTCTCAAGAAAAAAAAAATGTCCCTGGAGTAGATAACTTGAGGAACACTAATTTTACCGAAACAACCGACAATGGCAATGCAATTCTGAGCCTTTGCTATAAAATGGCAGAAAAAGTCAGGAGGAAGTTTGCGTATGTTATTTTTCCCTGCCACTTGCTTTTTAGTCTTTGCAAACCTTTCTCAAATCCTTTTAGAACACGGTATGACATTTCTTTCTGTTTTTAAGCAACAACTATAAGAACTACCACTGACTGAGTGCTTAGGTAACGCCCAATATATTTCACGTAGAATCTCATCAACAGGCCGGGCACCATGGCTCACGCCTGTAATCCTAGCACTTCAGGAGGCTGAGGCGGACGGATGGATTGAGCCCAGGAGTTTGAGACCAGCCTGGGTAACATAGGGAGACCCCTCTTCTCCAAAAAACAACAAACTCTCATAAATCTGTAAGAGGTGACATAGTAAAAACTCTGAAACAACACTCTTTTAATATTTTATCAATTTCCTCCCCATTCGTTTATTTATTTATGCAGCCACTGACCCAGGCATGGTCATCCCTGCTGGGGGCGGACACAGCCCGCGCCCCCAGGTTCGAGGACACCCAATGTTTAGAAAACGGACCCTGCGAATCCCACCGGCCCCACGTGGACTCTCGGAGGCTCCCTCCTCCCTTTGGAGCATTGAAGAACGCGCACAAATCCAGCTTCCACCCGTCACTCGCGCACCCGACATTGGGCAGGCGACCCCACCGCCCCGGAACATCCCGGCGCAGCCGTCGCGAGGAGGCAACCGACCCCGCCGCGCCACCGGAAGGCGCCTCGCGGCGAGTTGTGCGCACGCGCAATGTGCAACGCCGCGCCGCCAGCGGGCGCTGCGGCCAGGCTCGCGTGGTGGGGGAGGGGAGCTGCCGCGCCGGGGCCGGACCACGTGCGCACCACGTGGCGCCCCGGCAGCCCCGGTGCGCAGTAGGGCGGTCCGGCTGGCCACGCTGCGCAGCCAGCAGTCCCCGAGGGTGGCGGGGCCGGTCTCACAGCCGGCGACCCCGCGCCCGCTGACCTCTGACCTCCGACCCCACTCCCCTTAGGGTTACCCCTCGCCGGCAGCCGCGCCGTGTGTTTATAAACAGAGCTCCCGGCGGGCCCCAAAGCCCGGATCGGCGGATTCACGCGAGGGGAACGGAGCCTTCCGCAAGTCTGCGCCGGCCGCGCATGCGCCTTAAGGTTGCGCCACGCTGCTCCTCCTGCGCTTGCGCAGTGGCGGCGCAGGGCGGGCCGCGAGCAGGGCCCGGGGCGGGGCCGGGCTCTGTGGCCGGGCAGGGGAGGGGCGCGGAGAGGCGCCCTCGCCCTTCCCAGCCCTGCTCCTCGCCTTGCGGAGGGTTCACCTGCTGCGTGTCCTTGCGCAGGCCGGCCACTGGCCTCTGAGCCCGGGCTCTCGCCTGCAAAGTGGGGCCTCTGTGGGTGGTCGTGGAGGTGCAGTGGTGACCTGGATGGAGGGCGGCATCGGGCCCCGCAGTGCCCCCTTGGGCAGCTGCACCCAGCAGCTAAGAGGCCCCCTCGAGACACATCAGTCCTAGGGAGGAGCATACCATGCAGTACGATTTAGCCTTAAAATGGGTGGAGTGCAGTTTATGTTGTGTATATCTATATATCTCTAATTTAAAATTTTTACTTTTATTTTTCAGACAGGGTCTTGTTCTGTTGCCCAGGCTGGAGTGCAATGGTGGCATTACAGCTCACTGCAGTCTCCACCTCCCGGACTCAGGCGTTCCTCCTACCTCAGCCTCCCAAATAGCTGAGACCACAGGCAGGCATCACCACACCCAGCTAATTTTTTTTTTCTTTTTTGAGACGCAGTCTTGCTTTGTTGCCCAGGCTGGAGTGCAGTGGTACGATCTCGGCTGACTGCAGCCTCTGCCTCACGGGTTCAAGCGATTCTCCTGCCTCAGCCTCCTGAGGAGCTAGGATTACAGGCGTGCACTAACACGCCCAGCTAATTTTTTTGTATTTTTAGTAGAGACGGGGTTTCACCATGTTGGCCAGGCTAATCTCGAACTTCTGACCTCAGGTGATCTGCCTGCCTCGGCCTCCCAAAGTGCTGGGATTATAGGCGTAAGCCACCGTGCCTGGCTATGTTTTTTTCTATTTTTGGCAGAGATTAGGTCTTGCTATGTTGCCCAGGCTGGTCTTGAACACCTGGGCTTAAGCGATCTTCTCACCTTAGCCTCCCAAAGTTTTGGGATTACAGATGTGAGCCACCTTGCCTGACCTATATTTTTAATTTAAAAATTTTTAATTGTTAATTTTTATGGGTACATAGTAGGTGTATAGATTTATGGGACACATGAGATCTTTGTATTATAATTACATTAGGGTAAATGGGGTTTCCATCACCCCCAGCATTCATCATTTCTGTGTGATGAACATTCCAATTGCACTCTCTTGGTTATTCTAAAATGTACAGCAAATTAGTGCTGACTGTGGTCACCCTGCTGTGCTAGAAAATTCTAGATCTTACTTATGTATCTAACTATATTTTTGTACCCAGCAACCATCCCCTTTTCCTAGTCCCCCCCACTACCCTAATGTTTTGTATATTTTATCACAACTTTATTTTATTATTATTATTTTTTGAGACAGAGTTTCGCTGTGTTGCCCAGGCTGAAGTGCAGTGGCCTGATCTCAGCTCACTGCAACCTCTGCCCCCTGGGTTCAAGCGATTCCCATGTCTCAGCGTCCCAAGGAGCTGGATTACAGGCCACGCGAGGCTAATTTTGGTATTTTTAGTAGAGACAGGGTTTCACCATCTTGGCCAGGCTGGTCTTGAACTCCTGACTTCAGGTGATCCACCTGCTTTGGCCTCCCAAAGTGCTGGGATTACAGGCATGATCACAATTTTAAAAAGGAAGGAGATTCTGACACACACTTCAACATGGATGAACCTTGAGGACATGGTGCTGAGTGAAATAAGCCAGACACAGAAGGACAGACCACGCATGATTCTGCTTATATGGGGTTCCTAGAGCCATCAGATTCATAGGTACAGAAAGTAGAATGGTGCTTACCAGAGGCTGCGGGCTGAGGGAGAGGGGTGTGAGTGTTTGATAGGGACAGAGTTTGAGTTTGGGAAGATGAAAGAGTTCTGGAGATGGGTGGTGGTGATCACACAACAGTGTGGATGTGCTTAATGCCCCTGAACTGCACGCTTGAAAATGGTTAAGCTTGGCCGGGTGCGGTGGCTCACGCCTGTAATCCCAGCACTTTGGGAGGCCAAGGAGGGTGGATCACCTGAGGTCAGGAGTTCGAGACCAGCCTGGGCAACATGATGAAACCTCGTTTCTACTAAAAATACAAAAATTAGCTGGGCGTGGTGGCAGGTGCCTGTAGTCCCAGCTACTCGGGAGGCTGAGGCAGGAGAATGGCGTGAACCCGAGAGGCGGAGGTTGCAGTGAGCCGAGATCGCGCCACTGTACTCCAGCCTGGGCGACAGAGCGAGACTCCATCTCAAAAAAAATTTAAAAAAAAGGTTAAGCTTTTAAATTCTATGCTAAGCCTATTTTACCACTCGCGGTGCAGATCAGATCACATTCTGTCTGTCCCGTGGCCATATCCTCTCTGTGATCCAAGAGGCTCAGCCCTGCTCCCCGATGGGTCTCGCCCCTGCCCGTGTCATCATCTTGAACCCCTCCGGCCCCACCTGGCTGCCTTTCTGACCTCAAACACCCTGCCTCAGGGCTGCTCTGATGTTCTCTGGTGGAAATGCTGCTTCTTATCTTCTCATGAGCATGTCCCCCTGGTGTATTTGTTCGTTTCATAAACGTGCATCCTTCGAGCTGGGGAACTAGCTCAAATGGTAGAGCCCTCGTTTAGCATAAACAGGCATCCTTGCTTGGTAGATGCCAAGCATTATAAAAGGAGCAGGGGAGACGCAAGTGATGAAAATGGGTAAGGACTCCCCTCTCGTGGACCTTATATTCCTGCAGAGGATGTGGTCAGTAAACACAAACAAAACCATCAGGTGGTTGGCGGTAAGCATTGGTGGTTAGGAAAATACCATGATCTGGATCAGGTGATCCTGAAGAACTCTCTGGCGTGGCCCTTTGACCTGAGGCCTCTTTGACAAGGAGATAGCAATGGGGAGATTGGGAGGGATCAAAAGGGACTTTCCAGGGACAGAGAAAAGCAAGTGCAAAAAGCCCTGAGGCCAGGACTATTTTGGTGGAATAGAAAGACCAGACCAGGTAGTGGGAGCACATGAGTAAGGGGTGAGGGGGAGTTTTTTTTTTTTTTTTTTTGAGACCAAGCCTTACTCTGTTGCCCATGCTGGAGTGCAGTGGCGCGATCTCGGCTCACTGCAACCTCCACCTCCAGGGTTCAAGCAATTCTCCTGCCTCAGCCTCCAGAGTAGATGGGACTATAGGCGCGTGCCACCACGCCCCGATAATTTTTTGCATTTCTAGTAGATACAGGGTTTCACCGTGTTGGCCAGGCTGGTCTCGATCTCCTGACCTCGTGATCTGCCTGCCTCGGCTTCCCAAAGTGCTGGGATTACAGGCGTGAGCCACTGCGCCTGGCCAAGGGGGAGTTTTAAGGTAAAGAAGAAGGCAGAGGCTGGCACGCTGGCTCATGCCTGTAATCTCAGCATTTTGGGAGGCTGAGGTAGGAGGATTGCTTGAGCCCAGGGGTTTGAGGCTGCAGTGAGCTAGGACCTCCAGCCTGGGTGACTGCACTCCAGCGTGGGTGATAGAGCAAGACCTTGTCTCAAAAAAAAAAAGTTTGTTTATATCACATCTCGTTTCTTTTTTTCTTCTCTCTTTTTTTGGCGGGCACAGAGTCTCACTCTGTGGCCCAGGCTGGAGTGCAGTGGCATGATCTCAGCTCACTGCAACCGCATTCTGGGTTTAAGCCATCCTCCCGCCTCAGCCTCCCTTGTAGCTGGGACTACAGGTGAACACCACCACGCCCAGCTAATTTGTGTGTGTGTGTGTGTGTGTGTGTGTGTGTGTGTGTTTAGTAGAGATGGGGTTTCACCACGTTGGCCAGGCTGGTCTCGAACTCCTGACCCAGGTGATCCACCCACCTCGGCCTCCCAAAGTGCTGGGATTACAGGCAATGAGCCACCACGCCTGGCCTCACATCTCATTTCTAAAAGTTGCTAAACAGGCCCATAGCAATGGATAGCAAAGAGTGTCAGAATGAAACACAATAACTGGGTGTGAGAATGGAGGTTGGAGACTAAAGGGAAATAAGAATAAAAATAAAGAGGCAACTTTATGATGACCGTGGTCTGGGGGAAGCAGAGGCGCTGTTGCTTGGCAGTGAGGATACTGCCGTGGGGTACAGCCTGGGGACGGGGTAGCCACACCCTCTGGCGGCATCCCCCTTCCCTCAGTGGCACCAATGGTTGATTTTAGAATGAAGACCCTTGGAAAATAGACCTGCACAGAGTTCACAGTGGTCTTCACCGCTGGCCAGCAGGGTTGGGAGGCCTGGCCAGGACTGTAGGTCCTGAAGACCCCCAGGTAAAATTCCCTGACCCCTGAGCTGCACATGTCATGTTCCTCTGCCACCAGAACCCTAGAATTGGCGGAATCCCAGACACCGTTCCTCCGCAGGGTACCGCAAAGATCTTGTAAGACATGTGCAGTCCAGCGTATAATTACGGGATCTCAGACTTGGAGACAGTTCCACTGCAGCAGGAACCATTAGGCCATTAATGTCACTTGTGACACTAGTTAATAGTAAAAGAGATGTATTAATTGAAGCATCTGTTTTTGAAGATGTAGTTTTTCCTCCCCACCAAATTGTAGTATGGTTAGAAGTTCTAAAACTTATTTTTGGCTCAAGTTCCTCTTACGCCCCTCTCTACTCCCCAGCTTGGAGAAAACCCATGAACTTTTTCAATATCAATATAAATATTCCAGCTGGGCGCGGTGGCTCACGCCTGTAATCCCAGCACTTTAGGAGGCTGAGGCGGTGGATCACAAGGCGGGTGGATCACGAGGTCAGGAGATTGAGACCCTCCTGGCTAACACAGTGAAACCCCGTCTTTACTAAACATTACAAAAATTAGCTGGGCGTGGTGGCGGGTGCCTGTAGTCCCAGCTACTCGGGAGGCTGAGGCAGGAGAATGGTGTGAACCTGGGAGGTGGAGGTTGCAGTGAGCCGAGATCGCACCATTGCACTCCAGCCTGGGCAACAGAGCAAGACTCCGTCTAAAAAAAAAAAAAATATATATATATATATATATATATGTGTGTGTGTATATATATATATATATATATATGTATGTGTATATATATATATGTATGTGTATATATATATGTATGTGTATATATATATGTGTGTATGTATATATATGTATGTGTGTGTGTATATATATGTATGTATATATATGTATGTATGTATGTGTATATATATATATGTATCTCCCTGGAGATATATATCCTTCTCTCTTTTCCTTTTTTCCTGGCTTTAGATATAAAAAGTACATTAAACACATATGTACAAACCAAGTACTAGGAAACTCATGGATCCAGGTTTCTGTACTTTGCATAATCCTTGTTAATGATCTTGCAGTAGGAAACAGAGCTTGGTAACTCAACATTCGAGATCACGCCTGGAATCCTAGCACTTTTGGAGGCGAAGGCAGGCGGATCACTTGAGGCCAGGAGTTCGAGACCAGCCTGGGCAATATGACAAAACCCTGTCTCTACTAAAAATACAAAAATTACCCGGGTGTGGTGGCGGGCACCGTTAATCCCAGCTACTCGGGAGGCTGAGGCAGGAGAATCACTTGAACCCGGAGGCAGAGGTTGCAGGTGAGCCGAGGTTGCGCCGTTGCACCCCAGCCTGGGTGACAAGCAAAACTCCGTCTCAAAAAAAAAAAAAAAAAAAAGAGAGAGTGAGAGAATAAAGATAATGCACTATTGGTTTGGAATCTAACATCATCTAATAACATTAGAGCGAGACAGGTCTGAAACAATAACACTCAAAATGAGATCTGTGGACCACTGTCGTCTGCCAATTGTTTGTCTATGACAAGTTAAGTACAGAAATAGATGCTAAGCATTTAGAGTCTGGACTTGGTGGCTCATACCTGTAATCCCAGTGCTCTGGGAGGCCAAAAAGGGAGGGTGACTTGAGCCTAGGAGTTTGATACCAGCCTAGGCAACATGATGAAACCCTGTCTTTACAAAAAACACAAAAATCAGCACTCCTGTAGTCCTAGTTCCTTGGAAGGCTGAGACGGGAGGATCCCCTGGGCCTGAGAGGTTGTGAGGATGCAGACCGTGATTGGGCTGCTGCACTCCAGCCTGGGCGACAGAGCGAGACCCTGTCTAAAAAATAAAAAATAAAAAAAAAGAAATTAGACAGCCAAAAGTGGGTTTCATGAACTTCTCACCTATTTTATTTTTGGGATGGAGTCTCACTCCTTTGCCCAGGCTGGAGTGCAATGGCACGATCTCGGCTGACTGCAACCTCCACCTCCCGGGTTCAAGCGATTCTCCCACCTCAGCCTCCTGAGTAGCTGGGATTACAGGCACCCACCATCGTGCCCAGCTAATTTTTGTATTTTTGTAGAGACGGGGTTTCTCCATGTTGGTCAGGTGGTCTTGAACTCCTGACCTCAGGTGATCCACCCGCCTCAGCCTCCCAAAGTGCTGGGATTACAGGCGTGAGCCACCATGCCTGGCTGTCACCTATTTTAGAAAACCAAAACATGATCCTTCACCACAGATAGTTTCGGAAGAGCCGAAATAAAGAACTGATCAAAAACTTTTTGTGTATAACATGACCTATGCCTAGAAATCCAGCAATTGACTAGAAAACTGCCATGAACAATAAGAAAATTTGGTCTGGGTGTGGTGGTTCACGCCTGTAATCTCAGCACTTTCGGAGGCCGAGGTGGGTGGATCACCTGAATTTGGGGGTTCAAGACCAGCCTGACCAACATGGAGAAACCCTGTCTCTACTAAAAATACAAAAGTAGCCGGGCGTGGTAGCGCATGCCTGTAATCCCAGCTCCTCGGGAGGCTGAGGCAGAAGAATCGCTTGAACCTGGGAGGCAGAGGTTGCGATGAGCTGAGATCGCACCATTGCACTCCAGCCTGGGCAACAAGAGTGAAACTCCGTCTCAAAACAAAACAAACCAAAAACAACAACAAAAAGAAAATTCAATAAGATGACTGGGTACACAGTGAATATTTTTTAAAAAAACAATAGAATTCCACCGGGTGCGGTGGCTCATGCCTGTAATCCCAGCACTTTGGGAGGCTGAGGCAGGCAGATCACCTGAGGTCGGGAGTTCGAGACCAGCCTAACCAACATGGAGAAAACCCGTCTCTACTAAAAATACAAAATTAGCTGGGCATGGTAGCGCACGCCTGTAATCCTAGCTACATGGGAGGCTGAGGCAGGAGAATTGCTTGAACCTGGGAGGCAGAGGTTGTGGTGAGCCAAGATTGCGCCATTGCACTCCAGCCTGGGCAACAAGAGTGAAACTCCATCTCAAAAAAAAAAAAAAAAAATAGAATTCCAATATACAAATAACAGCTCTTTAGAAAAAGTCCCTCTTATGATAGATGCTAAAATGAAAATACCCAAGAATAAACTAAGAAGTATGCAAAATCTTTTGGCATGATTTTCTCCCTTTGAGATCTGAAAGACGCAAGAAATCCTCTTGAGGAAACGGAGGTGCTTTAGCTTGTTAAGAAAGCTCCTGACTCACAGGCTGGGTGGGGTTGCTCATGCTTGTAATCCCAGCACTTTGGGAGGCCAAGGTGGGTGGATCACTTGAGGTCAGGAGTTCGAGACCAGCCTGGCCACTATGGAGAAACCCCGTCTGTACTAAAAATATAAAAATTAGCCAGGCTTGGTGGCACATGCCAGTAATTCCAACTACTGGGGAGACTGAGGCAGGAGAATTGCTTAAACCCGGGAGACGGAGGTTGCAGTGAGCTGAGATTGCGCCATTGCACTCCAGCCTGGGTGACAGAGCAAGACTCTGTCACCAAAAACAAAAACAAAAACAAAAGGATCCTGACTCACTTTGAAATAGGACAGGTGAGTGTCCTGGAAAGCCAAGGTGTGGTCCCTGCAACTCATGGCTTCTTGGAGAGCCTCGGCGGCTGATTCTGGGTTCATAAAATGAAGGTGGAGTCCAGAGCATCTGAGATTGGGCAGAAGCTCAGAAGCTAGCTGCAAAGTCCGTGACTCAGGGGTTAGAATCTGCCTGGGAAGGAAACCGGGGACAAGACTGTCCTGTTTTCCATGAGCATTTATGAGAACGATGGCATACACATGTGTCTGCATGAGCGTGGACATTCCTGTAGGATGCTGGGGAAACTGGTAACAGTCGTTCCTGGGTAGGGGAGGTGGGCGGGGACAGAGGTGGGAGGCATACAGAAATGTCACTGGTTGGTTTTGTTCCTTTTATTTTTTGAGACAGAGCCTTGCTCTGTAGCCCAGGCTGGAGTGCAGTGGCGCGATCATAGCTCACTGCAGCCTCCAACTCCTGGGTTCAAGCGATCCTCCTGTCTCAGCCTTCTAGTAGCTGGGACTACAGGTGTGTGCCACCACACCCAGCTAATTTTTAAATTAAAATAAATTAAATTAATTTTTTAATTTTCATTTTTTAAAATTTTCTTTTTTCCAAAACTTTATTTACATTGAAGAACTAGATTTTTAAGTTTTTTGTAGAGATGGGGTCTCGCATCTCCAAGCTGGTCTCAAACCCCTGGCCTCAAGTGATCCTCCTGCCTTGGCCTCCCAAAGTGCTGAGACAAAGGCATGGGATTATCCCCACACCTGGCCTCAAACTTGCTTGTGTTTATGAATCACCAAGGCTGTGACTCAGCAGGTCTACATGGGGCCTGAGACTGTGTATTTTTAACAAGCCTCCAGCTGATGGCGATGCTGCCTGGATGAGGCATTTTACATTTTGTGGAACAAAAATCTTCCAGGTGTTGGCCTGGCATGGTGGCTCACACTTGTAATCCCAGCACTTTGGGAGGTCGAGGTGAGAGGATCTCTTGAGGTCAGGAGTCTGAGACCAGCCTGGCCAACATGGTGGAACCCCATCTCTACTAAAAATACAAAAATTAGCCGGGCGTGGTGGTGTGCGCCTGTAATCCCAGCTGCTCGGGAGGCCGAGGCAGCAGAATTGCTTGAACCTGGGAGGCGGAGGTTACAGTGAGCCCAAATCATGCCATTGCACTCCAGCCTGGGTGACAGAGTGAGACCCTGTCCTGCCACCTTCCCCCCACAAAAAGACACTTTTTTTTTTTACACAGTCGAAAAATATATTTTATTATTATTATTTTTTATGCTTTTTAAAACTTCTATTTTAGGTTCAAGGGTACATGTGCAGGTTTATTATGCAGGTAAATTGCATGTCACAGGGGTCTGGTGTCCGTGACTCAAATAAAGAAAGAAATGAATGTCTTCCTACCAGCTCCAGGAACGTTGCACCACCAATGTATCTTTAAAGTGTCCTCGTGGTGACAAAATAATCTGCACGCCAAAGGACACTTAGATACATTTGTCAAGGCAGGCGGATCACCAGAGGTCAGGAGTTGGAGACCAGCCTGACCAGCATGCTGAAACCCCCTCTCTACTAAAAATACAAAATTAGCTGGGCATGGTGGTGGGCGGGCACCTGTAATCCCAGCTACTCGGGAGGCTGAGGCAGGAGAATCGCTTGAACCCGGGAGGCTGAGGTTGCAGTGAGCAGAGATCGCGACACCGCACTCCAGCCTGGGTGACAGAGTGAGTGAGACTCTGTCTCAAAAAGAAAAAAAAAAAATCATCCAGGCGCTGCTGCTGCTGGCCCTCGCACCACATTTTGCCCCTCACGGATTGACCATGGCTCAGACCTGCACCATGAGCTGCATCTGGGATTTGCTAGAAGTGCCTGCTCTCAGGCCCCACCCCAGGCTACTGCCTTGGAATCCGTATTGTGCAAGATCCCTGTAGCCGGCTAGGAACATTGCCATGGGGTGTGAGCGCTGGGCCGGGGCACTCCCTGTCTTGGTCCTCTGGTCTCACCAGCTAATAGCGTAGGAGATGTTCTTTGAACAACTGCCTTTCCCCATTTTCTCACCGCTGCACAGCAAAGGGAGAGGAATGATGAGCAAATGTTCCCAATCTGCTCCGACCTTCCCGGATCAAAAGCCCTGGTCACGAGGGTGATGTTGCACGTTTTCCCGCTGAGTTGGCTGCCGCTTTGATCATCCTGGCGAGGACTCCTGTGTCCTGGAGATGGCAGTGCAGGATGGGAATTGAACAGAAAACCCGCAGCAGCTTCTCCCCGACTTCACGCCATCAGTCCTGCTGTAATCTTCTGAACTGGCCTGTTGTTCTCCGGGGCTCCTGGTCTGAGCTGTAGCTCTTAGAATACATCCAAAGCACCAGTTAGAGCAGCGCCGCCCTGAGCAGCTCTCAACAGCACAACGTGGGACATGGTTGGGAGGCTGGCACGTGTCAGCTGGAGTGGGAGAGCATTCCTTTAATTATCCTACCCACGTTTATTGATCACCTACTGTGTGACAGGCAGCCTGCTGAGTGCTAGAGACGCAGATTCCATGCAAAGGAAACAAATAGCAATTAAGCATCACCCTAAAGCAATGCCCGTGAACTATGCAGACGTGCTACCTGGGGGAGCTGAGAACAGCCCTAAGAAAGGCTTTGACCTCGTCTGGAGGCGAGATCCTAGGGTGCAGCAGCAGGCACTGGGCAGGAAGCATGTTTAGTGGCTTTAAAGCGAAAACACAGCTATGCATGTTTGCACAAAACACAGAGTTCTTGGGCCGGGCG
Source organism: Homo sapiens (assembly GCF_000001405.40). Lineage (NCBI taxonomy): Eukaryota > Metazoa > Chordata > Mammalia > Primates > Hominidae > Homo > Homo sapiens. The sequence continues at coordinate 4,631,240 of NC_000007.14, read as the reverse complement.
GGTGGCTCATGCCTGTCATCCCAACACTTTGGGAGGTTGAGGCGGGAGGATCGCTTGAGCCTGGGAGTTTGAGACCATCCTGGGTAACGTGGCGAGACCCTGTCTTTACCAAAAATACAAAAAATTAGCTGGGTGTGGCGGTGTGCACCTGTATTCCCAGCTACTCGGGAGGCTGAAGCAGGAGGATGGCTTGAGCCCTGGAGGTCCGGGCTGCAGTGAGCTATGATTGCACTATTGTACTCCAGCCTAGGTAACAGAGTGAGACCTTGTCTCAAAAAAAAAAAAAAAAAAGTTCTTGATAGTTTCCCCTTCTTGCTGGTAATGAACTAGGCTTAGGCAGTCAAAGCTGGAATTTATAGGCTGGGTGCAGTGACTCATGCCTGTAATCCTAGCACTTTGAGAGGCCGAGATGGGCGGATCGCCCGAGGTCAGGAGTTCGAGACCAGCCTGACCAACATGGCAAAACCCCATCTCTACTAAAAATGCAAAAATTAGCCAGGCATGGTGGCACATGCCTGTAATCCCAGCTACTCGGGAGGCTGAGGCAGGAGAATCGCTTGAACCCAGGAGGCGGAGGTTGCAGTGAGCCGAGATCGTGCCGCTGCACTGTAGCCTGGGCAACAGAGTGAGACTCCATCTCAAACAACAAACAAAAAAACCCAAAAAAAGCTGGAATTCATGGAACATGGTGTTACTCCAAGGGTGCTATAGCTTTTTGGTAGGGATGGCCCCAAATTACAGGGAAATACCTGCCCTTGAAGCTCTCAGCTTGTGGTCCCCGAGAGCGTGTACCATGGGCAAGATGTGGCTCTGGGCCATTTGGAGAAGCAATGGCCACCTCTTAGCCACCAGGAGATGCTGCTTTTATTGGAGACATTGAAAAGTGCCCATGAAAAGGAAACGTACAGCGCACCGTGGTTTATTAAATGGCCAACACATGCTAGGGGTGGAGGAGAGAGTCGGGGAGTTCAGAGGAAAGAAGGGGGTTCCTGGGGAAGAGTGGGGGTCTCGTACACAGTAGGGTGGGGGCTGAGGGGAGTACAGTGTGGACAAAGAGACTGAGGAGTGGGTGGGCAAGGCTGATGGCAGAGCAGGAGTCAGGAGGGGAGAGGCCAGGCCTCCTCTCTGCACCCACCCGGTATCCTGAGACTCAGATTGAAGGGCTCCAGGGCCCACTTCTCCCTGAAACTGTCAGCTTTGTCTTAAATATGCTCCTACATAGTTTGCATTCTACTCCGTGATATAAGCACGTTTAGCATTAAAATACTGTTTTGAATTGCTCATTCAATTATTGTTTTTTTTTCTCTCTCTCTCTCTTTCTATTTCTCAAGACAAATGGGGGCTTCAGGAAGAGGCAGGCGTTTTAGGTGCAGGCCGCACACCAAACTCGACAGATGGATGGGATGGGCGAGGTTTTCTTCCCTGGGTGCATTGGAGCCTGGGTTCAAATCCCATGAGACCTACCCATGTGACCTGGTGGGGGCTCCTTCTCCTCTCGGAGCCTGACTGAGCTCCCCAAAATCATCAAGGGGGATGAATCACCTGAGTGGGGGTGAGTATTGAATGAGCAAATGCCTGCAAAAGACTCAGCATAGCACATAATAAATCTCTAGCAAATGTTGGATGTGACAGACATCTGGAACAGATCACAGAGGGCCTTGAATGGCCCACACTTCAAAACCCATGCCCAGGTGGGGGTGGAAGACTTGGGTCCTCAGAGTTTCATTCACTGTTGATGGGTGTAGAAGCATATGATCAGGGGTAAGAACCTGGTTGGCGCTGGCCCAGGGAGGGGGGTTGAGGGGAAAGGAGGGGGGTTGAGGGGAAGGAACGGGCTGGCTGGGAGGTGGCCCTGTGAAGGGGACCCTGGCAGCAGCAGCAGCTTGCTGATGTACCAGTGAAAATCGGCTTGGAATTGTGAAAGACAGATGCCCATTCAAAGCCAGCAGACTTGAGCACCCTGACCTGGTGGTGTGGAAATGGATCGCCATTTATCAGATTCCAGGGATGATTTTTTTTTCTCACCACAGAAAGGCATCTTCTCACCCTCCTTTTCCCCGAGGTCTCTTCCTCAGATTGTTATTATATATTCTTTGGCTTATTTACCCATTAAAAATTATATATTATATAATATGTAATATATAATATATATTATATAATAGAGACAGGGTCTCACTGTGTTGCCCAGGCTGGTCTCCAACTCCTGGGCTCAAGTGATCCTCCCCCCTTAGTCTCCCAAAGTGCTGGGATTACAAGTGTAAGCCACTGCACCCAGCCTATTAGCCGATTTATTTTAGTTTAGTTTTGAGACAGGGTCTTGCTCTGTCACCCAGGCTGGAGTGCAGTGGCACGATCTCAGCTCACTGCAACCTCCACTTTCCAGGTTCAAGTGATTCTCATGCCTCAGCCTCCAAAGTAGCTGAGATTACAGGTGCGCATCACCACACCTGGCTAATTTTTCTATTTTTAGTAGAGACAGGGTTCACCATGTTGCTCAGGCTGGTCTTGAACTCGTGGCCTCAAGTAATCCACCTGCCTTGGTCTCCTAAAGTGCTAGGATTACAGGTGTGAGCCACTGCTTCTGGCCCTGTTTGCCCGTTGTAAATGTCTGTTCATTTAGCATCCATCTCTGCCCTGGATAGTAAACGCTGCTGTGAAGGCCGGGGTTGTGTCTCTTGTACGCCCACACCCTGTAGAGTACTTGGCACTTGAGAGATGTTCACTAGTGATTTGTTTTTGTGTTGGTCAATCCAAACGCTCGATGTATACAGCATGTCCTTATTTAAGCCCCACAAACTCCAAGAGGTAGGTAGAACCTACCTCTTTTACAGATAAAGAAACTGAGGCCGGGCGCGGTGGCTCACGCCTGTAATCCTAGCATTTTGGGAGGCCGAGGCAGGTGGATCACGAGGTCAGGAGATCGAGACCATCCTGGCTAACACGGTGAAACCCCATATCTACTGAAAAAAAACATACAAAAAAAAATTAGCCGGGCGTGGTGGCAGGCACCTGTAGTCCCAGCTACTCGGGAGGCTGAGGCAGGAGAATGGCGTGAACCCAGGAGGCAGGGCTTGCAGTAAGCAGAGACCGCGCACCACTGCACTCCAGCCTGGGTGACAGAGCGAGACTCCGTCTCAAAAAAAAAAAAAAGAAACTGAGGCCGAAAGAGAGGTGGAGTCACTTGTCTTAATGCACACACCTGGACAGCATGGTTGGCGATGGGAACTCAGGTGTCACTGGCTGCATAGACCCTGTGCCTCCCTTAAAACCAAACTGCCTTCAGCCTAAGAGGATGGGCTCTGGGGTAGACAGACTGGCTTTGCAAAGATGGCGGACTTTTGGGTGACAGTGTCCAAAGGACGCTTGCAGACTGGAAGGATCTTGGATTTGGGAAGGACAGTGGAGGACACCACTAAGATCTTTCGTCCTGGCTGGACTCTTCTTCATCTTCATGGGAGGTGGTTGGTCGTCTGGGACCCGCAGAAATGCACGCGGTGGTGGTAATTTCCCATCACAAAAGACAAACCAGCTCTTTTTTCCCAAGAGGTTTCATTAAGCTCTTCATTCTCAGCCAGTATCTGTTTTTCTGGTCACGAAAATGATAAACAGGACAGAGCCAAGAGGAGAACTGTGAGGTCTCAGGACCTTTCTCTGGATTGACATCAGCTCAGTAATCAAATCCTTGCATGCGGTGGGTCATTCTACTGCATCTGAACCCACACTTACTCCACTCTCCTCCAGCCCATATTCGTCTAACTCGCCCGTGGGATTGTCATGAGACCTTTGTCAAATGTCTGGCTGAAATCCTGATATGCAATCTCTTTAGTCTTCCCTTCTCCAGAAGGAAAATGAGCTTCCTTTGGTTCGAATATTCCTGGTGGGTCCTGGCTGTCTCCTAAGGACCACCCATCTGTGCCTTGTTCCCATAGGATTTGCAAGATTTTAGAATTTTTGCCTAGCTGCAAGACGTAGAGCTCTGCAGCTTCCAGAATCTGCCCTTCCTTTTTTTTTCTTTTTTGCAAAGTGGGACATCTGTTCATCTCTCCTCTCCTTGCACCTTCCTACTCCTTGGGGTTCTCTGAGGATGGAGACCATCCAGAGGTGGCTCTGGAGCCTGACAAAGCAGGAATGTACAGTAACTGTGGATCTGAACTGAACAAACTCTAATTCTGCAGCTGCGTCCGCATGTTCTGCCATGTCTGCGATCATCTTGATTTCTCTTATCCTAACCTGTCTCCCCCTTTAGTTATTCTTCAAAAAAATTCTTTTTGGTAACTATAAAAGTAACATGTGCCTATCAAGAACCCTAAAAATAATCAAATAAAAATCATCCATAATTTCATTGTTCAAAGATAATGATGACCAGTGACCAGTCTTCCTGAATTTTAATTAATTAATTAATTTTTAAAGATGGTGCCTCCCTATGTTACACAGGCTGGTTTCGGACTCCCAGGCTCAAGTGATCCTCCCACCTAAGCCTCCTGAGTAGCTGGGATTACAGATGCATGCCACCACACCTGGCTTCTTCCTGAGTTTTGGACTCAAGATTTTCAACACCCTGGGCTGGGCCTGGTGGTTCATGCCTGTAATCCCAGCCCAGCCCTTTGGGTGGCTGAGGTGGGAGGATCGCTTGAGGCCAGTAGCTGGAGACCAGTCTAGGCAATATAGTGAGATCCCGTCTCTATAAAAAATAAACACAATTATCCAGGTGTGGTGATGAGTGCCTGTGGTCCCAGCTACTCGAGAGACTGAGGTGGGAGGATCTCTGGAGCCTGCCAGGTTGAGGCTGCAGTAAGCCAAGATGGTGCCACTGCACTCCAGCCTGGGCAACGGAGCAAGACCCTGTCTCAAAAAAAGAAGAAAAATTCCAGCAGCCTGCAGAATATTTCCACCAGTGTATCTCTGAAATATCTCAAGCTCTATCTGACCCCAATCAACCTCACCTTCTTCCCCTTGCACACTGCTCCTGAGTTTCCCGGATTGAATAATAGCATCACCATTCACCAAATCACCCAAGACAGAAGTCTTGCATTATCTTCTGTTTGACCCCCACCATCCAATTATTCATCAGGACCTGCCCAGTCCAGCTCCCTGAAATGTCGTTTCCCATCATTACCCTCACTTCCCAGTCCTCTAAAGCAGGCCCTTATCTCTCATCTGCCTTATTGCAACAACATTCTTACTGGTTTTCTAACCTTTAATCTCTCCCGCTGGGGCAATCTAATCTCTACATTGTTGCTGAGATAAGATCATGTTTATTCCTCTGCTCAAAAACTTCAACAATACTGTTACAGAAAAATTCGGCAGGACATTCAAAGCTCTACATCATTTGTTCCAAATTTCTGTTCTCTATTCTCATCTCCTACTCAAATGCCAACAGGAAGCGTACTCTGATTTTGAAGAATTAACGACCCCGGTCTCTGTTCTCCCATGGTGCTTGGATAGGTTATCTTTAACAGTTCTTACCAATCATTTTTTGCTCTGTGGCATGCATGTATATCTTGCTCCCTTTCTAGAATGGGAACTTGTTGATGTCAGGGACTGTTTCACTTCTCTTTGTGTGACTGGAGAGACCCACATAATTGTCCAGGTTGATTTAAGTATAGAATCCATTTGGACATGGAAACTCTCTCTCTCTCTTTTTTTTTTTTTAAAGAGATGGGGGCTGGGCATGGTGGCTCATGCCTGTAATCCCAGCACTTTGGGAGGCTGAAGCAGGCAGATCACCTGAGTTCAGGAGTTTGAGACCAGTTTGGCCAACATGGAGAAATCCTGTCTCTACTAAAACAGAAAAATTAGCTGGGTGTGGTGAGGCATGCCTGTGATCACAGCTACTTCAGAGGCTGAGGAAGGAGAAATGCTTGAACCTGGGAGGTGGAGGTTGTAGTGAGCCGAGATCACGCCACTGCACTCCAGTCTGGGCAGCAGAGCAAGACCTTATTTCAAATAAATAAATAAATAAATAAATAAATAAATAAATAAATGGAGTCTTGATCTGTTACCCAGGCTGGAGTGCAGTGGTGCCATTATAGCTCACTGCAGCCTTGACCTTCTGGGCTCAAACGATTCTTGCATCTCAGCCTCTGGGAGTAGCTGTATCTACAGGTGCATGCCACCATGCCTGGCTAATTTAAGATTTTTGGTAGAGACAGGGTCTAGATGTGTTGCCCAGGATGGTCTCAAACTCCTGTCCTCAAGTGAGCCTCTCACCTCAGACTCCCAAAGTGTTAAGGATACAGGTATGAGCCACTCTGTCCGGCCTCAAACTCTTTTAAAGCACAAATATGCTATCTTAGTATCACCTTGCATATCTGGAGCTTCAGTTTTCTTTCTTTTTTTTTTTATTGATCATTCTTGGGTGTTTCTCACAGAGGGGGATTTGGCAGGGTCATAGGACAATAGTGGAGGGAAGGTCAGCAGATAAACAAGTGAACAAAGGTCTCTGGTTTTCCTAGGCAGAGGACCCTGCGGCCTTCCGCAGCGTTTGTGTCCCTGGGTACTTGAGATTAGGGAGTGGTGGTGACTCTTAATGAGCATGCTGCCTTCAAGCATCTGTTTAACAAAGCACATCTTGCACCGCCCTTAATCCATTTAACTCTGAGTGGACACAGCACATGTTTCAGAGAGCACAGGGTTGGGGGTAAGGTCACAGATCAACAGGATCCCAAGGCAGAAGAATTTTTCTTAGTACAGAACAAAATGAAAAGTCTCCCATGTCTACTTCTTTCTACACAGACAGGGCAACCATCCGATTTCTCAATCTTTTCCCCACCTTTCCCCCCTTTCTATTCCACAAAACCGCCATTGTCATCATGGCCCGTTCTCAATGAGCTGTTGGGTACACCTCCCAGACGGGGTGGTGGCTGGGCAGAGGGGCTCCTCACTTCCCAGTAGGGGCGGCCGGGCAGAGGTGCCCCTCACCTCCCGGACGGGGCTGCTGGCCGGGCGGGGGGCTGACCCCCCCACCTCCCTCCCAGACGGGGCGGCTGGCCGGGTGGGGGGCTGACGCCCCCACCTCCCTCCCAGATGGGGCGGCTGGCCTGGCGGGAGGCTGACACCCCCCACCTCCCTCCCGGACGGGGTGGCTGCCGGGCGGAGAGGCTCCTCACTTCTCAGACGGGGCGGCTGCTGGGCGGAGGGTCTCCTCACTTCTCAGACGAGGCGGCCGGGCAGAGATGCTCCTCACCTCCCAGACGGGGTGGCGGCCGGGCAGAGGCACTCCTCACATCCCAGACGGGGCGGCGGGGCAGAGGCGCTCCCCACATCCCAGACAATGGGCGGCCGGGCAGAGACGCTCCTCACTTCCTAGATGTGATGGCGGCCGGGAAGAGGCGCTCCTCACTTCCCAGATGGGATGGTGGCTGGGCAGAGACGCTCCTCACTTTCCAGACTGGGCAGCCAGGCAGAGGGGCTCCTCACATCCCAGACGATGGGCGGCCAGGCAGAGACACTCCTCACTTCCCAGACGGGGTGGCGGCCGGGCGGAGGCTGCAATCTCGGCACTTCGGGAGGCCAAGGCAGGCGGCTGGGAGGTGGAGGTTGTAGCGAGCCGAGATCACGCCACTGCACTCCAGCCTGGGCACCATTGAGCACTGAGTAAACCAGACTCCGTCTGCAATCCCAGCACCTCGGGAGGCCGAGGCTGGCGGATCACTCGCGGTTAGGAGCTGGAGACCAGCCCGGCCAACACAGGGAAACCCCGTCTCCACCAAAAAAATACGAAAACCAGTCAGGCGTGGCGGCGCACGCCTGCAATTGCAGGCACTCTGCAGGCTGAGGCAGGAGAATCAGGCAGGGAGGTTGCAGTGAGCCGAGATGGCAGCAGTATAGTTCAGCTTTGGCTCGGCATGAGAGGGAGACGGTGGAAAGAGAGGGAGAGGGAGACCATGGGGAGAGGGAGACCATGGGAGAGGGAGAGGGAGAGGGAGAGGTCATTTCATTGTTTGTGAGCAGCCCAGTTTTCTTTTTTAAAAAAGTTTAAATTAACTGGAATGGACATTATTTTTTCTTTGTTCCCCAGTTCTCCATTCCCCTTGGTTTCCTCTTGAGGAAGTGTCCATCCCTTTCCCCCTGGATGTCACCCAGTGGTGTTGGGTTGAGGTTTGTAAGCAGGGCTCCCCTCCAGAAGCCAAATGGTGTCACGTGAACCAAGGCAGACCCAACTGGTTGCTCTTCCTCTAGAAACTGAATCAGCAGCAAAAGAAGAAAGATTCTAAAAGTCAGTGGGGTTTTTTCCTGCCTTTCTTCCCCAGTCCCTGTTGTGGGGTCCTTTGTTTTAGAATGTGTCAAAATTAGGGCTTTCCTCCCTATATTAGTCCATTCTCACAATATAAAGACCTACTCAATACTGGGTAATTTATTAGGTTGGTACAGAAGTGTGGTTTTTGCCATTACTTACAATGGCAAAAACCACTATTACTTTTGCACCAACCTAATATAAAGGAAAGAGGTTTAATTGAGTCACAGTTCCACATGGCTGGGGAGGCCTCAGGAAATTTACCATCATGGCAGAAGGCAAAGAGGAAGCAAGGACCTTCTTCACATGCCAGCAGGAGAGAGAAGAGTGAAAGCGCAGGGGAAACTGCCATTCATAAAGCCATCGGATCTCGTGAGAACTCACTCACTACCACGAGAACAGCATGGGAGAAACCGCCCTCATGATCCAGTCACCTCCCACCAGGTCCCTCCCTCCCTCAACACCTGGGGATTACAATTCAAGATGAGATTTGGGTGGGGACACAGAGCCAAACCATATGACTCCCCTTGTGAGGTCAGAGCCCCCTTAAATTTTTGAAAATTACAATGAGAGGGAAATTCTAGGACTTCAAAGGGCTTTACTATCCTTTTATTCCCTCATAAACACTGCAGGAGTCCCCCCTTATCTGTGGGGATTATGTTCCAAGAACCCCAGTGGATGCCTGAAACCTCAGATAGTACCAAACCCTAATATACTATGTTTTATCCTATGTGTACATTCCAATAATAAAGCTTAATTTCTAAATTAGGCACAGTAAGAGATTAAAAACAACTAATAATAAAGTAGAACAATTATAACAATGCACTGTAATGAAAGTTAAGTGAATGTGGTCTCTCTCTAAAGTTAAGCGAATGTGGTCTCTCTCTCTCTCTCCTTCTTTCTCTCTCTCACAATATCTTTGTTTGTTTGTTTGTTTGTTTTGAGATAGAGTCTTGCTCTATCTCCCAGGCTGGAGTTCATAGGCGTGATCTCAGCTCACTGCAACCTCTGCCTCCCGGGTTCAAGCGATTCTCTTGCCTCAGCCTCCCAAATAGCTGGGATTACAGGCATGTTCCATCATGTCCAACGAATTTTTGTATTTTTAGTAGAGATGGGGTTTCTCCATGTTGGCAAGGCCGATCTCGAACTCCTGGCCTCAAGCAATCCACCTGCCTTGGCCTCCCAAAGTGCTAGGATTACAGGCATGAGCCACCATGCTCAGCCTACTCAATATCTTATACTGTACTAATCCTTTTCTTGTGATCTCTCGATCTGATAACCGTGATGGCTACTAAGTGACAACAGGTGGATAGTATGTGCAGTGTGGGTTCCCTGGACAAAGGTATCTATGTCCCAAGTGGGATGGAGCCGAGTGTTGCAAGACTTAATCATGCTGCTCAGAACAGCATGCAATTTAAAACTTATGACTGGTTATTTCTGGAATTTTTCATGTCATATTTTTGGGTCATAGTTGACCATGAGTGACTGAAACTGCAGAAAGCAAAACCGTGGTCAAGGGGGAACAACAGTATATTAAGCCATATGGAGATATTCCCTGTGGTGTTTCTAATTCTCTGCTGAGACAGGCTTCGTTGCTTGTCTAAACAACTGGGCTTCTGACCTGGCAAGGCTTATCTGATGTGGGCACAAGAGATCGTCCACCATGTCCAGGTCAGCATGGTGGAGAAAGCCTTCCTGACTGGAGAGATGGTGGAAACATCTATTTGTAACTCTTGTTTTATTTGCAACACTGAGTGGGTATGTTTCTCTCTGGAAACATCATAACTATAAGCAAGCAAAATCGGCCAGGCACGATGGCTCATGCCTGTAATCCCAGCACTTTGGGAGGCCGAGGCAGGCAGATCACCTGAGGTTGGGATTTGGAGACCGGCCTGGCTAACATGGTGAAACCCTGTCTCTACTAAAAATACAAAAAAATTATCCGAGGGTGGTGGTGGGCGCCTGTGATTCCAGATACTTGGGAGGCTAAGGCATGAGAATGGCTTGAACCCAGGAGGTAGAGGTTGCAGTGACCTGAGATCGTGTCACTGCACTCCAGCCTGGGTGACAGTGAGATTCTGTCTCAAAATAAATAAATAAATAAATAAATAAATAAATAAATAAATAAAATAAACAAGCAAAATCTCCCAAGAGGGACTTTTATTTGTTTTTAGTTATTTCTAAAATTAAAAAATATAGAGACAAGGTCTTGCTCTGTGGCCCAGGCTGGTATCAATCTCCTGGGCTCAAGACATCCTGAAGCCTCAGCCCCCCAAAGTGCTGGGATTAACAGGCATGAGTCACCATGCCTGGGTCAAAGAGAGACTTTTAGAAGGAAAATGTACAGACTTATACAGTCTCTTTTCTTGTCCCAACCCGTGACTTGGCTTCCAGGAAAGGGTGTGGCTTGCTTCTGTCTGCCAGTGACTGTTTATAGTCCCAGCTGCTCCTGCAAGGAGAGGACTCGCCTTGTGACAATGATGGGGCCACCCGTACCTTCCTGGGTATGGTTCTTGCTTTTTTATTTGTTTGTTTGTTTTGAGACAGAGTCTAGCTCTGTCGCCCAGGCTAGAGTGCAGTGGCGCGATCTCGGCTCACTGCAAGCTCCGCCTCCTGGGTTCACGCCATTCTCTTGCCTCAACCTCCTGAGTAGCCGGGACTACAGGCACCGGCCACCACGCCCAGCTAATTTTTTGTATTTTTAGTAGAGATGGGGTTTCACCGTGTTAGCCAGGATGGTCTCGATCTCCTGACCTGGTGATCTGCCCACCTCGGCCTCCCAAAGTGCTGGGATTACAGGCGTGAGCCACCGTGCCCGGCCCCTTGCTTCTTAAGTCTCGGGATGCCTTTGCTCCTGTTCCTGTTCCAGCCTGGTTCTCCAGATTCTCACTGGTCTTTTGAGCCCTGGGTGGGGACTGAGGGATGAGTTTGCAAGTAGCAGAAAAAGAGTGGCTTAAATATCAGAAGTTGGCAGCTCAGCCCAGGTCAGGTCTCCTGCTCTGTGGAGTCCCCATGTCCCAGGCTCTCCTTGTCTTTCTGTCCCCGCCATCCTCTGCATTCTCTGGGCTTCCATTCTCAAGGTTACCTCATGGTCTCAACTGCTGCTGCAGCACCAGCCATCACATCCATATTCCAGATAGGAGGAAGAAGAGTGGTTTAAAGGGCATTGTCTGCGGCACCGTGGCTCAAGTCTGTAATTGGGGGCTGAGGTGGGAGGATCACTTGAGGCCAGGAGTTCGAGACCAGCCTGGGCAACATAGCGAGACTTCCTGTCTCTAGAAAAATTAAAAATTTAGCTGAGCATAATGGTAGGCACCCGTAGTCTCAGCTACTTGGGAGGCTGAGGCAGGAGGATGGCTTGAGCCCAGGAGTTTGAGGCTGCAGTGAGCTATGATCACACCACTGCACTTCAGCCTGGATGACAGAGCAAGACTCCATCTCAAGAAAAAAAAAAGGCATAGTCAGCCACTTAAAAAAAAAATCTTTCCCAGAGTTCCAACCCAGTGACTTCCACTTCTGTCTTATTTTTCATCACAACAATGCATTCCCCGCCCAGAGAGCCATGATCGCACCACTGCACTACAGCCTGGGAAAAGGAGTGAGACCCTGTCTCTAAAAACAACAACAGCACACTCTTTATTTTGAAATAATTCTGTTTATAGGAAATTGAAGAAAAAAAGTACAGAGAAGTCCCACGTACTCGTCATTCTGTTTCCTCCAAGGGTAACATTTTGCATATCTGTAGTACAACATCAAAACCAGGAAATTGACATTGGTACAATCCACAGACCTAATTCTGATTTTAACAGCAAGCAATATACATACATCTGTGTGTGTGTGTGTGTGTGTGTGTGTGTGTGTGTGTGTTGAGACAGGGTATCCCTCCGTTGCCCGGGCTGGAGTGCAGTAGCGAGATCATGGCTCACTGCAGCCTTGACCTCCTAGGCTCAAGTGATCCCCCTGCCTCATCCTCCTGAGGAGCTGGGACTACAGGCATGCACCACCATGCCTGGCTATTTTTAAAATTTTTGTACAGACAGAGTCTCACTATGTTGCCCAGGTTGGTCTTGAACTCCTGGCCTCCAGTGATCCTCCCACCTTAGCCTCCCAACGTGCTGGATTATAGGCATGAACCACCACGCCTGGCTCTGTGTGTGTGTGTGTGTGTGTGTGTGTGATGTAATTTTATCACCTGTGCAGATTTGTGTGACGGCCACCACAATCAAGATGCAGAACTATTCCATCACTACTCCTTACAGTCACATCCACCCACTCACCCCAGTTCCTAATCCCTGGCAACGACTAATCTGTTCTTCCTCTCTGTAACGTTGTCATTTACATTTAAAGAATGTTTTATAAATGGATTCCTATAGTATGTAACCTTTTGAGACTGGCTTTTTTTTCCTCACTCAGCATAACTCCCTTGAGAACCATAGAAGTTATTATGGGTATCTATGGTTTGTTCCTTTATATTAATTATAAATTAATTATATAATTATAAATGAATAAAATTAGAAGTGTTCGGGGTGAGGATGTTACTGTTTCATTGAAGGGCAAGGGGTTTGTACTAGTCCATTGTCACACTGTAATGGAGAAATACCCCCTGAGACTGGGTAATTTATAAAGGAAAGAGATTTAATCGACTCACAGTTCTGCACTGCTGGGGAGGCCTCAGGAAACTTACAATCGTGGCTGAAGGCAAAGGAGAAGCAGGCACCTTCTTCCCAGGGTGGCAGGATGGAGTGAGCGCAAGCAGGGGAAATGCCAGATGCTTATAAAACCATCAGATCTCGGCCGGGGCGCAGTGGCTCACGCATGTAATCCCAGCACTTTGGGAGGCCGAGGTGGGCGGATCACGAGCTCAGGAGTTCGAGACCGCCTGGCCAACATGGCGAAACCCTGTCTCTACTAAAAATACGCAAAAATTAGCTGGGCATAATGGCGGGCGCCTGTAATGCCACCTACTTGGGAGGCTGAGGCAGGAGAATCGCTTGAACTCAGGAGGTGGAGGTTGCGGTGAGCCAAGATTGCACCACTGCACTCCAGCCCAGGTGACAGAGCGAGACTCTGTCTCAAAAAAAAAACAAAAACAGAAACAAAAACAAAAAAACCCCATCAGATCTCATGAGACTAACTCAGTATGAGGAGAACAGCCTGGGGGAAACGGCCTCATCATCCAATTACCTCCACGTGGTCCCGCCCTTGATATGTGGGAATTAATGGAATCATGGGGATTACAATTCAGAGTTGTTTTCCGTTTTTGGTTATTATGAATAAAGCAGCTCCAGACAATCATGTATAGGTTTTTGTGTCATCATAACTTTCCATTTCTCTCGTTTAAATGCCCAAGAGTGCAATCGCTAGGTTGTATGATACGTACATGTTTAGTTTTTGAAAAAACAGTCAAACTCTTTTCCAGAGTATCTGTACCAGTTTACATTCTCACCAGCAACATATGAGGGATCTAGTTTCCCTGCATCCTCACCAGCATTTTGTGTTGTTACTATTTTTGTTGTTGTTGAGACAGAGTCTCCATCTGTCGCCCAGGCTGGAGTGCAGTGGCACGATCTCGGCTCACAGCAACCCCTGCCTCCCGGGTGGAAGCAATTCTCCTGCCTCAGCCTCCTGAGTAGCTGGGACTTAGGCGCGCGACACCACGCCTAACTAATTTTTGTAATTTTTTTTTTTAGTAGAGACGGGGTTTCACCACGTTGGCCAGGATGGTCTCGATCTCTTGACCTTGTGATCGGCCTGCCTCGGCCTCCCAAAGTGATGGGATTACAGGCGTGAGCCACCACGCCCAGCGTTACTATTTTTATTTTATTTTTTACTTTAGCTGTTGTGGTAAGTGTCTCATGATATCTCATTGTGGTTTTAATGGGCATCTCTCCAGTAGGTAATGATATTGAACATCTTTTCATGTGTTTATTTTCCATCTGTGTATCTTTTTCAGTGAAATGTTTCTTCTTTTTTTTTTTTTTTTGAGACAGAGTCTCGCTCTGTAGCCCAGGCTGGAGTACAATGGCACTATCTTGGCTTGCTGCAACCTCCACCTCCTGGGTTCAAGCGATTCTCCTGCCTCAGCCTCCCAAGTAGCTGGGATTACAGGGACCCGCCATCAGGCCTGGCTAATTTTTGCATTTTTGTAGAGGTGGGGTTTTGCCATGTTGGCCAGGCTGGTCTTGAACTCCTGACTTCAGGTGATCCACCCGCCTCGGCCTGCCAAAGTGCTGGGATTACAGGCGTGAGCCACTGCACCCAGCCATGCCTCTTCATTTCTTTTGCCCATTTTCTAATTAGATTGTTTTTTACTGTTGATTTTTGAAGAGTTCCTTTTTAAAAAATATACTCCAAATACCAGTCCTTTGGGGTGCATGTGGTTTGCAAACATTTTCTGCCAGTGTGTAGCTTGTCTTTTCATCCTCTTAAACAGGGTCTTTTTTTTTTGAAAATCAAGATGCGATTTACATACCATAAATTCACCCTTTTAAAGTGTACAATTCAGTAGTTTTTAGTATATTTACAAAATTGTGCTGTCACTGCTGTTTAATTCCAGGACATTTTTTCTTATTCTAAAAATAACGCCACGCCCATGAGCAATCACTTCCCATTCTTCCCTTCCCTCCAGCCCCTATAATCTACTTTTTGTCTCTATGGATTTGCCTGTTCAGCCTATTTCCCATAAGTGGAATTGTACAATAGTGGCCTTTTGTGTCTGGCATCATTCATTTAGCATGACGTTTTCGAGTTTGATCTGTGCCGTAGCATGTATCAGAATTTCATTCCCTTTTATGACTGAACAACCTTCCATTGTATGGAATACCACCACTTATTTGTCTATCCATTGGTATCAGTTGGACTGTGTTTCCCACCAAAGCAAACTTTGCAGTCCTAGCCCCCAGAATCTGTGATTGGGACCTTATTTGCAAATGGAGTTGTTGCAGTTGTCATTGGTTAAGATGAAGTCCCCCTAGAGGGAGGTGAACCTTTAATCCATCATGACTGATGTCCATACAAGATGTACAGAGAAAAGACAAGAGGCCATGTGATAAGAGAGGCAGAGGTTGGAGTCATGCAGCCACGCGCCAAGGCCAGGAAGGTCCTCTCCTACAGGGTCAGGGTGAGCAGGGCCCTGCCAACACCTTGGTTTCAGGCGTCTAGCCTCTGGAACTGTGAAGCAATGCATCTCTATTGTTTTTTTTTTTTTTTGAGACAAAGTCTCATTCTGTTGCCCAGGCTGGAGTGCAGTGGTGTGATTATAGCTTACTGCAGCCTCCACCTCCTGGGCTCAAGCGGTCCTCCATCTCAGCCACCTGACTAGTTGCCACCACAGGCATGTGCCACCATGCCCAGCTAATTACAATTTTTTTTTTTTCTGTAGAGACAGGGTCTTGTTATGCTGCCTAGGCTGCTCTCGAACTCCTGGCCTCAAGCGATCCTCCTGGTGGAGCCCTCAACCAAGTGTTGGGGTGACAGGTGTGAGCCACCGTGCCCAGTTGCATTTAGTAATAATAATATTATTACTTTTATTATTTTTGAGACAGAGTCTCGCTCTGTCACCCAGGCTGCAGTGCAGTGGCCCAATTTCAGCTCACTGCAACCTCCGCCTCCCAGATTCAAGCGATTCTCCTGCTTCAGCCTCCCAAGTAGCTGGGACTACAAGTGAGTGCCACCACATCTGGCTAATTTTTGTATTTTCAGTAGACATGGGGTCTCACCATACTGGCCAGGCTGGTCTTAAACTTCTGACCTCAAATGATCCACCCACCTAGGCCTCCCAAAGTGCTGGGATTACAGTTGTGAGCCACCATACCTGGCCTAATATTATTGGACAATTCTCACTCTAGTCCTGAGAGGTTGGCGTTCTTGTGTCCATTGCACAGATGGGACATTTGGAGGGCAGAGAGGGCCAGTGGCCTATCCCAGGGCGCGTGGTTAGTGAGTGGCAGAGCTCCCAGGTCTTTGAGCTCCCAGACCTTCCCAGGTCTTTGAGCTCCCAGAGCTTCCACCTGCTCTACTGCATAGCAGACTTGATTCCAGGAGAAGAAAATCTATCTTCCGCTTCAAACTAAGGGAAGACCACTGGAACTTAGATTAGTTTATTTAAAATCAAGGTTCAGGCTGGCGCAGTGGCTCACGCCTGTAATTCCAACACTTTGGGAGGCCGAGGCGAGTGGATCACCTGAGGTCAGGAGTTCGAGACCATCCTGGCCAACACAGTGAAACGTAGTCTCTACTAAAATGCAAAAATTAGCCGGGTGTGGTGGCAGGCACCTGTAGTCCCAGCCACTCAGAAGCCCGAGGCAGGAGAATCACTTGAACCTGGGAGGTGGAGGTTATAGTGAGACAAGATCATGCCACTATACTCCAGCCTGGGTGACAGAGTGAGACTCTGTCTCAAAAATAAAAAATTAAAATAAAACAAAATCAAGGTTCAGAAACACATGGGTTAAGAAGGTTTTTCTGGTTGGGTGTAGTGGCTCATGTCTGTAATGCCAGAACTTCAGGAAGCCGAGGCGGGTGAATAACGTGAGTCCAGGAGTTTGAGACCCGCCTGGGCAACATGGTGAAACCTGGTCTCTACAAAAAAAAAAAAAAAAAAAAAAAAAAAAAAAAAATTAGCCAGGCGTGGTGGTGCATGCCTGTGGTCCCAGCTACTGGGGCTGGGGGGCTGAGGTGGGAGGATCACTTGAGCCCAGGAGGTCAAGGCTGCAGTGAGCTATGATTGCACCACTGCACTCCAGCCTGGGCCACAAAGCCAGACCCTGTCTCAAAAAAATAAAAAAGAAGGCTATTCTGGGAACAGGCTTGTCTGCTGGTGGGTGCCGTCCTGATGTTGGCCATCCTAGACAGTGCATCTCGAGTTCCAAGCTACGGATGTGGGCATGAGCCCTGGAGTGTGGCCTGTGTCTGTCTGTGAACTGAAATAAAACATTGCAACCCGAGTCATAGCCAATCCTGGAAATGATGATGACTGCTTGCAAACACGTTGCAAGCCTCTTGCTTGTGCTTGCAGAAACTTGATACACAGGCCTGTGTGCGGGAGGCGGGAGGCCCGGGCCATTTGGGTCTCCCGTTTCTGAATCTGAAAAATGCTAGAATCCATTTTCCCCTCGGTTTTAGGTCAGGTTCCCCAGAAGCAAACTCTGTGGTAAGGAATTGTGTGCAAGCCACGTAGGAATGCCGTGGTCCCGGGAGGTCTGGAAGGGAGTAGGAGGAGGGGACCCAGGAGCCAAGCCAGAGTAAGGTCCTTTGGCAAAATCCCCCTGGGGTGGCTTTGGCCCAATCCTGCAGGAAGGCACTGCAGCGTAAGTTATGCCCCAGGGTCTGTCCAGACTCAGGCAAAGGGAGCGGGGCTTTCACTTTCTGGAATCTGCTCGCCATTGGCTAAGAGCTGGCTGGGGGGACAGGAACCCCAGGCACCTCTCAATTTCTGCTTGCATAGGCAGAACAGCTCCACAGGGGCCGAGTGTGAGAGACAAAGCACCCGGGAGCAAGGGGAGGAGGAAAAGAGTCGTGAGATCTGCAGGGAGCTCAGATGGTCTCTGCACAGTCATTCTCACCGGCACTTGTGGACATCGAGTCTACGATAACTTCATAGTCTCTCCTGCCTGTGCTCAGGACTCCTCGATGTCTCCATTTCTGAACTGGTGGGGGGTTGGAGGGCTGCTCTTCCTGCTGGAATCATAAATCAACATTGTCAGGTGCCAACGTGATGATAAATTGTTGGATGATATGCTGATAACGCATAGCGTTTTCATTTCCTCGGAAAAACAAGGCCAAAGACACTTTCGAATTGCAAATGCCAGCCCCGTTACAGGGGCGGCTGCAAGGAAGGATTTCTGGTCAGCAGATATGGGAAGTCGGCCCGAGAACACAGGCAAAGGAAGTGGGTTTCCTCTGCAGGAATGCAAAGTCACCAACTCCAGGCAGTCCTGGAATGAACCTTACACCTAGAGGCGGCGATGCTTGAATGCGGTGGTTTTCTCTCCCTGCCCTCTTCCTTCTTTCTGTCTAACACACACATATGTAATTGTCTTTTGAGATGTGTATTGGAGTATAGCATGTAGACAGAAAAACGTGCAAAGCAGGACTGTGAAAGGATGAAAGTGAACTCACCCACGTGCCTACCGCTCAGGTCAAGAAACAGAACCTCCCTAGCCCCTTAGAACAGCAGTCCCTAAGCTTTTTGGAACCAGGGACCAGTTTCGTGGAAGATAATTTCTCCGTGGGCCCGGGTCGGGGAGATGGTTTTGAGATGATTCAAGCAGATTACATTTATTGTGCATTATATTTCTATTATTATTACATTATAACATAGAATGAAATAATTCTACAACTTTCATAATGTAGAATCAGTGGGAACCCTGAGCCTGTTTTCCTGCAACTAGAGGGTCCTGTCTGGGGGCGATGAGAGACAGTGGCAGATCATCAGGCATTAGATTCTCATAAGGAGCAAACAACCTAGATCCCTCGCATGCGCGGTTCACAATAGGGTTTGCGCAGTTGATCTGACAGGAGACGGAGCTCAGGCGGTAATGCGAGCGATGGGGAGTGGCTGTAAATACAGATGAAACTTCACCTTCCTGCCCGCTGCTCACTTCCTGCTGAACCTCCCGGTTCCTAACAGGCCAAGAAGTGGTACTGGTACCAGGAGTTGCCTTAGCACGTTCCCTTGTGTCTATTTTTTTTTTTTTGAGATGGAGTCTCACTCTATTGCCCAGTCTGGAGTGCCGTGGTATGATCTTGGCTCACTGCAGCCTCCACTTCCTGGGTTCAAGCGATTCTCTTGCCTCAGCCTCCTGCGTAGCTGGGATTACAGGCGTGTGTTACGATGCCCGGCTAATTTTTTTTTTTTTTTAATTTTTAGTAGAGACGGGGTTTTGCCACGTTGGCCAGGCTGGTCTCGAACTCCTGACTTGCCTCAACCTCTCAAAGTGCTGGGATTACAGGTGTGAGCCCCTGTGCCTGGCCCCTTGTGTCTCTTTTCAGCCACTACCCATTTACCTCTAAGGGAAACTGCTATCGCAACATCAAACACCAGAGATTAGCTTTGCCTGCTGTTTACGCTTTATGGAAACAAAATCACATGGGATGTTCTCTTCACTGACTTAAGGTGACTTTTATGAGATTTGTCCTCATATATTACTATGCATAGTAGCAGTTGGTGCGTTTGCACAGCGGAATATATTTCCCATGTGAATATAGCACAAGTTACCCTTTCCGTTACTGATGGACAGTGGAGCTCATTGCAGTGTGGGCCATTGCAGACAGTGTGCCTATGAATGGTCTGGAACATGTTTTGGGTACACCCGGTATGGGTGCTGCTGGATATACACCGAGTGGAATTGCTGGGTCATGAATGTTTGTATGTTCAACTTGATTAAGGGCTGCCGAAAAGTTCCGAATGGAGGTGTACCTACTTAACCTCTACCAGCAATGTAGGGACCCCGGTTCCTCTCCAACCTCACCAATGCTTGCTATTTGGAACTTCCATTTTTATAACTCAAAAGAGTAGGATCATTAATTTCAATACTCCCCACCTTCAGGGCTGCTGCTACGTTTACAAATTTTTTATTTTTTTTGAGACAGGGTCTTGCTCTGTTGTCCAGGCTGTAGTGCAGTGGCGTGATCATAGCTTACTGCAGCCTCCACCTCCTAGACTCAAGTGATTCTCCTGCCTCAGCCTTTCAAGTAGCAGGGACCACAGGTATGCAATACCATGCCTGGCTAATTTTTAAAATTTTTTTAGAGACAGGGTCTTACTATGTTGCCCAGGCTGGTCTTGAACTCCTGAGCTGAAGTGATCTTCCTTCCTCGTACTCCCAAAGTGCTGGGATTACAGGTGTGAGCCACCACACCTGGCCTGCTGTTAATTCTTGTAACACCTTTGTGTGGATTAAAGAAGGACAGATTATTCCAACTGCTGAACATTTTTGTGACGTGCCATGGAGCATGACATGTGACTGCCCTCTGCTGGAAAACTGGGGAAATTCTTAGTACAAATCTTAGATGCCTAAGAGGACACCTCTTAGGTGTGGTGCCCTTGGGCAGTGCACACTCTAGACGACCATGCATGGTGACCCTGGCTGTTCTCTACTCTTGTCAACACATACTGGAGGTAACGGCGAGGACTGCGGTGGAGGAAGCCCAGTGAAAGTTCACAAAATGGTGGTCCAGGGTTGAATCTGGCCTGCAGTTATGTTTTATTTGACTCACAGTGTTAACAAAAAATATTGGGCCAACATTTTAAAACTAGAGGATGGTGGTTGCCTAAAAACACAGAAAAATTGGCCGGGTGCCGTGGCTCACTCCTGTAATCCCAGCACTTTGGGAGGCCGAGGCGGGCAGATCACCAGAGGTCAGGAGTTCGAGACCTACCTCAACATGGAGAAACACCGTCTCTACTAAAAATACAAAATTAGCCGGGCGTGGTGGTGCATGCCTGTAATCCCAGCTACTCAGGAGGCTGAGGCAGGAGAATTGCTTGAACCTGGGAGGTGGAGGTTGCAGTGAGCCGAGACCGTGTCATTGGACTCCAGCCTGGGCAACAAGTAAGAAATTCCATCTCATAAAAAAAAAAGAAAAAAAAAAAAAAGAAAAATCAGAAAAACCAGAGGCAGAACTAAAGAAATTGGGCCGCCATCCCCAAATTTATATATGTATATAAAATATATATTTTATAATTTTAATTTTTTGAGACAGGGTCTTGCTCTGTCAGCCTGGAGTGTGGTGGCACGATCAGAGCTCACTGCAGCCTCAGCCTCCTGGGCTCAAGTGATTCTCCCACCTCAGCCTCCCAAGTGGCTGGGACTACAGGTGCACACCACCACACCCAGCTAATTCTTCTTCTTCTTCTTCCTTTTTTTTTTTTGAGACAGAGTCTCACTCTGTTACCCAGGCTGGAGTGCAGTGGTGCAATCTGGGCTCACTGCAACCTCTACTCCCGGGTTCAAGTGATTCTCGTGCCTCAGCCTCCCAAGTAGCTGGAGTTACAGGAGTGTACCACCATACCCAGCTAATTTTTGTATTTTTAGCAGAGACGAGATTTTGGCATGTTGCTCAGGCTGGTCTCAAACTCCTGGCCTCAAGTGACCTGCCTGCCTCAGCCTCCCAAAGTGCTGCAATTATAGGTGTGAACCACCGCGCCTGGCCGACTGGCTAATTACAAAATTATTTTTGGTAGAGACAGGATCTCATTATGTTGCCAGGCTGGTCTCAAACTCCTGACCTCAAGTGATCCTCCTGCCTCAGCCTCCCAAAGTGTTGGGATTAGAGGCATGAACCACCGCGCCCGGCCCCCATATTAAAATACAGAGCCTGATCTACACATGTGTCCCCAGTTAGCCTCAGTCTCCACCACTCTCTATTGTCTTCCATCCCCAATGCCTCTGTCAAGAACAATAGCAAAAGTACAACATGAGGACAGTGCAGCACCAGCCCCCCTGCCCCCACCCTGGCCCCGCCACCAGTCTCTTAACCTGTTGGTGGTACTGGCCTTGCGCTATAGGCATGAACATTTGTGATCGCCGGTCTTGACATTGATCAGGGACAAAAACAAAAACAAAACCAAAAAACCCCCCAAAAAACAAAAAAAACAAAAACTCAAAGCGATCATTCAATTGCAAAATAAAGTAACTCCTGCCTGTTTTGTGCTGGAGTGAGACATTCAGCTGATGAGATTCTGCGGAAGCGCAGCAGTGAAACAGCATGGAAGAACCGACATGACACATTCTGTTTTTATTTAAGGGACCTTTACCCATCCTTGCATGTAGGCTAGGATAATTTCATTTCTACATTTATTTATATTTATTATTATTAGTTTTTGAGACAGAGCCTTGCTCTGTGGCCCAGGCTGGAGTGCGGTGGTGCCACCATGGCTCACTGCAGCCTCCACCTCCCCGGCTCAAACCATCCTTCTGCCTTAGCCTCCCAAGTAGCTGGGACTATAGGTACGTACCAGCAGGTCTGGCTATTTTTTTTTTTTTTTTTACCATTTTATTTTATTTTATTTATTTTAATATTATTATTATACTTTAAGTTTTAGGGTACATGTGCACAACGTGCAGGTTTGTTACATATGTATACATGTGCCATGTTGGTGTGCTGCACCCATTAACGCGTCATTTAGCATTAGGTGTATCTCCCAATGCTATCCCTCCCCCCACCCCCCACCCCACAACAGTCCCTGGTGTCTGATGTTCCCCTTCCTGTGTCCATGTCTCTGGCTAATTTTTGTAATTTTTGTAGAGATGGGGTCTCATTATGTTGCCCAGGCTGTCCTCCAACTCCTGACCTCAAGAAATCCTCCCTCCTCAGCCTCTCAAAGTGTTGGGATTATAGGTGTGAGCCACCATGCTTGGCCATTTATCATTATCGTTAAATGAGAATGATTAGGCTGGGCGTGGTGGCTCACGTCGGTAATCACTTTGGGAGGCCGAGGTGGGTGGATCACCTGAGCTCGGGAGTTCAAGACCAGCCTGACTAACATAACAAAACCCTGTCTCTACTAAAAATACAAAAATTAGCTGGGCGTGGAGGTGTGTGCTTGTAGTCCCAGCTGCTGGTGAGGCTGAGGCAGCAGAATCGCTTGAACCCAGGAGGCGGAGGTTGCAGTGAGCGAGCTGAGATCAAGCTACTGCACTCCAGCCTGGGCGACAGAGTGAGAGTCCATCTCAAAAAAAAAGAAAGAAAGAAAAAAAAGAGAATGATCCTATTAATAATAATACCACCGTATACTGGGCACTTACTATATGTCTGGTGCTGTGTCATCTAATTTAATCTTCACAATGACTATCTGCCCTAATGTAGACACTATGATTAGCTCCAATTATAGAAGTATTTTTACAAGGAAGCAAATGGAAGGCTAAAGAGGTTGCAGTTTGTCCAAGATCACACTAATTGCAGAGCTCTCTTGGGTCTCTCTTCTCCTCCGCCCAGATATCATCTGGTTTAGTATCAGAACCCCTTCACGGGTAGCACCAGGTACAATCTAGATTCAACACCTGTGCTTTGTAATATCCCATGTGTCAGTGCAATACCGCTAAACGCATAACATCTTTCTAGGAAATGTGGGTCTTTTTGGTCTTTGATGTTACATGCTTTCAGACCCTAAAGGCTGAAAACCAATAAAGTCCTACTCCATCATCTTCCAGGGGTCTCCAGAGTGACCTGATGTTTTCACAAAGTCATACGGTGGCCCATCTGCGGCAGGTTGGAAGTCTGTGTTGTGGATTTTCTCCATCCACCGCTGGGTCTTAGAGTTCCCGGGTCTGGGAGGTGTCAGATCTCATTGCTGTTGAGAAAGGTTGAGCCAGTTTACATGTCGACTAGCAGAATGCAGCTGCCTCCTCTCCTGGAGAGACCTTTCTCAAATTGGCAGGTGTCAGCAGCCCTGATTCATGCCTGGGGTTTCGAAGTCTTCCTCCTGCTTGCAGGGAGCTCGGCTCATCTTTGATTCCAGCCACGGCACAGAGGCCGTGGTTCCTGCACTCTTGCTGGAATGGGTTCAGTCTTGCGTCGCTGAGAGGGCTTAACCAGGCTATTGTGGGATAACCAGCCCTGCACGACGCCCGCACAGGGGCGTGGTGAGGATCCAACGTGATGTGCGTATGAAAGTGTTTAGAGAAAGAGAAAATGCTGGGCACACACAGAGCATGATGATGACAGCGGAGGAGAAGCAAGAGGAGGAGGCGGACGGGAGGGCTTTTTATTTCTTCCTCTGGACTTGGTCCTAGGGTGGAAGCTTCCCTGCTTCTCATGCCGCTGTGACCTTGCGGGGGCTCCTCGGTCACGCGCGTGCTGGATCAGAGAGTGGCTCAGTTTCCTGACATTTCAGCTCCGCACTTTTATTTGCACTGGATCTTTCCATTGAAGACATCTGCCAGCGAGATTAAATAGAGCTTTTCTTGGGCCACGGAAAGGTGATTATTTGCATTACGTGGGAGTAGTCATCCATGAGAATGAAAAATTTCCCTCTTCAGAAGAAAATAAAGAGAGGCTGGCTGGATTCTGTCAACGCCATGACTCACGGGGAGGGTGACGCCTTTGGAAGGAAGGGGGTCTGCGGTGGTGCAGGGGTGACTATGGACATGAAATCTTCCCAGAGCGTGGAAGTCGAAACAGGTTGGATGTGTTCATTCACCTATTTCCTCATTAAACAACCATTTATGAAATACACACCTTGGCCTGTGCATTGACCCAGGCCTCTAGGGTCCAACGTGTAGGCAGAAATGGATACCCACATGGCTGATGATGTCCTGTGGGGGCACAGATGTGGGATAACTCAATGCTGCAGGGGAGCTGGGTGCCAGGGAATGTCCTGGAGACGACGTAACACTTGCACTAGGTCTTAAAGGGTGCGTATGAATTTTCCAGTTAGACAAAGAAGGAATAGGCATTGATGATGATGGAACGGTACATGCAAAGGCTCAGAGGCTGGAAACCGTAGGAGGTTTGGGGGCATGAGGGATGGCCTGGAGTGGGTGGAGCACCAGGCACTTGGGGAACAGGAGCTGAAATCAGGCTGTGAGAGCCTCTGACACTGCAGGGGACCTTATGGCTGCTTTCTTTATATATATATACATATTTTTTCGAGACAGAGTTTCACTCTTGTTGCCCAGGCTGGAGTGCAATGGTGCGCTCTCAGCTCACTGAAACCTCCGCCTCCCAGATTCAAGCGATTCTCCTGCCTCAGCCTCCCGAGTAGCTGGGATTACAGGCATGTGCCACCATGCCTGGCTAATTTTGTATTTTTAGTAGGGACGGGGTTTCTCTATGTTGGTCAGGTTGGTCTCGAACTCCCGACCTCAGGTGATCCACCTGCCTCGGCCTTCCAAAGTGCTGGGATTACAGGCGTGAGCCACCCACCGGCCTCTTTATATTTTCATTAAAAAGGGGCTATCTATCTCCAGGAGGGGAAAAATACCATTAAAGGGGGACTCTCTTGTCCTTTCAGAAGGAGGTTGGCTCTTCTGATTGACAGGCTGGGCTAAAACTCACTGCTAACACGCGTGTCTTCCTCCGTGGGACCTGTTTTCCTACTGCCAGAGGCATCCCCACATGCTCAGAGTCACAGCACACATGCTTGCCCTGTGTCCTGCAGTCCCATGAGCCTCCCCATGGCCAGCTGGGAGGCATTGGACACCCACACACACACAGCAGACAAACTCCTCAGATGTGGACTTGAAGGATCGTGGATCCCTGCATGACCGAGTGGAGCAGAGCACCCCCACCTTGGCCTGTTCCGTGAGTGAGAAGTACATTTTTATTTTATTTAAAATTTTAGAGACAGGGTCCCACTGTTGCCAAGGCTAGAGTACAGTGGTGTGATCATGGCTCACTGTAGCCTTGACCTGGCTCAAGCAATCCTCCTGCCTCAGCCTCTTGGGTAGCTGGGGCTACAGACACATGCCACCATGCCTGGCTAAATTTTTATTTTTTTGTGTGTAGAGATGGGATCTTGCTGTATTGCCCAGGCTGGTCTCGAACTCCTGGCTTCAAGTGATCTTCCCACCTTGGCCTCCCAAAGTGCTGGGATGGCAAACCATGAAAAACCATGCCTGGCATTTAAGCTGTTGAGTGTTTGAGGCTTGTTTGTTACAATGGCTTGCCTTACTGATACACCAGGTAAGAAAGGGAAGGTAGATGGAGAGGAGCAGAGCTGGCAAACGAAGACAGCCTCTCTTTGAGGCATATGCAGCATAGCTGGAAATCCACAGACACAACCCTGAAATGATGTATGGCGCCCCAAAGCAGGACACCCTAGCAGAGGCACCAGTTGGAACCCAGAGGGAGCAGGCATTTTGGGCAGGATTCCTAGTTGCAAACCACACAGGCCACTCTGGATAGAAAGGAATTTAGGTAGCTTAGTGACGTGTTGGGTGGGAAGGGGTTGGGACAGAGATCAGAGATCAGAAATGGAGGCCATGGGCTGGGCACAGCGGCTCACGCCTGTAACCCCAGCACTTCGGGAGGCTGAGGTGGGAGAATTGATTGAGCCTAGGAGTTCAAGACCAGCCTGGGTAACATAGTGAGACCCCATTTCTACACAAAATTTAAAGAAATTAGCTGGGCATGGTAGCGTGGGCCTGTAGTCCCAGCTGCGCGGGAGGTTGAGGCAGGAGAATCAGCTGAGCCAGTGTAACACCCGTGTGACCCCACAGGACCCCATGGAGACGCTCCTCCCACCACTTTCTCTCCACGGCCCCCCACGTGGGGTATGCCCCACCAGGGCTCTGTTATGGCTGCCTCTCAGTCCCATATCGCTTTCCATAGGGTGGTGTCCTTCCTCAGGTGCTCTCGTTTGGGTGGGGGCCTTGTGGAGATGCATCTGATGGGCGGCACCTGTGCGAGGTGCCGGCTCTCGAGGGTGTCTGGGAGGCTGAGTCCTGGCTTCCAAGGGGAGAATTCCTTGCAGTTGTGGGAAGGTGTTTTGAAGGCCCTGCATGGCAATGTCCAGGACAAATGATCACGACTTGAGGGTTTATTCCTCCTAGGGCACAGAGCAAGCTAGGGCGAGTGAGAAGCTTCTCGGGGAAGCTGTGGCATTTGACTTGGGGCTTGAGAAGTGAGTAGAGTTTTGAACAATGGAGAAGAGAAGCAATGCGGGGGGTCTCAGGCTGAGGAGCCTGCAGGGAAAAGGCAAGGCAGGGTTTGGTTCAGAGGGTGGTGGTTGTGTGCGGGGGTGTGAGAGTGATGTATGCTTATGTGTGTGTGTGATTGTGTATGTGTATGTATTTCTGCATGCTTATGTGTGTGGTATGTGTGTACCTGTGTGTGTGGTGTATGTGTGTTATGTGTTGCATGTGTGTGGTATGTGTGCATGTATGCACATGCAGGCATGTGATATGTGTATGTGTATATATGTACGTGTTGTGTGCATATGTGCATGTGTGCACATGTGTGCTTAGATGTGTAATGTGTGTACGTGCACATGCGTGTTGTGTATATGCACGTGTGTGAGATGTATGTGTGTATTGTGCACACACGTGCTAGTTTGTCATATGTATGTGAGCACACGTGTGTGGTGTGTATATGTGTTTGTGAGTGGTGTGTATGTGAGCACACGTGTGGGGTGTGTATATGTGTGTTTGTGAGTGGTGTGTATGTGAGCACACGTGTGTGGTGTGTATATGTGTTTGTGAGTGGTGTGTATGTGAGCACACGTGTGTGGTGTGTATATGTGTTTGTGAGTTGTGTGTATGTGAGCACACGTGTGTGGTGTGTATATGTGTGTTTGTGAGTGGTGTGTATGTGAGCACGTGTGTGGTATGTGTGTGAGTGGTGTGTATGTGAGCACACGTGTGTGATGTGTATATGTGTTTGTGAGTGGTGTGTATGTGAGCACACGTGTGTGGTATGTGTGTGAGTGGTGTGTATGTGAGCACACGTGTGTGGTGTGTATATGTGTGTTTGTGAGTGGTGTGTATGTGAGCACACGTGTGTGGTGTGTATATGTGTGTTTGTGAGTGGTGTGTATGTGTGCATGTGCTTGTGTGGTATGCATGCATGTGTGCACGTGTATGTGTGGTGTGTGCACATGCATTGTGTGTGTGTGTGTGTGTTGTGCAGTGTGTGAAGGGAGACAAGGCTGGCTGGTGGTTGGGACCTGATCAAGGAGGACTTTGAATTTCAAGCCATGACGTCCGATCTTTGCAGATGTGGGGAGCCCTGGAGTTTTAGGGCAGGCGGTGGACACTGTGGCTTGGGCTGCTAGAAGGTGACTGTGGCCCGGCGGAGGCCGGCCTGGGCATTCCAGGAAGTGGGCCAGGAGACACATCAGGGAGGAGGTGCTGTGCTGACAGGGGGAGCCCCCAACGGCGTGGGACTTGGGAAGCTGACTGGGGGCCCAGGCCTAGCCTGCCTCATGGGGAAGGCTTTGCAGGGAATGCTGGGGCCACACAGGTGCAGGAAGCTGGGTCAGCACGGGGCAGGGGAGTGCTCCGGCTCAGCTGTGCCTCGTATTGGGATCTCGTCTGGGGTATTCTGGGGAGAGCCTAGTACCTGAGATACTTGCTTCCTGAAGCCAAATAAGGCAAGGTGGAGAAGCAAGGGTTGGGTCAGGACCAGAATCTCAGGCCAGGCAACCAGTAGGAAATGAGGACAAGGGACCAGGGAGTGGATACAATGGTCCCTGTGTCTTTCCCAGGGAGTTTGAATGGTTCCCATCAGGAGGGAGAGCAGGTTGGCAGTGTGCATCAAAAACGTCTGCAACTCTAAGCTTTAGGTTAGGAAAATGAAAGGAAAGAAAGAAAGAAAGAAAGAAAGAAGGAAGGAAGGAAGGAAGGAAGGAAGGAAAGAAAGAAAGAAAGAAAGAAAGAAAGAAAGAAAGATAGAAAGAAAGAAAGAAAGAAAGAAAGAAAGAAAGAAAGAAAGAAAGACAGACCACGAAAAACAAATTCTAGCACTGCTTCCAATCCACAGGCTTGGTGTTTTTCAAAGAAGTTTACAGTCAGTGATTTACTACCCTAAGACTTGAAGATAGATGATTTGGGTTTGCACATGCTGACACACACCATATTCTCACTCTCATTTGCAGAAAAGACATGATTTCTTTTTCTGGGATTGCCTTCCATCTCCAGATAAAATCCTGAATGTGTCAAAGGGATCTTAGAAACTGCATAATTTTATCTGCATGCTGAATATTCCGGAAGCTGCAGGGCAGCAAGTTGTGTTGTGGTTGCAGTGAAGAGGTACTCATTCTCAGTGGTTCCCCATGTTACTGGCTGAATTATGTTTTTATCCCATGTTTTTTGACTTGTGAACTTCCATACATTTAATTTTGCATATAAGGCATTTGCAAACAATACATCCACATTTATAAAAGCGAAACAGCTATAAACACATGAGCATGTACAACACAATAAACACACATTCTATCATGTGCTTTTTTTGGGTTTTTTTTGAGATGGAGTCTTGCTCTGTCGCCCAGGCTGGAGTGCAGTGGCACCGTCTCGGCTCACTGCAACCTCCACCTCCTGGCTTCAAGTGATTCTCCTGCCTTAGCCTCCTGAGTAGCTGGGATTACAGACGCCCACCACTACGCTCGGCTCATTTTTATATATTTAGTAGAGGCGGGGTTTTGCCATGTTGGCCAGGCTGGTCTCGAACTCCTGATCTCAAGCGATCCGCCCACCTCGGCCTCCCAATGTGCCGCGACTACAAACACGCTCTACCATGCCTGGCTAATTTTTGTATTTTTAGTAGAGATGCGGTTTCACGACGTTGGTCAGGCTGGTCTTGAACTCCTGACCTCAGGTGATCCACCCACCTTAGCCTCCCAAAGTCCTGGGATTACAGGCGTCAGCCACTGCGCCCTCCCGGTGGTAGTTTTTATTCGTATCAATTTAAAAGATACAGTGCAGTTTTGTTACATGGATATGTTTTCTTGTTACAAGGATATATTTCACAGTGGGGAAGTCTGGGCTTTTAGTGTAACCATCACTTGAATAGTGTACATCGTACCCATTGAGTAACTTCTTATTCCTCTCTCCCCCTGCCCCCACCCTTCAGAGTCTCCAGTGTCTATTATTACACATTCTATGTCCATGGGTACACGTGATTTAGCTCCCACTGATAAATAAGAACATGCCATATTTGATTTTGTTTCTGAGTTGCTTCTTTTTTCTTTCTTTTCTTTTTTTTTTTTTTGAGATGGAGTCTTGCTCTATTGCCCAGGCTGGAGTGCAGTGGGTGCGATCTCGGCTCACTGCAAGCTCCACCTCCCGGGTTCACGCCATTCTCCTGCGTCAGCCTCCCGAGTAGCTGGGAGTACAGGCGCCCGCCATCACGCCCGGCTAATTTTTTGTATTTTTAGTAGAGACGGGGTTTCACCGTGTTAGCCTGGATGGTCTTGATCTCCTGACCTCATGATCGGCCTGCCTTGGCCTCCCAAAGTGTTGAGATTACAGGCGTGAGCCACCGTGCCCGGTCCTGAGTTGTTTCTTAAAAAAAATTTTAGATTCAGGGCCAGGGGCAGTGGCTCACGCCTGTAATCCCAGCACTTTGGGAGGTCAAGGCGGGTGGCTCACCTGAGGTTGGGAGTTCAAGACCAGCCTGACCAACATGGAGAAACCCCGTCTCTCCTAAAAATACAAAAACATTAGCAGGGCGTGGTGGTGTGCACCTGTAGTCCCAGCTACTTGGGAGGCTGAGGCAGGAGAATTGCTTGAACCCGGGAGGTGGAGGTTGCGGTGAGCTGAGATTGCACCATTGCACTCCAGCCTGGGCAACAAGAGTGAAACTCCATCTCAAAAAAAACAACAACAAAAAAAAACAATTTAGATTCAGGGGGTTCATGTGTGAGTGTACTGAACGATGCTGACGTTTGGGCTTCTATCCATCTTGTCACCCAGTGAACACAATACCCACAGCACCCAAGAGATGATTTTTCTTCTCTCTTTTTTCTTTCTTTTTTTTTTTTTTTTGAGACGAAGTCTCACTCTGTTGCCCAGGCTGGAGTGCAGTAGCACAGTCTCGGCTCATTGCAACCTCTGCCCTCCTGGTTCAAGGGATTCTCCTGCCTCAGCCTCCCAAGTAGCTAGGGTTACAGGAGTGCGCCATCACGCCCAGCTAGTTTTTTATTTTTAGTAGAGATGGGTTTCTGTGGGGAAAAGCAAGAGAGATCAGATTGTTACTGTGTCTGTGTAGAAAGAAGTAGACATAGGAGACTCCATTTTGTTATGTACTAAGAAAAATTCTTCTGCCTTGAGATTCTGTTAATCTATGACCTTACCCCCAACCCCGTGCTCTCTGAAACATGTGCTGTGTCCACTCAGGGTTAAATGGATTAAGGGCGGTGCAGGATGTGCTTTGTTAAACAGATGCTTGAAGGCAGCATGCTCCTTAAGAGTCATCACCACTCCCTAATCTCAAGTACCCAGGGACACAAAAACTGCGGAAGGCCGCAGGGACCTCTGCCTAGGAAAGCCAGGTATTGTCCAACGTTTCTCCCCATGTGATAGCCTGAAATATGGCCTCGTGGGAAGGGAAAG
The DNA here is from genome assembly GCF_000001405.40 of Homo sapiens. Lineage (NCBI taxonomy): Eukaryota > Metazoa > Chordata > Mammalia > Primates > Hominidae > Homo > Homo sapiens. The sequence continues at coordinate 4,600,010 of NC_000007.14, read as the reverse complement.
ACCTGACCGTCCCCCAGCCCGACACCCGTAAAGGGTCTGTGCTGAGGAGGATTAGTAAAAGAGGAAGGAATGCCTCTTGCAGTTGAGACAAGAGGAAGGCATCTGTCTCCTGCCTGTCCCTGGGCAATGGAATGTCTCGGTATAAAACCCGATTGTATGCTCCATCTACTGAGATAGGGAAAAACCGCCTTAGGGCTGGAGGTGGGACCTGCGGGCAGCAATACTGCTTTGTAAAGCACTGAGATGTTTATGTGTATGCATATCTAAAAGCACAGCACTTAATCCTTTACATTGTCTATGATGCAAAGACCTTTGTTCACATGTTTGTCTGCTGACCCTCTCCCCACAATTGTCTTGTGACCCTGACACATCCCCCTCTTCGAGAAACACCCACAGATGATCAATAAATACTAAGGGAACTCAGAGGCTGGCGGGATCCTCCATATGCTGAACGCTGGTTCCCCGGGTCCCCTTCTTTCTTTCTCTATACTTTGTCTCTGTGTCTTTTTCTTTTCCAAATCTCTCGTCCCACCTTACGAGAAACACCCACAGGTGTGTAGGGGCAACCCACCCCTACATCTGGTGCCCAACGTGGAGGCTTTTCTCTAGGGTGAAGGTACGCTCGAGCGTGGTCATTGAGGACAAGTCGACGAGAGATCCCGAGTACATCTACAGTCAGCCTTACGGTAAGCTTGTGCGCTCGGAAGAAGCTAGGGTGATAATGGGGCAAACTAAAAGTAAAATTAAAAGTAAATATGCCTCTTATCTCAGCTTTATTAAAATTCTTTTAAAAAGACGGGGAGTTAAAGTATCTACAAAAAATCTAATCAAGCTATTTCAAATAATAGAACAATTTTGCCCATGGTTTCCAGAACAAGGAACTTTAGATCTAAAAGATTGGAAAAGAATTGGTAAGGAACTAAAACAAGCAGGTAGGAAGGGTAATATCATTCCACTTACAGTATGGAATGATTGGGCCATTATTAAAGCAGCTTTAGAACCATTTCAAACAGAAGAAGATAGCGTTTCAGTTTCTGATGCCCCTGGAAGCTGTATAATAGATTGTAATGAAAACACAAGGAAAAAATCCCAGAAAGAAACGGAAGGTTTACATTGCGAATATGTAGCAGAGCCGGTAATGGCTCAGTCAACGCAAAATGTTGACTATAATCAATTACAGGAGGTGATATATCCTGAAACGTTAAAATTAGAAGGAAAAGGTCCAGAATTAGTGGGGCCATCAGAGTCTAAACCACGAGGCACAAGTCCTCTTCCAGCAGGTCAGGTGCCTGTAACATTACAACCTCAAAAGCAGGTTAAAGAAAATAAGACCCAACCGCCAGTAGCCTATCAATACTGGCCTCCGGCTGAACTTCAGTATCGGCCATCCCCAGAAAGTCAGTATGGATATCCAGGAATGCCCCCAGCACCACAGGGCAGGGCGCCATACCCTCAGCCGCCCACTAGGAGACTTAATCCTACGGCACCACCTAGTAGACAGGGTAGTAAATTACATGAAATTATTGATAAATCAAGAAAGGAAGGAGATACTGAGGCATGGCAATTCCCAGTAACGTTAGAACCGATGCCACCTGGAGAAGGAGCCCAAGAGGGAGAGCCTCCCACAGTTGAGGCCAGATACAAGTCTTTTTCGATAAAAAAGCTAAAAGATATGAAAGAGGGAGTAAAACAGTATGGACCCAACTCCCCTTATATGAGGACATTATTAGATTCCATTGCTCATGGACATAGACTCATTCCTTATGATTGGGAGATTCTGGCAAAATCGTCTCTCTCACCCTCTCAATTTTTATAATTTAAGACTTGGTGGATTGATGGGGTACAAGAACAGGTCCGAAGAAATAGGGCTGCCAATCCTCCAGTTAACATAGATGCAGATCAACTATTAGGAATAGGTCAAAATTGGAGTACTATTAGTCAACAAGCATTAATGCAAAATGAGGCCATTGAGCAAGTTAGAGCTATCTGCCTTAGAGCCTGGGAAAAAATCCAAGACCCAGGAAGTACCTGCCCCTCATTTAATACAGTAAGACAAGGTTCAAAAGAGCCCTATCCTGATTTTGTGGCAAGGCTCCAAGATGTTGCTCAAAAGTCAATTGCTGATGAAAAAGCCCGTAAGGTCATAGTGGAGTTGATGGCATATGAAAACGCCAATCCTGAGTGTCAATCAGCCATTAAGCCATTAAAAGGAAAGGTTCCTGCAGGATCAGATGTAATCTCAGAATATGTAAAAGCCTGTGATGGAATCGGAGGAGCTATGCATAAAGCTATGCTTATGGCTCAAGCAATAACAGGAGTTGTTTTAGGAGGACAAGTTAGAACATTTGGAAGAAAATGTTATAATTGTGGTCAAATTGGTCACTTAAAAAAGAATTGCCCAGTCTTAAATAAACAGAATATAACTATTCAAGCAACTACAACAGGTAGAGAGCCACCTGACTTATGTCCAAGATGTAAAAAAGGAAAACATTGGGCTAGTCAATGTCGTTCTAAATTTGATAAAAATGGGCAACCATTGTCGGGAAACGAGCAAAGGGGCCAGCCTCAGGCCCCACAACAAACTGGGGCATTCCCAATTCAGCCATTTGTTCCTCAGGGTTTTCAGGGACAACAACCCCCACTGTCCCAAGTGTTTCAGGGAATAAGCCAGTTACCACAATACAACAATTGTCCCCCGCCACAAGCGGCAGTGCAGCAGTAGATTTATGTACTATACAAGCAGTCTCTCTGCTTCCAGGGGAGCCCCACAAAAAACCCCCACAGGGGTATATGGACCCCTGCCTAAGGGGACTGTAGGACTAATCTTGGGACGATCAAGTCTAAATCTAAAAGGAGTTCAAATTCATACTAGTGTGGTTGATTCAGACTATAAAGGCGAAATTCAATTGGTTATTAGCTCTTCAATTCCTTGGAGTGCCAGTCCAAGAGACAGGATTGCTCAATTATTACTCCTGCCATATATTAAGGGTGGAAATAGTGAAATAAAAAGAATAGGAGGGCTTGGAAGCACCGATCCAACAGGAAAGGCTGCATATTGGGCAAGTCAGGTCTCAGAGAACAGACCTGTGTGTAAGGCCATTATTCAAGGAAAACAGTTTGAAGGGTTGGTAGACACTGGAGCAGATGTCTCTATCATTGCTTTAAATCAGTGGCCAAAAAATTGGCCTAAACAAAAGGCTGTTACAGGACTTGTCGGCATAGGCACAGCCTCAGAAGTGTATCAAAGTACGGAGATTTTACATTGCTTAGGGCCAGATAATCAAGAAAGTACTGTTCAGCCAATGATTACTTCAATTCCTCTTAATCTGTGGGGTCGAGATTTATTACAACAATGGGGTGCGGAAATCACCATGCCCGCTCCATCATATAGCCCCACGAGTCAAAAAATCATGACCACGATGGGATATATACCAGGAAAGGGACTAGGGAAAAATGAAGATGGCATTAAAATTCCAGTTGAGGCTAAAATAAATCAAGAAAGAGAAGGAATAGGGAATCCTTGTTAGGGGCGGCCACTGTAGAGCCTCCTAAACCCATACCATTAACTTGGAAAACAGAAAAACCAGTGTGGGTAAATCAGTGGCCGCTACCAAAACAAAAACTGGAGGCTTTACATTTATTAGCAAATGAACAGTTAGAAAAGGGTCATATTGAGCCTTCGTTCTCACCTTGGAATTCTCCTGTGTTTGTAATTCAGAAGAAATCAGGCAAATGGCGTATGTTAACTGACTTAAGGGCTGTAAACGCCGTAATTCAACCCATGGGGCCTCTCCAACCCGGGTTGCCCTCTCCGGCCATGATCCCAAAAGATTGGCCTTTAATTATAATTGATCTAAAGGATTGCTTTTTTACCATCCCTCTGGCAGAGCAGGATTGCGAAAAATTTGCCTTTACTATACCAGCCATAAATAATAAAGAACCAGCCACCAGGTTTCAGTGGAAAGTGTTACCTCAGGGAATGCTTAATAGTCCAACTATTTGTCAGACTTTTGTAGGTCGAGCTCTTCAACCAGTTAGAGAAAAGTTTTCAGACTGTTATATTATTCATTATATTGATGATATTTTATGTGCTGCAGAAACGAAAGATAAATTAATTGACTGTTATACATTTCTGCAAGCAGAGGTTGCCAATGCTGGACTGGCAATAGCATCTGATAAGATCCAAACCTCTACTCCTTTTCATTATTTAGGGATGCAGATAGAAAATAGAAAAATTAAGCCACAAAAAATAGAAATAAGAAAAGACACATTAAAAACACTAAATGATTTTCAAAAATTACTAGGAGATATTAATTGGATTCGGCCAACTCTAGGCATTCCTACTTATGCCATGTCAAATTTGTTCTCTATCTTAAGAGGAGACTCAGACTTAAATAGTAAAAGAATGTTAACCCCAGAGGCAACAAAAGAAATTAAATTAGTGGAAGAAAAAATTCAGTCAGCGCAAATAAATAGAATAGATCCCTTAGCCCCACTCCAACTTTTGATTTTTGCCACTGCACATTCTCCAACAGGCATCATTATTCAAAATACTGATCTTGTGGAGTGGTCATTCCTTCCTCACAGTACAGTTAAGACTTTTACATTGTACTTGGATCAAATAGCTACATTAATCGGTCAGACAAGATTACGAATAATAAAATTATGTGGGAATGACCCAGACAAAATAGTTGTCCCTTTAACCAAGGAACAAGTTAGACAAGCCTTTATCAATTCTGGTGCATGGAAGATTGGTCTTGCTAATTTTGTGGGAATTATTGATAATCATTACCCAAAAACAAAGATCTTCCAGTTCTTAAAATTGACTACTTGGATTCTACCTAAAATTACCAGACGTGAACCTTTAGAAAATGCTCTAACAGTATTTACTGATGGTTCCAGCAATGGAAAAGCAGCTTACACAGGACCGAAAGAACGAGTAATCAAAACTCCATATCAATCGGCTCAAAGAGCAGAGTTGGTTGCAGTCATTACAGTGTTACAAGATTTTGACCAACCTATCAATATTATATCAGATTCTGCATATGTAGTACAGGCTACAAGGGATGTTGAGACAGCTCTAATTAAATATAGCATGGATGATCAGTTAAACCAGCTATTCAATTTATTACAACAAACTGTAAGAAAAAGAAATTTCCCATTTTATATTACACATATTCGAGCACACACTAATTTACCAGGGCCTTTGACTAAAGCAAATGAACAAGCTGACTTACTGGTATCATCTGCACTCATAAAAGCACAAGAACTTCATGCTTTGACTCATGTAAATGCAGCAGGATTAAAAAACAAATTTGATGTCACATGGAAACAGGCAAAAGATATTGTACAACATTGCACCCAGTGTCAAGTCTTACACCTGCCCACTCAAGAGGCAGGAGTTAATCCCAGAGGTCTGTGTCCTAATGCATTATGGCAAATGGATGTCACGCATGTACCTTCATTTGGAAGATTATCATATGTTCACGTAACAGTTGATACTTATTCACATTTCATATGGGCAACTTGCCAAACAGGAGAAAGTACTTCCCATGTTAAAAAACATTTATTGTCTTGTTTTGCTGTAATGGGAGTTCCAGAAAAAATCAAAACTGACAATGGACCAGGATATTGTAGTAAAGCTTTCCAAAAATTCTTAAGTCAGTGGAAAATTTCACATACAACAGGAATTCCTTATAATTCCCAAGGACAGGCCATAGTTGAAAGAACTAATAGAACACTCAAAACTCAATTAGTTAAACAAAAAGAAGGGGGAGACAGTAAGGAGTGTACCACTCCTCAGATGCAACTTAATCTAGCACTCTATACTTTAAATTTTTTAAACATTTATAGAAATCAGACTACTACTTCTGCAGAACAACATCTTACTGGTAAAAAGAACAGCCCACATGAAGGAAAACTAATTTGGTGGAAAGATAATAAAAATAAGACATGGGAAATAGGGAAGGTGATAACGTGGGGGAGAGGTTTTGCTTGTGTTTCACCAGGAGAAAATCAGCTTCCTGTTTGGATACCCACTAGACATTTGAAGTTCTACAATGAACCCATCAGAGATGCAAAGAAAAGCACCTCCGCGGAGACGGAGACATCGCAATCGAGCACCGTTGACTCACAAGATGAACAAAATGGTGACGTCAGAAGAACAGATGAAGTTGCCATCCACCAAGAAGGCAGAGCCGCCAACTTGGGCACAACTAAAGAAGCTGACGCAGTTAGCTACAAAATATCTAGAGAACACAAAGGTGACACAAACCCCAGAGAGTATGCTGCTTGCAGCCTTGATGATTGTATCAATGGTGGTAAGTCTCCCTATGCCTGCAGGAGCAGCTGCAGCTAACTATACCTACTGGGCCTATGTGCCTTTCCCGCCCTTAATTCGGGCAGTCACATGGATGGATAATCCTACAGAAGTATATGTTAATGATAGTGTATGGGTACCTGGCCCCATAGATGATCGCTGCCCTGCCAAACCTGAGGAAGAAGGGATGATGATAAATATTTCCATTGGGTATCATTATCCTCCTATTTGCCTAGGGAGAGCACCAGGATGTTTAATGCCTGCAGTCCAAAATTGGTTGGTAGAAGTACCTACTGTCAGTCCCATCTGTAGATTCACTTATCACATGGTAAGCGGGATGTCACTCAGGCCACGGGTAAATTATTTACAAGACTTTTCTTATCAAAGATCATTAAAATTTAGACCTAAAGGGAAACCTTGCCCCAAGGAAATTCCCAAAGAATCAAAAAATACAGAAGTTTTAGTTTGGGAAGAATGTGTGGCCAATAGTGCGGTGATATTACAAAACAATGAATTCGGAACTATTATAGATTGGGCACCTCGAGGTCAATTCTACCACAATTGCTCAGGACAAACTCAGTCGTGTCCAAGTGCACAAGTGAGTCCAGCTGTTGATAGCGACTTAACAGAAAGTTTAGACAAACATAAGCATAAAAAATTGCAGTCTTTCTACCCTTGGGAATGGGGAGAAAAAGGAATCTCTACCCCAAGACCAAAAATAGTAAGTCCTGTTTCTGGTCCTGAACATCCAGAATTATGGAGGCTTACTGTGGCCTCACACCACATTAGAATTTGGTCTGGAAATCAAACTTTAGAAACAAGAGATCGTAAGCCATTTTATACTATTGACCTGAATTCCAGTCTAACAGTTCCTTTACAAAGTTGCGTAAAGCCCCCTTATATGCTAGTTGTAGGAAATATAGTTATTAAACCAGACTCCCAGACTATAACCTGTGAAAATTGTAGATTGCTTACTTGCATTGATTCAACTTTTAATTGGCAACACCGTATTCTGCTGGTGAGAGCAAGAGAGGGCGTGTGGATCCCTGTGTCCATGGACCGACCGTGGGAGGCCTCGCCATCCGTCCATATTTTGACTGAAGTATTAAAAGGTGTTTTAAATAGATCCAAAAGATTCATTTTTACTTTAATTGCAGTGATTATGGGATTAATTGCAGTCACAGCTACGGCTGCTGTAGCAGGAGTTGCATTGCACTCTTCTGTTCAGTCAGTAAACTTTGTTAATGATTGGCAAAAAAATTCTACAAGATTGTGGAATTCACAATCTAGTATTGATCAAAAATTGGCAAATCAAATTAATGATCTTAGACAAACTGTCATTTGGATGGGAGACAGACTCATGAGCTTAGAACATCGTTTCCAGTTACAATGTGACTGGAATACGTCAGATTTTTGTATTACACCCCAAATTTATAATGAGTCTGAGCATCACTGGGACATGGTTAGACGCCATCTACAGGGAAGAGAAGATAATCTCACTTTAGACATTTCCAAATTAAAAGAACAAATTTTCGAAGCATCAAAAGCCCATTTAAATTTGGTGCCAGGAACTGAGGCAATTGCAGGAGTTGCTGATGGCCTCGCAAATCTTAACCCTGTCACTTGGGTTAAGACCATTGGAAGTACTACGATTATAAATCTCATATTAATCCTTGTGTGCCTGTTTTGTCTGTTGTTAGTCTGCAGGTGTACCCAACAGCTCCGAAGAGACAGCGACCATCGAGAACGGGCCATGATGACGATGGCGGTTTTGTCGAAAAGAAAAGGGGGAAATGTGGGGAAAAGCAAGAGAGATCAGATTGTTACTGTGTCTGTGTAGAAAGAAGTAGACATAGGAGACTCCATTTTGTTATGTACTAAGAAAAATTCTTCTGCCTTGAGATTCTGTTAATCTATGACCTTACCCCCAACCCCGTGCTCTCTGAAACATGTGCTGTGTCCACTCAGGGTTAAATGGATTAAGGGCGGTGCAGGATGTGCTTTGTTAAACAGATGCTTGAAGGCAGCATGCTCCTTAAGAGTCATCACCACTCCCTAATCTCAAGTACCCAGGGACACAAAAAGTGCGGAAGGCCGCAGGGACCTCTGCCTAGGAAAGCCAGGTATTGTCCAACGTTTCTCCCCATGTGATAGCCTGAAATATGGCCTCGTGGGAAGGGAAAGACCTGACCGTCCCCCAGCCCGACACCCGTAAAGGGTCTGTGCTGAGGAGGATTAGTAAAAGAGGAAGGAATGCCTCTTGCAGTTGAGACAAGAGGAAGGCATCTGTCTCCTGCCTGTCCCTGGGCAATGGAATGTCTCGGTATAAAACCCGATTGTATGCTCCATCTACTGAGATAGGGAAAAACCGCCTTAGGGCTGGAGGTGGGACCTGCGGGCAGCAATACTGCTTTGTAAAGCACTGAGATGTTTATGTGTATGCATATCTAAAAGCACAGCACTTAATCCTTTACATTGTCTATGATGCAAAGACCTTTGTTCACATGTTTGTCTGCTGACCCTCTCCCCACAATTGTCTTGTGACCCTGACACATCCCCCTCTTCGAGAAACACCCACAGATGATCAGTAAATACTAAGGGAACTCAGAGGCTGGCGGGATCCTCCATATGCTGAACGCTGGTTCCCCGGGTCCCCTTCTTTCTTTCTCTATACTTTGTCTCTGTGTCTTTTTCTTTTCCAAATCTCTCGTCCCACCTTACGAGAAACACCCACAGGTGTGTAGGGGCAACCCACCCCTACATCTGGTGCCCAACGTGGAGTCTTTTCTCTAGGGTGAAGGTACGCTCGAGCGTGGTCATTGAGGACAAGTCGACGAGAGATCCCGAGTACATCTACAGTCAGCCTTACGGTAAGCTTGTGCGCTCGGAAGAAGCTAGGGTGATAATGGGGCAAACTAAAAGTAAAATTAAAAGTAAATATGCCTCTTATCTCAGCTTTATTAAAATTCTTTTAAAAAGACGGGGAGTTAAAGTATCTACAAAAAATCTAATCAAGCTATTTCAAATAATAGAACAATTTTGCCCATGGTTTCCAGAACAAGGAACTTTAGATCTAAAAGATTGGAAAAGAATTGGTAAGGAACTAAAACAAGCAGGTAGGAAGGGTAATATCATTCCACTTACAGTATGGAATGATTGGGCCATTATTAAAGCAGCTTTAGAACCATTTCAAACAGAAGAAGATAGCGTTTCAGTTTCTGATGCCCCTGGAAGCTGTATAATAGATTGTAATGAAAACACAAGGAAAAAATCCCAGAAAGAAACGGAAGGTTTACATTGCGAATATGTAGCAGAGCCGGTAATGGCTCAGTCAACGCAAAATGTTGACTATAATCAATTACAGGAGGTGATATATCCTGAAACGTTAAAATTAGAAGGAAAAGGTCCAGAATTAGTGGGGCCATCAGAGTCTAAACCATGAGGCACAAGTCCTCTTCCAGCAGGTCAGGTGCCTGTAACATTACAACCTCAAAAGCAGGTTAAAGAAAATAAGACCCAACCGCCAGTAGCCTATCAATACTGGCCTCCGGCTGAACTTCAGTATCGGCCATCCCCAGAAAGTCAGTATGGATATCCAGGAATGCCCCCAGCACCACAGGGCAGGGCGCCATACCCTCAGCCGCCCACTAGGAGACTTAATCCTACGGCACCACCTAGTAGACAGGGTAGTAAATTACATGAAATTATTGATAAATCAAGAAAGGAAGGAGATACTGAGGCATGGCAATTCCCAGTAACGTTAGAACCGATGCCACCTGGAGAAGGAGCCCAAGAGGGAGAGCCTCCCACAGTTGAGGCCAGATACAAGTCTTTTTCGATAAAAAAGCTAAAAGATATGAAAGAGGGAGTAAAACAGTATGGACCCAACTCCCCTTATATGAGGACATTATTAGATTCCATTGCTCATGGACATAGACTCATTCCTTATGATTGGGAGATTCTGGCAAAATCGTCTCTCTCACCCTCTCAATTTTTACAATTTAAGACTTGGTGGATTGATGGGGTACAAGAACAGGTCCGAAGAAATAGGGCTGCCAATCCTCCAGTTAACATAGATGCAGATCAACTATTAGGAATAGGTCAAAATTGGAGTACTATTAGTCAACAAGCATTAATGCAAAATGAGGCCATTGAGCAAATTAGAGCTATCTGCCTTAGAGCCTGGGAAAAAATCCAAGACCCAGGAAGTACCTGCCCCTCATTTAATACAGTAAGACAAGGTTCAAAAGAGCCCTATCCTGATTTTGTGGCAAGGCTCCAAGATGTTGCTCAAAAGTCAATTGCCGATGAAAAAGCCCGTAAGGTCATAGTGGAGTTGATGGCATATGAAAACGCCAATCCTGAGTGTCAATCAGCCATTAAGCCATTAAAAGGAAAGGTTCCTGCAGGATCAGATGTAATCTCAGAATATGTAAAAGCCTGTGATGGAATCGGAGGAGCTATGCATAAAGCTATGCTTATGGCTCAAGCAATAACAGGAGTTGTTTTAGGAGGACAAGTTAGAACATTTGGAAGAAAATGTTATAATTGTGGTCAAATTGGTCACTTAAAAAAGAATTGCCCAGTCTTAAATAAACAGAATATAACTATTCAAGCAACTACAACAGGTAGAGAGCCACCTGACTTATGTCCAAGATGTAAAAAAGGAAAACATTGGGCTAGTCAATGTCGTTCTAAATTTGATAAAAATGGGCAACCATTGTCGGGAAACGAGCAAAGGGGCCAGCCTCAGGCCCCACAACAAACTGGGGCATTCCCAATTCAGCCATTTGTTCCTCAGGGTTTTCAGGGACAACAACCCCCACTGTCCCAAGTGTTTCAGGGAATAAGCCAGTTACCACAATACAACAATTGTCCCCCGCCACAAGCGGCAGTGCAGCAGTAGATTTATGTACTATACAAGCAGTCTCTCTGCTTCCAGGGGAGCCCCCACAAAAAACCCCCACAGGGGTATATGGACCCCTGCCTAAGGGGACTGTAGGACTAATCTTGGGACGATCAAGTCTAAATCTAAAAGGAGTTCAAATTCATACTAGTGTGGTTGATTCAGACTATAAAGGCGAAATTCAATTGGTTATTAGCTCTTCAATTCCTTGGAGTGCCAGTCCAAGAGACAGGATTGCTCAATTATTACTCCTGCCATACATTAAGGGTGGAAATAGTGAAATAAAAAGAATAGGAGGGCTTGGAAGCACTGATCCAACAGGAAAGGCTGCATATTGGGCAAGTCAGGTCTCAGAGAACAGACCTGTGTGTAAGGCCATTATTCAAGGAAAACAGTTTGAAGGGTTGGTAGACACTGGAGCAGATGTCTCTATCATTGCTTTAAATCAGTGGCCAAAAAATTGGCCTAAACAAAAGGCTGTTACAGGACTTGTCGGCATAGGCACAGCCTCAGAAGTGTATCAAAGTACGGAGATTTTACATTGCTTAGGGCCAGATAATCAAGAAAGTACTGTTCAGCCAATGATTACTTCAATTCCTCTTAATCTGTGGGGTCGAGATTTATTACAACAATGGGGTGCGGAAATCACCATGCCCGCTCCATCATATAGCCCCACGAGTCAAAAAATCATGACCAAGATGGGATATATACCAGGAAAGGGACTAGGGAAAAATGAAGATGGCATTAAAATTCCAGTTGAGGCTAAAATAAATCAAGAAAGAGAAGGAATAGGGAATCCTTGCTAGGGGCGGCCACTGTAGAGCCTCCTAAACCCATACCATTAACTTGGAAAACAGAAAAACCAGTGTGGGTAAATCAGTGGCCGCTACCAAAACAAAAACTGGAGGCTTTACATTTATTAGCAAATGAACAGTTAGAAAAGGGTCATATTGAGCCTTCGTTCTCACCTTGGAATTCTCCTGTGTTTGTAATTCAGAAGAAATCAGGCAAATGGCGTATGTTAACTGACTTAAGGGCTGTAAACGCCGTAATTCAACCCATGGGGCCTCTCCAACCCGGGTTGCCCTCTCCGGCCATGATCCCAAAAGATTGGCCTTTAATTATAATTGATCTAAAGGATTGCTTTTTTACCATCCCTCTGGCAGAGCAGGATTGCGAAAAATTTGCCTTTACTATACCAGCCATAAATAATAAAGAACCAGCCACCAGGTTTCAGTGGAAAGTGTTACCTCAGGGAATGCTTAATAGTCCAACTATTTGTCAGACTTTTGTAGGTCGAGCTCTTCAACCAGTTAGAGAAAAGTTTTCAGACTGTTATATTATTCATTGTATTGATGATATTTTATGTGCTGCAGAAACGAAAGATAAATTAATTGACTGTTATACATTTCTGCAAGCAGAGGTTGCCAATGCTGGACTGGCAATAGCATCTGATAAGATCCAAACCTCTACTCCTTTTCATTATTTAGGGATGCAGATAGAAAATAGAAAAATTAAGCCACAAAAAATAGAAATAAGAAAAGACACATTAAAAACACTAAATGATTTTCAAAAATTACTAGGAGATATTAATTGGATTCGGCCAACTCTAGGCATTCCTACTTATGCCATGTCAAATTTGTTCTCTATCTTAAGAGGAGACTCAGACTTAAATAGTAAAAGAATGTTAACCCCAGAGGCAACAAAAGAAATTAAATTAGTGGAAGAAAAAATTCAGTCAGCGCAAATAAATAGAATAGATCCCTTAGCCCCACTCCAACTTTTGATTTTTGCCACTGCACATTCTCCAACAGGCATCATTATTCAAAATACTGATCTTGTGGAGTGGTCATTCCTTCCTCACAGTACAGTTAAGACTTTTACATTGTACTTGGATCAAATAGCTACATTAATCGGTCAGACAAGATTACGAATAATAAAATTATGTGGGAATGACCCAGACAAAATAGTTGTCCCTTTAACCAAGGAACAAGTTAGACAAGCCTTTATCAATTCTGGTGCATGGAAGATTGGTCTTGCTAATTTTGTGGGAATTATTGATAATCATTACCCAAAAACAAAGATCTTCCAGTTCTTAAAATTGACTACTTGGATTCTACCTAAAATTACCAGACGTGAACCTTTAGAAAATGCTCTAACAGTATTTACTGATGGTTCCAGCAATGGAAAAGCAGCTTACACAGGACCGAAAGAACGAGTAATCAAAACTCCATATCAATCGGCTCAAAGAGCAGAGTTGGTTGCAGTCATTACAGTGTTACAAGATTTTGACCAACCTATCAATATTATATCAGATTCTGCATATGTAGTACAGGCTACAAGGGATGTTGAGACAGCTCTAATTAAATATAGCATGGATGATCAGTTAAACCAGCTATTCAATTTATTACAACAAACTGTAAGAAAAAGAAATTTCCCATTTTATATTACACATATTCGAGCACACACTAATTTACCAGGGCCTTTGACTAAAGCAAATGAACAAGCTGACTTACTGGTATCATCTGCACTCATAAAAGCACAAGAACTTCATGCTTTGACTCATGTAAATGCAGCAGGATTAAAAAACAAATTTGATGTCACATGGAAACAGGCAAAAGATATTGTACAACATTGCACCCAGTGTCAAGTCTTACACCTGCCCACTCAAGAGGCAGGAGTTAATCCCAGAGGTCTGTGTCCTAATGCATTATGGCAAATGGATGTCACGCATGTACCTTCATTTGGAAGATTATCATATGTTCACGTAACAGTTGATACTTATTCACATTTCATATGGGCAACTTGCCAAACAGGAGAAAGTACTTCCCATGTTAAAAAACATTTATTGTCTTGTTTTGCTGTAATGGGAGTTCCAGAAAAAATCAAAACTGACAATGGACCAGGATATTGTAGTAAAGCTTTCCAAAAATTCTTAAGTCAGTGGAAAATTTCACATACAACAGGAATTCCTTATAATTCCCAAGGACAGGCCATAGTTGAAAGAACTAATAGAACACTCAAAACTCAATTAGTTAAACAAAAAGAAGGGGGAGACAGTAAGGAGTGTACCACTCCTCAGATGCAACTTAATCTAGCACTCTATACTTTAAATTTTTTAAACATTTATAGAAATCAGACTACTACTTCTGCAGAACAACATCTTACTGGTAAAAAGAACAGCCCACATGAAGGAAAACTAATTTGGTGGAAAGATAATAAAAATAAGACATGGGAAATAGGGAAGGTGATAACGTGGGGGAGAGGTTTTGCTTGTGTTTCACCAGGAGAAAATCAGCTTCCTGTTTGGATACCCACTAGACATTTGAAGTTCTACAATGAACCCATCAGAGATGCAAAGAAAAGCACCTCCGCGGAGACGGAGACATCGCAATCGAGCACCGTTGACTCACAAGATGAACAAAATGGTGACGTCAGAAGAACAGATGAAGTTGCCATCCACCAAGAAGGCAGAGCCGCCAACTTGGGCACAACTAAAGAAGCTGACGCAGTTAGCTACAAAATATCTAGAGAACACAAAGGTGACACAAACCCCAGAGAGTATGCTGCTTGCAGCCTTGATGATTGTATCAATGGTGGTAAGTCTCCCTATGCCTGCAGGAGCAGCTGCAGCTAACTATACCTACTGGGCCTATGTGCCTTTCCCGCCCTTAATTCGGGCAGTCACATGGATGGATAATCCTACAGAAGTATATGTTAATGATAGTGTATGGGTACCTGGCCCCATAGATGATCGCTGCCCTGCCAAACCTGAGGAAGAAGGGATGATGATAAATATTTCCATTGGGTATCATTATCCTCCTATTTGCCTAGGGAGAGCACCAGGATGTTTAATGCCTGCAGTCCAAAATTGGTTGGTAGAAGTACCTACTGTCAGTCCCATCTGTAGATTCACTTATCACATGGTAAGCGGGATGTCACTCAGGCCACGGGTAAATTATTTACAAGACTTTTCTTATCAAAGATCATTAAAATTTAGACCTAAAGGGAAACCTTGCCCCAAGGAAATTCCCAAAGAATCAAAAAATACAGAAGTTTTAGTTTGGGAAGAATGTGTGGCCAATAGTGCGGTGATATTACAAAACAATGAATTCGGAACTATTATAGATTGGGCACCTCGAGGTCAATTCTACCACAATTGCTCAGGACAAACTCAGTCGTGTCCAAGTGCACAAGTGAGTCCAGCTGTTGATAGCGACTTAACAGAAAGTTTAGACAAACATAAGCATAAAAAATTGCAGTCTTTCTACCCTTGGGAATGGGGAGAAAAAGGAATCTCTACCCCAAGACCAAAAATAGTAAGTCCTGTTTCTGGTCCTGAACATCCAGAATTATGGAGGCTTACTGTGGCCTCACACCACATTAGAATTTGGTCTGGAAATCAAACTTTAGAAACAAGAGATCGTAAGCCATTTTATACTATTGACCTGAATTCCAGTCTAACAGTTCCTTTACAAAGTTGCGTAAAGCCCCCTTATATGCTAGTTGTAGGAAATATAGTTATTAAACCAGACTCCCAGACTATAACCTGTGAAAATTGTAGATTGCTTACTTGCATTGATTCAACTTTTAATTGGCAACACCGTATTCTGCTGGTGAGAGCAAGAGAGGGCGTGTGGATCCCTGTGTCCATGGACCGACCGTGGGAGGCCTCGCCATCCGTCCATATTTTGACTGAAGTATTAAAAGGTGTTTTAAATAGATCCAAAAGATTCATTTTTACTTTAATTGCAGTGATTATGGGATTAATTGCAGTCACAGCTACGGCTGCTGTAGCAGGAGTTGCATTGCACTCTTCTGTTCAGTCAGTAAACTTTGTTAATGATTGGCAAAAAAATTCTACAAGATTGTGGAATTCACAATCTAGTATTGATCAAAAATTGGCAAATCAAATTAATGATCTTAGACAAACTGTCATTTGGATGGGAGACAGACTCATGAGCTTAGAACATCGTTTCCAGTTACAATGTGACTGGAATACGTCAGATTTTTGTATTACACCCCAAATTTATAATGAGTCTGAGCATCACTGGGACATGGTTAGACGCCATCTACAGGGAAGAGAAGATAATCTCACTTTAGACATTTCCAAATTAAAAGAACAAATTTTCGAAGCATCAAAAGCCCATTTAAATTTGGTGCCAGGAACTGAGGCAATTGCAGGAGTTGCTGATGGCCTCGCAAATCTTAACCCTGTCACTTGGGTTAAGACCATTGGAAGTACTACGATTATAAATCTCATATTAATCCTTGTGTGCCTGTTTTGTCTGTTGTTAGTCTGCAGGTGTACCCAACAGCTCCGAAGAGACAGCGACCATCGAGAACGGGCCATGATGACGATGGCGGTTTTGTCGAAAAGAAAAGGGGGAAATGTGGGGAAAAGCAAGAGAGATCAGATTGTTACTGTGTCTGTGTAGAAAGAAGTAGACATAGGAGACTCCATTTTGTTATGTACTAAGAAAAATTCTTCTGCCTTGAGATTCTGTTAATCTATGACCTTACCCCCAACCCCGTGCTCTCTGAAACATGTGCTGTGTCCACTCAGAGTTGAATGGATTAAGGGCGGTGCAGGATGTGCTTTGTTAAACAGATGCTTGAAGGCAGCATGCTCCTTAAGAGTCATCACCACTCCCTAATCTCAAGTACCCAGGGACACAAAAAGTGCGGAAGGCCGCAGGGACCTCTGCCTAGGAAAGCCAGGTATTGTCCAAGGTTTCTCCCCATGTGAAAGTCTGAAATATGGCCTCGTGGGAAGGGAAAGACCTGACCGTCCCCCAGCCCGACACCCGTAAAGGGTCTGTGCTGAGGAGGATTAGTAAAAGAGGAAGGAATGCCTCTTGCAGTTGAGACAAGAGGAAGGCATCTGTCTCCTGCCTGTCCCTGGGCAATGGAATGTCTCGGTATAAAACCCGATTGTATGCTCCATCTACTGAGATAGGGAAAAACCGCCTTAGGGCTGGAGGTGGGACCTGCGGGCAGCAATACTGCTTTGTAAAGCACTGAGATGTTTATGTGTATGCATATCTAAAAGCACAGCACTTAATCCTTTACATTGTCTATGATGCAAAGACCTTTGTTCACATGTTTGTCTGCTGACCCTCTCCCCACAATTGTCTTGTGACCCTGACACATCCCCCTCTTCGAGAAACACCCACAGATGATCAATAAATACTAAGGGAACTCAGAGGCTGGCGGGATCCTCCATATGCTGAACGCTGGTTCCCCGGGTCCCCTTCTTTCTTTCTCTATACTTTGTCTCTGTGTCTTTTTCTTTTCCAAATCTCTCGTCCCACCTTACGAGAAACACCCACAGGTGTGTAGGGGCAACCCACCCCTACAGGTTTCACCATCTTGGTCAGGCTGGTCTTGAACTCCCGACTTTAGGTGATCCACCTAATATCTAAAATCCCCCAAATTACAATCCACAAAGCTTAAAATTTCCAATGTTGAAGTCCCGAAAGCCTAATTCTGGGGAAGGACTTTGTGCATTTTCTATTGTAGCATGATAGTTACATCATGTGAGATGGACCTATTATCTTGTTATTGTCTTTATCCGAAAATTAAGTATGACTTAAGCAGATCCCCAGAGGCCAAGTTGAACAGGGATAGATGTATGGACTTAATTTAGTGGGCCAACTTGACTGGATTAAGGAATACCTAGAAACCTAACCAAGTTTATTATTATTATTATTATAAAAAGCATCATTGTGTCTTTGAGGTGTGTCTGCAAAGGTGTTTCCAGAGGAGATTAGTGTGGGCCTGAGTGAACTGGTTGGGGAAGATGTGCCTTCAGTGTTGGTGGGCACCATCCAATCAGCTGCAAGCCCAGACAGAGCAAATACAGAAGTCAAACTGGTCTCTCTGGGAGCTGGGACAGACTTTGCTGCTGCTGCCTTGGACATCAGATCTGCCCCAGCCTCACAGGTCTGTGGGCTCCAGGACTTACACCAGTGGCCCCCACTGGGTCCTGAGGCTTTTAGCGTTGGACTGAAGAGTTACACCATCAACTCCCCTGGTTCTGAGGCCTTCAGACTTGAACTGAACCACAAAGCTGCCATCACCCCAGGGTCTCCAGCTTGCAGATGGTCTATCATAAGACTTCTCAGCCCCTATAACCATGTAAGCCAACCCCTCCAATAAATTCCCTCTCATCCATCCATATCCATATTCTGTTGGTTCTGTCTCCCTGGAGAACCCTGATTAATACAGATTTGGTATTGGGAAAAGCGAAATATCATTCATTCTTCCTGTATTCCTTAAGACACAATGGAAGAGACCTGTGAAACTGTCCCCTTGAAAATAAAAGGCCATATTATACATACGGGGCTACTTAATGGTAAAAGATAAAAGTTTAAAGGCTAATTATTATTGGTGCTTCAAAAGCAGAAAATCGCTTAATTGCAATGGCCAGCACATGCTTACAAAATCAGTAGACCACAACCACTCTCCAAACATAAGTGCAGCAAGTGTTTCCAAGATTACAGAAGAAATGAAAATGCAGGTGAAAAATGAAATACAAGAAATCTCCCCTGCCAAATTATTCGATCATGTACGACTTCTGCCCCTTCACACAGGGTCACCAATTCGCGATGCTAGGTATTTCGCCTTTGCATCATTTCCAATACTGGAGGTATAAATTGTGTAAAGACTTTTAGAGAGTTCTAATTCATTTTATGCAGTTTCTGGGGGGAAGTTAACTCCAGGAAAGTGCATGATCAGAGTGACTTCATGGGTAAGCATGGTGTGTGTACATAAAAATGTTGGACCTTCCTCAGTAAACGAAGAGATGTTCTTTTAGTACACCTGAATTTGTGAAAGAAATCTCGAGGTCGTGACTCTTTGGGCCACTGTACATGCAGTGCTGACCCATTGTGGGTTTTTTTTATTTGTTTGTTTGTTTTTGTTTTTTGAGATGGGGTCTTGCTCTGTTGCCCAGGCTGGAGTACAGTGGCGTGACCTTGGCTCACTGCAACCTCCGCCTCCTAGGTTCAAGCAATTCTCTGCTTTAGCCTCCCGAGTAGCTGGGATTACAGGCATGCACCACCGTGCCCGGCTAGTTTTTTTGTATTTTTAGTAGAGATGGGGTTTCACCATGTTGGCCAGGCTGGTCTTGAACTCCTGACCTCGTGATCCACCCACCTCAGCCTCCCAAAGTGCTGGGATTACAGGCGTGAGCCACCGCTCCTGGTCCGTTGTGGTTTCTAATGGATCTCATCAAAAAACAGGTTGTCTGTCGCAGCGTTTCAGATGACCACAGTTATACAGCTGGCCGCACGCAATTACAAACCGGAGTGATATACGTTCATACATTTTGCTTTTTGACCTATTTCTTTAAGAATACAGTTCATCTGTTCATAACTGTTGACCTGTGTGACTGTCATTACTATACTATACCTGAGTATTTATGCTTGCAAAAATATGCATGTTATTATGTCTATTTTATTGTGTAGAGTGGCTGATGAAGTGTCTGTGGTGTTTTTATATGTTTCTCAAATAAATCCTCTTTAAAAATGTAAACAAGTTTCTTTTTTCTTTTCAATACATGGTCTTGTTTTGTCACCCAGGCTGGAGTGCAATCATAGCTCACTGCAGCCTTGATCTCCTGGACTCAGGGACTGCAGATGGGCACCACCATGCCTGGCTAATTTTTATATTTTTTGTAGAGATGGGGTCTTGCTACATTGTCCAAGGTGGTCTCAAGCTTCTGGCCCCAAGTGATGCTCCTACCGTGATTTCCCAAAGAACTGGGCTTACAGGTGTGAGCCACTGCACCTGGCCAAACAAATGCCTTTTAAAGACTTTTTTTTTTTTTTTTTTTTGAGACGGAGTTTCGCTGTTGTTGCCCAGGCTGGAGTGCAGTGGTGCAATCTCGGCTCACCGCAACCTCTGCCTCCCGGGTTCAAGCGATTCTCCTGCCTCAGTCTCCCAAGTAGCCAGGATTACAGGCATGCACCACCACACCCAGCTAATTTTGTATTTTTAGTAGAGACGGGGTTTCTCCATGTTGGTCAAGCTGGTCTTGAACTCCCGACCTCAGGTGATCCGTCTGCCTCAGCCTCCCAAAGTGGTGGGATTACAGGCGTGAGCCACTGCAGCTGGTTAGAAAAGAGGTTTTAATTGGCTCACAGTTCTGTGAGGTGCACAGGCTTCTGCTTCTGGGGAGGCCTCAGGAAACTTACAATCATGGCAGAAGGGCAAAGCGGCAACAGGCACATCTTGCGTGGGGGTAGCAAGTGGAAGAGAGAGTGAAGGGGGATGCGCCACACACTTTTAACCAACCAGATCTCGTGACAACTCTATCACGGGACAGCACCAGGGGGACAGTGCTAAACCATTAGAAACTGCCCTGGTGATCAAATCGCCTCCCACCAGGCTCCATCTCCAACATGGACGATTATAATTCGACGTCAGATTTGGGTGGGGACACAGAGCACAGCCGTATCACACATCATGTCTGTGGCATTTGTGGGTTTTGACCTAGCCTCGGAAGTCACACAACGTCACTTCTGCCTTGTTCTACTGGTCAAGGCGGTCCCAGAGGCTGGCCCAGTTTCAAGGGGAGAAGATGCAGCCCCCGTTGTTTTACTTTAAGAAGAGCGGGTGGGATGGGAGATACTGCTGTGGCTGCTTTTGGGAAACATGATCTGCCTTGAGACAGGAGAGGGGTAGCGGCTAGTGAGACAAGGGATTTGGGAGAATCCTCTGTCAATTTCACCAGAGGCCCGTGTGATCGATTTATAGAAAGAAAAGCCCATAGAAGGGGCATGGCTTCTGGTTCAAATCCCAGCTCATTCAGGAATTCCCAAAGTGAGCTTTTCCCGTTCACGACAAGCTGGCAAGTGTGATGCATGCTCGTGGCGTGGTGGTCAGCATACCAGTTACTCAACACTGCTAGCTGCATTTGGCCAGGTCTGCTGCAAACCCCTCTGCACATCTTAACAATCATGCACAGGCTCCGTACCTGATATGCCCACCTTGTTATAAGGATTGCCACTGTCTGGAGCTGACTCGGTGCTGGGCCACAGTGGGAAGATTCTGCAGAAGGGTCTTGCCATAAAGCAGATAAATCTGGAAAAGCCCAACAACCCAGAAACTCTGTGTTTGTTGAGGGAAGATGCCCTGTTTTCTGGCTTGGACTCAGTGAGCTATCTGCGGTGGTGGCTGGGAAAATGCCTGCTGCTGGAGGGTGACCCATTGGGGTTGGTGTCAGCTTGGGACCTGCCCCTGGGCAGGGCGTGCTGTAAGTTTGCACATCGTGCTCAGGGGATTTAGCACAGCCTCTGAATGAGAGAAATCTTGCCCTTCTGTCCAGGTAAACATTGCATGTTCATGACACGTTCATTTTTGGTCATTTTCCACCCGAACTGCCAATACATTGTGTCTATATATTTTTTCCATCTGCAAAATCTCTTTTCCTTTCCTAACTACCTGACAGCGATATAAAACGCCTGCAAAGTACTTTTTGTTCATCAGACAGAAAAAAAAGACATTACCAAAAGAGAAGATGTTATTAATACTGTACAAGTGTAAAAATGGTGATCAGGGAATTGAGAATAAAGGCTTTATGGAACAGTCACGGTAGTGAATATTTTAGAAATAAAACATACATGATAAAATAATTATTGGAGCAGAGTAATTATCGAACCAAGACTATTCAGGGATGAGAGGAAAAGCTATGCGGGGAGGGGGTGGGGAAGATGAGAAGAAAATTGGTCTGGACACGGTAGCTCACGCCTGTAATCCTAGCACTTTGGGAGGCTGGGGCAAATGGATCACCTGAGGTAAGGAGTTCAAGACCAGCCTGGCCAACAAAGCAAAACTCCGCCTCTACAAAAATACAAAAATTAGCCAGGTGTGGTGGCGTGCACCTGTAGTCCCAGCTATTTGGGAGGCTGAGGCAGGAGAATCGCTTGAACCCGGGAGGTGGAGGTTGCAGTGAGCTGAGATCACGCCACTGCTCTCCAGCCTGGGTGACAGAATGAGACTCCATCTCAAAAAAAAAAAAAAAAAAAAAAAAAAGAACAGAGAAAGTGGAAAATACAGCAGGAGAGAAATATTTATACTTGTCATCTTTCATATTAGTGGCATCTGAAATGTCATGTGTAGAATGAAAAAGAGTTGGTTGGAAAGGAAAGTGGCCATAGTTGAATAAGAATGATTTATTTTAAATTTTTATATTTTTATATATGTCAGTTTTATTGAGGTATAATTTATATCTAGTGAAATTCAATCCTTTCAGTGTGCAGTTTTATCAATTTTGAAAAAGTTGTATAGTCACAGAACCTCCCTGACTATGAGGATCTAGAACATTCTGTCAGCCCGCCAAAGCTCTCTGTCTCTACTCCCCCATCCTGTACTCTCCTCAATGGACCCTAATCCGTCTTCTGCCCCCATCACTCCACTGGAAATTCTCTGGTCAAGGGCAGAGATGACCGCTTGATAATCAAATCCACTGGGCATCTTTAAGATATATTTTAGATGTTTATTCAACCCAGTGCAGTTGGGAAGAAAGTGAGATGGAGGTGAAATCATGTCCCATGTAGTTAAAAAAAACAAAACAAAAACACTAACAAATTCTTGAGTCTGCAGGATGGCCGATGAGAAAAGAAACGACTTTCTGAAACGCTGAAGCTCCCTCTACTTATGAGATTAAAGAACTGGCTGGCATTGGTTAGAACCAAGATGGTGGGCCGGGCGCAATGGCTCACGCCTGTAATCCCAGCACTTTGGAAGGCCGAGGGGGGGGGGGGGGTGGATCACGGGGTCAGGAGTTCGAGACCAGCCTGGTCAACATGGTGAAAACCCGTCTCTACTAAAAATACAAAAAAAAAAAAAAAAAATTAGTTGGGTGTGGTGGCACACATCTGTAGTCCCAGCTACTTGGGAGGCTGAGGCAGGAGAATGGCTTGAACTCGGGAGGCGGAGGTTGCGGTGAGCCGAGATCGTGCCACTGCACTGCAGCCTGGGAAACGGAGCGAGACTACGTCTAAAAGAAAAAAAAAAAAAAAAAAGAACCAAGATGGCTGACCGGAATTTGCGCAGAACATGCTTGCTGCCATCACAGCCTGAATTTGCACTGCATGTTTTATACTCACTCCCCTTGAATCTGCACATGTGACTGCTGAGGAAGTATGAAGAGATAACTGCACACGCCCAAGGGCTTTCCAGGCCTCCCCTTTCCTTCCACCAAGCACCTGCTAAACCCAGAATCCATCCCTGGAACCTATTCTAATAAAATGATTGACTGAAGGCCAGCACAGGGAGACAGATTTGAGCTGGACTCCTGTCTCCTTGGGAGTTGAGTTTTTATTTATTTGTTTACTTGTAATTTATACATAGCTTTTTTTTTTTTTTTTTTAGACAGAGCCTTGCTCAGGCTGTAGTGCAGTGGTGAGATCTCAGCTCACTGCACCCTCTGCCTCCTGGGTTCAGATGATTCTCCTGCCTCAGCCTCCCGAGTAGCTGGGATTACAGGCACCTGCTATCATTCCTGGCTAATTTTTGTATTTCTAGTAGAGACAGGGTTTCACCACGTTGTTCAGGCTGGTCTGGAACTCCTGACCTCAGGTGATCTGCCTGTCTTGGCTTCCCAAATCACTGGGATTACAGGCATTAGCCACCATGCCTGGGCTATATACATATACATATTTACACTTAGACAAGGGGGGGTCTCACTCTGCTGTCCAGGCTGGAGTGCAGTGGTACCATTGTAGCTCACTGCAGCCTCAAATTCCTGATCTCAAGCGATCCTTCTGCCTCAGCCTCCCAAGTACCTGGGACTAGAGGTGTGTGCCACCACTCTTGGCTAATTTTTGTATTTTTTATAGAGATAGGGTCTCATTGTGTTGCCCAGGCTAGTCCAAACTCCTGGGCTCAAGTGATCCTCCTGTCTCGGCCTCTCAGGGTGCTGGGATTACAGGCATGAGTCATTGTACCCAGTCTATTTAAAAATTTGTGTGTGTGTGTGTGTGTGTGTGTGTGTGTGTGTGTGAAACTACACTTCCCTCATTTTCAGATCATGGGGTTAGGTGGGTTTGGTCCTTCTCCTCATCTCCAGGGGCGGGAATTGGCCCCAGCTTGGCCAATCAGCTGATTCAATTTCTCTTGCCATAATAATTGATTGGTTAAGTGATATGGAAGTAACCTGGATTGATTTAATGTCAGCCTTGGAACTTTTGCTGACACTATTGGTAAAGCAATGTCCTTTACCTGCTGGGGCTGCTTAATATGTGGGCTATAAGCCCAAAGCCACTAAGAGCCACCACATGAAGAAAGCCTGTGTGAGACTCGAGAGCATTATTCGGGAGCCTGGATCAAGCCATACCTGAAGCCATAAACGTTGTTCCCCCACTTTTGGGTCTGAGGTACAGAAGATTCAGATAATCATGTCCTTCAGTTTGTGCCATGATTATCTTAATAATCTGGTCTGTACCAGGCCCCTCTCTTGTTTTATTTTAAAATGTATTCTCTTTTGTCCCTACACTTGGTTCCCCCCACCAAAGGCAAGCATTGTAATACATTTAATTTGTAACTTTTGGTTTATATGTATTGTTTTCCACACACATATTTTTATTTTATGAAACTATTATGCTATAGATCTTTTTCTAATAAATAATAAATAAAATAAAGAAATAAATAAATAATAATTATCATTATTATTTGTGATTATATTATTAATAACCAATAATAAAATAAATAATAACATTAATAATTAATACATATTTATTATTATTTATTTCTTATTTTGGCTATGCCAAAATAATGTATCTTAAATAATAATAATAATAATAATAATAAATAAAATATATAACTTTGGCTATCCCAAAATAGCTTAGTCTTATAGACTATACTTTCAAGCTCTATCTCTGCTGCTATGTGTACACAGCTTCAGTGGCTTCTAACTGCTGTGTGCTATTCCATGGCAGGCACCCTGGCATCTTACCTGTCCACCCCACAGGGATGGATTCACAGCATGTGCCCAGCTCCCCACCATCAAAAAACACTGCCATGAAAGATCTTGAATGTGGGCCCTTCTGGATCCGTGTGTGAATTCCTTGGGAAACAGATCCAGGAGTGAAGTTGCAAGACTATAGGGTGGCTGTATTCGTGCAGTCTCGCATTGCTATAAAGAACTATCTGAGGCTGGGTAATTTATACAGAAAAGAGGTTTAATTGGCTCACGGTTCCACAGGCTGTACAGGAAGCATGGCTGGGGAGGCCTCAGGAAACTCATAATCATGGTGGAAGGTGAAGGGGAGGCAGGCACGTCTCACATGCCTGGAGCAGGAGGAAGAGAGAGAAGGGGGAGGGGCCTCACACTTATAAACAACCAGGTCTCCTGAGAATTCACTCACTCTCACGAGAACAGCAAGGGGGAAATCTGCCTTCATGATCCAATCACCTCCCACCAGGCCTCTCCTCCAACGTTATGGATTAGAATTTGTACTGAGAGGCTGGGCACGGTGGCTCACGCCTGTAATCCCAGCACTTTGGGAGGTCAAGGCAGGTGGATGACGAGGTCAGGAGTTCAAGACCAGCCTGGCCAAGACGGTGAAACCCTGTCTCTACTAAAAATACAAAAATCAGCTGGGCATGGTGGCACATGCCTGTAATCTCAGGTACTCAGGAGGCTGAGGCAGAGAGTTGCTTAAACCCAGGAGATGGAGGTTGCAGTGAGCTGAGATCATGCCACTGCAGTCCAGCCTGGGCAACAGAGCAAGACTCTATCTCAAAAAAAAAAAAAAAAATTGACCTGAGATTTGGGCTGGGACATAAATCCAAACCATATCAGCACCTTTCTTTAGTGTAGCTAAGCAGTGCTGTGTTATTCTTCAGAACAATAGCATGAGTTCATACTCCCACCTGGGGTGCCTGAGGACCCCCTTCTGACCACCCTTGGCATCATTCAATGTGCCAATTTTTGCCAGCCTATTAGGTCCAGAGTGATACAATTTTACTGATTAATGTTCATTTATCTGCTTATGGATGAATTTGGGCCTCTCTATATGCTTGTTAACCTGTGGGTTTCTTCTTCCATCTATCATCTGTTCATGTTTTCTGCTCATTTTCCTATTTGGGGTTCTTCTCTTTTTCCTATTTAAATTTATTTTTAATCTCTTTTTGTAGAGATGGGGTCTTGCTATGCTGTCCAGGCTGGTCTCGACCTCCTGGCCTCAAGCGAGCCTCTTGCCTCAGCCTCCCAAAGTGCTGGGATTACATGCCTGAGCCACCACGCCCAGTCCAGGGTCAGTCCTGGGATGGGCTCTGCTCTGTGCCCTGGCTACCCACTGTGCCTGGCCTCTTTTTGTTTTATTGATTTCTGGGAGTTACTTGAATGTTCGAGGTCCCAATCTCTTGTCCATTTTATGCAAATAACTACTCCCATTCTGTCACCTGCCTATTAATATTATCTGTGGTAGGCCAGGCATGGTGGCTCATGCCTGTAATCCCAGCACTTTGGGAGGCCAAGGCGGGCAGATCACCTGAGATCAGGAGTTCAAGACCAGCCTGGTCAACATGGTGAAACCCTGTCTTTACTAAAAATACAAAAATTAGCTGGTGGTGGTGGTGCACACCTGTAGACCCAGCTACTCAGGAGGCTGAGGCAGGAGAATCTCTTGAACCTGGGAAGCAGAGGTTGCACTGAGCCGAGATTGCACCATTGCACTCCAGCCTGGGCGACAGAGCAACACTTTGTCTCAAAAAAAAAAAAAAAAAACAAAACCTGTGGTATCTTCATTGAACAGGAACATTTAATTTTGATATAATTAAATCCATCAATTTATTTCTCTTATAGGTTATGTTTCTAAAGTTTAAGAAGCTCTTACCCAAGCATAGTTCATAAAGATAGTCTCCTCCACTCTTGGTTTTGATTGTCTTTTCCAACAGATACTGAGTGATTTGGAGTCTATCTTTGAATGTAACATTGGGCAGGATGCAGTTGGAGAACTGGTCTTCTCAATGCCATCCTTTTTGTTTTTTTTAGAGTGGGTCTTGCTCTGTCGCCCAGACTGGAGTGCAGTGGTGCAACCTCGGCTTACTGCAACCTCTGCCTCCCAGGTTCAAGTGAGTCTTGCGCCTCAGCCTCCGGAGTAGCTGGAATTACAGGCATGTGCTACTACGCCTGGCTAATTTTTCCTATTTTTTCTATAGACAGGGTTTCGCCATGTTGGCTGGGCTGGTCTCGAACTCCTGGCCTCAAGTGATTCGTCCGCCTTGGCCTCCCAAAGTGCTGGGATTACAGGTGTGAGCCACCGTGACTGGCCCCCAATGCCATCTACTAGATAGCCGGCCCTCTACACATTGATGGGTGGGAAGGTCTCTTGGATATATGAATAATTCAGACGTTTTCCCCTCCAAATCCCATGTTGAGATGTAATCCGCAATACTGGAGGTGGGGCCTGGTGGGAGGTGTTGGAATCATGGGGGCGGATTCCTCAGGGCTTGGTGCTGTCCTTGTGATAGTGAGCTCTCACCAGATCTGGTTGTTTAAAGGCACATGGCATCTTGCTGCATTCTTGCTCCTGTTTTTGCACCATGTGAGATGCCTGCTTCCACTTTGCCTTTCACCATGACTGAAAGCTCCCTGAGGCCTCACCTGCAGCCAAGCAGATGCTGGCACCATGTTTCCTGTACAGTCTGCAGAACTGTGAGCCAATTAAACCTCTTTTCTTTATAAATTACCCAGTCTCAGGTATTCCTTTACAGCAACACAAGAACGGCCTAATGCACCTTTCATGGCGCATTAAGATAGAATACGGTCCTACACATGACTCCTGGGTTTCTCTTCTGCTTCACTGGCCTATTATTTTGATCTTGCACCAATAGAGTTTTTTTTTTTTTTTTTTTTTTTTTTTTTTGAGACAGAGTCTCACTTTTTCACCCAGGCTGGAGTGCAGTGGCATGATCTCAGCCCACTGCATCCTCCGCTTCCTGGATTCCAGTGATTCTCCTGTCTCAGTCTCCCAAGTAGCCAGGATTACAGGTGCCCACCACCATGTCTGGCTAATTTTTGTATTTTTAGTAGAGACGGGTTTCACCATATTGGCCAGGCTGGTCTCGAACTCCTGACCTCAAGTGATCTGTCTGCCTTAGCCTCCCAAAGTGCTGGGATTACAGGTGCATGCCACCACGCCCAGCACAACCAATAGAGTTTTAAAAAATTATGATGGCTTTAATGTGTGCTAAGGAAAGTTCCCTTTAACCTTTTTTTTTTTTTTTTTTGAGGTCAGGATCTTGCTTTGTCACCCAGGCTAGATTGCAGTGGTGTATTAGTCAGGGTTCTCTAGAGGGACAGAACTAATAGGAACTAATAGGATGTATATATATATACATATGTGTGTATATATATGTATATGTGTATATATATATACATATGTGTGTATATATATACACATATATCTGTATATATACACATACACATATATCTGTATATACACATATACACGTATGTGTATACACATATACACGTATATGTGTATACACATATGTATATATATGTGTATATGTATATATGTATATATACATATACACATATGTATATACACATATACACTTATATACATATACACATATACACATATATACACATACATATACATATGTATATATACATGCATATACACATACATATGTATATATACATATGCATATACATATACATATGCGCATATGTACATATGTATGCATATATACATATATACATCTATAAATATGTATATATTTATATGTGTATATATACACACACACATAAAGGGGAGTTATTAAGTATTAACTCACACGATCACAAGGTCCCACAATAGGCCATCTGCAGGCTGAGGAGCAAGGAAGCCAGTCTGAGTCCCAAAACTGAAGAACTTAGAGCCCCGATGTCCAAGGGCAGGAAGCATCCAGCACGGGAGAAAGATGCTGGCTGGGAGGCTAGGCCAGTCTAGTCTTTTCACTTTTTTTTCTGTCTGCTTTATATTCTAGCCACGCTGGCAGCTGATTAGATGGTGCCCACCCAGATTGAGGGTGGATCTGCCTTTCCCAGCCCACTGACTCAAATGTTAATCTCCTTTGGCAGCATCCGCACAGATACAACCAGGATCGATACTTTGCATCCTTCAATCCAATCAAGTTGACACTCAGTATTAACCATTACAAGTGTGTGATCACAATCTCAACTCCTTGCAACCTCTGCATCCCCAGCTTAAGCAGTTCTCCCACCTCAGTCTCCAGAGTAGGTGGGACAACAGCCGTGTGCCACTATGCCTGGCTAATTTTTGTATATTTTGGAGAGACAGGGTTTCACTATGTTGCCCAGGCTGGTCTCGAACTCCTGGATTCAAGTGATCTGCCCACCTTGACCTCCCAAAGTGCTGGGATTACAGGTGTGAGCCACCTTGACCGGCTTACCCCTCTTTCTTAAATTGGACTTAGATTTCTGTGACCTGTTATTCCACCAAGTAAATTTTGAAATAAATTGTACAGCTGCTTAAACAAATCCAGCTGGAATTTTGATTGGGATTGCACTGAATTTACAAATGACTGTGATGTTCCCAGGCCCAGGGATCTGGCACCTGAGCTTGGGTGAGAACTCTGACCTACTGAGTCCCAGGCGCTCTTAGCTACCTGTTAGCCCTCACACAGGCAGGGAGGAGGTAGGGACCGAGTAGGGGGCACTGCAAATGATGCTTCAGGGTGCGCGTCAGAGTAACTGCAGGCCACAAGTAATAAGAAGGTGAAGTGTCACACCTGCAGCGCCCACCAGGATTTTTTTTTTGCCACCATAGACCTCCTAAGTACAGGGAAGAAAACCAAGAATGAGACTTCGATTTTCATGTGCACCTGTCTACAGCCTCTTTTGTTTCCTGTTCAAGTTCACCTTGAGCAAACTGCCCAATTCACCATTCCATCTGCACCCTTTCATACCACTTTTGGATGAATGGACCTGTGCATCCAGCTTTGACAAGTGTTTTCTGCTTCCAAATAGGAGCGTGATCTTACACGTCGGAACGACTCAGGTGAGAAGAGTGAGTGGCAGGCACCAGCCTCCTACCTTGATGTTCTGATGAATTGAGACCCCAGCTCATCCATCACTTCTTCAGCTGTCAGGAGAACTCTGATATCTGGAAGATCTCTTTTTCTTCCACAGTATTAGAGAGTCAAAAAACAATCCTTCCACAGCGTCTGGCATGAGCTCTGAACCTGCTAGGAAAATGGAACTGTGAAATGCAGTGTAAAGATGCGTTCTGAGATACAAAGACAAACGGATGCGTAAGGAGTGCTGGAGGGATGTGGGTGGGAGATGATCGTGGTCTCTTGACTATAAAGCTCAGAAAGGAGGCAGGTGTGGTGGCTCACACCTGTAATCCCAGCATTTTGGGAGGCCCAGGCAGGAGGATCGCTTGAGTCTAGGGGTTCAAGATTAGTCTGGGTAACATAGCCAGACTCCATCTCTTCAAAAAAATAAAAACATGGGCAGGCATGGTGGCTCACGCCTGTAATCCCAGCACTTTGGGAGGCCGACGCGGGTGGATCATGAGGTCAGGAGTTCGAGACCAGCCTGGCCAAGATGGTGAAACCCATCTCTACTAAAAATACAAACGTTAGCCAGGCATGGTGGCTGGTGCCTATAATCCCAGCTAGTCGGGAGGCTGAGGCAGAGAATTGCTTGAACCCAGGAGGCAGAGGTTGCGGTGAGCCGAGATGGCGCCACTGCACTCTAGCCTGGGCGACAGAGCAAGACTCTGTCTCAAAAAAAAAAAAAAAAAAAAAAGAAAAGAAACTTTAGCTGGGTGTGGTGGTATGTGCCTGTAGTCCTAGCTACTTGGAGGGCTGAGGCAGGAGAACTGCTTGAGTCCAGGAGGTCAAGGTTGTTGTGAGCTAGGATTATGCCACTGCACTCCAGCCTGGGAGACAGCGCGAGACCCTGTCTCAAAACCAAAACCAGAGCCAAACCAAAATAAAAAGAGCTGAAATTAGCCAGGCATGATGACACATGCCTGTAGTCTCAGCTGCTCAGGAAACTGAGGCAGGAGGATTGCCTGAGCCTGGGAAGTCGAGACTGCTGTGAGCTATGATTGTGCCACTGGACTCCAGCCTGGGCAACAGAGTAAGACCTTGTCTGTAACCATTCAAAAAAAAAAAAAAAGCTCAGAAAACATTTGGAGGTGGCGACTTCATTGAGAATCGATCAGGCAGCTATAGAGTAGAAGCATTCACAGGAACTAGCCTCCTACTATAATGCCCCTCCACAGAAACACTATAATCAGTGTGGAGTAACAACACCAACCTACAGAATAATTCAATAATATAGAATACAACACTGACCTATAGAGGTGCTGTAGATATTTTGGGGCTGCTGGGAGGCGTTGACCTTTGAAGAATTAGAATTAGAAAATGAGAGCAATGGGATTGTCTTTTTTTCTTTCTTGTTTTTTTTTTTTTGAGACAGGATCCTGCTGTCACTCCAGCTGGAGTGCAGTGGTGCAATCACGGCTCACTGCAGCCTCACACTCCCGGGCTCAAGCGATCCTCCTGCCTCAGCCTCCCAAGTAGCTGTGACTACAGGTGTGCACCACCATACCTGCCTAATTTTTTATTTATTTGTAGAGATGAGGGTCTCGTATGTTGTCCAGGTTGGTCTTGAACTCCTGGTGATCCTCCCATCTTGGCCTCCCAAAGTGCTGGGATTACAGGTGTGAGCCACTGTCCCCTGCTGAGACTTCCTTTTGACAAGAGAGAGTATCATTCTGATGGGCTAGAGATGGGCTGGAGCAGAGAGAATCAAGGTCACCAGCAGGGCACCACATTGCTCCAGGACGGCAGGATTGGAGGGTGTCTGACCTCTTCTGTCTGAGCGCTTCTCAACCTGCAATGGCATGTCTTCTTGGGAGCTTCAGCTTGACCTGGTGGTAAAGTACATCAGAAGAGCATTTTTTTTTTTTTTTTTTGAGACAGAGTCTTGCTCTGTCACCCAGGCTGGAGTGCAATGGTGCTATCTTGGCTCACTGCAACCTCTGCCTCCTGGGTTCAAGCGATTCTCCTGCCTCAGAGTAGCTACAGGTGTGCACCACCACGCCCAGCTAATTTTTTTGTATTTTTAGTAGAAACGGGGTTTTACCATGTTAGCCAGGCTGGTCTTGAACTCCTGACCTCAGGTGATCCACCCACCTCGGCCTCTCAAAGTGCTGGGATTACAGGCATGAGCCACCGCACCCGGCGTCAAGGTCTTCTTAGTATGGAGATGGATGTGCATGGTTTGGTCATGGTAGCCTAGCTGTCTGGGTCCCACCGGCAAGAGTATCTCCATCACGGGATGGAAACATCAGGATGGCTGCTGGACCTTTGACCCAATGAGACCTCTTGTTGAGATTTGGAGCTTGCCCCATTGCCTTCTGATCTGCACAATGGGGAGAACATGCTGCTCATGTTGGCCTTGGGAATTTCAGTTCTTTCTTCAATGATTTCTCAATGCAATTCCATAGCATCTTTCCTCTCATGCAAGGAGATACAACAGACAGAAAGAAATATTTCTGATCTGACCATTTTGATTCTCATCACAGATGAGTAACAGATATTCTGACATCTACTCTGACTCTTGAACATTGCAGGTTTGTTACTCACTGGTCACTTCCAGAGACCAGCAAGACATACAGACTTGGGCAGGTTACTTACCCTTTTGGAACCTTACTTTTCTCATTTGTTAAATGGAACTAATAACTCTAACCACAGAGGCACAGAGGTAGGAGAAAACATAGCCTCCTTGAAGAAACAGAAAATAACTCATTGTACCAGGAAAGTAGACTTGAAGTTGGGAAGCAAGGCCAGATCATGTTGGGCTTTGTAGACAATGGTCTACATTCATATATGGTTGCGCAAGCTGTGCACTGCACAATTCCAGACGGTGCTACTGGATAGTGTACAATGAATTTGGAAGTCTTTCTTCCTACCTTATTTTTTAGACAATGTTGTATAAAATTGGTGCTAATTTGCCTTTAAATGCTTGGTAGTATTCTGTAGTGAAACTCTCTGGAGCTGGAGATTTCATTTTTGGATGTGTATTATTAATTTTAGATTTTTTCTCTTCTAATGGAAGCATTTAGTGTTAAAAATTCCCTCGCTGGACTGCTTTAACTGTTTCTCACATATTTTGCTATGTTGCATTTTCATTTTCATTCACTTCTCTCTATTTTTTATTTCCTTTGAGACTTTCTCTTTGACACATGGATTATTTAGATGTATGTTATTTAATTTCCAAGTGTTCAGAGATTTTCCTGTTACCTTTCTATTATTAATTTCTAGTTTGAGCTCATTGTGGTTGGAGAACATACTTGGTATCATTTCAGCTCTTAAATTTGTTGGGGTTTGTTCTGTGACACAGGTCAGGATATGGCCTATCCTGTTAGGTTCTCTGTGTTTGAAAAATATGTGTATTCTGTTGTTGGGTAGAATGTTCTATACATGCCTATTAGATTCTATTGGTTGCTTGTATTGTTCAGTTCTGCCATAATCTTGCTGATTTTCTATCTCTTGGTTCTGTCAATTGTTGAGAGTGTAGTTAGTGTTGAAGTTCCTGACTATAATTGTGTATTTATCTATTTTACCTTTCAGCTCTTTCAGCTTTTGCTTCAGGTATTTTGACACTCTGTTGTTTGGTGCATACACATTTAGGATCATTACGTCTTCCTGGTGGATTTAAAAAAATAACTATGTAAGGGCCCTTTTTGTCTTTAGTAAGTTTGTTTTGAAGTATACTTTATCTGACATTAGTGTAGCTACTCCTGCTTTTTAAATTAATATTTGCATGATTTTATCCTTTTACTTTCAATGTCTGTGTGTCATTGTATTTGGAGTAAATTTCTTGTTGACAGCATATCATTGGGTTGTGATTTTTTTTTTTGAGACAGGGTCTTGTTCTGTTGCCCAGGCCGGAGTGCAGTGGCACAATCTTGGTTCACTGCAACCGTAGCCTCCTGGGCTCAAGCGATCCTCTCACCTCAGCCTCCTGAGTAGCTAGGACTGCAGGTGCATGCCACCATGCCCAGCTAATTTTTTTTTGTTATT
The DNA here is from genome assembly GCF_000001405.40 of Homo sapiens. Taxonomy (NCBI): domain Eukaryota; kingdom Metazoa; phylum Chordata; class Mammalia; order Primates; family Hominidae; genus Homo; species Homo sapiens. The sequence continues at coordinate 4,565,715 of NC_000007.14, read as the reverse complement.
TTTCAGAGAGGCTAGGATTTGCCATGTTGCCAGGGTGGTCTCAAATTCCTAGGCTCAAGCAATCTGCCTGCCTCAGTCTTTCAAAGTGCTAGGATTACAGGCATGAGCCACCGTGCCTGACCTGGGTTGTGATTTAAAAAAAATTCCACTCTGCCAATCTTTATCTTCTACTTGGCATTCTTAAGCCATTTATATTTAAGGTAATTATTAATATGGTAGGGTTTAGGTCTGCCAATTTGTTATTTGTTTTTTATTGGTTTCTTCTGTTTCTTGTTTCTCTGTGCTTCTTTTCTTGCCCACCTTTGGGCTACTTGAACATTTTTAGAATTCCATCTTGATTTATTTATAGTGCTTTGAGTGTATTGCTTGGTATAGTTTCTTAGTGATTCTCTAGGTATTACAGTATGCCAATGTAACTTACAGTCTATTGCTATCAATGTTCTACCACTTCAAGTGTAGTGTAAAAACTTCTTTTTTTAAATTTTATTTATTTTTTTTGTGCCAGGCTAGAGTGCAGTGGCATGATCCTGGCTCACTCCAACCTTCACCTCCTGGGTTCAAGCAATTCTCTTACCTTAGCCTCCTGAGTAATTGGGATTACAGCCATGCGCCACCATGCCCAGCTAATTTTTGTATTTTTAGAAGAGACTCAGTTTCACCATGTTGGCCAGGCTGGTCTTGAACTCCTGACCTCACGTGATCTCCCTGCCTTGACCTCCCAAAGTGCCTGGATTATAGGCGTGAGCCACTGTGACTGGCCTTAATTGTTTCATTTTTTTTTCATTTGTCTGAAGGGCATTTGTAACTGCTCGTTATAGCATTTTAATGATGGCATCTTTAAAATCAGACAATTCCAACATCTGATTCATGTTAGCATTGACAACTGTGGGTGATCTTTTCTTAATCTTGTGATTTTCCTGGTTCTTGGGATGATAAATAACTTAAAAATTTTATCCTGGAAATTTTGGCTGTTATATTAAGAAGTACTGGGTTTTATTTGAAATTTCTTTCTCTCTCTCTCTTTTTTTTTTTTTTTTTTGAGACAGAATCTCGCTCTGTCACCCAGGCTGGAGTGCAGTGGTGCAATCTCCTGCAACCTCTCCCTCCCAGGTTCAAGTGATTCTTCTGCCTCAGCCTCCTGAGTAGCTGGGACTACAGGCATGCGCCACCACGGCTGGCCAATTTTTTTTGTCTTGTATTTTTAGTAGAGATGGGGTTTCACCATATTGGCCATGCTAGTCTCAAACTCCTGACCTGGTGATCCACCTGCCTTACCCTCCCAAAGTGCTGGGATTACAGACGTGAGCCATCACACCAGGCCTTGAAGTTTCTATTTTAGCAGAGAGTCAACCTGTTTAGATTTAGCCGACTTTGTGGCTACCTTGCCCGGTAACAATTCAGTTTTCAGAGCCTATGCTGTGCTGTTTTGGCCTGCTTGGCTCATCTGGTGCTGTGGGGGTTCCCACTGATCTCTGCTGGTGCCACATGCGGAAGTGGAAGGCACTTTCCCTGGTTGGGTCACCTGGCACCTCTCTATGGGTGAAGGAGCTCTCTGGCCCAGTGGGGATGAAGGGCACCCCTCCAGCTTGAATCTTTTGTTGTTGACAGGCTCCCAACCCCACTGGGGCCATTGGCACACAAGCTATCTTTATGTGGAGGAAGAGAGTGTGCAGGGACGAATGATAATTTCCCAGTCTTGACTGGACCATTTGGTGTCCTAAGTGGGAGAAAGGAGCCTCCACTGGGATAAAGAGCACTTCCCAGGCTGGGCAGTTTGTTGTAGATGGGATCCCCCTGCTGGTGCTAGGGCGATGTGGTGTTGTTGGCAGGAAATCTTTTTTTTTTTTTTTTTTTTTTTTTTGAGATGGAGTCTCACTCTGTTGCCCAGGCTGGAGTGCAGTGGCATGACCTTGGCTCACTGAAACCTCCACCTCCCAGGTTCAAGTGATTCTCCTGCCTCAGCCTCCAGAGTAGCTGGGATTACAGGCATCTGCCACCATGCCTGGCTAATTATTATTATTATTTTTTGTATTTTTAGTAGAGACGGGGTTTCACCATGTTGGCCAGGCTAGTCTTGAACTCCTGACCTCAGGTGATCCACCTGCCTCAGCCTCCCAAAGTGCTGGGATTACAGGCGTGAGCCTCTACGCCCGGCCAGGACTTCCTTTTGATCCAGGGGAGGAACGTGTCTACCTAGTTTGTCTTCTGCTGTTAGGTTGGGGGTCAGGGGACACATGAGGTTTGGATTGTCACCAGTCACTGGGTGGGGCACTGTGAGATGTGGGGACACTCTCTTGTTCCTTCAGTCCTGAGATCCCTAGGCAGTCTGCCTTCCTCTTTCCACTTTCCAGAGCCCACTTATAGACTACTGTTTTATGTCCAGGACTTATACTTGTATTTTGTAGGAAGAAGAGGCAGAGTTGAGTCTACACCATCTTCTGTGAACTGCAAATCTCCTATTTTCAACTACTTAACAAAAAAATGTCTTAAGCCAGGCACAGTGGCCCATGCCTATAATTCCAGCACTTTGGGAGGCCGAGGTGGGCTGATCGCTTGAGCCCAGGAGTTGGAGACCAGCTTGGGCAACGTGGCAACACCCTGTCTCTACAAAAAAAATACAAAAATTAGCCAGTTATGATGGTACACTTCTGAAGTCCCAGCTACTCAGGAGGCTGAGGCAGGAGAATAACCTGAATCTAGGAGGCAGAGGCTGCCTTGAGCTGAGATCACGCCACTGCACTCCAGCCTGGGCAACAGAGTGAGACCCCATCGCTTAAAAAAAAAAAACAAAAAAACTTAGCAGGGCATGGTGGTGCACACCTGCAATCCCAGCTACTCAGGAGGCTGAGGTGGGACGATCACTTAAACCTGAGAGGTGGAGGTTGCAGCGCCCCGAGATTGCACCACTGCAACTCCAGCCTGGGTGACAGAGTGAGACCCTGCCTCAAAACAAAATGAAAAAAAATCTTCAGACTGAGGCAGGAGGATTGCTTGAAACCAGGAGTTCGAGACCAGCCTGGACAACATAGTGACACCCCCATCTCTGCAAAAAATTAAAACAATTAGCCAGGCATGGTGGTGCATGCTTGTAGTCCTAGCTGCTTGGGAGGCTGAGGCTCTAGGATGGCTTAACACTTGAGGCTGCAGGGAGCTATGATCGCACCACTACACTCCAGCCTGGGCAACAGAGTGAGACCATCTCTGAAAAACAACAACAAAAGTTTGTCTTCACCTATTTCATTTTGTTTGACCTTCTTCTTTCTTCATGAAACATCCTTTGCCAGGCTTTCCTTGTCTGTTCTCCTGTGTCTTCCCTGTAATTTGCCCTTTGTTTCTAAAATGATTTCCAATTTTTTCTCTGAGCACTGTCAATTTCTTTTTCATAATCTCTAAGCTCTTATATTTCACGTTTGTGTTGTTCTTTCAAAAATTCAATTATTTTCTTAATTCGTTTTAGCTCACGTTGAAATCTTGGGTCTCGGCTTTCAGCTGCTTTGCGCTTCATTTGCCTGGGATGTTTTCTCGTGTGTTGGAAAGTTAAGCTGTTCTTCCATGTCCTTTTTATTATGGCACCTTTGTGTGGAGGTCAAGCCTATTCCTTTGCTGTCATTCATTGTTGAATGGGATGGTTTTTCTGGAAAATAAGCAAGAGATTCCGCTACAGTGGGGAGTGGACAAAGGTAGCCTTCGGAAGAAGCTGTGTCTCAAGGGCTCCCTCCTCTGTTATTAACACAAAGGGATCAAAATAGAGCCTCTTGGGGGCAGTATCCTTTCTGGCTTCCAGAGCCAATCCTGCTGCAGCAGGGCTTCTCTGTCCATCCATGTTTCAATTTGGACTCTAAACAGGTCTTGCCTTCTAAGTAGAACAGTTGTCCTGGTTTGCCAGGGACTGTCTTGTTTCTTGTTCCTTCTTTTTCCTTCTTTTCCCTTCCTTCCTTCCCTCCCTCCCTCCCTCCCTCCCTCCCTCCCTCCCTCTCTTTCTTTCTTTACTTTCTTTTGTTGTTTTTTTTTTTGTGAGATGGAGTCTCACTCTGTTGCCCAGGCTGGAGTGCAATGGCACGATCTCGGCTCACTGCAGCCTCTGTCTCCTGGGTTCAAGCGATTCTCCTGCCTCAGCCTCCTGAGTAGCTGAGATTACAGGCATGCATCACCACGCCTGGTTAATTTTTTGTATTTTTAGTAGAGACGGAGTTTGGACTCCTGGCCTCAAGTGATCTGCCCGCCTTGGCCTCCCAAAGTGCTGGGACTACAGGCATGAGCCACCGTGCCCAGGCTTTTTTTTTTTTTCTAATTTAAATGTTTTAAAGAGATAGGGTCTTGCTCTGTTACTCGTGCTGGAGTGCAGCGGCATAATTGTAGCACACTGCAACCTTGAACTCCTGGGATCAAGCGACCCTCTCACTTCAGCTTCCTGAGTAGTTGGGACTACAGGCATGTGTCACCTTGCCAGGTTAATTTTTAGTTTTTATAGAGACTGGGTCTGGCTATGTTGCCCAGGCTGGTCTCGAACTCCCAGCCTCAAGCAATTCTCCCTCCTTGGCTTCCCAAAGTGCTGGGATTACAGGCATGAGCCACTGTGCCTAGCATCTTCCCTCTTTTTATAAGGTCATCAGTCATACTGATGTAGGGCTCACCCTCCTCCAGTGTGACCTCACCTTACTAATTAGATTTGCAAGGACCCTGTTTCCAAATATGGTCCTTTTCTCAGGTCCTGGGGGTTAGGACTTAAACCTATGAATTTTTGGAAGGACGTGATTTAACCCATAACACCCTGGGACATATTAGTGAGGAGTGCAGGAAGACAGAAAATGAATTATCAGTAACAGAATCTTATTACATCCAGAAGTGTCTCCAAAATACACCCATGACTGCTCCATAAATATATACACTACCCCATAAATATATACAACTACTTTGCACCCACGAAAATTTAAAAAATTCAAAATACACCCATGACAAAAGTGTGTCTTTAACTACTTTTAAAATAGAAGGGAAAATACCCTCTTTGGACTTTACTTTCTTTCCCAACTACCAACCTATTTCTCACCTTCCCTCTACAGAAAAAGTCCTTGAAATCATTGTCTAAACATGCCTTATACAGCCTGGGCAACATGGTGAGGTCCCATCTTTAAAAACAAATAGCAAAATTAACCGGGTAGGGTGGCGTGTGCCTGTAGTCCCAGCTAATTGGGAGTCTGAGGTGGGAGAATCTCTTGAGCCCAGGAGGTTGAGGCTGCAGTGAGCTATGACTGTGCCACTGCACTCCAGCCTGAGCAACAGATCGAGACCTCATCTCTTAAAAAAAAAAAAAAAAAAGACCAGACAAAAAAAACCAGGTTCAGCTAAACTAAGCCAAACCAAAAAACCAAACAAAGCAAATTTCTTCAAATCGGACTCTGACAGCATAACCTTTCTTGTATGTACACGTGTTAAGATATGTCTGTTTTACTTTAGCCAGTTTTCACAGCTGAATAATCTAATACAAAAACACTTTCCAGATGGTTCAGTTTATATATAATTCAAAGTGCTAAACTATAAAGTAGGTTGCACAGATTCAGGAATACTGCCAAACGTCTGAGACAAAGGCAGGTGTACCCACTGGGTAATTCTCCTTCACCTTCTATTATAAACAATTCATACTCGATGCAAACAGTTTGAAAAAAAAAAAACCCAGAGAAAACACAAAAATTCACCATCTCTCTTACATCCTGCTACCCAGGAATAACCACTCCTAATATTTTGAAAATAATCTTAGGTTTTAAATGTATGTATACACCCACACATACACACATAAATTATACATACTGCAAATTGATGAATAATTACCAAATTCCATCCAATTATAAAATTATATATTTGTGTAAGATGACAAGACATACATATTTACAAAATTAATGGTGCATTCAGCAGGGTATTTTGAAGTCTGCTTTTTCTTTCACTCTGCAATATTTTATGAATCTTTTCGCATGGATAAATGCTCTTCCTCAACATCAGGTTTTTATTTTTTTATAGCTGTACCTATTGCATGAATTGTCCTTTTTTTTTCCTGTAAAGGAAAAATTTCATGTGCATTCTTTTTTTTTTTTTTTTTTTTTTTGAGACAGAGTTTTGCTTTTGTCACCCAGGCTGGGAGTGCAATGGCGTGGTATCAGCTCATTGCAACCTCCACCTCCTGGGTTCAAGTGATTCTCTTGCTTCAGCCTCCTGAGTAGCTGGGATTACAGGGGCATGCCACACCCGGTGCATGCCACACCCCCAGCAAATTTTTCTAGTTTTAGTAGAGATGGGGTTTCACCATGTTGGCCAGGCTGGTCTCAAACTCCTGACCTCAGGTGATCTGCCCGCCTCGGCCTCCCAAAATGCTGGGATTATAGGCGTGAGCCGCCACGCCCAGCTTCATGGGCATTCTTTATGTCCTGGGGCTTGTTTCCAATTCCTATCTCACTTAGTTCTTTTTTTTTTTTTGACAGAGTCTCACTCTGTCACCCAGGCTGAAGTGCAGTGGCATGCAACTCACTGCAACCTCGACCTCCCGGGCTCAAATGATCCTCCCACCTCACCTTTCTGAGTAGCTGGGGCTACAGGCGCACACCACCATGTCCAGCTAATTTTTAAATTTTTGTAGAGATGGGGTCTCGCTATGTTGCCCAGGTGTGTCTCGAACTCCTGGACTTAAACGATCCTCCCTGCTCTGTCTTCCAAAGTGCTGGGATTACAGAATGTGAGCCACTGCCCCGGCATCCTATCTCATTTGGTTCTCATATGACTGTTAAGGCAGTCTTATTGCCATTGCGTAGAAAATACAGCTAACAGAGGCTCTGAGAAGCTGTTTCTTGTACATGGAGTTAGAATTCATACTCAGGTCCTTTGACCAACATGCTCTTTTACCATATCCTGGCTGCCATTAACTCACAAATAAACTGAAATTCTCCAAAAGTTATCCTTAAGGCTATTTTCACTTCTAAAATGATCTTTGAATAAGTTAGAAGAGCCTGAGAAATCTCTTCAGACTTTCATGCACACTTTATAGGCAGATGATACTGGAAAGTACTATAGAAGGAAGCTTGATGTGCTGTAGTGATTTAATGTGTGGTTCTCAAACTTTGTTCCTTGGAGCCTGGGGTGCCACAGGAGTAGCTTGGTGCAAGGACTCCCTGTACAGGCCTGGTAGAGCTGGAAACTTTTCATCTGTGGGGGGTGGTTGTTGTTCTGTTTTAAAATTATTATTATTATGATTGTGGTTGTTGTTTTAAGGTTAAATTCACGTAACATAAAATTAGTCATTTTAAGTTGAACCGTTCCGTGGAACAATGTCTCACAATGCTGTGCCACCGCCACCTCTGTCTAGTTCCAATATGTTTTCATCACCCCAAAAGGAAAGCCCGTGCCCACAGCACTGTCTCCCCATTTCCCCTCTTTCCACCGCTGGCAATGCCATCGGCTTTCTGCCTCCATGGGCTCACCTCTTCTGGATGTGTTATTTAAACAGAAGCACAAAATTACTCTGTTTTTAAGAAGGGGTGACTGAGGCAGGAGGATCACTTGAGGCCAGGAGCTTGAGACCAACCTGGGCAAGAGAGTGAGACCCCATCACTACAAAATAGGAAAAAATTAGCTAAATTTTTTTCACACACCTGTGGTCCCAGCTCCTTGGGAGGCTGAGATGGCAGGATTGTTTGAGCCCAGGAGTTTGAGACTGCAGTGAACTATGATTGCACCACTGCACTCCAGCCTTGGGGACAGAGTGAGGCCCTGTTTCAAAGAAAAAAGGGTGAGGCCATGCAGTGGCTCCGTGGAAGCTCCGCAGGCTCCAAATCCTGGCCTGGCCACATCCCAACCGCCAGGGCAGCTTCCTGGTTCGTTACACACGCTCTATGCCTCTGCTCCAGATTTATTCTCACCTCCACTCAGCTGATCTTTTTTTCTATTTAGCAGCTCAACTTCTTTGCGGCTTCTGCTTCTTCCCAACTGTGCTTATTGAGGCTCCAACTCCACCTCCTGGCTTCTGATCCCACCCTGATTTTATGTGGACAATTTCTCCATTATTTCACACTCAAGCTCTGGAGACTAAGAGTCTGTTTCATGCGCTGTGGCTTGGGTGGCCCCCTGGTGGGTCAGCGGGTGCCAGAGTGGCTGGGTCCTTTGGTCTGTAGAGGGCTCGCTTCAGCGGGGGCTTCAGAGAGGGCAATTTCTCCCCAGAGGGGCTGGCAACGTGGCAGGCACTGCGATTGGTTCTGATCCCCACGTTAGGGAGGAAACAGTTGAGAGAGGACGGATGTTGGACAGACCTGAGGCTCATAGCCAATGATTCAGCCCTCTGAACTTCAGTTTCTTCTTCAGTAAAATGCAAATGACGTTCCTTCCCTTGCAGGGATCTTGTAAACATTGGAGGTAACATATGCAAACCAGCTGGGATGAGCAGGCATTAAGTGTCAGTTATTATTATAATATCAGGGGAAAGGAGAACATGGTATAAATAATTGTAATACTCCCTTACCGCTCCAGTCGTGCCCAGAGGCCGTATTTCCACCTGGCTCAGAGGGATTCAAAATGTCCCATAGACCAATTTCTTTAACAAAGGAGGTAGTTTTATGTGGCTGGTCAGAGGACACCTGCCAAGCTGTGTTGTTAAAGGAAACAGAAGAAGATGCCAGACAGCGGGTGTGTGCATGGTGGCCCGCCAACTGCACAAAAGAGAGAAAGAAAGAAAATGTGGGCAGAGTGCTCATTTTATGAGGCCAACATCATCCTGATGCCAAAACCTGGGCAGAGACATAACGAAAAAAGAAAACTTCAGGCCAATATTCCTGATGAACATCGATGCGAAAATCCTCAGTAGAATACTGGCAAACCGAATCCAGCAGCACATCAAAAAGCTTATCCACCACGATCAAGTTGGCTTCATTCCTGGGATGCAAGGCTGGTTCAACATATGCAAATCAATAAACGTAATCCATCACATAAACAGAACCAATGACAAAAAGCACATGATTATCTCAATAGATACAGAAAAGGCCTTCCATAAAATTCAGCATCACTTCATGTTAAAAACCCTCAACAAACTAGGTACTGATGGGACATATCTCAAAATAATAAGAGCTATTTATGACAAACCCACAGCCAATATCATACTGAATGGGCAAAAGCTGGAAGCATTCCCTTTGAAAACCGGCACAAGACAAGGATGCCCTCTCTCACCACTCCTATTCAACATAGCACTGGAAGTTCTGGCCAGGGCAATCAGGCAAGAGAAAGAAATGAAGCATATTCAAATAGGAAGAGAGGAAGCCAAATTGTCTCTGTTTGCAGATGACATGATCCTATACTTAGAAAGCTCCATTGTCTCAGCCCCAGAAACTCCTTAACCTGATAAGCAACTTCAGGAAAGTCTCAGAATACAAAATCAATGTGTAAAAATCACAAGCATTCCTATACACCAACAATAGACAAGCAGAGAGCCAAATCATGATTGAACTCCCATTCACAATTGCTACAGAAAGAATAAAATACCTAGGAATACAGCTAACAAGGGATGTGAAGGACCTCTTCAAGGAGAACTACAAACCACTGCTCAAGGAAATAAGAAAGGACACAAAGAAATGGAAAAACATTCCATCCTCATGGATAGGAAGAACCAATATTGTGAAAATGGCTATACTTCCCAAAGTAATTTATAGATTGAATGCTATTCCCACCAAACTACCATTAACATTTTTCACAGAATTAGAAAAAACTACTTTAAAATTCATATAGAGCCAAAAAAGAGCCCACATAGCCAAGACAATCCTAAGCAAAAAGAACAAAGCTGGAGGCATCATGATACCTGACTTCAAACTATACTACAAGGCTACAGTAACCAAAACAGCATGGTACTGGTACCAAATTAGATGTATAGACCAATGGAACAGAACAGAGACCTCAGAAGTAAGACCACACATCTACAACCAACTGATCTTTGACAAACCTGACAAAAACAAGCAATGGGGGAAGGATTTTCTATTTAACAAATGGTGCCAGGAAAACTGGCTAACCACATGCAGAAAACTGAAACTGGACCCTCTTCCTTACACCTTATACAAAAATTAACTCAAGATGGATTAAAGACTTAAATGTAAAACCCAAAACCATAAGAACTTTAGACGAAAACCTAGGCAATACCATTCAGGACATAGGCATGGGCAAAGATTTTATGATGAAATTGCCAAAAGCAATTGCAACAGAAGCTAAAATTGACAAATAGGATCTAATTAAACTAAAGAGTTTCTTCACAGCGAAATAAACTATTATCAGAGTGAACAGGCAACCTACAGAATTGGAGAAAATTTTTGCAATCTACTCATCTGACAAAGGTCTAGTATCCAGAATTTACAAGGAACTTAAACAAATTTACATGAAAAAAAACAAACAAACAACTCCATCTAAAAGTGAGCAAAGGACAGGATGAACAGACACTTCTCAAAAGAAGACATTTATGTGGCCAACAAACATGTGACAAAAAGCTCAACATCACTGATCATTAGAGAAATGCAACTCAAAACCACAATGAGATACCATCTCACACCACTCAGAATGGGGATTATTGAAAAGTCAAGAAACAACAGATGCTGGCGAGGCTGTGGTGAAATAGGAATGCTTTCACATTGTTGGTGGGAACGTAAATTAGTTCAACCATTGTGTAAGAGAGTGTGGCAATTCCTCAAGGATCTAGAACCAGAAATACCATTTGACCCAGCAATCCCCTTACTAAGTATATACCCAAAGGAATATAAATCATCCTATTATAAAGATACATTCACATGTATGTTTATTGCAGCACTATTCACAATAGCAAAGACATGGAACCAACCTAAATGCCCATCAATGATAGACGGATAAAGAAAACGTGGTATATATACATCATGGAATACTATGTAGCCACAAAAGGGAAGGAGATCATGTCCTTTGCAGGGACATGGATGAAGCTGGAACCCATTATCCTCAGGAAACTAACATAGGAACAGAAAACCAAACACTGCATGTTCTCACTCATAAGTGGGAGTTGAACAATGAGAACACATGGACACAGGGAGGGGAACATCACACACCGGGGGCCTGTTGGGGGGTGGTGAGGGGAGGGAGAGCATCAGGACAAAGAGCAAATCTATGCCAGGCTTAAGACCTCGGTGACAGGTTGATAGGTGCAACAAACCATCATGGTACACGTATGTAACAAACCTGCACATTCTACTCATGTTTCCCGGAACTTAAAGTAAAAAAAAAAAAAACAGAAAATATGGGCAGAGTGCTGTGGGGAAACTAAGACCTGGATATGACATAAAGCACATGCAAAGTGCTTTGCACACTGTGGAGGGCTACACAAGTAATGCAAGCAGTTAGAATTTCTCAGTGGGGCTATTCCAATGGTACTGTGGGCTCTGCAATAGTCAATTTCATGTGTCACATTGACTGGGCCATGGGGTGCCCAGGCTAGGTGTGTCTGTGAGTGTGTTTGTGGATGAGATTAACATTTGACTATGCGGACTAAGTAAAGCAGATTGTGCTCCCTAATGTGGGTGGGCCTCATCTAATCCGTCAAAGGCCGAGATAGAACAAAAAAAGCTGACTTTTCCCTGAGTAAGAGGAATTTCTTCCTGCCTGACTGCCTTTGAGCTGGGATAGGGCTTTCCCCCTGTCCTTGGACTTGAAATATCAGCTCTTCAAGGGTTTTGAGTCTGCCAGCATTCAGACAGAAATTACATCATCAGTTGTCCTGGTTCCCAGACCTTCAGACCCAAACTGAAACCCCAACATCAGCTCTCCAGAATCTCCAGCTTATTGACTCATCATGTAAATATTGGGACTTATTGGCTTCCATAATCACATGAGCCAATTCCTTATAATAAATCTCTTTCTCTACATATATCTGATCAGTCCTGTTTCTCCAGTGAATGCTGACTTTAGTACAGGCTCTTCTGGCCATGCGTTTTATAACCACTTCATTAGGATGTCCTGCAGGAGAACTCCCCTCCCTGCTACAGAGGTTGTGATGAAAGGGCAGGAGATCTAGAAGTGTGGATATGTTCCTTCATTTCACAAAACATCTCCCAAGGTGCCTGTGAACCAGAGCTGACATTTGGGTGGAAGACCTCTCTTTTCTTGCCTGCAGCTGACACTACATTCTGCAAGATTTTTGGTTCCTGACATTTCTCCTGAGGTTCCTCAACTCATTGTTTCCAACTTTTTGACAATTTGACTATAATGTTCCTTAAAAAGGATCCTTTAGGGTTAAATCTATTTGGGAACCTTTGAGCTTCTGGATGTTTACATCTCTCCCAAGACTTGGAAAGTTTTCCCCTATTTTATTAAATATCAGATGTCTTTTCTCATCTCTTCTTCTGAACTCCCATAATGCAAATATTTGTTCACTTTATGGTGTCCTTTAAGTTCTGTAGGCTTTCTTTATTTTTTGAATTCTTTTTGTTCTGCTTTTTTTTTTTTCCCAAAAGACCTATCTTAAAGTTCAGAAATTCTTTTTTCTGCTTAATCTAGTCTGTTGTTGAAGATCTCTCTTGTATTTTTTATTTCATTCATTGAATTCTGTAGCTCCAGGTTTCTGTTCGGTTCTTTTTTATGACATGTATCTCTTTGTTGAATTTCTCATTTAGATAACTAATTGTTTTCCTAAGTCTGTTGAATTGTCTATCTACATTCTCTTGTATCTCACAGTTTCCTTAAGATCATTATTTTGAATTCCTTTTCTGGCATTTCATACACTTTCTTTTCTCTGGTGTCTGTTAGAGAGAATTATCATGCTCCTTAAGAGGTGTTATATAGCTTGCTTTTTCATGTTTCTATGTCCCTGTATTGATATCTGCATATCTGGTGAAACACTTGCCTCTTTCAATTTTATGGAGTAGCTTCCATAGGGGAAGACTTATTCTTGTAGATGGGTCCTGTAGAGAGTCAGTTGTGTAGGGTATGTTGGCCGTGGTTCCTGGTGGACACAGTAGTGTAGTCTCTGGGCAGTTTCTTCAGTTGGAATCCACTTAGTGATGTTTGCAAGTGCCTCAATGGCCTAGGTGGTGGCAGTTTGCGGCAAACTGGTGCAGCTTTGCTGGGGGTGGGCTCATTAAGCTGGTTCTCAAGCCGGGGGAGTGTGCATGTGGTGGTTCAGCTGGCTTGGAGACTGGGTTTCTGCAGGTCTAATCTGCATTTTATTTATTCTTGAGACAGTGTCTTGCTCCGCCACCGAGACTGAAGTGCAGTGGTGTGACCATAGCTCACTGTGGCCTTGAACTCCTGAGCTCAAGCACTAATCCTCATTTTAAGCAGTGTTCCAGATGACACTGAGGCAAGGTTCCCCAGTTCACACTTTGGGAAATGCTGTAATCTCCCTCTTTAATGAGTTCATAGGTGGAATGTTTGCTTTCCACCTGATGGGGAAATTATGACTGCCTAAAGTTTGGTGGCTTGAGGAGGCTGTGTCAGCCCCAGGCTTGGTGGCTGCCTTCAGTATCTTGAGCTGTTAAAACTCTTTGTAAAAAACCTAAAATATATTACCAGGGCTCAGGACAAAAGACCAATGCCAAAGATGATAGACAACTTGCTTTCCCCATATTTCTTGCTGAACATCCTTCTGCATCTCATGGCAGTTACTATGAAAGCAATCCTTAGGCTGGGGGATGTAGGCAGTGACAGTCCTACAGTGGTATCCTGGAAAGTGCTCAACAACTGGCTTGTTGGGGAAATAGCCTGATTTGTAGCATTTGCTAATTCCCATGGTGTAAACATTCCCACCATGGTTGATTTGAAGCCATCTAGGTGACATCATAAGAGTCAAAAAAGTTTCTTAGCTGGAGGTGGGAGTCTGACCCATGAGGAGAGTCTCTAAGCTGAGGATAACTCTCCCGGGGTCAATTCCATCTTCAATTTGCAGAAGAGGGGCAGATAAACTTATTCATTTAACAAATATTTACTGAGCACCTACTGTGTGCCAGGCATGGCTACTATGCCCGTGAGACAAAATGATAAACAGAAGTCCAATTCCTGACTGCAATGAACTAGAGGTCACCTGCTCAGGGCCTGGGATCAACAGAGCCTTTTAACAGGGTCTCTTTGGACATACTTCACCCCCTTCAGGAGTAGGTGTTCCTGTGCTGTGAACCCCTGCTCAAAGCCACAGAACCTGCTTGAGCTCTGAGTTTCTCCAAGATGGGGACCCTACCTTGCCCCTTCTTGGCGTTTCTATAGTTGCATCACCTAGTGTTGAACCTTTTGATGACCACTGAGGATCTACTTTCTAGAATATTCCCTCTCTGCCTGCAGTCCAATGCTGTATTAGTTTCCTGTGGCTATTCCCTCAAGGAAGAAGGAATTCTGCCTTCAGACTGCAGCATAGAAATTCTGCCTAAGTTTCTGGACTTTGAACTTGAGCTGCAGCATCAACTCTTCCCGAGGACTCAAACCTGCTGGCCTGCCCTGTGGATTTCGTATTTGTCAACTCCCACAATCACATGAGCCAATTCCTCAAAATGAATCTGTGTGTGTGTGTGTGTGTGTGTGTGTGCAGCCTGTCGGTTCTGTTTCTCTGGTGATTCCTAATACACCCCCTTTCTCTTTTCTGTCCTCCACCTTCTCCACCTTTCAGTATCCTGCTCTTAGGCAGGAATAAGTCAGGAATGTGCAGACAATCTTGTTCCCAGTAGAAGCTAACAAGGGGAATTACCAGCATGTAATAGAAGCAGCCATGACAAGCCTCACGCTCTCTAGTTGCCTGAGGTTTGCAGAGCGCTTAAAAAAATTTTAGATTCAGGGGGTACATGTGCAGGTTTGTTACACGGATATATTAGTAATGCTGAGGCTCGACCTTTTATCAAAACCATCGCCCAAATAGTGAACGTAGTACTTAATAGGTAGTTTTCCAGCCCTTGTCCCTCTCCTCCCTCCCTGCTTTTGGAGTCCCTAGTGTTTGTTATTTTCATCTTTGTGCCCATGTTTACCCAATGTTTAGCTCCCACTTATAAGTGAGAACATGAGGTATTTGGTTTTCTGTTTCTGGGTTTATTCATTTAGCATAATGCTCTCCAGCTGCATCCATGTTGCTGCAAGGGACATGATTTTGTTCTTTTTTATGGCTGCATAGTATTCCATGGTGTATATGTGCCAGCTTTTATTTATCCAATCCACTGTTGATGGGCACCTGGGTTGATTCCATGACTTTGCAATTGTGAATAGTTGCAGAGCACTTTTCAGCACTGGGTCAAGTCTGTAATGAAGGCCAAAGTTATTCCCATTGAGCAGAAAGAACTTGGAGTGAAGGAGTGGCCCCTGTGGATGGGAAATGGCAGGTAAGAGGGAGAGGGTCTAGGCTGGGCCCTGAAGGACTGTGAAAGTTGGAGGAGAGTCCCTCCTTCTGGAGGCCCTGGTGAGCTGGGGAGGGCTGGGATCTGGCCACTCTTCAGTTCAGAAACTCCCAGTGTTTCCTCACCAGGAGGAGTTTGGAAGAGGTCCAAACTCGTTCTCCCTCCTCTTCCTCAGTTTCACCCCATTCTAATCCCCCTCCCCCAATGTTCTTTCAGGCACACAGAACCACTTGGTGTCCCAGACATGCCATGGTGGGCATCTACACTTTCCCCATGCCCTCCTCTTGGCCCAGGACACAACCTGTCTGACTTTGCTTAGCTTGGCTAAGCCCACTGGTCTTCAGGACTCAGCTGTGCTGACCTCCAGACAAGCTGCCATGGCCTCCAGCTGGCTCCAGTTCCTCCACTGGGCTCACACATCTTTGGCATCTGCAACCATGTCCTGATGTGGCCGTTTATTTACTCATTATCTTCCCTGTGAATAAGCCTGTGAACTGCCTGGAAGGCAGACACTGGGCTTTCTTATCTAGGCAAACTTCCCCACAGCATGGGACAGTTGCTGTTCCAGCCCAGGCTGGGCACTGGGCCACACACAGGCCCCTGACTACTATAGCCACAGCACTTGGCAGGCTGGGCTGGGGAGGGTGAGTTTTTTTTTTTTTTCCTTCTTTCCTTCCTTCCTTCCTTCTCTCCTCCTCCTCCCTATTCTTCTTCTTTCCCTCCCTCCCTCTCTCTCTCCTCTTCTCTTCTCTTTCTCTCTCTCTTGCTTTCTCTTTTCTTTCTCTCTTTCTGTCTTGTCTCTTCTTGAAACAGGATCTCACTCCGTTGCTCAGGCTACAGTGTAGTGGCTTCATCATGGCTTCCTCCAGCCTCGACCTCCCAGTCTCAAGGGATCCTCTCACCTTGGCATCCCAAGGAGCTGGGACTATAGATACCATGACCATGCCCAGCTAAGTTTTAAATATGTTTTTCTGTAGAGACAGGTTCTTGCTATGTTGCCCTGGCTGATTTCAAGCTCCTGGGCTCAAGAAATCCTCCTGCCTCAGGCTCCCCAAGTGTTGGGATTAGGGGTGTGAGACACTGTGGGGCCCAGGGGTCAGTTCTTGAGCACACTCTGCTCTGTGCCTCGGTTGCTGCTGCCGCCACACCTTAGTTAGGTAACAGGTTTCCCACAAGTAGCCAGAAGCTGCAAGAGACAGGAGACCTGGGATGGGCGTCAGGTGCTGTGTGTGCCAGGCCAGGCTCATCCCTACTTCTGTGAACCATAGAATGGTGCAGGTTTAGAGAGTGACCCCAGGGGAACTGTTGCAGAGCGGTCACCTGAAATGTCACCTGAGGAGGTGATGTTTGAGCAAAGCCCTGGGTGATATTAGGGAGTGAGCCACATGGGGTTCTGTGGAAGATCATTCTAGAGACAGAACTGCAAGTGCAAATGCCCTGGGCCTGGCTTGAGCTGGCAGGCTAGAGAAACTGAGGCAAGAATGAGGCGGGGAGGAGGAGAAGAGTGATGTGAATTAACCTGGGGAGGGTGGCATGGTCAGACCATGCTAGACCTGTGATTCTTAGTAAGGAGGTGGGCTTTATCCTAATAGGAGCCATTGACACAGTTGGAGTGACAATGTTGGATTTGTATTCTAGGAGGTCCCTTGGCTGCTCTGTAAAGAGCAGGTTGCAAGGAAGTCAGAACGGAAGCTGCTACACTTTCCCAGGAGCGAGAGGATGGTGCCCTCGGTTACCATGGTGGCCTTGGAGATAGTTAGCCATGGAGAGGTGCAGGGCCTATCTTGGAGATAAAAAATGACAGGGTTTGGATATGGCAAATGGCTGAATATGAGAGTGAGGGAGAGGTTGGCATCTTGCTCTACATCCTACCTCTGTGACCTTGGGCAAGTTACTTAACCTCTCTGTGCTTTCCGTGCCTGTAAACTAGTTAACAAAGCACTTAGCAAAAAGTAGGCACTCAGTGCATACAAGTTTCCTCTTCCCAACCCATCACATACTCCTCGACCAGAGAGTAAGCTCTCTTGGAAAGTTAGTATTCTGTGCATTTATTTATTTATTACAAGCATGCATTAGCTGGGCGTGGTGGCTCACGCCTGTAATCCCAGCACTTTGGGAGGCCGAGGCGGGTGGATCACCTGAGATCAGGAGTTGGAGACCAGCTTGACCAACATGGCGAAACCCCACCTCTACCAAAAATACAAAAATTAGCCGGGCGTGGTGGTGGGCGCCTGTAATCCCAGCTACTCGGGAGGCTGAGGAAGGAGAATCACTTGAACCTGGGAGCCAAAGGTTGCAGTGAGTGGAGATTGCACCACTGCACTCCAGCCTGGGTGACAGAGTAAGATTCCGTCTCAAAAAAAAAAAAAAAAAAAAGCATGCATTGAGCACCTACTGCATGCCAGGCACTGCGTTAAGTGCAGGGGTGTAGAGACAATTAAAACACAAGCCTTGCCCTCAGGGAGCTCCCATGCTGGTGACGGAGATGGGGTAGAACAGCAGATGATGATGCCGTGTGTTCACTGCTAGGGGAGAGGGGACCAGGGGCTGGGCACAGAGAAGACGGTCTCCTCGTCCAGCCCAGAGAGCAGGGGGTGCCTCTTCAGAGAGGCGATGACTGAGCAGAGTCCTGAAAGAGTTAGCCTGACAAAGGGGAGGGGAAAGGGTATTCCGGGGAGGAGGACTAGCCCATGGAAAGGTTCAGAGGACAGAGAAAGCTGAGTGCACTGTGGGAATTATAACTAGGTCAGTTTGGTGTGATGAATGGGGAGGGCGTCTGAGGCCAAGCTGGAGAGGTGGACAGTACTGAAAGATGGAAGGACATTAAACACAACATTAAAGCATATAAAAGTATAAAGTTTGCTGGGAAGTAAAATATATAGACAAATACAGAATAATGTATGCTGTAATGGTGGTACGTACATCACCATTAATTCTGGTATAGAAGTTAAAAGACAAAGGTATAAAAATAACTATGACTATAAAAATGCTAATGGATACACAATATAAAAAGATGTAATTTGTGACATCGGCAACATAAATTGGGGAGGGGAGAAGTAGAAGTGTAGAGTTTTTGTATGTGACTGAAGTTAAGTTGTTATCAGCTTAAAATGAATTGTTATAATTATAACTTTTTTTTTCTTTTTCTTTCTTTTTTTTTTGAGATGGAGTCTCACTCTGTCACCCAGGCTAAGAGTGCAGTGGTGTGAGCTTGGCTCACTGCAGCCTCCACCTCCCAGGTTCCAGTGATTCTCCTGCCTCAGCCCCCTGAGTAGCTGGGATTACAGGCCCCCGCCATAGTGCCTGGCTAAGTTTTGTATTTTTAGTAGAGACAGGGTTTCACCATGTTGGCTAGACTGGTGTTGAACTCCTGACCTCGGGTGATCTGCCTGCTTCAGCCTCCCAAATTGCTGGGATTACAGGCGTGAGCCACCGTGCCTGGCCAACTATAACATGTTTTATGTAGGCCTCATGCTGACCATAAAGAAAATACCTAGAGAAAATGCATAAAAGAAAAATGAGAAAGGAATTAAAGCAGGCCACCACAAAAAATCAGCAAAACACAAAGAGACAGCAAGAAAAGAGACACAAAAGCTGCAAGACAGAAAAAAATGAATGAAATAGCAATACTAAGTTGCCTTAGTCCATTTTTGCTGCTATCATAGAATATCTGAGACAGAGTAATTTATAAACAATAGACATTTGTTTGTTGCCGTTTTGGAGGCTGGGAAGTCCAAGATCAAGGTGCCAGCATCTGGTGAGAACCTTGTTGTGTCATCCCATGGTTGGGGGGCAAAGTGAGGGGTGGGATGGGGAGAGAAAAAGAGTTAGAGAGAGGTGGGAGGAGAGGGGAAAAAGGGGGCTGAACTCGTGCTTTTATGAGGAATCCACTCCCGTAATAATGAACTCACTCTTGCGATAACAGCATGAATCCAGCACATCTTAAAGATCTCACCTCCTGATACTTCTGCACTGGGGAACAAGTTTCCGCACAAGAACTTTCGTGGACACATTCAAACCGTAGCATACATCCAACCATATCAATAATTACTTTAGATGCAAGTAGATTAAACTCCTCTGTCAAAAAACATAGAGTGGCTGAATGAATCCAAAAAACAACACCCAACTGTATGTTGCCTAGAAAAGGCCCACTTTATTTATTTTTTTAAGATAGAGTCTCATTCTGTTGCCCAGGCTGGAGTGCAGTGGCGCAATCTCGGCTCACTGCAACCTCCACCTCCTGGGTTCAAGCGATTCTCCTGTCTCGGCCTTCTGAGTAGCTGGGACTACAGGCATGCGCCACCATGCCCAGCTAATTTTTTATTCTTAGTAGAGACGGGTTTCACCATGTTGGCCAGGGTGTTCTCAAACTCCTGAACTCAGGTGATCTGCCTGCCTCGGCTTCCCAAAGTGCTGGGATTACAGACGTGAGCCACCGCGCCTGGCCCAAAAGACCCACTTTAGATTTAAAAACACACGTAGGCTGAAAATGAAGAGATAAAAAAAGAATGTGTGATAAGGGGTTAGTATCTAAAATATATAAGGAAATCCTATAACTCAACAGCAACAACCCCCAGAACTTGCTTAACAAATGGGCAAAGGAATTGAATAGACATTTCAATGAATAGATGTTGAATAGACATAGAAGACATACAGATGGCCAACAGGTGTGTGAGAAGATACTCAATATCACTATTCATTAGGGAAAGGCAAATCAAAACCAGAATGAGGTATCACTTCATACCTGTTAAGATGATCATGATAAAACAAACCAGTAACAGTGACAACAAACCCAGAAAATACGTGTTGAAAATAAGAGTGTTGGCAAGAATGTGGAGAAATGGGGACCCTTGTACGCCGTTGATCAGAAGGTGAAATGGCAGAATCACCATGGAGAACAGAATGGAGGCTCTTGAAAAAATTAAAAATACAACAATTGTAGGATCCAGCAACTCCACCTCGGGGTATATACCCAAAATAATTGAAATCAGAACCTTGAAGAGATGTTTGCGGTCCCGTATCTATTGCAACATTATTCATAATAGCCAAGAGGTGGAAGCAATCTAAATGTTCACTGATGGATGAATAGATGTATAAAATGTTACATATATGTAATATATATAACATATATAATATATAAAACATTTTATTTATAAATTATAATATATAAAAATCACATTTTATTTATATATTTATATATAACATGTATGTTTTATTTATCTATTTATCCATTATATGTATCAGTTTTTATAGATTATATACATATTTAGATATTAAAATACATTATACATAAAAATAACATATATTTATATGTAAGTATATACATTCACCCATCCATTATTTTTATATGTGTGTGTAGATATATAAAACATACATACTGTGGAGTATTATCCTGCCATAAGGAAGGATGACATGGATAAACCTCGAGGACATCAGGCTGACATTAGGCTAAATGAAATAAGCCAGTCACAGAAGGGCAAATGCTGCATTATTTCTTTTGTATGAAGTATCTAAAGTAGTCAAACTCATAGAGAGCCTGGCTAATCTAAGCAGAATGGTGGTTGCCAGGCACTGGTGGAGGGAGAGAAATGGGGATTTGCTATGCAATGGGTGTCGGTTTCAGTCGCGCAAGAGGAAAAAGTTCTAGAGATCTCGGGCACAACACTGTGCTTACAGTTAAGAAAAGTGCACTGTACGCTTAAAAACTTATCGAGAGTCCATCTCATATTATGTGTTTTTGCATCACAAGAACAAACAGAAAAATAGAAATTGATGAAAAGCAACTGCAAGAGGGCAAGAGGAATAGAGTGTGGCCCTGGTACAGAGCTGCTGCTGCTCTGGGCATGAAGAAGAGAAGAGAGCGGGACCATTCACTATGGCGACCACTAGCCACATGTGGCTACCGAGCATATCAAAGTGGGGAGTGGGACCGAGGAGCTCAGAGAAGATGAAAGTGGCAGGGGCCAGAGCCTGGCATTAAGGGGAAGGTGGCAGGAGGTAAAGCCTGAGATCTTGGCAGTGCTCAGAGCAGGCAGGGCTGGGAGCCATGGTTAGCATTTGGGACTTTGTCTTAAGAAAACTGGAAACCATTGGCTAGATGCAGTGGCTCATGCATAATCCTAGCACTTGGGGAGGCTGAGAAGGGAGGATTGCTTGAGGCCAGGAGTTCAAGACCAGCCTGGGCAACGTAGTGAGACCTCATCTGTGCAAAAAATAAAAAATTAGCTGGGCATGGTGGTATGCACCTGTAGTCCCAGCTACTCAAGAGGCTGAGGTGGGAGGATTGCCAGAGCTCAGGAGTTTGAGGCTGCAGTGAGCTATGATCACACCACTGCACTCCAGCCTGGGTGACAGAGTGAGACCCTGTCTCTAAAATACACACACACACACACCAAAACCCAAAAAACCCTTGGAAGCCATGGATAGTTGTATGCAGGAGAGTGAGAGGATGGGAGTGGATACAAAATGTGTGTGCAGAGACCAGTGAGGAGGCTCTGGCCATGGGCCAGGTGAGAGACGAAAAGAGTCTGGACCAGACGTGGCTGTAGAGGTGAAGAGACATGGATGGAGTTGGGAGGTATCAAGAGAGAGAAACCTGCAGGTCTTGGGTTGGGCATAGTTACCTGGATTAAGAGAGAGAAGATGAGGAAGGTGCTTTTTAAAGGGTGAAAACTGAACAATGAACACATTGGTCATAATGAGAATTAGAGGAGTGCCTTTGGGTGATGCATCTCATAGGAGCGTGTGTTTTCTCTTTAGACTTGCTGGAAGGCCATGTCTTTAGACAGTTTTACTCATCAGCATAAGCTCTGCTGCTGGAATGGACAAGCCGCAGACTCAGCAGCTACTGTAATCAAGTTGGTTTCTCCTCCACGTCACAGGCTGTGAGCCAGCAGGCTGAGCAGGAGGGAGACTGAGGTTGAGCCTCCTGGAGTCACCAACGGTCGCTTGTGGAGAAATGGCCCTGATGATGAGAGACAGGTCCCTTCGGGGATGCTGAGGTTGGCCAAGGTGGCCCTTTAGTAGAAGCTGGTGTGGCATGAGAGACAGGTCCCTTTGGGGATGTTGAGATTGGCCAAGGTGACCCTTTAGTAGAAGCTGGTGTGGCAGATTATGTTTTCCAAGATGGCCATGACAACGTCTGCTGTCCTGTGTGTTTTTCTAGAACCCTGCCTCCCTCCATGGAGGTCTCTTTTCCTCAAACCTGGACAGAGCTCTATGATAGCTCTGACCCACAGAGTACAGCAAAAGTGACGCTATGTGACATCTGAGTCTAGGTCATAACAATGTGGTGCACTTGGTCTTTGTTCTTGTGGGACACTTGCTCCTGGAATGCAGCCACCATGCTCTGAGGAAGCCCAAGCAGCCACACAGAAACCACATGGAGACGCCATATGTAGGCATTCTGGCTGACAGCCTGCTGAGGTCTGAGCCCATGCACAGCCTCAACCACCAGGCGAGGGAGAGAAGGCATCTCTAGAGGACTCAACCCCCAGCCTCCCGCTGAGGCCTCAGACATGGTGGAGCAGTGAGAAGCCATCCTGACTATGCCTGGTCCTAATTCCAAGCTCACAGAATCTATGAGCAGAATAAAAGTCTCTCCACTGAGGGGACACGGCCTTCTGGGATGCCTTTCCTCTTGTTTCTGGTAGCGCCCTGGCCTTCTGGCCTTCCTAATAAAGGCCCATCTCTTCCATTTCCTTCTTTGGGGAGAAGGAGCATGTGAGGATAGTTGCTATAAACGGCTTAATTTTATTAGGTTGAGCTTTCACTTGTTTTGATCCCAAGAGACTCTTTGGAGCCACTGCATGCCCTTTAAAAATCAAACTAATTGAGCTCTAAATTAATTTAAAACATAAGGAAATTAATCTGAGAAGCAAAGTCAACTGAGAGGAGACGTGAAATTAAAATTGAACCCTAGACAAAGGTTGACAGGCCTACCTGGCTCTGCTGGACAGAGGCTGCTCTGCTTAGCTGAGCTGATGTACTTTGTAGAGGTGATTGTTTCTGATCAAGGTCTCCTCCAGAATGTGACTCTGATGCTTCCTCAAATGCCAAAGAAAAAAATCAGCTGGGCATGGTGGTGCGCACCTGTAGTCCAAGCTACTTGGGAGGCCGAGATGGGAGGAAGGTTTGAGCCCAGAAGGTTGAGGCTGCAGTGAGCTACGGTTGCACCACTGCACTCCAGCCTGGGCAACAGGGCAAGACTCTCTGTCTCAATAAAAAAAGAGTTTCCTCAAGTAATTATGCTAAAATTCATACAGAAATGCAAATGGGTTGTATTAGTCTGTTTTCATGATGCTGATAAAGACATAGCCGAGACTGGGTGATTTATAAAGAAAAAGAGGTTTAATGGACTCACGGTTCCACATGGCTGGGGAGGCCTCACAATCATGGCAGAAGGTGAAAGGCATGTCTCACATGGCAGCAAACAGAGAGAATGAGAGCCAAGAGAAAGGAGTTTCCCCTTATAAAACCATCAGATCTTCTGAGACTTGTTCACTACCCTGAGAACACTATGGGGGAAACTGTCTCCATAATTCAATCATCTCCCACTGGGTCCCTCCCACGACATGTGGGAATTGTGGGAGCTACAATTCAAGATGAGATTTGGGTGGGGACACAGACAAACCATACATATCAGGGGCCAAGAATGGTGAAGACAATGTTGAAGAAGGAAAACAAGGAAGGAGGAGGAGAAGAAAGCTCCGAACTACCAACAAAGACCAACTCTCAAGACCTCTTACAAAAATCAAGTAATGAAGATGGTGTGGAAATAGCTTGGAGAAGACAGGCAAAGGTTGAAAAGACTTTTAAAAGAAAAGCAAAAGCCTTGAGCTAGAAATTTTCATTTCTGGGCCAGGCGCGGTGGCTCATGCCTGTAATGCCAGCACTTTGGGAGGCTGAGACGGGCAGATCATCCTGGCTAACACGGTGAAACCCCGTCTCTACAAAAAATACAAAAAAAATAAGCCGGGCGTGGTGGCGGGCACCTGTAGTCCCACCTACTCGGGAGGCTGGGCAGGAGAATGGTGTGAACCCAGGAGGCGGAGCTTGCAGTGAGCCGAGATCGCGCCACTGCACTCCAGCCTGGGCGACAGAGTGAGACTCTGTCTCAAAAAAAAAACAAAAAACAAAAAACGAAATATTCATTTCTGGAGGAAACTAAAATGCCTGCAATGTTAAGAAGAATTTGGAAGAGAAATGAACAGCTAGCTCATGCAAGTGCTGAGAAGGGTCACCCTGGATGGCTGGGCTCATTCCTGGCTGCACAAGGTCCCCAGCTGAAGGGATGGATGGGCCCAAAATCCAGGCAGCACCTGACTTGCTAAGCTATGCCCTACACAGCTGGGTCCACCAGAGAAGTGCTTTGTTCCCCAACATTTCATTATAAAGAATTTGAAACAAGTAGTAAAGCTGAAAGAACGTTACAGTGAACACCCATACACCCAGCACCTAGAGTCTACAATGAATGTTTGACTCTGCTGACTTTATCACATATCTAATCATCTCTTCATCCCATCCATCTTATGTCTAGGTGCATTTCAAACAAATTGCAAACATTGGTATGCTTCTTCCTAAATACGTCATGCACATCATTATTAACTAGAGTGTTTGTTTACGGTTATTTATGCAAAATTTGCATATGATGAAGATGCACAATTTTTTTTTTTAGATGGAGTCTTGCTGTGTTGCCCAGGCTGGAGTGCAGTGGTACACTCTTGGCTCACTGCAACCTCTGCCTCCTCGGTTCAAGTGATTCACCTGCCTCAGCCTCCCTAGTAGCTGGGATTACAGGCACACACCACCACGCCCGGCTAATTTTTGTATTTTTAGTAGAGACAGGGTTTCACCATGTTGGCCAGGCTGGTCTTGAACTCCTGACCTCAAGTATCCACCCACCTTGGCCTCCCAAAGTGCTAGGATTACAGGCGTGAGCCACCGTGCCTGGCCAAAGATGCACACATTTTAAGTGAGTTATCAATTGATTTTGTCAAGGGTATACACGTGTGTAAACCCAAACCCCATCAGTTTATAGATCATTCCCATGAGGGGACACCTTTTAAAATTCACACAAAGGTTACCCGTGTGGTTCTGGGTAGAAGACTCTAAACGCTTGGGTCAGTCCTATCTTCATGTAGGTGTTCCTGGACCACACTGAAGGTCAGGCTGCTTATTCTCACGGGCCAGTAATGAAATACATATGAACTGGGGAAGAAGAAAGTTTTTATTTCTGCAATTAGTTACAGAGAGAAGGCCTGGAAAATATCACCAGAGCAACTCAAAATTACAACGTCTTCCAGAGCTTCTATACCTTCTAAGCTATATGTCTACGTGTAAGTGTGCATTCACCTAAAGACATCAGTGACGAGCTTCTTCTCATCTATAACTAAGATCTGAGTCCTGAAGACCTTCCTCCGGAGCCTCAGTAAATTGACTTAATCTGAATGGATCCAAGTGCTGGGGCGATTACCCTTACCTTGTCTCCTGCGAAATCACGGAGGTTTGGGGGGTTCCTTCAGACCCCCAATAACTTGTCTGTGGAGGCCTGGGGAGTTTCTTCAGACCCCCAGTAAAACTTGTTTAATCCTAAACAGGCCCTGTTAAGAATTGCTTCGTTATCTTGTCATGGTTCAAAGCCTAGGAAAGGCCTGGGCAAAACTCTTGGTGGGCTTTTGTTACATGCCAGCCTTTGTATAAGGGTACTGGCTCTTTCAGCTTTTATTTTAATTAATTAATTAATTAATTAATTAGTTTATTTTTTGAGATTCAGTTGGCTTTTGTTGTCCAGGCTGGAGTGCAGTGGTGCAGTCTCGGCTCACTGCAACCTCCGCCTCCCAGGTTCAGGCGATTCTCCTGCCTCAGCCTCCTGAGTAGCTCGGATTACAGGCATGTGCCACCACACCTGGCTAATTTTGTATTTTTAGCAGAGATGGGGTTTCTCCAAGTTGGTCAGGCTGGTCTTGAACTCCCGACCTCAGGTGATCCACCCGCCTTGGTCTCCCAAAGTGCTGGGATTATAGGCATGAGCCACTATGCCTGGCCTATTTATTTATTTGTTTGAGACAGAATTTCCCTCTTCACCCAGACTGGAGTGCAATGGTGTGATCTCGGCTCACTGCCACCTCCATTTCCCAGGTTCAAGCGATTCTCCTGCCTCAGCCTCCTGAGTAGCTAGGATTACACGCATGCACCACCACACCTAGCAAATTTTTGTATTTTTAGTAGAGACGGGGTTTCACCATGTTGGCCAGGCTGGTCTCAAACTCCTGACCTCACGTGATCCACCTGCCTCGCCTCCCAAAGTGCTGGGATTACAGGCATGAGCCACCGTGCCTGGCCTCAGCTTTTAACATTTAAGTTAACCACTCAGTCAGTGCTGAAACAGTTGTTGTGGAGGCCTGCCTGTTCAGCCAGCAGGGAGACCTGGCCTGCCACATAGGTCGGGGGAAAGTCTCTTCCAGTGCTTGTTGATTTCTAAGGGTTTTTAATTTAAAATACTTCTTATAGGGCCAGGTGCAGTGGCTCACGCCTGTAATCTCAGCACTTTGGGAGGCTGAGACCTGAGGATCACTTGAGGCCAGGAGTCTGAGACCAGTCTGGGCAACATAGTGAGACCCCATCTCTACAAAAAATTAAAAATAGCCAGGCATGGTGGTGCACACCTGTAGTCCCAGCTACTCGGGAGGCTGAGGTGGGAGGATCACCTCCAGCCCAGGAGTTCGAGGATGCAGTGAGCCGTGATCATGCCACTGCACTGCATCCTGAGTGACAGAGTAAGGCCTCGTCTCAAGAAAAAAAAAAACACAATTAGAAAGAGGCATCTGTTATGTTTTGAAACTAGATAGTAGTGGTGGCTGTACCACATGGTGAAGGTGCTAACTGTCATTTATTTATGTATTTTATTATTATTTTTTTGAGACAGAGTCTCACTCTGTCACCCAGGCTGGAGTCCAGTGGCGTGATCTCGGCTCACTGCAATCTCCAGTTCCTGGGTTCAAGTAATTGTCCTGCCTCAGCCTCCCGAGTAGCTGGGATTACTGGCACCCACCACCACACCCAGCTAATTTCTGTATTTTTAGTAGAGACGGGGGTCTCACCCTGTTGACCAGGCTGGTCTCGAACTCCTGACCTCAGGTGATCCGCCCGCCTCAGCCTCCCAAAGTGCTGGGATGACAGGCGTGAGCCACTGCACCTGGCCCTAAATGTCATTTAATTGAACACTTAAAACAATTTATTTTTTGTTATGTGAATTTCACCTCAATTAAATAAAAAAGGAAAAAGAGGCGTCAGTTAATAATTTTAAAAATGTTATCCCGCGGCATTATCGCGTAATCCAGGAGCCAGGTGGACAGGATGACCTGGGCACCTTTGATTCTGTCCTCGCTAACTGGAATGAACTCAGGTTTCTGGCTACGGCAAACTGATTTTGTGTGATTAATTTAGAAAATGTCATGGTTAAGAGGACATGATGTGAATCAGACCGGCTTGGGTCCCAGGCGGGGCTCTGTCACTTAGGAGCTGTGTGACCTTGGCAAGATTTTTAATTTAAAAAAATTGCTCATTTATGATCAGCAGCCCGGGAGGAAATGTGTGACTATCATCCAATCTTCTACGTTTAAGCTTTTATGTCCTATGAACTCTCACCTGAGCAAATGTCAGAGCCAGCGGAGAAACATCCAAGAAAGAACGAGGGTAATCAGAAATCATCATATTCCAAAATGTTTCCAATTGTTAGAAAAATTAATCACCGACCAAAAAACACTTCGGGGAGTCACAGAGACTTAAGCTCTTTGTGCTTCAGTTTCTTTATCAGTGAATTGGGAATAATAAAATCACCTATCTCGGTGACGATGTGCGGAGGTAAAGGGTGTTTAACAGCTGACCCAGTAGCTGCAAGCTTTGCAGCTGTAATTATTAGTATTAATTCACTCATTAGCTCTGGGAGGGCAAGAAATTTGCTGCTTTTTTTGCACCCAGTAGACCCGGCTTTGACTACAGTGCACAGTACTCAATAAATAATTATTTAATGAATAATTGAATGAACGGTATCAATACTTAAAATCCAAAAAGTCTTTGGAGTTTAAGATGGAGTCATACCTTTTCTATACCATTCCAGTTCTCAGATTCTTTGAGATCCTCTAGTGGTATTTAACAAAAGCAGCTACCACCCAGGAAGGACCATGAAAATGTTTGCTGAATGAATGGATGGTTGCCTCGCAGAAACTCATCTGGGTTCTTTGGATGCAGAAAAATTCTTTTTCTTTTTCTTTTTCTTTTTTTTGAGATGGGGTCTTGCTCTGTTGTCCAGGCTGGAGTGCAGGGCACGATCATAGCTCAATGCAGCTTCAGACTCTTGGGCTCAAGAGATCCTCCCACCTCAGCCTCCCAAGTAACTGGGACTACAGGCACCCGCCACTGTGCTGGGCTAATTTTTGGTAGACACAGGGTCTCACTATG
The DNA here is from genome assembly GCF_000001405.40 of Homo sapiens. NCBI lineage: Eukaryota > Metazoa > Chordata > Mammalia > Primates > Hominidae > Homo > Homo sapiens. The sequence goes on along the minus strand of NC_000007.14, from coordinate 4,536,913 downwards.
TTGCCCAGGCTGGTCTTGAACACCTCACCTCGAGTGATCCACCTGTCTGGGCCTCCCAAACGCTGGGATTATAGGCGTGAGCCATGGCACCCAGCCTTGGCTCCCACCTCAGCCTTACAAGTAGGTGGGACTACAGGTGCGAGCCACCATGCCGGGCTAATTTTTTAAATTTTTAGTAAATAAGATGTCTTGCTGTGTTGCCCAGGCTGGTCGTGAACTCTTGAACTCAAGTGATCCTCCCACCTTGGCTTCCTCAATACTGGAATTACAGGCGTGAGCCACCCCGCCCAGCCAGGACAGGTCTTTCAAATTGTATTGGATAGGACTGTAGAAGGTTTTGATGATCATTACTGACGTGGTTAGAGATAAATATTTATTGGAAGCTGAGGTTGATGCTGTACAGCCATCAGTGCCCCAGGGACTCCAGAAGCCTTACGGGCCAGTAGAATTCTGGCGGCTTCATTCAGATCCAATGTGAAGAAGTAAACACCTCTAATTTGCTGTCTTGTCATAGAACCAAGTCAACCTGAGCTGGTGCGAGAGAAAGAGCCAGTCTCTCTATCTCTTACCTGCTGGACAGTTCATTGACTCCCTGACAGCAAGAGTCAATCTCCACACATGTAATCCTGCCAGAAGTCAAGGGGCTGGCATGGACCAAGGTGCATGAACCAGGGGTGCCACAAATCTGTGGCTGGAGCATCTGCAGCCAGAGACCCTCCCAAGGAAGATAGGGCAGGTGACCTACCTGGACCAGAGCAGGGAGCTGGCTGACCTGTGTCTATGACCCTCCACTTCTCACCCCTCCTGACCTTTGCCTACGTTTGCCTTTTGCGGCACCTGCACTTTTGCATGTGACTCAGTGGCATTCCTAGTGACCTCTGTCTCTTGCAAGGAGCCAAATGTCCATCTGTCATGCAATAATAGAACATTTTGATCTACTGTATGCTGGTGCCCCCTGCCAAGGGTGTTTCAGATCACCCAACAATTACGATGGGCTCCCTTTGTCTTCAGGGAGGACCCAGGGATAACTCTTGTTCTCCTAAATTGATGCATAAGTTTTTCCCCAAAGCCTTTCTATCCTGCAGAGGCCTGGTAGGTGACAGAGATCATAATTCCCCTTATATCCATAAGTCATTTTTCTTCTTCTTTTTTTTTCCCCTGGAATCCAGTAGAAATCCTTCTCTTTAAAGCCTTATAACTTGACATTTATCTATCTTGGGGTGGGTCTTTATTTTTTATTTATTTATTATTATATTTTGAGACAGGGTCTCATTGTCATTCAGGCTGGAGTGCAGTGGCATGATCATAGCTCACTGCAGCCTTGACCTCCCAGGCTCAAGCAGTCCTCCTACCTCAGCCTTACAAGCAGCTGGGACTACAGGTGCCAGCCACCACGCCTGGCTAATTTTTTTAATTTTTAGTAAAGAGAAGGTCATGCTGTGTTGCCCAGGCTGGTCTTCAACTCTTGAACTCAAGTGATCCTCCCACCTTGGCCACCTCAATACTGGAATTACAGGCATGAGGTACCCCATCCAGCTGGGTTGGGTCTTTCAAATTGTATTGTATTGTCTTGGGTTGGATTGTCTTTTATTTAAGAAATTTTATCTTTAATAATTGCCCAATGGTGGTTTCTAGTTTCAGGCATTTTCTAGTCTAGTCAGTATGGGTAGAGACCTCTTTGTTTTCTGACCAGCAGAACATTAAAAAAGAAAACATTTTCTTAAAAAATAGAGACGGGGCTTGCTATGTTGCCCCGGCTGGTCTTGAACTCCTGGCTTCAAGCAATCCTCCCTCCTTGGCCTCCCACCTGTGCTGGGATTACAGGTGTGAGTCATTGCATCCCACCAGCAGGGCATGTTTGCCCAACGATTTGAATATCCTGTTGCAATTTGCCCTAGTAATTCACAATAATATTTGCATAAATTACCTGGCATAAGAAGACCGCAAGGTGATTCACTTGAAATGAGGACAGACAGCAGTGTACAGGTGGGAAGTGGTGAGTCTTGACGGCAGGCAGATCCAACTGGGAAGGAAAAAAAAATGAACATGTGCAAATGGGTGGGACCTGTCCTTACAACGGTCGCTAAAGGGCTTTCCCCTTTAATTGGAGCTTTTGTGGTGCTGTTGGGCCCCCTAGGAGCAGAACCCCGGTGATGACAGAAAGTGGCTGATTTGGCTGGGTGCGGTGGCTCACGCCTGTAATCCCAGCACTTTGGGAGGCCGAGGTGGGTGGATCACCTGAGGTCAGGAGTTCGAGACCAGCCTGGCCAACATGGTGAAACCCCGTCTCTACTAAAAATACAAAAATTAGCCTGGCGTGGTGGCGGGTGCCTGTAATCCCAGCTACTCGGGAGGCTGAGACAGGAGACTTGCTTGAACCCGGGAGGCGGAGGTTGCAAGTTGCAGTGAGCTGAGATCGTGCCATTGCACTCCAGCCTGGGTCACAAGGGTGAAACCCTGTCTCAAAAAAGAGAGAGAGAGAAAAAAAAGAAAGTGGCTGTTTTGCCTTTTGTGTGTTTGACTTACACACGTTTGCAGGACGGCATTGCATACAGCATTAGAAAGCTGCCCAGGCGTCTTTATCATCCTAAAGCCTTTTTGAAATTCTTCGTCTGTTCCTCACAGCTCTGGCGATGCGTTGCTTAACTTTCTGATTGATTATTCTCTGAAACAATCAATATGGGCCTTTGCTAACCTTTGAATCAACTTCTGCTCCTCAAATCTCTTTGGATTTCGGCTATGATTTGAATGTTTATCTCCTCCGAAACTCATGTTGAAACTTAATTCCCAGTGTGGCAGGATTGAGAGTTGGCCTTTAAGAGGTGATCGGGTCAGGAGGGCAGTGCCCTCGTGAATAGATGAATCCATTCACAGATTAATGGATTAATGGGTTAGCGCAGGAGCGGGACGGGTGGATTTATTAGAAGAGGAAGAGAGACCTGAGTTAGCACACTCGACCCCTCCCCGTGTGATCCTCCGTGCCGTCTCGGGACTCTGCAGAGAGTCTGCGTGTCAGTCCATTTTCACGCTGCTCATAAAGACATACCTCAGACGGGGCAATTTACAAAAGAAAGAGGTTTAATGGACTCACAGTTCCACGTGGCTGGGGAGGCCTCACAATCACGGCGGAAGGTGAAACGCGCACCTCAGACGGCAGCAGAGAAGAGAAGAGCGGTGTGGGGAAACTCCCGTTTATAAAACCATCAGATCTCGTGAGACTTACTCACTGTCACGAGAACAGCACGGGAAAGACCTGCCTCTATGATTCAATTACCTCCCACTGGGTCCCTCCCACAACATGTGGGCGTTCAAGATGAGATTTGGGTGGGGACACAGCCAAACCATATCAGTCCCCACAGCCAGGAGGCCCTCACCAGATATGGTCCCTCCACCTTGGAATTCTCAGCTTCCCTAACTGTAACAAATAGATTCACTTTTAAAAGAAATTACTCATGGCCGGCCGCGGTGACTCACATCTGTAATCCCAGCACTTTGGGAGGCCGAGGTGGGTGGATCACTTGAGATCAGGCGTTCGAGACCAGCCTGGCCAACATGGCGAAATCCCATCTCTACTAAAAATACAAAAATTAGCCGGGCACGGTGGCAGGTGCCTGTAATCCCAGCTACTCGAGAGGCTGAGGCAGGAGAATCGCTTGAACCTGGGAGGCAGACGTTGCAGTGAGCCAAGATCGTGCCACTGCACTCCAGCCTAGGCGACAGAGTGAGACTCTGTCTCAAAAACAAACAAACGAACAAACAAACACACACACAAAATAAAATAAATTACTCATTTCTGTTGTTCTGTTATGAGCAACAGAAAATGGACTAAGACCATTGTTTTCTCTTTTTCTTCATTTTCTTGGTTCTCAGATCTTCATTGTTCTGTAATAATCTTGCAGCTGTGGGATTCTGTTGACAAACTGTTCCAGATCACTCAATGATTAAGATGGGCTCCCTTTGTCTTCAGGGAGGATCCAGGGATAATCTCTGTTTTACTAAATTGATGCAGAAGTTTTTCTTCAAAGCCTTTCTCTCCTGCAGAGCCTAGCAGGTGACAGAGGTCGTAATTACTCTCATATCCACACCTCTTTTCCCTTCTTTTTCTTTTTTTTTTCTTGGAATTCAGTAGAAATCTGTCTTTGTCTTTAAAGCATTTTAACTTGACACTTATCTGCCTTAGTGTGGGTCTTCAGGGCTCTATTGCAGACTGCCTTTTATTTAAGAAGTTTTGTCTTTAATAATTGTTCTGTGATGGTTTCTCATTGCAGATGTTTTCTAGTCTGACACCAAGTCTCCTTGACTTGCTTTTGGGTGTCTCTACTATCCTTCCAGTCTTTTTTTTTTTTCCCCATTGTCACCTCAGCTGGAGTGCAATGGTGTGATCATAGCTCATTGCAGCCTCCAACTCCTGGGCTCAAGTGATCCCCCCACCTCAGCCTTCCAAGTAGCTGGGACTATAGGCATGTGCCACCATACTGGCCAATTTAACTTTTTTTTTTTTTTTTTTTTTTGTAGAGACGGGTTGTGCTATGTTGCTCAGGCTGGTCTCAAACCCCTGGCCTCAAGAGCTGGGATTACAGGCAGGAGCCATTGTGCCTGGCCTCCTTCCAGCCTTTAATAGCTCCAAATCAAGTCAGTTGTCTTGGCATAGCCTCAACACTCCTGATTTTGTGTATGTCCTTTCCCCTTTAAAGCTCCCCTAACTGTAATCAGAGTGTCTCTTTTTTTTTTTTTTTGAGATGGAGTCTTGCTCTGTCACTCAGGCTGGAGTGCAGTGGTGCAGTCTCAGCTCACTGCAACCTCTGCCTCACGGGTTCAAGTGATTCTCCTGCCTCAGCTTCCTGAGTAGCTGGGATTATAGGCATGGACCACCCTGCCCAGCTAATTTTTGTATTTTTAGTAGAGATGTGGTTTCACCCTCTTGGCCAGGCTGGTCTTGAACTCATGACCTCAGATGATCCACCCTCCTCGGCCTCCCAAAGTGCTGGGATTACAGGTGTGAGCCACCGCACCCAGCCGTGTCTCCTTAATGTTTATGAGCGTAACCCTTGTTTCCTTAGACCCAGAGCTGTGATAGTTTTTACAAATGTTTAAAATAGTTTAAGTTAGTATTTAAAAGGGAAAAACTTCTACATAAACTTAAGAGCTAAAACTATGAAACTCTTGGAAGACAATGAAGCGACGTCATTGTCTGGGGTAAATACCCGAGGTTCGTCGTCTCACGCCAAGGGAATCAAGGACACAGACACGCAAGAAGTGAGTTTAAGAGCAGAGGTTTAGTAGGCTAAAGAACGAGAAAAGAGAAAAGCTCTCTCTCCTGCAGAGAGAGAGGTTGGCTCCCAAGTGGGTTTTCCAGTTCCATGGGGAAATGCATGGGGTTTTATCGATGAGCTTGAGAAGGTGGTGTCTAATTTACATACGGCACAAGACATTGGTCCGATCAGCTGTGCCATTTGCATAGTGCATGAAGAAGCTAGCCATCCCACCCTAATCTTTTATTATGCAGATGAGGTTTCTACCTGGCCGGCACCATGTTGCCTGCTTTTTACTGCACACATAGCGACAAAGAAAAGGGAAGAGGGAACCTCCACGTTGAATACACCTGGCTTCCAAGTATTCCTTTTCTATTGGCACAGCTGCTGGCATTTACCTATGCAAGCTTTTAGCTTGCTTATCTATGCTTGCAGCTTGATTTTTCAGGCTGCTTTTTGTTAGAAAAGATATCATTTGGGGGGTGCTTTTTATTAAAATGAAACTTTACCAAGGACTCTCTTACCCTCACCATCTGCCTAAATAATTTCTTTCTAGTTCCTGTATCAAAAACATAGGGGTAAATCTTCATGATGTTGGATTTGGCAATAATTTCTTTCTTTTTTTTTTTTGAGGTGGAGTCTCACTCTGTCACCCAGGTTGGACTGCCGTGGTGCGATCTCGGCTCACTGCAACCTCGGCCTCCTGGGTTCAAGAAATTTTCCTGCCTCATCCTCCTGAGTAGCTGGCACCACAGGTGCATGCCACCATGCCCGACTAATTTTTATATTTTTAGTGGAGATGGGGTTTTACCACTTTGGCCAGGCTAGTCTTGAACTCCTGACCTTAGGTGATCTATCTGCCTCGACCTCCCAAAGTGCTGGGAGGCAATGATTTCTTGGATATGACACCAAAAGTATAAGCATCGAAAGAAAAAATTACTACATTGGACTTCACCAAAGTTAAAAACTTCTGCATCAAAGACCACTATCAAGAGAGTGAAAAGACAGCCTACAGAATTGGAGAAAATATTTTCAAATCATCTATCTGATGGACAAGTAATATTCAGAGTATACAGAGCTCTTACAAAGCAACAAAAACAAAAGGACAACTCAATTAAAAAATGGGCAAAGGATTCGAATAGATGTGTCTCCAAAGTCATACAAATGGGCAATATGCACATGAAAAGATGCTAAAAATCGTTATTCACCAGGGAGATGCAAATCAAAACCACAATGAGATACCCCTACACACCCACCTCCTGGCTATGATTAAAAACAATGGGAAATAACAACTGTTGGCAAGGATGTGGAGAAATTGGAAACTTTGTGCATTGCTGGTGGGAATGGAAAATGTTGCAGCTGCTGTGGAAATTTGGTACATGCTCAAGTAGTTGGACATGGAATTACCATAAAATCACCAGCAATTGCACCTTTGGTATATATCCAGAAGAATGAAAAGCAGGAACTTAAAGAGCTTAAAGAGATACGTGTATGCTAATGCTCTCAGTAGCATTATTCATAGTAACCAAAAAGTTACTATGTCCATTGATGAATGAATGTATAAACAAAATGTGGCCTATCCCTGCAATGGAAGATTTGTTGGCCATTAAAAGAAATGATATTCTGATACATGCCAAAACATGGATAAACATTAAGGACACTATGCTAAGTGAAATAAGCCAGACACAAAAGGACAGATATTGTATGATTCCTGATATGGTTTGGCTGTGTCCCCACCCAAATCTCATCTTGAATTGTAGCCCCTGTAATCCTCATGTGTTGTGGAAGGGACCCAGTGGGAGATGATTGAATCATGGGGACTGTTTCCCCCTTACTGTTCTCATGGTAGTGAATAAGTCTTGCAAGATCTGATGGTTTATAAGGGGAAACCCCTTTTGCTTGGTTCTCATTCCCTCTTTGCTGGCCACCAGCTATGATGTCTCTTTGTGCTCCTTCGTCTTCCACCATGATTGTGAGGTCTCCCCAGCCATGTGGAATCGTGAGTTTCCTTTATAAATTACCCAGTTATTGCATGATCTGGTTGTTTAAAAGCGCATGGCACCTCTCCTCTCCCTTTCTCTTGCTCCTGCTCCTGCCATGTAAGACGCCTGCTTGCCCTTTGCCTTCCACCATGATTGAGGCCTCCCCAAAAGCAGAAGCTACTATGCTTCCTGTACAAACTGCAGCACCACAGGCCGATCAAACCTCTTTTCTTATAAATTGCCCAGTCTCAGGTATTTCTTTATAGCAGTGCGATAATGAGACTGATATAGGGTCGCATATAGCAAATCAGGGTAGATCCAGGATTTGAGACCATGTTTGTGAGTGACTCCTAAGCCTAGAGATGGTAGAATGGCCATCTCTACCACCTACCATTCCAGGACACTTCAGGACTTCAGGTAAAACCCTTGGGTGGGGCTCAGCAGACCCAAGCTCTGGGTCAATTCTCCTCTGCCTCAATATGTGACCTCAGGCAGACCCCTTGGTTGTTCTTGGTCTAAATCTCATTGGCATTCCCAACTCCATTTTTTTTTTGTTTTGCACTAGCTATTATCTTTGCCTGGAACATTCTTCCTCCAGTTCCTCTGTGTCAGGGACCCCAAGAACACTCTCATGTTCAATGACTTGCTAGAAGGACTCAGAAAAGCCTGTTATACTCACAGTTATGATTTTTTTTTTTTTTTGAGACGAACTCTCGCTCTGTCGCCAGGCTGGAGTACAGTGGCACGATCTTGGCTCACTGCAACCTCAGCCTCCCGGGTTCAAGTGATTCTCCTGCCTTTGCCTCCCGAGCAGCTGGGACTACAGGTGCACGCCACCACACCCAGCTAATTTTTGTATTTTTAGTAGAGATGGGGTTTCGCCATGTTGGCCAGAATGGGCTCAATCTCTTGATCTCATGATCCACACTCCTTGGCCTCCCAAAGTTTAAAACCGCCAAGACTAAAAGGCACATAGGACAGAGTTCAGGGGACACCAGGATAAAGCTTTTTGTTGTCCTCTCCTGGTGGAGCCATACAGACAGCACCAACTGTGATGACACATAGGGCATATTGTGAACCACGGAAGCTCATGCAACTTTAATTCCCAGAGTTTTTTATTTTTACTTTTGCAAGAAGAGGTCTTGCTATGTTGCCCAGGCTGGTCTCGAACTCTTGGACTCAAGCAATCTGCCTGCTTCGGATTCCCAAAGCGCTAGGATTGCAGGTGTGAGTCATTGCACTTGGCCAGTTTCCAGAGTGTTTATTGAGGTCAGTCACATAAACATGGAGTGCCCATGTGGCTGACATTAGTTATTCAATCTCCAGCCCCTCCAGAGGTCAAACTGAACCAGAGAGGTCTAAGACCCCTCGCCATCATTCACAGTGTTGGCATAAACTATCTGCTGTGGCCCACTGCCCCAGTTATGCAAAAAACACTCATCACGTGGGATATTTCACAGGCTTCAAGGTTATCTCCTGGTCAGAGTCAGTTCTTTCTTTGGAATGTGCAGGGTTTGGACAACAAAGACCTGCTGAGTTAACCCCTTGCACACTCATGGTTCTTCTCATCAACCAAAACTCAGCACATACATGGCTTCCTCAGAGGGGCCTCTGTTGACCAAGCAACCTGAATGACTCCCTATCACTTTCCGTCACTTTCCCATGGTTTATTTTCATAATTGCTTTTCCGATCACCATATATTTTCCTGTTTTTCTTTCTTATTTTTTAGAAACAGGGTCTTGCTCTGTCACCCAGGCTGGAGTGCAACGGCATAATCATGGCTCACTGTAACCTTAGTCTCCTGGGCTCAAGGAATCCTCCCACTTCAGCCTCCTGAGTAGCTGGGACTATAGGAATGCACCATCATGCCCAGGCAATTTTTTTTTTTTTTATGGAGTCTCGCTCTGTCTCCAGGCTGGAGTGCACTGGCGCGATCTCGGCTCACTGCAACCTCCGCCTCCCGGGTTTAAGCGATTCTCCTGTCTCAGCCTCCCGAGTAGCTGGGACTACAGGCATGCGCCACCATGCCCAGCTAATCTTTACATTTTTAGTAGAGATGGAGTTTCACCATGTTGGCCAGGATGGTCTCGATTTCTTGACATCGGGATCCACCCACCTTGGCCTCCCAAAGTGCTGGGATTACAGGCGTGAGCCACCGTGCCTGTCAAGTGCAGGTAATTTTTAAGCTTTTTGCAGAGATGGGGGTCTTGCTATGTTGCCTAGGCTGGTCTTGAACTCCTGGCCTCAAGCAGTCCTCCAGCCTCGGCCTCCCAAGGCTGAGGAGGCTGAAGTGGGAGAATCCCTTGAGCCCAGGAGACTGAGGTTACAGTGAGCCATGATTGTGCCATTGCACTCCAGCCTAGGTGACAGAGCAAGACCCTGTCTCTAAAAAATAAGAAAAAAAAAAAAACCAGGAAAATTTATGGTGATCAGAAGAGCAATTACGAAAATAAACCATGGGAAAGTGACAGGCCCTGCCACCACATCTGGCGTATATTTTCCTTTTTGCTCATCGCCTACCTCCCCCCACTAGAATGTAGGCTCTTTGAGAGTACACAGTTTGTTGCTTGTGTTCACTGTTGCATTTCAGATGCCAAGAACAGAGCACAACAAAGAATAGAAACTTAATAAACACTCTTTGATGAGTGAAGGAATCTGGACAAAGAAGGACTGATTTCCAATATCATTTTCAGCTCTAAGGAAAGAACACCATGAATCAAGTTAGTGGATTCATAGTTTTCTACCTAGATCTTTTTTTTTTTTTTTGAGATGGTGTCTTGCTCTGTTGCCCAGGCTGGAGTGCAGTGGCGTGATCTCGGCTCACTGCAACCTCCATCCTCTGGGTTCAAGCGATTCTCCTGCCTCAGCCTCCCAAATAGCTGGGATTACAGGTGCATGCCACCATGCCCGCCTAATTTTTTAATTTTTAGTAGAGATGGGGTTTCACCATGTGAGCCAGGCTGGTATCGAACTCCTGACCTCAAGTGATTCACCCACCTCAGCCTCCCAAAGTGCTGGGATTACAGGCATGAGCCACTGCACCTGGCTGTAACTAGATTTTGATGTCTAATCAGGAAAGCCTATTTTTCTGATGATGATTTTTTTTTTTTTTTGAGATGGAGTCTCGCTCTCTCACCAGGCTGGAGTGCAGTGGCGCGATCTCGACTCACTGCAACTTCTGCCTCCTGGGTTCAAGCGATTCTCCTGCCTCAGCCTCCCGAGTAGCTGGGACTACAGGTACGCGCCACCATGCCCAGCTAATTTTTGTATTTTTAGTACAGAGGGGGTTTCATCGTGTTGGCCAGGATGGTGTCGATTTCCTGACCTCGTGATCTGCCTGCCTCAGCCTCCCAAAGTGCTGGGATTACAGGCATGAGCCACTGCACTTGGCCTCTGATGACTATTTTACCTGAATGTCCTCAGGGCTGTTTAGGGAAGAGCAGGTGCCTGAGAAATGAATACATGATTTCTTCCTTTCCTGAATACCCCCCTCCCCTCATGCTCTCCTGGGAGCAATTCCCTTCCCCTTTCTTCTTCCTCTTCCCCTGTTTTGTGGATGTGACTTGTGAATCACGCTGCTCACTTCATCTGCAGTTGCTTCTGTTTATTTTCTTTTTGGAGCTCATTGCTGTAAACTGGCTCTTTCTGAGATGATAAACGTGTCCCTCCCCTAAAAACTGTGGCTCTCTGATGACTTAACTCTAGCAGGAAGTTCCGAAGATTTCCACCTAAAGGGAATCTTTTTCTGAGGCCCCTCCACCTTTTTGCCATAGCTGGCTTGGATTTCACTCATATTAGTGTGCTAGGGCTGCTGCAGCACATTATAAGTGAGTAGCTTAAAACCGTAGAAATGGGCTGGGCATGGTGGCTCATGCCTGTAATCCTAGCACTTTGAAAAGCCGAGACGGGTGGATCACTTGAGGTCAGGAGTTCGAGACTAGCCTGGCCAACAAGGTGAAACCCCATCTCTACTAAAAATACATAGAAAATTAGCCGGGTGTGGTGGTGCACGCCCGTAGTCCCAGCTATTTGGGAGGCTGAAGCAGAATCGCTTGAACCCGGGAGGCAGAGGTTGCAGTGAGCTGAGATCAAGCCACTGCACTCCAGCCTGGGCAACAGAGCAAGACTCCACCTAAAAAAAAAAAAAGAAAAAAAAAGAAGAAGAAATGTATCCATTCATGGTTCTGGAGGCCACAAATTCAAAGTCAAGTTGTCATCAGGGTCACATTTCCTCTGAAGGTTTAGGGGAGGAGCCTTCCTGTCTCTTCCAGCTTCTGGAGGTTCCTGAAGTTCCTTGGCTAGTGGTACCTCCCGCCAATCCCTGCCTCCAAGGGCTTCTTCCTTATATATCTCTGTCCCAAACCTCCCTCTCCTTGCTCTTGTAAGAAACCAGCCAGTGGACTTAGGGTTCACCAAAACTCCAGGATGATCTCATACCCAGATCCTTACCACAAAGACTCTATTTCTTTTTTTTTTTCTTTTCTTTTTTTTTCAGACAAAGTCTTGCTCTGTCGCCCAGGATGGAGTATAATGGCACGATCTCAGCTCACTGCAACCTCCGTCTCCCGAGTTCAAGTGATTCTCCTGCCTCAGCCTCCTGAGTGGCTGGGATTACAGGCATGCGCCACCATGCCTGGCTAATTTTTTTGTTTTTTTAGTAGAGATGGGTTTTCACCATGTTGGTCAGGCTGGTCTCGAACTCCTGACCTCGTGATCCCCCCGCCTCAGCCTCCCAAAGTGTTGGGATTACAGGCGTGAGCCGACGTGCCCGGCCTCACAAAGACTCTAATTCTAAATAAGGTAACATTCACAAGTCCTGGGGGTTAGAACTTGTACATTTTTGTTTGTTTTTGAGACAAGGTTTTGCTCTGTTGCCCAGACTGCAGTGCAGTGGCATGATCATAGTTCATTGCAGCCTTGAACTTCTGGAGTCAAAGGATCCTCCTTTCTCAACCTCCTGAGAGGCTGGGACTATAGGCACATGCCACTATGCCTGGCTAGTTTGTTTTTATTTTTTGTAGAAATGGGGTCTCCCTATGTTGCCCAGGGCTGGTCTTAAACTCCTGGGCTCAAGCAATCTTCCCACCTTGGCCTCCCAAAGTACTGAGATTACAGGCATGAGCCACTGCGCCCTGCCTTGATATGGAAATTTACCCCCCTGGCATTTCATTCAGAAGTCGGACTGGACAGATCATAGGCAACCTGGTTCTGCCTCTTTCAGCTTTAATTTATTGTGAGATGCAGTGTACAGAATGTGGATTGCGGATTCCCGCTCTCAGCCCCAAGGCTCTGCATCAAATTTCTCAAATTTTTCATCAAAAATGAAATTCAGACATTACTTCCTATTCAAGGGCAGCGACCTTGGGCAAGCCCGTTGTCTGTTTTTGCAATTCCAAGCAAGGCTTTATCTAAACCTCAGACTCGACGGAATATTTTCAGATTATACATCTAAAAATATGCTTAGTAGGAAAACACTCCATTCTTTATATCAAAGTACTATACATATTTATAATTATTTTCCCATCTCCAGGCAGTCTCTTTCCGTTTCCCTCAGAGATCACAAATATTCAATTATTTCTTAGATACGTTAGAATTATACAGACCTATCTCAAAAATTGTTTCCACTCTTTTCCCTCCCTCCCCTCCCTCTTTCCCTCCCTTTTCCCGTTTTCCTCCCTTTTTACCTTCCTTTTTTCCCTCCATCCCCCCCTCCCTCCCTTCCTCTTTACCTCCCTCCCGTCCTTCCTTCCTTCCTCTTTCCCTCCCTCCCTCCCTTCCTCCCTTCCTTCCTCTTTCCTGCCCTTCCCTTCCTTCCTTCCTTCCTCTTTCATCTCCCTTCTTTCCTTCCTCTTTTTCACATCATGGACTCTTATTCTTGGTTTTATTCTGGAATCATTTTTGTTCATTTGGGCTTGTGCCTCTCTGCTCCAGCTATTATGCTGTGAACATTTTATTTTTTTCTTCCTTTTCCTCTTTCCCTGAAGGTAAGAGTTCTAAATCCATTTTTCTAGACACAGCTTGACTACTCTCTCTTTCTAGTAATTTTTACTAACTGGCCTCAAAAGCCATTTGTTGTGAAGCATTCATGGACCAGGCTTGGTAATTTCCAAAGAGAATTAAGGCCACTTAGGATAAAAGGCACATACAATCAGATTATTGGATGAGAAAAATGAATCAAAGCTATGAAAAGGACCAAATGTGCTCCCTCAAGGACTGAGTTACTCTAATTAAATTTTAAATTTGGCACTGGGGTTCCTATTGGTCTGGGCAATAAGAGAAACTAAGACATTGCACTTTATTTAATAGAGAACAGAGCTGGTCCATTTGTCATTAGAGAGAGATCTTTTCTGGTTTTTAACTATAAAAGGAATTTTCCAATTGGATATCATACAAGGGACACTGAGCAAGATAATCAACAAAGCAGAGATTATTTTATCTAAAAGATTTCTGGGCCAGGCATGGTGGCTCATGCCTGTAATCTCAGCACTTTGGGAGGCCAAAGCAGGCGGATCACCTGAGGTCAGAAGTTCGAAACCAGCCTGGGTAACCTGACGATACCCTGTCTCTACTAAAAATACAAAAAATTACCCGGGCGTGGTGGCAGGCGGCTGTAACCCCAGTTACTCAGGAGGTTGAGGCATGAGAATTTCTTGAACCTGGGAGGCAGAGGTTGCAGTGAGCCAAGATTGCGCCACTGCACTCCAGCCTGGGTGACAGAGTGAGACTCCATCTCAAAAAAAAAAAAAAAAAAAAAAAAAAAGTTTCTTCCTTTCTAACAGGAACCTGGGGGATCCACCTGTGTGACTTAGCTATGAAATGCTCCCCTGGGACTGAACAAGTTGGCTTTCTGAGTGGAAGGACCAGCATTGGCTATGTTCTTGTTGGACAGTACCAACCAAGGTCTCCCACAGATGCTGGTGTTGGCAGAGGTTTCGCCGTGCTGTTTGCACAGCTTGTGTTGGATTCTAGGTCAATTGCTTCTTCCAGGCTGGAGTGCAGTGGCGCAATCTTGGCTCACTGCAAGCTCCGCCTCCCAGGTTCACGCCATTCTCCTGCCTCAGCCTCTCGAGTAGCTGAAACTACAGGTGCCCGCCACCACGCCTGGCTAATTTTTTGTATTTTTAGTAGAGATGGGGTTTCACTGTGTTGGCCAGGATGGTCTTGATCTCCTGACCTCGTGATCCACCCGCTGCGGCCTCCCAAAGTGCTGGGATTACAGGCGTGAGTCACCGTGCCCGGCCCGGTCAATTGCTTCTTAAAGCCGCTCTGGGTCCCTGATAATAAAATGAGCTCATGAACTTTATATGGAAAAGTGGTAGCAGCAGGGAGTTATTTTACACTGTCTTGCTTTGTGTCATGGGATCTTGCAACTCTGGGTTCTACTGCCAGGACCCCAAATCACTACTTGGCCCAAGGAAATTATCAAAAATGATAATGATGATGATGATGATGATGACATTGTCAGCCAACCTGACTGCTTATCTTTATTGAGAGCTTAATTTGTGACAATCACTGGGCTAAGTCTTGGCCATGCATTTTCTTAATTAACTTAACAATAGCCTTATAAGGAATGTGTCATGCTATTTTGATCTTCATGTTATAGGAGATCAGAGGTCAGTGATGTGTCTGAGTTGGGTGGTGCCTGCATTAGCTCCCTAAGGCTGCCATAACAAAGTACCGCAAACTGGGTGGCTTAGAAAATAGAAATTTATTTTCTCATAGTTCTACAGGCCAGAAGTCCAAAATCAAGTTGTTAGCAGGGTTGGTTCCTTCTTGGGGGCTCAGAAGAAGAATCTTCTCCATGCCTCTCTCCCAGCTTCTGGTGGTGACCAACGATCCTTGGCTTGGAGCTGCATCCCTCCAATCTCCACCTCTTTCATTGCAGGACTTTCTGCCTCTGTAACTATGTCTTCACATAACTTCTGTCCTCTGTGTGTGTCTGTCTCTGTCTCTTTTCTTCTTCTTGCAAGCACACAAACCATATTGGACTAAGGGTCCATCCTACTTGAGTATGGCCTCATCTTAACTTACATCTTAATTATATTTGCCGGCCATGAATGAGGCCTTCATAATGAGATTAGTGGTCCTATAAGAAGAGAAAGAGATCTTTCTGTCTCTTTTATCCCATGTGAATGTGCTGAGGAAAGGCCACATAAGAACATAGCAAGAAGGTGGCAGTCTGCACCTCAGAAAAAGAGTCCTCACCAGCAAATGAATCAGGAGGCACCTTGATCAGCCTCCAGAACTGTGAGAAATCAATTTCTGTTTTCAAGCGACCTATTCTGTGATATTTTGTTACAACAGCCTGAGCTAACTAAGACAGTTGTAAATCAGTGTATGTGGTAAACATATCTCTAGCCTTTGCAACTGGAAAGAGATTACCACATATCTTTGAAGGAGTCAAAAGGCTTCAAGAGTTTGGCAGTGGTGTCATTTCAATAATTTTTTGGGGAGAGACAATTGAGAGAGAATGGAGGAAAGAGACTTGAGGGCTGATTTTTGATGCTGTAAATACTGCCATGAGTAACATCTTCATGCAGTAACAACTTTATGCATTTTTATGGCTGTGGGGTCTGGAGCATTTGCACTCGAGTCCAGTGATCTGGTTTGAATCACACTCCAGCATGGATTAGCTATGTGACATGGGGCCATTACTTCACCCCTTTAGGCCTTAGTTTCCTTATCTGTAAAATGGGGATACTAATAATATCTATCATGTAGGGTTAAGGATTCAATGTGTTAAACACAGAAGGCATTTCAAATAGTTCTTGCTGAGTAGTAAATGTTGACCAAGGCATGTTTTGCAACTGCTGAATTATTCCTGAGTCTGTGTTCCCAGGGAGCATTATTGGTATAGATTTCCACATGCTGTGGTCAGACTGGCTGTGGGCATGGGGTTTCTGTTCCCGACTGCTCCAAACTTTTCAACTTCTGTTAGGCTGCCCTCCTAACAGACTGATACGTTTTGAATCAGCAGAAAATTATTCCTTTTTTTTGCAGAGATGAAAGATCTGGGAACAGCTGAATAGCCCACTCCTTTGGAGGGAAGAGAGGAATGTCCCTGCAGGAGAACTGGATATTCTCGAAGGATCCAGGACTCTCAGAAGCAATGGAGGTGGTTAGAAGCAGACAAACTAGAGACGCATTTGTAGTGGAATTGAAGAGTCCCCGATAACGAATTACAGGTGGGAAAGAGGGAGAGAGAGAGAGGAGTCAAGAAGTTCTGGCTGGAGCAATTAATTAGTCATTGCTCACAATGACTTTCTTTCCTGCCTGTTTTGCACACACCTAACGTGCTTCCTAAAGCTTAAGGCTGACCTCTTTGGATGCCCCAGGGGCTTGCAATGAAAGGTAAAAGCCCAGGAAAGCGGAAGCTGGGCTCTGCAGGCCAGAGCAGGAAATGGATTGCCCACTCATGCCTGCATTTGTTTATTTAACAGCTTCTCAGTCTTGTTTGGGTACCTTGAGCTCCTTGGAGTTCATTCTTAGCTCTGTTGCCCAGGCTGGAGTGTAGTGGTGTGATCACAGCTCACTGCAGCCTCCAACCCTGGGCTCAAGTGTTCCTTCTCCCTTAGCCTCCTCACTATCTGGGACCACAGTTGTGTGTCACCATGCCAGGGTAATGTTTAATTTTTTGTAAAGATGGGGTCTCACTACGTTGCCCAGGCTGCTTTCGAACTCCTGGCCTCAAGTGATCTTCCTGCCTTGGCCTCCCACAGTGCTGGGATTACAGACGTGAGCCACCATGCCTGGCTAGGTGTGATAGTTCACATTCCAAGTCACATGTCACAGTCATATATTTTGCTTAGTAGTGTATTGCATAGTTGGTATGAAAGGGTTAAAAATATCAATATTTCATGAAAATGGTCATTACCTCTAGAAGCATTTTCCTCCTAATGAGACCTGAGAGCTGCTGGCTTCTCTCAGATGTGTCTGGGATTGGAACCAGCCATGCCTTCCACCTTTTCCACTGAGTTCCCGTTGAGTCTGCTTCACTGGGCAGCGGTGTCAACAGAGGTCTCCTGAGATTCTCAAGTCACAGTGATGCCAAGTCTATTTTTTTACATTGGAAGCTATTTGGTTTCTCTTGTCTCTAGATGAAGTGAGAAACCCATTAAATGCAGGCTTCCCTAAGTGGGATTTATATTTATTTTACCACGAATTGGTTGGCTGCTTCATGCCATCAGTAAGATTCTTGTTGGTCACTGCTCTTGTCACTTGGCCATATCCCAAATTTATTTCCCTTAATACTAGCTTACTATGTAGTTTCATCTTAGGGGATGTTCACTATCTGGCTTGCTGCTGTCTATTATTATTTGGGTTTTCCAAGGCGATTCCTTGCCAGCCTCCTCTTGACTGTCATTAATCATCATACTGTAACCCTTATTCATTAATTCAGTCTTTCATTCATTCAGCAAACATTTAGTAAGTGTCTGTAATATGCCAGGCTGGGTGCTGGGGCCGGGGCTTCAAAAGAAGGCAATCTCCCTGCTTTCAAGGAGAAAATCCATGCAATGTGTACCAACTCTCCATCAACAATTCTCACCCCTGGCTGCATGGGAGGGTCTCTTGGAGGAGAAGCTTCTTTAATTTTGTTGTTTTGTTTTCAGACAGAGTCCCGCTCTGTCACCCAGCGTGGAGTGCAGTGGTGCAATCATGGCTCACTGCAGCCTCTACCTCCTGGGCTTAAGCAATTCTCCCACTTCAGCCTCCTGAGTAGCTGGGACCACAAGCGCCTGCCACCATGCCTGGCTATTTTTTTTAGTTTGTTTGTTTTGATGTGTTTTTGTAGAGATGGAGCAGGATGCTGTCTCAAAAAAAAATAATAATAAATAAAATAAAATAAAATAAAATAAAATAAATTTAATCTGTTGAGACTTAATTTTTGTCCTAAATATGGTTTATCCTGGAAAATGTATACGCTGGTGTTGTTGGGTGGTGGTCCATACATATCTGTTATGTCAAGTTGGTTTATTGTGTTGTTTAAGTCCTCCATTTTCTCACTTATTTTCTGCCTATTTGTTCTATCCATTATTGAGAATGGAGTATTAGACTCTCTATTGTTGTAGAACTATTTATTTCTCCCTTTAGTCTTGTCAGTTTTTGCTTGATGGTCTGTCGCTAGGTGTATAAGTGTTCATAATTGTTATATCTTTATCGCATGAAAACTTTTATTAGTCTATAATGTCCCTCTTTGTCCTTTGTAAACTTTTTGATTTAAAATATTTTTGTATGATATTAGTACAGCCACCCCTGCTCTTCTTTGGTTATAATTTGCATGAAATATCCTTTTCCATCCTTTAACTCTTTTTTTTTTGAGGTGGAGTCTCGCTGTGTCGCCCAGGCTGGAGTGCAGTGGTGCGATCTCGGCTCACTGCAAGCTCCACCTCCCGGGTTCACGCCATTCTCCTGCCTCAGCCTCCCGAGTAGCTGGGACTACAGGCGCCCGCCACCATGCCCGGCTAATTTTTTTTGTATTTTTAGTAGAGACGGGGTTTCACCACGGTCTCGATCTCCTGACCTCGTGATCCACCCGCCTTGGCCTCTCAAAGTGCTGGGATTAAAGGTGTGAGCCACCGCGCCTGGCCTCCATCCTTTAACTTTCAATCTATTTGTGTCTTTGAATATAAAGTGAGTTTCTTGTAGACAACACATAGTTGAATCACATTAAAAAATCAATTTTTCCAATGTCTTTTATTACAGTTTAATCCATTTACATTTAAGGTAATTACTGATAAGGAGGGATTTATTTCTGTCATTTTGCTATATTCCCCCTATATGCCATATAGCTATTTTGTCGCTCTTCTTGCATTTGTGTCTTCTTTTGTGTTAGTTGATTTTTTTGTAGTGAAACATTTAAATTACCCCCTCATTCCCTTTTGTATAATTCTATAACTATTTTCCTTGTAGTTGTCATGAGAATTACATTTAACACCCTAAAGTTATAAGACTCTAATTTGAATTCATACCAGCTTAACTTCAAGAACATAAAAAAACACTGATCCTTTAACAGTTCTGTCTCTACCCCTTTCTGTTGTTGCTGTCACAATATTATATATTTATATACCATGTACCCCTAAATATAAACTAATAAACTCCTTTAAGTGTATTATTTTCTTAAATTATGTAGAAAACAAAAAATGGAATTACAAACCATTGTTACAATATACTAGCATTTGTAATTGTCAATGTATTTACCCTTATTGAGATTTTTATTTCCTCATATAGCTTTGAGTTACTGGCTAGTGTCCTTTCATTTCACATCACGCTGTAGGACTCCCTTCAGCATTTCTTCCAGGGCAGGTCTAGTGGTAATGATCTCCCTCAGATTTTGTTTATCTGGAAGTGTCCTACTTTCTCTCTCACTTTTGAAGAAAAATTTTGCCAGATGCAAGATTCTTGGTTGATCGTTTGTTTTTCTTTCAGCACTTTGAAGATATTGACCCATTGCCTCCCCACCTCTAAACTTTCTGCTGAGAAATCTTATTGAGAATCCCTTGTATATGACAAGTTGCTTCTGTCCTGTTGCTTTCAAAATTCTCTTTTTGTCTTTATCTTTAGAAAGTTTGATTATAAACTGTCTCAGTGTGGGTCTTAGTGCAACTTACCTGGCGTTCATTGAGTTTCTTAGATGTTTGTTTTCATGTCGTCCATCAAATTCGGGAAGGTTTTAGCTATTATTTCTTCAAGTATTTTCTCTCACTTCTTCTGGGACTCTCACAGTGCATATGTTGGTTTGCTTGATAGTGTTCCAGATCCCTTAGGTTCTGTTCATTATTTTTTTCTATTCCGCAGACTTGGTAATTTCCATTGTCCTATCTTCAGGTTTTCTGATTCTTTCGTCTGCTTGCTCAGATCTGTCTTTGAATTCCTATAGTAAATTTTTCATTGTAGTTATGAAATGAAAGCTAGTTTCTTTTAAAGTTTTCTCTTTTCTTCCCATGTGAAACCGAGAAGAAAGGTTTTCTCTTTTTATTGATGTTTTCGTTTTTTTCATACGTTATTTTCCTGACTTTCTCTAAATTTTTCTTTAGTTCTTTGAATATCTTCAAGGCAGTTGTTTTAAAGTCTTTGTCTAGTAGATCGGCCAACAGGTCATTTTCAGGGACAGCTTCTGTTGATTTATTTTTTTTCCTTTGCATGGGCCATACTTCCCTGTTTCTTTGTATGCCTTGCGTTTTGTTGTTGTTGTTAAACATTAGACACTTGAATCTAATAACTCTGGAAATCCAATTCTCCCCCTTCTCTAGGGTTTGTGAGGTTTTTCTTTTTATTGCTTTTGGTTTTTAAAATAGTTGTGGGCACTCTCTGTGCCTACAAAGCTCTGTGATCAGGCTGAGATATAAACCTAAGATCTTCTGAGGTCTTTCTTGAGCTTGTGCCTTTCTCTGGGCGTGTGTGGTCACCTTCTAATTTTCCCTATATATACAATTGCTTTGGAATGTTCTGGTCTTTAATATCTGGCTTCCAAAAAGGTAAAAAGAGAGAAATAAAGGGGCGGGGGTGGGAAAGGGTACCAGCTTGAGGGGGAGAGGCTTACAATAATGGTGGAAGGAGCAACAACAATGGCCATCCACCTCTTTGTCTTCACTTCTGTGATCAGAAGCAGTGATCGATGATTAGAGCACAGATCATCAATACTTTTTGGGCAGTACTTTTTGCCCACCCTAGTTTCGGCAAGTTCTGTGCGTATTGCTCCATGAACACGTGCTCAGCTGCTCAGCTGCCTTCCATAGGGCTGGGAGTGGGGTGGGATGGGTAACTGCTACTGTGTGAGAGCTGAAATTAAGTGACATTGACTGAAACTTTAACTATTCCAATCTTCCTTTGGAAGTTGCAAGCCTCCAATAAAGTCCAGAGTTCAAAAATAATGACATCAGACAGATTCTGCCAGTGCAATTGTTGTCTAGGTGGGAAGACAGATTCCTGGTGCTTTTTACTCTATCATCTTCCCAGAATCATCTGCATATATGTTTTAAAATATACATATACCTGGGAAGAAGGTTATTTTAATCTCTTAATGAAGTTGAGTGAGCAAGACCGTGAGCCGGTGATGACATGAAAGGCATCCAGGTAGGAGTCAGGATGAAGTGGGAGAATATTCCTCACCCTCCATGGCAGAGCTCCTAGAGATAATTGTTGATCTGACTCCAAGGAAGGTGACTCAAAAGGCAACAGAGTGGGCATCTCATCTGCTTGAATCCCAGAGACAGGGACACCACCTATGGTACACTGTGTGGTCCATCTGGCAGTGGAGCTATCACTAGAAACTGTCACCTCTAGGGAACAACACCATAGCCTCAGGAGAGGCAGGTGCAGCCCAGGAGTCAGTGGATATTGAGTCTATGGTGTCTTTCTTATGCCAACATGATGTAAACTCAATAAAAATGATTCGCTTTGTAGTTTGCTCCATTTGCACCAAAGCAGGATTACTCTACCACGTAGTGGGGAGCTGGGATGAAGCTGAAGAATTCACCAAGCGCATCTTCTGTCTTTATGTGAAATCATGTGAGTTTAGACATTAGACTAGATGTTTCCTTGAGGCCAATGTTGCTGACATAGTGACTCAATTGTTTGGCCTCATTTGAGTGTCCATATAACACATGGAAAGTTCAGAGGTAGAAATTAGTTTCATTAATTTGCCATGAACTATAGGCTGAATTGTGTCCTCCCAAATTCGTATGTTGAAGCTCTAACCCCCTATGTGACTAAACTTGGAATAAGGAAGTAATTAAGGTGAAATTAGGTTATGGGGCGGAGCTCTGTTCTGATAGGATTACCACACTTATTAGAAGAGACACCAGAGAGCGAGCACTCGATTGCTCTCTCTCCTTCTACAATGTGAAGACACAGCAAGAAGGTGGCCATCCCCAAGTGAGAAAAAGAGCCCTCACCAGGAACAAAGTCAGCCAGCACTTTGATTTCTTAGCCTCCAGAACTGGAAGAAAACAAATTTTTGTAGTTTAAGGCACCCAGTGTGTAGTATTTTGTTATAGGAACCCAAGCTGACTAATACACCATGATTGCAAAGGCAAGGTATGGAACTGGAGTGGGAACAACCAAAGCCACCCTGGTTTTGACAGTGGGTGCACACACTCCTACCAGCTGTTCTGGGGAAGGGATCCAAGTGCCCAGCTGGGCCTAGCCAGGGTGCCTCTGCTGGGTCCTCCAAGCACTTGTGCCTTTGTGCACTTTTTCCGTTGTATTTTATCACATATGATGAGATTTCCTGGATTTGTGCAGACTATTACCTTAAAGGCTAATCACCAAAGAAGAAGAGACAAGATCTTCTCTCAACTCTCTGGAACATTCTTTGGTTACAGTTACTTTTGTTATTTAGCATAATGCATATTTTGCTATCAACAGAAGAAGGTACCAGAACATTGGAAGGCCCCTGTCTTTTTTTTTTTTTTTTTTTTTTTTGAGGCGGAGTCTCACTCTGTTGCCCAGGCTGGAGTGTGGTGGCACAATCTCAGCTCACTGCAAGCTCTGCCTCCCGGGTTCATGCCATTCTCCTGCCTCAGCCTCCAGAGTAGCTGGGATTACAGGCACCTACCACCACGCCCGGCTAATTTTTTTGTATTTTTTAGTAGAGACGGGGTTACACCGTGTTAGCCAGGTTGGTCTTGATCTCCTGGCGTTGTGATCCACCCGCCTCGGCCTTCCAAAGTGCTGGTGTGAGCCACCGCGCCCGGCCAGAAGGCCCCTGTCTTTTAGCTGAAAGCACAACATACTTTTCAGCCACACTTTCCTAATTTGCCTCTATGGAGCCAACACTGTGGGACTATTGGCTTCATGGTTGATCAGTGGCTAGCAGTCTCTTGCCTTAGCCTCTCTTCTTCCTCCAGTCTTCCATCCCTCAGTACCGCTAGAGTGGGAAGGTCTGCAAGGATTCAGAACCCCCAGTTGGTGGAGTCCACACATGACCCATCAAAGATGAATTGCAGGCAGGCCTGCTATTTGGAGCAACAGCCTTAATGGGTTTTCCAACAGAGATAGTTGATCTACAGAGGCAATAAACTAACTGCTTTGTGACTGACCACCTTGAAAGAAATGAGCATGCCTGGCACTGTGCTTATCAGGTTGAGCATCATGTGTTGGAGGGCCAGATTCCACAAGGGGAGGAATGGCCTGGAAATGGATATTTTAGTCACTGGTCTCTCTGCACAGTGAGATTCAGGGAATGTACAGATCAATCATCCTTCCCTATAGCTCAAATCAACAAGATAACCTGACCACGGGGACTTGGCTACAGCCAAAAGGTGCTCACACTTCTACGAGGCTAGTGGAATCCTTGAACATGGTTCTTATTCTATATAAATAAGAACACTGATTTCCCTGAGGCCTCTCCGTGAAGGCAGATTTAGGAAGGGCCAGATCCTAAAATGAGGTCCAGGCATAGAGGAAAGGAGAAGCATAAAAGACAGCAAGCTGTGAGAATAATGTCATGACAGGCTCTTGGTGACCCTCTGTGATTGAGTGGATGCACTTTGGCAAAATCTCATTATTGGAACTGTATTAGTCAGGGTTCTCCAGAGAAACAGAACCAACAATATGATGCGTATGTGTGTTGAGAGAGAGAGGGAGAGAGAGAGATTTATTTTAAGGAATTGGCTCATGTGATTGTGGGGGCTGGCAAGTCTGAAATTTGCAGGACAGGCCAGCAGGCTGGAGCTCCAGGAAGAGTTGCCTTTGCGTCTTGAATCTGAAGGCAGTCTGGAGGCAGAATTCCTTCTTTCTTGGGGGAACTTAGTCTTTTCTATCTTTTTTTTTGAGATGGAGTTTTGCTCTTGTTGCCCAGGCTGGAGTGCAGTGGCATAATCTCGGTTTACCACAACCTCCACCTACCGAGTTCAAGTGATTTTCCTGCTTCAGCCTCCCGAGTAGCTGGGATTACAGGCGCCCACCACCTCCCCCAGCTAATTTTGTATTTTTAGTAGGGAAGGGGTTTCTTCATGTTGGTCAGCTGGTCTCAAACTCTCAACCTCAGGTGATCTGCCCTCCTTGGCCTCCCAAAGTGCTGGCCTCCCAAAGTGCTGGGATTACAGGCATGAGCTACTGCACCCGGCATCTTTTCTCTTAAGGCCTTCAGCTGATTGTGTGAGAGTAATCTGCTTTACTCAAAGTCTACTGACTTAAATCTTAATCCCTTCTGAAACATACCTTCACTGCAACATCTATTCTGGTGTTTGACCAAAAACTAGGTAGCATGGCCTGGCCATGTTGACATCAAATTAACTATCACAGGAGCAGATAGTCCCTGTTTTTACCTAGTGTGAGAATCTCCAAGTCATGGTAGAGTTCACTTACTAAATAGACATAAGTGAATGAAACGCCTTGGAAGAATTCCAGCTGGAACCCCTCAGGAGCACTCAAGTTTGGAAATGTTTATTAAGTGTTCACTCTAGGATTGGGACCATGAAAACTTACCTGCTTTTACCTAATCACCATTACTTTAAGAAGGTCTCACAGTGGAAGAGGGAAAGGAACTGAAGAGTGAATGTAATTATTGCCATTGGAGTTGCTGATGTTATTTATCGCCTACATGTTACCTCTCTTTCTTGACTGTTCCAGTTCCTAAGTCAGAGACTCACCAGCCTCCGTGTCTATAAAGTCACCATTCCTGTGATCTGGTTACTCCTTCACTTTATCGATATGGGACCTGTTCACATGGGCTTTTTAAGAAGATGGCAATTCCTGGGCTGACACTTCTGCCTTTTGGAGAACTGTTTTGTCTTACTGCAAAGTGAATTGTTTGAGCTCCCCCTTTTGCTTCATAAGGTTGCAAAGACCAGTATAGTTCCATCAGTAAAATGCCCCTCCTCAGCAGGAAGTTATGAGGATGTATACTTTCAGAGATGGTGTGTAGGCCCCACAGAGAGTGTGGCCAGGTTTATCCCATCGCTGTCTTGTCAACTTCTACCAATCTCAGATGTGTCTCCGTCGAATAGCCCAGATCTCTGGCAGATCAGCACCCAATGTTCAGGACTTCATGTTCAGCCTTTGTGAGCGCACAAAGAGAATTTTATTTTTGCCTGGTGCAAAATCCTGGGAAGGTACAGCCATACTTAGCACTAAGAGAAAAGCAGGAAGGGAGGACCCCGTAGTGGCTCTAATTAGCTGCGTGCATGAGATTCAAACTTTTCTGTTTGTAGCATGAGCTCTTGGTAACCTTTTTTGCCAATCCCCTTCCTCCTGAATAGCTTTGAAATTTCAGTTTATTAGCCAGCCCAAGTACTCACCATCAGGTAATTTGCACCTAGTTGAATTCTCTCAATAACTGCTAAATTCCCTGTGGATATTCCCATGGCTGCATCCCAGCTTTTGCTCCCCATGACATCCTTTGAGGATTTTTGAGAAAGAACAACAGGGTTCTGTTTTACTTCTTTTTATTCAAAGGTGGCACTCTGTGGGTGAGTCTGAGCAGACAATGAATATAACTGAGACAAGATGGTGACTGTCTATTGACGTCAGATATTTAACCATGAAATGAGTTTTTTTTTTTTTTTTTTAAACAAAGGCAGAATCGTGTATACCCATCCCTAGAAAGGGGATGTTTGACAAAATTACCAAACATTCAATTTAACTGAACATAATGGCATATGTGCCACAGTGACTGTGAATTTTGGCCCAGCCTTTGTGGCTAATGTGGTCCGCTGCTTTGTCCACAGCCAGGCAACAAGCTCATGTCCACAGGGCCCCAGCAAAGCCTTTGTGCAGGTGCTCTCTGGCCTAGATTTCCTTTCCCTCAGACCCAAGGCTTTTTTCAGACTGAGGCCTCTGTTGCCTAATTGCTGCCTAAAAATTCCATACTTTTTTCCCTCTGAAAAAAGCAATCTGGCCGGGCATGGTGGCTCACACCTGTAATCCCATCACTTTAGGAGACTGTGGTGGGAGAATTGCTTGAGGTTAGGAGTTCAAGACCAGCCTGGGCAACATAGGGAGACCCCATCTCTATTTCCTTAATTTTTTAAAAAAGCAATCTTTTCCTCTCAACTCTTCCCAGATCAACTCTTTAGTAGGTGTACCCCAAAAGCCACATTTCTGGGACTTTCTTTTCTACAGTTAAAGCACTACAGTCAAAACTTGGCAACAGGAAGATTTACTTTTAGGTTTTATTTTATTTATTTGTTTATTTTTGAGATGGAACCTCACTCTGTCATCCAGGCTGGAGACCAGTGGCACAATCTTGGTTCATTGCAGCCTCCACCTTCTGGGTTCATGGGATTATCCTGCCTCAGCCTTCAGAGCAGGTGGGATTACAGGCGCCCGCCACCAAGTCCAGATAATTTTTGTATTTTCAGTAGAGTTGGGATTTCACCATGTTGGCCAGACTGGTCTTGAACTCCTGACCTCAAGTGATATGCTCACCTCGGCCTCCCAAAGCACTGGGATTACAGGCATGAGCCACTGCACCTGGCCACTTTTAAGTTTTAGAAGTGTAAACTTAGAGCAAGTATTAGTTTTTTTGTTTTTTTAACTTTTAAGTTCAGTGGTAGACGTGCAGGTTTGTTCCATAGGTAAACTTGTGTTATGGGGGTTTGTTATAGAGAGTATTTAATCACCCAGGTGTTAAGCCTAGTACCCATTAGTTATTTTTTCTGATCCTCTTCGTTTTCCCACCCTTCACCCTCTGATAGGTGGTGATAGGTCCCAGTGTCTGTTGTTCCTCTCTATGGGTCCATGTGTTCTCATCATTTAGCTCACACTTATAAGTGACAACGTGTGGTATTTGGTTTTCTGTTCCTGTTTTAGTTTGCTAAGGATGATGGACTTCAGCTCTATCTATGTCCCTGAAAAGGACTTGATCTCATTCCCTTTTATGGCTACATAGTGTTCCATGGTGTTTGGTACCACATTTTTTTTTTTCTTGAGATGGAGTCTTGCTCTGTCACCCAGGCTGGAATGCAGTGGGGTGAACTTGGCTCACTGCAATTGCTGCCTCCCAGGTTCAAGTCATTCTCCTGCCTCAGCGTCCTGAGTAGCTGGGATTACAGGCGTGTGCCACCATGCCTGGCTAATTTGTTTGTTTGTTTGTTTGTTTTGAGAAGGAGTCTTGCTCTGTCATCCAGGCTTGAGTGCAGTGGCGCTATCTTGGCTTGCTGCAATCACCGCCTCCCAGGTTCAAGTGATTCTCCTGCCTCAGCCTCCCGAGTAACTGGGACGACAGGTGCATGCCACCATGCCTGTCTAATTTTTGTATTTTTTTTTTACTAGAGATGGGGTTTCACCACATGGGTCAGGCTGGTTGCGAACTCCTGACCTCAGGTGATCCACCCACCTCAGCCTCCCAAGTGCTGGGATTAAAGGTGTGAGTCACTACGCCCGGCCAGGTACCACATTTTCTTTATCTAGTCTACCACTGATGGGCATTTATTTTGTTCCCATGTTTTTGCTATTGTGAATAGTGCAGGGCAAGTGTTTTAATTTGCCACATCCTACGTGTATGTGTAGAGATGACATTTCCTGATTTCTTCTGTGCTGAGCTGGAAACTGGAAAGCGAGTCTACTTTGTCATTTGCTCACTCTTCATTTTCCCACTCAACAATGTGTCTTAGATGTACGTAAATCTGATAGACTGAAAGAGGTCCTTGGTGTCCTTAACTTCCTAATTCTGCTAGAATTTTAGAGTACTTGTGAGATAAATGAAAAGGATGTTGAACGAGGAGATAAAACATTGTGCATTCCCTGGAGACACTTGCTCACTTCCCCCCAGCCTCAGTGTCCCTGGAGGCAATAATTCAGAGAGCTATGAGATTTTAGAGAGAATACCAGCAGTAGCAACACCAAGTCAGAAAGACAAGGAGTTATTTAGTATTCACAGACAAGGGAGAGGCATTCACTGTCTATGATACTCAGAGAAAATTCAAGAGTGACTTTAAATTCTCCATTTCAAATATCTCCTCTGTTTTCTCTCTTTTCCCCTAAGACGTCTTGGAATAAGTTTCCCTCTAACTGCTAGTGAAAGACAGCTAGACTGATTTTATCAGGTTCAATTTTTTTTTTTTTGCCCCAATTAGAGGTAGGGTTCAGGACATAATGGTTAAATTTTATCTTGTTTTTCTTCCCGGTGTTTTTGGGATTCAGATATAGAATGGAAGTATGTCCATTGAAGTATGGGAAAATGTGGGGGTTAGTATTCGGGAAACTTCCATCAGGTAGATTCGCTGCTATGATGAAGTACCCCTGTGCACAGAAGACAGTCTGAGTCCAGAGCCTTTTGGGATGAAGCTATCTATCATAAAGCTTTTGAAGGCTTACAGGTGCTGGAGAGGGTGTGGAGAAATAGGAACACTTTTACACTCTTGGTGAGAGTGTAAATTAGTTCAACCATTGTGGAAGACAGTGTGGCGATCTCTCAAGGATCAAGAACCAGAAATACCATTTGACCCTGCAATCCCAATACTGGGTATATACCCAAAGGATTATAAATCATTCTACTATAAAGACACATGCACACATATGTTTGTTGCAGCACTGTTCGCAATAGCAAAGACTTGGAACCAACCCAAATGCCCATCAATGATAGATTGGATAAAGAAAATGTGGCACATCTACACCATGGAATACTATGCAGCCATAAAAAAGGATGCGTTCGTGTCCTTTGCAGGGACATGGATGAAGCTGGAAAATATCATTCTCAGCAAACTAACACAAGAACAGAAAACCAAACACTGCATGTTCTCACTCCTAAGTGGGAATTGAACAATGAGAACATACGGACACACGGAGTGGAACATCACACAGCGGCGCCTGTAGGGGGATTGGGGCTAGGGGAGGGATAGCATTAGGAGAAATATCTAATGTAGATGACGGGTTGATAGGTGCAGCAAACGACCATGGCACATGTATACCTGTGTAACAAACCTGCATGTTCTACACATGTATCCCAGAACTTAAAATATAATTAAAAAAATTAAAAAAAAAAAGCTTTTGAAGGCTTGTCCTACCAAGATTTCCATATGTCACCAGGTATCACAGTCTATTATCTGAATTAGGCTGAGAACATTGCCAGTTATCACTTTCCTCCAGGCTTTGATGGCCCAGGGACTCTGAGCATCACTTTCTTCCTAGTGTCTGACTATCCCTCTCTTCTTCATTTTTCCTTCCTTAGATCCCCTATAATTGCATGAAATACCTTATTTCCTTCTAATATGTGCTCATAAATGCATGGCATTATCTTCTTCCCAGATGGAGTCACTTTTAATTAAAAGCCAAAAATCCTGTATTTAATGTTTGGATTTAATATGTGCTTTTGAAAGGAGGGCTGGGGATATAGGTAAACAGACTGGGACGGGGGGAGGCATTTATGCTCAGCTTTGGTTTTACTTTCTCTGCAGGTGTGGAGTTCTTGTATTTTTTAACATTTTAGCCAAGACTTTTCAATAGAAACATATACAAGTATTTCTCTGTCTACTCCATTCTGCTGACTTGGAAGAGGAGAGGTGGGGTTTGCTTCAACCACGGTGTTCCCTGGTGGGCGGATGGACTTTATGATTTTGTAGGGTGGCCTTGGCCAGTTGCAGCAGCTCTTCCCTTTCGGAGGGGCTGGAGGTTTGGCGAGAGCAGCAGAAGAGGTGCACGGGGTATTTGTACGCTGCAAGTAAGTGGGAGTAGGCTTTGCATGTTCATACCTCTTCATCCCCTCTCATTGAATCCTCAGAAACCACAGCGCTGGCTGGGGGGTACTGCTGAGTTTGGCACAGCCCATATAGGCGATGTAACTGATTAGAAAGAGCCAACAGGCCAGGCGCGGTGGCTCAGGCCTGTAATTCCAGCACTTTGGGAGGCCGAGGCGGGTGGATCACTTGAGGCCAGGAGTTCGAGACCGGCCTGGCCAACATGGTGAAACCCCGTCTCTAGTAAAAATACAAAAATTAGCCGGGCATGGTGGCAGGTGCCTCTAATCCCAGCGACTCAGGAAGCTGAGGCAGGAGAATCGCTTGAACCTGGGAGGCGGAGGTTACAGTGAGCAGAGATTACGCCATTGCAATCCAGCCTGCATGACAAGAGCGAAACTTTGTCTAAAAAAAAAAAAAAAGAAAGAAGGAAGGAAGGAAAGAGAAAGAAAAAGAAAGAAAGAAGGAAGGAAGGAAGCAAGCGGAAAGAAAGAAAGAAAGAAAAGGAAAGAAGGAAGGAAGCAAGCAGAAAGAAAGAAAGAAAAAAAGGAAGAAAGATAGAAAGAAAGAGCCAGCAGTGTTGGATCTCCCTGGGCCTGACTCTACCTGTCCCGGAAACGTGTTGTCCTCATGAGCACTGGGTGTAGTCACTGCATCACCATGAGCCCCAGTTCCTTTTTTTTTTTTTTTTTTTTTTTTTTGTGATGGAGTCTAGATCTGTCACCTAGGCTGGAGTACAGTGGTATGATCTCGGCTCACTGCAACCTCCGCCTCCTGGGTCAAGTGATTCTTCTGCCTCAGCCTCCTGAGTAGCTGGGATTACAGGCATGCGCCACCATGCCCAGCTAATTTTTGTATTTTTAGTAGAGATGGGGTTTCACCATGTTGGCCAGGCTGGTCTCGAACTCCTGACCTCAGATGATCCACCCACCTCGGCCTCCCAAAGTGCTGGGATTACAGGCAGGAGCCACTTCACCCGGCCCCCAGTTCCTTCTTTGGAAAATGGCTCTTGACCTTGGGTGGACATAAGGACCACCCAAGGGAAGTTGTTAAAAATACAGATTCGTAGGCCCCACTCCCCAGCAAGACCGAATCTGGAGGCATCTGGGTTGGGGCCCAATAATCTGAATTTTAACTGGTGATTACAGAAATCCTGGGGGTGGTGTGAGATCATGAATGTAAAGAGACGAGTCCAGGCAATCCGAGGAGAAAAATAATGCAGATGCCACCGGGATCAACTTGTCACCATTGTTATCCACAATCTCACACTGTACCTTCTCCATCCAGAATTATTTGAAAAAATATGTGCGAGAATCACCCAAGAAATGCGATCAGTCTGATGGCAGATCGGAGCTAAGTGCCTCCTCCATAACTTACATCAGTGTCACATCAATGGTCCAACACTAAATCTACTCGGTACCCACTTAAGTCTAATTTTTTTTTTTTCTGGGATGGAATTTCACTCTTGTGGCCCAGGCTGGAGTGCAGTGGTGCAATCTCAGTTCACTGCAACCTCCGCCTCCTGGGTTCAAGCGATTCCCCTGCCTCAGCCTCCCGAGTAGCTGGGATTACAGGCATGCACCACCACACCCAGCTAATTTTTGTATTTTAGTAGAGACGGTGTTTCACTATGTTGGCCAAGATGGTCTCAATCTCCTGACCTCGTGATCCACCCTCCTTAGCCTCCCAAAGTGCTGGGACCACAGGTGTGAGCCACCGCACCTGTCCCCACTTAAGTCTTCTAAGCTTTAGAATACTTTTGGAAGTGGGCAGCATATGTGCAGTGCCTCTCATCTATTTATTTTTTATTTTTTGAGATGGAGTCTCACTCTCTCGCTCAGGCCAGAGAGCAGGGGCATGATCTTGGCTCACTGCAACCTCCACCTCCCGGGTTTAAGTGATTCTTCTGCCTCAGCCTCCCAAGTAGTTGGGATTACAGGCGTGAGCCACTGTGCCCGGCCTCTCACCCATTTTTATATACAATCATAAAACTATTTGGCGTTCTTCCATGAAATCAAGGAATAGGTGACTTGTAGAAAACCTTTCAGTCTGTCCTGGGAAGTGCAAATGATTTAGAATGGGACACAAAATACCAGACGTTGTCATTAAACTGAAAGTAAATATCATTCCAGCAGTCTATTGCCATGAACTGGAATCCTGATAGCAGGGAAGCAGGAGCTATTGGTATATGTCACATACAAAGACTCAGTTTTATGTGTCAAAAATGGGCTTGCCTAGCTGGTAAGAGGTCACTGCCCATATATAGGAATAAATGAAAATAATGAAAAGCAATTAAAAATAAATGATACGTGCTCCTCTGTATTCCTTGATAGACTTTGTCCTTTGGTTTCAAATGTTTCTAGCCTTAATATTACCAAAGACCTCTCTTGAATAGTTAAAATAATATTGTCTTTCAAAAATTGTAAAATAGAAAATTTTAGAAAAATAGGGCAAAGAAATGATTCATAATCTCATTATCACTTTTGAGCATTCCAAGTCTTGTTGCATTTGCACACACATTTTTATGTATTTGGAATCAATGTGTCTCCACTTTTCATCTCATATTATGTCATATGCATTTTTCATGTTTTTGACACATCTTTAAAATTATAATTTCTAATAACTGAGCATGTGGACTCTCCTTAATTAATTTTCTGCTCTTAGATAATTTGGTTGCCTTCAATTTTTTACTAACCTAATGTCCTTTTTGTATAATGAAATATTTTAAATCTATAAAAAATGACAAAAAATGGTATAGGAAATATTCATGTATTCATCACCTAGACTTAAACAAATGTTCAGTTCTTTCCATTTTTTTCTTTTTTGAGACAAAGTCTCACTCTGTTGCCCAGGGTGGAGTGCAGTGGCGCCATCTTGGCTCACTGCAACCTCTGCCTCCCAGGTTCAAGCGATTCTCCTGCCTCGGCCTCCTGAGTAGCTAGGATTATAGGTGTGCACCACCACACTCAGCTAATTTTTGTATTTTTAGTAGAGATGGGGTTTCGCCATGTTGGCCAGGATGCTCGATCTCCTGACCTCAGGTGATCCACTCATGTTCTATTATTTCTAACCATCTCTTTGAAGGGCTATTTTGTCTTTAAATACCTCTTACTTGTTTGACGTATTCTCATTCATTTTATGAAGACTCGAGTGGCTTTTGTGATCAGAATCTTGCTGTGTCCTACCCTAACTTCACCCAGAAGCTAATCTTGCTGTGTATTGTACAACAGGCGTATGGATGATGTAACCTTAGGATGAAAGTCTGGACTCTTGGGCGTGACTCCAGCTGGAGAATCAGGCTCATGAGGCTTAATAGCTGTGGATTGCCATCAGAGATTGTATGGTGGTCCACAGCCTGCATCGCCTATCATAGATCCAGACATGATCAAAGAGTGCCAGCGAAACAATGTTATGCTATCTTTACAAACTGGCAGGTAAGCATCCATTTTTAAAATTTGAAAAATGTATTTATTTACTTAAAATTTTATTTTGAAATAATGATAGACTCACAGGAAGTTGGGGAAAATGTACAGGGAGGTCCCATGTACTCTTCATCTAGTGCCCCCCAGTGGTAATGTCTTGTGTAATTACAGTGCAATATCAAACCAGGAAATTGGCATTGGTACAATCCACAGAGCTCATTCACATTTTATCAGTTTTATGTGCACTCTTGCATGTGTGTGTGTGTTTGTGTGTGTGTGTGTTTGTGCATGTGTGTGTGCATCTCTGTGCAAATTTGTCACGTGTAGATTTGTGCAACTACCATCACAATCAAGATACAGAACTGCTCCGGCACTGTGGCTCATGCCTATAATCCCAGTACTTTGGGAGGCTGAGGTGGGAGAATCACTAGATCAAGAGATCAAGAGATCAAGACCATCCTGGTCAACATGGTGAAATCCCGTCTCTACTACAAATACAAAAAAAAAAAAAAAATTAGCCGGGCGTGGTGGCAGGTGCCTATAATCCCATCTGCTCGGGAGGCTGAGGCAGGAGAATCTCTTGAACCAGGGAGTTGGAGGTTGCAGTGAGCCAAGATGGTGCCACTGCACTGCAACCTGGCAACAGAGCTATCCCTCCGTCTAAAAAAAAAAAAAAAAAAAAAAAGGTACAGAACTATTCTATCACCCCATCACCCTAGGGCTCCCTCTTGCTATTCTTTTATTTATTTATTTTTAAAATTGAGACAGGGTCTCACTATGTTGCCCAGGCTGGAGTGCAGGGGCGCAATCATGGTTCACTGCAGCCTGACCTCCCAGGCTCAAGTAATCCTCCCACCTCAGCCTCCCGAGTAGCTGGGACTACAGGCATGTGCCACCACACCTGGCTAATGTTTGTATCTTTTTTGTAGAGATGAGATTTCACCATGTTGCCCAGGCTGGTCTTGAACTCCTGGGCTCACGTGATCTGCCTGCCTTGTCCTCCCAAAAGTGTTAGGATTACAGATGTGAACCACCGCACACAGACTGCTATTCTTTTATGATCATCATATGTAGCTTTTCTTTTCCTCTTAAAAGGGTCTTTAGCTGAGCAAGTTTTTTTTGTTTTGTTTTGTTTTTTTTGAAGAGGTCAATTTATCCATTTTTCCTTTTGTAGATTGTGCTTTTGGTGTCAAGTCTAAAATCTCTTTACCTAGCTCTAGTTCCTGAATGTTTTTTCTATGTTTATTTTTCTAAAAGTTTTTTAGTCTTATGTTTTACACTTAAGTCTATGACTAATTTTGTGTTAATTTTTGTATAAAGTGCGTATAAAGCACCATTTATGGTAAGCTTATTGATATGGTTTGGCTATGTCCCCACCCAAATCTCATCTTGAACTGTAGTTCCCATAATCCCTACGTGCTGTGGGAGGGACCCTGTAGGAGATAATTGAATCATGGGGCCAGTTTCCTCCCCTGCTGTTGTCATAATATTGAGTGAGTTCTCATGAGATCCGATGGTTTTATAAGAGGTATCCCCCTTTGCCTGGCACTCATTCTGTCTTCTGTTGCCCTGTGAAGTGGTGACCTCTGCTATAATTGTAAGTTTCCTGAGGCCTCCCCAGCCATGAGTAACTGTGAATCAATTAAACCTCTTTTCTTTATAAATCACCCAGTCTTGAGTATTTTCACCATGTTGCCTAGGCTGTTCTTGAACTCCTGGGCTCACGTGATCTGCTATTTCTTCATAGCAGGGTGAGAACAGACTAATACAGTTATCCTTCCTCCACTGAAATGGTTCTGCATCATTGTAAAAATCAGTTGCCCCTATTTGCGTGGATCTATTTCTTATTCTCTAGTCTTCTCCATTGATCACTGTGTGTATCCCTTTGCCAGTACCAAACAGTCTTAATTATTGCACTATTAGTAAGTCATTATGTTGTACAGAGTGGTTCCGCCCAGTTTATTTTTTCCAAATTGTGTTAGCGATTTTAAGTCTTTTGCCCTTCCATAAAATGTAAAAAAAGCTTTTCTACAAAAACCTTGCTGGGATTTTCAGAAGAATTGATTTAAACCTATAGATCCATTTGGGGAAAAAATCTGCATCTCTACGTTAACTCTTTCAATCCATGAACATAGTATAGTGCTTCTTTTATTTAGGGTCTCTTTGATTCTTCTCATCAACATTTTGTGGCTTTTAGCATACAGATCCCATACATATTTTGTTACATTTATACCTAAGCACTTCATTTTCTTGGGAGAGACCATAAACAGTACTTTTTATTTTTTATTTTTTTTGAGATGGAGTCTTGCTCTGTCACCCAGGCTAAAGTGCAGAGGCACAGGCTCGGCTCCTACAACCTCCACCTCCTGGGTTGAAGTGATTTTCCTGCCTCAGCCTCCTGAGTAGCTGGGATTACAGGCACCCACCACCACACCCAGCTAATCTTTGTATTTTTAATAGAGACAGGGTTTCACCACGTTGGCCAGGCTGGTCTCGAACTCCTGACCTCAAGTGATGCACCCGCCTCAGCTTCCCAAAGTGCTAGGATTACAGGCCTGAGCCACCGCGCCAGGTCACCACTACCTTTCTACTCTGCGCAGCCCTGGAGGAGGTACTAGGTTTTGTTCCTGTCTATGCCACTGGAAGAACAGGTTTCGTACCGCAAAGGGCATTTGCATTTAAAAGAAGACTGAGATAGAGAGGCTGAAAACCACGCCAGGGGGCTGGGTTTCCCCTCCGCTCTCACAGGAAGCTGAGCCTTTGGGATAAAATAGTAAACATGCTTGACTATTTTTATTTCTGGACTTAAGTCCTACCCTGCCATGTGCCGCACGTCCCTGAATTGCCCCATTCTTTGCTGCTGCTGTCCCCATTCTATCATGCCTTGGTTGGCTTTTCCATAAACCCACTTTACTGTTTCCTTTGTTTCTGTGGATTTCTGCCTCCATCTATGGCAGAGAAATGGCAGGGATGGGATATCCCAAGTCTCAATGTCTTACAATTTTGGTGAATGGACTTTTCTCAAACTGAGGTAGGATATGATAAATTCCTCTTCAAAGGTTTTAGCCTGTAAATTGTTAAGTACAATGAGTTCTGAGATCCTCTCCAAAGAACCAATGAATCAGTATGTTCAGCTCCCCTGTTCTTTGTCCTTCATTTTAAAGTTTAACTTCCTCATTCTCTTCATCTCCTTGTTCCTAGTTTCAGTAAACAACCCTCTCCTAGCCTCTATCACCTACTCTGTCCTGAGTTACCTCTGGTCACCTGCTCCATCCTGAGTCACCCCTGTCACCTGCTCTGACCTGAGTCAACCTGAGTCACCTGTTCTGTAACCGTCCTTCCTGCCAAACTACTCACCCTGCCACTCCGGCTGGTACCCCTGCTCTCTTTAAAATAGCCACTGAGAATTAACTTAGACTGTGCGGTCCAACCCTAGCCAATAGGGGAATGACACAGCAGTAGCCTGCATCAGGGATAAGAACCCCCTTCCCCTCCCTTGTTCAAGGTGTGCTCTCGCCATTACTCCATCTGTGAGATGCACCCTTCTATGGAAGTAAAATTGCCTTGCTGAGAAAATTTATGCTCAAGTGCTATTTCTTTTGCAGCACCGAAAATTTATTTCTAACACTGACATCAAGGGAAGTGCCTGTAGCAGGCGCTGGGCTTAAATGAGGCCATCCCAGGTGTCAATCATCCCATGGCCCTGTAGCCATCTGGCCCAGTGCTCAACCCTCCCTCTACCAGTGACTTGCAAGTGCTTACATCACGGTGCTCCACGACCCTTTGTGCTATGTCCTAAGGACTGGGCACACCAATAGTGAGGACTCATTAATTGGTCATTTACAAAGTGAAGTGATCTGGCACTGCTCAGCTTACTCAATTTAGAAGGTGGTTGTGGGGCCGGACGCAGTGGCTCAGGCCTGTAACCCCAGCACTTTAGGAGGACGAGGTGGGCGGATCACAAGATCAGGAGTTCAAGACCAGCATGACCAACATGGTGAAACCCCGTCTCTACTAAAAAAATACAAAAATTAGCCAGGTGTGGTGGTGCGCACCTGTAATCCCAGCTACTCAGGAGGCTGAGGCAGGAGAATCTCTTGAACCCGGGAGGCAGAGGTTGCAGCGAGCAGAGATTGCGCTGTTTTACTCCAGCCTGGGCGACAGAGAGAGACTCTGTCTCAAAAAAAAAAAAAAAAAAAAGAGAGAGAGCAAGAGAAAAAGAAGGTGCTTGTGAAAAATGAAAATGTTTTCTCTGTTCTTGCATTCATTCAAAAGTTGCCATGTCTGCTATAGCACTCTTAGGCCCTAGGAATATAGAAATGAATAAATTAGGCCGGGCACGGTGGCTCACGCTTGTAATCCCAGCACTTTGGGAGGCCAAGGCGGGCGGATCATGAGGTCAGAAGATCGAGACCATCCTGGCTAACATGGTGAAACCCCGTTTCTACTAAAAATACAAAAAATTAGCCGGGTGCAGTGGCAGGTGCCTGTATTCCCAGCTACTAAGGAGGCTGAGGCAGGAGAATGGCGTGAACCCAGGAGGCGGAGCTTGCAGTGAGCCGAGATCACGCCACCACACTCCAGCCTGGGCGACAGAGCGAGACTCCATCTCAAAAAAAAGAAAGAAATGAATAAATTATGGTTCCTGCCTGGATGATTTCATAGTTTAATGGATGAGACAGAAGCACAATTATTGTGCATACACTATGTCAGCTGTCATAGTGTACGCTCATGAAATGCCACTGGAACGTGTGTAAGAGGAGGGAGTCAGGGGAGGCTTCCCAGAAAAGGGGATGTTAAACTGACCTCATTCAGCCCCAGGCTACCTGAGTGGAAAGTGCCCACATGGTCATATTCGAGTGGTACTTCTCTACCTGAATATTGGGCAAATAGTGGAATTTACCAGTGAACAGTGGAAGAATTAATAAAAACTTTTAGGCTGGTCATGGTGGCTCATGCCTATAAATCCCAGGGCTTTGGGAGGCCAAGGTGGGAGGATCACTTTAGGCCAGGAGTTCAAGGCCAGCCTGAGCAACATAGCAAGACCTCATCTTTATAAAAAATAATACTAAGCTGGGAGTGGTGGTGCACGCCTATAGTCCCAGCTACTCAGGAGGCTGAGGTGGGAGGATGGCTTCAGCCCAGGAGGCTGAGGCTACAGTGAGCTGTGATCACGCCACTGCACTCCAGCCTGGGTAACAGAGCAAGACCCTGTCTCTAAAAAATTGGAAAATTAAAAAAATAAAACTCTTATTATAAAGGATTGTGTTTCATGTTTTGAAGGAGTTTCTGAAATACAAAAAAACCATAAATAATAAGGTAACCAGCATGCATACCCTATTCCTCAATGCTTGAATTTAAACCATTAATATTTCAGATACATTTTTTAATATTTAAAGGACTTAGAATAATAATAAGGATGAAGTACCTTTTCTATATCTCTCCAGTTTCAATCTCTTCTTTTCCAGAGGCAACATTATCATAAATTTGGTATGTGTTTGTCTACTCTATTTAAAATGATTGTATCACGTGCTTCAATGAATATGTCTCTATACAATATTGCGGAGTATCCTTTTACGCATTTTAAATGGTTATAGAAGTCCTATGTTATGCATAGAATAGCATCCTAAAGCTTGTCTTCTAATTCATCATTATGATTTCAAGATCTAGCCATTTTCATATATTAACTTATTAATTTTAAATGCTATAGAACATTTTCAGTTGACTATTCCAGAATTAGTCTATACATTCTCCTACTGATGGACATTTTGGCTGTTTTCTTTCTTTCCTCTTTTTTTTTTGGCTTTTACCAACAATTCTTCAATAAGCACTGTTTATAACATATCTTGATGGAAAACTGCAAACATTTTTAGACTTTGGATATGTGCAACACCAGACTATGCCATTTGGCTCTCCAAAGTGATTGTACCAGTTCATATTTCTACCACATTTTAATGCCTCTTGATATTAAACATCTGGTATCGTCAGACTTTCTGAGTTGCCAGAAAGTCTGTCAATGAAATGGTACCTCATCGCCAGCTGTGTACTGGAACTGGTGTGGACTGCGTGGAAGAGCTGGTTGTGTGCGTCTCATTCCAACTGTGGGTTCAGTGACTTCACCAGATTAGTCTGAAATTGGCTGTGGTGGTGAGAGGTGACAGCGTGCTGGCAGTCCTCACAGCCCTCGCTCGCTCTCGGCGCCTCCTCTGCCTGGGCTCCCACTTTGGCGGCACTTGAGGAGCCCTTCAGCCCACCGCTGCACTGTGGGAGCCCCTTTATGGGCTGGCCAAGGCAGAGCCGGCTCCCTCAGCTTGCAGGGAGGTGTGGAGAGAGGCGCGAGCAGAACTGGGGCTGCGTGAGGCGCTTGCAGGCCAGCTGGAGTTCCGGGTGGGCGTGGGTTTGGCGGGCCCTGCACTCGGAGCAGCAGGCCGGCCCTGCGGGCCCCGGGCAGTGAGGGACTTAGCACCCGGGCCAGTGGCTGCGGAGGGTGTACTGGGTCCCCCAGCAGTGCCAGCCCACCATCGCTGTGCTCGATTTCTCACCGGGCCTTAGCTGCCTTCCCGCGGGGCAGGGCTCGGGACTGCATCACGCCATGCCTGAGCCTTCCCCCGCCTCCGTGGGCTCCTGTGCTGTCCGAGCCTCCCCGACGAGCGCCACCCCCTGCTCCACAGCGCCCAGTCCCATCGACCACCCAAGGGCTGAGGAGTGCGGGAGCAGGGCACCGGGACTGGCAGGCAGCTCCACCTGCAGCCCCTGTGCGGGATCCACTGGGTGAAGCCAGCTGGGCTCCTGAGTCTGGTGGGG
Organism: Homo sapiens; assembly: GCF_000001405.40. Classification (NCBI taxonomy): domain Eukaryota; kingdom Metazoa; phylum Chordata; class Mammalia; order Primates; family Hominidae; genus Homo; species Homo sapiens. Next base: position 4,496,833 of record NC_000007.14, on the reverse strand, counting down.
ACATGCAGAACCTTTATGTCTAGCTCAAGGATTGTAAACACACCAATCAGCACCCTGTGTCTAGCTCAGGGTTTGTGAATGCACCAATCCACACTCTGTATCTAGCTACTCTGGTGGGGCCTTGAAGAACCTTTATGCCTAGCTCAAGGATTGTAAATACACCAATCAGCACTCTGTATCTAGCTCAAGGTTTGTAAACACACCAATCAGCACCCTGTGTCTAGCTCAGGGTTTGTGAATGCACCAATAGACACTCTGTATCTAGCTACTCTGGTGGGGCCTTGGAGAGCCTTTCTGTCCACACTCTGTATCTAGCTAATCTGGTGGGGACCTGGAGAAACTTTGTGTCCAGCTCAAGGATTGTAAACACACCAATCAGTGCCCTGTCAAAACAGACCACTGGACTCTACCAATCAGCAGGATGTGGGTGGGGCCAGATAAGAGAATAAAAGCAGGCTGCCCGAGCCAGCAGTGGCAACCCAATCGGGTCCCCTTCCACGCTGTGGAAGCTTTGTTCTTTCTCTCTTTGCAATAAATCTTGCTATTGCTCACTCTTTGGGTCCACACTGCTTTTATGAGCTGTAACACTCACCACGAAGGTCTGCAGCTTCATTCCTGAAGCCAGCGAGACCACGAGCCCACCGGGAAAAACGAACAACTCCAAACGCGCTGCCTTAAGAGCGGTAACACTCACCGCAAAAGTCTGCAGCTTCACTCCTGAACCAGCGAGACCACGAACCCACCAGAAGGAAGAAACTCTGAACACAACCGAACATCAGAAGGAGCAAACCGCAGACGCGCCAACTTAAGAGCTGTAACACTCACCGCAAGGGTCCGTGGCTTCATTCTTGAAGTCAGTGAGACCAAGAACCCACCAATTCCGGACGCAGTGGGAGTATTTACATCACAGGAATTGGCACAGACTACAAACTGGTTTTTCCCTTGGAGAGCCAGTTGTTAAGCATTTACCGGCTCACCATGGCCAACTCATTAGGCTTCCTCAGTCCACCTTCTTCCCATGAACTCATCTCACATGACTTCCGGGTTACCAGATGGATGAAAGTACTGTTTGTGGCTGAAAGTTGTAACAAGGGGAGTTGTGCCAACTGTTGATGTAGAGCTTGACAAGGCCTTAGCCGCATTACTGCTCCACAATGAAGGGGGCACAGGCAAGAGAATCCCTGGTAAGCAAAATTAAAAAAAGACATACAACAAAAAACCTCCCCCAAAACCTTCAATTTTTTTTTTTTTTTTTTGGACTGCAGTGGTGCAATCATAGCTCAATGAAGCCTTGAACTCCCTGGCTCAAGCAATCCTCCCACCTCGGCCTCCCAAGTAGCTGGGACTAAAGGTGTGCACCACCACCGCCAGCTGATTTTTAAACTTCTGTAAAGACAAGGTCTCACTATGTTGCCCAGGCTGGGCTCGAACTCCTGGCCTCAATCAATCCTGCTTCAGCCTCCCAACTGCTGGGCTTGCAGGCGTGAGCTACTGTACCTGGTCTCATATTCTTTTTTTAAACTCCTCTTCACTAATGGAACTCTTCTGCCAATTTATTTTTTTTCCTTTAACGATGTTTTCTGGAATTTATTGTATAACATATGTTGTAATCTACTTTATGTTTTTTATAGGTGGAGAGTACTCCATTTTATGGATATACTACAGATAATGCAATCAGTCCCCATCAATGAACATTTGGGTTGTTTTCAGCCTTTTGTTTATATAAAAATGTTTTAATAAATAGACTAATGCATGGGTCATTTTGTATTTTTGCTAACATAGGATAGATTCTTGGGGGTAGAATTTCTGAGTAACGTGTAGCAGATTAAACAATAGGTTTATTGAAGTATAATTTACATACCATAAAATGCAGCTATTTTAAGTGTGCAGTTCAACGATTTTTAGTAAATTTATACGGTTCTGCCACATGACCACCATCCAGCTTTACAGCAGTTCCGCCACCCTCAAAATTTCATTGTGCCTGTTTCTTTTTTTTTTTTTTTTTTTTGAGACAGAGTGTCGCTGTCGCCCAGGCTGGAGTGCAGTGGCGCGATCTTGGCTCACTGCAGGCTCCGCCCCCTCGGGGTTCACGCTATTCTCCTGCCTCAGCCTCCCGAGTAGCTGGGACTACAGGCGCCCGCCACCTCGCCCGGCTAATTTTTTGTATTTTTAGTAGAGACGGGGTTTTACCGTGTTAACCAGGATGGTCTCGATCTCCTGACCTCGTGATCCGCCTGCCTTGGCCTCCCAAAATGCTGGGATTAGAGGCGTGAGCCACCGTGCCCGGCCCGTTGTGCCTGTTTCTAACCCCAAACTCAGACAATTATTGCTTCGTTTACTATCTTTGAAGTTCTGCCCTTTCTGGAAATATCACATAAAGGAAATTGTCCAATATGCAGGTTTTCATGTTGACCTTCTTTTACTTAGCATAATGTTTTTGAGTTTCATTCATAGTGTTTGATGTCTGATATGGTTTGGATTTGTGTCCCCACCCAAATCTCATGTCGAATTGTAATCTCCAATGTGGGAGGTGGGGCCTAGTTGGAGGTGATTGCATCATGGGATTGGATTTCCCCCTTTGGTGCTGTTCTTGTGATAGAGTTCTCACCAGATCTGGTTGTTTAAAAGAGTGCAGTGCCTCCCTCCTCTCTGTTCCTCCTGCTCTGGCCATGTAAGACCTGCCTGCGGCTGGGCCCGGTGGTTCACGCCTGTAATCCCAGCACTGGGAGGCCGAGGTGGGCGGATCACGAGGTCAGGAGATCCAGACCATCCTGGCAAACATGGTGAGACTCCGTCTCTACTAAAAATACAAAAAATTAGCCAGGTGTGGTGGCGGGCGCCTGTAGTCCCAGCTACTCGGGAGGCTGGGGCAGGAGGATGGCGTGAACCAGGGAGGTGGAGCTTGCAGTGAGCCGAGATCACGCCACTGCACTCCAGCCTGGGCAACGAAGCAACACTCTGTCTCAAAAAAAAAAAAAAAAAAAAAAAAAGACCTGCCTGCTTCTCCTTCGCCTCCTGCCATGATTGTAAGTTTCTTGAGACCTCCCCAGCCATGCGTCCCATGCAGCCTGAGGAACCGTGAGCTCGTTAAACCTGTTTTCTTTATAAATTACCCAGTCTCGGGCATTTCTTTATAACAATGCAAGAACAGACTAATACCAGGCCTCAGTTCATTCCTTTTTATTATTGATTATAGTCTACTGTGTATCTACATCACAATCTGTTTATCTGTTCATTAGTTGATGGACATCAGCACCATATCCAGTTGGAGGCTCTTGTGATCAAAGCTGCTATGAACATTTGTGCCCATCTCTTTGTGTGCACACGTTTTCGTTTCTCTTGGGTAGATACCCAGGAGTGGAACTGCTGATTTGTATGATAAGGTTTATGTGATAGGTGTATGCTTAACATTTAAAGAAATTGCCAAACTACTTTTCAATTTTATATTCCCATCCACGATGTTTGAGACTTTTAGTTTCTCCATATCCTTGCAAATTGACAATCTTTTTGATTATAGCTCTTCTAATAGATGTTAATGGTATCTCATAGTGGTTTAAATTGGCATCCAACTAATGACTAATAATACCTGTGCATATACTAGCTACCTATATAACTTTTTGATAGAGTGTCTATTCACATATTTTACTTATGTTTTTTTTTTTTTTTTTGAGGCAGGGTCTTGCTCGGTCACCCACACTGACAATGGAGTGCAGTGGCATGATCTTGGCTCACTGCAATCTCAGCCTCCCAGGCTGAAGCGATCCTCTCACCTCAGCCTCCTGAGTAGCTGGGACTACAGGCGCATGTGCCACTATGCCCAGGTAATTTTTGTATTTTTTGGAGAGATGGGATTTTCCCACATTGCCCCGGTCTTGAACTCCTGGGCTCAAGAGATTGGCCCACTTTGGCCTCCCAAATTGCTGGGAATTATAGGCATGAGCCACTGTGCCCAGCCCTTTACTTTTTTTTAAATTGGGTTGTTTGTCTTCCTATTACTAAATTGTAGAAGTTCTTTATATATTCTGGATAAAAGTTTTTTTTTTAATCACACACATGTTTTACAAATATTTTTCTCAGTCTGTGACTTGTCTATTTTTTTTTTTTTTTCAGGGGGAGACAGGATCTCACTCCTGTCACCCAGGCAGGAGTGCAGTGGCACACTCACGGCTCATTACAGCCTCTTGACCTCCTAGGCTCAAGCGATCCTCCCACCTCTTTTTTTTTTTTTTTTTTTTTTTTTTTTTGTAGAGTGAGGTCTCATTATGTTGCCAGGTTGGTCTCAAACTCCTGGACTCAAGCCATCCTCCTGCCTCAGCCTCCCAAAGTGCTCGGGTTACAGGACTGAGCCACTGAGCCCAGTCTTTCCATTTTCTTAATGGTGGTTTTGAAAAGCAAATATTTTAAATTGAGACGAAATCCAATTTATCTCTTTTTTCTATTATAGATTGTGCTTTTGGTGTCATATCTAAGAAATTTCTTCCTAACCAAAGGTCACAAAGATGTTCTCCACTGCTTTTTTCTAGATGCTTTATGAATTCAACTCTTACATTTAGGTCTATGATCCATTTTGAGTTAATATTTTACACAGTGTGAGGTCAGGGTGGACGTTTCTTATTATTTATGGCATAAGAATATTCAGTGGTTCCAGCAACACTTGTTGAAGAGACTATCCCTTTTCCTTCCAATGGCCTTGGCACCTTTGTAATAAATCAATTGATGATATATGTGTGTGTCTATTTCTAGACTCTCATTTCTTCCTGCCATCTTTACTTCTAGCCTTCCCGTGGGCTTTTAAATATCCCAGGGGGTAGAGCCCTTTGAAAAATTATTGATCTCTTTTACTGTTTATTATAATCTTTTTCTTGGGAATCTGGCCCCAGTGCCCTGAAGGCTTGAGTTAGGTTAAGTGCATGATGGTGTCCAACGTTGTCTTTTGAAAGTGTTTTCATTATTCAGTACCTCCCCATGCCAGTTTCCCAGGCCTCATGTGTCACTAGGCACATTTCTTTTTTTTTTTTGAGACAGAGTCTCGCTCTGTCACCCAAGCTGGAGTGCAGTGGTGCAATCTCAGCTCACTGCAACCTCCACCTCCCGGGTTCAAGCAATTCTCTGCCTCAGCCTCCTGAGTAGCTGGGATTACAGGCGTCCGCCACCACGCCCAGCTAATTTTTTTGTATTTTTAGTAGAGACGGGTTTCACCATCTTGGCCAGACTGGTCTTGAACTCCTGACCTTGTGATCCACTCACCTCGGCCTCCCAAAGTGCTGGGATTACAGGTGTGAGCCACTGCGCCCGACAGTCACTAGGCACATTTCTTTAACAATGGGCACCTCCCCTGCTGGGCACAGTTTACTGAGGAATCTTAAGCCTAGGACCATGCTGCAAACCTAACCCATCTCCCATTGGTTTCATCTGTTCCATGAGACTCATGGGGCCCTCATGGCCCCTAGAGATGCCCCAAAATTGCAGCAACACCAGCTCAGGAACCTACGCATGGTGACAATCTAGAGAGGTGGAAGATTCACCATGAGGTCATGAGCATGCATGTTTAAGGCCATTACAATCCCATTTTAATTAAATTCAGTCTCCAAGTATTTGGGTCTTTTTTTTTTTCCCTTTGTTTTTTGAGACAGAGTTTCTCTCTTGTCACCCAGGCTGGAGTGCAGTGGCGTGATCTCAGCTCACTGTAACCTCCACCTCCTGGGTTCAATCGATTCTCCTGCCTCAGCCTCCCTAGTAGCTGGGATTACAGGCACGTGCCACCACACCCAGCTAATTTTTTGTATTTTTGGTAGAGATGGGGTTTCATCATGTTGACCAGTCTGGTCTCGAACCCCTGACCTCAGGTGATCCGCCTACCTCAGCCTCCCAAAGTGCTGGGATTACAGGCGTGAGTCACTGCGCCCGGCCTAGTATTTGGGTCTTTCCTCTCTGTCCTGGGTGGGTGAGAAAAGGCTTGCTTCCCACCAATCCTTCATGCACCTTCCCCAAAACACCCCCCATGGCTGATAGGGGAGATGCACATGTGCACAAGTAGCCGTAAGTGCTCTGTGAGAGGAGGCTGATGGAAATACAGTCCAGGCAAAGCCGTGGCCCAGGGGGAGAGCAGGTGACTTTCAGGGCGGGTTGTGGGTGGTCAGGATGGAAAAGGCTTCCAAAACCTGATGTTTGAGCTGGGTTTGGCCAAAAGATACGATAAAGGAGGGAAGAGGATTCTAGGCAGAGGAAGCAGAATTGGCAAACCTACCCAGGTTTAGACCAGCAGAGTGTAATGGAGGAGTTTGGAAGGAGGGTGAAACTGTTGAAGCCAAAGCTGGGAGCAGAGGGAGGCTGGGCTTCAAGAGAATGCATTTATTCTTGAGACTTCACCCCACCTTAATTTAAAAAAAATTAGTTTTTAACATAAAGAGTTAATTTTTAGAGACAAATTCTCGCTCTGTAGCCCAGGCTGGAGTGCAGTGGCACGATCACAGCTCACTGCAGCCTTGAACTCCTGGGCTCAAGCCATCCTCCTGCCTCAGCCTGCAGAGTAGCCAGGACTACAGGTGTGCACCGCCAAGCCTGGCTAATTTTTTATTTTTTGTAGCTATGGAGGTCTCACTATGTTGTCCAGGCTGGTCTTGAACTCCTGGACTCAAGTGATCCTCCTGCCTCAGCTTCCCAAAGAGCTGGATTACAGGCATTAGCTACTGCATCTGGCCATTTACATTTTTTAAAACATTGTGGAAAATACATGTAGCATAAAATTTACCATCTTAACCTTTTTTTTTTTTTTTTTTTTGAGATGGAGTCTCGCTCTATCTCGCCCAGGCTGGAGTGCAGTGGCACAATATCAGCTCACTGCAACCTCTGCCTCCTGGGTTCAAGCGATTCACCTGCCTCAGCCTTCCGAGTAGTTGGGATTACAGGCGCGCACCACCTCACTCAGCTAATTTTTGTATTTTTAGTAGAGATGGGGTTTCACCATGTTGGTCAGGCAGGTCTAGAACTCCTGACCTCAGGTGAGCCACCCGTCTCGGCCTCCCAAAGTGCTGGGATTACAGGCGTGAGCCACCGCACCCGGCCCCATCCTAACAATTTTTGAGTGTGAGTTCAGGAGTGTTAATTCACATGGTGTGCAACCATCCATTCATCTCCAGAACTTTTTCATCTTGTGATCTTGAACTCCGTTCCCATTAAACACTCACTCTCCCTCCTCCCTTCTCCCTGGCAACCATCATTTTACTTTCTGTCCCTATGAGTTTGATGACTCTAGGTGCCTCCTGTAAGTGGAATCGTATAGTATTTGTCTCTCGGCGAATGGCTTATGTCACTCTGCGTAATGTCCTCAGGGTCCATCCATGTTGGAGCAGGTGTCAGAATTTATCTCCTTTTAAAGGCCGAAAAATACTCCATTGTATGACAGGCCACATTTTGTTCATTCATCCATCTGTTCATGGGTACCTGCGTCTTGTCTACCTTTTGACTCTTGTGATATATAACGCTGCTATGAACATGGGTGTGCAAATATTTTTTGAGACCCTGCTTTCAATTTTTTATTATTGTTATACTTTAAGTTCTGGGATACATGTGCAGAACATGCAGGTTTGTTGCATAGGTGTACATGTGCCACGGTGGTTTGCTGCACCCATCAACCCGGCATCTACATTAGGTATTTCTCCTAATGCTATCCCTCCCCTAACCCCCGGCCCCCTGACAGGCCCTGGCATGTGATGTTCCCCTCCCTGTGTCCATGTGTTCTCATTGTTCAACTCCCATTGATGAGTGAGAACATGCAGTGTTTGGTTTTCTGTTCCTGTGATAGTTTGCTGAGAATGATGGTTTCCAGCTTCATCCATGTCCCTGCAAAGGACATGAACTCATCCTTTTTTTATGGCTGCATAGTATTCCATGGTGTATATGTGCCACATTTTCTTTATCCAGTCTATCATTGGTGGGCATTTGGTTTGATTCCAAATCTTTGCTATTGTAAACAGTGCTGCAATAAACATACATGTACATTCAATTCTTTTGAGTATATACCCAGACATGGAATTGCTGGGTCATAGGGTAACTCTATGTTTAATTTTCTTTTCTTTTTCTTTTTCTTTTTTTGAGATGGAGTGTTACTCTGTTGCCCAGGCTGGAGTGCAGTGGCGCGATCTAAGCTCACTGCAACCTCTGCCTTCCAGGCAGAATCAGAACCTCTGACTCTCCTGCTTTAGTAGCCTCCTGAGTTGCTGAGATTACAGGCATGCACCACCATGCCTGGCTGATTTTTGTATTTTTAGTGGAGATGGGGTTTCGCCGTGTTGGCCAAGCTGGTTTCGAACTCCTGACCTCAGGTGATCTGCCCTCCTTGGCCTTCCAAAGTGCTGGGATTACAGGTGTGAACCACCGCGCCTGGCTACTCTATGTTTACTTTCCTAAGGAACTGCCATTCAGCTTTCCACAGTGGTCGCACCTTTTACATACCCACCAACAGGGCACAAGGGTTCCAATGCTTCCACATCCTCACCAACACTTGTAATTTTCTGTTATTTTCTTTTAGAGTAACCATCCTAATGGTTATGTTCACTCCACTTTTGATAAAAGAACATTTACCTCTGAGTCACCAGATTGTGAAGATTGGCTCCAGTTAATGAGTTTTATGCGAATGGACTCCATGGAGGTTGGGCCAGGTTTGATGCTTGTGGCATCGACAAGTCAGTGAAGGTCATCTCTGGATCCTCAACCACCAGGCCGTATTTTCTTCGCAAATCTTGCCAGCTGTGTCTTGTTTTGCCAGCTGGTGTTCTCACTCCCGCTGCTGCCATTCCGCTCACGGCAGAAACACCCTTGTCTCTTGCCTTCTGCAACTGCAAAGCAAAATCGTCTATCACAGAGAGAGGGTATAACAGAGCAGACAGGCTGGACGCAGTGGCTCATGTCTGTAATCCCAGCACTTTGGGAGGCAGAGATGGGAGAATCACTTGAGGCCAGGAGTTTGAGACCAGCCTGGCCAACATAGTGAGATCCCATCTCTAAACAAAATTAAAGAATTAGGCCGGGAGCGGTGGCTCACGCCTGTAATCCTAGCATTTTGGGAGGCCGAGGTGGGTGGATCACCTGAGGTTAGGAGTTTGAGACCAGCCTGGCTAACATGGTGAAACCCTGTCTCTACTAAAAATGCAAAAATTAGCTGGGCATGGTGGTGCACACCTGTAATCCCAGCTACTCGGGAGGCTGAGGCAGGAGAATCACTTGAACCTGGGAGGCAGAGTTTGCAGTGAGCTGAGATCGCACCACTGCACTCCAGCCTGGGCGACACAGCGAGACTGCGTCTCAAAAAAAAAAAAAACGAAAGAATTAGCCAGATGTGGTGGTGCGTGCCTGTGGTCCCAGCTACTCAGGAGGCTGAGGTGGGAGGAACACTTGAGCCTGAGATATTGAGGCTGCGGTGAGCTATGATTGCATCACTGCATTCCAGTCTGGGCAGTAGAGCAAGACCTTGTCTCTTAAAGAGAAAGAGGGAGAAAGAGAGACAGAAAGAGAGAGAGAGAGACAGCAATATCAGACAAAAGCAAAGAAAAATGAACTCTTTCTGAGCCCTTCCACTAAAACCTGGGTCCTCCCATTACCTTTCCCCACCTTCTTTCTTTCTCTGTGTGAAATTGCCTGGGTCTTTATCTCCCTTTATCAGGTTAGAGAGTGTCAGGCGTTCTTGACAAGCTCACGGGGCTGTTCTGGGGATCAAATGAGATTATAGATGGGCAAGCACTCAAGTTTGAAGTGCTACATCAATGTACAGGATTATTATTAATCTCTCATTGATCTCTTACTACAGAAAAAAAAAAAAAAAGCCTCCTCCCCTGGGGTTTCCATGGCAAAGAGACGGCTGTGACTCGTCTCCTCAGCCCTACCTCCTTTTCTCTGCTGAATCCAGCTCCAATGCAGGTAATGCCATCATCGCCCTTGTGATTTATGACGGAGGAGACCTCGCTGTCAATCAGAGGTTGTAAGCCCGTTTGGAATCAGGTGCATATATTTGTTTTGCTTGGCTCATTGAATGTTTTAAAATTATTTTTATTTTGTTGCCAGCATAGAGAAATCAGGAGAGTTACCAAAAAATAAATAAAATAAAAAATCCAGGTTTCTGACATCTTGGGAAAAATGTGAAAATCTGAAGAGCTGTCACTGCGGGGCCTGTGTTGCGTCTGCTGACCGAGGGGCCTTTCCCCACTGGCTGTGCTTGCTCAAGGGGTTTGCACTGTGGGCCTGATGGGAATGAGAAGCCGGTGTGAGCAGGGCGGGAATCAAACCCACCAAGGATCTCTTGAGGGTGTTTCTGAGCAACACTGAACAGCTTTAGGGAGTGTCTGATTTGGGTGTGAGCATGCACACTTATGTGAGTGTGACATTGTGTGTTCTTCCTGGGACCTGTAAAACCATCACCCCGTCACACTTCTGGTGAATTAAATGCTTCCAAAGTGCTGAGAGTGGTGGGGGGCAGAGAGTGCACGGCCAGGCAACAATGTAAGGACTCAGGGATGTCGGGTGCGGTGGCTCACGCCTGTAATCCCAACGCTTTGGGAGGCTAAGGCAGGAGGATTGCTTGAGGCCAGGAGTCTGAGGCTGTAGTGAACCATGATCACACCACTGCACTCCAGCATGGGCAACAACAGAGTGAGGTCCTGTCAAAAAAAAAAAAAAAAAAAAAAAAAAAGCCCAGCATGGGGGCACATGCCTGTAGTCCTGGCTACTGGAGGGGCTGAGGCAAGAGGAGTTCCTGAAGGATTCCTGGAACCCAGGAGTGCTGCAGTGGGCTATGATCACACCACTGTAGTCCAGCCTGGGTGACAGAGAGAGACTCTGTCTCTGAACAAACACTCAAACAAAGACTTAGAGAGGCCAAGTGAGGTGGCTCACTCCTGTAATCCCAGCACTGTGGGAGGCCGAGGCGGGCGGATAGCCTGAGGTCAGGAGTTCAAGACCTGCCTGGCCACCATGGTGAAACCCCATGTGTACTAAAAATACAAAAAAGTTAGCTGGGCATGGTGGCGCATGCCTGTAATCCCGGCTATTCGGGAGGCTTAGGCAGATGAATCGCTAGAATCCGGGAGGCAGAGGAGGTTGCTGTGAGCTGAGATTGTGCCACTGCACTCCAGCCTGGGTAAAAAGAGTGAAAATTCTGTCTAAAAAAAAAAAAAAAAAAGACTCAGATTTGAAAAGGTGCAAGTCTAGACATCAGTCTATAAAAATGTTGTGTTTTTAAGAGAAAAAAGCCCAGATAAACCTGAAGTGTAATCAGATGAGAGGATCCAGGAGGATGAGGCTTCTAGAAACCAGCACGTGAGATGAAAACATCCTGAATTTCACAGGGCTGGCTTCACTGTGTTGAAGATACACAATTCCAGACACAATCAAACGCAGCTTTTTTTCCTCCTACTTCCACTTTCGCCCATCCCCCAAATTGAGACTGGATTGGCCGTGGTTTTTTGGTTCACTCTTATGCAAGGGACAGTCCCAGGTCAGTTTCAGAAGCAAAAGCAGTCTCAAGCCAGTTGAGCAACACTGAACAGATTGTCTAATTTGAGACGTTAATTAAAGCTCCATGCTGGATTCAGCATTAAATCCCCCTTCTAGTTTGGGGCTGCTTTGGGCTGGAAGCCTGCGGAGGGCAAGGGGAGACCTGGCTGGTGTCTTCCCTCCATGGTCCTGCTTCCTCCCTGCCCTCTGCAGCTTAGAGAGAGGAGGGACAGGGCAGCTCGCCATTGTGGATGTTGTCAGCCAACTCCTGACTCTCTGAACCTGGAGATCAGATGTGCAGACATCCCTCTCTCTTCTCTCTCTGCCCTTTTTCTCTCTCCCCACCTCCTCTCTCTCTCACTCCTCTCACCTCTTTTTCTCTCCCCTCCTCTTTCTCTCTCTTCTCTCCCTTCCCTCACCTTCCCCCTCTCTCCTGTCTATCCCCAATCTTTCTCCCTCTCCCTCTTTCTCTCTCCCTTCTCACTCCCCTTTCTCTCTCCTTCCTCTCTCTTCCTCCTCTCTCTCTCCCTCCTCTCCCCCTCTCCCTCCTTTCTCTTCCTCCTCTCCCTCCTCACTCTTCCTCCTCTCTCCTCGTTTTCTCCCTCTCCCTCTTTCTCTCTCTCCCTCCTCTCTCCCCTTCTCTCTCCATCCTCTTTCTCCCTCCCCTCTCTCACCTCTCTTTTCCTCCTCTCTCCCTCTTCTCTCTCTCCTCTCTCTTCCTCCTCTCCCTTTCTCTCCCTCCTCTCCCCCTTTCCCTCTCCACTCTCTTCTTCCTCTTTTCCCCTCCTCTTTCCCCCTTCTCTCTTCCTCCCCCTTTCCCTCTCCCCCTCCCCCTTTCTCTCTCCCCCTCCTCTCTCCCTTTCCTCTCTCTCTCTTATCATTCCCTGCTCTTTTTCTTATTTCTCCCTGCTCTCTTTCTCTCTCTTGTCTCTCTCCCCTCCTGTCTCCCCCCTTTCTCTCTCTCCTCTCCTACCTCCCCCTTTTCTCTCTCCCCCTTCCCATTCTCTCTCCCTGCCTTCTCTCCCTCTTCTCTCTCTCCCTCTACTTCTGTCTCTGAAACCAACCTAGTAGTCCCATAGACAAGTTTTTTTGTTTTTTGGATAAACATAGAAGTTGACCCATCTGATCAAGTTCTTAAAGCTTGAAACTTGGCTTTGTTTTATCTGAGTTCCTGTTTTCTTACACATAGTTACATTTCTTCCCTGCTAAAGAAAGGCCTTTAGTGGGTCAAGAAGATGGATTTGAGACTGAGCTCCCATCTCAGCTGCTGCACCCGATTAAAGCCTTCTCCCTCAGCAACACTCATTGTCTCAGTGATTGGCTTTCTGTGCAGTGAGCAGCAGGGCCTAGACCAAACCCCTGGTGTTTTGGTAACATCTCTCCCCCTCTCTCTTGTCTTTCCCTCTTCTCTCTCTTTCCCTCCCTCTCCTCTTTCTCTCTTTCTCCCTTTCTCTCCACCTTCTGCAACTCTATACAGACTCCCTACTGGGGGCTCTTCCCCGGCAGTTCCCTTAGCAGAGGCAGATGCATATCTCTTCTGGGCAGTTGTTCCAGATTGCTACTGCTACCCAACAAATCAACCCTAAGCTTAGCAGCTCACAACGACCATTTTTGTTTTGCTTATGATTTCATGGGTAAGGAATTTGGGAAGGGTTTGGTGGGGCGGTTCTTGTGCAGGGCCTCTCATGGGGTCACCAGCCCAGAGTGCTGGGGCTACAGCATCTCCAGGCTGCATGGGGCTGGATGTCCAAGGTGGTGCACATGGAGGGCTCAGGTGGGCTGTGGATTAGATGCCCACAGGTGGCCTTTCCAGACAGCTGGGCTCTGAGAGGTGTCCCAGGGACTGGCACTCATGCCCAGAGATCCAGGTAGCCATGTCCTCAGACTCCTCAGGCACATAAGTCAACCAGCTGGGGGTTAGGACACATCACACGTCTTAGGAATTGCTGGGCTTCCTTCCCCTAGGACTTTTCCTCTTGCTTTCCTACAATTTGCTACTTTCCAGCTATATAAGGAGATTTTTAAGCAATGGAGAGAGAAGTCTGTCCTCTTATTTATTTATTTATTTATTATTAGTATATATATATTTCTTTTAGAAACAGAGACAGGGAGGCCAGGTGCAGTGGCTCACACCTGTAATCTCAGCACTTTGGGAGGCCGAGGCGGGTGGATCACCTGAAGGCAGGAGTTTGAGACCAGCCTGGCCAACATGGTGAAACCCCGTGTCTACTAAAAATACAAAAAAAAAAAAAAAAAATAGCTGGGTGCGGTGGCCGGCGCCTATAATTCCAGCTTGGGAGGCTGAGGCAGGAGAATTGCTTGAACCTGGGAGGCAGAGGCTGCAGTGAGCCAAGATCACACCATTGCACTCCAGCCTGGGGCACAGAGTGAGACTCCATCTTAAAAAAAAAAAAAAAAGGAAATAGAGACAGGAATCTCACTGTGTTGCCCAAGCTGGTCTTGAACCTTGGACTCAAGCAATCCTCTTGCCTCAAACTCCCAAAATGCTGGGATTCCAGGCGTGAGGCACCGTGCCTGGCCCATCTGCTTCAATTTAATCTTGGACAGCCGCTCTGCAAAGAGAATTCTAGAAAGAAACTGTGCCCCTGTGAGGCAGGAAAGTGGCTCTTCTGTCCAGTCCAGTGTCCCAGCATAAGCTCTTTCTAACTAAAATCCGAATCTAAAACCAGAAACCAGATTACTTAGCAAAATGCCATTAAATACAATTTGGGGTACATGTCAATATCTTTTAAGCCCCTTACCAAGCTGTCCTGAATCCTCCCTCCAGCACTGTTCAGTCTCAAGATTACAGCAATTGTCCCCTTCCCTCCCCAAACCCAGCAAAGCTTGGCTCATGGTGGGTGTCTTTGCCTGCCTGGCTTTTTGTGTCTAAAATTGAACCGTGATACTTCAGTGTCATTGCAGAATTCCACCTGAGTTTCCCCACATTTTAGTCATTGCTTAAGAACTAAGGCCTTTCTTTTCTTTTTTTAAAAAACCTTTTATTTTCAGTGCAGGGGTACTTGTATAGGTTTGCTGTATAGGTGTATTCATCCATTTTCATGCTGCTGATAAAGACACACCCAAGACTGGGGGCCGGGCACGGTGGCTCATGCCTGTAATCCCAGCACTTTGGGAGGCCCAGGCGAGTGGATCACAAGGTCAAGAGATCGAGACCAGCCTGGCTAACATGGTGAAACCCCATCTCTACTAAAAATACAAAAACTAGCTGGGCATGGTGGTGGGCACCTGTAGTCCCAGCTGCTTGGGAGGCTGAGGCAGGAGAATCGCTTGAACCCGGGAGGCGGAGGTTGCAGTGAGCCGAGATCACGCCACTGCATTCCAGCCTGGCGACTAAGTGAGACTCCGTCTGGAAAAAAAAAAAAAAAAAAAAAAAAAGATGTACCCGAGACTGGGCAATTATTTATTTATTTTACTTTAAGTTCTGGGATACATGTGCAGAACATGCAGGTTTGTTACGTAAGTATACATGTGTCATGGTGGTGTGCTGCACCTATCAGCCTATCATCTAGGTTTTAAGCCCCACATGCATTAGGGATTTGTCCTAACGCTCTCCCTCCTCTTGTCCCCCACCCCCCAACAGGTCCCAGTGTGTGATGTTCCCCTCCCTGTGTCCATGTGTTCTCATTGTTCAACTCCCACTTATGAGTGAGAACAAGCCGTGTTTGGTTTTCTGTTCCTGCATTAGTTTGCTGAGAATGATGGTTTCCAGCTTCATCCATGTCCCTGCAAAGGATATGAGCTCATTCTTTTTTATGGCTGCATAGTATTCCATGGTGTATATGTGCCACATTTTCTTTAGTCTATCATCGATGGACATTTGGGCTGGTTCCAAGTCTTTGCTATTGTAAATAGTGCTGCAATAAACATACATGTGCATGTAAGAATGAGTATTTTATAAAGAAAAAGAGGTTTAATGGGCTCACAGTTCCACGTAGCTAGGGAGGCCTCACAATCATGGTGGGAGGTGAAAGGCACGTCTTACATGGTGGCAGACAAGAGAGAAAGAGAGTCAAGCAAAAGGGGAGACCCCTTATAAAATCATCATATGTTGTGAGACTTACTCACTACCATGAGAACAGAATGGGAGAAACCGCCCTCATGATTCAGTTATCTCCCACTGGGTCCCTCCCACAACACGTGGGAATTATGGGAGCTACAATTCAAGATGAGATTTGGATGGGGACACAGCCAAACCATATCCACAAGTGAACTCGTGTATATACCCAAAGGAATATAAATCATACCATAAAGACACACAGAACTCCTTCACAGTGTGCAACTTTCAGAGGCTATGGGATGGGGCCACTTCCCAGAAAGGAGAGGGCAAAGGAACTCCTGGTGGAGAGGGGATCAGAGAGTGGGTCTGATGAAGTCTAGATGATGTCACGCATATGTTCACTGCAGCACTATTCACAATAGCCAGGACATGGAATCAACCTAAATGCCCATTAATAATAGACCGGATAAGGAAAATGTGGTACATATACACAACATAGAATACTATGTAGCCATAAAAAAAGAATGAGATCATGTCCTTTGCAGGGACATGGGTGGAGTTGGAGGCCGTTATCCTTAGCAAACTAACGTGGGAACAGAAAATCAAATACTACATGTTCTTACTTACAAGCGGGACCTGAATGATGAGGATACATGGACACAAAGATGGAAACAACACACACTGGGGCTGGCTATTGTTTTCTTTTCCTTTTCTTTTTCTTTTTTTTTGAGACAGAGTCTCATTCTGTCTTCCAGGCTGGAGTGCAGTGGCATGATCTTGGCTC
Source organism: Homo sapiens (assembly GCF_000001405.40). Taxonomy (NCBI): domain Eukaryota; kingdom Metazoa; phylum Chordata; class Mammalia; order Primates; family Hominidae; genus Homo; species Homo sapiens. The sequence goes on along the minus strand of NC_000007.14, from coordinate 4,480,541 downwards.
ACTGCAACCTCCACCTCCCGGATTCAAGTGATTCTCCTACGTCAGCCTCCCGAATAGCTGGGATTACAAGTGCCCACCACCACGCCTGGCTAATTTTTTTTTATTTTTAGTAGAGACAGGGTTTTACCATGTTGACCAGGCTGGTCTCAAACTCCTGACCTCAGGCAATCCGCCCAACTTGGCCTCCCAAAGTGCCGGGATTACAGGAGTGAGCAGCCACGCCCGGCCTGTTTCTTTTCTAATAAGAGCAACTAGGCTTGCCTTTCCGATCTCCTCACGGGGGGGCATCAGGTAGTGGATTTAAGGAAGCATCTATTGCAGCACTAAAAACCCATGCGTCTGTAACCCAGAGCCAATCCAGAGTTAAAAATGGAGAGCAAGGATTTTCAACTATTTCAACAATTTCAAAGTGGTTGGTGTTTGGCTATATCTCAGTCCATCGCATCATGTCACACTGAGATTCTATAAACTGGAATCTACCTTCAGGACTAGCAGGGTCCACTACTGGGGCGGGGGTCTGCAAACCTTTTCTGTAAAGGGCCAGAGTGCAAATATTTCAGGTTTTGCTGGCTCTGTGGTCCCCGTTGCAACTATTCAACAGTGCTGCTGTAGCAAGAAAGCTGACACAGACAATACATAAACCAGTGTGGCTGTGTGCCAATAAAACTTTATTGACAAAATGAGCAGTGGGCCGGATTCAGCCCATGGGGTGTTGTTTGCTGACCCCCGGTCTAGTGAAACCAGGAAGTCCAGCGAAAACCTGCGGGTGAAAGTAAAATGCCACCGAGTCAAGGGAGTAAAGTTCTAGTCCTAGCACCACCCTGACTAGCTCTGTGGCCTGAGGAGTATCCCCCATGTCTCTGGTCCTTCTATTCCTCAATAAGCACAGGAGGTAATTGTAGGGTTTGAGGGGTTTGGAGGCTGAGCAAAGAAAAAGACATGACCACAAGATGGCAGTAGAATGCATACGTTTTCTTTGGTCAAAGCCTTGACAGATTTGCTGGAGGGGGCGGTCCCTCATGGCATGCAAACTTCAGAGGCTATGGGATGGAGCTACTTACCGGAGGGAGGAGAGCAAGAGAACCTCTGCTGGAGAGGGGATCAGAGAGGGATCTGACGATGTCTAGGCAATGTTGCTTAGTCCCAAGTAGCCGGGACTACAGGTGTGTGTCAGCGTGCCAGCTAATTTTTGTATTTTTTGTAAAGAGAAGGTTTTGACGTGTTACTCAGGCTTGTCTTGAACTCCTGGGCTCAAGTGTTCCTCCTGTCTTGGCCTCCCAAAGTGCTGGGATTACAGGTGTGAGCCACTGTGCTTGGTCAGGCTAATTCTTTCTTTTTTCTTTTATATATACATATATATATATATATATATATATATATATATATATATACATGTATATATGTGTATATACATTATATATATATTTTAACTTAATTTTTGTGGGTACATAGTAGGTGTATATATTTATGGGGTACATGAGATATTTTGATACAGGCATGCAATATGAAATAAACACACCATGGGGATGGGGTATCTATCCCCTCAAGCATTTATCCTTTGAGTTACAAACAATCCAGTTACACTCTGTAAGTTATTTTAAAATGTAATTAAAGCCAGGCTCATTCTTTTATTTATTTATTTATTTATTTAAGATGGAGTCTTGGTCTGTTGCCCAGGCTGGAGTGCAGTGGTGCAATCTCTGCTCAGTGCAACCTCTGCCTCCCAGGCCCAGCCTCACGACTCGCTGGGATTACATGCACATGCCACCATGCCCAGCTAACTTTTGTATTTTTAGTAAAGAAAGAGTTTTGCAATGCTGGCCAGGCTCGTCTCGAACTCCTGACCTCAGGTGATCTGCCCACCTCAGCCTCCCAAAGTGCTGGGATCACAGGCGTGAGCCACCACGCCTGGCTGCTATGTTCCTTCTTAAGCCACTCTCAACTCCAACTTCCTTCCTGATTCTAGGATGGGCAGGTGGCTCAGGGCTTGGCTAATCACAGCCTGTGTCCCCCTGCACGCATAAGCCCATCAGGCTGATGAGGGACAATGAGCATTTGGTGGAACTGTTAGTAGAAGGGTGGCCCTTTCCCACTGGACTGGAACTGGGAAGACAGAAGTAGCTGATGGAGGTAACCTGCCTCCGTGTAGGGCCTGAGGATGAGAGCAGTGTGGAGGAAGGCAGCCTCCACACAAGGACAGACTCAGTCCTGTGAGCACTGTTTAAACCCCTGCTCCAAGCCTTGTCTGCTGCCAGGCGTGTCTGAACTTTTCTGTAACACGAGAAAGTCAAGTCACTTCTTTCTGTAAGCCACAGGGAATCAAGTTGTCTGTAACTCTCAGCTGGTATGACACTAATTGATACATATATTCTTTCTTTTTTCTTTTTTTTTTTTTTTTGAGACAGAGTCTCTCTCTGTCACCCAGAATGGAGTGCGGTAGCTCGATCTTGGCTCACTGCAACCTTCACCTCCTGGATTCAAGCAATTCGCATGCCTCAGCCTCCTGAGTAGCTGGGATTACAGATGTATGCCACCACACCTAGCCACGGATAGTTTCATGCTTTATTTCTTGTCCTTTGAGGAGTGGTTATTTTATTATTGTTCCTCCAGTAGTTTAGGAACAGATTAAAGAAGTTATACATCTGTTTCTATTTTTCTAGTAACTACCCTTTAACAGATTAAAAAGTTATACATCTATTTCTATTTTTCTTTTTTCTTTTTCTTTCTTTTTTTTTTTTTTTTTTTGAGATGGAGTCTCACTCTGTTGCCCAGGCTGGAGTGCAGTGGCATGATCTCGGCTCACTGCAAGCTCCGCCTCCTGGGCTCAAGAGATTCTCCTGCCTCAGCCTCCCAAGTAGCTGGGATTACAGGTGCCCGCCACCACGCCCAGCTAATTTTTTTGTATTTTTAGTTGAGATGAGGTTTCACCACGTTGGCCAGGCTAGTCCTGAACTCCTGACCTCAGGTGATCCACCCGCCTCAGCCTCCCAAAGTGCTGGGATTACAGGTGTGAGCCACTGCGCCTGGCCTAAAATGCTAAGTTCAAAATAATTTTCATCTCCAAAACTTTTGAGGTTACTGCTCTGTTGTCTTCCGGCATCCATTGTCCCCAGTGAGGAGCAGAACCCAATTTAATTTTTGTTTCTTTGTAGGGAAATTTCTTTTCTTTTCTCTTCTTGTCTTTTCTTTTTTCTTTTCGACAGAATCTCACTCTGTTGCCCAGGCTGGAGTGCAGTGGTGTGATCTTGGCTCACTGCAACCTCTGCCTCCTGGGTTCAAGGGGTTCTCCTGTCTCAGCCTCCCAAGTAGCTGGGACTACAAGTGCCCAACACCACGCCCGGCTAATTTTTGTATTTTTAGTAGAGATGGGGTTTCACCATATTGGCCAGGTTGGTCTCAAACTCCTGACCTCAAGTGATCTGCCCACCTCAGCCTCCCTAAGTGCTGAGATTACAGGCGTGAGCCACCATGCCCACCCGGGAAGTTGCTTTCTTTTTCTCTCTCTTTCCTTTCTCTCTCTTCTCCCTCCTTCTCTCTCTCTCTCCTCTCCTTCTCCTTTCTTCTCCCTCTCTCCTCCCTCTCTTCTGCCTCTCCTCCCTCTCCCCTCTCTCTCCTATTCCCTCTCTTTCCCCTGCTCCCCTCTCTCTCCCTCGGAATTTTTTTTTTTTTTTTTTTTTTTTTGAGACAGAGTTTCACTCTTGTTTCCCAGGCTGGAATGCAATGGTGCCATCTCGGCTCACTGCAACCTTCGCCTGCCAGGTTCAAGTGATTCTCCTGCTTCAGCCTCCTGAGTAGCTGGGATTACAGGTGCCCGCCACCACGCCTGGCTAATTTTTTGTATTTTTAGTAGAGACGGGGTTTCACCATGTTGGCCAGGCTTGTCTTGAACTCCTGACCTCAAGTGATCTACCTGCCTCAGTCTCCTAAAGTGCTGGGATTACAGGCGTGAGCCACTGCACCCAGACTGCTTTGAAATCTTTTGGAACTTACTCTTCACCCCTGTTGTTGTGAAATTTCCCAGTGCTGCCTGTAAGCGCTTATCTGTTTCACTCACTGTGATCAGCTTCCAGTGAACTCATTCAACACACATACATGTGTCTTCATTTATCTCTGGGTAGTTTTATTTCACTATTAATTTTCTCTCTCTCCTCTGTTCTGTCAATCCTTCACACAGGAAATTCACATGAGATGCCTTTTGAGCAGCTTGATTATTGGGGCCATAATTCATTTTCAGGTGCATTGATCTATTCTTCACCTGGTCTGTTGAGCTCCATGTTGGAACCATTATTTTAAATTTCTGAGGGTCCTCATGGTTTACTTTTCTTTATTCATCACCCTCCACACAAACATACATGCTGTCCCCTCACCAGGCATTTCTTTACCTGTGGAGACAAAACATACGAAAACCAGAAACCTTCTCAGTGTTACTTGGACATCATGCATTCATAGTTGCTCTTCACTTTGGTCATGCATAGCAAGGTCAGAAGAAAGGAACAGAACTGGAAGTTGTACTGTTTTTGTTTGTTTGTTTGTTGTTTTGTGACAGAGTCTCGCTCTGTCACCCAGGCTGCAGTGTAGTGGTGCGATCATGGCTCACTGCAGCCTCCACCTTCTGGGTTCAAGTCATTCTCCTGCCTCAGCCTCCCGAGTAGGTGAGACTACAGGTGTGCGCCACCATGCCCACCTAATTTTGTATTTTTAGTAGAGACGGAGTTTCTCCATGTTGGCCAGGCTGGTCCCGAACTCCTGACCTCAGGTGATCCACCTACCTTGGCCTCCTAAAGTGCTGGGATTACAGGCGTGAGCTACCGTGCCCGGCCATGATACTGTTTGTTTATTTATTTATTTATTTATTTATTTATTATTTTTTTTTTTTAAAAACTCCTGTCAAGGGTAAAGTTACCAATCTTGCGCTCACTTTGGAGCAACACAAGACTTCGTCTTCTCCTCAAAGTGGGACAAATGAACTAAATAGACTTTTTCTGAAATGCTCTACGACCTCTACTCTGCCGTTCCCCTTGTCGCACAGCTCTGTCAGTGAGGCTAAATTTAGATTGTCCCGTTACGAAACCAGGACATTCCATTTTTGTTCAAACAGGAATGACACAGAAGTCAGTTCAGCTGCTTTTAATTCATAAAACAGATGCAAATGTATCTGAGGAAATAAAAGCCGTTAATTGCAGTGTTATTTATAATGGCACAAATTGGAAACAACCAAAGTGGCCAAAAGCAGGAGAAAAGAAAATGAATCATGGGGTACTCAATCAAAGAATATTATGTAGACATCAAAAATGACAGCTACGAAGGCTCAGGGGCAAGACGGTAAGTGCTAATAGGAGGCTACGTGAAAAACAGGACTTAAAATTATACACGTGCTACTACGACAATGACGCATATGTCAAACGCACTGAAAAACAGGAAAAAATGAAAAAAAGTGGTAATGAATCAGGATACTTTTCATGGGGAAGTTTTTTTTGTTCGCTTTGTAAAGCCAAAGCTTTGCCATGTGAGATAACTTTTAAAAGATTAAATTATTAAGAGAAAGAGAAATAGAGAAAGAGAAAAAAAGAGAAAGAAAAAAGAGAGAGAAAGAGAAACAAAGAGAGGCCAGGTGCCGTGGCTCACGCCTGTAATCCCAGCACTTTGGGAAGTCGAGGCGGGAGGATGGCTTGAGCCCAGGAGTTCAAGACCAGCCTGGGCAACATAGTGACACCTTATCTCTACAAACAAACAAACAAACAAAATACAAAAATTAGCCAGGCATGGTGGTGTGTGCCTATGGTCCCACCTGCTCAGAAAGCTGAGGCAGGAGAATTGGTTAAGCCTGGGAGGCAGAGGTTGCAGTGAGCCAAGATTGCACCACTGCATTCCAGCCTGGGCGACAGAGCAAGACCCTGTCAAAAAAAAAAAAAAAAAAAAGAAAAGAAAAAGAAAAAGAGAGAGAGAAAGAAATACAGAAAGAGAGAGGGAAAGAGAAGAGAGAGAGAGAGAGAAATATATACATAATATATACAGAGAGAGAAAGAAAGAGAGCCAGAATTAAAATGACGGTGTTTGAGTAAACATTGCAATAGAATTGGTTTTTGTTTTTGTTTTGTTTTGTTTGTTTGTTTTTGAGATGGAGTCTCGCTCTGTTGCCCAGGCTGGAGTGCAGTGGGCTCACCTCAACCTCCGCCTGCCGGGTTCAAGCAATTCTTCTGCCTCAGCCTCCCAAGTAGCTGGGACTACAGGTGTGCGCCACTATGCCCAGCTAATTTTTTGTATTTTTAGTAGAGATGGGGTTTCACTATGCTGGCCAGGCTGGTCTTGAACTCCTGACCTTGTGATTCACCTGCCTCGGCCTCCCAAAGTGGTGGGATTACAGGCGTGAGCCACCACGTCCTAAGAGTGGTTGTGTGTGTGGAATACTTGTTGTGCCCTGGCCTCTTTAGTGACACAGTGGCTCACGCTGATCCAACCAGAGCTGCATGCAGTGGGACAAGCTCGCTGCTATTTGCCACCACTGATGGGTCAGGGCTTAGCATGAACTCTAACAATTTCTAGCCTCTTTGAGTTAAAATAAACTTCCTATTACTCAGGGTATGATTCAGGAGCTAGAATCTTCCTCTTTGTTCTGTATAGGTGGCCTGGCGCATGCCACCACACCCAGATAATTTTCGTATTTTTAGTAGAGATGGGGTTTCATCATATTGGTCAAGCTGGTCTCAAACTCCTGACCTCAGGTGATCCACCCGCCTCGGCCTCCCAAACATGAGCCACCACGCCCGGCCCCTCCTTTCTCTCTCCTCCCTCTCCCTCTCTCTCTTTTCCCTCTCTCTCTCCTCTCCCTCTCCTTTCTCCTCCCTGTCTCTCCTCTCTCTTTCTTCTCTGTCTTCTCTCTCTCCTCCCTCTTTGTCCTCTCCCCTCCTCTCTCTCTCCCTCTCTGTCTTCTCTCTGTCTCTCTTCTCTCTCCTCTCCTCTCTCTCTCCCTTTCCCCTGCCTCTGTCTCTCTCCCTCTCTGTTTTGGAATCTTTTGGGACTTCCTCTTCATCCCTGTTGTTGTGGAATTTCTCAGCACTGCCTGTAAGTGCTTATCTTTGCATTCACTGTGATCAGCTTCCAGTGAACTCATTCAACACAAATTCTCCTACTGACTAGTATTGCTACTAAGCTTTGAGCTCCAGTTGAAATGGAATGCCTGACCCACGGAGGCCCGATCCCAATTTCTTTGCTTGATACACCTAGTTTAGGTGATCGGTCAAGGAGCTCTAGGACTGAACTCCAGGCCTGACAAGTCAGAAGGGTCCACAAAGCCTTCCCTGTCCGATGGATGTGGGGGCATTGAAGACGGCCGTTGGCCGAGCCCCAGAGGTAACTCAGCCTTCTGTGACAAAGTCGCAGCTCTCCCTGTGAGACAAACCGTGTCTCCCTTTCTGCTTCCTGAAGCAAAGCCCAAGTGACCAGCTCTTTTGGGGCCTTTTGTTCACAAAGGTTCCCCTAAATGCCTGAGTCTGGCTGAGCTGAAACCCAGTGGCGTCTGCGCCAGCCATCCAGTCTCCGTCGAGCAGAACCTGTAGAGGCTACGGCCACTCAGCAGGTGGAGCTCAGCTGCTAGACCATGGCAAATCCGAGACAGCCTGTTAGGGGTGGGAACTGTGGAAAGAGACAGTGGTCGCTGGTGGAGCAGACTGGGTCACTCATGCAGATGGCTCGGCACTGACCGTGAGAGAGGAGAGGCAGGCATCCTGCAGGACAATGAGGGCTGCATTCGCCGAGTGCCTGCTGTGTGCTCTGATGAGGCCCACGGGAAGCAAGCAGCTGAGAGAGACTGTAACTCATTTTCAATTTTTCACAAATGAGGCTGCTGTGAACATGTGTGCTCTGACGTCCTATGTACGGGGGCTGGTGTAGAGTCAGAGAGGGAGAACTCTTGGATGGAAGGGTAGGAGAATTTGCTATTTTTACAGATGCTGGTAAATTGTCTTCCAAAGCAGGGTATGAGTGTTCCCATCTCCCTATGCTTTAAAAAAAATCAAGACAGGATCTTGCTCTGTCACCCAGGCTGGAGTCTAGTGGTGCGATCATAGCTCACTGCAGCCTCAACCTCCTGGGCTCAAGTGATCCTCCCACCTCAGCCTCCTGAGTAGCTGAGACTACAGGTACATGCCATCATGGCTAATTATTTTATCTTATTTTTTTGTTGTTGAGACAGGCTCTTGCTATGTTGCCCAGGCTGGTCTTGAACTCCTGGACTCAAGCAATTGTCTTGCCTTAGTCTCCCAAAGTGCTGTGACCACAGGTGTAAGCCACTGCACTTGGATCCTATGCTTTTTAACGTAGGATTTGAGAAATATTTTAACTGAAGTATACAGCATTTGAATTATGATTTTTTTTACAGCATTTGAATTATGATTTTTTTTTTTTGAGATGGAGTTTCGCACTTGTTGCTCAGGCTGGAGTGTAATGGCACAATCTTGGCTCACTGCAACCTCCGCCTCCCGGGTTCAAGTGATTCTCCTTCCTCAGCCTCCCGAGTAGCTGGGATTACAGGCATGCGCCACCATGCCCGGCTAATTTTTGTATTGTTAGTAGAGATGGGGGTTTCTCCATGTTGGTCAGGCTGGTCTTGAACTCCCGACCTCAGGTGATCCACTCGCCTGGGCTTCCCAAAGTGCTGCGATTACAGGTGTGAGCCACTGCACCTGGCCCTGACTTATGTTTTATTATACAATGTTTTTATTTAAAAACTCTAGTTTTGGCTGGGCGTGGTGGCTCACGCCTGTAATTCCAGGACTTTGGGAGGATGAGGCGGGTGGATCACCTGAGGTCAGGAGTTGAAGATCAGCCTGGCCAACATGGTGAAACCCTGTCTACTAAAAATACAAAACTTAGCCGGGTATGGTAGCACATGCCTGTAATCCCAGCTACTTGGGAGGCCGAGGCAGGAGAATCGCTTGAACCCAGGACGGGGAGGATGCAGTGAGCTGAGAAAGATCTCGCTCTGCCACACCACTGCACTCCAGCCTGGGCAACAGACCCAGATCTGTCTCGAAAACAAAAACAAAAACAAAAAAACTCCCAAAAAACAACCAATTCTAGTTTTGTCTAATACTCGATGCATTGCTTTAAAACAATTAACATATAATAATTGTACATATTTATGGGGTACATAATGATGTTGCAATACATATAATTTATAGTGCTCAGATCACAGTAATTAGCATATTCATGATTTCGAACATTTAGGATTTCTTTGTGTTGGGAGCATTCAGTATACTCCTTCTAGTGATTTGAAACCACATAATATATTATTGTTAACTGTAGCCATCCTACAATGCTATAAACACTAGAACTCATTCCTCCTATCTGACTGTAATTTTGTGTTCTTTAAGAAATCTCGGTGGGGCATAGTGGCTCTTGTCTGTAATCCCAGCACTTTAGGAGGCAGAGATGGAAGGATTGCTTGAGCCCAGAAGTTCAAGACCAGCCTGGGTAACATAGCAAGACCCTGTCTCAACATAAACTGAAAACAAAACTAGCCAGGTGCGACGGCATGCATCTGTAGTTCCAGCTACTCTGGAGGCTGAGGCAAGAGGATGGTGTGAGTTCAGGAGTTCAAGGCTGCAGGGAGCTATGATTGTGCCACCGCACTCCAGCCTGGGTGACAGAGCGAGACTCTAAGTCTTAAAAACCAAAAAACAAACCAAAAACCCAGAAATCTCTCCCTATTCCCTTGTTTTGAAGCATTGCTTTTTTTTTTTTGACAGAATTTCACTCTCATCACCCAGGCTGGAGTGCAATGGCATGATCTCCATCACTACAACCTTCACCTCCCAGGTTCAAGTGATTCTCCTGTCTCAGACTCCCAAGTAGCTGGGATTATAGGCGTGAGCTACCACGGCTGGCTAATTTTCATATTTTTTAGTAGAGACGGGATTTCACCATGTTGGCCAGGCTGGTTTCGAACTCCTGACCTCAGGTGATCTGCCCACCTCTGCCTGCCAAAGTTCTGGGATTACAGGCGTGAGCCACCCGCCCGGCCTGATGTATTGCTTTTTACTCAGAAACACTTACTGAGCACTTACTGGGTGCCAGGCACTGTCCTAGGTGCTGAACACTCAGGCGGATGCATAGGGGGACACAAAAAAGCCCTTTCCTGATGAAGCTTCCACTAGAAGTGGATGAGACAGCAGCAAAGATGCTGGGGTCTAATAACTGCACTCCCTTTCACAGGATGACAGACAGGGACAGGAGTTATGCAGAGATGTGAACTAGAGTCAGCAGTGGAGAGGGGATGCGATTTTAGGACAAGAAAAGCCTCTCCAATCTCATGACATGAGAGCAAAGATCAGAACGAAGTGATCAATATCAGAGGATCCACAGGTGCTGACTAAGTGAATTAGAGTTGCAAATAAAAATTTCTACCACAGCAGCACCTGTCTAAGACACATCACAACTGCCCCTTGTGTTCCATCACACCTGGCCCCAGCCAGCTGCTGCTGACAGAGGCGCATGCACTTGGACTGACCCCTGATACCCTCTGGACCAAACTGAAGACATTTCCCATGCCAATGAACAACGGGGCTTGTTTTAACCCCCATGCACACACCTGTGAGCTCATTCTGCTGCAACCACAACATTGGTGATCAATCCTCCATTAGCACAACCAGCAGGGCCCCCTATCCAGAATGTAAATGTTGTGTTATGCTCAGTGCATTTCTTCATGAGCTCTTCCTCCTTTGCTTGCATCTGAATAGACTCAGCTCTGTATTTTTTAAAAACAAGCTCTGGTCATTTTTCTTTATTCTTTCATAGTCTTTACTGTGCCTGATCTCACTGCATAGCAGCACCCACGCTATTCTTATCCCTTTGGTGCCTGCTACCCTGAAGTTGTGCCATGAATAATGACCAGAAATGAAAACAAACTTTCCAAAGCCTTCCAAGCAGTCCTTTTTTTTAATCACAGAGGAAGCCAGAAAAAAAATCACTTTGACATTCAGGAAGTAAGACAGAATTTACTTTCTGTAGCAGAGGAACTGTTGGGAGATTTCTGATTCCCTTTCAGCTGTCTTCGTTTCTAAGGAATGATTTTTGGTACCAACCAAGTATCCGGTGAGCTATTCTGGACCCTCGGTCAATTGGAAATGTATGAAGTTAAGAGCTGAGTCACCACTCAACAACTTTTGTTCATAATGCTGATGGTCATGGTTAATGTAATACCGTCATTCAAAGCACATATTTTGTCTTAATATTCTGTAGAATTACATTCACACAATTAGATAAACACACATTCATAAAAAATACTTTCTAGTGCCCTGTGCATTTCAAAGTAAAATCTATACAATATAAATATAACCGGGCTGGGTGTGGTGGCTCATTCCTGTAATCCCAGCACTCTAGAAAGCTGATTTGGGAAGACTGCATGAGCCCAGGAGTTCGAGGCCAGCCTAGGCAACATAGCAAGACCCCATCTCTACAAAAAAATAAGATAAAATAATTAGCCACAGTGGCATGTGCTTGCAGTCCCAGCTACTCAGGAGGCTGAGGTGGGAGGATCACTTAAGCCCAGGAGATTGAGGCTGCAGTGAGCTATGATTGGACCACTGCACTCCAGCCTAGGCAACAGAGTGAGACCCTGTCTAAATGCGCACGTGTGTTTGTGGTGTGTGCATGTGCACGAGTGTGTGTTTATATATTAATTATAGTACATTATACTAAATCATATTATAGTCTGATATGGTTTGGCTCTGTGTCCCCACTCAAATCTCATCACCAATTGTAATCCCCAGGTGTTGAGGGAGGGACCTGGTGCGAGGTGATTGGATCATAGGGGTGGTTCCCCCATGCTATTCTCATGATATTGAGTGAGTTCCATGAGATCTGATGGTTTAAAAGTGTTTGTCATTTCCCTCTCTCTCTCTCTCTGCTGCCATGTAAGATGTGCCTTGCTTCCCCTTACCCTTCTGTCATGATTGTAAGTTTCCTGAGGCCTCCCCAGCCATGTGGAACTGTGAGTCAGTTGGGCCTCCTTCCTTTATGAATTACCCAGTCTCAGGAAGTTCTTCATAGCAGTGTGAGAAGGGAGTCATACTTAGTCATAGGGTGACTTAGTGGTTTGATTATCTTGATCATTGGAGGTGTAGCTTTGGATCCGATTGAATGAGTAGAAATCCAATTTGATTGCTAAAATAGCTGGGATTTCATCCACCATAATTTTGCCTATTGATTAGGTTTAAACTGTTTCTGGAGCTTTAATGTGCATATCAGTGGAATCACATGGGGATCCTGTTAAAATGCACAATCTGACTCAAAAAGTCTTGGGTGGCACCTGGGAACCTGCATTTCTAGCCAGCTTCCAGGTGATGCAGATTGTTTTGGCTCATGGACTCCATGCCAAAGGACAGGGGCTACATCTTCCTGTGTGGTGTGCTTGGAGACTCTGGTGGGCCGAGCAGGGGTTGCAGGGCTTGAGGAATCTCTCTCAATTATTATACAATGTTTTTATTTAAAAAACTTGTCTGGGCATGGTGGCTTACACCTGTAATCCCAGGACTTTGGGAGGCCGAGGCAGGTGGGTGACTTGAGGTCGGGAGTTCGAGACCAGCCTGACCAATATGGTGAAGCCCTGTCTCTACTAAAAATACAAAATTAGCCAGGCATGGTGGCACATGCCGGTAATCCCAGCTACTTGGGAGACTGAGGCAGAAGAATCGCTTGAACCCAGCAGGTGGAGGTTGCAGTGAGCCAAGATTGCACCATTGCACTCCAGCCTGGGCAACAAGAGCGAAACTCTGTCTCAAAAAACAAAACAAAACAAACCCCCCCCAAAAAACAAAGAAAAAAAACCCCAAAAACTCTAGTTTTGTTTAATACCTGTTTTAAAAAAATCAAATTAACATATAATAATCGTACATATTTGTGGAATACATAATGATGTTGCCATACATAATAATTTATAGTGATCAGATCAAAGCAATTACCATATTTATTCATAATCTCAAACATTTATGATTTGAGGGCCTGGAAGCGACTGGAGTTTCCAGACTGGTCCTCTCCAGCCAAGAGCAGCCTCACATCTTGACACCAGTGGTTCCATTTTTGTGTGTGTGTGCTGTAATGAAGTCAGCAGCACCTTTGACTTTTAGACCCTAAACCATCAGTATCTGTTGGAAGTTTTTAAATTTCAAGGGACAGAAAAACACAATTCAGAACGACTTTGATGAAAAAGAAATTTATTGGTTCACGTAATTGCAAAGTCCAGGAATAGACCTGGCTTTCGGCATTCAGAGGATGTCACCTGGAGAGATGGGGTCTCACTCTGTTGCCTGGGCTGGAGTGCAGTGGTGCAATCACAGCTCATTGCAGCCTTGAATGCTTTGGCTCAAACAATCCTCCTGCCTCAGCCTCCCAAGTAGCTGGGACTGCAAGCACGTAATAGCACATGTGGCTAACTTTTAAGTTTTTTGTAGGGACAAGGTCTCGCCATGTTGCCCAGGCTGGTCTCGAACTCCTGGGCTCAGGCGATCCTCTTGTCTCAGCCTTCCAAAGCATTGGGATTACAGACGTGAGCCACATGTGCCTAGATTCTATATTATTTTAGCTCCACTTGCCTCCAAGAGGAGGCTGGTTTCCTTATATTCTCACATTCTTAGACTCCTATTCCTGTTCATTCACTGTGATCAGCTTTCAGTGAACTTATTCAACACAAATACTACTACTGACTAATATTGCTACTGAGCTCTGGTTGGAATGGAATGCCTGACCCATGGAGGCCTGATCCTGATTTCTCTCCCTAGTTTAGGTGGTAGGTCAAGGAGCCTGAGATGGCTGGGGCACCTCTCAAGGTCACGGTTGCTGGGTCCCACCCTCAGGGTTTCTGATTCAGCAGGCTTGGGTAGGAACCAAGAACTTGCATTTCTAACAAGCTCCTGGGTGATGCTGAAGCTGCCAGTCTGAGAGCCATGCTTGAGGACCCCCCTCCCTCCAACCATCCTATTTTCTTTTCTTTTTCTTTTTCTTTCTTTTCTTTTTCTTTTTTTTTCTTTTTTTTTTTTTTTTTTAGCTGGAGTCTCACTCAGTTGCCCAGGCGGGAGTGCAGTGGCGTAATCTCGACTCACTGCAACCTCCGCCTCCCAGACTCAAGTGATTCTCCTGGCTCAGCCTCCTGAATAGCTGGAATTACAGGTGTGCATCACTACACGTGCATATATATATTTTTTTTTTGTATTTTAATAGAGATGGGGTTTCCCCATGTTGGCCAAGTTGGTCTTGAACTCCTGACTTCAAGTGATCCACCTGCCTCGGCCTCCCAAAGTGCTGGGATTACAGGCGTGAACCATTGCACCCGGCCCAACCATCCTATTTTCAAGCCTCCCTCTTTTTTGGTACTCATCTCTAGGTCTCACCATGGACTGCCTTGTGTTAGTGATGAGACTGCTCTGTGTTCCTCTCATCTCAGCCATGTTCAAGCCCCTGAGAGCTACGGATGCCCGTTCTCATTCAGAACACAATAGACACGAAAATTGCCAATGAGCTTCTAGATTTGGAGAGAAAAAGCTAAAAGCCTCTGTTAGTTGCTAACCCTGCAGAAGTCCTCTTTAACCCACAACTTGCCTCCTTTCAACATTCCTAATAGGGTACCCATTTATCCGCATACCTCACCACTGTCCCCCACAAAACACAGCCTCATTTACAACTCTATAAAGGAAAATTTCATACGCTTTCCCTAGAGATTTAAAGCAAGGAGTCATTAGCGTAAATGCTGTTCCCACTCAGCAATTTGAAGGAAATCTAAATGCTCTTCCTCAGATGGTGCCAATTACAACAGCCGGTGGAGGTGACCTCCTGCCTGCCCCACGCTGTGGCGGCAATCACCGTGTATCTTCTCAAATCGAGGCAAAGTGGACTCTATTCTTCCCTCAGCTTGTAAGCACTCTCCTTGTGTGCCTGGCACAATTCTCTCTGTGCCTCTGCCCTGTGCTCTTTTCCGTTCTGGCTACAAGATGACTAAGAGAGATGAAAACTATGCAAGCATACAGCCAATCTCTGCTTGTGTCATTTATGCTGGACATCCTTTTGGCCAAAGCCAATACCCAACATCAGCACAGCAGGAAAGTAGATTCTGCCTCTGTAAGACTACACAGCAAGCATGCATGCTAGACAAACAAGAATTCAATCTACCAGACCCTGCACCCACCTCTGCTGGGGAAGAGTTTTTCCTCTCCGAAGAATCTTCAAAGGAAAAAAGAACTGGGCCAACAAAACATCACATCAGCCTTTATTTGCTCAAAAGGAATGTGTAGGCTGGGCGTGGTGGCTCACACCTACAATCCCAGCACTTTGGGAGGCTGAGGCAGTTGGATCACCTGAGGTCAGGAGTTCAAGACCAGCCTGGCCAACATGGTGAAACCCATCTCTACTAAAAATACAAAAAAAATTAGCTGAGCATGGTGGTGGGTGTCTGTAATCCCAGACTCGGGAGGCAGGAGAATTGCTTGAACCCAGGAGGCGGAGGTTGCAGTGAGCCGAGATTGCACCACTGCACTCCAGCCTGGGTGACAGAGCGAGACTCCATCTGAAACAAAAAACAAACAAACAAACAAAAAACAAAAAAAGAAAGAAAAAAAGGAAGGTGCAGTTTACCACTTCAGGCCAGACTGGCTTTTCCCTTGGGCAGCATAGATGATTATGTAGAAGTGTCTTGGAGGGCTGTCTTGTCTGAAATCCTACAGTTCATTTCCTGGGGTTCAGTAATGTTCCCACATGATACTCTTTCTAATAATACAAATTTCATTTCCTTTCATTCCATTCACAATACCTCCGTGTGAAGAAGCCAGGGACTGCATGAAGACACTGAATGGCTCAGTAGGAGAAGTGGTGAATGAGATTTGCTGAAATGCAGGGTGTGGTAAATTGAATTCTTGTTTGTCTAACATGCATGCTTGCTGTGTAGTCTTACGGAGGCAGAATCTATTTTCCTGCTGTACTGATGTGGGGCATTGGCTTTGGCCAAAAGGATGTGAGCACAGATGACACAAGCAGAGATTTGCTGTATGCTTGCACAGTTGGACAGGCACTCTTGCCCTTCCGTTATTTACATGAGAAGAGCTTCCCCTGAATAGCTTCTGGCCCTTGAACATGGACCCCATAATGAGTACACATGGTGCAGACTGAGATCCAAATCATAGAGGTGGAAGGGGTGGGGCCGACCAGACTCGTAGCTTGAAGAAGCAAAGACTCCCAGATGAGCCCAGTTTAGTTCAAAAAACACATGCTATTTTTCTTTACCACCGAATTCTTTTTGATCTGTTTGTTACACAGCAATAGCTGACTGACACAGAGGTCAAAGATGCTGGTGAGAAAGTTGAGATTGCCAAATAAGACTTTATTACCTTCTCAAAGTTGCCTAGACAATCTCTGCTCCCATATCAGAAATCACAGATCCATGCACGGCTTTACCAAAAACCTGATTCATTTTTGTCTCCTTCATGATGATTTGCAGGATAATGATGTCATTAAGAAGCTTTTAAAACTTTCACATTAGCCAAAGGATGGGATCAGAAGAAACACTTTGGCAGGATTTCAAAACCGAAGGGGAGTTGTGAGAGGTGGGTTCATTTATAATAAAAACAAATGACTTGAAGGTTTTAGTTTTCAATTATTAACATTCTAGTGCCAAAGGCCCAGCCATGCAATTTAGTTCTTAGCTATTTTTGCTAATATCTCCTCAATGCTTGACGTCTAAATACCCAGTCAATCAACAGCCATTACAGAGTTATTACACGCAGTGTTGCGTATGGAGCTGGGGAGAGAATATAAGAAGAAAAAATGCTCCCTATTCTTTGAGAATTTATAACTTAGAGTAAACACAAGCCATACATAGATCAATTATTCATTTAAATGTTGAAAGAATTTTATCAATGGACTTTTAATAACTTTTAATTTTTATACATTATTATAATGTGTGTTTCTTTCAAGTAACTTACAAAATATACAAAAGCACAAAGAAAAAATGGATTGCCAATAATCCTAACATTCAGACAGGCACTGTTAACACTGTGATGAATAATTTTCAAACATTTTTTAAGGTAAGCATATTTTTGTACACACGTTTCTTTTTAAAAGCAATGTTGTTTTTGGCAATGGCTATCTTCCATGTTAATAATTATTGATCTGTAGCATAATTTTAATGGCTGTAAAGTATTCCCCTGCATAGGTATGCCATTATTTGTTTCATCAATCTCCTACCAATAGTCATCTAGGTTATTTTCTGAGTTTTCTCTATTATAAAAAGCAATGCTGTTAACATCCTCATACATTCATCTGCATCCAATGGTCCCCTTCTGGTCTTAGGACAAGCTCCTATGAGTGAAATTTTTAGGTTAAGTGTGTGGTATTTCTAGAAAGCATTTGATCCATGTGGGTAAACTGACTTCCAAAGTTTCCGTTTTAAATGTCTTCTCTAAAAAAAAATTATTTTGAGTAGATAGTCATGTCTCAATTGAAACATGTCATGAGGTCGGGCATTGTGGCTCATGCCTGTAATCCCAGCACTGTGGGAGGCCAAGGAGGGTGGATCACCTGAGGTCAGGAGTTTGAGACCAGCCTGGCCAATGTGGAGAAACCCTGTCTCTACTAAAAATACAAAAATTAGCTGAGCGTGGTGGCGGGTGCTTGTAGTCCCAGCTACTTGGGAGGCTGAGGCAGGAGAATCGCTTGAACCCAGGAGGCAGAGGTTGCAGTGAGCCGAGAGCGCACCACTGCCCTCCAGCCTGGGTGACAGAGTGAGGCTCTGTCTCAAAACAGAGAAAAAAAAAAAAAAAGAAACATGTCATGAGTTTGAGTCTGTCTCTTGAAGTCAAAGGCTATTTTCTCAAGTTGATAAGTTGGTTTGAAAAGCCTGATGTACGTGCAACTCAATTAAAAACTTTGAATTTTGCTCCTTTTTTTTTTTTTTTGAGATGGAGTTTCGCTCGTGTTGCCCAGGCTGGAGTGCAATGGCGTGATCTTGGCTCACTGCAATCTCCTCCTCCCGGGTTCAAGTGATTCTCCTGCCTCAGCCTCCCGAGTAGCTGGGACTACAGGCACCCGCCACTATGTCCAGGTACTTTTTTCTCCTGTTTTTAGTAGAGATGGGGTTTTACTATGTTGGCCAGACTGGTCTGGAACTCCTGACCTCAGGCGATCCACCCGCCTTGGCCTCCCAAAGTGCTGGGATTACAGGCGTGAGCCACTGCGCCCGGCTCAAGTTTTGCTCCTTTCTACTTAATGTCCGTAAGTCCCTTCTTTCTCTGTAGTTCACCGGAAGATCAGGTATACATGTGCAGAAAAGAAAATGGGACAGAAGGTGTGACGGCATTGCTCCTGAGACTTTGAGTCTAACTCATTCTGCTTGCCTTGTGTTTCTCCTCCCGGCTCGCCATCCTCACAGCCGTGACTACTTTCAACCAACCAGGCACTCATCTCCATCACCGGACACTTCCAAACGGCTCCAGTGTTTCCATGGATCTGAAAACTGCCTTCAGGTGGGACCAGTACTGCCTCACTCACCAGATGCCCCCCTGCTCCCTGATGGTTAAGGCTGGGTGCTTCACCCACGCGCTGACCTTGGTTTGCTTCTCTGGGCAGACAAGTTTTGCTCTAAATCAATGATCTTCTGATTTAGCGGAAAAGGATATTGCACGCAAGGAAGGAGCTCATAAAGGAACTTAAATGTGGACGTACAAGTTTTGCTCTAAATTGAGGATCTTCTGATTTAGCAGAAAAGGATATTGCACGCGAGGAAGGAGCTCACAACGTAACTGAAATGTGGAGTCTCTTTCACAGAGTGGTGTAGAACTAACAGACCCAGGAAGGGGCACTTCCTGCCCTGATGGGGTGGCTTTTCACTGGGTTTCTTTCTACCAAGTTCTTCTTTTCCCCCACGCTCTTTCAGTTTCTGGTCCCCAAGTTCTGTGTCTGACCTTATGGAGAGTTAAAAAGCAACGAAAACCAAGGCCAAATATAGCAAAAGAAAAGAAGGAAAGAGAACTGAGGGCGCCTGCATTCTCTACATTTCCGGAGATACCCAGATTCCTTGGGTTCTTTTACGTGGAATTTGCTCTTTCCCCATCTGATTTCTCTGACTTCATCTAGGGAACCACAAGATGGGCAGGGGCTGAAGTGGGCCCCTCCCTTAAATCCAAGCCACGTCTGCAGAAGTCAGTGATTTTACAGCTTTCTCTGGAGGAGGAGGGGGGTGCTATTATCCTAACTACTCTTTCCACCTCTGTCTCTTGTTTTAAAAGGTACATCTAAAGCAGAGGGCACGCAAAGGTCGAAAACAAAAGGATGGAGAAAAATATCTGGCCGTAATAATATACTACCCAAAAGACTGTGGTACTTAGGTAAATATTAGACGAAATGGACTTTAAGACAAAAAGCATTAGAAGGCATAGAGTTGGTCTCTGCATAATGGTAATAGGTTCTATTCAGCAAGAAGATACAGCCATTCTATACAGGGATACACTGGGTAAAATATCCCTAGACAGATGAAGCTACAAATGGACAGAACTGCAGGGGAAATTGATAAATAGACCCTTACAATTCTTTCAGTTATTGATAAGCCAATCAGGTGATCAATGAGCAAAGATATGGGAGATCCGCACAAGCCACAACCTTGACCCACATGGAATTCTGCCTTCAGTGCTAGATACACAGAGAGCCCTGACCACCTGCAGACACTAATTGTGTGGTTGCTAGGCCACACAGCAGCCTCCATAAATCTTACAGAACAGGTTTCATACAGCTTTTGTTCTCTGATTACATGGCTATGAAGTTAGAAGCTTCTTGCTCTGCCACCCAGGCTGGAGTGCAGTGGTGCAAATCATAGCTGACTGCGGCCTTGACCTACTGGGCTCAAGTGATCCTCCTGCCCCAGCCTCCCAAATAGCAAGGACCATTGGTGCATGCCACTATGCCTGGATAATTTTTTTTTTTTTTAAGAGATGAAGTCTTGTTATATTGCCCAGGCTGGTCTCAAACTCCTGGCCTCAAGTGATCCTCTTGCTTCGGCCTCCCAGAGTGCTGGGATTATAGGTGTGAGCCACTGGTACCTGGCCAAGTTAAAAGTTAATACAAAAAGGTCAATTTTTAAATGCTCACAAGTTGGGAATTTAAAAACACACTGCTAAATAACTTGTGGATGAGCAAAGAAATCTTAATGCAAGTTGAAAAAGAGTCAAAAGGCGTGAAGTGGGCGGCCTTTCAAACTGGACCCTTCGTCCTTTTAAGGTCGCCATATGAATCTTTGACAATGACCTTGCTTTTTGAGCAAAAACAAAATGTCCCAGGCTTATCACATGCCCTTTGGTCTCAGATGTTGGGTCAGCTGTTTCTACAAGGAATGTTGGTTCCTGTTAGAGGAGGCTGATATTTAGATATCAAAATACAGGTGCAAAGGTGCTCGCTGTCCCTGTAATGTGCACCTAGGACACCCTGGCTTGTCCTTGCTTCTACATCTTTTCAGTAGACACATGCATCTTTTTTTTTTTTCTTTCTTTCTGAGACGGAGTCTCACTCTGTCACCCAGGCTGGAGTGCAAAGGTGCGATCTCAGCTCGCTGCAACCTCTGCCTCCCAGGTTTAAGTGATTCTCCTGCCTCAGCCTCCCAAGTAGCTGGGATTACACGCGCTTGCCACTGCGCCTGGCTAATTTTTGTATTTTTAGTAGAGATGGGGTTTCACCATCTTGGCCAGGCTGGTCTCAAACTCCTGACCTCGTGATTCACCCACCTTGGCATCCCAAAGGGCTGGGATTACAGGCGTGAGCCACTGCGCCTGGCCAGACACATGCATCTTATGAAAATCACAAGTTCATTCTGAGAATTCAAGTGTCACTATTCAGTATTTCATATTTTTATGTTACTATTGAACATTTAAATTTAAAGTCATTTAAATATTAGTTTAATTTAAAAAATCTATTTATTTAACTTAAATGTTTAAAATTTAATATTCAAAAACAAAATCCAGCAAATAAAAACTTTCTAAATTTTACAGTTGTATTTCCTTCCTTTTATAGTGAAAATCTTGTTTCACCTATGATCTACCTTGGCTTGTTTCAAAATAATAATATCAATATTACTTAACACTAGAGCAAAACAAATGTGGCTGCAGTTTTATTTTATTTTAGTGCTCAAAATATGACCCACTAAGAAAGTATGCTCAAAGTCTCATATTCTAAAATTGTGTGGAATATTTCTTAATAATTCTTTTCTTTGTGTGCTTATGCTATCAATTTTATGCACAATTAGGCCCCTTCATTTCAGTTTGGTGCAAATTTTTAGGGATTTACTTATACTGTTTTGTTTATTTATTTTTTCTCTTTTTTTTCCTTCCTTCTTTCCTTCCTTCCTTCCTTCCTTTCTCCCTCCCTCCCTCCCCCACCCCTTCATTCTTTCCTTCTTTCTTTCTTTTTCTTCTTTCTTGAGTTTTGCGCTGTCACCCAGGCTGGAGTGCAGTGGCACAATGATCTTGGCTCGCTGCAGCCCTGACCTCCTGGGCTTAAGTGCTCCTCCTGCCTCAGCCTCCCGAGTAGCTGGGACTACAGCCATGTACCACCACACCCGGCTAACCTTTTACATTTTTTAGTAGAGATGACGTGTTGCTGTGTTGCCCAGGCTGGTCTCGAACTCCTGGACTCAAGTGATCCTCCCACGTTAGCCTCCTAAAGTGCTGGGATTACAGGCATGAGTCATGGAGACTGCCTGTCTTATTTTGTTTTGATTTAATTTTGTTTTTAAAGAAAGCTATTTTAAGTAATTACGTGGTTCCAATAGCAAAATCATGTAACACAGAATATTCAAGGAAGTTGGAATTCCATCTCTGTTCCCTCCACCCATTCCTCCCTGGCCCCATAGGTAACCAGCTGTAATTAGTTGCTGGTTTGAAAAACAGAGGGGGTGTGTGTGTGTGTGTGTGTGTGTGTGTGTGTGTGTGTGTATGTGTGTGTTGAAAGAATGAGAGAGAGAGTGAATCCCTCCCTTTTAAACTCGAAGTCTAACATACTGTGTGAGTCAGGAAAGGCTGTGCTTTCACATAGATTTGATTTGGTAACAGCCCCAAATCTGAGGTGCTTAATCTAACAAAAGGTCATCTCTCACTCACATGGCTTCTCCACCGAGGGTCCGCAGGAGGCATCTCTGCAAGGTCAGAGGCCCCTGCCTACTGCCTTGCCCTCCCGCAGTTGTGCGGGCTGGAGCGCACACCCACGCACTTCCCATGATGGGGAAATGAAAACAGCTGAGACTGTTGGCAGCCTTTGCCAGTTTCCTGAGCCAACACCAACTCTTCCCTCCTCATGCTATTATTGTTAAGTCTCTAATTTTTTGTATTAAGTCTCTCCGAGCTGGAAATGTTAAATCGGTCTCTATTTTCCTGAGCAAACTCTGATGATACAGGTGGAGTCTGGCTCTTATTTTCCCCAATTTGGCATCTTACAATTTCCAACTCTCACGGAGAGAGGGGCGAGTATCTCAGGTCGGGGGGCACCTCTAAGGTTACAGCCATCAGAACAAAGGAGCATTAGCCTCAGCAGACACTCAGATGTATGACAGAGCAGCGCTCGTGGAGATGGCTAAGGCTTTGGGGCAGGAATAGAGAAAGGCCAAGGAATAGACTTGGGAATCTAGGAATAGGTTCAAGTACCCATGGGAACCTGGTGAGTGATGATGTGGCATTGGCTTTCAAATCACAGGCAAAAACTGGATTATTTAACATATCATTTTAGGCAAATTGACAAGCCTTTTCTTTGTCTGAGACGGAGTCTCGCTCTGTCGCCCAGGTCGGAGTGCAATGGTGCGATCTCAGCTCACTGCAACCTCCGCTTCTTGGGTTCAAGTGATTCTTCTACCTCAGCCTCCAGAGTAGCTGGGATTACAGGTGCCTGCCACCACGCCCAGCTAATTTTTTTTTTTTTTTTTTCTGTTGCAGAGTCTTGCTCTGTCCCCCAGGCTGGAGTGAGTGACGTGATGGCCAGACTGGTCTCGAACTTGGTCACATTTTTTTTTTTTTTTGAGACAGAGTCTTGCTCTGTTGCCCAGGCTGGAGTGCAGTAGCACGATCTCAGCAGACTGCAACCTCCACCGCCCCGCCAGGTTCAAGCAATTCTCCTGCCTCAGCCTCCCGAGTAGCTGGGACCACAGGTGCCCACCACCACGCCCAGCTAATTTTTTGTATTTTTAGTAGAGATGGGGTTTCACCGTGTTAGCCAGGATGGTCTTGACCTCCTGACCTCATGATCCGCCTGCTTCGGCCTCCCAAAGTGCTGGGATTACAGGCGTGAGCCACTGCGCCCAGCTGACCACATTCTTTTTAAAAAAATTAGTTCCGCTGCACTCAAGTGATCTTCCTGCCTCAGCCTCCCTAGTAGCCAGGACTACATGCGTGAGCCACTGTGCTTGGCTCAGTTTAAAACATTTTTGTAGAGATGGGATCTCACTTTGTTGCCCAGGCTGGCCTCAAACTCCTGGCCTCAAGCGATCTTCTTGCCTCAGCATCCCAAAGTGTTAGGATTATAGGTGTGAGCCACCACACCCAACAAAAATGTAAGCTTTATGAAGGCAGAAACTTGTTTTTTTATTGCTGAATTTCCAGTACAATCACAGTGCCCAGGACTTGGGGGAAGCCCTGTAACTGTTTGCTGAATGAATCCAGATCATCAAATAAGACATTTGCATGGATAGTCCAGGGATCAGAAAATGTGACTTGCGGGTCAACTTCCGGCCCTCCTCTTGTTATTGTAAATAAAGTTTTACTGAAACACAGCCACGCCTGTTAACTTACTTTTGCACCACGGTGACAGAAGTAAGTAGTTGCAACTGAGACTGTCTGACCTGCGAAGCTGAACACTACTATCTGGCCTTTTACTGAAAAAGCTTGCCCACTTCAGGCCGGGCACAGTGGCTCTTGCCTTTAATCCCAGCACTTAGGGAGGCCAAGATGGGTGGATCACCTGAGGTCAGGAGTTTGAGACCAGCCTGACCAACATGGTGAAACCCCGTCTCTACTAAAAATACAAAAATTAGCCAGGTGTGGTGGTGGGCCCCTGTAATCCCAGCTACTTGGGAGGCTGAGGCAGGAGAATCGCTTGAACCCGGGAGTCGGAGGTTCCAGTGAGCTGAGATCATGCCATTGTACTCCAGCCTGGGTGACAGAGCAAGACTCTGTCTCAAAACAAAACAAAACAAAAGTTTGCCCACTTCTGTATTAGTTGATCAGATCAGCCAGTTTCCTCTAGGAGGGCAGCACTTTGGAGGGAAAAATATGGGATTCATTTTGATTTTTCAACACTTCCTTTTTGACCTCATTCATCATTTATTTAGTCGGACATTATACCGAGACGTCGGATTCTATGGATGGGTAGGGAGCCAGCTAAGCCGGGTAGGGTAGAAAGATGTGTCAATACAGGTCCACAGTCCTTACATGCAACTCCAAAATTCAGAAGTTTTGCAAACTGAAAGTTTTTGGAGCTCTGTTAGCTGCAAAACCTGACCTGAGCTGATGAGAGACTATTTATAATCATTATTTTCCCCACTTACTCTGAATATTCATGTCTTTTGCTGCAGAAATATTAATGGTTTTGATCATGGGGTGCTGCATCCAGATCCCTCAGGGGTTTTAACGCACTACAGAGCAGCTGTGGACGCAATGTATTATCTTTTTGAAAGCTGCAAGATGCTGAATTCTGAAACACATCTGGCCCCAAGTGTTTCAGATAAGACACCTTGGCCTCTAATTGTAACATGACACCATATAGTTATAAGTGAGTTACAAACGGAGGGCTCGACTTTGTACGACTTTGTACACTGGGAGAAGAAAAATCCTATAAAATTGAGGAGGCTTGGGGACTCAGGTGGGCGGCTCTTAGTGGGCATCTGGTCACTAAGTATATATTAGACATTCAGAAATGTTTGGGGAGATGACAGAGGAAGGGAGGGAGAGTTCCAGAATAAGCTAGAAAAATCAAAAGCAAATTTCTCATTTTTCCTAGGGCTGACCCTATCTTAGGCCCCTTCTGTTATGAGTTGAACTCATTCACCTCCCAGTGAAATTGTGCCACTTCTGTGATGTTGATGTCTTTCTGACCCTTTCTGTGATCTTTTCTTTTTGACTGATGTCCCCTTCCCTAGATATCTAGTATCCTCGTGTTGGAGGCACTCCCCTACATTTCCGGTTCTGGTTCTGGTGAGGACACTGTAATGACAGAGCTCCCTGTCCCCGGCCTCCTATATCACTAGCTCAGGTGTCAACACAAGGTGTGTACTGATTGGAGAGGGCAGGTCACATGTCTCTGCTTGAGTTGCAAAGGAAGCTGGGAAAATGAGGTCTAGCATTTTCAGGCCTGGTCGTGGGAGCAGTCTTTACCACTCCATGTGGATCCCCTCCCCCAACTCCCCAAGAAGATGAGAACTTGTCAAATGCTAAGAGGGGTTAAGATACTGGGCAAGGCTGGGCGTGGTGGCCCACACCTGTAATCCCAGCACTTTGGGAGGCCGAGGTGGGTGGATCACAAGGTCAGGAGATCGAGACCATCCTGGCTAACATGGTAAAACCCCGTCTCTACTAAAAATACAAAAAATTAGCCAGGCGAGGTGGCGGGCGCCTGTAGTCCCAGCTACTTGGGAGGCTGAGGCAGGAGAATGGCATGAACCCGGGAGGCTGAGTTTGCAGTGAGCCGAGATCGTGCCACTGCACTCCAGCCTGGGTGACAGAGCAAGACTCTGTCTAAAAAAAAAGAAAAGAAAAAAAAGATACTGGGCATGTAGGATGAATGACACATTGGCCAATGTGTTGGAGAAGTAGAATGATTGTAAAACAAAATGGAGCTAGAAAACCAATGAAATCATGGAAATTCCAAAATGATCTATTGTTTGGATTGTGTTTTCTATGCATTTAGGCCAATCTTTGCATTTTATTCTATCCTCAACTTGGGATTAAATTATACTTTCAGAAGCTAGTCATTTTTTATGTACTGATTGAATGACTTCATTGAGTTGAAAGAACATTCAGCTAGCTGCCTTTAATTGCTTTTTCCCTTTAAATCAAAGGTGCTGAGATTCAGGCCTAGGTCTGCTCCAAATTAAGTGATTATATGTTGTTGCCTTCATACTCTCCTCTAGTAAATAGGCTATTCACTTCCCCTCCTAAAAGTAATGACCCATTCACAGAGGTAATACCTGCCGGCCGGGCGCGGTGGCTCACGCCTGTAATCCCAGCACTTTGGGAGGCTGAGGCAGGCAGATCACAAGGTCAGGAGTTTGAGACCAGCCTGGCCAATATGCTGAAACCCCATCTCTACTAAAAATACAAAAATTAGCTGGGCATGGTGGCGTTTGCCTGTAATCCCAGCTACTCGGGGGCTGAGGCAGGAGAATCACTTGAACCTGGGAGGCAGAAGTTGCAGTGAGCCAAGATCGTGCCACTGCACTCTAGCCTGGGCGAGAGGGCGAGACCCCCACCTCAAAACAACAACAACAAAAACACACATCTGGCATCCTGAGTGTTTGGCTTCCTGGGGAGAGGTGCATTTTCATAGTGTAGGCAGCTCCCTTAGAATTCTTATTAAAAGGATCAAACTAAAGGATAGAGAGAGATAACGGGAATGGCTGCCAGGATAAAGTAGGAAAAGTGATGTCTGTAATCGAGTTGCTTTTCTGTTTGCTGAATTTGATTCATTAAAAATGGAGAGTGATTCAGCACCTATTCTATGTAGAGCTTTACTACCACGGCAGCATAATCTCTCTCTATCTATCTATGGCATAAGGTCAGGGCTGTTGAGATCTGTCTCTCTCTTTTTGTTTCTCTCTATGTATCTATCTATGTATATATATATATATATATATATATATATATATATATATATATATATATGTATCTATCTATCTATTATCTATCTATCGTCTATCTGTCATCTATCTATCTATCTATCTACCTACCTACCTACCTACCTACCTACCTACCTACCTCTATGGCATAAGGTCAGAGCTGATGAGATCTCTCTCTCTCTCTCTTTTCCCTCTATGTACCTGCCTATCATATCTATCTATCTATCTATCTATCTATCTATCTATCTATCATCTATCATTTATCTATGTCTATTGCATAAGGTCAGGGCTATTGAGATCTCTCTCTCTCTCTCTCCATATCTATCTATGTATCTATCTATGGCATAAGATCAGGGCTCTTGAGTTCTCTCTCTCTCTATGTACCTGTCTGTCTATCTCTCTCTCTCTGGCATAAGGTCAGAGCCACTGAGATCTCTCTCTCTCTCCATGTAGCTGTTTATCTATCTATCTATCTATCTATCTATCTATCTATCTATCTATCTATCTTCTATCTATATCTATCTATCTATCTCTATGTATCTATGTATGCATATATGTATCTATATGTATGTATGTATGTATTTGTCTATCTGTATGTATTTATGTATGTATGTATGTATCTATCTATCTATCTGTCTGTCTATCTATGGAATAACGTCAGGGTTGTTGAGACCTTTCTCTCCCTCTCTCTCTGCATATATATGGTACTGTCAGAGAGGACTGGAGGGGCATAGGTGAGAAGGAGGTTGTAGGTGAGAGGCAAAGCTCAAGCAGAGAGAGAGAGGTAAAAATGAAAAAAAAAACAAAAAAACCCAGCCATGACTGAGGACAATGGTGATGTCTCAGTCGGTCCGTGTTAGGTGTATGGATCCGTGCCAATTGTCACAGCTTTGGGAGGAACTGCTTCTTGTAGAATTAAAATCCTTTGAAATGCAGTTTCTTGGGCACCTTGAAAAGCAGAGAACATAAGTGGCTATCATGAAATGCAATCTAGTTAGAATAAATTGTCCAGGAATGAAGGTGAATTAGCTGCAGAGACGCCGACTGGTAGGGCCTGCCCGATTTGGTGACTGCCATCTGCTCTATTATCAGGTGATAATTATTCGAAATGACCTCTCAGCCCATCTCTAGGCTAGTACAGAAGAGTGACGATATTCCCCAATCGAGTTAAAAAACCGTTTTGTGTCTGAATTCCGTTTGAATGAAGGGAACTCAGAATTGACAGGGGGTAGATGGAGACAGCTGGAGGCCTGGGTGAGGCTGGGGGCTTAGGAGCTGACTGTTCTCAGGGAAACTTTCACTGCAACATCTCCTAGAGGCGAGGACTTCGATAAATGGCGAAAAGGAATGAAGAATCCATGCAGGTGTCACAAAAGAGAGAAGGAAGAAAGCCAAGGCCTCCCTTGTCACCGTCGCTATCCATTTCTGCCCCTGTGAGCAAGATCCCATTGTCTTCTGCAAACATCACCTCCCCTCTGGGGCCCACATTCCTTATCTTTCCTAATTGTGAACATTATCCAAGGAGTAATCTTGAATGTGAGTACTTTTGATAATCTTCTTTTCCTTGAAGACCTCTGGTGTTTTTAAGACAGTTTGTTTTCCTTGAGACAGGGTCTTGCTCTGTTGCCCAGGCTGGAGTGCAGTGGTGTGATCTCAGCTCACTGCAACCTCCGCCTCCCAGGCTCAAACGATCCTCCTGCCTCAGCCTCACAAGTAGCTGGGACTACAGGCTCGCAGCCACCACGCCCAGTTAATTTTTGTATTTTTAGTAGAGACGAGGTTTCACCATGTTGACCAGGCTGGTCTCCATCTCCTGAGCTCAAATGATCCGTCTGCCTTGGCCTCTCAAAGTGCTGGGATTACAGGCATGGTGAGCCACTGCACCCAGCCAGAGAGAACTGTTTTTTTTTGTTTGTTTTTTTTTTTTTTTTTTTTTTTGAGACAAGGTCTTGCCCTGTCGCTCAGGCTGGAGTGCAGTGGTGCAATCTCTGCTCACTGCAGCCTCTGCCTCCTGGGTTCAAGCAATTCTCTCACCTCAGCCTCCAGAGTAGCTGGGACTACAGGTGTGCACCACCATGCCCAACTAATTTTTTGTAGAAACGGGGTTTCACCATGTTGGCCAGGCTGGTCTCGAACTCCTGGCCTCAAGTGATCTTCCTGCCTCAGCCCTCCAAAGTGCTGGGATTACAGAGCCACCACACCCAGCCTTCATACTTCACCTACTGCATGTTGAAGCCTTGGAAGTCTACAGCTCCCGTAGTGAACTCAGTTCCCGTCCTGGATCTCCACCCATTTGCAAGGCATTTCTGCTTAGGGCCCCTTCCCTTGTCTCAAACTCAAAATGTCCCAAACAATGGAGGTCAGCCGCCCAGCCCATTTATTATTTTTATCTATTTCCGTCAAGGGTACCACTATTCTCAGTCATGGGGCTTTGAGATTCCTCTTCTCCTATCTGTTGACTTGTGCATTCAAACATCCAGGAACATAACTTTTATTTTTAAAATCTTCCTTGAGGCCAGGCACGGTGGATCACATCTGCAATCCCAGCACTTTGGGAGGCTGAGGCAGGAGGATCACTTGAGCCCTGGAGTTTGAGACCAGCATGGGCAACTTAGCAGGACTCCAACCCTACTAAAAATAAAATAATTAGCCAGTGTGGTGGTGCGTACCTGTGGTCACAGCTATTCTGAAGGCCAAGGCAGGAGGATCGCTTGATCCCAGAGATGGAGGCTGCAGTGAGCTATGATTGCACCACTGCACTCCAGCCTGGGTGACAGACAGAGACTCTGTCTCAAAAATAAAAAATAAAAAATAAAATTCTATCTTGAGTTTATCTTTTCCTTAAAAAAACCTTTTTTATTAGGGTACAAGATAGACACCCACTGAAATGTACCAGAGAAAGTGTACGTCGTGTGTGCATGTGTGTGTGTAACTCTTACCCCACTAAAAAATTTACAACATCCCCATGATCCCAAAAGTAAGCCTCCCTTGGCTTCTAGCCTGTCAATATCTGACCCTAGAGGGAGCTGTACTAAGGTGGTTCACATCAACACAGATCAGTTCTCCTGTCTCACATTTTACATGAATGAAACCTCACACTGCACTATTTTGTGTCTGGTCAACAGAATATTGACTTATAAGATTCATGCATGATACTGCTTGTAGCATTCTTTTTTATTGCTCTATAATATTCCATTGTCTAATATGTGATAGTTGATGTATCCATTCAGTTTTTTTTTTTTTTTTTGAGACAGTATCTCACTTTGTCATCCAGGCTGGAGTGCAGTGGCACGATCTTGGCACACTGCAACCTCCGCCTCCTGGGTTCAAGCGATTCTCCTGCCTCAGCCTCCCAAGCAGCTGGGATTACAGGTGCTCGCCACCATGCCCAGCTAATTTTTGTATTTTTAGTAGAGACAGGGTTTCACCATGTTGGCCAGGCAGGTCTCGAACTCCTGACCTCAAGTGATCCGCCCGCCTCGGCCTCCCAAAGTGCTGGGATTACAGGCATAAGCCACCATGCCCAGCCTCCATTTAGTTATTAATGGACATTTGGGTTGTTTTAGGTTTGGGGCTGCTATGAATAAAGTTGGTCTGAACATCATAGTTTGTGCTTTTGGCAGGCAAATGCACTTATTTCTCTAGTAACAGAGTTGCTGGGTAGGTATATGCCTCATTTGTACTGGGGGGATTTTAATTTGTGAGGGAATGTCCTAGAGAAGGCAATGCCATTGAAAGAAGTATTTATTATTTACATTCCCAAGAGAAGGAGGCACGCTGTGGCACGCCATGCCACACCCCTGCACCACGTCATGCCATGCTGCACCACGCCACACCATGCCACGCAGGGTCCCACAGGGAGCACCAGATTTGGTCAGGGGGCAGCAGCAGGAGCAGGGGGAAGGCCTGGGTCAGTCTTTTATTTACCTGTTCATTGACTTATTTATTTTTTGAGACAGAGTCTCGTTTTGTCACCAGGCTGGAGTGCAGTGGGACGATCACAGCTCACTGCAGCCACTACTTCCCTGGGCTCAGGTGATCCTCCCACTTCAGCCTCCCAGGTAACTGGGACGACAGGCAGGCTAATTACCATGCCCGGCTAGTTTTTGTATTTTTTTTTGTAGAGATGGGGTTTCGCCATGTTGCCCAGGCTGCTTTCACACTCGTGACCTCAAGCGATCTTCCTGCCTTGGCCCCCTCAAAGTGCTGGGATTGCAGGACTGAGCCACTGGGCCCGCGTAGGTCATAGTCTTGATTGGGGTTTCTGAGGGAGGGACTAGGTAGGTCAGAGTCCACAGTTCAGGACTGGCTATTTGAATAATCCTGGCGGGTTCCGTGCTCTAGGGGTGGTCGCTAGTTGCCTGGTACCTGGTCCTGGGGTGATTTAGGGCAGGAGAAACAGTGGCTTGGTGTGTGGGTGTTAGATAAAGGAGGGAGTCAGCTTGGGTAGGAGAGGCATGTCTGTAGCTCAGTTGTTCTCCATCTTTAGGAGTCAGCTAGCTCTTGGGAAGGGCAGTCTCTCCCTGGCCAGCAAGATTTTCAAGATGTAAACATGATAAGACACAGAAAATTCAAAACACGATGAGGATGGAAGGCATCAGGATTCCTGTTTTTCTTTCCATGTGGATGTCTAAAGACTCCAGCGTCATTTATTGCAAAGACCCTTCTGTCCGTTTGGAATGGCCGTGGTGCCATTGTTAATGAAGTGACGGTCTGTGTGTGGGTCTGAGTCAGGACTCTCGGCTCAGCCTCCCTGGTCTCTCTGTCTTTGTGTCAATAGCGTGCTGAGATCCTTGCCATAGCTTCAGTGAAAGTCTATATTCAGATCTTACTTTATCCAGCCAACCTCATCTCCCACAATTCTGCAAAATAAACTCTCTAGTTTAGTGAGGCCAGCTTTTTAAATGTTTTCCTATTTGCCTTTTTGTTTTCATGTTTAGAAATCAAAACAAGCTGGGCTCAGTGGCTCATGCCTGTAATCCCAGCACTTTGGGAGGCCGAGGCAGGAGGATCACGAGGTCAGGAGATTGAGACCATCCTGGCTAACAAGGTGAAACCCCCATCTCTACTAAAAATACAAAAAAAAAAAAAATTAGCTGGGTGTGGTGGCGGGTGCCTGTAGTCCCAGCTACTTGGGAGGCTGAGGCAGGAGAATGGAGTGCACCCGGGAGGCGGAGCTTGCAGTGAGCTGAGATCGCGCCACTACACTCCAGCCTGGGTGACAGAGCGAGACTCTGTGTCTCAAAAAAAAAAAAAAAAAAAAAAAAAGAAACCAAAACAAAAAATGGCTTGAGTGCAAATATTAAACGACTGAACACTGTTGTGCTCTGGTTGGGGCTGAAGTGAGAGATGGGGGTGCCGAAGCTGACCCCCTTGGCTCCCCTCTGGCCTCATGTCCATCATTCATTCACTCAGTCGTGTCCATTCCATTTGTATTTATTGAGTGCATACTATGTGCCAGGCCCCCTGTGCAAAGCAACAGGAAAACAGCAGTCTCCTTAAAGCTTCCAGCTTAAAGGGGGAGCCCTGTAAAAAGGTGTTGTAAACCGCAAACAAATCATATATTAAAATCATATATGGTAATTAGTAAGTCATAATTGCAGATTGTGAACAGGGCTATGAGGAAAACACAATG
This sequence comes from Homo sapiens, assembly GCF_000001405.40. Lineage (NCBI taxonomy): Eukaryota > Metazoa > Chordata > Mammalia > Primates > Hominidae > Homo > Homo sapiens. The sequence continues at coordinate 4,448,067 of NC_000007.14, read as the reverse complement.
CAGAGAAAGAGAGCAATGAGAGTGAAACTCCTTATGTAAGTGTTCTGGGATGGCTTCACAAGCCAAGGCCTGGAGGCTGAGAAGGAGCCGGCCTTGCAAAAGAAAAGCTTGCTCTCAGCTGGGAAGTCCATGCACCTGCAAAAGTCTCAAGGCAGGTCCCCAGTGGATGTATTCCAAAAACTAAAGACAGGAGCCCACACAGCTGCAGTGATAAGGCTTAAATAGTGGATTCATCTAGAACTGATTTCTTCAGAGGTTGTAAGTTCTCGGAACATAAGGACTGGGTCCAGTGACTTTTTTTTTTTCTCAAATAATTTGCTATAGCAAGAAGAGCACAGTGTGATGATTATGAAGTATTTGTGGAACGGAGTTATCAACACGTTGTCAGAAACTAGAGGTGCATGACCGGAAAGGCTGGTAAGCCCACTTGTGCCTTTTTCCACTGGTGAATTATTTTTCTTGTTTCGATCTTGGAAAAAGAACAAAATCAAGTGAATAGCTTTCCAGGAGCATGCCCTGAACTTTACAGTTTATATTTCAAGATTTAACATCACTCATTCGTAACTTCTTTGTTCGTGTATGAGGTCATGGTGCTCTTCATTACCTTTTAGGTACATTGAAGAAAGTAAATGAGTAAGTAAGTAACAATGATAACGTCTTCTGAACCTGGGTGGGTAATAATGAAATACTGGCTGTTATTGGGCCATATGTTTGGCTGCAAACCGCTGTTTTTATCATTAACTCATTCAATAATGGGAGATGTAAAGAAAGCACTGGGAAGAGATGTCATATAATTAACGACACCATGGGCCAAGGTGGCGAATCAATGGACATGCTCACCGTATATAAAGTAGCCAGAGATGATCAGATGATCATCTGTACCATTGGGACTGTGGACTCCAGAGCATCTACACTTGCTCCCATCACTGCTCCATCCTTCTTGGCAATGTGACCATGACTCAGTTTCTTCATTCATAATGGGAAGCTTTTACTATTACCCACCTTATAGGATATGTGGTGGACATTATATGATATAATGGGGACTGTGGGCTGAACCTGATCTGCCATTTGTTCCTGTACAGCCTGTGAGCTAAGAGTGGCTTTTTTTTTTTTTTTTTTTTTTGAGATGGTGTCTTGCTCTGTCACCCAGGCTGGAGTGCAATGGCATGATCTCGCCTCACAGCAACCTCCACCTTCCAGGTTCAAGAGATTCTCCTGCCTCAGCCTCCTCAGTAGCTGGGATTACAGGTGCGTGCGACTATGCCCGGCCAATTTTTGTATTTTTGGTAGAGACCAGCTTTCACCATGTTGGTCAGGCTGGTCTCGAACTCCTGACCTCATGACCCGCCCTCCTCGGCCTCCCAAATAAGAGTGGTTTTTTACATTTTTAAATGCTTGGGGGGAAAATAAGAGAAGGATAATATTTTGTGACATGTGTAAATTAGATGAAATTCAATTTCGCCGTCCATGAAAAAGGTTTCATTGGGACATCCACGCTCATTCATTTCCATGTTGTCAATGGCTGCCTTTGCGCGACGGTGGTAGGGTTGGGCACCTGCCACAGGGATCACGTGGCTGGCAAAAGTTGGCTGAACTCTGGGATAATGCCCAGAAAGAGCTTATCACAACAACTGGTCGTATGTCAGCTATGAAAATAATGTATTAACAAAAATGTACATAATCCTTTGGGTTAAGAAAGTAAATTGGTTTCTTTCCCCCCATCCTTTGTCCTCCCTTTAAGATCTTTTTATTCTCATTACAGTTATTCTTTGGGGGAGAGAGGAATATCCCAAGAGGTAGCTGAGATTGAATTTTCGTCACCTTGAAAAGAGGGCACTGGGAGTCAGCTTTTTATGATTTAGAAAAATAAATCAAGGTGATGTTTCTTGCACCTGTGCATTCTAGAACAAACCTGGTGTTTGTGTATGTATGTATGTATGTGCATGTATGTGTGCACGCACATGTATGTGTGTATGTGTGTGCATGTATGTGTGTGCACATGTATGTATGTGTGCATGCATATGTATGTGTGCATATACATGTGTATGTGTGTGCATGTATGTGTGTATGCATGCATATGTATGTGCATATGTGTGCACATATGTGTGTGCATATGTATGTGTGCACATGTGTGTATATGTATGTGCAGAGGTATGTGTATGTGTGTGTGCATGTGTGTGCGTGTGTGCAGATGTATGTGTGTACATATGTGTGTATGTGTGCATATGTGTGTCTGCATGTCTCTATGTTTTGTGTTTGTGTATGTATGTGTGTCTGTGTCCACATGGCTCACTCCCATGAACAACCATAATTCTTCCTCCCCTTCTTCTAGTCCTATCAGCTGGGCTTGGAAGTTACTTATTTTCTCCTGCTTGAAATAGATGTTTTTTATTTGACTCCTCAAACATCGGTTTCTCTCCTCCTACCTCGCTGGCCTCTCCTCAGCAACTCCTTCTGGTTCCTCCTCACTTTCTCAGATTTCAGTGTTGCTGCGCCCCAGGGCTGAGCCTCTGGGGCCCCCTCTCCTGTGTCTGGGTTCCCCACATCATCTCATCTCCTGGCTTGCAGCTGGAAACAGCATCCTCATGCTGGTGCCTCTCAGCTTACGTCTCTCGGCTGGATTTTTCTCCTGAGCCCCAGATGCTGACATTCGACCAACTCTACCTGGATATATCTCAACACTCTCCTGTCCAAAGTGAACTCCTGGTCTTCTCTCCACAGACCCGTTCCTCTCTCAGCCTTTCCTACATCTGTAAATGCCAGCTCCATCTTTCTCATGCCCTCTCTTTTCCTCATAACCCATGTCCAATTTGACTTAAATTCCATTGGTTCCACCTTCAGAAAACTTGAAAAGTCTGGCCTTATTTTACCGTTTCCTCCACTACCACCACGGTGGAAGCTATACTCGCTTCTCACTCAGATGATGTCAGTGGTCTCCTCACCGGTCTCCTAGCCCCACCTCTCAATCATCTATTCCGAAAACAGCAGCCAGATAAATCCTTCTATAACACAATTCAGATGACATCACTCTTGTATTCAAAACTCTGCAGTGATTCCCCTTCTCATTGAGAATAAAGGCTAAAGGTCTTACTTGCTTGCAACCCAAAATAATTGAAATGATTAGAACACAGTTTAAAGTAGTTTACTCAAGTGAAAAGCTGAGACTTGCCATTCAGGTGATGCAGACTCCAAAGGAATGGGGTCAGCGCTCTGACATTAAAAGCTAAGGTCTTGCTTATATTGGCAGAAAACAAAGAAATTTAGTAAGACTATAACGCTTCCCATACAAGGCTGTCTTACAAGTTACCACGTAGTTACATTTTATTTTATTTTCCATACAGCTTCTTTTCTTTTCTTTATAGCTTGTTTTAATTTCATTTCCAATTTCAAACAGTATATTTAACATTCCATCTTAGGTACTGTAAGAGTCATGGAGTCTTCATGTCAGAGAGGAAAGAGGAAAATTAATCTACAATGAAGATCAACAATTAAGAGGGAAGGGGTCCTCCCTGGTGATCCCCCCCGCCCCCCCACTTTTTTTTTTTTTTTACAAAACAATGTAGGTAAGGAAAAAAAGGCTAATCTATAACCAGAGAAAGAAAGGTTACAGCTGCAGCTGTCTAGGTTATAGCTGCCTGTTTATGTGACTCAGGTCCCATGATCACATTTCCTTAAGGCTCAAAGTGTTTTACAGTTCTAGCAGCTTAATTTTGAACTACATATTTTCACATTATGATGCCACGTAATCTGGTTCTGGTTTTCTTTCTGGCCCTGTCTCCCAGCTCTTCCCCTTGCCCCTGCCATGCTGGCCACCTTACTGTTCCTTGAAATACCAGGCAGGTTTCCACTTTGAAGCTCTCTCTTCCTGGAAGTCTCTTCCTCTAGAAAGCTGCAGTTTCTTCTGTCATTACTTTCATGATTCAGCTTAAATGTCACCTTACTCAGGAGGCTTTCCTCTATAAAATAACAAGATTCTCTGTTCCCACCATTCTAGCTCTTTAACTCTCTTATCCTGCCTCACTTTTCTCCACGGCACTTATCAGACAGAAAATATTTATCACTAGCCTTCTCTCATTAGCCCCATCAAGCAGGGGCATTGTCTGTTTTGTTTATCTTGTTTCTCCAATGTCTAAAACAGAAGTTGGCTCATAGCAGGTGCTCAATGAGTATTTGTTGAATGAGTGAATGATACTAAAGAAATCCAAATAAATCCATATTTACTAGAAATATAGTTTGACTCCTCCAGCTAATAGACATTGTCAGAATGAATACAAAACCAAAATCCAACTATGTGTTATCTATTAAAATACATACATGTATTTTAATAGATACATGTATCTATGTATGTATCTATGTATGTATCTATGTATGTATTATGTACGTATGTATAATACATGTATGTATTATGTATGTATGTTATAATACATGTATGTATTTTTACATGTAACGACACATGCACCATCACATACATGTAACGACACATAAACGTATCATCACATACATGTAACGACACGTACACGTATCATCACATACATGTAATGACACGTACACGTATCATCACATACATGTAATGACACGTACACGTATCATCACATACATGTAATGACATGTACACGTATCATTACATACATGTAATGACAAAGTTTGAGAGTAAAAGGATAAAAAATTATAACAGTGGTGTTGCTATATTAATATTGGATAAAATAGATTTTAGTGGAGGGATAAAAAATGTTGGTGAAGGGGTGCTAAAATACATTTAGAAGGAATAAATTTTAGATTTTACAGTACAGTAGGGAAATAATAAAGAATGATAATTTATAGTATACTTCAGAAGCTAGAAGAGAAGGTTCGTAATGTTCCCAACCCAAAGAAAAGACATGTTTCAGGTGATGAATGTCCCAATTATCCTGATTTGATCATTACACATTGTATACAGATACCAAAATATAACACCCCAACATATCTACACCTATTATATATCAATTAAAAATTTTTAAAATAAAATAAAATAGGCTTTAAGACAAAAATCCAAAGAGAATTACTATATTATGATAAAATTTCTTCTCTTGAAATGAATGTCAATTATAAATTTGTATGCACCTAATAATCCAACTTCAAAAATCTACAGAGCAAAGATTAAGAAATCTACAACTAATAATGGACACATCCATCAAAAAAATAGGAGTTTTTAACTTACCTCTCAAGCAGACAAGAGAAAATCAGTAGGATATAAAAAGAACATAATTAACAATCTTGTTATAATAAACATATACAGAATGCTTTGTACAAATCTGGACTTAAAAAAATTCCAGCATGTATCCCAATGTTTCAGTTAAGGCAGTGGTTTACTACCCTACCAGATCCCTTTTGACAGCAAATATTCTGTAATTTTAAAAAAGTTATCTTAAGATGAATTTGATATATATCCAAAGCAAGTTTCATTTTTCTTCCCTCAATAATATAATCAATAAATGTAATCCAGCATATAAACAGAACCAAAGACAAAAACCACATGATTATCTCAATAGATGCAGAAAAGGCCTTTGACAAAATTCAACAACCCTTCATGCTAAAAACTTTCAATAAATTCGGCATTGATGGGACGTATCTCAAAATAATAAGAGCTATCCATGACAAACCCACAGCCAATATCATACTGAATGGGCAAAAACTGGAAGCATTCCCTTTGAAAACAGGCACAAGACAGGGATGCCCTCTCTCACCACTCCTATTCAACATAGTGTTGGAAGTTCTGGCCAGGGCAATTAGGCAGGAGAAGGAAATAAAGGGTATTCAATTAGGAAAAGAGGAAGTCAAATTGTCCCTGTTTGCAGACGACATGATTGTACACCTAGAAAACCCCATTGTCTCAGCCCAAAATCTCCTTAAGCTGATAAGCAACTTCAGCAAAGTCTCAGGATACAAAATCAATGTACAAAAATCACAAGCATTCTTATACACCAATAACAGACAAACAGAGAGCCAAATCATGAGTGAACTCCCATTCACAATTGCTTCAAAGAGAATAAAATACCTAGGAATCCACCTTACAAGGGATGTGAAGGACCACTTCAAGGAGAACTACAAACCACTGCTCAATGAAATAAAAGAGGATACAAACAAATGGAAGAACATTCCATGCTCATGGGTAGGAAGAATCAATATCGTGAAAATGGCCATACTGCCCAAGGTAATTTATAGATTCAATGCCATCCCCATCAAGCTACCAATGACTTTCTTCACAGAATTGGAAAAAACTACTTTAAAGTTCATGTGGAACCAAAAAAGAGCCCACATCACCAAGTCAATCCTAAGCCAAAAGAACAAAGCTGGAGGCATCACACTACCTGACTTTGAACTATACTACAAGGCTACAGTAACCAAAACAGCATGGTACTGGTACCAAAACAGAGATATAGATCAATGGAACAGAACGGAGCCCTCAGAAATAACGCCGCATACCTACAACTATCTGACCTTTGACAAACCTGAGAAAAACAAGCAATGGGGAAAGGATTCCCTATTTAATAAATGGTGCTGGGAAAACTGGCTAGCCATATGTAGAAAGCTGAAACTGGATCCCTTCCTTACACCTTATACAAAAATCAATTCAAGATGGATTAAAGACCTAAACGTTAGACCTAAAACCATAAAAACCCTAGAAGATAACCTAGGCATTACCATTCAGTACACAGGCATGGGCAAGGACTTCGTGTCTAAAACACCAAAAACAATGGCAACAAAAGCCAAAATTGACAAATGGGATCTAATTAAACTAAAGAGCTTCTGCACAGCAAAAGAAACTACCATCAGAGTGAACAGGCAACCTACACAATGGGAGAAAATTTTTGCAACCTACTCATCTGACAAAGGGCTAATATCCAGAATCTACAATGAACTCAAACAAATTTACAAGAAAAAAACAAACAACCCCATCAAAAAGTGGGCAAAGGACATGAACAGAAACTTCTCAAAAGAAGACATTTATGCAGCCAAAAAACACATGAAAAAATGCTCACCATCACTGGCCATCAGAGAAATGCAAATCAAAACCACAATGAGATATCATCTCACACCAGTTAGAATGGCAATCATTAAAAAGTCAGGAAACAACAGGTGCTGGAGAGGATATGGAGAAATAGGAACACTTTTACACTGTTGGTGGGACTGTAAACTAGTTCAACCATTGTGGAAGTCAGTGTGGCGCTTCCTCAGGGATCTAGGACTAGAAATACCATTTGACCCAGCCATCCCATTACTGGGTATATACCCAAAGGACTATAAATCATGCTGCTATAAAGACACATGCACACATATGTTTATTGTGGCACTATTCACAATAGCAAAGACTTGGAACCAACCCAAATGTCCAACAATGATAGACTGGATTAAGAAAATGTGGCACATATACACCATGGAATACTATGCAGCCATAAAAAATGATGAGTTCATGGCCTTTGTAGGGACATGGATGAAATTGGAAATCATCATTCTCAGTAAACTATCGCAAGAACAAAAAACCAAACACCGCATATTCTCACTCATAGGTGGGAATTGAACAATGAGAACACATGGACACAGGAAGGGGAACATCACACTCTGGGGACTGTTTTGGGTTGCAGCGGGGAGGGATAGCATTGGGAGATATACCTAATGCTAGATGACGAGTTAGTGGGTGCAGCGCACCAGCATGGCACATGTATACATATGTAACTAACCTGCACATTGTGCACATGTACCCTAAAACTTAAAGTATAATAATAATTAAAAAAAAATCAATTTAAAGCCCTTACTATGATACAACAGAGAAGTAAAGGGAAACAAATTAAGATAAAATAAATATTGGAATGTGTAAATGCTCAGGTGGGCCTATTCTAGAAGATAAAGGAAGAAGTCAGATGCATCTATGTGTAGAACTACGCTTGTGACAGATACAAATGCAAACGAATAGAGACGTATTGTATTGGCAACTCTATTTATTATGATTAGCATTGCCACTGGTGATATGGTTTTTCCGAAAAGGTTAAACAGAAAACCTCCTGGTAAAATTCCAAAAAATAGTAGCACAATCGTCCCACTGAATTTACCTTCCTGGAAATTCAAGTGTATTAAAACCACGCAAACATACTTTGTGTTTACACATAAATCTGAGTTTCATCTAAGTGTAGATAATTATGAAGAGGTTTTTCATCTTCTTATCATGTCAATGTCGGTGAGAACATTACAAAGTCATGAGAAATTTGCAGAAATCTCTTGTCCACTGCGGAGCACCTAGTGTCTCTGAGCCCACCTACTAAGTGCCTCCAATCTTGTGACAAGAAGTGTTTCCAGCAATTTTCAAAATGCTGCCTGGGATAAGGACTGTCCCTACAGAGAACCACTGAGCTGGGTCATCCCTCTTGAGACCTGTCTAACGGGAAAACAGCGGATCAGCCTAGAACTCCACGTTCTTGGAAGAAATGCACCATATCAGCTGCCTGAATGATGGCCCAGCTGCCTAGTCTTTCAGAATTCCTAAGCAGCATCTTGTCTAAAACATAAGCTGGATTTCTATTGACGGAAACTTCTTTCTATGCCCCTCAAAGCTGTACCAAATGTTAAGGTACAAATCACGTTGTGAATGATTATTAGCCAAATAAAGGGTAAGAATCATACCAGAGAAAAGTTAGTTAGCTTGAGAAAAAGCTATAGATATATATAGATAATTGTGAATAGGTTTTTCATCTTAACTTATTAATGTCAATGGAACATTACAAAACTGTGGAGGATTTGCAAAAGTGTCTTGTCCAATGCAGGACATCTAGCATCTCTGAGCCCATCTACTAAGTGCCCCCGGTCAAGTAACACATGCTCTCTATGTATCTGTGTATATATCTATCCTATCTATCTATCTATCTATCTATCTATCATCTATCTAATCTATCTATCTACCTATTATCTATCATCTATCTAATCTACCTATTATCTATCATCTATTTAATCTACCTATTATCTATCATTTATCTATCACCTATCTTTCTATCTAATCTGTATATCATCTATCTAAACTATCATCTATCTAATCTATCTATCATCTGTCTAATCTATGCTTCATCTTTTTATCTAATCTATATATCATCTATCAAATCTATCTATCTAATCTAGCTCCCTATCATCTATCTATCTATCTAATCTATCTATCATCTGTCTATCATTTATCTTATCTATCTATCCATCATCTGTCTACCTACTATTTATAATCTATTTATCTATCAATCAATAAATCACCTATCTAATGTATCTATCTATCTATCTATCTATCTATCTATCTATCATCTCTCTATAGCTTTACTCTTGCAAACATGGACTTAAATATAAACGTAGATTACAAATAATTTTTATCTCTTTGTAAACAGAGTTCAGTGAGGCCTCTCTGTCAATGGTTGATTTCTAAATGTATATCAGGTTAATAAAACTACATTACTTCCCAAATGTCTCAAAATGACACTTCCCACTGCTTTAGGACCTGACTTTCTTTCTAATCAGTCCAGAGGATTGAGTTTCTGCTGCCTGGTCCATGGAATCTGGGACTTTATCTTCAAATGACCTTCCAGATCTGGGAGGTGTCATGTTGTGAGGTGCAAATACGGTTGGTTTTGGTATTTTTGCAAAAACTTTCTCTTCTTGGGTTTTTCTTTATTTGTGGGAATGTTACTTGGCCATCTGGGACTTTTCAAAGGTGAATATCTCCGGGCTGTGTTCCTCTGACACTCTTTGAACTATTATGGCTTATTAAAAAGTTACCGCTTAAAAGTTTCTATTCCTTTTCCTAAAACATCTGTTTTCAATAACTCAGGCTTCCTTCGGAAATTTGAAATTCTATGATTTTAGGCTTTCCAAAAATAGGTTCGCTGCAGCTGCCTTTCAGACTCATGGCAGCCTTCTTCAGGATGTAGGCTTATTTCAAAGAAACAATCTTCACACTGCTTTGGTCATTTCTGCCCTTTGAATGGATATTTTCTTAATGTATATTCTCGTTGGGGTCATGGCACAGATGGAAAAATTCCTTTATGATTACAAAGCATTCCCAGCCAGCCAAACATAGTTAATAGATGCTCATGGCTACATACTTCTATAGGTTACTATTTCTAATATAGAGAAATCCTTGTCCTCATTTCACATAGCTCGCAATTCAGAGGAAAATGAAGGATACAGATGGACTTTATCCTAAAGACTAAATTATAGTGTTGGGGTGCAGGATGTTGAAATGGAAGCTTTTCTGGCTCAGAGTCTTGTCAGGATAGGTAGACCGTGTCTAGTGGTTCTGCCAGCATCAGCCCACTGTCTTCCAGGAGGCCACCAAAAAGAAGGTGGAGAATCTATTGTGTGGGTTGTGGAAATTGGAAAGGGAGGGTTTCTTTGGGGTGCAAGTGTACTGGTGTGCCTTTGAGAGAAACTGCCATGAGCCTGGTGGCGTTTGAGGGACCTAGGAGTGGGTGTCAGACTCCTTCCTGGGAACAGTAAAGGTGTGGGGCACCCCTGGTGGCAGGGCATGAAGAAAGAGGGCTGCAGGCACCTGCTCCTCCCACAGTGGCAATGGGGGATCCAACATGGGGTAGGGACAGGGGTAGAGGAAGGACCAGATGTAGATTCAAGGCAGTGAGCTATTGGGAAAGTGACTTCCAACATACAAAGGTGTCCTTGCAGACAAAGTGACTCAGCAGATGGGTGGTGGACTGCAAGAAAGCCATGGTTGTTGAAATGAGTCCGATAAAGAAGGCACTACTTATATCAAGGGAGATGTAGTTGGAGCTTCCAGCAGGGTAATATATAGGGGAGCCTTAGAGATACACCTTAGAGTTTCTGCAACAACCAGAGTGCTCCAGCCCAGAGCACCACTGTACCAGCCATACAGCATCCTTCCCATGGTACCTGGCTCTAGGAGCCGATGACAACAGCTAGGAATGTGGAAGGAGGCTGAATCAAAGGACCTTCTCCCTCCCACGGGAGGTTCCTAATCCTAAAGCCAGCCCAAGCCAGTGCAGGAGAGTTTCAGGTTTAATACAATCAGAGAATTCTAGTATTAGAGTGTTTTAATCCCTGAAAGAGACACAATTTTTGTACACATTTTTTGGAAGCAACCCAAACATCTATGTGATCTGTCTGAAGCTTCATTAACGGCTAAGAAAAACTAGCTAAGAAAGTGAGTTTGAAAAGTCCATAGCCAGAAAGAAAGAGGGGGCTTTCTGTTTGCTACCCAGAGACCAGCTCCTTTGATAAATCTTACATGGGTTTTTCAGGGAAGCTTAAACCAAGTTAATAATTCACTTTCCTAATGCAAGAGTCATCATCTCTTCTAGGCTCTAGATGAGAACTCACGGCTTATCTCAACCCCTCAAATATTTACCTTAGGCAGCAAATCCAGTATCACCACCACGTAAGTCTAATAACATCCAGACTTCAAGGAATATACAAGAACAATATTCAAGGGAAGATTAGGGTGGGAAGGTGAACGCTGGGGTCAATGTCTCTAGGAGTGTCAGAGATTCTTCAAAATCTTTGAAACTGCAGGCAAAAATGGTAAGCGCCATGTAATTTCTTTTTTTCTGGGTTCGGGGGGGGGGGGAATGTAACCTTCCTCATTTTCTCAAAAGTGTCTGTGACTGAAAAATAGTCAAGAACCCCTGAGTTAGACCTTGGTTCCCTGATGAACTACTTGAGATAAAAGGAATAAGCGCTCTATCTAAGCATCCAGGTGAATGGCTCGAGTACTCTAGGAACAGGTGGAGAGAAGGAGTTGTGCGTGAAGGACTGTCTGTAAGGCTCAGCACCTGATTAGAAAATGGGAGGTGTGAGATTTGCATCTGGTTGAAAAAAAGTAAGAAAGAAAGAAAAGAAAATGGGAGGAACCACCAGGATTGGGCAGAGGAAATAAACTGAATCTCCAAATAGGCTCAGCAACACCCTGGGGGCCTTGGAGTGAACATCTCCATGACAGCACCCCTCCCTGGGCTGAGATGGTTGTGAAACCATCCCTACCATCTTTATAAAATTAATCATGAGAGAAGGGGCGAGAAATAAAAATAAACCAAACTTGTGGCACATCCAGCATCCATCATGCAGTCTGCTTTCTTTCTGACCTGCTTTCTCATGGCTGTTTGGTGCTTATTGTTTTAGAATCATGTGGACCCTGTTACAAGATTACAGCTCTCCACACCTGCTCTGCAGACAACAGCTTGAACCTTATGAAACATGAAGTTTTCTCTTTGAGATATTCCTTCAGGTCTTGCATACTCATGAAAGTAATGACTTGTTTGATCTGAAAGACCCTGCTGATGCCAGCTGGTCTGAAGGAACCCACAGGAGCTGACTTACCAAAGAATGCGGTTTTCACCTTCTGATGATTTCATTCCCCTGACCCCACCAATGAACAGCCCCTCATCCTCCATGATCCTCTTAAAAACCCCAGAATTCCTCAGAGAGATGGATTTGGAGGTCTCCTTCCATCTCCCTGCTTGGGGTCCTGCCATCGCTAAACTGTCTGTCCTGCAAATTCTGCTGTCTCAGTGCATTGGTCTGTTACTCTGCAGGGGGCACAGGAACCTGTTGGTTCCGTAACAGCAGAGCCTGCCTTTTCAGCCCTTCCTTGCTCAGCCACCAGATGTAGGCCACCCAGGAAGTCGTGACCTTGGGCAGGGTGGCTCTCTGCCACTGAGGCTCACCTTCAGGAGCTGGTGGCTGAAGGCACACACGGTCACATTCCCCCTAGTTGGGCAGCAAAGCCTTCCTTGAATGAGAGTCCTTTCCACAGCTCCATGTCCACCACAACTGTGTTCTCCCTTCCAGAATTACTCTAACAAAGTCCTCCAAGAACATCTGTTTCCCTTCCATGGTTTGTTTTCTTTGCCCAAAGAATCAGGGGGCCATGTTTAGCTTAGGTTCAAAGGACCCTTCTCCCTCCCACTGGAGGTTCGTAATCCTAATGCCAGCCCAAGCCAGTGGAGGAGAGTCTTAAGTTTAATAAAATCAGGGGGTTTTAGTATTAGAGTGTTTTAATCCCCGAAAGAGATACTATTTACTTATATTTTTTGGAAGACATAAAATAACCTACGTGATCTGCCTGAAATTTCATTAAGGGCTAAGAAAAACTAGCCAAGAAAATGGGTTTGAAGAGTCCATAGCCAAAAAGAAAGATGGAGCTTTGTGTTTGCTGCCCAAGACCAGCTCCTTTGATAAATCTTACATGGGTTTTTCAGGAAGTACAAAAAAGCTTAAGCCAAATTAAAAATTCATTTTCCTAATGCGAGAGTCACCCAACTCTTCCAGGCTCTAGATGAGAACTTACGGCTTATCTCAACCCCTCAAGCTGTAGGTATGGCTTTAACTTGACTCAAATGTGCTATTTCAGAAGACGCTCCAACTTTTAAAGAAAACCAAGTCTAAAGTTCAACTCAGGACCTTTCTCACGAATCATGCACAATTGTAATTTTTAGAACTAAAATCGCAACTTCTGAAAATAAAAGAATTTGAAAAGCAACAAACCGATAAACAGAGAGGCATCCTCACCTTCTTCGTGCACCTTCTGGCCTTGCTGCCGGCGCAGCGGGCTCTGACCGTGCTGTGCTTCTGCGATTCAGGTCTTCACCTGATCTCAACAGCTCACCAGCTGGCCCTTCTCTCCCCAATTAGAGATTTTACCTTCACAAACAGCGTCCTTCCTAGGACCACGCTCAGACCACCCAGAAGAACGCTTGCCTTTTGCCTTTTCAACTTCTGTGCCCTTAGCTCCAGTTTAATTCCTCGCCAAGTGTCAGAAACAGGAAGGGGAAAAAAAGGGGTCAGCTGTCAGGGCAGCTTTGCGCTGGGAGCATTACACTCTCACGGCTGTTTTCCCCAATTAGAATGTTTTCTGGACGGTTTGCTTGTGAACTAGGGCATAACCTGTTCAGCTTTCTCCTTTTGGAAAAGCCCACTGATTCTCTCTGTGCCTGAAGTGAAGTGTTAAAAAAAATTCCCTATTGTATATATTCAACTTTTGATACAGCTCTGGAAAAATTGAGCATATACTAAGAATACAGAATGTGATGACATTAGTTCCCTAAGCATATTTGTGATTAAGTAGCTTATAACATCGAAGGATCAACCAATAGACGGCTAAGATAGAAATTAACATGGTCCTTGATTTTAAAAAAAGGTTTAAATTCATTTAAAAGAAAAAAAATACAAAACTGAAGACTGGACGTTTCCAGTTTTCCTTCCTGGAGATTTAATTGAGCCATCTGAAACTCATTTGAGAAACTGATCTTTAAAAAAAAAAAAAAAAAGGCTTTGTGATAAAGTTTAAATTTTGCTCAAGTACTGCTGATGCTTATTCTGCTGTCTCTCCAACAAGAAATGCCCCTGCTCTAGAGGAGAGAGGATCACAGGCAACAACTTAGAACCTGGGGTTTGTGGCCTCGTGTGGTGGCTCACTTCTTAAGCCCAGCACTTTGGGAGGCTGAGGTGGGAGGATTGCTTGAGGCCAGGAGTTTGAGGCCAGCTTGGGCAACATAGTGAGACTTTGTCTCTACTTTAAAAAAAAAGAGAAAAAAAAAAAAAGGCTGGGCACGGTGGCTCACGCCTGTAATCCCAGCACTTTGGGAGGCTGAGGCGGGTGGATCACCTGAGGTGAGGAGTTCGAGACCAGCCTGACCAATATGGAAAAACCCTGTTTCTACTAAAAATACAAAAATTAGCTGGGCGTGGTGGTGCATGCCTGTAATCCCAGCTACTGGGGAGGCTGAGGCAGGAGAATCGCTTGAACCCAGGAGGCAGAGGTTGCAGTGAGCCAAGATCATGCCATTGCACACCAGCTTGGGCAACAAGAGTGAAACTCCGTCTCAAAAGAAAAAAAAAAAAAAGGAAGAAAGAAAGAAAAACGGGGTTTGTGGACTCTATAACCAACTTCTGAGTCAACATGGGGCTACTTGGCTACATACATTCTCTCTTCATGGAACTTATGGTGGTGATCACAGGTCCAGCCCTCCTTCAAACAGAGCTCATGAAAATGGACAGTACCCTTGCCAAGTGACTTGTATGTATTCACATTTAAGACTGAGTTCTTTTTTTTTTTCTTTAAAATTTCAAGGTAATAAATATATCCATCTTGTTCAAAAGCTTCTTTGTGTCCCTTTGTGGTCTGTGTGTTAAGAATGCTTAACATGAGATCTACCCTCTTAACAATTTATTAATTTTTTGGTTTATTTTGAGATGGTTTCACTCTGTCACCCAGGCTGGAGTGCAGTGGTGCGATCACAGCTCACTGCAGCCTCAACCTCCCAGGCTTAAGCAATCCTCCTGTTTCAGCCTCCACCTACCTGATTTCAATTCTTTTTTTTTTTTTTGAGATGGAGTCTCACTCTGTCACCCAGGCTGGAATGCAATGGTATATGGTCTTGGCTCACTGCAACCTCCGCCTTCCGGGTTTAAGCAACTCTTCCACCTCAGCCTCCCAAGTAGCTGGGACTATAGGTGCGTACCACCACACCTGGCTAATTTTTGTATTTTTAGTAGACATGGGGTTTCACTGTGTTGGCCAGGCTGGTCTTGAATTCCTGACCTCATGATCCACCCACCTTGGCCTCCCAAAGTGCTGGGATTATAGGCATGAGCCATCACACCCGGCCTATCCTGATTTCAATTCTTTTGGATATATAGTAATTCCTGTTTATCTGCTGGGGTTACATCCCAAGACCCCCAGTGGCTGCTTGCAACCATGGATAGTACCTAACTCAATTGCTGTCCATCCAAATGCAACTTCCGTTCATGTCTTCTACCCGTAAAGTTAAATGCTTTTCTGTCTAAACGAGGCACTCATCACACACTGTGGCCATAAAACTTTTGTAGTCTGAGAGGCGACAGCAAAACGAGCACACTTTTTTCCCTCTTCTTCACAATTTCATAGACGAAAGACTTGTTCTTACTGTAAATCTTAACAGCTTCAACATACATTTTTTTTCTTTCCTTATTAAGTTGAGAACTTTCACTTCTTGACTTAAAGGAAGCACTTTATGGCTTCTCTTTGACATATCAAAGTTGCCAGCATCTCTGTTCTTGCACTTTGGGGACAATATTAAGTAAAAGAAGGGCTTCTTGAACACAAATACTACGATACTGCAACAGTCAGATCTGATAACTGTGACTCAGTGGGCAGGCAGTTTGTACAGGGCGGATCCACAGTGTGCATCAGTCACGTCCTGAAAGGGACAGAGTGGGGCAGCTCAAGATTTCATCACGCTACTCAGGACAGTGCACAATTTACAATTTATGAATGGTTTCTTTCTGGAATTTTCCATTTTATATTTTCAGACTACCATTGACCATAGGTAACTGAAACTGCAGAAAACAAAACCATGGATAAAAGTTACTGCTGGATACCCAGAAGTGGGATTGCTGAATCATATGGTTGTTCTATTTTAATTTTTTTTTGAGGAAGCTTCATATTGTTTGCCATAGCAGCAGCATCAATTTCCAGTCCCCACCAATGATGTACAAGGGTTTCTATTCTTCAAACCTCACCACTTATCATCTTTTGCTTTTTTGATAATAGTCATCCTAACAGGTGTGAGATGATATCTAACTGCAGTTTTGATTTTCATTTCCCTGATGATTAGGGACGTTCAGTATCTTCTCACGTACTTGTAGGCCATTTCCATGTCCTCTCTGGGGAAATGTCTGTTCAGCTCACTTACCCATTTATAAATTGGGTTATATATAATGTGTATGTATGTCTATTAGTCCATTTTCATGCTGCTGATAAAGACATACCCAAGACTGGGCCATGTACAGAAGAAAGAGGTTTAATTGGATTTATAGTTTCACCTGGCTGGAGAGGCCTCACAATCACGTCGGAAGGCAGGGAAGAGCAAGTCACATCTTACGTGAATGGTGGCAGGAAAAAAAAGAGTTGTGCAGGGAAACTCTGCCTTATAAAGCCATCAGATCTCATGAGACTTATTCACTATCATGAGAACAGTGCAGGAAATTCCCACCCCAATAATTCGATCACCTCCCACTGGGTCCCTCCCACAACACATGGGAATTCAAGATGAGATTTGGGTGGGGACGCAGCCAAAGCATATCAGTATGTATACGTTCACTTACATACTTATTTGCTGTTGAGTTGGGGAAGCTCCTTATATATTTTGGAAATTATCCCCTTATTAAGTGTATGGTTTGCAAGTGTTTTCTCTCATTCCATAGGTTACCATTTTACTCTGCTGATTATTTCCTTAGCTGTACAGCAGCTTTTCAGTTTGATGTAGTCCCACTTGCTTATTTTTCCTTTTGTTGACTTGTTTTTGGTGTCATGTGCAAGAATGTCAAGAAGTTTTCTCCTATGTTTTCTTCTAGGAGTTTTATGGTTTCAGATCTTACTTATCTTACTTTTAAATCTTTAATCCATTTTGAGTTATTTTTTCTGTATTGTGTAAGACAAAGATCCAGTTTTATTCTTTTGGGTGTAGTCATCCAGTTTTCTCAACACTATTGAAGAGACTGCCCTTTCCCCATCGCTTATTCTTGGCACTCTTGTCAAAAATCAGTTGGCTATAGCTGTGTGGATTTATTTCTGGGCCCTTAATTATGTTCCCTTGGTCTATATATCTATTTTTATGCCTGTACCATACTGTTTTGATTACTGTAGCTTTGTAATATATTTTGAAATCTGGAAGTGTGATACCCCCAGCTTTGTTCTTCTTATTCAAAATTGCTTTGGCTATTTGGAGTCTTTTCTGGTTCCATATGAATTTTAGGATTGCTTTTTCTATTTCTGTAAATAATGCCATTGAGATTTTGATAGGATTGCATTGAATCTGTAGATTGCTATGGGTAGTACAGATATTTTAACAATGTTAATTATTCTAATTCATAAACATGGGATGTCATTTCATTTATTTGTGTCTGCTCTATTTTCTTTCATCAATATTTTATAGTTCTATAGTTTAATATTCTTTCATCAATATTTTATAACTCTTTCCTTTTTGGTGAAATTTATTTAAATTTGTTTCCAAGTATTTTATTCTTTTTGGTGCTATTGTAAGTGAGATTGTTTACATAATTTACTTTTCACATAGTTCATTGTTGGTATGTAGAAATACAACTGATAGCATTTGATTTTGTATGTTGGTTTGTATTATTATCATATCCTCCAACTTTACTGAATGCATTTATTTGTTCTAACAAGATGTTTTTCCTGTAGAGTTTGTAGGGTTTCCTACATATTAAATCATGTCATCTGAAAAAAAAGATAATTTTACTTCTTCCTTTTGGATTGGATATCTTTTATTTCTTTTTCTTGCCTAATTGTTGTGGCTAGGACTTTCAGTACTATATTGAGTAGAAGTGGTGAGAATGGGTATCCTTGTCTAAAAGTGAGTTCTTATTGGTAAAACTCAGAACCATTTATTTAGAACATACTTATAGGGCCTCATTTTGAATTTTATACCATGTGAGTTGCATATATTGTGTAAGACAAACTCTATCTTCAAGGACTTTGTATGTTAGTAGGGAAGATAAGTCACGCCCACAAATAACAATTATACAAAATGATATGGAACAATTGTTATGAAAGAGCTATAAATGCTTTGGAAGTTTGAGAAGTCAGAGATAACATCTAGATATATACCCATCATTTATGTATACAGAGGCATTTCTTACATAATTACACTAAGGGGCACATTATCAATAGGATGGTATCTAATTAGAAAACAGAAATGTGGGTTGGCCTGTATATTTCCTGCAGCATATTTCTTCAGTAATCCCTTATTAATATATCAAGAATCTGTGTTTTCTACATGATCATCAAGTAAATATTCTACAATTTTGAAAAAAATCACTAACTGGTAAAATGCTTAAGCTGAGTTGTAATTCTACTTCCCAGAACTTTACTCCTCTGGGACTCACTTCCTCTATGTCATCATTGATGAGGAACAATTGGAAAGAGTTTGTGTGTTCTCACAACCCACACTAGTAGGAAGACCAAGGCGGTAAAAAACTTTTAAGAAAAAAAGAAGAAATTAGGAGAATGCTCTGTAAGCATAACCAGTCTATTTTCTAAGAGTCCTTGGTATCCCCATCTTAATCTCCCTGGGAGGTGAAATTGACTACTGTAATGTAATAAGAGGAAGTTTTGTCTTTGCTGTCAAGAAGCAGTTAAACTTATAAAATCTCATCTTTCCTTGTAGTATTGAAGAGTAATGTCTTGTAGATGTTTCCCACTGTAAAGCATTATATGAAGCAGCTGGTGCAACCGTCCCAATTTAAGTAAAAGAGTGAGAATTCACCAGATTGCACCCTAGAGAAAACCATATGTCATTGGTGGCGTTTCAAGACTCCTGGCTGGGTTGTAGGGTACACAGAACTGCTTTTATTTCTCCTCGTAAGCAAGTTCCAAGTTCGTAAATTTCCCTGAACTGTCACTGGTATGGTAATGAGAACTTTCAGGCCCACATAGCTGATATCTACTCACACTTCGAAAATCCGATTTGAAATATGACACTGAAAATCTTAAGCCTTCGCTCAAGCTCTCCTTGATCATGAATATAGATCAGGCTACTCAGTGTATGAGATGGAATTGTCTAGAGCCTTAAAAAAAAGAGAAAGGAAACTTGTGATGTTTTTCCTCTTACCATAACCCGTGGCCCTGTGGTGCCTATAGCAGAGATATAATGATCAGTACATGATTAGATGTAAATATTGATTCCTTGAGTAATCCATGCAATTGGATGAAAAAACTTATTCACATATTAGTTATTCTTTGAAAACTGATCTTAGAAATGGGGTTCTTAGAAATGATTGCCTTGCTGTTACAGAGGAAGGAAGGAGAGTAACATTTGTAGATCAACTGGTTGCCAAGCATGTGCAGACACTGCTGAGCACTTCCACAAGCATCAGTGCATGTAACTACTGTTATTAATATCTCTGATGCAAAGATAAGGGAACTGGCTGGGCGTGGTGGCTCATGCCTGTAATCCCAACACTTTGGGAGGCTGAGGTGGGTGGATCACCTGAGGTCAGGAGTTTGAGACCAGCCTGGCCAACATGGTGAAACCCCGTCTCTACTAAAAATACAAAAGTTAGTTGGGCATGGTGTTGCGTGCCTGTAGTCCCAGCTGCTCTGGAGGTTGAGGCAGGAGAATCACTTGAACCCAGGAGGTGGAGGTCGCAGTGAGCTGAGATTGCACCACTGCCCTCCAGCCTGGGCAACAGAGCATGACCCTGTCTCAAAAACAAAACAAACAACAAACAAACAAAGATAAGGGACTAAGAGCCAAAGCAGATATGCAGGAAAACTGGCTCAGGTATCCTGACTCCACTGTACGTTGGAGATGATGACAGGCATAAAGGTTGTTGGCATCCGTGACAGTCAACTTCAGTTTCTTACCCAAAGGACATATGGTGGAATCCCTGCTATATAGTCAGATGCCATGGAGAGTAGGCAGAGAGAGGAGTGAATAAGAGAACTATCAGAGAAATAGTGAAGGGAGGAGTGAGGGCTGGGGTGTCCTACACTTTTCCAGAATGAGGCAGGATATGGGATCTTTGCTAAATTGGAAACTCATTGAAATGCTCCTAGATTTTCCCAACATGAATATAGCACAGTTGGGCTTTCCCCAGAGGTATATCCTAAGGCAAGTTCAAGTTTATTTGGAAAAACAATGGGAGGGAAGGAGAAGGCAAAACAGTCAATACAGGGTCCATTATCAAGCAACGTGCCATGTGGATACCTGAAGTTCATGCCCCCTGGAGAACTCTGCCACTGTGGAACACGCACCTCAGTGTTACCCTACCCAATGGATGGGGGAGCTGGGACATTTGTACATCAGGTGCCGTTGGCCATCATTTGGGGTTATATTTGGAGGGCATTGATTCTCTGGCTATCTGGCCTTTCACAGGAAAGAGATACAGGACACACCACAGTGGTAATTACTGCGGAGACCCAGCAAGGGCACCCACAAGGTTAACGATTGATTCATCCAGAACTCCACCTTTTTTTTTTTGAGACGGAGTTTTGCTCTTGTTGCCCAGGCTGGAGTGAAATGGCGTGATCTTGGCTCACTGCAACCTCCGTCTCCTGGGTTCAAGCTATTCTCCTGCCTCAGCCTCCCAAGTAGCTGGGATTACAGACACCCGCCACCACACCCAGCTAATTTTTGTATTTTTAGTAGAGACAGGGTTTCACCAGGTTGGCCAGGCTGGTCTTGAACGCCCAGCCTCAGGTAATCCACCCACCTCGACCTCCCAAAGTCCTGGAATTACAGGTGTGAGCCACTGTGCCCAGCCCAGAACTCCACCTGAATTAGGACACATTGCTTAGCATCTACTCGATACTGGAAAGGAATGAGCAAATCTTGACCCTTTGACTTAAAGGAACTAATCACATTTTCATACTGTCTCATGCTTCTCCATGAAGTGTACTGTTGGCTCGCAGTCTTAAAAATATCCCTTTAACTTCCACTTGATGGAGTAGACGTGCTTTTCCCTATTCATCTTGACAATTACAATGAAAAACCCAGGATGTCAAATGCAAGACAGCCGTAAGACAACAAGGTGACTGCACTTAATGCTAGTAAACCATTTAAAAATGGTTGAAATGGCTTGGGGCTAGGAGTTTGAGACCAGCCTGAGCAACATAGCAAGACCTCTACAACAGATTTAAAATATTAGCCAGATGTGGTTGTGTGCACCTGTAATCCCAGCTGCTTGGGAGGCTGAGGTGGGAGGATTGCTTGAGCCCAGGAATTTGAGGCTACAGTGAGCTATGATTGTGCCACTGCACTGCAGCATGGACAAAAGCATGAGACACCATCTCTGAAACAAACAAAAGCCAAAAAACAAAAACAAAAAGAAAGTAATTGAAATAGGCAACTTTTATATTATGTTTATTTTGCCACAAACAAACAAACAACGACAACAAAACAAAAAACAAACATAAGAAGACTCTGAAAGGGGGAGAGAAGAAGGCAGACTGGCCAGGGACTCCCAGACACAAAGAATGACATGGTGGGCTGGGCGTGGTGGCTCACGCCTGTAATCCCAGCACTTTGGGAGGCCGAGGCGGGTGGATCATGAGGTCAGCAGATCGAGACGATGCTGGCCAACATGGTGAAATCCCGTCTCTACTAAAATACAAAAAAATTAGCTGGGCGTGGAGGTGGCGGCCTGTAGTCCCAGCTACTCAGGAGGCTGAGGCAGGAGAATTGCTTGAACCCAGGAGGCAGAGGTTGCAGTGAGCCGAGATCTCCAGCCTGGCAACGGAGTGAGACTCTGTCTCCAAAAAAAAAAAAAAAAAAAAAAGAATGACTTGATGGTCAGTTCCCTACATTTTCTTCTTCTTTTTTTTTTTCTATTTCTGATTGGGTATCAGAGGGGCCAGCAACAGGAAATGCCAATAGCTACAGAATTTTTAAAGCCTGAATACAAGTCTGTTCTCTAGCCAGGGGACCAGGAAAGGAGAAGTCTGTCAAGACAGAAAACTTTCAGACAGTAATCACTCTACCCCAGCCCAATAACCACAGAACATAGTGTGTTCCCCTATGTCCACTCTGCCAGCAAGGCTTGAGTGGGGAGCCTAGACTCCCATCCTTACCAGGCTGTAATGACAGGACCCATATCCCACTGAATGATGTCAGCAAAGGCGTAGAGTGAAACCAGGACATTCGTCCCCACTGAGTAGCAACAACATGTCCCTCTTCCACCATGCTGGGTCAGTAGAAACCACGCAGGGGGCCTGGATCTTCATCTCCACCCAGGAGCAACAGGACACCCTCTCTTCCCCTTTCTTGCTGGGGTTTTAACCACATCAGACCAATCTGGTTCAACTTTGTGTGTGTGTGTGTGGAGATGGGGGTCTCATTATGTTGCCTAGGCTAGTCTTGAACTCCTGAACATAAGTGATCCTCCTGCCTCAACCTCAAAGTGCTGGGATTACAGGCATGCGCCACCATGCTGGCCCTGGTTCAACATCCATGTAACAAACTTGTGAGTTGTTTTTCAGTTGCCATGGGGCCCAAGGTTGAAGGTCACATAACCTGAGCATGCCCAGATGAACCAAGGGTGCAGCCACAAGGGTACCCTAAGTGGTTGGAAGGAGAAGCGTGGACTGGATTAAGAAGCAGACCCCAAGGCCGGGCACAGTGGTTCACGCCTGTAATCCCAGCACTTTGGGAGGCCAAAGCGGGTGGATCATGAGTTCTGGAGATCGAGACTATCCTGGCTAACATGGTGAAACCCCGTCTCTACTAAAAATACAAAAAATTAGCCAGGTGTGGTGGCGGGTGCCTGTAGTCCCAGCTACTAGGGAGGCTGAGGCAGGAGAATGGGGTGAACCTGGGACGCGGAGCTTGCAGTGAGCTGAGATCACGCCTATGCACTCCAGCCTGGGGGACAGAGCGAGACTCCAAGACTCCGTCCCAAAAAAAAAAAAAAAAGAAGCAGACACCACATGGCAGGATCAAGGATCCAATGAGATTGAGCCCTGGCATCACCCTCTGGCAGGATCCAATCAGATCACACCTCATTGCCCTATGCTTATAAAGCCCAACCCAGCCCCCAGCTCAGGGAGACAGATTGGAGCATTTCCTCCCATTCCTTGCTGGTCAACTCAAATAAAGCTTTTCTATTTTTTTTTTTCTTTGAGACGGAGTTTTGCTCTTGTACCTTAGGCTGGAGTGCAATGGCAGGACCTCAGCTCACTGCAACCTCCACCTCCCAGGTTCAAGCGATTCTCCTGTCTAAGTCTCCTGAGTAGCTAGGATTACAGGTGCCCACCACCACGCCCAGCTAATTTTGTATTTTTAGTAGAGACGGGGTTTCACCAGGTTGGCCAGGCTGGTCTCAAACTCCTGACCTCAGGTGATCCACCGCTTCGGCCTCCCAAAGTGCTGGGATTACAGGCGTGAGCCACTGTGCCCGGCCAGCTTTTCTCTTCTCAAAAGCTGGTGCCATGGTATTGGCCTCTGTGCACATTGGGCAGCAAGCACATCAATTGCTTGGTAATCGGCTGGTGTCAGAGGAGGCCTATTAGGAGTCAGAGCCTTCACTACTGCCCAGCGGTAATGAGGTCATCCCTCTGCTTGTCCATGGTGGCCACACAGGGAACAGTCATGGTGAACCTTTGCCCCTCTCAGCTAGAAAGGTGTTGTTAGAGGAGGTAAAGGGTCGGAAATAGACAGGCAAAGGAGCTCCTGGGAAAAAACGTCTTGGAGATGCTGCCCTTTGACAGTCAGAGAAAAAGATGAAGGCTGCACTGGCTACTTCCGGCCTTGTGGTTGGGCTCTTCCGGCTCCGACGGGGTTTATCGAGCCCTAGTCAGAGATAACCACGGTAGGGACTTCCCGTGCTGATGAGCATGCCCACTCCTCCAAAACCTTGCCCGAGGATATCCTGTTGCTCATTATGATAATAAAAAGCTCATCCTTGGGTGGAGACTTTGCATGCATATGAGACATGTGATGTGTGGACCAGCATGCACAACCACAGAGTGTGCAAACCCAAGGTGACTACCCAAAACATGATTGCAAGTGACGCCCCCTCCTGCCCCTGTAGGAAAAATCATGTAAGATTCTCTAAAGACAGTCCCCCAGCAGCCCGCTCTGTCTCATCTCTTTCAGAGTGCACCATCCCTTTAAGTAAATGCTGCTACTGCTATGTTTCCAGCCTGACCAGCCTGGAGCTGTTTTCCAGACGGGTCAGCCTGCTTCCCTCTTGGGGTGTGCTTGTATCTCCTTAATAAACCTTTTGAGGTTGGGTACAGTGCTTACGCCTATAATCCCAGCATAATGGGAGGCCAAGGTGGGCGGATCACTTGAGGTCAGGAGTTCAATACCAACCTGGCCAACATGGTGAAACCCTGTCTCTACCAAAAATACAAAACTTAGCCAGGCATGGTGGTGCATGCCTGTAATCCCAGCTACTCGGGAGGCTGAGGCAGGAGAATCACTTCAACCTGGGAGGTGGAGGCTGCGGTGAGATGAGATCACACCACTGCACTCCAGCCTGGGCAATTGAGCGAGACTCTGTCTCAAAACAAAAACAAAAGCAAGACCTTTGCTTGGATTACGAATTGTCTCTTGGCTGAATTCTTTCTCCCACATTAGGCAAGAACTGAGGATTCCTGCACTTCCCAGTGACAGTATCAGTAGAGCCCAGGGGTGATCCTGAACTCCCACCCTGCCCAGCAGTAGTGAGAAGTCCCTCCCCACGTAGTGCCAATGACAGCTGAGGCAGGGACGGGACTTCCACTCCCACCTGGTGGTAAGAGAGTGCTGCCCCCTTCACCCACCAGAGCTGTGTCAGAGGAGGCCTGCCCAAACATAAGATTTAAGTAAGAGCTACAGTCACCTGATACAATACTCAGAATGTCCAGGTTTCAAGATAAATCACTTGTCATGCCAAGAACCAGGAATATCTCAGCTTGAATGAGAAAAAGCAACCAAAAGACACCAATGCTGAGATAAAATAGATGTCAGAATGATCTCACCAGGATTGAAAAGCAGGCATCATAAAAATGCTTCAGTGAGAAATCATAAACATGCTCAAGCCAAAAGATAAAAGGGGAGGGCGTCTCAGCAGAGAAATGGATAATGTAAAGAAAAATATAATAATTAAAAGAAAAAAACTCAATGGATGGGCTCAAGAGCAGAATAAAGAAGACAGAGGGAAGAATCAGTGAACTTTAAGATAAAACAGTAGAAATGAACTACTCTGCAAACAGAGAAAATAAACTTAAAAAAATGAGAAAGGGCAGCACTCCAGGGATCTGTGGGGCTATAGCCAAGGAAATAATATTCAAATCCTTGGATTACCAGAAGGAGAGGTGGAAGAGAGAGTGCAGCTGAGAAATTATTTGAAGGCATAATGGCTGAAAAATCCCCACATTTGCTAAAAAAGCACATGTGTACAGATTCAAGAGGCTGAATAGATCTTAGGCAGGATAAATCCAAAGACACATCATAGTCAAACTTGTGAAAACAAAAGAAAAGAAAAGCTCTTGAAAGAAGCCAGAGAGAAATGACACCTTATCGTAGGGGAAAAAGTTTTTTGAATGTCAGTGAATTTCTCGTCAGAAACAAACAAAACTCTTATTTGATTTTATTTTTATAACAGTGAACAAGCAACTCAATGGGGAGAAAAACAGTCTTTTCAAAAAGCGAATCTTAACCTAAACATTGGACCTTACACAAAAATTAACCCCAAATGGATAATGAACTTAAATGTAAATATAAAACTATAAAATGCTGAAAAGGAAACACAGGAAAAAGTCTTCAGAAACTTGAGCTTGATGATGAGTTCTTAGACATGGCACCAGAGGCACGATCTATAAAAGAAAAATATCACGAACTGAATTTCATTAAAATTAAGAACATTTGTTCTATGAAAGACCATGTGAGGAGGATGAAAAGACAAGTTACGAGCTAGAAGAAAATATGTACAAACCATATATCAGGAAAAAGACTCATATCTGCAAATATTATAGGACTCTCAAAACTCAACAGCAAAACAAATTAAACAATCCATTTAGAAAATGAACCAAAGATATGAACAAACATCTCACCAAAGGGTTTATATGGGTGGCAAATAAGCACATGAAAAGATGCTCAATGTCACCAGCTGTTAGGGAGATGCAAATCTGTGGTCATAATGAGATATCAGTACACAATTATCTGAAGAGCTAAATTTAAAAAACTGACAACACCAAGTGATGGTGAGGACATGGAGCAACTGGAACTCTCGTATGTTGCTTTGTGGTACCTGTAAAATGATACAGGCACTCTGGAAAATTGGCACACTAAACATATGCTTAGTATATGGTTCAGCAATTGTACTCCTGGGCATTTATCCCAGAAAAATGAAAAGTTGTGTCTACTTGAAGCTTGTAATCAAATGTTCATAGCAGTATTATTTGTAATAGTCCTGTATTAAGCCATTCTTGTGTTGTTTTAAGAAAAACCTGAGACTGGGTAATTTATAAAGAAAAGAGGTTTAATTGGCTCATGTTTCTGCAGCCTGTATAGGAAGCTTGGTGCTGGCATCTGCTCAGCTTCTGGGAAGGCCTCAGGAAGCTTCCAATCATGGCGGGCAGTGAAGGGAGAGTACGCACGTCACACGGCCAGAGCAAGAGAGAGAGAGAGTACTGGGGAAAGGTGCCATACACTTTTCAATGACCAGATCTAGTGAGAATTCACTATCACAAATATAGCACCAAACCATGAGGGATCCGCCCCCATGATCCAGTACCCTCCCACCAGGCCCCACCTCCAGCATTGGGGATTAGAATTCAACATCAGATTTGGTGGGGACAAATATCTAAAATATATCAAGCCCCAAACTAGAAGCAACCAAAATGTCCCTCAATAGGTGAATGGTTAATTGGTGTTTTGTGGTGCATCCATCCCATGGAATACTGCTCCCTACTAAAAGAAATAAACTTTTTTTTTTCTTTTTGAGACAGAGTTTCACTCTTGTTGCCCAGGCTGGAGTGCAATGGCACAATCTCAGCTTACTGCAACCTCCACCTTCTGGGTTCAAGCAATTCTCCTGACTCAGCCTCCCGAGTAGCTGGGACTACAGGCACCCAGCATCATGACCAGCTAATTTTTGTATTTTTGGTAGAGACAAGGTTTTACCATGTTGGCCAGGCTGGTCTCAAACTCCTGACCTCAGGTGATCAACCTGCCTCGGCCTCCCAAAGTGTTGGGATTACAGGTGTGAGTCACTGCACCTGGCCAGAAATAAACTATTGACACAGGCAACAACTTGGCTGGATCTCATGGGCATTATGATGAGTGAAAAAGCCAGTCCCAAAAGGTCACATCCTGTATAATTCCATTTCTATAATATTCTCAAAATGCCAAAATCATAAAGATGGAGAATAAATTAGTGGTTGCTGGCATTAGGGATGATGGAGGCTGAGGAGTGGCTAGAAAGGGGTGGAATGACGCAGATCTTTGTCAGGATAGATCCGTTCTGTGTCTCGATTATAGTGGTGATTATACAAACCTACATGTGATAAGATGACATGGAAGTGCTTGCACATGTTGTACCAATGTCAACTCCTGTTTTTCTGTATTCTGCTATAATTAAGATGTCACTGGGTGGGTGCTGTGGCTCACGCTTGTAATCTCAGCACTTTGGGAGGCTGAGGCGGACGGATCATGAGGTCAGAAGTTTGCGACCAGCCTGGCCAACATGGTGAAACCCTGTCTCTACTAAAAATACAATAAAACAAATTAGCTGGGTGTGGTGGCGGGCACCTGTAATCCCAGCTACTCAGGAGGCTGAGGCAGGAGAATTGCTTGAACCTGGGAGGCGGAGGTTGCAGTGAGCTGAGATCACACCACTGCACTCCAGCCTGGGTGACAGAGTGAGACTCCATCTCACACAAAAAAAAAAAAAAAAAAAAAAAAAAAGAAGAAGAAAAAGAAAAAAAAAAAAAGAAGATGTCACCATTGGTGGAAACTGGTTGACGTTTTCGTGAGACCTCTCTGCACTCCCTTTACAACATCTTGTGAATCTATAATTATTTTAAAATAAAAAATATTTTAAAGAGTGTCTAACTCCTATGGTTTCTGAAATAATCAAATTAGATAATAACTAAAAGGTTTAGAAGAGTACCTGAAACCTAATACACACTCAACATTAAAAATGGAAAAACACTGTCTCATAAAATGAGTCCCATAATATATTCTTCAGATTTTAAAGTCATTCATGTAAATGTTGTAATTTTTTTTGGTGGTGGTGGAGGTGTTATTGGTTGTTTTTGTAAGTCTGGAAATATTTTCCAGTGAATTTATCAGGATTAGTTTTTTCCTTTGGGTGAAATGTTTTGAATAATTGCAAATTTATGCCATGAAATTGCAGGAACTATAGAACATGACTGGGGAATTTGGAGCTGATGTAAGCAAGAAACTGTGGATGCTGCACACCACCTCAGGTATATCCTAGATTTTGGAAAAGTTTCCTTTTACAGTTTGGAGACCATATATTGCTAGAATTTCATTATGAGTGACAGTCTATGAAAGTGCAGCTCAGTTGGCATGGGGAGTTGTGAATGACAAAGCTCTGGCTGTGCAATTATAAAGGGGCCTAATGAAATGATAATGGGAAAATATCTAATGGAATCTGTGTGATGGGCCACTGGTACATGGGAGAATGCTCATTAATTTGGATGGGTTAAGAGATACAGAGGATATGAAAAGAACATCATGTACCTGGGAGTATGTATCAAACATAGGCTTGAGCCTGTAAGAATGGTGTCAAGATGACCGAGGGTCGGAATCGGTGGAGGTGCACAAATGCTAAACATGATGGATTTTGAAAGCTAAGTCAGGAGCAAAAAGACCAAGAGTTATCGACATTCTTTGGGGCAAAATATCAAAATGTTGTCTGTTTTAGTTGGGATTTTCCAGGGAGACAGAACCAATCAGATATAGAGGGAGAGACATGGAAGGAGATGCATTAGGATAATTGGCTCCCTCAATTATGGAGGCTGGCAAGTCCCATGACAGGCTCTTTGCAATCTGGAGCCCCTGGGATGCTGGTGGTGTGACTCAGCCCAAGTCCACATCCTCAGAGACAAGAAGGTGATGGTGTAATGCTCAGTTCAAGGCCAAAGGTCTAAGAGCCCAGGGGCTGTTTGTCCATGTCGTGGAGTCTAAAAGTCAGAGAGTCAAAGCTTGGAGTTCTGATGCCTCTGGACCAGAGAAGAGGATCTCCCAGCTCTGGAAGAGAGAGCAATAATTTGCCCTTACATGTGGGCCCCCAGTGGATTAGATGGTGCCTGCCCACACTGAGGGCAGATCTTCCCCACTCAGTCCACCCATTCACAGGCCAATTGCCTCCAGAAACCGTCGCAGACACACCTGGGGCAGCCCAATCATTCCAATCAAATGCCAAACTGCCCAGGCTTCGCTTTCAGGAGAAGAGGGAGGGTCTCTGTGCCTGGAGAAGCACTCAGAAGAATTCATGCCATGATTGGGAGTACAGAGTGCTTTACCAGCTAACTGGGTATCCTTTAATTCAGCTAGTTGACACCCCAAGTCATCCATCACAAGAACAAGATCAACATGGAACAAGGGTATTTTGTTTTGTTTTTTTTTTTTAGCAAAAAGAGAAGACTTAAGGAACAAGAATTCGTGTATAGCGGTGACCCCCAACCCATCCAGGGAAATTCGCATGTATTTTCTCCTGTAATCTGCATGAAAACCTTCAGGTGGATATTATCTTCATGTT
The DNA here is from genome assembly GCF_000001405.40 of Homo sapiens. Classification (NCBI taxonomy): domain Eukaryota; kingdom Metazoa; phylum Chordata; class Mammalia; order Primates; family Hominidae; genus Homo; species Homo sapiens. The sequence goes on along the minus strand of NC_000007.14, from coordinate 4,417,818 downwards.
ACACACAAAGAGAACATTGTCCAAAGATAATAACTTTCCCAGGAGCACACACACACACACACACACACACACACACACACACACACAGCCAGAGCATGCCAGCATGGGGATCACACCCCACATCTTCAAGTTCATGCCTCCATTTCTTTTTCTTTCCCTACCCTATGGTGTCCAGCAAGAGAGAGATTTTCCATCTGGAAGGAAAAGAAAACTCAGAACAAAACTGAATCTCAAGATAGTCCGGGAGATTACAAAAGAAAAAAATTGCGTGTCTAGTTATTGAAACGTAAAGACTCTGAGCTCAGAAAGGTGAGTGAGGGGCCCTGTGGATATATTCAGACAAGTAGTCAATCACAGAGAAGCTTGAGCAAAGGCCTTGAGATGGCCCAGAGTGTTCCAAGACCAACCAGAGCACAAGTGGTAAGAGATGACTGAGGTCAACGAGCGTCTTGTAAAATGTTGACTCCATCTTCATGGAGGACTCTGTTGGAACCGACCCTAAAGGGCAGGTGCCAGCTGGAAGGACAGTTAGGACATCAGTGAAGTGGAGGAAGCTGGATTCTGTGTCTGAGATTGCTGGGAGAGGACTGGGCTGGAGACATACTTGTAGCACCATCAGCACGTAGATGGGACTTGAAGCTACAAGTCTGGATGAGGTCGCCAAGGGACGGGGCGTAGGTAGAGAGGAGATTATGGCCTCCGGAGTTAGAAAGTGAGGAGAAGGGGAGGAGGAAGAAGCAAAGGGGATGGAGAAGGCACAGCTGGGGAGGCGGCAGGAAAACAGAGAGGCTTTGGTGTCCTGGAAGCCAAATGAAGAAAATGACTCAATGAGACGGAAGCGATCGGCTGTGTGGAACGCTGCCACTAGAACAAATCAGATGAGAGCTGAAGACTGAGCATTGGGTTTGACAGCATGGAAGGCCTGGTGAAATTGACAAAGGGTGATTGAGTTGGAACGGTGGCTATAAAGGCCTGATTAGAGTCAGCTTGAAGGATCTGGCAGGAGGGGCGCTGGCAGACAGTCCAGAAGCAATATCAGGATCCGCGGGTGACGCTTAAGAGGAAAAGCTCCGGGCAAGTGGAGCCGCCATAGTGGAGTCTTAGCAACGTTGGACCTGGCCCAACAGAAACCGGATGCGTGTTTATCAGGAACATTACGGTAGAGATATCTGCAGCGCGTGGACGTTTGAATGTGATGATTTATTAGGCCATTTACAGCTTTGAGATTCTATCATTCACTTTGCCACGGGTTTTATGAAAGTCAGTTATTGTGGTCATAGAACCCCAGGGAGCCAATGCACCTTGCCCCAGAGATAACGGCGAGGCAGACGGACGCTCCTGCACAGCCTCTGTTTCCATCGTGCCTTCTTTTCCTTTTTACAGTTGTACTTACATTCCTGGCTCCTCGTCTTAAAATGTAGAATGTAAACCAACTCCCAGAGAAGTACTGGGATTCTTCATTGGATCAATAAGCAGAATTGAAAGAAAATCGTCAAAAAGATGCCTGCACAGTCGGCAGAGCTCCCCGGTGGAGAGGAAACAAATGTTCTTTAATGAATAATGAGAATGAAACTCATTCCTAAATCAGGCTGCCCTTGGTGTTCACATGCAGAGTACAAAGGGCCTCAAAAACTTTGTTTAAATGAAAGGAATATTTCGAGTAGTGCATGAGGGGCACCCTTCAGGCGGCAAGACAAGTCACGCTCTCACTTTCAATTAGAAGGTAACTTGATTTTTGAAGAAAATCCTCGGTGCTCAGTACAGCTCAGTATAGCTTTTCTCAAATATTATTTTAGATTTTGGCTACAGTTATTCACATTTCTGACATTACTTTCGACCTCATTATGTACTTAAATTTTTTTTTTTTTTTTGAGACAGGGTCTCACTCTGTTGCCCAGGCTGGAGTGCAGTCGTGCAATCACAACTTACTATAGTCTCAACCTTCCTGGCTCAAGCGAGCCTCCCATCTCAGCCTCCTGAGTACCTGGGACTGCAGGTGTGTGCCATTATGCCTGGCTAATTTTAATTTTTTTTTTTTTGTAGAGGTGGGGTCTCACTGTGTTGCCCAGGCTAGTCTTGAACTCCTGGCCTCAAGCAATTCTCCTGTATCAGCATCCCAAAGTGCTGGGATTACAGACATGAGCCCAGTGCCTGGCCCTATTATGCACTTTTATTTTCCTTAAAGCATATATCCCAATTTAAAATGAGCCTATGCACTTAATTGCATATGTGTCTATTGTCCCTCTACCCTCCCTAAAATGTAAGTTCTCCCTAAAAGCAGTTAGTATGTCAGAAGAATCAGTGCACCCATGGAAATGAGGTAGGAGACGGGGCTTGACTTGACTCCGGACCACACTGAAGACTGGCAGAAACAGGGAAGAGAGGAAAGCGCCTCTTTCGTCTCACAAGACACTCCCACTGGTGCCATGACAGTTCTCCATTGCCATAGCAACACCTGGAAGTTACCGCCCTTTTTCTAGAAATTTCTGAAGAACCCCTTAATTTGTATGTAATTAAACATGAGAATAAATATGATGGCAGAACTGCCTCGGGGCTGCTGCTCTCCACACACTGCCTATGGGGGTAACCCTACTGTGCAGAAACAGTCACTGGCCTGTACACTGCTGCCTCAAACCAGCTGTTTTCTTTTCTTTCTTTCTTTTTTGAGACAGGGTCTCACTCTGTCACCCAGGCTGGAATGTAGTGGCATGATCATGGCTCACTGCAGCCTCGACCTCTCCAGGCTCAGATGATCCTCCTACCTTAGCCTCCCTAGTGGCTGGGACTACAGGCATGCACCACCATGCCCAGCTAATTTTTCTATTTTTTTTTTTTTTTTTTGTAGAGATGGGGTTTCTCCATGTTGCCCAGGCTGGTTTTGAACTCTGGGGCTCGAGTGATCTTCCCACCTTGGCCTCCCAAAGTGCTGGGACTATAGGCATGAACCACCTTGCCTGGCCAATAAAGCTATTTTCTTCTAGCACTGGCTCACCCTTGAATTCCTTCTTGGGTGAAGCCAACTATCTTCCTGAGTGGAGCCCCCATTTTTGAGCTCATCTGCCCCTGCAACAGAAGGATTTCTTTCTTTCTTTTTTTTTTTTTGAGACGGAGTCTCGCTCTGTCGCCCAGGCTAGAGTGCAGTGGCACTATCTCGGCTGACTGCAACCTCCGCCTCCTGGATTCAAGTGATTCTCCTGCCTCAGCCTCCCGAGTAGCTGGGACTACAGGTGTGCACCACCACGCCTGGCTAATTGTATTTTTAGTAGAGACGGGGTTTCACCATGTTAGCCAGGATGGTCTCGATCTGCTGACCTCGTGATCCACCCGCCTCAGCCTCCCCAAGTGCTGGGATTACAGGCCTGAGCCACTGCGCCTGGCCCAGAAGGACTTCTTAAATGCCAACACAGGTTCCTGGCCAGACAAGGCAATGAGCAGTGGTTAGAAATAACAGTAATTAAAACCCCACAATCAGTTTTTAATTGATGCCAACTGTCACTCTCTTTTTTCCCCCGGGACCTGTATATGAAAATCTTTACCAGTTTCCCTCTTTGATTTACATTTCTGGCAGCAGCTCAAATAGACCAAACTCTTCTATTTAAGAGATGGATATGGGCCAGGTGTGGTGACTTACACTTGTCATCCTAGCACTTTGGGAGGCCAAGGTGGGAGGATCGCTTGAGCCCAGGAGTTTGAGACCAGCTTGGGCAACGTGGTGAAACTCAGTCTCTACTAAAAATAAAAAAATTAGCTGGGCATGGTGGTATATGCTTGTCATCCCACTACTTGAGAGGCTGAGTCAGGAGGATTGATTGAGCCCATGAGGTTGAGGCCGCAGTGAGCTATAATCGTGACACTACACTCCAGCCTGGGTGGCAGAGCGAGACCCTGTCTCAAAAAAATAAAAAATGGATATGCTTGTATTCCACAGGGAAAATGAAGAGTTAGCTAATACTAGACACAGGATCAGAAATAGAGGATGCAAGGGTAAACTGGGACCATAGCTTCCAGGATGCTGACGAAAAGTGGGCTCAAAGAGAACAGTAAGAATAGAGGTGAATGTGGCCGGGTGTGGTGGCTCATGCCTGTAATCCCAGCACTTTGGGAGGCCGAGGTGGGAGGATCACGAGGTCAAGAGATCGAGACCATCCTGGCCAACATGGTGAAACCCCATCTTTACTAAAAACACAAACATTAGCTGGGTGTGGTGGTGGGCACCTGTAGTCCCAGCTACTCGGGAGGCTGAGGCAGAAGAATTGCTTGAACCCAGGAGGCAGAAGTTGTAGTGAACCGAGATCATGCCACTGCACTCCAGCCTGGTGACAGAGTGAGACTCTGTCTCAAAACAATAGAGGTGAATGTGTGTTGGGAAATATGTGTTGGGAAAGACAAAGACCATTAATATGCATTGCAGGCTCAAAAAGCCTTCTAGGCACAGGACCAACAGGGTACCCCAGACTCTCACCTTCCCATGTGTAGTACTGTAACAGTTAAACAGAAGAAGAACCAGTATAACTCACCCCATTTTTGTTTAAGGATCCTTTACCCTGCACGTAGGCTGGGATAATTTTAGAGCACTGAGATAATAATGCAAAAACAGCAATCAGTAGCTTTTGAAACTAACTCTGGGATGAAAGGAAAAGTGTATAAGCAGCTAACTAGGTTTTGTTAAAGATTTGCAGGAGCATTGTGAGCTGATCAAGGACAGAGAAGTTCCTGGCCTTTACAGATCCTCGTTGGCATACGGATATCTGCAGTCATCGGTCACCTCTTGATCCCAATTCCTTCCTTTTCCCCTCCTCTTAACATAAAAGGAGGCTGAACGTTTTACTGACTTAAGATGGTTTCTTAGGAAACTGGTCTGTCTTCTTGCTTTGCTGGCTCTCCAAATAAAGTCACTTTCCTTGCTTTCCAACTCCTTGTCTCTCAACTTACTGGCTATTATACAGTGAGCAGAGTGAGTTTGGACTTGGTTATAGTATACTGCATTTTCTGAAGATAGTCTCCACGCCTCCCACCCCACGTACCTCCCTTGCAGTGCGTTATTTTCGCCCTTCTGACCTAGTGGATGAATGTTCGTCTCCTGCGCTAGGACCTGGGCAGCCCCTGGTACTGTCTCCACCAATAGAGTACAATATAAATGATACAATGTGACTTTCAAGGTGGGGTCATAAAAATACCTTGCCTTGGAAGCTCACCTGTGGAACACAGCCACCATGCTGTGAGGAAGCCCAAGCAGCCCACAGACTGGCCCACATGGAGAGAAATGCAGAGCCCTGAACCACAGCCCCAGCTGAGCTCCTGGGCAACAGCCAGCACCGACCTGCCAGACATGTGAGTGCGCTATCTTGAAAGTAGATTCTTCAATACCAGGATAAACTGCCCTAGGTGATGCTGTTTGGAGCAGAGGTGGGCTGTCTTCTTTGAAACCTGCAGATTGTGAGCAAAATCAATAATTGTTGCTAAGTTGCCAGGTTTTGGGTGGTTTATTGCACAGGAATATAGAACTGATTGTGTTATTTTATTTATTAATTTATTTTAGAGATGGGGTCTTGCTCTGTTGTCCAGACTGGAGTGCACTGGTATGATAATAATTCACTGCAGCCTTGAGCTCTTGCGCTGAAGTGATCATCCCACCACAGCTTCTTGAGTAGCTAGGACTGCAGGCATGTGCTACCACGCCTGGCTAATGTTTTATTTTTAAATTTTTATTGTAGAGACAAGGTCTTATTATGTAGCCTAGGATGGTCCTGAACTCCTGGCTTCAAGCAATCCTCCCACTTCAGCCTCCCAAAGTGCTAGGATTACAGACATGAGCCACCATGCCTGGCCAATAACTGATTTTAATATGAACTGTCCTCTTGCCACAGCAACACCTTCCAGTCTACTTGCTCTTCTTACAATTTGATGTAGAGAGTCCTCCATCAAGTGATAGGATCTATGTTCCCTCAACTCGAACCTTCGTAGGCTTGTGACCCTGGCATAAATGACACTATAGGACTCCCAAAGTTGGGGTTATAAAAGGTGATACAGGCCAGGCACTGTGGCTCACACCTGCAATCCCAGCACTTTGGGAGGCCGAGGCGGGCAGATCACGAACGAGGTCAGGAGATCGAGACCATCCTGGCTAACGTGGTGAAACCCCGTCTCTACTAAAAATACAGAAAAAATTAGCTGGGCATGGTGGCGGGCGCCTGTAGTCCCAGCTACTCGGGAGGCTGAGGCAGGAGAACGGCACGAACCCGGGAGGCGGAGCTTGCAGTGAGCCAAGATCACGCCACTGCATTCCAGCCTGGGCGACAGAGTGAGACTGTCTCAAAAAAAAAAAAAAAAGGTGATACAGCTTCTCCTTGAGTCTCAGGGGATGCTTACTCTTGGAACCCAGCTGCCATGCTATGAGGAAGCCCAACTAGCCCATGCAAAGAGACTACAGGGAGAGATCACATGTAGGTGCTCCAGCCACCAGCCCAGCTGAGGTCCAGGTCAGCAGCTAGCACCAACTTCCAGATACAAAATCAAGATTGACTCCAGATCTACACGATCCAATATGATAGCCATTGGCCATGTATGGCTATTTGAACTTAAATTAATTGAAGTTAAAATATAGTTTCAAATTCAGTTCTTCATTAGCACTAGCCACATTTCAAGTGCTCAACGGCCACATGTGGCCAGTGGCTGCTGCATTGGATGGTGCTGTTCTAGATGTTTTCAGGGCCCAGGGCTCAAAAGAGCCACCCCTAGCTTTCAAGTCTTTCCAGCAGAGGCTCCAGATGTGGTGGAGGAGCCGAGACAAGCTGTCCCTGAAGATCTGTGTCTGAATTCCTGACACACAGAACATGTGAGCATAATAAAACAATTGGTTCAGCTGGGCGCAGTGGCTCACGCCTGTAATACCAGCACTTTGGGAGGCCAAGGTAGGCAGATCACCTGAGGTTGGGAGTTGGAGACCAGCCTGACCAACATGGAGAAATCCTGTCTCTTCTAAAAATACAAAATTAGCCGGGCGTGGTGGTGCATGCCTGTAATTCCAGCTACTCCGGAGGCTGAGGCAGGAGAATCACTTGAACCCGGGAGGCGGAGGTTGTGATGAGCCAAGATTGTGCCATTGCACTCCAACCTGGGCAACAAGAGTGAAACTCCGTCTCAAAAAAAAAAAAAAATTGCTTCACGTTTCCGAGTTTTGGGGTGGCTTATTGTGCAGCAGTGGTACCTGGAACCCCGCAGAAAGGCATGGGGGATCAGGCACGGCTGAATGCACATTGGCATTGACCTGGAAGAAGACCCTGTTCTCTGCTGCCTTGCACTATAAAGGAATCGGAGGGGGCAGGAATCACTTGAATGGGGTTATTGCCTTGCTCCTGTGTGAAACATCCTCTTATTGGATGCCAAGTGCCTGGGAACTTTGCATACTGGCTGGTATGGTTTGGATCTGTGTCTTGCCCAAATCTCATGTGGAACTCTAATCCCCCATGTTGGAGGTGGGCCCAGTGGAGGTGATTGGATCACCGGGGAAGATTTCCCTTGAGTGATTTAGCACCATCCTCTCGGTGCTGTTCTTGTAAAAGTGAGTGAGTTCTCCTGAGATTGGGTTGTTTAAAGGCGCATGACACCTCTCCCCTCCCTTTCTCTTGCTGCCGCTCCTTCTATGTACGACGCCGGCTTCGCCTTAGCCTTCTGCCACGATTGGAAGCTTCCCAAAGCCTCCCCAAAAAGAGAAGCCACTATGCTTCCTGCCCAGCCTGCAGAACTGTAAGCCAACTAAATCTCTTTCCTTTATAAATTTTCCAGTCTCAGGTACTTCTTTTCTTTTCTTTTTTTCTTTTTCTTTCTTTTTTCTTCTCTCTGTCTCGCTTTTTTTTTTTTTTTTTTTTTTGAGACAGAGTCTCGTTCTGTTGCTCAGGCTGGAATGCAGTGGCACGATCTTGGCTCACTGCAACCTCTGCCTCCTGGGTTCAAGTGATTCTCCTGCCTCAGCCTCCTGACTAGCTGGGACTACAGGCATGCACCACCACGCTCGGCTAATTTTTTTGCATTTTTAGTAGAGACGGGGTTTCACCATGTTGGCCAGGCTGGTCTCGAACTCCTGACCTCTGGTGATCTGCCTGCCTCGGCCTCCTCCCAAAGTGCTGGGATTACAGGCGTGAGCCACCGTGCCCGGCCTCAGGTATTTCTTTATAGCAATGTGAAAACCCACTAATACACCAGCCTTTTTCCAGCAGGTGGCCTTGCACACTCATTTGTCTCTGTTCCATTTTTGTTCCCTATTTGCCACTAAAAGAGTTTCCAAGTGATTCTTTTTTTTTTGGGGGGGTGACTTTTGGACAATAATAGAAATGCACATAAATTTCAACTTGGGTAGAATAAAAATCACATATATTTTATAAATAGTAAGGCAGCTGCTATGACCAAGGTGTTTCTTGGGCAATAAAAGTGAACATGTTTGATTTCTTTTTCTCTAAGATGCAGCCTATCTGGCCATTAGAAAAACAGTTGTTTGGAATGAAAATGAGTAAAAAAAGTAAAGTAAAAAGTGGAGTTAAAAGAAACTGTCGATTTGGAGTCAACTTTGATAGGCAGGAGAGTGAGTTCAGATCTATGATAGCTATGCTTTTGTAGCTCTATTTTCCTTTGTTAGTAATTCCTGCATACCACATTTTCTCACTTATAGGTGGAAACTAAGCATTCAGTGCCCAAGGCCATAAATTTGGGAACAATAGGCTGGGCACGGTGGCTCATGCCTATAATCCCAGCAATTTGGGAGACTGAGGCAGTTGGATCACTTGAGATCAGGAGTTCAAGACCAGCCTGGCCAATATGGTGAAACCCCGTCTCTACTAAAAATACAAAAATTTGTCGGATGTGGCGATGCATGCCTGTAATCCCAGCTACTCAGGAGGCTGAGGCAGGAGAATCGCTTGAACCCCTGGAGGGGGAGGTTGCAGTGAGCCGAGATCATGCCACTGCACTACAGCCTGGGCGACAGAGTGAGACTCCGTCTCAAATAAAGAAAAATATATGGGAACAATAGACACTAGAGACTATTAGGCAGGGATGGAGGGAAGTGGCTGATGAAATACCTTTCAACACTCCACTCCACCTGGGTGATGGGATCCGTACTCCAAACCTCAGCATCACGCAATATTTATTCCCACGTAACAAGTCTGCACATGTACCCCCATATGTAAAATAAAGTAGAAATTAAAAAATTTATATTCGTGTGGTGGTTCACGCCTGTCACCCCAGCACTTTGGGAGGCCGAGGCGGGTGGATCATGAGGTCAAGAGATGGAGACCATCCTGGCCAACATGGTGAAACCCCGTCTCTACTAAAATACAAAAATTAGCTGGGTGTGGTGGTGCCCACCAGTGTCCCAGCTACTGGGGAGACTAAGGCAGGAAAATCGCTTGAACCCAGGAGGCAGAGGTTGCAGTGAGCCGAGATTGCACCACTGCACTGCAGCCTGGTGTCAGAGCAAGATTCCATCTCAAAAAATATATATATACAAATATATATTTTATATAATATATATATTTTATATAATATATATTTTATATAATATATATTTTTTATTATATATAATATATGTATTTTATATTATATATTATATAATATATATTTTTTACATAATAGATAATATATATCATATAAGATATATGTATATATCTTATATAAGATATAAGTATATATCTTATATAAGATATAATCTATATTTTATTATATAATAATATATAATATATATTATTATTATATATTATATAATATAATATATATAATATATATTATAATATATATTATATAATATAATATATATAATATATATTATATAAATTATAATATATATAATATATATTATATATATTATAATATATATAATATATATTATATATATTATAATATATATAATATATATTATATATAATTATAATATATATAATATATATTATATAATAATATATGTATAAAATATATAAAATATATATTATACACATATTTGTTGTGTCTATATATATGTATTTGTTGAGTAAAAAAGAAAAATAATTTCTGCCCACCTGGGAGGCATAAAGACCTGCAAAAGATGAAGTGTTTGATTTTGAGGGTGACTGAAACCCTTGGACTGCTCCCCAGTGTCTAGAAAGGATGGGTCACAGGACCACGGAGATGGAAGGGGTGACCAGGTTTCAGGGATGAGGGCAGCATCTCCACTCTTTGTGCCTTATGGACATCTGGAACATTGTGCTACTCTTACAGAGCCCAAAGCATAGACTTTGTGTGGACACAGGAAACAAATAACCATTGTGCTTCATGTATATTCAGTTCCTAGACTTGGTAGAGAAGGAATCAAACCTACAAGTATGTTTAAAGCTACTTATATGTTTGATTTCTTCTCTCTATATAAATATGTATTATAGTTATATATTTGAATCTATTCAAAGCTACTTATATGTTTGATTTCTTATATATAAATATGTATGTTTATTATATATACATATACACATTACACACACGTGCATATATAATCCCATTTTGCATACATATCATATACAATATGAATTATATTATTATTTAATTAATACATATAATATAATAATTAAAATAGTTTATAACAAAATATGTTATATCAATATACAATAGAAACAATAATTTATATTAACTTAATAAAAATAATAAATCACGAAATATATTTAAAGTATTAAATATTGTATAAACATGAGATATATTCAAAGTGTAGATATACAATATATAGTCAAAATATATATACATAATATGTAGTCAAAGGGCATATATAATACACATTATACATGTACACACACATACTCTGAGACAATTGAAATAAATATTTCACAAACCTTCCAGATTACTCTTTTCCTTCGAACAGGGATCCTCAAACTATGGCCTACAGCCTGTTTTAGCGAATAAAGTTTTATTGGAACACAGCCATGCTCACTTGTTCATGTGCTGTCTATGGCAGCCTTTGAACTGTAGAGGCAGAGTTGAGTGGTTAGGACAGAACCCATGAGGCTCACAGAACCAAAGATATTTACTCTCTGGCCCTTTACAAAGTTCACTGTCCCTGCTTTAGCATGTGGTCCGACTTGAGTTTCACATGTTGAGTGTGTTTTTCATTTCACACCGAGGGCTTGGGCTGATAGCACTGAGCAATGGACCCTCCCAGAAGCTGGAGTGTGTGTGAAATATGCAGGGTTTCTTGAAGACTGTGCTTCTGTGATTGAAGCTCTGTTTGGGAAATTCACACACCAAAGATTACGTGGTGCATTCTGCCTTGCTTTGAGGATTTAGGTACACTTAAAAGGTCTTTGTTCTCTGAAGTGAGTCATTGGGTTCATATAGTCAATGAGGCAATTTTCCCACGTAAACTTAGAACCTGGGTCTTGGTTGCTGTCAGGTGAACCATCCTGGAAAGGGATGGGGGAATTTGATCTTTGATCAAAATAGCATCCAGTTTCCGTGAAGCCTCTCAGTTAGGCAAACAGGGAGTAAAGATGCTTCTCAACCAGATTTCAGGTCTACATGCAAGGATAATTCAACTTAGTGGCAGAGGATCTGGGAATCTTGAGAGACGGAAAGGGACAGGAGAGTGAATATTTACAGAAACACTGCAGAATCAACTTTCCTGGGGGGCCTTTCCCCAGACTTTATTCTGAAAATCAATGGCTGCAAATGACTTCAATGCCAATGCAATGCATTTATCTAGACTATTCTTCCTCCTTCCTCCTCCTCCTCCTCCTAATTTTCCTCCTTCTCCCCTCTTCTCATCTCCCCTCTTCTCCTCATCTCCCCTCTTCTCCTCATCTCCCCTCTTCTCCTCCCCCTCCTAATTTTCCTCCTTCTCCTCCTTCTCCTCATCTTCCCTCTTCTCCCCCTTCTCCTCCTAATTTTCCTCCTTCTCCTCCTCCTCCTCATCTTCCCTCTTCTCCCCCTTCTCCTCCTAATTTTCCTTCTCCTCCTTCTCCTTTTTCTCCTCCTCCTCCTCCTAATTTTCCTTCTTCTCCTTCTCCCCTCTTCTCCTCATCTCCCCTCTTCTCCTCCCCCTCCTAATTTTCCTCCTTCTCCTCCTCCTCCTCATCTTCCCTCTTCTCCCCCTTCTAATTTTCCTCCTTCTCCTCCTTCTCCTTTGTCTCCTCCTCCTCCTCCTAATTTTCCTCTTCCTCCTTCTCCTCCTCCTTTTCATCTTCCCTCTCCTCCTCCTCCTAACTTTCCTCCTCCTCCTCTTACTCATCCTCCTCATTCTCCTCTTGTATAAGGCCATTATTGTGTTGCTATAAAGAAATACCCAAGACTGGGTAATTTATAAAGAAAAGAGGTTTAATTGGCTCCCTTTTCTGTAGGCTGTACAGGAAGCATGGTGCTGGCATCTGCTCAGCTTCTAGGGAGGCCTCAGGAAGCTTCAGAAGATGAAGGTGGAGCAGGCATGTCATCGCATGGCCAGGGCAGGAGCAGGAGACTGAGAGCAGGAGGTGCTGCACACTTTCAACCAGATCTCATAATAACTCACTCTTTATCTGATATGGTTTGGCTCTGTGTCCCCACCCAAATCTCACCTTGAATTGTAATAATCCCCATGTATCATGGGAGGGACCCAGAGGGAGGTAATTGAATCATGGGGGTGGGTATTTGCTGTGCTGTTCTCATGACAGTGAATAAGTCTCATGAGATCTGATGGTTTTATAAAGGGGCTTTCCCCTGCACATACTCTCTTGCCTGCCACCATGTAAGACGTGACTTTGCTTCTCCTTTGCCTTCCGCCATGATTGTGAGGCCTCCCCAGCCATGTGGAATTGTGAGCCCATGAAACCTCTTTCCTTTATAAATTACCCAGTCTTGGGTATGTCTTTATTAGTAGCATGAGAACAGACTAATACATTATCGCAGTAAGAACAGTACCAAGGAGGATGGTGCTAAACCATTTTTGAGAATAAACGATCGCCCATGATCCAATCACCTCCGACCAGGCCCCACCTCCAACGCTGGGGATTATAATTCAATATGAGATTTGGGCGGGGACACAGATCCAAAAACTACATCACCTTCTCCTCCTCCTCCTCACTTTCCTCCTTTTTCTCCTTCTCCTCCTTCTTTCTTCCCTCAATTCTCAAACCAAGTTTGGTAAGGAAAACAAAGCGAGCCCTTCATTCAATTCAACAAACGGGACTGGGCACAGCTATGTGCAGGTGCCAGCCAGGCCCTGGGGATACAAAGACCCATCCCTGGCCTCGTGGAGCTGAGATTCTGGGTCCCATCATACCTCTCTCCTCTCTGGTATTGGCTCCAGAATCTGTATGGCAACTCCATGGACTCCTATTAGCACCAAATACCCTATGGTTTCTGCTGCAGAACATTTCTTTCAGAATATGTAAAGAAGAGCAGGTAAGTAAACAGTCTAGAACTGTAGAGATAATGAATTCATCTATCAATATTTCATCCTTTACTTTCTCAATTAATCCATGCTGTTTGCAGAGAAACCAAACAACAAACTCAACAAAAAGATAAAGAGGGAAAGTTGCCCACAACTCCATCTCCCTACTGAGAGCCTGCTGTTAACATCTTAAGGGTTTTCCTTCTATGTTTATTTCTATGCAAATACCTGTGCAGTTTTTACAAAATTAGGATTCCATGATATATATAGTCCTGTGATCTGTTTCTCTCACTTAAAATACGTTTTATTTTCTTCTAAGTCAAATGAACTTTCTAACCTGAGCTGAGAAAAACAGGACAAATAATCAATGCTGTTTTATGTTATTTGCTTATTGAAACGTTTGAAGTTGTGGATCCTTGTGTCAGGGGCGCAGGCTACAAATATATTACCTGAAGAGATGTAATTAATTACAGGATTTAAATAGTTCAGCAAGAAAAATAATTGACAATATGTGTCTCTAAAGGAGTCTGTCTCTGTGGCTTGGTCAATTCTATTAAGTTGGTGAGAAAGTATTTGTGGTTTTTGCCATTTAGAAAAGTAATGGCAAAAACTGCAATTACTTTTGCACGAACCTAATAAACAATGCTCTGAAATGGGAACCAAGGGTTGTGGGCTTGGTTGATGGAAGCCAAAGACAGTTTGTTTACAGTTGTTGTCTCCAGGGTCTCTGTGTTAAAATTTGGAAAATTTTGGCCAGCTCCTATGGAGTTAGAGCGCTGACATTTGGGTCGGGAAGGGGGATATCAATGATTAGTGGTTGCTGTGGACTGAATGTTTGTGTCTGCCCCTAATTCACCTGTTGAAGCCCTAATCCTCACTGTAATGGTCCTCAGTGATGGGAGTAATTAAGTCATAAGGGTGGAGCCTTCATGAATGGGATTCCTGCCCTTATAAGAAGAGACATCAGGGAGTTCTCTCTCTCTCTCTCTCTCCTTCTCTCTGTCTCTCTCTCTCTCTCTCTCTTTCTCTGTCTGTCTCTCTCTCTCTCTCCCCTTCTCTCTCTCTCTCCCCTTCTCTCTCTCTTCTCTCTTTTTCACCCTCTCTGAGTGAAGACACAGCAAGAAGGCTGCGTCTTCAAACCAGGAAGCAGACCCTTGCCAGGACCTGACCATGTTGGCACGTTGATCTCTGACTTCTGGCCCCCAGAACTGTGAGAAAGAAATGTTTGTTGTTTAAGCCACTCAGTCTATGGTATTGCTGTTAATGTAACCTGAACGAAGGCAATGGTGAACAAAGAGGTTAGATAGGAGGGTGTGATGGTTAATGCTGAGTGTCAAGTTGATTGGATTGAAGAATGTAAAGTATTGTTCCTGGGTGTGTCTGTGAGGGTGTTGCCAAAGGAGATTAACATTTGAGTCAGTGGACTGGAAAAGGCACAGCCACCCTCAATCTGGGTGGGCACCATCTAATCAGCTGCCAGTGCAGCTAGGATAAAAGCAGGTAGAGGAATGTGGAAGGACTAGACTGCCTGAGTCTTCTGGCCTTCATCTTTCTCCCATGCTGGACTCTTCTTGCCCTTGAACATCGGACTCAAGTTCTTCAGCTTTTGGACTCTTGGACCTACACCAGTGGTTTGCCAGGGGCTCTCGGGCCTTCGGCTGTAGACTGAAGGCTGCACTGTTCGCTTCCCTACTTTTGAGGTTTTGGGACTTGGACTGGCTTCCTTGCTCCTCAGATTGCAGACGGCCTATTGTGGGACCTCACCATGTGATCAAGTGAGTCAATTCTCCTTAATAAACTCCCCTTCATATATACATCTGTCCTATTAGTCCTGTCCCTCTAGAGAACCCTAATACAGAAGGAAAAGAGTTAATTGGATTCATACCTTACATTCATGCATTATAAGTGTGCACTGCCTAGTACTGCAGTTTGAGGATCCCCCAGACCACTCCTCCGGTCCCATGATTCATGAGAAGGGCTCCCAGAACTCAGAAAAGATGTTACACTCACAGCTACAATTTATTATAGCAAAAGGATACAGATTAAAATTAGTAAGGAGAAGAGTCCCATAGGACGGGGTCCAGGATAGACCTGGTGCAAGCTTCTAGTTGTCGTTTCCCAGGGCAGTGATGCAGACAGCACTTATTTCTCCTAGTAACTGTGCATGACCACTAGAATGGAGAATTACCAACCAGGGACACTCACCTAGGCCTTGGTGTCTAGAGTTTTTATTGGAGGCTGGATATGTAGGCATGGCCAGCCACTCATGTGGCTGAACTTAGACTCCAGCCCCTGTAGAGGTTGAGCTGATATCATGTGACCCAAAGCCCCCACCATAAATCCCATTGTTAGATTATCTGGCATGGCCCAAGGCCTCCAGGTAAACAAAGACACTCTTACCAGGCAGGGCGTTTGATACAGTTTGGCTGTGTCCCCACTCAAATCTCATCTTGAATTGTAGTTCCCATAATCCCCACGTGTCATGGGAAGGACCAGGTGGAGATAATTGAATTATGGGGGTGGTTTCCTTCATCCTGTTCTTGTGATAGTGAGTAAGTTCTCACCAGATCTGATGGTTTTGTAAGGGGCTTCCCCCTTTGCTTAGCTCTCATTCTTCTCCTTCCTGTTGCCATGTGAAGAAGGGCATATTGGCTTCCCCTTCCACCATGATTGTAAGTTTCCTGAGGCCTCCCCAGCCATGCTGAATTGTGAGTCAATTAAACCTCTTTCTTTTATAAAATACCCAGTCCTGATTATGTCCTCACAACAGTGTGAGAACAGGCTAGTACAGCTTTTCATGTGAGGTAGGAGCTTGGCAGGACTTGTTTTATGGTCACAACCATGCTAACCAAAACAAGATCTATAAGGACAAAAATAAAAAAACCCAAACAAAACAAAACAAAACAAACCCACAGAAACTGGCAGATGGTGAAAAAAGTGATCCCCACCTGCCCTCATTGCTCATTGGCATAAGACACTCTTACCAGCACCCCTCAGCTTGCATTGACCTACCCCTTAATTTGCAGGTAATTAAAAGTGGGTTAACATGAGTATAAATACAGTTGTCAATGGCCCATAGGTTGTGCCTTGCTCCACAAGGAGAAGTACCATTCAAAAAAGATTGCTGTCTAACACCATTGGCTTGCCCTTGAATTCTGTCTTGGGTGAAGCCAAGAACCCTCCTGTTCTAACCCCCATTTTGGGGGCTTGCCTATTCTGCCACATAAGGGCTTAGAGGTTACCTCCCAGGAGCCAGTTAAGGACCAGAGTTTTAATGTGCAGGGTTTGGACAACTAAGACCTGCTGAGTTAACCCTTCACCGCACAGGTCCCTTTTCACCACTGGTTACTTACTCATCAACTGTGCTTTCAATTTCTGTGTCATCCCTAACACTGACTTGAAGCTTAGCCCAGCGTGAAGATGAGAGATGAAGAGTGTCTTTACAGTACCTCCTGCTCAGCCACTTTCTCTCACCTTGCTCTTGAATCTGATTAAGAAACTAATGAAGGATTTATTTATGGCAGAAAATGGTAAGGCTCTTTCTGATGTGCTCATAGTCAAGAAAACAGGTCAACAAGGAATGCTAGCTAAATATAACTCAAAAATGTGGAATTGTGCTCAAAGGATAAATAGCTTCTCAGGATCCAACAGAACCCCATGTAACTGGTACTGTTTAGATTCCCTGGGTACTTGTGAGAGTTAACGAATACAAATGTAGGCTAATAATACAATGAAAGATCAGTAAATGTAATGGAATTATGATGATTTTATTGGGGAATATGATTTTCTTTTTCTCAAGATGTTATTATTCATACTTGAGAATTACATTAGTTCAAATAATTATTGGAGTCTCCAAAGAAAGCACTATGTAACTCTTACAAATACCTTCCCAAGGTGTCAAAAAGAGTTATGCTTGACAAAAATCCTCAAAATGAAGAACACACACACACACACACACACACACACACACACACTCCTTCCTAAGCCACACACATGGGCTTATGGAATTAAACACTCAACACTAGACTTTTTTTTTTAAGGTATATAATCAGCAATAAGTACATAAAATGATGATCAGCCTCATTAGTAACCATGGAAATGCAAATTAAAGCCACACTTACAGGTTGGCAACATTTAGGAAGGTTGACTCTAGGAAACATTGGTGAGAACATGAGTCAACAGGATTATTTGTATTTTACCAGAGATGGTGAAAATTGATGCAATGACCTTGGGAGGCCATTTGGAAATATCTAGTGTTGTTGGCAACACCCCCTACTCCATCAAATTCCAATTCCAATCCTAGGTCCAGATCCTAGAGAAAATCGTACATGTACATTCACAAAGACCCTTTGAGAAGGTTCATAGCTGCATTGTATGCAAAAGGAAAAATGATGGAAATAACAAACTCTCTATCTTTAGGAGTTTGGGCAACGTACAGTGGTACAGCCACACCATGGAATATCTTTGGAGTCTGACAGTGCACATGCTAAAGCTCTTGTCTGCTAGTGCTTGTGGGTGCTTTCTCTGGTCACGGGAACCTAATTAACCTTTTCTCAGCCCCCCTCCCTCCCGCCAGTCTTCAAACAATGACTGCTGGAAGTTGGTGGATAAATAACCCCGGCTCCACCATTCCTCCAACACCTGTTCTTCATGTTCTCCAAGAGTTCTCCAGTGGGACGGGGGCTCGCTGGTGCGCCGTGATAACCTGTGCAGATACACACTGTTGATTGGTTGCTTTCTCTTCCCATCTAACTTCCCTTTGCCTCCTCCTCAGATCACCTCCAAATAAACACCCTGGAGCTTGAACCTTTGTCTCAAGGTCGGCTTTTGGGAAAACCCAGGCTAACACCTGACTCACAAGAAGCTCCCTTTGGGAACATTCCCTCAAAATCTGTTGCTTGGCAATCCTTGGTAAAGGCTCCCGCAGGCCCACCATACCTCCAGTCATAGCAAGAAGCCCACCTTGTCATAGCAGGTCATAGCAAGAAGCATTCATTGTCTCTGCAATTCACCCATTTCTCTCAGCTGACTCCCCTGTGCCCTCTACTTTGTAGCCTACAGGAATAGGAAGGCTCCGATCTCTGGGATATGGTCTCCATGACTACAAGTTTTATAGAGTGACTCCTTCCCACACCGCCATCCACGTTCCCTGACAGCTCCTCTTACCTACTCACCCCACCCTATGCCCACCTGAAGAAAACACTTTTCCGAGAAAATGCATCTGCTAAATCTCTGTAGGTCCTGCTGTCTTTTTTGTTGTTGTTTTGAGATGGGGTTTCACTCTGTCACCCAGGCTGGAGTGCAGTGGTACAATCTTGGCTCACTTCAGCCTTAATTTCTTGGGCTCAAGGGATCCTTCCACCTCAGCCTCCTGAGTAGCTGGGACTACAGGTGTGCACCACCACACCCAGATAACTTTTGTATTAGAGATGGGGTCTCGCCATGTCACCCAGTCTGGTCTCAAACTCCTAAGCTCAAGTGATCCACCTGCCTAGATCTCCCAAAGTGCTGGGATTACAGGCGTGTGTGTGACCACCGTACTCGGCCAGGTCCTGCGGTCTTGATCACACACCTGCACACCAGAGAACACAGAGGAACAGTAATCTGTTTGCCACGGTCAGACTTTTAGGTACCTTTCAATCAATCAGAGATTTTTTTTCTGGACAAAACCACATGATTTTGCAAAAACAACCCTTATCTTTTGATAAAGGACCTTATTATACAGCTGTCTTCCCTCATAATCATATTTGAGAAGGTTATGCCACACCACGGATTGGGGAGGGGTACCCGATAACTGTTGGATGATGATTTTCAAATTAAAAATGTGCACAAATAGCCTACTGTGAGTACCTGAAGATACAATATCTAATAAGCTTCTCAGGAGTGATTTGGAGTCAGATGAATTGGAATAATTATGAAGCAAAATAAAAGTGATTTAATAACCCTAATTTTATTTACAGCAAATGTTAAAATTATCCTAGTTTGAAACTGGCCACTTTAACTAAAAGCAGGACAAATCCTGAAAAAGGGCTTTAAACCTCAAAAATCTGATTTAGTGAGGTTCAAAGCTGGAAGGTCCTACATCTTCTTATGTTTCCTTAAATCTCTTCTGGAACAAGAAGGGTTCTAGATGAAGTAAACATTTAATTTATTTTTGTACAAACGAGGAAACTCTTGAGATTGAAGAGGGATGCAAAAATATAAATAATTTAAAATATATTTTTATTGGCTAACAAATTGGTTTCATTATATTAATGGACCTATAAAATAATTCCTTTCAAAAACTGTTTTTTTAAAAGTAAATCTTAAAAAAATAATTGCAATCGATATGCATGTATTACCTGCGTAAATCTATAAGCAGTTTATTGCTACCTTAAGAAAAAGTAATTTTAAATTTGTTATATTAATGATCTGACACTAAACACTAAAATAAGAAGAATATTTATGCTTGCTAGCTGTTCACATATTTCTCTCTGTTTCTCAGCCATATCTACTTCCAACACCACATGACTGGCATTTTTCTGAAAAATGAAGTTTTTCAATATTGTTTTATGTTATTTTTCATAAAGTTGCCTGCAATCTTCCTCAAAGTGGCTTTTATGGTTAATGAATTTGAAAATGTTGACACCTTCAATTGATTCTTCTCAGTCAGTCACAATATTTTAAATTGTAAAAATGCTTCTCTCTACAGATGCTGAGGTATTTGGTAATCTCAGAGCCATTCTGATACAGGGAGGTTATTATCAGTTTTAATATTTTTGTGTTAAAATGTGTAAATATTTCAGTCCAATTTTTTACAGATCTTGTCTTTTTGCTTCCATTCAGAATACCTTGACAAATACTCTTATAAATAAAAATTTGTGAAATAATTTCCTTTAGTTTTGATTCTTTTGAGTGTTTTGCTAACAATCAGAGCTGCTGGGAAATGATAGGTACTGAGTATCAATTTATCAAATTATAAATAGGAGCTGCATCAAAAGATTTTCCCTGTACATCTAGATTACTCCCAAACACAATTTTAGAAGTTTAAAATTAAATCTTGTACACGGCTTGAGCTCACATCAATTAAGTTGTTTACTTCCAGGCTTGCTTTTGTGGGGACAAATTTCAATACCTTCCTGATTGCAGACTTTATTTCCAATAATTGCATTTTGCTAAGATCTTCAAGTGTTGGAGATCTTTCAGTATGCCATGATTACTTTAATTAAAAATTTCCAACTGACTTGAAAAAAAATTCATCCAAAATTTGGAAGACTCATTTACAAAAATAATAGTCACTGTCATTGTGGGAGACTTATTTAAATAGTGTTCTATTTTAAAGTACTTAAAGGCTCAAACATTTCTAAAATGCATTGCAGGTGAAAAGCAAGGAATGTGTTCATTAAAAAAAAAAATCATCTGGCTGGGCACAGTGGCTCACACCTTTAATCCTAGCACTTTGGGAGGCCAAGGCGGGTAGATCACCTGACGTCAGGATTTCGAGACCAGCCTGGCCAACACATTGAAACCCCACCTCTACTAAAAATACAAAAATTAGCTGGGCGTGGTGGCATGTGCCTGTGGTCCCAGCTACTCGGGAGGCTGTGGCAGGAGAATCGCTTGAACTCAGGAGTTGGAGGTTGCAGTGAGCTGAGATTGTGCCATTGCACTCCAGCCTGGGTGACAGAGCGAGACTCTGTGAAAAAAAAAAAAAGCATAAACATCATTTAAATAATTTTGTAGTTTGGTCACTCTTAAATAAAATATTTGTAAGTTGCAGCAGGCATAGTTTCTGTTTCTATTGATGGAATATTTGCTGCATATTTGGGAATAATTATGTATGTAGCACAACACGTTCCAAGTACAATTTTTGTTCCTTAGGTTGTGTAATTTGGTAAGAATGATCTTTCTACCTTGACACTGTGCTCCGTTAAAATCTGTCATCATCATGGTCAAAAAATTATTTTATCTTCAATATTGAACTTAACTGAATTGTCAATAGCATTTATGATAATTTTAGATGCTTCACCTTCAACAGGATGAATTTTCAAGGGTTTTATTTTGATCATATGAATTGGATGAAAAAAATCCAACTGGAATTGGAATTATCTGATTTTCAATTCAAAACATCTTTTGACCTTTATACAAAACTGGCATCGCTTAATTGTTCCTGAAATTCCTCTGTTAACAAAGATGGCACATAGTGGAGCGAAGCTATTGCTTCACCCTTTGCACATATGCAGGAAAAGTTGGAGTGAAAATGAGCAATATTAACTTAGAAGAAAAGTCACTTGATCTAAATGAAAACTCATGCTTCATGGAGTGCTACCTAAATGAACTTCCACAGCCGCACGTGGTGAATTGTCATCTTTGAGCACAGTCTTCTTAAAATGTCAATTAGCTCTTGAAGGAGATGCTAAAGCTTCTTCAGCAGGCAGGTTTTTCTTTCTCTGGTTTTTATATGAGGGTTGCTTTCACTGTGGTCCCCCTGGTATGTCAGCAAGCTTTTTGTGTCAATTATGTATTCGTCATCAACTTTCTTGAGAAATGAAAACTCAGTACTTCATTTTCACGAAACGCACACTTTTGCTTTTCTTTGTTTATTACTACCTTAAGGGTTTGTTGCAAAATTTAAAAAGACATTGCCAAACTATAAAATACAAATCTAGTTGTAGGTTTGCTCCATGCACTAAACATCCACTGTACTCTCGCAAGAGCATTCAGATTATTCTAACAGATCTTACGGCACAGCGTTTCCCACATAAACTTCTCATGCACCCATCTATCTCTTCCTGTGTTTCTCAGTGACCCAAACAACCTGTGGTCTTGTGGTTTCATGGGTTTGGAGTGTGTATTAATCTATTCTCACACTGCTATAAAGAACTGCCTGAGACTGGGTGATTTATAAAGGACAGAGGTTTAATTGACTCACAGTTCCACATGGCTGGGGAGGCCTCAGGAAACTTACAGTCATGATGGAAGGTGAAGGGGAAGCTAGGACCTTCTTCACATGCCAGCAGGAAAGAGAAGCGGAGCACAGGAAAAAATGCCATTTATAAAACCCTCAGATCTCATGAGAACTCACTCACCATCATGAGAACAGCATGGGGAAATCCACCCCCATAATCCAATCACTTCCCTCCCTTGACACATGGGGATTACAACTGGAGATGAGATTTGGGTGGGGACACAGAGTCAAACCATATCAGAAAGTAAAGCATAGGCTCTGTTCATCCAACTGTCCACCCCACAGGGACTGATAGGGGCAGCTATGCTGAATATCACCACTGCTACTCAGGACTGCATGGGGTGAGCTGTGTCTAGCCTCTTCTGTCCAAGTGCACTTCATTTTTATCAGCCAGACAACTTTATTTTATCAGCAAGTCCCCTACATGCTCTCCTTGAAAGAGAAGTATCAGTTGGTGTTGGGTATAGTTGGGAAACAGGGGACAGATTATGATATATCAACTTTCAGATTTTGCCATATGTGAGTATGAGAACTCCATTTCCTGCACACTTGTCTCATACACGACCAGATAAGATGATGGCAGGAGCTTCCAGTACACGAAGTGGAGGCCCATCTGGTCTTATCCTATTTATAACACCGTGTTGTTAGAAATGAGAACTCGAAGACAAATGCTAACCTGCGACAATAGGGATAAAGTGATTCTGTCTCAGGAAAGTTGAGAAGTTTGGTCACCCTAATGATAATAGGCAGATAGGTAGGTAGACAAATAGATCACCAGGTAAATGATAGATGATTGGTAGATAGGTGATAGGTAGATATGTGATGGATAAACAATAAATAAATGATAGGTGATAGATCATAGGTAAGTAAATAGATGATAGATGAATAAATGGATGAATAGGTGATAGAGTTATACATAGATGGCAGATAGAGAGGTAGGTAGGTAAACAGAGATAGAGATAGATGATAGATAAATGATAGACAGATGATAGGTAATATAGAGAGATGATATAGATAGATGATATAGATAGATGATATAGATGGATAAATGATATAGATAGAAAAATACATCGATAGATAGATGATAGATATAGATGACAGATGATGTAGATAGATGAGATAGATGAGATAGATAGATGAGTTAGATATACATGATAGATAGATATAGATATTAGATGATAAACAGGTGATAGATGATATAGATAGATGAAATAGATAGAAGAGTTAGATAGACATAGATGTCAGATGGTAAATAGGTGACAGATGATATAGATAGGGTGATAGATAGACATAGATAGATGATCAATTGACAGAGCCTACAATAATTTCGCTAATAGTCAATTTTGGAGCCAACTGTGTTTCAGTTAACCACTAATATTTGGCACATTTACTATTTTGTGAAAGGTCGAACACAAGTGTGGTTTTACCATGTACTGAGAAGTCTTCTACTCTAAGAACTTACAGTTAATCTCTCTGAGTTTCAGCTCCCTTTTTTTTTTTTTTTTTTTTTGAGATGCAGTCTCACTCTGCCGTTCAGGCTGGAGTGCAGCGGCACAATCTTGGGTCACTGCAACTTGTGCCTCCCCAGTTCAAACGATTCTCCTGTCTCAGCTTCCTGAGTAGCTGGGACTACAGGTGCACGCCACCATGCCCGGCTAATTTTTGCATTTTTAGTAGAGACAGAGTTTCACCAAGTTGGTCAGGCTGGTCTTGAACTCCTGACCTTGTGATCCACCCGCCTCGGCATCCCAAAGTGCTGGGATTGCAGGCGTGAGCCGCTGTGCCCGGCTCATCTCCCTTATTTTTAAAAGGAAGAGAAAAAAGCACTTTCAGCTCACTGTACAAAAGTGTGATTTGAAATAAGGTGCTATCTGTGAGCATGCTTTGAAAAATGTGAACTAAAGGCATCCTCTTTTCATAAGGAGAAAACCTTCAACATAACATCTCAGCCATTCCAAACTGCATCTGCATTTCTGCTGGTTCTACCAGGGAAGAAAAATATATTATTTCATATTCCAGCAAGATGAAAGGCAGGGAGTGGGCGTGACAGTTTATATTCTTATACAGATTTCCTTTTCTTCCCACTGAAAGGCATCACTTACTGTGTTTGATTTTTAATTTAAAAATGTTTATCGAAGTATTATGTACACATAGCTTAAAAATCAAATAGTATCACATGTTTATGATGAGAATCAATCCCCCCATCCACAAGTCCTACTTCTCACAGAAAACCACTTTTAACTTGTTTTTCTTGTGATAAAATATACATAACATAACATTTATTATTTTCATCATGTTTAAATGCACAGTTGAGTGGCATTAAGCACGTTCACAGTATTGAGCAGCTGTCACCACCATCATCTCCAAAACCTTTTCATCTTCCCAAACGGAAACTGTGTCCCCATGAAACACTCAGTCCCCAGCCCCCTCCCCAGCCCCTGGCACCCGCCATTCTACTTTGTGTCTGCATGAATCTGACTCCCCTAGGAACCTCCTATAAGTGGAATCATATAGTATATGTCTTTTTGTGTCTGACTTATCTCACTTAGCCAGTCCGCAAGGTTCACTCATGTAGTTGAGTGTGGGTCAGAATTCCCCTCATTTTTTAACCTGAATAATTCTCCATTGGGTGGAAAGACCTGATTTGTTCATCCACTCATCCACTGATGGACACTTGAGTTGCTTCCTCCCTGCGGCTGTAGTGAATACTGCCGCTATGAACACGGTGGTAAAAAGAGCTGTTAGAGTCCCTGCTTTCACTTTTGTGTTCTATACCCAGAATCATTTTTGGTATAATTCTATTTTTTTTTTTGAGACAGGGTCTCCGTCCATCGCCTAGGCTGGAGCCCAGTGGCATGAGCTCAGCTCTGCTGCCTCCACCTCTCAGGTTCAAGCAATTCTCATGCCTCAGCCTCCCAAGTAGCTGAGATGACAGGTGCATGCCACCATGCCCAGTTAATTTTTGTATTTTTAGTAGAGACGGGGGTGGCGGGCAGGGGAGTTCGCCAGGTTGGCCGGACTGGTCTCAAACTCCTGAGCTCAAAGTGATCCTCCTGTCTCAGCCTCCCAAAGTGTAGGATTACAGGTGTAAGCCACTGTGCCCAGCACCCAGAACCACTTAACTTTTGACAGGTTTCTTTTTTTTTTTTCAGGTGAATCTCTTGCAAAACTCTAAATAATGTGCCGATCTAGCTGTGCTTTTATTTTTAAACTTGAGGCCTCTGTTAAGTCTCTGCTCCAACAGATGAAGACTTTGCTCTTGTATCTGCATCCCCCATACTTCCTTCTCAGGCTCCCAATATTTTGAGTTAAATGAATACATGGAACTGACATGACTGGTGTTCACTGCAGAGCTCAACAGCACACTCTACTCGCATGTTCTTTCCACAGTGACAGTCCTTTCCTGGGAGCCTTTGATTCTCAATTCCCCTGTGCCCAGGGATGCTGTTTCCTCCAATTGTTTCTTTCTTTCTTTTTTTTTTTTTTGCGACGGAGTCTCGTTCCATCACCAGGCTGGAGTGTGCAGTGGCGTGATCTCGACTCACTGCAACTTCCACTTCCCAGGTTCAAGCAATTCTCCTGCCTCAGCCTCCCGAGTAGCTGGGATTACAGGTGCGTGCCACCACACCCAGCTAATTTTTCTATTTTTTTTAGTAGAGACGGGATTTCACCATGTTGGTCAGGCTGGTCTCGATCTCGTGACCTCGTGATCCACCCGCCTCGGCCTCCCAAAGTGCTGGGATTACAGGCATGAGCCACCGTGCCCAGCCACATCCAATTGTTTCTTCATCCCAAAGGATAGAAACAGCTGCTAGTCTCTGGGTGTCTCCATTTCCCTTGTTCTCTTTTGTCTCCTTAACTAACAAAAAACCGGAGTCATTGCCCCATTGTTGTTTCTTTATTGGAACCATCTGTGGTCAGTCTGATAAACCACACCTTCTCCTCTCCCTGTGTGATATCTTGTTTTGCTGGAGCACTTTATCAAGAGCTTGAAAAGAAAGTCATGCACAAGAATCACTTTTTTCTAAGTTCTGGCCTGTCTGATAATGTCTTTTTTCTCATTTCTTTCTTTCTTTCTTTCCTTCCTTCCTTCCTTCCTTCCTTCCTTCCTTCCTTCCTTCCTTCCTTCCTTTCTTTCTTTCTTTCTTTCCTTTCTTTCTTTCTTTCTTTCTTTCTTTCCTTCCTTCCTTTCTTTCTTTTTCTTTCTTTCTTTCTTTCCTTCTTTGTTTGTTTGTTTGTTTGTTTGTTTCTTTCTTTCTTTCTTTCTTTCCTTCTTTCTTTCTCTCTTTCTTTCTTTCTTTTCTTTTCTTTTTTTTTTTTGACAGGGTCTCAGTTTGTCTCCCAGGCTGGAGCACAGTGGCATGATCTCTGCTCACTGCAACCTCCACCTCCCAGGTTCAAGCAATTTTTCTGCCCCAGCCTCCCGAGTATCTGGGATTACAGGCACCCACCACCATGCCCGGCTAATTTTTGTATTTTTAGTAGAGATGGGGTTTCACCACATTGGCCAGGCAGGTCTTGAACTCCTGACCTCAAGTGATCCGTCTGCCTCGGCCTCCCAGAGTGTTGGGATTACAGGAGTGAGCCACGGCACCCAGCCGATAATGTCTTTTTTCTAAACTCCCTGTCACCTGAAGAATCACAGGTTCATAAATTTGGAAGGGAGAGCTTTATTTCTCATAAAACTTTGCAGCCCACAGCCTGGCTATCTTGCAGACTGGGAGGTGTAGACTCCTGCACAAGCTGAGAACAAGACCCTCGGGAGAGGAAAGCATTAAGAATGAAATGCATGCTGAACAGGCTGGCTATGTGTACATATTCAGACAGCACAGGAGATTCACGAATGTTTATGAAAGGAGAAGCGTGCACATGTGCAACTGAGCGTCATGTTTCTTCGTGGGTTGTGTGTTTAAAAAATGGTTGCATGCAGCCAAAGAAACTATCATCAGTGCAAACAGGCGACCTACAGAGTCGGAGAAAATTTTTGCAATCTACCCATCTGACAAAAGTCTCATATCCAGAATTTACGAGGAACTTAAATAAATTTACAAGAAAAAAACAATCAATCAAAAAGTGGGGGAGGTGGGGGGGTCAGCCCCCTGCCCGGCCAGCCGCCCCATCCGGGAGGTGAGGGGCGCCTCTGCCCGGCCGCCTCTACTGGGAGGAGAGGAGCCCCTCTGCCCGGCCAGCCGCCCCGTCCGGGAGGGAGGTGGGGGGCTCAGCCCCCAGCCCAGCCAGCCGCCCCGTCAGGGAGGGAGGTGGAGGGGTCAGCCCCCTGCCCAGCCAGCCGCCCCGTCCGGGAGGTGAGGGGCGCCTCTGCCCGGCCGCCCCTACTGGGAAGTGAGGAGCCCCTCTGCCCGGCCACCACCCCGTCTGGGAGGTGTACTCAACAGCTCATTGAGAACAGGCCATGATGACAATGGCGGTTTTGTGGAATAGAAAGGGGGGAAAGGTGGGGAAAAGATTGAGAAATCGGACGGTTGCCGTGTCTGTGTAGAAAGAAGTAGACATGGGAGACTTTTCATTTTGTTCTGTACTAAGAAAAATTCTTCTGCCTTGGGATCCTGTTGATCTGTGACCTTACCCCCAACCCTGTGCTCTCTGAAACATCTGCTGTGTCCACTCAGGGTTGAATGGATTAAGGGTGGTGCAAGATGTGCTTTGTTAAACAGATGCTTGAAGGCAGCATGCTCATTAAGAGTCATCGCCACTCCCTAATCTCAAGTACCCAGGGACACAAACACTGCAGAAGGCCGCAGGGTCCTCTGCCTAGGAAAACCAGAGACCTTTGTTCACTTGTTTATCTGCTGACCTTCCCTCCACTATTGTCCTGTGACCCTGCCAAATCCCCCTCTGCGAGAAACACCCAAGAATGATCAATAAAAAAAAAAAAAAAAGACAAAAAAAAAAAAAGTGGGGAAAGGACATGAACAGACACTTCCCAAGAGAAGACATTTATGTGGCCAAACAAACATATGAAAAGGAGCTCAAATCACTGATTAGAGAAATGCAAATCAAAACCACAATGAGATACCATCTCATGCCAATCAGAAAGGCCAGGGGCAGTGGCTCCCTCCTGCAATTCCAGCACTTTGGGAGGCTGAGGAGGGAGGATCACTTGAGGTCAGGAGTTCGAGACCAGCCTGACCAACAGGATGAAACCCTGTCACTACTAAAAATACAAAAATTAGCTGGGCGTGGTGGCAGGTGCCTGTAATCCCAGGTACTCGGGAGGCTGAGGCAGGAGAATCGCTTGGACCCGGGAGGCAGAGGTTGCAGTGAGCTGAGCTCGTGCCACTGCACTCCAGTCTGGGTGACAGAGCGAGACTCCATCTTGAAAAAAAAAAAGTGAAGAAACAACAGATGCTGGCAAGGCTGTGGAGAAATAGGAACACTTTTACACTGTTAGTGGGAATGTAATTTAGTTCAACTATTGTGGAAGACAATGTGGCGATTCCTCAAGGATCTAGAACCAGAAATAAAATTTGACCCAGCAATCCCATTACTGGGCATATACCTGAAGGAATAGAAATCAGTCTATTATAAAGATACATGCACATGTATGTTTATTGCAGCACTATTTACGATAGCAAAAACATGGAATCAAACCACATGCTCACCAATGATAGACTGGATAAAGAAAACATGGTACATATACACCATGGAATACTATGCAGCCATAAAAAGGAGTGAGATCACATCCTTTGAAGGGACATGGATGAAGGTGGAAGCCATCATCCTCAGCAAACTAACACAGGCACAGAAAAACAAACACCACATGTTCTCACTCATAAGTGGGAGCTGAACAATGAGAACACATGGACACAGGGAGGGGAACAATACACACTGAGCCCTGCTGGCAGGGTGAGGGGAGGGAGAGCATCAGGCTAAATAGCTAATGCATGCATGCAGGGTTTAATACCTAGGTGACGGGTTGATAGGTGCAGCAAACCACCATGGCACAACCTATGCAACAAACCTGCACGTTCTGCACATGTATCCTGGAACTTAAAACAGAATAAAATAAAACAAAAAAAATTTTTTTAAATAGTGCATGTTCAAAAAATGATGGCATTAGCATGATCCAGGGGTGCAGTTTTGGGCTCTCTGACATCCAAAGATGAAGCAGGGCTAGAAACCCCTCATTGTGCAGCCTCCATTGCCTGGCCAGAACTCCTCCACGGCTGGTGGTCTCTTAATAGGAAGAAATGCATTGTGAAACTGGTGAGCTCTCATGCCAAGACTGCAAAGAAGGATGAAGTATCCAGTCCTGGCCTCAGACAATTGTCTAAAGGCGATAAAGGAATGAGGCATCTGTTTCTTGTTTTCTAGAGCCTTGGGTTCTGTTTCTTCCTTAGGGAAGAATTCTGCTTAGGGATTAATAAGGAAATAGCATACTGAACTGTGTCCAACCTCCCATTCCATCATGGCTGGGAGCTCAGTTTTTATTTTCTGAGATAGGGTCCTGCTCTGTTGTCCAGACTGGAGTGCAGTGGCACAATCAGGGCTCACTGCAGCCTTAACCTCCTGGGCTCAAGCGATCCTCCTGCCTCAGCCTCCTGAGTAGCTGGGACTACAGGCATAGGCCACCATGCCTGGCTAAATTTTGTATTTTTTGCAGAGATGAAATCTCACTGTGTCACCCAGGCTGGTTTCGAACTCTTGGGTTCAAGCCATCCACCTGCCTGGGCCTCCCAAAATGCTGGGATTACAGGCACGAGCCAAGTTTTTAAAGTTTCTTGGGGGGCCCTTTAGCCCTCTGTTCAATCTGTGGGAGGCTTATCATTTTATCTTTTTTCGTCTGTCATTCCACTATATTGATAGTTTTTCATGGTAAAGAATTCTAAACTGCCAGTACTTTGGGAGGCCGAGGCAGGCGGATCACCTGAGGTCAGGAGTTTGACACCAGCCTGACCAACATGGAGAAACCCTGTCTCTACTAAAAAAAAAAAAAAAAAAAAAAATACAAAATTAGCTGGGCGCGGCAGTGCATGCCTGTAATCCCAGCTACTTGGGAGGCTGATGCAGGAGAATCGCTTGAACCCAGGCGGCAGAGATTGCAGTGAGCTGAAATCGCGCCATTGCACTCAGCTTGGGCAACAAGAGTGAAACTCTGTCTCAAAAAAAAAAAAAAAAAAAAAAGATTTCCAAACTGAAAACCATGTTCCCTTGGACATTTTACAAAATCCACCATTGTGTTCTAACCTCCAGCATTGTTGGGAGGTAAGACACCATTACGATTCTCTGTTCTGCATAGGTGACCTGGTTTTATTTGTTTTCTTTCCTTCTGGGAGCTTCTCTGATACAGAGGGTTCTGGAATGATACCCTACAATAGTGGGTGAGTTATGGCCTTTCTCCATTGCTAGAAATGGTCACAGATTGTTTCTTCTTTTTTTAACTTTTTTTTTTTTTTTGAGAGAGGGTCTCACTCAGTCACCCTGGCTGGAGTGCAGTAGCACAATCATAGCTCACTGCAGCCTCAACCTCCCAGACCCAAACAATCAGCCTCCTGAATAACTAGGACTACAGATGTGTGCCACCATGTCCAGGTAATATTTTAATTTTTTTGTAGAGACAGGATCTTGCCATGTTGCCCAGGCTGGTCTTGAACTCCTGACCTGAAGTGATTCTCCTGCCTTGGCCTCCCAAAGTAGTGGGATTACAGGCATAAGCCCCTGTGCCTGGTGACAGATTGCTTCTTTAATTGCATGTTTCTGTTCTCATATTCTCAGCTCTCTCTTTATGAAACTCCTAGGAGTTGGATGTTTGATCTCCTTGGTTGATTCTGTTTCTTATCTCTTTATATCATGACGCCAGCAAAGTCCAGTTGACACTGGTAAATTTCAACACAAGAAAAAGCTGTTTTACTGGAATATTACAAAAGAAATCTTATTCCATGGCAAAAATGAAGAAAAACAGCTAAAAAATTGCAAAGCAAAAATGAGCGAGCAAGAAACATTTTTTTAAAAAAAACAGTGTTTGTTTTATTTCTTTATCGTCTCTTTCTACCATCTCACTGAAATATGCTGGAGAGGAAAGGAGGCACTTGGCTTTGTTCTCTGCTCTATCATCAGTGCCTGGAAACACTGCCCGACACAAAGGCGGTGCTGAATAAACATTTATGGAATGAATAGCAGCTCCATTAGTTGGCATGCATGGTGATATGGTTTGGCTCTGTGTCCCTACCCAAATCTCATCTTGAATTGTACTCCCATAATTCCCACGTGTTATGGGAGGGACCTATTGGGAGATAATTGAATCACGGAGGTGGTTTCCCCCATACTGTATCTCATAGTAGTGAATAAGTCTCATGAGGTCTAATTTTTTTTTTTTTTTTTTTTTTTTTGAGATGGAGTCTGGCTCTGTCGCCCAGGCTGGAGTGCAGTGTCGTGATCTCGGCTCACTGCAATCTCTACCTCCTGGCTTCAAGCAATTCTCTGCCTCAGCCTCCCAAGTAGCTGGGATTACAGATGCCCGCCACCATGCCCAGCTAATTTTCGTATTTTTAGAAGAGATGGGGTTTCACCATCTTGGCCAGGCTGGTCTTGAACTCCTAACATCGTGGTCCACCTGCCTCAGCCTCCCAAAATGCTGGGATTACAGGTGTGAGCCACCATGCCCGGCTGATCTGATCGTTTTATAAGGGCTTTTGCTTCTTTCTCATGTCTCTTGCAGACACCATCTAAGATGTGCCTTTTGCCTTCCAGCATGATTATGAGGCCTCCCCAGCCACGTGGAACTGTGAGTCCATTAAACCAATTTTTCTTCTAGTCTTGGGTATGTCTTTATCAGCAGTGTGACAACGGACTAATACACATGGCGTCAGGAACCTGGTTACTGGTTCTCTTCCCTCCTAGGCCCCAAGAGCTGAGAACTTGCCTGGAACATGATAGATGTTTATTAAGGAAGTGTTAAGTCAGAAAATTGGTGGGAATCCTGCTGAGAGATTCCAGCCTGCTAGATTAGACCATGAGGACACTTCTCCTGGGGCTGTATTTCTCCAGAGGATAAACTTCTTTTCTTTCTTTCTTTTTTTTTAAATTTTATTTCCATAGGTTATTGGGGAACAGGTGGTGTTTGGTTACATGAGTAAGTTCTTTAGTGGTGATTTGTGAGATTTTCGTGCATCCATCGCCCAAGAGGTATATATCGCACAAATTTGTAGTCTTTTATCCCTCACCCCCTTTCCACACTTTCCCCCTAAGTCCCCAAAGTCCGTTGTGTCATTCCTTTTTTTTTTCTGAGAAGGAATCTCGCTCTGTCACCCCGGCTGGAGTGCAGTGGTACAATCTCGGCTCACTGCAACCTCCGTCTCCCGGGTTCAAGTGATTCTCCTGCCTCAGCCTCCTGAGTAGCTGGGATTATAGGCACCTGCCACCACACTCGGCTAATTTTTGTATTTTTAGTAGAGACGAGGTTTCACCATGTTGGTCAGGCTGGTCTCGAACTCCTGACCTCGTGATTCACCCGCCTCAGCCTCCCAAAATGCTGGGATTACAGGCGTGAGCCACTGTGCCCAGCCTCGTTGTGTCATTCTTATGCCTTTGCATCCTCATAGCTTAGCTCCCACTTATGAGTAAGAGCATGTGCTGTTTGGTAAACTTCCTATCTCTGGTTCGGCATTGGATGCCTGGCTGCCAGGTTCTGTATGGAGGGTGGAGGGATAGGACAGATGGTCTGCGGCCCCATCACAGACATTCAATTCGGCCCCTTGTTCTCAGATCTTATCTTACCTGTGTCATATTGGGGGACTAGATGTCTCGTTTATCTCAAATTCCACGGGAACACACTGGCTCCGTTCTTCTCCCCTTCTCCCTCCCAAAGCTCTCCAAGCTCTGACTCCTGCAGCCTGCAAGAGTGATCACCTCTCCAACTCCCTGTCGCCTTCCACTTCCTACACTGTTCAGTCTCTCACCCACTGACGGTCCCTTTCATAGTCGCTGTGTCAGTGTAAGCTTATGTTTTAAAACATTCCCTTATTATCGTCTTAACTGGGCTTTGGGAAAGAGGGAGAGGAGACATCCTTGGTGCCTAAATTGCCATATTTTGCATGGTTCTCTTCTGCCATAATGGGAGGCAGATGGCTCAGGAGGACGGCATTACATTCAGAAGCAGGGATCGCTGGCTGGGTGCGGTGGCTCACGCCTGTAATCCCAGCAATTTGGGAAGCTGAGGCAGGAGGATCACTTGAGGTCAGGAGTTCGAGACCAGCCTGGCCAACATGGTGAAACCCCATCTCTACTAAAAATACAAAAATTAGATGGGCGTGGTGGCGCTTGCCTGTAATCCCAGCTACTCGGGAGGCTGAGGCAGGAGAACTGCTTGAACCTGGGAGGCGGAGGTTGCAGTGAGCCGAGATCGTGCCATTGCACTCCAGCCTGGGCAACAGAGCAACACTCTGTCTCACTAAATAAATAAATAAATACATACATACATACATACATACATACATACATACATACATACATACACACATACATAAAAGAATCAGGGATCACTGCGCCCCTGACTGGCAAGATAACTGTTCTTCAAATCCTGATGGATGTAATGCCTGCAGTTCACAGTGTTTTCCCCTTTGGTGGCCTCTGAAGGAACAATTCATTATCATGAACAAAGCCACATGGTGGTAAACTCATCACCTGGGGTTACCACCCCAGGACCTGTGAATCTAGGTGGGAACGTACGGTTGCTTCAGACAAGGAAATGAAACGTCGGTCCCTGCTGGGACCCCACAGTACAGACGAGAGCATCTCGAGGTCTCGAGCTCAACTGATGGTGAGAATGTGCTGCTGCACCCTCCACCTGCCAGAAGACGAAACACATTTTCAGGAAGAATGAGTGACCTGGAAAAATGATTCAGTACAGCTGTCAGGAAAATCCAACGAGGACCCGCCTAAGGCTCCGGCTGCCATCGCTGTGCAGAGTAACCAGGGGAGGATAAATGAAGTTGCAGGAGAATCTGAAACCTCCGAGACCTGCAAGAGCCCAAACTGCTGACTCTGTTTGGATCTCTCCCCTCCCTTAGAGAATCCCACAAGGACGGGGCCCATAAACAGTGCTTCGGCGGACTATCATTATTTTGCATTTCTCAGTGACATCGGTGAGCAGCCAGGCAGATAATGCATTTTTTTTTTTCTTTTCCTACAGAACACTGCTTTCGGGAGACATAAAGTATGTGGTTGTGATTCAGGAGGAGAGTGTGACCTCATCTTTAAGCACAGCCTTAATGAAGAGGTAAAAACACTCCAGCTTTGGATGCTGAGGTCAAAGGATGCCACCGATTCTCTTCTTTCGCTGTCCTGGATCGGTTAGTGCTTCCCCAGGGTCCACGTCTTCAGAGAAGGCTAAGGGGGCAGGGCTAATGCCATCTGACATTTCCCAAAAGAAGCCCCTTCATTGATGAGGCAGGGAAAACTAATGCGGGAGGGTCAGCAAAGCTCTGATGCTTCGAAGACAGAGGGCATCTTGGAGCTGAATCTTGAATATCTGAGGTGACAAAGACAGGAACCTTCTAGGGACAGGTAGAGAAGACAGAGCTGGGAGTGAAAGGACAGGGAGGAGAAGCACCTAGACTCAGGCACCTAGTAGCAGAGTGGGGCTTTTTGTCTTCCCAACAAGAGGAGAGTGTCTTTCAGAACCCCTAGAGAAGTATGGATGATCTGCTCAACAGGTCATCCATAGACTCAGTAGAACATTGTGTGTGGTGAGTTTGGGCAACCCTGAAGCTCCCCTGTCTGTGGGCTTATCCATGTCATCTTCCACTTGTATCTTCCATTACTTCTGTTGGTCCTTCCTCTTGTGCCTCTATTGTTTCTTCCTCTTCAGTTCATTTCGTAGGCATTGATGTTTCCCAGGTTTGGGGCTTGGATAATTTTCCTTCTTGCTCTAGTTAAGCAGTTTCCTAACTGTTCTGAGGATATTGGATATTTTACAAAAAAAAGAAAAAAAAAGAAAAGAAAAATCCAAGGTGAAATAAATGTTCAGGAGAACAGGTTACACAATGTGAAATAAGTTTCCTGGCCGGGCACGGTGGTTCATGCCTGTCCTCTCAGCTCTTTGGGAGGCCAAGGTGGGAGGATCACTTGAGGCCAGGAGTTCAAGACCAGCCTGGGCAAGGTAGTGACATCCCCATCTCTACAAAAATTTTTTTTAAAAATTAGCTGGGCATGGTGGTGCATGCCTGTAGTCTCAGCTACTCAGGAGGCTGAGGTGGGAGGATCACTAGAGCCCAGGAGGAGGAGGCTGTGGTGAGCTAAGATTACACCATTGCACCTCAGCCTGGGCAACAGAGTGAGATCCTGTCTCTAAAGAATATAAATAAATAGTAATAATAAGTTTCTTACTGGACATCTCAATCTGCATTGCAAACACCCACCATCCCCTGGAATCAGTATTCAAGGAATCAATTGTTAATAGTTGCCTAAATGGTCTGTTAATGCACTGTCAGTCATCCGGGTGGTGCAAACTATCCCTTAGTCCAGACGCCCCAAATAATGGATTCTTTCCTAGAGCCTTCGGAGAGAGCATGCCCCTATCAGCATTTTGATTTTGGACTTCTGGCCTCCAGAGCTTTGACAGAAGAAATTTCTGTTGTTTTAAGCCACGCAGTTTGTGTTAATGCGTGACAGAAGCCCCAGGAAACGAATAGAAACCTAGACCTAAAAACCTGATACATGGCATCTCTTAACCCCTCTTCTGAGACACTACTAAGATTCTGTTGAGGTGGAAATATACCCAACGGCAGCGGGTGATAAACTCAGCTTTGCTTGGCCAACAGGTTATTCTGGGGGTCTTCCGGGGAGATGACAGTCAGTAAATTTCTTCCTTTACCTCAGACCCTTACTCTTAACCACTATGTTGCATTGACTCCCAAGGCTCTACAAAGAAAAGGCTCAATCATGTAAAGATCTTTTTCTCTATTTGTCTCATGTATCTATCTATTTGTCTATCTACCTCTCTCTCTATATCTATATATATACACACACACACAGACATATATGTATACGCACAAGGGGGTATATATAGTATATGTATATAAATGAGAGAGAGAGAACAGAGAGAGAGAGAACCTGTGGGTCACACCGAAATAATGCTCTTTCTCATTAGGGTTCTCTTCTTGGAATATATTGCATTTGTCCTGAGGTATCTTGGTTTAGAATTTGTCCATTCTTTACTCATTTACTAAATCTTTTTTGGTCTACATACTATTTTACCAAGACCCTTGGGAAACTAGAGGTAATAGGAAAGAAAATAGTTGGTAGCATACAGAGTGAAGAATATTTAAATAAAATAGATTAAGTGGGTAGAACATTCACATCTAAAATGTGTACTACAGATGGATAATGACCTACTACCATATTAGTATTGATGCTCTGCCCAGGATGGAGCCAGTTCCTGCTAACAGCAGTTATTTCGAACAATAGGAGAATTACAGCATGGTTAAAAATACATAGAAAGGGAAGAAAACTCACATTTAATAACATTCAACATGGATGCTTAAAGACCCGCTATTGTATTAGTATTGACAAGGATCAGCAGGACACCTAAATGCCTCAGGTTTTAAATGACAGTCCTGATCGTAAACATTCTGTCTTTTGGTCTGAGCCTGTGGTATAATTTGAAGATTGGAAAGTAGGATTAGGCCCCAGTTAACTGTGAAAACTATCCATCTATTCAAGAAATAGTGGAGTGAAGCAAGTGGAAAGTCATAGATTTTGGACTGAGATACTACAACCGACGGGTACTCCTTTCGGACTCAGATAGTACAACCACTAAGTAAGTACTCCTGTTGGACTCAGAGACTACATCCACTGAGTACTCCTGTTGAAGTCAGATACTACAGCCACTAGGTACTCTGGTTGGACTCAGATACTACAACCAATGGGTACTCCTGTTGGACTCAGATACTGCAACCAATGGGTACTCCAGTTGGACTCAGATACTACATCCACTGAGTACTCCAGTTGGACTCACATACTATAACCGCTGAGTACTTGGTTGGACTCAGATACTACAACCAAGAAAGAGGTACTCCTGTTGGACTCAGATACTACAACCACTGAGTACTCTGGCTGGACTCAGATACTACAACCACTAGGTATTCCTGTTGGACTCAGATACTACAACCACTAAGTACTCTGGTTGGACTCAGACACTATAACCAATGGGTACTCCTGTTGGACTCAGATACTACAACCACTGAAGTACTCTGGCTGGACTCAGACACTACACCCAGTGGGTACTCCTGTTGGACTTGGACACTACAACCAGTGGGTACTCCTGTTGGACACAGATACTACATCTGCTGAGTACTCTGGCTGGACTCAGATACTACAACCAGTGGGTACTCCTGATGGACTCAGATACTAAAACCACTGAGTACGCTGGCTGGACTGGACTCAGATACTACAACCACTGAAGTACTCTGGTTGGACTCAGACACTACAACCAATGGGTACGCCTGTTGGACTCAGAT
Organism: Homo sapiens; assembly: GCF_000001405.40. Taxonomy (NCBI): domain Eukaryota; kingdom Metazoa; phylum Chordata; class Mammalia; order Primates; family Hominidae; genus Homo; species Homo sapiens. Next base: position 4,380,023 of record NC_000007.14, on the reverse strand, counting down.
ACTACACCTGCTGAGTACTCTGACTGGACTCAGATACTACAACCAGTGGGTACTCCTGTTGGACTCAAATACTACAACTGCTGAGTACTCTGGCTGGATTCAGATACTACAACCACTGAGTATTCCCGTTGGACTCTGATACTACTACATCCACTGAGTATTCCCGTTGAACTCAGATACTACAACCAGTGGGTACTCCTGTTGGACTCAGATATTACAACCGCTGAGTACTCTGGCTGGATTCAGATAATACAACCACGGAGTATTCCCACTGGACTCCGACACTACCTCCACTGAGTATTCCTATTGGACGCAGATACTACAACCAATGGGTACTCTGGTTGGACCTAGATACTACATCCAGTGATTACTCTGGTTGGACTCCGATACTACATCCACTGAGTATTCCTGTTGGACTCAGATACCACAACCAATGGGTACTCCTGTTGGACTCAGATACTACAACCACTGAGTACTCTGGTTGAACCTAGATACTATGCTACCTGGGACCCTGAGCAAGTCACTTCACCTCTCACTAAATCCATTTCCTCCTGTGTACAGTAGGGATGGTAACTATTTAGTAAGAAGTAAATGAGGTCACCCATGTTTCAGGGTGACATTGTGAAGGATATTGGTTAACATGTTCTTTTTTCTTTCTGTTAGTCCCTGAATGTTGCCACTTTTAACATGAGTTCCCCTATCCCCTGCAGCTTCTGGCCCAGGGGAGACTGGAACATCAAATCAAATCATTGCATTTTTAGTTTTGAAGAGCTAAGGGCTAGATATAAGACAGGGGGATTTGGCAGAAATATTGTGAAGTCAGTATCTCCAAAGTTCATGTCACTGCAGAGGAAATAAATTATCTCTGAATTTGTGGATGAGAAGACAATTGGAAACAGCAGACATTTAGATACTAGTGAGAGTTCTGTATCCTGTATCCCACACAAGCAGGTGAACGAGAAGGCTTAAGGGAGGGCGGCCAACAACTATGGGATATTCCAAAAAGATACAAATCTGAGAGGCAGGGGGATACATGTACCCCTTCCAGTCTGGGAGGAGTTTCTTCCACCATCAAGGTAGGGGGACAGAACAATAGAGATGCCTGAGCAGGCTACAGGGGCAGAAAGGTCTGAGGCAGCCCCACTGTTCCTCTCATGGACCCTGAGTAGAAGCTAGGTCAGCCAGGGTTTCCTTTGTAGGAGGTAGGATGAAGATGGTGGTAAAGAGATCTGTGAGCTCAGAGATCTGGTGGGAACACAGAGGTCACAGAGACTTGCACGTGCTCTTCTAGAACCTTGCCTATTTCCCAGAGTGACATGAGTCTAAGTCTCCTCCTCCCCTGCCCTTGAATCTGAGTGGGCTTCATTTTGCTTGCAACCAAAATAATGCAGCAGAAGTGACCCTGCGTGACTTCCAAGGCTAGGTCATAGTGCATAGAAGATGATGCAGCTTCCTCCTTGTTTACTGGAATACTTGATCTTGAAGCCTTCAGCACCATGCAAGGCAGTCTGATTGCTCTGGAGCCACCATGCTTCCAGGAAGCTCAACTATCTCACTTGGAAAGGCCATGAGACTACGTGGAGTGAGAGAGATGCTGGGTCCAGTTTCTCCAGTCCCCACCTAATGTATGCTGTTCCAGGTCCACCCATGACCTGGTTTTATGGCCTGGAGCCAGACCACCCAGCCAGGCTCCTCCTGAATTCATGACCCACAGAAACCATGAGAATAAATAAATGTTTTAAAGTCTTTAAGTTTTGGATTGATTTGTTACATAGCAATAGAAAACTGAAGCAAAGCCTGAAATGATAACAGACACCCATAATATGACTAGGGTATATTTTGTACTATCTGATGGAACAGGGTTTGAATAGAAACTAAGTTTAGTGAAATACAATTATATTTTATTTTTTTGAATTACAATTTTGAGGTTTGACAATGTTTGCCTAACCCTACAAATAGTTACTCAAAAACTAGCAAGGCTGTAATAGACTGCCCTTAGTGATGGACACATGGGGCTGAACACAGTCCAGTCTTGAGATTCACTAGTCTGTGGCTCTGGTAAAGGTGGGAGCTGAGAACCTCAGAGTCCCTGTGAGTTTTTTTGGAATTTATTGGAAGAGGGATTTGGAAGAGTCAGACTCATAAGAGACCTCCAGGATTCCCAGAAGCTCCATCTCCAGCTCTGAACCCTTCCAATAGAGGAACTCCTCGTGTCAAGAGCCCTCCCTCAACGACACCCCAGGCACATTGCAGCTGTGGCTCAGTGTGGGATTGAGGGGCTGAGGGAGAAGGATCTGCACACCATCCCTGAGCCCGGTCTCATGCCGTAGTCTTAGACAAATCCTCTGGCTCCCACTCCTGTTATTTCCACTGCAGACCCCAACTCTGCACATGCAAGTCCAGCTAGTTAGAGCCAGTGGGGGAGGTGGAAAGGAAAGAGGACTCTGCAAAACAGGAATGAATATGGACTATGTGTAACAAAAAGAATACGGTCAAAGAAGCCAGGAAAATTTGAGTTCAAATTCTATCTACAAAACCAAAAAATTCTATATGTAGCAGCCAGCCTCCAAGACGTCAACCCAATGAATTCCCTGCTGATGTCCACACCCTTGTTTTATCTCTTCCACATAATATACTAGGGGTGGTCTGGGTGACCAGTAGAACATAGCAGCATTGATCATAGGTCACTTTTGAGATTGGGCTATAAAAGACACTGCTGATTCTATCTTATTTTGCCTTTCTCTCAGATCAGTCCTTCTGGGGAAAGCCAGGTGCTGTGCCATAAATAGCTCTTTTATTATTATTATTTTTTGAGACAGGGTCTCACTCTGTCACCCAGGCTAGGGTGCAGTGGTGTAATCATAGCTCACTGCAGCCTCGAACTCCTGGGCTCAAGCCATCCTCCTTCTTCAACCTCCCAAGTAGCTTGGTCTACAGGTGCATGCCACCCTGCTGGGCTTGGGAAGGAACAACAGTCACAGGTGTGGGCTTGGAAGCCAATCTTCAATGCAGTTAAATCTTCAGATGATCTTAGACCTCACCAACTAGTTGACTGCAACTCACGAGAGACCCCACGCCAGAAAATCCAGCTAAACTGCTCCCAGATTCACGATCCATAGAAACTGTGTGAGACAATAAATGCTTGAAGATGCTAGGTTTTGGAAGGTTTTGGGATAGTCTGTTGCACGGCAAAGGACATCGAGTACATCATCCCTCCCAGTTTCTGTTGGGTAACCTTGTGTACATTGCTTCCCGCGTTTCATCTATAAAATGGGGTCTATAGCAGTCACTGCTCACTCCATCCCTTTGTGACTGGACACCAAGAAAGGGTTCTTGGATCTCATGCAAGTAAGAATTTGAGACAAATCCATAAAGTGAAAGCAAGTTTATTAAGAAAGTAAAGAAATGAAAGAATGTCCACTCCATAGACAGAGCAGTGTGGCTGCTGCTTGCCCATTTTTATGGTATTTCTTGATTATATGCTAAACAAGGGGTGGATTATTGGTGAGGTTTCCAGAAAAGGAGCGGGCTATTCCTGGAACTGAGGGTTCCTCCCCTTTTTAGACCATATAGGGTAACTTCTTGACGTTGCCATGGCATTTGTAAACTGTCATGGGGCTGGTGGGAGTGTCTTTTAACGTGCTAATTGTATTAGTCTGTTTTCACGCTGCTCATAAAGACATACCCAAGACTCGGCAATTTACTAAAGAAAGAGGTTTAATGGACTTAGAGTTCTACACGGTTGTGGAGGCCTCACAATCATGGTGGAAGGCAAGGAGGAACAAGTCATGTCTTACATGGATGGCAGCAGGCAAACAGAGAGCTTGTTCAGAAAAATACCCATTTTTAAAACCATTGGATCTCCTGAGATTTATTCACTGTCACAAGAACAGCATGGGGAAGACCCACCCCCATAATTCAATAATATCCCATGGGGTCTCTCCCACCATAGGTGGGAATTATGGGAGCTACAAGATGAGATTTGGGTGGGGACACTGAGCCAAACCATGTCACTAATGCATTATAATAAGCAGTGAGGGTGACCACTGCCATCTTGGTTTTGGTGGGTTTTGGTCAGCTTCTTTACTGCATTCTGTTTTTTCTTCTTTTTCTTGAGATGGAGTCTCACTCTGTTGCCAGGCTGGAGTGCAGTGGCATGATCTCGGCTCACTGCAAACTCTGCCTCCCAGATTCAAGTGATTCTCCTGCTTCAGCCTCCCGAATAGCTGGGACAACAGGCACGCACCACCATGCTCAGCTAATTTTTGTAATTTTAGTAGAGACAGGGTTTCACCACGTTGGTCAGGATGGTCTTGATCTCTTGACCTCATTATCCACCCAGCTCGGCTTCCCAAAGTGCTGAGATTACAGGGGTGAGCCAATGCACCCAGCCTGCATTCTGTTTAATCAGCAAGGTTTTTGTAACCTGTACCTTGTGTTGACCTTCTATCTCATCCTGTGACTAAGAATTCCTACCCTCCTGGGAATGCAGCCCAGTAGGTCTCAGCCTTATTTTACCCAGACCCTATTTAAGGTGAAGTCTCTCTGATTCATATGACTCTGACACCTGGGCCCCTCCCAGAGTTCACCTGCAGGTGGTTCTTAGACACCTGCAGCTTCCTGTGCCTCTGCCTGAGTTCATTCTCTGGTCTATAGGAACATCCTTAGCCTATGCACACAGGCCAGACTAGAAGCACCAAGGAGAGAACGGCCCAAAAGACACCTCCAATCAATGCAGAAAGGGAGCTGATGGAGAAATATCCCCCGCTCTCTCGCTCCTTATGGGGAAGGAAATTCTGACTGTTCCACACAGTGTTTCATAGAGTTTTCAGTAGGATTAAGCCCTGGTTGTCCATCACGGTGGCCTTTATGCAATCACACCTTTTATTCATTTCCTCCCTTTCTCATCTCAGTTCATTTCCTTGCTGGGAACACTCACAAATAAAATGCTTGCACCCAAATCCTGTCTCAATATTTGCTTTAGGGACAACTCAAGACAGGTATAATAATAACTGCCTTTCTGGATTGTTGTCCTGATAAATTGAGGAGACTTGCCATGAGGGCTCAGAGGCAAAAGTGCTAAGACTCTGAAAAATCTTACTTAGGAGTGCTCCATGCAAAGCAGGGCTTGGTTATGGATTATTTAATCAAATGCAATGTTTCTTTTTCTTTTTTTTTTTTGCTCAAATTATATCATGTGCTTTATATTTCTTTCATTTGAAAGAAGCACTATATGGATGGAGAATATTTTAATCTTAGTAACAAGTTGATATATTCATAGAATGAGCTCAAGAAACAATTTCCAAGATGTCCAGAATTAAATCCTTTCTTTATTTGGTGGTCTCTCTTCTGAAGAAACAACCTGTACATTAATGGTTTTAGAGAAAGCTTTGCAAACTCCATTAGATAGTTAGGAAAACATCTGGACACCCAGGCTACCCGGTGATGAAGAGGATGACCTTGAGGAGGAAGGAAACAATACAATTAACAAGCTGAAAGTCAGTGCAATGCTTCCCCTCCAGACTGAACGGGGATCAAGTTACAGATGATTCTCCTAATTCGCTATAACCATGTTCTATGAAGTCACTGCAGACACTGAATTGGTGAATACCGAGCCGTCGCTCCTGGGGGACATATAAAGTTAGGATCCTGTGAGTCTTTGGTTACATTTTTGTGAACCAATCAACACATTACTTTTTTTTCTTTTATTTGTTTGGAGACTCACTTTGTCACCCAGGCTGGAGTGCAGTGGTGCGATCTCAACTCACTGCAGCCTCGACTTCCTGGGCTCAAGCAATCGTCCTGCCTTAGACCCCCAAGTAGTTGGGACTGCAGGTGCACCACCATGCCTGGACAATTTTTGTATTTTTAGTAGAAAGATGTTACCCAGGCTGGTCTCAAACTCCTGAACTGAAGTCATCTGCTCACCTCAGCCTCCCAAAGTGCTGGGATTACAGGAGTGAATCACCATTCCGGGCCTCAATGTATTACTTTTTTGTATGTGTTTCTGTTTAAAGACACCTTATTTTGTATATATTTTTAATGCATATTAAGCTCATGTCCAATGGGACTACCACTCCTGCCTGAGGGAGCTTCTCTAACACACCTATTTTCTCCATATGGCACGTCACAGCCTGTTGTCCTTACAAACACCAGACAGCCCTCAACACTATGCTTTGGGTCATTTTAAACAGCAAAATCGACAGCAAAATCCACAACAGAAAGCACAGAAACGTGAAAAGCAGAACACTAACTAGATCATGGAAAAGACACTGTTTACAGTAGAAGAGCTGGGACAGAAGGTGGGGCATCACCTTGTTCAACCTCAGTGAGGAATGTGCATGCTGGGAGATTGTTACGGGCTTAATTCTGCCCCACTCAAATTCCTATGTTGAAGCCCTAATGCCCCCACCCTGTCCCAGTACCTCAGATTGTGACTGTATTTGGAGACAGGGCTTTTAAAGAGGTGACTAAGTTCAAATGAGTCTGTGGGAGTGGACCCTAATCTAATCTGACCGGTGTCTTCATAAAAAGAAGAGATGGCCTGGGCAACCCCATCTCTACAAAGATTCCAAAAGCTAGCTGGGCCTGGTGGTGCACACCTGTAGTCCAAGCTACCCGAGAGACAGGCGGGAGGATTAATTGAGGCCTGGAATTCAAGACCAGCCTGAGCAACATAGCGAGACTCTGTCTTTACAAAAAACAAAAAAAGAAGAAGAAAGAGTAGTCAGGTACATCTTTTTTATATATTTATGCAGGAAAAACAAGACCTCTGCCAGAAGCTTACAGTAGGATTTGCTTGCCTCTCTTTGGCAAGAACTGTGCTCCAGGGCAAATCCTAGCTGCAAGGGAGTTGGGGAAATGGAGGATTTTTCAGCATCTGGAGTGGAGGCAGAGGTGGAGTGGCTCAGGAACATCTGTTGAGTTAACTCACAGGCAAAGTGTGCCAGAGCTTGATTCTCAGGTCAGCCAAGATGATCATGAGATGTTCCAGGCCTCCTTTCTACACTGCAGCTATCCCAGCGTGGTGCAAGAAAGCAGGGAATTCACAGATTGTTTTCTCCCCCTGGAAATTGGGTTTAGCTCATTTTGAGTTGCTTTTGCATTACCTAAAATGACAAGGCAGGCCACTCCATCACTTCTGCTCAGAAAAGCACCTTCTGGGTTCATGGCCTGTGCTTCTCTTTTCAAGACCTCCTGGAGCATGCAAGGGTCTCCCTCATGCTCCCTGCCTCCTGGGACCAGACACTCTTTCAGAATCTTCAAAATGCTCTCCTGCCCACCCCTTCCTGAGAACAGGAGGTCCTCCCAACCTTTCCTTTCACCTGATTCTGTAGAAGAAAGAATGTTCTAAGTTTAAGGATTGTTCCAGAGCAGTCTTGGCATCATTTTTATGGACCAGGCTTTAAGATTAAATCAGCATTTCCAACCTAGTTTCCATAAACCCACAGGTGTTCAAACATATGTCCTGGGGTTACTGAAATGGCTAAAAATGATTATAGCTCATATTTCCATTTCAGTTTAAAAAAAAAAGCCTGTATCAAGCTTGTTATTTACATGTTTTTATTACTTAAATTAGAACCATTTCAAAGCCTCCACGTGTATACTGGGTGAGCCCTCCACTGGCGGGTGGAGTATGGGTGGCTGTGGCCATCTCTTCCCCATGCATTTTCTCACTTATTGACTGACTCAGGCCACCAAGGCATGCATTTGCCCATTATGCAGGTTTAAATTGTCTTTAATTGTCTGCTTTTAAATGTCCATCTACTTTAGCGATTGCTTTAATGCAGGTATAGAATAGACTATGTTCAAAGATGAAAAGCATATGAAACTTTGAATTTTAAATATAAGTTAAATAATGGAGAATAAAAAGAGATAAGGATTTTTCAACTTTGTCTCCAGACGATTCTCGGCAGCCCTTGACTAGATCCCTAAATTATAGTCATTGTATAGAAAATGGCTTGCCGACATTTCTTTATATTTTAAAATTTAGTGTTACAAGAAGGAAGGACATTGAGAGAATCATCTAATTTGACTTTCCATCCTTTCAAATGCAGGCTTTATTCCCACTGTCTCTGCCATGTGCTATTTGGGAAGATTTGCAACCAAACAGTAACTTGAAATCTTCCCTCATCTTTTCACTTAAAGATAAAACACAATACTTATTTTTAAAAAATTAACCAGTTGATCGTGCACTGCTGATGGAAATGTAAAATGGTGCAGCCACTATGAGCTTAATAACCCTGAACTGTGCACTTAACAATAGTTACAATGGTAAATTCTGTGATTACATTTTACCACAATATAGAAAAATGTTCCCAATCTGGAACTCTCAATATTTTATTTAAAAAACTTTGCAGCCGGTAAAAAAAAAAAAAAAGTCAATGGATTGATTTGAAATTCGAGATTCAAGCATTTCAAACATCAAGACAATTTTTGTCCATCCTTAGAATATAACGGAGAGGTGAATTTCAATTCTATCTCAATATTCTTTTTTTTTAGTTTTAATTTGTTTGTCCATGAATCAAGCTTTTCATACAGAGTTAATGCAAAAACCCCAGCATTTTAGGTATATCTCATGAAATAAATATCTATATAATGCATTATGTCACATATGATTTCAAAGCGACACTGACTTAAAGTGATGCATTTTAACTGAAAAGTCCTGCTTTATCATGCACCGATGGGCGGGATTATCTGCGCAATGTCGCTGAGACCAAAAACTGCATGTCCGAGAGGACCCTGCCCCATAAGCTTCTGGTTAGCGTTTCTGGAAAGAGGAGTTCACAGGGGATTTGGAAGAGGAAAGAGCAACCACTATTCCCTGAGCATCCTAGTCTGGTGAAGGGAAGGATGGACCTAACGTGCTTGTGGGTCCAGCTGTCCCCGCCGACCCCCACTCCACCTGGGGGTGCACAGGCCTTCAGCTCCATTGACGGCCGGCACCTCCCACTGACTCCACATGCAGACCCTTGGCTGTGGGTCTAGAGGCACAGCGACCACTAGGGCTGCAGCTCCACAGTCCTCTCCATGGCCTGCTGCACTCCAGCTTGGGCTTGGCTTCCCAAATTTCCCTGCAGGAGCCAACTTGCCCATGCCGCCCGTGCTGCCCAGTGACCCCAGGAGAAAATAACAGGCTCAGAGAGAAGATGTGAAGTGAATCCAGGCATGGAGACAGGTCAACCAAGCCCAGGCTCCATCAGCCACACTCCAGCCAACCAGCAGAGGTGAACCCCAGAAACATGCCTGTCATTGTCTGCCAGTGGGCTTGGAGATGACTTGTTACGCAGCATAATTGCAGCACTCGCTGACGAATACACGTCTATCGTGTGCTCAAACAAGGGGTGCAAAGGTGAAAAAGTTTCATAAAAGAAGTTTCCGTTGTCTAAACAGCTCATAGTTGATTCAAGAGACAGATATGCAAATAAATGAAAAATACTGAGATAAGCGTTAGAAATGTATGAGCCCAGGGCAGTGGCAACTCCAAGGTGGAGTGGTGTGGTCTGCTCCTCCTGGGAGCCAGAAACCCCTCCTAAGGGGGGCTGCTCAGTGAATTTTCTCCAACCCCCTCAGCTCTGCCTTCCAACCTTCATTTCCCCAGGCTACCCACAACCTAACATCTACAATAAATCCCTTAGCCCATAATACTCATAGCAGTTTTGCTTCCCTAGTTGAACACTGACAGATATACCAAGAAAAAAATTGCAATATGGTTAAAATTCCTAAGATGGGTCCTACGATTACATATTACTGTGAAGGGGGCTTATGAATTCGGATACATTGGAAAACCCTCAGGTCAATGAAGACCTAAATGCAATTTCATTTCTATTTCACTGTATGATTTTTTTTCCCTCTCAAAAAAAAGCTTGCAAACCCCCAAATCCCACAAATTCAAATTTGGAGGAAACTAGGGCTGCCGTATCTGTATTTTATTCTCAGGACCTATCATAGAGGCTTCCCAAAGACTGTGAAGTTTGCTAATGTTTACTTCCCTAGCCTTTTGTGTGCCTCTTCCCATGGTTTCAGAAAAACCTGTCCTGGTCCAATCCTTAAAGCAATGGAGACTTTTGGATTCTGGGTAAAATCTGGCCAATTTTAGAATCCTAGCCTGTAGGCGATCACTTACATTTCCCTTAGGATTTAAATCAGAAGTTTCCCACTGCTGGCCAGGAGGTAGGTAGGTTTGGACTATCAAGACCTTGAATTTGACATATGAGTTATATTTCTGGTTTATTTGTCTTAAAATTGAAGGAGGGCTGGGCGTGGTGGCTCATGCCTATAATCCCAGCACTTTGGGAGGGAGAGGCAGGATGATCACTTGAGTCTAGGAGTTTGGAAAGAGCTTGGGCAACATAGTGAGAGCCCATCTCTAGAAAAAATTTTTTAAAATTTGCCAGGCATGGTGGTGTGTGTCTGTAGTCTCAGCCACTCGGGAGGCTGAGATGGGAGGATTGCTTGAGCCCAGGAGGTTGAGGCAACAGTGAGCGGTGATCATGCCATTGCACTCCAGCCTGGGCAACAGAGCAAGACCTTGTCTCAACAATCAACCAATCAATCAAAAAAATAAAAAATTGAATTAGCTGACAACTTTTTTATTTTTTTGAGATGGAGTCTTCTTCTGTTGCACAGTCTGGAGTGGAGTGGTGCGATCTCGGCTCACTGCAACTTCCACCACCCGGGTTCAAGCGATTCTCCTGCCTCAGCCTCCCTAGTAGCTGAGATTACAGTTGCCTGCCACCAGGCCTGGTTAATTTTTATATTCTTTTTAGTAGAGATGGGGTTTCATCATGTCGACTATGCTGGTCTCGAACTCCTAGCCTCAAGTGATCTGCCAGCCTTGGCCTTCCAAAGTGCTGGGATTACAGGTGTGAGCCACTGTGCCCGGCCTGTCAGTCAACTTTTTTACACATGGAATGATTTCTTATTAAAATCTTGATTCTGACCTCACCAAAAACAATCAGAAGATGCAACATGATTGGGTCCCGAAACCTACTCACCAAAAGGTGAACAGGGCTGAGCAACAGCAGTTAGCCCCAGTCCCCACCACCCCCTATTGTCTTAACCTCAGCCCGCTGCCTGTGTTTATGCTGCCTGCCTGGCTGCTGAGGGCCTTGGAGTTTACTGCGCAGGCCCTTCCCAGGCAATGGTGCCAGACACTGTGAACTGCAAGCCGTTCTGCTCAGACAGCACACAGTCTTGCCGCCTGAGCCCAGGAGCACTTCACATGCTTTCTGCTGTGGTGGATGAGACTTTTTGCACAGAGTACAGAACTTGAAGTTTCATCAGCTGAAAGTTTTTCATTTTCTTCTATCTCAGAGATCTCAGCCCACTTGCAAGCTTTTTATCCTTCTGACGGCTCCCCCCAGCTCCAAGTCTTTGTTGACGTTCAGATCCTGTCAGCCTAGATGATATTATCTGCTTCCTTCATCCTTGTTCTATCTCAGGCATAGCCTAAAAATCAAGTCTCTTCTGACGGTCCTGGCATTTTCTAAGGTTGTGATTTTATATATTACACTGCTTTCAGGTTGAATTTTTCTTTCACTACTTCAAAGTCCCTCTTTAATCATTTTTCAGGTTTTCTCCATCAGGTTTTTGCGTGGGAATTTTGGAGGGTTGCTGCCGTGGTTGTACTAAGGTGCAGGGTGATGCAAGCCCCCAATTTGGGCTCCATTTCTCAGTTGACCTCCCCCTGACACCCTGTGCTCCAGCCAGACTGAATGACCAGAAGATTCTGAACGTTGCACACACGTTTTTCCTTTGCTTATAGTCCCCACACCTCTGTAGCTGCCTGGTGAACTGCTATTCATTCTCAGTTCAAGACATCCTTCCCAGGAGGGGTTTCTGGCTCCCAGGAGGAGCAGACCATACCCCTTCACCTTGGAGTCGCCACTGCCCTGGGCTCATACATTTCTAACACTTATCTCAGTGTTTTTCACTTATTTGCATATCTGTCTCTTGAATCAACTATGAGCTCTTTAGACAATGGAAACTTCTTTTATCAAACTTTTTCACCTTTGCACCCCTTGTTGAGCACATGATAGACGTGTATTCGTCAGCAAGTGCTGCAATTATGCTGCGTAACAAGTCATCTCCAAACCCACTGGCAGACAATGACAGGCATGTTTCTGGGGTTCACCTCTGCTGGTTGGCTGGAGTGTGACTGATCGAGCCTGGGTTTGGTTGAGCCTGTCTCCAGGCCTGGGTTCCATTCACCTCTTCCCTCTGTGCCTGTTATTCTTCTGGGGTCAGCTAGATACCTCAGGCGTGTTCTTCTCATGGTGGTGGCCTAAGTGTGAGAGCACAAGCCCAACTGGATGAAGATACATTACATCTTGGCGTCTCACCTGCTAACATCCCATTAGCCAAAGCATGACATATGGCTAAGCTCAAAGTCAAATGGTGGAGAAATACCTTGCCCTTTGTGAAGCCATGACCAGGGTGTGGACATGCAAGATGACCACAAGGGAGTGAAGAATTCACACCAATCATTCAGTCTTCCCCAAGGTGCTGAAACATTTGTGCAATCAACAGATAGGAAATAGTTGAGAGACTCGGGAAAATTCCTCATTCACTGCATAAAAATTAACAACTGCAAATTTACATTCGTGTGAGACCAAGTTTTGGGAGGCTGCTCCAGTGTGTCCCCCAGACTCACACCCCCGACCCCCAGAAGCACTGGCTTCACTGACACCAGCCTCCCCTGGGGTTGAGTAGTTGCATCGTGGGGTGATAGAACACGGCGCCATCTGGGTAAACCACACTCCAGTCCCCATTGCTGTTTTCTCTAGCAACGCTTCACTCACACATCAAAAACGAGCAAGAGGCTGAAACCATATTAAAGTCTTTTAATTTGTCTTTATTTATTACAGGTGGGGTCTTGCTATGTTGTCCAGACTGAACTCAAACTCCTGAGCCCGAGCAGTTCTCCTTCCTTAGCCTCTCAGACAGCTGGGAGTACAAGTGCGCACCACAGCAGTGGACTTCCATATTAAATTTTTGTAAGGGGCTGGGCTCGGTGGCTCACACCTATAATCCCAGCATTCTGGGAGGAGTCAGAGGCAGGGATATTGCTTCAACTCAAGAGCTCAAGTCCAGCCTGGGCAGTATACCAAGACTCCATCTCTAAAAAAAAAAATTATCTGGGCATAGTGGTGCACACCTATAGTCCCAGCTACATGGGAGGCTGAGGCAGGAGGATAACTTGAGCCCAGAAGTTTAAGGCTGCAGCGAGCTATGATTGCAGCACTGAACTCCAGCCTGGGTGACAGAGGTTAAAAAAAAAAAAAAAAAAAGAGGGAAAAATTTATTGTAGGCCATCTTATTTTATTAGTCCATGACTGTGATATGAGTTTTGGGGTATATGTGGGAATTATCAACAAAGCATAGGAAAGAATAGCTCCTCTGACTCATTTTTGTTCCATTAGTAATATTTGTTCTTTTGATTATTTGTGAGATTCTATTAAAAGAAACCAAGGAAGAACAGCCCTTACTACGATCCTGCCTGTCAATGTTTATTTCAGCGATATTTACGCCATGAAATTTGTTTATAAGATTTTTTTCTTTGTCAAGTTGTTGTGGCATTTCCCTCCATAATTTATAGAGAGGCAGAGGTTGGGAGGAATATGCATAAATATTTATTTGCTGAACAGTTAATTCTTACTGTTAAAAAATGATCTGGGAAATTTGAGGGGAATAAATTTTCATTACGTAGCAGGAAATGTTGAATGATTGAGTCAGCATTTTAGAATGCCTGCCTGTGAAATAAAGGTAGGTCCATAAACAGTGAGGGGCTGTTTGGATTTGCCTAGATAGGGACATTTGCCCAGCGTGGGAGAACAGAGGGGGGTTAGAAGATAGCAAAAAGGCATTCTGGCCGGTCGCGGCAGCTCACACCTGTAATCCCAGCACTTTGGGAGGCCGAGGCGGGCAGATCACCTGAGGTCAGGAGTTTGAGACCACCCTGGTCAACATGGTGAAACCCCATCTCTACTAAAAATACAACATTAGCTGGGTGTGGTGGCACACGCCTGTCATCCCAGCTACTCAGGAGGCTGAGACAGGACAATCGCTTGAACCTGGGAGGCAGAGGATGCAGTGAGCCAAGGTCGTGCTACTGTACTCCAGCCTGGGTGAGACACAGCGAGATTCTGTCTCAAAATAAAAAAAATAAAAATAAAAAAGTAAATAAAAAGCATTCTGAGTAAAGTCATGATTGTGAGCTGCAAAACACTGACCCCTGTCACTTGGAACTAGAGTTGAAAAATTACATGTGGGCAATCGTATTGCTAATTACCATTGACAAGGTGTCTTCTTAGTCGGTGTAGCTTATGTGCGTGACATATGGCCAAGCTCAAGGTCTCAGAGGGCCATACCCCAGTGCATGTGTAAAGAGACGAGGTTTGGCTGAGAAATGTCTCATTACCATCATTTTCTATAAAAACCACATGAATTATTTTAGGGCACTATGTCTCACCACCCCGGTACAGAGACAACGATAGGGTTTATAAAACACATTCTCTTGGCCAGGCGTGGTGGCTCACGCCTGTAATTCCAGCACTTTGGGAGGCCGAGGCGGGCGGATCACCTGAGGTCGGGAGTTTGAGACCAGCCTGACCAACAGGCAGAAACCCCATCTCTACTAAAAATACAAAATTAGTCGGGCATGGGGGCACATACCTGTAATCCCAGCTACTCAGGAGGCTGAGGCAGGAGAATTGCTTGAACCCAGGAGGCAGAGGTTGCAGAATCACTTGAATCCAAGATCACGCCATTGCACTCCAGCCTGGGCAACAAGAGCAAAACTCTGTCTTTAAAAAAAAAAAAAAAAAAAAAAAAATCCTAGACTCAATAGAAAGGAATGTCTGGGTTAAGATAAGGAGCTGTGGAGACCATGGTTTTATCCCGCAGATGAAGTCTCCAGGTAACAGGCTCCAGAGAAAATGGATTGTATATGTTCCCATCAGACTCTAAGAGTCTGTTCTACCAGCCTTAAGGTTTCTGTGTTGAAGTTAATACTGGTCAGCTATGCCTGAATTCCAGTGGGAGGAGGGTATAATGGGGCACATCTGACTCCAGTTTTCCATCATGATCTGAACTAGTTTTTCCGGTTAACTTTGGAACACCCTTGGCCAAGAGAAGGGATCCATTCAAATGGTTGGGAATTTTACTTGGCTTAGAATTGCATTTTTTGTTTGCAATGCATAACCATCAACTGAAGTTCATAGTTTACATTATGGTTCACTCTTGGTGCTGTGCACTGTATGGGTTTTGACAAATGTGTAACGACATGAATCCGCCATTATGGTGTCATACAGAGCAGTTTCACTGCCCTGAAAACCCCCTGTGCTCCACCTCTTCATTCCTCCCTCCCCTCAACCCCTGGCTGAGTATGCGATGAGTATACTGAATATACGATGCTAACTCATCAGCATTTGCAACGTCTGGCTCCTTTCTGGCCCCCATGCCTTTGAGGTCAGCGTGGCCAGGCAACTGCTTTTGGCCAATGAGATGAAGCAGAAATGAACGGCATTGCTTGCAGGTGGAAGCATTTCAATCCCTGTAGGAGAGCCTCCCGGATGCTCTCGCCCTGCCAAGGTGTGATTACAGCAGCACATTTTAGATATTTTATTTAATATTTGCACAATAAAATACGTAATATCTGCACAATGAAAGGCAACATTTGCATAATAAAATAGGTGATATTTGCATAATTAAACAGGCAATATCTGCATAATAAAATAGGTATTATCTTCATAATAAAATAGGTAATAGCTGCATTTATAAAATAGGTAATATCTACATAATAAAATAGGTAATATCTGCATTAATAAAACAGGTACTATCTACATAATAAAATATAATATCTGCATAATGAAATATTTAATATATGCATAATAAAGTAGATAATATCAGCATTCATAAAATAGGTAACATCTACATAATAAAATATGTAAAATCTGCATAATAAAAGGTCTAATATTTACATAGTAAAATAGGCTATATCTGCATAATAAAATAGGTAATATCTGCATATTAAACTAATATTTGCATAATGAAATATGTGATATCTGCATAATAAAATATGTAATGTCTGCATAAAAAATAGCAAATATCTGCATAATAAATATGTAGCATCTGCATAATAAAATAGCTAGTATCTGCATAACATTAGATACTATGCAAAGATAAGCCATTACCTGGAAGGAGACTGCCCAGAGAGTTACTGAGCCGCACGGGGGACTTGGGGCAAGCAAGAAACAAACCCTCACTATGTTAAGCCACTGAAGTCTTGCGGTCCTTTATTACTGCAGCATAACCTCACCTAATCCTGGGAGTGTGTGTGGAGGTCACAAATGTTCTCAGAGTGGCCTTTTGCAATGATTATCTTGGTCCAGACTAGAAAGAAAAATGCTGCTGTTCTTAGTGGTAAGTGATCAACTGCATTCTACAAAGTGGGACAGCTTCTAAATGTAGCTGATAAGCCATACACGAAAATGACAACCATTTCAGCAAAGCTGAATACCTTCATATTTCAAAATGCTCCACCACAGACAATAAGTTTTGATGACCACATGATTTCCTTTATTTTGGGACCTCAACACATGAACTGCATTATGAACTGTATTATGAAAGAAACCACTGACACTTTTTTACCTCGCTTATTTATTCAACAAATATTTATTGAGCGCCAACTCTGCATCTAGCACTCTTCTGAGTGATATATCAGGGAATGAAGGAAGTAAAAATTCCTGTTGGCCTAGAGTTTACATTCTAGGGAGACACAGGCAGTAAACGACAAACACAGTACATAAATAATGGGCACAGCATGATAGAAGGCAATAAGTTAAAAAAAAAGTAATAGTAAAAAAAAAAAAGCAGAGTAAGGAAGATGAGGAAGGCTGGGGATGTGTTGCTATTTTGAATAAATGGTCTGGAGAGAACTTATTGAGAAAGTGACATTTGGGCAAAAAATTGAAGGAGGAGGAGAGAGGGCACGTCATATAAATATCAGAGAAAGTATGTTCTACAGAGATCAGATCACCTGTGCAAAGGCCCTGAGGTGGGGACAAGCCTGGGGTCTTATAGGAACAGCAAGGAGATCAGTGTGGCTGGATGGAATGAGAAAGTGGGTGACAGAGTGGAGGGGGAGAGAGAAGATGTGTCTGACGTGCCGTGCAGGTGACATAGAGACAGAAGAAATTGAGAGACAAATAAATACAGAGCCAATTTCTCAAAGAAAAATTGAGAGCCAAGAAGAGACATGATCTGTTTCTTTTCTTTTTGGGCCTCACTCTGTTACCCAGGCTGAAGTGCAATGAGGCAATCATGGCTCACTGCAGCCTCCAAATCCGTGGCTCAGGCGATCCTCCCAGCTAGGCTTCCCGAGTAGCTACATGGCTAATTTTGAAATTTTTTTTATAAAGACAGAGCCTCACTATGTTGCCCAGGCTGAGCTCAAAGTCCTGGCATCAAGTAATCCTCCTGCCTTGGCCTTCCAAAGCATTGGGATTACAGGCATGAGCCATGCACCCGGCCTGACAAATGTTTTAACAGGATTGCTTTCCCTGCTGTATGGAGAGAAGTTGCAGAGACCATAGAAGGAACAGGGAGACCCCTTAGAAGACGCCACAGTCTTCTGGCACCCAAAGCAGAGGGGGTGAATGAGGCTGCCTAGATTCCAGGTTCATGGTTTCCAGGAGGAGGCAAGCAGATCTTGCTGTAGTTTGACTGTGACATGTGAGAGATAGAGGAGAGTGAAGAATGTCTCCAAGGTTTTAGCCTGAGCAGGGGGATGGACAGAGACATCAGCTCAGTTGGGAAGACCCTGAGAGCGATAGCCTCGGGAGGCAGACAAGGAGCTCAGTGCTGGTCATGCCAGGCATGAGATGGCTTGAGCCGTTGTGTTCATGTCCTGGGACTGCCAGAACAAACAACTGTAGATGGGGTGGCTCAAAACAACACAGTTTGTTCTCTCACAGTCCTGGGAGCCAGAGGTCTGGAATCTAGTGGGACCGTGCTTCCCCTGGAGGAGGCAGGGAGAATTTATTCTTGCCTTTTCCAGCTAGTGGTATTCCTGGTGGCGAGGATGCATCACTGCAAACACAGCCACCATGGTTCCATCACTGTGTGTGTGTCTCTCTCTCTCTTTTTTCTTGACGGAGTCTCACTCTGTTGCCAGGCTGGAGTGCAGTGGCACGATCTCAGCTCACTGCAAGCTCTGCCTCCTGGGTTCAAGTGATTCTCCTGCCTCCTGAGTAGCTGGGATTACAGGCGCACTACCATGCCCAGCTAAATTTTGTATTTTTAGTAGAGATGGGCTTTCACCATGTTGGCCAGAATGGTCTCGATCTCTTGACCTCGTGATCCACCAGCCTTGGCCTCCTAAAGTGCTGGGATTACAGGTGTGAGCCACTTGTGTGTCTCTTACAAGGACTCACAGCTGGATTTAAGGCCTACCCGGATAATTCAGGATCTCCTTATTGCAAAATCCTTCCAATCACATCTGCGAGGACCCTTTTCCCAAATAGTCACCTTCATAGCTGGCCAGGATTCGGATGTGGGTATATTTTTTTGGGGGTGGGGCACTCTCAGCCCATTGCAAGTCTTCAGTGGCTTAAGGAAGAGGTCTCCAACCCCCAGGTCATGGACCAGTACTGGTCCATTAGGAACTGGATCACGCAGGAGGTGAGTGGCTGGCAAGTGAGCAAAGCTTCATCTGTATTTACAGCCACCCCCCATCACTTGCATTACTGCCTGAGCTCTGCCTCCTGTCAGATCAGCCGCAGCATTTGACTCTCATAGGAGTGTGAACCTTATTGTGAACTGCCCATGGGAGGGGTCTAGGTCATCTGCTTCTTAGGAAAATCTAATGCCTGATGATCTGTCACTGTCTCCCATTATCCCCAGATGGGAGCATCTAGTTGCAGGAAAACAAGCTTGGGGCTTCCACTGATTCTACATTACGGTAGAATCTACATCTATTATTACTGCAATGTAATAATAATAGAAATAAAGTGCACAATAAATGGAATGTGCATGAATCATCCCGAAACCATCCCCTTGCCCCTGTCTGTGGAAAATTGTCTTCCATGAAACCAGTCCCTGGTGCCAAAAAGGTTGGGGACTGTTGCTGGTTGAAGATCAGTCTCTCAATGGGTGTGTACCCACATCAGACCAAATCTGTTTCTTCAACTTTTTTGTAACCAAGTTGAGACTTGTTGTTAGTTGCCATGGTTATGGTCAAGTAACCTGAGCACTCCCAGATGAACCAAGTGTGCAAGCATAGGGGAAACCTAAGTGCTCGACTGAGGGGTGGGGACTGAATTAAGAAGCCGACACCTCATGGCAGAATCCAGGATCCAATCAGATCAAGCTCTGGGGTCACCCCATGACAGTGTCCAGTCAGATCATGCCTCCTGACATCACCTTATTGCAGGATCCAATCAGATCACACCTCATTACGCTATGCTTATAAAACCCGACTCAGCTGGGGATGCTCTGGGGAACTCTCCTCTGTGCTCTCCTGAACTTGTTGCAAGTAATAAAATCCCCCTTGTTAAATCCTCCCTGTTTGTGGTCATTGAGTTGGTACCCACCAAGAGACGGAGCCTACCCATTGTGAGGTTAACAGGTGGTCTCACTGGGGCTGGGCGAAGTTCTTGATATAATAGTTTAGGTTTGGGGGGCATAGTGAGGTGAGGAACTAAAAGTGAGTTTTGATACATACATAGTTGCTTAATAAGCAAATGCTTTGCCCTGTTGAGCAATCTCACGTCCTGAAAGGTGTCTGTCCCAGCAGTGTAGCGTTCAGCTAAGTTGAACTTGAAGAAGTTCGTGAATGAAGCAGTGAAGCTCTTCACTGCATTATAGCCTGTGTGCCTGAGCAGAAACCCTCTGGTCTTAGTCCTAATCTTTAAGCTGAGTGCACAGAGATTGAGACAGCTTCACAGGGGCAAGATGAATCTCCTGACCTCCCTTCCCTGGGTCAAGGTCTTGGAGGGGAGGCGTGGTAGAGAAGCAAAAGAGAAAGCCAGCAATCGAGAGCCTAGGTTTCTTTTTTTTTTTTTTTCTAGTTCCACAGACTCTCTTAATTCTCAGTATTCCTTTTTTTTTTTTCCCTTCATGTCTTTTTTTTTATTATTATACTTTAAGTTCTAGGGTACATGTGCACAACGTGTAGGTTTGTTACATATGTATACATGTGCCATGTTGGTGTGCTGCACCCATTAACTCGTCATTTACATTAGGTATATCTCCTAATGCTATCCCTTCCCCCTCCCTCCACCCCATGACAGGCCCTGGTGTGTGATGTTCCCTTTCCTGTGTCCAAGTGTTCTCATTGTTCAATTCCCACCTATGAGGGAGAACATGCGGTACTATGTTTCATTCATCACGGGAACTCTTGGTTGAATATGGCTTCTCCCAGTGGTTCCCAATCTCCATCCATATAGGGGCTGCAGCAGAGGGAAAATGTCATCCTCACTCAACCTGGTTCATTCATCCAAGTGGAGACATCAAATAATATTGGACAATACCTTTTAATTATGCATATTATTGTGCCTTCAGAGCTGAGTGAGATTCTCAGGTCATTTGCTACTCTTCTCATGTTATTAGCCTGAGGCATCCCGTAGACATTAAACTATAAGAGTGTAATGATGGCGACACAATACACTAATGGGAGAGCTGGGCTTCAAATCCCCACCTCCATCCTCTTGACATCTCTGCCATGACTGCCTGGGCATCAGTAAGCTGAAAGGTCTCTCCCTGCCTCAGCCATCCTGGGGAACCTTAGTCCCTGCAGAGCAATCTCTGGTCCCTAAAGTAGCAAAGAAGACAATAGGCTCCTGAAATTGTAAGCATATGTTTGACTCTTTCTTCTTATTGACTCCCCTTTCCTCCCCTCCACCCGTATACACCTCATTTCAGCCTATTTCTCCCATTTCAACTCTCTCCACTCTAGGATTCCACCCTGGGTTTCTCTGAAGTTTGATTATCTTGGGGTCACCTGCACCCCAGTTCTCCTGACCTAGGATTATCCTTGGAGGAAACCCTGTATGTCCCTCCATTCTTACAAGTTACAACCTTAGGCAGAGAGTTCTTGAATCATTTCTGACATGAGTATTTTTATTTTTTTAATGTTAATTTTAATTCTTCTTCCCATTATCTTTTGGAGACAGTGTCTCGCTCTGTTGCCCAGGCTGCAGTGCAGTGGTGCAATTATAGCTCACTGCAGCCTCAACTTCCTGGGCTCAAGTGATCCTCCCATCTCAGCCTCCTGAGTAGCCGGGATTACAGGTGCATATCACCATAACCAGCTTGAAGTGGGTATTTTGTTTTTAAAGGAGAGCTGTTGCTGTTGTAGCTTCACATTTTTAATTCTAAATTTCTTCATGAGATCTGTGCTACTGTGGATTCAAATGTAAGGAATGAGCACCTGAAGCAGAGAAGTATTATTAGTTAGGGTTTTATTTACAAGCAACAGAAACTGAATGTGGTTAATTAAAGCAGAAAGGGAATTTGTGAAGAGGATTTTAGGGACCTCATGGAGTCCCCACGAGGTCTAAGAAGCAGGCTTGGAAGCTGCCTTTGCCATTAACGATGTCCCCAAGTCACACAGGTGAAGACGCTGCAGCTGCCACCCTGGGGATCTGAGAGAACTGCTTGCCTGGCCCCTCCATCCCAAATCGAGCAGTTGCGTCTACTGCTGGCTTCAGACACTGGACACAGCTGCTGTGCCGTGGCCACTCTTGGCTAGAAGAGAGCCAGGAGGTTCCTTTTGCTTTGCCTCACTGTCTCCAATTTTAAAACTAGTCTGTAGGAATGGACAATCAGACTGAAACCTGAGCCATGAGCCTGCGCCCAGCTCCCTGCGAGGTTGGAAAGCGAGGAGTTGGCATTTTTCAGCCTGTCCTGGATGAGACAGAGGCAGCCCTGTCTGAAAAGGGGCAGAGTCCCCAAACATAGAAAGAAAGGAGGCGCAGGTGCACGCTGGCCAGAATTAACAACGTTCACAGCAAGAAGCTGTGATGTGCCCACTTGAAGTTACGAGAAAATAACTCTCTTCCTAAAATATAATTTTGGCCACGCCTTGTTCATACACTGAAACTTTCAGTGCATCCTGCTTAGTGGTAAAGCAAAGTTTGGTCATCGTCTCACGGCTCTGAGATTAGCACCGGCCCATCTTCCCAGGTTCAGAGAAAACATTTCCTCTATGATGAAACTGCCTCTGATCTCTCGAGTTGAAATCAGGCACTCCTGTCCCTGCATTCCCACTTAAGATTCAGTGAAGCATTCATTCATTCATTTACTGAAGGAATTTTTAGCAAGAACCTGCAATGGGGTATATCAGTGAGGAAAATGTCCCTGTCCTTGTGGAGTGTACATTCTAGAAAAAAGAGATAATGGGCTGGGCGTGATGGCTCATGCCTGTAATCCCAGCACTTCGGGAGGCCAAGGCGGGCGGATCATGAGGTCAGGAGATTGAGACCATCCTGGCCAACATGGTGAAACCCCATCTCTACTAAAAATACAAAAATTAGCCAGGCATGGTGGCGCATGCCTGTAATCCCAGCTACTTGGGAGGCTGAGGCAGGAGAATCGCTTGAACCAGAGAGTCAGAGGTTGCAGTGAGCCGAGATCATGCCACTGTACTACAGCCTGGTGACAGAGCCAAACTCTGCCTCAAAAGAAAGAAAAGAAAAGAAAAAAGAGATAATGGCAAACAAATCAACAAACATATATGTAAAATGTAGTATCAGATACCACTTCACACTCAACAAGATGACTATACTTTAAAACATGGAAAATCGCCAGTGTTGGCAAGGATGTGAAGACGTCGGAACCCTCACGCATTGCTGGTGGGAATGGAAAATGGTGTTACAGCCTCTGTGGGAAACAATTTGGCAGCTCCTCAACAAGTTAGACATAGAATTCCCGTGTGACCCAGTGATTCCACTACTTGGTCTGTACCCAAAAGAAGAGGAAACAAATACCCAAACAGGCACACATATACATATGTTTGTAGCAGCATCATTCACAACAGTCAACAGGTGGAAACCACTCCAATGTCCATCAACGGATGAGCGGATAAGCGATGTGGTGCATGCATCAGTGGAACATACAATGGAATATTAGTCAGCCATGAAAAGGAATGAAGTGCTGTGTTAGTTTTCTAGGGCTGCCATAGTAAAGTACTGTAGATTGGGGGGTGGCTCATACTACAGAAATGTATTCTCTCACAATCTGGAGGCTGGAAGTTTGAAATCAAGGTGTTGGCAAGGTACATGTCTCCCGATGCCTCTCTCCTTGGCTTATAGACACCATCTTCTCCCTATGTCTTCACAGGGTCATCCTTCTGTGTGTGTCTGTGTCCCAGTCTTCTCTTCTTATAAGGACACCAGTCAGATTGGATTAGGGCCCACACCAACAACCTCATTTAACCTTAATTATCTCTTTAAAGACCCTATATTCGAATGCAGTCATATTCTGAGGTACTGGGGGCTAGGGCTTCAACATACGTATTTTGGGGGAACATAATTCAACCATAGCCAGTACTGATATATGCTACAATGTGAATGAAACTCAGAAGCATGATGCTAAGCGAGAGAAGCCAGACATCAAGGATCACATATTGTATGATTCCTTTAATGCAAACTATCCAGCATCAGTAAAGCCGTAGACGCAGAAAATTGACTGGTGCTTACCCAGAGCAGAGAGTTAAGAGGGAATAGAGAGTGGCTGTTTGACAGGTACATGGTGTCCTCTTGGGATCATGAAAATGTTTTGGAACTAGATAGAGGTGGGAGTTTCACAACATTGTAGATATTCTAAGTGTTGTTGAATTGTTCATTTTAAAATGGATAATTTTATGTTACATGGATTTCACATTGATAAAAAATCTATGTATGTATAATATCAGATATTTTTAAATGCTGGGGAGAAAAATTAAGCATGGCAAGTATATTAGGCTGTTCTTGTATTGCTATAAAGAAATACTTGAGACCAGGTATTTATGAAGAAAACAGGTTGGCCGGGCACAGCAGCTCACCCCTGTAATCCCAGCACTTTGGGAGGCCAAGGCAGGCGGATCACGAGGTTAAGAGATCGAGGCCATCCTGGCCAACGTGGTGAAACCCTGTCTCTACTAAAAATACAAAAATTAGCTGGGTGTGATGGTGCATGCCTGCAGTCCCAGCTACTCAGGAGGCTGAGGCAGGAGAATAGCTTGAACCCGGGAGGCAGAGATTGCAGTGAGCCAAGATTGTGCCATTGCATTCCAGCCTGGCGACAGAGTGAGACTCTGTCTCAAAAAAAAAAAAAAAAAGAAAAAAGAAAAGAAAAGAGGTTTAATTGGCTCACGGTTCTGCAGGCTGTACAGGGAGCACGGTGCTGGCATCTGTTTGCCTTCTGGGGAGGCCTCAAGAAGCTTCCAATAATGGCAGAAGGCAAAGGGGTAGCAGGTGTCTTACATGGTGGGAGTGGGAGTGTGAGAGAGAATGGGAGGAGGTGCACACACTTTTAAACAACCAGATATTGTGATAACTCACTCACTATCAGGAGGATATCACCAAGCCATGAGAGATCCACTCCCGTGACTCAAACACCTCCTACCAGACCCCACCACTGACACTGGAGATTACACTTTGACAGGAAATTTGGTGGGGACACACATCCAAGTCATATCAGCAAAGGATAGAGTGGTTGGAGAGTTTGTCAGGGCAAGCTTTCATGCAGAGGTGATCTCCAAGCAAGGACCTGAAGGAAGTGAGAAAGACTGAGTATAGATGCAGAAGATACAGTATATACAAGGGCCTGAGAATATGCTTGATGTGTGAGAACAGCAAGAAGTTCGTCTTGACTGTAGCCAGGAGATCATAAAGTGCATCTGGAGATGTGTCCAGAGGCAAAATCATATGGGACCTGGTATCCAGTTGTACAACTCAATTAAGCCATTAAAACATTCACTCATTCATTCATGCTATGGAGATCTCTTTGCTCAGCATCTCCACTGGGATCTCTGATTGGCATCCTATTCTTAACACCCCCAAAGAGGAATCTGGACTTCCATCGCCAAAACCTGCTCCTCCCCAGTGCTCCTGAAAGCAGGAACTACTACTACCACCCACTCAGACACTCAGGCAAAACATCATGGAATAGTAAGCTTCACTTTCAAAGTATGTCCCAGTCAAGCCACTTCTTGCTGCCTCTACCACCACTCCTTGGTCTGAGCTAATCCCATCTCTAGTCTGAACCACAGCTCCTGCTCTCTCTTTTGCCATCCTGGAGTTTATTCTTCACTCAGCAACCAGAGAGGCCTTTATAAAAAGTAAACAAGATTGTATTATTCCCCTATTCAAAAACCTCCAACATCTTCCCATGGTGCCTAGAAAATAATCCAATCTTTATTTCTGTCTTTCTCATTAGTTTTTCTTGTTAATCCTGTTAATCACTTACCTATTTATAAGAGAAGATTTGAAAAGTGGAAGGAAATTATATCTGATAAAGGACTTGAATCCAGAAGGTAAGAAGTCTCAAAACTCAATAATTGGAAAACAAAATAACTGAATTAAAAACTATGCAAAAGATGTGAACAGACACTTCATTTCAGAAGAATAACAACTGCACATAAGGACATGAAATGTGCTCAACGTTAGTTAACAATTTATAAAGAAACAAATTAAAACCACAATGACATACTGCTACTCATCTTTTAGAATGGCTAAAATTAAAAAAAATAGTGACAATACCAAGTGCCGAAGAGGACAGATAGCAATGCAACTGAAACTCTTCTAAATTGCTGATGGGAATATAAAATGGTATAACTGCTTTGGCAAACATTTTAGCAGTTACTTAAAATGTGATAAATACATTCACCATATGACACATTGATTTTTTTTTTCTTTAGACCAAATCTCACTCTGTCTCACCCTGGCTGGAGTACAGTGGTGCCACCTCAGCTCTCTGCAACCTCCACCTTCCCAGTTCAAGCGATTCTCCAGCCTCAGCCTCCCAAGTAGCTGGGATTACAGGCGCACACCACCACACCTGGCTAATTTTTGTATTTTTAGTAGAGACAGGGTTTCACCATGTTGGCCAGGCTGGTCTCGAACTGCTGACCTTAGGTGATCCACCCACCTTGGCCTCCCAAAGTGCTGGGATTACAGGTGCGATTCACCGTATCCGGCCTCATTGATCTTATTATAGGTGTTGGCTCAAGAGAAATGAAAACTTCTGGTTCACACAAAAACCTATATGTTTATAGCATCTGTATTCATAATCACCAAAAACTGGAAGATGATCTTCAACTGTGAAATATATAATAGACTTGGTAGATACATACAAAAAATGTAAACTCAGGGACAAAAAAGGAATGAACTAATAAACATTAGTGTATAAGTCTTCAACAAAATACTAGCAAATTTAGCAGTATATTACAAGTATTATATACCATGAACTAGTAGGATTTATTCCTAGACTGCAAGGATGGTTCAACCTATGAAAGTCTATCACATTAATAGAAAGAGTGCAAGGATGGTTCCACCTATGAAGTCTATCAGTGTAATACACCACATTAATAGAAAGGAATAATGCAGAAAAAGCATTTGACAAAATTCAACACCCCTTCATGATAAAATCACTCAACAAACTAAGAATAGAAAGAAACTATCTCAATGTGATAAAAGCCATGTGTGAAAATCACATAGTGAACAACATACTCAATGGTGAAAGACTGAAAGCTTTTCTGCTAAGATCAGGAACAAGGTAAGGAAGTCAGTTTTTGCTACCTCTATCAGCATAGTACTGGAAGTTCTAACCAGAACAATTTGGAAAGATAAACAAAAAGCATCCAAATTGGAAGGAAGAAATAAAATTATCTCTGTTCACAGATAATATGATCTTATATGTAGAAAACTCTAAAGATTCCACACACAAAAATTGTTAGTTCTAATAAATGGATTCAGAAAAATAGCAGGATACAAAGTCGACACAAAAAAATTAGTTGCATTTCTGTATACTTACAATGAGCAATCTGAAAAGGAAATTACAAAAACAACTCCATTTATAACAGCATCAAAAAGAATAGAATATTTAGCAATTTACCTAACCAGGTAGGTAAAAGACTTGCACAAGAAAAACTTAAAAAATTGCTGAAATAAATTAAAAATATAAATAAATGAAAACACATTCCATGTTCATGGATTGGAAGACTTAATATTGTTAAAATGTCAGTGCCACCCAGAGTGATCTATGGATTGATTCAGCGCAATTTCTATGAAAATCCCAATGATATTTTTTTCAGAAATATAAAAACTCATCCTAAACTTAATATGCAATCCCAAGGGACCCTGAGTAGCCAAAACAATCCTGAAAAAGAACAAATTTGGAGGACTCACATTTTCTAATTTCAAAACTTAGTGCAAAGCTATAGTAATCAGAATAGTATGGTATTAATGTAAAGACAGGCATACAGACCAATAGAGACAGAACAGAGACTGCAGAAATAAACACTCACACATATGGTCAAATGATTTTTGACAAGAATGCCAAGACCATTCAATGGGAAAAATATAATCTTTTCAACAAATGGTGCTGGGGAAAACAGATGTCCACATACAAAAGAATGAAGTTAGACTCTCACCTAACATCATCTACAAAAATTAACTCAAAATGAATCTAAATGTAAGACCCAAAACTATAAAATTCTTAGAAGAAAACATCAGACAGAAGCTTCATCACATTGCGTTTAGCAATGATTTCTTGGCTGTGACACCAAAAGTGCAGGCAACAGAAGAAAAAACAGACAAATTAGACTTCACAAAACTTTTAAAATTTCATTCATCAAGAGACACTAACAGCAGAGTATAAAAGCAACCCACAGAATGGAATAAAATATTTGCAAATTGTGTATCTGATAATGGGTTACTATTCAGAAAAATTAAAACTTCTAAAACTCAACAGCAATAAAACAAACAACTGGATTTTAACAGTGGGCAAAGATTTATAAGCTTTATGAAGAATATTGTAAGAGGAATTTATCCTTGTTGAGACAGTATAGGATCTTATGTAGAAAATTCAAGTGAAGAAAGAAGTATTTTAGGAAATTTAATCAGTAAGGATTTTTTTTTCCTTTTGAAGTTTTTTTTAATTTATTTTATTATTATTATACTTTAAGTTTTAGGGTACATGTGTACAATGTGCAGGTTACTTACATATGTATACATGTGCCATGCTGGTGTGCTGCACCCATTAGAAGTAAGGATGCTTTAGAGGTGAAAAAACAGGTCAGAGAGACTTGTAGACTTGTAGTAATAGTATTAAAACTGTAGAATAAGGGACAAATCTGAAAAACATTTCAAAGGGAGGAAATAATTAAATGACATTCTGGATATAAAGATAGAACGGCCAGGCGCAGTGGCTCATGTCTGCAATCCCAGCACTTCGAGAGGCCGAGGTGGGTGGATCACCTGAGGTCAGGAGTTCGAGACTAGCCTGGCCAATGTGGTGAAACCCCGTCTCTACTCAAAATACAAAAATTAGCCAGTCATGGTGGCACGTGCCTGAAATCTCAGCTACTTGGGAGGCTGAGGTCGGAGAATCGCTTGAACCCAGGAGGCAGAGGTTGCAGTGAGCCAAGGTCGCACAACTGCACTCCAGCCTGGTCAACAGAGCAAGACTCTGTCTCAAAAAAAAAAAAAAAAAAAAAAAAAAGAATCAACTCAGAGGTAATTCCAAGTTTCTTGAAAAATGACAAAATATGCTGTCACTGACAAATAATTTAGGAATAAGAGTTCTTTGGTAAATAACCATTTCTAAGCCACTTATAAGAAGTACATTTCTTTTTTCATAGCACCCTATATTCTAAAACTTAGTTTCCTTCTTTCCCTGCTGCAGTTCTACTTTGTTTTATAAAATAAAGCCCACCTGGTATATTGGAAACAACTTGGGCTTTGGAACCAGATGGTGCTGGCCTATCTCTACTTAGCAAAGTTTTTTTGGGAAAATTACTTACTTTGCCCAAGCCCCAGGGATAATGCTTTTAAACTTTCAGATGATTATGATGATTCAATGAAATATGTAAAATGTTTCACATATAATAGGTGCTTTGTAATGTTGACTCCTTTCCTCTAAGCATTTTGTTTTGTTTTGTTTTGTTTTTGAGATGGAGTCTTTCTCTGCAGCCTAGGCTGGAGTGCAGTGGCGCAATCTCGGCTCACTGCAAGCTCCGCCTCCCAGGTTCACGCTATTCTCCTGCCTCAGCCTCCCAAGTAGCTGGGACTACAGGCACCTGCCACCATGCCTGGCTAATTTTTTGTATTTTTAGTAGAGACAGGGTTTCACCCTATTACCCAGGATGGTCTCGATCTCCTGACCTCGTGGTCCACCCGTCTCAGCCTCCAAAAGTGCTGGGATTACAGGTGTGAGCCACTGCGCCTGACCTAAGCATATATATTTTTTAAACATAGGGTAACTAAAAGAGAGAAATCCGTCTGTGGGTGCTCTAGTTATATCAAGGTTTTTTACTGAGATTTGTAGTTGTTGGTTTTTTATTTTAAAAAATATTTATCAAGATTTCTTCTGAAAATAGCACCCTCTTGAAAATCATAAAGATATGGATCTCCTTTATATTTATGTAAAGTGCTTCGTCATCACTGTTTTAATTTTGTTACTGCATTCTTAAATCTTCACAAAGAACTCTTCGGTTCTTCAGGCTGACTTGACTTCATTATTATTATTATTATTTTAGATAGAGTCTTGCTCTGTCACCCAGGCTGGAGTGCAGCGGTGCAATCTTGGCTCACTACAACCTTCACCTCCTGAGTTCAAGTGATTCTCCTGCTTCAGCCTTCTGAGTAGCTGGGATTACAGGTGCCCAACACCATGCCCAGCTAATTTTTGAATTTTTCATAGAGTCAGAGTTTCACCATGTTGGCTAAGCTGGTCTTCAACTCCTGACCTCAAGTGATCTGCCTTCCTTGGCCTTCCAAAGTGCTAGTATTACAGGTGTGACCCTCTGTGCAAGGCTTGACTTCATTTTTTTTTTATTGTATTAAATTCTAATCCTTAAATAGGTAGGTCATGTAAGTATTTGGTGAAAGAGATGTATAGTAAAAACTGAGTCTGGCTGGGTGCAGTGGCTCATGCCTATAATCCCAGCACTTTGGGATGCTGAGGTGGGTGGATCATCTGAGGTCAGGAGTTTGAGAACAGCCTGGCCAACATGGTGAAACCCCATCTCTAACAAAAATACAAAAAATTAGCCGGGCATGGTGGTGGGTGCCTGTAATCCCAGCTACTTGGGAGGCTGAGGCAGGAGAATCGCTTGAACCTGGGAGGCGGAAGTTGCAGTGAGCCAAGATTGTGCCACTGCACTCCATCCTGGGCGACAAGGGTGAAACTCCATCTCAAAAAAAAAAAAAAAAGGAAGGACATTCTGATGCCTGCTACAGCACGGGTCAACCTTGAGGACGTTAGGCTCAGGGAGGTAAGACGAACACCGTGTGATCCCACTTACAAGAGGCACGTAGCGTAGTGAAAATTACAGACACAGAAGGTAGACTGGTCACTGCCAGAGGCTGTGGGGAGAGTCGAACGGGCCGTTGTTGGTTAATGGGCGCAGAGTTTCAGTTTTACAAGATGAAAAGAATTCTGAAGGTGGATGGTGGTGACGGTTACACAGCATCGTGAATGTGTCTAGTACCGCCGAATGGTACATTTAAAAAGGTTAAGATGGTAAATTTTATGTTTTGTGTTTATTTCACCACAGTAAAACAATTGGAAAAAAGGAATGAAGTATAGATACATGCAATAACAGGGGTAGATTTCTTTTCTTTTTATTATACTTCTAGGGTACACGTGCACAATGTGCAGGTTTGTTACGTAGGTATACACGTGCCATGTTGGTTTGCTGCATCAAACATGGGTAGATTTCAAATGCCCTGTGGAGAGTGGAAAAGTTCCAGTTCAAAAGGCACCACACTGAATCCCAGCAACTAAGGAGGCTGAGGCTGGAAGATCGCTTGAGGCCAGGAATACAGGACCAGTCAGGGCAACACAGCAAGACACCATCTCTACAAAAAAATTAGGCTGGTGTGCTGGTGTGCACCTCTGATCTCAGGTACACAGGAGGCTGAGGCAGGAGGATCACTCAAGCCCAGGAATTAGAGGTTACAGTGAGCTATGATTATGCCACTGCACTGCAGCCTGGGTGACAGAGCAAGAACTCATCTCTTAACAAAATAAAACAAAACAAAACTAAACAAAATTATTATAAGAGAAGTGTCAGCATTGAGATTTCTCAGAGTCACATTTCTGCCACAGCCTTTAGGACACAGCCTCTAACCAACAAGCAAAACATTCCAGAATTCTAAGTAAATAAAAGATTCATGAGGCCAGTTACCTCAAGGCCCTCGAAGAAAATCCTATGGGACAGCTCGCAGGCCTTCACAGGTACCTAGCAGGTCTCGTTCACATGTAATTTTACTAAGCCTGGTGACTTTGTTTCCCAGCAGACAGGAAATGAAAAGAGTGAGAGTTTCTTTCTCAAAAGAAAAAGAAAGTGAAGCTGAGCATGGTGGCATGCATCTGCAGTCCTAGCTACTTGGGAGGCTAATAGGGGCGATCTCTTGAGCCCTGGAGTTTGAGGCTGCAGTGAGCTACGCCCATGCCACTGAGCTCCAGCCTGGGTGTAACAGAGCGAGACTCCGTCTCTAAAAAAATAAAAAATGAAAAAGCAAGAGAGGGGATACAAAAAATACAAACAAAACAAAAGGCGACGTACTACATGATTCCATTTATATGACATTCTCAAAAGGGCAAAATCATAGGGACAGACAGTACATCAGTGTTTTCTGGGAGCTTAGGGGCTGGGGCAAGGGCTGGCTACAGGGGAATGCAAGGGAATTATGTGAAATGATGGTTGATGATAGTGGTGGTCATGCAACCACATGCCGTTGTCAAACTCATAGAACTGTACACTGGAAGGTAAAATTTTATCGTATGCACATTTTACCTCCCAAAAACAACCTTTTAAAAAGTGAAAGAAAATGGAAGAAAATGTTCTAAAGGAGTGGGCAGAAAAGAAAACCTTGGAAAGTATTTCGAAGAGAATATTTAGAAGCCTGAGGCCGGGTGCAGTGGCTCACGCCTGTAATCCCAGCACTTTGGGAGGTCGAAGTGGGCAGATCACGAGGTCAGGAGATTGAGACTATCCTGGCTAACACAGTGAAACCCTGTCTCTACTAAAATTACAAAAATTAGCTGGGCAAGGTGGTGGGCGCCTGTAGTCCCAGCTACCCCAGAGGCTGAGGCAGGAGAAGGGCGTGAACCCGGGAGGCAGAGCTTGCAGTGAGCCGAGATCGCGCCACTGCACTCCAGTTTGGGTGACAGAGTGAGATTCCGTCTCAAAAAAAAAAAAAAAAAAAAAAAAGTCTGAAATAAAAATTATTCTGCAACAGGAAACCAGGTTGGCTGTCTCTTCTCTCCCTTCAACACTATGGAATTCTTATAAATATTTTCCCCCTCACATGTCATGATGGATGTCTTCAAACATAGTTTAATGAATTGTATGGTCAACAGCTATACAGCACCACCTAGACTTTACATTGAACATTTGGCCGTATTGGTTCCATGGTGTTTCTCTCTCAACCCATCCATCAACCTCTCTGATTTTTGATGCATTTCAAAGCAAGTGGCAATCTCAGTGCACTTCATCCCTGAACACTTCAGCATGCATCTCATGAGCTAAAGCTCGTGTTTGTTTATGCTTATGTTTAGGTGAAATTTACATATAACAAAATGCACATCTCATGTGTGACTTGATGAGTTGACAAGAGCAAACACCTTGTAACCAAACCAGCATCACAACAGAGAATTTCCTATCACCCGAGATTATTCTCTCCTGCCCCTCCTTAATAAGTCCCTGCCCTGCCCGCCTGCCCCCCAGAAGCAATCACGAATCTGCTGTCACTATAGATTTATTTTGTCTGTTCTGGAATTTCATATCAACGGAATAAAAGGGTACGTTGTGATGTGCTTTTCTGTGTCCGGCTTCTTTCACTCAGCAAAGCACGTGTGAGGTTCATCCTTGCTGGTGCATGCATTGGTCATGAGCCTGTGATTTCAATTCAATGTCACAGGATAAAGTGAGGCACGGAGGATCACAGACAGGCTGTGAAATTCATTGCTTTCATTTGAACAAATGAAAAGTTCATTCTGATCACTGAGATGGACTGAGAAAGAAGGAATGGGGTTGAGAGGAGCCCAGAAAATGGATCCATTGAACCCTCCAAACCTACCACCATCAGAGCCTCTTTCGTCTCTTTTTATATATGGGTGCTTTGGGTGAGATTTTGTTTGAGGATTGAAGAAAAAGAAAAGTTTCTTCTGCTAAACAACATTTGAGAAACGTGGACTGGGAATGGGTCAGGTGCACTCGAGTGGTTGTTTTCTGAATGGAGCACACACTCCAACTAGAAGCGGTCTCATAGTCAAGAGTTTTGAGTTTTTTAGGAAGTCAATGAGGCTGGGTGTGGTGGCTGACACCTGTAATCCCAGCACTTTGGGAGGCCGAGGTGGGCGGATCACGAGATCAGGAGTTCAAGATCATCCTGGCCAACATGGTGAAATCCCATCTGTATTAAAAATACAAAAATTAGCCAGGTGTGGTGGCATGCACCTGTAGTCCCAGCTACTCAGGAGGCTGAGGCAGGAGAATCACTTGAACGCTGGAGGCGGAGGTTGCAGTGAGCCGAGATTGCACCACTGCACTCCAGCCTGGCAACAGAGCAACGCTCTGTCTCATAAAAAAGAAAAAGAAAGTCAACAAACAAACATTTTGCTGCCCAGTGTGGTCAAAGAAGTGTGTTAAAAATCCTGAAGCTTCTGCAGACCTCAAGAAAAGACACTACCTGCAGTGATTCATGATCTAATTGGCAAGATGGGTTAAAGACACACGTCAAGAGTCCTTGCCATTCGTTCCAGGTAAGTTTGATGCAGCCCTTCTAGTGAGCTTATGCCTCACAGAATACCCAGAAAGCCTGATAAGCCCTCCTTGAGCTCTGTGAAATAGGAAAGGGGAAAGGATTAGAGCTAGAAGGCATGTGCAATATGTTTACTGCGGGATTGCAAAGGAAATATTATTGGGTTCCTCCACAGTTGGGGTTTTCTGAGCCAATTTTACTCAAATTTGGGGTCCTGGACTAAGAACAAGCTTTTCAAGTTAATTGGCAACTGCATAGACAGTGAGACAAATCCAGAGAGATTTACTTAACTCTCTGCAGAGGGGAGGACATAACCCTGGACCCTGGAGACACCTGGTTTCTCTGGCTCCTGGAGAGGCTGATTCGCTTAGCAAAGAGGTGAAGTAAGGACTCAGGCTCACTCCTTTTCCAAGGATCCCTTCGAGGGCCACTAAGCTAATGACACTATTTCAGGTTTTTGTTATGTTCACACTTCCAGATGCAAACTTATGTTAAAAATATAAAATATAGGGCATAGGTTAAAGCAATAGAAAACAGCAGCTTACTTAAGAGAGAAACTTATTTCCCTCTCGGAACAGCTCCTAACAACCCTGGGGTTCTCAGTCCAGGCAGTTGGGGACGCTCCACACTCCATGAAGTCACTCGGGGATCCAGGTTCTTTCCACATTGTTGCTCCTTCATCACCTAGATTCCTGTCCAAACCCAGCATACTAGGAGCTGCATCATGACTGCGGCTGCATTCCAGATGAATGAAGAAAAAAGGCCAGAGTCCAAAACACATGGTTTTCCTGTCAATCACAAACTGTGCACTTACCCTCGGCTTACAACCCATTGGCCCCAAACGGTCCTATGACCACATCCGGCTGAAAGAGAGGCTGGGAGATGTAGTTTCCAGGTGGTTGACCAAGAACCC
The DNA here is from genome assembly GCF_000001405.40 of Homo sapiens. NCBI lineage: Eukaryota > Metazoa > Chordata > Mammalia > Primates > Hominidae > Homo > Homo sapiens. The sequence goes on along the minus strand of NC_000007.14, from coordinate 4,345,133 downwards.
AGTGAAAACTCCATAAATATGAAAAAAAAAAAAAAAAAAAAAAAAGGAAAAAAAATTTGGGAAGACATCCAGCAACAATCTTGTGACTGAGCCCCTGGTGGGAAGCTGTTGAGAATGGTGGAAGGAAGTGCATCGGTGCTGTCTTCACAACCCCAAGGATTTTTCTTCTCTCCTGCCACAGAGTTAGGCTACTCTTGGTAAATATGGCTTCCCTCTCTACAGCTCTCTGCATCTCTGAACCAAGCCAGGTCCACAAGAGCTGCTCTCACACCTCTCTCCCCAGTTTCCATGCTAGCTGGTGTTGCGGGCAGCAGGTTCAGCTGTTGAGCTTCAAGGTGAACCCCTCACTTTTGGGAGGTGCCTTGAGTTGGTGCACTCCTCATCTGCAGGTGGCCTCCCCGCACTTCTTGGCTTCCTCTCCCCTTTGACAGTTCTGCTCCATCCCAGCTGTTTGCTAAGTCTGGACATGCTCTTTGAAGTCTGTGGACTCTATCTATGTCTTTTCTAGTTTCCTTGAAAATGGAGTTTAAGTGGTTTTTAAATTCTCCTTGCTCCTCATGTATGATTTCCAGGAGGAGACGCAGAAAAATGTTCTCATGCAGCCATGCTCATTCTGAAAGCCAGTGGAATAGTTTAACGAGTCACTTTATTCTGGTTAGAAGGAGCCAAGGACTTGCCCTCTTGGGATGCGGTGGTAAAAGGAATTTCTCTGTAGGGCAAAGAGACTGCAGCAAGTACCAGTTTAGGCCAGTGACAGAAAATCAGCTTGATTAACAACAACAAGGTCAGGAGAGGAGGAGGAAATGCATCCCGTTTAGGGGCGGAAGCAATGTCTTATTGTCTGGCGTCCCAGAACAACCCTGGTGATACTGCCCCGGGCAAAATGTGAGCCAGGTTTCTATGACTGAAATTGGCTGAGACGTACCTTGGAGGCGGGTAATGATCCTACAAAAAACAGTGAAAAACAGTGGAGACTCCAAGATATGAATGTGTAACAGCCACGAAGTAAATGCAAAGAGAGTCTCGCAGGGCACCCGCATTCCCTACCAGGCATAGCAACCATGGGTCGTAAATGAAGGCGGAGCAGAGGCCAGACAGTGCTTCGACGGCCATAACTCTGACTCCGGCTGGTGTCTCCAGTCTGAAAAAGACAGAGAAACTGCAGCTCACATTTGAGCTGATTATGACTTGCAGCACACATTTTTTTCTAGAACGTCCACTTTAGTGCTTTTTGTTTTTTTTCCTTCTGAAAGTGGATTGCTGGACTCCGACCCAGAGATTTGAATATTTCTTTGTTCTCACGACCTGACCCACCACCAGGCTAATGATAGGCATTGTGCAATGTATTTAGATAGGGGAAGCAGCCCAGCCTTTTGGTAGGAATTCCTTTTTTTCGGGACATGCTTAGTGAGCCAGACACGCTGCTAGGTGAGGATACGGTGTTGTTCCGTTATACAGATAATATAACTGAGGCACACAGGGCTCAAGTGGCGAGCTCAAAGTCACTAAGCCGTTAGGCTAGTTTAGTGGCTAGGGTGGATACTGCTAACTAGGTCCCTAAAACTCATCACCTCCCTCTTCCTTGTTAAGAGCTGCAACGCACTCAGCCGCAAGTGATGACTTAACGATTGTCTAAGACAATCATGACAAAGCTATTTCTCAATTCCCCAGACTCTGTGGCAGCTAGGGGAAGTCACGTGGTCCACTTCTGACCCATGAGGCCTAAGGAAAGGACTGCTACAGGGAGCTCTGGAAAAGTTATTGGTGTTTTCATTTGTTTTTGTAAAAAAGAAAGGAAGAAAGAAAGGAAAGACGTGGCTAGCACTGCTCCTCATCCTTCCTCCCTTCTCACTGCCTGGTAGCAGATGTGATATCTGGTGCTGCTGCAACCATCTTGTAACCATGAGGCAAAAAAAGGAAGGAAGGGAAGAAAGAGAAAGAAAGAAAGAAAGAAAGAAAGAAAAGAGAGAAAGGAATGAAGGAAGAAGGGAAAAAGGAAGGAGGGAAGGGAAGGGAAGGAGGGAGGGAGGAAGGAAGGGAGGGAGGAAGGAAAGGATCGAGGGAGGGAGGGAAGGAGGAAGGAAGGGAGGGAGGGAGGGAGGAAGGAAGGAAAGAAGGAAGGAAGGAAGAAAACTCAAAGTGAGCACAGCCTGTTTCTCTAATGATATTAAAGCAGCTGAAACAATGTCAGCAACTACCTATCTGCAGATTCCTTGAGAAAAATAACACACTATTTAAAAAACCCATATTATTCAAGTTTTCTCTGAGTTACAGCCAAATGCATGCCCAATAAAATGGCCGAGCAGAGATAGAATGCTTTCAGAGCTGTTTGACTCCAAAGTCCCCGCAGTAGCCACTCTACTACCATGGTAGCTCCTTGGCAAAAGATTCTCAGGCAAGTTCCTCAAATCCAAGGGAACACGGCAAAAATATCATGAAACAAGGTCAGGCTTAAGGGGCAAAAAGTGAGACCTTGAGTCTCATGTTGCTAGGCCGGAGTCACCTAAGTCCTTTCTGCCCAAGGTTGCTCTCGGTCCTCAAGACTGGGTGGAGGATGGGCCTGCACATGTGTGTGATTTGAAGTGTGTGGGAGGGTGTGGTTACATGCACAGAGCAAATATGGTGAGACTGGGAACCAGCAGGACCGAATCTCCCCCAGTGGCTTGCCTTATTGTAAGGGAGTGTTTAGTTCCTTGTTTGTTTGTTTGCATGCCCAGGCTAGAGTGCAGTAGTGCGATCATAGCTCACTGCAGCCTCTACCTCCTGGGCTCAAGCGATCCTCCCACCTCAGCCTCCAGAGTAGCTGGAACTACAGGTGTGTGCCACCACGTCCGGCTGATTTTTGTATTTTTTAAAGAGATGGTGTCTCACTATGTTCCCCAGGCTGGTCCCAAACTCCTTGCTCAAGCAATCCTCCTGCCTCAGCCTCCCAAAGTGCTGGGATTACAGGCCTGAGCCACCCACAGGGCCTGGCCATGTTCAGTTTCTCAATTCCAGTCTTCCCTGAGTGTATTACCCTGATGGCAATGCTGTGCAAGTCACCACCAGGTCCTTTAAACCACTAGGAAATCATTCTCATTTTCCTGTGGAGAACCACTGCTCCAGTGTCTGCAAAGCAAATTACCCCAAACTTAGTGATGTAAAACAACAGTCATTTTATTTTGCTCATGATTTTGTGGGTCAAGAATGCAGGAATGGCCCAGCGCTGGGGCTCGTGCATGTAATTCCAGAGCTTTGGGAGGCCAAGGTGGGAGGGTCTCTTGGAGCCAGGAGTTTGAGACCAGCCTGGGCAACAGTGAGACCTTGTGATAGTTAATACAGAGTGTCAATCTGATTGGATTGAAGGATGCAAAGTATTGAACCTGGATATGTCTGTGAGGGTGTTGCCAAAGGAGATTAACATTTGAGTTAGCAGGCTGGGAGAGGCTGCTTCACCCTCAGTCTGGGTGGGCACCATCTAATCAGCTGCCAGTGCAGCTAGGATAAAAGCAGGTAGAGGAATGTGGAAAGACTAGACTGGCTGAGTCTTCTGGCCTCCATCTTTCTCCTGTGCTAGATGCTTCCTGACCTCAAGCATCAGACTCCAAGTTCTTTAGCTTTGGGACTCTTGGACCTTTGACCACAGACTGAAGGCTGCACTGTCGGCTTCCCTACTTTTGAGGTTTTGGGACTTGGACTGGCTTCCTTGATCCTTGGCTTGCAGACGGCCTATTGTGGGACCTCACCTCGTGATTGTGTGAGTCAATACTCCTTAATCAATTCCCCTTCATATATACATCTATCCTATTAGTCCTGTCCCTCTAGAGAACTCTGACTAATACACACCCTGTCTCAAAAAAAACAAAAACAAAAACAAAAACAAACATTATACATATACATGTAATTAGTTCTGTCCCTCTAGAGAACCCTGACTAATACAGACCTTGACAAAAAAAAAAAAAAAAAAAAAGCCGGGCACAGTGGCTCACGCCTGTAATCCCAGCACTTTGGGAGGCTGAGGTGGGTGGATCATCTGAGGTCAGGAGTTCGAGACCAGCCTGGCCAACATGGTGAAACCCGGTATCTACTAAAAAAAAAAAAAACAAAAATTAGCTGGGCATGGTGGTGGGCGCCTGTAATCCCAGCTCCTCAGGAGGCTGAGGCAGGAGAATTGCTTGAACCCAGGAGATAAAGGGTGCAGTGAGCCACATGGTGCCACTGCACTCCAGCCTGGGCGACAGAGTGACACTCCATTAAAAAAAAAAAGAAGGCATAGCTGGTGCTGTTCTCACTTGGGGTCTCCTTCATGCTGCTGCTGGCAGATGTTGGCTGAGGTTCCATTGTTTGAAGACTCAACTGGGCTGGCCATCCCGGATGGCTCACTCAAAGCTCGCTCAGAAGGCTGGCTGGTGGAGCTGGTGGCCGGGTCCTCTCTCACATGGCAATCTCAGAGTAGTTGTGCTTTCAGGGCAAGTGTCCAAGGAGGAAGAACTTTTTCTACCTAGCCTATCACTTATGGCTTATTCTATCGGCTATAAGTGAGTTACTAGGCCAGTCTAATCTCACCTGGAGGAGATGGAGAGTCAAAGAACTCAAAGGCTGCACTTACAGGCTGGGATTAGAGATGTGAGCCACCCACTGCACCTGGCCGTGTTTAGTTTCTTAATTCCAGTCATCCCTCAGTGTATCACCCTGCAGATGAATGCAGGAGAACTGCCTGGAAGGGAAGTGTCCTGCCAGCCACTGGGATTGCACAGAAAGCGCTGATGCCAGTAAATTCTTAACCGTTTCTTTTTGAGAAGCTATTGACTCTTCCAATTAGAAAATGATGCATGTTAATTGAAGAAACTCTGGAAAGCAGAAATCATGCCATATGCAATCTCATCAGAGATATCACCATGTTCACATTTTGGCATATTTCTTTTTAATTCTTTTTTCTCCAAAATAATTTCAGATCATGATAGTTTTAGGCAAGAAGCAAAAAACAGAATAAGGGATAAGACAGCTCTGGAGTTATAGAGACAATGATTTGGATGAAGTTGTTGTGAACACCTCTCAGTGGGGGGTGATGTTTTTACCAAAACTGAAACGACAAAAATACTTAGGAAGAGCGCAATGCAGATGAAGGTGATAACTGGAGCAAATGCCGGGAGGTAGGACCAGGTCTGATACCACTGGACCTGAAATTCTGGAGTGTATTGAATTTCAGGAAGAGGTGAAAAAAAAATGGGGAAGATGTCAGCAAAGACCAGGCTATGCAGGGCTTGTTGGCCATGGTAGGGAGGTGAATTTTATCTTAAGAGTGGTGGTGAATTTTAAGCAGAGGGGAGAAGACAGCTGATTTAAAAGCAATCTCTCTGGGTGTATTAGTTTGCTAAGTCTGCCGTAATAAAGTATCACAAACCTAGTGGCTTGTACAACAGGAATGTGTTGTCTCCAAGTTCTAGAGGCTGGAAATCCAAGATCTAGGTGTATTAGTCTGTTTTCATGCTACTGATAAAGGCATACCTGGGATTGGGCAATTTACAAAAGAAAGAGGTTGAATGGACTCACAGTTCCACGTGGCTGTGGAGGCCTCACAGTCATGGCAGAAGGTCAAAGGCATGTCTCACATGGCAGCAGACAAAAGAAGAGCTTGTGCAGGGAGACTCCTCTTTTTAAAACCATCAGATCTTGTAAGACTTACTCACCATCACGAGAACAGCATGAGAAAGACCCGCCCCATTATTCACTCACCTCCCACCAGGTCCCTCCCACAACACTTGGCAATTCAAGATGAGATTTGGGGGGACAGAGCCAAACCATATCACAAAGTGTCTGCAGGGCTGGTTCCTTCTGTTCCGGGCCTCTGGAGGGACCTGGTGGAAGATGACTGGATCATGGGGGCAGACTTTTCCTTTGCTGTTCTTGTGATAGTGAGCGAGCTCTCCAGAGATCTGGTTGTTTAAAAGTGTGCAACACTTCCCCTTTCGCTCTTTCTCTCCTGCCGCCTTATGAAGACATGCCTGCTTCCCCGTTACCTTCCACTGTGACTGTCAGTTTCCTGAGGCCCAGCCATGCTTCCTGTATGGCCTGCAGAACTGTGAATCAATTAAACTGCTTTTCTTCATAAATTACCCAGCCCCAGATATGTCTTTACAGCAGCGCGAGAATGGACTAATACAGCCGTCTTGTATTAGTACGTCACTAATGTACTTGTCTTGTACATCACTCTGATCTTTGCCTTCATCTTCTCATGATGTTCTTCTGGGTGTGTCTGTCTTCAAATTTCTCCTTTTCACAAGTGCCGGGTCTGTCCCACAGACCCTGGCGGATCAATGGATGAAAGGAGTACTCAGACACAGGTATGCAGTGCAAGAGCAGCTAGGGGACTGCCTGGCTCAAGTGGCCAGAGTGCAGCCCCAAGAAGAATAAAAATTCAGGGCAGGCACAATGCCTAAAGCCTGGAACAAACATAATCTGTGGGAAATTAACATTTATTGTTCCCCTTTCAGGGAATCTCGTGCATCCGGATATTCAAAGGTCAGTTTCTGGACAACTTCAAACAAACAAACTTCCCCTTCACTGCCTTGCACGTACTCCTCGCCCTCTGCCTCGGGGTCAGAGAACAGCTGCCTTCAGATATTCTCCCCCAGTGCCATGCAGAGCCCTCCAACCTTTCAGAAGACCTGCTGCTTTCCCAGAGTGCTTTTTCTCCCACCACTCTGATGGATCTCCTGCACACAAGGACACCAGTTCTATTGGATTAGGGTCCACCCTAATTACTTCATCTCGACTCGTTTGTCTGCAAATACACTGTTTCCAAATAAGGTCCCATTCACAGGTATGGGGGTTAGGACCACAGTATCTTGTGGGGCCTGCAGTTCAACCCATAACCCTGGTGTTGGATGGACAGATGCAATTTGGGAGCAAGTGTGAAAGGCAGAAGCTTGATTTAGTTCCATTGTTCTCCTTGAATCTTCCATGGTTCAGTGCAGGTCCGGTAGCATTCAGAGTCCCTGCCCTGGGCTGACAGCACCCGGACAGGGGCCCTCCACCCCCAGCCTGAGGTCAGGAGGCTCACGCAAGGATATTGGGAATCTGAGGTCATTCCCAGGGATACCCAAGGGCTCAGGGCCCAGGCAGTCCTCATGGGCCTTTGTCCCAGTCCAGCCTTGGAGGAGGTTGCTTTCTCTCTGTTCCCCTGGTAATTGACCTTCATTTAAGAGGATGACCTGTGCCTCCCTGGGCAGTGCCTTTTTTCTGCTTTTATCTCAATCTTAATCTTTATGTTATGGGCCCAAACCTGCAGCCAGATTCCAGATTTGGTTAGGAGAAAACCTTTTTCTGCTCACAGTTAAAATTTAGCATGGCAGCTCCAAGAAGGGAAATATTTAAGATCCTGACATCTTAAATTGAAAGAGTAAATCCACGTGGCTTAGTGGGGATTTGAGGAAACGGGACTATTATGGGCTAAATTGTGTTCCTCCAAAATTCGTATGTTGAAGTCCTAACCTCCAGTATCTCAGAATGTGATTGTGTTTGGAGCTAAGACTGTTAAAGAGGTGATTAAGGTAAAACGAGGTCAGATTAGTGGGCCCTCATCCAGCAGGACTGGGGTCCTTATAAGAAGAGATCAGGACACAGACACACACCAAGAAATGGCCAGGTGAGGACTCAGGGAGAAGGCACCCTCTGCCAGCTGAGAGAGACCTCAGGAGGAACCAGCCCGGCCCATGCCTTGATCTCAGACTTTTAGCATCCAGAACTACAGGAAAATAAATTTCTGTTGGTTAAACGGCGCAGCCTGTGGTCCTTTGCTACGGCAGCTGAACAAACTAACACAGGGACGCAAGAAGGAGACGTTCTGCAAGTCAGGGACGAAGCAATTTAGAATGTGGAGTCTGTGGTCATCCTTAGAGGACTGTACATTTGTGAATTTGCTCCTCACTATTTCAGAGCTGTTTGACTCACTCTAGTACTGTGGTAGCTCCTTGGCAAGAGATTCTCAGGCAAGTTCCCCAAATCCAAGGGAACACAGCAAAAATGTCGTAAAACAAGGTCAAACTTAACGGGCAAAACGTGCGACCTTGAGTCTCGAGTTGCTGGGCTGGAGTCACCTAAGTCTTTCTGCCCGAGGTTGCTCTCGGTCCTAAAGACTGGGTTGAATGCGAATTTGGGGCTTTTACAGTCGTTCACAGACATACACAGAGTGGTAAAAGATTTGAATCACCTGATATACATGTTCCCAGTGTAAACCAAAAATAACATTCTAAGCACCCCCCACCCACCGACCCCAGCCATCTAAATGAACCTCTCCTCTCCGCCAAGGATATCCCAAAGTGAGCCTGAAAAACTGGTTCAGGCCTTGATAGGAAGAGGGAATCGGACCTGCCTCATACACTCTCCTCCACTGTGGAGTTCGGGAAAAGCCAGCCAGCATTAACACCAACACAGACCTTAAGTCTGATAAGATACATTTACAGTCAATTCTCTCAGAAGCCTGCTACCTGGAGGCTTCATCTGTGTGGTAAAGCATTGGTCTCCACAACCTCTTTTCGTAACCCAGACAGTCCTTTCTATCGATTCCAAGTCTTTAGACAACAACTTAACACTTTCAATGGATGGCCAATCCAAAAATTTTTAAATCTACTTATGGCCCAGAAGCCTCCACTTCAAGTGTCCCTCCTTTCCAGATGGAATCATTGTACATCTTACAGGTATTGATTGATGTCTCATGTCTCCCTAAAATGTATAAAAGCAAGCTGTGCCCCGACCACCTTGGCCACATGTCGTCTGGACCTCCTGAGGCTGGGTCACAGGTGTGTCCTTAACCTTGGCAAAATAAACTTTCTAAATTGATTGAGACCTGTCTCAGATACTTTTGGGTTCACACCAGCTAAGGTTTTCCAGCTTTCATACAGTCAATGAGTGGCCTTTTCAGAGTCTAGGTAGTGCCATCTTTTTCACATTGTTGTGCTTTTTTTGTTGTTGATTTTGCCATTTACAATGCCCGCCACCCCGTGTGAGGTGCTGAGTGCTGTCTGTTGTCCAAAGAACAACAAGGCAGTGATTTGCCCCATGGAGAAGAAATGCCTGTTAGATACACTTCATGCAGGTGTAAAAAGTAAAGTAGAGGTTCCTCTTCAAAGACTTTCTTCCTCATTTAATGAGGAATAAATAGTAACTTCTCTTAGAAGCAAAATTGATTCAAAGACCTGTGCTGACATTCTTAAATATCTGCTAGCCGTGATAAAGAAATCAATGTACTTTATGTTCTTAGCTCCCACAATTTAGCCTAAATATTTGCCCCAGAATGCTTATACTGGTTCAAGCAAGCATTAGGTCATAGCCTATTCCTCTTCCTTATTTGAAGGTGTTTTTTTGTTTTGTTTTGTTTTGTTTTGTTTTTTTACCTTTCCCAGTATTCCACAAGTTACTTCCTCCTTCCTTTGTTCTCCTCTGCCTTTGCCTCTTTTAAAAAGTTATAAGTTGCTCGCCAATCGGGACAAATACAGAATGTGAGGTCCCGTTCCAGCCAATGGAAACCAGACACAGCAGTAGGGCGGGCACATCAGGTTATAAATGACCCTGTCTCCTTTGTTCGGTGTACTCTTGTGGCAAAACGGCTGGCGAGTGTACCTTTCTGCAGGAAGTAGAAATGGCCTCACTGAGTAAGTTGAATTTAGGTTCAAGTGCTATTTCTTTACGGCACCGGGGAACAAGCATTTCAAACACAGGCGTGAATTACAGCACTGTTGGCTGGGAGGCCAATGTTAATGAGTCAACCATGTGTATCCAATTCAATGTGTTTAATCAGAAACACACACAAAACAAGGCTATGTGTTGATGAAAATATCACAACCAGAGACCCACAGGAACCTAACTCGGTGTTTTCCTAGGAGCAGTGGCTCAGAATTCAATAATTCAGTACTGCAGTGACTTTATGGAATGTAATTATTGAAAATAATGAGAACTGACCATAGATGCTTTAGGGAGTAAGACACAACAATGGCAAGTTTCAAGATACTTAAGGGGTGCTCCTACTTAACAATTTACCTAAGGTGGGCCCCCAAGGATGCAAATATGGCTGGGCATGGTAGCTCATGCCTATAATCCTAGCACTTTGGGAAGCTGAGGCAGGCAGATTGCTTGAGCTCAAGAGTTTGAATGCAGCCTCGGTAACATGGCCAAACACTGTCTCCCTAAAAATACAAAAATTACCTGGATATGGTGGTGTGCACCTATATCCCAGTCTAAGCTACTTGGAGGGCTGAGGCAGGAGGATTGCTTGAGCGCAATAGGTTGTGGCTGCAGTGATCCAAGATTGCACCACTTCACTCCAGCCTGGGTGACAAAGTGAGACCCTGTCTCAAAAATAAAAATAAATAAATAGATAAATAAATAAGAGGGCCAGCGTGGTGGCTTATGCCTGTAATTGCAGCACTTTGGGCGGCCAAAGGGTGAATCACGAGGTCAGGAGTTCAAGACCAGCCTGGCCAAGATGGCGAAACCCCGTCTTTACTAAAAATAAAAAAAAAATTATCTGGGAGTGGTGGCGGGCACCTGTAATCCCAGCTACTCAGGAGGCTGAGGCAGAGAATTGCTTGAAGCCAGGAAGCAGAGATTGCAGTGAACAGAGATCACACCACTGCACTCAAGCCTGGGTGACAGGGCGAGACTCCGTCTCAAAAAAAAAAAAAAAAAAAAAGCAAATATGACTCTAAAAGGGATAAAGGAACGTATCTTGAATACTCATGCTGAGAAGATAGTGGTTTGTGTATATGCAGATTTTATCAACTCATCTGTTCTGCATTGTCCTGACAACAGAGATTGTTATAGGAAAGGGATCCGGACCCCAAGAGAGGGTTCTTGGATTTCGCACAAGAAAGAATTTACGGCGAGTCTGAACAGCAAAGTGAAAGCAAGTTTATTAGGAAAGTAAAGGGATAAAAGAATGGCTACTCCATAGGCAGAGCAGCATGGTCTGCTGCTTGCCCATTTTTATGGTTATTTCTTGATGATATGCTAAACAAGGGGTGGTTTATTCACGCCTCCCCCTTTTAGACCATATAGGGTAACTTTCTGATGTTGCCATGGCATTTGTAAACGGTCATGGCACACGTGGGAGTGTAGCCGTGAGGATCACCGAAGGTCACTCTCATCACCGTCTTGGTTCTGGTGGGTTTGGGCCGGCTTCTTTACTGCAAACTGTTTTATCAGCAAGGTCTTTATGACCTGTATCTTGTGCTGACCTCCTATCTCATCCTGTGACTAAGAATGCCTTAATTTACTGGGAATACAGCCCTGCAGGTCCTAGCCTTATTTTACCCAGCTCCTATTCAAGATGGAGTTGCTCTGGTTCAAATGCCTCCCACAAGATGATAATTTACCTTCCTTTCCACGTAGTCTATGCTCCATTGTCAGCATTTTTGACTCAACTAATGGCCTTTGAATTATGCTAATGAGCATTAATAGAGAATATAGCGTGTGCCAGGATAGGGCATAAAATGTCTTTATTTCTAGATCACCAAGAGCCCACAGCTCCATGTAACAGGTTTGTGGAATGAATGTCTGGAGTTCTGGATAGGCAGAGGTAATCTGGCATCTAGTCACCTTCTAAATTGGACAAAAGGCCAGGTGTGGTGGCTCATGCCTGAAATCCCAGCACTTTGGGGAGCCAAGATGAGAGAATCACTTGAGCCCAGGAGTTTGAGACCAGCCTGGTCAATATGGTGAGGCGCGTATCTACAGAAAAATAAAAAAATTAGCTGGGCGTGGTGGCACACACCTGCAGTCCCAGCTACTCCAGGGGGCTCAGGCAGGAGAATCACTTGAGCCCAGGAGTTCGAGGCTGCAGTGAGCTGTGATCACTCCACTGCACTCCAGCCTGGGCCACAGAGTGAGAGCCTGTCTCTGAAAAATAAATACATAATAAATAAATAAATTGGACAAAACTAATTCCTCTTTGAGAACGTGATTTTCTTTTTACGTTGTTTGTTTGAACTCGGCTTTTACTTTTGGTCATCTGGAGGCAGAACTATCTTTCTGTAAGATGAACCATCTGAATTTCCAGAAGATAGAAGAGAGACATTTGTCAGATTTCCAGTAGGGTAGACTATTTTAAGATAAGAGGCTGAGAGTGCATTTCCCTGGAAAGGAAGGAGAAGAAAGTCCTTTTATCCCTGTATTAACTCTGGATTCTGAGGTCTGAAAAGAAGGTACCTCCAAGGTCTCCTTGTGCCTCCGAGATAAAGAACTTGAACCACGTGGCTATTGATTATGGACCATGGCAAGATGGGGACGGAGCTGAAAATCAAAGTGAAGGTCCATCAAATAGGGAGAAATACATTTTCTCACTATTGAAATAAGCCCTATATTTATAATAGAATGATTTATATTCCTCTGGGTGTATACCCAGTGATGGGATTGCTGGGTCAAATGCCATTGTCTTTAGGTCTTTGAGAAATCACCATACTGTCTACCATGATGGTTGAACTAATTTACACTCCCACCAACAGTGTATAAGCATATGTTCATTGCAGCACTATTCACAACAGCAAAGACATGAAAACAACCTACATGCCCATCAGTGGTACATATACACCATGGAATACTATGTAGCCATAAAAAAAGAACGAGATCACGTCCTTTGCAGGGACATGGATGGAGTTGGAGGCCATTATCCTCAGCAAACTAACTCTGTAACAGAAAATGAAACACTGCATGTTCTCGCTTATAAATGGGAGCTGAATGATGAGAACCCAAGCACACAGAAAAGAGAGCAACACACACTGCGGTCTTTCAGAGGGTGGAGGTTGGGAGGAGGGAGAGGATCAGGAAAAATAACTAATGGGTATTAAGCTTAATATGTGGCTAGTGAAATAATCTGTACAACAAACCCCCATAGCACCAGTTTACCTATGGTACAAACCTGCACATGTACCCCCTGAACTTAAAATAAAAGTAAAAATAAAAGAAAGAAAGAAAGAAGCTCTGTATTTTAGCCCAGCACTCATTTTAAGATATAATTAACACGGGTCAGGAGGACAAGACAAATCCCAGCAAACTGATTCAGCAGAAATATCAGCACTGGTTATTGACCTCAGCGGGGAAGAGAAAAAGCAATCAAGGAGGCTTGTAGCAGCCGGTGGATGAAATGAACCCTCCCGAACTTGGCTCCCCACCCGGGACCTGCAATTGTTAATCTGCACACAATAAAATAAGGACGGGCGCATAAACAATACTCAGTGTCTTAAAAAATGAAACCATTAGCGTAACTGCATCTCTGCTCATCCCTTGCCTCCTGAAATGTATGAAAAATCCCTTCGCCAGGGCCAATTAGCATCTTCTACCACTTGTACAAGAAGTGCTGCTTATTAAAGGTGACAACATAATGCTAAAAAGATGCTTAGAAATAAAACTTGAGCTGTAATCATTTGGCTGAATAAGACTCCCTGGTTTTGGCAGCCTCGTCTATTTGGTAGAAATCCCTCTATCCATAACCATAAGGGTTCTGTCTCTCATTACTATTTTCTTTTTGAGATGGAGTTTTGCTTTTGTTGCCCAGGCTGGAGTGCAGTGGTGTGACCTCAGCTCACTGCAACCTCCGCCTCCAAGATTCAAGTGATTCTCCTGCCTCGGCCTCCAGAGTAGCTGGGATTACAGGTGCCCACCACCACACCCGGCTAATTTTTTGTATTTTTAGTAGAGAGGGAGTTTCATCATGTTGGCCAGGCTGGTCTCAGACTTCTGACCTCAGGTGATCCGCCTGCCTCGGCCTCCCAAAATGCTGGGATTACAGGCGCCTGCCACCACGCCCGGCTAATTTTTTGTATTTTTAGTAGAGAGGGAGTTTCACCATGTTGGCCAGGCTGGTCTCCAACATCTGACCTCAGGTGATCCGCCTGCCTCGGCCTCCCAAAGTGCTGGGATTACAGGTGTGAGCCACCGTGCCCAGCCTCTGACTTCTATTTATGATGGTGCATGTGGGGCTGGGCGGTGGGGCTGGGGGTGTGGGCAAGACTCCAATGTGCCAGAATGCCTTCAATGTCCTATGCCTTCAATATTTTTAAATCAACTTAAGTTTGTCTCTGAGTCCCTGTCCTGCTTCGCTGGTGGAAATATAACCTCAGGTGTTTTTATGACTCCATCTCCCCTTACAGAAATTGTGCTGACGTTTTGGGGTTCCAGGAGGGGCCAAGAGAGCCGGGGAGCCCCTTGGATCACAGATGGATGACGACCGAGACTCAGGAGGTCCGGATTACATGTGGCCAAGGTGGTCGGGGCACAGCTTGCTTTTATACATCTTAGGGAGACATGAGACATCAATCAATGCCTGTAAGACGTACAATGATTCCATCTGGAAAGGAGGGACACTTGAAGTGGAGGCTTCCGGGTCATAAGTAGATTTAAAGATTTTCTGATTGACCATCCATTGAAAGTGTTAAGTTGTTGTCTGAAGACCAGGAATCACCAGTCCCTGTGGACCCTCCGAGTCTAAAGCTCTCTTTGCTGATTCTGATCTAGTTTAGAGGTCCTACAACCTTTGGTGAGGCTGAGTCTGGGCTGAGGGCCACCCCCCTGGGACATCAGGTGGCCATTGTCTCTGAGGTCCCAGCACCACCTTGGAAATAGATAAAGGTCTGGCACAGGTCTCGGCTTTTGAGGGGAACTGTAGCCCCCAGCTCCTTGCACTCAAGAGAAATTCCTTTTTATCTGAAACAAACTCTCCCTCTGTCTCCACGTTTTCCTCAGAAACTCACTTCTGTCTTCACATTCTGCTTTCTCAATGAGCTTAAGGTTTTGAATATTGACCAGGTAGGGAGAGAAAGTATCTGGCAAGCACTTCGTGTCTTCCTTCCTGCTCCAAATCTTCAGAGGCTAACAGCTTCAACAGGAGAGAAAACAGGTAAGTACAATGGGAAAACAAGTCCAGATATTTGGCTACATCCATTTTGGTTGGAATAACAAAATGCCATGAACTGGGTACCAGGAACAGCAGACATTTATTTCCAGTTGGGAGCAGTGGCTCACACCTGCAGTCCCAGCATTTTGGGAGGCCGAGGTGGGAGAATCACTTAAGGCCAGGAGTTTGAGACCAGCCTGGGCAACATAATTGAGATCCCATCTCTATTAAATAAATAAATAAATAAAAATTTTTAAAAAATTAGCTGGGTGTGGTGGTGTGTGCCTGTAGTCCCAGCTACTGGAGAGGCTGAGGTGGGAAGATTGCTTTGAACCCAGGTGTTTGAGAAAATAGTGAGCTGTGATCATGTGACTGCACTCCAGCCTGAGTCCCAGAGCAAGACCCTGTCTCTAAATACATAAATAAATGAAAAGAAATTTAATTCTCACAGTTCTGGGGGCTGGGAAGTCCCGAATCAAGGTGCCAGAGCAAAAACCTGTCTCTAAATAAATAAATGAAAAGAAATTTAATTTTCATGGTTCTGGAGGCCAGGAAGTCCAGAATTAAGGTGCCAGAGAAAGATCCTATCTCTAAATAAATAAATAAATAAATAAATGAAAAGAAATTTAATTCTCACAGTTCTGGAGGCCGGGAAGTCCAGAATCAAGGTGCCAGAGTAAGACCCTGTCTCTAAATAAATAAATAAATAAATAAATAAATAAATAAATAAATGAAAAGAAATTTAATTCTCATGGTTCTGGAGGCCGGGAAGTCCATAATCAAGGTGCCAGCAGATTCTGCGTCTGTGAGGGCTGCTTTCTGGTTCACAGACAGCACTTTCTCCCTGTGCTGTCACTCAGTGGAAGAGATGAGGGGGTCTGTCTGGAATCCACTTTCCTTTCCTTCATCAAAGTGCCACCCTCACAACCTAATCACCTCCCAAGTCTCTATCTCTTTTTCTTTTTTTTGAGACAGTCCTCAGTCGCTGGGACTACAGGCATGAACCACCATGCTGGGCTCTTTGTTTAATTTTTTTTGTAGAGTTAGGGGCTCACTCTGTTGCCTAGGCTGGAGCACAGTGTTGTGATCATGACTCACTGTAGCGTTGAACTCTTGGGCTCAAGTGATCCTCCCACCTCAGCTTCCCAAGTAGCTGGGACTACAGGTGCATGCCACCGTGCCCAGCTGATTTTTAAAATTTTGTAGAGATGGGGTTTCACCATGTTGCCCAGCCTGGTCTTGAACTCCTGGGCTCAAGAGATCTTCCCGCCTCAGGCTCTCAGAGGGCTGGGACTACAGGTGTGAGCCATGACACCCAGCCGGCTCCACCTCTTAATACCATTACCTTGGAGGTGGGGATTTCAATATAAATTTGGTGGAGGGAGAGGATGCAGACATTCAGACAATAGCAACGTCTCAAACAATATTCTGATGTTTCGACTGGGAGAGCCATGGCTTTCCACTACAAGAATTCTGCATTTGAACGAGTTGAGGACTAGGCACCTCTGGACTGACTTCTCCTTATGTCTTCTGACAAACTCTTATTAAAGAATTACCAGGGAATATGATGCAGATCATCTGGTATCCCTTTTTTTTTTTTTTCTCCTGAGATGGAGTTTCGCTCCGTCACCCAGGGTGGAGTGCAGTGGCGCAATCTCGGCTCACTGCAACCTCCGCCTCCCGGGTTCAAGCGATTCTCCTGCTTCGGCCTCCCGAGTAGCTGGGATTACAGGCATACACCACCACACCCGGCTAATTTTTGTATTTTTAGTAAAGACGGGGTTTCACCATGTTGGCCAGGCTGGTCTCAAACTCCTGACCTAGTGATCTGCCCGCCTCAGCCTCCCAAAGGGCTGGGATTACAGGCGTGAGCCACCGTACCAGGCCACATCTGATATCTTTTAATTCATGTTTCTGGAGTTGGCACTGCCATCAACTTTCTCATCTACTAATATAATAGAGGTCAGTATTCAAAACGGTGAGCTGAGATGATCCCTGCAGATGCCCAGCTGTAGAAATCAGCAAACCCTAGAGTATGCACGTTATAAAACAGAATTAGAAAGTGGTAATGTCCCTAACAGTCATTTATTCATTTATGCAACATCATCCAGTAGCAGTTGGAAATGTCAATGAATAATCCTTTCAAATAAAGCAAAATTAGATAAAGATATGCTTAGGGCATGAAATTTAGACTACGGTAATGAAGCTGTCCATTGTAGGTGAAGATGATGTCACTAACCTGTTACCGGGAGACTCTGGTTTAATTATCTTTCCAGTAAATAGAATGCATTTGTGCTAATCTGCGTTAGTCTTTTGGTTTTAGTTTTTCAAATCCAATTCAAGTTCCAGTTCTGGGTAGGATGGAATAAGCACACTGCCATTTTTTCCACCGTATGTAATTATAAAACTTGGACAGAATGCATGTGGCAGCTACCTGAGGACTCTAGAAATTAAATAAACCGTAGCAGGCAGATCAGGGAAGGATACCAGATTTCAAAGAACCACCAAATGAGTGGTGGGTGGCATTTTTCCCTTCCAGTATTCTCAGCTGGAAATAATAATGCATCTGGAAATCCAGAGGTGAGCCCTAGAGCCCAGGCAGAAACGCTCAGAAAGACAGTGTGGAGCGGGGAGAGGACATCCTGTGAATGTGGGATGTTTCGGCTCTGGGAGGAAAAAAAAAAAGACTCTTAATGTACAAAGGGAGCACAGAAACCCCACTTTCCAGGTTTTCTTTCTTTTCTCTTTTTTATTTCTCTGTTCTCTTATGACCCAGCCCTCAGGCAATCCTGCAGAGGCATGGCAGTGAGGGCCAGCAGAAACCATGCTCTGAGAAGGGGTTACTGCCCCTGCCTTCAGTGCAGTAGGGGTCTTAAAAGCTGGCACCAATGCTGAGGTCTCTATTTTCTCTGTGTCCTCCACCACTGGGCCCAGGGAACTGGGATGCAGCAGGGAGATCATGGAGAGGGAGGAGCTCAGGAAGTCTCCATCAAGCTCCTTATGAATTCCAGTGCTCTCTCTCAAGCATACCAAAGAACTTCAGAGATGAACTGATGGAGAAGCCACTTCTCAGGTCCCAGATGGACCACCGGTTGGCACACGCCCAAGAGAGATGTGAATATTCTGTAGATGTCTATACCTTGAATATAACTTGAATATTACTGCTTAAGTTACACTGTAGCTTTTTTCATTTGCTTAACTGTTACATTGCCTCAGCTGTTACAAAGAGTAGAGAAGATACATAAGAGATTTATTTGAAAAAAAAAAACCCTAGGAATAAAATATTTGATTTGTTTTGGTCACAAAAAGAGGGGCCTCTGGGAATGGGCTCTTTCTCTTGCCCTTTCACCTTCAGCCATGGGATGAGGCAGCAAGAGGGTTCTCAAAAGATGCTGACACCTTGATCTTGGACTTCACAGCCTTCAGAACTGTGACAAATAAATTTCTGTTAATTGTAAATCAAAACAAAAAAGGGCACCACAAAGGTTTTGAAAACTGAGATGAGGTTGGCACCGTGGCCCTCAGAACTTGTGACTTGAACCTACTGAGGTTAATTGTTCACTAAGCAAAATATCAACATTCTCCATCAGATTTCAATGAGACCCAGAGTCTTAGAGCATCCTAAACATCCCACTGAAAACATCCAGGATGTAATCCAAACCAAAAAAAGTTCAACTCCTGTGATAATCAACAGATGCCAACACCAAGATGATACTGACATCAGAATTATCTGGCATAGATTTTACTGTAAAGAAACTATTACAACAATGTTCAAATGATACACCCATTAGGATAAAGTGTTGGCAAGGATGTGGGGACACTGAAACTCTTGTGCATCACTGGTGGAAATATGAACTAGTGTAGCTGCTATGGAAAACAGTTCTATGGTTTCTCAAAAAATTAAAGATAGATAGAATTATGTTATGGTCCAGCAACTTCATTTGTAGGTAATGTGTCCCAAAGAATTGAAAGTACGGTCTTGGGCAGATATTTGTACACCCATGTTAATGGCTCCAGTATTAACAATAGCCAAAAGGTGGGAGCAACCCAGGTGTCCACTGACAGATAAATAGACAAATAAAATATGGCGTACACATAGGGACTATATGATCAGCCTCAAAAAGGAAGGAAATTCTGACATGCGCTACAACCTGGATGAACTTCAAGGACATTATGCTGAGTGAAATATGCCAGACACTAAGAGACAAATCCTGTGTGATGCCACACAGACGAGGTACCTAGAGGAGTCAAAGGCATAGGAACAGAAAGTAGAGTGGTGATCGTCGGAGGCGGGGCCAGGGGAACGCAGTTACTGTTTAACGGGTATAGAGTTTCTGTTTTGCAAGATGAAAGGAGTTCTAGAGATGGGTTGCACAATAATATAAATTTACTTAACACTCCGGAACTGTACACTTAACATGGCTAAGATGGTACATATTCTGTGATGTGCATTTTGCCACAATTTACTTATTTATTTATTCATTTATTTTGGAGACAGAGTCTCACTCTATTGCCCAGGCCAGAGCAGTGGCACAATCTTGGCTCACTGCAACCTCTGCCTCCCGGGTTCAAGTGATTCTCCTGCCTCAGCCTCCTGAGCAGCTTGGACTACAGGCATGTGCCACCATGCCTGGCTAATTTTTGTAATTTTAGTAGAGATGGGGTTTCACCATGTTAGTCAGGCTGGTCTCAAACTCCTGACCTCAAGTCATCCACTGCCTCAGCCTCCCAGACTGCTGGGATTACAGGCATGAGCCACCACGCCTGGCTCACAATTTACAATAAATATTCAAATGGGCAATTGCAAACAGTCTTGGAGCATATATTACAATAATTTTTTTTACTAAGATATAGAAGTTTTTTGTTTTTTTTTTTGAGATGGAATCTTGCTCTGTTGCCCAGGCTGAAGTGCAGTGGGGCGATCTGGGCTCACTGCAACCTCTACTTCTCTGTTCAAGCAATTCTCCTGCCTCAGGCTCCTGAGTGGCTGGGACGACAGGTGCATGCCACTATGCCTGGCTAATTTTTTGTATTTTTAGTAGAGATGAGGTTTCACCATATTGGTCAGGCTTGTCTTGAACTCCTGACCTCAAGTGATCCACCCACCTCGGCCTCACAAAATGCAGGGATTACAGGCATGGGCCGCTGTGCTGGGCCTTTTTTGTTTGTTTGTTTTTGAGACAGCGTCTTGCCCTGTTGTCCAGGCTGGAGTGCAGTTGGGCCAGCATAGCTCACTGCAGCCTTGATCTCCCAGGCTCAAGTGATCCTCCTGCCTCAGCTCCTGAGTAGCTGGGATTACAGCCATATGCCACCACGCCTGGCTAATTTTTGTAGTTTTAATAGAGACAAGGTTTCGCCATTTTGGTCAGGCTGGTCTCAAACTCCTGACCTCAAGGGATCCACCCTCCTCAGCCTCACAAAGTGCTGGGATTGTAGGCATGAGCCAGCATGCCTGGCAGAAGATATTTTTTAATGGAAAATTTAGAAATTAAAAGATGATAATAATTGAAATAAAAAATTCAGTGGGTTCCATTAGCAGAACGGGGAGGATAGGGGGAAGAGTTAATGAACTAACTGAAGAAAGATCAATAGAAATAATCGACACTGAAAAATAACGAGAAAAAAAGAATGAAAAAAATAAACATGGCCTCAGGGGCCTGTGGGACAGTACCTAAGTTCTAACTTTCAGGTCACCTGAGTCCCAGAAGAAAAGGAGAAGGAGGATGGTGCTGAAAAAATTCTTGAGAAAATAATGGTTGAAAACTCCCCAAGGTTGGATAAAGACAAAACCTATCAATTCGGCCGGACACGGTGGCTCACGCCTGTAATCCCAGCACTTTGGGAGGCCAAGGCAGGTGGATCACGAGGTCAGGAAATCGAGACCATCCTGGCTAACATGGTGAAACCCTATCTCTACTAAAAATAGAAAAAATTAGCCGGGCGTGGTGGCGGATGCTTGTAGTCCCATCTACTTGGGAGGCTGAGGAACGAGAATGGCGTGAACCTGGGAGGTGGAGCTTGCAGTGAGCCAAGATCGTGCCACTGCACTCCAGCCTGGGCGACAGAGCGAGACTCCGTCTCAAAAAAACAAAACAAAACAAAACAAAACAAAACAAAACAAAAAAATCCTATCAGTTCAAGAAGCTAAGTGAGCCCCAAACAGGATAAACCCAAAGAAATTCGCACACATCATAACCAAGAGGCTGAAAACAAAAAGAAAGAAAATATATTGAAAGTAGCTAAGAAAGGCCAAGTGCGTTGGCTCACGCCTGTAATCCCAGCACTTTGGGAAGCAGAGGCAGGTGGATCGCCTGAGGTCAGGAGTTTGAGACCAGCCTGACCAACATGGAGAAACCCCGTCTCTACTAAAAATACAAAATTAGCCAGGCGTGATGGCACATGCCAGTAATCCCAGCTACTCGGGAGGCTGAGGCAGAAGAATCACTTGAACCCGTAATATGGAGGTTGTGGTGAGCAGAGATCGCACCATTACACTCCAGCCTGGGCAACAAGAGTGAAACTCCGTTTTGAAAAAAATAAAAATAAAAAATTAGCCAGGCACTGTGGCGGGCGCCCGTAATCCCAGCTACGCAGGAGGCTGAGGCAGGAGAATTGCTTGAACCCAGGAGGGGAGGTTCCAGTGAGCCGAGACTGCACCATTGCACTCCAGCCTGGGTGACAAGAGAGAGATTCCGTCTAAAAAAAAAAATGCATAACTTATAGAGAGCAATGATTTAAATGACTGCAGATTTCTCTTCGGCAAACATGGAGCCCATATCAACGAAATTGGCAAAACTTTAGCTAGACTGAACATGGTAAAAAGAGAGAAAAGTCAAATTACTAAAATCAAGAATGAAAGAGGAGACATAAGCACTGACCTTATAGAAATAAGAAATATATATACGAGAATATACTATGAACAATTACACAGATAATAACAGAGATGAAGTGGCCATATTTCTAGAAAGACACAAACTAGCCAAAACGCCTCAGGAAGATATAGGAAAGCTGAATAGACCTCTAACATGTAGACAGATTGAATTAGCAATCAAAAAACTTCCCATGAAGAAAATCTCATAACGAAATAGTTACATGGAGCGATTTTATCAAACATTGAAAGAACACCAAAGCTTCACAAACTCTACAAAAAATAGAAGAGAAAGGATACTTACTAACTCATTCTATGAGGCCAATATTACCCTGATACCAAAATGAGGAAAAGACTTCACAAAAACAAAAATACCCCAGTATCACAGACCAATATCTCTACACTGGATGGAGATGCAAAAATCCTCAACAAAATATTACTAATAATGAACTAAGTCATCAACATACAAAAAAAAATACACCACGATCAACAGATTTATTCCAGGAATGTGAGGTTGGTTTAACCTCTGAAAATAAATCAATATAATATAAATATTAATAGAATAAAGGACAGAAACCATATGATCATCTCAATAGACATAGAAAAAGCATTTGACAAAATCCAACACCTTTCATCATAAAGACACTCAACAAAGTAGGAATATGAAGGAATTTTTCCAACCTCCTACAGAATATCCATGAAAAACTCATAGCTAGCATCATACTTGATGAAAAATTGAATGATTTCCCCCAAGAATCAGTAACAAGACAAGGATACTCCCCAAATTGCTCTACAGACGCAATGTAATCCGTATCAAAATCCCAGACATCTTGTTTTGATCCTAAAATTCATATGGAATTGCATATGAATTTTAGGACCCAGAATAACCAAAACACTCTTGAAAGAGAATAATAAAAAATAAGGTGGGGCGTGGTGGCTCATGCCTGTAATCCCGGCACTTTGGGAAGCCGAGGCGGGTGGATCACCTGAGGTCAGGGGTTCAGGACCTGCCTGGCCAACATGGTGAAACCCCGTCTCTACTACAAGTACAAAAATTAGCCGGGGATGATGGTGTGCACCTGTAATCCCAGCTACTCAGAAGGCTGAGGCAGGAGAATTGCTTGAACCTGGGAGGGAGAGGAGGCAGTGAGCCAAGACTGCACCATTGCACTCCAGCCCAGGCAACAGAGCTCGACTCCATCTTAAAAAAAAAAAAAAAAAAAGTAATAACACTTTCTGATTTCAAACCTTACTACCAAGCTACAGTAATCAAGACAATGTTGTATTGGTATAAGGACAGACATATAGATCAATGGAATAAAATTGAGAATCTAGAAATAGAGCCTTATATTTATGGTCAATCGATATTTGAAAAGGGTGCCAAGACAATTGCATGGTAAAGAATAGTCCTTTAAATAAATCATGCTGGGAGAACTGAACGGGCACATACAAAAGAATGAAGTGGACCCCTTCCTCACATCATACACAAAAATTAATTCAAGCGGATTATTTGAATTAATTAATTAACTCTTCTAAGAGTGTCGTTATAGTTTTAGCTCTTACATTTAGGTGTATGATCCATTTGAATTAAATGACACTCTTAGAAGTGTCATTATAGTTTTAGTTCTTACATTTAGGTATATGATCCAGGAATAAATCTTTATGGCCTTAGGTTAGGCAATGTTTTCCTACATATGACACCAAAAGCACAATCAATGAAAAAAAGAACAATTTGACTTCATCAAAATTAAAAACTTTTGGCTCATACCTGTAATCCCAGCGCTTTGGGAGGCTGAGGTGGGAGGATCACTTGAGCCCAGGAGTTTGAGACCAGCCTGGACAACATAGTGAGACCCTGTATCTACAAATAAAAAAATTTAGCTGGGTGCAGTGGTGCATGCCTGTAATCCCAGCTACTCAGGAGCCTGAGGTGGGAGGATCACTTGAGGCC
Source organism: Homo sapiens (assembly GCF_000001405.40). Lineage (NCBI taxonomy): Eukaryota > Metazoa > Chordata > Mammalia > Primates > Hominidae > Homo > Homo sapiens. Next base: position 4,321,448 of record NC_000007.14, on the reverse strand, counting down.
AAGAGGTTGAGGCTGCAGTGAGCCATGATCACACCACTGCCCTCCAGCTTGAGTGACAGATCCTGTCTAAAAAAAAATTATTTTTATTCTTTAAATAAAACCATTAAGAAAGTGAAACTACAACTCATTAATTGGGAGAAAATGTTTGCAAATATATACCTGATAAGGGAACTTGTATTCAAATATATAAAAAATCTTACAACTCAATAATAATAATTTAAAAAATAACTCAATGTGAAAAAATGGGCAAAGATCTTAACAGACATTTCTCCAAAGATACATAAATGGGAAAAAAAGTACATGAAAAGTGTTTTAACATCATCACCATCAGGGAAATGTAAATTAAAACCACAATGAGATATCATTTCCCACCCTCTAAGATGAATGCAATTAAAAAGACAAACAATAACAAGTGTTGGCAAAGATGTGGAGAAACTGAAACCCTTGTGCATTGCTGGAGGGAGCATAAAATGTTCAGCCACTTTGGAAAACACTTTAACATTTCTTCAAAATGCTAAATAGAGTTTTCACTGGCCCAGCCATTCTACGCCTAGATATATAGCCAGTAGAAATGGAAGCATAAAAACTTGTACATGAATGCTCATAGCAGCGTTATTGGTAATAGCCAGAAAGTGGAAACAATCCAAATGTATGTCAACTGCTGAAATGTTAAACAATATGTGATCTATTCCTGCAGTAGAAAACTTTTCAGCCATAAAATGGAATGCAATACTGAAACATCCTGTAATATGAATGAACCTCGAAAATATTATGCTAAATGAAAAAAGCCCATCACAAAATAATACATACTGTAGGATTCCATTAATATGAAATGCCTAAAACAAGCAAATCTGTAGAGACAGAAAATGGAAGGTGGGTGGTTGCCTAGGGCTGGGGGTGAGAGTAAAATGGGGAGTGATACTTAATGGAGACTGGGTGCTCTTCCTGGGTGGTGAAACTGTCCTAAAATTAGAGTTGCCGATGGTTGCAAAACTGTATGAACACACCACAAACCACTGACTTGTATACTCTAAATGGTGAATTGAATGACATGTAGTTATATCTCAATAAAGCTATAAATAAAGCAATAAAGTCAAAAAATATCAGAAAATGATTCTGACTGATTCACGTAATCACTTCACTGCTGCGATCTTTGACGTCTCTGTGTACAACAGTACCTGACATGAGTCAAAGGATATTGCTGTGAAAAATAAGGACACACAGATGCCAGGTTAGAGTTTGGAAAGATCATGATATTCAGGGGTGGGGTCTTATTGGTTATATTTGCTCATATTTTGACAGATGTGATGTTAGCTTTTGCCCAATCTCTTCATCGTAATGGAAAGCTCAATTTGTTTGAGTAAGAGCCAGTAGGTCTATGCCACATATTGAGAAGCCCTGAGCAACCCCAAATTCTACCTTGGTTAGAGGGGTCCATGGGAACAATGCCCGCCGAAGGAGAAAGTCATGTCTTATGGCTGTCTTGGTGCACAGCTCCAGGGGGAACTATCTGCATTGCGATCTATGCAAAGGATGGCTTCCTGCATGAATAATTCCACCTGGAGTCATGCAAAGCTCAAAGCTCACATACGATGCACAAATTCTCAATAGTAAACCATTGCAACTGGGGGCGGTTTATGTACCCCTGGTACTCCTGTGGTCACTTCAAATTGAGAAAAGGGATACAGGATACTATAGTTAAGCTCACGAAGCCTTTCCAAATTTATGATGCCTGCATCCTCCGGTGACTGTCACGCCACAGTACGTGTGGCCGCTGCATGAAACCTCTTCATCTTTGGGAAGCATGGAGATCATGAGAGGTACTGAATACATTTTCCATCGTGTGAGTGATGTCCAAGTCTCTGGCAGGTATGTCGCACGAAAGACTTCAAGGTAGACAAAGAATGTGAATGTGTAAAGTGCTTCAGATATGAGATGAGGGAGCCGGAGAGCTGAAGGATGAAGTCATGTCTTGGAACTGTCTTGGTGCACAACTCCAGGCGGTGCCCACTGGGAGACGGCTTCAAGAGCCATGTGGGACTCCTTTTGGGGGAACATATGCAACGTGAAGTCGGGAACCCCCCCACCGCCCGCAAAACCAATATTTTTATTTGTGTCAAATCTGGCTTCAGGTCCTGATCTCCAGGGGCACAAACAGACATTTGCAGAGATGGGAAAATGCCACTTTGCAAAGGGGTCACTACCCAAGAACCAGCCACTGTGGGAGGGACAAAGGGCGCTTTACAGGGGCTAAAATGCTGGTGGTAATATTTCATCAACCATCTCTTTGCAGTTTAACTTTTACACAGCCCTCTTAGGAAGACTGCTATGATTGTTACACTATTTTACAATTCTCCAAATATTGAAAATTTGAAAACAGGGTTTTAGGATCATAAATGTAAATCTGAGTGGGGTAGGGATCTTCTGGAGTAGGTATTGGGATAAACCAGAGAGAATGACTCTGGGTCTATAATGCAGCTGATTAATATGAATCATATCATTGTGTCTGGCTCAGAGATGATCCCAAATCTTCTTTATGATCTGTGCCTCAGCTGCTCTCCAGAAACACTGTAGCTACTCTTATGGATAGATGATGAGACAGCCTGCCTGTCCTAACCAAGAGCCAGTTTTAGGGTTGTAAGATTTCAGTGTTACATTTTTATGTCTCCGTGCTCCAGAAAATTGGGTCATTTTGTGCATTATTAAGGATGTTCACTGCCCGTGTTCATTGGCTGTGATGCTGCTGGTGGCCAAAGGGTAAAAAATAATCCAGGATTCTGCACAGCCACATGGCAATGTGGGGAAGAGGGGCTTCTGTCCGAGGCAAGGGGCTTTGAAAAACCAGCACCTGTCCCATGCCCTCCTCCGAATTGTTCTTGTGATTTTTGACAAAACAGCTGCAATTTTCCACCTGTTCTGAGCCAGTCGTGGTAACAGCCTCTGATAAAAGCGATAGTAAATTGTTGACTGGGAATGAAAAAGTAAAGAAAACCAATGAAAATGTTTTCATTGTTGCTAACAGTTGTGGTTTTGACTTCATCCAGGGACAATGAACTGAAAATTAACTCCACACGCATTAGTTGTCAATCTAAAGAGTAAAGATGCAAAGAGTTTGGGTCTGTGGTCAGCCTTCCAAAACCTATCTTTCCTGCTTTCGTTTTGTTCAAATGCTTATTGATTATTTTTACTTTTTTTAAATTCAACAAGTTTTACCTACTTGTTCAATATGACAGGCAGTTTTCAGTCTTTATATTTTATTTTATTTTATTTTATTTTATTTTTTGAGACAGTTTCACTCTTGTTGCCCATGCTGGAGTGCAATGGCACAATCTCGGCTCACTGCAACCTCCGCCTCCTGAGTTCAAGCGATTCTCCTGCCTCAGCCTCCCGAGTAGCTGGGATTACAGGCGCCCCCCACTATGCCCGGTTAATTTTTGTATTTTTAGTAGAGACAGGGTTTCGCCATGTTGGTCAGGCTGGTCTCGAACTCCTGACCTCAGGTGATCCACCTGCCTTGGCCACCCAAAGTGCTGGGATTACAGGCGTGGGCCACCGCGCCCGGCCCTCAGTCTTTATTTTACTTGACATATCTACAGCCTTTTAAAATGTAATTATGTTTTTTTCTGATAATAAAGATAATTCGTTGACTGTAGAAAAGTTAAGAAATACACAAAATTATAGACAAAACATATATCCCAGATCATGCCTCCCAAAAGCCAGTGTTCATATGTTGGTGTTTGTCTTTCATTCTCATCTTTCAGACATTCCATGATATTACAGAGTGCTTGGTAGATGTCAAGCACTGTTGTTTTCACTGTCTTCATGGGCAGATGTCTAGCTATTTAGCTATTTCAGAATGAGGACCCACTGTACTTTCTTTTTTGTATCCTGCTTTTATTCCCTAATGTTTTCTTTCTTGCACTTCCTGATGCCAATCAGTAGCTTTTTAATTGGTATATATAATTCATTATATAAATTTATTAGCTTGTTTAACTGTTTACTTATTCTTACATATTTAGGAGCTTTCTCATTTCTGGCTGTTATAAATTAATATCTGCATATAAATCTTTGTGTGTTTATTTAATGGCTATTTGAAGATGAATTGCAGAACAGGATTCCTTAGTCAAAAGTAGGAGCTTTCTGCAAACTTTGGATGCGTCTTTCCAAATGGTGCTTCTGCAATCTCCTGGGATTCTCTCTTCTATGGAAATGAATGGGAATGTCATTTCATAGTACTTATACTAACACCATGTGCTGCCTTTCTTTTCTTTACAGCCTTGACAATTTGATTCATTACTACTTCACTTTGTGTTATTTTTGACTATTATATTTTTCACTATTAAGAAGTACAATATTTTATATGTTGGCTAGATATTTATTTTTCTAGCCTTGGAGCTTGCTTTCAAAGCCATCATCTTTTATACATATTTCTTTCTAGTTTGTTGTTCCACTTTTAATTTATTGTGGTCTTCCTATTTTTACTTTATTCATTTTTTTTCAAATTTAAACATCATATCAGTACATTTTATTTGTGTCTGTTGCCTCTTCTTTCTTTTAACCAACTTTCTTTCTCTTTCAATCGTTCTTTCATTCTTTCCTTTTCTTTCTTTCTTCTTTCCTTTTCTTTCTCTTTCCCTTTCTTCTTTTTCTTTCTCTCCCCTTCCCTTCCCTCCCCTCCCATTCTTTCCTTCCTTCCTTCCTTCCTCTGTCACTCTCTTTCTCTCTCTCTGTCGAGTTTTGCTCTGTCACCCAGGCTGGAGTGCAGTGGCACAATGATCTTGGCTTACTGCAGCCTCGACCTCTCGGGCTCAAACCATCCTCCTGCCTCAGCCTCCCAAGTAGCTGGGACTACAGGCATGCACCACTACTCCTGGCTAATTTTTTTATTTGTAGATATGGGGGTCAAGCTATGTTGCCCTTTCTTTCATAATTTTATGCCTAAAAAGTCCTTTCTACCTTGAGATTCCCTACATTTATTTCTAGCTGTGTGGCTTGGCTGGTACATTTCACCTTTTAAACCATCTGGAAATTACTCTGATACACAATGATGCAAGGAGAGAAAGTAACTTTCTTTTTATCCAATTAGTTAGTTCTCCCACTACATTTCCTGAGTGAGTAGCAGGTGGTGGGACACTCTTGCAGATGCAGAACTGATGAAACGGAGGCTGGAGTCAGGCTGCGGGCTCCATGTCCCTTCACCTCTCTGTGCTTGGGTTTCCCCACCCCTAAACTGCAGAGAATAGTAGACTTGTTATTAGCATTAGATTCGTACTTTTATTTTCAGATACAAAATGACATGGTTTGAATTGGTGTTCCTGCCCAAATCTCATGTTGAATTGTAATCCCCAGTGTTGAAGGAGAGGCCGGATTGGACCATGGGGGCAGACGTCCCCCTTGCTGTCCTCGTGATACTGAATGAGTTCTTACGAGATCTGGTTGTTCGAAAGTGTGTAGCACCTTCTCCTTCTCCCTCTTCCTCTTTCTTTGGCCATGTGAGACATGCCTGCTTCCCCTTAGCCTTCTGCCATGATTGTAAGTTTCCTGAGGCCTCCCAGCCATGCTTCCTGTACAGCCAGTGGAACTGTGAGTTAAACCTCTTTTCTTTATAAATTATCCAGTCTCAGGTAGTTCCTTACAGCAATACAAAAACAGGCTAATACACAAAGTCTTGCTCTGTGGCCCCGGCTGTAGTCCAGTGGTGCAATCATAGCTCACTGCAGCCTCAAACTCTTGGGCTCAAGCAATCCTCCTGCCTCAGTCTCCCTGGTAGCTGGGACTACAGGCATGAACCACTGCACCTAGCTCTACTTTTAAGTTTTATTGAGATGTAATTCACATATCCCACAATTCACCTGTTTAAAGTGTACAATTCAATAGTTTTTAGTATATTCACGTAACTGTGCATCAGTCACCATAATCAATTCTACAAAATTTTTATTACCTGAAAAAAAAAACCCCACGCCCATTAGCCATCACCTTCCAATTCCCCTCTCCACTCCAGGCCAAGGAAACTAGTAATCTACTTTCTGTCTCTATAGAGTTACTTATTCTGGCATTTCATATAAATTGAATCCTACAATATGTGGTCCATTGAGACTAACTTCTTTCACTTATAATGTTTTCAAGGTTCTTCCATGTTCCAGCATGTATCAGCACTTCATGCCTTTTTTTTGCCAAATAATATTGAATTGCATGGATATACCACATTTATTTATCTATTCATCAGGCAATGGATGAATAGATAATCAGGCGATGGATGAACAGATTTCTACTATTTGGAATTTGAAATTCCATAGTAATGTTTCTGTAATCCTCCCTGACAATGGCGGGTTGTATGGGTTGGTTTGTACATTTCACTTTTTTAAACCTTGGAATTTATTTTGATATATGATGATGCAAGAAAAAAACTTAACTTTATTTCTAGCCAACTAATTGTTAATAATTATCTTGCTACATTTCCTTGCTACACTTCCTGGTAAATTTTTGTGTGGAAAACTCATCTGTTTTTAACCTTTATTCTTCTGATAAAATTATTTAAAGCTATAAAATTGCCTCTGTGGACAGCTTTAGCTATGTTGTAGAATTTTTATCTATAATTTTTATATTATCATTTAGTTGCATATATTTCCTAACTCCTGGCTGGGGCGTGGTGGCTCACACCTGTAATCCCAGCACTTTGGGAGGCCGAGGCGGGCAGATCACGAGGTCAGGAGTTAAGAGACCAGCCTGGCCTAACATGGTGAAACCGTCTTGGAGCTCTGCAACCTCTGCCTCCCGGGTTCAAGTGATTCTACTGCCTCAGCCTCCCGAGTAGCTGGGATTACAAGCACCCGCCATGACAACTGGCTAATTTTTGTGTTTTTAGTAGAGACGGGGTTTCACCATGTTGACCAGACTGGTCTCTAACTCCTGACCTCGCGATCCGCCCGCCTCGGCCTCCCAAATGCTGGTGAGAGGTGACAGCGTGTGGCAGTCCTCACAGCCCTCGTTCGCTCTCAGCGCCTCCTCTGCCTGGGCTCCCACTTTGGCGGCACTTGAGGAGCCCTTCAGCCCACCGCTGCACTGTGGGAGCCCCTTTCTGGGCTGGCCAAGGCCAGAGCCCACTCCCTCAGCTTGCAGGGAGGTGTGGAGAGAGGCGCGAGCAGGAACCAGGGCTGCGTGAGGCGCTTGCAGGCCAGCTGGAGTTCCGGGTGGGCGTGGGCTTGGTGGGCCCGGCAGTCGGAGCAGCCGGCCGGCCCTGCGGGCCCCGGGCAGTGAGGGACTTAGTACCCGGGCCAGTGGCTGCGGAGGGTGTATTGGGTCCCCCAGCAGTGCCAGCCCACCGGCGCTGCCCTTGATTTCTCACCGGGCCTTAGCTGCCTTCCTGCGGGGCAGGGCTCGGGACCTGCAGCCCGCCATGCCTGAGCCTCCCACCCTCTCCGTGGGCTCCTGTGCCGCCCGAGCCTCCCTGACGAGCGCCGCCCCCTGCTCCACAGCGCCCAGTCCCATCGACCACCCAAGGGCTGAGGAGTGCGGGAGCAGGGCACCGGGACTGGCAGGCAGCTCCACCTGCAGCCCCTGTGCGGGATCCACTGGGTGAAGCCAGCTGGGCTCCTGAGTCTGGTGGGGACATGGAGAACCTTTATGTCTAGCTCAAGGATTGTAAACACACCAATCAGCACCCTGTGTCTAGCTCAGGGTTTGTGAATGCACCAATCCACACTCTGTATCTAGCTACTCTGGTGGGGCCTTGAAGAACCTTTATGCCTAGCTCAAGGATTGTAAATACACCAATCAGCACTCTGTATCTAGCTCAAGGTTTGTAAACACACCAATCAGCACCCTGTGTCTAGCTCAGGGTTTGTGAATGCATCAATCGACACTCTGTAACTAGCTACTGTGGGGCCTTGGAGAACCTTTCTGTCCACACTCTGTATCTAGCTAATCTGGTGGGGACCTGGAGAAACTTTGTGTCCAGCTCAAGGATTGTAAACACACCAATCAGTGCCCTGTCAAAACAGACCACTGGACTCTACCAATCAGCAGGATGTGGGTGGGGCCAGATAAGAGAATAATAGCAGGCTGCCCGAGCCAGCAGTGGCAACCCAATCGGGTCCCCTTCCACGCTGTGGAAGCTTTGTTCTTTCTCTCTTTGCAATAAATCTTGCTATTGCTCACTCTTTGGGTCCACACTGCTTTTATGAGCTGTAACACTCACCACGAAGGTCTGCAGCTTCATTCCTGAAGCCAGCGAGACCACGAGCCCACCGGGAAAAACGAACAACTCCAAACGCGCTGCCTTAAGAGCGGTAACACTCACCGCAAAAGTCTGCAGCTTCACTCCTGAACCAGCGAGACCACGAACCCACCAGAAGGAAGAAACTCTGAACACAACCGAACATCAGAAGGAGCAAACCGCAGACGCGCCAACTTAAGAGCTGTAACACTCACCGCAAGGGTCCGTGGCTTCATTCTTGAAGTCAGTGAGACCAAGAACCCACCAATTCCGGACACACTGGGATTACAGGCATGAGCCACTGCGCCCAGGAGTTTTTATGCAGCTAGGGAGTAACGGAGAGAGATTTCAGAGAACTGAGGGGAAACTTCTGTGTTTCTTTAGTCTCAGATAATGACACCTGGAGCAATCAGAGTTCTGGGTGTCAGCAGCTGGTTGCAACATCCTTAAAGGCAGTCATTCCTTCTTCAATTTTTTTTTGTGACCCCCAAAGTTATCTCCAGCCTTGACAATATGGTGAAACCCTGTCTCTACTAAAAATAATAATACTAAAAAAATGTAGCCGGGCATGATGGTGCACGCCTGTAATCCCAGCTATTTGGCAGGCTGAGGTGGGAGAATCACTTGCAACCTTGACAAAGAAACAGCACATTCTCAGTTTATAATGACACTGTACGGACAAGAGATGTTAGGTATGGAAATCTCAAGGGGCCCTGTTTTAGGCTGTTCTTGCATTGCTATAAAGAAATGCCTGACACATGTATACATATGTAACTAACCTGCACGTTGTGCACATGTACCCTAAAACTTAAAGTATAATAATAATAAAAGAAATGCCTGAGACTGGGTAATTTACAAAGAAGAGGGGTATAATTGGCTCATGGTTTTGCAGGCTGTACAGGAAGAATAGTGCTGGCTCCTGCTTGACTTCTGGGGAGGCCTCAGGAAGCTTCCAATTGTGGCAGAAGGTAAAGGGGGAGCAGGCACATCATCACATGGCCAGAGCAGAAGCAGAGGGAGGGAGGAGGTGCCACACACTTTTAAATGACCACATCTCAAGAGAACTCCCTCACTATTGGGAGTACGGCACCCAGAGGATTCCTGGTGCAAAACCACTTATGGGAAATCCACCCCCACGATCCAATCACCTCCCAGCAGGCCCCACCTCCAATACTTGGGATTCCAGTTCAACATGAGATTTGGGTGGGGACACAGATCAAAACCACATCAGGCTCGGTTACAGAAACACCCTCACAGACACCCCCAGAAACATTCTTTCTGTCACCTGCCATCTCTGCATCCCTCAGTCCAGTCAACTTCCCTAAAATTAACCCTCACAGCCACGGTGTCTGGACCTCAGTTGGGCAAAGATTACTCTGGTCATTGTGGGTGAGAATTAGCTTTGGGTGATTATTAAGGGTTTCATTTCCCAAGCCACCTGCCACTCAGCCTGCAGAAGGCCCCAACCACCAGGTCGACAAGAAGGGGTGTAAAACCAGGACTTGCTGACGGGTTGATTGGGTTTTCACATTGCATGTCTCTGCATTGCTGGGGGCGGGGCAGAAAGCCTGATAGTAAAGGAAGAAAGCTTTGGAATTTCAGATCATGCTTTCTTCGTAGGTGGTCGTAAAGAGAGGTGGGGCCAACCAGGGACCAAGCATGGTGCACCTTTCTTCCTGGGATCCAAGATTCTGATTTTTCCTTGGTAATTACCCAAAGTGAGTTCCCAGGGTACAGCATGAGGGCAATGGAACGTCCCGTGACTTAGATTCTTGCTTTTCACTCCTGAGTTTCCACTGTTGCCCTGGGCCTCGGTTTCAGTGTGATTTCCTGAGCAGTATGAAGCTCCCGTTTCCCAATTCTAAGGGGATCTACAGAGAAAAGCAGAGAAGACTCTGAGGAAGATTAAAAGAGCTGCACGTGGTTCAGAACTGCAACATGTCCAGCACTCACTCTGTCAATCAGGAAACAAGCCCCCTCCCTGTACTCTCAATTAAGTCTACAAGGCCTCTTACTTGGAAAGGCAGAAGCAGTTGGGGTTTTAAGCAAGTCTCAATTCCCTCCTCCCTGCCCCCATCAAAACCATTTCTCGGCCAGGTGCAGTGGTTCATGCCCTTAATCCCAGCACTTTGAGAGGCTGAGGCAGGCTAATTGCTTGAGCCCAGGAGTTCAAGACCAGCCTGAGCAACATAGTGAGACCCTGTCTTTACAAAATAATACAAAAAATTGGCCGGGCACAGTGGCTTACGCCTGTAATCCCAGCACTTTGGGAGGCTGAGGAGGGTGGATCACGAGGTCAGGAGTTTGAGACTAGCCTGGCCAACATGGTGAAACCCCATCTCTACTAAAAATACAAAAATTAGCTGGGCGTGGTGGTGGGTGCCTGTAATCTCAGCTACTCAGGAGGCTGAGGCAGGAGAATCATTTGAACCTGTGAGGTGGAGGTTTCAGTGAGCCGAGATCGCGCCATTTGCACTCCAGCCTGGGTGACAGGGCGAGACTCCATCTCAAAAAAAAAAAAAAAAAAAATTAGCCGGGTGTGGTGGTGCATGCCTGTAGTCCCACCTACTGGGAAGGCTGAGGTGGCAGGATCCCTTGAGCCCAGGCAATCAAGGCTTCAGTGAGCTATGATTACACCACAGCATTCCAGCCTGGGCCCCAGAGCCAGACCCTGTCTGAAACAAACAAACAAAAAGGTTTCTGAAGTTCTCCCCAAATTTATTTCAAAGCCCTGTGATTAGGGGCATGATGTGTGCAGGTTCCAGACCACATGTTGTGGCAGGTCTACTTTGCAACGCAGAGTATGAAACGGGCGTCCTCCAGGTGAATTCCTTGAGGAAACACCTATGAATCCCTCACTGGGCACTAAAAAATTTCACCTGGCCCAAAGAGAGGCCTGGCCCTGGACCCCCATTTCAGGAGGGTGACCTCTAAGCCCCCGGAATGTCCTAACAGGAGTGTTTTTGTTTTTCTGGGGGCCTCGGGTCACACCAACTCTTCTAACCATGTGAGTTAGGGCAGGGGCTTTGAGCTGCAGGATATCAGCTTGACCTCTGGATGGGCTGCAGGCTGAGCTCAGCCATGTGAGGAGTCAGCCCTGCCTATGGGATGGAGCCGCAGGGAAGCCCTGGTGTGGAGGAACCTTCCTGGCTGACCGTGTTTTGTGCGTATGATCGCACATTGTCAGAGGGGTAACGCTGTCCGCAGCTCCACAGGAGAGGACAGCAGACGCTCAGTGTGTGGAACCCTCGTGGGCTCTGCCCCTGCATGCTGATTTTAATCGGTGTCTTTTCCCTGTGATAAACCATAGCTGGGACTATCACAGCTTCCAGCGAGTTCCGAGTCTTTCCAGCAAATCGTCGAACCTAAGGGTGGTCTCGAGGGCCTCTGAACTCGCAATTGGCGTCAAAAGTGAGGGCGGTCCTGTGGACTGCTCCTGAACGCTGCATCTCCCAGGTAGCCTGGCTTCTTGCAGACACAACCCAAAGACCACGGGGACTTCGGAATCAAATAAATTGGATTCAAAGTAGAGAGAGAGCTGTCTCACCGGGGTCTCTTTGCAAGTCTCTGTGGGGAAATTCTGCTGGAGCCTGGCAGAGGCGACTTCAGAGAGAAGAGAGCAAACCTCACTGCAACACGGAGCAGAGGCCTGAAGCAGAGGGGAGAAGAACACAGGAGCTTGGAGACTTCCTATTGCCTTTCCAGAGCCTAATTACAGATGAGGAGGTGAATACAAAGATAAGAACATAATGGCATCTTTGTTTTGGGACATCCACATGAATCCAAGTGATTTAAGAAAGTCTTGGCTGGGCGCGGTGGCTCATGCCTGTAATCCCAGCACTTTGGGAGGCCGAGGTGGGTGGATCACGAGGTCAGGAGATTGAGACCATCCTGGCTAACATGGTGAAACCCCGTCTCTACTAAAAATACAAAAAAATTAGCCAGGCATGGTAGCGGGTGCCTGTAGTCCCAGCTACTCGGGAGGCTGAGGCAGGAGAATGGCGTCAACCCGGAAGGCGGAGCTTGCAGTGAGTCGAGATCGCGCCACTGCACTCCAGCCTAGGCGAGAGCGAGACTTCGTCTTAAAAAAAAAAAAAAAAAAAGAAAGTCTTGAGGCCAGGAGTTCCAGACCAGCCTGGACAACATAACGAGACTCCCGTCTCTATAAAAAATAATAATAAAAAACATTAGCTAGGCATGGCAGTGGTATACACTGTGGTCCCAGCTACTGGGGAGGCTGAGGTGGCAGCATCACTTGAGCCCAGGAGTTTGAGGCTGCAGTGAGCTATGATTGCACCACTGCACTCCAGCCTTGGTGACAGAGCAAGACCCTGTCTCAAAAAAAAGAAATTCATTTGGTTCTTTGTTCACTTCCTCCGCATGGCCTGGCATAGAGTGGATAAGGTGCTGTTGAAGGTTTTATGGATTTAATTGTGTCCGACCCTCCAAAATTCAGAAGTTGAAGTCTTAGTCCCTAGGACCTTAGAATGTGACCTTATTTGAAAATAGGGACATTGAAGATGGAATTAGTAAAAATAAGGTTAAAATGGAGGAGGGTGGGCCCCTAACTCAATAGGACTGGAGTCCTTATGAAAAGACGCCATGGGAAGAAGAGACAGAAACATGCTCAAGGAAGATGGGAGAGAAATTACCACAAGGGGGGGGGGACCACCAGAAGCTGGAGAGGGACCCGGGCCAGATTCCTTCCCTGCACCTTCAGAGGGGCGCAGCCCTGCAGACACCTGGATCTCCAGAACGGAGAGGGGATCCGCTCTCCTGTGTGAGGCCTGGCACAGTAACATGGCGAGGAGCATGGAGGGCTGGATCTGTGGGTGCTGGTGCAGGCACGAGGAGCAGCGGCACGCCGGGCACGTCAGCAAGCGTGCATGCAAGAGCCGGTGTCCGAGGTGCCCTCCAGGATGGAGGCGTTTCCGCAGGTGGAGAGAGGGAAAGGCGTGGGGCGAGGGCAGGGCTGGAGAAGACGCACAAATAATAATAACAAAACGTCGTCCAGGCCGCAGAGCCAACGGGAGGAAGGACAAGTCCAGGAACCTAGATGGAGTTGGTCAACTTGGGGCTGGTGGGGGCCACGTATCCAACTGCGGGCGGTTCCGACGGGAACAGGCTGTGCCCAGAGGCGGGGCCTGACCGGCTGCGACTATCTCACTCCAGGCAAATGCAGGAGGGACCCTGCTGTGCTTGACCTGTTGTGAAAAAGCGATTTAGTTAAATAGGTTCCAGGTGATTCCTTTGATTGCGGCCATGAGGATTTATGCAGAAAAGGACACGAACTTAAAACCCTTCATTGAGGGTGCTCTTGTGAGGGCTCCAGCCCACAGGTGGGGCGGCCAGCCGTCCTCGGTCCGTTGCTTGCCTGGGTTTCCGACGCCATCCTCCAGGCCTGCCTCATTTGTTAGGCTGTGACCCCGCAGTGAAGCTGGAATATGACTTGTTCATAACCGCAGCTGGAAAATTAAATTTTATTTTCAACACATCTTTATCCTTCTTGCCACTGATTTGCCTGGCTCTGAGCCCATCTCCCTATGGCTTTGCTTGTAATATCTGGCCATAAACCCCTCAATGTTACAGCCGCTATAAGCTGGTCCTGATGGCACGTTCCTCCATAGAGTTAATTAAATTCCGAGCACAGTGTATGAATGGAGATTATAAAACTCCTTGGCCGGAGAGAGGGGGTTGGACGCTCTTGACAGGCATCTGGGCGAACATTTGTATTTCTTTTTACGACGGCATTGACACAGAATGGGAGAAGGCCATCTGGGATTGAGTGGCAGGTGGTGCTTCCAAGGTCCTTTTGAAAATCCTACTATAGGCAGGGTGCAGTAGCTCATGCCTGCAATCCCAGAACTTTGGGAGGCTGAGGAGGGAGGATCCCTTGAGCCGAGGAGTTCCAGACCAGCCTGGGCAACATAGTGAGACCTCATCTCTACAAAAATAAAAAATAAAAAATTAGCTAGGTGTGGTAGTACATGCCTGTAGTCTCAGCTATTTGGGAGGATCACTTGAGCCCAGGAGGTTGAGCCTGCAGTAAGCGGTGATCACGCCACTGCACTCTAGCCTGGGCAACAGAGTGAGACCTCATCTGTAAAAGGAATAAATAAAAAAAATCCTATAATGCTTCCACCTGTAAATGTCTACCCTAGAGAAATGAAGACATATGCTCATAAAAGGCTTACACAAGAATGATCGTAGTGGCATTATTGGTTTTAGCTGCAAAGGGAGACCACGCAGGTGTCTGTCACCGGAGCACGGAGAAGCAATACATCTCTGCAACGGACCACCGCTCAGCAATCAAAAGGGAAAAAACAGCACAAAAATCACATACTGGATGATTCCATTTTATGAAGTTCAACCACCAGCACGACTAATCTCTAGCGGCAGAAATCAGAACAGTGGTTCCCTATGGTGCGGTGGAATCTGGCTGGGCAGGAGTGTAAGGAACTTCCTGGGGTGGTGAAAATTCCTTATCTTGACAGATGCAGGGTTTGCGCTGGTAGATTTGTTTATTAAAGCTCACGCAACTGTGCGCTGACAACCTGAGCATTTCACTCTGCAAATGTTACCTTGCAATGAAAAACTTCCACGATGACACAGCCCTGAAAGGGACCAGAGCTTAGAGCCTCCAGGGCTCTCCTGGTGCAGGACAGAACTCCTTCGGCTTGGGCCAGTGCGCCTTGGGATCACAGTGCAGAACACAGATGGGGCTCACCCTCTGGGGATCTCTGTTGTCTTCTTGCAGATCCTCTCCGGATGGGGACATACACTAGGCTCGAGTATGAAGGGTTTGCTTAATTTTAATCTACTCCTACAAAGGACATTGTGATGCGTGGAGAAGTTTTCCAGGTGATGTGGTTCACCTCCGGTATTTCTTTTTTTCTTTTCTTTTTTTTTTTTGAGACGGAATCTCGCTCTGTTCAGACAGAGTCTCGCTCCGGGCTGGAGTGCAGTGGTGTGATCTCAGCTCCCTGCAACCTCCGCCTCGCCGGTTCAA
This sequence comes from Homo sapiens, assembly GCF_000001405.40. Taxonomy (NCBI): domain Eukaryota; kingdom Metazoa; phylum Chordata; class Mammalia; order Primates; family Hominidae; genus Homo; species Homo sapiens. Next base: position 4,306,224 of record NC_000007.14, on the reverse strand, counting down.
GAGATTCTCCTGCCTCAGCCTCTCGAGTAGCTGGGATTACAGGCACCTGCCACCACACCCAGCTAATTTTTGTATTTTTAGTAGAGACAGGGTTTTACCATATTGGCCAGGTTGGTCACGAACTCCTGACCTCAGGTGATCCACCCACCTCAGCCTCCCAAAGTGCTGGGATGACAGGCATGAGCCCGATATTTCTTTCTTTGTAAGCTTTGGGCTTGCAAATGTCTTTCCCACGGCTGATCTCATTCAGTGCTCACCAAAGCCCTGAGAAGCAGTTCCTGGTTTTCCTTCTGGGGGAGTCATGATGAGACAAGGCCCTCGGGGAACCCACTGTGATTTGAAGACAGCCACAGGCCCAGGCTGGACGCACCACACCACACGTGGATGAGGAGAGTGTGTATTGTCACTGAGGATGATCAGAGGGCATAGGAAACCCACTGCGATCAACTTCCCAATATGGTGGAGAAGAGCTTCCCTGGGGTTATTGAGGGCATCAGCATCCACACCAAAGGAGGGCATGACTGGTGATGACTGTAGGCCCCCAACACCCTGCATTGGAAATGACGTGGAACTTAAGAAAATAACACAGAAGAGGCAAGGAGATCAAGGAGATCTGGGAATCTCGTTCCCCACTGACCAGCCAACTCCTGGGCTCTTGTAACTGAACCGAGGTTCAGCACTTGCTGCTTAAAAGCCAAACATGATAGCTAGTGTTGGTGGGAGGAGAAGTGAGTTTATTCAGGGAGCCAGCAAAGCAAGAAGACGGTGCCCTAGCATTCTAAAGAACCATCTTGAGTCAGTACAAATTTCAGGCTCTTTTTATGTGAAGGGCAGGAGGAAGAGGAGGGGGTTGGGATCAAGAAGTGGCTGATGACCACGGACACCTAGGTGCCAGCGAGGGTTCAGAGGAGGCCGGGAACTTCTTTGCCCTTGGCCAGGTCATAGTGCTCCCACAAACCTTTTTTTTCTTTCTTTTTTTTTTTTTTTTTTGAGACAAGAGTTTCACTCTTTCTGCCCAGGCTGGAGTGCAGTGGCGCCATCTCAGCTCACCACAACCTCCGCCTCCTGGGTTCAAGCGATTCTCCTGCTTCAGCCTCCCGAGTGTCTGCGATTATAGGCGCTCACCACCACGCCCGGCTAATTTTGCTGTTTTACTAGAGACAGGGTTTCACCATGTTGGCTAGGCTGGTCTCAAACTCCTGACCTCAAGTGATCCGCCTGCCTCCGCTTCCCAGAGTGCTGAGATTACAGGCATAAGCCACCAGGCCCGGCCGCAAATCTTTAATAAAACCTAGTTAGCTGTTTACACATTTCCTCTTTCATCCCAGAGTTGGTTTCAAGAAGGACATGATTGCTGTTTTTGCGTTATTACTTCAGTGCTCTAAAATCATCCTAGCCTATGTGCAGGAGTGGGGAAAGGCCCCTTAAGCAAACGTGGAGTGGGCTGTGCTAGTTCTTTTGCTGCTTCAGTGCTACACTCTGAGCCCAGCGTAGTGTTGGACTCACCAGGCAAATCAAAATAATAAACCAGGCTGGGCACGGTGGCTCACGCCTGTAATCCCAGCACTTTGGGAGGCCGAGGCAGGTGGATGACCTGAGGTCAGGAGTTCGAGACCAGCCTGACCAAACATGGAGAAACTCTGTCTCTACTAAAAATACAAAATTAGCCGGACGTGATGGCACATGCCTGTAATCCCAGCTACTCGGGAGGCTGAAGCAGGAGAATCGCTTAAACCCAGGAGACGAAGGTTGCAGTGAGCTGAGGTCGCACCGTTGCACTCCAGCCTGGGCAATAAGAGCAAAACTCTGTCTCAAAAAAGAAAGAAAGAAAGAAAGAAATATAGCAATGAAAATGAATGAATGAATGAATGAATGAATGAATTCATCCACACAGCATGAGGGAATGTGCATGACATGGAGTAAAGCAGGCCAGAAACAAGACAACTGGTATACCATTCTATTCACATAAAGCTCAAAAACAGGTCAGACTTACCTATGGTGATAGAGGTTAAGGAGTGGTCACCCAGCAGAGGGTGGCAGGGGGAGGAAGAAGTAAGGAGGAGCATGGGAGAACATTCTGGAAGCTGGGAATAGCCTATATCGTGATTTGGTTGATGGCACACAGGTAGGGACATATGGAAAAAGGCACTCAATTGTACATTTAAGAGGTGTGTGGTTTACTGTATATGAGGGATAGCTTAATACAAGTGTGGATTTTTTTTTCTTTAGAGATGGGGTCTTGCTCTGTTGCCCAGTCTGGAATACAGTGGCACAATCATGGTTCACTGCAGCCTCAACCTTCTGGACTCAAGCAATCTCTCGCCTCAGCCTCCCGAGTTGCTGAAACTATAGGTATGCACCACCACATTTAGCTAATTTAAAAATATATTTTGTGTGTGTGGAGATGGGGTCTTGCTATGTTGCCCAGGCTAGTCTCAAACTCCTGGACTCAAGGGATCCTCCTGCCTTGGCCTCTCAAAGCACTGGGATTACAGGCATGAACCACTGCCTGCCACCTAAAAGTGGTGTGTAAAAAAAATAACCAAAAGCTATTATCAAACAGAAAAAAAAGGACAATTCAGGTAATGAACAGAACTAGGTTCCAGTAATTCACTGAGGAAACTGCTTCCATCTGTTTAAAAGAACAAAGTCTTACCTTTGAGTCATTCTTATCCTTACACCAGCTTCCTGAGGCAGAAACGTACATCTCTGCAAAAAGATTTGTCCAAGTCCTTATCCGCCGCCTCACCCCTCACCCGTTTCCACACCACCGAAGGCTGCAACATCCTCATCGGTCCTGGGCTGCAGGGGAAATGCTGTGAAGTGCATCTGTATTCCAAAGCAAAATTATCCTATTCTTGAAGCTTCGTTGAACAGGATGTGTTTTGGAGATTGAATGTATGTAGATTTATTTACTTTCTAAAAGCAACACCCTGTACTTGGGGGCCGCCAAGCGAGACTGCCCAGGGAAGCATTTACAGCTGTTTTAATAGTTATTAAACCATGGGCAGAGGCGTTCCACACCCATCAGGTATCTGCAGAGACCGCGTAGGCAGAGAGGCCTGACGGTTCCCCATGGAGAGGGCCGCAGCGGGGGGCAGGGCTGGCTCCTTCCTGGTGCTGGGATTGTTTGCACAGAAGAGCAGAGACACAGTGGGTTGGAAGGGCCCAGGCAGGGCTGGGTGTGGTGGCTCACGCCTGTTAATCCCAGCACTTTGGGAGGCCGAGGCAGGCGGATCACTTAAGGTCAGGAGTACGAGACTAGCCTGACCAACATGATGAAACCCTGTCTCTGCTAAAAAATATAAAAAATAGCTGGGCGTGGTGGCAGGTGCCTGTAATCCCAGCTACTCAGGAGGCCGTGGCAGGAGAATTGCTTGAACCTGGGAGGCGGAGGCTGCAGTGAGCTGAGATTGTGCCACTGCACTCTAGCCTGAGTTACAGAGCGAGACTCTTGTCCCCCCTACCTCCCCCCCAAAAAAAAGTAGGGACCCAGGCTGGAGCCGGTGCCTGAACCTCTAGTCCCCTGGGAACCTCAGCCCTGGACAGGTGCACAGGATTCACAGTGACACAGACAGACCTGCCTGCATGCTGCCTGGCCTGGACCACAGGTGCACGGGACCAGGCAGTGAGCGAGGCCTCAGCTCACCATTTCTAACTCTAGTAAAATCTTCACATTTTTAAATACCTGTTCTAAATTCATCTGTGCTCTGGGCCTTGTAGCCTGTGCCAATAAAGTGCAGGGCCGGGAAAGGCACCTGGGGCTTGTCTCACTTCGTCGCATCAGCTATAAGAAGGAGAGAGAGAATCCTGGATGTTCATGGCTGGGCTTCAGAGCCACAACCCCACCTCCCCTCGGCTCCAATTCCCAGATGCCGTAAAGAGCCAGCTGCTCCAGGCCGGGCGCAGTGGCTCATGCCTGTAATTCCAGCACTTTGGGAGGCCGAGGCGGGTGGATCATGAGGTCAGGAGATCGAGACGATCCCGGCTAACATGGTGAAACCCTGTCTCTACTAAAAATACAAAAAATTAGCCGGGCTTGGTGGCGGGCACCTGTAGTCCCAGCTATTTGGGAGGCTGAGGCAGGAGAATGGCGTGAACCCGGGAGGCGGAGCTTGCAGTGAGCCGAGATCGCGCCACTGCACTCCAGCCTGGGCGGCAGAGCGAGACTCCGTCTCAAAAACAACAACAACAAAAAGAGCCAGCTGCTCCTCCGCTCACCCCTCCCCGATGGTCCCACTTGCTCCTCACATTCTTGCCAATGTTTTGCACCAGAAGGTCTCCCTGAAGTTTGAGGAGGGAAACGGCCGGAGCACAAGGATAACAGTTCAGCATTTTGCCCTGGACGCATCCACAGGTCACCAGCGCTGAGAAAGACACTTGGGTGTGTCAGTGCAGGTCTCCGGTGAAACCTCCGTTAGCCGGAATTGCTGAAACCAAGGGGCAGTCAGATTCATTAAAGAGAAATAAGGGCCGGGTGTGGTGGCTCACACCTGTAATCCCAGCACTTTGGGAGGCCAAGGCGGGAAGATCGTTTGAGCCCAGGTGTTTGGGTTCACAGTGAGATCCATTTCTACAAAACATGTAAAATAGCAAGGCACGGTGACACACACCTGTAGTCCCAGCTACTCGGGAGGCTGAGGTGGGAGGATCGCTTGAGCCCAAAAGTTGGAGGCTGCAGTGAGCTACGATGCTGCTACTGCACTCCAGCCTGGGTGACAGAGTGAGACCCTGTCCTTTTTTTTTTTTTTTTTAAAAAAAAAGGAGGAATGAGATGCCCTGATGAATAAGAAAAAGACTTTTCTTGTTACAAGAAAAAGACTTGCTTGAACAAGAAAAAGACTTTTATTTCATCCTTTTAAAAAGCATCAGGTTAGTGAAAACATGATGTTTTTTTTAAATGTTTGAAGTTTGAATTGAGTTTCTTGCTTCTTTTAAGTCTAGTCTCTGAAAATCAGTCTCTCTGGGACTTAAGGATGGTGTTTGTGTTTGCAATCCCCAAGCAGGAGAGGAAACTGGCCCAAATTCTAGAGGGAGGGTTATCGGTGCAATGTTGGTCAATGTGCAACAACCGGCTGGCCAAGAGAACAGGCACCCGTCTTTATGAGTGCCTGTGGGGTTAAAAACTCCTGCTGGGCCGGGCGTGGTGGCTCACGCCTGTAATCCCCGCACTTTGGGAGGCTGAGGTGGGCGGATCCCGAGGTCAGGAGATCGAGACCATCCTGGCTAACACAGTGAACCCCCATCTCTACTAAAAATACAAAAAATTAGCTGGACGAGATGGTGGGTGCCTGTAGTCCCAGCTACTTGGGAGGCTGAGGCAGGAGAATGGTGTGAACCCGGGAGGCGGAGCTTGCAGTGAGCCGAGATTGTGCCACTGCACTCCAGCCTGGGTGACAGAGCGAGACGCCGTCTCAAAAACAAAAACAAAAAACAAAAAACAAACAAACAAAAAAACAACTGCTGAGGTCAACTTGAAGCTACCACAGCCACAGACCTGAACATGAAGTTGGGACAAAATGTGCAGAATAGGCTCTCACGCGTAGCAGGTGCAGGCTCCAGCCCACAGCTAGGTGTGCTTCTCCCAGCTGCAGATCTTCGTCTTTTTAAATTTGTTTCTATTCCAGCTACAACTTTACTCTGCTATCATCTGGCTCCCTGTGCCTAAATGTCAAATGCAGATAGAAAATCTGGCCAAATTGGCTGGGTACTGTGGCTCACGCCTGTAATCCCAGCACTTTGGGAGGCCGAGGTGTGCAGATCACCTGAGGTCAGGAGTTTCAGACCAGCCTGACCAACATGGCAAAACCCCGTCTCTACTAAAAATACAAAAATTAGCCAGGCATGGCGGCAGGTGCCTGTAATCCCAGCTACTTGGGAGGCTGAGGCAGGAGAATCACTTGAACCTGGGAGGCGAAGGTTGCAGTGAGATCGTGCCATTGCACTCCAGCCTGGGTGACAAGAGCGAAACTCCATCTCAAAAAAAAAAAAAAAAAAAAAAAAAGACAGGAAAAGAAAGAAAATCTGGCCAAATTGAGGGTTTGAGTTCCTTGCTGGTTAATGAAAATTTCCGACAATACAGGCTCCGTCCTTTTCTTCAAGATGTTGTTCTTTTTTAATTGTATTACTTTTTTTTTGAGACAGAATCTCACTCTATTGCCCAGGCTGGAGTGCAGTGGTGTGATCATGGCTCACTGAAGCCTCCAACTCCCAGGCTCAAGCGATCCTCCCACCTCAGCCTCCCAAGTAGCTGGGACCACAGGCATGTGCCACCATGCCTGGTTAATTTTATTTTTTTTGTAGAGAAGAGGTCTTGCTATGTTGCCTAGGTTGGTCTTGAACTCTTGGTCTCAAATGATCCTCCTGCCTTGGTCTCCCAAAGTGCTGGGATTACAGGTGTGAGCCATGGCATCCAGCCAAGATGTTGTTTTAATAGATACTAGTCCCATGAAGCTAACTGTGGAGCTTGGGGTTGCAGTTTCTCTCTGCCTTGAGACTGGTTTGGACTGGAGAAAGTTGCTGCATTCAGCCCCACGCCTCGTTCCCCGAGAAGCATTCTGTTTCTCGCCCAGGTTGAGAAACCTGGATTCTCCTCTGTTTCCACTTTAACTCCTTTCTCATGAGGAGAACTGAGCTCTGAGGCACTTCCCATGAGGTTCCGTGAACCCAGCACAGGGACCTTCTTCCCAGTATGGTGAGGTCCAAAGAGCCCCCTCCTCCCCAGCTCCAGGCAAAGAGGAGGGAAGCCCTACATCACTGGGACCTGAATGTAGGGATCCCAAGATGAACCTTCCCCAGGTCGCTGGGAGGAAGGGAGCAGGAGAGGCTCACAGGAGAGAGCATGCTGTTGCTACACCTAGGTTTCAAAATTCGAATCCTGCATCCTCCCTCACCTCCCACCCTCTGCTGCTTAAAAAATAATGATTGACAGCCTGGGCAACATAGCAAGACTCTGTCTCTACAAAAAATTAAAAATTAGCCAGGTATGGTGGCATGCACCTGTAGTCCCAGCTACGTGGGAGGCCAAGGCCGGAGGATCACTTGAGCCCAGGAGTTCAAGACCAGTCTGGGCAACATAGCAAGACCCTGTCACTCCAAAGAAAACTTAAAAAATTATCCAGGCATTATGGCACATGCCTGAAGTCCCAGCTACTTGGGAGACTGAGGCAGGAGGATTGCTTGTGCCCAGTAGTTTGAGGCTGCAGTGAGCTATGATCGCGCCACTGCACTCCAGCCTGGGCAACACTGTGAGACCCTCTGTCTAAAAAAATAAAATGCTGATTTAGGGGGGCCGGGGGAGGTGGCTGACACCTGTAATCCCAGCACTTTGGGAGGCTGCGGCGGGTGGATCACAAGATCAAGAGATCGAGACCATCCTGGCCAACATGGTGAAACCCCATCTCTACTAAAAATACAAAAATTAGCTGGGTGTGGTGGCGTGCGCCTGTCATCTCAGCTACTCAGGAGGCTGAGGCAGGAGAATCGCTTGAACCTGGGAGGCAGAAGTTGCAGTGAGCCGAGATCGCGCCACTGCACTCCAGCCCGGGCGACTGAGCGAGACTCTGTCTCAAAAAAAAAAAAAAAATGCTGATTTAGCTATGGCTCAACTATTTTCTTACACACATTATTAATACAAAGGTGATGCCCAAACTTACGTATAATGCAAGAATTTGTACCAGACGGAGAATGTTCTCAGATATTTAGTTTCTCCTGCTGAGAGAAATTAGGAAGAGGGGTGTGTCCATCCTCAGGGGGGCCCTGGACCCCAATCCAGGTTGGCTTCCTTGGTTACATGCACTCATGGAATTGGGTGTCTTTCCTTTAGCACTATCAGAGCCAGCAGATTCACAGATGAATGTCTGCCTCTGTCCCTAGGATGGAAGGGAGGAGGGTTATGGGCACCGCTTTACTCTCGGTGACCGGAGCCCAGGGGATCTGCATTGAAGAAAGAAGGGAAGGATGGGAGAGGGAGAAAGTGAGGGGAAGGAATAAAGGAAGGGAGAAAAGGGAGAAGGAAGGCGAGAAGAAGGAATGGGAGAGAGGAAGGAAGGGCAGGAGGAAAGAAGAGGGCAGGAAGAAGAAAAACCAACCACGGGAGATGGAAAGAGCTTCAAGACCCAGGACCTGCCACCTCCCACCAGCTCAGGCATCTTCCTGACCCCCGGGTGGGGCTCTGAGCTGGAGGGCCCAGCTTCCTCTCTGCCTGCCCTTGGGGCTGGCTCACCAACCAACCTTTACCTCCTGGAGCTCTCCGCTAGGGAAGGCTGGGGAGATGACAGATCTGAGCCGTTTCCATTTCTCATGTTTGGTGATGATAAGGCCCGATTCCAAAATTCTGTTTCAACCCAGCTTCTAAAGCAGATCAAGTGAATGGGAACGGGTACAGCTTGGGTTACAGAGTGTAGCTTGGGAGTTTCTCCAAGGAAGGATTAGATGGATGCACTGCCAAAAAGATTTCTTTTTTTAAAGGAGTCAGATCATATGTGACATTGCCTTCTTCCCAGAGCATTCAGAAGGAGCGTGACGCCAAGGTAGACTGTGGGGGGCGGGAAGGCGGGTGACATTTTGGCAGATTTGGGAGCCATAAGCAGAGAGCTAACCCTGGAAACCACTCCTGGAGTGGGGGCACCTCTATCACTAGCGTTGGGGGTCTCAAAGAAGATTCCTCTGCAGAACTAGCTGAACTCTGTCTTTGCTGGGAGTTAAGCTGGGGAAACAATTAGGCATGCATCTTTCAGACCCATTGTTTTTTTCAGCCTGAGGGTAGACTGTGGAAATCTCGTCTGAAGAAAGGATAGACCTCTCCTGCACCCGCCACCACCCTCTCTCTCCCAAAAGTGAAGACGCTCAGGTACCTGAAGGGCCTGTGACTCGCCAGGGCCACGTGGCTGATGTGAGCCCAAACTGGGACCAGAGACCAGGTCTGGGGCATTTGCCACTAACAATAAACTGAAAAGTGTAGGGAAGAAACTTTTCCCAAAACCAACCGTCCAGCATGTTTTGGCACCATTTAATGTTTGTACTACTGAGTTAAAGGTGAGAGAAGGGTCACTATGAAATCTATTAAAATGCAATCCCGGCCCTAAAGATCCCAACAACTTAACAACTTGGCCTTCCCAAGATCTCCCAGTTGCCCTGAAGCATTGACCGCCACTTGACAAAGGCCTGCAATGTATGATGGTGAGTGCTGGGATCCTTGATGCCTTGATCTATGGGTATTTTAGCTTCAGCCAGTGGATAAATCACGTTGGTTTAGGTGCCCCCATTGAGTCATCTCCACATGAGCCCGTCTTTATTTCACAAAAGCTATCACCCATTCCAAGCAAATTCCCGCGTCTTAGATGCAAGATTATGAAGAGCCAGACCAAATTTTCAAAGCCGTCAGAGTATGAAATGAATATATGAATATGAAAAGGGGCTTCTTTTGAGAAGACATTTATGCAGCCAACAAACATGAAAAAAAAAAGCTCATCACTGATCATTAGAGAAATGCAAATCAAAACCACAGTGAGATACCATCTCACGCCAGTTAGAATGGTGATTATTAAGTCAGGAAACAACAGATGCTGGAGAGGATGTGGAGAAACAGGAACGCTTTTACACTGTTGGTGGGAGTGTCAATTAGTTCAACCATTGTGGAAGACCATGTGGTGATTCCTCAAGGATCTAGAACTAGAAATACCATTTGACCCAGCCATCCCATTACTGAGTATACACCCAAAGGATTATAGATCATTCTACTATAAAGACACATGCACACATATGTTTATTGCAGCACTATTCACAATAGCAAAGACTTGGAACCAACCCAACCCACATGTCCATCAGTGATAGACTGGATAAAGAAAACATGGCACATATACAACATGGAATACTATGCAGTCATAAAGAAGAATGAGTTCATGTCCTTTGCAGGGACATGGATGAAGCTGGAAACCATCATTCTCAGCAAACTAACACAAGAACAGAAAACAAAACACCGCATGTTCTCATTCATAAGTGGGAGCTGAACAAAGAGAACACGTGGACACAGGGAGGGGAACATCACACACTGAGGCCTGTCAGGGGGTGGGGGGCTAGGGGAGGGATAGCATTAGGAGAAATACCTAATGTAAGGGTTGGGTTGATGTGTGCAGCAAACCACAATAGCATGTGTACACCTATGTAACAAAACTGCACTTTCTGCACATGTACTCCAGAACTTAAAGTATAATTAAAAAAAAAAAAAAGAAAAAGAAAAGAGGCTTCAAGCTTACTAGCTGATGATTAATTCTTATATCTGGTTAGAGGGGGGAAAAGAAAATTGCCATCTCCAAAAGCCCAAGTTTAACTTGCTTCTGTTCAAGAAAACCAATGGAAGAAGCAACCTACACTTTGGTTGGTAAAAAAGGGTTTAGAACTCCTTCTAGAAGCTGGACAGATGGACTTAATGAGAACAGGACCCAGAATGGCCAGCATGGGTTGTTTGCCTTCATAGACGCTGCTACAGACACCAAGACCCAAAACAAAACAAAATGGTAAATGACTCTTAAAAAATATTCTTCAAGCCAAAGTATCCTGGTTGGCAAGCCTAACTTTCTGATTATTTCCTAAAACCTTATTATCATGTAACCTCCTTATTATTTTCCCCCACTTAGGGTACAGTAGTTCCACTTTATCCAAAGCTTCACTTTCCAAAGTTTCAGATACCCTGAGTCAACCACGGTGATACGGTTTGGCTCTGTGTCCCCACCCAAATCTCATCTTGAATTGTCCTCCCATAATTCCCATGTGTTGTGGGAGGGACCTTGTGAGAGATAATTCGAATCATGGGGGGTGGATTCCCCCATACTGTTCTCATGGTAGTGAATAAATCTCATGAGATCTGATGGTTTTATCAGGGGTTTCCGCTTGTGCGTCTTCCTCGTTTTCTCTTGCTGTTGCCATGTTAGAAGTGCCTTTTGCCTCCGGCCATGATTCTGAGGCCTCCCTAGCCATGTGGAACTCTAAGTCCAATTAAACCTCTTTTTCATCTCAGTCTTGGATATGTCTTTATCAGCAGTGTGAAAACAGACTAAAACATACGGTTTTAAAATATTACATGGAAAATTCCAGAAATAAACAATTCATAAGTTTTAAATGGTACACTGTTCTGAGTAGCATGATAAAATCTTGCACTGTCCCCCTCCATCCTGCCTGGGATGTGAATCATCCCTTTATCCAGTGTACCCTCTCTGTCTAGATTATCCACAAATAAGCTACTAGTAGCCGGTTGGTTATGAGATCAACTGACGGGGTATTGAAGTGCTTAGGTGCAAGCAGCCCTTACTTTATAATGGCCCTACAGTGCAAGAGTGGTGATAATGGCAATGCAGAGATGCCACAGAGAAGCCATAAAGTACTTCCTTTAAGTGAAAAGATGAAAGTTGTTGACTTAAAAAGAAAAAAAAATGTATGCTGAGGATGCTAAGATCTACGGTAACAGCAGACTGCTATCCATGAAATTGTGAGGGAGGAAAAAGAGATTTGTGCTATTTTTGCTGTTGCAACTCAAACTTGATCATAGGTATGTATAGATAGGAAAAAGCATAGTAGGTATAGGGTTTAGTACCATCCAAGGTTTCAGGCATCCACTGAGGGTCTTGTAACATATCCTCCACAGGTAAGGAGCACAGGAATACTGCATAAATTAAAATCTGAGTATTTAATTTCAAGGATACGGCCTGTCTTAGTCCGCTTTGTATTGCTCTAATAGAATACCATTGATGGGTAATTTGTAAAGAACAGAGATCTATTTGGCTTATGGTTCTGGAGGCTGGGCAGTACAAGACCAAGGGGCTGCATTTGGTGAGGGCCTGCATGCTGCATCAGCACGTGGCAGAAGGGCAAGTGAGCACCCGAGACAGAAAGAGGGGTCAAGTTTCATCCTTTCATAGGAGCCCATTGCCTCAGTAATTAACCCACTCCTGAGATAACTAGAACACTCTCCCAATAACTCACCCACTCCTGAGATAACAGCATTAATCTAATCACCTGTTAAAGACCCCACTTCCCAATACCGTTATGTTGGTAATTAAATTTCAACATGAGTTTGCAGGGGAGCACTTCCTAATATGATTTCTTTTACTATCTCATTCCCATCTACCTCCCAGCTTTTTATCAGGCATCCTATGTGCTCTTGCCATGTTGAAATCTTTAGTCTCTACTGTACGCAGAATATTACAGGGCCCTTTGCCCCATTCTGTTTTGAGACAAATCATTTTTAAGAGTTCAGTTTCAATTGAGGTCACCAATAGTCAAAATAAAACATAGACATTCTCACCATCTAGAAAGCGACAGTCAATTCCCTACCCTTTTTCCTAACCCCTCAAACCACCTTTTCATTTCTGTCTCCATAGATTTGCTTTTGTCTCTTCTTGGATGTCATACAGATAGCATCATACTATAAGTATTCCTTCGTGTATAGCCTCCTTTGCACAACATAATGCTTGTGAGATTGTGTGCATATCAATAGTTTGTTCTTATTGCCAAGAAGTAGTCCATGATATGGATGTGCAAAGATTTGTTTGTCCATTTTCTGTTGATGAACACTTGGATTATGATTGAGGCTGCTGTGAACATTCTTGTACAAGTTTTTGGTTTGGGGATACATGTTTTCATTTCTTTTGGATAAGTACCTAGGTAAATAATTGCTGAGTTATAGGGTAAATGTATGTTTAATTTTATAAGAAACTGGCAAACCATTCTTCAAGGTGGTTAAGCCATTTCCACTCTCACCAGCAATGTATGAGAGTTCCAGTTGCTCTACAGCCTCATCAACATTTGGTAATGTCAGTCTTTTATATTTGTAGCCATTCTGGTGGGTGTGAAATGGCTTTTCTCCTTTTCTATTTGCCAACTCCTATTCATCCTTCAAGCCTTCTCAGAAACCATCTTTTCTAGGTAGCTTTCTAGATTTACTTTGTGTTCCCTATAGAACTCTCAAGCCTTTGTGTTGAATTTTTTTTTTTTTTTGAGACAAGGTCTCACTGTTACCCAGGCTGGAGTGCAGTGGTGAGATCATAGGTAACTGCAGACTCAACCTTCTGGGCTCAAGTGATCCTCCAGCTTTAGCCTCCTGAGTAGTTGGGACTATAGGTGTGCACTACCATGCCTGGCTAATTTTATATTTTTTGTAGAAGCAGGGTCTCTTGTTTCCCAGGCTAGTCTTGAACTCCTGGGCTCAAGTGATCCTCCCAGTTTGGCCTCCCAAAGTGTTGGGATTACAGGTGTGAGCCACTGTACCTGACCTTAGTTTTGTGTTGAACTTGCAACATCTGTTAAACTGTCTCCCTCCTTCACAGAACCATGAACCATGAACACAAGGGCATGTTCTTTAAATATCTTTGTTCCCTCTGTGTCTATCATAGTGCCTGATCTATGGGTAAAAGCACCAAAAAGGCCTGATAAATGAATGAGGGGTAGAGATGGAGGTAGTAGTTGGTTGTTGGTATAGAAATATTGGCATTTCTGATTCTTTTAAAATGGGAATTTCAAGAGACATTTAGGTTAAGCTGTATAAAAATGTGATCAGTATATTGATCGATGGTGTCCAATACCGCCTTGCATAGATTTGATGTCTACCCTGGTCCTCAAATATTTTAGCAAACAACATTGACCACAGCATTAAAATTTGTTTTGTTTGAATCCTGAAAAGAAAAGAGGAGAAAATGAAACTTGGTAGCTGTGTCCACAGCACATACAACACTAGCTAGTTGTGGCTTTTATATGGAATCATTTCAAAGAAAAACTTAACCCCCATAATGACATTCCCGCCAGGACCTGAGCATGCACACTGGAGGAGGGTGGCTTTGGCTGGAGGGTGGTGGCCGCAGCTTCTGTTCCATCTTCATGGTGATTGCTACCATCCTTGAGTTTAGAGTGTTGAATTTGCATCGGTCTAAGTCTACCCCCACTGAGCTCTAATAGTCTCTCTTTAGCCAACTTCTACTTGCTCTCCTATGTTGTTCAAGACTCCACCCAGATACCAGCTACTCCAAGAAGATCCTGGAAGGGGGAGTCCTTGCCTTGTACCTGATTCAGGGCCTGAATACGATTGCAACCCAAATATTGGCTGATTAATTTTCAACTGGATAGGATCCTACAATGTATCCACGTCTACTGTGTAAGTGCGATTGATATTGAGAGCCTGGGGTGTTAAGACAGCAAAGATCACAGAGGATACCATGTCCTCCCTGACATTACTCCCAGACAGGCTCACTGGCCTGGCCTTTTAGAGAGCACAGCCCTGACCTGCCTCACTTTGCTGTGTGAAGGGAAGGGGATTAATGAGGAGAGCCTTACCCTCTTATTTTGTTGTACTGCTTAAAACATTACAGTTCAAAATTCCAGAATCCCCTGTAGAAGAAGAAAGTCCCATTAGATGTTCCACTGCTGTATCCTCACTGCTCAGACACTCAGGACCTCTCCATCTCCCACTACATTGTTTCCCAAAGTTGCACACGAGATGGTTTGGGTGGTACATGGAGAGATTCATTAGGTTAATATCAACCATCTTATGGTAAATCAGAAAAAATTATAACTGGTACCTGTAATTCAGAATTTTTAAGATACCATTTCATAAGATAAAGCTATATGGATTTAAGATAAAAAGAGAGAGAAATGGACTTAAAGAAAACCGTGAATAATAACATGGGGGGTGATTGGATATGGGAAAAAATAGTGAAGATGATATTGAATGTTAAAACTTTGGAAATCACTGGGCCAGCCCAACATGCTGACCATGTACAGAGGAGACAAGGCATTGATTGAAATCACTAGCCTTTTACCTATTAAAATTCCCACCCAGAGTCAAGGAAACAAAATCTTGAGATGCAGCACTCTGTTGCCCTGGCTTGTGTGGTTCAGCCCCTTTTCAACCCGAAGAGTTTGCACTCACTGGCATCTGCATTTGAAAATTTGTCTAAGAAGTGCAACTGAGCTTCATGGATGGGTTTAGTACAGACACAATCTCCAAGCCACTGGGTGTGGCTCCATGTTCCTGAGGCTAAAAGAACGTTGGGAGATGAAAATAAAATGTTGTCTTCCCAGGGCACAGAGGACAGATGATGCTGCTAATAAAGACATACCCAAGACTGGGTAATTTGTAAATAAAAGAGGTTTAATGGGCTGACAGTTCCACATGGCTGGGGAGGCCTCACAATCATGGCATAAAGTGAAGGAAGAAAGAAGGCACATCTTATATGGTGGCAGGCAAGAGGGCACATCCAGGAGAACTGCCCTTTAGAAAACCATCAGATGTCATGAGACTTATTCACTATCACGAGAACAACATGGGAAAAACCTGCCCCCGTGATTCGATTACCTCCCACAGGGTAACTCCCACAACACATGGGGATTATGGGAGCTACAGTTCAAGATGAGATTTGGGTGGGGACACAGCCAAACCATATAAGCCCCCAAGAGTCAACAGTCTTCTTGCATATATATAGACATATTAAAATTTTTGTCATCTTTTCTATTTCAAAGACCAAATGTGCCCAGTCTTTCACATTGAATTGCATCTCAAGTGTTCTTCTAAAGAAGGAGGCACTCTGCCTTCAACTGAGTTTTTAGCTCTATCAATAAAAAACTAGAAATTTACTTGTAACAGGTTGAAAGAAAAGGGGATTCTTTTAGACCTCCTAGGCTTAGTCTTCCTCTATTTTCCTCTGGCAGGTAATAATCCAGTCTGCGTCTCTGGAGGTGGGTCACAGGACTCTTGAAAATGTCATGTAATTTCCATGATTCCTCCTGGGCCTGGAGCATGGAGTTGGGCAAGAGTGGATGGTGACTTGGGCTTTGTAGAGGTCTTAATATTGCATAAAATGCAGCAGGAATGAAAATGCTCAAGTGCTAGAGGCTTCCAGTTTACTGAAAGTATGCAGCACTAGGTAGCAAGATACATTTCGAGCAAATTATGTAAAGTTTGAAACTTTTGTGTGACAAGTACACTATAAAAAAAGTTAAAAACAAGTGATAAAGCAGCCTAGAAGAATGCAAGAAAAAAGAAAACAAAACAAAAAACAGAACAAAGAGAAAACAAAATAATAAAATGGCAAATTTAAGTCTTAACATATCAATAACTATATTAAATGTAAATGGTCTAAATATACCACTTCAAGACAAAGGTTGGCAGAGTGGATAAGAAACATGATCTAACTATAAGTAACACAATTCATGTAGAATGACATACATAGATTGAAAATGAAAGTACTGAATTTAAAGTAATTGAAACCATACAGTGTTCTCTGACCAGAATGGTATCAAACTAAAAATCAGTAACAGATAACAAGAATATCTTCAAAGATACTGGAAACAAAATGACACACTTCTACATTTCCACCTGTCAGACGGGATGTATTACAGAAATAAAAACACATTGAACCAAATGGAAATGAAAATGCAACATATAATAATTTGTGAAATGAAGCTAAAATAGTGTTGAGAGGGAAGGTTAGAGCAAAATGTTTATATTAGAAGAGCGGAAAAGTCTGAAATCAATGATGGAAACTCCTGCTTCCAGAAACTAGAAAAAAAGAATAGCAAAATAAACCAAAACAGCAGAAGGAAAGATATAATAAAGAGCAGAAATCAATAAAACTGAAAATATAAAAAGAGTGAGAATCAGTGAAACCAAAGCTATTTCTTCGAAATATTCAAGAAAATTGAAAACTTCTAGTCAAACTGACAAAAAAAAAAAAAGATACAAATTATTAATGTAATGAATGGGCCAGGGAGATCCCCCACAGATTCTGTAAACATTAAAAGAAGGGACTATTACAAACAGCTCTGCACACGTAAATTTGATGTTAGATGACATGGATGAATTCCTTGAAAAGTACCAACTACCAGAACTCACCCAGTATGAAACAGATTTTCTGAATATCCCTATAACTATTGAGAAAAATGAATTCATAATTGAAAATCTACAGAAAAAGAAATTTCCAGATGGACTCACTGGAGAACTCTACCAAATACTTAAAGAGGAATTGATACTAATTACACAATCTCTCCAGAAAACAGAAGAGGCAAGAACACTTCCTAACTCATTCTATGAAGCCAGTACTACCCTGATACCAAAACCAGACAGTACAGAAAAGTGCAGAACAATGTTATGCATGAATATAGACAAAAAAATTATGAACAAAATATTAGCAAACAGAATTCAACAATACATAAAAAGCATTACATACCATGATTCAGTGGAATTTGTCCTAAGGATACAGGCTGGTTAAACATTTGAAAATCATTACATACCATGATTAAGTGGAATTTGCCCTAAGGATACAGGCTGGTTAAACATTTGAAAATCATTAAATGTAATCGATCACCTTAATATGCTAAAGAAGAAAAATTACATAATCACATCAATTGATGCAGAAAAACTATTTGACAAATGCAACAGCCATTTATATAAAAACTCTCAGAAAACTAGGACTAGAGGGCAACTTCTTTAACTTGATTTTTAAAATCTACAAAAACCTACAGCTAGCATCATACTTAATGGCAAAAGACTGAATGCTTTTCCCCCAAGATAAGGGCCAAGGCAAGGATGTCTGCCTTCAGTACTGCTATTTGACATAGTATCAAAAGTTCTAGCCAGCATGAAAAGTAAAGAAAAGGGAATGAAAGACATATGGATCAGAAATGAAGAATTAAAACTGTCTGTATATGCAGATGGCATAATCGTCTACTTAGAAAATCCCAAGGAATTACACAAAATACATCCTAGAACTCATAAGTGAATTCAGTAAGGTGCAGTACGTAAGAGGAACATACAAAAAGTAATTTTTTCTCTATTCTACCCATGAACACACTCTCACTCATAGGTGGGAATTGAACAATGAGAACACACGGACACAGGAAGGGGAACATCACACTCTGGGGACTGTTGAGGGGTGGGGGGAGCGGGGAGGGATAGCATTGGGAGATATAACTAATGCTAGATGACGAGTTAGTGGGTGCAGCACACCAGCATGGCACGTGTATACATATGTAACTAACCTGCACATTGTGCACATGTACCCTAAAACTTAAAGTATAATAATAATAATAATAAATCACAAAATAAAAAAAATACAATACCATCTATAATCACTAAAAAAAAAAAAGAGAAAGAAAGAATTACTTAGGTGAAAATCTAACAAAGTATGCACCTGACTTGCATGCTGAAAGCTACAAAATGGTTATTAAATAAATAAAAGAAGCACTTTAAAAAAAGGAGAGATAGTCCATGTTCATGGATAAGGCTCATCATAGGAAAGATGTCAACTCTCCCCCAAGAATTTTGGACTTAACACAATTCCTATCAAAACGCCAGCCAGGACTTTTTTTTTTTTTTTTGTAGATATGGACCAGATTATTCTAAAATTTACATGGAAAGGTAAAGAAACCAGAACAGCTAAAACCATTCTGAAAAAGAAGAGTGAAGTGGGAAGAATCTATCTGATATCAAGACTGACCTAGCTAGAGTAATCAAGACTGCGTGCCATTGGCAGAGAGTAAGAGACTTAGATTAAAATAATCGAATAGAAGACCCAGAAATAGCCCCACACGTGTATGGCCAACGGTTTTTTTGACAAAAGTGTGGAAGCAGTCCAATGGAGGAGAGAAAGCCTTTTCAACAAATAACAAATTGAAAACAAATTGCTAACAATTAAAAACAAAAAACCCAAAATGGTTATTGAATTGCTGTGTGATTATTGCCCCAGCAAGTCAATATCCACAGGCTAGAATAGAAACCTCCGTGTAAATGTTATACTTACACAAAAACTAACCCCAAAGGGATCATGGACTTAATATAAAACATAAAACTAAAACTTTTAGAAAAAACAGGCCAGGTGCAGTGGCTCCTACCTGTAATCCCAGCACTTTGGGAGGCCGAGGCGGGTGGATCACCTGAGGTCAGGAGTTCAAGACCAGCCTGGCCAACATGGTGAGGCTGTCTGTACCAAAAATACAAAATTAGCCAGGCGTGGTGCTGTGCGCCTGTAATCCCAGCTACTTGGGAGGCTGAGGCAGAAGAATCTCTTGAACCTGGGAGGTGGAGGTTGCCGTGAGCCGAGATCGTCCCACTGCCCTCCAGCCTGGGCGACAGAATGAGACTATCTCAAAAAAAAAAAAAAAAAAAAAAAAAAAAGAGAGAGAGAAAGAGAGAGAGAACAAAAGAAAGAAAAGAAAAGCATAGAAAATCTTTAGGACGTCGGGCCTAGTAAAGCATTCTTAGGCATGATGCCGAAGTATGATCTACACACAAAAAAAGATCAATAAATTGAACTTCATCAAAATTAAAAGTATGCGCTCTGTAATGACCCTGTGAAGGAAGAAAAGCCACACTACAGACTATGAGCAAATATTTGCAAATTATGCTTCTAACAAAGTACTCACCCAGAATATATAAAGAATTCTGAAACCGAACAGCTAAAAAAACCAACAATCCAATTAGAAAATGGGCCAAGGACGAGACATTTTACCGAAAAGGATATTTGATGGCAAATACGTCCACGAAAAGATGTTCGGCGTCGCTACCTAGCAGGGAAATGCAGATTAAAAGCACAATGAGACGTTGCCACACACCTATCAAGTTGGCTAAAATAAACACTAGTGACAGGACTAAATGCTGTTGAGGAGGTGCAGAAAATGGTTTCCTCCCACATTGCTGGTGGGATGTAAAAGGGTACAGCTGCTCTGAAAAACAGTCTGGCAGTTTCTTACAAAAAGAAACACACTTCACCGGATGACCTAGCACCCACATTCCTGGGGATTGCTCCCTCTGGAGGGAAAACTTACATAGGCACAGAAGCCTACATGCAAATGTTCACAGCAGCTTGATTTACATAAACCAAAATCTGGAAACAGGGGAAGGGTTAAAACAAACAATGCTACCTCCGTACCGTGGAATACCGTTTCCACATAAAAAGGAACATGCAGCCACTTAGATGGAGTATGTTGGACGGAGTTGAAAAAAAAAAGCCAATCTCTGAAAGTCATATCTGTATAAGATTCTCAAAATGACAAAATTATAGTGATGGAAAACAGATGAGCAGTTGCCAGGTAAGGATGTCCCAGATGGGGCAGGTGGCTGTGACCATAGAAGGGCAGCTTGGTGACCTTTCTGGGGGTGGACAGTTCTGTATCTTGATGACAGTAGGTTTCACTTGAATCTGCACCGGTGGGGAAATGGCATAGAGCTCTAGACACACCATACACCAATTGTGCTCACCTCAGTTTTCTGGTTTTTCTCTTGCGCTGTAGTTATGTGAAATGTAACCATTGGGAGAATTTGAGTAAAGGGCACAGCAGCAGTGGCAGCAGCAGGAAGGAGCTAACGTCTGTGGAACTATTTATTTATATTATTTTTTTGAGAATGTGGACCATGAGAACCCCTGGGTGACCTTCCCTTGCCTGTAAGAGCCGATAGCTTTTAATTGTCCATTTGTAGGAGACTGCATAAATAAACGGTGTAATAATGAAACAGTGGAAATCTCTGCAGCAACTTAATGCATTTAATGAATTAATATATTTAATGCAGCCATTTACTGTATTCGGACAAATCCAATTTCTGGATTTGCCTGAATCCACGCCAATGTGTCAGATAGAATCTCTGCTTTTTCTGTTTTTTGAGACGAAGGCTCGCTCTGTTGCCCAGGCTGGAGTGCAATGATGCAATCTCAGCTCACTGCAACCTCCACCTCCCGGGTTCAAGTGATTCTCCTGCGTCAGCCTCCCGAGTAGCTGGGACTACAGGCACTCGCCATCATGGCTGGCTAATTTTTGCACTTTTGTGGAGACAGGGTTTCACCATGTTGGCCAGGCTGGTCTTGAACTCCTGACCTCGTGATCCACTCACCTCGGCCTCCCAAAGTGCTGGGATTACAGGCGTGAGCCACCGCACCCGGCCTCAGATAGAATCTTTTTTCTGCAGAGTTGCTTGGAAGATCTTGAAGCTCTCTAGACCAGGAAAGGCTTTCTCCTTTTGTGCAGTTTTGTACAAATCGAGGCTGAACTTTTGAGTCTGGACCAAATGCAGTTGCCGTGGAAGCAAAGGGTCTCCTTTTATCTCTGTGCTCTTCTTCCTGAGATCCCGGCAGTAACTGGTTATGACGGGTTTTCCACAGGATGGTGCAGCTGCTGCGTATGGGGCAGGGAGGGCTGCAGCGTCCTAAGGTTCAATCATGTCTTCTATGATGCGATGGAGGAAAAAGTAAGATGTAAAGCCTAAGGCTTCCCCTGGCCTCTGACTGACCGGTGTTCATGTCCTGGGGGCCAATTCCTTGGTGTGTGATCTGAGCTCCTTGCAGGGAAGAGACCAGCCTTCAGCATGGGTCTCCCCATTACTGAACCCTGTTCTGTCTGGCAGGGACCTTGTTATTTGAAATGACCTTACTTATTGGTTTCTGTCTGTCCATTTCCCCAGAATATCAGCTCTGTGAGTGAAGACAATGACCTCATCTGTCTTACCTGTCCCTAGAACGTAGAAGTGGCTGAGCTTCTGGCAGACCCTGGGGAAGGTTCCAGAGAGCTTAAGATTCCCCTCCAGGGTTTACATCATAGAGATCCGGAAGGCTCTCTGTCCTCAAGTTGTAGCCATTTTTTTTTTTTTTTTTTTTTTTTGAGACCGAGTCTTGCTCTGTCGCCCAGGCTGGAGTGCAGTGGAGCTATCTCGGCTTACTGCAACCTCCACCTCCCGGGTTCAAGCAATTCTCTTGCCTCAGCCTCCCGAGTAGCTGGGATCACAGGCGTGTGCTATAATGCCTGGCTACTTTTTCTATTTTTATTAGAGATGGAGTTTTACCATGTTGGCCAGGCTTGTCTCGAACTCTTGACCTCAAATGATCCACCCTCCTCGGCCTCCCAAAGTGCTGGGATTACAGGCGTGAGCCACCATGACTGGCCCACCCAGCTAATTTTTGTATTTTTAGTAGAGACGGGGTTTCACCATGTTGTTCAGGCTGGTCTCTATCTCCTGACCGTAAATGATCCACCCTCCTCGGCCTCCCAAAGTGCTGGGATTACAGGCGTGAGCCACCATGACTGGCCCACCCAGCTAATTTTTGTATTTTTAGTAGAGATGGTGTTTCACCATGTTGTTCAGGTTGGTCTCAAACTCCTGACGTTAAATGATCCACCCTCCTCGGCCTCCCAAAGTGCTGGGATTACAGGTGTGAGCCACCGTGCCCGGCCGAGTTGTAGCCATTTTAGTTAAACACAAGTCAGGATTTTTAGGGGAGCTGCTGCCACCTTGGAGGAGGCAGGGCACCTACGCATGGGTAGGAGTCCTGCAGTCACCCTCGGGAGACGGGACAAGATTCTCAGCCACTCACTGACTTTCACTTGGTCACAAAAGTTGTTCCTCGGAGACTCCTTGATGACAGGGAAAGCTGGGTCCAGTCGCCTCCGGCTGGGGAATTTCTGCCTTATTTCTAATGATTGGAAAGCTCTATCTCCCCCCTTTCCATTTTTGTCTGTCCCCAGAATGTCCCGCCCCTCTGTCTCACGATCCATTGATCCTTCCCGCATCATAAGGCATCCCTGGCTTCCTCCTGCCTGCCATGAGCTCCACTTGCCCTGGACACTTAACAACAGCAGCAGTGGCAGCCGCAGGAAGGAGCGAACATCTGTGAACTATTTGTATTTATTTATTATTATTATTATTATTATTATTATTATTATTATTATTATTATTATTATTTTGAGACTGAGTCTTGCTCTGTCGCCCAGGCTGGAGTGCAGTGGCATGATTTCAACTCACTGCAACCTCCGCCTGCCGGGTTCAAGCAATTCTCCTGCCTCAGCCTCCCGAGTAGCTGGGATTAGAGGCACGCACCACCACGCCCGGCCAATTTTTGTATTTTTAGTAGAGACGGGGTTTTGCCATGTTGGCCAGGCTGGTCTCAAACTCCTGACTTCAAGTGATCCACCCGCCTTGGCCTCCCAAAGTGCCAGGATTACAGGCGTGAGCTACATGTCTGTGGAACTATGAAAAGCAGCCAGGACTGTTCAGACGTCCACGTGCATCTGAGGCACCTGGGTCTACAGTTGTGATGTGGCCAAGACGTCACTTGGCATCTGGAACTTGGCATCTGCCAGGTTGAGTCATGTCTTATCCTTCTCTGCAACCCCCGAGCGATGGCCTGGTGTGTCCAGTGACTCAGGGGTGGGACAGGCAGGGAATGTCTTCCTGACTTTGCCTGAGGCCTAGCCCTGTGTGGGGAATTCAAGTCAGCTGCCGGGCCCTGGGCGGCACGGACGGTATGGGGGTCAGCTGCAGGTCCCTCCCGCCATGCCCAGAGCCCAGCTTTGTGTTGTCTCCAGGCCCTGAGATTCCTCCTCTTCATCCAGCAGCTGCTTCTTTCCCACCCTTGTCCTCATCTCATTCAGTATCCCAGGGGAAGCCCCCTGCCTCCCCATCTCCGATTAATCCCCTGATGGAGGTGGGAACCACCTGCCCCCCACACCACCCTGCAGCAGGCCAGTGTTAACTTAAAAAATCACAAGATCCAGAAATTTGGAAAGGAGACTTTAGTTCTTATAAAGAGCCACAGCCTGCGGGTGGCCATTCTGGCAGGCGGGGAAGCATAGACTCCAGCTACAGCCTGGGAGCAGACACTTGGAGAGAGGGAAGGGAGAATAGAAATCAAGCTGAATGGGCTGGCCAGGGGCATATTTTCAATAGGTTACAGGAGGAGCTGCGACTGTTCATGCAGGGGGTCCTGACACATGCAAACTAGACAAACATGAAATGGAACATGCAAGTGGAGACTTCATTTTTTTTTTTGAGGCAGAGTTTCACTCTCGTCACCGAGGCTGAAGTGCAGTGGTCCGATCTCGGCTCACTGCAACCTCCGCCTGCCGGGTTCAAGCGATTCTCCTGCCTCAGCCTCCCAAATAGCTGGGATTACAGGCGCCCGCCACCACACCCGGCTAATTTTTGTATTTTTAGTAGAGATGGGGTTTCACCATATTGGCCAGGATGGTCTTGAACTCCTGACCTCAGGTGATCCACCTGCCTTGGCCTCCAAAGTGCTGGGATTCCAGGCCTGAGACACCGTGCCCGGCTGAGACTTAACATTTAAATGCTCTACAGGTAGCCCTATATATCGAAAGGTGACACAGAGACACAAAGCCACTCAGTGCACAGCCTCTGTAAACCAGCCAGAACCAGCCCATGACCATGGTCTCTTACCTGGAGAAAGTTACTGAAATTAGCTTCTTGTCCGATCAAAGCTGTAGATGTCTCTGGTGGAGCAGAGGTTGGTTAGTCAGTATCTGGTGGCGAGTGAGCTGCAATTGTTGCTTATCTCAGCAGCAAGGGTGTGACACAGGCCACCAGGAGTGCCCATGTCTCTGTGGACAGGCTTGACAAGATGTTCATGTTCTGGGCCTGGAGAAGACCACTGAGACCTGCAGGGGCACCCACAAAGCTCCCTCTGGGATATTCAGTTGGCTGCTGGTCGTGCGTTCCCCTCTCCACCCCAGCAGCCCAATCTCTTGCAAGATCCTCCCTTCTAAAAAGAAAGAGGACATTTTACACCCACTTATTCTCCCTCTTGCTTTCTGGGTTCCTTCTCTCCCTTTAGAGATTTCCTTTGGCATCACCAAGGGTCTGTGAGGGTAAAGTCAAGATTTTTGCACCTAAACATGCTCTCCTGTCTGTCTCCTACTGTCTTAGTCCTGTTCAGGCTGCTACCACAGAATACCATAGACTGGGCAGCTGGCAAACAACAGAAGTTTATTTCTCATCGTTCTGGAGGCAAGAATATGAATAAGCTGGCAGATTCTGCGTCTCGGGAGACCCCCTTCTTGGCTCACAGATGGTGCCTTCTTGCTGTATCCTCATGTGGCAAAAGGGGTTGGGGGTTCACTGCAGTCTGTTTTTTTTTATTTTTAGTTTTTTTAGACTGTCTTGCTCTGTCACCCAGGCTGGAGTGCGATGGCACGATCTTTTCTAATTTTTTAAGGTGGGAGTTTTTATGATTAAAACTTTCTTTCTTTTCTAATATATTTAGTGCTAGAAATTTCCTTCTCAGAACTATTTTAGCTTCAACTCACCAATTGATTTGTATTTTCATTTTAGTTCAGTAATATATATATATTAGTCTAGTAATGTACACACACACATAGATATATATATATATATATATATATATATATATATATTTAATTCCCTGAAGACTTTCTCTTTGACCCATCGTTTATTCAGAATTTTGTTTTCCAGATTTTTAATGTTTGGAGAATTTCCTTTTATTTTTCTGTTATTGATTTGAGGTTTGATTCCATTGTGGTCAGACTCCATATTCTTGCCTCTTGCAGGATATTATTCTGGCTAAAAGCAATTTCACTTTCAATTCTTTTAAACATGTTGAGGCATGTTTTATAGTTCAGGATATGTTCTATCTTGAATGATTGATATGGTTAGGCTTTGTGTCCCCACCCAAATCTCATCTTGAATTGTAACCCCCATAATCCCCACTTGTCAAGGGAGAGACACGGTGGAGAAAATTGAATTATGGAGACCGTTTCCCCCATGCTGTTCTCTTGATAGTGATTGAGTTTTCATGAGATCTGATGGTTTTATAAGGGGTTCTTCCCTCCAGGCTCCTCGGCACTTCTCCTTCCTGCTACCTTGATCCCCCTTCGCCTTCTGCCGTGACTGTAAGTTTCCTGAGGCCTCCTCAGCAATGCTAAACTGTGAGCCACTTAAACCTCTCTCCTTTATAAATTACCCAGTCTCGGGTAGTTCTTTACAGCAGTATGAAAATGGACTAATACAATAACGTTCCATGGGGACTTGAAAATAATGTGTGTTCTGCTGTTGTTGAATGGAGTTTTCTGTAAATAAATGTATTCACTCTGGGCTGGGCACGGTGGCTCACGCCTGTAATCCCAGCACTTTGGGAGGCCGAGGTGGGCAGATCACAAGGTCAGGAGATTGAGACCATCCTGGCTAACATGGTGAAACCCCGTCTCTACTAAAAATATAAAAAAAAATTAGCCTGGCGTGGTGGCGGGCGCCTGTAGTCCCAGCTACTTGGGAGGCTGAGGCAGGAGAATGGCATGAACCCGGGAGGTGGAGCTTGCAGTGAGCGGAGATCGCGCCACTGCACTCCAGCCTGGGTGACAGAGCGAGACTCCATCTCAAAAAAAAAAAAAAAAAAGTATTCATTCTGTTGGTTGATGGTAGTGTTAAGCTTTTGTATAAACTTACTTTTTGTCTAGTCATTCTATCAACTGCTGAGAGTGTACAACTATATGTGTTGAAATCTACAGCTATAATTGTAGACTTGTCTATTTCTTCTTTCAGGTCTATCAGTTTTTTCTTGACATATTTCAGTTCTTATTTTTGGCATATACACATTTAGGATTGCCATGCTTTAATAGTGATTTGACCCTTTTATCATTCTTTAACTTCCCTTTCTGTCTCTGTAATTTTTCTTTGCTTTGCAGTTTACTTTATCTGATTTATACGCATCTACTTCTCCTTTCTATTGATTAATGTTTTTGTATTCTTTTCTTTCGGCTTACCTATATCATCATATTTGAACCAATATTACTGTAGAAGGCATAGAGATGGGTCATTTTACCCTTCTGTCAACCTCTGTCTTACATTCGGTGAATTTTCATTGTTTTAGTCACAAAAGCTTCATATTATATGATTTAATTTATGTAAGATGTTCAAAAAAGGCAAACTGGAGAGACAGACAGTAGATTTGTGATTGCGTAGGCCTGGGTCAGGGTTTGCAGATGTGGGGAGGAAATGGTGAGTGACTAGTAATGGGTACAAGGTCTGCTTTGGGGATGATAACACTCTAAAATTGGAACAGGGTAATGATTACACAACTCTGTAAATGTGCTCAGAACTCCTGACTTGTACACTTTTAATGGGTGACTGTATGGTGTGGCATGTAAATTACATCTTGGTAAATAAAACTGTTAGAAAAAAAATAATAACAGGGCTTGGTGTGGTGGCTCACGCCTGTAATCCCAGCACTTTGGGAGGCCCAGGTGGGTCGACCACCTGAGGTCAGGATTTCCAGACCAGCCTGGCCAACATTGTGAAACCCCATCTCTACTAAAATTACAAAATTATTAAAATTACAAAAAAATACAAAAATTAGCCAGGTGTGGTGGCAGGCATCTGTAACCTCAGCTACTTGGGAGGCTGAAGCAGGAGAATCACTTGAACCTGGGAGGAGGAGGTTGCAGTGAGCTGAGATTGTACCACTGCACTCCAGCCTGGGTGACAGACTGAGACTCCACCTCAAAAATATAAATAAATAACAGGCAGTGGGTTACATTTGGCCTCTGGCTGCAGTTTCTGAACCTCTGATCTCGACCAACGATCTACAGAGGCCTCGTTGGGCAGTTGTTACGGGGCCTACCTGGGTGACACCTGCAGGATATTATTCTGGCTAAAAGCAAAGAAACTTGCACAGCCGAAGGAAACCTCCCAGGGGAATGGGCTGGCCAGGTTGGAAGATGCTCATGGAAACTGAGAGTGTAAGACTCCAGGAAACAGAAACCAACAGGTGCATTTTGATTTAGAAAAATGTAAATAGGTCATCAATGTGAGTACTGCACACAACATATCACCAACTGGTGCAAGCGAGAGAAGGAGCAGGGTTTTGACAGCGTCTGATGCAGAATTTGCACTTCCTGCACACACTGGGAAGACAGCCGTTCATGGCCTGCCTCTAGGGGACACAGTCACAGTCACACAACCCTCTTGATCCCTGACTTCCTGTAATGTCCTTGGTTTAGCTGCCTCCGGCTCAACCTGGATCTACTGGCTCTTCCCTCAGCCCAGCCATGGTGATGAATTTCTCTTCCCGTTAGCTAGATGGGAGCAGCTTGTCAACAGAGGGCAGACAAATTGGCTGGTGGTAGATTTGGTGAAACAACCTCCATGAGAGCAGACAGGGGCACTGGGGGTTCCGACCACATTGACCTCCACCTTGGCTAACCTGTGCTTCCTTGTGCCATTAATCTTCTTGTTTTCCAATAATCTCTGCTAAGAGCGACCAGGATTCTTGGTGGTCTAATTGAGATTCCAGTGGGTTTCCACTTTAAGTCTGAGCTGGATGCTGATTCATTCGGAAGGCAACAGAACATCCAGATGCCAGATTTAGTGGTGATTGTCCTGGGTATGATAAAAGACAATCAGAATTAGAGGCTACTCTAGAAGGGAAGACACAGAGGCTGGGATGTAGCGTGTGGGTGTGGCAGAGTGAGCCTTAGCTGGCTAAGCTTTTAAGTCAAGGGTTAAGTAAGTTAATATTTCTGAAACTTCAAAATATATTTCTAAAATGTATGACACTTTTCAGTACAGATAATTCTGAATGGAAGAATAATTCTGAATGGACAGACCCAAGGTACAATTTCTTACCCAAAAGATCCTAAGTTGCCCCCGAATGAAATGCTGACTACAGTCCAGCTTCAGTTTGGGCCGGTTAAAACCAGGGTTATGAATTTTAAGAAGGGCTATTTTAGGCCGAGAATGGTGGCTCATGCCTGTAATCCCAGCACTTTGGGAGGCCGAGACAGGTGGATCATGAAAGTCAGGAGATCGAGACCATCCTGGCTAATGCAGTGAAACCCCGTCTTTACTAAAAACACAAAAAATTAGCCAGGTGCGGTGGTGCATACCTGTAGAACCAGCTACTCGGGAGGCTGAGGCAGGAGAATCACTTGAACCTGGGAGGCAGAGGCTGCAGTGAGCTGCGATCGCCCCACTGCAATCCAGCCTGGTGACAGAATGAGACTCCGTCTCAAAAAAAAAAAAAAAAAAAAAAAAAAAAAAAAAGCGGCTATTTTTTTAAATTTACTTAAAACTCTACCTGTATGAATGGGTTGATGGTGAAACCTTGGAGTGGTTGGGTTGAGTCATCTCTGACCTACTTGTGAGGACAGGTGTCCTGGTCTTCTGTCCCTGGTTTTCCTGTGGACACCTGGGCGGCCAGGGTGGGATGGCTCACACATCGACTGGTGGACCCTGTTTCTTACCTGAAGTGCCCTGAGATGGTGGTGGTGGAAGCAATGCTGACAAGGGGAATAAACTAACAAACACTAATATATATAATATATCTTTGGAGTCTTCACACTGCTTTCCCACTAACTTCCCATGTAATCCTCAAAATAACCTGGTGTTATATTATGGAAAAGAATGGCTGGGTGTGGTGACACATGCCTGTAATCCCAGCACTTTGGGAGGCTGAGGCGGGCAGATCGCCTGAGGTCGGGAGTTTGAGACCAGCCTGACCAACATGGAGAAACCCCGTCTCTACTAAAAATACAAAACTAGCCAGGCATGGTGGCGCATGCCTGTAATCCCAGCTACTCGGGAGGCTGAGGCAGGAGAATCACTTGAACCCAGGAGGCGGAGGTTGTGGTGAGCCAAGATAGCACCACTACACTCCAGCCTGGGCAACAAGAGCGAAACTCCATAAAAAAGGAAAGAAAAGAAAGGAAAGGAAAAGGAGAGGAGAGGAAAGGGAAAATGAAAGGGAAAGGAAAAAGGGAAAGAGAAAGAGAGGAAAGGAAGGGAGAGGGTTGTGATTTTCCCTAGACCACACAGCTAGGAGGTGGCTCATTGTCTCCATTTGAGGACTGTGCCCATTTGCCTAGGAGGCCAAGAGAGGACAGACACTGAGGGCTGGCGAGGGTGGATCACCCAGCATGGATGCCTTCACATTTTAGGTTTTCTCTTTTTTATTGGGAAAGATAACACATGTCCATGGTGAGAAATGCAGTGTGAAGGTTAGTCTCTCTCCACTCTGGTTCCTTTCCTTTCGTTCGTTTTTGTTTTTGTTTTTGTTTTGAGACAGAGTCTTGCTCTGTCGCCCAGGCTGGAGTGCAATGGCGTGATCTCGGCTCACTGCGACCTTGGCCTCCCAGATTCAAGTGATTCTTTTGCCTCAGCCTCCCGAGTAGCTGGGACTACAGACACGCACCACCACACCAGATTAATTTTTGTATTTTTAGTAGAGATGGGGTTTCACCATATTGGCCAGGCTGGTCTCGAACTCCTGACCTCGTGATCCGCCTGCCTTGGCCTCCCAAAGTGCTGGGATTACAGGCGTGAGCCACCGCGCCTGGCCTCCTTTTGTTCTTTCTAGAGGCAACCACTGTTACCAATTTCTTGTTCATCTTTCCAGAGATAGTTTCTACACCTTCTAGCGTGTGTGTGTTTACACGCACATATGGAGATGGCTATCTTCATGCATGTGATCCCATCTCATTCTTTTTTTTTTTTTGAGATGGAGTCTCACTCTGTTGCCCAGGCTGGAGTGCAGTGGCGCGATCTCGGCTCACTGCAAGCTCTGCCTCCAGGGTTCATGCCATTCTCCGGCCTCAGCCTCCCAGGTTCATGCCATTCTCCAGCCTCAGCCTCCCAAGCAGCTGGGACTACAGACGCCCGCCACTGCGCCCGGCTAATTTTGTTTGTATTTTTAGTAGATATGGGGTTTCACCATGGTCTCGATCTCCTGACTTTGTGATCCACACGCCTCAGCCTCCCAAAGTGCTGGGATTACAGGCGTAAGCCACCGAGCCCGGCCCCATCTCATTCTTTTAAACAGCTGCATGGGTTCCCATGTGTGGATTGGCATAATTCATTTTCCAAATCCCCTTCCGATGGACATTTCGGTTGTTTAAAGTCTTACATAATGAAAAACAACACAATGTCTAATTTTTTCCCTTTTAATTCTTTTTTAAATGAAAGTAACATATGTAAAAGTCAAATAGTATAATAAAACATATCATAAAAGCTGACGGTCCCTTGTGTGGTCTCTGCTCCAGGTCTGCTTACTCTGCCACAGCCTTGCAGCCCTGACTCTCCATCCCAGGCTGTCATTTGCAATTCCTTTAACTGTTGAATCTTGTATTTATCCTATCTACCCTCATCTTTCTTTTTCTTCTTCTTTTGTTTTTTCCAAGATGCAGTCTTGCTCTGTCACCCAGCCTGGAGTGCAGTGGCACAATCTCGGCTCACTGCAACCTCCGCCCCCTGGGTTTAAGCAATTCTCCTGCCTCAGCCTCCGGAGTGGCTGGGATTACAGGCACGTGCCACCATGCCTGGCTAAGTTTTGTATTTTTAGTAGAGATGGGGTTTTGCCATATCGGCCAGGCTGGTCTCAAACTCCTGACCTCGTGATCCTCCCACTTTGGCCTCCCAAAGTGCTGGGCTTACAGGTGTGAGCCACCATGCCTGGCCCTCATCTTTCTAAGTACTGTGCTGTGCTTATGCTGTGACTTTGATCATTTTTTTTTTTTTTTTACATTTTATGACTCCTCACTCAGGAATCATAAGTCTTAGCCCTCACCCTGCTCACAAACATCATCACAAACATTACCCTCCCTCACTTCTCAACATAATTATATCACAGTTTGTTAACAAGTCAATACACAAAGTTCAATATATAATAGCTACTTAAATACCACCCACAACTGAGCCATGTAGTGTACTATGAAGACATTTCCTTTCTCATATGACTTTGCACATGTGGTAGACATTTCAGCAGATCCCCAAAATCCAGAAGTGCTGGCTTCACTGGCAGGGCAGGCAAGTCCAGGGGAGAGGAGTTCCCTGAGGTTGTCTGGCCTGGTTTCCCAGGCAGCTCTTTCCATGTGTTACAGAGCAGGTCTCCAAAAGTGGCCCTCAGAGTGAATGGGGAAGGCAGGGTTTGCATCAGGGTCCACACTTGTGGAGGGAGGAAGGGCAGGATTGGGTGGAGTTTAGCCATGCTGTGTGCCTGGCAGAGCCTTGGCCCAACTCCCTGGGAGCTTCAGGGTAAACGTGTCCCACCAGAGTTATTCCTTGTCCAGCTGAAATGGCCAAACCTTCCTTGATACGCCCACTTCCATCGGCCAGAGATGTAGCTGTTCCTGGAAGAATGAGTCCTTGTGGGAGGCAACTCTCTGCACCTGAGGCAAATCCTGAAGGCACTAGAGGCTTTCTCTGCAACACGGTATTATGCCCTTTCTTGACAGGGGTTTGGGGGGTGTGCACGTGTGTCCACCCCACATGCATGGTGTATACACATATACAACCCACATACACATATACATACACACACACAAATGGAACCATGCTTATTTTGCACTTAATGGTATAGCTTGGAGATTGCTGTGCCCCTACCATGGGCCCAGCGTTTGGTTACAGGCAGGCTGCAAGGCAGGTAGCATCTGATGTGCTCCTGTCTCCCCGAAGCACTCAGCATGTGGGGATTGCATGCTAGAGTTGGTATTGCACGCGTGTGCAAACAAAGAAGAAAGGACAAACTCTAACCTCATGGGACTCATGTCCTAGTCATGCGGAGGATGTAAAAATAATGAACAAGGTCCCAGGGTGTGGCCTTCCTGAGACAGTGGGTTGCCAGAGATGGGGGGACCAGGCTGGCTGGAACCGCTGGGGGTGGGGAGGGGTGGTTCCTGGGGAAGAGACTGAGCATGGGCTGAAGTGCAGAGGACAGAAAGACATCAGTGGTGGAGAAAGTATGAGCAATGGGTGGGGGAGGGTGGAGTGAGAGAGCCCAGGCCAGGCCACACGTGTGCTGAGGGCTCTGCAGGGGGCTCACTGTGAGGCTGAGCGGCCCATCTCCATGAGAGATGCCCCTACCCAGGGGCTTGTTGGATCTCCACCTAGTTTCTGCCATACCTCGCCTCTGCGGCAAGCGACTCCCAGATTCTCCAATTCTCTGGCACTCAACATCCTTGCAAAATGTTCCCTAAGACAGAGAGAGGCAAGGGACCCATCCCTGTAAACCTGGGACTCCACCAGGGGAATGGGATTTTCCTCTCGACCTCCCTTCAGGGACCCCATGGGGCTCTCTGGACCCACCAGCTCTGCAGGCCAAACATATTGGTGGCGGCTGGAGAATCCCACAGAAACGGACGCATTTTCGGGATGCCTCAGAAATACGACTTTTTATTGTAATTAAAATATTTGAAATTTTCTTTGAAATTTATTTGAAATTCAGCCCCATAATAGAGTGGTTTGCTTAATGACTGCAGAGTATTGTCTTATCTGAGGAGAAGCAGGACATTTTAAGACCACAGAGTCCTGAATTCACAGCTTGGAATTTTCACCCATGCTGGCTGTTAATTGACATAAGCCATTAAAGGGAAAGAATTTTTGGCAAATCCTGAGGTACTTGTGCAAATCCATGGACACGTTCAAATCCTTTTAAAATAAGCATCCGGTGAGCCAAGCATTTCAGAAAAATAGGCTGCTTAACCGGAAGGTTTGCAAAGGCTTCTGTGGTTCCCGAATACAGTATCTGCACATGGTTCCACTTACTGACAAAGACCAAACTTCTAAAATATAACTGTGAATTTCACAGACACTGGCATAACCACGCGGAATTTTGATTTTCTTGGGAAATATGGAAAGACCTTGTCACCAACCTCAGAACCATGGCTTGGTTTGCCATTTTCTTTTTTTTTTTTTTTTTGAGATGGAGTTTCGCTGTTGTTGTCCAGGCTGGAGCGCAGTGGTGTGATCTCTGCTCACTGCAACCTGCACCTCCTGGGTTCAAGCGATTCTCCTGCCTTAGCCTCCTGAGTGGCTGGGATTACAGGCACGTGCCACCACGCCCAGCTAATTTTTTGTATTTTTAGTAGAGATGGGGTTTTTCCATGTTAGTCAGGCTGGTCTCGAACTCCTGACCTCAGGTGACCCGCCCGCCTCGGTCTCCCAAAGTGCTGGGATTACAAGCATGAGCCACCGCGCCCGGCCTGGTTTGCCATTTTCTTAGCACTGTGGGTCTTGCCTGGCCGTGATATGAACCGTGGTACACAGGAGAGTCCTACCCTGCAGTCACCCTCGAGCCCATGGTGGAGGCCATGGGGGTGCTGAGGCCGCCAGGGCACCTGCGGCCCGCTCAGTGCATGCTGGTGCTTCCCGTGGTTAGGCCCCCACATCTTGTGAAATCTGGCTTCTCCTTTCCACAGGGTCTAAGTGCGGGGAAGTAAGGATCCTGCATCTGTGAAGGACACCAGAGGTCACCCCTGCCTCTCCTTAGGGTCAGAGCCTGAGGTCGGGGTGGAGCCAGGGGCCCGCACTGCAGGGGTGCAACGGCTCTGCACTCTTCAATCTGAGTCAACCCTACACCTTGCTGGTGGGCGTGGGGATGGTGACCTGCAGAGAAGGTCACTTCATCTAAGGGTAAATTAGTTCATGACTCTCACAGAGCACTTTTTTTTTTTTTTCCGCTGGAAGTACCTTGTTTTGTGGAAAGCATGCCAGGCTGTTGCTCCAGCCTGTGTCCCCGGCACCCTGTAAGTGAGGCCTCAGCCCAGGTGGGTGAATCTTTTCACTCGCACTGGGGACATGTGTGTGTTGTGGCTGCAGAGCGTGTGCACCGTGATGTAGGTAGCATTTCCCGCCTGAGCCCACACAGCAGGGACGCGGCTGCCACTCTGAGAGCTGGAGGGCCTTCCCAGGAGCTTTGCTGCCAGAGCTCGAGCCTGTGGGGGCTCCCCCAGGTTCGTGAGCAGGTTCTTCGGTTACAAGAAGGTGAATTAACCGACTCAGGCTAAGTTCAGCAAAAGGAACTTAGGGGATGTCAAGAGCTGGACACGTGGACAGGAGCCCAGCTTGGAAACTCGCAGGAAGAAAAGGGGGCTCTGGAAGCCAGGGGCTCTGAGAGAAGAATCTCAGAAGAGCCTCCAGATTG
Organism: Homo sapiens; assembly: GCF_000001405.40. Lineage (NCBI taxonomy): Eukaryota > Metazoa > Chordata > Mammalia > Primates > Hominidae > Homo > Homo sapiens. The sequence continues at coordinate 4,271,530 of NC_000007.14, read as the reverse complement.
TTCATTCCCTGCTGGGGAATTCAAATTGTTCACATTCCCAGGAGGGAGCAGCGCCTGCCCTGCCCCATTCCACCTGGCTCGGGACACACGTTGCCTCTTGGCCTGGAAGGATGGCCCCAAAGAATGGTTGTCCTATGCAGGATCTGTTGGGGGAAGAGGCGATTTCCCAGAGGCAGTGAGGCTGCTGTCGGGCAGGAGAAATGGGCTGTGGCAGCCACAGCACAGGCAAACCTGCTCCGCCCTTGAGTTTGGCCCTTGAGAACCCAGCTCAGCTCAGAGATGCTTTGGTAAGGGTGGTGCCCATTGGTTCAAGAGTCCTAGCGGGGCCTGGGGCTTCACCTCCTGTGGATGGGGCTCTCTGTGAGGGAGAGGAGGACCCAGATTCAGTTCCTTTCAGAGGAGACCTGAACTCAGGAAGATGCGGGTCCCTCCTGGTTCTGCACCTATGGAGTGCCCACTTTAGATGGCACAGAGGCTGGAGGAAGATGGGCACTGGGCTCTGTGGGACCCCCAAGCCCAGAAATCCACAGGCTCCTCCCAGGAGTGATCAAGCTGGAGGCTCCCTCCCCGTCCTCCTCCCTCCCTGTTTTCTCACCCATGGGGAACCAAATGCTGATGCCGGAGTCCCAGAGGCCATATCAGGGCTCCTGCACTCAACTCCTCTCCCTTCCGATGTGGCTGGCATCTCACCTGGGCTGCTTTTCCTTCTTGTGGAGTTATTCTTATGTAATCGTCATCCAACAAGACAGGGCAGTTCTTTTCTCCGGGCTAACTAGTTGCGTTTACAACTTTCTCCCGTGAACTTTTCAACAATAGTAGTAACGGCAGGGCTTTGCATCACCTATCCCAACTTAATTCATGCCTTTCCTCTTTCTAACAGGAGAGGATGGTGTGGGGAAAATAAAATCTTCTAAGCCGCCTGTGCATTCAGCCCGTGACGTTGCAGTAATGACGCCAGGCTCCGAGCTATAGGGAGAGGTACATGCCTCCTCACAGGATAACAGCCCACGGATCTGACGGTGACTGCAGACAGCCTCGTGGGAGGCAGTGCAGTGCAGTGGTCAGGCCTAGACACCAGGCTCCGGAGCCCCCAGCTGCCCAGGTTTGGAGCTGATCTGCCTTGGTCAGCTGGCTACCCCTGGGCAAATGGCTCCACCTCTCTGGGCGCATTTCCTCATCTACACAATGGGACCCCCCTGACTGTACCTACCTCACAGGGTCCTGGTGGGAGTTCTGTGGATTAACGAGAACCCAGAGCACCGTCAGGCACATGGCGTGCGTTCAGTAAATGTCAAGGGCCTTTTCCACCGCAGCTGCAACTTCTGAAATATTGGAGATGGTGGGAAATCTGCAGACTTACATGTCGTATTATAGAGGGTGGTGGGATGTGGGCTGAACATGGTGGGAAAACAGAGAAAATGAAAGGGTTCTTACCTGGGGCTTATCAGTGGCAGCGACTGCTTCCGGAGCAAAAGGTAACGTTGGCAAAGTCAGAACCCTGTCCCTTCATTCAAGGTCAGAACACCGGCCCCACCCCGGCCCCTCCTCCCACCAGAGTAGCTTCCTTGCTGCGTTGGAATCACCTGGGGAGCTTTCAAAACAAATGTCTGCACCCGATCCCCAGAGACTCCGATTTAATTGGCCTGGGTGTGGCCTGGACACTGAGATTTTTAACGATCCTGGGGCCACTGAGGCCCAAAGCCCTGCAAGATGGGTGATAAGGGGGCAGCCATGCTTCCTCCTGCTGGCCCCGGCATGTGGCTGCCTCAGTGGCCCCGTGTTTCATAGAAGCCCAGGGTACCTGCAGTGACTGGCAGATGCCTTTGAAAATTCCACTTCAGGCACCCTGCAGTCCCAGCACTTAGGGAGGCCGAGGTGGGAGGATCACTTGAGCCCAGGAGGTTAAAGTTGCAGTGAGCTATGATCACACCACTACACTCCATCCTAAGCAACAGGGTGAGACCCCGTCTCTTAAAAAGAAAGAAACAAGCAAAATTCCACTTCCGAAAGGGAAGGGAATGGTCTCGTCTCATTCCCTCGACCCAGAGCACGCCTGGGGCGTGACAAGCTGTGGTGTGGACAGACCCCTTAGGAGGCAAAGGCCGTCTTGCTCACAGCTCCACTTCCGCCCACCCAAGGCTAAGTTTGGCTATGAGCTGTTCTTTTCCTCCGGACACGTGTGAAGTCTCTGGTGGTCCAGCCAGGTGGTGGGTGGAGTTGGGCTGGCCCTGGGAATGGCTGCTGGTCCATGCAGGGGGGTCTCACTGGCTGAGGCTCCATGCTGCCTGCCCCAGGTCACCCGGCCAGGGTGTGGAGTGGCTTTACCCCTGACCTCAACTCCAATTTTGGGGGATGCTGCCTGTACACACCTGCATGTCAACAGGATAAAGGTAAGGGTGTTGGGGGTGCCGGGGGTCCAGCACGGCACTGGGGTGAAGTCCCAGTGGTTCATATTTACAGCTTTTCAAATCCAGAAGGTTCCTAAGGTCTCCCGAATAATTGCATCAATGCTTGAAGAAAATCACAAGCGTTTAAGGAACAAAATAATGTTTTTATTAAAAATTGTACCCATAGCACCTCTCTGTCTTCCTACAAGTTGTTTCTTTTTTTCTTTTAATGAGATCTGTTTTTCTGCACAATTTCAGAAAAAGTTGTAGGGAACGTTTAGGGACCTGACGGCTCCCTAAACCAGAAGGTGACGCGGGAAGGAGACGTGTCCCAGCGGGCAGGCTCAGCTCATGAGTTTCCACGTTGTCCTCACCTTTCAGACTGGATCCATGCTACCAGGACGCTGACCCACGGGGAGCCACACTTAGGTACGCAGACGGGTTGCTCGTCAGGAGGATAGCTACACTGTGTGCCAAGAATGCGTAAGAAATAAAAACCATGCTACGAACCATTAGGCAAACATCATGCTTCAGCCCAGTCACAGTTAGATACAAACACGGCCTCCGAAGACCTGTACAGAGTGAGCCACCTCCCGGGGCTGTGGAGGCGCGTTCCGTGTGTGGCCATCTGGGTCCCCTCTCCCTGGGGCCCCTCGTTTTTTGGCTACAGCATTGAGTGAAGTGCGCCTTATAAAAGCAGGCTGGGAGAGAGGCTGAAGGCGAGGCTGGGGAGAGGGGCTTGGGCTGGACCGATTCACCCAGAAGGTGGCCGTGCAGGAGGCCGAGGGGGTGTGGCCTGGCAGCTCTCTCTGGGCTCACCTGCCTGGAATCTCTGCCCTGGCACCCCAGGAGGAGGGAGCTCTGCACACCCATCCCTGTGGCTCAGACGGAGCCTCCTGGCCACTCCGTGACCACATCCTTGCAGGGTGGGGCCGAAGCAATCTGAAATGAGCCACGTTGGGGGTGGGTGGGGAGACTCAGCCACTGCTGTCATGAGGCATCCGCAAGGCATGACTTTCAGCACGGCAGGAGAGAGCGGGAGCACATTCCATCTAGCCTGGCTTAGAGACATTTTGTTTGTCCTCTTTTTAAAACCGAGATTAAAATCCAACCTCCATCTTCCTAGGCTGTGATTTTCTTTTCCTTCCCTGAAGATAAGGAGTTAGGAACTGTTGCTTCTCAAATGCCGCATTGCTCTGGGAGGCCAAAATCTACCTGGAAACATCCAGCTCTGTTCCTTTGCACAGGTGGTTCTCATGGGACAGAGTCCCTCCGAGGCATGGGCGCTGTCCTAAGCACAGTCCAGCAGCAGCCAGGAGGCCGGCGTAGCCTCGGACAGGCCGCTCCGTACAGATCAAGGTTTACTAAGAGTGGAGGGGAGACGGAAAACATGAGCTTGAAACAGAAGTGTCATGATGTTGTATCGAAAACCCGAGAGCAACAAACATATCTCGAATCTGCTCATCCTCAACCTAAGACGTCTCAACACTCTCCCTGGCATGTAAAGCCACATCCTCATGGCTGCAGAGAGCAGTCATCAGAGTGCACAGAAAGCAGCGCTGGCCATGGTCTCCATTTATCGCTTCTCTTCCAAGAAATTCCAGTGCTCACATCCTGGCTTCCCGCCCACTTCGCCCTCTCCGGGGCCGAGGGGAAGGAGGTGGCACTGTCCACTGTGGTGAGTCTCATCCGGGGAACTGTGGGTTGCGATTCTCATGCAGAAGTGGCTTTGGGCAGAGCATCTAGGATTTTTGGTTTAGAATATTTCCCCCTCCACTCAGAAAAAGGAGGAGAAAAGGAAGAAGGAATAGGGGAGAGAGGAAGGGAGGGAGGGAAAGAAGGGAGGGAAGGAAGGAGGAAAGAGAGGAAGGAAGGGAGGGAAGGAGGGAGGGAGGGAGGAAAGAAGAGAGGAAGGGAGGAAGGAAGGAAAGGAGGGGTAAAGGAAAGGAAGGAGGGGAAGGAAGGGAGGAGAGAAAAAAGGAAACTTGCCATACCCTCTAATTTTGGAAAGACTGAAAAGGGGTTTTCCAGCCTATACAAAACTCTCCTTGGTCTCCTGGGGCCATACTCAGCAACGCTGACAGCACAGAATCCAGGCAATATCCACACCCTCTGCCCATGGAGGTGCACAAAACATCTAGGTAAGCAGGGGCCACACTTTCTGCATGTGGCCAGGAGACTGGCTCCTGGGTGGCACTGGTCAGATACTGCTCAGTTGTCCCCTACCCTCAGGTCACTGGGGGAACGGCACCTGCCCGTTTGCCGTGCACTGGGGGGCACTGACAGGGTGGTCTTGAGTCTTGTGTGTGTCACGCTGCTGCTGGTGAGGGGGCACTTACAGGGACCCGGGGCACACACGCCAGTGGGCACCAGCAGTGCTCCCGTTCCATCCAGACCCGGGACCCGGGCTGAGGGGTGGACCATGGCAGCCCAGTCGTCTGTTGCAAAGATGACGTGAGGGGCTGGAGGCATGGCCATCTCTGAGCTGTTAAGTTTTCCAAAGTAGTTCATACTCTTTTCATCTAGCTGAAAAATTTAAACCAAACAATGACAATTTTAAATAAAAAAAAGAAACATTTCCAAAAAACCTGTTAAGGCTAAAAGCTGGCCTCGGACTGGGAGAGGGGGCAGCAGCAGCGCCAGTGGTGGAGAAGCGGTGGCTGCTGCGAGCAGCCAGCAGAAGCCAGGACAGAGGGAGGGGACGGCCTGGTGTGCACGAGGCGAGTCGGGAGCGTGTGTTCTCAGAGCTGTTTTGCTTTATTTGCAGACACTGTTGCTTTTCATCTTTCCCATGTACAAAGCTGAACAATTAATAAAAAGGCACCTGGAGACAGCAAAGACGCATTCATTTCATGTGACATAGTTTAAAAAAAGATAAAAAGATTTTAAAAATACTCTGGTTAACAATGCACGCTTCCTACGTAACAAGCAATTCTGGAGACGCCGTCCCGTGTCCTCGTGTCCCGCGGAGTTGACCGTGTGCTGTGTTCGGGGAAGGAGAGGGCCAGCGTGGTGGCTTCCAGCCCTAAGAGGCTTCCCTCTCCCTCGCTGTCAGGTGAGAAGGAAGGGGGAAAGACAGGCAGAAAAGCCTGAGGACCGCACCACTGCAGTGACACAGACAGTGACGGCTGAGCCACACCTTAGCATCCCTGCCTGGCCGTCAGGAACCTGAAAGCCGACTCCTTGACTAGACACTGCCAAGTGAGAACATTTCAGAAACAGATGAAGTTGGGACAAAACGCACTGAGCCCAGGGAAAAACGTTTGCTCTTCAAACCCCAGGAGCCGCCGAGGATGTCCTGCGTTGAGAAGGGTGTGAGCCGCTGGTTCTCTGGAAGAGGAGGTAGAAAGAGACGGGGGCCGGCCGGGGCAGCTCTGAGATCTCACCTGACCCTCCACTCCCTCTCCCCGCTTGACCCTTCCTAGTTGGTCTTGAAGACGGAGAAACCCAGGGCTGGGGAGGTCTGAGGTCCTCCCAGGCCCCGGAGGTGCCAAGCCATTGCACCAGTGAAATACACCTTCTCTTAAAAAGAAAAGAAAAAGAAACAAACCTGCTTCCTGCAGCGAAGTTACAAAAAGCCGTTTAAAAAAACCTTCCTAATTGAAATCTAGTGTCCACAAGTAGGTAAAATCATCACTTATCAGATTTTTTTCTTTTTAAACAAAAACTTCAGCTCAGTTATTGGAGTTGATTGTCTTAACAAAAATAGACTCCGGAAAGTTGCCTCCGTTCCGCCCTGAGGGAGGCGCGGCGCTTTGCTCACACGAAGGAGGAGAAGCCGGTGAGCGGAGTTCGCGCGCCGGGGCCAGCGGGGGTGTAGACGCCGCCCGCGCTCTGCGTGGTGATGACCGGGTGCAGCTGCGCGCCCGCCTCGGAGCCCGCCACCGCCTCGTACCTGTGCGGCGCAGGTGCGCGGCCCTGGGCCCTGCGCTTCCATGAGTTGTAGTAGGTGGGGTCGCTCATGTAGTGGTTCACGAAGGAGTGCTTGGGCAGCGCGTCCTCGTAGTCAGAGTCCGTGGCCTGCGGGGAGCGGGAGAGAAGGTGTGAGTGCAGGGCAGGGCGCAGGGCCCGGAGCGTGCTGGGCAGGAGGCCTGGCGGTGGGGGCACCTCCCCAGGGGCGTGTGTCGCGGTCTCCAGCCCTCTCCCCACCCCAACCCAATGCCAGGCCCTCCCACCCTCCACACAGGAGAGCAGGCAGCCCCCAGGTCCCCCTCCCTGATCCAGGTGTGACCGACACTGCATTTTCTCAGCTGCATCCAGCCCCTCACTCTGTACCAGGTTTCCGAGAAGAGCTGGGCCTCCACCCAGGAGAGGTCTATGCAGCCTCCCCACTCAGGAGCAATCTACATGGTCTCCTCACCCCAGGAGAGGTCTACACGGCCTCCCTCACTCAGGAGAGGTCTACACGGCCTTCCTTACCCCAGGAGAGGTCCACACCGCCTCCCCACTCAGGAGAGATCTACGCAGCCTCCCTCACTCAGGAGAGGTCTACACGGCCTTCCTTACCCCAGGAGAGGTCCACACGGCTTCCCTCACTCAGGAGAGGTCCACGCGGCCTCCCCACTCAGGAGAGGTCCACGCGGCCTCCCTCACTCAGGAGAGGTCCACGCGGCCTCCCTCACTCAGGAGAGGTCCACGCGGCCTCCCTCACTCAGGAGAGGTCCACGCGGCCTCCCTCACTCAGGAGAGGTCCACGCGGCCTTCCTTACCCCAGGAGAGGTCCACGCGGCCTTCCTTACCCCAGGAGAGGTCCACACGGCCTCCCTCACTCAGGAGAGATCTACACGGCCTCCTCACTCAGGAGAGATCTACGCGGCCTCCCTCACTCAGGAGAGGTCTACACGGCCTCCCCACTCAGGAGAGGTCTACGCGGCCTCCCCACTCAGGAGAGGTCTACGCGGCCTCCCCACTCAGGAGAGGTCTACGCGGCCTCCCCCACTCAGGAGAGGTCTACGCGGCCTCCCCCACTCAGGAGAGTTCTACGCGGCCACCCTCACTCAGGAGAGGTCTACGCGGCCTCCCCACTCAGGAGAGGTCTACGCGGCCTCCCCCACTCAGGAGAGGTCTACGCGGCCTCCCCCACTCAGGAGAGGTCTACGCGGCCTCCCCACTCAGGAGAGGTCTACGCGGCCTCCCTCACTCAGGAGAGGTCTACGCGGCCTCCCCACTCAGGAGAGGTCTACGCGGCCTCCCCACTCAGGAGAGGTCTACGCGGCCTCCCTCACTCAGGAGAGGTCTACGCGGCCTCCCCACTCAGGAGAGGTCTACGCGGCCTCCCCACTCAGGAGAGGTCTACGCGGCCTCCCTCACTCAGGAGAGGTCTACGCGGCCTCCCCACTCAGGAGACGTCTACGCGGCCTCCCCACTCAGGAGAGGTCTACGCGGCCTCCCCACTCAGGAGAGGTCTACGCGGCCTCCCTCACTCAGGAGAGGTCTACGCGGCCTCCCTCACTCAGGAGAGGTCTACGCGGCCTCCCCACTCAGGAGACGTCTACGCGGCCTCCCCACTCAGGAGAGGTCTACGCGGCCTCCCCACTCAGGAGAGGTCTACGCGGCCTCCCTCACTCAGGAGAGGTCTACGCGGCCTCCCCACTCAGGAGGCGTCTACGCGGCCTCCCCACTCAGGAGAGGTCTACGTGGCCTCCCCACTCAGGAGAGATCTACGCGGACTCCCTCACTCAAGAGAGGTCTACGCGGCCTCCCCACTCAGGAGAGGTCTACACAGCCTTCCCACCCCAGCAAAGATCTAGGTGGCCTCCCCACCCAGCAGAGGTCTACGCAGCCTCCCCACACAGGCCCCAGGGGACTCTGCCTGCCCCTACAGGGCAGAACATAGAAGAGCCCCAGGGGTGGGGAAGATCTGGGTCTTTGGCTTGCCTGAGACTAAGATGTGGGCTGCTACAGACCAAAACAAAAGGATTCTGGAGGTGACCAGGTACAGGGAAGCGGGTGGGCAAGGTGATGAGGTAGAGGGGAAGGAGGGGGTGGGGGGGTGATGAGGTAGCAGGGAGGGTGGGTGTGGGGGTGATGAGGTGGAGGGGAGGGAAGGGGTGGGGGGTGATGAGGTAGAAGGGAGGGGAGGGGAGGGGGTGGGGGGTGATGAGGTGGAGGTGAGGGGTGGGGAGGTGATGAGGTAGAGGGGAGGGTGGGTGTGGGGGGTGATGAGGTGGCGGGGAGGGAAGGGGGTGGTGGGTGATGAGGTAGAAGGGAGGGGAGGGGGTGGGGGGTGATGAGGTAGAGGGGAGGGGAGGAGAGGGGGTGGGGGTGATGAGGTAGAAGGGAGGGGAGGGGGTGGGGAGGTGATTAGGTAGAGGGGAGGGGAGGGGTAGGGGGTGATGAGGTAGAAGGGAGGGGAGGAGAGGGGGTGGAGGTGATGAGGTAGAGGGGAGGGGAGGGGGTGGGGTGTGATTAAGTAGAAGGGAGGGGATGGGGGAGGTGATGAGGGGAGAGGATTGGGGGGTGCATCCTCCCCTTGCAAGTGATCGTGTGACATCACATCCACAGAGACCTCCGAGGGTGGGGAGGGGACGGAGAAATGAAGCTGCCTGAATAAGCCAGGGTGTCTAATATGTCTCCCCGGCCAGGTACTGAATGGCCTGGCCCCTCAAACACACGGAAAAGTGGCCTGAGGCCTCCCACTGATGTTTGAAGATCAGTCCCTTTGAGGCTTTTTTTTTTCCTTTTTATAAAATAAATCAGCAGCTTCCATTAAGAACATGGACCCTGCATGTTTTCTAGGTTCATTTTCTGAAAGCAAACCTCTATTTTATGGTCTTTCGGTTTGATGTGAAGTCATTGGAAGGACCGTTAAAGGAGAAAGTGGACTTTGGGTGGCTGAGGCGAGCGGATCACCTGAGGTCGGCAGATCACCTGAGGTCAGGAGTTCGAGACCAGCCTGTCCAACACGGTGAAACCTGTCTCTGCTAAAAATACAAAAATTAGCTGGGCATGGTGGTGGGTGCCTGTAATACCAGCTACTTGGGAGGCTGAGGCAGGAGAATCCCTTGAACCCGGGTTCAAGGGATTCTTGAGGTTGCAGTGAGCCGAGATCTCGCCACTGCACTCCAGCCTGGGTGACAGAGCCAGACTCCATCTCAAAAAAAAAAAAAAAAAAAAAAAAAAAAAGGAGAAAGCAGAGGGTGAAATTGATTTTTTTTTCCCCTAAGAAGGTGGAGGTTTCTCGGTTTTGCTGATAAGTGCCACATCCTCCCGATGCATGGAAGCATCCTGGGACCCTCACCTGTGCGTCCTAACAGCTTCCCAGGCTCCTAGGGGATCCACCTGGTGGCACAGAGACCAAGGCGCTGCTGCGGAACTAACGCTAAGACGCTTCCCAGGGCCCCCGTCTCTCACAGGGGTCAGGCAGACCTGACCTTTTCCTCTCCCCAGAGGGTATCAAGGGAACTGGGGAGGGGGTAAAAGAGTGAGCGGCCTTGAAATGCCATCTGAGGATCATCAGCTGTGTATCGAGGCAGCAGATTCCTGGGAGTGGCTCCAGCTATCCTGACTCTGTGGGTCTGTCGGAGGCCGGGGAATGTGCATTCTTTTACAGGCTCTCTGAGGATTCCCATCAGCGGCCAGGCTAGGAGCTGCGCCTTGTGGGTGTTAAGACAGACGGCTGTGGCCCCAGATGTGGGCCCCATTGCCAGCCACAGCAGCTCTTTCAGAAGTAAACACTCTAGAAGGAAAACTGCCAATCCGGTTTCCCCAGGGTGTGTGAGCTGCGTCCTTGCAGCTGGAGGCGGGGGTGGGCAGGGGATGGGAGAGTTGCCAGCTCCCCTAATTTTGCAGGAGGTCCACACTGAGACCCAGGAAAACAAAAGCGTCCCTGGGTGCGGTGAGTGATGTTCCTGCCAGCTGCTCCCTCATCTGAGAGTCAGAGTGAATTACCCACATCAGCACCCGGGCAGGAAGCTCTGATCCATGAGCCGACACCGTCCGGCACCTAGGGACTTGGATCTGTCCCGGAGCCCTGTGAGAGTGGTCAGCCTCCAGGCTGTGCAGAAACCCCATGGAGGCGTAGCAGGGAGCCAGAGGTTCCTGGGATTTGGGGACACAGGCTGAAAATCTACCTCAAACTGGAATATTTACATGAAACTAACAGCGAGTCACAGATTTGGGACTTCTCCGAACATTAAGTATAAACTGTTTGGCTTATGGTACAATACACAGAACAGCTGAATCCATCTGTGGCTCCTCTGCATTTAGGAGAATTGCAGACGTAAGACACATCTTCCCACACACACCGAGACCCCGGAGCAGCCAGCTTCTCCATCAGGTGACGATGAACACATCCTCCCACACATGCAGAGACCCCGGAGCAGCCAGCTTCTCCATCAGGTGACGATGAACACATCTTCCCACACACACAGAGACCCCGGAGCAGCCAGCTTCTCCATCAGGTGACGATGAACACATCCTCCCACACACGCAGAGACCCTGGAGCAGCCAGCTTCCCTATCAGGTGACGATGAACACATCTTCCCACACACCCAGAGACCCCGGAGCAGCCAGCTTCTCCATCAGGTGACGATGAACACATCTTCCCACACACACAGAGGCCCCGGAGCAGCCAGCTTCTCCATCAGGTGACGATGAACACATCTTCCCACACACAGAGACCCCGGAGCAGCCAGCTTCTCCATCAGGTGACGATGAACACATCTTCCCACACACACAGAGACCCCGGAGCAGCCAGCTTCTCCATCAGGTGACGATGAACACAACTTCCCACACACACCGAGGCCCCGGAGCAGCCAGCTTCTCCATCAGGTGACGATGAACACATCTTCCCACACACACCGAGGCCCCGGAGCAGCCAGCTTCTCCATCAGGTGACGATGAACACATCTTCCCACACACACCGAGGCCCTGGAGCAGCCAGCTTCTCCATCAGGTGACGATGAACACATCTTCCCACACACACAGAGGCCCCGGAGCAGCCAGCTTCTCCATCAGGTGACGATGAACACATCTTCCCACACACACAGAGACCCCGGAGCAGCCAGCTTCTCCATCAGGTGACGATGAACACATCTTCCCACACACACAGAGACCCCAGAGCAGCCAGCTTCTCCTTCATCGGGTGACGATGATAAACGTGGCAGTGGCTCCTTTTTCGGGAACACCGATTACATACCAGATTAATGCCCGGGCATGATCTCTGCAACTGGCTGAGGATCCTATGATGCAGATGTTACAATTCCCACTTTATGAATAAAGAAGCAAGGCTCAGCGAGAGAGGCTGGGTGGGAGCCTGCACCTGAGCTCCCCAACCCCTCGGGTTCACCCACCTCCGCAGATCCTGTAACTTCCTCCTAGTTCCAGGCTTCTCTCTAGGATCCGCGCAACAGGTGTACAACCCTCCATTCCAAATTCCAAAACCCACAACGCTCTGAAACTCAAAAGGTTTTTTTATAACTCATTTGGTGGCGAAGGCTGAGCTGACTTGAGCTAACCTGGCAGCTTACCCCTAGGTGAGCTGATGTAGGGCTATTCAGTGTGAATATTCTCATATTCTGCTACAAGAAGACCAATGTGTTTGGTCGCCAAGCGCTGGCCCGGCCCTACTGGAGCAGTTCCCTAATATATGATGTACTCCCAAACTTGAGAAACACTGGATTCTTAAATATATCTAGCCTCAAGGGTTTCAGCTAAGAGATCAGGGATCTGTATTTGTGGCTGTTTAAGATTTATTTATTTATTTTTGAGACAGAGTTTCACTCTTGTAGCCCAGGCTAGAGTGCAGTGGTACGATCTTGGCTCACTGTAACCTCTGCCTCCTGGGTTCAAGCTATTCTCGTGCCTCAGCCTCCTATCTGGGATTACAGGTGCCCGCCACCACACCTGGCTAATTTTTGTATTTTTAGTAGAGATGGGGTTTCACCGTGTTGGCCAGGCTGGTCTCGAACTCCTGACCTCAGCTGATTTGCCCACCTCGGCCTCCCAAAGTGCCGAGATTACAGGTGTGAGCCCCTGCACCTGGCCTGTTTAAGATTTATTCTTCATCTGTTTTCTAGGGGCCTTGAGGTGGCTTACAAGGTTAAGCTCTGCGTAAACTAAAACGGAAGAAAAGAGAACAAAGATCATCTGAAGGAAGCCAAAGGAATCTCCATGATTAGCCCCTGAATTGGGTTTGTTACTTCTTTAGAGACCAACTTGGAATCTAAACTTCCTGAAACTTAGGGAAAATCACATGTATTGAAATATAGTGAAGGAATCACTTTTCTCACGAGAAATTCACAGAATATTTAGGAACGAATGACAGAAATTTAGTGCTAGGTTTCACAAACTGGGGTTAGGGTTCATTATCATCTGAAGGTCAAATATGAGGTTCAAGACTTTCACCCTCTTTTGACTATATTCCCAGGTCCCGGGGGTCTTCCCCATTCAACTTCCCTACCACAAGGGATCCTAGTGGGGAAAAACGAGAGAAGTGGTGACTGGATTCAATTTCCTCGTCTTGGGTCTGAAACAATCAACATCCACAAATGCAAGTGACCTTCTTAGGGTCATACTGGCCGGGGCCAGACCGGGGCCAAAACCAGCCTGGTTTCTCAGCCAAAGGTGGCAGAAATAAAGTCCTTTTAGTAGCAGGGAGGAGATACCTTCAACCCCAGTTGTAGAAAAGATAGAGAAACGCTATTTATATGGGTGAGTCTTATATGGAAAGCGTCTCTGCATGGTGGGGAAATCAGCAATTTCAGTGGGAGGGCATGCTACGAATTCAGTTAGTCTGTCTTGCACCCACTCGGTGACCCTTTGGGCATCTCTCTGCCCTGTGTACACCCCTGCCCACCCCTCCTCCTGCAGCTGCCAGGCTGTAGGGAAGCAGGGTTCACACTGGGTGGGGCCTAGGGGTGGTTCGGAAGGGACTGCTGAGCTCTCACTGGAGTCCACATTTCCAAGAGCATGTCCAGAACTGCTTAGAGAATGAGTGTAGCACATGGCCCACACCCATCTGCGTGTTTATACCATTTCCTTCACGGCTTGTATATATGTTGCTATGTATCCTGATGTTTCCTCAGCCAAAGATCTAAAAGTCCTGTAGTCTCAAGAGAAGGGTCTGTGACACATGTGGGTGCCAAGAAGGGGGCCTGGCGGGAGACACAAATTGGGAGTGCTTGGTCGTCCAACTCGCAGTGATTCCTGTTGTTTGTGTCTAGGCCTCAACCCCTTCTTTGAAGGAAGCAGTTCTTCCCCACCACATGGATAGGCTAGCTTGCCTCTCAGAAAACCGTGATTGGCTAATAGCTGGGCATGTGGCTTCAGCTCAGCCAATCAGAGTCTTGCCTTGGGATTTTTCACAATGCAGCTGGAAGGGAAGAGTGCTTTGTTCTGGGGAGGAAAGCTGGGAGGCCGTGAGTTCTGAGTGGCCAGTGCCCACAGACCCAGCCAGGTGATTCTATAATAACAGCTAATCGGACAGAACATAACCATTGTACAGAAAGAAGCAGAGACACGAGGCTCCAAGAGGCTTTTCCTTCTTGCTATTTAGGGAGGAGAAGTGAGAATACACCCAGAGCCACATGACCAATAAATGTCAGGCAGAGCTGAAGCTAAAAGCTGGGTTTCCTGGCTCCTGCTCAGCCCCTGTCATTGCCTCTTTGAGAAAGCACAATCTTAAAATGTCATTCTTCCTCCTGCTGCCTGCTCTGTTTATTATTTATATGACATTATTATTTTTTAATGGGGATGTATTTTAGTGAGTTAGAATTATTGACAAAATGGAAATGCTGCAGAGTCTGTTTTTGGTAAGTTTCCTGTGTGATGTGAAGTAGCAACGTGTGTCGGTTTCCCGGGAAACTGTAGAAGGACAGAAAGTGATTGGATGCAGTATCAGACCGACTGCGAGAGTTTCTAAAGGTGCACAGACGCCTGGAAAGCAGCTAATAAAGATAATCTCAACACTTTGGGTATTACGTTGGCAAGATGAAAGACTCAAATATTATTAAGGAATTAATTGGGTACGATGGGGTTGGTCTAAGCTGGTGGGAGCAGGAGGGATTTTGAAAACAGTTTCTTTGGATTTCGAAAACAATCTTTAACATGTGATTTGAACGGCAGATATCATTCAGAAGCAGCCATGTGATAAAACCGTGACAAACCCTCTTGTTTCTAAACAGAAAAACAGAAATAGCCACAGCATGCGTCGTGTGACACTTAGGACATAATTCAGAGGAGCACCTCCGATCAGGAAGGCTCCTGAGCACCTGGGAACGGATCTGCAGAATTTTCACTTTAGCAATAGTTCTGAGAGTGGTTTAAAAATGTCCTGGGGGATAAAAGGATGGCCTCACTGTTTTCTTAGTGAAATCTTCGCTTCTCAGGAGAGTTTTTCTAGCAGAGACCACAAAGGGCTTCTCACTCCTTATCCCCTGGGCCCTGGAGAAGACGGTGAGCAGAAGCCTGCCTCTGTCCACGGCTTTCACCAACAAAAATGCTGTGTCAAAACACTGGCTTGAAGCCAGGGCCGAGGACGTACATTACTCTTTATTCCCAACATTTCGGTTTATATTGTACTCAAATCTACAAGCTGTCTCCAGTAGAGAGGATAAACGTCTTAAACCCTCGTCGAAATCCAAGCCACTTTTTTGATAGTCCTATTTGAAAACCAATGCTACAGCTTTTGGGTTTATTCCATTGCTGAGCAACCCTCGGTCTGCTTTCCCTGCAATGCTTTCTTCTCTAACAGCCTTTTCTGCAGTTCTGGGACTGGATTCCGTTTCTGTAAACTTGGAGTTAAGGCACCAGGCCAAAGCCCACATTTCTTCCCAGTCCCCTCTGAATATCAGAGTTACTAGCCATGAAGGCCAGGATATTTCTGGAATGGCAATGTGAGGAGGTCAGCAGACCCTCTCCCCAGCGGAACAATGATTTAACTGGTGAAAAGTATTTTATAAATAACCATCTAAAATCTCTGAAGGCTGGGTGCAGTGGCTCACGCCTGTAATCCCAGCCTTCTGACAGGACCAGGCAGGCGGATCACTTGAGGTCAGGAGTTCGAGACCAGCCTGGCCAACATGGCGAAACCCCGTCTCTACTAAAAATACAAAAATTAGCTGGGTGTGGTGGCGCACACCTGTGATCACAGCTACTTGGGAGGCTGAGGTGGGAGAATTGTTTGAACTGAGAAGGCAGAGGTTGCAGTGAGCTGAGATCGCACCACTGCACTCCAGCCCGGGTGACAGAGCAAGACTCCCTCTCAAAAAAAAAAAAAAAAAAAAAAAGTATTTGGAAATGGTGCTCAGAGTAGATAGCAAATGGAGAAAGATAGATTGATACAAGATCTGCGCTAAATCTCACTCGATAGTGAGAGTCTGTGGTGCTTGAGCCATGACCTGCTCTCCCTATCCAATTCCCCCAGCTCAGTGTGACAGAAATTCCACCCTGGGCAGATGTGGCAACAAGGCAGGGCTGCTGGTTTAGGAATTTAACTTGGAGAGGAAAGTTCTGGCATCTCTTATCCAGCTTCCCCTTTCCCCCAACCCAACTCCATGTTGAAGAAGCTCTATTC
The DNA here is from genome assembly GCF_000001405.40 of Homo sapiens. NCBI lineage: Eukaryota > Metazoa > Chordata > Mammalia > Primates > Hominidae > Homo > Homo sapiens. The sequence goes on along the minus strand of NC_000007.14, from coordinate 4,255,627 downwards.
TAGGCAGAGATGGCCAAGAGTACTGGGGCTCCTGTCCCGCATCCAGCCTTTGCTTGTAAGCTGGGAGCCTGTACCAGGTATGGTACGCCAAGAATACTGGGCCCCGAGTGCTCCCACCCCAGCTTGTTTGTAGGAAGAAGTCCCACGCTGGGAGGAGCAGGCCCAAAAGTCCAGGGACTGCCCTCTCAACCCAGTGCCCCACTTGTGTAGCGGGTGTGTCACTATGGAAGAAGAAGGCTATTGTCCTCACCTCCACTTTGATGCAGTGACACAGAGGTCCTGCGCAGAGTGGAGAGTTATTCTGTAAGAACAGAGAGCTTCCAGCTCTGACTGAGGAAAATGACTTTATTTGGAACAGAGCATACCTAAGGACATTGTTGAAAACTGTGGAGGCTTTGGAGGTGAGGAATGAAGAGGAAGCTGGTAGTTCCATGTCAGCAACAATGGAAGCGGTAAAACCAGCTAGCAGTTTGAAAGACAGAACCAGGAAAAGAGACTTCTGAAGCTAAGAAGAGGCCTCTTAGTGTCAGAGCAAGCTTCAAAGACTGACAGCATCTGGCAACTGCAGAAAGGCTGGACTTCAACTGGATCAGAAAGTGAGGAGCAATCTATGCACTAAGGCATTGCTGAGAAAACCAGAGCTAGCACGTAGTGGAGGTTAACTGCTGGGTATGACGCCAATCATGGTAAACCATCCAGAATCTTAATGGGGACAGGCAAAGGGAGCCCAGCTAAAACCACAGTCATCCCTGGTAGGCAGCAAGACTCTATGCATTGCCCAAGACTGAGGAGCAACATGAGAGCACACACAGTGCAGGGGAAATGGACTTCACTGAATGAATCTAGCCAAATCACTGAACAAACAAGCAAGCAACAATAACCCTCAATGAGGCATGAATATCATTATTCAGAGTTGCTGCAATATATGACCAAAAATGATCTGTTTTCAAAAAAACCCAGGAAAGTATAATGCATACACAGGAAAAAAAAAAAAAAAGAAGGTAGCTTCTGAGGGTGCCCAAACATTGGACTAAGCAGGCAAAGACTTCAAAGGTAGCTATTATAATTATGTTCAAAGAACTAAAGGAGACCATGTTTAAAAAATTAAAGGTATGATGACAATTGAAGAATATCAATAAAGTGATAGAAATTATTTTAAAAACACAAATGGGAAGTTCTTGAGTTGAAAAATACAATAACTGAAATTTAAAATTCATTAGATAGGCTCAATAGTAGACTTGAGCTGGCAGAAGAAAGAATCAGTTCACTTAAAGATAGATTGATAGAGATTACGCAGTCTGAAGAAAAGACTTTTAAAAATGGACAGAGCCTTTGATAAATATAAGACAGCACTAACAGCACCAACATACGTATAATAAGAATATCAGAATGAGAGGAGAAAGAGAAAAAAGCAAAAAAACAAAAACAAAAACAAAAACAAAAACACTCAAAGTAATAATGACTTAAAGTTTCCCAAATTTGATAAAAATCATTAATCTACCGGTAAAATATGTATAGTAATAGCACAAAAAGAAAAGGAAGAAATACAGCTATAGGAGTAAAGTTCCCATAAGTTATGAAAATGTACTATAAATCTGAGGTAGATAATAATACTAGAGTAAGACACTAACAAAAATATCCAAAAATATAGAGCAAAAGCAAAAACAAGGAAATCAAAATGATATATTTGGAAAATTCATTTAACAAAAAGAAGCTGATAGTGGAAAATAGGGAATAAAGATACGAGACATATCTTTATTAGAAAGCAAATATCTGATAAAATGGTAAATATATCAAGAAGATATAACTATAAACACACATGCACCTAACAGAGCCTCAAAATACATGAAATTAAATGAATAGATTTGAAGGGAGACACAGACAATTCAATACAAATAGAGATTTCAATGCACTGACAAATGGCAGAACTGGGAAGAAGATCATACATACAGAAGATGGAAACAACATGATAAATCAGCTAGACCTACAGACACATACAGAACACTCCACCCCAAAACAGCAGAATAACACATTCTTCTCAAGTGGATAGGAAACATTCTCCAGTATAGACCATAGGCCAGGCCTTAAAATAAGACCCAATGAATTTTAAAGGACTGAAAATATATAAATTATGGTTTCTCTGACCAAAATAGGATATAATTAGAAATAAATAACAGAAGAAAATGTGGGAAATTCACAAATATGAGGAAATGTAAAACACACTCCTAAATAACGAATGTGTCAAAGAAGAAATTACACAGAAAATTAAAAAAATATTTTGAGATGAGTGAAAACAAAAACACAACATATTAAAACTTATGAGATTCAGCTAACACAGTGCTTAGAGGGGAATTTTTAGCCATAAAGTCCTGTATTTACAAAAAAAGAAAGATCTCAAATCAACAACATAAACTTCCAACTTAGGAAATTGAAAGAAGACGAGCAAATTAACTCCAAATTAAGCAGAAGAAAGTCATAAAGATTAGAGTAGAAATAAATGAAATAGAAAGTAGAAAAATAATAGAGAAAATCAATCAAACTACAAGTTGGTTCTTTGCAAAGATGAACAAAATTGACAAAACTTTAACCAGAAATAGGAGAGAGGACTCAAATTATTAAAATCAGGAATGAATTATTGATATTAATTACCACTGCCTTTACAGAAATGAAGGATTATAAACAACTGTACACAACTATAAGCAACTGTATCTTAATAAATTAGATTAATGAGGTAGCATTAAAAATCCTTAGAAAGACACAAATGAGTGACACTGACTTAACAAAAAAAAAAAGAGGGGGGGGGAAACGGAATAAATCTATAGCCAATAAACAGATAGAACTAGTAATTAACAATTTCCCACACACAAAAGCCCGAGACCAGAGGACTTCACTGATGAAATCTATCAAACATTTAAAGAATTAATACCAGTTGTGGAAGAAATACTTCCCAAATCATTCAATAAGGCCAATATTACCCTACATAAAAATCACACAAAGATAAATAAGACAAGTAAACTACAGACCTATATCCCTTATAAGTATAGATACAAAAATGCTCAGCAATATTGAAAACTGAATCCAGCAACATATAGAAAGGATTATACACACGTATGTTTATTGCGGCACTATTTACAATAGCAAAGACTTGGAACCAACCCAAATGTCCAACAATGATAGACTGGATTAAGAAAATGTGGCACATATACACCATGGAATACTATGCAGCCATAAAAAATGATGAATTCATGTCCTTTGTAGGGTCATGGATGAAGCTGGAAACCATCATTCTCAGCAAACTATCGCAAGGACAAAAAACCAAACACCGCATGTTCTCACTCATAGGTGGGAATTGAACAATGAGCACACATGGACACAGGAAGGGGAACATCACACACTGGGGCCTGTTGTGGGGTGGGGGGAGGTGGGAGGGATAGCATTAGGAGATATACCTAATGTTAAATGACAAGTTAATGGGTGCAGCACACCAACATGGCACATGTATATATATGTAACAAACCTGCACGTTGTGCACATGTACCCTAAAACTTAACGTATAATAAAAAAAAGAGAAAGGATTATACACTATGAACAATGGGCATTTATTGCAGGAATGCAAGGTTGGTTTAACATCCAAACATTAGTTAATGTAATGTACCATATAAATAGAACAAAGGACAAAAAACATCCAGACAGACACAGAGAAACCATCTGACAAAACTCCAAACCTTTCGATAATAAAAACACTCACCAAACTCAACCAGATAAAGGGAATATTGTTCACAGTAACCAAAAAGTAGAAACAATCTGGTGTGGAAGAAAGTTAACAGAGCAGGTCTGAGACCACTAGCCTTAAAAAGACCTGCTTTCAAAGATTACCCTTGGTTGGCATCTGGGAACTTGACTGGTAAAAAGTTCCTTTCATTGATAAAATGTTTTCCCTAAATTATAAGACTGCAGTGTCTAAACTGTACAAATAATATGGTTTATGCCAAACACCTGCTTTCTTTCTGGAGTCTGGAGTTTTGGTACATGCTTGGCAGAGGATGCCTATGTGACCAGCTTCCGATAAAAACCCTGGGCAGTGAGTTTCTAATCAGCAGTACCTACAATGCAGTTGCAGTTTGCTATAAGTGCAAGGCTATGGTAAAGCCGTGGTAGACAACAATTCCTATGTGTCCTCACAGCTCTCTGGTGGAGGACTAAGTGTGTTCTGTGTGCCTCTATAGGAGAAGACTCTTAGAAGCGTGAATCTGGTCTCCTCTGGACTTTGCTCTGTGCACATTTTCCCTTTGTGATTTTGCTCTGTATTCTTTTGCTGTAATAAATCTTAGTCATGAGGATGTTGTGTGCTGAATTCTGTGAGTCCTTCTAGTGAATCACTGAACTTGGGAGTGCTCTTGGGGATCCCAGACACAACAAACTCAAATGTTCATCAACTGATGAATGCATTTTTAAATGTGGTATATCCATACAATGGAATTTCCCCCCATATAATATAGAAATGAAGTACTGATATGTGCTACAACATATATCAGTGACCCTGATGAACTCTGAAAACATTATGCTGAATGAAATAAGCCAATCACAAAACCACATATTGCATGAGTCTGTTATATGAAATGCTCAGGATAGGCAAATCTATAGAGACAGAAAGTGGCTGCCAGGGTTTGGAGGGAGAAGGGAATGGGAGGTGACTGGTAGAGTTATGGGGTTTCTTTTTAGAGCGATGAAAAAGTTCCAAAATTGTGGGGATGATTGCAAAAACTGAAAATACTAAAAACCATTGAATCGTATATTCTAAATGGGCAAATTATATGATATATGAATTATAACTCAATAAAGCATTTTTTAAAAAGAAGATTCTGACTAGAGTGGGGTTGGGGACTAGGAGGGACATAATTGTCAAGATGGCAGCCTTTCCAAATCCCCTTGTGACATTTGGCCTGTGTTCCGTTAGACCCTACACAGAAAAATACACTTCCTGGCCGGGCACAGTGGCTCATGCCTGTAATCCCAGCATTTTGGGAGGCCGAGGTGGGCGGATCACTTGAGGTCAGGAGTTCGAGACCAGCCTGGCCAATATGGCAAAACCCTGTCTCTAATAAAAATACCAAAAATCAGCTGGGCATAGTGTCAGGTGCCTGTAATCCCAGCTACTTGGGAAGCCGAGGCATGAGAATTGCTTGAACCCAGGAGGCGGAGGTTAGAGGGAGCTGAGATCATGCCACTGCACTCCAGCCTGAGCGACAGAGCAAAACTCCATCTAAAAAAAAAAAAATTACACTTCTGTTCCAAGAAACCACATGGGCAAAATACAACATGTTTGTTTCCTATAAAGGGAGAAGTTCTGAAGTCAGATTTTAAAACAAACAATGTGAAAGAGAACTGATGAAACACACAAATTGATTACTTCGTAAAAGTGGTTCAAATGCGTTGCAATCATCATGCTAAGGGAAAGAAGCCAGTCACAAAAGACATCATACTGTACGATTTATTTAGATGAAATGTCCACATAGGCACACCTAGAGAGGTAGAAAGTAGCTTACTGGTTGCCAAGAGCTGGGGTTGGCTGCAGGTGTATGTGGGTGGTTTGGGGAGATTGAGGAGTGACTGCTAATCGGTACAGGGTGTTTTGGGGGCTGATGGAAATGTTCTAAAATTGACTGTGGTGATGGCTGCACAACTCTGTGAATGTACTGAAACCCACTGAATTGTGTACTTCAAATGAGTGAATTGTATGACATGTGAGTTAGGTCTTAATCCAGCTGTTTCAAACAGTGGTTCAAAGTGAATGTTACCATGTGAGCTGGCACTTCCAAAACGATCTAAGTCCCCGGTTCCCTCTGTTGGGATCCCATGAATATGGAGTGCCTTCAAATCCCCCAAATTCATAAGCTTCAAAAGCAGGATGCAGCAAGGTTACCTAGCAAAGAGCTCTACAGACAAGGGAGGCTACGCTTTATCCACTCAAAAACCTGGGGAGCACAGGATGGTCCAGGTGTGGGGATTCTTAGCTGGGACTCTATGGGATGCTAGCTGGTGGGGTCTGTAAGAGACTTCCGGGGTGCCTTGGGCCCCCAAATCCTAGGTGAAATTCTGCCTGTATGTAGGTGGAGAGCATGTCTGCACCTTTCATCAGCCTCCAGAAGCAGCCTGTCACCCAAAAGGCACTAGGAACCATGAGGTGCATTTGCAGGAACGCTTTCCTCCAGCACAGGGCTTGCCATGTGGGAGCAGTGTGGCCTGGTTCCCAGGCCCCTTGCCACCTCAGCCACGCTGCCTGAGACTCAGCTCTGAGAGCAGGACTGGTGGGAAGGTGGGATTTCCAGTTAGATGCTGAGGTCTGCCTCTCCAGTCCAGCTCATCAGTGCGTGTCTCAGGGAAGACATTCAAAAACTCTCAGTCTCGGCTTTCTGCCTGTTACATAAGGATGATAACACCCTCTGTGCAGAATTCCATTTAGTGTGGGTTCCATGTCCTGCCCTCCACCCTTCTTCCCCTATCCCCACACTCACCTCCCTCCCTCCCCACACTCACCTCCCTCCCTGAGGCCACCTCTGTGTATGTGTTTGTATTTAGGTGTATATGCATATGTGCAGGCATGTGTGCATGTGTGTATTTAGGTATGTATGTGTTGTGCATGTATGTACATATGTGTATGTGTGTATTTAGGTATGTATGTGTTGTGCATGTATGTACATATGTGTATGTGTGCATGGTGGTATGCATGTGTGCTTGTACTTGTATTTAGGTATGCATGCACGTGTATATATGCATGCGTACATGCATGTAGTATGTGTGAGCCATGTGCCTGTGTGCATGTGTTTAGGTATGTAGGTATATGTATGAGTATATGATGTATGTGTGCACATGCAAATTTTTGCATGTACATATTTGGGTATGTGCGTGTGCGTGTGTGTACATGTGTGCATGTATGTGTGTGCATGTATTCAGGTGTGTAGTTATTTGTACATGTGCACAGGTATGTGTACATGTGTGTGTATTTAGGTATGTGCATGTTTGTGTGTATTTAAGTATGCATGTGTGTGCATGTATTCAGGTGTATAGGTATATGTATGTGTTTGCATGTGTGTATGTGTACGTATGTGTGCATATGTGTATTTAGGTGTGTATATGTTGTGTGTATTTAGGTAAGCACGTGTGTATGCATGTGTGCATGTATTCAGGTGTATAGGTATACGTGTGTGCATGTGTGTATGTGTACATATGTGTGCATATGTGTATTTAGGTGTATGTTGTATTTAGGTAAACGTGTGTGTGCATGTATTCAGGTGTATATGTATATGTGTGTGCATGTGTGTATGTATAGATATGTGTGCGTGTGTGTGTATTTAGGTGTGTGTGTTGTGTGTTCTATTTAGGTATGCATGTGTGTATGCAGGTGTGTGCATGTATTCAGGTGTGTATGTGTCCGTGCACATGTGTGTACATGTACATATGTGTTCATGTGTGCATGCATACGTGAATGTATATGCTTAGCTCAGTTCACGGGTGTGCTCAATAATCTTCCATAAACATTTGCCGATGTTAAATCTCCAAACACGCCACATATGTTGGGGGGAGAAACAGACCAAATGCGTTCCATTAGCCCATGTTGAAAATGCTTTTAGGAACAAATATTCAGAGTTCACAGATCCAATCCTGCCCGCCTGCTCTAGGACACACCATCCCTGGATGCCTCCCTCCCCTTCCTCTGGTGTGGGGCTGGAGGAGACCAATGGGGAGGGAAGGGGTACACTGAGCTCTGGAGACACGGGGGTCTGGCTGGGTGTCAGCTTCAACAGCCGCCTGCTGGACAACCTCAGCCTCTGACCAATAAGGAGACTGGCCCCACCTCATGGGGCTGGGGTGGGCAGCAGAGGAGTGCACGTTCACCCTGGGCCAGGCCCACAGTGAGTGCTGGAAACACACAGCAGCGAGCGCTCAGCACACAGGAACCACCCACAGCTATGACACCCCCACGGTGCCTGGATACTCGAAAGAGCAGCGGCCCGGCAGCGGCAGCAGGGACAGGCCCGAGGCCGGCGCTGTGAGATGAGCCTCTTTGCTGACCAGACTGTCCTGCTCGAAGGCTGCCTGCTCCGCACAACCTGCTGCTTTCGTACATGCAGCGAGCTTCTGATAAGCTTTTTCTTTATCACAAAAAGGCAGGTAGTTTTGCAGGATTTCACTTGACAGCCCCTGAGTTTTAGACAAATGTCCCTTTCCGAGCATCTGCTTTGCTGCCTGCTGTTTCTGCCAAGCCCAAGGCTATGGTGCGGACAGCAAACCCGGCATCCTCTGTAAACAGAACACGCAAAGCAAAGCAGAATCGGCCTCACCACACCCACCTGCTGGCCCTTCCCGCCGGGAGTTCATCTACAACCCACAGTTGAAAAGAAGCCATTCGATAGAGCCCCGGGGCTCAATAAGGCCTGAATTCAGGTTAAAATGAAGGTGAGACTTATTTTAGATTAAATATTGATTTAGAACCTGAGTGCCAGGAGGCGGGGCAGGCCTATGTGTACAGCCAATGGTTGGTGATTTTCACCCCTCTCCAGGCCTGGCATATCCAAAAGAAAAAAGTTCAGGACCCAAGGGGCAACCTCTCCAATTGCTGCTTCTGCTGCTTTTGCTGGTAAGTATGAGAAACGGAGATGGTGCACCTGTAGGGAAGGTGTGTTGAGCCCCCTGCTTAGAGCCCCCTCGTGGCTGCCTTGCTGGTTAAAGTCCCTTTGGGTCACGCCGCACAGGACCTGGCACAGGAAAAACACTCCATGTCTCAACTGCTGCACACCCAGGCGCAGGGGAGGCCTGAGGCGGGTAGGCCCTGGGGTCCTGGAGGGAGCGCGTGGAGGCTGACACTCCCTCGGGGAAGCCATCTCCCTGGTCCAGCTGCTTGGTGAGGAGAGGAACACATCCCAAGTCTGGATTCACCCTGAGCCCGATACATGACCTGGAACTGCTGTGAGCAAATCCCTCTTCTTCAGCGCAAGGGAGGGAGCTAGGACAGAAGCTTCCTGGGCAGGGTGGGAGGCTGGCAGGGTGTAGGGGGAAACGAATGTCCAGGGGTGAGCAGGAAGCTCCTATCTGGTAAAGGGGTCACATTTTCTATCCGCCCTGCAGGATCAGACCCGCTGCCACCCTAACTGGGGTCTACAGACCACCAATTTTTATGGCAGCCTATGTTTATCTATGAAAGTGAAATGGAGAGAGAATGGGCCTCCGAGGCAGGAGTCCACACTGGGAAAGTTACTGATCTTCCCTGAGCCCTGCCGGCTCCATCTGTAAGAGGTGGTCTAGGCCCAGTTACCCCGGGACTACATGAGATGGAGCACGTGAAAGCGACCATCTGACACTCAGCCTGCTGGCACCCAGGCAACACCCACACTCTGCTCTGCAAGAAACCTCTCACAGAGGGCACCAGCCTTGCCTATCTCTCACTGCAGTCTCTGGGACTTAGGAGTCGGAACCTGCGCTTCCATCAATCAGCCTTGGAGCATCTAGACTGCTCGAAGCTGTGTGAGCTCTGCTGGGCCTAAAGCAGATCCCAGGACTTAGGAGTCACAACCTGCTCCTCCATGAATCAGCCTTGGAATGTCTAGACTGCTCGAGGCTATGTGAGCTCTGCGGGGCCCAGAGCAGGCCGTGGGGTTGAATTTCGGCTCTTTTCTCATCTGCATAATGAAGCCCTTTGTCCTTGGCTCTGCCTGTGGGGATGTTATGAGACTCAAATAGGACAAGACAGCCTGAGGGGGCAGAAGTCTCACTGCAGAAGTAGGGGCTGATGGTCACTGCCCGGAAGTAGGCACCGACACTGACCTCAGATTCTGATGCATCTGCCGACTTCTCCTTGAGGCTCACGCTCTCGGTCAGCACGGCGCCGTTGTACTTGTTGCAGATGTCCTCGTCTGAGTAGTGCAGGCCGCCGGGGCTAGGCCGGGGTGGGGACCTAGGATGAGGACCCATGCTGCAATTACCCTCTGGGCAAAAGACGCCCTTCCCCGGAGGACTCCTAACCTGGCATTTGGCCTTTATTGCGTTGGACTAAGAGGAAACCCACAGCCTTTGACATCACTTTGGCAACTGATGCAAAAAATTCTGAGCACTGGCTACCTGGTGAGTCAACAGCCTCTGTGTACCTGTGCCTGTCAGTTGTGGAGACTGTGCTAGGCCTGCAGGCATGGAGGAAGAGCTGGTCTGTGCCAGGAGGGGCAGTGAGACACTCACGTACAAACAGCACCCTGAGGTCGGGACAGATAGGAGGCCGGGGAGCTTAGGTGCTTGCCAGATGCAGGCAGGGGAGTGCAGTGGAGAGAGATGAGGATGGAGTCATGAGGAACAGTCTGATCTGCCATGCTAAGGAGTGGGAATTGTCTCCTACAGATGAGAGGGAATTGGGGAAGTTTGCACCAGGCCTGGTCTCCCTGTCTGGTGGGGGAGCATTCGTCCTCTCTGGCTGGTGGAATTCTAAGATGGCTCCATCACTGCCCCCACCCCCATCATCCCATCCTTTGAATGTGGGAAGGGCCTGTGACGTGCTTCTAACCAGTGGAACATGGCAGACTGAAGACTCGGTTACATTAAATGGAATGGGTGAAGGACAGCTACTCCCATCACGCCCATGATCACATGACATTAGGAGACCCTATCTTGGCGGACTGGAGACAGAGATGCTCTTGCTGGCCTCACAGAAGCCAACAGTATGTTGTGAACAGCCCCTGGAGAGGACCCCATGGCAGGGGACCATGAGCGGCCTCCAGGACATGAGGGCGGCCTCCAGAGGAGGGCCAAGAAGAGGCTGGGGCCCTCAGTCATGCGGCCACAAGGAAATGCATGCTGCCAGCAGGCTGAATGAGCTTGGAAGAAGATTCTTGCCCAGTTGAGCCTCCAGATGAGAACACAGCCCATCTACACCTGGATTACACCCATGCAAGGCCCTGAGCAGAGGACCCAGCTGAGCTGTGCCCAGACTCCTGCCCCAGGGAGACCGCGTGGTGCTAAATGGGTGTTGGTTTAAGCTGCTGAACTTGTGATCATTTGCCATGCAGCGATAGAAAATGAGTACCCTCTTCAGCTCCCCACTTCCTGGTGACTATCTGAGCTGAGTAAAAGCCCAGCTTCTGTTTTTCAGATGGAGAACTCAGAACTTGGGGAAAAACTCTGAGTACAACATTGCTGAATTTTCACATCAGGCAGGACTGAGTGCTCCTTAGTCCTCCGAAGGGTGTGCAGGGACTCGATAGTGAGAGCAGCCTGTGGGCAGTCAGACAGGCAGCTGTGTGCTCAAAGGGACCATGTCCAGGACCCCCAGCAACCCAGCAAGCCCTCCCTCATGCTGCGAGGAGTGAGTGCAGAACTGAGTGGCAGCTACAGAGGAAGTGTCTTCTCATCCCTCAATGGGAGAAGTAACACTGGGTGATCAAGGAGAGGCTACAGGCCAGGAAACCAGGCCTTGGGTGGAGACTCTGCTGGGAAGGCTGGAGGGGATGGAGACCTCTGGTTTTGTGTCGTGGGTGTTGTCTCCCCCAGGGTGTGCCTCAGTTTCTCCTGGAAAGGCCCAGTGAAGGCTCAAGGGCCTTTCTTTCTCTATCTCAAAGGTAATTTACTTTGGGAAAGATGCCATTTCTTATCTAAACATTTGGGTAAATCTTTTTATCTAAGGAGCTAAAATGGTGTCTTCCCCAAAAAGAAATTGGAAGCACAAACGTGCACGGGGGAGACATAAATCAACTGTGCCCGTATTTCTAAGATATTTTGGGGATGATGCTACAGGACCAATCTCAGGTGTCCCTGCCCAGACCCTTCCCCTCTCAGCAGAGAATCCTTTCCTTCAATCACATGTGGGGTCTGATATGGTTTGGCTGTGTCCCCACCCAAATCTCATCTTGAGTTGTGGCTCCCATCATTCCCATGTGACGTGGGAGGGACCTGGTGGGAGGTACTTGAATCATGGGGGCAGGTCTTTCCCGTGCTGTTCTCGTGAGAGTGAATAAGTCTCACACGATCTGATGGTTTTATAAAGGGGAGTTTCCCTACACAAACTCTCTCTTTGCCTGCCACCACGTAAGACGTGACTTTGCTCCTCCTTGCCTTCCGCCATGATTGTGAGGTCTCCCCAGCCATGTGGAACTGTGAGTCCATTAAACCTCTTTCCTGTATAAACTACCCAGTCTTGGGTATGTCTTTATTAGCAGCGTGAGGACAGATGAATACAGGGTCCTATTGCTAGGACTGAAAAGGTGATGGCTTATTTAAAAACCTAAGGGAAGGGTCCATTTTCTTTTCCATCTTAATTTTATTTTGTCCTTGGGTCTTTGTGGGCTGAGAACCTCCAACCTCACCATCAAATGATGTTTCTCTTTCCTAGGAAGCAGATGGACTTAACAAACTGAACGACTGTCTATTCTTGGGCAATGTGCTTCAAGGCTGTGTCTCTTCTCAGAACTCAGAAGACAGAGTTGCAGCAAGGAAGCAGGGCATGTAATATCTTAAAATTCTCTGTGACAAGTTCCTCCTGGCCTTGAAACTACATGTGGTTGCTTTTTCATGTTTCTATTACACGGCAGGAAAAACTTGCCTCCCAGTAGACAAATGAAATGAAAGGTGTGACCAGATGTCACCACCAGCATCCACCTCCAGCCCTTGGGAAGGCCTCGTGGGGTGGCGGCCTGCGGTGCTTTGGACTGGCACCTGTGGGGCTGGCAGAGCGTCAGTGGCTGGGAGAAGGCCCACCCGTGCCTCGGCGCCACCCGAGTGATCTAAGATTCCCAAATTCAGTGGAGGGCGGGGGCGGCCCAGGGAATCTCCAAACACTGCTGGCCCCTGCAGCTTTGTAAACAGTAAAGGGAAGAGGAAACCCTGGGGTCTGTCTGGGTCTGGATGATGTGTGATTTCCACACCCTTGCAGCTGAGTCTAATCCAAGGTGAGTCTGGCTGAGGGAGAGAAGCCTCCTCCACCCCGATGCTGGGGCACCCTGGGAAAGCCCGGAGCTGTCTGTTCTCCAGACGAAGCGTCCTCAGGTGTTTGGGTTTTTCCTTCCAGACGCTCAAGACCCCTCCCCATTCCTGGCCCTTCTCCTTGGTCAAGGGTACTCAAATCAGAGGATGGCGCTCTGCACATCAAAAAGGCAAACCCAGGTCAACCCCTCTCTTGTTTGGGAAACCCTGCTTCCTGCTGGATTTAGGAAAAGGATTATAAGCTAAGGAGGCTATGGTGATGAAAATCCTTCTCGCCTGCACTCAATCCGTGTATGGAATGGCAATGTGTATCGGCACAGGAAAACTTTGGAATACACAGAGCAATGAAATCAGCAACAAGCACCAGGCTTGCTTGCGAGGACACCTGGTCGGGCCTGTGGCAGCCCAGGTGACACCTCCATGAACTAGGAACGCCCAGATCCAAGGTGCATGCGATTGACACAGAAGGCCAGCCTGGCAGCCCCTGGGTGTTCCAGGCCCTTCCCACACACCTGAGACCCTCTTTCTAAATCTCCGGAGATGTCCTGAAAATATTTCCAGCCGCTCTGCCGACCCCGTCCCTCCTAGACTCAGGGCTGCCCCTGGTGGTTTGGGAGCGCACTTGGCGGTGGGTTGGGTTTTGCTTCCTGGAACCACAGGGCGGGATGCAGGAGGTGCCAGTGGGCGTGGGCTGCCACCCCAGCCCTGGCAGCTCAGATCCCCAGGTGGGCGCAGCACAGCACTGCCTGCCTACCTGGTCCCGTTCTTCTTGGAGAAGGTGCTCTTGACATTGAGGTGGCGGCTGCTGAGCTCCAGGGCAGCAAATCCTCCGTTGTCCAGGGTCACAGACTCCTCCATGGTGGAGATCCCCTTTCCTAAAGCCCAGCAGGAGAGTGAGAACAGACGTGTTACTGGTGTGGCCACCGCAGCCACGCCAAGCCAGAGCTGGCCAGCGGGGCAGCTCCTGAGTCCTGCTGCACGCAGAGCCCAGAGCTGAGGATACCTGCTTCAGCTGTGCTTAGGGCTGAGCTGGGGAGAAGAGCTAGGTACTGATCACAGTGTTGGAGCAAAGTGACAATATTAGCATTTTCATATTTGTTCTGTCTGATCCCAAAATACCAGTATTCTTGCCAGTGTTTTATGAAAATAGACTCAGAATGCATAAACTTTTTTTGATTTTTTGTTTGTTTGTTTTGGTAGAGATGGGGTCTCGCTACGTTGCCCAGGCTGGTTTCGAGTTCCTGGGCTCAAGTGATCCTTCCACCTCGGCCTCTCAAAGTGCTGGGATGGCAAGCGTGAGCCACTGCACCTGGCCAAGAATGCATACACTTCTAAAAATTCCGGGAAATTAAATATTTAATAAATTTCAAAATAAAAACTCACACTCATTTAACAAAACAGGAAGTAAAGATAAATGTGTGGGAGTGTGACGGCTAAAGAAAGGGTACAGAGCTTCCTTTTGAGGTGACACGAACGTTCTAGAACTGACTGTGGTCATGACTGCACGTACCTGTGCGTTCACCACTGAACCGCACACTTCAAAAAAGAGTAAATTTACAAATACATAGCAAAACACATTCTAAAATATATTAACAGATCAAATGAATAAAAATAAAGTTCTGAAAAACCGAACAACATAAAAAATAATTGCACTGGGTTTTCCCGGCTCATTCTGCAGGAAAGACCAAGGCCTCCAAACTGCCCCCAAGCTTGGCCTGGTCTGTCCACCCTGCAAACCCCCGCGTCATCTTCCAGCCCTCAGCCCCTCCCTAACACGGGTTTCTCCCCCTGGGGCTCTCCCTCTTGCTGGAAGCTCCTTCTCCCAGTATTTCCCGGGTTTCTCTCCCCTTCCTGCAGATCACAGCTCAAACGCCCTGAGACCAGAGGCGACCTCCCTGACCACATAAAGTGACCTCTGTTTCTCAGGCCCATGTACATATTTGCTCTTTGAGGTACAGACTTAAGTCCATCACACTCCCCAGTGTCCCGCCAGCCCCCAGGACAGCGCCTACACACATACCAGGGGCTTGGCAGGTATTTGCTAAGTGCGTTGGCATTTCTAAACCCCAAGAGGCTCCTCTCTGCTGGGACCTGGCCCCCCTTTGACGTGCTTTAAACCTTAATGCTCTGTGTTTAACGGAAGAACACAGAGCAGAAAATGAAAGATGGGCTTGCCTGGGAGAGGGGATTTGGGATGATGGGAGGTGAGCAGGTGGAAACCAAGATCAGAAAGGAATTCAGACGAGGATGGGAGGATAAGGAGTGCACGCAGGGAGGGGTGTCGAGTGAGGCCATCACAACAGAGGTTTAAGTTCTGCAATGTCTCCTGGGCAGGACGGGAGACATTCTGGTAGATAAGTGTTATTTTTTCCCGGCTTCAATTATGATGTTAAATTAACACTCCAGGGTGCGGCTGAGCATCGGAAGCTGCAGGTCCGATCTGCCTTTTCAAGTCTGTTTTCCAGATGGAGGAGGACAGTGAAAAGCAGGGAGATTTTTCTATGCACCAGACACAGGATTCTGTAATAGCATTAACTCAGGAAAATGACACGCCATTCATACACTGTAAATCCCTCAGGAATAAAATCTGATTTACGAACACTTGTTAGAAGTGAATTTATACAGAAAAAAATAAATCCTTTCTTTGAAGGATGAATTGCTTAACATTATAGAAGCAAATAAGGAGGCATTTTAGGTGACTGGTTTTTTTAACCCCTTTGGCACAAGGATGGTAGGACTTGTGGTCGGGGTCAGGAACCTACTCTGCCTGGCTCCTTGGCTCAGGGGGCTAATGTAGCCAGCTCCTCTTTTTAAGAACAGCTCATCAGGGATCTGCCTTTCCAAAAAGAGAAGACCCAGTTGATGGGAAAACCTCCAACAAATGAGCTGAGCTCAGGAAGAGGTCTGGCCCAGCGGTTGTGGTGATATCACAGAAGTGACCACATTCCTGGGCTCAGCTACAGCTCTGGTGGATGCTCCGTAGGATCAAAACAGGCCATAGGCCGGGCGCCGTGCGTGGCTCACTCCTGTAATCCCAGCACTTTGGGAGGCTGAGGTGGGAGGATCACCGTAGCCCTGGAGTTCGAGACCAGCCTGGCCAACATGGTGAAACCCGTCTATTTAAAAAACAAAAAACAGGCTGCGGTCTAGCAGTCAGTTACATTCTGGTTATCCAGAGAAGTGGTCTCATTGATAATTATGAGGTTTTTAAAATTGACGATAATCAAATGCACAAGCTATGCTAATCTTAAGTGTCCAGAATGATGCTTTATGATTGTGAATGTAACTACCGTCCACGTAGAGAGACAGAGCACATTTAGCACCTGTGAGGTGCTCTCATGCATCTTCCCTGTTTATACCTCTCCACCAACAGGCAAGCAGGATTCTGCCTTCTGGAAACTTCCATTCACTGTGGGTGTTCCTGGCCTTCATGTAAATGGAGTCACAAGGTCTGTGCTCTCTGTGGCTGGCTTTACCCTACGTTCATTTGCTCCTTTCTCTAATGATAGTGGGTCATTCGGCAATAAATGCTTATTGACTGAATGCTTGCTCTATGCCTGGTGTGGAGTTTCTGCTGGAAACACAGTAGTGACCTGGCCCTCAGACGGCTCAGAGCTAGACCACGGACACAGGCAAGGTTCAAGCTGCAGTGGGTGAGAAGAGCTATGCCATGGAGATGCTTCTGTGACAGTCTCTGAGCCACAGCAAAACATCAACGTCTGAGCAGTGCCCCAGGTCACTGTGTTTATAATATTGCATAGTACAATATGCCACCTGTTTAATGCTCTATACTTTTTTTTTTTGTAAGAGACAGGATCTCGGCAGGGCGCGGTGGCTCACACCTGTAATCCCAGTACTTTGGGAGGCTGAGGCAGGTGGATCACCTGAGGTGAGGTGTTCGAGACCAGCCTGACCAACATGGAGAAACCCCATCCATATTAAAAATACAAAATTAGCCGGGCGTGGAGATGCATGCCTGTAATCCTAGCTACTGGGGAGGCTGAGGCAGGCGAATTGCTTGAACCCAGGAGGTGGAGGTTGCAGTAAGCCTAGACTGCACCATGGCAACAAGAGTGAAACTCCATCTCAAATTAAAAAAAAAAAAGAGACAGGATCTCGCTTTGTTGTCCAGGCTGGAGTACAGTGGTGTGATCATGGCTTACTGCAACCTGGATCTCCTAGGCTCAGGTGATCCTCAGCCTTAGCCTCCAAAATCACTAGGATTACAGGCATAAGCCACCATTCCCAGACACACCTCACTTTCTAATACTATTAAAAAATGTGATTAGGTTGGGCACCGTGGCTCACGTCTGTAATCCCAACACTTTGGGAGGCTGAGGCGGGCAGATCACCTGAGGTCAGGATTTCGAGACCAGCCTGGCCAACATGGTGAAACCCCGCCTCTACTAAAAATACAAAAATTAGCCGGGCGTAGTGGCAGGCGCCTGTAATCCCAGCTACTCAGGAGGCTGAGGCAGGAGAATCACTTGAATGCAGGAGACAGAGGTTGCTGTGAGCCGAGATTGTGCCAGTGCACTCCAACCTGGGTGACAGAGTGAGACTGTAAAAAAAAAAAAAGCAATTGCATTTGAACAAAGGTACAGAGTGGGGATCTCTGAGGCTGGATGACTCATACGCCCTTATCCAAGACACATAGTTAATCTGAGGGCAGGCAGGGTCAGCATCTGGGTCCCGAGGCATAGAGCGTTTGCTGCACTGTGCCTGGCTGCCCCCAGAAAGAAAACCTATTGCATTTCTCTCAGCACCTACAAGCAAATGAAATGGAAAAGCAGACACGGGCCCGGCAGATCCACGAGAGAACGAACGCTATGTTTTGGCTGAGTGGCATCGTGGGACACGCGAGGAAGGGGCTGGACCTGCACCTGTGCTGCAGTTCTTATACTTCTTATTCTGCCCGTGCAGGACGAGGGCGAACACCACCAGCAGGATGACGATCAGGCTGGACAGAGCCATCACCAGGAGGAACCACCACTCCTCGTAGAATGGGGCTTCCACTTGAGCTGTGGAAAAGACACGGACACACAATGACATGGGGCAGACGCTCCAGCTGCAGTCACCTCCCGCGAGTCAGGTGGTTGGCAGGGAAGGCTGGGGTAGATAACTCCCAGTTACAGGTGAGATGAAACCAATGTCCAGCCGGGCGGGTGGACTTTTCCCATGGGACAAGCTCAGGAGGCTCCCATGGTCCTCAGCAGGCTTTGGGAATTCAACAGCCCCCATTTGCCACCTTTTCTGTGGGATCAGGCTCAGGGCTCCTCTGTCCTCCAAGCTGCCCCCTGCCCTGGAGACTTCAGTATCTTTGTCCTTGCCCTGACCTTGCCCATCAAAACCGCCCTTCCTGCTTGCTTTCTCTTAATTTCATCTGTTTAAAAACACTGCCTGATCCAGTGCAATGTAGTGAGATCCCATCTCTAAAAAAACAAAAAACAAACAAAACAAAACAAAACAAAAAAACAGCCAGGCACAGAGGCGTGTGCCTGAAGTCCCAGCACTGTGGAAGGCTGAGGTGGGAGGATGGCTTAAGCCCAGGAGTTCAAGACCAGCCTGGGCAACATAGCAAGACCCCTTTCTCTACAAAACAAGGTATGGTGGCACACCTGTAGTCCCAGCTACTCAGGAGGCTGAGGCGGGAGGATCACTTGAGCCCAGGAGGTCGAGGCTGTAGTGAGCCACGATCACAGCACTGCACTCCAGCCTGGGTGACAGAACAAGACCCTGTCTCCACAAAACAAGCAAGGCAGCAAACAAAAACGTTGTGTGGGTTAAAGTGAGGATGGAACAAAGCGCCTAGACGTCCTTCTCTCTCCTGGTGCTGGGACACCCCCCAAAACAGCTCCAGGTCCCCTGCCTTCTCCGTCACCACCTCCTGCCTGCGCACAGCACTCACATTCCACCTGTTACGCCTCCTCCTGTCTTGCTCAGATCCATCCTTTACATCACCCAAGAGAGGTCTTCCTCCGATAGAAATCAGTTGTCCCCCCTAAAATCCTCAGTGGTTCCCAACAGCCACGGGGTGAACCCTGAGCCCACGAAGCACCCCAGGACCTGCCGTCTGCACGTCTATGGAAGCCCCCGCCGCAAACACGCACTGTGTGTATTTGCTTCTCTACCTGTTGGCCCCTCCACAGGCCACAGACCCCTAAAGCCTGGGGCTGTGTTTTATTTATTTTCTGCCTCTAGCAAAACCAAGCTGAACGACTGGCCCTGTCTTTAGATGTGTTTTTGAGAAATCAATAGAAAAAAATGCATGTAAAGGCGGCTTTGAAGGACGCTCTTCTTCCTTCTGTCTCGTTCTGCTCGCTCAGAACAGAAAAGCGGGAAATTGTATCTTGATGGGTGCTGGGTGGTCCCGGCGTCCCATTCAGGGCCTTCCATGGGCCTGGAAGGGGAGTAGGTTCTGTGGCACTGGAAGCCCCCCAGAACAGAAAGCCTCTCACAGGCAAAGCCCAGGCATTGGCTCACGGCAGCCAGAACCCTTCCAAACACAGCCACCCGAAGCTTCTATCCTATATCTCACGAATAGGGGATGTGTGCACACCGGGAAGAAGAACAGGGAATCGGCTTTGGCTAATGCAGGTTCACAGGGCTCCTTAGGAGGTGACGGTGCTTTAAATCCAAAAGACAGAAGTAGGTTTGTGGGCTGCGCATTTGGTACTCCATGCGGCAAGTCTGACGCATGCCACACTTACACCACCGGGCAACTGGCCCGGAGTGGGCCTGACCCCAGCACCTGGTAGGAAAGGAAGGCCGGGCTGTCCTGGAGGACTCTCATACGGGGCAGGACACCCTGGCTGCGGGCCTGGCCCGGTCCTGACGCCAGCAGGTGATGGTTGCTGGCTTCCCTGAAGGACTGATGAGCTCAGTGCGGTCCAGCTCATGGCAAGGCCAGCTCTGCGTCTGATGGAGTTTCAGAGAGGCCTGAACCACAGGCCCTGGGAAGTGGGGTCAAAGTGCACGTTCCGCATGAGGAACCGGCTTTCTGTGCATGTGTAATTGCTCTGTACCAATTTTCCACAGATAAAACTCAGGCAGTAAATCTTGGATCTCTGAATTAGGATGAGGGGTGCTGAGGGTTCCTCATTCTCTATACTTTGGGGTACATTTAAAATATTCATAATTAAAATTAGGGAAATGAGAAATCTGTGCTTTTTCTAAATCTTACTCATTAAAAAATCAAGTGGTCAGCTGGGCGCCGTGACTCACTCCTATAATCCCAGCACTTTGGGAGGCCAAGGCAGGCGGATCACTTGAGGTCAGGAGTTCGAGACCAGCCTGGCCAACAGGGTGAAACCCTGTATCTACTAAAAATACAAAAATTAGCCGGGCGTGGTGGCACATGCTTGTAATCTCAGCTGCTTGCGAGCTGAGGCAGGAGAATCCCTTGAACCCGGGAGACGGAGGTTGCAGTGAGCTAAGATCACGCCACTGCACTCCAGCCTGGGCAACAGAGTGAGACTCCATCTCAAAAAAAATAAAATCAGGTGGTCCTCTGGGTCCCTTCCTCACAGCCCCTCTCACAGAGCAACCCCGGAATTCAAGGATGTTCCCAGGCCAGGGTACCAGGCTTAGGGCCCACGCTCACCCACAGACGAGCACAGGGTCGTTCCTCCAAACTCATAGCACATAAAGGACGAAGGTTAAGTTCAATTTCAACAAGTGCAGTCAGTAGCTCAAGCAGCTCTAACGCAGAGGAGAGGAACAGCTTCTTCCTAATCCCAGGAAGAGGACCAACAGAGCTGGCCCTACCTGGGGCTTCTGGCTGAGGCTCTGCTGCCCCAACGCCGAGGCCTCCCTGCCCTTCATGCTGCTGAGATCCCCTCTCCTCAAACACAGCCCATCCCTCTCTGAACCCCCCAGCGCCCTGGCTTGCAGCCGGTCTGCACGATAGAATCATCGCGGGGTAAAGAAAGTCACGCCTGGAGCCACGGAAGTCACTGTCTGGGGTGAGGGGCCAGCGAGGGTGTGTGTTTAACTTTCT
The DNA here is from genome assembly GCF_000001405.40 of Homo sapiens. Classification (NCBI taxonomy): domain Eukaryota; kingdom Metazoa; phylum Chordata; class Mammalia; order Primates; family Hominidae; genus Homo; species Homo sapiens. Next base: position 4,234,668 of record NC_000007.14, on the reverse strand, counting down.
CAAGCAACCCTAAGGTGCGGCCAGGGTTGAGTCCCTCACAGGCACATGGGGGGCTGGGGGGCCACAACCAGGGACCAGCTTTGCCGGCCCTCCCTCTCCAGCTCCCCCACCCACGGCTCTTCAGTGACCAGGACTTTTTCTCCGCCACCTTCTGCCTCCTGCAGGTTTCCCTTCCCCTGTGGTAGGCTTTGGGCACCTTCCTGATTCCCAGGCGAGGTCACAGCCCCCACCCTGTGTGTCATAACCCCTGCCATGACTGCTGACTGCAGACATGTCTGTCATCTAACACGGGTGCTCTCGGGGAGGAAGCCCTGCCCTGGCCTTCTCTGCCACTCCCCTGAGAGCAGACCTGGACCTGGACCCAGGGTGGCCTCTGGAGCCTGCGGTACCTCACAGCGAAGGTGTGCACGTGAAGAAATGCCCAGCCTGGGATCGGCAGTACCTTCACCTGCACGCCATCCTCAGGGACGGCAATACTGCTCACCTTGAGCCCAGAGCAGCTACTATCCCCGGCCCCTCCGCTGGCTTTCTGGGAGGTCCCAGGAAGACGTGACCTCTTGTCAGGCACTCGTGGGCTCCCCCATAGCTGCCGGGGTGGTTCTTGCCCCTCCAAAATCACACATGCTCCTCGGCAAGGATGCGTCAGCTAACACAGGGGATCGGGGCTCTGCTTTCCTTGCGAATGATTTTGTTGCGGAGGGGACACCACGTGGCTCATGCTCACACCTCTGACACTTCCATGTGTCTCTGATTTTTAAAACTATGAGGAAACACATTAGGAATTGCCGGTGCACAGCGTGGACACAAAGCCCATAAGGGGCCTTGCTGGTGGTGCTGGGGGAGGCTCTGGGGCCTGGGGTCCTGCCAGAGGGAAGCAGGGAGCAGCCCAGGAGGATGGGTGGCACTGGGGAGGCACCCGGAGACTGGCACTGCTCTCCCCACCCACATGTTCCCTGGGCAGAACCTCAACTAAGCTGGAGACACCTACAGCAGCAGATGTGTGTCCCTTTCGTCCCGCTTGACTTCATTTCTCTCTCCCGTCCTTCAGGAGAAGACAGACCTCCCAGGGTCCCCCTCGACCCCATTTCTCCCTCCCATCCTTCAGGAGAAGACAGACCTCCCTGGGTCCCCCTCGACCCCATTTCTCCCTCCCACCCTTCAGGAGAAGACAGACCTCCCTGGGTCCCCCTCGACCCCATTTCTCCCTCTAGTCCTCCAGAAGAAGACAGACCTCCCTGGGAGGGCCTACCTGACACAGCCGTGGAGGGGTTGCTGGGCTCCCCGTAGCCCGCCTCATTCACAGCCACCACCCGGAACTCGTAAGTCACTCCTTGCCGGAGCTTATCCAGGCTGAGGGTGTAGGATGTGGCGCTCCGCGGGATGTCCTTCACAAACATGTCCCATAAGCCTTCATCTGCAAGAGGGATGGGGAGGCGAGAGCAGAGGTTAGAAGTGCGAAGTCCCAGATGCGAGCCCCATGCACCTGCCTGGTGGGTCGGCTTGCAGCAGCCCTGGATGAGGCATCAGGGGCACTGGATGCGGAGTGAGTGCTGAATGGGGACGGAGTCTCAGTTTCGCAAGTCGAAGAGCGTTCTGGAGATGAATGGTGTGATGATTGTAGAACAACGTGCTCAATGCTACTGAACTGGACACTTGAAATGGTCATAGTGGGAAACGTTAGGTTATGCATATCTCCCCACAGTAAATATATGTATGTATGATTTATTATAAACCTCACATATAAGAAAACATGAATAAACTCAAAATTAAAGCCATTAATAAATTTAAAATTAAAATCAGACATAGAGAGGATGTTAGAGGCACATGACTTGGGTTCTGAGGCATCTCTCCAGCCACAGAGCAAAAGAAATGTGATCAGTGAGATTTGTTGTAAAGAATCACGATGAGCCAGGCATGGTGGCTCATGCCTGTTATCCCAGTACTTTGAGAGGCTGCGGTTACAGGACTGCTTGAGCCCAGAGCTGGAGACCAGCCTGGGCAACACAGGGAAACATATATATGCACAATTTTAAAAATTAGCCAGGCATGGTGGCATGCACCTGTGGTCCCTACTACTACTCAAGAGGCTGAAGCAGGAGGATTGCTTGAGCCTGGGAGGTTGAGGTTGCAGTGAGCTGAGCTGAGATTGTGCCATTGCACTACAGCCTGGGTAACAGAGTGAGACTCTATCTCAAAAAACAAACAAAGAACTTTGCAATTTTTATGACTTCACATTATAACAAAAAAAAAAAAAAAAGAAAGAAAAGAAAAGAAAAGAAAAAAAGAAAAAAGGAAAAAAAAAAAGAAAGAAAAAAACTTATGACACTATAGCATCAGGGCTGAAAGGGGTGCTGGAGCCTGGAGCTAGACAGCCTCTTTGCAAAGCCTGGCCCCACCAATTCAATTAGCTGTGTGGCTTTAGACAAAGAACGGAACCTCTCTGACCCTTGTCTGTAGAATGGTGATAACAAAGGCATCTTCATCATAGATTTGCTTTGAGGATTAAGTAAGTTAATATTTATAAAGTGCTTAGGACAGTGCCTCACACATAGTAAGTGCTGTACGTGTGTTTGTATAAATTCAATTCTAAGGAGGCTGTTTGGTTAAAAAAAAAAAAAAAAAAAAAGTAGGCTCAGAGGCCAAAATGTTCATTTGAAGTAGCAATCCTTCATGAACTGTATTTGCTTTTCTAGGTGCAGCTATGAGATCTTTTACAAAGCAGGGAATCTGGTGAGGGAAAACCCATTTGGATATGTGTGTACCCGTGCTGACTACTTTATGGGCACTGAGACTGCTCCGGAAACCAACCTTATCACCCACCCGGAATCACCAGGTACACTCAGATGGATTAGCCCAACAGTAAATAGGCAGAAAATTGCTATTGTATCTGTCTGTATTTGCAGAGGATTTAGAATGTGCACCGACTAAGTCCTTACAGTCACAGGTTAATGAGGAATAGACGTGAATGAGATTTTAAAGGTACAAATCTCTCCACCGGCAGAAAGGTAGTATAATACTGATCTTCCCTCCCTCCCTCCCTCTCTGATTGCTTTCTCTCTTGCTCTTTCTTTCTTCTTCCTTTCTTTTTTTTTTTTGAGACCGGGCCCTCCTCTGTCCACACAGGCTGGAGTGCAGTGGTGCAATCATAGCTCACTGCAGCCTCAAACTACTGGACTCAAGTTATCCTCCTGCCTCAGTCTCCTGGATAGCTGGGTCTACAGGCATGCGCCACCACGCCTGGCTAAGTTGTTAATTTTTTTTTTTTTTTGTAGTGACAGGGTCTCCCTGTGTTGCCCAGGCTGGGCTCGAACTGCCGAGCTCAAGCCATCTGCCTGCCTTGGCCTCTCAAAGTGCTGGAATTATAGGCATGAGCCACTATGCCTGGCCATTATTTCTAAATATTCTCATTTACAGCCATTTCTCACCAAGACACTCATCACCACTAATAATGTCAGAATGGCAAGCCAGAGCCTAAGCCTACCTTCTTTCTCCTAGGATGCTGAGGTTCACACACAGATTGCTGGCTGTATGTAGTTTATGCTGGTTGTATGTGGTTTATATTGTCGTATGTGAGTTTGGCTTAAGAATGGTCAGGGAAGGCTTGTGCATTTACTCTGTTCAGGCCTCCTCTGGACCTGGAGAACTGTTGCCCCCTCCTCCCCTGCCTCACTCCCTTATTCATCCACAAATGCGGTCTACTCTTTGATCAGACCCTGTGCCATCCATCAGGGAATCAGATGAGATTGCTGTTCTAATGACTTACGCACAGCCTGTGGACAGGGGATGGAGGAAAATCAAGAGTCCTTTTGCCCCCTCAGACTCATCTTTTTGAGGTCAACCTTGACCCCACCCCACGTTCCAGGAAGGGATGACTGCTTCCACCAATGGGCTTCTAAATCACATCAGCACATTTACCTGGCTGTTCACACCATCAGGCTTAGCATCATCCATCCACCCATCCATCCATGTAACCATCCATCCATTCCATTCTTCCTTCCTTCCCTCCAGCTATCATCTATCCATCCATCCTTCTGTCCATCTTTCCATGATCCATCTTCCTAAGTAATCATCCATCCATCCATTCATTATCCATCCATTCATCCTTCCTTCTATCCATCCATCCATTTTTCCTTCCTTCCTTCCATTCATCCATGTAACCAACCTTCTTTCCTTCCTTCCCTCCCTCCTTCCTTCCCCCTGCCCTCCACTCCCCTTCCCTCTCCTCCTGTGCCCTCCCTTCCCTTCCCTTTCCTCCCCTTCCCTCCCCTGCCCTCCCTTCCCTTCCCTCTAGCCATCCATCCATCTATCCATCCAGGCATCCATCCATTCATTCATCCATCCATCCATTCATCCTTCCTTCATCAATTCATTCATCCATCCACCCATCCATTCATCCATTCATCCACCCACTCACCCATCCACCTATCCATCTATCCATTCGTCCATCCATCCACACATCTACTCATCTACCTACCCATCAATCCACCCACCCACCCACCCTTCCTTCCTTCCTTCCATTCATCTATCCATCCACTCACCCACCAGCCACCCACTCATCCACCTCCCATCCATCTGCCTGCCCACCCTTCCTTCCTTCCTTCCTTCCTTCCTTCCTTCCTTCCTTCCTTCTGGGTCCCCCTCCTTCCATCCATCCATCCATCCATTATCCATCCATTCTTCCTTCCACCCATCCACCCATCTGTCCCACCCCCAACCCCTGCATTCCTCTTTGTATCCCATGGGCTTTCTCAGGGCCTAGTACAGCAGGCTTTCAATAAATAATAACCACCACTATTTTATTTACTGCTTACTGTGAGCAAGTCTCTATTTTAAGGGCTTTATATATTGAATGAATTGTATTTTTCCTCTAAAAAGATAGACAATTTTATGTTGTAATAGACACTAAAGACCAAATACAGACTCTTATAAACTGGGTGTTGCTTAAAGCCATTGAAATTAAGGGACTAAGAAAGTGAAGGATTTCTTCAGACTGTTCTGAGAAGGTCTGAACACCTCCGGAGTGGATTCTCTGAATGTCTTTTGCATTAATGTTTCTGTAATGCTTTCCTGCTCCTGAGGAAAAAAAAAATGATTCTCCCTTCCTGTACCATCACCTAAAGGCCACATTTTATTTTAAGCACTCTGTCATAGCTCCAGGAATTGTGTGCATTTTTCATAATAACATTTTAAAATATTGATACAGAATCTTAACGCAGAACGATTTATTTAGCAATCCATTTACACTCAAAAATGTTGGGTGAGGGGGAATGTCATACCGAGATAATTTCCTTCTGAATTAACAGAAGAAAATGTTCCCATTTTTATTCTGCTTACTTCTGCCTTTCCCAAATTAGCATATTTTCCACTCTAGCTATAATTCACCGGGCTACTTATCTCGTACTAATATTTACACCACGATCACGAGTGGGTAAGAAAAAAATTTGGCAGCTGGTAAGGCGTCCACTCTATTTCTCAACTGTGGATTGTTTTTCTCATTTGTATTATGCTGTTAAATATCTCAATAAATCAATGATGGAGAAAAGTATCTCTACAAATTAGGGGGAAAATAACATTACAGAACTATTAGCAAAAATGAGATTTATGCAACCAATTTTTCCATGTTCTGGACAGTCCCCAGTGCCTGGATTTCCATCTCAGTCAACACTCGAGAGGACAGCAGGGCCTCATCCTTTTTAAAGGCAATTCTGGGCACACAGTCAGCCACTTGTCAATCACCCAGGCTAGGGTCAGCTCTCTGGGATGTCCGGAAGAGCCAGCCTGGTTTCTCTTCCCCAGTGAACGAGCTGTGTTGCCGTTGTAGGAAAAGCAAGGGCCGGGTGCAGTGGCTCCCGCCTGTAATCTCAGCACTTTGGGAGACCGAGGTAGACAGATCACGAGGTCACGAGTTCAAGACCAGCCTGATCAACATGGTGAAACCCCGTCTCTACTAAAAATACAAAAATTAGCTGGGTATGATGGCACGCTCCTGTAATCCCAGCTACTCAGGAGACTGAGGCAGGAGAATCGCTTGATCCCGGGAGGTGAAGGTTGCAGTGAGCCGAGATTGCACCACTGCACTCCAGCCTGGGCAACAGAGTGAGACTCGGTTTCAAAAAGAAAAGAGAAAAGCAATGCCCGGCTGGAAGAGGACAGTCATGTCCCCTAAAAAGCCACATCCCCAGATCACTGATCCCCCAAAATGACTGATGCAGGCATCAAGTCCCCTGCTGAGGCCCAGGGTTTGAACTTCCTGTGGGTAATGTCCACCTCTGGGCTGGACCTGCCACTTCATGTCTGTGGAGGGCGGAGGTGCCCTCATGGTGATGTGACTGCAAATCACACCTGTCTATCGTGCTTGGTCTTTCATTCCTGGCTGCCCGAAAGAGCACCTTCCTGGACTCTTGTTACTGAAACGCCATTGGAGAAATACCACTAAGAAAGTGGGAAGCCACTGAGAAAGAGACTTTGCAAAATATTCCTGAAGAAGCCACGCTGTCACCACAACCTCCAATCCTGTCCACCTCAGAAGGAAGGCTGAGTGGGAAAAAGCAAGAGCCAGTTCAGCTTCCCATTGAGGCGGCTTTTCTTTAAAGAATATGAACTATGCATCTTCATTTTTTACGGCGTGATTTGTCCACTTAAACAAGGGAAGTAAGTGGCTAATATTGAAGATCCTTGAAAAAAGAAATCTTTTCTGTATAAATAGGTTCTGCTATCCATCCATGCTTGTCTCCAGCCGACAGAATGAGTCAGCTGTTAGCTTCTGGTGCCAGCATCTCCCCCCGCCCAAGCGGTAGGAGGCACATCTGTTCCCAGACAATGTCCTAATACACCCAGAAACATGATCACCTCTTTTCTGAATTGAGCTGGAGCCCAGCGCAGCACGTCGAAGGGTCTGCACTCAATTTATCCCTCCAACGCCCAGAACGGAGCTGCGTGCTGCAGGTATTAGGGCCGACGTCATGCCAATACAAAAGTTTGATTTCATGGACAATTAAACAGGGTCTCCATGCTGAATGAAACCGTCATTCACTGCCTGAGATTTCTGGTTCCACGCACTCACACAACCAACCGCTTGACTGTCAGTCTGCAGCTCAGAGCAAATGCAAGCCTGTCAGTTGTTTATTTCTTAAATACTGCCATTTCTTTTTGTATGAATGGCCAATCCAGGTTAGAAATTTTACTGAAGCTGGTGGCGCTTAAACATGAGGCTAAATACATCTGATTTAAAAAAAAGACAGTTACCTTCCATCGGATCCTCATTCAAGGCAGGAGGCAAAATGCATTGCATGTTAAGATGACGAAGAAAGCCCGTGTTGCAGGCTGATCCCAGGAAGGGGTGGGAAGCCGGGCTGACAAGCTGTCAGAAACACGCTTATGAGAAAGACAAGCAGCTTATGAGAAAGACAAGCAGCACATGAGGGGACCGGGCACCATCAGAGCCATGGCAACAGCCCCCTCTTGCTGAACCTGCTGACTTGGAACTTCTATGGATGTCAAACCTTCAGAGAAATACTGATTTTCTTCCTTACTCACTTGAAAACTCCCGTTGCCAAAGACTGAAATTGAACAAAATCAATGGGGAGGGAACTGGAAAGCCCCCAGGGGACTACGAGTGGACAGCAGTCCAGGCCTCCGGCTGGGGGGTGTCCCCATCAGGCACGGGACCTGTCCTCCAGCCACCTGCCCTCGTCTCTGGGCTACACACATTATTTAAGAAAAAAAAAAAAAATGCAATACAATATCTGCCTGCATTGGGCACATTCTAAATATGTATTTCATGGCTGCTTTGGAGAGGAAAATATATTTATAGTTCCTTTAGCGTCATTCCAGTCTATTGTGTAAATATGTAAATTAGGCTTCATGATCTACCCAGTAAAATGCCTTAGAATAATCTGTGTAAATAGATCATCTGCATATGTCCAGTGCATAGTTTCCAGTGCCTTCCAGGGAGTTTTGCAACACCAATTTGGAGGAAACTTACGCACAGCCAGAGAAAGGAACGTGTGGGCCAGGCCATGCTGGTGGAAGCTGGTGGCGGTGTCCTTGGGCTCACACTCATGGAGCGCCCTCTCCAGGAATAAGAGGGGATCTGTGTTCTAGCCTGGTGCTAATTTCATTAGCTGCTGCTCAGTTCTGCGTCTCCACATGGCCACAGCAACAGGGGCTATGCAGTAGAATGTGCGGGGGGTGTAAGGAAGGATGGGGATGGGAGGGCAGCACGCTCCACTACCATCTGCCCGGGCTGCCCAGGCCCGCTGGCCACCCTCTGCAAAGCAGCAACAAAGCTGATGAGTGTCTTGTCTCCCAGGGGCAAGGTAGAGACTCAGCTGGATAGAGAGACATCAGGCCGAGCCGACCACGTGGGCCAGAGGGGCTGCCTGGCACCGAGTGCCCGTCTCCCAGATACCCAGCGGTGAGGGCCCCTGTGTGGCCCCTCCCAATACAAAACGGGGCCCATTCATTGCACCTGGAGCAAACCACACCCCACCTGGAGAACGTCTTGCCAGGGAGCTTCGGTGGGAAAATGAGATGATACAGCATTTAATGTTTTGTGTAATGAGGCCTGTAATGGATGACAGCTGAGATCCAAAGCCCTCAGGTACCAGCAAGGTGCTTAAATATTGACAATCCATAAAGCGTTTCATTTGCCTGAGCTGCTGCTGGCCTTAATCATTGAAGGGAGGGGGCGTCTCAACTTCCCATGAAAGAACACGGGTCCCGCGGCCTGCTTGGGTTCCCTTCATGATCCGAAAGGGGAGATCGTTGGCGACCTGCTTTTGAATGTTGAGCAGCCAAGCAGAATTAAGTGCAGGATCTTCAGCCCTCGCCGAAAAAGCTGGGGTCTTCTTGATAAGTCTGTTGTCACATCTTGGTCCCCTGTGGGTCAGTTTCCACACACTGGCCCCAACCCTGCTGAGCTCAGACTCAGCTGACTTCAGAAGCTTCTCCATGTTAGGCAAGCCACTCTGAGGCGTGGGCCCAGTGTGAAGCCCTCGCCGACACGCCAATTACTTCTAATCCGCACGGCCTGCCAGGCTCCCTGGGCCGCACCAGTAACCAACAGGCGTCCTGTTCCCTTCGTGCAGCCGGCGGAGCAGCATATGAGAACCTGAGGAGAAAGTCAAGGGCTCTCTCGGCAAGCCTGAGAACCAATGCCTTATCGCTGCCTGGAAAATGCTGAGATGTGTTCACAGCGTTAAGAGGCTGAGCCCAGGCACCCGTGTCTGGCTGGTACCGCCCCATCCCACAGGCCGCTCTCCCACACAAGAGTGCTCAAAGACACATTGGTGTGCTTGTCCGAGCAGGCTGGGGAGGACGGACACCGTGGCTTTTTCAATGATTACTTGACGCTAAACATATCATTTTGAGGTAGTTGAAGAGTCCCAAGCGGTTGTAAGAAACAACGGAGAGCAAGTCTGTGTATCCTTTACCCAGTGTCCCCCAGTGGTAACATCCTGCAAAACTGTGCTGCAGTCTCACAACTGGGACATGGGCAGGGATGCGGTCGAGATCCAGAATGCCTCCTTCTGTGACCCTGTGACAGCCACCCATCTGCTGGGATCCTTAATCTGTAGTCAGGGAGGCAGGCGTTCAGGGAGGAGGAAGTTTCGTAGCCAGGCCCTTCTGTAGTTTTCTAGTGCGGGTGTCTTTTTTTTTTTTTTTTTTTTTTTTTTTTTTTTTTTGAGACAGAGTCTCACTCTGTTGCCCAGGCTAGAGTGCAGTGGCGTCATCTCAGCTCACTGCAACCTCTGCCTTCTGGGTTCAAGCAATTCTCCTGCCTCAGCTTCCCGAGTAGCTGGGACTATAGGTGCATGCCACCACACCCAGCTAATTTTTTTCTATTTGTAGTACAGACTGGGTTTCACCATGTTGGTCAGGCTGGTCTTAAACTCCTGACCTCAAGTGATCCGCCCACCTCGGCCTCCCAAAGTGCTGGGATTACAGGCTTTTTAATCTGCTCTCGGCACCATGGGTCCCTGTGGCGATCTGTTGGCTCAAGGACACTTTCTCAGAATGGTTGTAGATATATAAACTAAAATTGAAAAGGAAACCAATTCTACTGGTGATATTGTTTGGCTCTGTGTCCCCACCCAAATCTCAGGTTGAATTATCGTCCCCGGTGTTGGGGGAGGGGCCTGGTGGGAGGTGTTTGGATCACAGCAGTGGGTTTCTCATGAATGGTTTTAGGACCACCCCTTTGGTGCTGTTCTTACAATAGGGAGTGAGTTCTCATGAGACCTGGTTGTTTAAAAACGTGTGGCACCTCCCCACTCACTCTCTTCCTCCTGCCCCAGCCATGTGGCGTGCCGGCTCCCTGTTGGCTTTCTGCCATGATTGGAAGCTTCCTGGGGTCTCCCCATGATTTCCTGGGGCCTCCCCAGAAGCAAAGCCACCATGCTTCCTGTACAGCCTGCAGAACTGTGAGCCAACTAAACTTTTTTTCTTTATAAATTACTCAGTCTCAGACATTTCTTTATGGCAATGTGAGAACGGAGTCACAGAACTGGTAATGCCTACGATCACCTGGAGGCACCTGCAGGTTCCTGGGAACTCGTGTCTCCAGGTAATGCTGGAGGCATGGATTATGGGTGGTTTTCTTTGCACTAACTTGTTTAGCGACGTGGTTCCTTGGAAGACGTATGAAGAGTTGGGTTTAGGTGACCTGTGGCCACCGTTATCCCAGCACAACTCAAAAGTCTACGCTTCATGGACTCATTAGCCAACAAGGTCCAGCAGAGAGTCTACAAATGACTGTGATTTCAACGTAAGGACACATCTAAACAGCATTGTGAAATATCTGCAATGGCGGGGAAGTCATACGAAAGTACTCCTGGAAGTGTCACAGGGCCTACTATGAGTTATGTGGTTTCTTAGCTAATATTATGCATTGAATTATGTCTCTGCCCCCCACTGCAAATTCATACGTTGAAGTCCGAACCCCCAATACCTCCCAATGAGCTTATTTGGAAATAGGGTAGTTGCAGATGTAATTAGTTAGGATGAAGTCCTGCCGGAGTAGAGTGGGTCCCCAGTCTAGTATGACTGGCGTCCTCATAAAAGATAAAACTGAGATGCAGACACACATACAGGGAGATCACCATGGGAAGATGAAGGCAGAGATGGGTGAAGCACCTGTCAGCCCCAGATCACCCAGGATGGCCTGTAATCACCAGAAGTGGGGGAGAGGTTACAGGAAACAGATCCTCCCTCACAGCCTCAGGAGGAGCCTGCCCTGCTGCCACCTTGACTGTGGGCTTCCGGCCTCCAGAACTGTGAGACAACCCATGTCTGTTGTGGAGGCTGCCTAGTTTGTGGGACTTTGCTAAGGCAGCCCTGGATAACGAATGTGCCTGCATCCATAATTACAGGAAATGCCAAATTCTAGTTAGAGGTCAGTGAAAATAAAATGTGTATTTTCCCCATCCAAGCTCACGGATCTCCTGAATTCTATTTGTGAACGCCTGGATCCTATTTGTTATATCTGTCACTGTGTCAGGACACTCGTACCCTCCTCCCCCACCAACCTGCTTTTGAAAGATTATTAGTTACAAGTGCCTTCTAGAAACTTTTTTTTTTTTTTTTGAGACGGAGCCTTGCTCTGTCACCCAGGCTGGAAGAGTTGAGGAAGAAATCGGTGCTCTCCCTGGATATGGGGAGGAAAGTGTCTGAAGTGGTTTCTTAAGTCTGGGCTGCTCCCTGCCACCAGCTCCCTCCCCCTTGGCCTCCACAAAGCCTCAATTTGGCCCCAGAACCCACACGTCTCAGCTCCTGTCAGTCTCTGAAAGTGCTCTTGAATCAAAGTCATTAGCAAAGGGCCAGCTGGCTGTGTGAGGGGCCATGGGCTTTCACAGGCAGTGACCACAGGAGGCCCCTGCCAAACTCACATCCTTTACCAACTCAGGACCCTCTGTTTCCACAACAGGACAGACGCCCTGCTCAAAAGATACTCTCAGGGTCCCCCAGGCGAGCACGTCTGGATTTCTGAGTTATTGAGCCAAAGAAATGTTTATGTTGCCTTTGGCTTTTTCACGCTTCTGCACTAGGTTTCTCCTTAGAAGTTTCTAGAAGGCGGCTGGGCACCGTGGCTCAGGCCTGTAATCCTGTCACTTTGGGAGGCCGAGGAGGGTAGATCACTTGAGGTCAGGAGTTTGAGACCAGCCTGGCCAACATGGTGAAACCCCCTCTCTACTAAAAATATAAAAATTAGCCGGGCGTGATGGCGGGTGCCTGTAATCCCAGCTACTCGGGAGGCTGAGGCAGGAGAATTGCTTGAACCCGGGAGGCAGAGATTGCAGGGAGCTGAGATTGCACCACTGCACTCCAGGCTGGGTGACAGAAAGAGACTCTGTCTCAAAAAAATAAAATAAAGAAGTTTCTAGAAAGCACTTGTAACTAATAATCTTTCAAAAGCAATTTGGTGGGGGAGGAGGGAACGAGTGTCCTGACACAGTGACAGATGTAGCTTTGGGGTCTTTCCTCTTGGTCTAATAGCCTGTTTAAGTATTAGACTAAACTAGTTCCTAGCACCGTGGTCCTGCCAGATTGGCAGGTGGGGTTTGATGGTTTGCTTCCTGAATAGCGTCCCTGACACATCACATATTTTCATGCTCAGATGTTCATGATTAACTGTGCAACCATCTGAAGGTCATATTGGAGCTGTTCCGTGCTTTCTGTGTTAGGTGATACCCACTAGCTCCAAGCAGTCATATCCGACGCACCCGATCAGAAACTCATTTCCCAATAATGCCCATCCTTAGTTATTAAAGGCAAATGGAAGGAAGGGTGAAAAAAATTATTCTGGTGAATAAGGCTGGAAATGGATCTTAGACCTCATTTTCGGAAGCCTAAAAAATGAAGCAAACGATGTGTCGGTTTCACTATTAATAAGAATCTTCGTATTATCAGAAACAAGCCTGACGTTTTCCATCTCGGCAGCAAACATTTAGAACCCTGACATGAGTCCCTGAAAACATTCATGGATGAGTTTGAAAATGCCTTTTAGTGTCCCTAAGTTCTCATTCACCTGTTTCTAGGAATAACCATTATCATCCTAAGTAAGTGTCCTGGGGCTAAAACATCCCAAAGCGTATGCCCTTAAGGTGAACCGCACAGTTGTGACTATGAAGACTGGGAGGAGCTGAGTGAGCCATGGATGTCTTCTTTCACCAAAACCGCCCTCTTGGTCCCAGCTTTGTGGGGGGAAAATGCTGAAAGAGAAAGTGATGGAAGCCCCCGACACAGTCTTAGAAGCACTGCCGTCCGCTGGGCTGAGACCCCGTTTGTGGGGCCTGCCACCCTACCTGAGGGCCGGGCCTCGATCACATAGCCCGTGGTAGGTGTGTCGCCAGAGTGTCCCTCAGTCCACTGCAGCGTCAGTTCAGAGGCGGACTTGGTGACCAGGACATCTCTAGGCGAGCCCGGGGATCCTGCGGGATAAAGAAGAAAAGAGAGGTGAGGCATCAGCCCTGCGGGGCTCACATCCCACCCCGTGAGATTTCACAGTGGGGGGTCAGACCGGTCGAGGCTGCAGAGTGTCTGGGCAGGTTACTTAACCTCACGCACCCAGGGTTTTTCATCTTAATAACAGGGAGGCAAGGCCGGGCGTGGTGGCTCACGCCTGAAAGCCACTTTGGGAGGCTGAGATAGGTGGATCGCTTGAGCCCAGGAGTTTGGGCAACATTGCAAAAACTTGTCTCTACAAAATACAAAAAAAAGTAGCCAGGTGTGGTGGCTTGCACCTGTAGCCCAGCTACTCAGGAGGGTGAGGCGGGGTGGGGGGTGGGGGTATCGCTTCAGCCGGGGGAGGTTGAGGCTGCAGTGAGCTATGATCATGCTGCTGCACTCCAGCTTGGGTGACAGAGTGAGACCCTGTCTCAAAAAACAAACAACAACAAAAAAACCTGAAGAGGGCCTGAAAGAGCTGGCAGGTGCAGGGCACCCCACACTGTGCCCGGGACTAAGCAGCACTCCCTGAATGCCGGTTCTGCAGCCCACGCCTTCCTGTCTTTAAACAAAGGGCAGAACAGTTGGATAAGTGGGAAGGTACATGCTTCTTCCCCATGACCTGGAAAACTTTAAAATTTTCTGATTTATTTCAAATGCCAAATTCAGTTATTTTCCTCTTAAGATTTCTCAAAAAAAAAAAAAAACAACTAAAACTTGACATGCTTAATATTTAACAATGTGCCCATGGATGTAACAAGTCCACCTGCAAACTCCATGTTGACGCGTGCTTTTGAAGACGTCCATGTTGCCCAGACATCCCCGAGTTGATGCCAGCTCTTGGCCGCCAACATCACCTTGTTGACCATGTAGATGGATCTCAGCTCAGTGAAGCAGGAGGCGGGAGGCTAAAGTTGCAATTGACATTGTCTGCCCCTGGAGTTCCACTTACCCTCGGCTGGCCCGGCTGTGATATTGGCTTGGAGCTCGGGCCCGTAGGTGATGGTCCGCGCTTGGACACGGAAGAAATAGGTCACTCCCTTGGTGAGGTCCCGCACCTTCAGCCAGCGCTGCCAGTTCCCTCTCACTTCCACGGTCACCACCTTGCTCACCCCTGCAGCCGCCAGAAGCAAAGGAAACAAGGGGGTTCAGCCTGGAGAAGCAACTGTCCACTGTCTGTTCTGTTGCGATAACAAGGAAAGTGGTCCCTGCAGTTTGCTAAGGAAGTATTTCTTACTATTAGGAGTTTATATGGTGGTAATAGCCAATTTTCAGCACAGATAAGTGTAATTAGAGCTTAAGCTTGGTAAGTGGGTGCTGACAAAGAAAACAACTGAGGCTGACAACACAAAAGGGGGAGGCTGCCGTCTCAGGAATGATATGAAGGAGGAGCGGGGAGGGGAGGGAGGAGCGGGGGCGGGGGAAGGGGGGCGGTCCTGCCATTCTCCAGGTTGGACACTCCAGGGAATGTCCCTTCCCACTTGGCTCTGAGCTGTGCAAAGTCTGGTGTCACTTGTAAGGTGACTGCAAGCTTCCTGACATAGTCACGAGGGAGGGGAGTGATAGGGTTTGGCTGTGCCCCACCCAAATCTCACCTTGAATTGTAATAATCCCCACTTGTCAAGGTGGGGCCTGGGGGAGATAATTGAATCATGAGGGCTGTTTCTCCCATTCTGTTCTCGTGGTAGTGAATACGTCTCATGAGATCTGATGGTTTTATAAATGGGAGGTTCTCCGCACATGCTCTCTTGCCTGCCACCATGTAAGATGTGACTTTGCTTCTCCTTTGCCTTCCACTATGATTGTGAGGCCTCCCCAGCCATGTGGAACTGTGAGTCCATTAAATCTCTTTCCTTTATAAATTACCCAGTCTCAAGTATGTCTTTATTAGCAGTGTGAGAACAGATTAACACAGGGAGCGTATACAAGATGTAGGAAGATACTCCATCTAGTTAGACCCCACGAGGAGGCTGCAGCCTGCCTGGGTTGGCCAACTTGCGGCCTACAGGCCTCAAATGAGTCATAAGAACTTCATCTGTGGACTCTGAAGCCAGGATTTAAAAAATTAATTAATTTCACTGCAAGTATTGATGCCTCGATTCAGAGGACGATGGCAACATAGAGACAAACGTCCTCAAACCTATGGGATGTTATAAACAAGTGATCATGCAAAAGTCTTGCTGGTTGGATTACCTAGAAATAGAAAATGGAGATTTCACATTTTAGGGGAGAGAATAAATATTGAAAATTACACATATGCAGCATTTTCCAGAAGGAAAAATCAAGTTCTTTGGTTAAACAAGTTTGAAAATGATGCATTAAAAAAAAAAACAGTTAGATAAGTTCTCAACTGCTGGACTTCTCAGAACTTTCAATAGATTAATCTCCACCAGGCAGCTCTTGGAGGAGGATATCAAGGTGTGGTACTTCCAGGATGGACCGATTGGCAGAGCTCATTTTCCAAGGAGCATCCCTGAGAAGAGCTGCCCTTGGTGAGTGGCACCCACCGTCCTGAGTCCACCTGCCCAGCCCTGCCCTCCTGCTGTCAGCCCTAAGAAATGGCTGCCTTGGTGCGGGAGGGTCGTGCGCTGCTAGTCAGCACCTGGAATACCCCAGTCATCTCCACTTCAGAACAGAACAAAGCGCCTTCCTACTACAAAACGGGTCCATCTTTCAAAGCCATCAAAGCAAATTTCTCTTATCCTAAAAATCTCCAACATATCTTCTAGCTGGTTCAGTGTTTTCATATATTATGCCTTTTATCAAACATATATTCAGCTAAATTATTTTCTTCCGAATTATTTCAGAGCAATTTTGGCTTTTTTTTTTTGAGACGGAGTCTCGCTCTGTCATCCAGGCTGGAGTGCAGTGGTGCGATCCCAGCTCACTGCAACCTCCACCTCCTGAGTTCAAGCGATTCTCCTGCCTTAGCCTCATGAGTAGCTGGGATTACAGGCGCATGCCACCATGCCTGGCTAATTTTTGTATTTTTAGTTTCACCATGTTGGCCCGGCTGGTCTTAAACTCCTGACCTCAAGTGATCTGCCCACCTCGGCCTCCCAACGTGCTGGAATTACAGACATGAGCCACCGTGCCTGGGGCCAATTTTGGCTACTTTTGGGTGACCCTCCAAAACTGGGTTTTCCTGTAGAGGAATGGGGCATGTGTGAGCACTGACCTTCCATTGCTCAGAGAGGTGATGAGGATGGCAGTTTGTGCACATAGTGACTGTCATCAACACACAAACTGGGTCCTGTCCAATGTAAAGTGATTCTAGAGAGCAACTTTTTTTTTCATTGTTAAAAATGCCTTCCTTCTCCCTGGAGCAAAAACAAACCCAGGTACAGATTTTGTAAATTCTATCCCACAGGAGGCAGAGCCAGCCTGGCCTTCTCCCCATTTCAGGTGTGTCAGAATTTTATTTATTTAATCAATTTTTAAACCATGCCCAGCACTACAAAGCCTCAGGGTACAATCCCATAAACCACCACCATTAAAAACATTTTAAAAAATGTAAAAATAGCTCTGCCATAAAATCGGATTCCCAAGCACATGGCTGAGTGCTCAAGTGGCCTGGTGCTCCAGGTGGCCTGGTGCTCCGGGTGGTGTGGTTCTCCGGGTGGCCTGGTGCTCCGGGTGGCGTGGTGCTCCGGGTGGTGTGGTTCTCCGGGTGGCCTGGTGCTCCGGGTGGTGTGGTGCTCCGGGTGGTGTGGTGCTCCGGGTGGTGTGGTGCTCCGGGTGGCCTGGTGCTCCGGGTGGTGTGGTGCTCCGGGTGGTGTGGTTCTCCGAGTGGCCTGGTGCTCCGGGTGGCCTGGTGCTCCGGGTGGTGTGGTGCTCCGGGTGGCCTGGTGCTCCGGGTGGCCTGGTTCTCCGGGTGGCGTGGTTCTCCGGGTGGCCTGGTGCTCCGGGTGGCCTGGTTCTCCAGGTAGTGTGGTTCTCCGGGTGGCCTGGTGCTCCGGGTGGTGTGGTTCTCCGGGTGGCCTGGTGCTCCAGGTGGCCTGGTGCTCTGGGTGGCCTGGTGCTCCGGGTGGCAGGGTGCTCCGGGGGGTGTGGTGCTCCGGGTGGTGTGGTGCTCCGGGTGGCCTGGTGCTCCGGGTGGTGTGGTGCTCCGGGTGGCCTGGTGCTCCGGGTGGTGTGGTGCTCCGGGTGGCCTGGTGCTCCGGGTGGTGTGGTGCTCCGGGTGGCCTGGTGCTCCGGGTGGTGTGGTGCTCCGGGTGGCCTGGTGCTCCGGGTGGTGTGGTGCTCCGGGTGGCCTGGTGCTCTGGACAATGTGATGTCCCAGGGGTTCGAGGAGTGTTCCCTAGAGTGACGGGGATGGCTGGGGATGGCCCTGGGCTCTGCCCAGCACACAGGATGAGCCACGACTGTGTTCACAGTGGAGTGACTAGAGGAGCTGCCCATACCGGGTAAATGCTGTACCCTCTATTTGCCTTGGCCCGACTGGTCAATGCCCAGCCAAGAGTTTGCAGATGTCAGGCACAGACCTGGTTCTGGGTGAGGAGGTGTGGAAAGAGGTCAGAAGACCCCACAGATCCCCTACCAGGTGAGATCACTGTTTACTTTTTAACTATCTTTACCATATTTTAAAATATTTTGTCATCACAATATACTTCAAGGATGCCTGATGTTTCACTGCGTTTGCAACTGTTTCCCTGGGACACGCACAGACTCCATGAGCAAAATATTGAAAGTCATGTGGAGGTCCAGTTACCGCTTTTGTGGTTCCCCGTTGGGAATCCTGATGCAATAGTGAAAGGGTTAGAGTCTGGATTTTTCAGAGTCCCCCACGCAGGCACAGTTGTCTCCTAGGGGCCTCGGGGAGGAGCAGACGGGAGTGCAGCCCCTCCGGGTGAGAGTGGGAGCAGCGGCCGTGGGGCGGGGCCAGTCTGGGTGTGGAGGTGCAGGGCAGTGAGGGCTGGATGGTGTAACCTCCACGGGGTGCACGAAGCTGCTTTGCTTTTTCCCAGTCGTTGCCTTCTGTCAACCACCCTGCCCTTGGCCACACTCCATCGTGTGGCGTTGTCGTCCTTTTCAAGCTATCCCGGCATCCTCCCACATTCAACAGAGAGTTCACGTCCTCCCTTCCCCAGCCTCAGGAGGCCAAGACACTCAGAAATGCCTGCAGGCAGAGAGCAGCTGCCAGGATGAGTGCTTCCTGAACCACGTTCCTGCCAAGGCCGGTTGTGGTATCTGCAGAGTCAGCTGGGAGGAAGAGAGAATGCAGGAACGGGGATGGGAGTGGTCTGAAGCCCACTGCTTGCTCCCTGTGTGAGGCTGGGCAGGACATGTGGTCTCTGCAGAGTCCTCAGTTTCTCCCTCTGCTCTGAGGTTGGCAGCGCTTACCTCATAGGACCACGGTGAGGAGTGGAGCAGGGCAGGGGGGATGAGTGGGAGTGCCCAGCCGATAGTCAGGACCCCAACTCTGACTATTGTCTAAGAACGCATCAAGTAATAGGTGCTCCACAATCAACATGGACTCCTCACCTGCTGTACCTCTCTCATGCACGGCTGTGAACCAAACCACTCCAAAACCGAGTGGCTCAAAACCACCACCACCAAACCAGCTCCCGTACCGCGGGGCAGTCCTTTGGCCGGGCTGGCCTGCACTAGACTCAGCATGTCTGCGGTCACACATTGAGTCTCACTGGGGGTTGGCTGGCCCAGGTGGCCCCTCTCCCATGCTGGGCCGTGCGTGACTGTCACCCCACAGGCCAGCCCAGGTGTGTTCACATGGTGGTTGGGTTCCAAGGGCAGCAGGAGGACCAGGGTGCCTCCCACGTGCAAATGCTTTTGAAGCTGCTTGCCTCATGACAGCTATTGTCCCGCTGGCTGAAGCGAATCCCGTGGCCCAGCGCAGAGTCGGTGTAGGGGGACTCCGCCCAAGGCCTGGACTCAGGAGAAGGGAGAGATAGGCCCCTCCGCCTCTGCCACCTCCACCTTCACCACCCACCAATTGGGAATCTTCATCAGATGCCAGTGCTCTGGCCCCCGATGAGATATAAGCTGACTCAGTGAGTCTGATCTGCCATCCTCTCTTGGTCCACGTTCTTCTTTTGACGTATGTGGGTACGGGATGTGGCTTGTCGGACAGGCCTGGGGTTAGTGTCTCGGCGAGCCAGGGTTCTGGCCAATACCATCAGGGGAGGCAGGCGAGCGCCAGGGTCCCGAGGCTCTGCTGGCATTTGTGGTGAGGAGGGCCTTCCCCAGGCAGCCATGAGGTCCACCTGGGTGGCACTGGGGGGCAGGGTTGCTGAGTCCTGCCCGAGGGAGAAGCCAGGAGGGATCTGGAACCTATAGCCAGACTCAGGCTCATCCCGGCTGGAGCCGGACCACGGATGATGGTGCCTGCAGACTGACGGTGTTGTGGCGGGAAAGACCCCGGCGGGGGCCCCATGGCTTAGTCAGAGCCAGGTGTCATGTCTAGAGGAAGCTCTATAAGGCCATTGGGTGGGGGCTGGACGCCTCATGTCACCAGCACCGCTGGGCAATCCACACCTGGATCCGCTGCTTGACTGATGTGCAGGAATCCGAAGTCTGGAACGTGCCCAAGCCCCCAGCAAGCCCAAACGTGGGGGGTCTGCATGGCTTGTTCTTCCTGACACCCGGGGAGGCCTGATGGAGCTTTTTCTGCTGAGATCCTGGCCGCCCCTCAGCCTGCAGAGCCAAGGAAGGAGCTGCAAAGCAAGACAGTGCTGCTCCCCTCTCGCTCTAATCTCAGAGCACATTGCCTCGGTTGCAAAGCCAGGAAAATCCAGGATGAAGGAACCAGCCCTTCGCAACAGACAAAAGAGACAAGGCTGGTGACGGACGGTCTTGCTATTTGTGAAAAGAGGCGAAAACGGTTGTGACTAAAGTGACTCCACCTTTTGCCATCCAGGGGAGAGACAGGCCCCCTACTCGGCTGTGCAGCCAGCGGTTTGTCTAGAATATAAAACGCTTTAGTGAATCCTCCTCAAGCCCCATCTCTGAAGTTCACCTTCACATTTACTTTCAGAAACACAAGTGCTCCAGACGCTTTCTGCCCATCATGGAGCAGTTTAGGCCTTGGCTCTGGACTCAGAACACCTGGGTTCAAATCCCAACCCTCGTCATTATTTTCAAAACGCAGGCCTTGGGCAAATGTCTTTGTGGCTCTGAGCCCAATCTCTCTGTCTGCGGGAGGAGAAGAAAAGCTGCAGCCACAAGGTAGAGCCGTTCTGAGGATTTGGAGATAGCGGATGTTAAGTGCTGAGCACAGTGCCCGACTTGAGCTCAACAAACATCACCTATCACTGTGATTATACCTGGGGGGTGCCTGTGTATAGCGAGAACACAGAATGCCCATGTAAGCGGGACATGCTGAAAGGATTGTCTAAAAATCTTCCGAATGCTTTGAGTTTCCCAGTGATGCAAAAACTGTCATGAAACGAACAAGAAACGGCAACACTGAAAACACAAGGGAAGCCAGATGTGCAGGGTCTTGTGTCTGGGAGACTGGGCTAGGGGGAAGGTTTGGTAGAAGCCAAGAAACAATTCTAGGGGAGTGAAACTGCAGAGAGAAGAGGACCCAACACATCGAGGCCCCTGTGCGGCACTTCTGACTGGGTAATGACCCATGGAATGGCCTTGCCTGGAATGAAGTACTGGTTTTTTTTTTTTTGAGACAGAATCTCGCTCTGTCACCAGGCTGGAGTGCAGTGGTGCGATCTCAGCTCACTGCAGCCTCCACCTCCCGGGTTCAACCCATTCTCCTGCCTCAGCCTCCCGAGTAACTGGGACTACAGGCACATGCCACCATGCCCAGCTAATTTTTGTTTTCTTTTTTTTTTTTTGAGACGGAGTCTTGCTCTGTCGCCCAAGCTGGAGTGCAGTGGCGCGATCTCGGCTCACTGCCACCTCCGCCTCCCAGGATTAAGCAATTTTCTGCCTCAGCCTCTGGAGTAGCTGGGATTACAGGTGCGTGCCACCATGCCCAGCTAATTTTTTGTATTTTTAGTAGAGATGGGGTTTCACCATCTTGGCCAGGCTGGTCTTGAACTCCTGACCTCGTGATCCACTTGCCTCGTCCTCCCAAAGTGCTGGGATTACAGGTGTGAGCCACTGCACCCAGCCAATTTTTGTATTTTCAGTAGAAACGGGGTTTCACCATGTTGGCCAGGATGGTCTCGATCTCTTGACCTTGTGATCCGCCCACCTCGGCCTCCCAAAGTGCTGGGATTACAGGCCCCTGCGCCCAGCCCATGAAGCACTTTCTCACAAGACTAAGAGCAGCAGCCCAAGAGAGAAGCCCAGAGGCACACACCATGGAGTTTCCACGGAGATTCTGCAAATCCATTAACACAGAAGACTGGGGAGCAGAACCAGTCACTTACTTGAGGAAGAATGGGAAAACCTGAGCTGCCTTTGATTAGGAAGGACTCACAGGTCAATCAGAACTATGAAGCTTTCACAGTCAATTCTCATTTAAATGGTCCTCGTTGGTTATGACCCTTGAAAAGGCATTTGTAACACAGGCTCATGGAACCCGTGTGTGTCTCCAAAATTCTCTACTGTTTCTCCCTGCAGGACAAGCAAGAGCAAATGGCATGCCTGCTTCTGGGCCTCTGCTGTGGGACCTCGAAGGCAGCCTCGTCCAGGCCCCCTGGCTCCCAGGCAGGTGCTGGGCACTCGGAAGGTCACAACAGATCCTGGCCGCCCCTCGAAGTGGCCACACTAAATCCCCGTCCCTCCCATGCCCTCTCTGCTGGTTCAAAAACCATGCCCACATCTCACCTCTACTGTTATTTACCAAAGTCCATCGATTGTCTAAGACGTGATTTTTTTTTTCTTTCTCGGATTTTCACATCTCCGATTTGGGATGCAGCTCAGAATTGATGATACAAAAGTATTGGGCTCTGGTTTATTGGGAGCATTTTTTCTTTCTGAGCACTTCATAAAATAATGATGAATCTTACAGTGAATGGCATCTGAGATTCAGTGAAATAAAAAACTAGTGCTTAAATTTTCTTCATCAAATCAACTCCGTTTCATCTAAATGTGCTTATTTTTAAAGGAAACTTTTATCACGGCTTTAAATGGAGCGCCGATATTCTTTGATGTGCTCGTTGTATTTTTTCCTCGCAGACATTAAATAATCTATAATTTTTACAGTCTGTCTGTGTATATTACAGGGGGAAACTTGCCCTGGACCATAAGGCAGAGACAGCTGGACTTGTATTTCACCCCAGTGTGGTGGGAAAGACGTGCCTCCCAGACCGGAATCTTTGGTGGACACATTGGTGTCTGGATGGCAGGAGAGAGGGACACAGAAGGCACTGGAATAACACCTAAGCAGGGGTCGGGCACGGTGGCTCACGCCTGTAATCCCAGCACTTTGGGAGGCCGAGGCAGGTGGATCACGAGGTTAGGAGATCGAGACCATCCTGGCTAACATGGTGAAACCCTGTCTCTACTAAAAATACAAAAAGTTAGCTGGGCGTGGTGGTGGGCGCCTGTAGTCCCAGCTACTCGGGAGGCTGAGGCAGGAGAATGGTGCGAACCCGGGAGGCGGAGCTTGCAGTGAGCAGAAATCGTGCCACTGCACTTCAGCCTGGGAGACAGAGCAAGACTCCGTCTCAAAAAAAACAGAAACAAAAACAAGAACAAATACCTGAGCAGGGTGTGCACTGACCCAGCAGGTGCAGAGCAGCAGCCACATGCACAGCAGGGCAGAGCCACCTGCCCGCAACCCCCATTCCTCCACTTCACGCCAGTACCCCACCAGCTCCACCTTCAATACACACCCCTGATCTGAGCCCTCCTCCCCTGCCCCCGCACCCTTCCCCTTCTCGCCGCTCTCCTGTAGGATGATGCCACAGCCCCGGCCGGCCTCCTCACTCCCTGGTCTACAGAATCTCTGCCACCCGTTCTCCTCCGAGCCATCTGCATTCCACCTTCCGTTTTCACCTGTCACTCACTGTCAAGCCCCTGACATTTCCTCTTTCAAAGTCCTCTGTGTTGGCAACACCTTCCCTGCTCTTCTATGGAAGCTGTTTCCGGTTGATCTAGGAAGTGTGGAGATGAACGATAGCTTCTTTCCATCGTGACACTGAGACGGGGGATTGGGCCCGAGGGATCCTGGTCTTGGGGAGGTCAGGTCCTCCTGCTCCTGTGTCACTCTCCAGTGGGATATGCCATAGCCCCGTGTGCTGTGGCCTGCAGTGCCTGCACCCCACTCACCAAGCTCCAGCCACCAGCACCACCCAAGCTCTGCCCACCGTGGGCCCCTAGATTGGCGGATCCTCCCTTCGGAAGATCTTCCCCAGGATTCTTGTGTGTCCGGGCCCTTGTCACTCCGGTCTCTTCCCTAAGCCTCTTGTGTTAGCCCTCCTCTCTTTCCTCCAAAGCACTGATCACGCTCGGGCTGTTGTTTGCTGATTTAATTACCTGTGTGTTACCTCTGCCCTGGAATAGGAACTGCCTGGACGCAGGAAAGCCAGGGACCTGATAAACAAGCCAGTCAAAATCCTGGCTTTCCCAGGTCCTCGATTCCAGCATCTGGAGCATGTCTTGGCTTTTCCAGCATGTAGAACAGGAGCTTCATAGATGTCCGCTGAGGGGACGGATGAGCGAGGGGAGCACCAGGGTGCTAAGACACGGGGATGCCAGCATCCCTCCTAGGATGCTGAGGGTAGCCGAAGGCCTGTGTTGTGAGGCGTGGCTTCAAGTGGAACCCTGGGTGGTCTCTGTCGGCGACCACAGGACAAACATCTCGGGAGGAATAGGAGAGGAATGTCTTGAGTGTGACAGAGACAGGATCAAGGGCATATATGACACGGCTTCAGAGGGAGAGTGCCGTTCTGGTCTCAGAACACAGAGGTCTGGTCTTGG
Source organism: Homo sapiens (assembly GCF_000001405.40). Taxonomy (NCBI): domain Eukaryota; kingdom Metazoa; phylum Chordata; class Mammalia; order Primates; family Hominidae; genus Homo; species Homo sapiens. The sequence continues at coordinate 4,210,374 of NC_000007.14, read as the reverse complement.
CTCAGCTTTTCCTCACAGGCCTTTCCCCGCGAGTCCCCGCTCCCCTCGCACTCAGCTCCAGCCCCGTCCAGCTCAGATTCCAAAACCCCCCACTTCAGGCGCCAGAAGGCTCCTGGCCCACAGAAGCGGTCAGGTGCGGCTCACTGTGTAGACTGCAGAGGGCTGGGCACTGGTGTGGCCCGCGCTCCCATCTCCCCAACCCCGGGTCTTACCTTGTACAGGGGCCAAGGGCTCGTACACCACCCGATAGCCCTGCAGGATGCCGTTGGCCGCCGCAGGCTCGCCCCAGGACACGTTGAGCGTGGTGGAGGTTATTTCTGAGAACGCCAGAAAGCTGGGGGCCCCAGGGGCTGGGAGAATAGAACACAAAGTGACTTTTACAGGGGCTCCTACATAGATCATATACATACATGTCTGTGCCTCCGTATAGAATAAAAAATGTTATTCGATGTTATTTTCAACTCAGTAAAAGTCTGAATGTCATAAAATGAAAAGATTTATTGATCACCTCAGAACTTCCGAGGATCAATCAGACACGCAGACCCTCCTGAGAAGAGTGGAGAAAATGACAGTGTTTAAACACAAAGGGGCTTGAGAGACAAAACGGCAAAGGCATAAAAATGAATAATAGATGGAAATAGAAAATGAAACGCAGGGAGCTCCATTTTCTAGCAACTGCTGGAGGATTCCAGAAGCTCTAGTCCTGCTCTTTGCCGGAGAGACGGAGCTCTGTGATGGATGAAGCCTCTCTTGACCCCTCCTCGCCTCTCCCTCAGAGGCCTGGGGGTTTTGGGGGACACCCCTGGCTCCTGCACGTGAAATCTCCCACCACACTCTCCAGGCTGAGTGTCCCCCTGGGTCTGGAGCGGGGAGGGAGCTGGTGGAAATATCTAGAGCTACTGAAGGTCAGGTGTGTGGCCGGGGTGATGTGGAGCCTGCTGGCAGCTCCCCCTCTGCCCGGGCGCCGTGTAAGGTGGGCGTGTACTGGGGCTGCCCCTACCAGACAGCCTAGGTGGGGGACCTACTCTCCTCGCCCTGGTGCCCCTCGCTGCTCAGAAGTGCCTGTGAAGTGGCACCCACCCTCCTCCCTCTCTGCCCTCCCTCCAGTCTCTGGGACCCACAGCTGTGACCTGCCAGGCCGGCAGTGCTCAACATGGCTCTACCCTCATCTCTGCCTACAGATCTGCCCACATCCTTCCAGCTCAGATGCGGGCACTGGATGAAGCCAAAGGAAGTGGTCCTTGCAACCTGGTTGTGGTCAGCACATGAGAGTTTGATGCCAAGGGGCCCTGATTCCCGGAGTCCATTGTCTGTGGGTCAGCTGAACCCATGGAATGTCGGAAGGCCCTGAGCCCTGCGTCTCTGCCCACGGTTCCCAGACCTCACTCTCCCAGTCTCTCAGACTTCCAGAATCCTACAGAGGGCCTTGGAGAGCTCCTCAGAGCCCAAGGCCAAGCAGCTTCACAGCATCCTCCAGGCTGCTAGGAAACTGAGATGCGCTGGAAGAGGGGTCGACTGAGAACAGGCGCTGCGCCCTGTGCGTGGAGATGAGGCCACAGCAGCGCAGCACCTGTCTGAGCCCTCGGGACTGGCCCGTGGCATGTGTGTAGTGAGCAGTCTCCAGGGGTGGTCTGTGGCCCTGAGACCCAGGGGAATTCCCGTCGCTGTGGCCTGGATTTACTGCCCGAGGAGCCTACCCCCAAGGATCTGGACATGCCATCAGGCGCCCCTGATGGGAAGTTCCATTTCTTGGAGGAACTGGAATGGATGCTGTCAGTTATGAACGAGGCCTTGCTGCAGACTCAAAGCCCTTCCTCCCCTCTGAATCTCCAGGGCTCTGGGAAAAAGCATGCATTGCTCCAACCCACCTAACATTTATTTAGCGCCACTGTGTACCAGTCTGAGGCCAGGCACAGGGAGAACAAATGAGCCAAACCCAGTCCTGCCCATCCAGAAACTCCCAGCTACTCAAAAGGTGTTGCCTTCCGCCTGGGCGGGCCGGGAACCACTGTGTGAGGGGACCTGAGCTGGCGCTCTCAAAACACGTGTCCAAGGAGGCCTGCCCAAAGGAAACCCGCCTTCCTCCTACCGGCCTGGTGGGTGCGCCCCTGCTGGGGGTCACTCTTAGGTCCATCTCCGGCGGCGTTGAAGGCTGATATGCTGACCAGGTACTTGGTATGGCTGGTCAGGTTCTTCAGCCTCACCACGGGCTCGGGGAGGAAGAGGACCTTCATTTTCTCCGTTTCGTTCTGGCTGTCTGCCTCCCAGTAGTAAATCTGTTAGGAACAGCAAGAGGTTGGGGTGGGTCCTGGGGAAGCCTTCCAGTAAGCGGGGGCCACTGAGTGTAAGGTCAAAGCGAGGGGGTGAGCTGAGTTCTGGGGCGAGCTGTGCTGGGTGGGAAGGTGGAAAGGCTCCCTCCTGGAGGAATCAGGGAGAAGCTGAGGCTACTGTGTATGGACGGGGACCCCTGGCTGCTAATGTTGTTTGGGAGACGATGTTTAACATTTTCCTGTTGCTCACCTAGAGTATGAGCATTGCCTCGTTAAACAAAGCGCTGTTGAAGATAAGTTGTGAGGACGGAAGGGAAGCTGCCCTTCAGCTGCCGATGATGTGCCTTTCCTTGCAGACCTAGCTCTGTTGGTGTTTTGATTTTTGGCCTCTCCCTCTCCCCCATCTTCTGGAGAGAAGGGAAGCCGCCCCGTGTCCACCCCCTGCTCCGAGCTATGGAGACAACAAACCCCCAACTCCTACGATGTGTTCCCACATTTTATTCAGAGCCGACATCTAAGTTTTCCTCAATATGGCAATATACTTTGGAGATTAAAGCAATCAAAAACAACAGGCAGGAGAACTATGTTGGGCTCAGGGCTGCTGGGAAGGCCTCATTCCTCTGGGGTGCCATTTCCTCTTGTCTAGCTTTTATGTGCTTGTAGTTGAACTTGACGCCCAAGCACAAAGGTTTAAAGAGGTTGCCAGAATTGCTTCCCTAGACAGCTGGCCGGAAACCACTGCTACCTCCGACCAGTGCCAGCCAGGCTGCCCAAAGACAACACCAATCAGAAGACCCACCTTGGCTCTGTGGGTCTAAACCAGGGCCAGGCTGTTAGAGCGGCTTGCCCATGTGAAAAGGCAGCACGGAGGCTTCGGGGAGGCAGCCTGGAGCGCCCCAGGGCTGGCACGCCTGCCTCGCACACCCGCCCGCCTTGCTCTTGCTGGGCAGGCCCTGACTGGTGAGCATCGTTCATTTCCACCTGCAGGATGTAGTGGGCTTCTGCTCACTGAATTGACCGTCTAAGATCTTCCGCTCGCCCAGGCCTTGCTAACTTGAGATCAATATCCAAGATCAGTGTCTTTATCATTAAGGAAATTAGAAAACATATTTTGGACATACATAAATAGCGCCATGCCTCCAAGCTCATGGGGCTCTCCATTAGCTCATTCATCACTGTAACAGCCCTGCCATGGAGGAAGGTATTAATTTTCATAACACACCTGCAAAAACCATCTTTAAATGGACATTTAATCGGTCCAATAGTCATTAGGGGAGGCTAGCCCCCAGAATCTGATGACTGATCGACTTGGGTCCCAGCAGAATAGACAGGGGAATTTATTTAGGAGAAGGATGGGGGCGTTTTCATGGCAAAGACCCCGGATGCTTATGGGCCCTGTACTCTCTAAGGAGGCCAGGCCTCAGGGATGGGACGTGGAGAGGTGCTTCCCGCCCCATGGATAACCCAGCCCCACATAATGATTCCTCACTCGACGCTCTCCTGTCATGGCCTGCTGCCTTCCTTTCTCCCCATCTCTAGACCCTCCAGTGACAATGGGCTTCTCACATGTTACCGTGGCGGTTCTCAAAGCAGGGTTCCCAGGGACCTCACATCTGGGACCTTGTGAGGAATGAGACTGGCGGGCCCCACCCTGGACCGACCGAATCAAGGGACTCACTCAGTGTCCAACTGTGACCAAGGGGGGAGCTGGGATGGGGAGCCTGGTCTCTTCCAGGCGCCCCATGTTCTTTTATAGTCAGCCAATGTACTGGGGGCTCCAGAATGGGCCCAGGAAACGGAAGGGTTCCCCAGCCAGGCCATGCGTCCAGAGTGGGGAGAAGCCAGTGGACAAACAAGGGCCCCCAACCTGGGTTGTTTTGTGGTGGGCACAGCCAGGTGTGCAGTGAGCCTGGCCCCTGTGCTGCCTCCCACCCACAAGCAGCTGTGACCACAGTTAACAGGCCAGGTCTAGCCAAGCTCCGACGCTTGGGCCCCAGCTCTCCAGGTGGAGCGCCTGCGGGGTCTGCTGCTGGCAATGCAGTAGGCAGGACCACGTGAACGAGGGGTGCCCAAGCGAGCCAGGGGAGGCAACCGCACGGGAGGGCCTTGCCTTGTAGCCTTGGATGTTCCCATTCTGGCTCTCCGGGGGTGGTGGGTCCCACGTGACCTCCAGCTGGCTGGCCGTGAGTGGGGTCACCTGCACGTTCTGCGGGGCCATGGCCGGGGCTGAGGAAAGAGCAATGCGGAGAGAAGCTGAGACGTTCATTCAGAGCCGGCCCGGACCCTCGCCCACATGCCCATGGGGCTCGAGCATGCCCTAATTCCGCTGGGAACCATGTGAGAGATTCTTCCCTGGGCCGTCGCCCTGGCTTAGGAGGCCTTAGACAGTTATGTCCTGGGATCCGTGGCTCTGTGTCCCCCTAAGAGCTCTCAGCCCTTTTATGCCAGGGAAGACCACAAATCCTTCCCATACGATGTTCTTAAATGCATACAATAAAATATATAGAATTGCACAGAAAAATAATTATACCGAGATACAGTTAGCAGAGTATTTGAAACCAAAGGTATGAGATCGTAATCCACGTGCTTCTTGGTTAATACCTGACCAGGCTTAGGGGCTGGTCTGATGGTTGCTGTGAGATCAAAGCATTGGTGGGTGAGGATGTTAACTTGAGGTCCCAGCAATGCCTGGGATGTGACAGGGTCACTGCGGCTCTATCGGCGAGGGAGTCACAGGACTCCTGACTGCTGTGGTTTTTGTCACTAATATTACTGATTGAGATTAGAGAAAAGATAGCTGTGTTCCCATGACAGGTTCAGGCATCCCTGGCTATGAAGCCCTGATCTAGATGAAGTTCGTCCAGATACACAGAGTTGCCCCTCTAAGAGGGACAGGAAGCTCCGATGTTTGAGAACATGGCTGCACTTTGCTCTCTGAGGCCAGCTCTGGCTTCACGTTCTGAGGATCCAGTCTTCCCCTCCAGCCCCCTCGCTCCCCCTGGGGAGGAGCTCACTGGGGTGCTGTCTGCGTCTGCAGGGCTGCATGGCACACGCAAACCAAAGGACACATGAGGATGTTGCGGCCGCACCTCCGCGCCTTACCACACCGCCATTAGGGGTGTGGCCGCACCTCCGCACCTCACCACACAGCCATTTAGGCAGTTGGGAGCACACGCCTGCGTTCCAGAACGCCTCCGTCCTGTCTGCCCCATGCCAGCTTCACACTATCTTTGAATTCCACGCTGCGCACTTTCTCTTGACGGCCTATTCTCTGCTACTCCCTCCTCCCACTGGGGCTCTCCCGGCTGTCCATGAGCTGGGCCCTGGGGAGCTCCAGGGCAGCTGTGCAGGGGGCCTGGCTCCCGGAGGCAGAGGCCAGCCGAGCACTCCTCTCCGCCTGCCGCCGGGGCTGCGGCCCAGGAGTGCAGCCTTTTGACTGAGTGTCTTTACGGACCATCGATGGAGACGATAAAACAGTCGCTGTCCGAGGGAGATGGCCCAGCACCCGGCTCTCTGGAGAGGCCTTCTTGGGAGAGACTGACCTCAGGACTCGCCCCTTCCCCATCACCCCCTCCCCACTTTCTGCTCTCTCCCCCCAGCGCAGAATAAAATAGTAATTAACACCCACTCAGCCTGACACCAACTATTTATTTTGTTCTAACTGTGTGGTTTCCGTATTATCACTGCCCACCCTGCCGTTAATGGAAATGTTAATAGCCCACACCAGGTTGTTGTGACAGATGCTCAGCCTCATTATCAGAAATTCTTATTTACCGCCCCATTAAACAGCAGAATCACACAAAAAAACAATTCAATCAAAACTAACTGGAGGAATTTTAACAGCCACATTAATAATCCAAAACATAAATAAAGTTAATGTCTTTTGCATGTTTGCCATCGGCAACTCCATTGCAAAATTACTGTTGTACAATTAAAATGTGAAAGGCAAAATTGAGCGCGGCCATTACCCTGGTAGTCGGTGAGACATCGCCCTCCCCCCGCGACAGCCCCAGGGTTTCTTTCCAAAGATGGCCCAACTCAGCGCGCCCACGACAGCTCTGGACTTGGATATCCGCCTGTAGGAACTGGTGGGTCTGTGAGCGCCAGGTGAACCCCCATAAATTAGGGGCCCGCATGCCCCTTTCTCTGGGGTGGAGACGAGCTGGGCAAAGGCCCATGACCCTGTCTCAGGCAGCTGAGCCGCACTGCCGTGCCTACCAGCAATGCTACAGCAAGGCACTTCTGGACCGTAAAATTACTGCAGGCAACAAAGCATTTTTTGTTGACACCAGCAGGGAAGAGAGAAATATATGTCAACGCTGAGCAAAGCGTGTCGGTTTGGAGACTTCTTTTTTGCTCCTGAAAGCCGCTGGGTCTCCACCCTGACAGGAGAACCTGACTTTCAGGAAGGCTCTGCCATTGACAAGCCCCGGTGCAACTCTCCTTCTCCGTAAAGCGTGTGCAGTTTGGGAGACACGGAGCATCTGATTGTCGTTCGTTTTTTGTTTTCCCACCTTAGCATTTGCGGTGTAAGGATGACATACATACCAGCTTGGAAGCTTTTTTTTTTTAAAAAAAAAATACATGAAATTATTTTTAAAAAGCATTTTAGACCGGCAATTGCTGGCGTCTGCTGCTAGGGAGATTGCCTGCAACTGGCATTTAAAGGGAAAGGTGCAAAGCTGGGGTTTTCTCTGGGGTCTCACGCTAAGGCTACGATGCCATCGCAGAGCTGAGTGACTCAGGTCCTTGGTGTGATGGGTCCTGTACCCTCGCCAGGGGGCCTCTGCGGCCTGGGAGAGGGATCTTGCTGAGGCAATGAGAGACAAGCTTTCAGGACTTCTGGAGGGACCCTCACCTGACAGCCATCGTGGAATTCCTGACATTTCTGAAATGTTCTGGAATTCTGGCTGGTTGCTTGGATGGCCTTGCGTGGCTGGGCGCTGGGGCCTGAGCCGGGTTATGGCGTGGCCTCCTGCCTCTGCGGGAAGGGGTGGGCTGGAGGCTGCAGCCAAGCCCCAAACGGCAGCAAGGACGGCATTCTGTCGCCTCGCCCAACCTCCCTGTGCTCGCCGTCCCTAAGTGGCCAGCGAGCTTCAGCTGGATCAAAAGCAGCCGCTGGGACACAGTGGCTGCCCTGACTTAGTCTTAATTTGCTGGTGGGTGGAGAGCACCAGCAGCTCATGGTTCTAACTCCATGTCCCACCAGACCCAAGGTGAACCTGAGCCCTGCATGGCAGGCCTGGGCTGCAGCCCCCTCACCTCAGGGTTTAGGAACCTCTGCTGCAAGTTGAGGCAGCTGGACAGGCACCGGTGTGACTCAAATCTCAGGAGAAAAAAACAAAACAAAACGGTTCTACGTGGCATTTGGTGGAGGAGTGGAGGCTTCAGAGAGTGAGGGAAAAGTTTCAGAGCTGTAGGAATTAACTCTGCAGGGAGAATGATGCTCATTCATTCAGCCTCCGCCCACTCATTCAAAACATTCACCGTCCGCCAGGCGGAAGGTCATCCATTTGATCTGGGGACAGCGACATGGCCCTGTGACTGGCGGTCGCTCCAACTGAGGGAGGACTGCACATTTTCCCCTCTGGCCCCACGTGACCAAACAACTCACTTTCTGGAGAGTCACATGGCCTGGAACCTTCTCTTCTAGCAGCCCTGAGGCTGGCCAGTCACACGGGGGCTGCTCCCCCAACCAGAGTCTTGGGATGAAAATGGCAGGTAGCAGAAGAGAAGATGCTGGCACTCGGAGGGCGGCAGCGGGAGGGACCAGCACTACTGGTGGGACCAGCCCTTGGAGGTTGTTTGTTATCCCAGCCTAACGCTGCCAAAATCCTCCTGAATATTAACCAGGGTCTAGGCCTTGGGCTGAGGGACAGGTGGACACCAGATGTGAAAGACAAGTTTCATCAGAGAGAGACACGCATCACAATAATCACGGTGCCAGGCGGAGTGTGGGGACAGGGTCGGGGCCCAGAGAGCATGTCCAGCTAGGGATGTGGATGTTTCCTGGAAAGTAGAACATCTGGCTGGTCCTTAAATAACAGGGAAGATTTGAGACGTGACAGTGGGCCAGGGAGCAAGGGCACTGCTGACTATAGAGATGGAAGGAGAAAGAGTAGAAGGGTGGGAACACGGGGTGCATGTTAGGTTCACACCAGACAGGTGGTCATCCTACTGCTAGAGCCACTCTGTGCCGTGCCAGGTGTCCACTCTTGCCAGAACCACCCTGTGCCATGCTAGGCGTCAGCTGTTGCCAAAGCCACCCCATGCCATGCTGGGTGTCTGCTGTTGCCAAAGCCTCCCTGTGCCATGCCAGTAATCTGTTGTTGCCAAAGCCACCCTGTGCCATGCCAGTCATCTGTTGTTGCCAAAGCCACCCTGTGCCATGCTGGGTGTCTGCTGTCACTAGAGCCACGCTGTGCCACGCCAGGCGCCTCCTGTCACCGGAGCCTCCCTGTGCCATGCCAGGCATCTGCTGTGGCTAGAGCAGTACTGGACCAGGATAGACCATGCCAGATTTCTACTTTCAGTTTCTGTAGCCCATTGACTGACTGTTTGGGTAAAGCAAGGTTTTAATGGATAATTTGAGAATCAATGTTAATGTTTTAATATAATGAAATAATTTTCTTTATATGATTTTTTAAAAATTGTATATTCCTCAGTTTGCTTTAATGACATCAAAGCAAACTGGTGAGATTCTCTTTCTGATTTCCTAAGGAACTATGGGAAATAGAATTCTCTGATCTCATTTACCTTCTTGGCAAATCTTGCTCGCAATCTGCTCCCCTGAGCAGGGGGACCTGGAGACAGGCTCCATTCTGGGTGACTCTGCAGCTCGGGAGGCCTTCTCAATGAATCAGGAGGTTTAAAGGGATCACCCTGCTTCTACTCAGGTGGGGACAAGTGAGAGTTGGAGATAGACAGCAATGACTCAAGGCAGAAGTGCAAGAAAGCCAGCAGCAGAGCCTGAGCAAGCAACCCAGGAAATGCAGAGCCCCGTGTCTGGGCAAGTGCATAGCCCTAGGAACAAAGGACATGGTGCCCAGTGCACCCCAGATGTCTGAGTGCCATCTGCCCTGCCCACCAGGAGCTTCAGGTCCCTACATGAGCTGAGGGACGTAAGGACTTTATTGTAACTACTCAACTCTGCCTTCCTATGGTAAAAGCAGCCTCCAACAATCTGTAATGCATGGGCATGGCAATGTTCCAATAAAACTTTATTTACAAGAACAGGTAATGGGCTGGATTTGGCCCCTGAGCTGTTTGCAGATCCACTTCCTGTTACTTATGCCCTGAGAATCTCCTTCCCTTGAATGTGGGCTGAATACATGGCTTGCTTCTAAGGACTAGAATGTGGCACTGCTGTGACTCAGCAACAAGAGCCTGTGCCATCTCTCCTGCTCACCTGCTCTTGTGGTCTGGCCAGCCCATGCTAAGGAAGCCAGCTGCCATGTTGTGAGAGGCCCCATGGAGAGGCCCTTCATGGCAAGGAACTCAAGTCCAAAAGTCCACGAACAATGGAATCCCACTAGCAACTGCATGGGTGAGCTTGGAAATGCATCCTTCCCCGGTCGAACTTTCAGAGAAGACCACAGGCCTGGTTGACACTGTCCCAGAGACCCTGAGGCAGAGGACCTACCTAAGTTATTCCCAGATTTCTGGCCCACAGAAACCAAGGTAGGAGATGTGTGTTGTTTTAGGTTGCTATACTGGGATCATTTGCTATGTGGTAACAGCTGACTGATACATCCCAGCTGTAGCTCCAGCTCCTCTAGGAAGGTGCCGGCCTCAGCCAAGCCTCTGCACATTTTGAAGTCTCCAAGACCGCCTGGAGTTTGGTGCAGCCCTTGCCATGAATGTTGGATTTCATGGTGTGGGTGTACAGGTGATAATCCATTGTCAGGGTCCACATGTCTTTACACACACCCAGACCTGGCTCTGGGTGGGGCACTACAGGTACGCAGAGGAAATCTAAGAGATGCTCCTGGCCTTTTTTTGTGGGGTGGGGGGATGGAGTATCACTCTGTCACAGAGGCTGAAGTGCAATGGCACAGTCTCGGCTCACTGCAACCTCTGCCTCCTGGGTTCAAGCTATTCTCCTGCCTCAGCCTCCTGAGTAGCTGGGATTACAGGTGCCCGCCACCACACCCGGCTAATTTTTGTATTTTTAGTAGAGATGGGGTTTTTATTGGCAGGTGTGTCAGTGAGGATGACAGAATTCTAGAACTGTGCATGGGTTAATTTGAGTGGTTCGCTGAGTACAGGTGCCTCAAGAACACAGAAGAGGAGGAGTTGCTGTGTGCTCTAAGTTCTGACTGAGCACAGGGATGTGTGGAGAGAAAGGCAGAGCACTCCAGGTGAGGGGCTGAGAGCAGCACAGGTGTGGCAGCTGGGACAGGGGACACTCTCCTTCCATAGCCCCAGGGGATGGCCTTAGTCTGCTCTGCTGTGACATGGCAGCTGCAATTCTAACAAACCGAGTAGCTTTAAAGACTGTTTTAAAAGCAGTTGTTTCCATAGGAAAAGGAGGATGAGGCCAGAGAGCTTCAGACTCACGATAACAAACATATTTGTCCTACAGATATTTCCATTTTAAAGGTTAGCTCTGAAACTTCAATACTGCTAGACAATTCTGGCGTTTGATTTCGTCCAGTAATGATCTTTGCTTCCCATCATCAGGAAATAGTGCTTCCACCTTCTTATCAGCTCAATAGCCATCATCACCCACTGTTATGATAAACAAAGTTAAAAGACGCTTGAGCCAACCGGCTCTGCGGCTTGCGGACTGTGTGTGCTTCCTGGCCCGTACAGTGAGTCCCCATCACAGGAAGATCCGGGTCCTCACAGATCATGACAGCATCACAAGCGGTGGTGTTCCTCCATGGTGCAATCCACAGCCCCTAACTCATTAACTGCATTATATGCAGTTTGTACACACAAAATTCAACCTGTTGGAGAAAGACTGTATTCTCCTTTTAGAAAACTGAGGCCGGGTACGCTGGCTCACACCTGTAATCCCAGCACTTTGGGAGGCCGAGGAGGGTGGATCACCTGAAGTCAGGAGGTCAAGACAAGCCTGGCCAACATGGTGAAACCCCCGTCTCTACTAAAAACACAAAAATTAGCCAGGCGTGGTGGTGCGTGCCTGTAATTTCAGCTACTCTGGAGGCTGAGGCAGGAGAATGGCAGGAACCAGGGAGGCGGAGGTTGCAGTGAGCCGAGATCACGCCACTGCACTCCAGCCTGGGCGACAAAGCAAGACTCTGTCTCAAAGGAAAAAAAAAAAAAAGCAAAGAAAAAAGAAAGAAAAAGAAAGCTGAGGCTTCGAGGGGTTAAGTCAGAGGCCTCAGAATGAGCTCGATATGAACTTGGATCTGCCTAACCCTAAGGTCCAAGCTGCTTCTCTAAGGTGGGAGTCGCACAACTTTAGGTAAAGGCCCAGATAGTAAGGATGTTAAGCTTTGAGGGATGTAAGGGCTTTGTTGCAACTATTCAACTCCACCTTCTATGGCAAAAGCAGCCTCCAACAACATGCACGGGTGTGGCGGTGTTCCAATAAAACTTTATTTACAAGAACAGGTAATGGGCTAGGCTTGGCCGCTGAGCTGTTTGCAGATCCTGCTCCGAGGCAGAGGAAGGAAGTGCAGGAGGGCTGCAATGAGAGCAGAGGCCTTGACTGGGAGCTGGTGCGTCAAGTGCAAAGAGCCCTGGGGCAGAATTCAAGGCACCTGGCCCAGGTGTCCCAGCCAACACCCTTGTGACTTTGTCCCCATCCTTTAACCCTACAGCTGTCAGGGGTGCAGTGGGAACTGGCAGTAGGTTCTGACCACTCTGTGAGGGGCAAATGAGGGGGGTGTGTGATGGGTTTGGGCCGCTAGCAGAAGGTGGCGCTTCTGTGACACCCTGCAGGAAACAGGAGCTACAGGACATTTCCACAGAGGCAGGTGACGTGACATGAGAGGCCCTACGGGGCAAGTGAGGCCAGGAGGGCACAGGCTGGCTTCACGCCCTCAGTGACCACGTCCTGCAGCCCTCTGTCTCAGTGCTGATTTGATTCCACAGGGCCTCGCTGCCTTAGATGCAGTGGGCAGGCCTGTGCGTCCTGGTCCCACGGATGAGCTGAGCATTCCTGGAGGACCCTCCGAAACCATCTGCACTTTGCTTTTTCTCACCTGAGAAATGAGAGTAACCTTTAAGCCCTGCCTCTGCTTGCGTGTGGCAAGCATCTGTCGTCTATGACAAAGGAGACCACCGCAAGCAGTGGGTGGGGGTCTCCCTGAGATTCTTACAGTCCTCCCACATCTGAAGGTCAGGAGCGCCTGCGCCAGACAGCAAGTGATCTCTGGTCCTCGAGGGGAAGGTCAAAGGAACACTGTTTACAAGACCCAGGAGCAAACGAGGGTGGAGAACAGGCCAGGCCAGCAAAGAGCTGCAGGACAGTGAGCCTGACGCCAGCACCAGGCATTCCGCTCCCCTGTACACCATCACAGAAGCTGCGGATGGGGTTTTACAGCCTCACACGAGCCCAGCCCGGCTGGCTATTAGGCCTTGACCGCGAAGCATCCATTCTTTTTCTCCTTGTGGAAGAATGTTTTCAAATAACTTTTTTTTTCTGAGATGGGGTCTTGCTCTGTTTCCCAGACTGGAGTGCAGTGGCACCATCACAGCTCACTGCAGCCTCAACCTTCTGGGCTCAAGCGATCCTCCCACCTCAGCCTCCCAAGTAGCTGGAACTAAAGGCATACATCACTATACCCATCTAATTGTTTCTTTCTTTCTTTCTTTTCTTTTTCTTTTTTTTTTCAGAGATGAGGTCTTGCTACATTGCTCAGGCTGGTCTCAAATCCTGAGCCCAAGCAATCCTCCCACCTCGGCCTCCCAAAGTGCTGGGATGGCAGGCATGAGCCACCATGCCTGGCCCCAAGAACTCTTAACAAGGGCAAAGTACCACCAGTCTCTGTCCTGGCCAGCCTGGGTCTCCTCGCTGCTCTAACCCCAGGTGGGAGAGGAGGTTTCATGTTTGCCCGTGTGGATTGCACAGCAGATCGTTGGAGGCCACTCCCATTATTTCTGTTTAATAAGATGAAAAGTTAAATAGCATGCTCCAACAGGAAGCAAGGCTGGAGTTCAAGCCTAGACGGTCTCATTCCAGGGCCTGACTTTCCTAGCTATGGCCTTAGCATCTCTGGTCTTGTCCTAAAAAGTCAGGGGATGGAGAGAGGCAGCCCTTGTTAGCCAAGAGTCAACATCCATCAGATAAATCCTCTCCGAATGCTTCTCCACTAGGTACCGTGAGAAGCACTGGCTCATGAGGTAGGATCTGTGTGCCTGGGATGGCATCAGCCACTTGTCCTCACGTGGTGCATGGTCTAGAGCAGGCCACGGGCAGGTCAGCAGGCAATTCCAGCCCTCAGGGTGGGCTCTGTGCTGGGAATGAGCCCAGAGCACTGTGGGGGTGAGCAGCAGGGCTCCCCGGGCAGTGCCTGGGCCTAGGAGGGCTCCCCTGGCCAGGTGCATCCAGGCAGAGACTTGAACAGTGGAGAGGAGAGTTACGGCGTGGAGAGCAAGGGGCAGGGAGGGGCCAGCAGCTGAGGTGGAAGAGGCTGTGTGTTCAAAGGCCCGGGAGAGACGGCACCGCACGTCCAGGGGACTGAATGGCTTTAGAGATCAGAGGTTTCTCTGGGAAGGTTTGAAAGCAGAGAGTGAGACAGTCAAAGCTGTACATGAGAGAGATGGCTTTGGCTGTAGCTAGGGAGTGCACAGGGTGTGGGGACCCAGCCCGGAGGAGCTCCTGCAAGGTCACAGGCTGCAGAGGGTGGTCTGAGCGAGGGCGGGGCTGCAACAGGAAGAAGAGTGACAGAGGCGGACCTGTTGGCAAGGGCCTGGAATCCACCAGTTGCAGTGACCAGGGGACCAAGCAAGCCGAGGCCTTGAGGGGTTAAGTCACATCCCCCATAATGAGCTAGATTCAAACCTGAATCTGCCTTGCTCTAAGGTCCACGCTGCTTCTCTAGGCTTGGACATAACGATACTTCCAGTAAAAGTCCAGACATGAAGGGTGGTAAGCTTTGAGGGACTGAAGGGCTTCACTGTAACTATTCAACTCTGCTTTCCTAGGGCAAAAGCAGCCTCTGACAATATGTAATGCGTGGGTGTGGTGGAGAGACTTGGGCTGAGGCTGGGGTTTCTGTCATGGATTTTGGGGTGGGTGGAGGCACCCTCCCAAGGGCACATGTTAGCAGGCTTGTTGCCACCGTGGCTGCTGCTGCCGAGAGGCTGGGGAGGAGCAGCGACGGCTTCATCCCCAGGCAGAGCTCCTGCGGCACTGCTTCCAGGGCCCTCTGCGGATCTGGTCCTCTCTGCAGCCCTGCAGGCAAGGAGATTGAGCCCCAGGGAGGTGGAGTAATTTACCCAGGGTTATGGGGACAGAGCCAGGAGCCAGACCTGGGCATTCTGGCTTCTAAGTGCTTGCTCTTGGCTACTACACAGAAACTCAATTTTGGACAAGTTGGGTCAAGGAACTTGTGGGTGCGCCCGGCAGAGATGCCAGGCAGACAGTGGGAATTGCAGGCCTGGGTTCCCCAAGAGACTCCCAGGCGGGAGGGGACTCATTTGGGAGCTGTGGCTCCAGAGGCAGCTGAGGATGGAGAGTGACGTGGGGGAGGGACGGGGAAAAGCTGAGCCCCAAGAAACCCCAGAGAGAAGCGGAGCTGCAGCAGCCAGGGCAGAGTGTTCTGGAAACCAGGCAAGGAGTCGGCCTCAAATCAAAGGCCAGGGCAAGACCGGGGACGCGAGCACCCACTGGACTCTGCAACAAGCAGCGCATCGCGTGACTATAAGAAATCACGGTGCACCATTTCAGAGTTGCTAGAAGAGTAGGTTTTAAATGTTTTCACCACAAAAATATGATAGAATGTGATGTGATGCAGATGCTAATTAGCCTGATTTAATCATTCCACATGGTAAACATTACTTTGTGCTCCATAAATGTATACGATTATTATATGTCAATTAAAAATACAAATTTTTTTTTCTAAAGCAGCTCATTGATTTGCATCATGGTTTCAGTGGCATGGGTTAGGGCTGACAAGTCTAGAAGGATAGAACTGTGGGCTGTCAGAGCAGAAAATTCCAGGGGAATTCAAATGCTGACTAGCTAACCGATTACACTAAGCAATTATTATAATTTTCTTAGGTGTAAGAATGACTTTGTAGTTATACATTGTGATGGTTAATACTGAGTGTCAACTTGATTGGATTGAAGGATTCAAAGTATTAATCCTGGGCGTGTCTGTGAGGGTGTTGCCAAAAGAGATTAACATTTGACTCAGTGGGCTGGGAAAAGCAGACCCACCCTTAATGTGGTGTGCACCATCTCATCAGCTGCCACTTAATATAAAGCAGGCAGAAAAAACGTGAAATGAGTGAGACTGGCCTAGCCTCCCAGCCTACATCCTTCTCCCATACTGGAAGCTTCCTGCCTTTGAATATCAGACTCCAAGTTGTTCAGTTTTGAGGCTC
This sequence comes from Homo sapiens, assembly GCF_000001405.40. Classification (NCBI taxonomy): domain Eukaryota; kingdom Metazoa; phylum Chordata; class Mammalia; order Primates; family Hominidae; genus Homo; species Homo sapiens. The sequence goes on along the minus strand of NC_000007.14, from coordinate 4,194,580 downwards.
GGACTGGATCTCCTTGCTTGCTCCTCGAGCTTGCAGATAGCCTATTGTGGGACCTTATGATCCTGTAAGTTAATACTTAATAAACTCCCATATATATGGGAGTATATATATACACACACACATATATACATGTATACATATATGTATATACGTATACATGTATACACATATGTGCATACATATATGTATACATGTATACACATACATGTATACACATACGTGCATACATATATCTATACATGTATACACATACGTGCATACATATATGTATACATGTATACACATACGTGCATACATATATCTATACATGTATACACATACGTGCATACATATATCTATACATGTATACACATACGTGTATACATATATATATCTCTCTCGCTCTCTCTCCTATTAGTTCTGTCCCTCTAGGGAACCCTGACTAATACAGATTTTGGTACCAGGAGTGGTTCTAGAGAGACAGAATATTCAGGATGGAGTTCTTCTGTTGGTTTTGCGGTTTCCGGAGTTGGCTGCTTAATATGATTAGATCCAAAAATGCTAAGGACTCTACTTCTAGTAGTATGGAGAATGCTGATAGTCCTTGGCGTGAATTGTTTAGAGAGTTATGCAAAATAAATGCATTTGACGCTCCTGATTCACCGCTCGTGAGAGGCAAGGAGTTTAGGGACTCTATACATAATACCTCTGACCATGTGTGGAGAACCAAGAAACATAATGAAGCTGGTTGGTTGCTCCTAAGTTCAATGCACAAAGTGATGAAAGAAAATGATGAACTCAGGGATTCTGTCTCCCAGCTTCAGAAGCAGATACTGAGTCTCAAGTCTGCTAAGATTGCCTTGAGTGAGAGTCTTCACTCCTGTAGAGGAAGAGCTGAAATTGTGGAAAAACAGACACAAGCTCTTACCATGTGAGTGGCTGACCTGCAAGTTAAGGTGCATGCACAGCCTTGCCAGGTGTCTACTATTAAAGTGAGGGCATGGACCGAAAAAGAATGGGACTCTGCAACTTGGAATGGGGATGTGTGGGAGGACCTTGATGAAGCTGGGGACACTGAGCTTGTAAACTCTAATGAACCTTTTTTGCCAGAAGGAACAGCTTCCTCATCCCCAGTAGTGGCAATATCCCAGCCTATTGTTGGTCCTTGTGCTCATGTAACTTAATATTTAATAAACTCCCCTTTATATATATATATATATATATATATAAATATTTTAATATATATAAATATATTATATAAATTAATATATTTATATATTGTATAAATATATTAATATTTTTATATGTAATTTTATATGTATTTTATATGTAATTAATACAATTAATTACAATATATTGTATATTTATACAATTAATATACAATATATATATTAATATATAAATATATTAATATATTTATACAATATATAAATATTTTAATATATATTATATAAATATATTAATATATTTATATATTATATATATTTTAATATATTTATATTATATATACATTTGTATTTTATATATTATATATTATAATATATATTATATATTTTTGTATCTTATATAATCTATATTATATATTTTTATATATTATATATTTATATATAGCCTATTGGTTCTGTCCCTCTAGAGAATCCTAATACATATGTTAAAGAGTTATTATAGGGATATATGGTAAAAGTATTTGTGAATAAAATGATATGATGTTGTAAACCTCTATATATGATGTCTGAGAGCTGCTTGAGGATCACACGGGAGGGGAGGAGGTGGATGTTTGGATGAAGCCAGACTGGCCGTGCTGCCTTGTGGTTGAGCTGGTGGCGAGTGCAGGAGTGTTCTCGACACGGGCGGGTCTTGGAGATATTGTGGGTTTGGTTCCAGATCATTGAAAAAGGGAGTCACGTACATGTTTTGACTTCCCAGTGCATATAAAAGCTATGCTTCTACGATACCATAATCTGTTCAATGTGCAAAGCATTCTCTGAAAAAACACGGAACATACTTCAATTAGAATATACTTTACTGGCTGGGCACGGTGGCTCACACCTGTAATCCCAGCACTTCAGGAGGCCGAGGCGGGTGGATCACGAGTTCAGGAGATCGAGACCATCCTGGCTAACACAGTGAAACCCTGTCTCTACTAAAAATACAAGGAATTAGCTGGGCGTGGTGGCGGGCACCTGTAGTCCCAGCTACTTGGGAGGCTGAGGCAGGAGAATGGTGTGAACCCGGGAGGCGGAGCTTGCAGTGAGCCAAGATAGTGCCACTGCTATCCAGCCTGGGCGACAGAGTGAGACTCCGTCTCAATAAACAAAGAAACAAACAAAAAATCTGCTGCAAAAAAGATGCTGTCACAGAGACGCAAAGTGAGCACGTGCTGTTGGGAAAATGGCACTGACAGCAGGGCTGCCCCAAACCTTCCATCTGTAACTGACACAGTATCTACGAAGCACACTAAGGCCAACTGTGAGGAGTGTGATGCGCCTGCACTTGTCTGTCTCCTTCTGTGTATGCTTGAGATTTCCCTATCTAGAAGTTAAACAACAGAGAAACAGGCAAAGAGGGGAAGAGTTCTCTCGGAAGAGAGTGTGGCTGGAGAGGAGGAGCAGGGCGAGGGTTTGAGAGAGGCCTGGGGGTGGGGTCGGAAACTGCCGTCAAAGCCCTTTCAAATCTGCTGTTCTGGTGCACTCTCAACAGTGGGTTGGATGTGAACCCCACTTTTGTGCGTGACGCGCGGCCCTGGGAGGGGTGGTCTGCCCGGCCACACCTGTGGAGATGGCGCTTCCCTCCTCTGTGGGGATAGCCCAGCTTCTCCTATGGTGCAGAGCCCACCTGCAGCCCCCTGTCCACCCTGAGCTCTGCCACTCACAGGAGACCCTAACCCTTGCAGACTCAACCCCAGAGAAGGTCGCAAAGGCCCAGGCCGGTGATCCTCCCTCTCCCTGGCGGAGCAGCTGAAGGGCTGGCTCACGCTTCGGGGGAGCAGCTGAAGGGCAGGCCCGTACCTCAGGGCTCTCTCGCTCCCTTCGGTGCCAGCAAGTTGCTGAGCAAGTGGGTGCTGAAGAAAGGCCTCCACTGGCTGCCAGCGTGGCGACCTGGAGGGATCCCAGAGAAGCTGGCTAAGGAGTGAAACTCAGGATGGTGAGAGGTGAGGGAGCCTTTCCAAATGCAGCAGCGGGCACCGCGCGATGCTCCACAACCTTTGTCTACAGTGATGGACGTCAGATGAGTAATACTACCAGCCCGCCACCAAGGTCTCCTGGGCATCTGCCGGGCTGTGCGTGTGAAGCCTGAGCACGAAAGGGAACCCTGGCCTGGGGGCCAGGAGGACACCCATGTGACCGCGGCGGGGGAGGGCCTGGGGGCCAGGAGGACACCCACCGTGACTGCGGCGGGGGAGGGCCTGGGGGCCATGAGGACACCCACTGTGACCGCCGCGGGGTTGGCCTGGCAGGACCTCAGAGTCCCTGGGGCCAGTCTCAGGAGTGAGCTTGATTTTTCCCGCATACATAACAGGGATCCCCTGAAGGGTGGAAACAGAAAGTGAGGGGATGGGATTTGCATTTCACAAGGGTCACCCCAGCAGAAGTGTAGAGGATGGGTGGACACAGGCCCCAGAGGCTTCCCTGAGAGCCCCCGCCCAGAGAAGCCTGGCTAGGCTCGCACCTGTGGGCAAGGAGCCTCCCCGCCCTCCACCCTCCGGCCCAGCATTGATGAGGCTGGTGTCAAGCCCATCCTCCCTCGGGGGCTGTGTCTGCCTAGGGGCACCACAGCTCCATCCTGGGAGCTCTCTGAGAAGCTGCTCCTATCACCCGCCCTTTGGCAAGAGGCTGTCCCGGGATAGCGTATGCTGCAGAGAGCCTGAAGGAAGCCGTGAATTCTGAAATACTCCCTGGCATGGGGAAGGGGTGGGCCAAGCTCCCAGTCAGTCAGCAGTGCCTGTGCACAGCCTGCTGTGGGCCGGGTGCAGCGCATTGGAGAATCCCCCACGGCGGAGGCACCTGCATCCCACAGTCTCTCCACTCTGCACTCCTTGGCGAGGGCTTCTTAGTGCATTTGTGCCTGAAGGGAACGTCTGAAACAACACGAGCTGGAGCCCAGAGGGTGGGATAGCGCCCGGGGAGCCCCCTGCGGACTCCGGATAAAGCTGACTCATCACTCTCATCTGTGAAACGGAGCAACGGTTCCCACCCAGGGGATGGTGACCATCTGTGACCAGCACAGTAGGCTTTCGGCAGATGTTTATCCATCATCCAGGACCGTGTAGACAGCCCTGTACGCAGCACAGCCCACCGGCATCAGTTGGAGAGACTGTGGCCGCAGAAATGACAGGGGCGGCCTGTGGTTTGCACAATGTCATTATCGCGTGATATGTTAATAATTACCCAGGGAGCCCTGGGAACGTCGATGATGAGACAGTGCAGCCTGTGGAGTCGGGGTTGCGACGTTAATTACCCTGTAAACAGGTGCCATTCACTCTTCCCTACAAACACATGTTTTCAAACTGGCGTCACTGAAGCCTTTTAATTTCACTTAATAGGCACTAGGACTGGCTTTATTTGTCACTAGCGGGAGCTGAAACAGCTAGAAGCTGTGCTTTTTTTTTTCTCTCATTCCAACCAACTGTAATTAAAAACTTGGAGCACTTAGAAGAAAGGTGGGACCCATATTGTACGACAATTTTTTCATTCTTAAAAACAGCAAACAGATATTTTCAAGACACTTTTCTGTCTTCCACAGCCACATGTACACCAGGAACAACCAAACACCACCTAAAGCCACCAACTGATTTTATTTTATTTATTTTTTGAGACGGAGTCTCACTCAATTGCCATGGCTGCAGTGCAGTGGCACAATCTCGGCTCACTACAACCTCTGCTTCCTGGGTTCAAGCGATATCCAGCTAATTTTTGTATTTTTAGTAGAGATGGGGTTTCACCAGGCTGGTTTCGAACTCCTGACCTCAAGTAATCCACCCGCCTTGGCCTCTCAAAGTGCTAGGATTACAGGCATGAGCCACCATGCCTGGCCGGCCGAGTGATTTTAAATGCTGAGCATGGGTATCTGTCTGTCTTCTGTTTTTGGTGAAAGTTGCGGGGCTAAAGGCCACAGTGCTGGACACTCGGCTCTCATCTGAGCTGGGCAGCCACTCCCCATTGGGTGTGGAAAAAAGGCAAGTCCTGGCTCGCTTTTTGGGGAAAACCTATGTTGCTCTTTTTGCTGGACTAATATTTAACATGCCTGAGTAACCATGTGAGCCTCAGCCTTGAGCTGCGATTGGCGGTGGGCAGAGCAGGGACGAGCCATTACAATACCCAGGCTCACAGCAACCGCCGCAATAAAACTGCCAGGAATGACTTGACAAGCAACAGCAGGACCTGCACCAGGAGCGCTGCCAGCCCAGCAGCACCGTGCCAGAGGGACAGCCAGCTCCCGGGAGCAAGCATGAATAGACGAAAAGGAGGAAGACGGCGAGGATTTCCAAATCCCTTTACTATTTAATACGTTTCCATCAAAATCCCAGGAGCATTTGCTTTTTTTTAAGAACTTGCCAAAATGATTGTAAAATTCATAGAATGGCTGAGAAATTTTAGAAAACAAAGAGGAATAAGACAAGCCCTCCTAAACATGAAAAAAATGTGTAACAAACTGATGTAAATGAAAGCTTTAGAAGTACTAGGGCAACAGTAAAGATGTCTGTGGAACGAAGGAATGTCTTCAGACAGACTTGACTGTGTGTAAGAATTTAAACCATGATTAAGACGCACCACAAAGCAATTAAAAATCAATAGATGGTTTCGGGGGAAAAAACTTCTCTGGAAACAAATGATCCATTTAGAAGCTCACTTCATGCCAGGCTCCAGAATTAATTCCAGGAGGATGAAAGAGTTTTTTTTTTCTTTCTTTCTTTTTTTTTTTGATGAAAGAGTTTAATGGAAAACATAAAACCATGAAAATTATGAAAAAATATCTGGGTGAATATTTACTTGGTCTCAAAATGGGAAGGAGAGATGCCTCAGATATGGAGGTTTGAGCACACAACCACTTAAACACAATAAAATTAAAGACAAAGTATTTGCCATAGACATGATCAAACATGATATCCCTAATATATAAGAAGCTCTAAGAAATCAACACAAAACACTAAGACCCATTAAAATAAAATGGAGACCAGGCTTGAGAATCCCCTGAGCAAAGCCCATTAAGCCGTGGAGACAACCTTGACCTTGCTGGTTCTGCAAACCTAAACAAAACTTAACCTGGGCTATTTCTTGTAAATGCCCATATTAAAGAAAAATAAAACTTAAGCCCAACCAATCAGAAGCCGCCAACAACTTACTGAGGGCACCTCAGGACGTTGGCTGTAGCAACTAGCTTGAGGACAGATATGCAACTAAAGGCAGATATACAGCTAGTGATATGGTTGGGCTGTGCCCCCACCCAAATCTCACCTTGAATTGTAGCTCCCATAATTCTCACATGTTGCGGAAGAGGCCCAGCGAGAGAGAATTGAATCATGGGAGTGGTTTTCCCCATGCTGTTCTCATGGTAGTGAATACGTCTCACAAGAGCTGATGATTTTATAAGGGGTTGGCTCTCATTCTCTCTTGCCTGCCACCATTTAAGACGTGCCTTTCACCTTCCCCAGCCACGTGGAACTGGGAGTCCGTTCAACCTCTTTTTCTTTATAAATTACCCAGTCTTGGCTATGTCTTTATCAGCAGCATGAAAACCAATACAACTAGGAATTTTCTAACAGTTGAGACTGAAGAAGGCAACAACATACTCTTATCAAGTATTTTCTTTGTCCAGCTCCCACATTCACACCATAAAAACGTTCCCCTTGTGTTCCCTTCCCAGAACCCCAAACCACCTTTGGACTGGTGCTGCCTGATTCATGAATTGCTGTCTGCTCGAATAAACTCTTCTAACATTTTGTGTCTCAGTTTACCTTGTAACAGACCCCCATGCAAAAAATAGCCATGAGCTCTGCAGGCATTTAATCACAGACCAGTCATTTAAAAGCCCATCTAGGAAAATAATAATGAGATACCTTCTTGCCTAATAAACTAGGAAAGATTTAAAAGCAGGAGGAAAGAGGAATGCAACCTGAGCCCTGTATCTGGTCACCGCTGCAGGGTGTCAATTAGCTGAAGTATTTCAAAGGTGAAAAATGTTCATGTCATTGGACCAGAAGTTCTGCTTCTAGCGTTTTATCCCAAGGCAGGCATTGGAGACGTTGGAAAAGATTTGTAACAGTGTTCAGAGTAGCTTCATTTCTAATAGCAAGGTGCTGGACCCATAGTCTTGTGCAAATGTATTGGATGATGGAAAATAATGGTAATAATGCCGTGGGTTAACTATGGAGGTTTACCCCCACATGGGACCCAGCCCTCCCCACTCCCTCAGGTGCCCCCTGCCTCATCCCTGGACTTGGCCCCCGTGCCTCATGTAGCAGCAAGCCCACCTGTCCTCTCTCACAGTCCCTCACACAGACATAACACACCCAACATGCACACAACCCACACTGCAAACACAGTCAAGATGGGTCCCAAGCCCCACTCCGAACCACAGTGTGGCTCTTGAGCCCCTCCTAGGTAGACATGCTGGAGCCCCTACTACTTGCAGCCCCCAGAAGGAGGCTACAGATGCCAGGGGTGGCAATCCCAGGTCTGGCCACTACTAGACCCCAAAGCACAGGGCAAGAACTGGAGAAGGCCCGTGGAGGAGGAGGCTAGGAGGGGCGCCTTCCTCCCCAAAGAAGGGCCATGCCTGTACCCGCACTGTCTATACGGGCCCAGGAGATTCCAAGGCACCTCCTAGACTCACTGGACAGACAGCAGGCATGCTCACAGCATTTGAGGGCTTAGTGAGGTGGGCTGGGGGCTTCTGGTCTCTCCCTAGGAAGCTGGAGCAGCGGGGGGCTCTACTCATTGACGGCAGCCCTTCCTCCTGATTCACCCCAACCCAGCTTCCCAGCTGTAGGCCCCAGAAGCCCCCAGGACCGCCGAGTGACCTAAACCATCAGTGGCAGGGCTCAGCAGGTGGGGAAGGCGAGCCGGCTCCGGGGACGAGCTAAGGGTCGAGGGAACCACGAGGCCACAGGCTCCAAGGAGGCGGCCTATGTGGGGACACAGCACCTCTTTTTATTTGGAGGCTCTGTCCTGGGGCAGCTGCCACTAACTCTGGCTAAAGAGCGACCCTGGGGATAACAAAGGTGCACGAGGGGTCCCAGCAGCCGGGGTGGGTGTCGGAGGGCCCTGCTCCAGGAGAGGAGGTCCTGCTCTTGCAGTTCCTGGGAGCTGGGCTGGCGGCCATGCTTGTCTGTGCCAGGACCCCCAGGGCAAAGTGGGTAGAACTTGACTGCCCCTAGTGTCCCCACGACACATCTGGGGCTGAATCAGTTTTCGGTCAGCGTGGATTCATAAATGAACAGAAAACCACAAGCTTTGTTTGGTGTGTGAGGCCAGCTTTGCTATTTTGTTTCGTTTTGTTTTAAAGCTTTAACTGTTTTAGAGCTCCTGGGAAAGGACAGTAGTTGCAGAGCAAACAGGAGAGCTGGGCCGGGCACCTCTGGACAGGAAGCCTTGCTTTAGGCCCTCCCTGAGCTCCCTGGGCCCTGGAGCCGCTCCATCCCCCCTTAGAGCTCAGGGGTCACTCAGTCACTTGTGCTTCTGGGCCGGTGGCCTGGGCTATGTTTGTTACTCCCCTCCCCTCCCCTCCTCCCTCCCTCCCTCCCTTCTTTCCTTCCTTCCTGTCTAAATGTGTTTCTCTCCCTCCCACCCTTCCTCTAACATCTTCAGAATGTTTTCTATGTTCTGGCCTTATGCTAACGTTCTGGGGATAAGAGGGGTCCCTGCCCTCATGGAACTCAGAGAGAAAAAGACCTGTCCTCAGGTGGATATGCAAAGAGCTGTGTACGTGGCATGTTCTGGAGCAGAGGAAGAAACAGCTAATCCTGCCCGGGAAAGAGAAGACAGCTGCCCCATCCAAGGGCTCGCGTGGATGCAGGGCTGCATGGGAGGGAGGACTGTCTGTCCTCCCAGGGACGGGAGTAGGGAGCAGTCATCCCAGGCGGAAACAGCTTGGTATGGATGAGGGGGCACATACTCAAGGAGGGGGAAGCCTGGGGGCTCTGGAAATACAGGCAGGGGCTGAGATGCCTGCTTGGGGTCTGGGCAGGAGTGCAGGCTTAACCTGAGACCAGGGCCCATCCATGAATAGTGAGTGTCTTGAAGGCTGGAGCGTGGTCCCACAGTGCCCGGAACGCTGTGGAATGTGGAGCTGGGCCCAGAACTCTGGCTGGGTCATCTGAAGAGCTCTCCTGCTGAGGAACCCATAGACACTGTCCATACCTCCACCAGAAAAATTTCTGGCCACCTAGTCAAACTCTGCCTATCAGCACTGCAGGACAGCTGTGGTGGTGAATGCCCGAGTCCCCTTCTTCTGACTGTCGCACTGGATCTCCTCTAGGGACCCTCTCGCTTCACAGTTGGCCCAGGTGGTCCAGGTAGAGATGACATCTCCCTGGCTTTGGGCACCTCAGGACGTTGGCTGCAGCAACTAGTTTGGGGACAGATATGCAACTAAAGGCAGGCTGAAGACAGCCAGTGGACTTCCACTGCAGAAAAGGGAAGCTCTCTGTGCCCAGGGCTGTATGGCCACCTTGATGAAGAGCCTGACCAAGGAAGGAGCCAACTAGGAGGAAAGTGGATCCAAGAGGCCACATGGAGCAGCTTGCTGGGGCGCTGGATCCAGCCATGCCTGAAGCTGTCCCAGGCTCTGCAACTCTTCCAGTGCAGGAGTTAATAATGATTCTTTCAGCTTAAGCTTGTTGGCGTTGGGTCCTACCTCCTGCACACTGGAGTCCTTACCGATGGATTATTTTTACCAATTTGTAGTGCCTGGGCTTGTGCATCAATCTCAGCTAAAAATCTAAAAATTATCCTTCCTCTCTGAGTTTAAACAGATTTAAGTATCACGTATTTGAACTTCAGGGGACCCAGAGATCATCTATTCTGAACATTTCATCATTTTACAGATGAGGCCAGACAAACCGACTCACTCACCCAGGGTCCCCCTCATTCACCAAATACTGACTGGGGGCTGACCCCGGGCCAGGTACATTCTGGACACTCATCTTATGAGCAGGACTGGTGCCTTAGTGGCAGCAATGAAGCCAGTACCTGAGTCTCCTCACTCACAGGTCTCCCCACAGCAGCACAAGGTCTCAAGGCCAGACTCAGAGGGGTTAAGTGACTTGCCCGTGGTCACACAGGCAGTAAACAGTAGAGCCGACGCTTGGACCTGCACGCTTACCTATGGGACCACAGCAAAGTCTTAGTTTTCATAAAAGCCTTTGAGCATTTCGGGCCCACGAGTTTGTGGTGCTCTGAAGCTTCCAGCCGAGGGGACGGAAGCTGGCCCAATTTAATTTCCTCTTCTGAAGGCCTACTTGCTCTAAGTCAATACGTTAGCAGTGCCTCTCCTCAGCAGATTAGGGTTGTTACAATGCAGGTACTTGGGCTGCGAGAAGCAGAGGCTAGAAAGGGAATGGCGAACTGGCTTTCTCCTTCCAGAAAACTCTCTGCAGTGTAAACACAGAACCCGGAGGAGTGTGCTGAGGCCAAACAACTGAGATGTCCACTTGCAGGGTTGGCACTGCCAGGCCTGGCACAGGAGATGTGTGAGTTGTTTTGGGTGTGCAAGAGCCAAGCCACATCTGATGGGTGGGGTGGAGCAGAGACCTGGATGCAGGGGCCGTGTCTAGGAATTTACTTTTTAGTTTAACTTAGAGCAAGGCTGATAATGGTCCTTCCCTAAAGCCAATCCCCCTCCTCGTTTGGGGGTGGAAACTGCCTTTGTAAAGCTAATAAAAGGCTGAGAGATTAGGAGTATGGGAGAAGCCTGAACTCGGCTAAAATATAAGCATACTTTCTTTTTTTTTTTTTTTTTTTGAGACGGAGTCTTGCTCTGTAGCCCAGGCTGGAGTGCAGTGGTGCGATTTTGGCTTACTGCAACCTCTGCCTCCCGGGTTCCGGTTCAAGCGATTCTCCTGCCTCCGCCTCCCGAGTAGCTGGGGTTACAGGCATGCACCACCATGCCCAGCTAATTTTTTGTATTTTTAGTAGAGATGGGGTTTCACCATGTTGGCCAGGCTGGTCTTGAACTCCTGACTTCGCGATCCACCCACCTCAGCCTCCCAAAGTGCTGGGATGACAGGCATGAACCACCGCACCCAGCCTGTAAGCTGGGTAAGTAATCCCTCACTGCTCAGGAGGCATGTGACCAGAGGTCACAAAATTAGTGACTTTCCCAGTTGCTTCTAAAGATAACATCACTATTATAGAAACTACAATTGATCTTTTGAGATGCTTTTCAGACTTTTGCATTCTGAAAATGGACTGACCCCATCTGGACTCATGACTCACGACTCACGGCTTAGGGGGTCCTGTGGCCCCGCTCAGAGGTGGACTCAGCACATGAGGACCGTTTTCCACGCCCCGTGATGGCATCCCCAGCCAATCAGCAGCACCCACTCCCTAGCCCCCACGCCCACCAAACTATCCTGGAAAAAACTAACCTCTGAGCCCTCAGGGAGACTGACCAGTGATAACTCCAGTTCCCCCATGTGGCTGGGCTCTAATTAAACTCTGTTTTGACTGCAATACCATGGGCTCAGTGAACTGGTTTTGTCTGTGCTGCAGGCAGGAGGAGCCTGCTGGGCGGTTACATTCCCTTGTGTGAACCCCGGCTCCTGGCACTGCTCCCCATCTGCCAGGGCCCTAAAGTGGCCTCACAGCCTCTGCCAGCCTGTGCACCCTCACCAGCTCTGCCTCTCCCTCCCTACTGCCAGGAGCCTCAGGAAGGAGCCCCATGGAAAGACCAGCTTAGAACATGAGTGCCTGGGCGGCAGATGGTGACTGTGTTATCTGCTGTTACAGGGACAGAGACCATAGGTTCCTTCTCCCTCCTCTCCCTCAGGATGAGGAGCTTCTGATTAGCCTTCCCTGCAGCCCTGCTATGAGACACTGATTCCACCTGCCTTCATCTCAGCATATCTGGGAGGCCCTGTCTCCAGGACACGTCCCTGGGTGCAGGGTTTCCCCAGCTGCTCTCCTGCCCTGTGGAAGTTTGGGAACCTCAATTTGCCCGAATGACAAAGGTATTCTGATCCCCTCTGGCAATACCCCTGGGGCAAGGAGCTGTTTGGGATGAAGCAGCCTTGGTCTAATGGGGAGGAGCAGCATTAGAGAGAAGGCAGCCCCGCTGCTGGGGGGAAGGCAGAGCTGTGCACAAAGCACCCAGGATACCGCACAGAGGGGAAATCTGAGCCCCGCCTAGAGGGAGGGGGACAGAGAGGGTGTCCTGGGGCAGTGGCAGCCGCTCCTCAGGGGATAAAAGCCTAAATGGCACTTTGGGAGGCCAAGGTGAGCAGACTGTGAGGTCAGGAGATTGAGACCATCCTGGCTAACACGGTGAAACCCCGTCTCTACTAAAAGTACAAAAAATTAGCTGGGCGTGGTGGCGGGCGCCTGTAATCCCAGCTACTCAGGAGGCTGAGGCAGGAGAATTGCTTGAACCTGGGAGATGGAGATTGCAGTGAGCTGAGATCATGCCATTGCACTCCAGCCTGGGTGACAGAGCAAGACGCTGTCTCAAAAAAAGAAAAAAAAGATGCATAAAGGGTGCTTCAGGCCTCAGCCAAGTTAAACTGGAGGGGCTGCACAGGGCACTCTGGGTGGGTGTGATGCTGTGGGAACCGGCTCTGCTGACTCTCAGCACCCGCCTTCGAGCTCTGTGAGCAGTGCAGTGTGGCCACGTGGAGTTTGTGTGTGTGCATGGAAAAGGCCTTGGTGGCATGGGCACAGCAAGTAGGCTTTCCTTTCCCTTCTGTGGGACTGCAAAGGGTGCAGGTGGCAGAGCCCAGGCCTCTGGGCAGAGGTGAGTCACGTGGAGGGTGTGGGTGTGTTGAGGAGGAGTGGGGCAGGAGGGCAGGCCTCTGGAAAGGAGGGCTGGAGCAGGGATGCACATGTTGGGAGGGGAGGGAGATGGGGGCCCAGTGGGGAAGGGAGAAGCCACATCACACCGTGATGCTAACCTCAGAGGCCGGGCTCACCTGTAGCCTCTGCAACTGCCTCCCCACACCTGGGCTGTCTCAGCTCTGCACTGCTGAAAAGCTCTTCGCTCTCCCACACTCACAGCAGCACACTCACAAGTCTAAAAGGGGGAAGGCCCCCGAGTGTCCATCCCTGGAGGAGCAGACACACCAGATGCGGTAAATGCATGCAATGGGATATTACTCAGCCATGAAAAGGAAGGCAATTCCGACATCTGCTACAACCCGGTTGAACCTCAAAAACCTCACGCCGAGGGCAAGGATCTGGACACAGGAAGACAAGCACTGCACGACTCCATTTGTACCAAGTATCGAGAGGTGAACTTGCAGTGACAGAGAGTAAGTGAGAGGCTGCCCAGGATGGGAAAAGAGGGAAAAGGGGGCCTGCTTCATAGGTATGGGATTTCTGTTTGGGAAGAAGAGACAGCTCCAGCGATGGATGTTGGTGATGGCTGCTCACCATCCTGAATGCCGCTGAACTGCACACGGAGAATGCTTTCCATGTTATACGCATCTTACCACGATGACAGACTTATATGGCCTGGATGTGTCCCTGCCCAAGTCTCATGTTGAGCTATAATCCCCAACGTGCAGGTGGGGCCTGGCGGGAGGGGATGGGGATGTGGGGGTGGGTTTCTCATGAATGGCTTAGTTCTCATGAGATCTGGTCATTAAATGTGTGGCACCTCCCTCTTGCGCTCTCTTGCTCCTGTTTGTGCCGTGTGGGATGCCTGCTCCCCCTTCGCCTTCCACCATGATTGGAAGCTTCCTGAGGCCGCCCCAGAAGCAGAGACCACCATGCTTCCTGCGCAGCCTGCAGAATTGTGAGCCAAGTAAACGTCTTTTCTTATAAATTACCCCGTCCCTTTACAGCAGTGTGAGAAGGAACTAAGACACCAACAGCGCAGACCCTAGAACTGGAGCTGGGCGCTGGGCATAGAGCTGGAGCCGGGTGCTGGACATAGAGCTGGAGCCAGGCACTGGGCATAGAGCTGGAGCCAGGCACAGGGCATAGAGCTGGAGCCGGGTGCTGGGCATAGAGCTGGAGCTGGGCGCTGGGCATAGAGCTGGAGCCAGGCGCTGGGCATAGAGCTGGAGCCAGGCGCTGGGCATAGAGCTGGAGCCGGGTGCTGGGCATAGAGCTGGAGCCGGGCACTGGGCATAGAGCTGGAGCCAGGCACAGGGCATAGAGCTAGAGCCGGGTACTGGGCATAGAGCTGGAGCCGGGCACTGGGCATAGAGCTGGAGCTGGGCGCTGGGCATAGAGCTGGAGCCGGGCGCTGGGCATAGAGCTGGAGCTGGGCGCTGGGCATAGAGCTGGAGCTGTTTGCTGGGCATCCAGTCCTGTTGCCGCTTGGCTGGCCCTGGCGCGACTCCCCAGTTTCCCGCACCACCCCTGGCTTCCCTACCGCTTGCTGAAGCTCTTTTCTCTGGACGTCTGCCTCGGTCTCAGGGCCTGCCCAAGTGCCCTGAGCCCCCTGGTTCCTGGTGTCCTATGCCCAGGCGCAGGCAGACCCTCAGGCAGAGCTCTGACACCCACACCTTCTGCTTGCAGTTCAGACACTGTAGTTCCCGGCCCTCCTTTCCTGTGCTCCCCCGATGCCACAGGCTGACCCACCCCCAGCCATGGGGGCCAACTGGGGCCCAGTCACCCGAATACAACTGGAGAGCACAGAATCTGCCATGGCCGCCGTCCGCAGTGGCACCCACCCTTTACTGACGGCACCCTGGCACCCCTCTCTGACAGCACCCTTGGTGGCCCCACCATGGCCCTCAATGGGCTCCTCTACAGCCAGGTCCATCCCTGAGGGAAAGCTGAGCCGTACCTCGGTGGCTCTGAGTGACCCCTTTGAACATATTTTCGTGCAAAGAGAGGCAGAAATACCGTATGCTCTTGATGCCTCTCTCCACGCATCCTCATTTGTATGCAAATACCGCTTGACCATTCCGGAAAAAATCCGCTGGGCTTGACCCTTGGTGCTATTGATTGGTTCATAACAATAACCCTTCCCAATTGCAAAAGGTCACCTGATGTGTTTCCCTCCTCTGGCCCCCGCAGTCCGAGCCGCCCCTGCCCCCCCATCTCACCCTCCCCACTATGCAGCAGCTCCTGCTAGGCCGAGCCTCTGTCCTCAGGGACACTCTAATTATTCCGGGCCTGAAACAACACCCTTCTAAATCTGCACCAGCGGAAAAGAGCAGAAACATCAGGCTCTATGTGAAGTCAGGGAACTCTTTAAAGTCACCAGCCAGCGAGGAGGGTGAGGTTCTGTGGTCTCCTTGGCCGAAGGAATGGCGTTGCTCTCATTACCTGCGGCACGCTGGGCCCGGAGAGGGATAGGGACAGGATCTGATCTAAAAATAGACGTTGCTTCCCACTGTGAGCCCCACAGAAGGCAAGGTCCCTTGAATCAGACCCAACAGTCACATCTTATCTAAAAGGGGTGGAGACAATGGCCCACATGGCTCTCCCAGACCTAGAGAATGGGCTGTCACCAGGCCACTGCCGAAGCCCACTGAAGGACCCATGCAGATACAAACATCTGCCCCTCCAGATAACGAGGTTCCATTTCCCACACACCTACATCACCACTGACTTAATACCACTTTCGTAGAGCAAAGCCACAGTAAATATGATGGCCCCAGGTATCGAACAAACCCTTTAGGTCTCAAAAGCAAGACTTGACCATTCACTGAAGCTGTCAGGAAATTCCAGCTCTCAGCTGAGCCCATCTTTCCCTGCCAGTGGCGTGGAGACCTCAGCCCCGACAGCAATGTGTTCAAGGAGAAAGAACGCTGCTGGACACCTGAGGGGCTTGGCCGCAGCGTGCCTGGCTGTCCCCACCACTGTGGCCCTCTCTGGCAGTGGGGTTGGGGGTGCACGGAGCTTACCAGCCTCGCCGACAAAGACCTCCACGGGCGCGCTGGCTGGGCTCTCGCCGATGATGTTATAGGCGGTCATTATTACTTCATAGCGCCGGTACTTCTTTAAATCTGCAGGGTTGAAGGAAATATGGATCAGCTTCCACCAGGACCACCTTCTCTTTCTCCAAAGTTCCCCCTATGAACCACAATGAAGCAAGGAGCACCCTCCAAGGAGAGGAGGCGGGATTGTTAGAAATCTGTGAAATACCTGCATCCACTGTGACCGGGGCACCCTCCTTCTCTCCTATTAACTAAGCACCCACCACCATTAAGCAAAAGACGTACCCATCCTATCCTGTGTTCAGGTAAGAGGCAGCACGGAGCTCCCTCCTCTAAAGTAAAGGATTTAGAACAGGGGTCCCCAACCCCTGGGCCACTAGCCATAGCCTGTTAGGAACCAGGTCGCAAAGCAGGAGGTGAGTAGCGGGTGAGTGAGCAAAGCTTCACTGGTATTGACAGTTGCTCCCCATCCCTCGCATTACTGCCTGAGTTCTGCCTCCTGTCAGATCAGCTTAGACTCTCACAGAAGTGCAAACCCTATTGGGAACTGCGCGTGCGAGGGATCTAGGTTGCGTGCTCCTTATGCCTTGCACAACCTGGCTCTCTTGCACGTGCTGTTCCCAATAGGGTTTGCACTCTTATGAGAATCTAATGCCTGATGATCTGTCGCTGTCTCCCCTCCCCCCAAGATGGGACCGTCTAGTTGCAGGAAAACAAGCTCAGGGCTCCCACTGATTCTACGTGATGGTGAGTTGTAGAATTATTTCACTCTATTCTATATTATGATGTACTAATAATGGAAATAAAGTACACAATAAATGGGATGCACTTGAATCCTCCCAAAACCATCCCCTACCACCTGGTCTATGGAAAAATTGTCTCCCACAAAACCCACCCCTGGTGTCAAAGTGGTTGGAGACCCCTGAGTTAGAATACATAACATAACCTGGGCCTGCCTTTTGGTTCAGAATCTCTCCTTGAAATTATGAACAGATAGAGTAAGACTGTGGCATTGAAAATAGAATGTAGAAGGACGCTGGTAACCAAAGGCCTCTGAGACCTTAGCGGCCGTGTCCTGGGAAAGAACGGGCGTGGGCTGCTGTACACAGAGAACTCCTTAGGGCAGGGGGCCAAGCACCAGCTCCGCACTAAGTGACAGGGTGAGAATAATTGACCTTTAAGCCAAAACATTCTGGAAGGTTCTCCCACTGGTTAACACTGCTCTGTGGGTGGCTTGGCTTTTCCGAGGTCCCATGTGTGTGCCTGGCACCTGTGTGCTGGTGTGGATGGTGGTGTGCTTGGGCCTGCAAATTGTGCCTCCTGCCAGCTACCAGCCCAGCAAAGCTTCCGTGACTCAGGCGCCCGTCCTTGGACGGCTGCCTTCAAAGAGATGCTTACAGGGTCCACCCATGCTATGGAGTCAGTATCTCAACATGTTGGAGCTGTGCTGCCCTGCAAATCACTCCCACCCCTACAGAATGCCTGAACACAACATAGGCTCGGGGAGGGCCAGCCCCTCCCTCCTGCCTGGTCCACTTCCCAAACCAGCCAAGTTCTGTGTGTTGAAGTCGATCACATTATGGCTCCACGTCTAGCCCTTGAGTTGGATTTTGAAACTCCTCCCTAGCTGGGAATCAAAGGAGAAACAACGTGGTTTATTGAAAGGGTGAAGGGAGGCTGAGTGGAGAAACAAAACGTGGTCTTTCATTCGATGGGATATTATTCAGTCTTGACTCAGATTCTGATGCCTGCTCTCACGTGCTTGGACCTTGAAGACGTTAAGCTCATGAAACAAGCCAGCCACAAAAAGACAAATACTACATGATTCCCCTTCTATGAGGTCCCCAGAGTCGTCAAATCCGTCGAGACAGAAAGTTGAATGTGGATGCTGGTGGGGAGGGGTATAACGAATTAGTATTTAATGGGGACAGAGTTTCAGTTTGGGAAGATGAGAAAGTTCTGGAGAATGATGGTGACGGCTGCATAACAGTGTGAATGTGCTTAATGCCACTGAACTGTACACCTAAAAATGGTTAAGAAGGTCCATTTTCTGTTATATGTATTTTACCACAATAAAAAAAGAAAGGCTGGGTGCAGTGGCTCACGCCTATAGCCCTAGCATCTTGGGAGGCTGAGACAAGAGGATCGTTTGAGTCCAGGCATTCAAGACCGGCCTGTACAACATAGCAAGAACCCGTCTCTTAAAAAACAACAACAAAACACAATTAGCCAGGCATGGTTGCATGAGCCTATAGTCCCAGCTACTTGGGGGGCTGAGG
The DNA here is from genome assembly GCF_000001405.40 of Homo sapiens. Taxonomy (NCBI): domain Eukaryota; kingdom Metazoa; phylum Chordata; class Mammalia; order Primates; family Hominidae; genus Homo; species Homo sapiens. Next base: position 4,176,274 of record NC_000007.14, on the reverse strand, counting down.
CAGGGGGATCACTTGAGCCAGGAGTTCAAGGCTGCAGTGAGCTGTGATCGTGCCACTGCACTCCAGCCTCGGCAACAGAGTGAGACTCTGTCTCTAAAAAAAAAAAAAAGTAAAGAAAAGAAAAGAAAAAAGAGTGTTTCTTTAAAAAAAAAAAAAGGAAGAAGGAAGTTGGAGAGATCAGAGATCTTGTTCTATCTGGCTTTCCTCTCTGTCCCAAACTTGAAGACCAGATATTAGTAAATTTCCCCAGCCTCTGTTTCTAGAAGCTTCTTTTCCTATCTCCCTGGTGGTTTGGTATGTGGAGACGCAGCGTTTGAGAGGCGATTCCAGAACTGGAGCCATTAATCCAGGCTGGTTTTCCCTTGCACTGAGAGACCAGCTGGCTCTGGGCACAGTGTGTGCGCCTCGCGGCATGGGCCTCCCGCTGAGAGCGCACTTACGTGTTAGTTCACACATCGTCGATGTGGAGCTGCTGTTCACCGTCTTGAAGCTGCTTTGGGCTATTGGGGTAAGCAAAGCAGAAAGGTGGTTAGCACGCAGGGACACGGCCATCGCAGGTGATGTGCGGCAGGAACAAGGGAGACAGGTGCCTTACTGGGATGCCAGCCACTTCCCACGCTGCGCCTCCCGGGGCAATAAAGACCCCGCTACCGCCCAAGCTTTCCACCAGCTCCCAGTTGCGGGGGCTGCCGCACCTCCTCGTAAACAACAAGGCACCCCAGTCCCGGACAGGCGGGGTGTGCTTACCACTCTGATTCAGTGAAACATGCTAGTTTTTGGCACAACTTAGCACTGAGTGGCAGGACACCTTTTCTCCCGGTCACCCCGGGGCAGGTGCAGCTGACTCATGCTCACGCAGGGAGCCCCGGCTGGAGGAGCCGAGCAAACCACCTCAGGGAGAGCTGCGCGACCAGGTGCGTAAGCCCAGCCGCATCCCGGGGCCCTTCTACTGTGCTGTTTTGATTTTGCGACAGAGCCCAGGGAGATGCCAACTGTCTGGTGGTCAGCAAGGGCCACCTTTGGGGTGTGCCAACAGTGCAGACACCAGTGCTGCAATTTCCCGTCTTCAACATTCATCAACATCATGCCTGGCGCTGTACTGGGGTCAAGCTGTGTGAGCATAGGAGCATAGGAGCTGCTGCCGTCCGCGCACTGGGTGCGTGGAAGGCCCCGCGGCTGGCATTGGCGCGTGAGGTAGGCAGCCCTGGTGCCACAGGGATGGCAGAAAGCGGGAGGGCACCGTCCACACGGCGTGTTCTGGAGCTGCTTCTTCACTCTGTCCCCGGCACGAGGATGTCAAGGGGCAAAGAGTATTTTTGTGACACCGTTTGGTGGGTGCCAGGAAATGAACCCCCTCTAACCTCCATCCAACAGAGGAGGGGTGGGAACGGGCAGGGCAGCCGTCCCTCTCCAGGGTTCTAGAAGCTGTCTTGAAGGCAGCTGGGCCCTCGTCAGAGCAACGATCATGGCGCAGTGCAGGCAGAGCCAAAATCAGCCCGGGGGTGAGCACCATGGGCTCCACGCTGAGGCTGTCTGGTACAGACAGGCGGGGCCTGTCCCTGGACTTGGGTTTTGCAACAGGTTCCTACTGGCCCCCTGCCTCCATCTCAGGTCCCAAAGCCCTTCCCCACTGACGCCGGTAGAGTGCAGTCACTGGAGGCCTGGCAACTGCTCTCCCCTTAACACAGTCTGTGGTAGACAAGGCCCCTCTGCCTCCGCAGCTGCACCCACCTGCCGCACACCTGCACCCTGTGTGCCCCTGGTGGGTAAACCCGCCTGCTCCCTGTTCCTGAGGGCAGGGCTGCCTCTTCTCTCAGCCTCTTCCACAGCGTTTCCCACCATGATGTGCACTGAGCAGATACCAAGGGTCCCCTGGGAACCTCCCTCCCTGTACCAGGACAGAGGGGACAGTCTCACCTGTGAGCTCAGCATGTAAAGCTATAGGGTTTTTGAGCGTCTTGGCCTCAGTGCCTGACCCGGCTTCATACTCCAGCTCCCTGTAGTAGATCCTGTATCCCTGAAGAAGGCCATTCAGGCTTTCGTCCCTCGGAGGCTGCAAAGACATCACACCGACTCAGCCACACCATGGGAGTCAACCCAGCTGGCCTGCAGCAGGGCTCACCTCCACCCCTGTTTAACTAGCCAGCTGCACAGAAGAAAGTCGTGGGTTCCAGCGACAGGTGTCAGATTCATCAAGACGAACCCAGGCAGCTCCCAGGGCACAGCACCAAGCTGTGGAGATACTCTCAGAATCCCAGTTTTCATGTGCATGTGTGTGGGGACATCAGCATTTTGACCCCTGTCCAGCTCAAATCCTCAAATGAGCCCCCAGGCTGGGGCAGGAGGCTGGGGACAGACACAGACGGCGAGGAGGCTGGGTGCTGTGTGGTGAGCCCAGAGCAGGGTGGAACCTCGAGAGGCGGCCTGCTCTGAAGCACCCACCAGCTGACCCCACCCTCCCTCACTCCCCTGGCCATCCAGGCTGTGGCTGCCGTACTGTACCCCTCACTGATGCCTCCCCATGCCAGGCCACCCCACTGTGCCGGACTCAGTCCTCAGGCTGGAATCCCCATGGCCCCTCGCATGATGGCTGGCCTGGCCTATCATCTTGCGGTCCGGTGATCTGCTTCAGCTGCCCCAGGCAAACAATACACCCTTGCCATCCAGCTCTCACCCTGCAGTTCTTACCAAGCCATGGCTAGGCGCTCATTAGACACACATTAGACTCCCATGGAATAGGGAGCACAGGCAGATAAGGAAGTGGAGTTTCAGGTCTTGCTGGAATCTAAACACAGGGTTATGAGACCTCAAGACCTGTCCACTTTAGGATGTGGCTGTTCACCACTCGAGACCCAGCGCAAGGCTTGCCTTTTCCTTCAGTCGGTTTCTGTTTATAAGTACATTTGGGGAGGATGTTTCCACGCAGGAGACAAATCTGAGACTGAGAAGGGTCCTCCCACTCCAGGCGGATGCCCTGGAAAGCCTCAGTGACTTCTGCACTCATCTGGGTGCTGAGCCTCCGAGCATCTGGTCTCTTCTTGGGATACTCAGATGAGGGATAAGGAACAGGAACCTTCTAAGCTGTGACCAGAAGATGGCTGAAGACGAGGCCACGAAGCCTCGTCAGAGGACGGATGTGCACAGAACTTCCGGTGTCGGGCTCACTGTGAGGCACCCACACCGCAGCACCATCCTGCTCCCTGGGCGGAGCCACAGCTTTGCTGCACGAGAGCCCCTTTGCTGTGGGTTGAACTGTGTCCCCCTAAAAGACACGCTCAAGTCTAAGCCCTGTTGCCTGTGAACCTGACCTTATTTGGAAACAGGGTCTTTGCACGTGCAATTGGTTTTGACAAGGTCATACTGGATTAGGGGAGGGTCCTAATTTGATGAGTGGAGGGAAATTATGAGAAGAGGGAAGTTTGGACACAGGACACACAGGGGGAACACCCGATGAAGACAGGGACAGAGACTGGAGTAACGCGTCCATAAGTGAAAAACGCCAAGAGTTGTCATCGGCCACCGGAAGCTGGAAGAGGCAGGAAGGATCCTCCCTGGAGCCCTCAGAGGCAGCAGGACCCTGCCGACACCTTGAGTTTGGACTTTTGGCCCCCAGAGCTGTGAGAGAATAAGGCTCTGCCCTTTCCAACCACCTAATGCGTAGTAACTTGTTTTGCTGCCCCCGGTAAATAACACATCCTTGCAATCCAAACTCTCTCTGGTCCTCACTATCTGAACCCAGGCACCAGGAGGGGTTGGATGTTTAGAGAAATCGCTTTTTCTTTGGACTCTTGCTACTCACGAGGCAAAACCCAAACGTGGAGGAAGCGGTGTTCTTTGCTCCCCAGGCTCTCCGACAGAATGGCTTGGATAGTGAGGGGGGCTTGCACTGTGGTAGCAACGAGGAACAACACTCACGCGTTCAACACTCACGCATGCAGCATGCGACACGCACATGCCAGAGGGGCACCGTGTGTACCCGGCAGACTCAGGAGGTTTTCCAAAATGAGGCCTGCTACCACATTAGCTCAAGCAGCCCCCAGGCCACTGCCATGCAGGGCTGCCAGCAGCTGTCCCTCTCTGAGGACTTTCTGACACCCCTGTGATGCTCCCAATTCAGGAACAGCACGACGGGATATAATCCCCCCTCAGACGCGGAAAAGCATAACGGGAACAACTGAGTGGCCTTGCTGGGTCTTTGCGATCCGTGTCTTAGAGGCCCTGCAAACCCACACCCTTAGACACTACTCCAGCCTGGACACAGCTCCGCTCCTGGCCCAGGGGTGTCGGACCCCAGTGAGCAAACCCAGGGGCTGAGAGAGCTGTCGTCTGGGGGTGGGGGCGCGTCTGAGTCCCCTGTGTTCCCCCCACGGTGTGCTTGTCAATGCCCCACAGCCCTCTTCAATTTTGCAGAAAGTTACAAGGGTCACGTATCCATCCTGCGGGCTTGCAGCCCCAGGTCCGAGGACTCCCGCTGCCCACCACAGACCAGAGATGGGGAAATGGCACTGCCCGGCATCTAGCTCCAAATTCTCAAATGGACGGTGGAGTTGGGCTATTATCTGGGAGGGACTTTTTTTCTGCTGGCTTTTCCTTTTCTCTCTTTACCCTTCACTGGCCACCACCAGTGGATGAGGGGACCTTGGTGCCGGCTCTGCTCCAGCCTCTCTACTCTGGCCCTGGCTGGCCGCCTTCACGGGGCTGGAGCATGCTCAGCTACCAGGCCAGAACCGCCGAACCAGAGCCCGGGACTTCAATGTCAAATGAGGCTCTCTTGATTTTTTTGCTTTTTTTAAAGCTATAAAAAAACAAGACACCCAGCTAAATCAGAATCTGAAAATGATTCTTCTGGAATTCAGATGTAACTGGGCATCCCAGGTTTTCTCTGGATACCCGCTCCCTCCCCGGCGCTGCTTGCCTTCCATCGGGACAATCTACAGATGGAAAAGCTTTTCAAAGCGCCTCCAGTAATAGAGCTAGAGAAACAAAGCAGAAAGTGAGCCAGCACAGATGAGGGTCTCTCCAGGGTGCGGTGTACCCGAGGCGGCGGCAGACGATCAGCAAGGCACGGCAGGGTCCCTGGGGCACGTGGCCACCCCATCCGTCCACACCCTGTGGCCACTGACCCCTTTCTCCAGCAGGCACCCCTTCACCGGCTCAAGGAGTTCCCAGCACTACTCAACTTGCCAGGAAAACAATAAAATCCAAACCTGACCAGGGAGCTATGAGTTTGGGAAGCTGAAAGCTGGCAGAAAAGGAAGGAGTGAGAATTACAGGCACAGTCGAGGCTGGATAGGGGAACAGGTAGGGGAGGCTACAGTGCCTGCTGATTTTACTAAATGCTCTTTTCCTTTTCTATGATTTTGACGACAAAGCAGTGTTTGGGACGCCGGCAACAGTCACTCACAGGTGTCCTGGGCTGCTCATTTGCTCTTTCTCCAGCTCCCCCATGCCGGGCCGCCAGTCCTGCTCTGCACCCCATCCCTTAGGGCTGGGCATGTCAGACAGTCTCCTAAAAACTGGGGGTGTTGATGGGGTTCATGTTCGGTTTCCTCCCTGTGGAGTCTATAGAATCACATTCAGAGCAGCTTTTAGGTTTTCAGTTGTTTTACTCTTAGTCTTTAAAAATTAGTCCCTTGTGCTAGGAGTGGGCACCGGTCAGTATTATATGCAACTGCAATCTGGCTCCCGACAGTGTCGTGATGAAAGCACCACCAGAGATGTGGGGGCGTGGTGGAAATCCTGTGTGTGCATAACACACACACACTTGCACATCCACTCACATCACCACACAAGGGGGTTCCAGGTAGTCTGTTCTGTTCTTTTTTTTTGAGACAGGATCTCACCCTGTCACCCAGGCTGGAGTGCAGGGGTGCGATCAGAGCTCACTGCAGCCTCGACCTCCTGGGCTCAAGCGATCCTCCTGCCTCAGCCTCCCGAGTAGCTGGGACTACAGACCTGCACCACCACACCAGGCTAATTTTTAAATTTTCTGTAGAGATGACGTCTCACCATGTTGCCCAGGCTGGTCTCGAACTACTGGGCTTAGGTGATCCTGCAGTCTGCTCTTTCAAACTCTAGCCCTGGTTATCTCATGGGCCACAGCTGAGACTGAAATTAAAACCCTTATTCTGTAAGGCATCCTTCTTCAAACACAACTGTTAGCCACAATGAAATAGAAGGTTTACTTAACCTTCTTAGAAGAAATACAATGGATGGAAAAGTTGGAAAAGTCGGTATGTGAGACTGAAGAGAGGCAATTCTCCGCAGGCCATCTGGATTTCAGAAAGAGGAGACAGAGTGGTTTCTGTACTGAGCCCCAAGGAAGTGTTCTCCATGGCCGTTTGCTTTCCATGGTCATTCTGCTGACCCTAAAGAATACAGCGCATCTGTCCTGTGTGACTCGGGCCACTGCAAAGAGGTGGCTCTAAGGGAGGCAGGAGAGCTCTGTGCCCAGGGGCCCTCCCGCAGGGAGGGAGGGCAGTGCCAGAGCCACCAGGAAGGCCTGGTGCTGTGGCTCCTTGAAAAGCTGCACCTGTCTCCTCACACTGACTCACCAAGAGCTCAGGGCATGTTACTGGAGGAATGCACGCAAACACTGAGCTCCGCCCCTTGGGGAATATATTCCAGCCTTGCCGTCTCATTGCATCTAGGAGATCTCCTGAGCTATAGTGCACCGGGTGCCAGAGACTGAGTGAGGAAGGCGGCTCTGAAGCCTCAGAGACGGCGAGCTCACTGCCAGGAAGAACTGGAGGATAACTGCAGGGAATGGCGTTTGAGCTGCCCTTGGAGGAGGAGGCGGCTTTTGATGAGGGGAGAAGGGCTGGCCCTCTGCAAGGCGGGCACAGTGCCTGGTGTAGCCCCACTAGACGGGAGCGAGGGGCATGAAGGGCAGGGGCAGGTCTGGGTGGGTCTAGGAGCAGCAGCCAGGCTACAGGTACAGTTCCCAGTGCCTGAGCCAGGACTAGCCCAAGTGCCGGGTCATTCCCCACTTGGGTGGGCTCCCCAGAAGGAGACTGGCCAGAACGGAGCTTCCTCCAATCCACCGGAGCCATGGATGGGCTTGGTGGATTCCTGGGTTACTGCTACTCCCGGTAACAACCAGTCTTGCAAAAATGCACTGACAGGAGCCCTTTGCTGAATGAGAGATGGCAGTGACTTCCAAGACCCTGGGGGCTTCTGACTTTCCTCTCCTGGGCCCCTGACAACCACACAGCAACAGGTCCCCGCTAATGGCTCTCACCCAGCACATGCCTGCGCACCCAGAGAGCCGGATTGTTTTGCCCAAGGCTCCTGGTCCACCCAGATGGTCCCAGGCGGTCCTGCTGGGAGTCCTGTCCTTGCTGTTCACACTGGTGGTGGGGTGGGAGTGGCTGGAGTCTGGGCAGTGAAGATGAGAGACCTCAGCTTCCATTTCTGGGCTCTGGACTGACTATCAGCATGACGAAGAGGCGAGCAGACAGATCAAAAGCTTACAGCAGGGGCTCTGTAAGTACCAGCCAAGCAACCTCGCCCTGAGGTCACCTTCAAAGCCTCCCTCTCGCCCCAGAATAGACCTGCAGCAGCTCGAGGAACTGGTACCTCAGAAGGAAGACTGCAGAGGCCTTCAGCCAGCTCTGCAGATGCACAGACAAGACAGGATTACAGAGAGTGCAATTTACTTCTGGGGGAGGAGGGAAGCTCAGGTGGCGTGACGAAGGCTGGATTCAATTCACCAAAACTATCAACTAAGCAGGAAGTTAGGAGGTTGGGAAAATAAAAATGTTCTCCCTGGGCCCAAGTGTGGTTTCCCAGCCTCTGGGGCTGGAAGATGGAGGGGAAGGGGCCGAAGATTACTGATCCTGGACTCACAGATATTTCTAGCCTAGGCGAATGAGATGATTTAGAGCTATAAGAAATGGCCAATCCGCCTTGCCCAACAGACACAGTGTCCGTCAGCCACCGGGCTGGGGCCACATTTGGCCAACAGGCTAACTGATGCTGTTTGCACCAGAAATCACTGAAGAGTCAAAATGCATCCGCTCCTGGCAGGAGTCTTCCAGGCCTGGGGAGGGGGTCCAGGCGGCCGTGCCCCCAGAGGGTGGCTTCCTTGAAGGCAGCAGCTGGCAGAGGCCACTCTGCTAGCAGGTGTCATCTTCCCAGTGGGAGCGTCACTTACAAAGGGTCCGGTGGCTTCACAGAGATGCCCGGGCCTGCCTGCACAGGGTTCTGAACTGGGTTCAACCATATTTTCCATTCCTGGACTTTGGGATTAACCTGTCTGTAATCTGTGAAAGAGGCTCTCCAACTCCGGAGGTGCTCGGAGGCATCAGCAGGGCGGCTCCATGGAACCCATGAGGTCAAGGTCAGGCTCTAGATTTGGGTCGTGGCCTTGCAGCCACCTTGCAGTACAAGCTTGGGCTGACTGCTCAAACTCCCAGGCTCAACCCTGTGCCCAAGACAGGCAGAAGTCTGGCCAGATGGCCTCCAGAGTATTATATGACTGGAAACAAAAGGTTCGCTTTGCACCACAGACCCGTGTCCCCAGCCCTTCGCATGTCTCTGACTCTGCATATGCCCAGGGGCAGGCCATGTTCGGGTCTTGTTCATGTTTAAATGCCCAGAGCACCTGGGCCAGGCCTCAGCCATGGCGGATGCTCAGTCAGAGCCCTGGGGTGGAGTGGGACTTGCCGGAGTTCAACATGACCTCATCTGTGTGTCACTGCACCCTGGCTTGGCCATCTGTGTGGAGAGAAGCTTGAAGGGAACTGGGAGTCCTGCCTCAAAACACCTTCCCTGTGCCTGCCACGCCTCAGAAATTCGCCAGCAGCCTCCTGGAGGTTCTTCATTTTTCAAAAGCCCGTTTTTTTGTTGCTGTTGTTGTTTTTGTTTTTTTCAAGACGGAGTCTTGCTCTGTCGCCAGGCTGGAGTGCAGTGGTGTGATCTTGGCTCACTGCAACCTCCTGGGTTGCTCACTGTAGCCTCTCGGGTTCAAGCAATTCTCCTACCTCAGCCTGAGTAGCTGGGACTATAGGTGCCCGCCACCACGCCCGGCTAATTTTTGTATTTTTGGTAGAGACGGGGTTTCACCATGTTGGCCACGATGGTCTCAATCTCGACCTCGTGATCTGCCCGCCTCAGCCTACCAAAGTGCTGGGATTACAGGCGTGCCACAGCAAAAGAGCCTGTTTAAATGCAAATGACCTGGTAGGAGTGTGCCTGGGTTTTATCACCAGGTAGGGGAGGCAGGAAGAAGTCAATGGTCTGGGGAAGACCCAGGAGGGTGGGCACCTTGGAGCCACAGAGTTGAGTGGAGGGAAGGCCTGGGGGTAGGAGGAGGCAGGACCTGCAGGGAAAGCCTCTCTCCTTCCAGCTGCCTGAACGGTGACCTCGGACCCTCTGCCGTTGCTGGCCTCTGTGGAACCTCCCACCCAGCTCTCTCTGCTGAGGTAGGGGAGCAGCAGGGCAGGGCCTAACTCTCCTAGTTCTAGAGACAGGGAGCTGGGCTGAGGGAGGCTCAACCACGTGCCACTGTCTCCTGCGAGTTCAGGCAGAGCAGGTGCCCAAATCCAAATCTGATCCGGCCACCGTGGTCCCCCGGGCCGGAAGCTCAGTGAAACCATCTGAGCTTTCACTTTCCATCCTGTGCCTTCTGCTTTGTGGAGAGTAGAACAGGGATTCTCTCCGGAGTTTGGTCCTGATGGTTCTGAGAGCACAGGAGGCTCAACACGCAATACCCGTGAGACACAACATCAAACACCAGTGACGTCACCCGTGAGCCTTTCCTCAGGCTGTGCCGGGGGCCACGCGCTTCTCCAGCCTTTCACTGCAGGGGCCTGGCAGTCCTGCCAAGTGCATTCAGGTGCCCCTCTGGCCAGAGTTAGTTTCGTTCCTTCTGCTGTCTTCCTATCAATGCCTTAAAGAGCCCACTGCGCTTAATGAAAGCTCTTCACATTCTGTGGCCTGCCTCAGTCCCCTCTGGAACTCAGCACTCCATGCAGGTGTTGGTCCTCTGTGGGTGGCACAAGTGAAGAGAAAAAGAAACAGCCCCAAGATGTGTTCTGAAGCGGCGGGATGCCTCCCTGCCTTTGCCCAGGCAGATGTAACCCTCCTCTGGGAAGGTGCCTTTTACACTGAGAGCCTCCCGTATGGTGTGATCAATTGCTTGGGATTTTTTTCTTTGCTAGAAAACAGTCTCAAAACCCACTTACAGGCTGGGCAGTGGCTCATACCTGTAATCCCAGCACTTTGGGAGGTCAAGGAAGGAGGATCGCTTGAGTCCAGGAGTTTAAGACCAGCCTGGGAAATACAGTGAGACTCCATCTCTATGAAATTTTTTGAAGAAGTAGCCAAGCATCGTGGTGCACACCTGTAGTCCTAGACACTGGGGAGGCTGAGGTGGGAGGATTGCTTGAGCCCAGGAGTTGGAGGCTACAATGAGCTATGATTGCGCCACTGCACTCCAACCTGGGTGACAGGGAAAGACCCTGTCTTTAAAAGAAAACACAAGGCTGGGCATGGTGGCTCATTCCTGTAATCCCAGCACTTTGGGAGACCAAGGTGGGTGGATCACCTGAGGTCAGGGGTTTGAGACCAGCCTGGCCAACATGATGAAATCCTGTCTCTACTGAAAATACAAAAATTAGCCAGGTATGGTGGTGCAGGCCTGTAATCCCAGCTACTTAGAAGGCTGAGGCAGAAGAATCACCTGAACTCGGGAGGCAGAGGTTGCAGTGAGCCGAGATCGTACCACTGCACTCCACCCTGGAAGACAGAAGGAGTTCTACTCCTTAGCTTTCAAACAGAACTGGATCCCATGAAAGGCAAGGATTGACTGTCCTACTAAGAATAATCAAGCCTGACAGTCTACTAAGGGAGGCATTTAAATGGGTCTATAAGCCTTGAAATTACAGCCCGTGTTTGTTTGTTTGTTTGTTTTGAGACAAGGTTTTGCTGTTGTTGCCCAGGCTGGAGTGCAATGGTGCCATCTTGGCTCACTGCAACCTCCACCTCCCGGGTTTAAGCAGTTCTCCTGCCTGAGCCTCCCGAGTAGCTGGGATTACAGGCGCCCATCACCACGCCCGGCTAATTTTTGTATTTTTAGTAGAGACAGAATTTCACCATGTTGGCCAGGCTGGTCTTGAACTCCTGACCTCAGGTGATCCACCCGCCTCAGCCTCCCAAAGTGCTGGCCCTGTGTTTGCATTTTTAAAGTAATTACTAAAAAAACAAAACAAAACAAAACAAAAAACACAAAAGGTTTACAGGTGAAACATTTTATTTGGAATGCAAATCTATATTTAAACCTAGTTTCTTTTTCTTTGTTCTGTTTGTTCTAATGCAGTAAATTACTCATAATTTTAATTATACTTCAATTGCCTGGCAGTTGACAAGCATTTATTTCTACAGGACGTTGTATTGACCACCTCCTGCTCTGGTCTTCTTGCAATTAGTTTGTTCTGTTGGGCTCTGGAGGGGGACGGCTGATGCACACACCAGCCCAGCTCCTCCAGGTGGCACTAGGCACGTCCCTGAGCTGTCCAGCAGCACCAAGGGGAGCTCGAGCCCTGCACCGTCCACTGGGGCTGACAGCAAGTGATGCCTTCACAACCATTGTTTGGAGGAGGTGACGCATCCCAGCCCTGATGCTCACTGCCTTTATAGGAAAGGAGCTTACCTAGGTAAGGTATTGGCAGGCTGCCGCCACGTCTACAAAGAAAATGTGAATTTTCTGGTAGGATTCAGCATGGTACAAAGTGCCAATGTTCTTGTGATTGACTGTGTTGGTGCAGGCTGGGAAACGAGCACTTGGGACTTTGCATTTCCATTTTGAATGTCTCTAACCTCCCACCGGAGACCCTCACGGGAGTCAGGGCTGAAGCTCGGGTCTGGGGGTCTAGCGGCCCCCAAAGACTGGAGATGTTGTGTGAGACCTGAGCTCACCTTTGTGACCTTCTGTTCTTACAAAGGAGGAACCTGGAGTCAGAGGGGCCTCTCAGGGCCACAGTCACCCGATGGCAAGTTGCGGGTGGGTCCTTCGTCACTTTTCCAGTGGCTCCCAGACAGATCAGGGGCTGTGGCTTCCCAGGGGCAGAGGTGGGGCCCAGGCTGTTTTCGTGGTTCCCACTCTGGCCCCCCTATGCTCTGGTAAACTCAGTAGGGCTGAGTGCCACAGAAGTGCTCTTCCAGTTCCACCAGGAGACACTGGGACATTCTTTCATTGCCTGGAAAGGTTCCTATCCTACCCAGAGAAGCTGGATCCCTTAGCAAGAGAAAGGCAGCCGAGACGCAGCCCCGCACACCTCCATGGACACTTGAAGGAGATGACACACTCTTCACAGAACCCAGCTTGTTAAACGCCTACTCTCCATCCCTCAGATAAGTGGCAGTAGCAAGTGATATCAGGTTGAATCACATAAATTGCCACTTTCATACCTCAAACATGGTCATATTTCATAGGATCATACAGCAAGAGGGTGAAAGCGGAGCCCCTCCCAAGCTCCCCCTGGCTGGCCCCACCCACAGCCCAGCCTGGCTCTGCTCACCGGGTTCCTCTCTGGCATCTCTAGCACTACGCACCTCAAGACCATGCCCAGGAAGGCTGCGGCTGGCGCTGCTCACTCAGCACGTCTCTCTCCCGGCCCAGCAGGCATCTCTGGCACCTCCTGTCCTAGCCTGGTCCTGGACCTCATCCTCCGTGCTGCAAAGTGAAGCCACTGTCCCTTGGAGTGGCCCTTCTGCAGGGCCCTGGGAGATGCTCTGTCTGGGACACCTACTGGTGGCCTTGGCTGTGTTTCCCAGCATCCCTTCCATTTCCCGCAGCCCCCACTTTCCACAGGACCCCTTCCTGCCTCCCCTGCACCGGCGGAGGGCATGTGGCCGGGACATCCCCTCGCCCTCCAAGGCCATGTCTAGACCACTGTTCCCCTCTTGATTTTCTCCTGACTTCCCGAACCATCATTCCCACCTGCTGCATCGGGCACCCTGCCATTGTCCTTGAGGACAGCTTCAGCCCCAAGGAAGAATCTCGTGCCCACCAGACTGCCCTCCTGACCCCAGCTCCCAGCAGGCACTCCCAGGCTGACCTGTCCTCATGCCGTACCCACCCCATGCTGGCCCCATCCCACTATGTTCCCAGCTCCCTGGCACAGCAGCCCCCATTCTGGCCTCAGGAACCTCCCTGTGGGCCAGAAACTTTGACTCTGCCCTCGTGCTTGGCCCCCTGCCTGTCCATCTGTTGTGTCTGCTGCCAGGCCAAGCTCTAGCCCTGGGGAAACTCAACATCTGTCTGCCCCGGATCCGGGCTACACAGGCCCTGGGCTGAGTCCTCCGCACAGCTCCCCGCCCCACTCTTCAGCTGGGATCTCCCTGGGGCCTGCAGCCCTTCCTTGGGCAGTTTTGTCCCTCTGTTATATTTGTCATCAATGTACTTGTCAGTAAGCATTGCCCAAAATTGAAACTAAGGGAAAGAGACGGCAGCGTGTCCTTCAATGCCTTACTGGAGCATTGCTGAGCAGGCCCAACAAGGAGTGTGTGATTATCTGGAAGAATATGCCTTCATTTAACTCACTGCACATTGGAGATTAAAGGCCTAGACTTGGCTGGGCACAGTGGCTCATGTCTGTAATCCCAGCACTTTGGGAGGCTGAGGTGGGTGGATCACCTGAGGTCAGGAGTTCAAGATCAGCCTGGTCAACATGGTGAAACCCCATCTCTACTAAAAATACAAAAGTTAGTTGGGTGTAGGGGCATGCGCCTGTAATCCCAGCTACTTGGGAGGCTGAGGCAGGAGAATCGCTTGAACACGGGAGGCAGAGGTTGCAGGGAGCCTAGATTGTGCCACTGCACTCCAGCCTGGTGACAGAGTGAGACTCTGTCCCAAAATAATAATAATAATAATAATAATAATAATAATAATAATAATAATAACAACAACAACAACCACCACCACCACCACCACCCACCCCCAGACTTTGGGAAAATATGTACAATCCGGTAGATATTTTGTCTGGTTGCAGATGACTTCTCTAGAAAAGCTAACTCCAGCGGTTGCAGTTTTACTGCCTTGTAGGGCGATAACCAATTTGTGTATACACAGAAGCCTTGCTCCAACGTCCTCGGTGAAATGCCAAGACATACCCAGTTCCTCCAACGCTCTCAGACTGGCCTCCCCATCCTGCCGGTCCCTCCTGAATAAGGGGAGTCAAGTTCATTCTCTACGTGCATCACAGTCCTGCTTCTAATGTTTTGGAAATTACACCGAGATGATAATTGACACCATTTCCCCCTCGCGTTTTTGAGTCTGAGGGTGTGTCTCCTTGGTTCTACTCTCAAACGCTTAGCTCAGGGCTCAGCTTGCAGTCCATGTCAGCCGTTGTGGCTGAATGCGCAGGGAAATGAGAACACATTTGACAAAACGCGCGTGATTCCCCGCGCTCTTACCTGCCACTGTATCAGGACAGAGGACGTGGTGTGTGGCGTCGCTGAGACAGATCCCGGGGGCTCTCCTGGAACTGAAACACACAGGAGAGGAAAGCGGGGGTCAGGGTGGTTGTTATGTTCTGCCGCCCTTCCCAGGGCCACCCTCAGTGAGTATGGGGAGGCTGGTGAGCCCTGCCTCCTTCCTTCTCCAGGGGTCCCCTTCTCCTGCCCTTCCTCGGGGCTTCCCAGAGCTTCTCCTTCAAAGCCTGTCCTCGGGATAGGAGGGAGCCAACCTTAACAATGGCCCCGAGAAACAGACCCAGACTGGGCTCTCCCTGTGGTGGACATTCCGAGAGCCACCCCTCCAGTGAGGCTGTCCTGGAGCTCTCTGGCTCGAGACCCTCCCTGCAGGGCTCAGGTCTTCTGGGAGAGCAGGGGAACTTATCTTTTTCTCTTTTTTTTAAGATACCTAGGTGAGAGCTACTTTTCCTGAATAGGACACATGATCATGCCAGGTCACTTGGTTTGAAACACTAAAAGGCTGTCAGGAAAGGAGATTGATTTCTGGTGAGGTTGCAGCTGGCTGGGACAGCAGGGTGAAGTGAAGGGGAGTCTGCCATGGTTCTGCTCTGCTCTCTGGAGGGACAAGGCTGGTTTGACCTCTGCCTATGGCCATGCCCTGCACTCTAGCCAAACTAAACTTCTTGTCATCTGCCACATCCAAGAGGTCTTCTGTGCCCCTCTTCCCTGCCTCCTCTGCTCCCTCCAAATCTGTGTGGTCCTGTCTTGGCATATTGAGCTGAACTCTTATGCCTCCCAGCTGTAAGATCCCGGGGGCCCAGCAGAAGTGTGACACGCATTCTGTATCCAGTCCATATTCACTGAACGGAATGACGATGTTCTTCCCACAGGCACACTTGTGCATCTAGCAGATGCCTCTCCACTTAGAACCCAAGATTGGGTCCCGGGGTCACCGGCTCTGTGATTTTCCTCTGGACCTGCCAGACACCCCCTCCTCAGCCCTGGCAGTGCCTGCATCAGTCACACCTCCACCTTCCCCGTTCTGTTTTAGGGATGGGTCTCCCTCCAACCCCCTTAACCTCCTGTGGTTCCAGCTTAATGGTGGGCCCTCTAGCCAGCTTCCTGACAGCCCTGGTGATACAGCGGTGCCATTACAGGGAGTTCTCAATGTCCTTGAGTTGTGAGGTTGTGCAGGGAAATAGAAATCACTATAAAAAGAAACTGTTCATCAGTAAACCGTCCACATACTCAGAGGACTCTCCCTATCTTGCCGAGGGTTCCCCAACCCCTGGAGAGAGTCTGTGCCTGTCAATCTCTAGATAGTGTAAGACAATACAACACAAATACAATGCAACTCCATTGCAAAGAGAAACTGCACATCCCAGGGAAGGCGATGACAAGATAGGTGCATCAAAGCCCAATCTGAATATCAAAGGGTAAGAAAGGCCTCTGGAGTCTGAAGAGGCCCTTCAATATTTTTTTCAAAAATGGTCCTTTTGGATGCTGCCCTGGAGGTCAAAGGAGGCTGTTGCACTTTGCTTTCACACAATCTGTCAGAGAGATTACGACAATGACATCAGCTTGTGTGGGGTTTTGTTCTTTATTCTAAGATTTAGTGCTTAGTTGCAAACATTACCTCAACTGTGTTAAAGGTAACGTTAAAATGAATGCATTTATATAGTTTTTGTTTTGTAATTTAGTTCCTGCAAAGCCTTTCCCTTGTGGTTTAGTGTGAAATTGGTCCCCACTTTAAGTAGATTAACCGGAAAGGCTTTTCCAGTTACAAGTAGCTTTTGCCTCCAGGTTTGCTAACAATAAAGTGGTGCAGTATTTGCATGTAACCTGCACACATCCTCCTGAATACTTTAAATCATTTCTAGGTGTAACCTGCACACATCCTCCCGCATACTTTAAATCATTTCTAGGTTACTCATCAGTCCTCCTACAACGTTATAATTTGTAATACTGTTACATAACAATGTTACAATGTTATAATTGTAGGAGCTCTCATGAGTAATCTAGAAATTGTACAAGGTCATAACACTCTCCAAACAAATACACAGTTGTTACACTGTATATCTTTAATTTGTATTTTTAACTTTTTTTCTGAACATTTCAATCCACAGTTGGTTGAATCTAACGATGTGGGACCCTTGGACAGTGAGCTCCTGGGGCTCAGCCCGGCTCCTCAGGGCCCAGCAGGGCTCACTAGGGCCCTGGACCACCCCATATACCCGGGACGGCTCCTCTCTTTCTCACTGGCTTTCCCCAAAGCTCCAATAAACTCCCAGGATTTGTGCTCAGAAAAGAGCTGGATGAGAGGCAGGAGCCACAGAAGCCAGCCAGTGCTTTTCCAGGGGCAAGTGTGCTTTTCCTGGGAGCACAGCTGGGGCCTGTTGGAGGCTCTTGCAGGTTCTGCTCTGCTGGGAGTGCAGGGTTTGCAGCAAAACAGCCTCTGTGAGTTGCTGAGAAGCCGGGAATGGTTTGCTCAAACCCTCTGCTGGTCCCTGAGGCCAAGGGAGGCCTATGTGGGAGAAACCACACTTCCAGGTCATCGAGAGAGCAGAAGTGGAGATGTGAGGTCACAGGGTGAGCCAGCTGGAAATTGGTTTATTGGAAAATTCTTCCACTGGAGCGTTAAATGGAAAAGACAGTGCTTTGGGGATAGGTTGCGGGAATGATGATGAAACGCTGCTGGGTGAACTAAGTACTGGGTTTCCAGCCTGGGAGCTGAGCTATTACCCACCATCCACTCTTTTCCATCCCACCCGTCCTGTGATCACCGCTGGACGCGGCTGATAGAGCTGCCTCCTGGGCTCGCCACAGGCCTGGGCCACACAGAATAACAATCCATCTTCAGGCCTGACGCCGCCGAGGTAGGACGGAGCGGCTGAAAACGCCACCTGGAGCTCTGAGGAGACCTCGCTTCCCATCACTTACCTGCGCTGTTGTCAAAGAGTGGCTCGTGAATGAGAAAAATGGGGAAAATCTCTTAAAACCCAGCTACCCGCTGACATTTATTTTTAATGACCCTATCAATTATTCAATTTCTGGGATGCTAATGGATAGTAGGGGCTTTAGAAGCCAATCAAAGAAACTTCCATTCCATTTGGAAGCCCTTGAAACCTTGATTTATGACCACAGGCTGTGCGGAAACCCTCCGAGCTGTCTGTCACTAATGGAATTCTACTGCTTTCCACCACTCCCTGGTGGCCCCTTTCTGGCTCAAGACGAAAGTGTGGCCTAAGTATCTCGGGCTCCAGGGGCAGCGGCCAGGAACGCGGTCTGGGCCCCGGGTTGCTCACCATCCTGCAGCGTGGTCACCGCCTCTGTCTCTGAACTGAAGTCACTGTCCCCAATGTCGTTGGTGGCTTTCAGGCGCAGCTTGTAGGAGGTGAAGGGCCTCAGTCTGCAATGTGGAAGAGACCGTGACTGCCGGGGCCCTGCCACCCTGTCCTGCCCTCAGGCATTCCTGGTGAAGCCCTGGGAAGAGGGGCAAATCCCTCCCCTGCCCTGAGAGCTCTGGGCTCCTGTGTGGGCCCGAGACAGCTTAGCAAGGAGGCTGTTCTTGGGTCGGACCCAATCACTTCCTAGGTGCAATGAGCAGGGGCTTGAAGGAGACCCTGGACCTGTCCTGGGAGAAGCCTTTGAACACCTGGACGGTTGAAATCCTCAGGGAGAAAGGAGCTGCACAGAGGGCAGGGAGTGCAGGGCGTCCTGGCCAGGGGGAAGATTCTGCTCAGGGCTCCTCGGGGAGGCAGTGCCAACCCCTCACTGGAGCCACCCCTGCACTCTAGTCGGCACATCACTGCTCTCCAAGGGATCCAGAGAAGTCCTCAGGAAGAGCTAATTCCCCGGGCCCTTGTGCTGATCCGAAGTATAAAATGAGTTCCTGCCTGATTCTCACGCTCCGTCCTCCTGGAGCTCTTTACTGGGCCAGACCCAGCCTTGCAGCATTCTCTAAGGTCCACTTCCTGGCCGGCTGCAGGCAGAGACCCGCCAGCCCCGCACCCCTACCATTCACTGGGGCTGACACGGTGCCAGGCGCTTGGCAAGTGCAACCCCTTTGAACTCACACGAGCTCTGGGAGAGGAGGCATCATTATTCCCATTTCAAGGATGATAAAACTGAGGCCCACTGCTACAAGACTAGTAAATGGCAATATTCACATGTCACTTTACAAAAGACCACATCCCTGTCAAGCATCCAAGTGAAAAATACCCCCAGCCCGTCGACGGAGATTTTAACGGGACTCATGTTTTCCTGAGGTGCCTTCTGCTGTTAGCACTTCGGGCCCGCTTCCATCTGCCCACCCACCTTCCTTCCTCCCTCCCTCCCCGCTCCTTGCTGCCTTCTCTCCCCTCTTCCTCCCTTCCTTCCCTCCTTCCTTCTCTCCCTTCCACCTCCCTTCCCTCCTTTTCTCTTGCCTTCCTTCCCTCCTTTTCTTCATTCCTCCCTCCCTCCCCTCATTCCTTCTCTCCCTTCTTCCTCCCTTCCCACTTTCCTTCCTTCTTCCCTTCTCTCCCTTCCACCTCCCGTCCCTCCTTCCTTTTCCCTTCCCTTTCTTCCTTCCCCTCCTTCATTCTTCCTTCCTTCCTTCCGTCCGTCCGTCCAGCTACTCCACATGCAATGGGTCTCCTGTGCCAAGCCCCATGCCATGCCTGAGACTAAGACTTCAGCCAAACTCTTCCGTGCAGACAATGCTGGGATCTTGGTGAAGCCCCAGCCGGTCAGGGACCCGCCCTGCAACCCAGTCACTGGCTGGTTCCTCTCAGATACCCTTCATTCGACTTCCGAATGAGCAAGTGAGGAAACTGCTCTGTTCTCCTCCCTGGCGGGCAGCGGCTCTTCATAGATGAGGGCTCCATCCTCCTCAGTTTCCAGACCAGAAAACTCGGGGTGCCTCAGGACTCTTAACCTCTGTTACCCATGTCTAAAAGTCTCAACTATCACTCTAAACCGAAGCCCTCATCACCTGAAAACCAGTCTTCTGTCCTCACTCCCAATGGAATCTGTAAACCAGTGGCTTTCAAATGGAGCCCTGTGGACCCCCAGGACTCTGAAGTCTCTGAAGTCCAGAGGCCCACACAGCCCCCATCAGCCAACAAGAGCTCCATGCCCATCAGGTTTATGCATTCGGCCTGGGTCATACTTGGTTTAAAGGAAGGATTCTGCTTTTTAGAAAACTGATAACCATTTTTGGAAACCATGATTAGATTCTATTCCTGCTTTCAGGTCCCCGTCCTGCTTAAGACCAGGTGACACTGTTTCTCTACCAGCTCACACCTCAAGGCCTGCTTTTCCACTGCAGCCCTCCAGAACCTGGTCTGGTCTTGGTACTTCCCAGTCCCTGACCGCAGGCACATCTCAGACCCTCTGCACTCAGCGTCCACAACTGGAAAAACAGCCACAGGAGACAGCTGGCCTTGGTCCCAGCTTTAATGGAGATGCTTCTGAAGTCCGACCATAAAAATGACCTTTGCTCCAGAGTTCTGGTAGACAGCCTTTGCTAAGTTAAAACAAACAATTTCCCCTCTGTTCCTGGCATCCTAGGAGTTACTTTGCCTCATCTGGGTGATAACCATGTGTCTTCTCCCACGACCTCCCTGCCTCCTCCCCCTGCGCCACCCACCATAGCCCCACTGGCTCCTGTACCAGGAGGCAGCAGAGTGGGCATCAGGAATGTGGACCCCAAAGTCAAACTGCCTGGCTTCTACCTCCCAGTTAACCTTGGACAGCATACTTTGCCTCAGTTTCCTTACCTGGGCTAATAGCACAGGCATCGTGAAACTGAGGTGAGGCTTAAACTCAGGTGAGACACTCAGCAGAGTCAGGTGTGTGGTGTGGGGCAAGCTCACTAAGGATCAGCTGTTCCTATGGATCTGCAAGTATCTGCTCAGATGGCCCTGCCTGCTGTCCCCCGTGCCCTGTTCCTTCCCTTCATCTTCTGCATCATGATGGGTGACATTTCCTTGACGACTATCTGTCTTTACAAGACTCAACATCCACAAGGACAGGGACCGAGTCGGCCTCCTTTCCTGCTGTATCCCAAGAGCCAAGAACACCCAGGAGGTGCTCAGATCTATGGGTGGAAGGATTGAATAAGGATGCTATTCCCCATCTGCGAAGTTTCTCAGGCTGGGGTGGGGGGTTGCCTATGAGGACACGTAAATACCAGTGTTGTATCTGGCACACAGTAGGTGTTGCAGAAATGATTTGTTTACTTATTTATTTATTTGCGATTATGCTTACTTATTGATGTATTTGTTTTCTCACTGGCCTCTGGCATTGAACTGTAATTATACTCAGCACTCCACTGTTTAGTACTTCACACTTTGCTATGATTTGGGGGTTTGGAGCCACACTGCAAGCTCCTTGAAACCCCTCTTTCTCCACTGTCCTGCCTGGGTCTGGCACTGAGCCGGGCACACGTGGTGTGCCATAAGTGCGTGTCAGGTGGCTGGACAAATCAGCCTGGCTCCCAGACAAATGGGTTTGGGTGCAAAGGAGGACAGAGAGCAGGGTTCTTAGCGTGAGGCCTGTGTTTTGCCGGACTCACTTCATTCAACAAGGATTGATTAAGTGTCTCTGTGAGCTGCAGGGAACACAAAATGCGGATCTGGGGGAGTTAACCCTCTCGGTGGAAGCCACGCCAGTGCCCCCAAAACCAGGCAGAAAGCAGCTCCAGCAGGCAGCCGATGGGAGCAGCAGCCCCACTGCCCAAATGAGGCAGGCAGAGGGCAGTGCTATCAACCCCTCTCCTGGCTCTGCAGTACTAGAGACGGTAGCATCCTCTGTGCACTCACCCCAACCTGCCTCACCTCCCTGCAGCGCTGCTCCTGTGGATGACTGGTCTACCTCCTAGACCAAATGTTTGATCCTCAAGCCCCCCACCCCCGTTGCTCCTGCCATGCTCCCTCCTGTGGCAGAGCATGGATTTTGGTGACTCCATGATAAAGGGACAAATGCACACAGGATGCAAGAACACCCTCCTGTAACCCTTCTAACTCCTCCCAATTCTGCACTCTGTTCACACTTCCAAGCCAGCCCAAACCTCTGCTTTGGAGTGGGCTAAGCAGAATTCCAATGCTGGCTCTGCCACTACTCACTGGAGCAAGTCAGTGTCTCAGAGCCTTGCTGTATTCGGCTATGGACATGGAGATAGCAGCACCGGGGCTTCCAGGGCTGTCGTGAAAATGACATCCCATCACGCATCCTCATGGAGTCGGGTGGATCGTGGCACACAGCAGGCAATGAATAAATGTGATGTGCTCTTTCTTGTCTTCCCGAAAGCTTTCTCTGGCTCCCCCACCCCGGAGCCCTCACTTGTCCCCAGGAAGCCACTGATGCTGCCTGGTGACTCCCCGGGCCTTTGCTCATTCCCCATGCCTCACCTCCCAAATCTCCACATACAAACTCAGAAGCTGGATAGATTTAGGGATATTTTTGAGATAACATCTGCCATCTAATCTCTTTCTTCTAATCATCCCAAACTCAGGAAATAAATAATTTGGGTAATACAGGACCCTCACTCTCTGAACTTGCTATCAGAACTCTTGCTTACCCCAAATCAATAACCGATATATTTAGAAAGCCAGTTTGTACTCGTACTGCCTCGGACGGCTAATCACATACACAAACTTGACCTCCACAGCCAAAGTGTTCTGGAATGGGCGTCGGGGAAGGACATAGCTTAAGTTCCACGTTCCTGCCTCAGAGCTAAATGCAGAGTCTTTTAAATAGGAGGAGCTCCATTCCTTCATTTTGGTTCTATTATAAAATGGATGAGTGCTGAGCATCTTTTTAAAGCGATTCACTGCTGTCTTTATTTACTTATCTGGAAGGCACTAAAAATGTTTCTTAAGAATTCACTATTGGCCGGGCATGTTAGCTCATGCCTGTAATCCCAGTACTGTGGGAGGCTGAGGTGAGAGGATCACTTGAGGCCAGGAGTTTGAGACCAGCTTGGGCAACATAGTGAGACCCCATTTCTAAAAAAAAAAAAATTAAACATTAGCCAGGCACGATAGCATATGCCTGTAGTCTTAGCTACCCGGGAGGCTGAGACAGGATGGTATCTTGAGCCCAGGAGTTGGAGGCTGCAGTGAACGATGACGGAGCTACTGCACTCCAGCCCAGGTGACAGACAAAAACAAATAAAACAACCAACCAAACAAACACAAACACTTAGACCTCACTATTGTATCACAAAGAATATCAAGCTCATGTATCATATCCTTGGCCAAGTTCATCTGATTCTTTTTTTCTTCTGAGATGGAGTCTCACTCTGTTGCCCAGGCTGGAGTTCAGTGGTATGATCTCAGCTCACTGCAATCTCCGCCGCTCAGGTTCAAGCAATTCTCCTGCCTCAACCTCCTGAGTAGCTGGGATTACAGGCACATGCCACCATGCCTGGCTAATTTTTGTATTTTTAGTAGAGACAGGGTTTCACCATATCGGCCAGGATGGGCTCGATCTCCTGACCTCAGGTGATCCACCCGCCTCGGCCTCCCAAAGTGCTGGGATTACAGGCATGAGCCACCATGCCCAGCCCATCTGATCCTTAAATAATGATATTTTTAAAAAATTACATTATACGGAAAAAGAAAAAAAAAAAAAAGAAATCAGTCAAAAGGAGCTAGGGCCGTGGTGCTGACATTCGTTGAATCCCTGCTGTTTTCCATGCTCATTCCCTCTGCGCCTTTCTGTCTTCTGTTTGGAACCCCCGCACCTATCCCACGACAGAGCTCAGAGGAGGAGCTGAGCCCATCACAGCCAGATGCACAGCCACCCCCTGAGCCCGCACAGCCACTGCTCTGTCCTAAAGTGACATCCAGAACCTCCAAGTCACACTGGGCTCAGAGCCCTTCTCTTCTTCCTCTCTACTGCATTTCTGTGGGTGGCTACCCCGTCTCACAACTTCAACCACCAACCAGACACTGGCAACACCTGAACACGTCTCAGACCCAACCCCTCTCCCTGGGGGTCTCGACCCATATTCCCTGGACGTAGTCACAGTCACCAAATTGAGACATTTAAACTCTTAATGTTTTCTGGATACTCACAGATGTCACACAACTGGTGAAAGTAAAATGTAGCTGTCAGGATTATTAAACAGGAAGGGAGATTATACTGTGGCAGTGTACAAAATATCACTTTCCTGGGATTCTCCTGTGACATGTTCTCTATTGATAGGCAGAGGAAGCATTTGTCCTAGTTCTGGCCCATTAGGAAATTGACATTGGTCTCTCCTATACCAAATTAAACTGTCTGTCCTGAAACATGGACCTCTCCTTGCCAGCATGAAGTCCCGGACACACGATTAGTCTGTTTGGCTTCAGAAGCCTTCAGGAATAGTGGCTGGATATTTTTTTTCCTTCTTTTAGATGGTTACACAAAGGGTGAGGTTATTTATATATGTGAGCACACTGCCAATTAAGCTAAGCATCCTGTGTACTTTATTAAGTCAGGCTGGGCGCACCTGGCCATACTCCCCTGACCCTCGGGGCTGTGCCAGGAGAATTCCAGGGCTCTGGGAGGATGGTATCTGCCACTAGGAGTGCCTTCCTCTGGAGGGGAGAGAGCTGTGCCCCTCGAGTTCTGTTGCTGTAGCTCAAAGGGCAAGTGAGATGCTGGCAGGAACCTGGCGGACAGTCTGACTCTTCCGATTGCCTTATTTCTTGGCTGCCAGTTCCGTGGCGGTCAGCAATGAGGCAAACCTTGGACTCACAGAGCTGGAGGGAACAGCAGGATCCCCGCTCCAGCCCTGCCTTTCACAGATGAGAGGACAGAGTCCTAGCAGGCAGCCAAGGGTTGGACTTTTCCAAGGCCACGCAGCTACTAAGGGGAGACTGACTGTGGAAAGTTTGGTGTTCAGATGCACACACACTGGGTTTTCATACGTCGCAGACCCTTGTAAATTAACTGTAGGACGTGGACTGTGTCTATGGAGCCTTGACCTCTGGCTCACGGAATGTGACAACTACAAAAACCTCAGGAAATATCCCTTCCATTTAGAGACGTCAAGGCACCTGCATATGCGTTACTTAAGATATCTCTGCCTCAATGTCTGCGTGTGTAAACTGGGAATAGTGAGAAGTCTGGGCTGCATGTCCACATGGTTGTTACAAAGATCGTATGAAATGACACATGGAAGTGGTGTTGAAAATGACAGGTGCTAGACAGGATGAGGGGATTCCGGAAATAATGATGGCGACGAGGATGGCGGTGGTGGTGGTGAAGTCCTGTCAGAGCTTTAACTGTCTGGAAGCTGAGTGACTAGATCACCAGGGAAAACACCTCAGAGGGGACATCAAGCCGGAGCTGCTGCAGCCTCGTTTTCCTAACATGAGGGGCATAACCACAGTTGTGGGGACGGAACAGCTTTTCTAAATTCCAACCCGCCAGCATACGGACCTCACCAGATGTTGTGCCCTGTAAGAGGGGAAGCCAGGCAATGGCTCTGGCCTTGCTGGAAACAAGCCCCGTGCGCAGGGACCATTCCACCTCGATTTTCAGAAGAGCAGAGGGCTGCTTGGACCATGAGACTGCAGAGGGTGACTGTGCCAGGGTGGGTCCTCTGGGGCCACAGAGAGCTGGAGCTGTGCACTGGGGCGCTGGCTTCCTTGCTGGTCTGTGGTCTCCAATGGGGGCCTGGGAGCCGCAGCATGGGTTCCCGATGGTCCGTGTGACCCTCCTTGGACTGCTCAGGGACTCTGGTCAGGATTTGCATTTGACACCCAGCTGTGCCTCCTGGGGACACTGTGTGGGGTGGCAAAGGCGATACTGGCATCCATGGCCATGACCGTCCAAAGGGCCTTATCACCTCCAAGCCTCGCAACTCAAAGGCCAGGGAGCTGGAGACACCTGAGAGCCCGTCACTTGCCCCAGATCACTCAACGGCAAGTGGCAGAAGCCAGGCTGAGCCTGCACAGTTCCAGCTTCACAGCTCTGTACTGAGACGCCCGGTCGGCCACCCCTCCCTGGGCAAGTGCTTCGCCTCTGTCATGGGCCTGGTCCTCAAGCCAGGGATGGGGGTTTTGGAGGTTTCTCTTCTCTTTGAAACCCCCTGTTGTCACATCTAGGACCAGTTACACCCACACTCCAATCAGCCCTCACTCCAAAGCCTGAACTTTGCCCCCAGGGCAGAGTGGGGCCAGGGTGGTGTTCTGAGGAGCTGCCAGGGGCTTCACCTGGGACCTGCCTCCCTCCCTACATTCAGGTTCAGTCAGGAAGGGCTGAGACGGGCAGCCTCGAAGACGAGGATGGCTGGGCGCCACGGAGGCTGGGTGGGGGATATGAGCAAATGACCGACTTTTCTGACCTTGGCCTTCCTCTGTAGAGTGGGATCATGGTCTCCCCTTACTGGGTGACTGCAGGGACGCAGAGCTGACCTATGTGACCATCTGAGAGACAGAGGAAGCTCGGCCAGCCTGGAGACAACCGTCTTGGCCCCTCTACCCTCTTAGTCATTGGTGCAGGCTCCAGAGCCCTGCGACATGGAGGGACTCACTCCAAGACCCCCGCTCCACAGCCTGGAGTGTGAGCTCAGTAACAAGTGACCAAACTCTGGGCCAATGAGAAGCACAAGGCGGGTGTCCCGGGTGGCCCTGCCCAGGCAGGGCCTGCGAACCAGACAGGCCCCAGGAGGGCCTGGTCAGGGCATGTGGTGAGGGTGTGGACTCCTGGGGTGGCTTCTAAGCCCTGGGATGCCCATCTGTGTGACTGTGGCAGTTTCCTTGTCTGTAAAGAGTGGGTGGGTCTGTAAACCGCAGTTGTGAGGACCCTGGGGGACCCACAGAACGCCGCTGCTATTGTCAATGCAACCCTCTCCCATGCTGAGCCCAGAGGTCCAGTAAACAACTGAGTGAGTGGACGGATTCTAGTCGTGTCCTAGGCATGCCCTCCCATCTTCCCCAGCCATCACTAAGGAAGCACAGTACTCGTGGTGCCATCCATCTCCCTGCTGCTTTCGAGAACGCAAGGGGACGCAACGTCCCTCCAGCCCTGGACACCCGAGGCCAGCCCAGCCCTCCTCCACATGGTCCCCTCCCCATTGCCAGCCTTGGGAGGGGCTAGGACTCCAGCCCACATGTCCAGCCTGCCCCCCATCACCCCTGCCTCGCCAATCCCTGGGTCCTGGGGTGACCAAACCAGCCCTGCACACCTGGAAGAGCAGACTCCGGGAAGCGGCTGGGGGTGGGCCCTTGGAAGTAGCTCCAGGACCCAGGAGTTCTGGGATTCCCAGCATGGGGAGTGTCAAAAAGAAAGGGGGCCTGTGCTCTCAGGGGTGCACCTGCTTGGCCCACACAGCCTCCCCACTATCTGGACAGGAGCTGGCTGGAGGCGGCCAGGGCCCCGTTCCCCGGGGAGGTGCTCCTGCTCTCTCAGTACCTGTCAACGACGCATGCTGTCGCCTCATGGCTGATGGACGAGGAGTAGGTCTGCCACTCACCCCGAGGCAGCTCTCGCACCTGCATGGTGAAGTACCGGATGGGGGAGGCCCCGTCGCTGCCCGGGACCCACTGGAGCCGGAGGCTGCGTGCGGTCACTTCTGCCTGGGGCACCAGGAGCTCTCTGGGGGGTGCCGGCCGCTCTGCAACCAAATGAGGACAGACCAGGGACATGTGAGAGGCTGCCCTTCCCAAGGAACATCCCCAGGAGGCTACGCTGCTGTACAGGGCTGACTGCTTGCCCATGAGAGCTGCCTGCATGCCTTGGACAGTCTGAAGCCAGTCCCTTCCTTGGGTCAGGGAGATGAGAGGCTCTGTTTTTTTGTTTTGTTTTGTTTTGTTTTGTTTTTGAGACAGAGTCTCACTCTGTCACCAGGTTGGAGTGCAGTGGCGTGATCTCAGCTCACTACAACCTCTGTCTCCTGGGTTCAAGGGATTCTCCTGCCTCAGCTTCCTGAGTAGCTGGGACTACAGGTGTGCACCACCACGCCCAGCTAATTTTTGTATTTTTAGTAGAGACAGGGTTTCACCATGTTGGCCAGGATGGTCTTGATCTCTTGACCTCGTGATCCGCCTGCCTCGGCCTCCCAAAGAGCTGGGATTACAGGCGTGAGCCACTACACCCAGCTGAGCAGCTATCTTAAGGCTGACTTCGGATGCACTACTCATAGAGACCAACAGACAGGAACAAAGCCACACAGGAGTCCCTGGGCTGCCAGACCACCAGGCACTGTGTCTGTGATGACAGCTGGGGTCGCAGGGTCTTGGGGGCTGTTCCAAGCCCTGTGGTCCCTTTGGTCTCTCTTTTTCTGATGTTGTGCTCAGTCCACCTTTAACGCTGAATTTCCTCCTTCTTGCAGTCACCCAGGGCCTAAAGCATCTACGGCATCTACTCAGTGCTGCTGTAGGTGAGGGCACCTCTGGGCTGTCACTGCCTCTGGTGTGTGCAGTAGCTTGGATGCGGGACGCGGGGTGCCTGGGGCCAGGCCCGGCCTGGAGTGCCCATCATCTGCCGCCGCTGTGCCTCTGCACCCCATCGATTTCAGCAGAGAAGTTCCGCGGCGGAAGGAATAATTGTTTAATTGTTTATCATGAAGATTATTGATTCTGATTAGAATGCGTGGCGTGTGTAAAGCTGCAATTGATTGTCGGCCCCCAGTGGCGGGTGTGGGAGGAGGGCTCCCGTCTCACTTCATCAGCACTTGCCTCCGTAAGCACACGTTCTGGCCCTTGTGATTTCACCTGGTCTCCGGAGGGGAGGTGGCCCAGCGTATCCCGTTTCAAAGGCTCTCTTGGACTTAGTGGTAACTAGCAAGTCTCTTGGATTCCCTCTCCCTGAGCCACGAGGATGGAGGATGGGGGCCCCAATGGAAAATCTCCGAAATCTCTGGTCCGGATAATCAGGTGGCATAGTGTGGGGCGGGACTGTGGGGCGGGGCTGTGGGGCAGGACACGGGGAAATAAGAGGACCTGCTGTGAGACCGTGTCTGTGATGCACCTGCACACGTGCCTGGCTCGCGGGAGGGGCACAGTCAATGTTTAAGATAAATGAACCATAAAACCACACAAATACATTAGAGAAAGAAGTCAAAACGTTTGCTTGGGAGCCATTACCATCTTCCTGAGAAGCCGACAGCCCTGAGTGCTGATACCCAGGGTGGCAGCAGGGGGATAGGGGCGCTCCTTTCACAGGGCATCCCTTCCATGTGCTTTACATTGCAGAAGCACCTCGGGTGTCTGTGGCGACTGAGGGCTTCCGTCCCTCCAGCTAATAACAATAATAATGATAGTGGTAATGGTCACAGAGGGGATGTGCTTTCACTGAATGCTATGGGAGGACCAAAGGCAGGGGCTCACACCTGCAATCCCAGAGCTTTGGGAGGCTGAGGCAGGAGGATCGCTTGAGCCCAGGAGCTGGAGACCAGCCTGGGCAACGTAGTAAGACCCCCATCTCTACAAAAATTAAAATATTAGCTGGGCACAGTGGCTCATGCCTGTAACCCCAGCACTTTGGGCGGCCAAGATGGGTATCATAGCAAGACTCTGTCTCTTCAGAACATAATTAGCTGGGTGGTGTGTGCCTGTAGTCCCCGCTACTGGGGAGGCTGAGGTGGGAGCATTGCTTGAGCCCAGGCATTCCAGGCTGCGGTGACCTATGATCACATAACTGCACTCCAGCCTGGGCAACAGAGCAAGACTTGTTTCAAAAATAAAAAAACAAAAATAGGAGCGTGGCCAGAACTGTGTGCTCCAAGTATCCCTGCAGTGGTGCCTGCAAGCTCCCTCCCGTCCTCATTCCCACAGGGTCCCTGGGTCTGGCCATGACATCAGGACCTGGAGTGGGAGCTGGGGCTGCTGAGGTGAGGGTCCTGTGGCACCAACCCTGGACGCTGCAAGGCCCGAGGACATGCGCGGAGCCCACTGAGAAGGGCGCCCACTATAGACTTTCATGGGAAGAGTCGGCCTCGTGGTGTCAGAGGGGAGTCCAAATCTCAGCTCTGCAGTTGTGTGTCTGGGCAAATTAATAAAACTCTCTCAGTTTCCTCTGTCTCATCTTTGGTAAAAATCAGAGCTAATGCCATGCTGCTCCGTGGGCTGCAGGAAGGATAGGCCAAGTGCAGTGCATGGAGCACCTGTCTCCGTGCGTGGAGCAGAGCCCTGCTCGCCCGGCAGTTCTCATTGGGAAGGCAGTTATTTGGAAAACTTACTTACTGAGCACCTGCTCTACGGAGGACGTGGGTTTAACATCAGAGACTGGGGGCTGCTTTCGGGGAGCTCAACCTCAAATGTGGTGACTCTGCAGCCTTGCCCCAGGTACTCAGCCTCTGCGAGCAATGTTGCTTTCCTTAAACCTGAGACCGTCTCACATATCTAAGAGAGCAGGTGTGAGGCTGAAGGTGTGAATGCAATGCTCAGGTGTCTGAGAGAGCAGGTGTGAGGCTGAAAGTGTGTTATGCAATGCTCACATGTCTGAGAGCAGGTGTGAGGCTGAAAGTGTGTCACGAAATGCTCACATGTCTGAGAGAGCAGGTGTGAGGCAGAAGGTGTGAATGCAATGCTCACATGTCTGAGAGAGCAGCTGTGAGGCTGAAAGTGTGTCATGCAATGCTCACATGTCTGAGAGAGCAGGTGTGAGGCTGAAAGTGTGTCACGAAATGCTCACATGTCTGAGAGAGCAGGTGTGAGGCAGAAGGTGTGAATGCAATGCTCACGTGTCGGAGAGAGCAGGTGTGAGGCTGAAGGTGTGAACGCAGTGCTCACGTGTCTGAGAGAGCAGGTGTGAGGCTGAAGGTGTGAATGCAATGCTGTTTGATAGTGTGTCCAGCTCCATGTCAGGTGCAATGGGTGCTTTGTAAATGCTCACATCCCTTCTCTTTCTCCGAAGGGAAGGCCGAAGCCTCCCAGGTACCCCGCAGACCCCAGAGGGCCTGATTGAGGAAGCTGTGCCCACAACATCTGCAGTACCCCCGGGTCCCCCAAGGTCTTACCTCTCTTCTCGGTGGTGATGACGGTGGCCTCCAGTGGCTCCCCCCAGCCCTGCCTCGTCTTGGCGGACAGCCTGAAGATGTATGCGGACTCCGGGGCCAGGTCGGTGGCTGTGAACTGCCTCACTGTGGCGCCGACCTCCACGGTGGTGAAGGTGTGGGGGCTGCTGCTGGCCAGGCGGTAGGCAATCTGGTACCCTGCAGGCAGGTGACATGGGAGACAGCTGCTGAGCCAGTCACCCACGGCACAGGGAAGCCCTGTGCCCACACCCTGTGCTGACCCCTGGAAGGCCATCTGTCTCTTCCCCGTCTCTGGAGGTCACTGCCTGTGCACTGAAAGGGTGGTCTCATGGCTGTGATGAATGGTGGGGCCCCACGTGGATTTCCCTGTGAAGCTTGTTTCCTGCTCCATCCTTCACCAGAACAAGGTGTGAACACGGGTTCATCTTTCCTTAGGATGCGGGCACGAGGCGAGCATGCCACAGGGACCCAGTCCCTCCCTGCTCCCCAGAGGGCTGTGGCTTCTCAGTCTCTGCCTCTCCCTCCCTCCTGCAGTCTGGCTCTCCCCGTCGCTCTCTTAGGAAGTCGTTTAATTCTTGCAAAAGACAGCATGGCCTCCCCAGGCAGGACAGCAGCTCCACAGCGGCCACTCCTCCTTCCCTCCTTTGTCTTCCCTGTCTGCCTGCACCTCTGACCCCCCAGCTCCCTCCAGGGACCCCAGCAACGTCCATCCGGCCCCTTCTTTGGCCCCACCCCTCCCGAGCAGCTCCGCCAGGGCAGCTCTGCTTACAGAATCCCCCTGTGCTGCCCAGTTGAGGGAGGGCTCCTGGCTTGCTCAGTTCCTCCGCTGGGAGGGGCTTGGGGTTGACCAGACGTTCCTTATTAACGATCACTCCTCTCCACTGGCCGCCCCAGGCCTCCCCCGCTGGCATCTGGAGGAACCTTGTTAACTCTGCAGCTCCAGTCCGCACCCTGCCTGGCTCACAGACAACGTGTGGTCCAGCGGCTGAGCTCCTGCGCTGATTAAAACCAGAAATGACGGGGCGCTGTGGCTTCCAAAAAAAATCAACTGCTGGAGTTAAACAAGGGAGGACGCACGGGGGGAACAGAGCCGCGCTCCGGTCTCATCAGTGCTGCCTCTTCGTGGAGTGGCCTCTGCACTGGTGGCTCACCCTCTGTGGGGAGGAGCTGCCGGGCGACCCCACGCTGCTTGCCCCCTGCCCTCAGCCTCTGTTCCGGGTGAACCCCTCCCTCTCTCAGCTCTTCCTGCTCTCAGGTCTCTGGTTCATGAACGACCGAGCTCACAGGCATCCTCCCAGCTCCTGCGCCTTGTCACTCATCCACGCATTTAACAAACCCCTCCCCAGCCCGCCATCTGGGAGGTGGGAGGACAATTACACGGAGATCAGACCTCAAGGGCATCCTCACATCAGGCCCCAGGCATCACCGCTCACCATCAGCACCGTCATCACCGCCACACAGACAGGGACACACGCCCTGCCCTGTCCATGACGCAGCCACCTCTAGGCGCAGGTGTCTGCAGGACCCTGAACTTAGGCCCCCAGAGTGGCTGTCGCAGCCGCTGCCCTGCCTCCAGTGGACGGGCTGTCTTCCCCACAATGGGGACCGGGAGTTCTGAGACTTCCTGGATGTGGCCCTGCTGGCCTCAGGTCTCTGGCAAGGGTGTCCCTGCTAGACTCCTGTTCCTTCCCAGTCACTGACTGACCGAGGGCAGCCTAGAGACGGCGGCCAGCTCTTTCCCCCGGCCTCCCCTTCCCCCACGCCTCCCCTTCCCCCACACCCCTGTGTAGTGAGAGTAGGGAGAGGGCCAGCTCTTCCCACAGGCCTCCCGTTTCCCCGACCCTTGCACAGTGAGAGTAGGGAGTCAGCCGTGCACACACAATGGAAGCTCAGTCTGAGGCTTCGGGGCTCCTGGCCGCCCCGCACTCTGACGGTGAGGAGAGCGTGACCACAGCGGCTACACTGCTAGGCACATCCAGGGACCCTGCTGCATCCCTGCAACGCTTCCCATGCCAGACCCTCGCCGCAGGCCTGTCAGGAAGCATACAAGACAAGGATGAGGACGAGGCTGTGAAGCTCCAAGATGGGTCCCCAGCGAGAAAGTGACGAGAGAGTCGGGCTGGAGCCCCATGGGTGCCTACTCTTCCTGGGAGAAGCAAACACCCATGCCGATCTGTGAGCAAAGGGAGAGCATCCCCTCGCCAGGTCCCCGTTGCTCGGAACCACGGACCCCAGGGCCCACTGCGCAGAAGCATCCTCTCCAATAGAAGCTAGCGGGCCCTTCAAAGGAAGGACACACCTTTGGGGGTGCACCTCTGGGCTGGAATCCCGCTCTGCCAATCATTCACTGTGTGACCGTGGATGAGCCATGCAGCCTCTCCCAGCCTCAGTTTGCTGGACTACATGGTGCAAGGATATGGCAGGACACCTCACGGGGTGCCAGGAGGGCTCTGGGGGCTCACGGTGGTAATGACCTGGCTGGCACAGCCATGCCTGGTTGCTCCTGGCTTTAATATTATTATAAAACAATTGCAGTCACGACTTCTCCTCCCTCCTCCAGCTGGCAAGACCCCTTCCCTAGCAGTTCCTCACCCTGTGGTGGCCGGTATGACCACAGAGTTATCATTCCTCACAGCCTCCATGGAACCTTATTCCCCGGACCTGTCCACAGGCACTGATATGGGCGTGGTGCCTTAGGCCCCTGCAGCTCCAGGACAGGGTGCTGAATGCCCACCGGAAGCAGCACAGGGGCCCAGAACAGACATGGCCAAGCCCCTAGCCCAGCCCTGAGGAGTGACACCCCCAACTTTGCAATGCCTGATTGAGTTAACTACCTACAGCGTGTGCCTCAGAACAGGACTCCCTGGGTCGGAGTTCCCCCTTAAAATGTAAATTCCCCAACAATGTCCTGCTTCCTCGGGGCTGGGAGAATGACCCTAATTCTGAGGTCTCTGGGCGGCTGTGTTCTGCCTGGAAAAAGCATCTCTGGCCACATAATCGATGTTCATCTTGGAGACCTTCTAGGCTTAAGCTGCCTTTTGTCTAAAGACATTCAATATTGTTATGATTTCTTGAGCTGTGTAACATTCACATGGCTCAAAAATCATGCAAATGTGCCAGGTAAAGAGTGCAAAGCAGCCAGGCACAGTGGCTCACGCCTGTAATCCCAGCATTTTGGGAGGCCAAGGAGGGTGGATCACTTGAGGTCAAGACTTTGAGACCAGCCTGGCCAACATGGTGAAACCCTGTCTCTGCTAAAAATACAAAACTTTAGCAGGGCACAGTGGCTCATGGCTGTAATCTCAGCACTTTGGGAGGCCGAGGTGGGCGGATCACAAGGTCAGGAGTTCGAGGCCAGCCTGACCAAAATGGTGAAACCCTGTCTCTACTAAAAATACAAAAATTAGCCGGGCGTGATGGCGGGCGCTTGTAATCCCAGCTACTCAGGAGGCTGAGGCAGGAGAATCGCTTGAACCCGGGAGGCGGAGGCTGCGGTGAGCCGAGATCACGTCACTGCACTCCAGCCTGGGTGACAGAGCAAGACTCTGTCTCCAGCAAAAACAGAAAACAAAACAAAAAACAAAAACGCAAAACCAAAACCACCAAGAATGATGTGTAACCCAGTGTTAAGTTCAGGCATCTGAATATCGTTCCTAGAGATGAAGAGATACGAATCTTTCGCTAAGGCAGCAAAAATCAAGTTTGCATTAAAAACAGACTCATGTATGTATGCGTAGGGTTCAGCCTGCTCCCTCCACACTGTCGAGGTGGGATCATCTCACTGATTTTGCACAAGTGGCTAAAAAGATTTCTTCTTCACCGTGTGAAAAAACATGCCTATCCCGGCAGGGCGCAGTGGCTCACACCTATGATCCCAGCACTTTGGGAGGCCGAGGCAGGTGGATCAAAAGGTCAGGAGTTCAAGACCACCCTGGCCAAGATGGTGAAACCCCGCCTCTACTAAAAATACAAAAATTAGCCAGGCATGGTGGCAGGTGCCTGTAATGCCAACTGCTCGGGAGGCTGAGGCAGGAGAATCACTTGAACCCGGGAGGCGGAGGTTGCAGTGAGCCAAGATCACGCCACTGCACTCCAGCCTGGGCGACTGAGCGAGACTCTGTCTCAAAAACAACAACAAAAACATGCCTATCCCTAAAAGAGAAAGAGAAAGCCCTGTGTGGAAGATGCTTGGAGGCCTGGCCCCGACAGACGACTAACGAGGGCCTTCCCCAGCATCCCCGATGGCCAGGAACATGCCTTTCCTATGGATCCCACCAGCCTACCTGAGTTCCCTTGATTCATTACTTAATATGTTGGAGAGTTGTGTGTGATTAAGACTTCTCGCTCAAAATCCAAATTGCCTTTCAGTGACTATGTCTGAATTAATGAGGTATTATTTACTTTCAGGAGCAGGGCATGGTTACAGACGTGTTTTCATTATTGTTTAATCTTTACTGTTTCACCATGTTTTATCTCTGCCCAGATTATTCCATTGCTAGAGGTAATAATCCTGAGATGAAATGAAGATGTTGTTCAAAGGCACTCCTTGTGGATCACAGGATTTGGGGATTATGTGGGAACTGGTTTCTTCTTGCCAAGCTGTCTGAGGTTTGCTTACAGACCCTCCTTTCTATCAATGGCCCCACCTGACTCTTCTGTCCTCCAAGGTGAGCCCTGCCTTTGGCCATGCCGCAGACTACACAGGCTTCCATCATGTGGTTATGCACTTGCCCCTTCACTGCCCCACGTGGGCCTCACCTCACTTGCCTTGGAGGATACACTGCCTCGGGTTTGTGGATTGTTTTTCGTGTGTGGTCCTTGCCTCTCTCTCAGAAGCTCCTGACTAGACAGCAGGGAGCCGGGAGACCTGGCTCCTGACCCAGCCCTCAGGCAAATTCTAATCTCTGCCTGACTCTCAGTTCTCATCTCTTGGTATTAATCATTTTTTTAAAAATTTAAAATAGAGATGGGGTCTCACTATGTTGCACAGGCTGGTCTTGAACTCCTCGGCTCAAGCGATCCTTCTGCCTCAGCCTCTCAAAGTGCTGGGATTGCAGGTATGAGCCACTGTGTCTGGCCTCTATTAATCATTTTTTAAAATGGAGACACAGCTTATTAGGGGCCTCTATATTCCAGGCACTTCATAGCTACCATATTAAGACTTCATGACATTCCCCAGGCAGATATTCCTGTTTCCATTTCACATTTGCAGGCAAGGAGGGGCTGGGTGCCCACGAGCACACAGTAAACAGGGCAGGGCTGGGGTCCCTCGGCATCGAGCCCCAGCTCTTCCCAGGATACCCTGCTGTTGGCCTCAGCTCCCCCCTGCTGCAGTATGATGGGATTCTGATGATTAAAGAAAAGGGAGAAAAAAACAGAAAACAATTCAGAGAAAGTCACTCAGCAGGACATTCTGAAGGTGACCGACACAGAGTGGGGGAAACTGCAAAACATCAAGAAACAGCCCCTCATCGTGGGGCCGGGGGTCCCACTTGGGCCCAGCTCCAGAGCCACGCCTCCAGCATGTGAGGGCTCCCATCTGGGGAGGCTGAATTGTTCCAGAAAGTGCCAAAGAAAGAGAGTCCTCGGGAAGAGCCTTGGGGAGTAACATCAGGAAAGAGGTCAGCTGAGGTGGGCCCAGGGAGAGCGCTATGCAGCGGGGGCCAGAGGCAAAGCCACTGATCTGAGAGGGGGACGAGCAGCCTGTGAGGTGCAGGCTGGGGTGGAGCGGGGCGGCAGAGAAGGCCTGCAGGAGCAGCGCCACTGTCTGCAGCAGCCAGAGCACGAGGAAGGGAACCTGTGTGCTCCCAGGGAGGTGGTGACAGGGGGACAAGGCACTCTGGAGGTCACACTTCCAGAGTGTGGGCCTGGCAGGAATCACCGTTTGCAGAGCTGGCCCAGAGGTGCACAATGAATAGGCTCATGGGAGAACAGTGGGGTCTTGTTGTTCAGGGAGGCCTGGGGCCCTGCCCCATTACCAGATCGTTCCCATCGATGGACTCTCCCTGCCTGAGTCCCGAGGGCTCCACCCAGCTCCAAGACAGCCCAGACAGCGCAGGGCGAGGCCCTCTGATGCGGTGCTAAAGCTCTCAGCCCCTCAGTCCCATAGCGCTCCTGGGGCTTCAGCTTTTCAAGATTATACACACACACACACACACACATACACACACACACACATACACACACACACACATACACACACACACATACACACACACACATATACACACACACATATACACACACACATATACACACACATATATACATATACACACACACATATACACACACATATATACATATACACACACATACACACACACATATACACACATATATACATATACACACACATATATACACACACACATACACACACATATATACATATACACACACACATATATACACACACATATACACACACATATATACATATACACACACATATACACACACATATATACATACACACACACACATATACACACACACATATACACACACACGTACATATATACACACATATATAGTTGTTTATACATACAGATAGATAGATGCTTCTTTTGTATAAAAGCCACCCAAAAAAAGCAGGAAAAAAAAACCCATGAAATCACCTTTGGCCCTAGGGTGGGTGCCCCACGAACAGACCTTGAGGCCAGGACTGGAGTGCAAGTGGCGATTTGGGAGGTCACTCCAGGA
Source organism: Homo sapiens (assembly GCF_000001405.40). Taxonomy (NCBI): domain Eukaryota; kingdom Metazoa; phylum Chordata; class Mammalia; order Primates; family Hominidae; genus Homo; species Homo sapiens. Next base: position 4,139,193 of record NC_000007.14, on the reverse strand, counting down.
AATGGGGGGTGGGTAGAGAAGTGACACGGAGAAGAAGCTGATGAACGTGTGTGCATCAAGGCAGGGGCCGTGGGGCTGGGCTCCTCCCACTGTGGGGGCCGGTGGAGAACCTGTTAGCCTCGTCCCCAACACATGACACGGGGGGAGCTGCAGTGTGCGCCCACTGCCTCTCAGCGGTTGGCTAAGGGCTGTTGGGGGCACCCCTTGAATGTATGGCCCAGTCCTCAAAACCTAGCAGGCTCCGGCAGCCACAGAAAGCCCCTGGGCAGAGTCCCAGGTGATGGCCTGGAAGCTGGGGTGATGGTATGCTGGTCTGCAGGAGGACCATGCTGCCACTCAGAGATAACTGTAGCTGTCTTGGGACTTTTTTTAGTCATCAATTTTCTTTTCTTTTCTTTTCCTTCCCTCCTTCCTTCTTCTTTCTTTCTCTCTCTTTTTTTTTTTTGAGACAGAGTTTCACTATTGTTGCCCAGGCTGGAGTGTAATGGTATGATCTCGGCTATACTGCAACCTCTGCCTCCCAGGTTCAAATGCTTCTCCTGCCTCAGCCTCCCAAGTAGGTGGGATTACAGGTGTGTGCCAACATGCCCAGCTAATTTTTGTATTTTTAGTAGAAACGGGGTTTCACCATGTTGGCCAGGCTGGTCTCGAACTCCTGACCTCACGTGGATCCACCCTTCTCAGCCTCCCAAAGTGCTGGGATTACAGGCATGAGCCACCATGCCTGGCCTTTGGTAATCATTTTTCTACGCATATGAGTACTCAACAAACCCGGATTTCCACACTCAGTATGAGTTTTTCATTCTGCGATTTCTGCACAACATAACAAAAGCATGTTTTCCCTTTAGAAGCATGAATTTTAATGACTGTTTAATAGTGCACTGCGTGGCAGTGCCGCTGGACCCAAGTAGGAAGGGGGGAGTTTGCAGTGGGGTCGCCCTCCCCTCCCCTGACCTTTAGGATGCAGGCCTGGCAAAGCCCCAGTGAGACAATGTATGCAGATTGCAAAGCACGACGGCATCCCTGCTAATTGCAGAAATCTGGGTTCTTCTTCTCTCTCTGATCTGGTTCCCTAGGCACTGGAAGAAAACTCCTTGGCCTGTGTGTTCTATTTGTACCTTCCTATTATTTGCCCTAAAATAAAGATAATATCAGCTGGTCGCCACACCACGGTCTGCTGAACATAAAGATGAATGCCTATAGCTCACCTTGACACGTTTAAAAAGTCCTAGACTCGATGGACAATAGAAGACAGCTTTTTTTCTGTACATAAATGGCACAAAGGAGCAGCTGAGTAGCAGTCCTTGCATTTTTAGAGAATAATGATAGATGGTGTTCAGAGATAAGAGCGTTTCTGTGGAAAAGGCTAGTTATGTAATTACGGTTACAGCGAGATCAGAAACATCAGTGCGCTGCACTTCAGCGACGCAAGGCCAGAAGACGGCGGCGTGTGCGAGGGAGGAATGAACAGGCCGAATCAATAGCAGCAGTAAAATGCGGCTTACGAGGAGCCCTGTTTTTAAGGGTATGGGTGAATTATGATAATATGAGCATTAAAAGGAGCAAGGCCAAGTACGAGACACATTGATCCAAATGGAAGATTAAAAACATCAAGTGAGAGGCCTGAGTGGGTTTCTGAATACACCTGGAAGACGGAGGTGGCACTGCACATTTAGACAATCAGAATCCAGAAAGGGACTGCGCCACGGGCCTGAGACAAGTTCCAGAACCGTCCACTGCTCGAGACACAAGAAGGTGGCACTAAGGAGCTGAGGCTGGATACTGGAAGCCTTGTAGGCATCTCAGCTCCAGGTCAGCCTGAAGACTGACGCCGCACAGCTATACACAGAGCAATTTGGAGACTTCTATCCGGACGTTTTAGGTGGCTGCAAAGCCTTTGAGATAGAGTCTCGCTCTGTCACCCAGGCTGGAGTGCAGTGGCACGATCTTGGCTCACTGCAACCTCCGCCTCCCGGGTTCAAGCCATTCTCATGCCTCAGCCCCCTGAGTAGCTGGGATTACAGGTGTGTGCCACCGTGCCCAGCTAGTTGCAAACCTTTAATAAATTGTGCACTTCCCTGGGAAACAAAAGGCATTGTCTGAGAGTTGCTGTTCAGTGAGCATCACTGGGACCCCAGCGCTCATGACTCCAAAGCACGACCATCTGGGGCACGTGCTGCCGATCTCTCTGCAGCTGCTGTTGGTGGGCAAGTGGGTCAGAGAACCCGCAAGCCACTGAATCGCCCCAGGACGCCCACGCTGGCCGAGCCTAGATGCCGTGGCCTGTGGGTTTTGCAGCTTATCCATCCAAGGGCTGGGGATCAAAACGCTGAATCTGCCAACAGGGATCATACTTGCTGGAGCTCCTGATTCTCCGCAGAGTTCCCGCACACCCTTCGTAATAAGCTTAAAGGTAAATGTTAGGCCCTCCTGCTGGCAGGGCGGGATCCCGCGTGTCTGGCCAGGGCAGGCCCAAGTGGGTCTGAAGAGCTCACGCATCATCACGTTAGCGTAATACCAGTCAAGGCCATGTGGTGTCAGCTGGTGGGTGAGGGAGGGACGTCTGTACTCAGGGGGTTCCAACCCCATCCCCCCAAAGAAAAGTTCTAAATGCTAAAAGCACTCCACAGTAAAATATTTACGCAAATAAGCAAGTGTTTTCTCCTCTAGGTGCCTGCTGTGGTTCACGCTGTTAATCTCTTTTGGAAATGCAAGAACATGTTTTGATATAGATTACAAAAGCTCGGGCGGCAGAGGTGTTTATGTACTCAGAAGGCCAAGCTGCCAGAGTGGGAACATTGATTCAAGGTCTCTGGATGTAAAGTGAGTCAGACGAAAAGATGTTTTGCTTTCTCCCCTGTGAACACCCATCTGAATTTGCAGGAATTGTCTTCCTGTCTTCCTGCAGCCTCCGCCGTGTGGTGTGCCGGCTGTAATGACCCATGGGTGACAGGTTACCCGGACAACATGCATTACAATTACAAGCCAATGCTGCATGACAGAGGAGGCTCGGCAGTGACGTTGTCTGCCTCGCAGGTAGACACGGTGCTGTGTGATTCAGCAGCGTTCAGCACGGTTGGAGGGCTCAAAGTATTTAAGTGATTATCCTTCTCCTCACTTGGGCTTCAGTGGCTTTCAGTGACCACAAATCAAGATCCATACCTCCCGACGCACTTTAGGAACACTCTGTAACCCAAGCAGCCTTCTAAGTTTTCTTTCTCTTGTCGGCAAGAAGCCTCTGCTTCAGCAACCAGAGTTATGGAGGACAAATCAAGGCAGCACACCACTGCTGCATGCAACGGGAATACTAGGACCAGGCTGAGCCCCCAATGGTCTAGGAGGAGCTCTCAAGTCCAGGGAGCCTCCAGCCTCCTCTGGTGCCAGGGAAACGATGAAATATTCGATCTGATACGGAAGCTAACGTTTACTCAGCACTCACTATGTGGCAGGCACTGTTCTAAGTGCAACTCTAACCAGTGAGGGAGGCACGAATGTGCTTCCCCTTTGAGGGATGGGGAAACTGAGGCATGGGAATGCTAAGAAACACGCATAAATTCACTCAGCTAATAAGCATAGGCTGAGATCTGAGTCCAAAACGTTACCCAGGCTGCCGGCCTACTTGTCCGTGATGCAGTGTTGAAAACACAGGGGAAAGGAAAAGCAGGCAGCCCCAAGGTTCGTGCCATCTGACTTGTGCAGACGACAGCTGCTTTCTTTCTTGCTATTTCAGTGAATCTGTAATGAACATCCTTGTACGTTTCTCCTTGTGCACACAGGCAAGAATTTCTCTAGGGCGAAGGCCTGGAAGTGCAGAGCGTCTGGGGTGCAGTGTGAATGCGCTCACCTTTCCTGGTGAGCACTCCCCAAAGTGGACGCACAAACTCCCGCTCCTGGCAAGGGTGTAGGGGTCTTGTTTCTCCAGATCCTCATGTAAACTTGGCATTATCACAGCTACTTATGGTGCCAAATCTGGCGAATGTGAAATGGGATTTCATTGTGGCCTCAATTATCATTTTATAGTGCTCTTGTCATCGGAAAAAGAAATGTCAGAGACAGTCTGGAAAGTAAACGACAGATGATAAAACCAGCTGATGGGCTCAGTGGACAGCGGGCCTCACTCCGGCGGGCGTGCTGAGGAGAAGCCTCACCAGGTAGACACGTGCAGGGAGCGGGGCAGTGAGGACCCGGGGCTACAGAGGACATCGGCGTGAGTCCTCAGAAAGGGCAGATGCCCTGAAGTGGGTGTCAGGCAGAGGGCGGGGCCTAGAGCCGGCTGAGGCCAGAGCCTCCCCACGTGTGCAAGGACGCCCTGGGTCAAAGTCACAGTACTGGAATCTGAGCACGCGTCCGTCTGTGGCAAGAGAGAAGCACAGATGAAGCACATGCTTTGCTCCTGCACCGCTCCCACGCCTCCGCACTCCAGAACTGATCCTTGGCAGCCCGGTAAGCTGACAGTGAGTGGACGGAGGTGACCATAGAGTGAGGACTTGCCGGGAGGGTCTACCGAGGCCGGCAGTGGGAGCCAGGGGCCCTGCCAGGGTGGAGGTGGGGCTGGGGCGAGCCTGCTTCTTCACGGGGAACACTGTTGTTGTGGACTCCTGTGACTCTGTCAATGTTTCTTGTTTCACAGCATGCTGGGGACAGCTCCCGGGTAATCAGATATTAGCCCTGCTTGTTCCAGAAAAGGCTGATGCCTGGGTGCTGTGCTGAGGTTAGGGCCTGCCTGGGTGGGGCTCCTGCAAATCTCCTCGCCACAGCTGTCTGCTGGGCAGACCATTTCCTACCCCAAGACTGGGCTCACTGCGCAGGCACCAGATGTGGCTCATAGCTCCCTCTCCGCCGGGCCAGGCCCTGAAATGCTCACCTCCAAGGTGGCTGCTCAACTGAGATTTTAGTAGCAGGAACCCGCAATTCCAAAGGTCACCTGATTGAGAAATGCCGTACTCAAAGCCAAACACTTCTGTCTAGCAACTCCAGAAATCACATAAAGAAAGAGGCAAAGCGAAAATAGGTCACAGCCTCCTTGTGCAGAAGACTTAGGAAGCTCCAGGCCCCCTCTCAGGGAAGCAAGGGCTCAATAAATATCTGACTTTCCGTCCACCCTTCTCAGGCTGCCGGAGTGATTACCTACAAGGCAAATCTGATTGCGCAGCTTTCCCACTCAAAGACCTTGGATGAATTCCTGCTGCCGTTCAACACAGGCCTCCAAACTTTTTTTTAGTGATGTGAAACTCTTTCTTCAAACCAAGTCTTAGAATCCTAAGATCAAATGCAGGCAAAAGTGGTGAATTTTACCACCTGTTTGTAAGTCTGGGTTTATAACTTTACCGTAAATCACCTAGAACACAGGCTAGCCGAATCGGGGTGTCTGGTATGGCAATATCCCGAGAGCTAACCTGGGGCTGGGGCAATGTTCTGTGGCTGCTGCACTTGCCTCTAACAGGCCAGTTTAAAACGTCCAGGTCTCAGGGCCACATTCTCCAGGACACAGCAGGGAGCTCACAGTAGCTCAAGACCCGGCCCAGCCTCCATCCCCAGCCTTGGAGCTGTCAGTGCTCCCAAAGGCTGAAAGCATTCGGTCTTGGCTGAGTGGACAGCCCCCTTCCCTTCTTCCAAGGCTTTAGAAGCCACCTATCTCCAGATCCCTCTCAAAAGGAGACTTCCACCCACAGAGACCCCACCCAGAAGGAGCTGTGTGTGAGGCACTGAATGAAACCTCTTTCAGATGGCTTATCTCACTGTACTCTCAACATGTGTCTCCCTTACGGGACTGTGGGCAACTTGAGGACAGGCACACCTCATTCATTCCTCACCCCCCACTGTACATACGACACCTGCACAGGGAAAGTCCTTACTTTGTCTCTGTGAAAGGGTGAATGAGTCAAGGAACTGGGATGTTTTAAAATAGAATTTGTTGCTTTGGGGAACGGAAAAATTCAGGCTTTTCATCTGTGTTACCAGAGTTGGTATGCTGGCTGTAATGCTGAAAAGTCAGAAGTAAACGCGTTCCCCGGGACCCAGGGCATGCGCTTCATCTCAGCGGCTTCTTACAAGGATTGGGTGCAAGTGCTGCAGCAGAAAGATGTTTCCAGGAACATGGGAACCAAGGCTAGGTCTGCATCTTCTCTGAAAAACTAGCCTGTTGTTTCTCAAACACACATCAACATAGCCTGATATTTCAGAGAGGAAGGGAAGGTCGGTTACAAACGGTATCGCCATGAGCCGCAAACGAATGGAAGAAATTCCACGTTAAAAAAATGTGAATTTCATTCCATAAGAAAAACCTTTAGTACGTAGCTCAGAAAACAGTCAAGAGGCCCATGATCATCTCGGTTCAGGAAATGCTAGGCTGCTGGAGACAGCCTTTTGTTTAACCTCATAAACATCTAACAAACACGGAAGACATCAACTTGATTGTTATTTCTCTCCTTTTAAATACCATCACTCCTTTTTTTTTCTTATTTTGGGGATAGGGTCTTGCACTCTCTCTCAGGCTGGAGTGCAGTGATGCAATCTTGGCTCACTGCAGCCTCAACCTCCTGGGCTCAAGCGATCCTCCCACCTTAGCCTCCCAAGTAGCTGGGACCAACAGGTGCATGCCATCATGCCCGGCTAATAGTCTGAATTTTTTCTTTGGAGAGATGGGGTCTCACAATGTTGCCCAGGCTGGTCTTGAACTCCTGGGCTCAAGCAAACCACCTGCCTCGGTCTCCCAAGGTGCTGGGATGACAGGCCTGAGCCACCACGCCCGGCCACCGCCGCTCCCTTACCCAGGATGATGCCGTTGGGCTCCTCCGGAGGTTGCCACACTATCCGCACGGAGGTGAGTCTCACTTCGGGGAACACGAGCCTCACTGGTGGGCCTGGGGCTGAAGGGAAAAACCACAGGGATTCAGATCTCAAGACAGTGTTCCTTGGGTGCGTGACAGGTTACACAGGATTCCGAGGGTCAGCTGGCTGCAGTAACTACCACAGGCTACACTGTCGTGGGTTTAGAACCCCCTAAAGTTTTGGACTGATGACTTTTGGAATGTCACTGGTAGTGTGGCTCCCTAAGGATCTTGAGCAAACACTTCCCTTTAAACCCTGCCCGTCTGCTTTCCAAGACTCAAAAGCAGGGTTCACGAACTATGCCAGGAATAGTGTGAGTGTAACCAGCCTACCAGGACACAAGTAGACCAGTCACTAAATGACTCTGAGAGCAAACATCAGGTTGAGAGGAAGGATTTCCCTCATCTGAGCTCGGATTCCCTTACTGGGTTTGACATCTGCAAAGCAGGTGGTAGATGAGGCGGCCTGAAGTTCCTCCCAACTCTAACGGAGGTTACAATTTCTGATGAAATAACATGTGTATCCTCAATCATTTCTCTCGTAGGCATGCCACCTCTCTCCTGCATCATCCTAGATAATTAAGAGTTGGTGTGCACAAATGCATATAATAATTCTTGTGTGTGGTTCGGGGCACCAATAACTGAAAAAGCAGCTAGGTGTGGTGGAACTGCTGAATAATAGGGTTGTGGCCCTCATAAAATACATTTACTTAAACGAACAGGCAAGTAAGTGTGTGGCCAGTATGAGAGCTTCTTGTTGGAATTAATAACTGACCGATTCCCAGGTAAGAGGCAATGGGCATGAAACAATCAATATCAAAATAAAAGGATGTATGTTCGTCGTTCTGGGCCGCTGACGTCTGTCCCTGGCTATGAAGCTGGGAACAGTATTTTAAATTCTGAATGTGTGTTATGACGCCTATTTTGGGGTGAAATAAATGTCTGTAGGAGGCCACAGGCTCCCAACTAGGACTAAGTCACAGATACGCAAACGCTGACTTCAGACTTAAGCAGCGTTGCTCCCCTGAGCCCTCTCCCAGGCTGTTTATGGGGATTATGCTGGAAAGCAGAGGAGGAAGGCATGTCTACAGGAGCGCTGTGGGAGAGGAAGCAGCGGCATTCCAGGACTCACCAGCGCCTGCTTCAGGAGGGAACAGTTGCAGTGGGCCTGCTGTTACACACAGTTTCTAATAGGCCCATTTTTACTTTCATCTGGGAAACCTGGAATACACTGGAGCAGGAGATAGTTTTGCAAGGAAACAACACCCACATTCCCATTCCCTCCTGGATCTCCCTCTAGCCTGAGACCTTGTGTCAGGGAAGGATGGACAAAGCCTTCTGCAGGGTTCCCGTCTCTCCGTGAGGCGAGGCGAGGATCAGGGGTGGCACTCTCTCAGCAACGTGGAGAGAGTGCTTTCCACTCAGCAGTTAAGAGGACTTTCGGGCTCATTTAGTTACTCAGCAAAGATGCTTAAGAAAACCTACAGGTGTTTCACTTCTTCAGCCACTCCGATCCCCAGGGTGGGTGTTGTGGCGGGAGAGATCCGCATTTCTCTCCCTGATGTATTCATTACAGTCTGTTTAATAATGAAAATGTAAAGGCGCTAACCTTTATGTGTTTGACATCTGCAGAGTGGGAAAACATATTTACCGATGATTTAGAGTTCCATGAAAACAAAGCTGGCAAGGCGTCCTTGTGATTCAGGTCCAGAAACTCAGGGAGCTGGGGACCCTGGGCCATCCAGCACGGGGCTTTCTATAACCTCTAATTACCTCCCACAATGCAAACAGTGAGACGGGGCAGTACCGAGGGAAGTAAGGCATGAGGTCCACTGTGGATTTTTTAAACTATAGTAGTCTCCTTTTATCTGCAGTTTCAGGCATTCCCTGGGGTCCTGGGATGTGTTGCCAGATAAGGGGGCACTACACGAAGTGTGTGGAGCCCCTGCCAAGAGGAGCGTCCACAGCTGACATCCACAGCTCGGCCCCGCCCCAGCCTCTGCTGCCTCTCCCCAGCACTGCCCACGGCAGAGTTATGAGGGAAACTCAGTACAGGTTCATAATTAGGCTGTAAAAATCCACTCCAGGCTGAAATTGGCCATATAAGTGCTCAGTGACTGAAAAACAATTTTGTTTTGTTTCCCTCAACTGCAAAAGAAAGTGGTTTGAAAATTAAGTTAAAAGCGACAACAATCCAAATTGTTTGCATTGGAAAGGCCAACCTGGGAGGCAGCAAGGCTCCCGAAGGCGCGAACCCTGGACCTACCATCGTCTTTGGTGCGCTCCAGGATGAGGGGCGTGCTGGGGACCCCGTTCCCGATGCGGGTGAACGCCAGCACCTGGAGCTCGTAGAGCACGAACTTGCGCAGGCCTGCCAGCAGGGCCGACTGCGTGTGGTTCCCTCGCACGATGTGGCTCCTGGGCTCGGGATCCAGGTCTTTGGCCCGGAACAGGATCTGTGGTATCGACACAGCACGAGGGTTATCAGGAGGCGGGTGCCAGGAGGGACCGCCGTGGCATGGGGCAGGCCCCCTTCGTGAATCAAGGCCCAGCCAACTGTGCTTTCTCCCTGAGGATGGCTGTGTGCAGGGCTTCTGGATCTAATTTGTCCATGCTGGCATTTGGGGAGGAAGGTGGTTGTAAAGTGACTGCGCTCCAGGGGAGCTTGAGTTAGTGCCCACGGCTTGGCGAGCCTGCTGCCTGGTCATAATCTGCAAGATCTGAGGGCCCAACTGCAGCCATGCCAACCACAGCCACTAAAACAAAGACTCGATTATGAACACAGACAACACTCTGCTTCCTGCCACAGGAGCCAGCAGCCCCCTGGGTTTTCCAGCCATGGAAGCTGGTTTCCTGCCCCAGAAGACCTGCTGTCCTCACACAGACCGGGAGCTCTGGCCTCCTTGGGCCATCTGCAGCTGTGCATGCTGTAGGTACCCCACCCCAAGCTGCTGTCCTCCAGGGCACCCCACCCCAAGCTGCTCTATTCCAGGGCACCCAACCCCAAGCTGCTGTCCTCCAGGGCACCCCACCCCAAGCTGCTCTATTCCAGGGGACCCCACCCCGAGCTGCTCTATTCCAGGGCACCCAACCCCAAGTTGCTCTCCTCCAGGGCACCCCACCCCAAGCTGCTCTATTCCAGGGGACCCCACCCCGAGCTGCTCTATTCCAGGGCACCCTACCCCAAGGTGCTCTCCTCCAGGGCACCCAACCCTAAGCTGCTCTCCTCCAGGGGACCCCACCCCAAGCTGCTCTCTTCCAGGGCACCCCACCCCAAGCTGCTCTATTCCAGGGGACTCCACCCCAAGCTGCTCTAGTCCAGGGGATCCCACCCCAAGCTGCTGTCCTCTGTGCTCTCCTCCAGGGCACCCCACCCCAAGCTGCTCTCCTCCAGGGGACCCCACCCCAAGCTGCTCTCCTCCAGGGGACCCCACCCCAAGCTGCTCTCCTCCAGGGGACCCCACCCCAAGCTGCTCTCCTCCAGGGCACCCCACCCCAAGCTGCTCTATTCCAGGGGACCCCACTCCAAGCTGCTCTATTCCAGGGCACCCTACCCCAAGGTGCTCTCCTCCAGGGCACCCAACCCTAAGCTGCTCTCCTCCAGGGGACCCCACCCCAAGCTGCTCTATTCCAGGGCACCCTACCCCAAGCTGCTCTATTCCAGGGCACCCCACCCCAAGCTGCTCTATTCCAGGGCACCCCACCCCAAGCTGCTCTATTCCAGGGCACCCAACCCCAAGCTGCTCTCCTCCAGGGGACCCCACCCCAAGCTGCTCTCCTCTATGCTCTCCTCCAGGGCACCCCACCCCAAGCTGCTCTGCTCCAGGGCCTCCTGCTAAGACCTCACTCAATGCCCACCTTCTCTGAACTGCTCCCTGAGATCGGGGACCTGGAAGGCCATAAAGGATAGCATCAGCAGGGAGGTGTTTGAAAATAGCACAGCAAGCGCGTTTCTCGGGGCCCCAGGAATGTGGTGTGAAGTTTTGGTCACTGAATCCCCTCAACGGGACTGCCATGTGTCACAGAGCCAGCAGGGCGCACTTAGAACACCCGGGGAAGGGAGAAGACATGGGAGAGCAGGCGGGGAAAACAAAGAATAGGGATGTGAAGTACGGAAAGGTGGAGGAGGCACGCTCAAAACCCAGGGAGCAGCACTGAGACAAGCGTGGCCTCGCTGGCCGGGTCCGAAACAGCTCATTCTGATGCTTGGCATTGCTGAGCCAAGGAGCAGATGGGGAGACAGAGCCTGTCGCCCCGAGTGATGGAACGAGGAACAGAAGGGGGTTTTAAAGGGGTGGGGTGGATGCATGGAAGATGGAACCCAGAAATGGCTCCCCAGAGAAGCTGGGACAGATTCAACCCTGCCAGCGGATGCCATTGCTAGGACCGTGATGACACACATAGAAACATGCACACAGCGATCCACCTCACCCAGCCCTTCACATGAGCAAGGCGTGCTGTGTAAAAGACCCCCTGAATTCTCACACCAACCCTGGGACAAAGCTACCATCGTTATTCCCGTTTTACAAGCGGGGAGACACAAGCACAGGGCTTCAGTAACTGGCCCGCGGCACTGAGGCCAGCGAGGGCAGAGTCAGGCGCAGGCCCGGAGGTCAGTTCCACTCCGGCTGTGCTTTTCTTCTGGTGCCCTGTTTTGGCATTTGTGTCATAGTTATACTGATGCCTAATTCCCAGGCTGCAATGAGGCTTAGATAAGACAACTGAATATCTTAATAAAAATCACAAACTGGCTGACGCTGCAGATCTGTAGGAGAAGAGGAAGCTCGTTGCTTTGGGGGAATAGCACATGCTCCCATTTCCCCAGCCCACTCTTTAAGCAAAGGGAGGTCATCCTGTGATCACACACCTTGTAGCCCAGTATGAGCCCATTCTGGTCCTGTTCCGGCACGGATGTCCATGTCAGTAAAATCTGGGTCGAGCTGACAGCCTCGGCTGACACGTTCTCAGGGGCGGCTGAAGGAACTGCAAAGAACCAATGAAGTAGATTAGCATCCAAAATCTAGAGTGTCTACATACAAAGATCCAGCTTTCACCCAAATAATCAAGTTGTCCTTGAAATAGCAACGTATTCTAAGCATTTTGTAGTGATCAGATTAAACCTACAGGAGTATAACGGACATGTAAATCTCTTTAATATTAGCAACAAATTCCATAAATCCTGGGTACTTAGCAGCTCAATTTTACCTGAGTCCACCAAGCAAGAAAAAAAAGATGCTTGGTCTGTTTGCTGTATTAACTTGTGGAAACTGCAGACTTTTATCTCAAATAGGAAATCCTGACTTTCAGACACATGCCTGTTCACTGACAGCTCTAAATGTGGTATTCTGTGATAGGGACAGGAGAAGCTGAAGAGAGAAGGGGGCGTGAGGATTTACACAAAAGAAGGGGAAGGGAGGGTAGGTTGACTAGGTGCTTATCCAGTGCCTGTCTGTGCCAACTGCCTTCAGTTACATAATTGCATCTAATCCCACAATGATCCCAATGAAGTAGGTATCGTTACCCCTTTTCTACCGATCAGAAAACTAAAGCTGAGAAAATCGCATTCATCCATTTCAATGAATGTTTTTCTAAAAGGAGATGGGCAGCCGAGGCCAGCCATGCCATTCTCGACCCATACACATGTAAGAAAATTTTCTTTTCTTTATTTCAGACTGGAGAGCAGTGGTGCGATCTTGGCTCACTGCAACTTCGCCTCCTGGGTTCAAGCCATTCTCCTGTCTCAGCCTCCCAAGTAGCTGGGATTACAGGCATGTGCCACCACGCCTGGCTGATTTTTGAATTTTTACTAGAGATGGGGTTTTACCATGTTGGCCAGGCTGGTCTCGAATGCCTGACCTCAAGTGATTTGTCCGCCTCGGCCTCCCAAGTGCTGGGATTACAGGCGTGAGCCACCACTCCCGGCCCACATGTAAGATCATTTTCTTACTTTCATGAAATCTCTCTTCTGTGTACAACATCACTGAACTAATTTGTCTTGATATGTTTGCACTGATTCAGATATAATATGTATAAAAGCAGTGAAACTTTAAAAACAAGGGTATTATATTCTAGACAATCTCCATTTGCTTTGTTAATTTTCTTGTGGACCGATTTAAACTTCAAACACCATTCAGATAGGAAAACCTGGACCTGAGCTAGCCCCTAGCAGTCAGGGAAGGCCCTGTTTATAAACAGCATGGAGGAGCTGCTCTCAGCTGGGACTGAAGATCCCGCCATACTTCAGGGCCCCCATGGTTGAAAAAGGAGGAGAGACACTTCAAGTCCACCATATCCCATTCGGGGGTTCACTCTGCAGATGAAGCAACGGAGGTTCTGGGAGGATACTGTTTGGTGGCAAAGTCTCCTTTTGAATCAGGTGGTCTCCAGGATACCCAGGGAAATAGCCTGGAGTGATGGAGTAAGGCCGGACTCAGGGTGGGAGCTGGAGATGCTGCTCTGATCACCTGTGCCTCAGTTGTCCCACTTGTGAAAGGCTAAGCCTGGCCTACCTTCCTTACTTAAGAGTCTTCTCACTCTCCCCTCCTGGTGGTCAGCACTTGTTGGTCAGCAGGTGATCAATAGCTAGTTGTTTTGAAGAAAGTGAAAGGAGGATGCTATGACCAGTCCTAGCCTTTAGAGTGAGAATGAAAGCAAACACTGAGGTGCCTGGTAGGGCACTGGCACACAGAGGTGAGTAGAAGCATCTGTTTCCTTCTCCTTCACAAGCCCTACTAGGGCTCCAAGAACAGCAGGATGCACACATGCACCTCTGTAGCAGGAACACTTGCGAGGACTTCCTCTGCTCTTTCATAGACCCACTCATCTATCCATCCAACCATCCATCCATCTCCATCCATCCATCCATCCATCCATCAATCAATCCATCCAGTGATCCATCCATCCATTCATCCATTCACCCATTCATCCATTCACTCATCCATCCATCCATCATCCATCCATCTATCCATCCATCCACCCACCCATCACCCATCCATTCATCCATCCATCCATCCATCCATCTATTCATTCATCCATCCATTCACCCATCCATCGATTCATTCCTCCATCCATCTATCCATCTACATATCCATCCATCCATCACCCATCCATCCATTCATTCCTCCATCCATCATCCATCTATCCATCTACCCATCCATCCATCCATCCATCCATCACCCATCCATCCATCCATCCACCCATCCATCCATCCATAAATCGATCATTCCATCTTTCCATCCATCCATTCACCCATCCATCCATTCACTCATCCATCCATCATCCATCCATCCATCCATCCACCCATTACCCATCCATCCATCCATCTATTCATTCATCCATCCATTTACCCATCCATCCATTCACTCATCCATCTATCATCCATCCATACATCCAATCATCCACCCATCACCCATCCATCCATCCATCTATCCATCCATCTACCCACCCATCCATCCATCCATCCATCCATCCACCCATCCATTCATCTACCATCCACCCATCCATCCATTCGCCCATCACCTATCCATCCATCCATTCACTCATCTATTCCTTCAGACATTCAGACTTCCTCATTACACAGAGACTGAGAGGGTAGCACTGTTAGTTAGTCTGAAGACAGAAAGTAACATGGTGGGGGGCTTGCACAATAATGCAACCTATGACATTTAATTGCAAGATTTTCTACACGAGAGTAGTTTGATCTTTGTTATGGCTTGAACCTGTGCCCCCTGAATCCTTATTTTGTTATCCTAACCTCCGGTATCTCAGAAGGTGACCTTATTTGGAGACACAGTTGTTGCAGATGTAACTCGTTAAGATGCGGTCATACTGCATAGGGTGGGCCCCTGATCCAGTATGACTAGTGCCCATATAAAAAAAGGAATTTGTCCACAGACACACAACAGGGAGAGTGCCATGGGAGGAGACAGACACACACAGGGAGAACTCTGTGGGGACATGGGAGAGAGGCTGTCCGAGCCACGGAACCACCAGATGCTGGAGAGGGGCCCAGGACAGATCCTTCCCAAGCTTTCAGGGGGATCATGGCCCTGCCAACACCTCCAGCTCAGATTCCACCTTCCAGAATGGTAACAGAAAACATTTCTGTCATTTAAGCCACCCCGTTTGGGGCATTCTGCTATGACACGAACACAGTCTTTAAGACAATGCCAGGGTTCATGTGCATCCTAGAAGAGCTGTTCTCATGCTGTGTGGGAAGCTTCTCGCCTCACCACCACAAACAGGTGTTTCCCTAGACAAGGGAGGGGCGAGAAAGGACAGCCCCAAAGCAGGCCATAGCCTAACAGGGCCAGCGGCTGAGGATGACTAAGCCTCAGGACGCGAGTCAGTGGCCTCACCGCAACCCTCACCACACCCTGTGGGGTCTCTGAAACCACAGAGGAACCTGCAGAGCAAAGGCCTGGGATGCCTGCCCCCAGGAAGGGGCACGCTCCCTGATCCTGAGAGCCCTGGGAGGCAGCATCTCTCCCTTCCCTTCTCCCCCTACCATGCTGAGCACCTTCCCTGCATGGACATTAGATCGGCTGCTGGGTGTAGGTCAGTGAATGTGTCCACAAAATAGAAAACCCCCAGTGATGCCTGTCACTATAAAAACACTGTGAGCCCCCTTCTATTTTTGGAGGGAGATAATGCCAGCCAGTCCAATCTTCCCAAATATGTCAGTTGAGAGTCATTCATTCAGTTACTCAGTGCTTCTATGAAATACTATCCATTTATTTGAGTAGAGAGGTGTCACGGAAAGGGAATACTTGCAATGTGAAGTTTGCTCAGTTCTCCAAAGAGGAAGGGGGCTTGTCACAGATGCAGCCCCAAGTCCCTGGTGCCTTCCAGCTGTGGCTCCACCCGGCTCACTCCTGCTCCCTGGGCCTGCACAGAGCTCCCATAGGGTGTCTTAAATGCCACCATGGCTGTTACCAGGAAATGGCTTGCACATTGCTCATTTTATACAAAAGTTTGATAAACTGGGACCTTGAATCAACTATGAGCTAAAGGGGGCACTAACATTAAAAAAAAAATGTAAACCTACAACGTATCCGAATATATTTAGAATAAGGTAAGAACACCAAACACTGTATGCCCAAGACGTTGGTACCAGGTTCTAAAACCTCTGTCCCTGTCTGCAAAAAGAGAGGCCATTGTCATAGCAACACAAATGGTCTACTTCTGTAATCTTTAACTGCTTCCTGTGGGAAACTGTGAGTGCCCAATTCTCCCTATAGACCTACAAATCACAGCTGTTTTTCTAAGATGTGGTGGGATGAGCAGGTATTTACTGGAGAGCCAACCCCGTCCCTGGAGAAAGAGGGCAACCTGGGGATTGCAGCAATTCGGACACCAACGGGGCTTTGAACGCAGCTGAACTTCTCACGTGGAGATAGGGAGGTGAGGCAGCTAAAGCAAAGAAAATGGCAGAGTTCAGGATGGAAATTTCAGCGCATTTAAATCCTACGAGGACAAGATCTGCCATGGAGTTGCAAAGTTTTCAAGAATTGAAAAAGAAACCTCTTACCCATCATCTATTTTGAAGTAGATTCAACTCCCTTTCCAACCTGACATCTTACGTTTTGAGATGTTCTTGGGAATTCCCCTTTCATTAAAAACAAAGCCATTCCATGGCTTCTTTTCTCCTTCATTTTTTTCTCTCCCCTCTGTAGGATTTCACACTATGCAGCTCACTGTTCCTCCTCATGTGGTCTCTCTCGGTTTTTAAGGCCTCATTTATCCTTAGAATATATCATAATATATCATAAGATGTCACAGAACCTGTTAAACTGCACTTCAAAACTGTAAACTTCATTGAAATGTGGCTCCGAGCATTCTGCTGTGTGTTCTCTGCGTGTTTTCAGCACTCCTGCACACTGGGCCATTCCTAAGCTCCCAGGAGCTGCTATTTCCATTGAGGGGAGACTTATTTCAGACAAAAGGCAGTTGTTTTATTCTCTCTCCAATCCTTCTCCCTCTCCATCAGGTCCACTCACCATTCAGCCCTGGCAACCCCTTCACCTCCCCATCTCATCCCTGCCTCCCCCCATTTCAAAAAAGGATCGAGTTTTCTGCTGGGGAGAGTAAGTTTCAGATGTTAGTAGGGCCAGGGAAGGCCCAAAGTCAAAACTGCTGCACCTGGGAGGGCCTTGCCAGTCAGAGGTGGGGAGATTCCCAGAGAAGAAGGCTGTGAAATCTCCATTCTGATGAGCTAAACACAAGGAGGGGGAGCGGAAGTCCTGCAGCATCTGGGCCCCTGAGATTCCCCAGGTGGTAGGACGGGCAGAGATGGAGCACCAGCACCAACCAGAAGAGAGACTGGTCTAAGAGGGGTCCCTGGGAGCTCGTTATTCCAGCATTCAACATGTCCAGAATCTGAATCATCCACATCTTGAAATGAAGATCAATAACCCAATTATAAAATTTTTGATGGAAACACGTGAACCAAAACTTTTTTTCCCAGAGCAATATGTGTTGCACCAGTTTCTAATTAAACACACATTCAATTAGAAACTAAAAAATACCCTTCCATAAGCTATAACCCTCAAAATAAGAAAGAATGTAATAACTGACAAAACAAAGCTTCAGTTGCAAGAACAATTCCTACTCTTGATCAAAATCCTCTGAACAAGTGAACAGAACATGAACTATGAACAGAAAAACAGTGAGGCTGATACAGGGGATTCTGCAAGGGCTCTATGTGATTCCCCTCTAGCCATATGTATCAGTCCATTTTCACACTGTGATAAATAAATACCCAATACTGGGTAGTTTATAAAGGAAAGAGGTTTAATTGACTCAGAGTTACACATGGCTGGAGAGGCCTCAGGATTACAATCGTGATGGAAGGTGAAGGGGAAGCAAGGAACTTCCTCACATGCCAGCAGGAGAGAAAAGAGAGAGTAAAGGAGGAAGAGCCCCTTATAAAACCATCAGATCTTGTGAGAACTCACTCACTATCATGAGAACAGCATGGCGGAAATTGCCCCCATGATCCAATCACCTCCCACCAGGTCCCTCCCTTGACATGTGGAGATTACAATTTGAGATGAGATTTGGGTGGGGACAGGGAGCCAAACCGTATCACCATACATGCTACAATCAGCTAGGACAAAGGTAAATCCACTTGCTTCTTTTGATACAAAATCTATATCTCAATATTAATTAAAACACAGTAGCATCTACAAAAATAAACAACATCGCTAGAGAAAGTCTCCTCAGGGTTCTTGTGTAAAAGATGATACAAGATTGTCTGAAAAAAAACAAAGTCAGAAGAAAAACCCTGGAATACATTTACACATAAAATATTATCCTCTGCATTCTCTTGACTACTATAAAGATAGGTTTTCAACAGCTGGAAATGTTTGTTTAAAAAAAAAAGAGTCTCAAATCAGCAGTTTTGCCATAGGTTTCTTTCTTTTTTTTTTTTTTTAAAAGAGTGTTCTTGGCCGGGTGTGGTGGCTTATGCCTGTAATCCCAGCACCTTGGGAAACCAAGTTGGGCAGATAACTTGAGGTCAGGAGTTCAAGACCAGCCTGGCCAACATGGTGAAACCCCATCTCTACTAAAAATACAAAATTAGCTGGTCATGGTGGTGGGCACCTGTAATCCCAGCTACTTGGGAGGCTAAGGCAGGAGAATCGCTTGCACCCAGGAGGCAGAGGTTGCAGTGAGCCAAGATCATGCCACTGCACTCCAGCCCAGGTGACAGAGTGAGACTCCACCTCAAAAAAAAGAGTATTATTTGAAAAATTATCAAAACAATATATCTATTTTGATTAAATTGTCTTCATTTTTATATAGCATTTACTTTGCTGTTTTCTGAATAAAATCCTGGAAGATTAGTTTATCTGGGTATAAAATTTGAGGTTGGCAGTTATTTGCTTTTAGCTCCTTCGAGATTATTATCCCATTGTCTTCTGGCCTCTGTTGTTCCTGAATAGTCACCTCAGTCAAATGGTCTTGCCTTTGTGATTATTTGCCTTTCACTCCAATTGTTTTTAAGATTTTTCTCTTTGGCATTTTACAGTTGTAGCAAATACATCTTGGTATGAATTCAGTTTTATTTACTCCACTCGGGATTGGTGTTTCTTCAGTCTTGTAAATAATGCTTTCCATCAACCCTGGAATTTCTCGGCTATTATCTCTGTGTATTTTGTAACTCTCATTTGCTTCCTCTTTCGAGTCCTATTAGCTATGTGGTAGATCTCATTCTGTTCTTCAAGTCTTTTAATCTCTATTTTCAATCTTATGTCTTTATGTTGTTTTAAGAGTTATTTACTCAAATCTAGCTTTTAATTTGGTAATTCTCTTTTTGACAGTGTCTAAACTGCTTTCATTTTCAATGACTGTGTCCCATTTATTTTTTCTAAAAACAAATCTGCTTTAAGAAATGGTACCTTAATCTTTACTTAAAATGTTAACGCTTTATTTTACTAAGACTTTAATAATTTTAAATGTAGTTATTATATATTTCTCTCAGACTTGTATGTATGTTAATGTAATTGAAGCCCTCTATCTTTCTCTCTTTTTTTAAAACTGGTCATTTTTACTCATGGCAAATCATTGCCTGTGTGCTTGACAATTGTGATTCATCTTTAAAAAGGCTTTTTATTTTGGATAATTTGGCTTTGGCAATATCTCTCCAGAGAGGAATCATTTTTGCTTCTGTTGATTGCCCAGATGGTCTGGCCTGAAACCATGTTTCTTTAGTTTTTTGTGTATTTTCTTTTTGTTTTATTTTTGGAGGAGAGTAAAATCCTTTATTGGGGTATGATATGTAACTATTTCAGGAAGAGTTGATCACTGT
Source organism: Homo sapiens (assembly GCF_000001405.40). Taxonomy (NCBI): domain Eukaryota; kingdom Metazoa; phylum Chordata; class Mammalia; order Primates; family Hominidae; genus Homo; species Homo sapiens. Next base: position 4,119,552 of record NC_000007.14, on the reverse strand, counting down.
TTTCCCTGAGGGTAAGAAGATATTACACACAGATTTTCTGGGCCTTCCAACCATACGCAAAGTGTACAATCTATGAGCCATTCTTATTATTTTTTTTAGAGACAGGGTCTTGCTCTGCCACCCAGGCTGCAGTGCAGGGGTATGATCGTAGTTCATGGCAGGCTCGACCTCCTGGGCTGAAGCAGTTCTCCTGCCTCAGCCTCCCAAGTAGCTGGGACTACAGGCATGTGCTACCATGCCTGGCTAATTTTCTATAGTTTTTATTTTTATTTTGTAGAGATGGGGTCTTGCTATGTTGCCCAGGCTGGTCTTAAGCTCCTGGTAATCCTCCTGCCTCTGCCTCTCAAAGTGTTGGGATTACAGGTACGAATCACAGCCCCCAGCCCATACTTATTTTAATAACATTTTATCTGTATAAAATTAATCTCAGGAAGGCTGAGCTTTTTTTTTAAAGCCTTATTGTGAGATTATTAATATATCATACAATTCCCCTAAATTGTACAATTCAACATTTTTTAGTGAATTCAGAGTTGTGTAACCATCATCATGATGAACTTTGGAACATCTCATCATCCCCAAAAGAAGCTCTGTTTCCATCACCCATCACTTCCCATTCCTCTCAAATGCTCTCTCTTAGTCTAGGAAACCATGAATTTACTTTCTGCCTCTCTAGATTTGCCTATTCTAGATGTTTCCTACAAATAGAATCACACAATATGTGGTCTCTTGTGCCTGGTCTCTTTCACTTAGCCTAATGTTTTCAAGGTTCACCCACACTGTAGCATGTATCAGAATTCCATTCCTTTTTATTGCTGAATCATCCATTGAATGCATAGACCACATTTTATTTATCCATTTGTCAACTGAGTGATATTTTGGTTGTTTCCACTTTTCGGCTACTATGGATAAAGCTGCTATGAACATTTATGTGCAAGATTTTGTGTAGACATATGTTTTCTGCTCTCTTGGGTACATACCTAGGAGTAGAGTTGCTTTGTCGTATGGTGACTCCCTGCTCAACCTCCTGAGGAATGCCAACTGTTTTCCAACGTTTCTGAATCATTTAATATTCCCACCAGCAACGTACAAGCATTCCAATTTCTCTATGCCCACCAATACCTGTTATTGTCCAACTTTTCTTATTTTAGCCATCTTATTTTAGGAGTGTGAAGTGGTATCTCATTGCAGCTTAGATTTGCATTTCCCTAACAGTTAATGATGTTGAGCATGTTTTCATGTGCTTGGTGGCCATTTGTAAATCTCCTTGGGAGGAATGTCTATGCCGATCCTTTGCCCAGTTTTTAACTGGGTCATTTGTCTTTTTGTTGTGAAGTCTTTATATATTCTAGATATAAATCCCTCATGAGATACATAATTTGCAAATATTTTCTTCCATTTGGGGAGTTTTTTTCATTTCCTTTATGACATTCTTTGAAGCATAAAGGTTTTCATTCTGATGAGGTCTAATGTATCTACTTTTTCTTTAGTTGCTCGTGCTTTTGGTTTCTGGAACCAAATGTTACATTAATTTCTGTTCTGGGAGTTCCTGGGCCATCCATATAATGCAAATTCAAAACCCAGTCCTGAGCTGGGCACAGGGCTCAGACTGACTTTTCATTCTCTACTCAGAGTCCAGGTAGACATACAGTCAAACCTCTGCAGGCAGAGTTTCAGCCTCTCCTAGGAAGGAGGGAAAGGCCTTCAAGAGCCGTGTCTCAACTGCAGGAGTTTAGGCCCTAACTCTTCCCTTACACAGATTCAAAGCTGACTCTCATGTTACTGCATGGCCTGCCCAGTGTATCTACAGTTCCCGGTGGCACCTGCAGACACACTGGATGCGTGCTGGTGCCCACAGTGTGCTGGGCACTGCTGGGCCCAGGACCAGGGTGCAGACTCCTTACCCCAGGTCCTGAAACCACCAGGAAAGATCCAACCTGATCCTATCCCACCCAGGGCAGCTGCGGCACCAGCCCAGCACTTCCTGCTGAACTCTTTCTAGTTCCTGTTATGCCTCTGACACCTGAGGATTTCCCTGTTTTTCTTATGAGTGTGTTGATGAATTCATTTATTTACTTATTTTTTAGAGGCATAATAACCTGCTCCGTTGGCCAGGCTGGAATGCAGTGGTGCGATCATAGCTCAGTGCAGCCTCAAACTCCCAGGCCCAAGCCATCTTCCTGCCTCAGCCTCCCAAGGAGCTGGGGCTACAGGTGCATGCCACCACACCTGGCTAATTTTTGTATTTTTTGTAGAGATGGGGTCTCACTATGTTGCCTAGGCTGGTCTTGAACTCCTGGACTCAAGCTATCCTCCAGACTCAGCTTCCCAAAGTGCTGGGATTACAGGTGTGAGGACCCTGCCTGGCCAATACATTTAAGATTCCAGAAAGTTATATTTTATCCATAAGTTTTTGTTGGTTATGGCAGAAGTTTTAATTCTGAAAAACTATTTTCTTGGCCTGCCTTTTACTGGATTTAGAACTGTCCCTCTGAACTTCTCAAGTTCTCTCCTTTGTCACAAAGATTCAGACAGTGAAGATAACAGAGATTTTTGAAATCCACGTGACCACAATCCCAGGCTGCATGTGGGTGCGTCTCCACCTTTCCTTTGGAACGTAATGAAAGCTTCAGTCTGAAGGAGAGCCGAGGGACACTGGGCCCAGCCCTGCTGCTTGGGCAGTTCCATCCTGAAACACTGGTCCTCTCAGAAGCACACTGGTTGTCACCACGGCTGCTCTTCCGGGGCTCTCATTGGTGGGCTCCAGGGTTCACGCCACGCCCTAACAGCATTCCCACAAGGCCATGGTTCTGCTTCTCCCTGCTACTGCTTAAGAGTCCTCCTGTCTACCCTCACCTCCTGCCCTCTGAGAAGAGTAGGAAGAAATAAAGCCACAAAGTGGCACAGGAGCTTTGGCTTGGTGCTGGTGGCTGAAAGTTAACCAGCATTGAGGAAACCCAGGGGGCTTCTGTGCATTGCAACCCACTGTGCATTACAGTAACCTACAAGGGTGGCGGCAGGTTCAGACCTGTCACCAACGGGACCCGGGGAATGAGCAAGAAAGGATGAGAGGAGCCTTTATCCAGAGCTTCCCAGGCCCTTCCACGCTGTGGCACACAGAGCGGGTGGCACGTGCAGATGCACTGGGCACGTGCTGGTGCCCTCGGTGTGCTGGGCGCTGCTGGACCCAAGCCCAGGGTGCAGACTCCTCACCCCGGCCTGGCTGTCTCGAGGGTGGAGGGGTGGTGTTGGGAATACCTGCACCCATTGCAGCACCTGGCACGGATAAGATGAGCATTAGGAAGAGGTGAGGGGGTGGCACCGCCCAGGGCTCCAAGTCCCCTTTCCTTATTGCTGGGAGCTGATCTGCGTCCTCACTCCAGCTGTCCTCAGAGGCTGCCCTCCCACCTCGGCACCACCTTCTATGTTTCCCTCTTCATCTTTAGAGCAGACAGGCCAGGCCCGGGAGCCCTGGGCCCCCCAAGTGTCTATGCTTTCCTCCCTTTTAAACTCCTCTGTCCTGAGGATGGCAGCCCCCCAAAGCCACCTCCACCCATGCCAACAGGCCTTGTGCCCCCACGTCATCCGCCTCCTCCTGCTGACTGTGCGAGGTTTTCTCTGATACCCGTCACGCACTTGGCTTCCTAGCTCATCTTTCTGTCCATTTCCCATCAAAGTCACTCTGAGTTCCAACTGTGTCTCCTAAGGCAGTTTCCAGCATCTAGCAAGTTAATTAATTTTTCTACTGAAAACAACAACAGGGGGACTGTCTCTTTGCACGGCATTGTAGTACAGGGACAGAAGCAGGGAGGCTCTGGGTTGCAGAGAGGGCAGATCCGGGGCATTTCCGAGGACTCTGGGGTGGAAACAGCTGTGGGCAGGCCCTGGCCATCTCTTGACTCCCCAGCTTCAAGAGCGATTCTGTGCCCTGGGAGCCCCAAGGAAAGGAGGACTCATGCTGGGCTCAGGAGCTGTCTCCAGGAAACAGAGCCATGTCTACGACAGCAAAAACAATGGAGCCAAATATTCTCATTAACGCAGAGAGTCAGAGAAGAGAAGCAAAAGAGAGCGAATAAGAGGGTTTGACATCAATAAGCAAAATGGATCTAGGCTCCCTGGGGGAAGGAGTGGGGGAGTCTTGTTCTTTTCCTCTGGCCACTGACCCAGTTCACCATCTCAACCCTTCATACCTCCTCCTCATCCCATGTCTGGACAAAGGTCAGGAATTTAAGTTGTATTTCTAACAGCCTAGGTTAGTCCAGAATGAACAGCCCCTCCATCTGTCAAGCACAAGCTGTGACTCTCATCCAAGAAGCCTGGGGCAGAGGTGCAGCTGGTTCATTCCTTCTCCAGACAGAACCTCACTAATTCAGATCAGACTGAAGGGACCGGGGTCAGGTGACAGTGAGTCCTTCATGAGCGTTAATTGCCGTCCTTCCTTTGGGTTTCTAAAAATTTAAGGAGGGGGGCAAGAAAAGCTCCTATGACCCACAGTTGGCCAGCGGAAGTTAGTCCACAAAGCCCAGAAGATTAGGCAGCCACTTTCAGCATTAGCACAGGGCAGCAGAGGTCTGCTCAAGGTTGGCCAAAAACACTGCTCCATTGCTTCCTGGCAACTGGCAGAGCCCCATGACTGAGCCCCAAGAAGATGAACAGAGTGACGTTCCACTCCTGAACAGGTCTGAAGAGGTCCATTCTTTGCCTTCTTTTCCCTGCTGGCAGCTGGGTGCAGAAGGAGATTAGTCCCACAGAACGGTAAAGCCTGGGTCCCTGAATCACCTTGTGGAAGAGAGCCACCCGCCAAACAGGAACGCCCACCTTAGACCACAATATGAGTGAGAAGTAAACTCCTATTATGTTCAAGCAATTAAACTTTTAGAGGCCTATTTATTACCACAGGCTAGATTACTTAACATACTACGTCTATTAATTTGTGACAAGAAGGTCCTGAATACCTTGTATTTTAAAGATTCCCCATAGGAACTTTACACATTCTTGCTTTTCATCGTTAGCGAAAATTATCCCTAATTTAGAAAACAGTAATGTGAGTCGATCCCCTGTTGGAAATCATCACCAGTTTCCAATGAATGGCTTGGGGCCCTAATGAAATCAGACAGAAATTCCTGCCGAGTCTGGCCAAACCCGGGATTAGGAAAGCTCCAAGACAGACACAAGTGGGACAGGCCAATGAGACGCCACTAGCCTGGGATCTGGAGGCTCAGGGGCACTCAGCCCCATCTCTAATGCGGTGTCTCCAGGATGGGAATCGCCTTCCCCTCACCTGACTCCCGCGTCCGGCCCCGCACCACCTCGCTCCACGGCCCAGCCCCGACGGCGTTGAAGGCCTGCATCTGCAGCTCGTATTCCATCCACTCCTCCAGCTCCTCGATGGTGAATTCTCTCTCCAGCCGGTCACTGACGACTTGGGCCACTGCTGAGGACTGGAGGTCTGAGCGCCAGTACTTAATCCTGTAGCCCACGGACTCGGGGTTCCCGTTGTACTGAGAATCCGGCAGGGGCTAGGAAGGAACGAGGAGTCGCGATGAGCTGACATCTCAGAACTGCCACCCTCACGGGTTGTAAGGGATGGGCCTGCCCTGTGAGGCCAACTCCGTGGAGGAGGTGTTCCTGGGGGAAATAGTCTTAGAAGGATCTACTTTATTCTTCCCTGAAACTTTTGTTCTGTGAATTAAATGAAACCCTGTCAGTAACTTTGGCTGCATATAATTTCTTTTAATACATTTTGGCTTAATTTTGTGGGCAAATGTTCTGATTAAATATCAGGCTGGCTCTCTTACAAATATTGAGTATTGGTTCCATGTTGACCTAGCTTAAGGACTTAGAGTTCTGGTGTGAGGCACCCCCAGCTTTCCTGCCCCAAGGAATATTCCTCAGTTCCAAGAAGAGAGTGAGTAATGCTACTAATTAATCAGATCTCCTGGGCTGGCCTGAGATCCAACACTAATTGTAAAATGCAATACTTTTTGGTTTGACGATGAGATTAGTTTTGACTAGGACAAAGGCGTGACTAAGAAACTCCTAAGCCCTGGATTAGTGTGTGCCCTGGCTCACTCAGGACCCGTGTGCCTCCAGCCTCCCTTCTCACCCCCACTCACCACCCAGCGAAGCCGCAGGCTGGTCTCACTGGCAGTACGGACCGTGACGCTGGTTGGAGCCACGTCGGGTGGGGCCTGCAGGGTCTGGATGACCCGGGAAGACGGACTGTAGGGGCTCGGCCCAACAATGTTCACTTGCTTCATTCGAAATCTAAAGGAAAAACCACTGATGAGAGTCACGGCAAAGCAAAGGTAAGAAGGAAAAGAACGAAACCACAAAGGCGCTGACTGTTTCTCAAGGGAGGGCTCAGATAGGTGTCTACTCATATCATAAAGGCTATTGCTCAAGGACACCCTCTTTTCACCTGGTTTCATTAAAAGTGCAAATTGTGGCCAGGTGTGGTGGCTCACACCTGTAATCCTAGCACTAAGGGAGGCCAAGGCAGGCGGTGGCGGGGGATCAAATCCCAGCACTTAGGGAGGCTGAGGCAGGAGGCAGCGGGGGATCACCTGAGGTGAAGAGTTCCAGATCAGCCTGGCCAACATGGCGAAATCTCGTCTCTACTAAAAATACAAAAATTAGCCAGGCGTGGTGGCGGGTGCCTGGAATCCCAGCTACTCAAGAGGCTGATGCAGGAGAATGGCTTGAACCAGGGAAGCAGAGGTTGCATGAGCTGAGATGGTGTCACTGCACTCCAGCCTAGGTGACAGAGCGAGACTCTGCCTCAGAAAAAAAAAAAATGCAAATTGCATATGTGCCCTTTTTCCCCTAAAAGACTTCAAAGAAAGGTACAGGTACATCAGTTGCAACTCAACAATTTTAAATTTGCAAGTGAAATCTAGTTGGATGGATTGGGTGTCCAGAAATTGATGTCATCAGTTGCCCTGATTCAAGTTTAGGATAACCTCGAGGGGTTAAAGTGCAAGTAGCTATGGGACAGAATTGGAATATCAGGATGTCACTACCAAAGGGCAGTTTTGAAGTCCAGCCTTTTAAATGATCAACGGCACTCTGCATCTCTTCTTCTGTTGGTTCAGGAGAAGAATGAGGGGTGAAAGGAAAATATCTTGAACCCCAAATCACTAAGCTACAAGGAAAACGCAAGCTGCGTTAGGGCAAACCTGCTTCTCATTCTCTTCAAAGTCATCCCTCTGCTCACTGAGATCAATGCAGATCTGATGGCCTCCTTTGGAAAGGCTCATCAGAAACTCAGAAGAATGGGACCCTTTGTCTCTCACCTATCTGTGACCTGCAAGCCCCCTCCCTGCTTGGAGTCTTCCTGCCTTTGCTTCAAGCTTTCCTGCCTTTCCAGACTGAACCAATGTTCACCTTGCATATATTGATTGATGTCTCATGTCTCCCTAAAATGTATAAAAGCAAGCTGTGCCCTGACCACCTTGGGCACATGTTGCCAGGATCTCCTGATGCTGGGTCACGGGTGCATCCTCAACCTTGGCAGAATAAACTTTGTCAGGTAACTGAGGCCTCTATCCGCTCACACCACACTCTGTGATTCCATCCAGTGAGTAACTGTGAGACTTACAGCAAATCAGATGATCTCCGTTTCCTTAACTATAAAATGAAGGTGGAGTTCAATGTTCTCTAAAATCTACAGGAATGCTTTCAGTTCTGTCTCTTCTTTACACATACATAAACAATTATTTGAATTCAATTTACATACTAGAAAAATATCCCAAGTATGCACATATACATTTACTATAGAGGTTTCCCCAAATGTACCTGAGTTTCAGACAGGGACACTGATCTCTACTTACAGTTTCTGTTCTTTGAAATAACTATATAGCTTCAGTTAATTTCACATGGTAAGTCTTGAATCCCAACAGCTCATTTTAAGCTAAATGTTTTTCTTTAAAACCCAGTGTATTGTGTCCTGATTTGTCTGTTCTAAGCTCCTGAAGGATGTTAAAATGAATAGAAGCTAAATAGCATCTCTCATTGTTTTTTTTTTTTAACTCTAACTTTGGTTTTGTGCCGGAAAGAAAAATTCTTCATAAAGATGTAATTTCACCTTTTAGTCCCTGAATTACTAATTCCTATTCTTTCATTCTCCAATCGTATGAAATGTTCCATCCTGGCAGAACAATGACATTATCAAACTCAACATCTGGTGATAACTGGAAATTCCATCTCCTTCAAAGGCCTTACGGGAAGTGATCACAGTACTAACAGCTCATAATCACCCTACCCTTTGTTAAAGCCAAGGATTTACTGCCCGGATCAGTTTCGGGGTTCAAGAAGCTAAAGGTTAAATGGCATGTTAATTGCTTGATAAGTGAGACTAGCAGCTCCTGGGCCCTGCTTGGGAAGGGGAGCAGAAGGATCTTCCTAGGACATCTGCTTTGTTTGCACACGGCACGTTAATAGTCCCAACAGGTTGTGGAGTTTGGTAAAGTGCCACATCTCTGCTGCCTGTGGTTCTTGGTTATTCAGCCTAATATAATAACAGTGGGCCATTTCTATGGGGTGTTTTGCCAGCTGGTACTGATAGAAGGAGCCTCATGAGTCTAACATCTGCCTATCATCTCCCTTGGAATAACACCAAGCTATGCATCCCGCCTGCTCCTTAAGGCTTTTAGGTACTGTTATTGCCACTAGGAAACATCTGATTTGCATACGTACGACTGGGTTTTACTATTGCCAACAGAAGGCACCTGCCTGGGCTGCCAGTGTTTCCTCCTGTAACAGCTTATCACTGCTGTTCTCACCTGTAGTGAGTGTAGGGTGTGAGGTTTGGGATCTCCAGCATCTGGGCATCAGGCTCATTCTCCTCTTCATAGAGGGTGACCCACTCCTCCTCGTCGCCGATAGCTCCCACCTGTGCAGAGGGAGACACTGAGATGGGCTGGACATGCCTTAGGGACTGAGGCTGCCATGTAGACCATGTGCACCTGCTGGTACCTGGTGAGCTGGGCAGGGCTGCAAGGCGTCCCCACACCTGGGACAAGTTGAGTCCTGCACAACCCCCTCTTGTGCCTTGGAGATACAGGCTCTTGCTATGCCCACCATCAAGTCTGGGTGAGTTTTAGTCAAAAGCTCACAGTCAAGAACTGGGCCACAGAAGGACTGGACCCAAACAGTGAAACCCCTGGGAACAAACCTCTGAGGGCTTGGAGGCCATCAGTGATGGAGGGGACCTTCCATACCATCTCATCCTTCCTCCTGTTTGACAAGTGAGGGCTCAGAGAAAGCCTAGAGAGGAAGACTTGGCCAGGACCATGGTAAGCAGTGACAGAGCTGTGGGCACAGGCTGGGGGTCCAGCTTCGACCCCAACCCTTTCTGCCCCAAACACACACCAAACAGACACCATTGCTGGCCCACGGCATAAGGAAGGTCCTTAGGCAGGGAAGGATGAGTCTTCTGCCCTGGAAGCCAGATCGGCAGGCCCAGTCCCCTTAAGATTTAAAGAAACTGCCTCCTGGCAGTGTTGACGAGGGAAGAGCCACTCCCTTCAACAGAGACTTGCCTTTTCCGGGTCTGCTGGCGATGCCTGCAGGGTGCCCTCCAAGTTCCCCAGCTTCTTCCTCTCCCGAGTCTTTGCTCCTGCCCCATGGTCTGTCTCGTGCTAATTTTACTCCCTGTCTGGGAGCTCCACACCATCTCCCTGCTCAGTAGCATTTTCATTTCCCCTAATCTGACCCCGAGCCCCACCTCTCACTCATCCTTGTGCTCTTAAGAAACCCGAGTGCCAGTGCCGCTTCTACTGCCACTGCCCCAAGCTGACCACGTCCCTCTCTCCCCCTTGATGGTGCCACACAAGCTGCGCCAGCTAGGGAGCCACGGGAGAGACAGCCACGGCCTTGTGCCCACCAGGAGAGCCCTGGAGCTCATCTTTGGAGATCTCTGCAGCCCCATCACAAGCAAACTCTGGTTTCGTGTGGCCGTGTGGCTCTGGGGGACCCAAGGGACACAGAGAAGGCCGGCTGCAAGCATGGAGAGCATGTCAGGACAAACTGGCTGCTGGAGTGGGATTGGCCTGGGGCCTGGTGCATTTAACACTTCGTAAGTGGCTTAAATGACAGGATAGGAAACGTGCTCACTAAGTGTGCAGAGGAAACCAAGGTGGTGGGTGGCTAAGTCTTGGGAGGGTGGCAGGAGAATTCAAAATGACCTTGGTAAACTGGCGACACGGATGCAGAGGAGACTGTGTAAGCAGGCATGCTGGTGGCTTGCTTCCTAGAGAACTCGAAAGGCAAAGCGCAAAACTCTCAACGCTTTCAGCTGAAAACATCCACATGGTCAGTGGCTCCTCCAAAAGCTACACACAGTCACCGCATAAGCCAGCAACTCCGCCCCCAGCCACTGACCCAAGAGAACAGACAACAGGTGTCTTAACAGATACCTGCAGGCACATGCTCCTAGTGCACTAGTCACGACAGTCAAAGCCGTGAACAAGGCAAACGCCCAGCACTGAGTGGATAAACAAAAGGACTCTGCACCATGGAACAGGATTCAGCCATAGAAAGGAACAAAGCACCCACACCTGCTACCACATGGACAAATCTCAAAACATGACTGATGGAAAGCTAAGCAAGCCTGACCCAAGGTCCATGCACCGCACGATTCCAGTTTACGAAATGTCCAGGATCTTTCCATCCATTGAGACAGAACGCAGGTTGGTGGTTGCCAGGGGATGGGGAGAGGAGGGGATGGGAAGTGACTGCTATTGGGTATGAGGTCTCTTTGTGGCATGATAAAAATGTTTTGGAACTAGACAGATGTGGTGGTTGCACAGCACTGGGAATCTACTAAGTTGTGAATGGTATTCTTTAAAATGGTTAATTTTATGTGAGGTGAATTTCACCTCAACGAAAAAAAGAAACAATAAAATGAAATGTAGAATGACCGGCCAAAATATTTGGTAGAGAACGAGCTGGAGGTCAGCGTAGATAATGAATACCCCGGAAGTCGGCAAAACCACAGGGTGGTGTAATTAGGAAAAGACTGTGCAGCTTGCACAGCCAGAGGCAAAGGGGGCAAGTCCCCTGGCACCAAAGTGAGCCAGTTCTCAGCACTGGGGTAGACATCAAAACCCTCATATCCTCACTTCAGCCAAAGTGAGCCAGTTCTCAGCACTGGGGTAGCCATCGAAACCCTCAAATCCTCACTTCAGAGACACAGAAAACAAGAGTTATGTGGATAGATTAAGGTTCCACAGAACACTCATCTTGGAGAAGGGAAGGGTCTAGGCGAACCTGGGGTTGGACTAGCTCTTGAGTCAGACAGGACTGAGGCCTCCCTATCCCCCATCAGGGCCCATGGCAGCTGCCTTCCTCCATCGCGTCTGTGAAGAGGGAAAGGACCCAGGAGCACAATGCTGAGACTGGAACCATCCAATCCTGATGGGCAAAAAGAGAATGAACTTCACGATCCGGGGATCTCAGAGGAGCTCACTCAGGTTGGCTTGAAAGCTCTGGCCCCGGCACAGTGTCTAGTGGAGAGGAGCCGTGCGATATTTATCTATGCAGCTGATGCATAAATGGGCCCACCCATAAGCTAGGAAGCCGGAGGATATTATTCCAGCCTATGTTACGCTGAAAGAAGCTGAGGCCCAGAAAAAGAGTGATTCATTCAAGGTCACCAAATGTTTGTCACACATCGGCACAGCTCACGACACCTTACAGGCCTCCAGGTAATGGAGAACACGCACCACAGCACAGAGGGAAGGGCAAGCAAGACGAGCTGCTCAGGCTTCCGTGGGAGGCCCCCGGCTGCCTGGGCAATGTCTCAGGGGAGGAGATGGGGGTCGTAGGCGGGCTGGGACCAGATACTGGGGAGTGCGGAGGACCAAGCCCCACATTTTTTCAGTTGGATTTTACTGGGTGCAAAGTGCCTCCGTGTTGAATGCTGGCCCTGTGGCATGGTTTAGCGGTTTCAGAGTCCTCGGTGACTTAGGTGGGCTCCTCTTAGTGAAACCAGTCCTCTGGGTGTTAAACCAAAGCACTGGGCGATTTCATGGAGAATACGTTTTGTTTGTTTAAAAAAAAAAGAAGAAGAAAGGAAGAAAAAGGGATGACTTCCATTTCAGGCCGTCAATTTAGCACCTTTTATCAATCACGTATAAGCACTAAGGAAAGAGCCAGCAGTCAGGGCGCACGTGGCTCACGTGCGTAGCTCACGGTGCCAAGTGACCGGTGGGCGCTTTTCCCGGCAGCCTCCTGCCTTCCGGGTCCTTGCCTGGTCTGTGCATGTGTGAGGGGGAAACAGACGCCTGGCGGGTTCAACTTACTCTCAAGACCCCAAGCTGCACTGCGGACGCTCATTCACCTTTGCTAAGCGACTCCAGGTCTCCTTCCTCTGGTTGGCCCCTGCAGCCCCACCCTCCCCACCCTCCCCACCCTCCCCACCCTCCCCACCCTCCCCACCCTGGATGTGTGTATTCGGCTGCCTGAGGGAGAAATAAACAAGACTGAGGAACGCTGGGGTCCTGGGCGGGGGCTCTGCCTAGAGCTCCCTGCCCTCCTCTGGCCTGGATGCTCGGCATGTATGGATTCAGTCTGTCTGGCTGCTTTCCTGGCCCCAGAAGCATTCACCTGAGGCCTGGGGGCTTCCTGACCCTGTGGGCTCCCTCATCTTGTTCAGGCACTGGGCACTCAGGGCAGGCTCTCAGCCACAGGGGCTGCTGCGGGGTCAGCGGTGGTCAGGGCAGTAGCTCTGGGATTCAGGGCTGTTCCACCCCCACGACCAAGAGGAACGAAAGAGAACCAGTAAGGCCCGGGAGGCTGCCCGGGAGAGAAAGGCACGCGCCGCGTTGAGAGAGCAGGAGAGTGGGGGAAAGCACAGCAAGAGGCAGCCAGGCTCATCGGGTTTCTCTGAGAACGCCGGGCGTGCGGCTCCCTCTGCAGAGATGCTGGGAAACCACTGCACGGTCACAAACGGGGGCTGGCCGGGCGCGGTGGCTCACGCCTGTAATCCCAGCACTTTGGGAGGTCGAGGTGGGTGGATCACAAGGTCAGGAGATTGAGACCATCCTGGCCAACATGGTGAAACCCTGTCTTTCCTAAAAATACAAAAAAGGCGTGGTGGTGGGTGCCTGTAGACCCAGCTACTTGGGAGGCTGAGGCAGGAGAATGGCATGAACCCAGGAGGCAGAGCTTACAGTGAGCTGAGATCATGCCACTGCACTCCAGGCTGGGTGACAGAATGAGGCTCCGTCTCAAAAAAAAAAAAAAGAAAGAAAAAAAAGAAACGGGGGACAGTGGGGCGGCTGATCTCCACTTCACTTCATCCTTTCCCACCAGGAGAGCCTGAGGAGGGAGCCATTGCTAGGCCCTGTGGCCATTCTCCATGAGATGACCCCCTCACCTGCCTTCTGAGCAGCGAGTGTCTGGTTATCTACAGGGCTGTTGTTTTGCTGAGCATAAAACAGTTTCAGGGCCAGGATCAATGGATTGGGAAAAGGGTGGACCACTGAAGGTGGCAGCCAAGGTCAAACTACCCTGCCCTTCCCGCCCAGTGCCTGGTCTCCCTTTTTGAAAGATGTCGATTGGAACAGGTGCCAAATGATTGGGGAACCCAGGCAGGTGCCACATGGCTCCATTAGGCTCTGCCTGCACTTCCTCCTGCAGCCGCGGTTTGTCATTACCTGGAGGCATCACGCAGTCTCCAACACCTGTCCCCCTGCACCACTCTTCCCCCTCTCAGAGTGTGTCTGCTCCTTCCACCCCTCCTCTCTGCAACTGGCTGACTCCTTTGGAATCTGGAGAGCATCCGGGCCTTTCGGAAGCCTCTGAACAGCATCCCTCTTAGCCTCTCACTGCCCCTGCCAGGCTGCCAGAATCTATGTCCTAATTCTGTACTCCTATACCCTCTTCAGAGTACCCCCAGCACAGTGCAGATCACTGTCAAAGCATTCATTTAAAAACACAACTCCCAGGCCAGGCGTGGTGGCTCACGCCTGTAATCCCAGCACTTTGGGAGGCTGAGGTGGGTGGATCACGAGGTCAAGAGATCAAGACCAGCCTGGCCAACATGGTGAAACCCCATCTCTACTAAAAATACAAAAATTGGCTGGGTGTGGTGGCACGTGCCTGTAGTCCCAGCTACTCACGAGGCTGAGGCAGGAGAATCGCTTGAACCAGGGGGGTGGAGGATGCAGTGAGCTGAGATCATGCCACTGCACTCCAGCCTGGCGACAGAGTGAAGGTCCATCTAAAACAAACAAACGAACAAACAAAAAACAAAAAATATAACTCCTGGCCAGGCGCGGTGGCTCACACCTGTAATCCCAGCACTTTGGGAGACCAAGGCAAGTGGATCACCGGAGGTCAGGAGTTCAAGATCAGCCTGGCTAACATGGTGAAACCCCGTCTCTGCTAAAAATACAAAAATTAGCTGGGCATGGTGGCACATGCCTGTAATCCCAGCTACTTGGGAGGCTGAGGCAGGAGAATTGCTTGAACTTGGGAGGTGGAGGTTGCTGTGAGCTGAGATTGTGCCTCTCCACACCAGCCAGGGTGACAGAGTGCGACTTCATCTCAAAAGAATAAATAAATAAATAAAAACACAGCTCCTGGGAGACATGGCAGGAGGATCTCTTGAGCCCAGGAGTTCAAAATCAGCCTGGGCAACAGAGGGAGACCCCATCTCTACAAAATAATTAAAAAAAAAATTAGCCAGGCATGGTGGCACAGCCCATAGTTCCAGCTACTCAGGAGGCTGATGCAGGGGGATCATTAGCGCCCAGGATGTCAAGGCTGCAGTAGCTATGATCACACCACTGCACTCCAGCCTGGATGACAGAGTGAGACCCTGCCTCAAAAATAAATAAATAAATACATACATGCATACAAATTCTCATACAAATATATAGTGTGTGTCAAAGATTTATTTCACTCATTAATGAGGAACTAGTAAGATGGTAAAACTGGTTCGGAGGGGAATATATGTCAAAGTATGTAGAGTGAATGAAAGAAAGAATGCTCAATAAGATCAAAAAGTTAGAAATAAAACCAGCTATGAGAGCAATATAACCGTGACCTCTGGCTTTGCAACTTACAATCTTCTATGAGGTAGCATCCAACTTCACAGAGTCTGGGCCAAATCAACAAACAGTAAGTCAAACACAATTACCTTCTTTAACGTGATGGCCCCTAGCAGGTTTATTAAAGCAGGCTCTAGGCCAGGTTCAGTGGCTCACGCCTATAATCCCAGCACTGTAGGAGGCCAAAGCGGGAGGTTTGCTTGAGTCCAGGACTTCGAGACCAGCCTGGGCAACGTGGTGAGACCCCATTCTCTATAAAACATACAAAATCTAGCTAGGTGTGGTGGTGCATGCCTGTAGTCCCAGCTACTCTGGAGGCTGAGGCAGGAGGATCGCTTGAGCTCTGAGGGTCTAGGCTGCAGTGAGTGGTGATTATGCAACTGCACTCCAGCATGGGCCACAGAGGGAGACCCCGTCTCAAACACAAACAAGCAGGGCTCTAGTACTGCAGTCAGCAAACTCCGGCCCAGGGGCCGAATCTGGCCCACTTCCTGTTTTTGTAAATAAAGTTTTATTGGAACACAGCCACTGTCACTGGTTTGTGCGGCTGCTGGCCACTTTCATGCTTTTGCAGCCGAACTGCGGAGCTGGAACTGAGAGCGTCTGACCTGGAAAGCCTCAAGTATTCACTATCGGGACCTTTACAGAAAGTGTGGCAAGCCCTGCTGGAGCGCACCACCCCCACGGCACTGACTCCTCCTCGGCTGCTGAGTCCTCTCACCACATGTGTCATCACTTCTGGCTGCTTGTGGACTTGCCCTGAGGCAAGGTCAGGGTCTCACGCATCCCTGCACCTCCAGCATCTCTCCCAGGGTCCAGCCTCAACTTGGTGTTTAATGCATTAACGAATTTACAAATGAACATGCGAATGATTTAAAAATCAGTACTGAAAATGGGTTGCTTTACACGGAGCTCCAAAACAGATGATCACCAAAAATGTAACTACACTTAGCGACCTCTAGGGGAGAAACTGAAATTTCTATAATAAAAGGTTTACATTTTTGTCTGGAGAGACCAGGACTCTTTTTTCGTGAGAGACAGGAGTTCTTTAACCCTGGCTGGGCTCCTCTGGCTCTCTAGTTAGATTTCAAGGCCAAGAAAGAATGTTCTAGAAGCAACTGGGTGCTCACTAACAATGTGCTGATGTAGAGGGAGGCAGAATTCTTTAAAGATAAAACAAATCAAAGCTCTGTGGGGGGCCGGGCGCGGTGGCTCACGCCTGTAATCCCAGCACTTTGGGAGGCCGAAGAAGGTGGATCACAAGGTCAGGAGATTGAGACCATCCTGGCTAACATGGTGAAACCCAGTCTCCACTAAAAATACAAAAAATTCTCTGGACGTGGTGGCGGGCGCCTGTAGTCCCAGCTACTCTGGAGGCTGAGGCAGGAGAATGGCGTGAGCCCGGCAGGCGGAGCTTGCAGTGAGCCGAGATCGCACCACTACACTCCAGCCTGGGTGACAGAGTGAGACTCTGTCTCCAAAAAAAAAAGCTCTGTGGGGAAGCCGGGATTTTGAACGGCTTTTTTTTTTTTTTTTTTTTTTAACTTTTTTTAAGGCTAATAAACAGTACTTTATGATATTTCGGACAAAGGCAGAAATGGCATCTATTTCAAATGCCACCCGGTAGGGGCGGTCCTTCAGGCCCATTAGGGGAGCTGTCTGTCTGTTATACCCACGGGGATGCTGCCGCCCGCCACGCAGCCCCAGCTTGCCCACTCCCAGGTCTGGCCGGGGTTTGGCGCCAGTGGGCCAGGAGGCTTGGTCTGTTTGTGCACATGAGATCCGGCCTCTGGAAAAACTGGTGGAAACTGGTGGGCAGGGCAGGACCAGGAACACCCCTGCTGGGAGGCTCTGGTGGCCATGGTGAGCTCAGCACTCCGGAGGCCAGGGTCAATGGCTGCTCAGAGGAGAGTCATTAACCTCATCCCAAAGGTAATTCTGCACATGGAGAGGAAGCAGACAAGGTGCAGCTGCGTGTGGGGAAGGGAGGAGGGACGTGAGGAGGTGGCCCCCCTCCATCCAGAGCTAAGAGGAGGAGAAAAAGATGCTCCAGAACCCCTTCCATGGAAAGCTGCCAAGCCAAGCGCACCCTGCCTGGCTGAAACTCTGGTGTCAGCAGGAAAACTTGCACGTCTAGCAACTTCCACAGACACTGAGTACCCCTGCTTCTGACGGCTCCTCCCCGTGCCCACCACAGCCAAATGAAACCTCCTGAGAGGAGGTGGCTGGAGGGCCCCTGCAGAGGGAGGGACAGATGGGGGCTTCTGGTAAAGGCACAGGAAACCAGGAAGGCCCAGAGGCCAGTTCCCTCAAACAAATCGCAGAGTTTGCACACCTCATAAGCCGGCAGGGGACTCGACGCTGTGCTGCGTTTATCTTCACTCCCAAGGAAGCTTCAGGCTTTGAATCAGCCCAGCTCTAGATTCCCAGCCCTTCCCTGGGGACTTCTGTCTTTCCGGGTTGTCGTTTGTTTTGTCTTTCCTGTTTAATATTCTTTGGATCTTCAGAGGCAGAAGGGCTGTGGAGTGATGGGCTTTGTTCCCTGATCCTGAGCTCCATGCTTGGGTTCCTGGGGTGCTGGCTCTCTCGATCTCCCTCCACTCCCCATCTGGCCCTTTCTCTGACCCTCCTGAGTGTGTCCTTGCCTCCTCTTTCTTCTCTCTTGCATGGCTTCCTTCCTAGGGCCCTTCCTGTCCCTCCACAAGGAGACAGAGACCTGGGTGCGGGACCTCCTTCCTACCGACCACAGGCAGACGCTTCTGGGGTCCAGCAGCTCACATGTGACAGCCTCACCCCAGAACCGCGATCTTCCTCCCAAGACGGGCTCCGCCTGTGGAAGGCTCTATTTCTGGTCACGACACCATCGTCCTCTGTCATCGAGGGTCAGTGCTCCTTCTGTCACCCCTCCCCTGCTGCACATGGTGGGGTCTCCTCCACAGCCTCTCTTACATTTGCTTGATTTCAGTGGTAGGACCCTGATGTAGAAGCTCCCAACCTCTTGCTTGAACTATTTTGACAGATCGGTGAGTTTTAAAAAATGCAAATTTTTCCGCCGGGTGCGGTGGCTCACGCCTGTAATCCCAGCACTTTGGGAGGCCAAGGCGGGTGGATCATGAGGTCAGGAGATCGAGACCATCCTGGCTAACACGGTGAAACTCCCGTCTCTACTAAAAACACAAAAAATTAGCCGGGCGTGGTGTGGTGGCGGGCACCTGTAGTCCCAGCTATTCAGGAGGCTGAGGCAGGAGAATGGTGTGAACCCGGGAGGCGGAGCTTGCCGAGATCGCACCACTGCACTCCAGCCTGGGTGACAGAGCGAGACTCCGTCTCAAAAAAAAAAAAAAAAATGCAAGTGTCCTTGCTACCTTAAAACAAACAAACCAAAGGGTCAGGGCTGCCCAGCTGTTGGTTTTCGGGGCCCAGGCAAGGCGGCCTCTCTGGCAACCAGTGCGGAGAGCACTGGCCTAAAGGAGACCCCTGTGTGCACCTCCGCATAGGCCTCCCTTCCCCCGTCACGCACCCTGCAGGGTTCAGCCTGGGGCAGGCCTCAGGGTGTTGTGGACCTTGGGGCTCACAGCCACAGGGAAGGAGGGGCAGATGAGTCTGGGGTCCTTGTTAACCCACAGGCCCCCAGCTCATCCATCTCACCCGACTCCAATTCACGGCTCTTGCTGTGCCGAGCGGTCCAGCCTCCCTCTCCAGGCCCAGGGGTGCCTGGTGCCCTCCTACACCACCTTCCCCACTAGGCGACTGTGATGACACTCCACAGACTGGGTGGTTTACAAGCAATGGGAGTTCATTTCCTCACAGCGCTGGGACTGAAGGGACCAGGGGGTCAGCCTGGGTGGGTCCTGGTGAGGACTCCCTTCCAGGCTGGGGATGGCCAAATGCCCCTGTGTCCTCACGTGGTGGAAGGAGAGGGGCACTCATCGCATTGGTGAGGGCTCCACCCCATGACCCCATCCCCTCCTAAAGGCCTGCTGACACCCTCGCCTTGGGGGTGAGGATTTCAGCACAGGAATTGGGGGCACGCTCAGTCCACAGCGCCTGGTGCCTGCCTTAGCTCCCCCTGTGCTCTCTGCATTCTGGCCAGTTTGTTCACATCTCCCAAGTGTGTCCCCCGAAACAGCCTTCCCGCTCAACCCCATGCCCTGAAGGAACCAGCTCCTTCATAAAGCCCTTCTCCTGGAGGCCATGTCTGCCCCCCATGGCCCCTGCCCTAGGAGCCCAGGGCCGTGTCTGAGCTGAGTCCTGCAACCTCCCCATCCGCATCTGTCCCTCCCTCCCATCAGATCTGATCCCTCTCAAGGGGAAACAGGGACGTTGACACTCCCTGTGCCACATGTTGGGTGATTCCCTGCTAATATTTCTAAATTCCTGAAACGCTGGTGAGGACTTCTGCTCCGTTGCCCAGGAAGGGGCGTGAGGAGAGCAGCAGTGGCTCCTCGGCCAAAATCTCTGGGGCATGAGGCCTGGCTGGGCCTACGTTCGAGAGACACTGAGCTCCTGAGACTTCCTGTCCACATAGCGAGGACCACAGTGGTCACCCTAAAGGGCTGTCAAGAGCCCCCAGTGGGACGAGGTCAGCCCCGGACACTCCGGCACATGCCAGCGAGCTCGGTGACCAGCAGCCACGGTTTCTTAGGGGTGCTTTTAGATAAAAACAAGCCAGCCCCCAAGCATGGCCTTTCCCACCAGCTGCGGCTCCCCTTGGGCCATCTCCCATCACATCCCGCTCACACACGCCCCACTCTGTGCCTGCTTGGCCCTGCCCACGGTGCATTAGCCACCACTTCCACTGGACCTGGCACACCTGGGCCTGGCTGGCCCTGGAGAGATGGCCCTCCCAGGGTGAGCCAGTTCCCAGAGACAGCAAGCAGCTCACCTGGAGGTAGTACCTTTTGTACCTAGAGCCCAGTCCCACCTCATCCTCTGTGAGCGCTCACACTCAGGGCTTCATGCCTCTGTCCTGTCACTGGGGCTGGGCATCTGACAGCAGGAACAGCCCCCAGCCCCGGAGCCCGCTGAGACTGTGACACCAGGCAGTCCTAACCTTGCCTGGCCCGGCCCTTCCCTCAGAAGCCACAGCAGAGGCTCCTGCCACAGTCCCCTCCTCCTCTGCCTCCTGACCCACCCGGTGCTTCTGCACATGGCCCTGTGTGGCATTCCCTGCCCCCTCCCCTTGGGATCTGTCAGCAACAAACTGTCTTTCCAATGCCATTTGTCTCTCGATCTGTTGGCATCACCGTTCCCGAATAAAAATAAGATCTATACTTTAAAACGACAGGTGCTGTGCAACTTTCTAACCCTGAGCCTTTCATTCCTCTCTTCTCTGTGCCTGGAATGTCTTCCCTCCCATCGAAAGACTGTGTCCCCTTCAAGGTCCAACCTGAGTCTCACCTCCTCTGCAGAGCCTTCCTGGCTGACCCTGCTCACTCATTTGCTTTCACATACTCCCCTGGCCATAGATCATTACAACAATTCTCACGACTCTCATGTGTACCAAAATTTAGACTACATTTGTGGCCGGGCACAGTAGCTCACACCTGTAATCCCAGCACTTTGGGAGGCTGGGGCAGGAGGATCGCTTGAGCTCAGGAATTTGAGACCAGCCAGGGCCACATAGGGAGACCCCATCTCTGCCAAAAAAAAAAAAAAAAAAAAAAAAAAAAGGGCATTGTGGTGTGCTCCTGTAATCCCAGCTACTCGGGAGGCTGAGGTGGGAGAATTGCTTGAGCTTGGGAGGTTGAGGCTGCAGTGAGCCAAGATTGTGCCACTGCACTCCAGCCTGGGTGACAGAGCGAGACCCTATCTCAAAACAAAAAAAAGAAAAAACCGAGTACATTTCCATCCTCCCTCTCACATCCCTCCTCCTGAAAATTGTGAATTCTCGGAGGGAGAAACTAAAAGGTTTTGACCTTAGTAATCTAATCTGTAGCACGATACCTGGAACAATAAAATCTATAAAACAGTAGGTGCTTAATAAGTGTCTGCTGGGTGAATGGGCGAATGAAGGAAAGAAATATAAAACCTAATGGCTGGAAAAATGAAACACACAGGCAAATCTAAAAAAATCCAACAAGAGAATTAGGATGAAGGAATCGGAGCAGGGAATGGTCCTCGGAAAGAACGGGGAAATATGAGTCTCATAAAATTTAATTTGGTTTGACGGTTGTGATTTATATATACGTTGACCTCTATTTTTCGAAAATGACATTTGTGGTAAAACACTTCCTTTGGTCCCACTTGAGTTGTCACGTATGCGGCAGTATTTTCCTCTCCTGTGGTAGTTTTAAAGGTCCCATAATAGGACCTCAACGGATCTGACAGATGAATGAACAAAAAGGCCCCTTTTCCACCATTCATCTCATATAGATTTTGTATGCTGGTTGAGAAATAAGAGAGAAAAGCCACTGTGAGGGTGTTATTATGGACAGTCGAGCAACCAAGAAACATTCTGAGATTTCTGAGTATGTATGTCATTGTCACCTGTCTCCCCAGCACCTAAACGCTTAGGCAGAGACATTACACCAGAACAAAAAATGAGGCCCGTTTCGGCAAATTTACCAGATGACCGTGGGATTATGGAAGGAGTCATTAGGGCCAATGACAGCTCTCCTGTGCATGTGCGAATGACTATTCAGAGATAATGTCACTCTTGTTCCTCCTATTATGAAAAAGAAATTCAACTACAGTCAGGGTTTATTATGACCGAAATGCTGACAGATACTTATCCAAAGGGCCACAGACAGGTCTCACGTCCTTCCATAAGGAGGGAAGGAGGAGACAGAAGTAGTGATGAGAAATCCCCAGCCCCAGATCTTGAAGTGATGAGATAAAAGCATTTGGCTTATGAACCTGCAGGAGACGGGCACACTAGAATTTCTCCCTACAGAGGTAACAGGTGGCCAGGTGGACAGTGAAGTCAATCAAGGTTGGAAACTTTATTGGGCCTTGGGCGGCCCAATATATCTGTCTGGGGCTATGTCTGTCCCGGATGGCATGTGTGCGATGCCCTGTCCACCTGCTCACAGGCGCTTCCTGGCATGACGCCTTCCTTCTATGCAGCAGGCCCTGTTCTGGGTGCCAAGGGGAGATGCGGCACTGCTCAGACAAAGTCCCTGCTCTCACTGAGCTTGTGTTCCTGGGAGGACAAAGATGGTAACCACATAAAAAATAAATACAGGACGTTACTGTACCAAACACAGCAACCTGAGAGCCCCTGGCCGTACAGGAGCTGTCTGCTTCCTGACCCAGGTGAGCCCCTCACCCAGAGTCGGCCCAGGCCGTCTTGCCATCTTTGTTTGCTGCGAGGTGGGGTGGGGCAGGAACAGGCCAATGCCTCTGCAGAGATGGGCTGCTCCTGACCCTCTGCCCAGCTGGGTGAAGCCTGGGAACCAGTGTGCTGGGTGAGAAGCCTCCTTGCTGTTCCTAAAGTCAGTTTCTACCGGGAAAAAGAGCTGGGGACTGCTGCATTTGCCATTTTCAAGCTGTGCGAGTTTGTGATTCTGCTCGAGTGCACTGTGAGTAGCTCCAGCCTGACTCTCCACTGCCACTGTGGGTGTTTGAGCCCAGGCTGCCTCTTCCTGGGCTACAGATCCTTACAGTCACTGGGGACTTCGCAGACCTGGGTTCTCTGACCACAGCGACCCCCGTGGGGGTTTCAGTGTCCCCGGCCCCTGAATCTCAGCTCCTATGTGGCGCTCATCTTGCCTGAACCTGCCCTGCTGGCCTCTGCTTGGTTTCCCAGGTATTTTCTAGGACAGGGCCCTGCACACTCCACAGGCCTCCCTCTGGGGAAGGAGGTCTTTCCTCTGAAGGTCACAGTGTCTCAAGCAGCCTTCTTGGATGCTAAACACTTGCCTTAACTTCATTATTTTTATTATTAGGAACTTCCATTTATTAAATGTCTAATATGTGCTAGTCCCATGCTAAAGCGTTAAATGAACTTCTGGTCTCTGAATTTTATGATGAAGAAACTGAGGCTTACAGAGGTCCCACGACCCATCCCGGTATAGTTGGCCCCTAGCCTCTGTTCTCCATCCTCTGCCAACCAGCCAGCTCTCAGTGACCATCCCCCACACCCCTAACAACCATTGCCGGGAGGGTGGCTCGTTGCTAAGGTGCCTAAAGTTCCTCTCTTCTGCTGGTTTTACCAGGTAATAACTTCACCTTCCCCTGGCCTTGCCTGTGGCCACACAAATCCATGCAGGTCCCAGAGCTGGCTCTGCCCTGCCACAGCCAGGCCTGGTTCCAGACGGAATGCTGGCAGCAGTAAAGGTAGAGTGAGGGGATCTGAGTGTCTTATTCCAGGAGACTCTGGGATTTCTAAGCCTTGACATTGCCTGATGTGCTTATAAACACTGTGGACTTTTGAAGAGAGGAAAGCAAATCACAGAGAAGACATGCACAGGAAAGTGGACGCTTTACAGCTACATTTCAGGACAGGTTTCTACCCACATGTCCACACTGCCTATTTTCCAAGGAAGATCCTCATAATGAGATGGAGCAGGAACCCCTCTTAGGGACTGGTGGGCCCCCAAACATGGAAATAAAGAAAAATCTTGAGTTCCTTCAAGGGAAATTCCAGGCACCTAGCTAGCCCTGAGAAGTAAATGAGCGAGGCTGGGCGTGGTGGCTCACACCTGTAATGCCAGCACTTTGGGAGGCCGAAGCGGGCAGATCACCTGAGGTCAAAAGTTCGAGACCAGCCTGGCCCACACGGCGAAACCCCATCTCTACTAAAAATACAAAAAATTAGCCAGGTGTGGTGGCGAGTGCCTGCAATCCCAGCTACTTGGGAGGCTGAGGCAGCAGAATCGCTTGAACCCAGGAGGTGGAGGTTGCAGTGAGCTGAGATCGCGCCACTGCACTCCAGCCTGTGAGACAGAGCGAGACTCCGTCTCGGAAAAAAATAAATAAATAAATAAAAATTAAAAATAAATAAATAAAGGAGCAACTTGACAAACAAGAAGGTGAAAGTAGCTGAAAACAATAGCCAAGGAAGCCAGAGTCAGGAGATGCTTGGTTCCCAATAGAAACTAAAGTGACATCTTACCATATGTCCCTGAGTTGTTTTTCAGAAACCCGGACTCCCACCAAATGGGTTGGCTATGCAGGTCCGCTACACATAGACCTCAGGTGTGGGGGAGCTGAGGAAGAGCTCAGATATGGGGGAGCTGAGGAAGAGCTCAGATGTGGGGGAGCTGAGGAAGACCTCAGATATGGGGGAGCTGAGGAAGAGCTCAGATGTGGGGGAGCTGAGGAAGAGCTCAGATGTGGGGGAGCTGAGGAAGAGCTCAGATGTGGGGGAGCTGAGGAAGAGCTCAGATGTGGGGGAGCTGAGGAAGAGCTCAGATGTGGGGGAGGTGAGGAAGACCTCAGATATGGAGGAGCTGAGGATGGAACTCTGACCTCTGCTGTTTGTTCTAAATTTCTTCCTAAGGAGCCTGGAGGAAGTCACACCCTCAGGCCAGAGCTAACGTTCTTTTCTGCTGATCCAAAATGTTTCGACAAAGCTTCACCTCCTTAACCGATCACAGATCAGAAAATCTTTGAATTTACCTATAACCTGTGGGTTCCTGCTTTAAGATGTCCTTTTAGGTAAAACCAATGTGTCACCTCCGTGTCCTGATGCTTGACTCTGCCTGAAGCCTCTGCCTCTCTGCCTTTATGGATCCTTACTGTAAGCCATAGGAGAGGTCAGGTCTTAGGCTTGAGTGACCCGATTCTCCTGGCCTGGTGCCCTGAAAGACACACCTCACTTTCTCTCGCTGCAATCCCGATGTCAATGGTTTGGCTTTGCTGTGCCAGGGAGGTCCACAAGTCCGGTTTGATAACAATAAAGGAAACCTCCTCTGAGGTCCCGGTCCTTTGCTTCTCCCTCTGAGGCATGGCCACCTGCCATGAGGTCTTGGTATCTTGCTTCTTTCCTGAGTCTCTCTTTCCTACTCACTGAAGGCAGGTTCTCCTTGTACTTTCCTCAGAGGCCCCTGTGCCTAGCACAGCACTGGACCACAGCGAATGTCAGCACATGGGGATTGGAGGGGTGAGTAGAGCAGAAGCAAGTTCTGTGGAAGGGCAATCCCACCCCGGAATTCCAGGGCAATCCATTTGGCTTTCAAACCCCCGGCTGGGCCGGGCGCGGTGGCTCACACCTATAATACCAGCACTTTGGGAGGCCGAGGTGGGTGGATCATTTGAGGTCAGGAGTTTGAGACCAGCCTGGACAACATGGCAAAACCCCCTCTCTACTACAAATACAAAAATTAGCTGGGTGTGGTGGCAGGTGCCTGTAATCCCAGCCACTCTACTCGGGAGGCTGAGGCAGGAGAATCGCTTGAACCTACAAGGCGGAGGTTGCAGTGAGCTGAGATCACATCACTGCACTCCAGCCTGGGCAACGGAATGAGAGTCCGTCTCAAAAAAAGCAAAAAACACAAAAAAAACCACCCTGGCCGTTTAGGCAAAAAGGGGACTGCCCCCGGATTGTATGGGCTTCAACTTCTGACTAGGGAAAGCAGATACACTCATCTGCTGAGACGACATTTTCCCCAGGATTCACCTCTGGGAGAGGTGTATCGCAAGAGGCTTTGGACCAAGGACGTGCTAGAGAAACAGAAAGCCCCATACATCCTGCAAGGTGTCCTCGCAGGTGAGTGCCTCAGCAAACAGCAAAATGAAACACAGCCCGTGGCCTCCCATCCATCAGCCCAGGATCCGGTCCCTCGGCACAGCGTGTGCTTAGGAGAGAGACAGTGTTGCTTCACGCCCCCGACTTCACCGAGGCATGCGTCATTCCAAACGCTGTCGCTGTCGACGCCGCCGGCAGCCTCGGCGTCTCTAAGCGTCCTGGGGACGCCTGGGCGCCCGGCTGCTCCATCTCCACTACTCTTTAGTTACAGAGAGACCAGCACTAAACAGACTTGTGCTTTATTAGCCCATAACACTTTCTAAAACAGTTTCTTCTAAGAAAATGGCTACTATTATGCACAAATAAGCACTAAGTGGGACTTTTTTTTTTTTTTTTTTTTTTTTTGCTTTCCATTTTCAGAATGAAAACAGTTTTAGCTGTACCTAAAGTGTTACCACTAGCATCTTCATTATGGAAAACTCTGCTCAGGGCAGGCTTTTGAGAAGACTAGACGTTATTTTGGCTATTAGAGCACAGCAAATGGCTGCGAATGGCAGGGGTTTACAGAGGTAACTGAGCAGACAAACAGGAGTGGCAAATGAAAACATATAACATTTGCATTCTCCCTTTTATGGTGCACCATAAAAATGCTCAAAGAGATGTTTTGCTCACTCTACAGTCAAAGGTTACTAATTAAGCAAAGCATTACTGAGCCAGAAATACCTATAAAAGCTGCTGCTTTTTTTTTTGGCAACCCACATCTGAGCATCAACTTATTATAGGGCCTTTCAATGGGTTCCTCCAATGATTAGGATCCTTCATTCCATAATTCACTGAAGGTAACTCTAAGTAATAAAACCTTCTTGGTGCACTTTTAAAAATGGTTAGCATCTAAAGGAAACTTTTCTGCAAAGAAGATACAATTGAAAAGTAGATGAAAGGGAAGAAACGTGAACACTCTTCTGGCAGAGAGTGTTGTGGTGGGAGCTTTCGTCCCTGCCCTGCTCTGCTGCTCTCCGCCTGGGCTCACGTTCACAGAGCCTCGAGACGGGGCTTGGCTGTTAGGACCTTCCTGGGCCCTCCACACCCAACTGATGGGTTCTATTGTTCCTTCCTCAGTGTCCTCCCGGCGCCCCAGCAGACCTCTCTGACATCACCTCCCTGGCTTCTATGTGATTAATGACTTTGTATCTAGACCATGTGCTCCGGAGTCTTTCTCCTCCCCAAATTCTAGCCCAGGGCCAGGCACAGACTAGGAGTCAACAACCGCTTCCCGGGTGAGAGGCTGTGAGAGGCAGCCCTGGAGTCTCCCTACAGCAGAGAAGGCCTGGGTTTGTCTTGCATCCCATTCAAAGGGGGTGAGGTATAGGAGGCCCCAGAGGCCTCATCTATACTAGTCACAGCCTCAAGGGCCCCGCTGCCTGGAGTTTAGGACAGCTGGGCTTCATGGGTGCCTCTGGAGCCTGCCTGGACCAGGGAGCCCATGGGACATTCTCAGAGAAGTGGCTGGGGAATGAGAACCAGGCGTCCTGGGAGGACCACGGGACAGGGGGTAGGCGAGCACAGAGGGAGGCTGGGACAGAGCCACAGACAGCCTCAGGGGCTGGCAGGTTTCTCAGAGGAGATGCATTCGTAAAGTTGCTCAAGCTTGACAGAAAGCAGAAGTCAATGTAACACCATGTTCTAGTTCTCTCAATCACCCGTGAGACAGGCACTGTTATTAGGGCTTTATGGCTAAAGAACATGACCTAAAAGACTTCCCTAAAGCCTCACAGCTAGAAAGTGATGGAGCTGGGATTCCGGGCCCTGTCGCTGTGATCCCAAAGCCTGTGCTGCTTGTGTCTACACGCCCGACGGTTTTGTTCTGCTCGCTGCTTGTCACGATGTCTTTCCTGGGGGATGAGTCAGAGATGATCCATGGAATGTGATGAAGGCCAGGAAGGTGGCACGTGGAGAGAAGCAGTGTGGAGTTCCCCAGAAGAACGTGTGGCCAGAATTCCGGCATTAAGAATGAGAAGAGGGGGCTGCAGAACTGTTCTTTCCCTGGACGGAGCTGTAAAGGTGTTGGCTGGTGATGTAGAGGGTTGGAGTATATTCTGCTTGAGTCTGTAGAAGGCTGAACAGCAGCTCTTATCTACACTGGCCTGCCAGTGAAACACCCTCAGAAGGTGTTTAAAGAGATGCCTGCTCATTCATCATTGTTAAAAGCATACCTTGCTGTTGGCAGGGTGCAGTGGCTCACGCCTGTAATCCTAGCACTTTGGAGGCTGAGGTGGGTGGATCACCTGAGGTCAGGAGTTTGAGACCAGCCTGGCCAACATGGTAAAACCCCATCTCTACCAAAAATACAAAAATTAGCCAGGTGTGGTGGTACGTGCCTATCATCCCAGTTACTCAGGAAGCTGAGGCATGAGAATCATTTGAACCTGGGAGGTGGAGGTTGCAGTGAGCCCAGATCCTGATGCTGCACTCCAGCCTGGGTGACAGAGTGAGACTCTGTCTCAAACAAAAAAAAAAAAAAAAAAAAAAGAAAAGAAAAGAAAATGGCAAATGTGGAGAAATCTAAGCCAGCACTCACTGTGAGACAGAATGCCCCAGTAAGGATCATTGCCTTTGTAGATATAGAAAAGTGAGGCAGAGTTGATGTGCTGGACATATAACAAGTATGACTTGACTGGACTTCAGGAATTTTTAAGTCCTGTACTTAAGTCCTGGAAAGAAGATAGTGCAGTCATGTTAGACTTTGATAACTTCAGTTTATATGCAAAAATTTTAAGGGCAGCAGTGAAAGAGTCCAGTCAGGGGTCAGGATCTGGGCAAAGAAGGCATCCAAGCAGAATGGTGTCCAAGCAGGGCAGCAGCCCACTTTGATCATAAGACTGGCCACATAGAGTGGAATTCAGCAAAAAAATAAATATACTGAGCATACTGGGAGCCAGAGAAGGGCTCGGATAGATGTAGAAAAGGGAAGCTCACATAAACTGAGGGTTTTGCATTGTATTTGGAGGTGATAGTGTGAAATAATGCTTTTCAGTATGTGTGGCTAGATATAGAAACTGACCTAGCTATAGATATATGTACATTTCCTAGCTGGGAGCAGTGATGCCCCAGTAGCAATGAGCACACTACTGCCTGGATCTTGGTTTCTAAATCCCACTCTCCACTGCACTAACCCAAGGTTCCCTGGAGAAATGGCTGGGAAAGAAGAGAGAAAGAACAAGATGAGTTGGGAACATCTTGTGCCAGAAGATAAGGAAGTGCTCAAAGAATGATGGAGACATCAAAAGAATACAGAAGCCAGCTGGATGGGCTCCCCGCCACCCCCAAATCGCCAAATGGAGGGAAGTTTGAGCATCAAAATTAGCAATGATAGCAATGGGTTAAAATCTGTTACCCAAAATAAAAAGTCATGAGTCCACACTGATGATAATTAATGGAAAAATAAATGAGGAGAAAGCTTTTGCTTTCAGGAATAGGCCAATGGATAAATGTAGAAGAAATGATTGAATTTTTAAAAAATCACTGGTGCCCTCATTGCCCTAATTAATTCCAGCAAGAAATATTAATGGATGACAAACTGGTGGATGAGACTGGAAAGAGAAATGAGGTTTTTAAAGAATCTCAAAGTATCTTCTCACAAAATACTGATTAATTGTAAAGTGGGTGGTGCAGAAGTGGCGGTCATTTTAGAGGGGAGAAATCTCAGTCAAGTTAGCAAAATAACTGGACTAACAACGGGACATGCCAAGGCCAAGTCAAACCCAACAAGGTGTAGCAGGAGGTGCCCAGCATCACTTCCCCCACATTCTGGCCAAAAATGCGTCACCTAGGACGACTCCTAAAGACACTGGGATAAATCCAAATTGAGGGGAATCAGGGAAATAACCGGCCTGTAGTCTTCAAAATTGTCAAGGTCACAGAAGTCAAGAAATAACTGAGATCACAGGAGACCACTGGGTGCAGCCCATGTCCTGGAGTGGAGCCTTTTGTTACCGAGGGCTTTTGGGGAAAACTGGGCAAATCATGGATGAGGCCTTTGGGTGGAGGGGAATTCTCTGTAGGATTCTTAAGGCTTGTCTATAGTTTCTAAAACACTTTTGAAATCAAAGGGAAAGATTACCCTTCAAGGGAATTGGAAATTCCACATGAAATGTTTAACCACTGGCTGCAGGCTGTGAGCTGGCCCAGGAGTCAGGCAGCCCCAGGGAGTCACCCACACGTGGGCTCCACGTGACGGAGCTTCCCTGCCCTGGACACTCAGAGACAGCCCAGGGAGGTGTGCAACCAACACAGGCCTGGGGAAGGGGCAAGCCCACGATGGGGAAGGCAGGAAGCTTGCCCCGTTCATTCTTCCCTGGAGCACTAAAACCTCTGAACTGCTGGAGAATAGCAGCCCGGGACAGGCTGCCTGAGCACATCTTGCCTCCAAGGCCCAGCACAGAGGCCCCCTGAGGCGGGACCCTCAGCGGAGATGCAGATCTGTCATTTCCAAGCCTCACAAATGGAAGAGTGCTGCAGCCTCTGCCCCAGGGGTTCTGATGAACTGAGTCGGGGTCTGGGCGCCTCCACACCCACAACGTGTGGCAGGATTGGGAGGCACTGAGCACCCTGTGCAGATGCCCATGAGGGTCTCACCTCCACTTGAGGGAGGGTCTCACCTCCACCTGAGAGACCTCATCCTGCAGATGCCCACGAGGGTCGCACCTCCACCTGAAGGAGGGTCTCACCTCCGCCTGAGGGAGGGTCTCACCTCCGCCTGAGAGAGGGTCTTACCTCCGCCTGAGGGAGGGTCTCACCTCCACCTGAGGGAGAGTCTCACCTCCATCTGAGGGGCCTCATTGTGCAGATGCCCACAAGGGTCTCACCTCCACCTGAGGGAGGGTCTCACCTCCCTCTGAGGGGCCTCATTGTGCAGATGCCCACAAGGGTCTCACCTCCGCCTGAGTGACCTCATTGTGCAGATGCCCACGAGAGTCCTCTGCCTGAGGGCTAAGGAACACAAGCTCAATCCAAACTGTGTTTATGAAAACTGGTGAGAAAATACACTATCGATCTTAAAACCCAGGCCAAATCTACAACCAGAAAAGGCCAAGTTCACTTATGAACATGGATACAACAATCTCAACCCCAAACAAAACAAACATCAAGACCAAATTGCTTCTGTCTCAGGAGCTCCGGAATAGTGAAACAGAAGGGCAGTGTGAACCACCTTACCAACAGATGAAATCAGAAAAACCAAATGAGCAGCTCAATAGATGAGAAAATAGTCTGATGCAATTAAATTTATTTATGCTTTAAAAAAAAAAAACCAACTCCTAGGAAATCAGGATCAGAAAAGAATCATCTTAACCCAATACAGGCTGGATATATTTTTTAAAAAGCCTACATCAATGGTGTAAATGTCATACCTGATGATAAAATCTTACAATAATTTCTTTAGAGTGACAAAACAAAGATTGTCTTCTATCATTGTCCCAATTCGATATGATAGAAGACGCTTTAGCCCTCCCAGTAAGATTACAAAATACTCAAAGAAGAAGAAACAAAAAAGAGAAAGAAAGAATATAAAAAATTCAAAGGAAGAAACAAAAACTGTCGCCATTAACAGATGATATGAATTCTTTATAGAAAATTACAGTAAAACTAACCAACTAACAAGAGAATTCCCAAAGTTTCTGGCTGTAACACCAATACACCAGGCTGAGCAGCCACAGACTTCCGAGGTTTGCAGGCTCCAATCCGGCTTCATGGCTTGGCTGTGTGACCTCGGCAGGTAATCCAACACCTTGATGTCTCATCTGTGACACGGGGTTATAACAGCCACCAGAGAGCCATTATGAGAATTAAACGTGTTCATAGTTGTGAAAGCACTTAGAACACAGAAGAATTTATTAAAGAAACAAAAATATTTAAAAATCAATTGTGTTCCCCTATGCAAACAACACAGGCAGAAAATATCATTTAAAATAGCCATACGTGAGTTAATCCTCATGACAACCTTGCAGATGGTACTACTGACCCCATTCTCCAGATGGAAATTCAGGCTCACAAAGAAGTTAAGAAGCACGTCTACAGAGCTGGGAAACAGGGGTGCTAAAAAAGGGGGGAACCAGGTCTGTCTGACTCAAAGCCCGTATTCTTCACATTACAGCTTTTGAGGTATATTGATCGCCCCTCATTTTCCTGCCTTTTTGAGAGCAGGTGAAGGCAGGATTAGAGAGCCCAGTGCTTCTCCAAGAGAAAACAGCTGAGAAAAGTAGATTTAAACAAGTGAAAAGAGGTAGCATGATCCTGAACAGAAAGATTCAACACCATCAGATGTCCACAAGAGTGGCCGGGAAAATCCTAAGAAAGTCAAGCAATGCGTGTGTGTGTGTGTGTGTGCGCGCGTGTGTGTCTGTGCACACACATTGGTTATGGGGAAGCAGGCCTCACCAGATATTAAAGCATAGTTTAAAGCCTCTCTAAGTAAACAATGTGGAATTAGTGCATGAATAACCAGGCTAATAGAACAGAATGAAAAGTTCAGAAATAGACCAAAGTGCGTATGAGAATTTAATGTTACAAATCAGGAAAAAAAATGGTCATTTTAATAAATGGCACTGAGGCAATTACGTAGCTATTTGCAAAATGATGAAAATGGATTCATACCTCACTCCATATACAAGAACCAGTTCCAAATGGATGGAGTTCTAAATGTAAAAATGAAACCAGAAAATTGGTTGGGTTCCTTTAGAACCTGAAAGTGGGGAAAACCTTTCTGCCTATGATTCAAAAACCAGAGGCATGCAAGAAAGGAGTCATAAATTAGACTTCAATTTTTTTTTTTTTTTTGCATGGCAAAAAATATATACATGTTGCTGCTGGGAATGCAACATGTTACCATCTGCAGAAGAGGGATTTGGCAATGTCTGGGAAGTTTACATGTGCATTTGCCTTGTGATCCAGCCAACCCATGCCTGGGAATCTCCCCCAAAGATACAGTGGCAAAAATACAAAATGACTATGCAAAAGGCTGAAAACTAGCTTGAGGCTGAATGAGGCCCCCTGGAGATGCCCATACCCTAATTCCTGGAACCCATGAGTACGCTGCCTTATGTGGCAGGAGAGGCTCTGCAGATGTGATTAAGGGTAAGAACCTTACATCAGGGAGGTTATCCAGGTGAATACAAGGTAATCAGGAGTCCTTAAAAGTGGAAGTGGGAGGCTGAAGAGTGGGCCAGAGAGATGAGAAGGAAGGAGGAGGAAAGAGCCAGAGTCTGAGAGGACTTGACCTGCCCCGGCTGCTCTGAAGATGAAGGAAGGGGATCCCGAGCCACAGACCGTGGTGACCTCCAGGAGCTGGGAATGACCATGGCTGACAGCACAGTATGGGGACCTCAGTCCTACAACTGCAAGGACTGAATTCTGCCGCAACCCGAATGACCCTGGAAGCTGACTCATCCCCAGAGCTTCCGGAAGAAACATGGCTCTGGTGAGACCCATGCTGGACTTCTGACCTGCAGAACTAGAAGATGACACATGTATGTTGTATCAGCCACTCAGTTTTTGGTGATTTGTTATGGCAGTGATATAATACTAATACACATCCCAATGCGTGTCAGCAGAGGACTAGCTACATAAACAAACCCCAGCTCATGCACACCGGGCAGACCTGTGCAGGTGTGAGAAGAAAGGACAAGTGCACACATGATGCCCAGGGGTATTCAGGATGTGCTGTCACCGGAAGACAGCAAGGCGCAATATGCCACCTTCCGTGGAAGAAAGAGGAAGTACACATATACGCAGAGCTGTTTATGTTGCCAGAAAGAAAAAGAAAAAGGAAAAACCAAAAGTCTAATAAATATGGTTATCTATGTGGCAGACAGGCAACAGGGTAAGGAGACAAATGAACAGAAACTTCTGTGAATGTCACTTTTTAAATAGTTTTGACTTTGAGATCGTGTAAATGAGTTATATCCTCAAGAATTAGTTTAAAATCCTCCACCAATTTTTTAAAATGTAAAATGAGCTAGGTGCAGTGGCTCACACCTGTAATCCCAGCACTCTGGGAGGCTGAGGCGGGCGGATCACTTGAGGTTAGGAGTTCAAGACCAGCCTGGCCAACATGGTGAAACCCCATCTCTACTAAAAATACAAAAATTAGCCAGGCGTGGTGGCGAGCACCTGTAATCCCAGCTACTCAGGAGGCTGAGGCAGGAGAATAGCTTGAACCCGGGAGGTGGAGGTTGCAGTGATCTGAGATCACGCCACTGCACTCCAGCCTCGGTGACAGAGTGAGACTCCATCTCAAAATAAATAAATAAAAAAAATGTAAAATGATTTTTAAAGAAAGTCAGTGCTAAAAATTGAAGCAAAAAAACAAAACAAGTCCTGAAATGAACGCACTTAAATCTGTATCGAGATAACCACAATGAGAAAAGAACAGTGGCTTTAGAACAGTACTGCAACTGTACTTGTATACTGTAAGTATAAACTAAATATATTATAAACTGAATATAAACTGTAGGTATAAACTGAATATATTACACTTCCATGGTATAACACATTTTAAGGACAAATACTTAAATTTCATTCAGTAGTCTCTGTTAGTCATACCACTGAGATTATAATTTTGAAACTCCTAATAGTATTTGTGTTTTAACATAAAGTTTTCATATAAGTAAGATACACAGGCAAATTCACAGACCACAGGTTGAACCTCTTAATACAATAGGAGGATAAAGAAGATAATCGAGTTAGGAGTCCTAAAAAGCACAGTCTTAGAGTAAGGGAAAATATATTTAAAATATACATTTAGGCTGGGCGCAGTGGGCTCACACCTGTAATCCCAGCACTTTGGGAGGCCAAGGCAGGTGGATCACTTGAGGTAAGGTGTTCGACACCAGCCTGGTCCAACATGGTGAAACCCCATCTCTACTAAAAATATAAAAATTAGCTGGGCGTGGTGGCGGGCGCCTGTAATCCCAGCTACTCAGGAGGCTGAGGCAGGAGAATCACTTGAACCCAGGAGGCGGAGGTTGCAGTGAGATCGTGCCATTGCACTCCAGCCTGGGTGACAAGAGCGAAACTCCATCTCAAATAAATAAATAAATAAAATAAAATAAAATAAAATATACATTTAAGTAACAACATAACATAACATAACATAACATAACATAACATAACATAACATAACATAACATAACGTAACATAACATATACATTTAAGGTCAGTAACCTGAAATTTCATTGGAAACGTCAGTATGAACTCATGATGCTTCAGAAAATATGTTCTGTCTACTGGGAAGGTGTCGAAGCAGGGACCAGCTGGGAGCGAGGAGATCCACCTTGGTGCTCAGGTTATCGTCTTTAAACAGCATTTGACACTCATGAAACCAAGGCCCTGCAGGCATGGCTCCATCTCAGCTTGAGGCAGGAAGTCATCAAAGAGTGGAGCCTCATGCCGGAGCCCCAGGATACGAAAGCCTCCCTAGGCCAAAGACAGGCCAATTCTAGGTTCAAAAAGAATAATGACTGCAGGTGACTGAAACCCACTGAACAGGTAAGAACCTATGCTTTCATGATGATACTCAGCAAAAGAGATCACAAGACAGAAAAAGAAAGAAAAATCTATTTAACATTGGAAGTAACCAGGGGACCAATTCCTCACCCTGGAAACTGGTAATTAAGGGAAAAGAATTAAGCATTTATTCTGCCTTCCTGCATTTGAGAGTAACTAAATAGTCTGAGGGATGAGCAGAGATGCTTCTTTTTAGAGTTCCAACAGCTAAATGAGGAAAGACTGATAGAAATATAAAATTATCATCTTGAATATCCTAAGAACATAATTAATTCAGGCAAAGATCATGGATGGATGAGACCATTAGATAAAAAGCTGATGGAGAAATTCACAAGGTAGGCATCAGGCTGCTACGCTCTGCCACCCAACTTAGCATCCCTGAGTGGGGCGACTAGACCTACGTGCCCCCACCCTGCTGTAGTAACAGGGAAGCAGTCTTAGGGAGGGAGGGAGACAGACAGAGAGAGAGAGGAAGGGAGAGAGGAAGAAAGGAAGGAAGGGAGGGAGAGAGGAAAGGAGGGAGGAAAGAAGGGAGGGAGGGAGACAGGAAGTAAAGGAAGGGAGGGATGGAGGAAGTAAAGAAGGGAGGGAGGAAGTAAAGGAGGGAGGGAAGAAGTGAAGGGAGAGAGGGAGGAAAGAAGGGAGGGGTGGAGGAAGGAAGGAAGGAAAGGAGGGAGGGAGGGACAAGAGAAGGGAGGGAGAGAAGAAGGAAAGAAGGGAGGAGGGAGGCAAAAAGGAAGGAAGGGAGGGAGGGAGGGAGGGAGGGAGGGAGGGAGGAGTGGAAATGGAATCTACCAGTTCTTTGCAATGAACTTCCAGTTTACAGGGCAAACGGGGTAGAGGAACAGGTCAAGTGACCCCACAAGGATGTAACCAGGTGCATCTCCAATGCAGATGTCCCATGGGATGACTGGCTGGGTTTTCTCAACGAGGCAACTGCATGGGGGAAAAGAGTGGGGGATTCCACTAGATTAACAGAGCTGTAACCTATAGTGACAGGAAGCAGATGAGTGGTTGTGGGGACGGGGAGGGTTGGTAGGGAGGGATAGTGGGGGCTGCAAGGACACCTTTGAGGGTGAGGAACCTGTTCATTATCTCATCTGTGGTCACAGCTTCCCAGGTGTGTGTATATGTGTAGCTAAGTCAAAAGCTGTCAAACTGTCCATCTTAAATATATGCAGTTTAAACCTGTATGTCAATTGCAACTCAATAAAGCTGTTAACATTTTTTTTTAACAATTTGAGAGACATGACAACAAAATGAATAGTGTGAACCCTGCGTGAATCCTACTTTTATCAAAACCACCGTAAAGAGATGTTTTGGAAAATTTGGGGGAATCTGAGTGTGAACTGACTATTAGATGATATTAAAATGTTCAAATTGCCAGGTGCGGTGGCTCATGCCTATAATCACAGCACTTTGGGAGGCCGAGGCTGACAGATCGCTTGAACTCAGGAGTTCGAGACCAGCCTGGGCAACACAGCAAAACCCTGTCTCTACCAAAAATATAAAAAGTTAGCTGGTGTGGTGGCACACGCCTGTGGTCCTAGCTACTCAGGAGGCTGAGATGAGAGGATTGCTTGAGCCCAGGAGGCAGAGGTTGTAGTGAGCCGAGATCATACCACTTCACTCCTGTCTGGGTGACAGAGTGAGATTCTATCTCAAAAAAATAATAATAATTTTATCAGGTGTGACAATGGTATCATGAGAAAAGACATCCATATTTTCATGTAAAAATTTCTTTTCTTTTCTTTTTTTTTTTTTTTTGAGACAGAATCTCACTCTGTTGCCCAGGCTGAAGTACAGTGGCATGATCTCAGCTCACTGCAAACTCCGCCTCCCAGGTTCAAGCGATTCTCCTGCTTCAGCTTCCTGAATAGCTGGGATTACAGACGTGCGCCACCATGCCTGGCTAATTTTTGTATTTTTAGTAGAGATGGGGTTTCACATGTTGGCCAGGCTGGCCTCGAACTCCCAACCTCAAGTGATCCGCCTGCCTTGGTCTCCTAAAGTGTGGATTACAGGTGTGAGCCATCACGCCTGGCCAAAGTTTTCACTGAAGTAAGACATACAGGCAAGCTCACAGACGACTGGTGTATACACAAAATAAGCACCCAGATCAAAAGACAGCACTCCTGCCATTCCAGACGCCCCCTCCTCAGGTGGCCCCCTCCCAGTCACTGTCACCCCCACGGTAAGTAACCACAAGGGTCCCAGGAAAACCT
The DNA here is from genome assembly GCF_000001405.40 of Homo sapiens. Lineage (NCBI taxonomy): Eukaryota > Metazoa > Chordata > Mammalia > Primates > Hominidae > Homo > Homo sapiens. The sequence goes on along the minus strand of NC_000007.14, from coordinate 4,082,076 downwards.
GTTATTCCAACACCAAAGATTACTTCTTCCTGTTTTGGAACATTCTATAAATGGAATCACACAGTATATGCTCCAAGCAGGGGTCTGGTTTTCCTTTTGTTAAACATTATGCCTGTGAAATTCATCCATATTGGCATGTGAACAGGCATTTTAGACACATGTGTGATGTGTATGGGGGAAAAGTGACATGTGGTCTGAAATATGCTTCAAAATACGCCAATAAAAAACCAGGGATGGATGGATGCAGCAAAATCTTGAGGATCATTGACTTTTGCTGATGGGTATAAGAGGGCTTACTCTATTCTTCCTTTTGCATATATTTAAGATGTTTTACATTAAAAATGTAAAACCTCTTTACAGGTCAGGTGCGGTGGCTCATGCCTGTAATCCCAGCGATTTGGGAGGCCGAGGCAGGCGGATCACGAGGTCAGGAGATCCAGACCATCCTGGCTAACATGGTGAAACCCCGTCTCTACTAAAATACAAAAAATTGGCTGGGTGGGTGGCGGGTGCCTGTAGCCCCAGCTACTCGGGAGGCTGAGGCAGGGGGAATCACTTGAACCTGGGAGGAAGAGCTTGCAGTGAGCTGAGAAGGCGCCACTGCACTCCAGCTTGGCGACAGAGCAAGATTCTGTCTCAAAAAAAAAAAAATTAAAGAAACAGGTTGTATGACATAAAGCTAGGATACTATGGCCAAGAAACTGTGGTGAGGGTCCCCACATCACTCCTTGTCTTTCCCTCCCAGATGAGCTGAAATGCAACACTCTCAGACTCTCCTGCAGTGACACAGGGCCACGTTGCCCAAGTTCTGGGCAACGGAACATGGGCCAAAGGAGCGTCATCCACTCCTAGGCCTGCCTGGATGCACAGATGAGCTTTTGTATGTTGAGCCCTGAAGACGCTGGCGTTTCTGTCGCTGTGGCCTGCCTAGCCCTAGCGTAACACCACATTCTAAAGCCTGCAGAGAGCGCTGCCTCCTGGCCTCAGCTATGCGGCATCGTCAGACACCAAAGACCACAGCGCGTGCTTCTGCGGGCCTAAAAGTATTGCCTGGCTACTTCTGCAGATGGATTTTAATAGTAGAATTGGTTTTCATGAGACATTGTGATTCTTGTCCTATATTTAATCCTAAGCGTTTTAAAGTTTGCTTTCATCAATTTAGTCTTCATTTGCTGAAGACTGATTTTCTTTTTTCTTTTTTTATTGTAATTTTATTATTATTATACTTTAAGTTTTAGGGTACGTGTGCACAATGTGCAGGTTTGTTACATATGTATACATGTGCCATGTTGGTGTGCTGCACCCATTAACTCGTCTTTTAGCATTAGGTGTATCTCCCAATGCTATCCCTCCCCACCCCCTCAACGCCACAACAGTCCCTGGTGTGTGATGATGTGAGGTAGGGCTCTACTGCTATTTTTCCTAAGTAAATAATTGTTCCAGCCCCATTTGTGGGTCAGTCCCATCCAGATGGTTTGCGCCTTCAGGATCCTCCTTAGACTTTCAGAAATGTTTGCTTAATGAAACTTTTGAAGAGGTAGATAGGATTTGTTCCCTAATTTACGGCCAATTTCCAGGAGTGGATCGTCTTGCAGTATAGCATAAGTACAGTCATGAAAACCACAAGGATTTTACTACAGATAATAACTATTTTGAAACTTTACTACTCCTCATAATTTGGCCCTTTATCTTTTTCCTCCTGCTTTTATTGGAACATGGAAGTGGCAGATTGCACGGCTTCACCAATGCCAGCATGATCCTATTCAAGCCTGGCACTGTCCCGGACCCCTGCGTGCTCCAGCACTTGCACAGCTGGAGTCGGACCGGAAGTCTCTCGGCGGAGTCCACTCTCTCAAGTCCTGTGGAACCCGCCCCCAGCTCTCCCCAGACTCACTCCCTGCCACCGCAGGGCTTGCTCCCCTCCCTCCAGCACCCACCCTCCTCGCTGTCCCTCAAATATAACAGCTTTCCCACAGCTGGAGGTCTTTCTTTCCCAGACAGCACTTTTCTCCTCGACAGCAGAAACTCAGCCAGCTTTGTCTACTGCAATAGCCCCCGTGCTCAGAATAGTGCCTGCTGATAGAACAATCGTCTCTAAAAATATTGTTGAATGAATGCATAGCTAATGACACACAAGCTGTACCAAGCAATTAATCCTATTAGTATATTTAGTAGCTAATTGTGATATAGAATTTTTAAAAACTCAATCAACGACACTATCCAATTTTGGGTACCTATTTTGAATCACAACTTTCATTTTAACCCTTCTTATCCTTGTCTTATCACCTGGTAGGACCCCGGCCTGACATCTTGTTCTTTGTCTTCCTACATTCTGCCCTGGTATCTGGGCTATCTCCAGCCCCTGGTTCTCCCTCTCCAAGCACACCCATCTCCCCGACACCCCAAGCCATCATCTGCAGGGGTACCACTCATTCACAGGCCCCAACACTGCTCTTCGCAAATGCCAGCTCCCAGTCTAACGACACACGTACCTGCCCCTCAACAATCCACCTGGAGATGGACGTTTTCCCGTCATAGCCTGGCCGGAACTGAAGGGTGGCGGAGCGAGGGCTGATGTTGGAAATGACCAGGTTGGATGGGGCACCAGGAAGGTCTAGAGAGGAACCAGGGAGGAAAGGGAGAGATTTACAGTCCGTCACAGCTTAGGAAAGGTATCAAACGTGTCAGCTTCAAAAGTAAACAGTTTCAAAACGATTCTATACCAAAAAAGGATTTGCTCTCAAAACCATGAAGGTGAGAAGCAGCACAGCTTCCCCAGGGGCATGATCAGTGCATGGTTTTTGCTTTAATGGGGTGACCCAGTGGGCTTTGGGAGACACGTCGCTAACATGGCCTCCCTGATGAGAAACTCTGCAGGCACACGTCATGTCTTACGCATCTCTGTACTTCGTAGGTAATTAACAGATGCTGGCTGAATGAGGAAAGGATGAATGAATGTAATTCTTCCTGGCTCCTCAAACCACACAGAGAACGAGCGGGCCGTACTTCCTTTCATAATTACCGCGGCCTCGGAGGGATGGAGGGAAGAGTGCATAGGCCCAGGGTTGCTCCCAGGCGGCGTGACACCCGGTCAGGATCGCCTGCTCCCAGGCGACGTGACACCCGGTCAGGATCAGGTCTTGAGCCTTAGGCTTCTTGGATTTCGTTTCCAAGACGAACAAATTCTCGTGCAAGTGCAGAACTCTCCTTTCTCTGCTTCTATTCAGTTGCTCAGGCAACTGGATAAGGTGGAAGGTGGGTTCTGAATGAGCCTCCCGTTGAGGGTGCCCGTGGCTCAAGCCTACTCCTAGATGAGAGACCCTTCAGATGCCGCTCCCCAAAGAGCATCTCCCACCCGGAATTGTAGCATTATGAGTTCAAAACGAGAGCTTTCGTGTTACTGTGCCATGCAAAATACTCTAGAGAAAGATAAGGGGATAAAATGGGGAAGAAAAAGAAAAGAAAAATGCAAGGCTAGGGCAGCTTTCAGACCTCACTATCTCTGAGGAATGCTTTCCTCATTTGCTGTTGCTTGGGGTGTTTGAAACCAGGTCTTGCACAGGGACAATGAAACTATTTTGGTGATCAATTCAGTATCGGCATGGGCAGGGTCTGTAGGATCTCAAGGGTCCTTTCCACATCTAGTTTTTAATGAATTTGAAATAGAAAATGTTTAAATTGAAGGACAAGTGGACTCTTTCCTATTTCTCAGCTCTCTGGATTTTTAAATGGTTCTTCAATCATTAATGGCGATAAACTTCAAGCACGGTAAACAGAACATGGTGTCCCCAAAGCAGTCCTCGCCATTTGATTTGCCTCCAGCCACTACCCAGGATGAGTGGGTAAGGCTTTAAGACCCCTCTCCAGCTACAAGCGTTCAGCCTTGGCAATGACGGAACAGCAACTCCAGTGCCTCCCTGCACCTTGGTTATCAGGGGTTTGGCCAAAGCAGCCAGGCCTCAGTTTCCCCTCTAACACTCCACTCTGTGGCTCCAGACGTAGTGTGCGTCAGAGTGTTTCTGGAAGCACAGCCTTCCGGAGGTCAGCTAACCCATTTCCCTGCCCTGGATAAACAATGTCCAAGACATCTCAGGAAAACTCTGGTAACTTGCACCCAGATGTGCTTCTAGTGTTAACCTTGGTCGCTATATATACCAATTTTTACCCAATTAAACCACACACCATCATCATTGATATGGTTTGGCTGTGTCCCCACTCAAATCTCATCTTGAATTGTAACTCCCACATTTCCCATGTGTCATGAGAGGAACCTGGTGGGAGGTAACTGAATCATGGGGGCAGGTCTTTCCTGTGCTGTTCTCATGATAGTGAATAAGTCTCACAAGATCTATGGGTTTTAAAAACGGGAGTTTCCTTGCACGGGCTCTCTCTTTGCCTGCTGCCATCCATGTAATACATGACTTGCTCCTCCTTGCCTTCCGCCATGATTGTGAGGCCTCCCCAACCATACGGAACTGTAAGTCCATTAAACCTGTTTCTTTTGTAAATGGCCCAGTCTCGGGTATGTCTTTATCAGCAGCATGAAAATGGACTAATACAATCATCGCTACTGTTTTGAAAGTATTCATGGCATTTTAGATATGCATTGGGAACTGGCTTTAAACACTTTCAACGCATGTTCTGGGAACTGGCTGAGGCCAAAGCAGGAGGGGAAGACAGAAGGGACGTGAGGCCGTGGTGGAATGCTCTGGAGAATGGGGCTGAAGTGGGGTCAACACCCATTTACCCTCCAGCATCTTGGCAGGAGGCCACTACTCCTTTTCAAGGCACTCAGTGGCTTCCACACCAAAGTGCCAATCAACTTCTAGCCTCGGGAATCTCCAAGAGAAAGGTGACAGCAGGAGGACCGCACACGATTCTACTGACCTGGGGGCACTCCAGAAGAAATGGTGGATGAAGTCACCAGGCCAGTGCCCACGGCAGTCACAGCGGCCACGTCGATGGTGTAGGTGGTGAGAGATGAGAGGCCTTGGATCTTGTACTCGTGCGTCGTGCTGTTCAGGGTGTGCGTGAGACGAGAGTCGTTCCTGCCGTACACTTCCCAAGAGATCTGATAGCCTAGAAAGCAACAGGACCAGACCAGTGTTGGTCTCCTGAAGGCCAAGGGCTCACCTGAATTCCACAGCACCATCGTTGCAGGCTTGGAGCTATGGAGAGCTTGGCTGGATGTGCTGAAGGCAGCTTAGAGCCACTGTGCTACTGACATGAGACACAGGTCAAGGCTCCTTCCTCTGTGTGCCCAATGCGATCTCGTAAACCTGCTTATGGGAGTGACGGTCCCACCACAGGGGACCATCCCTCCCTACCAGGGCGAGCTTCATAAGGACAGGGCCTCTGGGATGCTCTGGTAACCTCAGCACCAGGTGCGTGAACTGAAACATGACGACAGCTGCCAGCCTGCTGTGCTCAATTCGACCTTCTCTTGTCAAATTATGAATGCATTTCACCAATAATTCCACTAAAAAATGTTATGTATGTATATATGTATGTATGTATCTATCTATTTATTTTTGAGTCTGTTGCCCAGGCTGAAGTGCAATGGTGCAATCATAGCTCACTGCAGCCTCAACCTCCTGGGCTCAATCCATCCTCCCACCTCAGCGTCCTGAGTAGCTGGGACCACAGGCGTGAACCACCATGCCTGGCTAATTTTTTGTATTTTTTTGGAGAGATGGGGTTTCCCCCTGTTGCCCAGGCTGGTCTGGAATTCCTAGGCTCAAGAGATCCTCCCGCCTCGGCCTCCCTTAGTGTTGGGATTACAGCCACTGTACCCGGCCAATCATTTCATTTTTGGAAGCCGATATTTTTTGTACCTTAAATCAATGGCTTGCTCTTCGGTTGCAACTAATTCATGGAAACACTTCTACTTTTTCCTTCAAGAAATGACTGACAGATTACTCTTACATTTTGCAATGCACTGGAAAAGTTTATTTTCACCTGAGTGTGTGAGTTTTGCTTCTAGCTCTCTCTCCCCTTTTCATATATCCTGTTTTCTAATAAATTTGATTTCCCCCTATACTCTCTTCAGGCCAGTGGGGCCTCATGACGAAAATTTATTCAACCTGGGATTCCACTGTGACTTGGGGCTTAGAGAAAAAAGACCTGCGGGGCACGGTGGCTCACACCTGTAATCCCAGCACTTGGGGAGGCCAAGGCGGGTGGACCACCTGAGCTCAGGAGTTGGAGACCAGCCTGGCCAACATGTGAAACCCCGTCTCTACTAAAATATAAAAATTAGCCATGCATGGTGGTGGGCGCCTGTAATCCTAGCTACTCGGAAGGCTGAGGCACGAGAATCACTCGAACCTGGGAGGCGGAGGTTGCAGTGAGCCAAGATTGCGCCATTGCACTCCAGCCTGGGTGACAGAGCAAGACTTTGTCTTAAAAAAAAAAAAAAAAGGAGAAATAAGACCCAACTAGCTCCTGAATCAATCAACCCGCGTGGAGGGGAGTTAATGTGATCAGAGAGCACTTAAAAGTGTCTTTTAAAGAGGGAGACAGTGGTGGAAAGAGCTCATAGGTCCACAGGCAAAAGAAAACAGCTGAAAACGCTTGCTCTTCCCTATTTCTAGTCAATAACCTCAGGGATATAGAAGCGCTAGGACGCACCTGAAACTTCCTCCTCATTCTGATGAAAGCAATAAATAAAGCTAGGAGTTGCACTTGCAGGTAAACAAGAATTTAGAGGACAGCATCTTGAGACTTTATATTTTGAAAAAAATTTAATGTCGTAAACTGCTCCCCCTGGCCGTGCCACAGGCCCCGTACAGCCTGGCAGCTTCTGTGTGCGGGCTGAGGGGACTCCCGTGTGGGCGGACGCAGTGGGGAGCTCCAAGGAACAAGGGCCACCAGAGGGGAGGCCTGGCTGCTGGGTGCCTCCAGAGCACTTGGAGCACCTGCCATCCTGTGAGTTGTCACCAAGTGGTGCTGCCTGCCTGCCTTTGGGGTCTCTGCCTGGGCCCAGGAGGGTCACTAAACCATCCTCTGTGGTGTCTTCATCAAAGGCGCCTGGCTGCTTCTCAGGTCCTGGTCTCCTTTTCCTCCTCCCAGGGAGAGGGGAGAAGGCCGACTACCCAGGCCAACCACTCATTTTTGCCTTCTCCCATTTCCTTCCTAACTTTATTAAAAAAAAAAAAAAATATATATATATATATATATATATATATATACAGAGAGAGAGAGAGAGAGAGAGAGAGAGAAAGTCTTGCTCTGTTGCCCAGGCTGGAGTGCAGTGGGGTGATCACGGCTCACTGCAACCTTGAACCACTCAACCCAAGCGATTCTCCCACCTCAGTCTCTCAAGTAGCTGGTACTATAGGCATGTGCCACCATGCCTGGCAAGTTTTTAAAATTTTTTGTAGAGATGAGGGTCTCACTGTGTTGCCCAGGCTGGTCTCAAACTCCTGGTATCAAGCGATCCTCCCACCGTGGCCTCCCAAAATGCTAGGATTACAGCCGTCAGCCACCACGCCCAGCCTGGGCCCTGCCCTCGCTTTACATCTTAGCATTTCCCTCATCTGCCCACCCTGACGTCTAAGACATCTAGCCTGCCCCATTCATTCATGTAACCCTCACAACACACCTTTGAAATTGGAGCCATTGTTATCCTATTTCACAAAGGAAGAAACCAAGCCACAGAAAGCTTCGTGGACTTGCTGGAACCCAAGACAGCCCTCAGTGGATGAAGGAAATAATGGATACATGGTCCGTTTCCAAGACAAAGTACCTTGAATCAGCTTAGGTCAGCAAACTACAGAAGAAACAGGATACACTAAGCCCCTGCTTCAATCGCAAATGCCTGCTTCTCAGCCTCCCCCAATCCCTCAGTTGTCCCCACCCCAACCAAAGAAGTTTAGTCTAAGATGAAAGTTTACTATCCTGCAGAATAGCTCGTTTCGTCTGTTCTTATCAGCCTGCCCAGCTACTTAGGTCGTAAGTCAAATACCTGAAGACCCCCTGAGCTGACTAGGATTGCAGTGCATTGTGGGCTGCAACAAAATGCAACAGGACAACCCTAAAAAAACACCTACGGCCCCCTGCCCAACAACCAATAGGCGATGTCCGGGAAGACTGTGACCTCCCCCGCCCCACCCCATAGTGCTCAGCCTATGAGGAACTGGGAGAGGGGCCTGAGCACTAGGGGATAAATCGCTTGTTGTGGCCGTGCTGAGTGTGCCTGCCCACCACACACTCGATCTTGCAAGACCGGCATTAAAAGTCTCACTTTCGCTGTTCTCCGGGTCTCTGAGTCCATTCTTTGGGTTTGGACGGGTGAGTTTGTTTCTCATGGTGCACGAGACCCTGCTCTCAAAGCGCCTCCTCCTCCAGCACCTCCTCCTGATGTGTGCAAGGGAACTGAGACATCCCTGACCTTGGTGGGTCACACCTGGTCAATCGCTAAATAATTTGATCCTCGGGGTCTACTCTGAACCTATGGGAAGAGCAGACTTTGTTTAATATTACAACTTGTCTGCCAGAAAATTTTATTTGTTTAAAAGCTGTTTTTCATCAGAATTTACTGAAACACAGCGTCATGTTTGTCATGTCGACCTAGAGCTGAAACACGGCAATTCCAGCATCTTCAGGAAGAGCAGTGTTGATAGAATTTATTAGGATCAACATTGATAATATAGTGTGCTCAAATGGTTGTGGATACAAACAAAAACCAAACGGATAGCTAGAGAGGCTGATCTGCAGAGAAACGCCAGCAGAAATGGTGCAGGCCCAAGACGTGTGATGCCTGTGAGCACAGACAGAGTGGTGGGCGTGAGGTGGGAAAGACGTCCCCTAATTTATGAACAACAGCTTTTGGGGGAGGTGCGTGGAGGGCTCAGGCAGTGCTGGCCAGGGGATGCATCCTCTGCTTCCAGCTCCCAGAGGAGAGAGGAGAGAGGCGCCCGGAGCCAGGAGCGGGGGTACCTCCCGCTTGGCATCCTACCTGCTCCCAATGGCTGCCTAACTGAGACTAATGGCCAGAGGAGCTTCAGAAATAATTTTCTGTTGATCTAAAGTAAATTCTCTAGAAGAGAGCAGTGCATCCAATCACAAACTGTCTGTCTGCATCCTGGCCCTCATAAATCAGAGTTTACTGAAGGAGAGTGGAGGACGCTGAAATTTACAATGAGCGGGCAATGGGCAATTTACTCGGGCAGGCGCAGCCGCCCCCTACTCCGTGCTTCCCTCTCATTCCAGGCCTCGAATTAAAATGGAAGCTGGGGGTGCTCACCACAGACCAGGGCTAATAAACCTACGTTTCCAACAGCGCCTCTGGCCCGTAAAGTGGTGCTGAGCCCAGGCCCAAGCCGTCAGTCATCCTGGGCTCCTGCAGCTGCCTTTAATAGCAGGTGCAGCCTTTGCAGGAAGCCTGCGAGAGCATGGTGGTGCCGCACCAACACTTCCAGAAACCGGCAGCCAGGTTTGCCCACGAACACAGTTTTTCTTTTGCTCTTCTCAATGAGACACTCTGCCTTCAGCACAGAATAGAATTTCATGGTGCTGCCAGCATGTTCCACTGGAAAACTATGTCTACATGGTGGGTGCTGGGGGGAGCTCCCCTGATGCGGGCATCACTGGGGGCACAGGGTGATGCTGGGCTGGTAAGGTGATAACATCCGATCTCATCTCCTCTAGGACCTTCTCCTCCAAAGAGCTGCAGGCGTCCACTGCAGCTTCTGTGACACAAGGTGCACATTACAGTGAGCAGGAAGGGAAAACACACAGGCCACACACAGAAGGGGACAACGTGGCTGCCGAGAGGAACCTGCAGAGAGTCTGCCTGGTGCTCTCACTGCAACTTTGCTGCCCCTGACAGCACAGGCACCTCCAAACCCAGGCCTCTGGCTACACCCAGCCCAGGAAAGCTCGAGCTTCGAAGTCAAGCTCCACCATAAACAACAGACTGCTGCTTTTAACTACAGGTATTTGTTTAAATAAAACATGAAAATGAGTTCATGAAGCCCCATTAGCTGGTGAAACAGACGATCATAAATTGGAAGTATTGGCAACCACTGCTTAGCCGTGAAATGTTGGCTCAACGTGAATTATTATGCCCATGGATTTTTTTCTTTCAGCTTTAAACAGGAAAGAAGTGTGTGCTGTGTTCACAAAGGGCAGGGCAGGGGCTAACGTGTGTATCTGTAAAAAGGGAATTCCTTCTGTGTACACACATCTACCAAGGAGTCTCTGCCAGATTTCCAAAACATGGCCGACTGCAGACCTGAAAGGCGACTGGGCAGACGGTAGGCCAGAATTCTTTCTTTCCTACCCGGGCAGCCCCGTTTCTGGGATCAGTGGTAAGCAGAGCTCTAATTCCAGCCACTGAACTGGTCCCTGAAGGGTCTGAACTGGAAAGTCTTCTTCTTCCGAATGGTAGCCTCCTGCTCAGCTTTTAAAAATCCCTCCTCCCACTAGTTTGTTTTTCCTTTCTTTGAATGGTTTAAAGCAAGATTAAACTAGGTTCCTGCAGTCTATAGTGCCCTCCCCTGCTCAGTTCCCCCTGCCTTTGCTTAATTCCTTCGACTCCAGGCAACAGGAGGCCCTTTTAATTGTACACACTCAGCACTTGCGATTCTCAGATGACTTCAGAATGTGCAACAGATTGTGTCCAATTCTAGTAGTGACTTCCCCCCATTCCTGGAGTTTTCACACTATTTAAAGTGGGCACTTCAAAAGATAAGCTTCTGGAAGGCAGAGCCAGATTCATTAATTTACTTTTTTTAAAAGTTAAGGTGAGGCCAGGCGTGGTGGCTCATGCCAGTAATCCCAGCACTTTGGGAGGCCGAAGTGGGTGGATCACCTGAGGTCAGGAGTTCAAGACCAGCCTTACCAATATGGTAAAACCCTGTCTCTACTAAAAATACAAAAATTAGCTGGGTGTGGTGGCGCACACCTGTAATCCCAGCTACTTGGGAGGCTAAGGCAGGAGAATCATTTGAACCGGGAGGCGGATGTTCCAGTGAGCCAAGATCACACCACTGCACTCCAACCTGGGTGACAGAGAGACACTCCATTTCAAAAAATAAATAAACAAAAAATTAAAAACCCCACAAAGTCCAGCTATATGCTTATAAGAGGCACAGCACACTTTGGGAGGCCAAAGTGGGTGGATCACGAGGTCAGGAGATCGAGACCATCCTGGCTAACATGGTGAAACCCCCGCCTTCACTAAAAATACAAACAATTAGCCAGGCGTGGTGGCTCACGCCTGTAGTTCCAACTACTCGGGAGGCTGAGGCAGGATAATTGCTTGAACCCAGGAGGCAGAGGTTGCAGTGAGCTGAGATTGTGCCACTGTACTCCATCCTGGGCTGCAGAGTGAGACTCCATCTCAAAAAAAAAAAAAAAAATTTGAGAGGTGGCACTGGCTCCAAGGTGACCTTGTGTATGGGCTGTGGGCACACCGCTCTATCAGGGGATCTGGTTGGCACAGATGATTACAGGAGATTCTACTGATGAGTAGTGGTGGGGTTGGCACTGGGTTTGCTATGTAGCTGGAGTTCTGTGTAGAAAGAGGTCACTGTAGGAACACAGTCTCCCACTGTGCCCCAGGGCACCTGGGATGCTGCAGTGACCTCCCAGGAGCACTGCAGGGATGCACAGGACACTCAATGCCAGTGGGACACACGTGAGCCTCCAGCCCGAGGTGGCTCCATTTCCGGGTCAGAGCATGCCACGAGTCCTTGGATATATCCTGTCTTTGCAAAGCAGAGTTTTTGGTGGATGTTGTGATAAGGAAACAAGTACTGCCTGGAAACCAAAGTGAACCGGGAAATGAGGGTGACGAGGGACCATCTGGTCCCAAGGTCTGAGAAGGTGGGCAGTCCCAGGCGGGTGCAGACATCCCATTAGGAACTAACTGTGGTCACTGAAAAAAGAAATGCAAGTATTATTTCTTTCAACTACTGTGTAGTATTTTTTACATGGCAATTATAATTGTTAGCGCATATTAACACTTCCGTTGTTTGGACCTAACTACTTAATAAACAGAACCGTCAGGCATTTCTGTGGCCTCAGGGTGCTTTGAGAAATTATGGAGATGCTAAGAGGACTGTGGATGGGGAAAGTGAGCATCCCATGCTGTGGGGTTCAGAGCATGGTTCAAACCTCACCCCCACCACATCAACGCTGCAGAGGAGAGAATGCGCACATGCCCATTGGCTGTGATGGTGGGACGTCACCACCCTAAACCTCAGCCTTGTCATCGCCAGGCCTCGGTTATAAGACACCCCTTGTGTGGTTGCTGAGAAAGCAAAACGAGATCCCACAAGGCTAGGGTGACAAACACAGTGGAAGTGGCCAGGGTCATCATTGCCGCTGTCATCCAGGACGCCAGTGCGGAGAAGAAACGGCCCCCAACCCTGCAGCCTGGCAGGAGGGAGAGATCACCTGAGGCTCTTGGTCTCTGGGCAGCACAGTCCCAGCACAGGCTTCTAGGACACACCCAGAGAGCATAAGCTTGCTTCACAGAACAATCAGGCACTTGAATTCCATGGCTCCCGCAGGCAGCTGAGAACGCTGCCACCACGGAGCGGAGACGCAGCTCAGCTCCAAACTGACCGCTCGCGTCAGGACGGGCAACTCACTCAACCTTGGGGTGCGGCTGCAGAATACCCACGCAGGAGCCCCTGCCGGGACATGAGATGCCACAGGCAAAGCCCCCAGAGAGGGCTGACACAGAAGTGTCCTATATATGGCTGACAGAGAAGAAGATTAAGTGGCTTGCTAGAAATCCTTGGTAATGTTTAGAAAAAAAACAGATGTCTGTTGGAGGCTGAGTTGTTCTGGGCCAGGCAGTGGGCAGCCACTGATACAACTTCTCTCAACTCGTCCTCCTGACAGCCCCTCAGTTGTAACTGAGGATCCCAGAGGTCTGCTGAGGCTCTTAGAGTGACTAAAACAGTAGAACAGGGGGCCCTGCCCAGCCTCATCTGAGGCTAGAGCCTATGTTGCTTTTGTCAAACCAAGATTTTTTTTTTGAACTAAGATTTAAATTAAGCTTTAACCTAAAAGGTTTTTCAGAGACATTATAAAAATTTGGCCAGGCGCAGTGGCTCACGCCTGTAATCCCAGCACTTTGGGAGGCTGAGGCAGGTGGATCACTTGAGGTCAGGAGTTCGAGACCAGCCTGGCCAACATGGCAAAACCCCATTTCTACTAAAAATACAAAAATTAGCCAGGTATGGTGGCACACACCTGTAATCCCAGCTCTTCAGGAGGCTGAGGCAGGAAAACTGCTTGAACCCGGGAGGTGGAGGTTGCAGTGAGCCGAGATCACGCCACCGCACTCCAGCCTGGGCGAGAGAGCAAGACCCTGTCTCATAAATAAATAAATAAATAAATAAAATCATTAAAAACCCTAAAAAAGGTGAGCTGTCTCCCACAGAGACCCCCTCAAACCAGGAGAGGAGATCTCACTGCCCAGGGGCCTCTAAGGCTCAGCCCCCATCCCTGGTACAGCTCAGAACCTCCTCCGAAGTACCTGCCTCACAGTCTCCTCAGGGCTCTCACTGGAGGGCAGGGTGGGGAGGGGACAGAACATGGGATCTGGAGTCAGAAGACCCAGATCTCACCCTTGCGGCTCACAGCTGTGGGACGAGGGCTGAGACACAGGCACGTAAGCCTCATAGTCACACCACCTGGCTGTGTCTGAGAAGGCTGGCTGCCCACAGGAGCGCTCAGTGCCATCTGCTGAATGAAGGAAAGGTCACCCACCCTCTCGGGGCCTCAGTTTCCTCATCTGTAAAATGGTCATAATATCGATATTGACCTTACCATGCTGCTATGAGAATTAAGCAAGACACACGCATGTGAACAAATGTGTCATAACATGACTGACTCTCATTGGTCAGAGACTCTGGACACCTACTAAGATCATGCGAGGAGAACAGATCTCAAACTATGGCTGCTGCCCACACAGTAAAGGGCCCCAGACCAGGCTGGCTCTCACTGGGGCAGTCCCAGTGCTGGGACTCTGCCACACGGCCAGGAAGACTTTTCAGTTCCTCTTGAGAAGGCCATGGGCACGGGTCCATGCTGTCAGCAGTTTGGTTTGAAGTGACAGCCACTTCTTTTTGTGAGGACAAACTTATCTTTTCCTTTTTTGAAGGACAGGCCTACTTACCAGTAATGATGCCATTTTTCTCCAGGGGCTCCTGCCAGCTGACCTTGAGAGATGTGTCCAAGATCTCTGTGAAACTCAGATGTCCCACAGCTCCTGGTTCTACCAATTAAAAGCAAAGTCATCTGTTAACACAATAGCCCAAATTTTCTTTTGATCAGATGTGTGGGGAAGGTTCTAACTATGGAAGGAAAGTGGTGAGCTGGGGCTGCAAAACCCTGCAGGAGACATCAGTGGAATGCAGAAAGAAGGAGGGTGTTCAAGGCATCCTGGCTATCATCACACACATTATTTTCTCCAGCTTCATCCCAGCCACACAGGGCACTGGAGCTACTGGTGGCAGGAGATTTATACACAAACCATTCTCTGTCTTTCTCCTTGATCTAATCTGATTAGAACAATCAGGCTGGCTGGATTCTCAAGAGCAACTGCCTCCTCTGAGTGTTCCTCCATGGTGTATGCAACCCCGTGTCTGGCTTGTGTGGGGGCCATCTGTAACCTTGTGCAAACCAGAAAAGGACCCTGGGCCCAGGGGCAGGCTCACCTGCCAACCTGGTCCAGAACTCCAGGCTCCAAACCCAATCGGTATCCTGAAGGATTCCAGAGGGGCGAGGCAGTGGCCTGAGAAAATCCCAGCAAAAACAAATTCCTTTCCCAGGAGCTTCTGTGCCCTGCGGCCCCCTTGCTAACACGGGCAGGCAGAGCCGCAGAGTTACGCTTGAACGCTGGCGTCCAAGCTGGGTGTCAGACCTGGCTGAGCTACTTGCTGCCTAGGAAATTACACTCTCGACACCTTAGTCTGTTAATGTGTGAAGCAGGGAAAATAAAAATAACTCAGCGAGACAATTATAAGAATAAATTGTAATAAAACATGAAAACACGAGGATGTCCCGGGCACCATGAAAATGTTCCATGATCATCAGCCGCTGTCATGATGATGAACCTCTCATCAGAACATAAACTCATTCCTAGGATCAGAGGATGCCACCCCAGAGAAAAGACCTGAGAGTCTAAAACATGAGTTAAAAATCCAAGATGCAGGTGCAGCTCAGCAAAGCAAACTGCTTGAGGAAGGGCGGCCACAGGCGCAGAGCTCCGCCCCACATGCAGATGGACCACCTGCCTGCGACTCAGGGACAGCAGGGCCCACAGCAAGTCGCTGCTGGCCGGACAGCAGGGACATCTGGCAGTTCTGACCCACATCTCTTGCACCAGCTCACCCAGGTTTAGAGCCTTTTAGTGTTCCCATAGCAGGTCCCATCGGTCCCATCAGGGCCAGCCCACACTGTGTGGTGATGGGGAGGGAGGAGAGGATGCCTGGCTATCTGGAGGAGATAGGTGGATGTCCTGATGGTGATGTTCTCCCGGATGCCGTTACTCCCAAGCCCTGCCATGTGCCTTCCATGGTCTCTCTATAGCCATAGCTGCTGTGCAAGGCATGAGGAGCAGGTGGAAATGGAAACGCTTTTGGGGAGGCTGGCGTCTTACGAGCAAATGGAGGGAAGGATGAGGGGAAGAGAGACAGTGCACTCCCATTCCCTAAGTCAGGCACCACAGGCACCTGTGCGGTGCCTGAAAGTGCCCCTCCATCCATTGATCTCAGCAGCAAACACAAACACAGCTGCCCGGGTTGGCCCTGCTTCCCCGCCTGCCATTGAGAGCCCTACCTCCTCTCTGACAATGCCCCCATGCCTACCCCTCCAGATACCCGTTCAGGAGAAACATAGCGACAAAGCCAGGGAGGAGAAAAGGGCAGGAGGAAAGGGTAGTTCAAAGGCAGAACCGGGGAAAAGGGAGGAAAAGAATGATGGAGAAGAGACGAGACATCCGTCAGTTTCTGTATGTATCAGCTGAGTACACCCTCCACGCCAGGCAGGGAACACTGGTTCCTACTGAAAGCTCCACACCACACGACTCCCCTAGTGAACCTGCTGGATGGCGCCACATTCAAATCTTTTTAGTAATAAAAAATGCAAGTCTTTCAGCTTAAAATAGGAGAGCATGAAGTCAAGGGTGTCAGTTGTCCTGAAAGAGTATCCAGGATTCCTACAGAGAAGTCTCACCCCTGCAAAGTCCCTGTTCTGGTTACTGCCAGCCTCACTTGCACAAACATTAGATTTTTAGGGTGAATTCCATACCGAGCACTGAGTTGGTACTTGGACAAAGCCTTCTAACACAAGTCGTAATTTTTTTAAAATGGTAACAGCCTCAAAAAAAAAAAAAAAAAAAAAAAAAAAAAAAAAAACAACAACCACTCATCTGGGTGAAACTTTGAAAAGACTTTTCACAGATAAGCTCAAATGCTCTGATAAATTTCACTTTTCTAGTGTGGAAGATGGTAAAATAGAATGGCTGTCAAGACCATCTCATCCTCCCACAATTGTGAGCCTCCAGAAAGACATTCTGACAGATTTTTGCACTGACTTGTTCTTTTTTCAATCGATGGAGAAGGAAAGAAACCTTTTTGCTCCTTTTATATTATGTTTCTGCTTCCTGGATTCCTGCCCAAAGATGCTGTCCTCTAGCTCTGCTGCAATCAGCTGGCGATGTCTCAGCTTAAAATTTATATTCTGTTTCCTCTTTACTGCTACCCTCTCCCAACAACTTCTCATTTCCTCGGAGCTTTGGGAAAGAAGTCCTGCTGGGTGTGGAACTAACTACAGCACCATCAGCTAAAGAGAAAAGGAGGCCGTTTCTCCAGCACCCGAGAGTCTGAAGCTTTCTTTACTTTCTTTTTTATTGATACATAATACTTGTACACATTTCTATGGTACAGGTGACGTTTTGTTACAGGCACTGACTGTGTAACGGCCAAGTTAGGGTGTTCAGAGTGCCTATGGCCTGGAGTATTTATCATTTCTATGTGTTGTGAACATTCGAAATCCTCTTTCCTTGGTATTTTGAAATATACATCATTGTTAGCTGTAGTCACTCTACTGTGCCACGGAGCATTGGAACTTACTCCTTCTGTTTAACTGAATGTTTATGCCCATCAACTAACCTCTCTTTCTCCCCACCACCCTGCTCCACCGACACACCCCTCCCAGCCTCTAGTATCTTTCATTCTACTCTCTTATCTCCATGAGATTGGCCTTTTAAGCTACTACTTATGAGTGAGAACTTGTGATATTTGTTTTCCTGAGGGCATTGATGTAATGCCCTCCAGTTCCCTGCATGTTGCTGCAAATGACAGGATTTCATTCTTTCTTGTGGCTGAATAGTATTCCACTATGTATATACACCACATTTTCTTATCCGTTGGTCTACTGATGGACGCTTGGGTTGATTCCGTATCTTGGCTACTGTGAATGGTGCTGCAGTAAGCATGGGGTATGGGTATCCTTTGATGCACTGACTCCTTTCCTATGGATAAATACCCAATAGTGGGATTGCTGGCTCATAGGGTAGTTCTATTTTTAGTTTTTTGAAAACTTATACTGTTTTCCATTGTGGCTGTACTAATTTACATCATCACCAACAGTGTATTAGAGTTCCCTGTTCTCCACATGATTGTCAGCATTTTTTATGTCTTTTTAATTCTAGTGATTCTGACTGGGATAAAATGGTACCTCATTGAGGTTTTGATTAGCATTTCCTTGATGATTAGTGATACTGGGCATTTTTTCATAGACACGTTGACCATCTGTATGTCTGCTTTTGACAAGGGTTTATTCATGTCCCTTGCCCACTTTTTAAATGAGATTTTTTAAACTGTTGAGCTGAGTTCTTTGTATATTTTAGATATTAATCCCTTACCAGATGAATAGTTTGCAAATATTTTCTCCCATTCAACAGGCTGTCTCTTCACTCTGTTTACCATTTCCTTTGCTGTACAGAAGTTTTTAAGTTTGATATAGTCCCATTTGTCTATTTTTGGTTTTGTTGCCTGTGCTTTTGAGATCTTAGCCATAAAATCTTTGCCTACACTAATGTCCTGAAGTGTTTCCCCTGTGTTTTATTTTAGTAGTTTTATAATTTCAAGTGTTACATTTAAGTCTTTAATCCATCTTGAGTTATTTTTTAATTTCGATCTTCTGCATATGGATATCCAATTTTCCTAGCACCAAAATTATTGAAGGTATCCTGCCACCTTTATCGAAAATCAGTTGGTTGTAAATATATGGATATGTTTCTGGGTGCTCTATTCTGTTCCATTGGTCTATGTGTCTGTTGTTAACGCCAATACCATGCCATGGTTTTGGTTATTATAGACTTGTCATATATTTCAAAGATAGGTAGTGTGATTCCTCCAGTTTCGTTATTTTTGCTATGGATTGCTTTGGCTATTTGGGCTCTTTTTGGGTTCCACAAGAATTTACGGGGTTTTTTGTTTTTTTTTTTTGCTATTTCTGTGAAAATGACACTGGTATTTTGATAGAGATTGCATTGAGTCATTAGATTCATTTGGGGAGTATGGTCATTTTAATAATGCTAATTCTTCTGATCCATGAGCATGGGATGTCTTTCTATTTACTTGTGTCTTCTTCAGTTTCTTAGTTCCTTTCATCAATGTTTTGTATTTTTCTTTGTAGAGATCTTTCACCTCCTTGGTTAAATTAATTCCTAGATATGTTTTTCTTTTATAGCTATTGTAAATGGAATCAACTTCTTGATTTATTTCTCAGCTAGTTCATTATTGGTTTATAGAAATGCTACTGATTTTTGTGTGTTGCTATTGTATCCTGCAACCTCACCAAATTTATTTATCAGATATAGGAGTTTTTTGGTGGAGTCTAGGTTTGTTTAGACACAAGATCATGTCATCTGCAAAGAGAACAATCTGACTTCCTCTTTTCCAATTTAGATGCCTTTTATTCCTTTCTTTTGCCTGACTGCTGTGGCTAGGACTTCCAGTACTACAAATAGGTGTGATGAAAGTGGGCATCTTTGTCTTGTTCCAGTTATCAGAGGAAAGGATTTCAGCTTTTCCCCATTCAGTGTGATGTTAGCTGTGGGTTTTTCATATACAGACTTTATCATACTGAGGTATGTTTCTACTATGCCTAGTTTGTTGAGAGTTTTTATTATAAAGGGATGTTAAATTTTATTAAATGCTTTTTATGCATCTGTTGAGATGATCACATGGTTTTTGTCTTTTATTATGTTGGAGTGATGTATCACATTTATGGATATGTATATGTTGAACCATCCTTGCATCCCTGGGATAAATCTCACATGAGCATGGTGTATTATATTTCTGACGTGCTGTTGGATTCAGTTTGCTAATATTTTTGTTGAGGATTTTTGTGTCTATGTTCATCAGGGATAATGGACTGTAGTTTTTTGTTGTTATGTCCTTGTCTGGTTTTGGTATCTGGGTAACACTGACCTCATAAAATGAGTTAGAAAGAATTTCCTCTTCTTTAATTTTTTGGAATAGTTTGAGGAGAATTGGTTTTAGTTCTTCCTTGAAAGTATGGTAGAATTTGTCAGTGAAACCACTTGGCCCTGGGTTTTTCTTTGTTGGGAGAGTTATTACTGACTCAATCTCATTACCCATTATTAGTCTGTTCAGATTTTATGTTTCTTTCTGATTCAATCTTGGTAGGTTGTATGTGTTCAGGAATTTATCCATTTCTCCTAGGTTTTCCAATTTGTTAGTGTATAGTTGTTAGTAAGAGTCTCAAATGATATTTTGTATTTCTGTGGTATCAGTTATAATGTCTCCTTTTGCATTTCTGATTTTGTTTCCTTAAGTAATCTGTCTTTTATTCTTCTTAAGTCTAGCTAGCAGTTTATTGATTTTGTGTATCTTCCCTAAAACTGAGTTTTGTTTAACCATTTGTATTGTTTTTATTATTATTATTATTATACTTTAAGTTTTAGGGTACATGTGCACAATGTGCAGGTTAGTTACATATGTATACATGTGCCATGCTGGTGTGCTGCACCCATTAACTCGTCATTTAGCATTAGGTATATCTCCTAGTGCTATCCCTCCCCCCTCCCCCCACCCCACAACAGTCCCCAGAGTGTGATGTTCCCCTTCCTGTGTCCATGTGTTCTCACTGTTCAATTCCCACCTATGAGTGAGAATATGCCGTGTTTGGTTTTTTGTTCTTGCGATAGTTTACTGAGAATGATGATTTCCAATTTCATCCATGTCCCTACAAAGGACATGAATTCATCATTTTTTATGGCTGCATAGTATTCCATGGTGTATATGTGCCACATTTTCTTAATCCAGTCTATCATTGTTGGACATTTGGATTGGTTCAAAGTCTTTGCTATTGTGAATAGTGCAGCAATAAACATACGTGTGCATATGTCTTTATAGCAGCATGATTTATAGTCATTTGGGTATATACCCAGTAATGGGATGGCTGGGTCAAATGGTATTTCTAGTCCTAGATCCCTGAGGAATCGCCACACTGACTTCCACAATGGTTGAACTAGTTTACAGTCCCACCAACAATGTAAAAGTGTTCCTATTTCTCCACATCCTCTCCAGCACCTGTTGTTTCCTGACTTTTTAATGATTGCCATTCTAACTGGTGTGAGATGGTATCTCATTGTGGTTTTGATTTGCATTTCTCTGATGGCCAGTGATGGTGAGCATTTTTTCATGTGTTTTCAAGGGACGTGAAGGACCTCTTCAAGGAGAACTACAAACCACTGCTCAATGAAATAAAAGAGGATACAAACAAATGGAAGAACATTCCATGCTCATGGGTAGGAAGAATCAATATCGTGAAAATGGCCATACTGCCCAAGGTAATTTATAGATTCAATGCCATCCCCATCAAGCTACCAATGACTTTCTTCACAGAATTGGAAAAAACTACTTTAAAGTTCATATGGAACCAAAAAAGAGCCCACATTGCCAAGTCAATCCTAAGCCAAAAGAACAAAGCTGGAAGCATCACGCTACCTGACTTCAAACTATACTACAAGGCTCCAGTATCCAAAACAGCATGGTACTGGTACCAAAACAGAGATATAGATCAACGGAACAGAACAGAGCCCTCTGAAATAACACCACATATCTACAACTATCTGATCTTTGACAAACCTGAGAAAAACAAGCAATGGGTAAAGGATTCCCTATTTAATAAATGGTGCTGGGAAAACTGGCTAGCCATATGTAGAAAGCTGAAACTGGATCCCCTCCTTACACCTTATACAAAAATCAATTCAAGATGGATTAAAGACCTAAACGTTAGACCTAAAACCATAAAAACCCTAGAAGAAAACCTAGGCATTACCATTCCGGACATAGGCATGGGCAAGGACTTCATGTCTAAAACACCAAAAGCAATGGCAACAAAAGCCAAAATTGACAAATGGGATCTAATTAAACTAAAGAGCTTCTGCACAGCAAAAGAAACTACCATCAGAGTGAACAGGCAACCTACACAATGGGAGAAAATTTTTGCAACCTACTCATCTGACAAAGGGCTAATATCCAGAATCTACAATGAACTCAAACAAATTTACAAGAAAAAAACAAACAACCCCATCAAAAAGTGGGCAAAGGACATGAACAGACACTTCTCAAAAGAAGACATTTATGCAGCCAAAAAACACATGTATTGTTTTTAAGTCTTTGTTTCATTAGGTCTGCTCTGATCTTTATTATATCTTTCCTTCTACTAATTTTGGGTTTGGTTTGTCCTTGAGGTGTATCACTAGATTGTTTGAAATCTTTCTACTTTTTTCTGATGTAGGCATTTATTGTAGGCTCTTAGCATCGCTTTTGCTGTATCCTGTAGGTTTCTGTATGTCGTATTTCAATTTTCATTTGTTTCAAGAAATTTCTGGCCGGGCGTGGTGGCTCACGCCTGTAATCCCAGCACTTTGGAAGGCCGAGGCGGGCGGATCACGAGGTCAGGAGATCGAGACCATCCTGGCTAACATGGTGAAACCCCGTCTCTACTAAAAAATACAAAAAAGTTAGCTAGGTGTGGTGGTGGGCGCCTGTAATCCCAGCTACTGAGGAGGCTGAAGCAGGACAATGGCGTGAACCTGGGAGGCGGAGCTTGCAGTGAGCCGAGACTGCGCCACTGCACTCCAGCCTGGGCGACAGAGCAAGACTCCGTCTCAAAAAAAAAAAAAAAAGAAATTTTTAAATTTCCTCCTTAATTTCTTCCTTGACCCAAAGGTCATTCAGGAGCATGCTATTTAATTTCCATGTATTTGTACAGATTCCAAAGTTCCTCATTACTGATTTCCAGTTTTATTCCATTGTGGTCTAAGAAGATATCGATCGAATTTTAGTCTTTTAAAAGTTGTTGAGATTTGCTTTGTGTCCTAACATAGGGTCTGTCTTGGAGAATGTTACATGTACTGATGAAAAGAATGTGCATTCTGTAGCTATTAGATGAAATGTTCTGTAAATGTCTGTTAGGTCCATTTAGTCTAAAGCGCAGTTTAAATCCAATGTTTCTTTGTTATTTTTCTGTCAAGATGACCTGTCTAATGCTGAGAGGGGGATGTTAAAGTCCCCAAGTATTATTGTATTGCTGTCTCTCCCTGTAGATCTAATAATATTTGCTTTATATATCTGAGTGCTCCAGTGTTTGGTCTATATATGTTTAGAATTGTTATATCCTCTTGTTGAATTCATAACTTTATCATTACACAATAACCTTCTTTGTCTCTTTTTACTGTTTTTTACTTAAAGTATTTTATCTAAGCGTACCTACTCCTGTTCACTTTTGCTTTCTGTTTGCACAAAATCTCTTTTTCCATCTCTTTACTTTCAGTCTACATGTGTCTTTACAAGTGAGCTGAGTTTCTTGTACACAGCCTATAGTTGGGTCATGGTTTGTTTTTGTTTTTGTTTTTGTTTTTATCCATTCAGCCAGTCTATCCTTTTGGATACTTTAATCTATTTAAATTCAAGGTTACTATTGATATGTCAGGGCTTATTCTAGTAATTATTAATTGATTTCTGGTTGGTTTATATATCCTTTGTTCCCTTCTTTCTCTCTCATTGTTTATTTTTGAGGTTTGGTGGTTTTCTGTAGTGGTAACATTTGGGTCCTTTCTCTTCCTTATTTGTGTGTTTGCTCTACCAATGGGTTTTATACGTTTGTACATTTTCATGATGGTAGATATTGTTCTTTCACTTCAGGTGTGGGAATTCATTAAGCATTTCTTGTAGGGCCAGTCCAGTGGAGATGAATTCCCTCAGCTTTTACTTATCTAGGAAATACTTTATTTCTCTTTCATTTGTGAAGGGTAACTTTTATGCATATAGTACTCTTGGCTAACAAGTTATTTTTTTCCCCAGTACTTTGAATATATCATCCCATTTTTCTCTTGGCATGTAAGGTTTCTGCTGATAAATCCACTGTTAGTCTGATGGGGGTTCTCTTATAAGTGAGTAGATGCTTTTCTTTTGGTGTTTTTGGAATTCTGTCTTCAACTTTTGATAATTTGACTACAATGTGCCATGGAGAAGACCTTTCTGAATAGTATCTATTTATTTGTGGATCTCTGAGCCTCCCATATCTGGATGTCTAAATCTCTTGCTAGACTTGGGTTTCAGCCATTATTTTGTTAAATCAGGTTTGTATCCCTTTGGTTTTCTTTTCACCTTCTGGGACATCAAAAATTCAAATACTCATTCCTTTATGGTGACTCATATATCACATAGTCTTTATTCAACTTTAAATTCTGAAATTCCTTCTGCTGTCTCATCTAGTCTACTGCCGAAGCTTACTATTGTATTTTTAAATTTCAGTCAATGAATTAATTAGTTCCTGGATATCTGTTTGGTTCTTTTTTATAATATTTATCTCTTTGGTAAATTTCTCATTCATGTATTGAAATGTTTTTTGGATTATTTTGTATTATTTATCTGTGTCTCTTTTATCTGACTTTCCTTAATATCATTATTTTTTATTTTTTTTCTGGGATTTCATAATTTCTTTTTCATTGGAATCTGTTGCTAGAGAATTACCATGTTCCTTTGGAAGTGTTATACTTCCTTGCATTTTCATATTTCTTGTGTCCTTATGTTGATATCTGCACATCTGGTGTAACAGTTGCTTCTTCTAATTTTTTGGATTTGCTTTCATAAAGGAGGGCTTTTTCCTGAAGATGTATCTATGGTGTTGATTGGATAGGGTACTTTGGCTTTGATTCTGGATGAAGCAGTAGTGTAGTCTCCATATAATTTATTTGGCTGTAAACAGCATCAGTGGTGTCTGTGATTTCCTCAGCGGCTTAGGGTGTGGTTGTTAGTAGAGGCTGTGGTAAAGTTTTGCTGGGGACAGGGACACCAGGTGGGCCAATCCTTGGGCCCCAGTGGTGGCAGCAGTGGGCTGAGTGTGCCTGTCCTTACATCCCAGAGTGATCCAGACAGGCTCATTCTTGGCATTCTAGGTGGGTTGCTCAGGTGCTGGCAATGGCTGCAGGGGGCCAAGCAGGTGGGTGGGTTCTCAAGGCCCTGGACAGCAGGCATGCTATAGGCAGTGACAGTAGCAGTGGTGGGACAATCCCCTGGCTCCTTAGCAGTCTGCACTGGTATTGCTGGTGGCTGTGACAGGCTGAGCAGGCCAGTCCCCAGGCCCAGGGGTGGTGTGTAGGAATGGGTGCCAGCTGTGATGGTGCAGCAGGTTGGGTGGGCCCGACTTCAGGTCCCCAGGAGAAGTACTCAGGTGCTCATAGTGGTGGACAGGGCAGGGTGAGCCCAGGGCCCTGGATAGTGTTGCTCATACTGGGGGAGGCTGAGCAAGCCAAGCAGGCCTGTCCTCAGGACCCCTGGTGGTGTGTGCAGTTGCTAGCTGTGGTCAGCTGGGGTGGGGTGACCCCCAGGTTCCTGGCAGAACACTTGGTAGGGCTGGCAATGGCTGCACTGCGGCCCTGCTGCTGGGGAGGTGTGCTTCAGACCCAGGTGGCAACTGTGGGTGGGAGAGTCTGACCTCAGGGTGCCTGGAAGCGAAGTCTGTCCTCAAGATGAGTGAAAATGCCCAGCAGCCCCACCACTGGGGGTCACTGCCAATGGTTTGTGCTTTGCCTCTGGTGGCAGCAGCCAGCAGTGGTGGTGGTTGTGGGCAGGGGATGTCAGTGGGGCTGCAGAATATGGAGATGCAGAGGCTGTCGGGAGCCGGGGCGGAATGGTCTGTCGGGACCCGGAGCAGAATGGTCTGTCGGGACCCGGGGCGGAATGGTCTGGTGGGACCCACGGCGGAATGTTCTGGTGGGGCTGGGCTCTTTGAGCAGCACTGCATAGTAGCTGCTCTGGGCTCGGGCGTGTGGGGTGCAGCGTGGGCTCCCTCTCTGGAGCAGGACATCACACGGTCTCCCTGTGAGAGTCTCCCTACGTGAGTCTTGGGCCTGTGAGTTTTGAGGGGCTTTCCTGTGGCTCGGATTGCAGGAGTCTGTGGTGGGAATGTGGACCACGGGGGTCTCTCCCTTTCCCTTTTCCCACAGTGGGGAACCTGTCTGGGTTCCCAGCCGATCTCAGTCCCGGAGGAGCTGCTGCACTTCACTTTCCTCCTTGCCATAGGTGCTTCCTGTCACTTCTCTATTGAATTCCAGCTTCTCTCTTGGATCTATTTGAAGTGTGGTTACCTACTTGCTGTTCTTGTTCTTCTTTATGAAGGAGGCCAGTACCAGGTGACTGTGGTCAGCTGGCCCCTGAAGCCCCTCTCATTCAGGCTCCAAACTTTCCTTTTAAAAGCTACACCCCCCAGAGGTGACTTCAACCCTACCTTCAGTCTTTTAATGTGATATTTGACATTTACAAAGATGTGTTATTATCCTAAATAGGATAAACAGGCTCCCTGCCTACCAAAAAATGATTCAGTTAGAAAATTCTAAAAAAAAAAAAAAAATTGAGATTATTTCCAGTTTTCTCTGAGACATAAAATTTACAATTGAAAAGGAGAAATAGACATTTTTAAAAAATCATTCATTGAACATTCACCAAGATTGACCATATCCTAGGCCATTAAACAAACTTCAACAAATATAAAATAACTAAAATTATATGAAGTGTGTTCTCTGATCATAATGGAATCAAATCAGATTATCAATAGCAGAAAGACAATAGAATCTCCAAACACATGGAAAATGAACAGCACACTTCCAATTAATTCATGGGTCACAGAGAGTATCTCAAAGGAAATAAAAATACAGAGAACTGGATGAAAATGAAAGCATAGAGTGTCAAAACATCTGGGATGCAGCTAAAGCATCATGGAAGCAGAAATGTACAGCACTAAACGCTCACACTGGAAACAAGGAAAGGTCTTCAACCAATAACCAACATGGCTACCTCAAGAAAGCAGAAAAGGGAGAGCAAAATACACTCAAAGCAAGCAGAGGAAGGAAATTATAAAGAGCAGAAATCAATAAAGTTGAAAATGAAGGAGACCATGAAGAAGAGGAGACCTGGAACAAGAGGCTGGTTCTAAAAAAACAAAAAACAAAAACAACAACAACAACAACAACAAAAACAAACCAAAAAAATCAAG
Source organism: Homo sapiens (assembly GCF_000001405.40). Lineage (NCBI taxonomy): Eukaryota > Metazoa > Chordata > Mammalia > Primates > Hominidae > Homo > Homo sapiens. The sequence goes on along the minus strand of NC_000007.14, from coordinate 4,055,511 downwards.
CAATAAAATTGAAGAACCTCCAGGAAGAATGACAACATTAAAAAGCCAGAAGAAACCAATCATCAATATCAGGAATAAAAAACAGGACATCACTACAGATCCTGCAACCAATAAGAAGGTGGTGCTGCTAACATTTTCATACTCACAAATCTGAACTCTTAGAGGATCAACTCCTTGAAAACCAACAACTCCCAAAACTCAGCCAAGATGAAACAGACAACCTGGATAGTCCTAAAACCATTTATAAATTGCATTTATATTAAAAATATTCCTAGAAAGAATTCTTCAGTCCCTGAGAGTTTCACTGGAAAATTCTACCAAACATTTAAAGAGAAAATGACACCAATTTTACGCAATCTCTTCCAGAACATAGAAGTGGGAATACTTCTAAACATATTTCATGGGACCATATTACTCTGATACCAACACCAGACAAAGATAACACACAAAAAAAGACAACTACAGATTAATATCTCTCATGAACTTACATGCAAAAGTCCTTCGCCAAGTGCTAGCAAAGTCAATCCAACAGCATATGAAAAGAATTATACACTGTGACCAAGTTGAATTTAAGTACACAAAGCTGGTTTGACATTTGCAAATCAGTCAATGTAATCTAACAGACCAACAAGCTAAGAAGAAAAACCAGATGATCATGTCAAATGATGCAGTAAGAGCACGTGAAAAAAAGTAAGATTTATTCATGTCAAAAACTCAGAACCAATTAGCAATAGTGAGGAATAACTTCAACTTGATTAAAAAAAAAAATCCTTAACAGTGAACGACTGAATGTTTTGCCTCTCAGGTGAGAAGCAGGCAAGGATGTCTGGTCTCATCACTCTTATTCAGCATAGTACTAGAAATCCTAGACACTGCAAATCATGCAAGAAAAGGAAATGAAAGGCATACAGGTTAGAAAGGAAGAGCTGGAGGAAGGTGGGTGTGGCTATAAAGGAACCCAGATGATTTTTGTGGCCTTAGAAACATTCAAGATCTTGATTATCGTGGTAGATACACAAACCTACACATGTGTCAAACTGTACAGGACTAAACACACACATATGCACAAAAGAGAAAAAAACAAAACTGGAGAAACCCAAATCGGATCTGTGAATTGTATCATCAGTGTCAATATCCTGGACGTGATGCAATACTATAGTTTCGCAAATGTCAGCTTGGCAGAAACTGGGCTAAATGTACACGGTCTCAATATTATTTCATATAATTGCATATGAATCTGTAATGCTCTCAATAAAAATTTCAGTTAACCTTGGTGAGTGTGGTGGCTTATGCCTGTAATCCCAGCACTTTGGGAGGCTGAGGTGTGCGGATCACCTGAGGTCAGGAGTTTGAGAGCAGCCTGGCCAACATGGTGAAACCCCATCTCTATTAAAAATACAAAAAAATTGGCCAGACGTGGTGGCCGGTGCCTGTAATACCAGCTACTTGAGAGGCCAAGGCAGGAGAATTGCTTGAACCCTGGAGGCAGAGGTTGCAGTGAGCCAAGATTGCACCACTGCACTCCAGCCTGGGCAACAGAGCAAGATTCTGTCTCAAAACAACAACAACAACAAAAAAAACCACCACCACCACCAACAACAACAAAAAACCCAAAAAACAAAAAAAGCCAAAATCAGTTAAACAAAAGCAGAAAGCAGAGCAAAGGCAGAGTATGGGAAGAACTTCTGGGATCAATTCACAGCAGCAGCAGGGCTACTTTTCATTTCATCTTTTTTGTGAGGAGGGATTGATTGTTGGTCTCAGAGGGTCAAGAAATCCATGTTCTATTCCTCCCCTGTCACTCATTTGACATAGACCTTGAGTCAATGGCGAGATTGTTCCAGGAGAGTGGCAAGGAGAAAGCTAGGCTGCCAAGGGTCAAGGAGAACATAAGGCGTTCAAGGTCAAAGCAATGGTTAGACTAAAAGGGAGTGGGGAGCCATCCCGGCAGCTCCAGGGGCAGCACAGTCAGGGAGCTGCCGATTTTGAGTGAGGGAGACCTGAACATATTTGTGGGAGGAGGGAAAGGATCCAATAGTAAAAAGATTGGAAGAAGTAATAGCGCCATGAAGACAGAGAGGGGAAGAAGGGAACAGGATGACGGAGGACCCTTAGAAAGGCCATACTGCATCGTTTGAGAGGAAAGGGGAGAGAGGCAAGCGTAAGGACACGGAAATAAAGGGTGAAGTGGGAAGGCAAGGAATCCGTCTTGGTGGCCTTGGCCTCTGCAAATGTCACCTGCTGGGAGTGCGGTGAGGCTGGGAGTCCAAAAACGGGAGCAGCACGGGGTGGAGCTGGCGACGGCCAAACTCTAGTAGAGACAAGTTCAGAAGGCTGAGCCCATCCAGCACTGGGGGAGAGACAAGCAGCAGCCCAGGGTGACTTAAAAAATAATTTTCCTAATTTTTTTTTTTTTTTTTTTTTTGAGACAGAGTCTCACTATGTCACCCAGGCTGGAGTGCAGTGGCATGATCACGGCTCACTGCAACCTCTGCCTCCTGGGTTCAAGTGATTCTCCTGCCTCAGCCTCCCGAGTAGCTGGGATTACAGGCGCCTGCCACCACACCCAGCTAATTTTTGTATTTTTCGTAATGACGGGGTTTCACCATCTTGGCCAGGCTGGTCGTGAACTCCTGACCTCGTGATCCAACTGCCTCAGCCTCCCAAAGTGCTGGGATTACAGGCATGAACCACTGCATGGCCCTAATTATTCTAGTTTTAACTTTCATTACAGAGGGAGTACAGACTCGTGGTAGAAACTAGAAAATGCAAAAAAATACAACGAAATATGCCAAAACTACTCATAATGATACCACATAGGGATAACAAGTCTTAAATTTGTGTGACGTATTTCTTCCAAGGTCTTTTCTCTGTTCATATTTCATACAGTATATTTTTATAAAATTTGGATCTCATAGTTTTGTATACTATTATTTCACAATGTTATATCATGACCATTTTTGCGCACAATTTTTGATCTTCAGAGTTTCGTTTTTTCAACAACTACAAAATATTTCTTATGTTGTCATTCTATACTTTTTCCCAATTCTCCCCATCTGGAACATCTGAATGCTTTTCACATTTTTTCCAGCTACAAATAACTGTAACGAGCCGCCTTGTATATATATAAATCTTTGTGTGCATCTGTGACTATTTTCTCGGGGTAACTTCATTAGCTAACGTTTTCCAGATGCGTCAGCTGGCCTGTGAGCAGAGAAGGAGTGGCTTCGAACTGACCAGATGGAGGTAATGCAAACTCAGGGAGCTTAGAAGGGCGTGGGGAAAAGGACCCTGGGAGCGAGGGTCAGGAAAGAATGGGCTGGGGGACGTCGGGGGGGGGGGGATCATGGAAGCAGGTGAGGGAATCAGAAATTGAACTCTACATGAAGAGCAAGTTCAGCAAGACCAAAGCTGTGGCCACACAGCTGGAACCTGATTCTCCACCCCCTGTCCCCAGAGCTCCTTCCTTGAGCCAAGGCCACCCTCCACTGTCCACGTGCCATCCTCTGCGAGGCATTATCAGTACTGATGCCTGATCTCCCTAGGTGAGCTGACTGCAAGCACTCCAAAAATCCGGGGCCTCCTCGTGATCCACCTCTGCCCTTGCCTGATTCTGGAAGTTGCAGCGGTATACACCTCTTTGACAAGTGACTTAAGAGACACGCAGAAAGGAATACTCACTGTCTTCCTGAGTCCAGACCAGCTGAGGTGTGCTGGGAGGCCCGTCCCCAGGGGTGGTGAAGCACAGAACGGAAGTGAAGTAGGCGGTAAACTTCTTCAGGTTCGTTATGTGTCCATGGTGGACTCCGTGGAAATCTGGGGCAATAGTGACCACAGTGACAGCCTCGGGGGCATCTGCCGGCCATGCCAGAAGCTGAGATGGAACAGGGTGAAAAAGACAGCCTGTTTTCAATGGCATTTCTCCACACTCATGTCTGCAGCAGAATTTTATTTTGTCTTTTAAAATGTAAAGTCATAATTAAGAAAGTCCATAAATCCTGCATTTTATAATCACGCTTGAAAAAAGTTGAGATAAAAATATATTTTATAGGTTTTTGTATACAAGCATGTATATTTACATGTATTTTATACTTGTATATGTAAATAACTACTTAACTCATATTAGAATAATGGACACTCCCTCAAATCTTCACCCTCTCTTCACTTAAGAAGGTTAAAAAACATATATATAATATATATTACATATATCCATATATAACATATATACATAAAAAGTATATATTATATATATATTATATACAACCTATATACTATATAACATATATAGTATATGTTATGTATACATATATAATATATACACATATATAATGTATAATATATACATATATACTATATGTATATATTATACATATATTATATATAATATGTATATATTATACATATATATTATATACACATATAGTATACTATATATAACATACATAACATATATATGTATAGTATACTATATATAACATACATAACATATACACATATAGTATACTATATATAACATATATAACATATATAGCATATATATAACATATATAGTATATATAATATATACGTATAGTATGTATGTATATATAATACATTATATATACTATATATAATATATACTATATGGTATATATAATATATACCATATAGTATATAATATATATTTTAACAGTAAAGAATAAAGATGAAACCATCTGTTAATTCAGCTGAAACAGCACAATGAAACAAATACAAATATTTTTCTAGAAAGCACCTACTCTGTCTCAAAAAAGACATCCATGATTCAACAGCAATAATCTTAATTATTTATAATTTATATCACACTAGTTTCGCAAAAAGGATTTTAGGAGACTGCTTACAATTTTAAAGAAATACAGACTGTATCCACAACCTAAGGAAAGCGTGTTCATGTTTTGGCAGCATTACGTAGGTGTGTGACTTTTAATTCCTTTGGCACCAAACATTTCTAGGACTAATTGGGTCTGAAAGTTGACATGCTGCAGGACGCAAAGCGTATTTACACAGATCAAACTGACAGCGAAGTCATCAAACGAACACTGCAGCCTTGCCAACGAGACTCGACAGGAGAGGGAAGAAGGCAAAAGCATCTTGCTTGATCAATATGATTTTCTTTCACAAAAGCTTCTGGCTTTGGATACTTCTGAGGGTAAACGAAAGGCAGGGAAAATTTCCAGCTACTTCTGCCTTTCTGGCAGACAAATCAGTGTTTTAGTAAGTTGAATGCAAATTGTGGGAAAAGAAAACTGAACCTTGTGTCTGAGGAAACTCACCCTCTGAATGTGAAATTACCAGGTATTGAGGAAACTAGATGGAATCCCTTCACTGTATAGAGCTTCCCCTGTCCATCGTCTATTAAAGACGATTAGTGGACCTATTGTAGCTAAAATCAAGGTGCGCTCCCAAATCCAATCAGGAGAAGCTGATCTGAAAGGGAGGATCAGCTGTGCTTTGTGATGGTGTATCCTGGTACATCAGTGAAGTTAACACACTCTGGTAGCTAAAGACACAAGAAGTCGGATGATGGAAATTTGTCTATGTGTCTAATTCAGTATGGGCGGGTAGCTGGAATCAACTGGTCTCAGTTCTTTAAACAGAACTCTCCCTGAAGTAGAAAGGGAGGAGAGAAAACTATCCTTTCTCCATGGAAATATCACTCACACCATTCCCTTTGCTCGGGGCCTGTGTTCTCCTGAGAGGACCTCCTTCTGGGAAGAAGTAGTTTGTGCAAATATTCATTCTAATCACTGAGACACGTCTCCCACCCACCATTTAAAAATGAATGGCCTTTCTCATAAGAAATTGCTCACTGATGTATGAACCATCCTCTTGATAACTAGGAATTTGAATTTCTGAACCTGCAGAGCTGATGCCAAGACTTTGGATAAATGGTGGTCTCACCAAGGTCAAGACGCCCTGTATCTTAATGCAACCAGCTCTTGATACACAAGAGGGGGTGCCTCCAGCTGCGTCGCGCTGTGGCTCCAGACAATGACAGCTGCCCACAGGCCCTGAACCCAGGCCACGTACCTTGTATCCCTGGTTGATGCCATTGATAAACTGCTGAGGCGGAGGGTTCCACAGGAACTGAATGGTGGTGGAGTTCACGGCTTCCGTCTGCACGTTCTGCGGGGGCGCGGTGGGCACTGTGGCAGGGCAGTCATTGATGACAGCAGAACAAATGGCAGGAGGGACCATGGGGTGGAGAGACAGAAAGGAAACCCTTAGCTGCCATCATGCTCACAGGCAATTATTGCACTGAGACCGAGGAAGTGTGATGAATGTTTTGGGAAGCTTACAGTGGCATTACCAAGAAAGAGAATTGGGCTATTTTTCATTTTCTCTTGCAGAATTCTTTAAGGCATAGGCAGAAAGGTGGACCAGACCATCCTCTCATTCCACAGATGGGCCTTTCCTGTGGTTCCAAGACGGACGGCAAGCAAAGCTTTCTCTAATCTCTTTTTCAATGAACAGATATTTGAGATCAAGGCAAGGTTTCATCTAGAAATCCTCCCTCAATATATACCACTATGTTTCAAGCTAAATTGTTCATTACATTGAGGCGGGGGGTGGGGAACAAGCAAACAAAATCATCACCCTTGTCCCATATATGCTGTTGGAGGTTAAATTTCTCTTTGTCTGTCAACGGGGACAATCATTTTTGGATTTTCCACAGTTTGTTTCTCTCTTTTACAGAACAGCTATTGAACCCAATTATATACCTGCCAAATGACTGCCTTCAGGGCATGCCCTTTCTAGGGGACATGCTCGTGTAACTGTAAGAGGCAGATGCTCTGCAGAGCAGCAAACTCGTGAAGGGCAGATGACTGCCTCTGGCCTGGGAGGGCTGGAGGGCCTCATCTGGACTGTGTTTGGGAGGAAGGGTGGCCTGTGAGGGGTAAGTTCTTGAGAAGGGCACTCTCAGCTGGGAGAGCCATGGGAAAAGGCAAAATGTTGCCAAGGAGCCTGGCGAGGATGGGTGCACACGGAGCACGGCTGGACGAGGGGTGGGGGGAAGCGGGGTGCTGACAGTGCGCGGGTCTCGCTGGGATTGTCTACCGTGCCCAGCAGCACGGCTGATGACGCATACATAAGGCAATGGGGAACTGAAGGCCTTCCGGAAAGGGCAGTGGGCAGGGCTAGCTTCTTCAGGATGGGAACCCCAGTGGCCTGCAGAGAGGAGCCAAGCCTCCGGCTGCACCATCAAGGCTTCCACTGGGTGGAAGGAAGGTCCTGGTTCTTCAGGTGCTTGTTCTAAAGTGAGGCACAGAAGCCTAAGATCCTGTGGATCCACGCAGAGAAAGAAAAACAAGGGTCTTCTCGGCCGGAACACACGGGATCCCATGTGGTCCTGGTGAAAATCGCTACACTCTTCTCGGCTCCCTTCCCCAAAAGCCCGTCTCAGGCAGAGATGAGACAAACATAAACTTGGCCAAGCCCCTCAAGTCTTCTCTTCCCAGGCATGCAGGAGGACCCTCTGTCCCCATCCACTGCTGGTCATGGCTGTGATGCCCCTCGGCCCCCTCTCTAAGTCACCAGGAAACTGCCCTACTTGCCATCCTGTAAAATGTGTGGGTTAAAAATGGACACAGGGCTTGCTGTGCCTGGGATGCCGAGCATTGGAAAGAACATCACATCCACCTAAGAACAAGAAAAGTTGAACAAAGTACAAAACAATCACTTTTCCTGAGCCCATAAGACAGCTTAGGTTGCATACCAGCCAGGTGGTCGGAAACACAAGGAAAGATGGGCCTGTCCAAGGAGTCAGGATGGGTCCTGCTCACCCGTCACAGAGCGCGGGAGGAGGAGACAATGGAAATTCTGAAATTCACCCAAAATCCTCAATGAATGGCCGAAGGCTGAATGTGAGCTACAAGAGAGGACAGAAGCTTTGGGAGCGCAGACACACAGCATCCAGAGGAACAAAGGTAAGAACTACGCATATTTCATGGATGAATTCCACCAAGCATTTGAGGAATAAATTAAACCAATTCTAAAGCATTACCCTGATACCAAAATCAGAAAAAGCCTCTGAAGGAAAACTATAGACCAATATCCATCATGAACACAAATTCAAAAAAATCCTCAACAAAATATTAGAAAATAAAATTCAACAATATATAACAGTCATAGTCTAGCCTGATCAAGCGAGGTGTATCTTATACATGGAAGGCTGGCTCAAGATGTGAATAACAATCAAAGTAATTCATCACATCAACAGAATAAAATAGAAAAACATATGAACATCTTAATAGATTTAGGAAAAGCATTCGGCAAAATTTAATAATCAATTGTGATTTTTTAAAAAAGAAAAAACCCTCTCAGCAAAGTAGGAATTTAAAGGAACATTCTAAATTTTAAAAAGGGCACCTATAAAACGCCTACAGCTAATATCTCATTTAAGCTCTAAAAACATAAAATAGATACAAGTTTAACAAACTACGTGCAATAGCTGTGCACGGAAAACTACAAAACACGAATGAAGGAAACCAAACACCTAAGTCAATACAGAATCATATCACATGGGTGCATTGGAAGAAAACACAGTAAAGAGGTCAATTCTCCCCAAACCAATCAATATAGTGAATAAAACCCCAATCTAAATCCCAGCTACACTGCACTCCAGCCTGGGTTACAGAGCAAGACCCGCTCTCAAAAAAGAAAAAAAAAAAATCACAGCTAGATATCTCCTAGACATTGAAAAGGTGATTCTAAAATCTATATGGAAAAGCAAGGTAACTAGAATAGCCAAAGCAAGTCTGAAAAAAATTTGGATAACCTTTACTGTATGATTTCAAGACTAACTGGAAATCAACAGTAATTAAAACGGGTGTTACTGGAGAAGGGCTGGACACACTGATCAGAGAAGACAGGCAAGAAATTACTCACACATATATCACTGGTTTTCAATAAAAGCACAAAGAAAAGATAGTAATTTCGACAAATGGTGCTGGAAATATTAGACATTCATTCACAAAATAAGACAAAATCTAGATCTATATTTCTTACCATTTATAAAACCTAACTCAAAATGGATCAGAGGCATAAATGTAAACCTATAATTATTAATACTTCTAGGAAAAAACAGTTATGACACTGGGTTAGGGAAAAATTTCTCAGATAGAATATCAAGGACATAATCCATAAAAGAAAAAAAATGAATAAAGCTGACTTCATGAAAAGACAGGCCACAGACTGGGAGACAACGTGTGCAAGACAGATACCCAATAAAGAACGTTTATCCAGGCCGGGTGCTGTGGCTCATGGCTCACGGCTGGAATGCCAGAACTTTGGGAGGTTGAGGTAGGAGGATCGCTTGAGGCCAGGACTTTGAGGCCAGCCTGGGCAACATAGTGAGACCCCACCGCTACAAAGAATTACAAAATTAAAAAAAAAAATCAGCTGGGTGTGGTAGTGCATGCCTGTAGTCCCTGCTACTCGGGAGGCTGAGGCAGGAGGATCCCTTGACCCCAGGAGTGTGAGGCTGCCGTGAGCAACCAAGTAAGACTTTGTCTCTTAAAAAGAAAAAAACAAAAAAAAAGAACAAAAACCTACTATGCAGAAAAAAGAATTTTCAAAATTCAACTGTAAGAAAACCAAAAATGTACGCAAAAAGAATAGTTACTTCACCAAAGCCAATAGAACGACAGGAAATCCATGAGTGAAGAGAACCTCACCATCCCATTTACCATGATGGGATGCCCTGGACCCCTATTAGAAGGACTCAAACATCACAAACCAACAGCAATAACAACCCATGTCCGTGAAGATGTGGAGTGCCCAAGGCCCTCGCAGTTTGAGATGCGGATGCCCATGGCACGGCCACCTGGTGGGACCGTTTGGTGCTTTCTTACGAAGTTAAACATGCGCGAGCCACGTGACCCGGTAATCCTGCCCCCGGGTAACTGTGCACAAGACATGTAAAAGTTCACATAAAAATCTACATGAAGCGGGGCATAGTGGCTCACACTTGTAATCCCAGCATTTTGGGAGGCCGAGGTGGGAGGATCGCTTGAGCCCAGGAGGTTGAAACCAGTCTGGGTAACACAGAGAGACCCCGTCCCTACAAAAAAAAATCAAAAAAGTAGCTGGGCATGATGGCACACACCTATAGTCCCAGCTACTTGGGAGGCTGAGATGGGGGGATCACTAGAGCTCAGGAGGTTGAGGCTGCAGTGAGCTGTGATTACACCACTGCACTCCAGCCTGGGCACAGAGTGAGACCCTGTCTCTAAATAAATAAATAAATAAAATCTATATGTGATATTCATAGCAGCTTTAATAATCACCCCAAACTGCAAACATCCTAAATGTTTTTAAACCAATGGATGGGAAACAAACTGTAGTGTGTCTATGGAATGGGATGCTGCTCAGTAGTAGAAGGGAACAAAATACTTATACGCATGAACGCACAGGTGAATCTCAAATGCATGACACTAAGGGAAGGAAGCCAGGTTCTGAAGACTGCACACTGCATGCTCCATTTATATGATGTTCTGAAATAGGCAAAGATATAAGAAGAAAAAACAGCAGTGCTTGCCAAGTGCTGGGGTGGGGGTAAAGGGGTGAATATAAAAGCACAAAGACTTTTGGGGGAGGTGACAGAAATAGTCATATCTCCGTCACGCTGGTGAATGTGGGCTAAAGATGTTTGTGAAAATGTATATATAACTGTACTCTAGAAAGGGTGAGTTTTACTGTATGTAAATTATGAAACCACAATAAATCTCACTTTTCAAACATGCTGCAGGCAGGGCATGGTGACTGATGCCTGTAATCCCAACACTTTGGGAGTCTGGGGTGGGAGGATCGCTTGAGCCCAGGAGTTTGAGACCAGCCTGGGCAACAGGGTGAGATAATCTGTCTCTACAAAAGTAAAAAAAGTAGCCAGGCATGGTGGCATGCACCTGTAGTCCTAGCTACTTGGGAGGCTGAGGTGGGAGGATGGTTTGAGCCCAGGAGTTTGAGGTTACCGTGAGCTATGCTCCTGCCACTGCACTCCAAGCAACAGAGTAAGGCCCTGTCCCTAAAAAAAAATAAAGCAAAGCAAAATGCTGCATATTCTTTGATACTTTTCCCATGAAGAGGTGGTGTCTATGTCTGAAACCCTTCAATGTAGGCTCTGAGACTGCTTGACCAATAGAGTATGATCCAGGTCCTAATAAACTAGCAGCTTCTGCTGCCTTCCGGGAGCCCTGAGCAGCGGTAGGAGTGTGGGGATCCTGAGGCTGCAGGCTGGCGAGGCCAGGGGCAGCTGCCCAGTGGACAGCCCAGGGAGCCAGCCTTTCCGCTTTCCTAGCCATGGCGCCAACGTGTGCACGAAGCCATCTTCCCAACTGAATGAGAGGCACAGACGGTCACATATCCAAGCCCTGCTCCAACTCCTGACCCGCAAAATCATGACATATAAACAGGTGTTGCTTTTAATCTCTAAGTTTTGGGGTAGTCAGTTAGGCAGCAATAGATGACCAGAACAATCTCTGCTGAAAGAAAGAAAAGAAAACACAAGAGGAGGAAGGAGAAAAAGGAAGAAAAGGGAAAAGAAAGAATAAACGCCAGGAGCTATTGGGAAAAGACCAACATTTGTTGTGACGTTTTCTCTTAGAACCCACAACCTCTGGGGTTGAGGACGGCATCTCATTCTCGGTAGGTTTAGCTCTGGGGTTTCACGAAGCCCAATTACTGACTCAGGAATGCCAGAATACCAAATATCAAATGTTGTTAAATTCTCTAAAGTAAGGCTATGAGGATCATATGCAACAAAAAAATTTGCATAATTTAAATAAGTAGTCATTTCCTGCAGATTCAAGAGGACGTCTGTACCTTTGCGTGGCTGCAGCACAATCCTCACGTCAAGTTCTGGTCCTGCATCCTGGAGGCAGTGCCTCTCTGGGGCACACCATGTTTACAGAGAAACAAATTCCTGAGTTCACCCATTTAACAAGGCATTTTCCCCTCCCTTCTCATTATGTGGGCTACCTAAAATCACGAGCTCTCACACTCACTCTACCTGAGCCCCTGGCTGTGACACTCATTCTACCTGAGGCCCTGGCTGTGACACTCACTCTACCTGAGCCCCTGGCTGTGACACTCACTCTGCCTGAGTCCCTGGCTGTGACACTCACTCTGCCTGGGTCCCTGGCTGTGACACTCACTCTACCTGGGCCCCCGGCTGTGACTCACTCTACCTGGGCCCCTGGCTGTGACACTCACTCTACCTGGGCCCCTGGCTGTGACACTCACTCTACCTGAGCCCCTGGCTGTGACACTCACTCTACCTGGGCCCCTGGCTGTGACACTCACTCTACTTGAGCTCCTGGCTATGATACTCACTCTACCTGGGTCTCTGGCTGTGACACTCACTCTACCTGAGCCCCTGGCTGTGACACTCACTCTACCTGGGCTCCCTGGTGTCAGATTCGGAGCCTGACCTGTGGGCACACACTCTCCTTCCCCAGTCACAGGACAAGGGAGGTTCTAAAGCCTCAGTTTCCTTTCTCTCAATACCCTAGGTTTAATTCAAAAAATCGCCAACCTTGCTTTTATTCCCAGGTCTTCGGCTTCTCTTTGTCCTGATTACCGCCATCAGAAATGACTCAGAAATTTGTGGACAATGGAATTAAAAATGCCCTCAAGCGAGAAAGAGTTACAGCCGGCAAATCCTTCTTGACAGTGTTGAAAATAAAAGAGTGGTTATGGCTGGAAAGGTCTTAATTATTGAGGGTTACATAACCCTGCCCCTTCTTAAGCCAACGACAAGGGCTTAGTCCAACTATGCTGCAGAAAAGTCAAGGCAAAAGGGGTTTCAAGTGTGCAGCGTGGCCTCCCGCTGCTCAGACTAAGCCTCAAGGGACACTTCCTCCCCGGATGATTAGCATTAGACCCTTGCTGTGCCTCCAATGGCAGGCCTGGAGGCAGGCTGGTAACGTGACAGGTGTTATGCTCCTTTCTGGTTTTCACTGAGCAGACAAATATCTTTTCACTGGATAATTCCCCCCACGCAGGCACCTGGCTGAGCTGGCTCTCAGCCTAAACCCATTGGACACTGTCTTGATGCTCACAGCCAATGACAAAGTCTTCTGTCCTGAAGCCCCCGACACTCAGGGAATAATCACAGGTGAAAGGAGAAACCAGAAGAGCAGTTTCAGGCACTAGGGGTTTTATATCCCACGGAAATATGTGAAACCTGGATCAGAGAGTAGCAGTTTCTCCTACCTGAAGAGAGGATTTCTGGGAGTGGATGGGGAAGAAGGAGGTGGGACAGTGCAGTGGTCTCTCACTGTGCCTCGGATAGGTTACACAGGGACCCAGAGACAGGGATATCTGTTAGTTTTTGTAGCCATAAACCACCGTTTACAGCCATTCAAACATTTGCAACTGTTGGCCGGGCACGGTGGTTCATGCCTGTAATCCCAGCACTTTGGGAGGCCAAGGTGGGTGGATCACGAGGTCAAGAGATAGAGACCATCCGGGCCAACATGATGAAACCCCACCTCTACTAAAAACACAAAAATTAGCTGGGCGTGGTGGCGCGGGCCTGTAGTCCCAGCTACTCAGGAGGATGAGGCAGGAGTATTGCTCGAACCTGGGAGGCGGAGGTTGCAGTGAGCCGAGATCTCACCACTGCACTCCAGCCTGGCAAGGGAGCGAGACTCCGTCACAAAAAAGAAAAAAAAAATTGCAGCTGTTGAAGTTACATTTCATGCTGTTTTCACTATATATATGCTGTGTTTTCACGACACGCATGCATTAAACATTCCTCAGTGAAAGATGTCATTCTGGAAAAGCCATGTGTTGTGTGATTCCAACTACATATGACATTTTGGAAAAGGTCAAACTATGGAGACAGCAAAAGGACCAGTGGCTGCTGGGGGTCGGCAGTCAGGAGGGGTGAACAGGAGGAGCATGGGGGTTTTGAGGGCAAGGAAACTCTTCTGTAGGCTATAACGGGGGATACATGTCACCATATGCTTCTCAAAGCCCACAGAATGCACAGTGCCAAGCGTGAACCCTCACGTAAACTATGGATTTTGGGTAGTGATGTATCAAGGTAGGTTCACTGCTCATAAGAAAGGTACCACTCTGGTGGGGGATGCTGATAGTGGGAGAGGCTTTGTACATGTTGGGCAGAGAGTATATCAAAACTCTTTTAACTTTCTACTCAACTGTCCTATGAATCTGAAAGTACTCCAAAAAAAAAAAAAAGTAAAACAAAACTATGCATGTGGTTCCTGTAAACTTTCTGAACCCGGTAACTCTCTTGAGAGGATCTGCTGCAGAAAGGCACAGGTTGGCTGAGCCACACGGCACTTCCCTGACACCCCCATGGACCCCTCTTATCAAGCTGTTTTATTTCACTTGCAGGTTGTTTCTCATCTGTGAATTTGTTTGTCTGTACCAGGCACAGGACCAATTGATACAGGAGCTAGAAAGAAATTATTTAGGCAGATAGTGAGGGTAAGAGAGTCTTTGGCAAGGCTTCCCTTTTAACAGAAAACAGCTCCCAAATCATTTCTTTTCTAACAAAGAGCAGCCTGAAAAACTGAGCTGCAGACATAGATAAGCAAGCTAGAAACTTGCACAGGTGAATGCCGGCAGCTGTGCCAACAGAAAAGGGCTACCTGAGGGCCAGACACATTCAACATGGAGGCTCCATCTTCCGTTTTCTTTGTCACCACGTGTACAGTAAAAATGCAGGCAACAAGGCACCAGCGGGGGAGATAACCCATCCGCATAATAAAAGATTAGGGTGTGGGTGGCCAGATTTTTGGAGGCTATGCAAATGGCGCATCCAGTCCTGGTTTTTTGTGCCTTATGCAAATGGCACACCTGGTCTGACCAATCTTTCATGCCCTATGTAAATCAGACATTGCCTCCTCCAGCTCATCTGTAAAATCCTTTGCATTTTGTGGCGGACTGGAAAAACCCACTCCGGACCCCTCTGCAGGAGAGAGCTCTTCTCTCTTTCGCCTATTAAACCTCCACTCTTAACCTCACTCCTTGTGTGTCCGGGTCCTTGATTTCGTCAGCGTGAGACAACAAACTTTGGGTATTACCCTAGACAAAAATGCCGCTTCACAATGTGGTTCGACTTGTGTGTAAGTAGGTTGTGAGTTGTTTTTCAGTTGCCACGGACCCCCGGGTTGAAGACTACAGACTCTGAGCACACTCAGATGAACCAAGCATGCAACCACGGTGGGGGAACCTAAGTGCTCAGGCAGAGGAGCAGGGACTGGATTAAGAAATGGACATGGCAAAGCTGAAGCAGGATCCAATCAGATTCAGCTCTGGCGTTACCCCACTGCAAGATCCAATCAGAACACGCCTCATTACCCTATGCTTATAAAGCCCGGTACAGCCCCCAGTGTGGTGAGACAGATTTGAGTCTTTCCTCCTGCTCCTCACCACTTGACATTCAATAAAGCTTTTTTGCTGCAAAAACCCAGTGCTTCAGCGTCTTCCTCTCATGCAGGGACAGACAAACCCAGTTTGGTTCAGTAACATGCTCAGCATGTGGGGGCGCTTCTTATTCAATTAATTTGCTAGTATTTTTACCTATGTGACTAAGTAAAACGTATGATTATGTTTATAATTATTATCTGGTATTAGGTGTTCCTTATTAAAACAAAAATGATTTTTAAAATTTTCTTCTCCCCCACCCCCTTCCCTTCGTTTCTGGCTAGTGATGATGTAAATTTAGCAAGATCTGATTACTGATGGAATCTCAAAATAAATTACTGTTTTTACAGATTTTTAAAGATGTTATAATAAGTTCCATAATTAAATCAACTCAGTAAAGAGGACTGTAGGGTTTTATATCTTCAAATAATTGAGTTTTCAAAATATTTTGGATCAGAGATGACATCACTGACATTTATATTCATGAGTTTTTCAGAACTTTAATTGTCCAATCAAATAAAAAGGAATGTCAATATTGCTCATTTTGGTTAATGCAAGCTTTGCTTTTTGAATTTTTCAACTTGATTTATTTTGAAACATTCTTGAGGATGTATGCAATCAAAATATCTTGAAAAGTTAATTTTTGAAGCCATTAAGGCCTACAGGCCACTTTATATACTTTTATATTTAAATATGTATATATTTAGTAAAATTACTTAGGTTGATATTTTTAATACTGTTGCATATTTATAGAGAGATATTTTCCCATCATAATAAGAAACTTTTTTTTTTATTATACTTTAAGTTTTCCGGTACATGTGCACAACGTGCTGGTTAGTTACATATGTATACATGTGCCATGTTGGTGTGCTGAACCCATTAACTCGTCATTTAACATTAGGTATATCTCCTAATGCTATCCCTCCCCGCTCCCCCCACCCCACAACAGGCCCCGGTGTGTGATGTTCCCCTTCCTGTGTCCATGTGTTCTCATTGTTCAATTCCCACCTATGAGTGAGAACATGCGGTGTTTGGTTTTTTGTCCTTACGTTTTTTAATTAAAGAAAGTCATCAAGTGTACCAAGTAGAGTGGTAAAAAAAGTTGCTACTCAGGAAATTATAATGAAAATGATCTCAAATTCAGATTTGCATTTTCCAATAATCCTGTCTTCTTCTGTCTCAATGTCGTATTTAATGAAAAAGGAATCAGAAGATGCAATGACATCAGGCAAATTATGCCAGCACCTTTCCCTAAAGCATTGATCTCATACAGAAA
The DNA here is from genome assembly GCF_000001405.40 of Homo sapiens. Classification (NCBI taxonomy): domain Eukaryota; kingdom Metazoa; phylum Chordata; class Mammalia; order Primates; family Hominidae; genus Homo; species Homo sapiens. Next base: position 4,038,818 of record NC_000007.14, on the reverse strand, counting down.
AAGATCAGAACTGGGAAAATTGTCTGCAGTTACACAATAAGAAGTGGGAGTATTGATGAGTGGACCACAACTGTGTCAGACTGAATACAAGATGCTAGTTCCAATGTCCTGCATTTAACAGCCAAAGCCAAAATTCCTCCTGCAATTGCAGAATCACTCACTTTGCCAAGGTGCATTAGAAACTGTCAGCAACATGTTTGGGACCAGTGAAGCACAGGAAATAAGAAAAGTACCGCTTTCGAATAATACCATTAGAAGATGCATGGATGACAGGTCAAATGACCCAGAGAAACCCAGTCTAGAGGATTATTACATCAAACAAGCTTCCACTGCAGATTGATAAGTGCTGATGTTAGTAACGGCACTTGGTGTATGGCATGAGTTTGAATCCCTCAAAATAAATGCTTTGAACACTATTTAAGGTACAAAAAAAAAAATTCCCTGTCTTCAATTGTTTGCCCCGGTCATAGACTCTGGGCGTGAAGAGTTTGGAGTTTAAGTTTCAGTGGAACTCAACAGAGACATCTGCCAGGAAGTGGGGAGGCCAGGACAGGGCAGAAGGAGAAGCTGTCCCACAGGATGGCAGTAGCTGAGGCCTCAGTCGATCCTCTGGGGAGCTCTGGAATAGAGGGGTCTTAAGTTGTCCTCAACTGATTCAAAGGGGACTGGGCTTTCCTGTGGCGCCGTTAGCCACAGGATGACCCATGGGAGGGGTGTCACCTTGGTCAGGCAGTTCTCAGTGAAGGTCACAGCTGTGAGCTGGGCAGCCTATGTGCCAGCACTGGGGACAGCTGTGTCACCCTGAAGAACCGACCTGGGTGGCAGCACTACAGTATCTACCATATACCAGACAAACTGCTGGGGATGAAATGGTCAAAGCTTACACAAACACTTTGGAATACATAATAGAGAAAAAAATTATAAGTTTTGGATACCAATGATGGTAAAAAGGTATAAACACTTTATAGCAAAATTCAATCTGAAGAGCCTGGGAATCAAGAAATCCATTGTTGTATTCGCAGAGAAGGTCTCTAGGTAAAAGATGGCCTATAAAGCTGTATTCCTCATTAAGTGATGTTATCAGAATGGCACGTCTAATAAAATCCAAGATGCTATGGTCCCACTTGCTTTTTGCTTTGTGAAAAATATGGAATCAGAATGTCATTTTTGACAAAAGAAGCTATTTTATTTTTATTTTTGAGATGTGGTCTTGCACTGTCGCCCAAGCTGGGATGCAATGTTTCAATCATGGCCCACTGCAGCAACCTCAACCTCCCAGGCTCAGGCGATCCTCCCAACTCAGCCTCCCGAGTAGCTGCAATTACAGATGAGTCATCACAATCAGCTAATTTTTTGCATTTTTTGTAGAGATGGGTCTCACTATGCGGCCCAAGCTGGTCTCAAGCCCCTGGCTTCCACTGATCCCCCCACCTCATCCTCCCAAAGTATTGGGATTACAGGTAATGAGCCACCATGCCTAGCCCAAGAATTTCTTTTGAGAGATTCAGACTCACGCTACACATCAAGTGTTGTTACTAACATCAGTTCTCCCAGTGTGCAGTCGAAGCTTGTTCGATTTAATGATCTTCTAGATGAAGTTCGTCTTTGGTCATCTGACCTGTCATCCATGCATCTTCAAACAATATTATTCAAAAGCAGAAACGTTTAAATTTCCTATTGCAATTTCAAATTGACAAGCATTGGCTGTCCAAAGAGTTTTGCAAGAATCTATGAACAATGCATCGTTATCATCATCATTGTTATTACTTTTGGTGAAGGGGTCTCACTTTGAAGATTGGTTAAAGCAGAGGATATTGGTATCAAAAACGGCCTCTTAAATGACGTCTTTGGGCACCTGAGTGAATGCAATAGACAGCTGCAAGAACCTGTGAAAAGTATACCAACTTAGTTCAGGCTGCTATAACAAAAATATCATAGACTGTGTAGCACATAAACAACAAACATTTATTTCTCACAGTTCTGCAAGCTGGGATGGCCAAGACTGAGGCAGATTCAGTGTCTGGTGAGGGCCTGTTTTCTTAGAGATGGTGCCTTCTAACTGTAATCTCATATGACAGAAGGGACTAGCTAGCTCTCAGAGGTCTCTTTCATAAGGGTGCTAATCCCAACCAGCCCTCACAATCTAATCCCCTCAAAGGCACCATCTCCTAACACCATCTCCTGGGGGTTACAATTTTCACACACATTTTGGAGGGACACTAATATTTAGACCATGGCATATACTAACGTGTACGTGTAAAATGTATGGATTCAAAGCAAAATTTCAACTATGTTACGGTGTTAAAAACTGTGAGATGTAATCAGTTTTGTAATCCTAAAGAAGTCAGTGTTTATGCCCTAAAGAAAAATAATGAAGACTGGTAGAGCGGCATCCATGTAGGTCTACAGAAATGCCCATTATTTTGAAATACCTGATATTAAAAACATTTGATCAGATTCCAAATCCATTTACACGATCACAAAACCATTCATTACTTTTGTCAAAGAAATAAAAAGAAGAACTGTCGACCTAAAGAAACACTGTACCCTTATAGTATAATTTAAAGAGACTTAATTATCTGAATTCTAGTTAATGTCAAGAAAAAAGTTGCTCTCAACTAAGGAAAAAGCAATAAATAATTTCCCAGCAATTGTGACCTCCTACTTTGGCAGAAGCTTTCTTGTCAATTGCGGCTTTCAAATATTTGAAGAGGTTATCATTAAAAGTCTTGAATGAAGTCATCACAAGAATAAAATCCGGTGTAGAAAATGTTATGTTCACCGATGAAGCTCAAGTTTCTTACTAAAAATCTTAAAAGAGATTTTTGACTTGGAAGTTTCATACAAATTCAGCATTGAATAGTTACGGATTGAAATGTACTTGAAGCATTTCAGTCCATTGCAGTTATTATTATTATTATGGATTTGTAAATTTTCCCATCTTTAACTAGCAGGAGCCTCTTCAAGTTGGCCTAAGAGTTTTTTTGACAAGGCCATGTTGATAGTTGATAGCATACCGTCTTTGCTTCTTGGAATGATGAGATGTTCCAGGCTCATCTTACACATTATCTGCTTCTGACCTGCAATCATGTGTTTATCCAAGAAACTTGCTATTTTTCTGTTACTAGGAAGCTCAGTGCCACTAGGTTAAGTTTTAAAAGGTAAAATCATTATAGTCCCAATTCAGACTTAAAGTTAAGACTGGGCTGAAAATCTCATTTCCCAAAGACATCAACATAATCACTTAGTTGCTTTAGCCCCACAATACTCATGCAACTGTCTTAAAGACACAAATCTGCCATGCCACTCCCACCAACATTCCAATGGCTGAAAACAGTTGAAAATCTTTTTTTCTTTGTCCTTAGAGTACATCCCACTAGGATGTACAAATTTCCATCTTTCAAAGTTATGTGAAACAGTTACTTTCCATACTGTTATGCCACCAACTCAGTATACAATTCTGTCCCTTTGCTTAATTTTGCCTTCAATTTCTTAGAATTTCTTTTCCAAAGGCTTAAAAATTAATTTAGTGCTGGCTGGGCATGGTGGCACACACCTGTAATCCCAGCACTTTGAGAGGCCAAGGTGGATGGATTGCTTGAGGTCAGGAGTTCAAGACCAGCCTCACCAACATGGTGAAACCCCATCTCTACTAAAGATAAGAAAAAAAAAAATAGCTGGGCATGGTGGTACGTGCTTGTAATCCCAGCTACTCGGGAGGCTAAGGCAGGAGAATTGCTTGAACCCGGGAGGTGGAAGTTGCGGTGAGCCAAGACTGTGCCACTGCACTCCAGCCTGGGCAACAGAGCAAGACTCCGTCTCCAAAAAAAATTAATTTAGTGCTATGAATAGATAAAATATATTTACATGCTTTCAAAGCCAATTCTATAAGCAAATATATTCAGAGAATGCTGATTTCTATTTTGGTACCTTCTTTTTCCCCATAGCTCTAGTTCTCGAATTCGTCCTCTTTCTGTTATGATATATAATATGCCATCTTGTGGATATACCATGGTCTACTCAGTCGGTCTCTTAATGATGGGCATTTTGGTAGATTCCAGTCTTTTGCTATAACAAGTGGTGTTGCAGCGAATAGGCTTGTACCTGTATCTTTTCATTTGTCTGCAAGTTCATTTTTGGAATAAACTCCTAAAAGTCGAGTTTGTGAGTGAGAAGGTAAACAGGTTAATTAGTTACTGCTAACTTGTCCTGCTTCAGGGGCTGCATCAGTTTGTGTTTTAAATGAAAAAGAATGAGAAACATTTTTAAACGCCAAAGATAATTTTCATTTTGAAATATTTCAAATTTACAAAGAATTTCAAATTGTATAAAGACATTAAAAACTGTTTGAGAGTGAGCTGCTAACATGAGGCCCATCACCCCCAAATACTGGAGTATGTACTTCCAAGAACACTCACCAGGTAACCACAATATTGGCATCAAAACCGGGACGTCGGCATTGACACATGACTGCCATCTAATCTACGGTTTCTCCTGTTTTCCCACAACGTCTTCTGTGGTGACAGAATCCAATTTTGATCGTATGCTGCATTTAGGAATCATGTCTCTTTCGTCTTCTTCAATCTGGAGTAGTTCTTGACTTTCATGACCTTGTCACTTTTGGAGGCTGCCGTCCAATTTCTTGTGCAATATGTTCCTAGTTTGAGTCCATCTGATGTTTCTTTTTAACTTGATTCAGGCTTGCATCGTAGGCACGAATAGCACAGAGGCGAGGCTGTGTTCTTTTCATCGCATCCTATCCAGTGGTACACAGTTCTGAGGTGCCCCATTACTGGTGGTGCTAACTGCAACCACTCACTGCCAGGTTTCTCCAGGGTCGAGTTACTCCGTTTTTTTTCCTTTGTGATGTATACATACTTTGTGAGGAGTCTATCCTGTTCCTCATCAAACTTCTCCCACTAGTTCTAGCACCCACTGATGTGTTTGGATTGAATTAATTAGGGGTTGTATCATTGCATTCCTAGCAGCAATGCCTCTTCCCCCTCCCCCGAGCCTCATCAGAGTATTGTCAGACTTTTGCATTTTTATCACATTGTTCTCTGTGTGTCTGTGTACCATCACTTTTTATGTGTTACCTTGATAAGGTTGAGCGTATTCTCCTGTGGTTATGGGCCATTTGCACTTCTGTGAACTCTTGTTTCATAGAGCTTGCCCATTTTTCTTCTAATTTTCTTCTTCTTCTCTGTTTTAGAGCTCTTAATATAGAGATATTAACCATTTCTCTGGGATATAAACTGCAAAGATTTCCCCCAATTTGCTATTTGTCTTGTTTTCCTTTGCTCATTGTATTTTTTTGCATATGGAATATTTTAGCTTTTTAAAGCTTCTAAATAGTCAGTTCATCAATCTTTTCATTATTGCTTCGAGATTTTGAGTCATTGTTAGACAAGTTTTCCCCACTTCCAGGTTAGAGAGACTAAAACTAGTGTTTTATTCTAGTACTTGTACAGTTTCATATTTTTAATATTGATATCTCCGATCCACTTGGAATGTATCCTTGTATATGGGGGTAGGGAATGGATACAGTTTTGTATTTTTTCCATATAGGTATCCACTTATTTCAATAATGCTTATCAAAAAGTCTATTTTATTCAGTTATTCAAGATGTCCTTTTATTATATACTAAATTGCCATATCGAATGGGGTCCATTTCTGGGCTTTCTGTTCTGTTCCGGACATCTTCTAGTCATCCACCAATAGACACACCATTTTAGTTACAGCACTTTACAATATGTTTTAATACCTAAAGGAGACTAGTCCACCCTCATTACTTTTATTTCAGAAGTTTCCTGACTATTTTTGCTCATTTATTTTTATGAATGAATTTTAAATTAACTTTTCTAGCTCCAGAAAAAAATCTGTTATTATTTTATTGGGGATCATGTGACAATTCTAAATTCACACAAGGAGCACTAACTTCCCTGTGATGTTGAGTCTTCCTGTTCAAAAACACGGTCCGTTTGTTTACACCTTCTCTAGTAACTTCCAGCAGCATTTGTACTTTTCTTCGTATGTGTTTGCTATTTCTTAAGTTTATCCCCAGCTTTCTTTTCTTTTCTAATGTTATTCTGTTATTGTAAATGGGATCTTCTCTCTGATTACAACTTCAAGCTATGTTTTGCTTGTGCATATGAAGTCGGTTTGTTTTTTCATGCTGATTTTATAGCTTGCTAGTTTGCTAAATTCTTTATTGCTCATAGTAGTTTCCAGATATCATATATTATTATCTGCAAATAAAGATAGTTTAATCACTTCCTTTTGGGGATTTATACCTCGCCTTGCTTTCTCTTGTCTACAGCTGTGGCAAATGTGTCGATTTCAATATTAAAGAGCAGAGGAGACTGTGGACTACCTTACGCTTCTGCCTTCAGCAGGAATGCCTGTAGGGTTTCCCAGTCAAGTAGATGGGGAATGCAGATTTGAGAGCTTGAGGTACATGCACAGTTTACCGTATCAAATAAATGTCAATACATTTCTATTTTATCATATGCTTGTACTCCAGATGGGCATTGAATATTGGCAAATATCAAAACTGCATTCTTGGAATAAATCCCACTTGAATATGATCTACTGTTTTAAATGTACTGTTGGATTTTGATAATTTTTACCATTTTAGCTTTTCCCATCAACACTCTTAAGATAAAACTAATCCGCAACTTTCTTATCTGGTGCATTTGTCTGCATTCTTTGGACCTGTTTGGGTTTTCTGTGGCCTAGGACATGATCGATCGATCGATCTATCTATCTATGTACTTTTTTTTTTTTTTTTTTGAGGCAGAGTCTCACTCTGTCACCCAGGCTGGAGTGCAGTGGCGCTATCTCAACTCACTGCAACCTCTGCCTCTCAGGTTCAAGCGATTCTCCTGACTCAGCCTCCTGAGTAGCTGGGATTATAGGCGTGCACCACCATGCCCGGCTAATTTTTGTATTTTCAGTAGAGACAGAGTTTCACCATGTTGGCCAGGCTGGTCTAGAACTCTTGACCTCAGGTGATCCACCCACCTCGGCCTCCCAAAGTGCTGGGGAAATGTTATTTATTTTTATAAAGCTAATTAAGTCCAGTATATTTATTGATATAATCAATAAATTTCACTTCACTTCTGTCATATAGCTACATATATTTGCTATATCTACATATATTTATATGTAGATAGTTGCTATATCTACATATATTTCTCTACATACATATAATTACATGTACACTTCTTGACATATGTAAGTGTGTGTGTCTTTATTTGGTCTGTTTTCTCTCTTTTTTGATATGTTTTAGTAATCGGGAAGGTTTTTGTACTTTTGCTCTAATGTTTATACACACATAATTCAGACGTTTACATAGAACCTTAGTCCTCTCTTTCTCTGGATACAATCTATTGATTCTCTGTTATGAGTAACATTACCATTGGCTAGTAAACTTTTCCTTTCCTCCCTAAAAATTCTGTGATAAAAGATTACAGACTAATAATATGGCAAAATATACAAGTTCAATTTATAAATATTATAATTTGCTGAAATAATTATTTTGGCTTTAGATTTTCAATTACACAGAAGCCGATTTTATCTGATAACTGCATGCATATGTGTATGTGTGAGGATGTACAGATGTACGTGTATATATACATGTACAAGAACATATCTATGTATACTTAAATATGTGTATATAGACTTATCTGTGTCCATGTATATATACGTGTCCACATGCATGTGTGTGCATGTGTATATATAGATGCAGATGTGTATGTATACATGTATATGTATACTTGTCTCTGTTTGCGCATGTATGTGAATGTGTATGTATGGGGGCCTACTGTTATGAAACCTGGTCCTTTCTTTGTGTTTATGTAACAAATCTAAGTTCGATGTCTCTGCCTTAATGGAGCTCATAGTGTAGTAGGGGAAGCAGACATTTACACTTCTGTGTAATAGTGCTACAGTGCAGGTCAGCATGGAATTCTTTAAAGGAGGCCCTACGGAGGAGACAGTTCCTGGGCCAAAGCTTTAAATATAAGTGATAATTGCCAGATGAAACACAGCGGGAAGGCTAGTGCAACCTGGGAACATGCCAAGGCATGGACGCAAGCTGGAATACATACGCTCCATTCAGCATCATGGTTTTGTTATATGAAATTAAAATCACCTGAATGTTGGTGCCGAACGCTTCTTGTGTGAAGCTTCATAGCACCAAGGCGCGTATGAAAAGCCCGTTGATGATGTCCAGATAGAGTTATGCAGACTGGAGGAGAAGGTGCCCCAGGGGCCCTCCTAGGTCACGGCATGTGCCAACTTGCTGGGCAGGAGTCCTGTCACCTCACCCAAGCCTGCGACCTGTCAACTGCCACCAGCAAAACTTCTTGGACCCAACCTTCCTGCTCCTTACGTCAACTCGTGCAGGGTGTACATCATAAGGAGGATTTCCCTTATGCTGAACTGAAATCTTTCTTTGAGCAACTTCTGCCCATTGGTTCCCCTCTGTCTTCTGCGTAAGCTGTTTTCGTACACATATATAGCTGTCACACTATTTGAATGTCACAAAGATATCTAACTGGACTTGACTATGATAGGAGGAACACATGCCTTGGTTCTCTCTGTGTGGCTCACACGATGAGACAGATGAAGCACTGCCCCTCTGGCTCTGCTCCTCAGAGGGGCCTGAATTTTCCTGCTTCCCCTGGTGGCCAGGCACCCGGAGCCGATGCTTGACGCGCATCTAGCCAGTACAGGGTTGTATGGTGCTGCCATTTACCTCGATCTGGAAACCTGTCATCCACAGAGAGTTTAAGTTACGGTCACAGCTCTCTCTGGGTGTAAACCCCAAGTGTTATAACTGGTGACAAGTCACGTCTCCCCATCCTGCTGCCACGTTAGTGGTTGTTGTATCCGAGTGCAGCATGTTGGCTTATCCTTTCTACATTTCAGTGTGTTGATTCCAACCACCAATCTAACAAAGCAATTTATTTTTGATTTCTGATTCTGGGGCAGAATCGATGAATTACCCCCTTAGCTGTGACACCTGCATATTTGACAGGGATGCCATCTCCATTTGCTCCAAGTCACAGACGGTACTGCCCAGGAGAAGCCCAGCATGCTAGAGTTTGTTGAGGTCACCCTCCAAGTGGTGGCTGATCAAGTAAATCACACTCTTTGGGCATAGCTCAATCCCCACCCTGCTTGGGTGATGTGAGTGGGAGTCCATCTAATGACCTATTACCCAATCCATATTTCTCATCTTATCTACAAAGTGCTTACTGAATGAATGAATGAATGAATGAATGAGTGAATGAAAGAAAATCGGCAGGGCATAGTGGCTAACACCTGTAATCTCAGCACTTTCGGAGGCCCAGGTGGGCAGATTACTTGAGGTCAAAAGTTCAAGACCAGCCTGCCCAACATGGTGAAATCCTGTCTCCACTAAAAATACAAAAATTAGCCAGGTGTGGTGGCACGTGCCCATAATCCCAGCTACTCAGGAGGCTGAGGCACAAGAATTGCTTTACCCAAGAAGTGGATGATGCAGTGAGCTGAGATTGTGCCACTGCACTCCAGCCTGGATGACAGAGTGAGACTTCTTCACAAAAAAAAAAAAAAAGAAAGAATAAAAGAAAGAAAATCAAGCTACAGGATGAATATGGTATTTAGGTCTATCAATTCAGTGACCCCCACCCCCCTCGGAAAAGGTCTATCAATTCAGTGACCCCCACCCACCTCGGAAAAGGTCTATCAATTCAGTGACCCCCACCCCCCTCGGAAAAGCAAACGGGGTTGGTAGAATGTGCCGCACTTTGAGCACACCCGACGTGACCCCTGGTGATGGCTTCCTGGGAATTACAGGAATTACAGGGTTGTGCTTCTCTTGGCGTCTTCCTTTTACATGAACCTGGAGTCCTGTCCCCATCAAGTGTTGCAGAGCTCCGTCCAAGTATTTCCTCTCCACTCCTCATCTTCCAATGGGTTTTCCGCTGAATGGGCTCTTCCTCTCCTTTTTGAGATGAACCCCATCCCAAGTCACAACAAAATCCCGTGTTTAACAAAAATCTCATTCATCTTGACAGGGAGCCGATCAAAACCAGAAGAAAAGGGATACTTGACTGGAAGTCAGTGTGGCCAATGAGACCTTCCCAGCCTGTCCTCCAGAGAGCTAGAGGTGGAAATGTGGGACATAAAGTGTTATGAAATTCTAGCCTCCTCCAAACGTGTGTTTTCACTGGTTCACCTTGGTCCCAACAGCTCAGTCCTCTTATGTAGACAATGTGTCATCACCCATATCCACCTTTTTCCCAAAGTCATGACCTTTATTTTAAGGAGACTCCAGCCTCCCACCCAACCACCAGAGTTTCCTGAGACACAGTTGAGGTTTCTTCTGAGAGATTTGCCTGCACACGTGGTGATGTCACATGTCACATGCTGTGGTTCACGGGGACTGTTGCTTATTGTTTCTCTCCAGGAGCCTGGACTGATCCTCCGTGGGTACAAGCCCTCTGCTATGACAGCTGGTGGGGCTCATGGTTATTAGTCCTTGGTATTACATTCTTCTACCTATCAATGCCTAAAGAAGGTTCCTAAATTAGAGTGGGTGTTAGAGTCACCTGGAGGGCATGTCGAAACACATATGGTAAGAGTTTCTGATTCAGTGGGTCTGGAGTAAGGCCCGAGAATTTGTATTTCTAACAAGTTCCTAGGAGATGTTGATTCTGTGGGTCCACAGACCATCTCTGAGAACCACCACTGTCAATTTGCTTTTCTACTTATTTTCTCCTCCCTTCCTTCCTCCTCCCCTTCTTACCTAATTGCCTACCTTCCTCTCTGCTCCTTTCTTTCTTCCCTCTCTCCCTCCCCTCCTCCATTCTTCCCCTGCTTGTTGCTTTTATTCTATCTAGATCCTAATTAATTGGTTGATAGAAAGCCCCTACTCTCGTTCCCACAAGCCCCTTCTCCCCCTTCTCCTCTCCTCTACCAGGACCGTTTGCTGCCAGTTAAAGCCCACAGAGTCTGTGACTACGTCCAGCAGGTATTTTCCCTGCTGCTGAAGAGAGAGACACACATTTTTATTTTTGATATTTAAGTCATATAATGTGATGAAATTAATATAAAGCTTATTTGCAACACCCCTGAGAAAAGATTATTACTATTCATCTTCTCTTCCATCTACATAAACGGAGAAATAGTAGAAAATGATGGTTAATCCGAGGAAACTCATGCTAAGCATGGAGCTCTAGGATGTTTTGGAGATTTGCAACATGTCAAATAAAATTAATAAACTGATATTAGGAGGTGCTGGGAGAGCAATTCATAGGCCCTCCTGGGCCAGGTGGATGTGAATATCCAGGCCTCTGCAGTAAGGAATGAGCAATTTCTACATCCTACTTAGTATCCCTACGGGACTGTGCAAACCCCACCTACACATGCTAAGGAGCCCACTGAGAATGCTGTAAAATCAGCTGGATTTGGCACAGGAGGAAATTAGAGTGCACTTGCCGATATTCTAACATGCCCAGTTCTATTTACTAAAGCAACACCACCTTCCCTGTTACACATAAACCGTGAAATCTCAGTTTCTCTACACAGTGAAATTTCATCGTCCATGACCCTCAGGTGCAGTATCAGTTCTCCTGGGTGCTCGGCAGCCTTCACTGGACCATTCAGGGACCACTTGCTGGCTCCGATCTCCTCTAGCAAGCCAGGGGCTGGGAGCCGAGCAGCCAGTGGGGGAGCTGCTTCTACCCCACGATGCAAGAAGCACAAATCTTCACGTCCTGCACAACAGCACACACCGTTTTTCATGATCCCAAATGTACATGGTTTAAACTATAAGGGACTGATGCATCTATCCAGAACACAGCAGGGATTCACAGGTGTCCATTTCTCCAGGTTACCACATAGAATTAAATGTATACGCCTTTGAAACCAGGGAGCGGTGAGTTCGTTACCTGGTAGAGTCACCGGCCGCACACCGCTGGGTGGGTGTACATATTGCCGTTTGTGTGCCGGGTGTTATCGTTAATTCCAGATTGTTATGGGCCACGGCTGAGTTCTCGCGTTGTTATGGTGCTTGCAGTTTTGATAGACCTGAAGGTTCTCACTGCATTAAACATTTCTACGGCATTATTAGGTTAACAAACCTTTGACAAATAAGCTCAAGTTTCTTTTCTGATGGCCTTCAGAAGAAAATACTTTAACACTTAAAAAGTTTTGTGTGTTCCTTTCTGAACTTATTTTTTTTTCCAAATCTTTACTTGCCAGGCATTGAAGAGAAGCATTTGGGGCCAGTGTTTGGGCTGGGGTGGGGGCACAGCACGTGGGGAGAGCCCGCAGGCCCTGGCAGGCTGTCTGCACACCGGGCCCTCGTGAAGCCAGTCGTCTGACTCTGAAGTCAGTTAGGAACAAGATGTTATTTCTATTCACAAAATACCAGTTTCATTCCTAAAATATATCTTCGCCCATGCCAAACGCTGAGCTTCTAAAACATGGGCCCAAGGCCACCGAGGGTGGAAGCTCTGGCCACTCGCTTGGGCTCCTGCCGACTTGGTGTCTCTTCCTCTTCCTCTCCCGACCCCCACTTCCCATGCCCTGTCTCTGCATTCTCCGCATCTGAAAATTGCATGTTTGTGGTTTCTCTTCCACTCTTCCCACGACCAGCTCCCCTCTCCAGCCGTGGGGCAAGGGGCCTTTTCCATACAGCATGGGGACTGTGGAAGACCAGCGCTGCGGCCTGGCGTGTCCAGGGTGCTGAGTGGCATACCTCCCCAACGCTGGGGACGCGTTCGTGGACCTAATTTCCCCATGCGCCTTCTGGGCTGCAGTCCCGGATTCAGCATTTCCAGCAGGGGAGGGGGAGGAGGAAAGATTCTGCATTTAGGCTCCTGAGCAAAGCCAGGCTCAGTGTGGGCGGCACCCAGGAAGGGTTGCTGTTGGACATCACAAGGCAGAAAGACAGGAAGGCCTAACTCACATGTGACAGGGCTCAGGACTGCTTTCTTCCGAGACTTCGAGACAGCAAGAGTCAGGGCAGAAGGCAGGCTATGGTGCTGAAGATGGAGATTAAAGTGGTGCAGCACTGGGTGTTGAAACAGGAACAATAAGCCCTGTGTTTTCAATCAGACATCTATTTTATGCTTTGTTTACTTATAGGTCAGGCATTGTGCTTGGATATGGGGATACAGATATGAAAAAGACAAATCAGACACAGCCCCTGCCCTCACAGGGTTCCTAGGCTAGCAGGAAAGACAGGCCTGCGAATCACAAAATAAGGTGATGCTCACAGTAACTTAGATTGGTTTATTTTTCCACATGTCCTCTAGCGGCAGGTGAAGGGTAAGTCCCAGGAACCCCTTCTCTGTGTGCACAGAGGTGATCTGCACCGATACAGATGCTAAACCCTACCTGCCCTGCTCCACCCCAGTCCTCCGCTATGTGCCTCGGCTGGCGGCCCTGCTCACGCCCTCACTCAGACCCGTCTGTCTTTACAGTTGAAAGGATAAGACAGGCTTCATAGCCGAGACCCTGATGAATCCTCTGTTCGGCGGAAGCTTTTTCCGAAAGGGAGGCAAGAATCAGTCAAACCAAACAGTGTTGCTGTATTGCTGGAATTCAGGATTTTTCAAACTGTAGGTCACAAATACACTCGTGGATAGGGAAATCAATTCCGTGGTCACAGCAGCATTGTTTTAAAGAATGAAACAGAATGGAATAGAACAGAAAATACCAAAGTACACATACACTGGGAGAGTCACTATTGTTCCATGGATGCTCTGTTTGTGTGTGTGTGTGTGTGTGTGTGTGTGTGTGTGAATGCAAAATAGAGTTCTCATTGTGCACCGCAGTCCAAAGTGCTCAGAAACCACTGCAAACCCACCCTCTACGGCGGCAGAGTGAGAAGCACGCCCATGTCTTTTCTATTCCACATAATGCGGCTGTGGGAATCTGGAAGTCATTTTTCACCAGGGCTGATATACACAGAATGAAAAACAAAAACAAAAACAAAAAACATAAACTGTAGTAATGGCAGATGATAGCCTGGGCTTGGGAGCCCAGCAGACTTAAGTTTCGGCTCCGGCATTTCTCAGCATTGTCCAGCTATATCACCTTGGGAAAGTGAGTTACCTCACTGAGATTCCATCTTTGCCTCTGTCCAATAGGGATATGATGCTTATCTTATGTGACCCCCAGGGATGAATGGAGTAAGACAGTGAATGTAAGGACGTGGCACAGCATGGTGAAGGCTGGTACACAGTGGCTTCCCCTAAAGCATGAGCTTCCTGTCCTTTGTCTTCCTGTAGGTTCTAAAAGACCAAAGGAAGCCCACCCCTAATGGAATATTCCATATCTATTTTGTTCAGTTTTTACTTAGTGTTTTAGGCAACGCTGGGAGAATCTGGAACATTATCCTATTCTGCAGGTACAGCCTGAGGTCTAGAAAGTCTTGTAGGGCTTGAGAAACAAATCTTTTGTGCAATGTCATTTAATGCCACATTGAGAATTTCCCAAGAGGAGATAAGAATGGGGCTTGCAAACAGAGTGCTCATTTATAATCCTTACTTTAGAAAACCTTTCAAAGCCCAAGTGAACATTTAGGAGCTTTTACTAATGTTTTAGAAATGTGGATAACCAAATGTTTTTTCCATTTCTTTTAAAATATGAAATATTTCTCTTTCATTATAAGGTAATGTTCTGAAACCAGAATAAATCATTACAGCACAAATATACCTGTTACAAGAAGAAAAATGATAAAGAAATAAAACCAGAAAAAAAGGAAAATCTTGGTGTGCTCAGAATGATGATTTATAGCATAATTTGTCTCTGGACCCCTTCTAGAAAAACCAACATCTGCGTCTTAATGGATGAATTCAAAAAATGTATAGAAGGAGTTTGCTAATCCATACAGGCTTGTTTTAGGACAAAACTGTAATCGATTACATTTTATATCCTGGCAGTGTCCAGTGTTCCACACTCAGGTTCACCTGAAAACTTCACAGCCACATTCTTTCTTCCTGTGTCTTTCATCATTATTTGAACAATTTCTAACAAAAACTGAATTTGTGAGCCAAACAGCGAGTCAGCATCGATATGAACTACTGATTGCTTCAAATGACTATAGTACTCTCCCTCCCAAGCTACACTATTAGAAAGTTGCTGAAGTAAACACTGGCAGTAAGAAAAATGTTTCTAATTATACTGGGCACTCGGTTATACACAACTTACACTCCGCGGAATTTTTTCCACTCGACACCAAAAGCGTATTGATTTCTGAGTCCATTTCGGTTATTTAAATTTAAAATTCTCGAGTAAATTTCAGTTATTTTCCATTTCATCGTGGGTAATCATCATGGAAATTTGATATGCGGAACTGAGTCTGTTGGAGTTTCAGGCCACAGCTTCTGTGAGAGCACCAACCTTTCCTCTCACCCCTCAGAAAGTTCACTTGGCTGAAACTGTATTAGAGCTTTGCTGCTCAATTTGTAAGTTAATATGTCCCATTTTAAAATGCCTTGAGCTGAAAAGGTCATGGAGTCACCGTTAATAAAATCTATTAAATGGGATTGGCCGACAAGATAATGGGGGATGGTGGATGAAGGGGGATAAGAAAAGTCAGGAAAGTTAGAAAGTTTATATTAAGTAATCCCCATGTGTCCAAGGTGCTAGCCCATGCCGAGAGCTTGCGAAGAACTGGAGTGGACAAACCATGCATTGTAAATATATCTGAGCCATAAATGGGATTGAAAAGAAAAACAAGGGCCGGGCGTGTTGGCTCACACCTGTAATCCCAGCACTTTGGGAGGCCGAGGCAGGCGGATCACGAGGTCAGGAGATCGAGACCATCCTGGGTAACACGGCGAAACCCCGTCTCTAATAAAATACAAAAAAAATTAGCGGGGCATGTTGGCGGGCGCCTGTGGTCCCAGCTACTTGGGAGGCTGAGGCAGGAGAACGGCGTGAACCCAGGAGGTGGAGCTTGCAGTGAGCCGAGATCGCGCCACTGCACTCCAGCCTGGGAGACAGAGCAAGACTCTGTCTCAAAAAAAAAAAAAAAGAAAGAAAGAAAGAAAAGAAAAACGAGGAGTGTGGCCAGTGAGTGGTGGGGTCAACATCGCACTGTGCTCACTACATACTGCTGATCTTCCTTAAGGAGTTGCCTGGAAGGAAACACATTTGAGACCAAAAATGTATGCTCTAGAAGAATGAGCTGCTACCTCCCCCTGCAGCAGACAGCTTCTCCATTGCTCCCTGCCTGCTGCTTGTGCCAACCAGGGCAGCCTGCATGCCCTTCCCTCCCTCAGCCCAGGCATATGCTGTGTCACTGCTGAGTTCTCTTTGAGACGGCAGCCTAGCAAGTTCCACACCCGCCTAATGGTAGCGCACGCTGCACCATCTTTCCCGGGCATTCGGATACTTTCTCAGGAGGAGCTCAATCCAAGGGCCTTATTAAAGTCAAGATGAATTACATCTCATTTCCCCGGATACCTCAAGCTGCCACTCACTGAAGGGAGGAGGAGAAATGAGGCTGGCTGGCCTAGGGCTTCCTTCTTCTCCTGGCTGGGCATTTCCTGCCTTCTGCATGCTCTCTGACATGCTGTCGAATTCTCTTTGTAGACATTCCAATAATTTCCCAAATTATGCCGACAAATAATTAATTTTATGAGTTATGCTTTCCCTTTCAGTTTACAGGCGTTTTAATTACTCCCTTTTCAGCTTCAAGGACCTGCTCAAGCCCCTAGGCTGCCTTGACAATCAGTGCTAATAGCTGGGGGTACTTCAAGCCCCTAAGTGGGGCTCCCAGCAGCAAATAAGCATTTAGCACTTAATGCCCAAACAGCCCCATGGAGCTGGGGGCCTGAGGCTGAGGAGCCCTCAGGGGATGGGTGGGAAGTCATGGCCTGAAGGACCTGTGCTTTTGCAGTTTTCATTCTGTGTGAGGCAAGCCAGGAGCCCATTGTCAGATTTCATCTCACTTAGAAAGTGAGGCAGAAGCTGTGAGCTTCCCCTTCCTTCCTTAACAAGGGACAGATATGTGCCCAGCTGGAAGGCCACGTTGCCAGCCTCTGCCACAAGGAGAGAATTCCAGGAATTGTAAGCAGAGTCAGCAGCAAATGGAACTTCTAAGAAAGTTCCTTAAAGGTGGGCATACTCGTTCCCAAGGCACAACCCTGAGGCTTTCTCCTTGTTGCCTTCTAGAGTGGGGACGCAATGGCTGGCACTGCAGCAGCAGGCTTGTGACCTGAGGCACGTGCTAAAGTGGCAGCCAAAAAGACAAAGAACCCTGAATCTCTGATGACCTCGGAGCTGCTGCTATGACTGCCCCACCTACTGCCCAACCCCCTGATGTGAGAAAAGTAAAAACACAGCTCTATCTTGTTTAAGCTCCTGTCACTGTGGGTCTGTTTCTAGCAGCCAGACACTATTCCTAAGCAACACAGATAGCCACAAACTCTGAGGTGTCCCCGCCACGTGGATCACAACCCTCGTGTCCATAGCCCGTTCCTCTGGGTGCTGACTGAGGACTCTTCAAAGCACGCCCAGTACCCCGATCTGTGGATAGATGAGGGGTGACCGTGCATGAGTGAGGCTGATTTCTTTTCTACTTCCTGCTCTTATTTCATGAATGACAGTCTCACCTCCAGGGCCAGACTGCAGGTCCCCAAGGATGATGACACACCAGATATCTTCCCTACCCTCGGGGTCAGGGCCCTTCCCACAACTCTGCACAAACTGCAGGTGCTCACATCAATTCTTGAGTGTCTCTGTTTGATGTTACTGTCAGTAGGGAGATGACCCCCAGATCTCTTCCAGTGTAATGGCCCCTATGGAAGCATTCAAATACCCTAGTAGACACTCTTCATCACAGTGGAAAAACGAATACAGACAAAGCCACAGTGCTGGCATGTGTGTGATGTCTCCTTGTTTTGAAAGCCTTTTCACACGTAGTATCTCATCTCCTCTTCACAGTGCCCTTTGAGTCAGGACAGGTGTAAATGCCACAGTTTCACAAATGAAAACTGCAGGCTCAGAACGGGCACAGGTGCTTCTTGAAGGCACATTAGTAGTAAATATGGAGTGAGGCCTGGATGGACTCCCAGGAAGGGCTCTTTCTGGGGGTCACATATCCAGAAAGATGTGTGAATATACACGTGTGTGTGAAACGTCACGCTCACTGCGCCCCCACCACTGTCCCCCTGATGCATTCACAGTCCCTCTTGTCACTCTGCTTCCTCATGTGCCACCTTCTAGGCAGATCCCTTTCTGTCCCATTCATTGCATCTTCCCCTCCAGAGCCAGGCAAGCATTGCCCCCGTCTTCCCTTCACCTCCCCAGCTCTTTCTAGACTGGTGGTCTGATGTCATCTCCTAGCAATGTACTGTCACAGAGGGGAACGTGGATTCAGGACAGAATTCATACGCTCGCTTCATTCTGTTCAGCGGCAGCGTGGCTGGCTGGGAGGTCCTTGAATAGCACAGAGGGATAAGTGCATTTGACTACACTGAGGCATCAAGGCTGTGCAGCCAGCCAAGCCAGCCATGTCCCCCAGGCCATGGACCACCCTTCCTGCTGCCTGCCACGTGCCTGACCCCAGCCACGTCCAAGGGATAGTGTCCTAACACTCTGGCCAGTAACTGTTATCAGCCCCCAATTTATCCTGGGACTCAAGCATGTCCCTCGAACAAAGAAGGGTCAGGTGGGTGGTGCCCGGCGTCTCCGAGACTGTCACAAGCCTGAGATGTTCATCCTCGTGGCCCAGGAATAGGTTTAGGGTTGGAGTCAGGGTCTGGAAGAAAAGCATGACATGACCTTCCCAATCCCAGCAAGCTCCAGGGAGATTCCCCAGAGGCATTTACCATCCCACTGAGCACACGGGAGTCCGAGACATCCAGAGAGGGAGGGCTGAGTCCCTCAAAGGGAGGACGGGGCCACCTGTGTTTCCACACCAGGCTTAAAAGGGAACAAGGGAGGGCCATCCACATCTGTATAAGGGTGCTCCCAGGAGTGCCGAGGCAGAAGACATGAAGAAGACACGAAGACAGGAATTACGACTGTGTCTGCTGGGCCCTCCGAGACCCATGAGGGGCTCTGTATACCAACCCCCAATGTCAAACACCCAAGTGAGGGAAGGATGGTGCTGCTACAGAAGCCGAGCTGCAGATGGGAAACTGCACGTGCAGCATTATCCACTAACGTTCACTCATGAAGAGCATTTTTTTTTTTTTAAGTATAGATGATGAACCAGATTTGGACCAATCGAAGTCAGGTTCTCATCACATATGGGAAAAAGTTCATTCCCAGAGCAATGCATAATTTAGTAATTTCCCCATCCAGAAGACTACTTGGACATGGAGGCGGGACCCCACCCACTGTGCCACTATCTTAGGGGAACCCTGCACCCCAGCCCACTAGCTAAGCACAGTCCCTCGCCAAATCTCCTCTGAAATCTCAAGTCCTACTGACGTCAGAGGCAGCTGATGTCACTCAGAGAACAGCAGTCTTGTCTTGGAAGCCTGGATGTCAGTGCTGGTTCTGCCTTTGTGGCCTGTGTGATTTCTGACCAACTAAATTCCAGTTAGCTAATGTTCAGCTTCCTATGAACAGGTGTCTGAAAATGAAACTTGCCCTGCTGTATCCTATAAACTGTCTGCACTTTGAGGAAGGGTCTGGGCTCTGTTCCTGTTTTTATACCCAGTCCCACTGTACAGGAGGCACTGGGCCTGTTCCTGTTTTTATACCCAGCCCTGTTGTACAGAAGGCACTGGGAGGTGCTTGTGGGGCCGAAACTGCATTCGTTTTCAGGGTTGCTGGAAGGCACAACCCTGGAATCCATGAGAGCTGTTTTGAAAACAATGGCGTCCCACCTAAACTTACATCCCTATCTCTTCTCATTGCCAGCCTTTGGAGCTAGAGGACACTCATCAATTCATTTTTTTTGTCTCTAGAGTCCCTGCTGCCATTCTCTGCTCCCCGCCTCCTACATTCCCTGCACACCCACGCACAGATTCCGCCCCTAATGCAGCATTTTGCTCATGTCACTCACAGATCTTAAGCCTTTCATGGTTCCCCACTGCCAACTGAATAAAAGCCAGAGTCCAAAGCCTCAAAGCCCTTCTCAATTAGGTGGAGATCCACTTCCCTCTGCCCCATGCAGAACTCAAATGCACCGGAAATAAAATGAAACAGTCACAGTTAATAGTAATAAGGGATTACTAATAGCAATATGAGTCTTTTTAAGTGTTTCTAAGTTTATTGTTAATTTATTAAATAGACCAGTTAAAGCAAATGTTAACTGTCCAGGTTTTCAGCCATTTTCCTTTTCAAATGAGTAATCAAGAATTACTTGCATATGGACAGGTCCTTCCTGGCTGTCCTGCATTTTAAATATTTCTTCTAGTCGCTGTGCAGGCAGAACTGACTGCACTTAATTTATAAAGGAGGATTTATGGACTTACAGATGACAACAGACAGCCAGTCAATACGGGATGATAATAAAAGCATGTAATATCAAGGAACATTAGGTCTCAGGCATGATTTGGGGAGAGAATTGGGCAGTCAGAAACCTTGTCATCTGAAAAAGGTCAAGGTCTGGTAGCAATAAAAATGCCTAAGCAAATAAAATCACACCTGTGAATCAGGCGAGGGCATAAATCGCAGAGTGAAAAAGGATTTTAGACTCAGTAGAAAAATTACTTCCCTGGGCAAGGATTTGGGCTGCTGTAGGACAAATGAGGCTGTGTTGGGAGAGGGTCTGTTTATTCCTGCTAAGAGCAGTAACAGTGAAATGCAGATGTGGAGGAGATCTCCCAATGCTGGCTCCTCCTGGGGCTGAGATCTGAATCTTTCAGAAAACAGCGGAGGAACCAGATGCTGTGGAAAGCCTGCCACGCCGCACCCGGATCTCACCACGGATATTTAAGAACCACTGGCTTCATGACGTTTATGTCTGGTCAATTTTTCCAGGGGTCGGGGGCAGTTTTTATTGACCTAGTAGATTGTTTGCTTGTATAACTGAAAAGCACAACCAAAAAAAGTACCACGTTGCAAATTCGATTACCAGTAATCACGTTACGTCGTTAAAAATAAAACTGTGAATAATCATCGTGCTCTTTGAAAAACACTCACAGTATCACACAGAACTCCACAGCCAGCTTTCCTGTGAAAACCTACAATCATTCCATTTAGAAAAATCCAGTTCCACAGACTTTTCAAGACTAGATGCACCCGTCAAAAGGCGTGTACAGAAACTTCCTTAGTCACTGAAAAAGCAGTTGGAATATTATTTGTCTCCTGTCTACGGTTCTGTTTTCATTGAGGAATAGCTGGAGAGATCCCATTAAATACGTGATGAATTTTCTTGTAAACGCTCCCTAGGGGACTGGATTCTCTGTTTTTCTTTCTAACGTACTCCAGTCAAACCTTGCAAATCCCATTCCCCGGCAAAGATCCCGCCACCTCGTGGTTTTGGAGACAAGCTTACCTCCCTGCAAGGTGTACTCGGTCACTGCCCTGCTGAAGACGCCCAGACCGGCCCCGTTGTACGCCGCCACCTGTATCTCATACTGTGTCCAGATGATCAGGTCTGTCACCAGGCAGTAGTTCACCTCCGGGCTGGTGATGTTCCGCTGCTGGTACTCTCCGGGAAGGCCAGCCAGGCGGTACCTGCGCCACGAAGGAAGCCCATCACGATAAGGAAATAACTGGACCCAGGAACGGTGTTTACCCGCAGTTATTCCGCAGGGTTAGGGGGAAATGGAAGTAAATAATCAAGAGCAGAGCTGAGAGGTCAGCCCTAAACAATACTATTTCCCAACTCGATGATTTTGAAAAGTGTGCTCTAATCTCACAGTGATTATAAGCTCAAGGCAAAATGGAACTGACATTTCAACTACATAACGGTTAAGAAAAAATTACAGCTTTTTACATGTAACTCGTCTAGGGACTACAGTGACTTAGGACGAAAAATTCCAGACATGATTTCCATCGGGGAGTTGCTGTAAATCAGTTTGAGAAACACTTTCCTCTTGTGAGTCTGAAACGTGGGGAGACTTCCAGAAGCAAGCAGCACACGGCCTTGTGGTGTCCAGGGACAGAGCTCCATTTAGGAATTGCAGGTTTGTCCAAGTGTATCCCAGAACAAGAATCAGCGGCTTTGAAAAGGTGTTGAAATTTCTAAAATACTAGTCCAGTACTAACTATGACAAATTGCTTTGTAGAAGACCTCTGTGAGTGCTTGGGTACTATGTTCTTAGCATACTAAAGGTGGAAATTTAAAGTAGTGTTTATGAAAAAGATAATGTACACAACTCAGGACTTAGGGTGTATAAATTAGGAAATTGCTGTGTGTACTGTGAGAAGATTTGCATTGTATTATTTTGATTAGCATATGTTTCTCCATGATTCAGTCTATAGAAGTTAATGCACTGAACTGACTCAGGTAATTTATTGAGCTTTCCTGGATCAGCCCCTCTGGGTAAAGCCAGGGGCATGCCCAGTAGGAGTGACTGCCCTGTCATCCTGCAGCTTCCAAAAGCCTCTAATTTCTATCCCAGAAGTGGCTCCTGCCTCACAGTCCCACACTTGAGTGGCAGCAAATCCGCTGGCTTTTCACGGCATGTGGAAATCTTCAGGCTCCTCCAGGACGCTGATCTCTGAGCTCTGTGGTTCTGCAGATTCCATGTCCATTACCTGTGTGGTCCCACGCGGGCAGGGCACCTGAGCACGAAGGGGAAGGAGCTGAGACAGACACGCGTGGACCGGAACATCAGTAAGGCTGCTGACACCGAAGCAGAGAAGAAACCCAGAAATTCAGGCCCTAAAATGTAAAACAACTTTCCCAAGAGAAGGAGGGCTTGAAAATGAAGTGAGGAAATCGAGAAATGGTCACACAAGGTTCTTCACAAAAATCAGGAGTTTCCGAGAGCATTCTCCCGTTCCCTCTTGCCGCCGACCATGTACACTTGGTGGGGCCTGTTTGATAGAAAACAAATGATGATAAGCAGATGGCCCTTGAGTAGCAAGAAGGTACCGGGCCTCCTTCTGTCTCTTGCCTGAAAGGAGCAAGTGGCCTCTGGGCTTGCCTGGTGGGAGACTCAGGGAAGGGACAGCGTTATTCCGTGATGGGCAAAAATGAAAGTCAAGTTATCAAACCATGTTTTGGCTTCCTAGTGTGTCCATCACTGACTCCTTTACTGAACGACCTGCACCAAGCAAGTACACGTGCAATTCTCAGGTGGTGTTCAGATCACCGACGTAGCATGATGGTCCTCAAGGCGGTGGGCCACTGGGAGAAAGGCTTGGCATGGATTCACCTGTGTGACAGGTATTTCCACTTACATTCACCATCTACAAAAGATGAACGCTTAAAATAAATGGGACTGAGACAGCCATTTGGGAAAAGGTAGAAACTGGCTCTGTGCCCACACCATGCACCTGAGTAGCCTGGGCATGCTGGCACCAAGCACCATCTGTAATCACTATGACAGAATGAGGATGCCGTTTAAGAAGGATTCCTCATGTGGACCCAACGCTACACAATGCACATTCCAGGGAAGAGCTGAGGAACCAGCATCGGAAGACTTTGCTCAACGGCCACTCAGAAGCTGGGTGGTGTTGGGAAAATTCCAAACTTCTCTGAGCCTTGGTTTCCACCTCTTTAAGGTGGGTACGACAGTAGCATTTCCATTCTTGTTGCAAGAGTCAAAGGAGACACTGAATGTAAAAGAGATGTGAAGGTGTAAAGCACTCCCTAAATATATATACATTTTTAAACACTGCTCTTCTACCGAGAAGTATGGTAGAGATAACTATGAGTTATAAGGAACTACACCTGCATGAGCCACCCAACTTCTCTGGGGCCACTCTTAACAGCACTGTGAATAACAAACTGCAGAATTTACATCTTCCAAAGAGCCTGCGCTCCCCTCCGGAACAGTCACGTTGGCCCATTCTGACCAGTGGCTCCGGGTGCTTTTGTGATAGTCACAGGATGTCTAAGAAGGTCACAGTCAATAACGGAAGTGCAGGGCAGCCTCCTCTTGCTGGTAGGATATGTTGCCCAGGAGACCATCTCAGCCAGAACAAGATGATTTTTTATACAAAAATAAACAGGAGAACGTTTATAAAGGACATAACCCCTATGCTCCTCTCAAAGAAACACCCTCCCTATTATTATAAATATTTTATTACTGCACACGCGTCCTAACTACTTCTTATGGCTGGAGCCACGGAAGTGATTTATTTCTCTTTGCTTTCCTTGCATTGTGCCTCGGATCTGACACAGAGACTGTGCCCTGGAGGATACACACTCGCAAACAGAGAGCTGATGTGCAGACCAGAGGATTATGCGGAAATGTTTTTAAGCAAATTCACTTTGGCATGGCTCTTTCATTTCTGAAAACTTTGATATTCACAGGCCTAGGGTACTGCACCCTCATCTTGGAGCTTTCTGGATTTAAGCTCCTGCAAATACAGAAGATGCCCTCATCTCCAGCACCCAACTCTACTGACCCCATCACAGAAAATCCTTTTAACAGTAGTAATCCCACAAAACAGAGAAATGTGCAGTCCCCGAAGTGGCCTCGTAACATCAGAGAGGTTTTATTATTAAACTCTGTGCCCCGGGCCTGGTTCTGTGGGATGACTTTTAAAGTCCTTACTTGACGGCTTCAGCCTAAGGAAACTCTTCCTGCACATGCTGAAGAAAGGCAGAGGCAGAGGGATGACAGGCCTGTGCTGCTGGGTACAGAGGGCAGCCAATTATTCTCATTAGTGGATGGGTGCAGAATGAGAGGTAATGGCTAAGGCAGGGGCAAGAGCAGCAGTGCCACAGGAGCCCTCGGCCGCAGGCGGCGGGGACACGGGGCTGTTTTCTGGAGCGGAGGTGGTCAGGCAATTAGGAACTGTCCCAGGGGATCAACAGGAACCAGAGCCTGCGGCCCCCACCCCGAGGGGACAGAACTGCAAGCTCCTCTTCCCCCTTCTTTGAAATGAGGAAGGACAGTTGGAGCCTCGAGACAAAAGGGGCCTTGCTATTGATTGGAGCTATTTGTGTACCCCTGGGGATGGCCCATTTAAACCACTTCAGGTGGGTCACGGTCTGGCTTACATTTAGAAGAGAATCCCGACGCTGGAGGAAAAACTTGTAAACAGCGGCAAATTGGTTTTGACAGGCAAATAGTCCAGGCACATAGAAAAACACATATTAAATGATGAATGGATGGCTATACACATATATACAGGGAAGGCGTTGCCCTTCATACACAAGGATAATGAAGCTGAAGATGCAACATTTCCCAATTTCTCACATTTATCTAAGAAATTACATCTGTCTGCTGAAGACCTTTGTTAGCCACTGTTTACTGATCACACACTTGGAACGAGCCCAGGAAGGGAATAAGCGGATACCCACTGTTCTTGTCCCAATATCACTGGTAAAATGAACAAATATGTCCACAGTGGTGCAATCTATTAGAAGAGATTTAATAATTATTATGCAATTCTGCTTTACTTTTGCTTTTACTTGTGTCAACAGGCTACTGCAATGATCGCGTTCAGTGCAATTTTAAAATTAGCAGTTTTGGCAAAGGAGGTTTCTTCTCTCAAACACAGACAAGTTCAGATACAGTGTTCCCAATAATTCTAGAAGCCTAACTGTCCTTTATAAAGCAAAGACAGCACACTGGCTACCCTTCAGCCACATCTGGCCTGCAGAAGTGTGTGTTAGCCCTGCCCTTTGTTTCCAAATATATTGATTTCATTTCCAACATCTAAAAGTTGGGAGGTTTCAGGTACAAAGCTAGATCTTTGGATTTCTGGAAATAGCAAGCAACATACCAGCATGGTGACAACTGGCTAATAATTACATGAAATTAATTATTCTTAATTTAAAATTACTGTATTGAACAACACATGCCCTTGGTTGAAAACTTAAATGGAATCAAAAGACCTACAATGAGGCCAGGTGCAGTGCCTCACGCCTGTAATCCCAGCTGAGGATTGGGAGGCTGAGGAGGACAGGTCACCTGAGGTCAGGAGTTTGAGACCAGCTTGGTCACCATGGTGAAACCCTGTCTCTACCAAAAATGCAAAAATTAGCCAGGTGTGGTGGCACATGCCTGTAATCCCAGCTACTCGGGAGGCTGAGGCAGGAGAATTGCTTGAACCCAGGCAGCGGAAGTTGCATTGAGCCAAGATTGTGCCACTGCACTCCAGCCTGGGCAACAAGAGAGAAACTCCATCAAAAAAAAAAAAAAAAAAAAAAAAAAAAAAAAAAAAAAAAAAAGCTTCACATTGAACAATATACCTTGCTTCCAACCCCTAATACCCCCTCCATTCTCCTGCCAAAATGCTACCCTGACACCAGTTTTGTGTGTGTCATTTATGGTCAGATATGCACAGAATGTCTCTGCACGGCTGCCCACGTTGGCCTGTGCACTCCAGTTTGCCACAGTCTCCACCACTCCCTAACATCTCACACCTGGCCTGACTCCTTTGGTTCCTGTTTGGCTCTTACAGACATTAGAGTTTGCAACCCTCTGTGAAATCGACGCTCAACTCTAATGGCGGCCTAAAGATGGCCAATCACAGGGCACTTGCCTGAGGATGTATCCACGCAACACCCCGTTGTGCTCTGTTTCTGGGGGTGGCTGCCACTGGACCATAATGGACTGATTAGTCCGCCCACTGGCCACTATATTTTTCGGGGGAGCACTGGGTGGTTCTTCAGGTAGCATCAACCTATAAATAAAAGACGGGTAGGAACAAGAGAGATGAGTACCAGAAACAGCGGGGGCCCATTTGCATTTCATCTATCTTGCTGAATCTTGAGCCTGACTATTCACAAAAATCGGGTTTCAGGAAAAGCAAAACACACAGCCAATGAAACTGAAAGGACGTGAGAAACAGTTACCACAAATCAACATAATAGAAAATCAGTTAACCAAGCAACGAGGAAAGGTGGAGGTGACTTTGTTCTGTGTGAATAACCCCAGCACCTCAGCCCTTTAGAAAGACTGCAAGCCTGAATGCGTCCGCTCGTCGGCCTGCCGTCTCAGACTCCTCCCAAACTGTTTTCTCCGGCTCTTTCAATATTTCTCATATCAAACTCCCACATTTTGAAGAAAAAAAAAGAAAGGCATTTACAGCTCAGCTGTTCTACAAGTCAAGCCCACTGAAAGCTCAGGTTGGTTGGGGAAGGTGTGCTGAAATGTGATGAAGCCATTTTCCCATGTCACCTCCGAATGAGATTTTTCAGAGGTGGCCCTCGCAGGGATGGGAGAGCGTGAAGACCGCTCAGGAATGCGACGCCTCTGCAGAGACAGCTTCCCTTAACAGCATGCTAGGTGTTGACTTGCTAAGACTGTGGCATCAGCGTCCACCCGGCAGTGGGGTGGACAAAGAACACGGAAAACATGTGAGCTCTGAATTTCCTGTACACAGAGGGCTGTGCTGTCAGGAGCGATTTATGTAGGCACAGCCAGATCGCCACAGGAAAAATCCAAGGAACCTGCCTCAAAGCAATGAAGGAAGGCCCAGCTAAGTCTGCGTGGGCCTGTCTTTCCCTCTTTGCGACAGGCTTTTCTGCTCACGGTTTGTCCCGTCTCCCTGAGGGAAGCCAGCGGGTTGCTGTGATCAATTCCACCACATAATGTGATGCTTCTCTTTGGCATTCAGGCCCCCGGCTGTTCCACACCCCCACCTGGGGCGGGATTCACGCACCTGCTTGTCTCGGCGCTGTACTGGCCCCTGCCCACTTCATTCACCGCGCACACCCGGAATTGATAGGTACGAGCCGGAGTCAGGCCACTCACGGTGACGCCTGTCATCTCAGGGCCAACGTTTGACAGATGCACCTTCCATGGAGAGTCTGAAAGAATGAAGAAAACGAATTCAAGCCCACAGGCTTATCATGTCTGAATAATAAGAGGTGAATGCAAAGGCTTTCTCAGGGAACATCTCATTTGCTTAGCAGGACAGCTCTAGGAGAAGGAAAGCTTATCCCATTTAGCAGGTGTGGAAACTGAGGCTCTGGCCATGTGGCTAGTAACTTACAAGCCAGAAAGGCAACTTCCCCGGTGCCGCCATCAATGAGCAAAAGGATTTTTTTGTGCAACCTGCATACGGCGGTTTAAAAGGAACCAAAACGTCCCTAATTCCTGTGTTCAGTATGTAAGGGGAGAAAGTTCTCCGTCGGCTCACATGGTTAGGCAGATTGCAGATTTGTCTCCCAGAAAAGGATGCTGCACATGTCACTGAATGATAAATAAAAACTATATTCATTAACATTTTAATAAAAGAGGAAATGAGCATGATAAAGACAGATGGGCTGTGTATTTCGCAGCCCATCTGCGTGGCAGGCCCATTACACCACCACACCCTTGAGTGGCTTTGGCTGGAGAGAGGCGTAATGAAATTCACAGCGAGCTTAGAATATCTTCCCACCCAGCTTTCCAGCAGGTGTGCAAGAGGGACTCTGCCAGCCAAATGCACTCTTGCCGGCAAGGCTTCCGAAGGTTCTGCTGGAGATCCTACACCCTTGCGTGGATTTTTTGCAGAGTTTAAACAGGCTTTTCAGCCCAGTCATTTTGTAGACTGATGCCCTGGAATGAACAAAGTCTTGGCAGTGACTTCCAGCATCCGCTGTCGGTTCCCATTCTGAATTGTGATGATGCCTGAACTGAATTTTCAAGTTACTAGCGAAGTAAAACCTGGGTGGGGGAAATTCTTCTGGAAATCGAGCTGTCTCGCTGACCTGAAGTGGCGCTAAGGTCCCTTTCACCCACATTAGAGATGGTCAGAAAGAGGTGGCACATGCTTTCCACCATAGTGTTGGGCTAGGCAGAGCCTGCAGACAGTACCAGCTGCGTGTCAGCATCCACACATAAAATCCCAGCCGCTTCTCCAAAAACCTGCAGCCCCAACCGCGGGGATTCGTAAGTCTGCGCCTGCGAGCTCATTGGAAATGCACTCCAGCTCCTTACCAATCACCAAGCAGTGGCCATAAATTGCTCCAAAATGAAAATGAGACTCTCAAAGGAAACTTCTGTTGCCTCACACAGAGGTGTCTATCACTAATTCAGAATCTGCTCACTGGATTCCTTAACACAAAGTTAAGCTGCTCTGAAGCATGAAGCCAGTTGGCGATGAAGATGGGATCTTTTTAATTATTTCAAATCAAGCTGCTTCCAAAAATGGCTTTCTGGGAACGCAGTCTTCGCCACCAGCTGGGCATTTCAGCGTTCTTGGCTTTTGATTTCCAGTGACATGGATAATGGGCAGCTGATGAGGATCCCCCTCTCTGTGTGTCTCCTTTAAAAACAAAATGTGCGCATTCCCAGTTACCTACAGAAGAACTCACAGCAACTTCCCTTTTTACTCTGGGAGCCTAAAACCCTTCCACTTGTATCATGCAGCTCATGGTGATCTGGTTTGCTAAGCAGTCTCCCTTACAGAAAACAGCCATTTGTCAATGCAGAAGACGAAAGGCCATTCCCAGTATCAGGGCAACCAGACTCGGTTGGTAGAAGGCAGGGCCCCTTCGTGCCAAGTCCAGCTTCCATGGAAATACCGTTCTCATTCTGAAGAGAACTGGTATGTAGAAGAAAGAAGCATGGAGACCACAGCTGACTACGAGCTCTCCCACTTAAGGGTGTTCAGTTTTGTTTGAACTTCCGTGAAAACAGTGGACAAAACAGAACCACAATGATATTGCATCTAATACCCACTAGGGTGGCTATTATGAAAAGAAAACACATACACACAAACAGAAAATAACAGGTGTTGGGAAGGATGTGAAGAAATTCCGCCCCATTTCGCGGTTGTTCTGAATATAAAATGGTATAGCCGCTACAGACAACAGTATGGTGGCTCTTCAAAAAATTAAGACAGAATTACCATAGAATCCAGCAATTCTGCTTCTCAGTATACACTCAAAGGAACAGAAAGGAGGGGTTCGAAGAGATATGTGCATACCTGGGTTCAAAGCAGCTTTATTCACAGTAGCCAAAAGGTAGAAGCAACCTGAGGGATATGATGAGGTTTCTCTTCAAAGAACCCAATCAATCTTTTATTCTTTAATTTATAGTACCCTTCCCCCTGCTGCCCTTTCCCTTTTTTTCCTTTTTGCCTTTGTTAGATGCCCAGGCATGCCACAGTACCAGGCATTATCAGTAGCAGCTCACATTCCTTCCTTTATTTGGAAAGAGGACTAACTTTCTAGTTCATTACAGAACACCCCTTCCCCTTTCCTCTTCGCTTTCTTTTACGTGCCCACCTTATCTAAAAAAAATCAAAGGTTCAGCCAACCGGGATTAGTTTAGATTGTATGACCCGACCCCGGCCAATGGGGAAAGGGTACAGGGGCAGGACTTGCGTCAGGAATAAAGGCTCTCGTGCCC
This sequence comes from Homo sapiens, assembly GCF_000001405.40. Lineage (NCBI taxonomy): Eukaryota > Metazoa > Chordata > Mammalia > Primates > Hominidae > Homo > Homo sapiens. The sequence goes on along the minus strand of NC_000007.14, from coordinate 4,008,435 downwards.
CTTTGTTCAGGTGTGCTGTCATGGCGACTGGCCAAGGAGGCACCCCTCTGCGCAGAAGTAAAATTGCTTTGCTAAGAATCTTTTGTTCGTGTGTTCACTTTCCTTAGGATTTTGAGCGTTATTCCTAACAAACCCAACTGCCCACCGATGGATGAATGGGTAAACAAATACGATCTGTCCATACAATGTCTACTATTCAGCTTCTTAAAGGAAGGAAATTAGGACACATGGCGGAACATGGATGAACCTTGAGGACAGTATACTACATGAAATAAGTCACAAAAAGACAAATACTGTATGATTCCACTTGCATGAGACATCTAGAACAAATTCACAGAGACAGAAAGTAGGAGGAGCAGGGGAAAGGGCAACGGGGAGCGACTGTTTAGTGGTGCAGAAGTTTTGCAACATGAAAAGAGCTCTAGAGAAGGATGGTGGTGACGGTGGCAGAACAGTGTGAATGTGTTTAATGCCACTGAGCCGTGCACTTACAAATGGTGAACATGATGGATTTTTTATGTGTGTTTCACTACCATTAAAGATTAAAACAATGCCTGTAATCCCTGCACTTTTGGAGGCTGAGGCAGGTGGATCACGAGGTCAGGAGTTCAAGACCAGCCTGGCCAAGACGGTGAAACCCCGCCTCTACTAAAAATACAAAAAAATTAGCCGGGCGTGGTGGCAGGTGCCTGTAATCGCAGCTACTCAGGAGGCTGAGACAGAGAATTGCTGAAACCCGGGAGGCGGAGGTTGTAGGGAGTCGAGACCGCGCCACTGGACTCCAGCCTGGGCGACAGAGCAAGACTCTGTCTCAAAAAACAAATTAAAGGAAATAATGAAAAGATGGGGTGATAATATATAACCCCCAAGACTCCCCGAGTATGAAATCACATACATTGAAAGCATCTAGCTGTAAGCTTGGCCCAGGGTGCTGGACAGCTTGCTCTCCCTAGATCCAAGCTCCGCCCTCCCTATCCAGCTCTGTCCTCGGGACTCCTGCCCCGAGGCTTCCTGTAGATGAGGGGAGCAAATGTAAGGCTCTTTCTTCCTCACTGGGAGGCTGCCTGGGGCTACCTGGGTCCCCCTCTTTTCCAAGCAGCCACCCTACATAATCTCTCCTTCTGGGGTTCTGCAACTGCCTCGGGCTCTTGAACCTTAGAGTGAAACCCGCTCTGAGGCTACCAGCCCCCGGTAACAGTGGTTCCCCTCCACCCGCACCTCTGCAAACATTCCCCTTCTAAAACTTCCTCCTTGATTGCTCTCATTCAGGAACGCCATCTTTTCCCTCAGGAAGCTTGACTGATACTGGACTCAGTAAAGCTCTTCGTCCATCCCTTTCTTCCTTCAGACATCACAGTGTCTAGCAGTCAGCCATTCACCTGCTCCGTCAGGCACAGTGAACAAACATCGTTTCAGAAAGAGACAGTCAAGAGGACAACTGTTGAAACCAGGTGACTGAGGCGATTAATCAGACTGCGGGAGAGGCAGAGCAAGCCTGGAGACGCCGCTTTCCCGCCCTCGGCCCCATCCCGCCAGCCTGGCCCTGCCTGATCCTGGCTGTTTGTTCACTCCGAGTGTAAACAGCTCCTGAAAGTCCAGAACCCCAGCCTCAGGGTTCAGAGTCTGCTGCCTGGTTTGATTTGACAACAGGGCCTATTAATTACCTCTGCATCTCGGGGCCTGCCCAGTCCTGCTGCAGCTATAGGAATTCTTTCTTTATTCTTTTTCCTCTTTCACTAGAAAATAAAAGGTCTGGCTGGAAGAGAGATTAAAGTGAAAACTAATACAAATGAACTGATCCATCTCTGGGCACCCTGATTCATACAAAAAAAAATTGTTTTGGGAAGGATTTGCTCATTCTCAAGCTCTGGAATTGCAAGCTTGCTGAGAACTGTTAAAATTTAAATAGCAAGTCTGTTCCTGACAATCAATAAGCAACATCCCTTTAAAAGGGTCCGCCCCCAGCCGGTCCTCACAGAAGAGGGCCACAGGATGCTTGTCTTGGAGGCTGGGAGGTAGAAGAATCTTTTGATAAAGGAAACCATCCCATAAACGTTTAATACCTTTTTTCCTCCCCTTCAGGGACTCTCAGATCTAGAAGACTGAGGGATTTTACACTTCCCCAGCCAGGCTCCGTTCTACAGAGGGCATCACTACACTTTCGTTTTCTTAGTGGTAAGGCCGAGAATCACGAGGAATGAATCACAACCCCGCTTTAGCTGTTGGTTGAAAAAGCTGGTGGTTTCCAATCTTTGAAAATGTACTGGAAGCTTTTTCCAATAAAAAAGAGCATTATCAGTTTCTCAATTAAAGGTGTCTGAAGGAGGAACATGTTTTTTGAAAGAAGGTATTTTTTTCTTTTCTTTTTTGAGACAGGGTCCCGCTTTGTCATCCAGGCTGGAGTGCAGTGGCGCAATCTCGGCTCACTGCAACCTCCGCTCCTGGGTTCAAGCGATCCTCCTGCCTTAGTCATGTTCTTTTCCACCCCTACCTCCCACAATACATTCCATCCCCCAGGCTGGGACCACAGGTGTGTGCCACCGTGCCCGGCTAATTTTTGTATTTTTTGTAGAGACGGGATTTCGCCACGTGGCTCAGGCTTGTCTTGAACACCTGGACTCAAGCAATCTGTCTGCCTTGGCCTCCCAAAGTGTTGAGATTACAGGAGTGAACCACCAAGCCCAGCAGGGAGATTTTCCTTAATTGCCAAAAGCATCATCATATTATTAATACATAATATTTCTGTGGCAGTTTGCCGCCTGGAAGTGCTTTCGGGTCTGTAGCCACAGAAACCCGCTTGGGGAGGAGGTCTTACTGCGCCTCTTTTTCACTCCAGGAAACCAAGACTCAGGGAAGTTTAAATAACTTCTGCTGAATTTCACAGGTGGCGGCTACCTAGAGTGGCTCCATCTCAACATCACCAGAAGCGGGGCAGCTGGTGTCATGTGCCTCCTTGGGTGATGCAGCAGGAAGTACCTGCAATACCCAAGAAGTATTAACACACACACACACACACACACACACACACACACACACACACACTCACATAAGAAAAGAAACTACCCGGAAACGGAAGGCAGCTCAAATCCAGTCTCCAGGCAATAAAGAAGGTGCAGTAATCCCAGCACTTTGGGAGGCCGAGGCAGGTGGATCACGACGTCAAGAGATCAAGACCATCCTGGCCAACATGGTAAAACCCTGTCTCTACTAAAAATACAAAAAATTAGCCAGGCGTGGTGTCATGCACCTGTATTCCCAGCTACTTGGGAGGCTGAGGCAGGAGAATCGCTTGAACCCAGGAGATGGAGGTTGCAGTGAGCCAAGATGAAGCCACTGCACTACAGCCTGGTGACACAGCAAGACTCCGTCTCAAAAAAAAAAAAAAAAAAAAAAAAAGGTGCAGGAACCAATTAAACACCAGAATTACCAGAATCCTAATCTAGGACTTGGGGCCTTCTATAGGACAACTGTCATGGACTCTGCCCAAGCAGGAAGCGGGGAGGTAGAAGGGGGTTTTGTGGATGAAGACACAGTGAGACACAAAACAACCAGTACGATGGATGGACCATGTTTGGATCCTGATGCAAGTGTAAAAAGACCTTTCTTTTTAGACACTTAGGGAAAATTAAATATAGACTGAATAGCAGGTGATATTAATGACTACTATTAATTTTGTTAGGTGTAATCAACTTTTTGAACTGCTTACTGATCACTTAGGGATGAATTGACATAATTTCTGGAATTTCCTTTAAAACACTCTAGCAAAAGGAAAGTGAGGAACAGATGAAATAAATATGGTTAAAATGTTACTGGTTGTTGGAGCTATATTTTTGTGTGTATTTAGTACTTCTAATAATAAAAAGTTCTTAGAAAGTGTCTATTTTTGTCATAGCATTGCCAGCATGGAGCATTTTATAACTGTTGTAATTGTCTATTGGTGGGTGAAAAATGTAATTTGGTTGATGCTTTACTTTGCATTTTTATATGAATGAGAATGAGCATGCTTTCATTAAAATAAGGATAGTTCCCCCAGGTTACAGTTAAGTGGAAAAATTAGGTGCAAATTTATTATTTTTCTAATTTGAATTCTACTACTGTTTTTGCTACAACAGTCTGCATGTTGAATCTCCTGAAATATAAGTATTAGCTCACAATAATCATGGTGATCCATGAAAAGAGTTATCCACTGGCTGAGCTCCCTTGGGATCTATTTTATTCCCTGTTTGGTCCTCAGCAACTAGAAGAGTGCCTGACACACAGTAGGAGCTCAATAAGTGTTTGTGGAACAAAAGCACCCACTCTTGGAGCTACTGCTGATGGCTGTATGTGTCCACGTTCAACTTTCACAGTAACCTTGAGGGGGATAAAATGATCTTCATTTCCACATGAGAAATGGATGGAGTGAAGGCTCAGGGTCTCTCCACTCTCCATTAATGCTCCTTGTGCAAACTCCACATCTCATTGTTGCCTAGGATTTAAAGCTGCAAAGTTAAGGGCTTGGTCACAGAGATGAAGGAGAAGATGAGCTTGTCTTGGAGCAATGCCCGCGAGGGCCCCCAACATGGAGCTAAGTGGGGAGGCTTCACGCTAATCAGAGGCTCCCCTCCACCACAACAGACTGTCTCTCTAGACACTGAGTATAAGCAGGCTGCATTCCTTAGGGTGGCACTGCACACTCAAGACAGGTGCTGCTGAGAGTCTAGCCCTAGGCACAGATCAGGTTAAATTCCCCGTGTCTGGAAGGTCTAGCAAGCATCAGCAGTGATGAGTCACGTTGACAGGGTTCACCCTTGATGTGATGTGATGTGATGAGAATGGCGCTTTACCTCCCTGGTCTTCTTCCCAAAGCCCCATAATCCTGGTCTAGCTAAGAGAAGAACATCAGACAAATCCCGATTGAGTGACGTTCTACAAAACAGATCCTGGACGGGATCCTGCAACAGAGCGGGAAAGACGTCATCAGGGAGAGACTGCGGAGCTCGGAAGGGGGCAGTGACTGCAGTGAACAATAAGGTGTCACTGTGGGCTCAATGAATGGACAAAGGCACCATACTAGTGTCACAGGGGAAGCTGGGTGGCGGGTCCATCTTTGAAACAGTTCTGTAAGCTCCAAACTGCTCTAAAACACCAAGTTTAGTAAGAAAAAAGAAAGACCTACCATGAGTGGTTGGTCTGGAGCAGGCAGGGGAGGGGCAGGTTAGGAGGCCCTGCGTGGAACCTGCAGTGGAAGGTCATGTGTTTTGCATGAGAAGAGCAGATCTGTGTGTATGTGTCCACATGCGTGTGCCCAGGCACACAAGAGTGAGGGCTGTCAGAGAGCTGGGGTTAAAGCCACTGGGATTCCTCCTTGAGGCTAGAGCCTGGAGAATGAGCTGTCCCAGACATGGCTCATGCTGAACTCCTCAGTGTTGGGGGGCCTGATGCCCATGGGGTGGAGCAGTAGCAAAGGGCTAGGGCTCCATGAGCTGCAAACAGCACTGCCCAGTGCCCTCTGGGAAGGAAGCTCATGCCAACCCCAGAAGAAAGATGAACAGAGCGACCTGGAGCTCTTGGCTCCCATCACATCGGGCCCTCCCCGGGTCCCAGCAGAGGCTCTTTCAATTTTGTATTATTTTTCTTAACAAGAGCTCCGAAATTACACAACAAAACCTGGATCCACCCCTGAGAACCAGATATCCATCTCCCAACCAGATTTTTTTCCACCTTAAAGGGGTAAAAAATGGTAAATTTTATGTATATTTTGTGTGTATATGTATTTGTGTATATATATGTTTGTGTATGTACATTATTTATACCATAAAAAATGATAGAAGTTCACTTAAAATTTTTGGAAAATAAAGAGTATGGGAAGGAACTGAAATGAAACAGGCATAGGTCCATACTGCAGTTCTTGTTTTTTAAACCATTCTCATTGTTGTTCAATGCTTTGGGTAATTACTTTCACGTTTTTGGAGACTCCGACCTGTATCTTAGTGTTCAGCTCAGTGAGTTACTGAGATTAGTTTGGTGGAAGGAATGACATTTCCTCCTCTATATTAAAGCGCCCTTAAATTACTGTCGTCACATGAACAGAAATAACACAGTTTTGAAAGCCCAGACAACAAAGAATTTCAGCCTCCATGCAGTTAAACTGCTTGGGGTGAGGCTTCGGAACCCACTCCTGCTCTGAGCCACTCACCCCTCCGGCTGGAGCCCAGACTCAGAGACGGGCACAGCCAGGGCTACGAAAAAGCTTCTCTTGGTCTAGTCAGAGCTCATCTGGGCACTAAGAGAGAAGCATAGATAATAACTCGTTATGCAAAGGTTATATAAAGTGTTTTCTGCAGGATTCTAGTTAAAAACTCTGACAGTGACAAAAGGAACATAATTTTTAGTGGCACTGTAGAATTCCAAGCTTAAGCTGGTAAATACATTTGTAGAACAGACTGTACTCCTGCAGGGGACTGCGAGGGCCCCCAGATGAATGTGACTCTATTCAGGCATGAAACACATCTAAGACAAACACAATTTGAAAAGAACATTGTGAGAGAGACCTGTTCGTGGTGGCAACCCTGGAAGAGAAGACAGAGGCCACAGGAGTGACAGGGATAAACCACTGAGGACGCCTGAGAAAGAAAGAGGCTTAGGCCAGACAAAGACTTCATAGAACAGGGGGAAGAAAGAGTACGAAGTAGATGGATACTTTCTACCTAAAACAAAACACCACAGAGTGGACAGTATAAATACATTTTGATATCCTTCCCTTTGGGAAGACTTTCTCTGTTGTATATGTCTTTAGAGAAACCATAAAGGTCTACAAGCTCAGGATTAAAATGCACCAAGTTTTTGTCTTAAAAAGTTAAGAACTAAAGAGCTGAGACATTTAGAAATACATGAAACCCCCAGCTAATGGATGCAGCCCAAATGATCCCACAACAGGCTTTGAGGCCGTAGACTGCTTACATCCAGGGCACTGTGGCCTCCAGAGCCTCAGGTCAAGACACCAAAGGTGGCCCACCGAGGCCAGACTTTGACCTGGACCCAAGGGGAGACACATGCTCACCGGGAGATGTGGGCCTATGTGCTGGAGAAGCCATTCCCTCCAGAGAAGGGGCAGGAGGTTGGAAATGGTGACTGGATATATCCAGAAGCTTGGGGAACTCGATCTTGGGTGGGAGACCAATCCTAATGGTGGCAAACCCCTGCAACAGGCTGGAGATAGCTGGCAGGCAGTGGGTGGAGCAGGGGCCCCTCTCCAGATGGAAGCTGGCCTGACCTCCTGGAGCTCAAGCTATGGGAGCCACGCTGTATTCCGCACCGTGCGGTCACCACAGGCACTCCCACGCAGGAAGTTACACCATCCTGTGGGACAGCCTGGGCCAGAGGATTCCAGAAGGTGAGGACCAACCAAGGATGTGGGAGCCACCCTGGGCTCTCTGACCCCCATCTCGTCTTGGTGAGGGCAGGAAGCTAACAGGAAGTGAACGCAGAAGCAGACCTCAGCCCCCTCTGGGCCCCCAACACAGCCATGGTCCCCCCTTCATAAACACCTCTGACAGGTACTGTCTCCCTAGATGTGCATTTATTAAAATGCGGACAAATGCTATGCATGGGAGGCTTAAAAAGCAAAAGCCCAAAGAAAGACGAGCTAAAATATGAAATGCTCCCCGAAAAGTCCGAGGCCATTAGAAAACGCCTGTGTGAGGTGTGTTTCAAAGACAGTATTAAAATATTTGAAGCATGAAGAACAAAGTCTCTTCGCCATTTTGGCAAGCAAAACAGCACAACGCCCATCAGCTTTTAAGTCCATAATAGCAACAGGGGATGGAGATGTTGAACAGATTGTGCGGTGACAGCCAGGAGCAGCTTTCATGGAGAGCGGCGTGGAGACGGCTGACGGGTTCCCTACATGAAAAGGCACCTGTGGCAGGGGAAGAACCAACCCAGCCGTGCAGCTCAGAGATTCTCTTTGTGGAGGAAGAACCTCTCCTGCAAAGATGCTGGGGAGGGGCTCAGGAGAGGCACTGGGACTCAGAGAACGTGCTCCAAAAGCTAGTCTTGGCCCAGCAGCTGACAAAACCAAGCCGTGCTTCAGAAAGCAGAGGCGGAGAGGCACAAAAAAGCATCAGGCCGCTGGGGGCACCAGAACGTTCCATGCTGGAGGAAGGACAAGCTGCCTGGAGGATATTGCAACCTGAACCCCAGAACATCATCTCAGCCTCAGCATGCTCTAGTCAAGCTCACAGATGCTCTTCCCAGACCGGTTTCCTCAGCAGGCCTCCTACTTCCACGTCCAGGCCTGGGGCTCTAGGCCATCTTGGGCCCCCTCCTTCCCAGGGAAACCCCATCAGCAATTCGGGAATGACCACCTTCCTGCTCCAGGCCCTCAGCCTCCTGCTTTCCTTCACTCTCTGAGCCTCACAGACAGCTCCCTGTAGGCCACTGCCAGGTTAATCTTGCTAAAAACTTGCTTTCACACCACCTTGCCTAGCTCCCAGCTTTGTGCAGCTCTTTGTTGTACAAGACTCGGGTCTGGCATCATTTGGTCCCTCTCTGTCCCTCGCAGGCATCCCTTTTCAGCCAGGAATGATGCACCCGAGGCTGCTAGCAGTGCTCCCTCATGGTGGGGGGAGATAAGAACTCTCCCTTTATACATCATCTACTATTTCTCCAGCTTCAATGAGCATGTATTACTTTGTACTTAAAAATACATTATTAGTTAGAAAATGGTTTTTTATAAAGCAGTCCATTTCAGCCTCCAGCCTCCAGCTTCTCCTGCTCAAAGATCCTTCTGCTCTTACGAATTCACTCACTGGGAAATTTCCTGAACTCCCATTTTGCTGCCCTGCATCCAAGCCTCGGAGTCCTTGGCCACCAGCCTCCCCCGCCCCGAGGCACCAGGGCATCCGAATACTGACCGTTTGAACATTCTGCTCAGGGTCCACCTCCAAGGGCCTCCATGCCCACACCTGCCCACAGGGAACCCCCCTTCCCTGACGGTCTTGATCCTCAGATCCACTTTCCTGGCAAGCGATCACATACTACCCGACGCCCCCTCGTATATTCTTGGATTTGTGATTTAATTTTGTGAGTGTTCTTTGCCTCGAAAATGGACCTCACGCTCTTCCTGGTATCTCCTGGTGTCTAATGCTCTCAGGAGGGAGTGGATGCGCAATTTGCAGACTTGCGTGAACTGACTGTGCTCTGTACCCAAGGGAATGGGGAGAAAGAAACTAAAGGAGAGAAAGAAGGTCGATGGCTCATTTCACATGAGCCTGCCCTTAAAGTATGGTGACATGATACATGTGTGTGTGCGTGTGTGTGTGTGTGTTTGGGGAGAGATATCTCCTATTTTTAAAGAGAGCTTAAGGATATTCTAAAGTGAAAATCTGCATAAAATTGGGTGATACAATGACATACATACAAACAAAAACAAAATCAAACTCATAAAGGAGAAGAATGCAAAGAGATGGAGATGTTCTAAGCAGTTGGAATGACTGAGGTACTTCAGTTAGACACTCAGGTTAGCTTTGGGCTTCCTGGTAGCCAAGGCATAAAGGGACACATGGATGGCACACTTGCAAAAGGAAGCTCCCACATTCACCCAGAGAAGCCAGCACTCCCTAGGCAGTGGAGACGCCGACTGCACGGAACTCCACGTGGAAGACAGCGAGCGATGCGGAAGATACGGAGGTGTTGTTCCTCCCGCACATTGTTAGAAAACATGAAGATATGGGATTAACTCCTAATTCATAGAAAACAGGGCTTCTTTCTGAGTTAAGGAAAAGTACATTATTTCAGGTTTGAGGCTGGGGAACCTAGAGTCATAGATGAAGACCACGTCCCTCAGAGCATCAGCTCTGAAACCTGTCCAGGGGGCAGGGCCTTGGGAATGCATGAATTCCCAAAAGCTGAAGCGTATTGATCTTCTGAATTCTCTCACATAAACGTAGGGGTATTTCTAAATGTAATATTTTGTTATTTTAAGAATAATTTGCTTAGAAATAAAACATTTTCCTACATAATTTTAAAAAATCCTAAGAAGTGGGAATGGAAGGAATGTATTACATGATAAACAAAACTGCTCATTCAAGTCAGTATCATGTTCCTTTTGATGACAGCAGCCAGCTGCTCTAGACAGCCTGCCGCTGCCATCATGCCAGCTGTTGCAGGGAGGTGCTGCCGGGGCCGCTTGCTCCAAGGAGCCCATAGGAGCCGGGGACAAGTGGAAGCTCTGCCCCTTACGAGTTGGGGCGGGAGCTCCCGGGGTGCCGCTGCAGATGCCCAAACCGTGGCTGCAGACCTGGGCCTCCCATTCCATGGAGCAGGCAGGAGCCCTGCCCAAGTCGTGGCTGCAGATCCTAGCCTCCTTGTGCTCTTGGCGGGCTGGGAGCAGGCAGGATCCCTGCCCTCTTGGGCACAGCTGCAGCTGCCAAAACCCGCGGCTGCAGACTCAGGCATTCTTGCACTCTTGGGGACCCAGGAAGACCCCCTGCCCTCGCAGGCTTGGAAGTGCCTGCTCTCACTGCTTGGCTGCTCCCTGCTGTTGGCACCCACTCTGATCTGGGGGCAAAGTCAGGGCGAGCATGAGTGCCATGAATGGCAGCAGGAGGCAGACAGACTCCTGGGCAGAAGAAGGTGGGTCTCCGGTGAGGCCCCACCTTCAGGCCAGTGAGGGCCTGGAGGCTGGGGGCAGGGCTGCCAGTCCCCCTGGCTGGAGTGGGAACTTGTGGTGCCTTTTCCAGGCCCACTCATGGTCACCCATTGACCAATCCGCATGCACTTCCTCCCCTCTGAAGGCCATAAAAACCCTGGGCTCAGCCAGAGCTGAGCAGATGACAGGAGGACCAGCTGTAAAGAGGAGCTACCCTCTGCTGAGAGCTGCAGACATTGAACAACCTCTCCAAGGCCTTCTCTCTGCTGAGAGCTGCAGATGCTGGGACGACCAGCCGCAGAGAGAAGCTACTATCCTCTCCAGGGCCTTCTCTCTGCTGACAGCTGAACACTTGTCGGGATGAGCTGCCAGCAGAGGTGTATATAACACACCTAAATTCCACTCCAGGCCTCCTCTCTGCTGAGAGCTGCAGAGACGATGGGACGACTTGCCTACAGAGAGCAGCCACCCACTGCGGGGCTCCTCTGGGCTGTCCGGACACTCAATAAAGCTCCTCTTCATCTTCCTCACCCTCCATTTGTCTGTGAACCTTATTCTTCCTGGATACAAGACGAGAACTCGGACAAAACCGCCACCAGCCACAGAGGTTTCTGGCTGGAAAAGCGACACTCCAAAGATCCCGTAACAATTTCCAATAAGTTCAAAAACAAGAAAACCTAATCTATGGTGACAGAAGTCAGAAGAAGGGGTTAGACTGACTAGAAAGGGCCAGGAAGAACTTTCTGGAGTATTGTAAATGACTTGTATTTTGTTTGAGGTGTGGGCTATATGGCTGTATATATTTGTCAAAACTCCCTTAAGCTCCCTGCATTTTGTTACATACAAATTATATCTCAATAAAAAACAATCTATATTACACATAACAGTAAAATCCTAGTAGACATTCCACTGAGATCAGGAAAAACACAAGAGACATTACTATGCCAATTATTTAAAATTATTCCAACCAACACAGCAAGATAGGAAAAACAAAAAGAAAACAATACATTTGTATTATTTGGAAAAGATATGATCGTCTACCTTGAAAGCAAAGAAGAGCAATGGAAAAGTCGTTAGAATAATAAAAGAATATGGAATATGGCTGAATGGAAAATAAATATCTAAACATCAGTGGTTTTCCTATGTTCCTACAATAACTAATTAGAAGACGAAATGGGGAAAAATTGCTATTTACAGTAGCAATGAGTCAAAATCTCAGGACAACCTTGACAAAAAAGTATACAGCCTATGGGTATAAACTTGCAAACCTCACTAAACAGCTGAATAAATAGGGATGCATATTATTTTCTGGACGGAAAACCAGAATTACTAAGAAGTCACTTCTCATAAAACAATTTATAGGTTTAACATGATTAAAAATGCAATGAGACTACTTTTGAAACAAAATAATTTCAGTTTTTTCTGGAAGAATAAATGATGACAAGTAATAACAAAATTCTGAAAAGTTGAAGAGAGTTGTTTTATCAGTTATTAAAACACCTTTTGGAAGTAAAGCAATTAAAATACTATAAAACTGGCAGAAAAAGAGATAATGAATCAATGGAACTAAATAATCCACAAGCAGACTTTTGTATAAACAGGTCCTCTGAATATAAAAAGAGGGAGACACCATAAATAAATAGATTATTTAATAAATCATGTTGGGAAAATGGATCATTTGAAAGAAAGGAAAAGTAGTGTGCCAGAGTATATAACACACCTAAATTCCAGAAAAATTAGAGAGTTAAATATATTAAAAATTAAACCTTTATAAACAAGGCAAAAACCTATAAGAATACTCATTTTAGGCTTGAGAGTGTTGAAATATCCAAACACAAAAGTAATGAAGTGACAAAGGAAAACATCAATAGATTTAACTACGTAAAAGTCAAACACTTCTGTATGTCAGAAAGTAATATACAAACATTAATGGTAAAAGCAAACTGAAAAAATCCTTGTTACAAATGACAGAAAAAAAAAAAATCCCTAAGGCCTTGGATAGATAAATGGGGCAAAGAAAATGAACAGATCATAGCAGAGAAAGTGCTCAAAGCCAACCGACTTGGCAGAATGGGTTCAAGAATACTAGCAGTCGAAACACAAACTAAAACAACCCTCAGAAGACCCGAAACTCAGAACCCTCAACCTCCTGAATGAAGACACAGGAGGGTATCTTCGTGTAGTTGGAGTAGAAAGATTATTCAAATGATTGCCTTCTAGATAGTTGCATTAGTGTTGCTGTCTTGCCTTTGCTGGTGCCCTAAAGGCTGTTTGCCCATTGGTTGATTCAGCACTGCTGAGGCAACTCAGGAGGGAGGTGTTGGGGTCAGCGCCCCCAGGGGAGGGGATGGGGACAACGCAAGTAGAGGAAGAGATAAGGACAGCGCCCCCAAGGGAGGGGATGGGGACAGCGCTCCCAGGGGAGGGGGTGGGTGTGGCACCCCTAGGGGAGGAGATGGGGTAGCACCTTGAGACCAGAGGCAATGCCTAAAAGGAGATGCTGAGTAAGAGCTGATCAGGCAAAGGCAGAGGGGGACAGGATCAGGGCGAGAATTCCCAGATTCGGTGAGCAAAGGTGCAGTGGCACTGAATATCTGGTGTGCCCAGGGAATCCGGAGGAATGCCTTGTTGCTGAAGTAAGGAAAGCAGAATGGTGAGTGGCTGGAGATAAATCGGAGAGGCAGGGGGTGGTCAGATAGTAAACAGTGCTGCTACCATGCTAAGAAGCCTAGAATCCCCTCTTCAGGGAACGAGAACCTCTATACGGAAGAAGTAGGGCTGGCAACCTAGGGAGGACATGGGCCATGTCTACAGTACCAGGCTTCCTGAAGCCTTCCTGCCCAGCCCCAGCGGTGGGTTCTCTGCAGATCCTCTGGAAGGCTTCAGGCAGGGGAAACCACTCAGTGAGGTTCCTGTACTACTGAGCTCGCTCTGGTGGCTCAAGGGAGGATGGATTTGAGGATCCCAGATCCATGGATCACAGTGATGGGCAACAGCCAGTTAGGGTCAGTGGTGGCAGGAACAAAGAAGGGCAGGGCAGTGGATTTGATAAAAATGCATGAGGTAAACCCTATAAAATTTATTGATTGATTTGTTGGAGAGAATTAATGGTGAAGGAGTCAAGAATTACATTATGTTTTTCTCTTTTTTTTTTTTTTTTTGAGATGAAGTCTCATTCTGTCTCCCAGGCTGGAGTGCCTTGGTGCGATCGCGGCTCACTGCAGCCTTGAACTCCTGGGTTCAAGTGATCCTCCCACCTTAGCCTCCTGAGTAGCTGGGATTATAGGCATGAGCCACCACACCTGGCTAATTTTTTAATTTTTTGTAGATATGGGGTCTTGCTATGTTGCCCAGGCTGGTCTCAAACTCCTGGCCTCAAGTGATCCTCCTGACTCGGCCTCCCAAAGTACTGAGAACACAGGTGTGAGCCACTGCGCCCAGCCTGGACATTATCTCTAACTTGGAAGAGGAACAACTTTGGGGTCAGATGATGAGTTCTATTTTAGAGTTGGAGTCTGATAAGCCCTGGGACATGGAGGTGTAGATGTGTGGAAGACATTTGGTTACAAGAATCTGAGGCTTAGCAGAGAGGTCTAGGTTAGAAATACACATGAGGGACTTATGGTGTGTGGGTCAAAGGTGAACCATGGACTAACATGAGATCCCTAGAAAAGCATGTGTGATAAGAAGACCAGTGTGTGAGTGAGACAAAGCAGGGAATGCCAACATTTTAGGGGCAGGAGGGGAAATAGAGCCTTCAATGAGTCAGAGAAAATGGATAGAGAGGAGAAAATAAGAAGGAAGAATGAAGAGAAAGACTTAAGCCAAGTCCTGGGAACAAGGAGGTCTGTGTGGGGAGAGTGATCAAGAGCATTGCTTGCAGAGAAGCTGAGGGGATGTGGACTCAGTGGAGCTCACTGGCTCTGTCCTTTACAACAACGACAATATGGCCTCAGGAGAGAAGAGTAGATAGAATGCGTGAGAAGTGAGGAGGTGCAGGTAATTAGCAGAGCTCAGTCCTTTGAGGCAGAAGAAGCCAGGAGAGAGGGAGAGCTTTGAAGACAGAACACAGAGAGGAAATAAAGAGGGAGCCAAGTCCTGGAGGAAGGGCTGGAGGAGGGACCAAGGGCTTGGGTGCAGGGCTGGCTTTCAACATATGTGGGACTGTAGTGATCGTTTTTATTCTTTGTGCTTTAAGGGATTTCTAAATTTTTATTAATCAGCATGCATAACTAGAATAATAAAAAGTACAAATGTATTTTACATTTTAATTAAATTTAAATATTACAAGGTATAATAGGGAATCACAATTACGAACACTCATCCTATTAAAAAACTAACCGTAGGACTGAGTAGAATGAAGGATTCTGAATGTTTAATATGTTTGTTACCTGCAAGCATTTACCACAAGACATACAACAGCAGGTGTTAAGGTTGAAAAAAAAATCATAAGAAAAAGACTTAATTTTTCTTGATAACTGGTAGAAGGCCACCATTCTTCTGTTTCAGCCATGGGACGCCTTTGTCCAGCCCAAGGAAAACACGCAGAGGCTCAGTTTGAGAACTAGGATGGCCTCTCCCAAATATCAAGGTTGCCGTGGAAACTGGTGGCAACTGTTGCATTAAACGAAAATCTCCATTTCTAACACTGTGCAATGCCGACTCACTCATGTGAAAGAATAAATTTTTAAGAAGGTAAAATAACGGCTCTAATGCAACGATAGAATCAACATGTATCAAAGATTTTAGTTGTCATTAATTTATGAGGGAACCAGTAAGACGTTTCAACTGTATCAAAAGAGAAAGTGAACAGCCCACAACATATTGATAGTGCAAAAATGAATTTATAAATAGATGCAAAACGGGTCAGTATCTGCAGAGCAATAGCCATATTTATATTCTACAGGATAAAATTTGCATTTATTTGCATTTCTTTGGAAAAGAAATTTGCATTACTCAAAGTGCACTACTATAAGATTTCTACAATTTACAGAGATAAGTAGCCCAAAGACGATGGAAAGCGCGGGTCCCTATCGAATCAGATAACCCTGAAGGGCGCTAGATGAGACACTCAGTAATCCTTTTTATGGCACACTGCAAAGTCTTTCACAATTCTTACCTGACAGTCTCCCTCCACAGGATCATAATAATCTCAAAGAAAGATCATTTTTGATCATAATCGATAAGCATTTTAGAGAGTGGGCCAAATGCTTTCATTATTCAACAGAATTCTCAGCCTGGTCACAGGGTCCCCACTGTCAAGCCATCAAGAATCCCTGCACTCTCTCAATGCAGGGATCCCCCAGGCTTCCCTCATCCGCCACCTGGCCTGACCCTCTGCCCTCCTCAATCCACCAGGTGGGTGCCTTGACCCAGGCCTAGGACACTACTGCCCCTCTCTGAGTCCCAGGCTTACTAAACAGGCACCTGGGACAGGAGAACCATCAAACTTCTCAGAGAGGCAAACCCTGGCATGCCTGCAGAGGGCCACGTGTATCTCCCATCCAGAGATGCACCTTGAGTCCCGTACATGGGTGCAGGCTCAGTTCAAGCCCCAGGCTCTGCTCCACAGAGCTCGGAAGAGGCCCTTCTGCAGTGGCAGGAATGTCGTCAGGGCAGAGGCTATCAAGTGCCTGCCTCGGCCACTAAACCATGTGGGTTTGGCCCCTGCAGGATCCCCGGCTTCCAGGAGAATGGCATCCCAGTCAGCCTGCCAGGAGGAGCTGGCTGTGGAGTGTCTCCCAAGTAGCCGGAGGGACAGACCTAGTAGATGGCGCTATTTAGTGCTGACCACTTGCACACGCTGAGTGGAGGCCAAGTGCAATTTCCATTTTAGTGCACTTGCTGCTAAGCTGTTCTTTCTGGCTCTAATTAGCCAGCATGTTCAGCTGCTTCTTAAGGGCATTTGTTGCTAATAAAAATAAAAACCAGACCACTGGCCCAGATGATGGTGGTACTCTTCCTATTTGCCACAGCAGGAAGACACGGACCAACCAGCTGGTAGCAGCACAGGCTGCTTCAGCCAAGGTCACGGGCTTCCTTCACACAGTGGAAATCAGAACAGGCAGGAGGCAACCATGGTACCCACTCTAGATTCTGCATGCCACAATACCCACACTCCAGGCTCTGAAGGAAAGACAGCTGGGAACGTCGGCCAGCTTCAGGAGAGCCAGAGGCTAATATGGGTGACTGACGTTCTCTGTCCCCTTCTGAGTGAAATTAAGCAGCTGGACACCTACAGAGCCATCTTGTGTGTGCCAGGCACTGTGCTGGTGTCACAGCACAGAGGACCAACACAGGGACCCCACCTGCCCTGAAGGGGTTCCCAGTCTTGCCAGGAGATGGACACAAGCCAGGAGTTACGTCGCAGGTGCGCAAAGGGAAGCATGTAGAACAGCAAGGGAGCCCTGAGGAGGGAAAAGCCATTTCTGCCTGGGCGTAATGGGACTTGCAGAAGTGATATTTGATCCAAGCCACCAAGAAGGAGGAAGAACTTTCCCAGGTAACACCAATACACGCCGCCAGCAACGCCCCAGCCCCATCTCACGGGCAGTTGTTTCCCACTGAGCCTGGGGGCCTGGCACTGAGGGGTCCTTGCTGATGCTGTCCCTCGTCGCCCGTCTGGCCCAGGTCTCATGTCACATCTTCTTTGAAGACTTTCTCTGACTTGCCTTCTATACAGTCACATCACTATGTACGTACCTAGCCGGGAACGTGCGACGTGGAGGCTGCATCGATGCCTCTGACTGTCTCCTTGCTGTTCGCAGTGGACACTGATCACGTCAGCTCTGCACCCAGCACCCAGCAGAGTGCAGAGCAGATGCCCAGCTGGCTTCACCGCTGTAACAGGTAGGTGGCTGGCTGGATAGTTACACACGAAACCTGCTTCTCATGGAGGCAAGCTAACTGGCTGGAGGAGCCAGTCATGCCATCAGCTGAGAAGAGCGCTGGCCAGGCATCTCAAAGCCATGCCTTCTTTCATGGAAACGGGGGAAGGTAGAATGCCTCTGTTTTGGAAGACGGTCCATGACTGTAATTTTCAGTGCATCACAAGAGGACTCCACTGGAGAGATGAATTTCACCTCATTTGCTGAGTACGTACTAAGTGCAGGGAATGAGGAGCACGAAGACAAAGGAGACACAGTCCTGAAGCCCGAGGCGACAGCGCCTGATGGGGGCTGTCCTTAGGGTGGATGCGAACCAGAATTCAGATGACACGAGCTCTCCCCTGTCCCATTCTCTCCGTCCAGATCACTGTCAAGTCCTGTTTTACGTACAGGCAGCATGGCCACGCCATCCTCAGGAAACTCTTCTGTACTCTCAGAAGTTATCTGAATCAGTAACACCCTGGCCTTCCCCGTTCGGTCAGAGCCGTTGAATGGAAGCTAAGATGGCCGTCTGCACACACGCTGGTTTCTATCCTGCCCCATCTCTGGGAGGAAAGAGGCCCGAGTGGGAGTTGCAGAGGCCCCCCGCAGGGGAAGAAGGGCCTGGACTCCGGCCTCAGAGATGCCCCTGCAAGGGGGAGAAGGGCCTGGACTCTGGCCTCACTCCGAGGTGGTGCCCAGGACTGGAAGGTGTAACCTTAGAAGCCTAAGACCCGGAATAACATACTGCCTCTGGGCCTTCCCTCGGTGAACTGGTTTGCGTGGTGCAGAACTCAAATAATGGTTCTTCAGATTCACAGAGTGGCTTCCTCCACGTCCACACAGACCAACGCCCAAGTGTGGCCTCTCCCTGAAGCCCCGCTGTAGTGCAGGACAGCACACTCTGCTTCCGAAGGCTCCTCTGCGGATGCCTGACACTCGTCATGAGCACCGGCTCTGGAGTCAGACAGCACAGGGATCCCATCTTCCCCTCCCATCGCCATGTGACCCTGGGCAGTTGACAGTGACTTACAGCCTCTGCACATCCATTCCCGTAGCTATGAAATGGGGATTAAACTGTGTGGCTGTGGTGTGAACATGCAGTATTATCAGAAGGGAACCCCCAGGGAAGGGCGAGGGTGTAGAAAGGTAATTAGGAGAAATAAAGTGAGTTATCTCAATAATTGCTGGGGGCGTGTACAGGCTGACATCAGCTGGGAAGAGCCACGGCAGAACTCAGGCTGAATCTGCCCAGAAAAGTGAGCAGCACCAGGGACCCACGGGGAGCTGGGTTTCAGGGGAGGGTACCCGAGAGTGCACCACTCCTAGGTGTCCTGAAAACAGGGACCCGTTTAGAACACCAGTATCATCCAGAGACAACCACAGGCCGAATAAAGTGGATCGTGTTAACAGCCAGGATACCTGCATCTGGCTCTGCCTGGGGGAGGCTCAGGGAAGGAGACCCTCATCTGGAATAAATGATGGGTGATGTGGGTCACCTGTGTCCCCACCCAAATCTCATCTTGAACTCCCATGAGTTGTGGGAGGGACCCGGTGGGAGGTAACTGGATCATGGGGGCAGGTCTCTCCTGTGCTGTTCCCCTGACAGCAAGTCTCACGAGGTCTGAGGGTTAGTACAAGGGGAGTTTTCCTGCACAAGCTGTCTTCTCTTGTCTGCCGCCATGTGAGACATGACTTTCACCTTCCACCATGATTGTGAGGCTTTCCTAGCCACGTGGAACTGTGAGTTCTCCATTAAACCTCTTTCCTCTGTAAATTGCCCAGTCTTGGGTGTGTCTTTATTGGCAGTGTGAAAACCGACTAATACAGATAGGATAACAGAGGGAGGCCGGCAGCTTACGTATTAAAAGGTTAAACTGGACGCCAGGCGCGGTGGCTCATGCCTGTAATCCCAGCACTTTGGGAGGCCAAGGTGGGCAGATCACAAGGCCAGGAGTTTGAGACCAGCCTGGCCAATATCTACTAAAAATACAAAAATTAGCTGGGCGTGGTGGCAGGTGCCTGTAGTCCCAGCTACTCGGGAGGCTGAGGCAGAAGAATCGCTTGAACCCAGGAGGCAGAGGTTGTAGTGAGCCGAGATCATGCCACTGCACTCCAGCCTGGGCGACAGAGCAAGACTCCATCTCAAAATAAACAAACAAAAAACAAAAGGTGAAATCGGGCTGGCGTGCTGGAGAGCTTCTTTGTGGAGGTAATGGATTATCTATCATGAAGGGTGACAATCTAGCTCTATGGGTTTCCAGGGGAAGGAACATGCCATGAGATGAGATATTTGGCCCATTCAGGGAGTCAACATAAAATCCGTGTTGAGTTTCATGTGTCCCGTGTGGCTGACCGGTGTGGAGAAAGAGCACAGTAGCCCAGGGTGACCCGAGGCTGCACAGGGAGCGAGGCATTTGGCTTCTATATTGCACGCAGCAGGAACCCCTGCAGGACGTGGACAGGGGAGTGGCCTGGTCTGGGTATATCTCAGGAAGATCAGTGTTGCTGCTGGCAGGTGAATGGTTTGGATGAGGAAACAGGGCCGGCTGGAAGGCTGCTGCAGTGGTCCTGGCGAGAGGTACCAGTGGTCTGAGGCAGAGAGGAAAGGGATCAGAATCCTAGTTAACAGACTGATAGGACTGCTGATGCAGGGGGTGTGGAGGTGGGGGCTGGGGTCCAGGGAAAGGAATTGGGGACCATTCCTAGGGTTCTGGCAGAGGAATATAGAAATGCGGGGTGCTGGGAGCAGAGATTTGGGTGGCTGCAGGAGTGAGGTAAAAAAAAAAAAAAAAAAAAAAAAACATTAAAAAGATGGATGCAGTGGGAAGAAGTTAAGCTGGAGAGGCCGTGAGACAACCCGATACAGATGTCAAGTTGCTGGGCCCCATAAGTGATCCTGGAATCCTGGGTGAAGGATACAAATGTTCGAGTCATCAAGGAAAATATGCCACTTAAAATCACAGGAGTGCATGCGATTTCCCAGGAAGAGATTCCAGGGAGAGCGGAGAGGCGTGAGTGGGTGCACACGGCGGGGCACACGTCACCCAGCCAGCTGGGAAGAGAAGGGAAGGAGGGCTTGGCGGCTGGAGGAGAGCCAAGGCTGTGAGTGGCCCACGGAAGGAGCATGTTTCATGTAGAAGAGTTCCAAGGATGGCGGTAAATGGGCAGAGGGGTCCTGGAAGGTGAGTCAGGAAGAGGGTGCTGAACACTTGACACCACGTCTACACCGGAGAAAACCTCCCACAGACATGAGCAGTGGCGGCGACGGTGAACTCTCAAGTCACCCAGGTGGCAGGCATTGTTAACCCATTTCCAGCTCGCCCTGGGAGTGACACTGTGCGGGGCAGCCCTGTGTGCACAGCCCTCCCATGGGGCCCCAAATCCACTCTCCACCAAGAGCCCCTCTAACTAAGGACTTCTTCCCTTCCCTCTCTCAGGTCCTGCATGGTTTTTTCTTTCCTAAAGGGCAGGCTGTGTTTGAAACCCTGTAAAGCATTACAGCATTTTAGTAGTTGTTTTGGGTCTGACCCAGAAGTAAAGGTTAAGGACATTAAGAGCACACACAAAAATCTGATTATCGTCCATGGTGACAGTTTCATTTTGCTACTTACTGTTTTCAGAGAGCTCCACGATGTAATAAAGAATAGGACTGTTTCCATCAAAGGGCCGGACCCAAGAGAGCACCACGGCGTGGCTGTGGGAAGAATTAGGGCTGACCAGGAGGTTCTGAGGTGAATGAGGCAGTTCACTTGAATTGAATGGGATGAAAAGGAAAAAGAGGAAAACACATGTCAGAATCCATGGTGAGCCTGAGCTCTTACAGCAGACCGTCCTGCTGTGTCATGTTTGGGAAATGAATAACATAAAATATGCCCAAACACAAATATTAACTCTCTTCCCCCCAGAAAAGGACACACAAAACCCAGCTTCATTATTCACAGTGTTACTTTGTTTTCTGGTCATAATTTCATGGAACCCTTATGCTAGCTACCAAAACAAGTACTGACGCTGTCACATAAATAGGGGGAGGGGACGCAGACGTTTACACATACATTATTATTTTCTGTTTTTTATAAGACCAAGTCTCGCTCTGTCGCCCAGCCTGGAGTGCTGTGATGCAAGCTCGGCTCACTGCAACCTCCGCCTCCTGGGTTCAAGCAATTCTCTGCCTCAGTCTCCCTAGTAGGTGGGATTATAGGCGCCTGCCACCATGCCCAGCTAATTTTTGTATTTTTAGTAGAGATGGGGTTTCACACCATCTTGGCCAGGTTGGTCTTGAACTCCTGACCTTGTGATTCACCCGCCTTGGCCTCCCAAAGTGCTGGGATTACAGGCGTGAGCCACCATGCCCGGCCTACACATACATTATTTAATTGAGAAAACGTGGTCAACAATTTGTTTTTTACAACTAGAAGCTGGTCATGGAAATGCCACATATGCAGGAAAAGTCCCGATACATGTAACGGGAATGTTTCCAACACTAGCCATTTAGAGTTATGAGCGAAAATGCCTGCATGTATTCTTAGACCACACAGTTGCCGCATTTATTGACAGCATGAGGTTACATTGTCATTATGTCTTCTGCTGGAGTTATGGGGATTTGGAGGAAGTGTGGTGAAACCACTCACTAAAATCCCATGGAAATGGTAAAGAACACATCAGCAAGGCTATGAAATGGAAATGCAATTAAAGCGAATAAATTCTTTAAATAAGTTACTAGTTAAAAAAAAAAAAAGTTTTTACTGGGACTTAACCAGTGACAAAGCTGCAAAACCCTACTACATGGTTTCTACCAAGGCTGAGTCTACAACCTTAAAACCATGAGCTGCCCGGGCCCTGTACTGAACCTTCACGTCTCCTGAATCCGGAGCAGGACCCTGTTCCGGGGCTGTCCTGGATGGCTGCCCCTCCATAAACGCTGCCAGGCAGTGCCGGGAAGAGGGGATGCTGAGTGTGACCCGGGTCACCGCTAACCAGCTTTTGGTCTCTCAGACATCAGGTACTGCTGACCCACACAGGTCAGAACACAAAGCCATAATTATACTTGATATTTTTAATTTTAAAAATGTACTCATTACATTTTGAAATTTATTAAGCTGTTTTGAGCTTTCAGTTCCCCAAGAAACAGCTCTAACCCATACGCACCATTTATAAGCATACTAATATTTCTAATGTAGACTGCAACTACATTGTACATTAGTGCGATAAAGAATAAATGCGAGCCCAGGATGTCGTCTTGTTTTCTCTTTAATTGTGAATTAAGTTTTGAATCAGAAAAGGAATAGTTTGTTTCTTTTATTTATTTTTTGTATAGACAGGGCCTCACTATACTGTCCAGGCTGGTCTCAAACTCCTGGCCTTGGGCGATCCTCCCCAACCTCGGCCTCTCGAAGTGCTGGGATTATAAGCATGAGCCACTGCACCTGGGCAGAGCTGTCATTTCTATTTGAGTTCTCCAATAACCGAATCTCCATTAGAGGCGGAAATGCCAGTTATCAATTCTACTCCTCCCAAGCCCCATTTCCTATTCCCCCTGCTGCAATCTGAATCGGTGTGGTCTGAAACCAAACCAAAGTTGTTGAAAAAGTCCCACCTGAAAAGAAAATATGAATAAATCTGACAGATATAGCCAAATAAGATGGTTTATCATAAAGAATGTATCTGATCTGAGATGGAACTTCCAGACTGTTTTAGTTTCCTGAGTGACTGGGACGGTTTTCGCCACCATGGTGAACCTCTCAGACCACAGCTGAGCTTATGCTTCTTGGGTGGACTCATGGTGGGCCCCAAGATCCTTCCAGGATGGGTCTGGCCATGCTGGGAAGGCCAGTCATGGGGATAAGAGGGTTGGGGCTTTGAGCCAGTGGTGACGGCTCAGCCTTCTGACCTCTGGGGAGTGGAGGGGGCTGGGGACTAGGTTCAACCATGCAGCCAGTGATTCAACTCTGGGAGGCTTGGGGTCGGTGAGAGTGGTAGGAATGCAGGATTTGCCCTGGGTGGCAGAGAGGCCAGACAGGGTTGAGGGAAAATGCACTGGCCTGCACAGAGAGACCAGCAATGAGCTTATGTTCACAATTTCTGGGATGTCTTTTTGACATTGGTTCTGGGACCCCAAGGGCAGCTCATTGGAAGCCGTTCTCACAGACTGGACACAATGTCAGATGACCATCTGTAATAGTCAGGATGGGAGATAGGCCGTGAAACTAAAGGTGGGTTAGAGGCTCGAGGAGCCAGGCAGCTCTGCAGACACACACAGTAGGAGTTGGAGAGAAGCCAGGGCAGGAGAGGGTTGTACAGCCAGCTCAGGACAAACCTTGCAAAACAGACATTCTCGGGCCAGGTGACCATATGCTATAAGATGTGAACAGGCTCCTGGGAGACAACAGAAATGGGTGACCTGTGGCCCCTGACAAGCTGCTGTGTCTCTGCACACTTTCTCTGATGACCTCAAGGGGGTTATGTTTGATCGAATTCTAAATTCTAAAAGTCTGTCTTTCTCACAGAGGTGAAAATGCGGCCTCTTGCACTTGATTTCAAATCACGCTTCTCTTAGCCCAAGGTGAGAGTGCACACAGAAACAACCCATCTGCCAGGTGGGTGGACTGCCTTTCTCTTGAGGCTGCAGTGCTTTGCAGACACTCACTTAAATGGAGGCTACTCACGGGGCAGCTTCTGTCCTCCAGGGGTCAGCTCTCACAGTCCCTGGAATATGCTCACACATGTCCCTCCATCCCTCTGCCCCCTCTCAGCTAGGATGTGATTCTAGTCAGAGTGGTTTCAGATTTTCCCCCTGCCAGCAGACCACAAGCAACAGATGAGAAGTATCTACCCGAAGCAGGCACACCCAACAGCAAAAACGGTCGCAACAGCCTGAGATTGAGGGATGTAAAAAGATTTTTTAAAAGATTAAAAACAAATACTTAAAAACTTAGAAAGCAAACTAGTCTTGAGGCGTTTAGTGTAGGCGGCAAGAGCTACCCGCCTGGCAGTGCCCGAGGACCTGAGTGCCCGTGATGTGCAGAGACGCACACGTCCTTCTCTGCGACTGTCCCCCGAAGTCACTCCATTGGCTCAAAGTCACACTCAGTGTGATGGCCCAGGGCAAAGTGTGATATTTTGGTAAATCACAGGACTCAAGCATTGGAAGGAAATATTGATTTTTCCCAGTTTCAGTCTCTCCCCTCTGTGAAAATCCCCTTGATAATATCTCTTGTGTTCAATATCACCTGTTTCATAATGTGAAGGGCCTTGTGATAGAGAGGCATGTCTCAGAGATACTGCACGTTCAGTTCCCGACCACCACAATGAAGTGAATATTGCAATTTGCAAGTCACACACGTTTTGGTTTCCCAGTGCATATAAAAGTTCTGTTTATACTCTACTGCAGTCTATTAAGTGTGCAATAGCATTATGTCTAAAAAACATGTACACACCTTAAAGATACTTCATGCTAAAAAAGGTGATCATCTGAGCCTTCAGTGAGTCACAGTCTTTTTGCTGGTGGAGGGTCCTGCTTGGATGTTGATGGCTGTGGACTGATCGGAGTGGTGGGGCTATAGGCTGGGGGGACTGTGGCAATTTCTTCAAACGAGACAGCAGTGAAGCCTGGCGCATCAACGGACTCTTCCTCTCATGAAAGACTTTTCTGTAGCATGTGATGCTGTTTGATAACATTTTACCCACAGTAGAACTTCTTTCAAAATTGGAGTCAATCCTCCCAAACCCTGCCACAGCTTTACCAGCTAAGTTCATGCAATATTCTAAGGCCTTGTTGCCATTTCAACAATGTTCACGGTATCTTTGCCAAAAGTAGATGCTGTCCCACACCACTTGCTTTGCTCATCTATAAGAAGCAAATCCTCATCTGGACAAGTTTGATCATGAGATTGCAGCAGTTCAGCTACATCTTCAGGATCCACCTCTAATTCTAGTTCTCTTGCTGTTTCCACCACATCAGCAGCAACTTCCTCCGTGGATGCCTTGAACCCCTCCAGCCTCATCCATGAGGGCTGGAATCAACTTCTTCCCAACTCCTGTTAATATTGATATTGTGATCTCCTCCCATGAATCACAAACATTCTTTTTTTTTTTTTTGAGATGTTGTCTCGCTCTGTCGCCCACGCTGGAGTGCAGTGGCACGATCTCAGCTCACTGCAAGCTCCGCCTCCTGGGTTCATGCCCTTCTCCTGACTCAGCCCCCCGAGTAGCTGGGACTACAGGCACCCGCCACCAAGCCCGGCTAATTTTTTGTATTTTTAGTGGAGATGGGGTTGCACCATGTTAGCCAGGATGGTCTCGATCTCCTGACCTTGTGATCCACCCACCTCAGCCTCCCAAAGTGTTGGGATTACAGGCGTGAGCCACCGCGCCCAGCCCACAAACATTCTTAATGGTATCTAGAATGGTGAATCCTTTCCAGAAGGTTTTCCATTTACTTTGCCCAGATCCATCAGAGGAATTATCATCCATGGCAACTATAGTCTTATGAAATATATTCCTTAAATAATGGGACTTGATGGTCAAAAGTCCACCTTCATCCACAGTCTGCAGAACGGATGTTGTGCTAGCAGGCATGAAACCCACATTCATCTCCTTGTACATTCCCATCAAAGCTCTAGCATGACAAGGTGCACTGTCCATAAGCAGTAATATTTTCAAAGGAATTTTTCTTTTCTGAGCTGCAGGTCTCAAAAGTAGGCTTGAAATATTCAGTAAAACATGCTGTAAACAGAAGAGCTGTCATCCAGGCTTTGCTGTTCCATTTACAGAGCACAGGCAAAGTAGATTTAGCATCGTTCTTAAGAGCCCTAAGATTTTCAGCACAGTAAATGAGTGTTGGCTTCAACTTAAAGTCACCAGCTCCATTAGCCCCTAACAAGAGAGTCAGCCTGCCCTTTGAAGCTTTGAAACCAGACATTGATTTCTCCTCCGTAACTAGGAAAGTCCTAGATGGTATCTTCTTCCCATAAAAGGCTGTTTCGTCTACACTGCAAATTTCTTGTTACTGTAGCCACCCTCGTCACTGTTCCTAGCTAGGTCTTCTGAATAACTTACCAAGTTTCTCCATCAGCACCTGCTGCTTTATCTTGTACTTTTATGTTATGGGGACGGCATCTTTCCTTAAATCTCACAAACCAACCCCTGCTAGCTTCCAATTTTTCTTCTGCAGCTTCCTCACCTCTCTGTCTTCACAAAACTGAAGAGAGCTATGGCCTTGTTCTGGGTTAGGCTTTGGCCTAAGGGAATGTTGAGGCTGGTTTGATTTTTCTCTCCAGACCACTCAAACTTTCTCCACATCAGCAATAAGACTGTTTCACTTTCTTATCATTTGTGTGTTCCCTGGAGCACTTTAAATGTCCTTCAATAACTTTCCCTTTGCATTCACAGCTTGGCTAACTGGGGCAAGAGGCCTGGCTTTTGTCTTGTCTTGGCTTTCGATATGCCTTCCTTACTAAGCTTCATCATTTCCAGTCTGCTTTCTAGTGAGAGACGTACAACCCTCTCTTTCACATGGACACTCAGAGGCCTTTGCAGGGTTATTAACTGGCCAAATTTCACACTGTGGGGCTCAAGGAATACAGGGGCCCAAGGAGACGGAGGGAGACAGGGAATGGCCTGTTGGTGGAGCAGTCAGAACACACAAGGCATTTATAGCTTAAGTTTGCCATCTTAACATCGGCGTGGCTCATGGTGTCCCAAAACAATTACAATAGTAACATTCAAGATCAGTGATCAGGGAGTGCCATCACAGATACAATCATAGTGACAAAGTTTGAAACATTGTGAGAATTCCCAAAATGTGACCAGAGACACTAAGTGAGCAGGTGCCGTTGGAAAAATTGCATCAATAGACTTACTTAACACAGGGTTGCTGCAAACCTCCAGTTTGTAAATAACAAAAACAAACGTGCAATACCTGAGGCATGCAATAGAAGATGGCGTGCCTTATTCTGGAAATATAAACTATTTCTTTTTTTCTTTCTTTTTTTTTTTTGAGATGGAGTCTCGCTCTGTAGCTCAGGCTGGAGTGCAGTGGTGCAATTCGGCTCACTGCAACCTCCGCCTCCTGAGTTCGAGCAATTCTCTGTCTCAGCCTCCTGAGTAGCTGGGATTACAGGTGCCCAACACCACGCCCGGCTAATTTTTGTATTTTTAGTAGAGACAGGGTTTCGCCATCTTGGCCAGGCTGGTCTTGAAATCTTGACCTCGTGATCTACCTGCCTCGGCCTCCCAAAGTGCTGCGATTACAGGCGTGAGCCTCTGCGGCCAGCCACTATTTCTTTAAATGATAAGTTTTGGTTATTTGGAAAATGAAGCTTTGTGAGATCCTTGACTAACCCATCAATAACAGATAAATGAGGCTTTAATATATTCTGAATCCATTTCAGAAAATCTTATCTAATGGGGATAGATTGCGTCGAAGCATTACTCTGCCAGCTTTGAAAGGAGATAAATGATCAGTAGAGTGACTCACAGACAGTGATAAGCACAGAGGCTGATAAATGGAAGAGGTCCCAGAGAACAATGGAAGCGAAGCCCAGTGCTGAGTCACTTTGTAATTGAAAGAGAATAGGGGGAAAACCACCGTCAGGCACAGGACACCTCAGGAATATCAGAAATTAACAACAACAGTAACGGAAACCCAACAGTACGGGAGAGAGATGAAGCAAGGTGTGTGTGAGAAAAACAGTTTTGAAAAAGACTCGAAAGAAAGCAATTGGTGAAATTGTGGCTGTAGGGGGAATTGCTCTGGCAGAAGAGGATCAGATAAGTACTTTTTTTCTACATAAAAAGCATTGGCCCTTTAATGCACAAATGATGACTTGGTCAAACCCATCTTCTTTGACTTCACTCTGAGGATGAAGATGACAGGGCTTGATAACTCTGGGGGAAACAGTATTAAATTCTTCACTCCTTACGAGGGCTCTGTCAGAACTGGTTTTATAGAAAGAAACCTCTCCCAATGCCTCAGGGTCTCCAAGTCAGCTCTGTAAATTGGGTTTTCTCTGTACTCCAGGCCCATGAGAATTAGACTCTGATTTCAGGAGGAGAGATGAAATGCTAATTGGGTCTTTAAATGATTTAACAATTAATCAATCCATAAGGCCTTAGGAGCCTGGTCCCTCTGGTGTGCTCAATACAGGAAGATGCTTTGGGGAATATGAAGTCATCCTGGAAACTGGCTCCTGTCCCCATGGCACTAGAAAACTAGAGCAAAGACGCTACTAAAACAAGGGGTGACCAGCATTTAATGATGACTTGTCTTGTTAATTTACAGGCTGCCTCATGGAACCATCTGGAGTTTAGAAGCCTCTTCTCTCAGTGGGGGGATGAAGGCAGAGCCCTCCTAAATTGGTCCTCCTCAGTAGGGCAAAAGACACCGTCTCATTTCAGCTCAGTAGGTGGAGTGAGGCTTACCCAGACATTTATTAGGTTCCTACTGTATACCTGGCACTGGTCCAGGCATTGAGGGCTCAACAGCAAACAGACACATCTCGAGTCTAGTGTCAGAAGGTCATAGAATGTAGTCAGAATAATGCAGGGTAAAGGGCTAGAAAGTTCCCAGCCCCAGGAGGCAGGGTGCTGTTAGGAAAGGGGGGAACAGCATTCTAGTATAAGATGGTAAGAAAGCACGAAGAGCTAGGACTTAGAGCATCCCTCCCCAACTGGCTTCCACAACAGGATCTTACAAACCCGGGTGGGTGCCGCCCTCACAGCCGTCCTTTGAGATGAATGATACCATGCCCAGTCTACAAGGTGAGAGGCAGAAGCTGAGAAGTGAGGGGATTTGTCCAAAGTCACACAAGTAGTGAAAGGTGAGCAGGGCCTCCTGTGCAGCCCTTTGCTCCTATTGGCCCCACTGCTGTCCAGCAGCCCCATCAGGACTGCTGTGGGTGTGATGTGGGTGTGGGGGCCGCCCCTCCACTCAGCCTCAATGAGGTGAAGCTTAGTGCTAAGTGTAAAACTCGGGGCAAACAGACGTGAGAAGAGGCCAACGGCTGGTCTATTTTTGAAAAGCTCACTTCAGATGCTCGTAATTTCTATATTTAATGAAGCAGCTTTTAACTGAAGTGGAGAGGCAAGGAGAAAACAGGCTTTCAGGCTCCTCTGAAGGACATTGTTTAGTCATAAGCACCTCTCAGTCCCTTCCCTTTGGCAATATGAGATTTTTCTCTTGCTTTTTTTTTGGTTATCTGAGTAAATGATGGAAACACTACAGAGCTCAGTTTGAAAGTTACCCAAGAAGGACAGAATGCCCTGCAATCACGGGTTATTATTATTATCATTCTATTGCCATTATTGTTGTAGAGTCAAGCTCTGTTGGATCTAAAGACACCCCATGAAGGAACACCTTTCCCAATTCATCCAGGTTTGGGATAGAGGAGCCTTCGTGACACTAACAATTCACGAGGAACAACTGTCTTCCAAATCAGTTCTGTAACCAGTTTGTACTTAAATTAGTTTGAATCACAAATTTGCAGAGATTTCTATATTTAGAGATGAGATGTTTTACCGTTAGAGAAAGCCTATTATTTTATACATACAGCAACATTTGCTGAAAAATGTATTTTACTTAGAGGAAATCAAATAAGCAAATAGTAGGGAAGACATGTAAATCAGTAGACCATAAAACTGTGCAGAATAAAAAGAATGGGCTATATTGGAAGTATGCAATTTGGCTTCTGCTGACAGAGTCTTTATGAACTGCTAACGCTTATTTATTTGATACCAACGATGGATGATCTAAGGTTCTCAAAGGTAGCTTTAAAAATGTGCATAATACAACAGCTCCTAGGAACTCACTGGCCATATCCTCCTATATTATCAAAATGAAAAAAAAAAAATCCTCTGTCTGAGACCCGAAAGGAAGGAGGAAAGAGGCAGGAGCAGGGCTGGATGAGGGCTTTGGGTACTCACTGTTTGGGTTTTGGTAGAACGACCTGAGCTTACTTGTATACCCATGGTGGGGAAACCAGGGCATGTGAGCATCAAGGTACGAGTAGGGAACAGAAGGAGGCCCGCCAATGGGCCACCAAGGCAGACACACATTCATTCATTCCTTCATGCATGCACGCAGGCAGCAACCAACCAACATATATTTATTGAACAACGGTTATACAACAAATACTACATCAGGCACTCAAAATTCAAAACAGTGCCACCAAGGTGCTTCTGTTCCAGGAGGAGAGGGAGCCATGAAGATATGGTCGTCCTCTGCAGCGTGATCAGTGCTACCAGGAGGATCAGCTGCGCGCAGGGAAGAACTGCAGGCAGCATCCTGGTAACTGAACCGCAGGAAGTGCTACTGTCGTTGAATGCTAAGGGGTGCATGATCAGGAGACCTCCGGGGAAGCCCACGGATGACAGCACCCAACCGCAGAGACAGTGGATGGCTGGGGCTCATGAAGGGCAGAAAGAACCCAGGGTCGTAGGCTCCAATGCCTGAAGGCAGGGGCTGGGGGAAACCTGGCTGCCCCATGCGTACACAAAAGCTGGAGGACCCTCTGTGTGGCAGCCTCAGCCCCGGGACCCCCAGTGATTCTCTGGAGGACCGTCTGTGTGGCAGCCTCAGCCCCGGGACCCTCAGTGATTCTCTGGAGGACCCTCTGCGTGGCAGCCTCAGCCCCGGGACCCTCAGTGATTCTCTGGAGGACCGTCTGTGTGGCAGCCTCGCAGCCTCAGCCCCGGGACCCTCAGTGATTCTCTGGAGGACCCTCTGCGTGGCAGCCTCGCAGCCTCAGCCCCGGGACCCCCAGTGATTCTCTGGAGGACCCTCTGCGTGGCAGCCTCAGCCCCGGGACCCTCAGTGATTCTCTGGAGGACCCTCTGCGTGGCAGCCTCAGCCCCGGGACCCCCAGTGATTCTCTGGAGGACCGTCTGTGTGGCAGCCTCGCAGCCTCAGCCCCGGGACCCTCAGTGATTCTCTGGAGGGCCCTCTGCGTGGCAGCCTCAGCCCCGGGACCCTCAGTGATTCTCTGGAGGACCCTCTGCGTGGCAGCCTCAGCCCCGGGACCCTCAGTGATTCTCTGGAGGACCCTCTGCGTGGCAGCCTCAGCCCCGGGACCCTCAGTGATTCTCTGGAGGACCCTCTGCGTGGCAGCCTCAGCCCCGGGACCCTCAGTGATTCTCTGGAGGACCCTCTGCGTGGCAGCCTCAGCCCCGGGACCCTCAGTGATTCTCTGGAGGACCCTCTGCGTGGCAGCCTCAGCCCCGGGACCCCCAGTGATTCTCTGGAGGACCGTCTGTGTGGCAGCCTCGCAGCCTCAGCCCCGGGACCCTCAGTGATTCTCTGGAGGACCCTCTGCGTGGCAGCCTCGCAGCCTCAGCCCCGGGACCCCCAGTGATTCTCTGGAGGACCCTCTGCGTGGCAGCCTCAGCCCCGGGACCCTCAGTGATTCTCTGGAGGACCCTCTGCGTGGCAGCCTCAGCCCCGGGACCCTCAGTGATTCTCTGGAGGACCCTCTGCGTGGCAGCCTCAGCCCCGGGACCCTCAGTGATTCTCTGGAGGACCCTCTACGTGGCAGCCTCAGCCCCGGGACCCTCAGTGATTCTCTGGAGGACCCTCTGCGTGGCAGCCTCAGCCCCGGGACCCCCAGTGATTCTCTGGAGGATCCTCTGCGTGGCAGCCTCAGCCCCGGGACCCTCAGTGATTCTCTGGAGGACCCTCTACGTGGCAGCCTCAGCCCCGGGACCCTCAGTGATTCTCTGGAGGACCCTCTGCGTGGCAGCCTCAGCCCCGGGACCCTCAGTGATTCTCTGGAGGACCCTCTGCGTGGCAGCCTCAGCCCCGGGACCCTCAGTGATTCTCTGGAGGACCCTCTGCGTGGCAGCCTCAGCCCCGGGACCCTCAGTGATTCTCTGGAGGACCCTCTACGTGGCAGCCTCAGCCCCGGGACCCCCAGTGATTCTCTGGAGGATCCTCTGCGTGGCAGCCTCAGCCCCGGGACCCTCAGTGATTCTCTGGAGGACCCTCTGCGTGGCAGCCTCAGCCCCGGGACCCTCAGTGATTCTCTGGAGGACCCTCTACGTGGCAGCTTTGCAGCTGCAGCACCAGGACCCCCGCACCACTGCCGCCGGCTGATTCTGTAGAGCCATGGGGACTCCTGCCGCTTCCTAACTAACCACAATTACCTCTGCTATCTAAAGAGAACAAGGGGTCATCCTGGAAGGAGACAGAACAGGAGTTGGGATGGGATGTTTTTCAGGTACTGATGACACCACAGGGCCTTCCGGACTGACTGCTACACATCGTGAACCTTTTATATCCACAAATAGGGACTACAGGAAAGCTGTTTGTGAGTTCACTCATTTCCACATGCGTGTGGCAGACACAGAAGCCACATGCTTAGCACTTAGCAAGCATTCTTTTCATTTTTAATCCCCTCAGCTGGAGTCTTGGGATTCAGGGATCAATGAGTCACGGCTCCTATACTCGGAGTGTTCAAATTCTATTTGTGGGGAATGATTTTGAATACAGAATCTTTCCTGGATCAAAGGGGGCAGGGTCCAGTGAGGAAAAATCTCTCAAGATTGCCTTTGTCGAAAGGCCCAGCATGTCAAACGATGACCAGGGACGGATGCGCTGGGTGTGTCCCTGGAGCTGGCCACTGCCTTGATGAGTGCTCGGTTGGGATTCTTTATTTTCAGGTTTTATTTTTGTACTCATGCACTCACGGAATATTGAGATGGCACAACTTTTAAAAAGCAAATAAATACATGTCAGAAAAATAAAATGTGTCAGCAGGTATTTTGGTTTCCTGCTCCATGAATAGAGAGGGGAGTGGAGGGAGAAAGAGAGCAGAGACGGGGGAGATTGACGGTTTCCCGCCTGGGCTCTTTGGAACCCCCAGGAAGGTCCAGATTGGAAGTAACGGGCAGTTGCTTTCTGTTTTCAAGATTTCACAAGACTTAACTTAAAGTATCTATTTACCCACGGAGGGGCAGCTGGGACTCACTGAAACCCCAAGTCTAGGTGGCTTTCACGGGAACGACCTCGCCTCAGCAGTCCCACTCCAGCATCTCTCATGGACTGGAGGCTCTCAAGGGTATTATGTGGAAAAATGAACTTGCTACTTAAGCGCAGAGTGGTAAACAGGGCCTATCAGGATAAGGTGTCCACGGGAAAAATATGACAAAAAGGATCAACTGAAATAAAAACCAATGATCACACCATCTACACCAAAAACGAAACTTCTCAATTCCGAAGTTGAAAGAAACCACAAAAAAACCTTGTCCATATATGTAGTTATGCAGCATGATGCGCTGGCCTCTGACCGCTGACTTGGGACACAAGCCGGGCGTGACACTTGTGAAGTGGCAGTCACTAACAGGGGCACAGTAACGGAGAAAACCGCGGACTGGCTAACACCAAACGTCTCAGTACTCACATCACTTCCAGCCGGGCCATCCTGGAGTCATTCCCTCCTTCAGAAACAATCTCGCAGCTGTAGTCACCGATGTCGCCTGACCACGTCTGGCTGATGAGAAGGGACCCGTCCTTCTCCACCACGATCCTAGACGTGCTCGATGGAGTCAGGGCCACGTTGTCCTTCTTCCAAACGTAGCTGTGGGCCAAGCAAAGGGTCTTGAGTTACAAACCCCACAGTGACAGAATCACTGCTCCTTCCCTGTCTCTTAAAAAGCAAGCAACTAACAATCTTGTGAATGGACTTTAAAAACCACTGAACTGTGCTCTTTAAAAGAGTGATTTTTCTTTTCTTTTTCTTTCTTTCTTTTTTTTTTTTTTTTTGAGACAGAGTCTTGCTGTGTGGCCCAGGCTGGAGTGCAGTGGCATGATCTTGGCCCACTGCAGCCTCCACCTCCTGGGTTCAAGCAATTCTTGTGCCTCAGCCTCCTGAGTAGCTGGGACCACAGATGTATGCCACCATGCTTGGCTAATTTTTTTGTATTTTTAATAGAGATGAGGTTTTGCCATGTGGCCCAGGCTAGTCTCAAACTCCTAGCCTCAAGTGATCTGCCCGTCTCGGCCTCCCAAACTGCTGGGATTACAGGCCTGAGTCACCGCACTTGGCCTAAAAGAGTGAATTTTATGGCATATGAATTAAACCAAAAAATAATAAAAAAAAGAAAAGCAACCAGAAATCTTGGTCATAATACAAAAACACATGCTGAGGTTACAAACAGGGCAATGAAAATGACTGGCCCTGCCTGTCTGACCTTGTGTTTTAGAGATGAGAAGTCTGTAGAACCACGGGCATACCTGTCACCTATGAAAACTGCACCCAACATTCCTGCCCCGGTAAATGCTCCTGGAGGACAAGAGTGTTGTCTGGACAGGAGGCAACGACTGTTTAAAAAAAATCTACAGAGTGGAATTGCCCAACTCATGAAAAAAAAAATCACCCTTCAAAAACACACTTTCTTAAAATGTGACCATTCTGGCAGATGGTCCTTAAAATTGCATTTATTTCTCATTTAATCTATCTGTAGCAATTTGAGCACATTTTTCTTTTCAAATACACAATCAATTGAGAGCCTGCCCAGTCTTTAGATGACCACGGGCAGGGCCAGCACTCATTGCTATATGGAATGAAAGTGCTGTTTTTCTTTTCCACAATAATTTGATCGGGTTTTGCAAATGTGCCCAGTTCTTTAAAGACTTCATAGTCATAAGCACAGACATTTACAAACTACCTTCTCAGCAATTACCCTGAGATAGAACAGGGCTGATTCCACAAGAGGGAGATGGATAGACTGCTCACGCCGGGGCATCGCATCTGGCTGGCTGGTCACTTACAGCCTGGCGCTCCTCAGGGCAGAGCAACCCTGGGACGAGGGGCACCCCGAGAGCGAGTAACCCAGTTCCATCTGAGGAAGGGGCCTCCAATTTAATCACATATAACAAGCTACTACGAAACCACAGGGATCCGAGGGGGTTCTTTCTGAGCTGTCAGAGTAGCAGAAAAGCAGACTTCCTTGAAGTCATACTCCAAATCATTTAGGAAGGAGCTCTTTCCGAGGCCTGACGACCGTCTCCAGGGTGGCCCCCAGGGGGGTCCTAGGTCGTCTTTCACTTGCTGGTTTTTGTTTTGCTTGTTTTGTTTTGCATTCGGCACCCACGTACCTAAACCAAATTTGGATTCTGAGCCCTGGGAAACCCCAGGGAGTCGGGTGGCGACATGGAAATTTACAATTGGCCAAACACCCGCTCAAGAAGCGCGAGAGAACAGCCGAGTCTCCGCGTCCCGCTGCTGACTGTGCACCCACAGCTGTCCCCTCTGCTCGGGGTGAGAGGCCCCAGAAAGCAGCAGGGCATCTTGAGTAGTCTGCCCATTCGACTCATGCACTGTGCCCCTTCTGGGCTAAGGCCAGAGTGGAAATACTCTGATGACTGGATATTTCCTTTTTTATTTTCAAGGCTGATTCCAAAAATTTAAAATTATCCTGAAGGTGGCTGCTCTTCAGGGAACAGCTCCCCACTGATGCCCACCTGTCTGCCACCACAACTTCACCTGGAGTCTCATATTTTGCAGTTACTTTCCTGGCCCGAATTTAAACAAAGACAGGATGTCGGCATTCCTTTAGAGAACCCTTGGCCGGGCACGGCAGCTCACTCCTGGAATCCCAGCACTTTGGGAGGCCGAGACAGGTGGATCACGAGGTCAAGACATCGAGACCATCCTGGCTAACATGGTGAAACGCCGTCTCTACTAAAAATACAAAAAAATAGCCGGGAGTGGTGGCAGGCACTTGTAGTCCCAGCTACTCGGGAGGCTGAGGCAGGACAATGGTGTGAACCCGGGAGGTGGAGCTTGCAGTGAGCTGAGATAATGCCACTGTACTCCAGCTCAGGTGACAGAGCAAGGCTCTGTCTCAAAAAAAAAAAAAAAAAAGAGAACCCTCACATCTGGCCTCCCTCTTGGCATGCACCTTCCTATTAGTGCACTGGGGGCTGTGGGTGACTTTGTCCCATGCACAGGACTCCCTCCCCCTCCATTTCACGATGAAACTATCCCGAGAGTAAAGAACTCTCCCGGGAGTGGCACAGCCCCCGTGTAAACAATGCTGAATCCTAGTCGATCCCCCTGGATTTTTCTCTCATTGAGTATCAGCCTCTGACAAGTACGTTTTACAGATAGTGTATTAACCTTGGCAGGAAAAATCATGAAAAGCAGCATTAACGTCATGAAGTGGAACATAGCTCACTGTAAATAACACATAAGGCTGGAGTGGAAAATGGGATTTGCATGATTAATGACGGTGCCCACAACCAGAAGATACCGTAATCAGGGACCTGCTGCTGAAATCAAAAGTTCCCCCAATTCTTCCTCCTCATCTCAACTTCACTTCAGAAACTCACAGAATATCAACAAGCCCCAAAGCATTGTAACTGATTGTGCTGACCGGAGTGAAACCCGGGGGTCATGTGTGGCACCACAGTGCAGCGTGGCCGTGGTCCCCTTAATCACCACGTGGTCCTCAGGAGGGTGGACGATGGACGTCCGATCTGAAAAAAACACAAGTCACGAGTCAGACGAAATGACAAGTTTGACAGTTTCTGCCCTCAGGGGGGATAATGCCCTGGTCATCTGACATCACAACCTCCGAGTTTTCTCTCATCTTGGCAGAATGAGTGTAAATGGATCACTCTCAGAAATGCTAGGGGAGTTAAAAACAAGCAAATAAGTAAACCATTGCAGCAGTCTGTCAACCCACCCACCCCTCCTAAATCAGCTTTAACCTCAAACACCATGGAAGTAACTGAATGCCGACCACCCCATGCAGGTGTGGATGAGGTTCTAGGCTCTAAAATAAAACCTAGATTCTCTCCCTAGATGACCATCATTCTAGTCATTTCTAGCGTCTGCATGGTACTTTTTGAGTCTGTCAAGTGTTTTTGTTTGAGTTGTGTTTATTCCTCAAGACACTCTTGTGAGGGCTAAATATTACTATTCTCAGTTTTCAGGAAGGAAGATGGACGCTCAGAGATGCAGTGACTTGCCCACCTCCCCCAAGCCAGTACGGGATGGGGACCCCCAGCTTGCCTGTGCGATGGGTCACTGTAGCACCCATACCTCTAAGGGGGACCTGCTCTGCTTCCAGGAACAGAGCCCAGAACTTCGGAGTCACAAGGCTAAGTTCGAGGGCAAGCCTGACCTCTGCTAATGGTGAGTCCAGAAAAACAATTCTGCATCTTAGTTTTCCTGGCTATGGCAGGGAATGCTTACGTCACTAATAGTTGTACAGGTTAAAGTGGGCAGAGTGTGTGAAAATGTTCTGTAAAGCCACCAAAGCGTTATCCCAGTCAGGCTAGTGTCGCTATAATGTTGAATCTCAGCAGATCCACAAAATTTTCTGGCGAATGATCTACAGAGATTCAGATACCACTTTTTCATAAGCTTTTTAATATCCTACTGCTCAAGGTCATCGCCAAGTTCTGATTAC
This sequence comes from Homo sapiens, assembly GCF_000001405.40. NCBI lineage: Eukaryota > Metazoa > Chordata > Mammalia > Primates > Hominidae > Homo > Homo sapiens. The sequence continues at coordinate 3,970,527 of NC_000007.14, read as the reverse complement.
AAAAGTTCAAAAAACTGCAACCTCAGGCATAAATGGGTTAAATGTATGGTTACTATTTAGGGATACAGAATGAACGAAGTGGCTGACAGAGTCATCCACCAAATGGAACAAAAGCTGCTTTTTAGTACTTGACAGAATAGTGGGAACTTGGATTAATTTCCTTTAAACGCATGATCATTTTACAAATTAGGAAGAGTCGTTTATCAAAGTGGACACCAACCATATGATAGAAAATGCTAGACAAATATGAAATGAAGCACAATGATTTACTTTTTCTGGAAGAATAACGTTTCAACAAATTACTCCCTCAAGCAAGTTAAAACTTTCTCTCCTCATGTAGATAGATTTGTAAAAATCTGAGTGAGCATTCTTTTGCTTTTTGAATATGAGTTTTTAGTAGTACAGATTGAGATGAGACAGAGAGGAGAAAGTGTATTGGCAATTGAAGTTAAAAAGTGGCAATGGGGGACCATTTGGTCCAATCCTTAAGCTCCAGAAAACTACTCTGCATTTCCAAAATGTGTCTTGATTTTAAAAAGTGCAAAAGCTGAAGATTTTCTTTCAGTTCACTCCTAATATACAAGAAACATTGATAGTTAGTATATTAGAAGTGTCTTAGTTGTTCCTAACAATTGTTTAGCAAAAGCGGAAGATTTTCTTTCAGTTCACTCCTAACATACAAGAAACATTGATGGTTAGTGTATTAGAAGTGTTTTAGTTGTCCCTAACAAATGTTTAGCAAAATATTACTTCTTTAGGATTTTAATTCTTAATTTTCTTATAAAATGCTTATAAAATTAACCAACCTATCAATTTTGTGATTTGAGCTAGTTTTGTGTAATATCTCCACTGACTTTACAAAGTCAATCTTTCGTCTCTCCTGCAATGCCCCTATTAAATCTCTGAATACATTTTCTAGGTATTCTTTTAGACATTGAAAATTTAATTTCTCAACAGATTTCTATAAATTAGTTGTAAAAATAATCATTCTCTTTTGATTAAATTAGCAAGCCCAAGGGCATGCTGACATCCCCAAAGCACACGATGACGTGATGATTAAACCGTGGCTAACAGAAGGCCGACGTGCGAGGGCTGCTCCTTACTCCACACAGTGAGCGTGGCCGATGCATTCAGGGAGCCCTCTGTGTTGGCCGCATAGCAGGTGTAGTTGCCGGCATCCTGGATGAAGACGGGCGCGATCTGTAGACCCCCCGATTCAAGAAGCATGAACCTAGGAATCCGGACAGAGCCACTGGCCAGAATGTGGTTTTCTAAAGAACAGTGGAGAAAAGAGGCATGTTACAGTCGTAACGCTTGAAGGAAATGAAGATAGTGGTTAGAGCCATAAGCAAGTAATATGGTTCGGCTCCGTGTCCCCACCCAAGTCTCGTCTCGAATTGCAATCCCCACGTCGGGGGAGGAATCTGGTGGGAGGTGACTGGATCCTGAGGGTGGTTCCCCCGTGATGTTCTCCTGATAGTGAGGGAGTTCTCATGAGATCTGATGGTTTAAAACTGTTTGGCACTTCCCCCTTTGCTCTTTCTCTCTCTTGCAGCCTTGTGAGATGCGCCTGCTTCCTCTTCACCTTCCACCATGATTTCCTGAGGCCTCCCCAGCTATGCAGAACTGTGAGTCAATTCAACCTCTTTTCTTTGTAAATTGCCCAGTCTCAGGTATGTGTTTATATCAGTGTGAGAGTGGACTAATACAACAAAGAAATAACTTAAGGAAATAATCAGAATAAAGTGAAAATTGTAGGAAAAGAAATAACTGAAGCAGTACCTGCTAGCACTGTTTAGAATAACAAAAACCAAGAACATCCTACTTGCTCAATATTTAGAGATTTGGTTAAACAAATTATGATCCATGAACGTGATTGCTATGTTTGGGTGATCGGTTTTTAGTTTTCTTTATATCTGCATGTATTTGAAACATTTTTATATAAAGCTATTATGTTCAAAATTAGGCAGGAAAACAAGAGAGAATAAAAGCCCAGCCCTGTTATTGATCTGTAGTGTCCCAGATCTTTAGGAGCTGTGTCTGAGTGCAGGGGTTGTACCTCTGAGAGTCGAGAAGCTGCCAGGTGGTTTTCCAGAAGGAAGAGAAAGATAAGGCTTTTGGCATGTCAGCCCGATACAGCCCAGCAAGTATGAGGAGCTCATCCATGTGAATCAACAAGGCTAAGCACAGACTTGTTCAGGATGGACTCTGTGTGCTGTTCCTTCAGTGGCCCTCATGGAACGGGCTATGGGAACTGCAAAGGCAGCCTTCCCAGGAACTGAACCCACAGTGGGCTGAAGCGTCCCAGGTTGACTGCAGAAGGCACGGAACGATGTGGCCCTGGAAGCATCTTTCTTCAACAAAACAAAGGCCGTGATCCTTAATTCTGAATGTCACAAGGAAGAGCTCCACTTAACAGTGGGAAAAGTGAGTGCTAGCAGAGTGACTTCACATCCAGTCCTTGACACGGTAAGGCCCGAGGAGGCCTGAGGCACTCTCTGAAGGGCGTGGATAGAGAAGAGTGACATTTGCACAATCCTTCTCTTTTTCTAATGTGTGTTTCCCTTTCTAGAAGGCAGGGATCTTGTCTGTCCTATTTATCCTTGTGCCCATGGTATCTTGCACCTGGTAGGCATTCTGTAAATCAGGGGTCCCCAAGCCCTGGGCTGCAGACCTGTTTGGAACTGGGCTGCGTAGCAGGAGGTGAGCGGTGGCCACCGTGCATGACTGCCTGAGCTCCCCCTCCTGTCAGCTCGGCAGCAGCATTAGATTCTCATAGGAACGCACACCCTCCAGTGAACTATGCATGCCAAGGATCTAGGCTGCACACTCCCTAGAAGAATCTAATGATCTGAGATGGAACAGTTTCATCCTTAGACCATCAGCCCCCACTGGAGACCATGGAGAAATTCTCTTCCAAGAAACAGGTCCCTGGTGCCAAAAAGGTTGGGGACTGCTGCAATAAGAGTTATTTAATCTTCATTGAGTGAATGCATAAGTGAATAAACAAGAGAGTGAATAAGAAGCAAGCACTGGCCCGATAGGTTATGTTCTACATGGGCCATGCTGTTGTGGGCAGTGGATGCTACCCACCTCTTTTCCAGGTGATGGCGGGTTTGGGAGCCCCGGACACCTCACACCTTAGAATGGCTGTCATCCCGTCAGTAACTGTGGTGTCCACTGGCCGCTGGGTGAACACTGGAGCGATATCTGAGAAGAGGAGTAAATGAAATGATCAGGGCCTTGTTCCTGAGAGGCTCACATCAGCCTGGCAGAGTATCCTGCACGGGCTTTAGAGAGCCAATCACAGAGGTAACTGTAGCAATACAAAAGGAATACTGTTCAGGAGGGACGGCAGCCCTCCACTGTTCCTCTCCCAGGAGTTACCGATCTTTGTTTACAACCTGGAGAGAAAATACAGCGTCACGATGTAATAGATACACAAGTGGAAACGTGCAGGGGCCCAGGAAGAACAGTTTTTGATGAATATTAAAGAGAGGAGAGGCATTTATTTAGATCAGCCAAAAGACTGCTTTTGTTCTTTAAATGAAAGGTAGCCCATGCCTATATTCCCAGCACTTCAGGAGGCTGAGGCAAGAGGACTGCTTGAGTTCAGGAGTTTGAGACCAGCCTGGGCAACACAGTGAGATCCCTGTCTCTACCAAAAATGAAAAATTAGCCAGGCATGGTGGTGCAGGCCTATAGTCCCACGTACTTGGGAGGTGGAGGCAGGAGGATCGCTTGAGCCCAGGAGGCTGAGGCTGCAGTGAGTGATGATCGTGCCACTGTACTACAGCCTGGGTGACAGAGTGAGACCTTATCTCAAAAACAAAAACAAAAAAAAAAGCTAATTATTGAATACAAAATGTCATCCACAAGATGACACTTTCTAGGATGCTTTCTAGGATCTGTTCTGAGAGTTAAAATAACCAGGTTTCAAAGACCTCCATAAAGATACATTTCTGGGAGGTGTCATGATCCCCAAGTGCTGGGTTTCTTCTTGTTCATGGGGGATGGTCACGGCCCCGAGCAGCCCTGAGTCAGACCGAGGAAAGACAGGAGGAGCTCCTGATGGCTTCAGCGAGGGCTCGCCTAACTCTGTGCTACCCAATAACGATTAACCGGAACCCCCCGTACAACAGTGATCTGTGTCTCTCAAGTCTTCTGTGAGGGTCCCTGGGCTGATACCCCTCAAGGAAAGAAGTGAGTAGACCTCACGGGACCCAGGGCACAGCCGCCGCCTCTGCCTGCACCTGCTGAGAATCCCATGGACCATGGCAAGTCCCAGAAACTTCACTGCCAAGGCCCTTCCTGAAGCTGACCTTGTCTCTCCACCTCGCAGGCAACCACCCGAGTCCAGGTCTTGCCAGATGCCGCAGGCCCCCTAACAGGTCTCAACACTTCTGTGCCTGTGTCAGGGTCCCTGAGGCAGCCAGCCTTGGGCTGCCCTTTGAAAGCTACAAAGGCTTTCATGTCCCTTCTCTGCTTGCTCGCAGCTCCCGAGGCTCCTCCTGTTCTCGGCCTCTGCCCCTGCCTATCCCTCCACCCTCCAGCCCGTCATGGCCACCCTGCTTGTCACTGAGCCCCAACCTATCCGCCTCCCTTCACCTGCACACATGCCGAGCTTGCTCCTCCAAGGCACCTGATGTCCCCTCCAGCCCATGCAATGCGCATGTCCCCAAGAGTTCACACTCCTGCTCCTTCTAAATCTCTCCTAGAGAAGCCCCACCCGGCAGCCACACTGTCTGGGGGAGGCCCCGGCTCAATATGCCACCGCACCTGCTCCCCTTTTCTGCAGCACCCCTGGCTGGCTGGAGTCATCTCGTCCTTCACTGCCTTTCTCCTCCCTGCAGACCCTCTGTCCTGGAAGCACAGGAACCTCACCTGTCTTCCTCACAGCCGTGTCCCCAGAGCCTCATCCAGAGTGCCCGACACAGATGCTCAGCAGCCGCTTGCTAAATGAGCAAATCAATATCGATTTTTTAAAGCACATTTTCCTTTCATTAAGGGTATTTTAATTAAAAAACTCATTTTGCAAAAAACCTCCTACTACAAAACAGATAACATAATCACAATCATTGATTTGTTTGTTCACTCACTCACTGCCGTGGTAACAGTGCAGGTGGCACTTTCACTTACATTTCCAATCTGACCCTCATGAGAATCCTATAATCTGGGTTTGGTTAGCTCCATTTTAATGGATGAGAAAACTGAGGCTGAGAGAAACCCAGAGATGTTCTCTGGGTTCTTTTTTATTCTCATTCCTAAGTCTCTCACTGGAATGGAGATTGGCAAACTACAACCTGGGGGCCAAATTCAGCCTGCACCCTGTGTTTGTAAATAAAGTTTTATTGGAACACAGCCACTCGCATGTGCTGAGAACTGTGGCTGCTCTTAGGTTACTACAGCAATGCTGAGTAGGCCACATCCTTCAAAGCCAAAAATATCTACCATTAGGCCCTTCGCAGAAAAAGCTTGTCAATCCCTGCTCAAGAACGTCCCAGCTCACGATTGCAAGATAGGCTTCAAATAATTCTAATCAATCAAGACTCATGTTCTGACTTGAGCATTCCATATTATTTCTACTGCTTGAAGCAATATTGGTTTCCTAAGCTCCAAAATGAAAGACAAATTTGACCCGAGGGCAAGATTCAAGGAAGGGACCCCTAGTTCACCGAAACACATGCACAGCTTGCTACACACCTGGTCAGTCTCCTTGCAGGCTGTGGGTGGGAAGAGCCCTTGGCTGTGCACACAGTGACACTGATTTGCTCTCTCCAACAGCTCTCACCCCTGAGGATATCAGCATTTTGCTCCCGAAAGGGCAAACACAAAAGGTATAATTCCATAATCACTAGATTCTACTTCATTTTAGAAGAACAGTATTATACAACCATGGAAGATTAAAAAGAAAACCCACAGAAACAATGAAAACCTTTACCTTGAGTTTATTTTTCAAAGACAGAGAGCCAAGGTATTTCTGTTAATGGGATAATAAAAGAAACTCACAAAAGAACTACAATTGTTCAATAAAAGTAAAATAGAGAATGAATGTAAAAAATAGGAAAAAAAGATCAAAAGAAAAAGATTAGGAGTGATCTATTCACTCAATAGTCTTTCCAATTCTGCCCAGAAAATAAGGGAGTTTTTTCTACTTCTCCTCAAGAAAGAGGAGGGCTTAGTGCGGGAAGAGGCAACGCTACCCTGAGAAGAGGAGGGTACTAGGGCCGGGGAGTGACAGCCGTCTGTGCTGCTTGTGGGCCTCAGCAGTTTCCCCACAGGACCCACAAAGGCTTCAGGTGTGCTTGAGAGCTGGCTCTCCTGGTCTGCCCACTTCTGGCCACATTACCCCTTCTGTTTACCTCAGGGGGCTGAACAGATACTACCATTTTCTGTGTGTAGTACATGGAGCAAATTTTGGGAAGTTCTACCTTGAAGGCCCAGTCTAGCAGGTCTGGCTTTGCTGATAGGTGTACCCACTGGATACATCCAGGTAGCTGTGGGCCAAGGTGTACCCACTGGATACATCCGGGTAGCCGTGGGCGTGGGTGTACCCACTGGATACATCTGGGTAGCCGTCGGCCTGGGTGTGCTCACTGGATACGTCCAGGTCAGGTAGCTGTGAGCCTGGGTGTACCCACTGGATATGTCCGGGTAGCCGTGAGCTTAGGTGTACCCACTGGATACATCTGGGTAGCCGTCGGCCTGGGTGTGCTCACTGGATACGTCCAGGTCAGGTAGCTGTGAGCCTGGGTGTACCCACTGGTTACATCCAGATAGCCATGGGGCTGAATGTACTCACTGGATACGTCCAGGTCAGGTAGCTGTGAGCCTGGGTGTACCCACTGGTTACATCCAGGTAGCCATGGGGCTGAATGTACTCACTGGATACGTCCAGGTCAGGTAGCTGTGAGCCTGGGTGTACCCACTGATTACATCCAGGTAGCCATGGGGCTGAATGTACTCACTGGATACGTCCAGATCAGGTAGCTGTGAGCCTGGGTGTACCCACTGGTTACATCCAGGTAGCCATGGGGCTGAGTGTACTCACTGGATACGTCCAGGTCAGGTAGCTGTAAGCCTGGGTGTACCCAGTGGTTACATCCAGGTAGCCATGGGGCTGAGTGTACTCACTGGATACGTCCAGGTCAGGTAGCTGTGAGCCTGGGTGTACCCACTGGTTACATCCAGATAGCCATGGGGCTGAATGTACTCACTGGATACGTCCAGGTCAGGTAGCTGTGAGCCTGGGTGTACCCACTGGTTACATCCAGGTAGCCATGGGGCTGAATGTACTCACTGGATACGTCCAGGTCAGGTAGCTGTGAGCCTGGGTGTACCCACTGATTACATCCAGGTAGCCATGGGGCTGAATGTACTCACTGGATACGTCCAGATCAGGTAGCTGTGAGCCTGGGTGTACCCACTGGTTACATCCAGGTAGCCATGGGGCTGAGTGTACTCACTGGATACGTCCAGGTCAGGTAGCTGTGAGCCTGGGTGTACCCAGTGGTTACATCCAGGTAGCCATGGAGCTGAGTGTACTCACTGGATACGTCCAGGTCAGGTAGCTGTGAGCCTGGGTGTACCCACTGGTTACATCCAGGTAGCCATGGGGCTGAGTGTACTCACTGGATACGTCCAGGTCAGGTAGCTGTGGGCCTGGGTGTACTCACTGGTTACATCCAGGTAGGTGTGGGTCTGGATCTCCCCTCCTTCATTGCTGGCGAAGCACTGGAAGATTCCGGAGTCCTCTGGACGCAGCTTCTGGATGCGCAGGCCTCCGCTGGCGAGCACTTTGTATCGAGGATTCTGGAGCCTGCTGATGGAGATGGCATCCTTGTACCACTGGAGGGTGGGAAGGGGGACCCCTGCGTAGGAATGGGAATAAATAGGATTTTAAAAATAATTCCTGACGTGAGAACTGAAGCACATCTGTTTCAAAGGCTAGAATGCCAATATTTTAATAGGCATTTTCTTGTGTATTCGTGCTTTCAACCACCCTATAAGGAGCTATTTTTCTCGTTGTAGATGAAGCCATCGACACGGAGGGGTGTTGAGAGGAACAGCTGGCATGAACTGTGGCCGCCCTGGCTGCGGTGCCTTCCAGGCTCCACTCCGAACCCACACAGGCTCATGCTCTTGTTTGGAAAGGAGATTCCAGCTGAGAGTCAGGTTAAGGTTCAGATGGAGATGAAGCCCTCTCTGCTCTGCAGTGCCCTACTCAGCCACCGCGGGAGGGCTTGGGCACAGGGTCATAGGGGCAGAGGACAGGACACAGGCCACATCCCAGGTCCATGCCTCGCGGACAGTGTCACCTTGGGCAGAATACATTACCTGTCCCTTTCTTTGTCTGTTTCCTCACATGCAGGTTAGTGATAATTGTGACTTCAGAAGGTTGAAGATTGGATGTGTTTGTGTGTCTGTGCATGTGTGTGTATATGTATGTGCATGTGTTCATGCGAGTGTGTGCACGTGTACATGTGTGTATATATGTGCATGTGTCTACGTGTTTACATGTGTGTATGTGTGTGTGTTTGTGCATATATGTGCATGTGTTTATGTGTGTATGCGTATACATGTGCGTGTGTGTATATGTGTGTGTACATCTGTGTATGTATATGTGCACCTGCATATATGTGTACATGTGTTTCTATGTGTGTCTGTGTGAGGTGGTGCATATATGTGCATGTGTGTACATTTACATATGTATTTATAAAACTCATGCCCGGCACCTGGTGAGTGCTCAATGGCAGTATCACTATTCATCCCAACAGCTAACAATGAAAATGAGTGCCATCTTTTAACACCCCCTATCAAAGGGGTTGGATATCATGGGCCTTCATGGAGTTCTACTGTCTCAGAGGAGCAATTTGTTAGGTTAAGTAACCTTGTTAAGGGTCGAGGAGGAGGCACAAGAGGTATTCCATTGTGGATACAGGAAAAGCTGCCTCGCTCCATGAGGCATATCTACACTTAGCTCTAGATCTCAGATGGTTCTGTACCTCAGTTTCCCTAAAGAGAAAGTGGATTTAAATAAAAAACATATCTTGACATGCTTCAGTGCAAAGCACACCAAAATCCCTTGATTTAAGATGGCGTGTGGGTAGGTGTGAGATGTCGACTTTAATAAATAAAGTTAATGCCATGGAATAACTCAAGATAATGTCTTCCTAGATTCTCTTCTTTGCCTTAATTATGTTTCCTGTCACTTTTCATTAAGTCAGGAAATATTAAAAAATCCATTTCAAGGTAAAAGCATAACCAATTCATGTAATATCTCATAATAGCAGTTACATGATGTCACTTTCATAAGGAATAACCACTTCGCATGCTGCTATAGTTTCACTGTCAAAATGAAAAGAAAGCAGTAAATTATATGACAGCAGTGCAATGTCGGAAGATCTGTTGTCTCTATATTTGTAAGTCTACACTTAACAAGCAGTTTACCCTGCAGAAGTCGTGCAAAAAAACAGAGCTTTCTCTTGTCAAAGGGAGTTTAAGATTGTCATTTGTTGAAAAATAATTGTTAGTACATAGGGAACTGGGAGTATTTCTATTTTGGGGCAATTTAATGTCATAACAGAAATCTTATCCCCCGCAGTATTGTATACTCTTATTTCTGAAATATAAGCTCGCTAAATATTTTATAGCTTCACATTCACAGAGTTGTTGGCCTTAAGAAGCTGGCACCTACACAAGAAAGAACAATGCAACCACTGTAAGAAAGATAATTCCACGTAAAATTCGTCTTACTCTTCTCTCACACTTTTTCCCCCTCCCCTATGCCGAATCAGTAGAGCTGGAACAGAGAAGAACAGAAACAGAACAGAGCCGTGGACAGCAGCCGCTGTGAGCTGGTCAGGAGCTGAGGACCAGAACTCCTACTGAACCAAGTCCCGGGCCAGGAGCAGTGGTTACAAAGCACGGTGGGTCGGGAGGGGGTCTGTGGGCAGAGGCTGATCTTTCCCTCTACCACCAGGACTGGAAGGGTGACACGCCGCTGCACCGGAAGGGTGGCACAGCACTGGAAGGGTGACACACCATTTTCAGGAATAAGAAATGGCATCCACACAGTTGCAGGTATGGACAAATGGCATTTGTTCTAAGTCCAGGGCTTCAGGTCCTGGGGGAAGCTAGTGTTCTGGCAAGAGCCAGGTGGCTGCTTTGGTGGCTGACAGATTTGCGTTTGGGTCCTGCCTCCATTACCATGTGGACCTAGGTAAGTTAGGTACCCAGTATTTAATGAGTAACTTCCACAGGCCACACACTGGGCAATGACTTCACCAGAGAAGGATCCCATTTCATTGAGTGGCCCAGTGCCTTTGGCACTGTACTTAACCATGCTTTCCAGGGCTTGGTTTTCCTGTGGTACAGTGAAAATCATCTCTCTTTTAGGAGCTGTTTTGAAGATTTGCAAAACTGGTAGTCATTCTTACCCTCCGAGCTCTTAGGGAGTAGGAGAAAATACTATCCTTAGGACGGATGGGTATAAACAAAAGAGAAAAGATCCTTTTCGTTTCCTGATAGTTGCCAGAATACAAACACAGCTTTTCTTAACGAAACTGCCTTGACAAGCCTGTCTCTGCTAGAAGGTTTTGTGTAATCACCTGTGCTGCCCGACATGAGACGGTGACAGTGGGCAGCTTGTAATTGAAGCATGGGGATGAGGGCTGGGATGACCTGAATGGCAAAGGAAAAGGGGACCCAGAGCTGAAAAGGCAAAAAAAAAAAGGTAACATTTCCTATTCAAATACTATTCGGCCACAAAAAAGAATAAAAGGGTGTCTTTTGCAGCAACCTGGATGGCACCGGAGGCCACTGAGTTATGTGAGAGAACTCAGACACAGAAAGACAAAGACTGCCTGTTCTCACTAATAAGTGGGTGCTAAGTCACATGTGCACATGGATGCAGAGTGTGGAAGGACAGACAATGGGGACTCACAAGGGTGTGGGGTGGGCGATGAGAAATTACTTAACGGGTACAGGGTACATCACTCCAGTGACGGACGCACTCCCAGCTTTGGCTTCACCACTGTGCAATACATCAGTGGAACAAAATTGCCTTGTACCTCACGTACCTACTACAAATACATGTACACCCATCTCCCTTTCTAGAGTGGCTGTGCTCACCAGTCCTAGTCACCCCATGGATGAGAAAGAATTTTCTGCCCCGAATCTCGGGGGGTCACACACTTGTGAAGTCAGGGCCTTGGAAGGGGAGTCCACAGGATATGATGGAGTCCCCTCTCTGTCTGGGGTAGATGTGGGCTTCCTTTTTGCTCTGCTGGGTAAATAGTATCATCTCTGTTTCGCAGGGGAGGAAGCAAAAGCTTGGCAAAGTCAAATGCCTTACCCACAGTCACTGCCCCAAGACCGATCTACTCTCTGAAGTCTGCTCTTCGCCATCACACTCAATGTCTCCCTAGAATGATGGCAATTCTGCTATGGAAAAAGGTTGTTTCCCTTCCTCCCAGTCATGGCTCCTTGTCCAGCAGCCACTCTGCACTCACCCATGGCTTGACATCCGATGTCCACAGTTTCTTCTACTTCAGCTGAAATCCGACTCTCGGGCTCAGCAGTAAAATATGGTGGCTCTTCAAACAAGAAAATAAAAAAAAGCCCCTAAGCCAAAGAAGGATATGTCAGAGACCATATAACCTAAGATAGTGTGGGCTCCTCTTAAAAACCATTCTTGAAAATTTCATCATTAGTTAGCATCGTGCATACAAACTCAGAACTCAGTGAGCACAGGCCAAAGGCAATTTACAGTCTGGGGTTTCAGAAAGCAACTTACTACTCAGGGTGATGGCTACTTTTCAGTTTATGGGCTTGAATCATGGAATATCTTAATTTACATTTTAGAAGGACTACCCCAAGAGGTTCGTAAAGGTTTATATTTACAGCACCGTATTTTATGGGCTAGTTTGCTTCAGTATCTAAACTAAACACGAGCTCGTGAAGCTTGTCAAGTGCCCGAGGAAGGTGTGCAGCCTGTATTGGGCAACAGCCTATTAACATATTTTTAAAATTCTTAGCAGTTCTTCTCCAAAATAGAGATTTAATACTTCAATGGAATACCAAATAATAACTAAGAGAAAACATATAAGGGAGCACTCATCTATCTTTAGTAGCAAAGGAAACTCCTAGGCACTTGCAATCTCTCGATACTCCACTCGCCCGTTCCGCAGAAAAAAAAACAGTGGTTGTATTAAACAATGAATTTCCTTGGAGAGCCAATTGCAACATTTTTCCAGTTTATTCAGCAGAAATTCAACAGAGGCATGGCCAAGTTTGTCAAGTATTAAGGTGGTGGTGATTTCATTATCATGATAACAAAAGGCTGTTGTGTTCACTTTCTGTGCGATAATTAATTTCTGGGAACTGTCTTCCAGAGCTGGTTTACTTTCATTATAATTGTGTTGAATGTGGATAAGATAGCTTGGCATGCCTCCTATATTGACTGTATCTTTAAAACAAGGTGGGACCTAAAAGATGAAAAAGAGAAATGAAAACTAAGCATTTCAAAGAAACGATTAAGGGGGAAGCGGCTGAAGGTTTCTGGAAGGAGGCAAAGTGATGTTTCACTTCTGCGATTACCTGGACCACTCAAGCAGAAAGAATCTGCCTGAATCAACCACTCCGGCTGAGGAGATGGCTGCAAATTCATTAGAAGGAAGCAGATTCCTCTACTTAAGTTTTCATGTGTACAGACCAAGCCTGAAGAAATATTGCCAGCATTTAATGTCTACCTTTTTCAAGCTCATCTTCATTGCACAACTCATACATCCCCCATTTGATCACGTTTCCTCAATCAATAATCATGAAGGCAGTATTATTTATATTCCAACTATACATACAGTAGCTGCCTGCTGTCAGGGCCCTTGTGTGCAGGTCCTGACCTGTATTCATCAGGGAAGCTAAGTCAATATCTACCGTCATGATCTGATTAAAAGCATGGAAGGAAAAAGGAAAAAAACATACATTCGACAACAACATTTGCTTATGATTAATTATAGTTTTCCTCTTCTTAGTTGAGCGTTTTCTTTTTAGAAAACTGTCGAGTCCGTGCAGTTGTGAGAAGTAACACTGTAACACTGAAAGAGCTCATGGACCCTTCACTCGGCTTCCCGCAATGGTAACATCTTGCAAAAAACGATAGCATAACATCATGATCAGGATACTGCTACTGATACAATCAACCTAATTTATCCAGCTCTTGCCAGTGTTTCCTGCGCTCAAGTGTGCGTGAAAAGACGGCACATGCACGTCCCATGCAACATTATTACGTGTGTAGGTCCACGTGTCCATCAGCACAAGGGTGTTGCCTTCCATGACCAGGAGCACCCCAAACCCCCACCCCTCACAACCACTAATCCGTTCTCTGTTTCTGTAGGTTTGTCATTTCAAGAACGTTACAGAAAGGAGGTCATCGAGTGTAACTTTTGCAACTATTTTTTTCACTCTTCATGGTTCCCTTGAGATTCACCCAAGATGACCTGTGCTTTGATGATACAAAATCCATAGATAACAATGGTCGGCACCTACGGGCCCAGGGTGCCTTCCCTGAGGTACTGATTACCGTTGTCGCCTGGTACAGTCCCCCGAGGCTTCCCTCGAGTGCCAGGAAGGGACCTCGCTGGGGTCAGGGAGACGGGCACTCCACACAGTGACCCGAAGCTGGCTTGGCTGAGCAAGTGCATGGCTCTGGGGACCTCCAGGCCCAGACGATGCTGCTCCTCTCCAAGTGGTGACCTCTCTCCACCCTAGCCAGGGACCATCTGTGTTTGGCACACAGCATGCCACCTGGTGAGAAAACTCATCCCACTCCACACTCTCCATAGTACTGTGGCATGGGCAAGGTCTGGGGGGCAGCCTGCCACCGCCTGCAGGGGCCAATGTCCTGGGCAGTTTTAGTAGCTCAGTGCTAGGCATGGGTGGAAAACATCTGGCTGTTCATTGTGGATGCTCTTAGCTTGTTCTGGAAAGCCTTCCAGGTCGCTGTGCCTGGGGAGCAGGTGCAGAGCTGCCCATGCCCTGCGTGGCCTCTGAGCTTCCCTTAGTACTTCCCCACCGTGTGAGGGTACGAGTTCTCTCCCTGCCAACCCTTCCTAGTATTCTAACCCAGCGGCTGCTCAGATGGAGTTTCTCCCCATTTCCAGCTACGGTTTTACACACAGTCTGCTCTAAGGCAAAGAACCGGAGGAAATGCCAAGCCTATGGACCGTGAAAAGCCCGTGAGTTAAACACTGGGGAAAACCCATTGTAAATGAGTCATCCTGTGCATAGACTCTCAACCACTTACTCTTCAGAGGGCAAGAGGGCGAGGGCATGTCTTAGCCTGTCAGTGGCAACTGTGTCTAGAAAGGGTACTCTGCCAACATGGGTCCACCCTGGACTTCTGAAAATTGATCCTGACTGCAGCCAACAAAACAGGGGATGGAAACAAACACTTCTCCCTCTTTTGAAACAATATGAAGACATCAGGGAAAGGTTCTCATGCCCTGTGTGAAGTCAGGGTGTTAGGAAAAGGCCAGCTCAGATTTTCCGCCTTCCACATGGCCCAGAGCCCATGGCAGCTGCCTCCAGGGGCAGCGCAAGCTTCTAGCTCCCCAGTCTCAGGAGAGGAGGTGGGGAGACCTCCCAGACTGCCCCCAAACCAAGGGCCTCTGTCAAATGACCTCACTCTCCAAAATGCCAGTGTGACAAAGTGCAGGCTCAGGCCCAATGGAGGCAACCGCAGTGGAGAAGGACCCCCCAACAACACCATGCATTTTTCCTGCTCTCCCATCCCCAATGCTGCTGGGATTTGGCTTCTGAGTTGCAAAGCTTCTTCTGTGTAGGGATCACTGCAAGATCCAAAGATGTTTCCTGCGCTGCCTCCCTGTTCCTTCCAGGTCGCCCCTCTCAGGGAGCAGCATGTCCCACGCATGCCCTCGGCTGGCCTGCACTGCACGCTAGTCCACCGAGGTGGACAGAACGGCTCCCGGAGGTGTCCACACCCACACCTCTGGAATCTATGAATATGCTGTCTCACTTGGCAAGAGGGACTCTGCAGGTGGGATTAGGTATCCCACCTTAAAATAGGGAGACTCTCTTGGATTCGCTGGGTGGGCCCAATTTAATCATGTGAGCCCCTAAAAGGAGAGGACTTTCTGCAGCTGGAGGCACAGGGGACAGCAGAGAGCTTCCATGTGTGACAAGAACTCAGCCGCAGCTGCTGGCTCTGGAGATGAGCCAGGGATGCAGGGGACTCTGGAACCTGAGGGGACCCCTGGCCAGGAGCCAGCCCCCAAGCCACAAGCACTGAATTCCATGAACAACTTGAAGGGGCTGGCAGCAGATGCCCCACCAGGTAAAGAGTCCATCCCAGTGAAAACTCGCCGTCCGAGTTTCCGAGCCATCGTGCTCAGCAGGAGCAGGGCACATGTGGGAGCAGCTGGCTTCGTGTGTGATGAGGAGACCGTGGAGAAGGCGTGGCTCGGAGGGAAGATGCATCTCACAGGCACTAAGGTGCTGCAGTCAGAGGTAAGGGGCATCCTTGTCTTACCCCAAGGAAAAAAAAAATGGTTTCATAGGTGGTGAGGCACATCCTGATTCCAGAGACACTAAACATGAAAAATGTGTGTCACATAACTGATTATTGGTAAATAGCGAGTGCAATGGGACATATAGGATAATAGAGTTATGCCAACAGCAACTAAAGCCACTATTTCAGAGCCTCTGTGACAGACATTTTTGCATTTAACCTTCACAATATGAGCTGGTACCATCTACATCCATCTCCATTTTATGGATGTGGAAACTGAGGCCAACACTCATTCAAGCCCATGAATGGTGCAGTGTAGAGGGTGTAGAAGGGAGGTGGGACGGAAGCGGAGGGTGTAGAGGGGAGGCCAGAGGGGAAGGTGTAGAGGGGAGGTGGGAACGGAGGGCGGAGAGTATAGAGGGGAGGCGGGAAGGGAGGGTGTTGAGGGGAGGTTGTAAAGGGGAGGTGGGAGGGGAGAGGAGGGTGTAGAGGAGAAGCAGGAGGGGAGGGGGGAGGGTGGAGGGCGTAGAGGGGAGGCAGGAGGGGAGGGGAGGGTGTAGAGGGGAGGCAGGAGGGGAGGGTGGAGGGTGTAGAGGGGAGGCAGGAGGGGAGGGTGTAGAGGGGAGGCAGGAGGGGAGGGGAGGGTGTAGAGGGGAGGCAGGAGGGGAGGGGAGGGTGTAGAGGGGAGGCAGGAGGGGAGGCTGTAGAGTGTAGAGGTGATGCGGGAGAGGAGGGTGTAGAGGGGAGGCAGGAGGGGAGGGTGGAGGGCGTAGAGGGGCTGCTCCACAGGACTGGGCAGCCAGTGGCGGGGTGGTGCCTGGAAGCCGACCTCTGTGCTCTCATTCAAGCCACAGAAATTAAGCAACATAGACAGGCAGGTGGGCAAACAGCCCAACTAGCCTGTCCTGTGTCATCAGTATAAAATACAAGTAATAGGAGCCCATTTGTTTCTCTGTCTTTGGCCTGTGTGCTCCTACGGGTGGCCCTTTTGACAGGTACATGGTGACAGCCCTGTGAAACCAATAATGCTCGGCCACAGGGCGTGGGATTATAATCTCATCCAAATCCCTCGGAATTGACACAGACACTCTCTTCAGGGTTTTTGCAGTGTGCGCCAACCACAAAAATCCTACCTGCTACAGCAAATTCTTATGAATAAAAGGGGATTTAACTCAACATCATAAAGAAGTGAAGTGTGTTTGTGTACCTTTAAAAGTCAGAACACGGAGAGGTGCTAACTCGAGAGAACACAAAACTAATCAGATATAAATGTAAAACTAAAGCTCTTAAGATAGATTTAAATATTTTAAAAAGGAATGATGATCGAAACAAACATTCTCGTTTAAAGGGAGATAAATTTCTTCTCTTGTTTAAATTACCTTAAAATGTTTGAACACGGTATAGTCCTGTCTACTAGAGATTTACACGTCGCAAATTTTAATTTTGGCTGAATCTATAATGTGCTGTGCTCCTAGAACTACAGATCAACCTCGATGAAAAAATCTTTGCAGAGAATGGGATGTGATATTTACATCTGTAGCGGAAGCATGGATGGGGAAGGTAGCAATACCAGCTCAGGCCTCTCATGTAGAATCAACAGTGATTGGTGACTCAAAGCCGGCTTCCTTGGATGCTTTTAACAGACTTTCGCTTCTTTCAGAGGGACCGACAGGTTTGCACTGCATTGTATTTAGAAGAGTCAAGGTCAGGACATGGAGTCATTTCCTAATGATTAAAGGAATGGGACGTGATCAAGGTAAACCACCTTTTGTGCAGTATTCCTTTTCTTGCTAGTTTCATAGGAAAACACAAGCTTTTTTTTTTTTTTCCTTATTTTGCAAAGTGGCAGACTGCAAATTTTTTTATTTAAGGGGCTCTCTGAGGGTTTTCTTATTTGAATTTTCCTGTTCTCAATTCCCCTTTTTCCCAAAGAGGAGAGAGGAAGTCGAGATTCTCCTTCCTAGAGGCGGCCTCTAAGGCTACCTCTTATCAACAGCGGCTACCACTGCGGAACACAGGCTGCTCTCATAGTCATCACGGCCACTTATGAAGAATAAATGCATGACAGTAGCTGGAAAAATGAGAGAAATAAAGTCACTTGCCTCACAACTTAACCTCCTCATAAACTGATAATAGGTTTTGTATTTTCTTAGCCACTGTACAATGCACACTCCCTAAACACTAATAGTTTCCAGCATTTAGAGCTGGGCAACTCCAGTGTACTTAATTTTATGTTCTTTCTCCTTGGTTCAGGAATAATATGTCGCCCAGTTTGAGGAAGCATCTCTGTTCTCTTTTTTTTTTTAAGTTTAACAAAAGGTAACATCCGATAGTTTTACATTTTCTGCTAGGTCAAAAAATAACAGCTAAATTAATAATTAATAGAATAATTTCTAAATTAATAATTTTTTTTTTGAGTTGGAGTTTTGCTCCTGTGGCCCAGATTGGGTTGCAATGATGCGATCTTGGCTCACTGCAACCTCTGCCTCCTGGGTTCAAGTGATTCTCGTGCCTCCGCCTCCCGAGTGGCTGGGATCATAGGCGCCCGCCACTGCGCCCAGCTGATGTTTGTATTTTTAGTAGAGACGGGCGGGATTTCACCATGTTGGCCAGGCTGGTCTCGAACTCCTGGCCTCAAGTGATCCGCCCACCTTGGCCTCCCAAAGTGCTGGGATTACAGGCATAAGCCACCATGCCTGGACAGCAATAATAGAATAGTTTCTGAACACCGATCACGATAGCCAAATAAGAGTTACAGAAAAGCTTAGCAGCCTAAAGCTAGAATAGGAGAGGGATCTATATGACAGGGGTTTCACCGCTCTATTTCCCGAGCTTTGTGACTGGAGTATTCAGAAGGACGTTTCTTGGAAGGATTGAGAACATCAACACTTTGGATTTAATGGACTTATATTCTTGGGAAAGAAGGCTAGGAAGGATTTCGAAGGTAAACTCAACCTCACCTTCATTTGCCGAGTTACAAATAAAGCCACTGAAATACGCTATTTTGTTTCTGCAGAAGAGTCAGTGTCGGATGCTATCTGAGATGCTGGCAACACCACTTAGAGGCTCCCGCATTACCTATGATGAAAAGAAAGGCCGTCGCCCTGGCCGGTTCAAAAGCGCTCCCCGGCAGCGCCGCCTCGCAGACGTATGGCCCGGTGTCCGCGGACGTCGGGTTGCTGATGGTGAGGCGTCTTCCAAAGCTGTGGAGGCCACTGGTGATTCTCACTCCATTCCTCTTCCAGGTCACACTCAGGTCCTCCACAGGCCTGTGGGAATGAAAGGCATTCATGACGACGATTGTGACTCAGGGAGGTGGCAACGGTCATCATCTCAGGCACTCGGCACAGGCTTGACGAAGCTAATGCTACCAGGGTGCATGGTGGGTTGAACAACGGACACTGAAAACTCAATCTAGATGTAACTCTACTCCCTCCCAGCACGCATTGACGATGCATTCTGCTCAAGGGCTATTAAGCAAGGATATCTAATTGCCGCAGCAATGGACCATAAGTGCTAATGATCCCATTTGCTCAGGAAATGAATGTTTAAAATAAATACTGTGAGGGGACACAACGACATGGAAGGCGGGATCATCCGAGCTTGATTCTGGAGCGACCGCTAAGTAGGCAGAGAACACCTTGGCTGACTAAGAGGAGAAGAGCAATGAACTTTTTCCTCTGCCTCAACTCCTCTCTCTTCCCTAGAGAGGATCTCAGAGGAGCCCCCCACTACCACCCAGAGCTGCATTGAAAGCACCGCCCTGTTGCAGTGGGGGACTCTGGAAGACATCAGTGTGTCCATTTCCTTATCTACCCATATCTCGTATTCATGGCCCACCCGGCCAAACAAGACCACTGTCGCTAGAAGGCTGAACCTCATGCTCCAGTGTATCCTTCTATCGTCGGCTCGTCACAGGTCATGGAATATTTACTAGGAGTCTCACAGGAGACGCGCCTCGTACCTGGCACTGGCTATACATTCCAAGGTGGTCTCACTGGATCCAGCCACCACACTTCTGTTGCCCGGGGGAACCACAATGGTTGGGGCCATGGTTTCAGGTGTGCCAACATCTCCTGTGGCAGAGAAAAGAGAAATGTCCATGAAACTCTAAGTACAGGAGCACCCCCCGCCGTTATCTGAGGGGACACGTTCCAAGACCCCCGGGGATACCTAAAACCAAAGAGAGTACCAATCCCTACAGACACAAATTGTCCCTGATGTATGATGGCTCCACGCAGGGCTTTTCAACTTTATGATGGTGCAAAAGCCATACACATTCAGTCCAGTCCTCAACTTACAACGGGGCTACAAAAGCGCGTTTTGACTTCCGATATTTTCAACTTCCGGTGGGTTTATTGGAACATAACCCCATTGTGAGTGGAAGGGCATCTGTTCAAACTTTCTCCCTCTGCATACACACCTGTCATAAATGTGTAAATCAGGCACACTAAGAGACTGACTACAACTAATAATGAAACAGAACAATGATAACATAATGTAATGAAAGTTATGCGAATGTGGTCCCTCTCTATCTCTCAAAATATCTTACTGTGCTGTACTCTCCTATTTTCGGACCATGGTTGACGGAGGGTAATGGAAACCACAGAAAGTGAAAGGGCAGATAGAAGATGGGATGATCGGAGCATGACAAATGAAGACTATTGTCAGAGTCACGCTAATAGGAAACCCAAATTTCATGGCCCCTACCTGAACTCCCATGAGAAGCCCTGGGGCAGGGTCACTGTCCCTGGCCTTTCTCAGACCACATGAGATGGGGTCCAAGCACAGCCAGTGTCCTCAGGCACAATCCACAGCCTGTCCTACCGGGCATGGTTACCGGGCCTTACGCTACTGCTCTGTGTGTTGTGTGGCTGAGGGGCTTTATTTAAACTGTTTGGCATTTTCCAAAATGCTTGCTGGCTTTATTTTTCTTTTATTGATTTAAGAGTTTGCTTACTGAGTTACCTAGTCTACCTGCTATTTCCAAATCTGTTCAATTCCACAAATATTTCATGTATCAGCCACTACGTTAGGCATGGGTGTCACTGGAAAGCAGTGGGCATTCTTACTCCTGTCCAAATATGCTTCCCTGGAGCCAATATATTCAATTAACAAAGGGTTCAGTTCTGTTACTGCAGTTTCAATCCTTTTTTCCTTTCTGAAAAGTAAATATCCTGAATCTATGTTTTTTGAGTATCAAACTATAAATAATTTATCTCGTACTTCTGGTGACAAGGGAGAAAAAAATAGGACATATTTTTTGCCGCTTTTCTCTAAAATACATTTAACATCAAAATTAAACTACCCACAGTACACTTTACTACTGTTTATTTAGAGAAAATGAAGACCAATCCAACATTTCTAGAACAGGGATTTCAATAAAGGGCGGAGATGTAAGAGGCTGGAAATAAAAATAAATGGAAATGACTGCAAACGCAAAACGCTTCATCTGGGCTTCACGCTGAAGGGACTCGCCACCATCGTGAGCGGCAGCGGAGGATTCTGGCAACTGAAAGGTTCTAGCCTGCCCGGCTGGCGGTGGGGTGAGGGCCGCGGAGAGAGAACAACGGGAAAGAGACGACGGGCTTCTCATCAGCTCTGATTTCCCACAGCTCTGTGCTCTGCCTTGCACTGCCTAAGCAGTATGAGATTTTTGTATTAAACGTGCATGTGAATTCTAAAAGAAAAACAGAAGCCTGATGCAGACAGAGCCAAGTAATGAATGTTTTAAAATCTATATGTTGATTGAATAATGTGAGGGTGACTCTCACCCAGCCCTGGGTCCCTGGGGGGCTGAGGCAGCCTTCCCCATCTCTAGACTCTCCAACTCTGCAGCGGACCCTCGAAGCTTCTCCGGAAACCTTCCTGCTGACGCCTTCGCTTTGTAAAATTGCCAACATTCCTGGGCTGGTTATCAGATTTCTGAGAAGATGGCAGAGTCCGGATGCACTCACGATGGGGCAAAGGACAGGAATGGAATGCCAATCAGACTAACGGCCTGCCTGTCATCTGTGAAAGTGGCTGATGAGGAGAAACGGCCGGAGAAGCTAATATTTGCAAATAGTTATGTGAAGTGAAGGGAGGCAGTGGCTAATGCTGAAAGGTCATTGAACAGGGTGCTAATTTGGCATTAATCACTGCTCAGCCACGGTGGCAGATGAGGAAGCCTGAGTTCAGGACTGGGGAGGACGCCTGAGGAGAATGGTCCTTGGGCCACTGAGTCCCTCCTCCCCAGACTGGTGGGGGCTCAGCTCCTGGCAGACTCCAAGGGGCTGTGCTGTGGACAGATGAGCCCCAAGGCTGAGTTCGCAGCCCCGCAGGGCCAAGTGCCGCAGGCACCGCACACATCCATCCATCACGGGGTTCAGCTCCACCACAGGAGGAGGAAGCCCTCCTTCGTGTTGATTCACCTACAGCCTTAAAAGAACAGTGGTGGCCGGGCGCGGTGGCTCACGCCTGTCATCCCAGCACTTTGGGAGGCCGAGACGGGTGGATCACGAGGTCAGGAGATCGAGACCATCCTGGCTAACACGGTGAAACCCCATCTCTACTAAAAATACAAAAAAACAAATTAGCTGGGTGTGGTGGCACATGCTTGTAGTCCCAGCTACTCGGGAGACTGAGGCAGGAGAATCGCTGGAACCCGAGAGGTGGAGGTTGCAGTGAGCCGAGATGGCATCACTGCAGTCCAGCCTGGGTGACAGAGCGAGACTCCGTCTCAAAAAAAAAAAAAAAAAAAAAAAAGCAATGGTGATACACACACAAGGTCACCTGCAAGGTGAATCTGACTTATGGAAACCACCACAACAAGGTCAAGGTTATATAGGTCTTCTGATGGCAAAGCTATGCATTTTCTGTTGAGACTGCACAAAAACATTTCAGTAGAATATTACGTGACCTGAATCCAGATATTTCAATAGCAAGGATAGTGCTCATTGTAGTACATGATCCTGGTATATTTTCTTCCTTTAAAAAATTGTTTTAAATTTCAATCAAATTCATATGTGCACATAAATTAAAAAGAACATTACAGAGAGGCTTAAAATGAAACAAAACCATACCCCCTCTCCCTAAGGCAATCTCCCCTAAATCTGTTAGTGTTTTATCTTAGTTTTGAGCTCCATGTCTTTAAATTATAGGCATCTATTGCTATGTCTTGTTTTTAGCCAATTTTAGACATTATCTATTGACTTTCTGCTACAACAGATGAGCTTTTAGCTCACACCACTTCATGATACTTTCAAACAGGATTTTTACTTCTTCTGTTATTTACCTGTGTAATTTAAATATATATAAATATATATGTGTATATTTTAAAAAGATATATAGATACAGATATTTTTAAGCAACAGATATAGATACACATATAGATATATATGTATTTTTAAAAGATATACATAGTGAAACCCCATGTTTACAAAAAAATACACACACACACACACACACACACACACACACACACACAAGCAAATACTTCTTTTTAAAAGGAAAGGCAATTAGAAATCCCGGTGAAAAAAATCTGTAGAAGAAAGAAATATAATCTCTCTATACTGTCTAGCTGTGCAGTAGATAATCTTTACATAGTAAATATAAACAGTGTATATTTATTTCAACTTTAGAATTAATCCATAGTCTAAAATGCCAGATGTAATTGTGCCTAGGAAACAGAATTTAAATGTTTTTAACCTGGACGATATGAAACTGCAGAAGACGGAGTGAGGTGGAAGAGCAGAAGAGAATTGGGGGTGAGGGTGGCTTCTCATTACACAACAGGGAGTGAAAAGCTACTGTTTCCAGTTTACAAGAAATAAAGAAGCGTGTGTGTGTGTGTGCATGCATGCATGCTCATGTATATATCTTAGAGTTACAATGGTAAATAACAAAAGGCCTACACATACTGTTTGGACTATATTTTGAGAAGGATGTGTGAAGAGGCATGAGGTAAAAAGCTCATCCATCACAGCAGAAGGTCAATAGGTAACGTCTAAAATTGGCAAATCAAGAACTAGCAATAGACACATATTGTTAAGACACGGAGTTAAATATTAGCACAAAGGGCTAAATAGAGAAAAGCACGCCTCTGGTGTGAGTGGCAAAAATGGCTGCATTCTGTTTATAGCCTTTTGTACTGTTCTCTTTTACCCACATGAAGGCAATCTACCCAGCTCCCTTTAAACACAGAGACATTCCCTTTCCTGTTTGGTGTGGACTCGTCACTCTGAGACTCTCCTCCGCTGCATTCTTGGGTAACACCTGCCGTTCCCTGGACCTCACTGTCTCCTTATTCTTGGCATATGTCCTCACTTAGCTAGAGTATCCTTAAATAACTTAAAAAAAGTAAGTCTTCAAAGTTCTTGAATGAGGTAAAAAATGATTTTTGGCCAGGCTTAGTGGCTTACATCTGTAATCCCAGAACTTTGGGAGGCCAAGGTGAGTGGCTCTCTTGAGCCCAAGAGTTTGAGATGAGCCTAGGCAATATGGCAAAACCCTGTCTCTATCCAAGAAAAAAAAAAAATTAGCAGGTGTGGTGGCACACACATGTAGTCCCAGCTACTCAGGACGCTGAGGTGGGAGGATCACTTCAATTCAGGAGTTTGAGACCAGCCTGGGCAACATAGTGAAACCCCATGTCTACAAAAATAATTTTTTTATTAGCCAGGTTTAGTGGTCTGTGCCTGTGGTCCCATCTACTTGGGAGGCTGAGGCAGGAGGATCACTTGAGCCCAGGAGGTTGAGGCTGCAGTGAGCTATGATCACACCACTGCACTCCAGCCTGGGCAACAGAGCAAGACCCTGTCTCAAAAAAATAAATAAAATAAAACGTGTCTAAGTGTAGGGGGGTTTATACATTGTGCTAGGTAACTGAAAGGTCCTTTCACTCTAGACATGCATACCTGATAGCGTTAGTTCCTTCATAATTTTCTCCCCTCTGTTTTCTGTGTTTTTCTTTCTAGGGCTCTTATTGGTTGGATTTTAGGACTCTGGATTGATTCAACATGCTTCTTACTTTTTTCCAATATTTTCCTTTTTTTAATTTTGGAAAGAGCACCTCAAACTTTATCTTTTTTTTTTTTTTTTTTTTTTTTTTTTTTTTTTACAGACAGAGTCTTGCTCTGTTGCCCAGGCTGGAGTGCAGTGGCACGATCTCAGGTCACTGCAAGCTCCGCTCCCCAGGTTCACACCATTCTCCTGCCTCAGCCTCCTGGGTAGCTGGGATTACGGGCTCCTGCCATCACGCCTGGCTTATTTTTTGTATTTTTAGTAGAGACAGGGTTTCACCATGTTAGCCAGGATGGTCTCGATCTCCTGACCTCGTTTGTGATCCGCCTGCCTTGGCCTCCCGAAGTGCTGGGATTACAGGCGTGAGCCACCAAGCCCGGCCCTCAACTTTATCTTCTAACTGGTCTTTTGGATGTTTATTTTCAGTAACCATATTGTGACTCCCAAGACTAACTTTTTGTCCTCTGTTCATTTTTCATTGCATCCTGTTCTTGTTTCATGGGTGAAATACATTTCTAAATGTCTCGGAGAGTATAAATACTTTCTGAAGTTCTGTTTTGTGTTCCTCTGGGATCTTTTTTCTCCCTCTTTGTTAATTTGATATACCTTTTACAGGAAGGGCTTTCTTCAAATGATCCCTGTGTCCTTTTATACATATGAATGAACCAGGAGATGTCAACTGACGACTTCACTTTAATAAAGTGAAACACTCACTATTATTCCGAAGGGACGCTAAATCCCAGAGTGTGGATGTCTTTTCTCTGGGGCTGTTCATTATCTATAACTTTCTGTTTGTCTGTTCATCTACCTTTTTAATCTAGCTTAAGTATTCTGCTTACAGTTTGAGGGGTTACAAGTAGACTGTTTTTGTTGTTTGTTTTTGAGACAGAGTCTCACTTTGTCACCCAGGCTGGAGTGCAGTGGCACAATCTCAGCTCACTGCAAACTCTGCCTCCGAAGCTCAAGTGATTCTCCTGCCTCAGCCTCCTGAGTAGCTGGGATTACAACATAGACTGTTCTTTATACAAACTAGCAATGGCTCCCCCTCCATGCTAGTAGCTAATAGCTCTCTGTCATAACCAGCCCCTCCATGACCAAGTCTGCCCCAAGTGTCCTCAGGCTCAGGCCCTCTCCCCAGGTGGTTGTGATGCCTCCCTCTGAGATTTGCTTTCTGGGTGTTTGTTCTCATCCTTCATCGGTACTGGCTCCTCTCCCTTTCTTTTTGTCATTGTGGACCTACGTCTCTTCCTCTTTTACTGCTTTTGAGTGGGTTTTTTGCTCCTTTTGTAAGCAAGAAGAGGTCAACAGATGGACTTCGACATTTTTTACCTGCCATGATGGCTTTTCTACCAAAAGGTTTTCCAAGTTCAATTTTTAGAAGATGCAAAGAATATCTAAGCATTTTTAAAAGAATGAAACAACCTCTTTATTTCTATTATTTGCATATCTGAGATATAATAAACACTCATCAAATACTCAATGATTAATTTATCATAAAGATTCTAAAATTAAGAGCCACCGCTACTATTACCTTCTACTTCAACGTCCTACATTAACAAAACATTTTTAAAATGCCATATACCAACGAATAAGGCCTCAGTTCCAAGAACGAAAACAAAAGTAGAGAAAGGAATTCTATTTTGCCAAGCTGCCATGCAGCCACAAAACATCTTGGTAAATGATTTACACATGTTGCCCATTTAATATAGTGACAACCCAGTAAGATAACGATTGTTATCCCTCTTTTACAGATGAGAAAATTGAGGCCCTAAGTCACATGGTTTCAAGTGATAGAGAAAAGCTTTAAATCATGGAATGTCTTCATCCAAAGTTGATAATCTTTCTTTTACATAATGCTGCCTCCTCCTAACAAAAACACTGGTTGTGCTCTGTTAAGCAAAAATTAACTAGAACACTCCTTCCCTCAAGCACTTCCTTAATTGAGACTTTACAGTAGTGTTCTCAACTGAACGTTTCCCAGGCTGGTTTTAGGTGGCTGGAGGTGAAGACACTGAGTCAAAGGAGGATTTCTGCAGAAGTCAGCAACCAACGGGCGCCAGGTAGCTTCAGAGGCAGAAAGGCAAACACTTCAGATGACGCCTCTTTGTAGTTACAGGAATAAAGAACACGCAGCAGAGGGAAATGAAGCCTAATCCTAGTCAATTTCCCCCACATGAACCTCTTTACTCATAGAAGAGGCTGAGGAGGGAGAAGCTGTCTAGGTCGCATTTAATTAAAAAGTACATTTAAAGAATATCAAGTCTCTGAAACAGAAAAAAAATAAAGTTCAAAGTTAACCCGAACTGCTAAGCTGTGGAGTCACTGCAAATAAAGTCGGATGAATGGAAAACGCCCCTTCCACGGCAGCCCCGCACCGTGCGCCGGGTTGGGGAGCGGTCGAATGAGCAAGAGCTGGTCAGGGAGCCTCCGCGCTAGGAACACAACCAGGAGGCAGGGGTGGGGTGGGGGAAATGGACTCCGCTCTGAAGGAGGAGAGGAAAGGAAGCAGCCCTGTAGGCAGCTGGGCACACAGCTTTCCAGGCAGGGAGACCAGAATATGCAAGACCCTGAAGCACAAATGGGGAGGACGGAGGAGGAGGAAGTGGGGGGAGAAGGGGAAAGAAGGGAGGGGACGGGGAGGCAGAGGCCAAGGTGGCTGCTGAACCTTGAGCCTGGTGGGAAGGCGGGAAGTCCGGCCACAGCTCAGAGGGAACATCCTGCCCTCAGGGCTCTGAGCACAGTTGCTCCCCCACTTTTGTTACAAAGATCTCAGCACCTCATTAAAAAACACAGCCTTCTATTTTCAGGAAAAGTCTATGCCCTAAAGCAGTGGGATTTTCCAGAATATCGGAGAGAGCAAATCCTACATTTTGGTTTACTCTATTAAAACCACTGTCTTCCGTGTCTGGATTCACAGCCGAGTGCTCCTGGCGAATACGCCTCTTGAAACTTTCGCAGCAGCCAGCTCGAACAGGGACAGGCCATGGGCCGTTCCCCGCACGTGGCCAGGCTGCTCCCTGTGCCACACCAGAAAACAATGAGGTCAAAGCTGCCCTCAACCAAAAGATGCTGAGTCATATTCTCCCTGAGCCATGAGACTCAGGCATAACCTCCAAGTGGACATGGGCAACATGAACCACATAAATAGACATTTCCAACGAGAAGCGGCTTTGTTACGAGAAAAACCGTAGTACAAGTGCCACAAATTCTAAGATTAAAAACAATCTCCAGGGTTTTCCTTTTTAGTGTGTCTACATCTATGGGGTTTTCTTTTTGTAGAAACAGGATTCCACCAAAAAACCAGCAGGTAAGGGGGTCTACAGGACCATCTGAAAACTCAGTATCTTCCTGCTCCAAAAATAATTGGTCTAAAACTTGTAGAAACAAGAGAAAACATTTTTTTAAAACACACACACACACGGAAAAAGACCCTATTTTAAAAGCTCAATGTTGAGCAATATGTTCTTTGGCTTCTTTTAAATCTTTTTCCAACATCCTATCATAGTATTTTTTGATCGTGTTGTCCAGATAAGATAACAGTTAGAAAAATGCTTTAGAATTTTGCCAACTGGTTATCTGGAGAGAAGATGAAGGGATCCCTCTCAAGCTGCTGCCTTGGGGACCCCTGCTCCTCTGACACTGCCCCGTCTCTGCAGAGTCATTACCTGCTGGTGGGCTGGTCCATGTGAAATAAGGAGGGACGCATGTCTTATTTATCTCTGTACCCAGCAAAGTGCCTAAATGACAACAGTCTGACTATAAGCACTTGCTGAGAGAAGACTGAAGTCTTGGCCGGGTGCAGTGGCTCACGCCTGTAATCCCAGCACTTTGGGAGGCTTGGGTGGGCGGATCATGAGGTCAGGAGATCGAGACCATCCTAGCTAACACGGTGAAACCCCGTCTCCACTAAAAATACAAAAAATTAGCTGGGCATGGTGGCGGGCGCCTGTAGTCCCAGCTACGGGAGGCTGAGGCAGGAGAATGGCATGAACCTGGGAGGCGGAGCTTGAGGTGAGCCAAGATCACGCCACTGCACTCCAGCTTGGGCGACAGAGCAAGACTGTGTCTCAAAAAAAAAAAAAAAAAAAGAATGAAGTCTTGTCCAAATATACCACGGCTGGTTATCACCAGCAGATCACGATTGCTACAGGATGACTGCAACTGTAACAACTGCCTCTTATTTCAGGAGCATGGTGGCAGGTGCTGGGGATACAAAGTTGAACTGCCTAACGTCCACTTCGTCAAAGAGGTTCGAGTTTGGTGGAGGATGGCAGCCACATGAACAGAGCAAGCACATTGTGGCGGAGCTACGAAAGCCAAAGAGAAGGGAGATGGCAGGCCGTGGAGTGTGGGTGTGGCGTTGAGGTCAGTTCTTCCAGGAGAAATTGGGAAAGGTTTGAGCAGGGAAGATGGATAGGCATCCCCCAGTCAGACAATGGAAGGAAAGGCATTTCAGGAATAGGAGAAAAGGAGGGAACCCGTTTGGCCCATTTGGGAAAAAGGAAGCAGTTCTTGGTGGTTGAGGGGCAGTGGGGGGGCATGGGCGTGGCCACAGCTGGCCACGGAGGAGGCAGGAGCGCCACACTCAGGAGTGTGGACTTGATCCATCAGGGAATGGAGAGGCAGCCAAGGGCGTCAAGGAGGAAAGCCATGGCCAGGCTTGCACACTGTCTAGAGCGGGTGGGAGCACGGTCAGGGAGCCACAACCAAAGCCTACCACACGGTTTGGGAAAAGGCTGCAAAGTCCAATGGGTCAAGGGTGTTGCTAAGAGGAGGAAGAAAGACGGGGGTGAGTATGACAGAAGGGGACAAAGGGAGAGGAGAGAGGGACAGAGGCACCTAAGACCCCTTGCTTCTCTCCAGGTTTCTCGCTTGAGCTGCTTGGTGGGTGGCTGGGCAGCTTATAAGGGAGAAAGCTCAGGAGACAGACGGGGGTCTGGGAGTGGCAGTGCTGGTGGGTCAGGAGGGAGAAGGGAAGGCGTTCTGCAGAAGCTGCCCAAGCTTCCTAAGACGTGCCTGCGGGGTACCCAGGTGCGCAGGTTCAGGGGGTACATGGGCGGTGATTGAAAGTAGGAGATCAAGAGGCCACTCCATGAGAGTGTGAGGAGTGAGCACAGGAGATGGCCTGCAGAGAAGCCAGGGAGCACTGACCTTTATTTTTTTAATTAATTTACTATTATTATTATTATTTTTGTCACCCAGGCTGGAGTGCAGCGGCATGATCTCGGCTCACTGCAACCTCCACCTCCCAGGTTCAAGTGATTCTTCTGCCTCAGCCTCCGGAGTAGCTGGGATTACAGGCGCCTGCCACGACACCCGGCTATTTTTTGTATTTTTAGTAGACGGGGTTTCATCGTGTTGCCCAGGCTGGTCTCCCAAAGTGCCTCAGCCTCCCAAAGTGCTGGGATTACAGGCGTGAGCCACCACACCCGGTCAGCACTGACCTTTAAAGAGGAGGCCCAGGGAGTCCGCTGAGGACAGTGAGAACGATGGCCAGGGCTGGGAAGGAAGAAGAAGATGCCATAAAACGGGAAGCTATTGTCTTTTTCCAAACGAACAGGCATTTTCAGGCATACAACCAAGGCTACTTCTGCTCGAGTTTTAAGATGCGTTTTCGCGTTTGCCTTGCAGGACGGTGGCTAAGGAATGCAGAGCTATACAGAAGCAGAAGTCCTGACCTCCACCAAGCAGGGTTTCACTGTCCCGCAAAGCACGTTTAGATATTCTAAATATCCAACTTGAATCACTATTCTGTTCAGTTCTGTAGGTCAGTTTCTGCAGCCAGGGTGGCTCCGGCCATCCTCCACCTGCTTTCTGACAATGAGAAGTTCTGTAGGTCAGTTTCTGCAGCCAGGGTGGCTCCGGCCATCCTCCACCTGCTTTCTGACAATGAGAAGTTCTGTAGGTCAGTTTCTGCAGCCAGGGTGGCTCCGGCCATCCTCCACCTGCTTTCTGACAATGGGAAGCACAGGAACTGGTGAGTCTTTCCTGGCCTTGAACATTGCCTACGCGTCTCAAGGTGCACTGGTGGTTTTTCATGGGCTGGGTGAAGACAGCTCCGTGACACTTCACTTAAAATCAGGTAAGTTTTTTGCTTATTAATTGCCTTTGGGACTACGTGAAGACTGTCACCTTTCTCTGCATTGTTAAAATGGCCTAGCAAAGGAATTAAGAGCTTTCCTGTCTGCAAAAGCATCTCAGAGCAACAGGTGTGTCGGATCTCTTTCCACCAAGGGGAGCAGGCATCTGGATAGCTCAGGCTGTGGCTCTGCTCCCGGGATACCTATTTTTAAAGAGACTCAGATATACATACACATATATATGTATATATCTCCAAGAACCCAGATACATTATTATTTTTTTCTTAAAATGTCCAAAGTGAAAGACGTGCAGGCAGCAGGGAGATCCAGGTCATCCCCAGCCCACCAAGAGGTAAGTCTCTTGTGGCAGAACCTGGGCAATTCTGAGATGCACTTTATTGTGGAAACTGAAATACACTGTGATTTCCTTTCTAACAAGAAAAAAACAAGTTCACGAAATAGAAAATTCCTCCCACCCTTTACCTTCCACACGTTCACCTTCTTAATCTGTACTGGCCCAGCCCCTGGACGTGGGAAGCTGGTTTATACATTTCTGAGTGTATATTTTGTTGTGTCTGGAAGACATTTTCTATTCTTTTAAGAGCTGCCTCCTTTATAGTTCATCATCCAGAAGGCAATCACGAATGCCAAAGGCATCAGGATTGTGCAGTGAGAGGAATCACATGTGTGGGGACAGGGCAGGCCCCCTCACAAACCCAACCCCAAAAGATCTAATCCCAAAAAATTCCCTGGAGACAGGTATTC
This sequence comes from Homo sapiens, assembly GCF_000001405.40. NCBI lineage: Eukaryota > Metazoa > Chordata > Mammalia > Primates > Hominidae > Homo > Homo sapiens. The sequence continues at coordinate 3,939,150 of NC_000007.14, read as the reverse complement.
CCCGCTGACTAGGTTCTTCTCGTTTCCTGCCCAGCAGGAGGGAGGGAAAGGGAAAGAGAGGAAATACGGTCGTATATCCCATTTCCAATTCTCTCTTTCACGCACCTTCATTTTCATCTCAACGCACTGCTTCTGGACTTTTCTACTGACGAGAGACGATAAATAAAATGACAGTTTGACAATCCAGCAGTTTCTTTTCTTCTCATTTATAACATATTTGAAAAGTTACACATTTGGAAATGAATGGAAGGTAACAAAGAATGTATCTTCTTCAGCTTTTTACTGGGCAGAGAAAAACGAAGGTGATAAAAGACAGTGCTGCAGTTGGCTCATGGATTTGTTTATTTAGTTCAGGATGAGCACAAATTGATAAACCGTAAAACAGGTGCGTGATTGGACCTGCATGATTTAGGAGCATATTTAGGAGCTGCATGATTGGATGCTAGAGTGATCCAAATATCTGATTCAAGAAACAACAGCTGAGGATCTCTTTTTTTTTTTTTTTGAGACGGAGTCTCACTCTGTCGCCCAGGCTGGAGTGCAGTGTCGCGATCTTGGCTCACTGCAAGCTCCGCCTCCCAGGTTCACGCCATTCTCCTGCCTCAGCCTCCCAAGTAGCTGGGACTACTGGTGCCTGCCACCACGCCCGGCTAATTTTGTTTTTGTATTTTTAGTAGAGACAGGGTTTCACCGTGTTCGCCAGGTTAGTCACGATCTCCTGACCTTGTGATCCTCCCGCCTCGGCCTCCCAAAGTGCTGGGATTACAGGCATGAGCCACCGTGCCAGGCTGAGGATCTAATTTCTATCCAAACACATAAATGCATAATCTCCCACTGAATAGAAGAACCATCACCAATAGAAAGACTGGGATCATAAGTCTTTTCAGTGGACCAAGGGGTAAGAGGGTATTTGTCTCAAGATTAGGTCCACTTCTGAATAGAATTCTAAAGTTGCTGAGAATGTAACCAGCCACGTAACAGATCACTTTTAGCTGTGATAAGAAATGGCCTGGAAGCCAGGTGCGGTAGCTTATGCCTGTAATCCCAGCACTTTGGGAGGTCAAGGCAGGTGGATCGCCTGAGGTCAGGAGTTCAAGACCAGTGTGGGCAACATGGTGAAATCCCGTTTCTACTAAATATACAAAATTAGCCGGGCGTGGTGGTAGGTGCCTGTAATCCCAGTTACTCAGAAGGCTGAGACAGGAGAACTGCTTGAACATGGGAGGCGGAGGTTGCAGTGAGCCGAGATTACGTCACTGCACTCCAGTCTGGGCGACAGAGTGAGACTCTGTCTCAAAGAAAAAAAAAAGAAATGCTCTTGAGTAATTTTGCCAAACATGCAAGCCCGGGCGTGGAGCCCAAGCCCATCAGGGCAACTGATGCCCATCTGAGGCTATTAACACGGACAATGGGAACCTGCAGGACGCGCGGGCAGGGGCCTTTGAAGCCTTGGTCCTCCTCGACCCAAACTGCAGGAGCTCCCTGGCACAAAGCTCTTTTCAAAGTTGAAACGAGAGACACAAAACATTGAGAGGCTGCTAGGCAGAGTGGCTAAGATTCTTAGATCCGTCCAGCGAACACCATTGTGTTTAAACCTTGGAATGGAGGGATCCAAACGGACCTGCGATTTTGTTTTTAATGTCCACAAAAGCCTCCTGTTAAGCCCAGTGTTTAAGAAGAGCGGTGAGGACACTGCCCTGATGATCCCGCCTCTGCAGGCTGGGTGGTTCTGCCGCATGGCCTTTGGTCTTCCCCGTGGTTCTCAGCTCCATCTGAAGAATGACTTGTGCTGGTTTTGTTCATGTCTGTCTCTCCCCCACTGGAACGCATGACCATGAGCACAGGCATTTTCATCTGCCCTGTTCTGCCCACATTCCCAGGGCCTAGAACAATGCCTGACATGTCATAGGGGCCTCATAAATACCTGTTGAGTGAACAGAGTGAGGTCCTTGGGACAAGGCTGTCCTTCCTGGGTAGACCTCCGCATGGCCAAATGTAAGAGAGCTGAGAAGTTTCATCTCCAGATCTCGGTGCAGTCTTGTTGAGAACTGCCGTGCTCCTGGGGCACACGCCACTGCACGGACAGTATTCTTGACATGCCAGTCAAGACCAGGCACATGATGATCATGGCCAGGCAGCCAGGGCTTCTCTTTCACAGCCTCTCCGAGTTCCAACATTCCTGAGCTTCGGCTACACCTGACCGTGTGGCATTCTCTGAAACATTCCCCTCTGCCCTCCTCGGACCTGAGTGTCCCCACCTGTAACAGCTCTCTCCATTCCTAACTCGTCCCCACCCCTACTGCTGCCTCCTGAAATCCCACCCATCCAGCAGGGCCCAGAGGACACAGCGCCTCCTCCAGGCAGGCTTCCCAGTACCCTTGATTAAAGTGGCCTTTCCTCTTTGTACTTTGGTATACTTCTTTTTTTCCCCCCATTGGGGTTAAATACACAAAACATAAAATACCACCTTAACCATTTCTAAGTGAACAGTTCATTGGCGTTAAGGACGCTCAAGCTGTGATGTAGCCATCACCACTATACATCTCCAAAATTTTTTTTTTTTTTTGAGATGGAGTCTTGCTCTGTCACACAGGCTGGAGTGCTGTGGCGTGATCTAGGGTCATTGCAACCTCCACCTCACGGGTTCACGTGTTTCTCCTGCCTCAGCCTCCCGAGTAGCTGGGACTATAGGCACCTGCCACCATGCCTGGCTAATTTTTTTTTTCTATTTTTAGTACAGATGGGGTTTCACCGTGTTAGCCAGGATGTTCTCGATCTCCTGACCTTGTGATCCGCCTGCCTCGGCCTCCCAAAGTGCTGGGATTACAGGCGTGAGCCACCGTGCCCGGCCCAAAACACTTTTATTTTCCCAAACTGAAACTCTGCACCCCATTAAACACTCACTCCCCACTTCCTCCTCCCCAGCCCCTGGCACCCACCATCCTACTTTCTGTCTCTGTGAACTTGATTCTAGATAACTCATGGAAGTGGAATCACAAAGTATTTGTCTTCTGCTGACTGCCTTAATTCACTTACCATAACATCCCCAAGGTTCATTGATACAGCATGTGTCAGAATGTCCTTCCTTTTCAAGAATGAATCGTATTCCACTGTGTGGGTGGACTCTATTGAGTTTATCCACTGATGTGTCCATGAACACTTGGATTGTTCTCACCTTCTAATTAGCATGAATAGTGCTGCTATAAACAGGCATACAAACATCTGTTCAACTCTCTGCTTTCAGCTCTTTTGGGTATATATCCAGAAGTGGAATTGCTAGACCATACGGTAACCTGACGTTTAATTTTTGGAGGAACTACCATGCTGTTTTCCAAAGGCTACTTCGTCATACATTTCTCCTAGCAGTACCTAAGCGTTCCAGTTTCTCCACATCCTTGCCAACACTTGTTACTTTCTGTTTTTGTTGTGTTTTCTGTTTTGAATTACAGCCATCCTAAAGGGAGTGGGGTGGTCTTTCATTGTGGTTTTAATTTGCATTTCCCTCATGATTAGTGATGTTGAGTATTTTTTCATGTGCTTACCAGTCATTTGTATCTCTTCTTTGGAGAAATGCCTATTCCAGTTCTTTGCCCATTTTTAAATCAGCTTATTTTTTCTGTTGTTGAGTTGTAGGAATTCTGTGTATAGTCTCGATTTTAATCCCTTATTATATATGTGATTTGCAAATACTTCCTCCCATTCCACAGGTTGCCTTTTCACTCTGTTGACAGTGTCCTTTGATACAGAAGAGTTTTCAATTTTGATTTTTTCTTTTGTTGCCTGTGCTTTTAGTGTTATCAATATCATTCCTAAATCTAATGTCATAAAGTTTTCTTCTAGGAGTTTTATAGTTCTAGGTCTCACATTTAGGTTTTTGACCCATTTTGCATTAAGCTTTGTACACGGTGTCAGGTGTGGGGTGCACCTGCTACACTCTGTTAATATGGCTTTGTGGCAGGTGCTGCCTGTGCCCTGCCCATCGTCCCTGGCACTCACCATTCACCAACAGGCCCAGGGCTTTTTGCAAGTACCCATCAGTTCCTACCAAAGGCCATTCTGTGGCCAGAGATATGACCGGCTTACAAAGGTGAGGCAGACAGACAGAAAAGAATGCTCTCAAAGTTGTTCTTGCCAATACAAGAGGGGAGTTGATGCATAAATATCCAGGCTTCCTCCCCTCCTTGGGTAAGCAACACCGAAGGGGCTTTGCACAGTCTCCCTGGGGTTGCCTCGGGGCTGAACCTCGCTGCTCACCACACTGATGAATGCTCACTGATGAGAGCTCACCAGTGCCTTTCCATGCTGTGTCCTTTGCACACTCCTCTACTCACACTTTCTGGGGTCACCGCTCAGTGCACTATTGCACGTACATCTTTGTTGAGCTCACAGGCTCTACTTCTGGGGAAAGTAGGACAAGAGCCCATCTCTTTCAGCCTTGCGCATTTGGACACGTGCTTATCGGCCCCACTCCTTGCAAATTCCTGGAAGGCACGTGATACTTGTGGATCCCTGCATGCTTCAGAGCATCTGGCAAACAGTAAGTGCCTAATAGATGTTTGCTAAAATTGCATAAGTGTAACTTTACACTTTCCAAATAGACATCAACACCTGTTCCTACAACTTCCTCATGTCAAGAATTTTGCATGCACATTTTCAGAAAGGCAGGAAAGCTCTGGGATGTTTGTGACTGTTTGCTGGGCTCCAGTCCGCTGATAATCAGATGTTCTTTGCATAGCCTGTGATTCACAAACAGTATCTGTAACTAGAAAAGTGTCTTTAATAGATAAACCAAGAACAAAGACATTCAATCCCCAGTCCCTGGAGAAAACAGAAAATTGTCTTAACAAATGGTTTGAACACAGGAGAGAAAGAAAAAAGGAGATAAATAAGAGGGAAGGGGGTCACAGTCTGTTCAGAAAGTGTATCTTGAAATTCACAATTATGGCCCCTCCTTAAAATACAAGGAAGATCTTTAGAAAACCTGACTAAATTGAAGTTATTTTCTCTTGCTACAGATACCACTGTTCAACTCACAGAGTAGAAATTACCGCTATTCAGGCAGAAGGTAAATTCACCGTCTAGTTACAAAGAGGCCTGCCTGGATGCCGTGCGGCTGGTGAATGCCCCCAGGACTGTTTGTTACATTTTGAAGACTTTCTTAACAGGAACAACACCAAACAGAAAGCTTTCTCTTCCACACCTTCCCCTAGCCATGGGAAAAACACACAGAACCAAGCGCCAACCTTTTGAGAGACAGGTTTCTTAGGGCTTCAGTTTCTAACCACAAAGGGCACTCCATGGACCAACAGGTCACCCCCCTTTTTATTTTTTCATATCTTAAGTAAAACCAGACCTTCTCAAGTTAGAAATTCACAACCAAATGCTGAAAGGCAGTAGTACCTGGAACAGAAGAAATATTTTTATCAGTCATAGGGCACTTTTTTTCTCACGTATTCCCACCTTAAATGCAAAGGTTTATACAAATATATCAATGAACACTTCCTCTGCCATGCTTTTAGATAATCAGTGTCTTGTTTATTTCAAGTTTGAGGAGCATGAACTCTGAGGAAGAAAATCTTGCAGGGGTTCTATCCTAACCAACATCAAGTGACAGACTACTCAATGTTCCAAAATGATGAGGAGCAGTAAACAACTGAAGCTAACCACATCCTTTGATAGCGTTCATTCCAAAACAGCTCCAGGAATGGAACAGCATCCCGTGTCCGAACACCAGGATCAGCTGGGTGCAGCGGCTCACACCTGTAATCCCAGCATTATGGGAGGCTGAGGCAGGAAGATTACTTGAGCCCAGAAGTTTGAGACCAGCCATGGCAACATGGTAAAACTCTGTATCTAGAAACATTTTTTTTAAATTAGCTGGGAGTGGTGGTGCAAGCCTGTAGTCCCAGCTACTCAGGAGTCTGAGACAGGAGGATCACTTGAGCCCAGGAGGTCAAGGCTGTAGTGAGCTATGATCAAGCCACTGTACTCCAGCCTGTCTCAAAAAAAAAAAAAAAAAAAAAAAAAGATCCAGGAGCATTTCCCGCCGGAGGATGCGGAGGATGGAGAGAGGATTTGTGCTACCCTCATCTCCAGGTGGCTTTGGCTGGGCTGTGTCGTCTACCAGCACGGTGGCACCAGCTGCCCCCAGGGCAGGTTCTGGGCTCAGCCTCTTTGGGGATTCACTGTCCTGAGTGGAGAGCCCTGATTCTGAGAAGCGTAAATAATCAGGCTCAGCACAATCGGCCACACCCTATCTGAACACACAGGTGAGACAGAGGTGGGTGTTGGCTTCTTTTGGGGGTCTCTCTGTCCCTCTCTTTTGTGTACACATTGTTCTCTCCTGTCTATCTCTGGGAATGGGTGGGTCATTGTTTTGGACCAGGAGCAGAGAAAACAAGGCCACAGAACGAGCCAGGCACAGGGATGCTTTGATAGTGAAGAACGATAATTCACAACTGGAGAGGAATTTCCTCTTCTGTTTTCCCATCTCTTTTCATTTTGTTAGAAACCGCTATATCAGACTTACCCTTGGGTGTCACAACAGAGGTACAAACAAATCAGGAAGTCTTCAGAGAAGAAAATATTTCTTTTCCCGTCTGCCCCAGCTTCCTTTAAATGAATAAAGTCAGTCCCACGGTGCAAGAATAGAGTACTCTGCTAGAACAAGGCATTTTCTGATATGACCCAAGGTTATCTATTTAAACCAACTGGTTCTCTACTCAATCTGCTACGAAGCAAGGTTTTTTTCCTAAATGTCAACACAATCTCATCTATATTTTGGTTGAAAATCAACACTGACAATAAATCTAAAGTTGACGACAGAGAGAGGGAGGGAGCACCAGGCGGAGGCTGTATGTGTGGAGTGAAGTGCACAAAAGCACAGCTAAGATCCCTCCTAAGATACTCACTTACGGGCATATTATCACAAGCATTAGTGAGGGGGGAGCTACTGCTGCTAGAAACATAAGTAGTCTGTTCACATAGACTGGAAGGCAGGTGAATAAAAAATGAAGTCCTAATTCCATTTATGTGATTGTTCAAATATATTAAGAACCAAGCTGGTCAGTGTGGGCCTATTAAAAACGTGGCAGGTCAATGATTACTCAGCAAATCTGGACTGTGCAAACTATCAATCCAAACCAATGAACAGTAAGAGTGGTTCAGGCACCCAGCAACTCATGCCGTTTTAAAGCAGGGTGATGCCCAGCATGAATAACAGCTGTATAGCAAATTTATAGAAAATCCAAAAGTAATTATGGCAAGTCAATTACAATAGGCACTTCTACCAAACCTCTCCCAAAGCTTCTAATAGGAGAGCGTCATTTGTTTCTTTAAAAATTTCACTTGGTCTCTGTTCAACCTATGGAAAAACTCATACATAAGAAGTAAAACGCCCCATAAGTCGGCACGGAGAGGGAAAGAGAAAAAAACTAGGCACTTTGGTAACCAGCATAGCTCAAATCCACAGCATAGACCAATCAACCTAGGGATGCTGAGCAAATATCACTGAGGAAGATGGCGGGGAGTTTAAGGAGCTTAGGGTGTACCCCACATGCCTGAATAGAAAGCAAGGATTTCCCGCAAAATTATTCTTCCAGAACAAAGGAGGGACTTGGTTAGCTACGCAGTTGTTTACTTACTCTTTATTGTTTTGGGACGTTGAATACTTATAGTTCCTTGATGTTGGTTAGGATAGAAGCCCCATAAGGTTTTGAACCTCAGAGTCTGTCATTCTCAAAGATGACACAAATAAGAAATTGATCATCTAAAACCATGGCAGAGGAAGTGTTCATCAATATAGTTGTATGAACATTTGCACTTAGGGTAGGAATATGTGAGGAAAGAAAATGCCCCAGACTGATAGAATATTTCTTCCATTCTGGGTACTACCACTTTTAAGTGTTTGGTTGTGAATTTCTCATTTGAGAAGCTCTGGTTTTACTTAAGACATGAAAAAATTAAAATGGGTTGATCTGCTCGTCCATGGGGTGCCCCTCTGGTTAGGAACCGAAGCCCCAAGGATCCTGTCTTTGGCTGAATCCTTATAACGTCTCTCGGATTAGAAGTGCTCTCCAATGTCTTCATTTTTATGCACACTTATTTAGAAAAGAAATGATTATACATGTCCATCTGCTATTATTTACATAAATAAAAATAATTCAGCAAGATGTGCAAAAATCACTGTTCTTTTACAACTAGACTTTTCTAAGAAATGGCTATAGATAAGATGTTCTAACTGATGCTGAAAATACAAATCTTAAATGCATTTATAAATATCTTTTCTTGTTCCAAACCTAGTACAACTCTTATTTTACTCAGAGAGACTTTTCTTTTTTCTTTTCTTTTCTTTTCGGTGAGACAGAGTGTCACTCTGTCACCCAGGCTGGAGTGAAGTGGTGCGATCTCAGCTCACTGCAACCTCCGCCTCCCAGTTTTAAGTGATTCTCTTGCCTCAGCCTCCCAAGTAGCTGGGATTACAGGTGTGTGCCACCATGCGTGGCTAATTTTTTTGTATTTTGTCCTTTCTGATTAATTAATTTCAACCCACTTACGAATTAGCTTAATTTGATGCCAGGATTTTCAGTCTCTGAGCACTGGAAACCACATCTGGCTTTACTGCTGTTCTTGAGACCTGTATCTTTCATTACTGGAAGCCACGTCTGGCTTTACTGGTATTCTTGAGACCTGCCTCTTCCATGTCAGTGCTTCTCAAACTTGTGTGTGTACGTGATTCAGCTGGGGATCCTGTTCAAGTGCAGATTCTGCCTCGGCAGGGCTGGGGTGGAATCAAGACCCTGCATTTCCACTCCACACCCAGGTGAAGCCAGGGCTCTGGCCATGCTCTGGGAGTCTAGTTCTGAGTTATTCGAAGAAAAGGGCATGTTTTCCAGCACGTGGTGAGTTACTCAGCTCCTTGTTCCTGAAAGTGGAGCAACAACCAGCACCACAGACCTCTCCTAGGAGCTGGTTATAAAGGCGAAGTCTCAGTGGGTGTCACTCCAGACCCATCGAATCAGGACCTAAATGTTAACGAGCTGCCTGGGTTACACATACATCACCTCAGCGCCTTCTCATTCAGTGTGAGAAGTTCTGTGCTGGGTGGGCTGAGTCTCCAAGTAGAACTGCATTCACCTGTTTACCAATTAGGTAAAGAAAATAAATAAATAAAAAATAAAAACACCATGCTTTCAGGAACGTGACACGCCGGCTCCCCTCACCTCCCATCATGGGTAAAAGCTTCCTGAGGCCTCAAGAGAAGCTGAGCAATGCTGGCACCATGAACAGCCTGCATGACTGTGAGCCAGCTTCCTTATAAATTACCAGCCTCAGGTATTCCTTTCTATCAACGCAAAACCAGCTAATACACCTCTCCACCTATCTACAAATGACCTCATCAGCCATCTAGCACCACAAACCCCACCATCCTTCAAGGGCTGGATCAAATCTCACCTCCTCCAAAACACTCCCTATCACTCTGACCTTTCCTCCAAATCCCTACAACCCTCCAGGAGTATATTACAAAAGATAACACTTCAATCAACATTTTGTTCAAAGGAGTTTAGAACAGTCCCACCGCTTTAAGGATGCCAAGAAAATCCTGAAATTAACCTTCAAACACAGTCTTGGGGAAAAGAAAAGAAACACAGGAGCCCTATTTATAGGTTCCTTATAAGTTAAGGAATAAATACGGAATGCTTTTCTGATTGTTGGATCTCCAGAAAAGAAAGAACAAGCTAGAAGGTGTGAGAAAGACATAAGCAACCCCGCCAAATGGGCAGGTGTGAGTGCCTGGTGCATGAAGATCAATCGTGTTCAAGCTGGCAGATTACAGCTGGCCAAGCGATCAAAGTCCACAACACACCGAGGAATCTGTAGATCAAGAGCAACGCTTCATCAAGTCAAAATAATCAGTGACGGAATTTGGCGGCAAGCTTGCTGTTAAGGATGGTAAGAGGATGAATATAAGCCAACTTCAGATAACCGTTTAACCAAGGGCAAGGACAAATGCATTGGTTTCCCACCCATAGTAAAATCCTGAGGCAGCCTAGACTCCTTCGAGGGGCATTCCTCTCCATCTAGAGTTGACATGGGGAAGGCTAACTGTGTCTGATGTGTCCTCTGGTGACACTGAGAAAGAATAAGGAACAGGGCAGAGAGTTGGGTCTAGTGAGACAGGTTTTATGTTCTTAAAATAAGCCCAGGGCTGTGCTGCAGTTCAGCCGAGTGACAGAATGCACGCGTGGGGTTTCCCCACCTGGGCATGACTCTCAGCTCTGCCACTTTGCTGTCTGAATTTGAGCCAGTTCCTGACCACCTCTGGGACTTAGTTTCCTCATCTGTAAAGCGGGGTAACACCCTCTACCTTGAAGATTCCTGTAAGTGTGAAGATTAGTGAGAATGCATGTGAGGTACTGAACCTGGTCCTAGGGGCAGATTAGGGGATGTTGGTTATTGCCTTTGCTATCATTGTTGCTATTGTTATTCTTACCATTATTGGCATTCCACCCACCCCCCCCAAAAAAAAACTTTTATTGAGTTCAAGTCCCACAAGTCCTGCTGGAAATGTGGCGTCTGCCTACCAAAAAAGCCTTCTGTTTCTACTGCAGAGTAGAATTAAAGCTAGATAAAATCAGTCCTACAATTTCATATTTTTTTGACCTGAACTTTTCTTCACCATCCTTTATTAACAAAGTTTCATCATTACCATCAAATAATATTTGTACGTGTAGATAAAATGTGTGTACATTAATAAAATTAACTTATGAAAGGTTTCTAAGTTGTAGAATTGAGGGATTTTAAACTAAATAATACTATTGGCTCACTGTGGGGAATTTTATACTGCAAAATAAATAAATAAATAAAGGTTTAACTATCTAGAGAATTCAGACCGAAAAAACTCCACTTGTACTTTAATCAACGAGCTTGGCAGGCCTGATGGTTCTGGATACAGTAGATAATGAGTATAATTTATATTAACGGAGAATTCTATTAATTTTCCTATACCTTTTTTGAAGTTATATCATTAATTGCTATTAATGCTTCCTAATCAAGACAGAGGCAGTCACTGAAACAATTAACCTATTTCTGAAGGTGCAAATGGAAAGATAAGTCGTCAATTTCCTAGTGTTTTTCCTCTGCTGCAACACTAGCTCAGTTTCTCTCACTAAACATTCCTCTACTGAGCACCCACAGCAGCTGCTGCCAGCAATCAAGAGAAAACAAAGAATCTGCTCATTTGTAAGGGTCATTCCTGTAGTTCTGCGGTGAGGAACAACCATTTGTTAACTTAGGAAAGAACCTCAGTTGCAACCACGATTTCCATTATCTAAAGACAGTAAGTGAGCCAGGTTCCTGCGGAGAAGTATATACCTCAGAAATCTATTTATGAAATTTGACGACATTATTTTTACTTCTGAGCAGAATACTCCAAAGTGGCCAAAGTATGTTCAGGCAAACAGGTTGGACATGACAGTGTCAGAGGAGACAGATGGACTCTTGGCTGCAGCAGCTGTTGGCTGAATTTGGTCTTCAGCCATGGTGGACCATCACCCTCTGAAATGACAGTGTCACGGGAGAAGCGCAGGCTTTGAGGCCTCTGACTGTGAAGTCTAAGTCCTGCCTTGGCTGCCCATGAGCTCTCTGACCCTGGCAGGCTTCTGTTTCCTTCCAAGTTCCCCTTTACTACAGGAGAAAAGGGGTTATGCTTATTTTCCAGAGTTGTTGTGAGAACAAAATATGTACGATGCATATAACACAGCAGCCAGCACACGGTAGGTGCTCAATAAATGAAATGCTCCAAAATACCTAATGAAAAATAGGAGGGAAACTAAAGGGCCCAACATTTCCTGAATTTAAAAAAAAAATTCTATTTCAATTAGCAATATGGTTGCTTTGGAACGTTACTTTTTTAAGAAAAGAATTCTGGAATACCAGCACGTTCCTAACTTTTTTCCATTTAGTGTGATGACGTCAGACCTGGTTCAGTAAGATCTCGCAGGCTATTTCTGGGCCGCCCAAATCCAAACTATGAAATCTACACTGGAGAACAGAGTGTCAGCCCTACCTGCCCATCACAGGAAATAACGGAACCCCACTGGTGGACAGTTCAGGAATTCCTCTGTGGCTGAGAGCGCGGTGGAGGCATTGACGGGCCCCCAAGTTAAGCCCTAAAGGTGCTCAGGCTACTGGAGCAGACTTTTATTAAGTTCATGTCCCATAAGTCCTGCTGGAAATGTGGCATCTGCCTACCCTTGCCCCTAAATGCAAAAGGCCTGTGGTTCCTGTTTTACAGGTAAGAAGCCTGATGTGGCCTGGGTCACACAGTTGCTAAGTGGTTGAGCCTGAACACAAAGCCAGGTCTGCAGATGCCACAGCCTGTGTTCTGAACCACCGTGCCTTACGGAGTCGTAGAAAGTGGTGGCTGGTATGTGACAGCCTGGGCTTTAAGGGATGAGTCTAAAATCAAAACAGGACCTCACGGTGGCTCACACCTGCAATCCCAGCACTGTAGAAGGCCAAGGTGGGCAGACAGCTTGAGCCCAGGAGTTCGAGACCAGCCTGGGGAGCCTGAGGCAGAAGGATCACCTGCGCCCAAAGAAGTCAGGGCTGCAGTGGGCCGAGATCACACCACTGCACTCCAGACTGGGTGAAAGAGCGAGATCCTGTCTTTAAAATAAAATAAAAACAATTTCATGACGTTTCACTCTAACCAATCCCAGAGAAAACTGGAGAAAAGACAATAGAAACAAATGTAACAGCTGATAGACAAAACATAACAGACTCAAGGTATGTTGGGTGCCTACTGTATGCCAGACACTATGCTAAGTGTCTATAAAGTGCAGATTGTCATTTTCATTGCTCATGACAGCCCCAGTGATTTCATTCCTTCTGGCTGAGGGTTTAAATGAGTGGCCAAAGGGTCCCTGATGCCTGTCTGTACCATCTAGAGGCTCAGCACCAAAGCCATGCCCTTCCCACGGGAATGCATGCTTCTGTAGACTCCATCAGTGCTTGTTGCACAAAAAGGGATTTATCCAGGTGCTGGAAGACTAGGAAAGCCAGCTTGTGACTCTGCATAGGTGACACTGATTTCCCTGAAGTCACTCAACATCCTCCTCACAGGCCACACTCTCACGTGCTGCCCTTACACCCTCCTGAGACCCTCTTTACTTTAGGACCTGAAAAGGGATAACACGTTTGTTCAACATATTGCAAAAACCTACTTGTGGCAATACAGAGTATTGTTAACAGCACAATTCCAAAAGATAATTTCCGTTTCATCAATGGGAAAAGGGGGAGTGCCAATGGCTGACCCTATGTTTTTCAGCATGGTGGGAGGGCTGCGTGGGTGTCTTCTCAGCCGGCTGGAGCACGCACCTGCCAAGTCCTTCTGCAGCAGATCATTAACTCATCTTTCCCTCTGAGATGAGGCTCTGAATTTTACAAACTTCTCTTTAGCATTTCTTCAGCTGAAAAGAGAAGGAAGGATCCGTGTGCCTCATGCTGCCTGCCCACTGCAGGGTGCCCCAAGGCTGCCCTCTGAGCACCCTGTCTGGATGGCTGACAACAGCGAGAACACGCCGTCTCTGGAGAAGCATCCTGCATGCGTTCATCTGTCTCCACTCTGTATCTGGATTAAAACTGCTTAGTTTGGCGACGAGAGATTCATAGAGGCAGTCTCTCCTGATGAGGGTAGAAACGCCGTCGCTTTTGCCCTAACAGCTTGAGCAGGGAACCCAAGCATGCGTCACTGACTGCGATTCCTAAATGCAAACTTGAATGTGCTTTTTCTAAGCAAACTCAGAGGGCAGGGCTTCTACGCAGCTTCTCCTCCTCGCTTCTTTTTACTTTTTAAATAAAGGGCAAAGAGTTCTCAGCTTATCAAAGGTTCTTCCTGGAAGATGTGCTCTGTGTTTCTTCCTGTTCAGTCTCCTTAGAGTTCCCAATGGCAGGGGGTGCCATCTGGGGCTTCAGTCCTAAACTAGGCTGTGGGACAGCTCTGGGGCCCTGGTTCCTGGAGTGGGGTGTCTGGGGTTGTTTTATTACACGCTGAGGACAAGCAGACAGACTGAGCTACAACAGGACATTGAGAAAAGGGGAAAATGAGCTGACAAATCAGTTGTCAAGAATCACATTAAGAGTCTGGACCTTGCAGGTCCCAGAGCCCTGGAGAGGCTTAAGCTGATGTCCTCAGGCCTCCAGCTGGGGGAAAATGACAGTGGCCATTATTAGGAAGGCAGACCCCAGGCTTGAAGCACCAGACAAGTGAGTCGTCCACCATGAAGGCAGCAGACCCCTCACCTCTGTCACACACACACAGGAACAAGGAAAACAAACACTTCAAGTGGGAAGAGCTATGACAGCTAGGAGGAGGGCGACGGGTAAAGAAATTCATTAGTATCTTTCATGCCACTTGGTAAACCTGAAAATTAGCATGCCAGAACTCTCTGAGGGATGGGTTGTGGGAAAGCTACGGACGGACTGCAGGTGCCGGGAGGCCGAGGAAAAAGGGCTGTTTCTCCGGGAAGCTGGCGAAATGTCCCAAACACTACTGTCACTGGTAACAGATGATAACGTACGAGACCCAAACAGAATTCCTGGCAGCATCGGTCATTCTCCCTGTTTGTCGTCTGACAGTGAATGTGCATGTGACCAGGACAGCTCTGGGTGCAGCAGGGGTGGGGGAGATCACACCCCGTCACCACGACGTGCTCAGCTGTGGTTGGGAATGGCCACCCCATCCATTCACTCATCCAGTGCCATCCTTCTGCCCAAGTCAAACACAATTTGATGTCTTCCAAGAAGTCATCAGGGCAGCTGCGCTAGAAAATGAGAGCCTACAGTTCACTGTAACTGAATGAACTGAGCCATCCTAACTCATCCTCTCCTTCCACGCAACTGCTCCTCAGGCTGATCCACTGGATCTCAGAAATACTCAGGAGTCCACCTTTTCCCCATCCCCAATGCCAGACCCTCCTCATCCCCACCTGGATGGTTACAACAGCGTCCCCTTTACTCTGTAAATCTCCCTTAGGTCATCCAAAAAAAAAAAAAGAGGAATTTCTGCCTCCAGGTGATTTGAGCCTCCCATTCTGCACCTCTTCCTAAATCTCTATAGAAATATCCAAAGAAAAAATAGTAGGGAAATAGTCTGCATTTCTGCTGAGAATCAAAATCACGACCACCCACACTGGAGCTCCTGCAGGACAGCATGAGCAAGCCCTGTCTAAGGGAGAGGCTGCCCAACCTGAAATTCCCCACCCGCAAAAGACAAGTCCACCTGGACACGAAGTGAAAGGAACCCCTGAGGAACCCTGCAAACTCCACAGAGGTCAGAATTCCGGGTAGGAGCAGCTTGAGGGCTGAGGTACAGGCTGGGCAAATCTGCAAATGCCTCGTGAAAGTGCACAGATGTTGCCATGAGGGGACTAAACGTGAACTTGGACCTGGCTCACCCTTGCTGTGGCTGGAAGCCCAGTGGTGAGCAAATAGGCACTTCCCAAACTTTGATGGCACCAACCTGGAGGACTTGTGAAGACACACATTCCCAGGCCCCATACCAGAGTTTCTGAGCTGGTGCCTCTGGACCGGGCATTTCTGGCAGGTACTCAGGGGATGCCCACACTGCCAGTCCCGGGCTCCATTGAGAGAACCTCTTGAGCACACTAAGTGCTGGTGAGAGAAGAGTAGAGCCCGGGCAACTTCTCGATTATTAAAACAAACAGGGAAAGGAATTCCTTTAGCCCCGTAACAAACCTCCCTTCATTCAATTGCAGTGAACTGTAGGCTCTCAATACAGCCTGCACATTCATTAATGTGGCAAAATAAAAGTGAAGTAGCCCTGATAATAAAGCTCATAATAAAAAAAAAAGTCCATAATAATGGGATCAATTTAAAGAACATAAAGAAATATCACCCTTATGAAACAGAACATTTAAGAAATTTCTGAATTACACTGCTTGAGATCAACCAGAGAATCTGAATCAAATAACTCATTGAGAGGAGTCAATAACACACTGTAAATATGAAAATGGAATCATCTGAGATCAGAAAAGACTACTTTCAGATGAGAATACAATTGCCAAAATTAACAATGCAACAGAAGCTCGAAAGAACAGACTGGATAGTGCATACAATCAAATCAGTGAACCTGGCTGGAATCAAGAGTTTTCTCCAGAATTCAAAGAAAATAGATTAAGTTAGCTATGATGAGGAAAAGATAAGCAAAATGGAAGATTGACCCAAAAGATCAAATATAAGCACAGTAGGAATTCCAGAAGGTGAATACACTGTAAGTGAAAGAAACACATTAATCAAATTAACAACGTGGAAAAACTTCCCCGACTTGGAAAAAGATTTGCATCTTCAAATAAAATGGACTTACTGAGAACCAGCAAAGGGAGCGCCCCACCACAGTTGCAGCCCAGTAAAACGTGCACGCTTTGTAAGCAAATCAAACTGACAAGAGTGCAGACAGATAAAACAACATATCAATCTAAAGAAAAGAAATGAAAATCCCAAAACTAGATTTCTTCTCTGGGACATTAAACACAATAACAGAATGAAGTAACATCTACGGAATGTTAATGAGATTACATTGTTTCAGAAATATTCTAAAGATGTCAGTCACTGGCCATACTCATTTCTCAAGGAGTCAGAGAGTTTTGTTCCATGTGACACCCAGTGGTATTCGGAGGAACATCTCACGACCAGCCCTGACTCAGCACTTACTGGTTTTCTTGCTGTAAGTAAATCCGGCACAGCCGATTTCAAGCTCCCAATATGACGTCAGTGAACTTGGAGCTGGGAGGAGGTGCCCAGGGTCAGCTCTCACTAGCTGGGGTAAGTGGGCTCCAGCACATCCCGACTGAATCCTGCTCCCAGCCCCCAGATCCATGGCTGCCCGAGCTTAGCTGGCCAGAACTCAGGACTGGTGGGAATCTGCCAATCAGACTCACCTTCTCCGGCGTCTTAACTAAAAGGCAGAGACTACCGTCAGCCACTGAAGCTGAGGGGCCATGACATAAAATTGAGTCTTATGGCAAAAGAAGTAAGCAAACCAGGCTGGTAAAGAAGAGAAGGGTGGCAGAGAGGCACAGAGGAGCATGGGTGAGAGGCCCTGCGGCTCCTGAGTAACAGGGGCTGGAATCCAGGGAGCTTCATTGCTTATTTACTTATTTTGGAGACAGGGCCTAACTCTGTTGCCCAGGCTGGAGTGCACTGGTGTGATCTCGGTTCACCACAGCCTTGACCTCCTGGGCTCAGGTGATCCTCCCACCTCAGCCTCCCAAGAAGCTGGGACCACAGGCACGCACCACCATGTCCACCTGATTTTTTTTATTTTTATAGAGATGGGGTCTGGTAATATTGCCCAGGCTGCTCTTGAGCTCCTGGGCTCAAGTGATCCTCCTGCCTCGGCCTCCCAAAGTGCTGGGATTACAGGCATGAGCCACCGTGCCTG
The DNA here is from genome assembly GCF_000001405.40 of Homo sapiens. Taxonomy (NCBI): domain Eukaryota; kingdom Metazoa; phylum Chordata; class Mammalia; order Primates; family Hominidae; genus Homo; species Homo sapiens. The sequence goes on along the minus strand of NC_000007.14, from coordinate 3,921,686 downwards.
GCCCGGGGAGTTTTAATTTCTAGTCTCTCAACAGGCCTGCAGGAATCAGCTTCTTGGCGCCTTTAGATTCCCTCATTTCCTTTTGTTCATAAAAATCCCCTCCCTCTACTTTTAAGCTGGAGCTAGCAAGTCTATAGAGAAGAGAGGTCTAGTTCTTATAGCTAAAGAGCTTAACTAGAACATCGTGTAACACAACAATTCCACTTCTGGGAATTTATTGTAAAGAAATAATGTTGATGTTTGCATATATGTAGCTACAAGAATATTTGCCATTCCGTCTAATGTGGTGAAAGCCAGGAACCAATCTAAATGTCCAATGATGGAGACAGGTTAATAAATTATGATACATTTGCTAAAAAAAGAAACTAGGCAGTTATTGAAAATGATAACATAGTTAATACTACAGAAATAATAAAATATGAAGTAAAAATGTTTACAAAACAGTGTGTGCTGTATGATCTCATTTTGCTAAAAAATGTATTTTTTATTTGTATGAGACATGAATGAAAATGTTCATAGCCACATGTCTGGGTTGTAGAATTATGAGTTACATATATGTCCTTTCTGTTTCTCTGTATTTTCTAATTTTTCTACATTTAACACTTATTGCTCATCTAATAAAAAAGAAAAATGAGCTCTGTGTTCCCATAGTACCTAGTTTATATCTCAACTCTAGGAATTGCAAACTTGATCTATAGTTTATCTGTTTCTATGTTGGCTTTCATTTGAGGGCAGGGGTGGTATTTAATCACTTGTGCCCCTCAGTGCCCGCTCCTGGCACAGAGAAGGGGCTCCAGTTGTTACCAAACGCCTTCTTCAGCACTCAATTGCGAGATCCATCTTCCCGTAAATAACCTCCGAGCAGTCACTTTATGTCCCATGCAATGCCATCTATTGTTATTTATCCTCCTCTTCACTCTCACTGCTCCCCCTCTGCATAGTCTCCCTTTACCCTGGGTCATCTTATCTGAGGCCATTAGAAATTAATCCTAAAACAGTCACTCCCGAATCTCCACCTGCAGCCCCAGCTTGCAGTTTAAGTGCCGCCTTGCCTCCGGATAGTTCCATCTTGGCAGCTAGAATGCAACGAATCCAAGCAGAACTTCTGTTTTGTCTTTTTTCCTGCCCTCCCACCTTAATCTGTTCCTTACATACTCCTGAGCTCTGAAAAGATCACCCTCACTCCTCTAGTCACTCCAGCTAGAAACACAGTCTTAGAAGCTACTCCCTGGCTCTTTCTCCCCGTAGATGACCATGTCATAAATCCCGCTGACCTTGACCTTGACCTTCCCCCCAGACTCCCAAGTATGTTCCCCTCTTACCACTCCTGTCTCAGTCCAAGGCCTAATGACATCTCACCTGCAAGACTGCAAATCTTTCCTTCAGATTGGTCTACATGCTGCAGCCTGTGCCATCTTCCTAAAACACCCCTAGGCTAAGATCTTTCAACGAATCACCCCGACCCACAGCATGAAGCCCAGAAGACTCAGGATGCACAGCGTGATCTTCCCCTGCTGATCCTCAGTGCTGCTCTCCATCATTTTCCCGGACACGACCCGGTGGGGGTGAACTCACCGCCATTCCTGAGCTGTCTCAGTGCCCCTGCACGTGGCTTCGTCTGTCTGTGCTGCCCTCTCCCCCAGTCCTCTGAACCACATCCTTTCATCCTGAAAGTTCTAATTGCCATCCACTCCCTAAAGCCTTCCCAGAGCTGGTGGTGCCCCCTCTGCTGTGACCCCAGAGCCCAGGTGCTTACTCTAGTGGCCAGTGCCACTGGTCACATCTGATTGGTGTTTTGCTGGTCTCTTCCTCAGAGGGATGTGACCTCCCTGAGGTCCAAGTCTGTGTCTGAGACGTGAGGTATGAGTGCAGCCCGGTGTCTCACGCAGCCTCTGACATGTAGCAGGTCCTAATGAATTAATTACACCTTACAGTTCCCAACAAAACCATACGTTCTTTCAAGCTAACAGCTGTTAACTACTCCACAGGGCCCAGTAGAGCAACATGGAGTCAGTTAATAAAGCAGAATCTTTAAGCGCTCTAAGAGCCGGTGCTCCATTGAAATAGATTCTATGGAGCACAAAACACGTGGTAAGATTTTGGTCAATGCCTCGACATTATGGATATTGTCTATCTTTCAGTTCACCAGGGAGGGTGCTCTTTCAGTTCACCAGGGAGGGTACGAGTGCAACTCCAGTTCCTCTGACCTCCTCTCCTTCCCCTCCAATTGTCATCTGTCGTCACTTGACGGGTGTAGGGCAGGACACACAACTTTTCTGATGCCTGACCTGCAGCAGTAGATGGTTCCCATGGCAGCAGCAGAGGCAAACACCTGACTTAAAGAGCAAGAGCAAGACTGGGACACCCACACGGGCTGCAAGGCCGGCCATGCACCCCAGATCTTGCCTTGGCAGAGGAACTAATTGTGCACTGCACACTGACATACCCTCATTATGGCCTGGGGGAGAAGCCGGGCTCATGGAATATTCAAGGAACTCTAAGTTGTTCAGTTTGTAACATCAGGCAGGGGGAAGGTGAAAGGAGGCAGAGGGAGATGAAGCAGCTGAGATAGATTATGTGAGATGGAATATAGTTAATAATAGTAATTATATTAGTGATAGCATACATTATTCATATTTAGTTAACAGTCATTATATTAGCAATGATAGTAATAGTTATGAGTTAATGGGCTAATGATGATTATGGTGAATGTTATAATAATAATAGATAGAAGAATAATTCTCCGGTAACACATCAATCTGAAAAGCAGTGAAATGTGGAACTGCAAGTGGCACGAATATGTCCATGAGAAGAATAGAGTGTGAGAAGCCATGTATGTGGGAAACCGTCAGAGGATAAATGGGGCCAACTAAGACAGGAAGTCTCTCGGTAGAACCGCCGGTCCAGCGTCATTTCCTGCAGAGACCTGAGTGGCATGCAGGTGTCTCCTGAGTGCTTCAGGGCAGTGGTCCCAGCCTTTTTGGCACAGGGACTGGTTTCACAGAAGACAGTTTTTCTACCAATGTCGGGGGGATGGTTTCAGGATGATTCAAGTGCATTCCATTTATTGTGCCCTTTATTTCTATGATTATTACATTGTAATACAGAATGAAATAATTATACAACTCACCATCACGTAGAATCAGTGGGAGCCTTGAGCTTGTTTTCCTGCAATTACGGTCCTATCCGGGGGTGATGGGAGACAGGGACAGATCATCAGGCATTAGATTCTCATAAGGCGTGTGTAACCTAGATGCCTCGCGGGCACAGCTCACAATAGGGTTCGTGCTATTACGAGAATCTAATGCAGCCGCTGATCTGACAGGGGGCGGAGCTCTGGTGGTAATGCCAGCGATGGGAGCAGCTGTAAATACACATGAGGCTTTGCTTGCTCACTCGCTGCTCCCCTGCTGCTGTGCAGCCTGGTTCCTAATAGGCCATGGACCGATACCAGTCTGTGGCTGGGGGGGTTGGGAACCCCTGCTCCAGGGTACCGCGGTGTTGAGAGGGAAGACACGTGGCCCATGCTACCCCCAGATTCCTGATCTTCTGTTGAGTTTGAGGTGAGAGGGTAGCCCCTGGGATGGCTGAACTGAGATCCAGTCTAAGAAAGGTTCCTCTGTTTTGTCTACCTAGAAGGGGACTCCAACAAAACTGTGAATTACACATAAGGCCCTTGAAATGGACTTTCTTGGGCCCTGAAACAGAAAACTAGAAGTACAACAGAGGTGGTTTCTGCTTTACCGAGGGTTTGATCAAAATCCCTGAGCCCCAAATCTTCCCATCTTTGTATGGAGACCAGAAACCTTGAGTGCAGGAGGAGGTGTGTGTGCAGAATTGTGTGTGCATGCACTTGCCACGCTATCTACATACATGTGCATGTGTGTAGATAATGTGCATGTATGTAGCAGGAGAGAAGCCTGTCAGAAATGAAATTCATGTCTAGGAAGTCTCAGTTTTTCCTCCTTGTGGGCTCTGGAAATAGAATGTGTGACTTATGCTTTTAATTTGACAGCTGGTCCCATAGACGTTCCTCTAACCCTGGGTAAGGAGTGTGGTTCATCAGGCTTTACTCAAACAGAAGCCATGACTTCCTGACTGCCCACACCCCCACTTCCTTCTTAGCAGGCCTCTGCTCTCAGAGTCCGTTTTACCTGCTGGCCCCTGAAGGACAACCTGATGCCCCTGAGCACAGGGAGGGGCTCACCTGTGAGTTCCACAGTGCCCCAAAGTGCAGCCCGTGTCTTGGGGAATCTGTCACACCTTTCTGTACCCTGGATGCAATGAGGCTTCCCGTCTACCCTGGAGAGAAACCCTCAAAGAGGACACCTGATATCCCAGCCACCCCTGCATCACACTCATAACTACCAACAGAACACAGAGGTTCAATAAATATTAGCTAAGTGCATAATGAATGCTGACTTGGAAATAGAGACACCTGCCTATAAGACAAGGGATAGAAATCAGAGACGTATGCTTTCAAGTGATTGATTTTTATTTAGTGACAAAAATAAGCCTGAAAAGAATTTTGAAGGTGTATGCTCCATGAAACAGACTGAATTTTTGTATGTTTTATACTATTTCAGGATTCATTTGATAGAAAACAATTATGTTGTCATCAGTTTGTTAAGGGATGATGGGAGTGTTTTTAGATGGAAAAGATTTGCCCCCAGTCTGTGAGCTTTTGGGCCTAGAATAGTCATCAAAATGGTGAAATGTCAGGCACTTGCCATGATAAGCAACTTTATACTATGAGTCTGCATCTGTGCCTGTATCAGGAATTGCTATATAAGCTAAAGTCCTCTATTATCTATCTATCCATCCATCCATCTCCCTGACAATCTGTCTGTCTATCTATCTATCAATTAATAATCTACAATTTTCCCTCTTCTATCAGCTGGAAGGTAAAATGAAGGGTAATGTAAAGTATATAGAATTTGGGAAGAATATTGCTAAATTTCTCTAATACATAATTATTCAAAAAAGAAACTGCTATTCAATATTTTCCCTAGAAATGCAATGCACACACACACATACAGAGGCAAAGTACAGGCAAACAGAAATAATTCCTAGCTGTCTCTTAAGTAATTAGTTGAGGCCATGTTAAATCTTACCTAAGAATTGCTTAAAACAACTGATTTGCCTATCACATCCACAGACAGTTGACTTTCCATCATCTTTTAAGACAAAGATGGCAAGAGTTCAAATAAACCCCTTTTCTATCACAGCACTAAGACGTGTGCAAGGAAAATAGAAACTCAGGACCCCAAACTCACTGTGCCAAAGGGGAAGTTAGGGCTGGGAACTGAGTCATGCAAAACACTGCCTTCCTTTTGTTCCCAAACAGACAGCTATGATGTCACATGTTTACTTTAACTCATGTAAAGTGTAGATTTACTAAGCAGAGAGAGAATCATAATTGACTTTCCCTGATTCCCTTTCTTCACATGTAAAATGTAGATCCACTGAGGGCTGGTCAGGGCTTCACAGGAATGTGACCACTGGCCTCATTGCCTCCTCTCCCTCCCTCTTTCCCACCCCCCGCTACTCTTGCTTGTTCTTTTCTCTAAATACTGAAGTTCCAAAAACCCTCTTTGGAAAAAGCACAGGCCATAGATCCTACTATGACTTGTGTTTCTTTTTCCTGGGTGTGCCCTCAACCTTGACAAAATAAACTTCTCATCTATTGAGATCTGCTCCAGTCACTTTTTGGTTTAGGGAAGTAAAAGGATAGACTTTTCAGAGATTAACATCTCCTTCCGCTTAATAAAGTGATCAAGAATGATCAAATAAACTGTAGTTCACTAAATAAAAAAGTAAGTAAAAAGTTATCCAAAACGTGGCCAGGCCAGGTTTTGGATACAGTGGTCTGGGTGGAAGGTGGCTAGGACGTGTAAAACCCAGTCAGTCAGCACGTGACTTGGTACTAAGCTCTCAAGGGTACTTTATCAACTTCCATGACAACTTGGAGTCAGCCACAGAGGGTGCTTGGTTAGTGTATGTATTAGCTCATTCTCACGCTGCTAATAAAGACACACCCATGACTGGGCAATTCATAAAGAAAAAGAGGCTTAATGGACTCGCAGTGCCACATGACTGGGGAGGCCCCACCATCATGGTGTAAGATGAAGGAAGAGCAAAAGGATGTCTTACATGGAGGTGGGAAACACAGAATGAGGGCCAAGCGAAAGGGGAAACCCCTCAGAAAACCATCCGATCTCATGAGACTTGTTCACTACCACAAGAACAGCATGGGAAAAACCCACCCCTATGATTCAATTACCTCCCCACGGGTCCCTCCCACAACACGTGGGAATTATGGGAGCTACAATTCAAGATGAGATTTGGGTGGGGACACAGCCAAACCACATCAGGGTACATGCTCTTCAGGGGTCTCCTACCAAAGACTCCCCTGGCTCCAACAAGGGCCTTTAGCCACTGGCTTTCTACAGCGAGTGAGCTGGAGAGAATGGGGCAGAAGCCAGGCTCCAGCTTTCTCTGGCTCATCCTACCCCTGCTCCTACCACGTCATTTGCATGTAGACCCTGTTATTTGGAAAATACCCTCAACTTCTCGTGCCCTTAGGGGCTAATTGAAAGCTCTCAGATTCCACGGCCGTACAAGAGAATAATCAACAGTTGTGGGATTTCCGGGAGAAATGTGCCTTACAAAGTTGACTGAAGGATGGCGCATGATTCTGATTCAAGTTTCACAGCTGCATCCATACTATCAACAACCACCTAAAATGAGTTCAGTCTTGCCCGTCACTTAAGACACATCAAACACACTCGCTTTCGACGACTTTTGAAATGATTTCCTTTTAAAAGTTCAAATGATTCTGAAGGTCTCATTTAAATTCTCAAAAAAGCAAGCAAATTGACCGATCAAATTGTATGGACGTTTTTTCAACATTCCACTTAGCTTTTAATTACCCAGTGGGCCATCAGGGATCTGCTGGAGCTGCTCTGGAGACACCTCCCAGCCCATGTCACCGTGGCTGTCACAGATACCCAACACTCTGTCCTCAAGCAAAAAATCATTTTGCAATAAGAGTTGGGAAAGATGACTGAGCACATGCAAGAGCAAGCCTTTGAACTTCCCTAGCTTCATGGTTTCAGCGTGCTTTTTAAAAATAGCTTCAGCAATTAGACCATGTTTGTGCAGCAACTGCAAACATACCATTTCTGAGTTCCAGGAGCATAAAAACCCTCTAAGCCGTTAATCTTAGGTTTTCTCATTTCTGCCACAATCTCGCTGTGATTTCAATGCAGTTTCTCTCTATATGTGCACATGTACACACATTTCTTCATTTTCTCTGAATTTTTGACATAACAATCTTTGCCCCCTCCTGATTTCCGAAAGCAGAATATTATACACATTGAAAAGATTTGACATGAACCCAGTAAGACACAATAACGTAGGATGAGCAGGAATGAAAATAGGCAAGTACGGTAATAATGCAGACAAGCATATTGCAGCAGCAACTTGCACCTAATTATGATAAAGGCATAAATGAACTGTATAATGCAAATGCTTTCAACCAAATATGAGGAAAAGCTGCAAATGGGTTTGCACTAAATGCAAAATGCTAAGCTATCCCCAGGGCTGGGCCTTCATAACCGCTCCTTACCTTTTTCAACATCTGGAGTAGATGCTTCTTCCTTTATAATAGGGCAAGAAGCTTTCAGAAAAGCAGGCACCATCAGGGAAGGGAGTATGGTATAGCAGAGTCAGCCCTGGGCCCTGGCGCTAGTATCACCACTAACTTAATGTGTAATCTGGGGCAAATCAGTCATCTCCAGTCATTTTTATTTACTCTGGCTTAAAGGTTAGTGAAGCAAAAAATAAAGAGAAAATGTGGAGGAAAATCAAAGAGAAATTGTCAGGGGTCAGCATCTGTCTACCCCAAAATATGTTTTCTTATTTTTGCTGGGCTTGGAGAGAACAAGAATAGATGGATGTCAATAAACCACTGGTGAACATACTCAAGGGGGTTTAGGAGAGTTGGGATTGAATGAGGGAAAGGATGTTACCAGAGCACTAACATAGTCCAGAGAAAAGAATGGATGAGGGGAATAAAGATAAGTGTAACAGGGCCGGGCACGGTGGCTCACGCCTGTAATGTCAGCACTTTGGGAGGCCGAGGCGGGTGGATCACGACGTCAGGAGATCGAGACCATCCTGGCTAACATAGTGAAACCCCATCTCTACCAAAAATACAAAAAATTAGCTGGGCGTTGTGGCGAGCGCCTGTAGTCCCAGCTACTCGAGCGGCTGAGGCAGGAGAATGGCGTGAACCTGGGAGGCGGAGGTTGCAGTGAGCCGAGATCGTGCCACTGCACTCCAGCCTGGGTGACAGAGCGAGACTCCATCTCAAAAAAAAAAAAAAAAAAAGATAAGTGTAAGAGAAAGGTCAGAGGAGGGGAGAGGGAAGGGCCAGGAGGCAAGAAGACCGGGAGCCATCTAGAGAACCAGGTACGCTTAGCGCGAGCCAGGAGCTGGAGGCATTTCCATACCGATGCCCTGAAGGCTTCATGGCAGGGCCCCCGGTACCCCTTGCTCTGCCCACCTCCCAGATGCTTCCTTCAGGCAACTCCTTCTTCATTTTAACTGTTTTCCCTGTCATTAAACCCTCCTTAATCACAAGCTCTCACTTTAGAAGGGGAGGGGAAGATGAAGAGAAGAGAAAAACAAGAGCCTGATCCACATCTTGCTTGCCTTCGGCCCTCCACGGTTGCTTTGAGCCCTTACATGAAAACTGTGACTTGCATCTCGTGGGAACAGATGTCGTAGTGGAAAGGTCACTGCACTTTTTTTTGGTTAAGGACTAGAAATCTTTTTCAAGCAAGTCCATGTATAAATAAAGAAATCGGGTCTTCTTCTCCACCCAGCTGCCAAGTCCCTTAGGTCTCCTTCCTCTTCCTTCTGTCAACTGTCTTGAGCCCCCACGGGCCAGACCGTGCCGGTCTCTGCCAGAGGAGAATGATAAGTAAATGCATGAAAAGCCATCCGTGGGGTGGGCCCAGGGGGCAGGAGAGCCCAGAAGCGGGTGCCCCAGCCATGCCTGCCTGGGAGAGGGAGGTATTTGGAGGAGTTGTGGGTGGTTGGCTTCCCTATCTTCAGTCCACTGAAGCTTAGCTTGAGCAATCAGTACCTCTTCCCCGGATAAATATCAAAGCCTCTCACTGGCCTTTCTTCTTGCTTCAGCGCCTCACAGAATGCAATGTTTCTTGAACCACACTCTGTGGCACGCTGGTGTTGTACTTGCTTATTTGGTCATGCAAAAACACTGAGTGCCTACTGTGCACCAGTTACCGTGAAAAAGAGGTTTTGTGGTCAAATACATTTTGGAACTCTCTCTTCTCAGAGTTCACAATACACGCATTAGCATCTGAAAGCAAATTTTGGAATAAATAAAGAAAGCTCCTCCTCCTATAGCCTAAGAAACACATTTAGAAATGGATCCACTGGCTCATCCTCTCTATTACGGAGTCCTCTTCCTAAAACACAGCGCTCATCACGTAGCTCCTCGGCTTTAAACCTTCAACGAGGGAACAAAATAAACTTCGACTCTGCTCAAGCTCCTCTGTAGTTTGGTTTGTTTCCCAGACTTCCTTGGCCGATCCTTTGTTCTAAGTGAACAGGGCCCCCTTGCCCTGCACGCCCCCGCACCTACAAGCTCTTGCTCAAGTTGGCCCCTTCCCTAGAATGCCCTCCCCCACCTCATCTCTGCTCTGAGTCATCCTTCCAGGTGCAAGTCAAACGTCTCCACAGCAAGGTGAGTACTTTATCCAGCTCCCTCAGGTCACATATTTGCACCCTGCACTAGATTATAGCATGATTCACTACTGAGGGAAATTTATAATTTCCCCTTAAGCTCCTCCAGGGCAGGGCCTGCTCCTTGTTCAGCTGACTCATTTTCACATCTGTGTGACCTCCCTCCTCCAACACCTAATACAGAACTAGAGACAAAATGGGTACAGTAAAGAGATGGCTGGCCTGGGCTACCACCGGCTGTAAGACCTTGGGCAGGTGATGTGGTTTGAATGTGTCCTCCCAAAATTCATATGTTGAAACCTGCTACCCAAGGTCATAGCATTAAGAGGTGGAGCTCTGGGGAGGAGAATGGATCAGGAGGGCAGAGCCCTTGTGAATGGGATTAGTGCCCTTCCTCAGGTAGCCTGAGGAAGCCCGTCTGCCCTTTCCGCCATGTGAGGACACAGCAAACCAAGAAATGAGCCCTCACCAGACACCGAATGTGCTGGTGCCTTGGTCTTGGACTTCACAGCCTCCAGAACTGTGAGCAGTAAGTTTCTGTTGCTGACAAGCCACTCTGTCTATGGCACTTTGTTACAGCCCCCCAACAAAGACAGTAGGCTGCCTAATTCTGATTGCTGCCCCTTCCTAAAGTGGGGGTACAGGATCTAGAGGACAAAGAAGCATGGGTTTTAAATTCAGCCATTTCACAGGCAGAAGGAACAATCCCACAGCCACAGCAGCCATGTGAGCACATGTGCCTTCAGGTTTATCTGTAATTTTTTTTATGTGTCCTTTCAACTTTTGTCCCAGTTACAAAGACTGCAGAGGCCTCCAGCCGGGCCACCCTAGTCCCCCCAAAATGGAGAGCTGACCCAGAGGCAAGGCCACCCTCTTGGAAAGGCTGTGCATCAGTGGCGCTGGAGGAGAGCGGAATGCCCAGAAGAGCAGGCAGCGGGAGACAGAGCAGCACGCCTGAGCTTGGGGAGAGAGGAGCCACAGGGCCCCAGGAAGAGGCCCACCCTGCTCCACAGCGTGGGCCACATTTATGGGATACAACAGAATGCCGATTATCCGGACTAACTGGGGATTTAACAATCTGAATAATCAGTTTTTCTGGATAATTGATCACGAGGGATGCAAGGAGAGGAATCATCAGCCATTCAGGCAGAAAGGCCCAAGAATTGGCCTTTCAAGTGACCTGAATTCCAGAAATTAACACTGAACACTATGTATCATGCAACTGGGAAAGGAGGACGTCCCATTCTACACCTGTCAATCACCGGAGCCTGGGCAGCGTACTTATGCAAAAAACAAGACTGGGGTCTCAGGAAGACCTTCTTAGAGGCCTGTAAAAGCTTCAGACTAGGATGGTAGCGCCGAAGGTAACCGAATGGCACGATGACTCAGTACTTTTTGGTGACCTCCGAAAGCTCAGGCACCTTCCAAAATGCTAAGGACACAGATGCCCGGCACACACATACACACACAGAAATCTGGCCTCTTCAGGAAATATTCCGCACTATGCAGCTATTTTCCCTACACATGCAAATTCTCCAACACAGAGAGTCTTTGTACACATAATACTGTTTGAAGAATGTGCCTGACAAGAGACAATTTTGAACAGAGTATTGTGCTGTGGTGATGTGGCAGCACAGCAGAATAATCTGTTTTTGTTTTGTCTCTCTTTGAAACGCTCAGCCTCTCTCTCTGCTTGGCTCTGTGCACTACAGAGAGAACAGAGGCACCAAGCGCTGCACATTCCAGGGGAAAATAATGCTCCTGTCTGCTGACGCAGCACCACGCAGGGGGCCATTCGCACACAGGACTTTTTCTTTTTCCCCCTGCAAAGAAACACAATGATTCCACATCAGCCTCTCCAAAAAGTGAACAGTCCTTTCAGATGGCCTTTCCATCCATGAGCGCTTTTATTATCTTTATACATTTTAAATGAACCTTGCCCTTGGCCTCTACTTTTTCTAACATGAAATATTCACTTCCCCGGGGTGTAGATGCATAATAATCCCTCCTGCTCATTATAGGTTTTCAAAGCTGCATTTCCATCCTGTTGTATTTAACTTTTATTCAAAAAAAGGCTGATTTATATATGAAGAGGTGCCTCGCTTTAGGCAAGCACGCTATGCAAAAAGATAAAGCCATCGACCATGAGAATTAAGAGACGGATGGTTCTTTAATCCCTGAGCTTCTTTGTAGTAAATTAAAAAATATTCCTACTTTAAAGCCGTGTATTTGTGTATCCTTAGACATAATACAGCCTCATACTGGAGAGCGCATATAGGCCAGCTCCACGGACACACATGTGATGAGTGCTCAACACTGTAGTGGGTGTGGTGGGGTCACTAACACCGTCACTGTCCCCTTTTCCCGAGCTTACTGTCTTTGGGAGAGGTAGGGATCAGCAGAAGCATAAAAGGTAGACAGTGTTGCTGTGTGGCCATATGAACCTGAGCAGAGGCCACAACTGGAGGACGGAGGAGGTCCCTCAGGATGGGCAGAGGCTACTCCACCCACCCCTGCTCCACAGCTGCTCCACAGGAGCCAACAGCAGTGCCTGCACAGTAGATGGGGTGTCCGCCCCGCAGCCCAGGCAGGATTTAAGTCTGGAGTTATTGGCGGCCATCTGGTCACCACCCGAGAGAGCCTGCTGGAGAGCAGAGCTGAACTAGAGGACAGCAGAACTCCGTAATGGAAAACAGGTGTATGATGGAGTAGAGGATGAGGGTCTCACTGCGTCTGAAGATGGTCTGCCTTGGACCCTTCTCTGACTTATGCCAAGATACTTCCTATTTATTTCTAAAGCCAACTCCAGGAATAAATAACTTTTAGGGCAACTGAGAGAAAAGGGGGCCAAAAGGCACAGCCAGAGGGGCTGTCTTCCTCATCTCCTCCCACCCTGGCTCACTTGAGCAGGGGGCAGCCATCCGGGGCAGGCTCACCTCCATCTCCTGATGGCCCACCCCAACTCCAGTGTCACCCACACTGGTAGAAGAAACATCCTAGGGAAGTAGGAGAGTCCAACCCATACCTTTCTAATGTGGATCACTGTCTCTGTATTCTAAGGTACCAAAAAAAAAAAAAAATGAATTCTTTCCTCCTAAGTCCCCCCAAAAATGCTTCCTTTTCCTGACTCCCGCTCTAGACATCCGGGAGACACAGGGAAAATAAATTTATCATGTATTCTCTTACAAAAGAAGATGATTTCCCCTTTGACATGAAAAATATATTAAAGAGGATTTGGAGGAAAAGACAATTATCAGGATAGGCTTAGGTGTGAGAAGAGGTTGAGATGAGTACTTGCGGAATATTTAAAGGAAGGAAGGAAGAGATGAATGGTGGCTGTACCAGATGGGCTAAGCATCAGAATATCACCCTTTTTAGGGGAAGCTGCCTATGAATCTCTATGCAGTTTCCAAATGACCCAGCAATCCTGGACGCAGCTGAGTGGACCGCTGAGTGGACTGCGGGTGAGCATCTGGCCAGCCGTGTATGAAGGGATGTGTCGACGCTGTCGGGACACGAGGTTCGTGGTGGGGAATGAGACCAAGCTGATCGTCTCCTGGATCTGGCGTCATTCCCAAGAATCCTGCCCTCCCTGCTTCCACTTGCATTTGTGCAATGAATTTTCCATCCCATGACAGAACTTCAGTGAGTGTTCACTGTTTGCAGCCCAACGCGCAAAGTGAGCGGGACACAAGGCGCTCATCCGGGTTATGCGCACGGCCCATTCTGTGCTTTCCTGTACCGCAGCCCTCAGCACGTTACTCCAGGGTTAATTTTCTCTGTGTGTATCACAGAAGCCAGCACATTACGGGCACTCAATAAATGTTTGTTAAATAATGAAAGCTAAGCCGCAGAGAAGAGATGAGAAGGCTCAGGAAACAATGTATCAAAGCAGGAATGAGTATTGGTTCAGTATCACCCCCAAGCCCCAAGCCAACAACAACAACAAAAAACCCTCTTGAAACAATGTTTTTAAAAGTAAACAATACACACACAAGCCCTTGCTCAATCAAAGTATTCTAGTTCCACTGAAACTCACACTGGGTAGACATGGTGTACACAGCTGAGCAATAAGAAACAAGAACTGGGCAGTTCTAGGACTAAGCAGTTTGCTCTTAATTTTGAATATCATATATGTTAACCTAAACAGATGAGGGATGATGTAAGACCCTCACCACCTCTGCTGTTGCGGTGCTACACCTTTGTGATTTATTTCATTTTGGTAAGAGTCTGTTTTAAAAACGCAAAGTTGCTATAAGATTCAGTAATCGCACTCTTAGGGATATATCCCAGGGAACTGAACATAGAGACTCGAACAGATACTTGTACACGAATGTTCACTGCAGCATTATTCACAAGAGCCAATAGGCAGAAACAACCTATATGTACATGAACGGGCAAGTGGATACATAGAGTGTGGTATGTCAGATAATGAAATAGTGTTCAGCCACAAAAAGCAATGAGTTTTTGACACATGCTACAATGTAGACAATCCTTACAAACATTACGGTAAGTAAAATAAGCCAGACACAAAAGGACGAATATGTGAAATATTTCGAATATGCAAATTCACAGAGACACTAGGCAGAAAAGCAGCTACCAGTGGCGAAAGGGGAGGTGGGAATAGAGGAGTTAATAGGTACAGAGCTTCTGTTTGGGTGATAAAACATTTTTGAAATAGATATGCAGGATGTTTACACAACAATGTGCATGTAATTAATGCTACTAAGTTGCATGGCTAAAATGGCAAGTTTTAAGTTTTACAGATAGAGACAAATCTTCATAATAAAAAAAGAGAGAATATATTTAAATATATCTGATTTTAGCAACATATTAGAATACACTGGCTCAGACCCTATTCCTGCTACAAGGACGTAAGATTCTAGGTGAAATATAAGAAGGAAATTTTAAATGAAAAGGTAAGCTTGATGGAGAAAAGAAGACAGCATGCGCTAGAAAGGAGATCAAAAAAGACACAGAGGCAGGGTACGGTGGCTCATGCCTGCCATCCCAGCACTTCGGGAGGCCGAGGTGGGCGGATTGCCTGAGCTCAGGAGTTTGCGACCAGCCTAGGCAACATGGTGAAACCCCGTCTCTACTAAAAAATACAAAAACTTAGCTGGACATGGTGGCGTGCACCTGTAGTCCCAGCTACTCAGGAGGCTGAGGCAGGATAATTGCTTGAACCTGGGAGGCAGAGGTTGCAGTGAGCCGAGATCTTGCCACTGCACTCCAGCCTGGGCGACAGAACAAGACTCTGTCTCAAAAAAAAAAAAAAAAAAAAAAAAAAAAGACACTGAAATGCTACCTGTGTCTTGGAGGGCTCCTTAATCTGAAAAATTAATTTAAACCAGCTCTAAACCATTGAAACCAGCAGGACAATAGCACAAGCAGAGGTGAAACCATTTGATGGTAAGGCACAGTTCAGGGAGCATGAGCGTTCCATGAATGTAACAATTAATGAAGATGAGCTCCTGCACTCGCGCGCTCTCTGTCTCTCTCTCTCTCTCACACACACACACACACATACGCATACAGCCACCATTGTAAAGATTAGTATGTTCTGAAACAGAATTTCCACCCCTGAACTTACTACAATAATTTGGGAGACACTACAAAATAAGTTAAAAATGATTAAACATAAAATAATTAAAGTTCTAACAAAATAATAGAACACGATGAAAAGGTGGATTTGAAGAGTAGCAAATGGAAACACAAATGAAAAATATAGTCATTGGAATTAAAAACTCAAAGGTGAGGACAAACATCAGGTAAGACAAAGCTAAAGAGAAAATAACTGAATGAAAAAGAGATTGAGGAAAGTTTCCAGAATGTAGCAAAGAGAGACAGAAACGATGAATGGGAAGAGAAAATAAGGCAAAATGAGAAGATGCAAATATGCTTAAATCGGAGTTCTAGAAGGAGACCAAAACAAGTGAAAAAAAGAAATATTCAGAAAAAATAAGGCTAAGAATTTTGAAACTGAGGCCAGGTACAGTGGCTCATACCTGCAATCTCAGCACTTTGGGAGGCTGAGGTGGGAGGATCGCTTGAGGCCAAGAGTTCAAGACCAGCCTGGGCAACATAGCAAGACACTTATCTCCACATTTTTTTTTTTAATTAGCCAGGGATAGTGGCATGTGTTTGTGGTCCTTGCTACTCAGGAGGCTGAGTCTAGAAGATTGCTTGAACCCAGGAGTTCGGGGTTACAGTGAGTGATTGTGCCACTGCACTCCAGCCTGGACAACAGAGCAAGAACGTTCCTCTAAAAAAAAAACTTTGGAATTGATAAAGGACATGATTCTAAAGAAACAAGAAACATAATGATTCTTAAACAGGAGAAAATAACTACCTAGTGAAACTGTAGACAGCAAAGATAAGGAAAAAACAACCCTAAAAACCATAGGGAAAGATTATCCACAATAGAATAATTATACTGAAAGCAGATTTCTTACCAGAAAAATAAAAAGCCTAAAATAAAATGTAACAAAAGTGTCAAAGGATTGAAAGAAAGTGAAATATCAACCTAGAGTTTTATATACATCCAGACTATCATTCAAGAATGAGAGTAACATTACCTCCAGTGATACAAAAATAATGCACAAATATTCATTGCGGCATTACTTATAATAGAAAAATAGTGAAAGTCGTTTAAATGTCCATATAGGAGACTGACAGAATAAACCGTGGTATAACAAACACGTAGTAGCTATTTAAAAAATAAAAAAAATGGTGAAGTTATCTATGAACTGATGTGGGCTGATTTCCAGGATATGAATTGGAAAAAAAAAAGGTGCTGATTATACTTTAAAAATGATTGTATTTTTATTGAGATATAATTCATATATCATAAAAGTTACGACTGTAAAATACACAGATAAGTAGGTTTTATTATTATTATTTTTTTTTTTTTTTTTGAGACGGAGTCTCGCTCTGTCACCCAGGCTGGAGTGCAGTGGCGCGATCTCCACTCACTGAAAGCTCCACCTCCCGGGTTCACGCCATTCTCCTGCCTCAGTCTCCCGAGTAGCTGGGACTACAGGCGCCCACCACCACACCCGGCTAATCTTTTGTATTTTCAGTAGAGACGGGATTCTATTGTGTTCTCCAGGATGGTCTCGATCTCCTGACCTTGTGATCCCCCCTCCTAGGCCTCCCAAAGTGCTGGGATTACAGGCGTGAGCCACCGTGCCCGGCCTATTATTAATTTTTTTTAGATACATGGTTTCACTCTGTCTCTCAGGCTGGAGTGAAGTGGTGTTATCGTAGCCCACTGCAGCCTTGATCTTCCGGGCTGAAGCCATCCTCCACATCAGCCTTCTGAGTAGCTGTGACTACAAGTGTGCACCACCATGTCTGCTAATTTTTATACATTTCTTGTAGAGACAGGGTCTTGCCCTGCTGCTCAGGCTGCTCTTGAACTCCTGGACTCAAGCGATCCTCCCACCTCAGCCTCCCAAAGTGCATTACAGGTGTGAGTCACTGCACCAGGCTAGTTTCATTACAGAATATTTATATTATATTATATTCACCAGGTTGTGTAGCACTTCCTAGTTCCAGAGTATTTTTTCCACTCCAAAAGGAAATCCTATACTCTTCAGCACTCACTTTCCATTGCCCCTCTCCCCACAGCCCCTGGGAACTACTACTCTACTTTCTGTCTCTATAGATTTGTGTATTTTGCACATTTCATATAAACTGATTCATGCAGTATGTGGGTCTTTGTGTCTAGCTTCTTTCACTCAGCATAATGTTTTCAAGGTTCATCTATCTTGTACCACATCTCAGTCTGTTTTGTGTTACTTTAACAGAATACCTGAGACTGGGTGGTTTATAAAGAAAAGAGGTGTAGTTGGCTCACAATTCTGATGGCTGGGAAGTTCAAGATTGGACGTCTGCATGTGGTGAGGGCCTCAGGCTGCTTCCACTCATGGTGGAAGGGGAAGGGGTGTCTCGTGTGCGAAGATTACATGGCCAGAGAGAAAGCAAGACAGAGTCTAGGAGGTGCAAGGCTCTTTTTTAACAACCAGCTCTCTCAGGAACCAATAGGGCAAGAACTCACTCCCAAGGGAGAGTACTAATCTGTTCATGAGGGACCCACTTCCGTGACCCAAACACCTCCCATGAGGCCCCACCTCCAACACGGGAGATCAAATTTCAACTTGAGGCTTGGAAGGGACAAACATCCAAACCATCACATACCACATAGCAGTATTTCATGAGTGCTAAAAAACATGTGTGTACCATTTTTTGAGTGAACATATGCTTTCAGTTCTCTTGCATACATACCTAGGAGTGGTATTGCTAGGTCATATAGTAACTCTGTATTTAACTTTTTGAGGAAATGCCAAACTCTTTTCCACAGCAGCTGTACCCTTTTACAATCCTATAAACAATGTATAAGGGTTAAAATGTATCTACTTCTTGCCAACACTTCCAATTTTCCATTAAGAAAAAAACTGTCGGCCGGGCGCGGTGGCTCGTGCCTGTAATCCAAGCACTTTGGGAGGCCGAGGTGGGCGGATCACAAGGTCAGCAGATGATCGAGACCATCCTGGCTAACACGGTGAAACCTCGTCTCTACTAAAAACACAAAAAATTAGCCGGCCATGGTGGCGGGCACCTGTAGTCCCAGCTACTCGGGAGGCTGAGGCAGGAGAATGGAGTGAACCCGGGAGGTGGAGCTTGCAGTGAGCCGAGATTACACCACTGCACTCTAGCCTGAGCGACGGAGTCTCGTCTGTCTCAAAAAAAAAAAAACAAAACAAAAAACAAAACCACAAACAAACAAACTAAAAAACCTGTCATCCTAGTGAGAGTAAAGAGGTACCCCACTGTGGTATTGATTTGCATTTCCCTGATGGCTAATTATGTTAAGCATTTTCTCAGGTGTTTATTGCCCGTTTTTTTTATCTTCTTTGGAAAAATGCCTATTAAAATCCTTTGTCCATTTTAAAATTAGGCCATTTGTCTTTTTATTGTTGAGTGGTAAAAATTCTTTATGTGTTATGGACAATGACCTTTACCAGATATATGGTTTGCAATTTTTTCTGTCATTCTGTGCTATATTCTTATTTCAGCAAAACAAACAAAAACTAGCAAACAATAAAACATAGAAAGGATATACCAGGAACTTTGAAAACAGCTCTTTATGAAGCATTGTTGAGAATGGAGTACAAGGCATGGACAGGGAAGGCGATGAGGCTTCTCTGACCACATCTTTTCATGTAATTTAGACTTTTGAACTATACTAACAGTTTATATATCCACAAATATATTATTCAATTAAGACACAGGAAAGTTTTCCTACAAAGAAACCAGTAAACCTAGCTATACATCAAATAGGTAATATAACAAATGGAAGAGGAAAAAAAAATTAAGGCAAGAAAGTTTAGAACTCAATATCTGACTGTAACCCTTAATGAGACATCTTCCAGGCACAAGAAGAACCAGAAGGAAATATTAAATCTCTCTTACTGAATTTGTAGTGAGCAGTAGTATCGGTATAGCAATTCCAAAAACAATTTTGTGTGAATTGTAGGATTGAATAAGTGGGTAAATACATTAATGTGATGGGGAATCAGGGTTCTTATTGTGGGAGAAGGGAGACACAAACATGGAATGGGAGGAGAGGAAGAACCCTGTGATGATGAACTGGAATTAGAGATGTCAGCGTAAACTCATGATTTAAAATACACACACACACATGCACACGCGCACATTTCTAGCCACTGAAGAGTCTGGGAGTAAGAACACCAAGGAAGTAATAAGCACACTTAGCAGCCAGATCTTGGTTCGTAAATATCATATTGCACTCAAAGGCACCAAAGCTTCTTGGAGCAATGGCTGATTCCAGGGCTGGGGCAGGAAAAATACAGGTGAGCCTGGAGCAGCTTGTTGTGCTAGAAAGTGAGACACACTCAAAGACAGAGGAGAACATCCGGAAAAGATAGAGGAGATACTCTGAAACCATGCCCAGCAGCCAAATCTGAAACAATGTTAACACCTAAATGAGTAACGGGATATTATAACATATTCAATTAACACAAAGAACAAGAGTCCCTTCCTAAAAAAAGGAATGGAAATGTGAAGAAGGAAAAGGAGTTCCTTACAGAAGAAGACTAACCTAATAAACACACAAAGGATGGTAGAAGTTAGGACACAAACATCGTGGTAATAGTTGACTGAGGCAAGAGTCACCCGTGAGTGAGTAAAGAGTGTTAAGAAACAGAATAGTCCCATAGTTTCAAGGTATTACCACACAGATTATTGATAACTCACAAAGGAAAAATGCACCTTTCCCTTTGGACAAACCTGTTGGTCCCCATTTAGCTTAATAATCACACTCAAAATAATCAATAATGGGACAAGTTGACATCAGGTGGCCTCTGATGTGGTGCACTGACAAGGACATGGGGTCATTACGATAGTTAACTTGGCTCATACCTGTAATCCCAGCACTTTGGGAGGCCAAGGCAGGCAGATTACAAGGTCAAGAGATCGAGACCATCCTGGCTAGCACGGTGAAACCCCGTCTCTATTAAAAAAACAAAAAATTAACCGGGCGTGGTGGCACATGCCTGTAGTCCCAGCTACTCGGGAGGCTGAGGCAGGAGAATCGCTTGAACCCGGGAGGCGGAGGTTGCAGTGAGCTGAGATCGTGCCACCACACTCCAGCTTGGTGACAGAGCAAGACTCTGTCGGGAAAAAAAAAGAAAAAAGAAAAAAAAAGACAGTTAACTTGAATCTGACAAAGAATACACAGTCAGCCAAATTCAAGACTGAAGGACATTCTGCCAAACAACTGGTCTGGAGTTTTCAAAGATGTCAATGTTGAGAAAAAATGAAAGGCCAGGGAACGATTAGATTATGGGTAAGGAGATGTTTTTACTAAAGACAGTAAATAATCCTTAATTGGACGCTAGAATTGAAAAAGAAAAGCCATAAAGGTCTTTTTTTTTGCTACAATTAGGCACATTTGAATTTGAATGATATATTAGATAACAGAACTACACATAAATCAATGCGAAATTTTCAAGAGCAATGATTTTATGGTGGTTATGTTGAAGATCGCTGGAGTATTAGGGAGGAATGTCTGCAACAAATCTGCAAATGTGTCAGTCTAAAACGAGTGTGTGACAGAGCATGCAAAGAGGGAAAGAGGGGAGGGAAATGGAGAGGGGGAGAGAGGGGACTCGAAGCGGCCAAATGCTCATGGTGGGTGAATCTAGGTGAAGGGTGTCAGGTATTCAGTTAATTCACCTTACATTTCTGCAGGTTGAAATCTTCCAAAATAAAGGTGGGAGAAAAAGAGAGGGAGGGTAAATAAAGCTATTTCCAGCCTTCCAGTGGGAAATGATTTCTGAAGGAGAAATTCTATAAGGATATGAAGCCAAGAAGGATGGGCAGGACGAGAGAAGCAATGATGAGTTAAACACACTGGAAAGGCTAAATCAGCACCAAACAGGAAAAAATGACGTTGTGTTGTTATTATAACCAACCTGGGGATGAAAAACCAGATAAAACCTAAACAGCGGACCACAAAACATGAACGATGCAAGAGAAATTGAAGCCTGTTCAGGCAGAACATGTTGGTAAATTTTAGACTCTGTTCAATTACGCGTGTTAAATATTTGAGGGGAACCACTTTAAAGGTGAAAATATTTATGTAAATTTTAAAAATATACAAATGCTATTCCAGAGAATTATGGGGATGAAAATATGTAATAAAATATAAAGACACAGATTAGAAGGAGTAGCACCAACTTCAGGTTCATGGTTTCTTCAGCAAAGAGGAAACTGGGAGGAGGGTTAGGTTTTTTTGTAAAACTGCTTTCTCTTTAAAATGTTCGTATTTGTTAAATGTTAGTGTCATACACTGGTATCCGATTACAGCTTTCCACATGGCTGAAATATTTCACAGTTAGAATTTTTAAAAATTCATTCAAATGCTTTAAAATGCATGCGGTCAAGGGAATGTGTGAGGTAAGAACTGTGATTTCCACACAATGCCTGCAGCAGAGCTGTGTGCCAGGTCCGGGAAGCAGGGACAAAGCACTTCTCAGTGTGCCTGGGGTGGCAGGGGCCTGGTAACGCCCCCTATAGAGGAGTGTCAGCCTTCAGGGATGCGTGGAGATATCTGAGGGTGGGCAAGGACATCTGGGGAGAGAGATGCAGCATGGCCCACATGCTGATGGCCGACAGAGGAGGTGCTTCCACGGGGCTGCGTGGCAGGCGTGCCTGTGGAGCTGGTGCAGCTTGGACCTGGCTGAGCAGGCCTGGGAGGGAGGAGGAACCTGTCCACTGCTCAGGAGGTCAAGGCAGTGTGCCACCTCGGGAGGGCCCACTCTGCACCCGGGGACAGCTGAGGACTTTCTGAGCCTTTTCTCATTAGTCTTCCCACCAATGCTGTAGGGCAGCCACACTGCTCCCCCTTCCTAGACAAGGAAGCTGATGCCGAGAGAAAATGAGTGATTATCCTGTAAGTTGCATCTCACGTGGTAGACATAGGATTTAAATGGGCCTTTTGGCTACAAAGTTCTGCTCTCAAACAGACTTTAGCCTGTAGATGATGGGGAGATATGAAAGAACTCCAAGCCAAGGAGGGGCAAGGACAGATGTGTCATGGAAAAAGTGGAAGTGTTAAAGCGCAATATTTCTGTAGGGAGACTGAGGGTGATACATACTCATATATTAAGAAGAGCATGGAGGTTCCTCAACAGCAGATCAGGGAGGGTGAACAACTTTGCTTTCCAAAGACAATTCTCACACATTGTTTCACTTAAAGTCACCAGTAAGACTGACAGGATCACAGGAAATATGATATTTTAGTAAATTTCTCATGACTTAAATGGAAACCAAAAGGAGGCCTAAAATTGAGCTGATACGATAATAAAATGAGGTAGATATGGACTGTTTCACCTTACTATAGAATTGGGAAACCATTAACTTAGAATTTATGATAATTTGTTTACAAATTAGGCTAAAAATACATTTATTTAAAGGTAAAATATTTCCTTAAACTGATTAACAACATAAGATGTTACAGATGAATTTAGCCTAGTAAAGAATGAACTTCTTGGCACTTAAAAATGAAACAATCACCATCTATTTATTAAAACACGTTCCCAACGAGCTCTAATTACTAAGACTTAGTTTGGCAATCAAGGATGACACAAGGGGCGTGACATAATAAAACCAAAATTCTATTAATAAGTTAGTAATTCAAACTTTTTGTTAATTCGGATGACTCATTTTCATCAGTGAGAATTCCTGAGATGCTGCTCTTTTGTTGCAGTTATTTCCTTAAGGACAACAGGATGTAAAACACAAAAGACAAATGATAAAATTGGAAAAATATTTGCAATGTACCGAGTCTAAAACCAATCAGAAAAGGGCAAAGTGCATGAAAAGTGAGTAATTTTCATTGTTCCATTTTAATGATGACTTGTATTTATCATTTTCTGTATATCACTGTAAAGTTTAAAAAAGCTAGTTAGAATCTTTGGGAAAAGAGGTCTGAATGGCATCATGATGTGACATTGTACCGGACAGCAGGCTTGTCCCATGTCTGCGCTTTTTGCTCTAGTGGTTCTGTAACCTAGAAAATCTTTGCACCTGTTGGAAACCCCAACTGTGCCCGACTCTCAGGTTTCAGGTCAACTGTCGGCCCTACAATGAAGACTTTCCAGATTCTCCCTAACCAAAAATAACCTCTGTCACTGAGTAATTAAAGCACCGTATCTGCACTTCTGTTCTTCTATTCAGGCCACTTCAACTCAGGTTACATTCATGGATGTTCACATCTTCTCTCTGCCCCTGGAATATGAGTTGCTTCATGCTAATACCGTAGCACCTCAGTCATGTTGATTGGGGTGTGTGTGCACACGGCGGCTTCCTGGGTCAGTGTACTGTGCACACATGGAAGGAAAGGAGGGCAAGAAATGGAATAAGAGCAGAAAAGGAAAGGAGAAGAAAAGAGTGAGAGAAAAGAAAGAGCAAAGAGAAGAGTAAAAGATGAGAGAAAAGATAAGAAAAGGGAAATTTAAGAAAAGAAAAAAGGAAAGGAATATGGAAAGAAAGGGGATTTGATCAAAGTTCCCAAATTAACTATAACCATTTATTTCATCTTCTTCCCATTATAACACACACACACACACACACAGCTGTAAAAACAAGTTGAACTACATGGTGAGATGACTATCATTGCATTTAAATAATTTTAACAAAGTTGTTGAACATTAAGAAGAACGTGGCAAATGGGAGCACTGTTCATAACAGCCACAAGGGGGAGCAGCCCAAGTGTCCGTCACATGAAAGGAAAGACATAATATGGTCTATACATATAAGGTCATATTATTTTACCTTAAAAAAGAAGGAAATTCCAACACATACTACAATATGGATAGCCTCAAAGACATTATGCTGAGATAAGTCACACACAAAAGGGCAGACACTGTGTGTCTCCACTTATATGAGGCCTCTAGAGTAGTAGAATTCAAGGAGACAGGAAGTACAATGGTGGGTGCCAGGGGCTGGGGAAGGGGAGAATGAGAATCATTGTTTGATGGGGAAAGAGCTTCCAGTTGAGCAAGCTGGAAATGTTCTGGAAATGCATGATGGTGATGAGTGTGCAGAAATGTTAATGTGCATAATACTTCTTACTGAACGGGAGACTTAAAATGGAGAAGATGCTAAATTTTATGTTATGTATTGATATGGTTTGGCTCTGGTCCCCTCCCAAATGTCATCTCAAGTTGTAATCCCCATGTGTTGTGGCAGTGGCCTAGTGGGAGGTGATTGAATTAAGGGGTGAATTTCCCTCTTGCTGCTTTCATGATAGAATTCTCACGAAATCTGGTTGTTTGGTAAGTGTGCAGTTCTTCCCCTCTGCTCTCTCTCTCCTGATGCCATGTAAGACATGCCTTCTTCCCCTTCACCCTTCTGCCATGATTGTAACTTTCCTGAGGCCTCCCCAGCCATGCAGGACTGTGAGTCAATTCTACCTCTTCTCTTTATAAATTACCCAGTCTCAGGTAGTTATTTATAGCAGTGTGAAAACAAACTAATACATGTATATTTTGCTACAATTAAGTTTTTTTAAGTAGGTGAAGAGGACTTTTGCTTTCAGCCATGATACAGTAACAGGAATCAGATTTATTCCCCCACCTTAAACAGCTTGAAAACCAGACAAAATATGTGAAGCAGCGATTTCTGACACTGGACCACCGGCAGCACGGGACAGTGATTCCTGGGTGAAGGAAAACAAAAGAGTGTCCAGCTCGCTGCCTTGAAAGAGTTCCCAATCCAGGCTGAGGGAAGCCAGACAGATCCCAGTGGGCTTGCTGAGTTAACAAGCCAGAGTTTAGAGTCTGCGGAGGCCCAGGAGGCTAAAGCTAGTGGAGAAAAATGCCACAGAAGAGGCAGCTGTGGCAGACAGAGCTTCAGGGTCTTTTGCTGAGTGTTGATCTGTGCATACAGGTAAGGAAACTACCAAGGCCAGGAAATAACAGGAGGAGGCAACATAATCCTGACAGCCCACACAAGGCCAGGAAGAGGGTGTGCTCCTACCAGCGCTCATGCATAGGGCACTGGGTGGAATTTAAACCATCAGGCCAGCACTTCAAGAAGTATTAAGGACATGCCTTCAGGGAGAAGGAAGATGCCAAACCAAAAGCTGAATGTACACAGGGGATAAAGAACAGCAGAAATGGTCAATATGTGAGTAAATATATAAACATTTCGTTTTTCATTTTTTAAAATGTCTTTAAAACTTAGAAAATCAGTAAACAGAAGACTTGAACGGGACTATCAACCAGCTTGACCTAATTGATATTTACAGAACACTCCACCCAACAACAGCAAAATACAAATTCTTTTTAAGTGCACACAGAACATATGCCAAGATATTCTGGGCCATAAAACAAATCTCAATAAATTTAAAAGGATTGAAATCATGCAGAGTATGTTTTCTGGCCACCGCAGAATTAAATCAGAAATCAGTAACAGAAAGTTATCTGGAAAATCGCCAAAGAGTTAGAACTTAACAACACACTTATAAATAATCCATGGGTGAAAGGAGAAAATGCAAAGGGAATTAGAAGATATTTTGTCATGAAAGAAAATGAAGACCCAACATAAAAATGGGGAGATGAGCCTAAAGCAGTGCCTGGGGATACTGATGGCATCAAGCACTTACACTAGAAAAGAAGAAAGGTCTGACTTCAGGGATCTAAGTATCCACTTTACGCAACTTGAAAAGAAGAGGAAGAAGAAGAAGCCTCAGGACAGCGGAGTGGAAAGAGAAAGGGGGCATGGGTCCTTCCGTGAGTTGCTTCTTGTCTTCCTCATCACTGCTTCGTGGTCACGAGATGGCTACACTGTCTCCAGCTTTACATCCATGTTCCAGAAGAAGGGATAGTGGTCAAATGTGGCTAGCCACATTTCCCCCTTTTTATTCTAAACAGAAAACATCCTTGGAAGCCCTACTTAGCAGACGTCCACTACATGTTGATTGGCTAGAGCTTTGATACATGGATGTCTGGCTGGAAGTGACTAGGGAATGGGCCCTGAGGCAGCCAGACTCTAATGTGTTTCTATAAAGATGAAAGCACCAATAAGCTATGAATGGTCATACAAAAGTAAGGGTTTAACATCCTCAGGCTCCAATAAATAAATATAAGAATGATTTATTACAGTGATGATGAGATGACTCTATGGGTACCAAGCCCCTTAATTACTACTTATGATTTCTTTCTTGAACTGCAATGATATCCTCCATGCCTGGTGAATATTTTGTGCTATTCTTCTTACCCTATAATAGAAACTTTTACCATATTGAGTAAAAGCAACAATATTTTTAGAGGAATGAATCAGTAAAATGTACATTAGAGACACGCTGGTAATCAAGAGTTAGGAAATGAGAGTCTTGGCAGGGCTCAGTGGCTCACACCTGTAATCCCAGCACTTCAGGAGGCCAAAGCAGGCAGATCACCTGAGGTCAGGAGTTGGCCGACATGGTGAAACCCCTTCTCTACTAAAAGACACAAAAAATTAGCCAGGCATGGTGGCACGTGCCACCAGCTACTCGGGAGGCTGAAGTACAAATCGCTTAAACTTGGGAGGCAGAGGTTGCAGTGAACCGAGATTGCATCACTGCACTCCAACCGGGGGGACAGAGTGAGACTCCGTCTCAAAAAAAAAAAAAAAAAAGAAAAAATAGTATTACTCTGCTTTAGTTTCAATACACACCTGGTGTATAGTGAAGCACATGTATCTTCTGTGGATCTGATGCCCTGATGTTGTAGCTCTCCAGGAATATGCACTGGGCGAGACCCCGGAGCATCTCTGGGCTGCAAACTGAGGCTCAGGGTTCCTTTCAGTGGCTGGACCCAGCTGGTGAGCTTCTTCCTGAACCTGCAAAGCCTAGAGGCTTTCTAAGAAGGAAAGCCCACTCCCCCACCACCCCCGGAGCCTGGCACCAAGGCCCTGCAGAGGCTGTCAGGAGCTTCCAGTACAGGCATGGATCTCACAGCTTCACTCAAACATTGTAGTCGCCAGACCTCCTGGCTCAGGTTGTTGCAGCCTCCAGTCGAGAAGGCAAAAGGGGAAGCTGTTAAATTTAGCAGGAGCCATGCACATTTTAAAACTGTTCTTAAGTTACAGGGAGAAGTAAATTAAATTTTGTGAAAGCTTTGACTTTTAATACCATCGGTAGTACATTAAAATGTTCTGAAGATTATTTATGATATATATATTTTAAAACTGGTCCAACTGCAACGATGGAAATGCATGAAAAGCTTCAAGCATGAAGTACTTAAAACACTCCTTGCCATATTTAGAATGGGGAATCTCGGGAGACATTGCTTACAAAACTTCCCATGTCTTTAGGTGACTGTATTCTCGTATCTTATACATCTCTGCAGTGCCTGGCCATTGGGAAACCAGCAGGGACATCACAGGCAGTTCAGATGAACTTCTAATTCCAGTGTAAACCTGTAAAATCCTTAATACTGGAAAATCAGTTAGACAATAAATATTCCAAGTGGCAAGTGGGTGGCCCAGGAGCCAGGGTCAGATAAGGTGAGGGTGGGGGCAGGTGACTGGGATCACGAAATCACCATCACCTGGAGAAGGCAGGGTAAGATGTGGAGAAGAGACAGATGTGGGACCCTGGGCAGATCCTGAATGTCTGTGGAGACATCTAGAATGCCATCGTGGCTGGGATAATGAACTCGAATGCCCTCACTGTTTCTTTATCTCTTAACCAGAGCTCCTGAAGGAGATTCTCAAGAGGACAGCTAGACGGGGGAGGATTGCAGAAAGCTTGACATCTACAGAATGCTGGAGAAATGTGAGGTTGCTTACCCTGAAGAAATACGGGATGACCCAGAAGGTATGGAAAGCAGGCTCAGGTACCTGAGGAGCTGCCAACTGAAATAATAACAGCTACTTGAGTTTGCATGCACCGGCTCATTTATCCCCACAACAAAACTATGAAGTTGATATTATCAGTAGCTCATTTACAGATAAGCATAGCAAGCCAACCGCGGGGGCATTAAGGATCCTCCCCCCGGCCATCCTGACCAGGAGCAGACAGTGCGATTCAGACCCAGGTGGGATGACCCCCGTGCCCATATTCCTAATCACTGTTTTGCTGCCCCAGGCAGAGGCAGAACCGGGGCCGGAGTTCACTGGTTAAGGGATCAGATTTTGACTCAACACAACAAAAAATTTCCTAGCAAAAGGCACTGTATAAAATAATTATCCTACCCACAGCCCTGAGAGTTAGATGCTGTGATGTTCACTTCACAGATGAGGAAACAGAGTCAGAGGGTATATGATGGACCCACACCTGGTAAACGGCTGCCTGGGCTTCCCGCTCAAATTGGCCTGATTCCTAAACTCATGCTCCTTCTACTGCAGCTCGGCCTCCTGGGAAGGCAGCCTGTTCCCTGCCATGTGAAGTGCGCTGGCAGAGATCAGAACGGCATCCTCGAAAGCAACCCACGATTCTGCTTAACTCTTGGTTAATATTGAAGAGGAACTTGAGATCCACAGAGGGAAAGTGGCTTGCTGCAGGGATACGGGTAAGAGGAACTCAGCTTTCCGGACTGCCTCCCAGGTTCTTTCGGCTGCACTGAGCTGGCTGCATAGCTGGATGTCCACCTGGACTGGAGGGCCTCCGGTCTCAGGGTTCATTGTCACACTGTCACACCTGTGCTTCTGCCTTGATAGAAATGCAATATGGCTGTTCTTGATTTGAGGCATGGTGACTCTCTCCTGGGTTTCTTTTTGGAATCTATGCCTGTGAGAGACTGTATCACTTGTTCAAAATGATTTGTCTCTGCCCTCTCCTCATCGTGACTTGCCAGGAGGTGAAGGGTACAGGCTCACCCCATTAACCTTGGGCTTGCCATATGACTTGTGGGAGGAGGGGACGGCTGCCAGGTCCCAGCAGAGGCTTTATGAGATCCTGGGGGTTCCCGCTTCCCCTCCGGAGCTCCTGCCCTCCAGCATGAGAAGAGCAGGGCCCAGATGGCAGCTGCTCATTCAGCCTCAGCCTGGCATGAGGAGACGTGGAGAACACAGCCAAGCTCGGCAGAGCTGCAGCTGACTCGCAGGATTCTTAAGTGAAAAATAAGTGTTTGTTGTTGGAAGCCATGGAGATTTGAGAATTGCTAGTTACTGCAGCAAAAGCTAATACAGAAATTGGTACACAGAAGTAGGGCTGCCATTACAAAAACCTGAAATATGGGTCATTGGTTTTGGGTTTAGGTGATGGCAAGCTGGAAAGTTGTTAAAGGAAGTTGGAAAAATGGCAACCCAAGATATGCAGTGTTAAAACACCCGGCAAAAAAAGAAAAAGAAAAAAGAAATAACCTATGATAACTTAGAAAATTGGCCTAACTAAACTTGTTTTCAAAACAGAATCTTGCCTGTGTGAACTGGTGTTATAGAATGCCTTTGACACCGTGCTATAAGGAAAAAAAAATGCACCTTGCCTCCTCCCAAAAAACTCACTGCTTTGCAAATACAATTGAAAGGGAAGAGAGAAAATACAACATTTTCAGGATTTTAAAGTGAAGCAATTTCTCACCAAATTAAGGTTGGCCGTGAAAGCACAGCCTACGGGTAAAGACCAAATCAAAGATGCAATCATTGGCTCTTGCGCCGAAACCTTTAGTTGGATTATCAAGGTCCCCAATGAAATCTTTCAACTGCACAAAATGGCCTAGAGAAAGAGACCCAGAATTTGGCCTGTTGGAAGCATGATGTGCTCAGTGTACTTGGAATTGAGTTTAGAGAAAGGAGGACATGCACGAAAAATGACTGTAGGCACACGGGGTTGACCGGAATCAAAGAGATTAAAAACAAACAGGACAGCTTCAAAAGGGACAAATCGATAACTACACTTTCGGCTGGATTAACATAGACCGTGGCATTTGAGATCTAAAACGATCCTCGGCATTCATCCTTCCTATGGGCAGGAAGCAGGTTAAGAAATCTGCTCAGCCATGAAGGAGAGCATGTCTTCCAGCACCTTCCTCAGAGGTAGCCATGGAGGATGACAGAAGAGTGCACCTGGCAGAGGGCAGATTCAGAGCCACGAAAACCACGGCCTGGAAAGTCCTCCCCGGGAGCACGACTGAGGCCCAATCGACACCCCCTACTCCCAGCCTACGGGTCCTTGAAATATTTGCCCAGCAGGACACTAGGACTGCTGTGGACTGTGGGGCCTCCCCCATCCTCTTTCCCAGTGGAAGTACCACTGGGCTTATCCTGTCTTTGAGTCTCTACTGTGTTTCCAGTTCTATTCCGGTGCTTGAAGGATGTGCTCTAGACAGTGATGGCTCCACCAGAGCCTGGGTCCCAAAATGTAAAACACATAGAGCCCAGCTAAGGTTAGGCTGGCCTGGTTGGGCCCAGTGAAGCCACAGCCAACTGGTAGACCCATAGTGAAAAATAAATGGTGTTTTGAGATGGATTCTAGCTATATCACCCAGGCTGGAGTGCTTTCGGCTCACTGCAACCTCCCCCTCCTGGGTTCAAGCGATTCTCCTGCCTCAACCTCCCAAGTAAGTGGGACTACAGGCACCCACCACAACACCTGGCTAATTTTTGTATTTTTAGTAGAGACAGGGTTTCACCATGTTGCCCAGGCTCGTCTCGAACTCCTGACCTCAGGTGATCCGACTGCCTCAGCCTCCCAAAGTGCTGGGATTACAGGCACGAGCTACCACACCCGCTACTTTTTTTTTTTTTTAACCACAGCAAAAACAAATACAATATCCCAGCACAATAACCACAGGCCCAATGTTACCCATAGAGACTCAAGTGTTATCTTTTCTTATAATTGCATACAGCAGCTTGGTTCAACGTGTGCATAGTCCATGTTACACATGCAACTTTAATTTTTCTGACAGCCATGTTGAATAAAGTACAAAGAAAAAGGTAAAAAACAAGCTTAATGATGTTGTTTATCTCACCCAACACATCTACAATTTCAACATGCAATCAACATAAAAACATAAATGTGAGATCATTGACATTTTTCCCGGCACAAAGTCTTCGCAATCTGCTGTGTATTTCACACATAGCACGTATCAATTTGGATTGTACCACATTGTAAGTGCTCAACAACTCCATGTGGCTAGCGCCTACCATGCAGTGCAGGTCTGCAGAGTAATTCTCTAGACTAGAAAGGCCACAGGTGAAAAGAGCACTGTATCTGGAATCAAGAGGACAGAGTTCTAGTCCCTGCTCAGCTACCAACTGTCTGCAGGACTCTGAGCTAGGGCCATGTCTGAAATCCATCTGTAAAATGAGGGACAGACGGTCTCCCAAGGCTCTGTCTGATTTGAGCATTTAGGAAATGTTGAGCCAATACTGACCACTGAACCAGTCAGAGGTTCTTGGTTGCAAATGATAGAAACCAATCAGGTTAACTTACACAAAAGTGAGGAGGAGGAGCGGGGAGTTTCCTGGAAGGTTCTCAAGAGTTCACAAAAGCTGGAAGAGGTTGACTGGCCTTGGAAGACAGACCAGCAGGAGACTAGTTACCTCTGAAACACAACCTCCGCCTTCTAGTAAGAATCATATAGGCCAGGCACGATGGCTCATGCCTGTAATCCCAGCACTTTGGGAGGTCGAGGAGGGTGGATCACGAGGTCAGGAGATTGAGACCATCCTGGCTAACACGATGAAACCCTGTCTCTACTAAAAATACAAAAAAATTAGCCAGGCGAGGTGGCGGGCACCTGTAGTCCCAGCTACTTGGGAGGCTGAGGCAGGAGAATGGCATGAAGCCGGGAGGCAGAGCTTGCAGTGAGCTGAGATCGCTCCTCTGCACTCCAGCCTGGGTGGCAGAGCAAGACACCATCCCTAAAAAAAAAAAGAATCATCTAGCCAGAATGCCACTGGTACCACTGTAGGGCATGCCACCTCTGGACACCACCACGGTAGATTCCAATGCAGCTACAGCTGCCATGAAGGAACTCGACCCTCTTTTTGTCTTTCTGCCACCTGCACTTCATTCACTGTCCTGGGAGAGCCCAACTGTAGGCCTGACTCTGGGATGCCAGGGGCCAGGACAGGGAGAATGGCCTCCTCTCACGATGTGCTGCCAGCTTCACCAATGTGAGTGCCTTTGGACACAGGAGTCTATCTGAGTATAAAGAAGTATTAGGAATCCAATTAAATAGTGTGATGGCCTCAAGGATCTTAATATTTGATTGAATCTCAGAGGCATTGATTAGATATCACTTTCAGTCTCAATTTTTATCAGCCTTAAGAGTGCTAAGAGCTGCTACTGGGTTTTTGAGCTTCAAGGTCCCAGAGGAAGCAAGAGCCACGGTTGATTATGTCAGGATCCTTGAAACATTATCAAGGAATATCAACACATCTAGTTAAAAACTCAATAGCAACAAAATTATGCTATTCCTAGATCTCCACTTTTAAAATAATAAAGAGCCATAGTTCCTTTTTAACACTCTTGCAATTTTTAGACACATAGATTAACTTCTAGTAAAATGAAACATTAAAATAACATATAGCATAACATATAGAATACGAGAATGAGTCAAAAGATGTGAAAACCTTGCGAAATCTGCACCAATAACTTAATATGTGCATTGGCTTCTCACAATATGTCTGAATTTTTTCTCCCAGGATTTTTTGTACCTCTGAACAATGTTAAAAATGAAATCTCCTTCTCCACCAATACTTTTAACCTAAATTAGATCTGTACTAAATTATAAGATCCTATTCTTGTATAATTTATCAAAGTCACTCCTGTTGTGGTGATATTGCTATTGTTCTGTGATGATATACTGTAGAAAATGCCATTATCAAGGAATTACATTCTGTGAACAACAAATACAGCAGCAGTCTATTAACGCATCACCATTGATTTACTGAATATATTTTCTCTTTTGGTCCTCAAGGGCCTCTGTGAATCCACTCTGTACATCAGGACTAATAACAGCATAAGCCTTGCAGAGGCGGGGTACGGTTCATGTCCTGCTTTGCTCTCCGCAGGAGCCATTTCTGGTTCCACCCCGATGCTGTGGGCCAGGCTGTGGGCCAGACTGTGGGATGGGACAATATGATGAAAACAGCATCAAGTTAAGTGATGACTCGTTCTCACATGGAACAAGGAATTATTTCCGCAGTTTTCACAACAACGTGGGAAAAGCTACAAGGGTATGAGTTCCTCCTACATCAAATGGAGTCTGTGCCAGCCAGGCAGAAGGTGCGGCATCTATCATTCACTGATGAGAGAAGTCAAACTTCAACCATTTGTTTCAGTAAGGCTGACCCAATTCTTTACTAACTCTTTTGGTCTCCTTTTGACTGAAACATATTTAAAAGAAATATAGACCACTTGAAAAGCACCTTTATTGTTAAGGTGACAAGAACTACATAGTGGTCACTTTTTCTGTAAAACAGTCAGACAGACAAAAGAAATACAAGACAACACATTTGAATAAAAATTTGCAGAAAACCCAATACCAGCAAATCTTACGTCAGTTGCTAAGGCGGAAAGAAATATTGAAATTAACGTTAAAATGCATTTTTTTGTTATTTATATTTCAAAACAGCTGTGAGAACAATGGCTGAGTACTGCCCGTGATGATATTTCAGGCCAATGAGATTTACTCCCCACCCACTTGGAGAGGTAGAAAAGAAAAAGATGATACAAACTCATATGATGTAGAACATAGAGAATAATCATCTGCTTCAGGAATCATCAGGCCAGGGGAAAATGACAACATGCTTTTTTTGTTTTGTTAAATAACCAAACAAATGAATTTTATTAGCAATAGCAACCTTGGCTGTGGGCATTTCTGAGGAATTAATGAGCAATTGACATTTACAGCCCAAGGCAAAATTCTTCCAGCCTTTCAGAAATCCCCAGGAAATGCCCTAGGCGGGCCTTGATCATGATTGCTCAATTATTATTACTTCTCTACTGGGAAACATGCTTTCCATGTTCACTAATACTCCACGGTTCCTCCCCTGCCTGTTCGAGGCACAAGGAAGATTGTACTTGTCAGCTTTCATGTAATTAGTTGGGGCCATTTTTTTTGGCTAATGACATGGAAATAGAAATGTCATTATCATTTCTGGAGTGAATTAGTGAAAGGTCCAAGCACAAGTCTCCAGTCATCCTTGTGATTTGCCAGGGCTACTGCTGAGCTTCAGATAGGGGAGCCACAAGATCAAAGCAGCCTGGACCCCTGAGTACCCACATGGACCTGCTGTGGACGCTGTATAGGTGAGAAATGAACCCAGGCTGTGTCAAACCACTGAGATTACCGAGTTGTTTGCAACAGCGGCATAACCTAGCCCATCAATTACTCCAAGTCTGAATTAAAAATATATCATTCAAAAAAAATATTAACGTAGCCTCATTGGTTTCTCTTCAGAGTAGGCTGCAACATAATGTTTCATGGATGCAAGGAGGCTTGGCACTTCAAGAGCCAAGTTTTTTAAATTGAGATCTCATTCTCTTGCCCAGGTTGGTGTGCAGTAGTGTGATTACAGCTCACTGCAACCTCAAACTCCTGGGCTCAAGTGATCCTCTTGCCTTAGCCTCCCAAGTAGTTGAGACTACAGGATCATACCACCATGCTTAGCTAATTTTTAATATTTTTTGTAGAGACAGGTCCTTGCTTTGTTTCTCAGGCTGGTGTCGAATTTGTAGCTTTAAGTAATCCTCTTGCCCCAGCCTCCCAAAATGCTGGGACTACAGGTGTTACCACCATGTCTGGCCAAAAGCCAACTTTTGAGGCAGGGTCAAGTGGAAAATATACCCAACCCAAATATAGGCAGAAACCAAGCTCACTGAACAACTGGTGAACTCAACTGAAAGTTAAATATTTGTATTGTCAGAATTTTTCAGAGAGTAAAGAACACAAAAGACTTCCAAGTGTTACTGGAGGCAAGCTACTTAGTCCTCTAAGACTCAGCTTCATTATCTGTAAAGTAAAAATACCCCGATGGTCTGGTGCAGCCGTGCTGCTGCTGCCTGTGTCCTCTACAGCCGTACAGCGCATGCTGGCCGACTTCCTATGTCCGGCATCTCTATCTCTTTGCCTAACAGCTTTCTCTCTCTGGTGGCTGGAGTCCACTCTGCTTTCTTCCACAATGACCAGATGTTCCAGAGAATTAGAATCCCCGATGTGCAGCACTGAACAAAGGTGACTGCTGGGAGTTGCTGTAGAAGGCCCAGATCCATCCTTCATCCCTGACGTAGGATAACTGTACAGTCCGTGTTTTGCACCACCTCCCTTTGTTCCTGAGGGGCTGAGCTGCAGGTCTCTGCGGGGCCACCATGCCTGATAACCTCCGATCTGCTGCCTTCCCTTCCCTGTGGCACGGCACCGCCTCCTAGGATCACCTCCTCGATAAACCCCTTGCACTGAAATCCTTTTTTCACGGGATGCCTCTGAGACCATCCAAACTCAGAACTCAACTTAGGAGTAAGTGGGAGAATTCGCAACAAAACAACAGCAGAATGCATACTTTTCTCCGGCATCTCCAGAAAGTGCTAAATGAGTGTTAGCATTTGTCATCACCATTGTTACTTATTTTGAACTTTGGGAGGAAACAAGAGAAGGGAAAGGCTTCAATGGAACTGTACAACTAATGCAGCTTGGCATGGCGGCATCACAGGAAATAAAGTAGGCCAGGAATTAACTAAACAATTAAGCAACATCTAACCTATTTATTGAAAGATATGATAATTGATACCACAGCGTTTATCAACTTAGGAAAGAAAACAGAGACACACGAAATTCTCCCACACCATCAAGAGGGAGGAAGGCAGGGCTGGGAGCCGCAGCCAGGTGGTACAGGCCTGAGGTGCTAGACGGGGCCGACTTGATAGGACAAAGCCATGGTGGGTTCTTAGTAAGTGACACGTGTACCGAAAGCACAGGGATAATAACGTACAATAAACAGAAAACAGAGCAAATAAATCATCAGAGAGGGCTGCACTGCATTCTCTGTGGAATGTGATGAGTGTGTGTCATAGGTGGCTTCAGCCCCCACAGCCCACGCAGCCCACCCCCAAGTTACCAAATTCAAGGAACTCTGTTGCCACCGGGCGTCAGTCAGTTTACAGACGTTATTCCCAAAGCAGCCGGCCTAGAGTCACTGCCAGTGCACTTATAGCACTCGCTCAAAACCAGCCACTAGGGACTGCCATGGCCAGCAGGGAAGGCCTCTCGGACCCACAGCCCTCGCGTTGTGGACATCCCTCATTCCCGAATTACCAGAACAGCCTTAGGGATGGGCAGGTTTAGGCTCAGGTGCACCTGACCCCTTAGCCATAGTCCCCAGGGGCTATTGGCAGAGATGGGGCGGGGTGGGGGTCGGGGGAGACACACTAGGAGGTCAAGGGTGAAAGGACATCACCTTCCTATCTCCTTTCCAATTTGCGCAGCACCGCTCTGGAGTGACAGCGCTTATGGCGAGAAAGGGATAAGCTTCCACCTCCCCTAGTCCCAGGCCTTAAAGCCCAGGCCCACTCTGTAGCAGAGAAGGCCCCATCAGCTAATCTGTAATTCAGTAATGACTCACGCTGAGGAGTTACCTTGTCCTTCACAAGTTGGAAGGAGCCACACCAGAGATGTAACTATTTATAGAGATCTAACCACGCTTGCTTCATGGGCTCTGCCCATAGCTGTAGTTCCTGGGAGCTGGAGCTGGAGGGGCCGGTCCCCACACTGGCCCGTGCACTTGCCCTCAGCCTCCAGTGAGTGTGTTCCCAGCACCTAGAACAAGCCTGGCACACAATATGTGCTCAAAGATGGGGGATGCAAAGGATGGTAAATAATAATAAAGTTAACCCAGGTGCCTAATCTCCCTGAGACTCAGTGTCCTCATCTGAGAAACGGCGCTAACTGCTCTCACTGAGTAAAGTAGTTGTGAGGAGGTAGAAAGAGGCAAACGTTAGAGGCCTGGCGTGCAGTGATACTCACAAACCAACAGTATCAAACAACAAAGCACAACTTCCCGCGCACTGAGTTCAAACCCATGGAACTCCTTTTATGCGCCAGACACAAGGCTTTCAAACGCAAGAGGCCCTCACTGAGCCTCAGTCTAGTGGGACATGAAATAATGCACAGCCATCAAAAAGCTACAAGGAAAGAAAGGCGGCCGGGTGCAGTGGCTCACGCCTGTAATCCCCATGCTTTCGGAGGCTGAGGTGGGAGGATCGCTTGAGCCCAGGAGGTCGAGGCTGCAGCGAGCTATGATTCTGCAACTGCCCTCCAGCCTGCGTGACACAGCGAGACCCTGTCTCAAAAAAAAAAAAAAACAAAAAAACAAACAAACAAAAAACAAACAAACAAACAAAAAACCAATCACTTAGAATGACATTGTGTAAAGTTTTAAATATCTTCCTAAGGGGGTTGGACTTTGGACTTTCATCCTCTGGCAATGAGAAACAACTAAAGATTATTTTTAAGTTTGGTGACTTCATCGTATTGATGTTTTAAAAGTAGGAATATTGAGGCCATGTGGACGTTTGAGTGAAGGAGAAAACGCTGGAGACAGAAAAATTAAGATACCAAGTCATTTAGGCCAAAATGATGAGACTAGAACTAGGGCAAGAGGAATGGAGGAAGGACTGTATTCAAGAACCACCGTGGAGGAAGAGTGATGATCCCTCTGCTAGACAATGGGAGGGAGGGAGGGAGGGAGGGAGCGAGGGAGCGAGGTCCAGAGGACGACTCTAGGTTTCTGGTTCTGTCTTCATGGCACAGTTTTGATTTCTTCGAACAGAGGTCAAAGGCCTGCACGATCTGGGGTCCAGGACTATTTAAGCTCAAAGTCTTCTGTTGGTCCCCATGTGCCCTGGTTACTGGATGAATTTCTGGAACTCATTTTGGCAACGACGTGATTTTTTAGGGGCCTCAAATAATGAAGGGCCGCACACATACACACACCTGCATGTGCACACACACAGCTGGATTCATGTGCGGCAGACAGGCTCATAATGTCTGCAACAAGCACTTAGCCGTTCAGGCACGTTCCTCGCTTAAGACTTATCAAGGAGATCAATCTTGTCTTTATAAATTCTATTGAGACAGAGCAAAGGGCTATATACAAGGCCTTAAGCTTTTAAGAAACCTCTTTTCCCCCTAACAAATCCTAGGAGAACCCCAATGCAGAAAACAGAGGAAAGCAGGCTTCTCTGGTCGAAGCCTGTGTGTGTGGGGTCCTGCCCACTGGCCACCCCGTGAATCTCCTGCTTCATCCTCAGAAGACCTCTAGGCACCTCCCTGGAACCCGTGGGCTCTGTAGAAACCAGTAGAAAACCTCTGAGCTCCATAAACTGCACCAATAACTCAGTGTGGCAGTTCCTATGTTCCAATTTCTTATGAGGATCACATCTGGGCGGCCCTTCCAGCCAGCACTTCAACTGATCTATGGAAACGGGGCAAATGTTCCATTACCTAAATTACATTTGAAGGGGAAAAAAGCCAGAACAATCTCTTAGGTATGCATGACTAAATTGTTTTCTGCGTCAATAGAGTAACTCAGAGGAAGCAGAGAATGTCTAAATTATAGAATTTTTTATAATTCAGTTTTCATTTTAACTGGTGAAGAGAATTGCTAACAAAGTGGTTTCCAGGAGAGACCCTGCCAAGTTGGCTTTTAAAAAAAAAAAGAAGGCTCATTTGTAAATAGTGACAACAGCGGTGTCTAAGTCCTTAAAAACAGTTTGTTCATGGAAGGAGGTGAAACACGCTCCAACAATGCTATTTACATTCTACACTGGCTCCATGTACACTTCTCTCAAAGATGGTACAAGAGTAAATTTCATCCCAGACTAGGTCAGATCATCATACATTCTAAATGAGTAGAATCCAAATGGAGGTATTTACTGAGTCCAAACACAAATTCTAGAAGGAAAGAATCAGTGTTTGGGGTCAGATGATAAAAGAGAGAAGAATGAGCAAAGCCCTTGAAGAGAAAGAGGGGCCTCCCGCATCAGGGTCTCCTGGCTCATACGGCATTGACCTTGACTCTGCCCATCCAAGGTCGCCCTCCCTGCAGCATTCTCAGGAGTGAAAGGCATTTCAAGTGGGCCTCTACAGCCACCCCCCACCTGGTGATATGGTTGGGCTGTGTCCCCACCCAAATCTCATCTTGAATTGTAGCTCCCAGAATTCCCACGTGTTTTGGAGGGACCGGCTGGGAGATAACTGAATCATGGAGCAGTTTCCCCCATACTGTTCTCGTGGTCGTGAATAAGTCTCACAAGATCTGATGATTTTATAGGAGTTTCCCCTTTCACTTGGCTCTCGTTTCTCTCTTGTCTGCCACCAGGTAAGACGTGCCTTTTGCCTTCCGCCATGATTGTGAGGCCTCCCCAGCTATGTGGAACTGTGAGTCCATTAAACCTCTTTTTCTTTATAAATTACCCAGTCTCAGGTATGTCTTTATCAGCAGCGTGAAAATGGACTAATATAGCTGGTAATTCAGGAGCCTCCCGGGAACAGAGCTCCAAGCTTCCGTAGCCCATCCCTCAATGTGAAGGGAAGCTGTACCATGAACCACTTGAGAGAAAGTAAATCTAATGCATTTTAAAAGACATACAAAGAAGAACCATTTATAGGAACCATTCTGGTGTGAGGGCTCACTTTAGAATGTTTGTGTGTTTTCCTGTTGATGGGAATGTAAATTAGTTCAACCATTGTAGAAGACAGTGTGGTAATTCCTGAAAGATCTAGAAGCAGAAATACCATTTGACCCAGCAATCCTATTACTGGTTATATAACCAAATGAATATAAATCATGCTGTTATAAAGATGTATGCACGCATATGCATATGTTCATTGCAGCACTAGTCACAATAGCAAAGACATGGAGTCAACCCAAATGTCCATCAATGATAGAATGGATGAAGAAAATGTGTTACGTATACACCATGGAATACCATGCAGCCACAAAAAGGAATGAAATCTTGTCGTTTGCAGGGACGCAGAAGGAGCTGGAAGACGTTATATTCAGAAAACCAACGCAGGAACAGAAAACCAAACACTTCATGTTCTCACTTCTAAGTGGGAGCTGAACGATGAGAATACATGGACACATGGCGGGGGAACAACACACACTGGGGGGCCTGTTGCATGGGTAGGGGAGGGAGAGCATCAGGAAGAATAACTAATGCATGCTGGGCTTAATACCTAGGTGGTGGGTTGATTCGTGTAGCAAACCACCATGGCACAGGTTTACCTGCGTAACAAACCTGCACCTCATGCACAAGCACTCCGGAACTTAAAAGCTGAAGAAAATAAATGAAAAATAAAGATTAAAAAAAAAAGAATGTTTGTGTGTTTTCCCAAATCTTATTAAAATCCTGTCTACCAGAGATGAAGGTCTCTCTTTTCTTTTGTTCTCAAGGGTGAGTGGGCGGCTTGTTACTCATTTCTTTCCCCTAATCCCAGGTACCTCATGTGTATTTGAAGTCTGAACTCGACGCCTTCCTCGCCTTTCCTTCACCAGGGTAAGTGACCCATGCTACATAAAGATTTCCTAACAAGTGCTGCCTTCCACTGTCAGATCACAGTTCATAACCACAGCCGGCAAAGCTGTGCGAGCCGCAGCCTCTGGAGGCCCGGGAACTGCTCTCAGCCCGTCTGGTTTGTCTTTCAGTGAAGTGAAGGCTGGGTCAGCTCCACCACCTCGACCTGGGGAATGTGTTTTTGGGAAAACCAAGTAAGAGCGGGAGGGAGTGGTACAGCAGCACTCAGCCCTCTGGGATTTAGTTCAGGTGCGTTTGAGCTGAAAGGATTTTGTTTTTCACCTGTCTGCATGTTCTTAAAAAAAAAAAAAAAAAAAAAAAAAAGACCAGGGCATTGTTTTAAAATGTCACCACGCATCTGCGCATCGCTGCACTTTTTTGATCTTGGCAGCCCTCCAGAGAGGCGCTGGTGTTGGCGCCGCGGGCCGGGCTCCTGCTGCTGAGGCTACCCAAGGCCCCCGCCCCGTGCTGGTTCTCGCTGTGTTGCCCAACCGCTAATCAGGGCTTGGGCCCTTCTCACCTGTTGACCTGCTGCAGCTCATTCCTGAATTTCTCAATCACTGCTGGGTACGGCTGGTCTGCAACCTCAACCAGCTGTTCGGGATTTATTTCTAATAGAGCTAATGTTTTAAAATCATTTTTGTCAGCAATGAAGGCCCACCTGGCCATCCCGAAGTTGCAGAACGCATCCATCTCCCTGAGGAGTGCGGCGAGCATTATGTTCATGTTCATTAAAAACCCTTTCATAATGACATCCTTACTATCAAAGGGCACAGAGATGATTGACCTTGGCATCCAGGATTAAGGCGGCATTATTTTTCTTGATTACCAGCAGCAGAATAGAAGGGAAATTATAAAGCCATTGAGAAGATTAATACAGCCTTGATCTCTCTCTCCTGGCTCTTTATCTCAAGTGATTAAAATTCTGCAGGAAAAAAAAAATGGTCATGTAGCATACGCCGCCTGCCACAGACAGATATGGTATCAGCTCCATGCATCAGCTTGCTGTGACAGCCGCGCAAAGGTTAATTATGCATGCTGTATATAGTTTTAATCACTTTAATCAGAGCACTGTTCCACTACAGCCCAGGCTATAACTTCTCTACAAGCAGGGGAAGTACTTCAGGCATGGCAGTGTTTGTGTAGGGGAAGAAAAGAAGAAAAATGGTACATTAACCACAAAAAGAAAGATAATGCAAAAGCTATTGACTGAACAACAAGATTAAACTGGGTGTCCATCCTGGACACGCAGCGAATGGCTGAGTGAGGCTGAGTACCGGGAGCGTGGCTGGCTGCCAGGAGCCGGTACAGAATTGGAACCTTCTCTGCCAAGGTTCTGAAGCACAGCCTGGCCCCTTGAAAAGGGCGTGGGGTCCAGGAGTCAGGGTGCTGCGGTCTCTGCCTCCAGGGAGTTCTGACATCAGGGGCAAGTGGCTGAGCCCAGCGGCTGCAGCAAATACTTCTCACTCTCTGCAGACTTCTCAGATGCAAAGCGCCCAGTTGTTTGCCTCCACCTTCATCTAGTAACTGCAAGGGTAATACCAAATTGTGACTTGAAACCAAACCATTTATTTTTGACTTGTACCAAAGCATTTGGTTTTAGGCCACAGTGGTGTCATCCTAATCACACACTCTTGCAGCCGCCATGTTTTGTCCTTACAACTGCTTGGTTTGGCTTCACGAATAGTAAGAATATTCAGTGGTGTGGATCGTTTTAAAACTATGCAAGTTACCGCACACAGAATATTACAGATTGTCCCCCAGAGAAGTATAATCGTAAAGGTGGGGAGACCAACTGGGTACCTTCTCCCAAGAAATTACTGACTGTCGGATATAGAAGTTGTAGTCCAAGAGACTGTCACAGCAATTTTACATTTTTCATTATGATCATCTGTATTAGCAAATGTTAATTAAAATTTTTTTTTATCTTGACCTGAGTGGCGATTACACAGGCTTTTACTTTGTGATAGTTCATTCAGTTGAGATTTGTATACTTTTGTGTATGCATGTTAGACTTCCAATAAAAGAATTTTAAATGTCACAGGGCTGCCCTGATATTAGGAGAAAAATAATATTTCCTCTAGGAATTAAAAAAAAGATGATTATTTGAATATGAGAAGGTGGGTGAGAAGAAAAGAGATAACAGAAACAGAGGAGACTCTTCCTCTTCGAACCCTCTAAGTGCTGATCTAACTTTGCTCATCTACAAAGAGAGAGGATTATATGAGATGATATTTAAGATTTCACCAATTCCGATAAATACAGTGTTAATAGTTGTCATGACAAGAGAACTTCGTTTGTGGTTAAAAAGCCTTTATTTATTTATTTATTTCATTTTATTTTATTTTTTTGAG
Organism: Homo sapiens; assembly: GCF_000001405.40. Taxonomy (NCBI): domain Eukaryota; kingdom Metazoa; phylum Chordata; class Mammalia; order Primates; family Hominidae; genus Homo; species Homo sapiens. Next base: position 3,878,513 of record NC_000007.14, on the reverse strand, counting down.
ACAGAGTCTTGCTCTGTCACCCAGGCTGGAGTGCAGTGGTGCCATCTTGGCTCACTGCAAGCTCCGCCTCCCGGGTTCACGCCATTCTCCTGCCTCAGCCTCCCAAGTGGGACTACAGGCGCCTGCCACCATGCCCAGCTAATTTTTTTGTATTTTTAGTAGAGATGGGGTTTCACCGTGTTAGCCAGGATGGTCTTGATCTGCTGACCTCGTGATCCACCCGTCTCGGCCTCCCAAAGGGCTGGGATTACAGGCGTGAGCCACCGCACCCGGCCAAAAGCCTTTATTTATTTTTTAAACAACTGAGTTTTTCTCTTTTAATATGAAAAAAAAATTGAAAAGATACTGTTTGATTTTGGGGAGAAACTTCTCTCATTTATCAAAGACTATAAAAATGTTTTATTCAAGAGCTTTTAAATGCAGAGACAGGGACATTACATATGCTTTAATGGGAGTATGTACAACTTAGAACAGCCTTTCCAAAGTGAATGTGGTGATATGTCTCATTATTTAAAATAGGCATTCCCTCTGTTCCAGCAAATTTACTTCAACGAATGTACTCTAAGGAAACAGCTGTGTATGTATTAAAAGACTTATGTGTAAGGCAGTTCACTGCAGTTCACTGCAAGTAACCTAAATTCCATTGATGGCTAAATACATTTAGAAAATCCATATCATGGCATTCTATGAAGGTGTTAATTGCTGACATGAAAACATGTCTGTGATAGAGCACTGAGTGAAAGGGGTTATCCACATTGACTTTAGGATGATACCCCGTCTTATACGAATCTCCATATTTTCATAGAAAAAAAAGTTTGAAAAGATATGCTTTAAAAGTTAACAGTGGTTAACTCTGTGTGATAGGATTACAGATGATTTTGTTTCTTTTTCAGATCTTTTGTGTATTCTTTTTTAATACTTTTATAACCAAAGTTAAAAGGGATAAACCATCTAAAGATTTTTCTCTAGAAGATAAAGACATGCCTCCACTAGATACAGTTCATATCTCCAATCAATTAACTAATCCCCAAAAAGATGTGAGTTTCCAAGCTGGGCACACTGAACTGTGGGGTGGAGAGGGAACACGGTTGTTCTCTCTTTGAGATGTCGAACGTTTAACAATGTCATAGCAGCTACTTTCTGCTGAGGGCCTACTATGTGCAAGGAACCTCAGTTGGTCCCTCAGTTGATCCTCCTAACAACTCTGCAAGATGATTATTGGCCTCAAGTGTGGAGGAAACATAGCTCAGAGAGGCGGACTCTCCAATGCATGGAAAAAACAGGGGCAACGCTCAGCTGCCATGGGCCAGGAGGGTTTAGGGACTGAAAGACCAAGTGGCCACTCTGATGAGTTGTTTATTCATTCCAATGGATTGGGGTCTGTTCCTAGCCAGAATTTGTATCCATGCCTCTCTGGTTCTGAAGCTAGAGCTTTTAACTGTGACCTTTCAACTATGCCCACGTCACCTCTGAATGTAAGAATGAAGATTTATACAAAGGAAATATGGGAGAGGGGCAGAGGGACAGAAGGTATTTATCTTAGCATAAAAGTCTTTGCTTTAAGAAAAGAACAAAGTAGAATTCGTTTAAAAAGAAAATCCCTATTAAAATGGACATAATTCAATTACACAAAAATTATTTTGGGGCCCCTGTGTGAAGTCTGATAGAGCTGTGTTAAAATGCTAACATTTGGTGAATCCAGCCCAACTAGTATCTCCTACCTTAGCTCTAGAGACTTCACATGGAAGCCTGGTCACTTATCTTGATTAAAAGTGCCACTGTGTCAAAAGAAAAGACAGTAAGTATCCATTCCTCTCCAAAAACATCTTTCATTTGGCCACTTAAGGTCTACTATAGTATTGTATTTTAGGTTTTGAAATATGAAATGTAATTTTCAATATCTTAAACTCTAAATATCTTAAGATGTTATGAGTTCTCAATGCCTGTTTTTACATTTTAAAATTATAAAAATAATACCCAGAGAAAAAGTACTTCCTAGAACCAGTTTCTAAAAGCATCTGTTCATTTTAGGAGAATGAGGACAAAAAGATTTAAATATTGAATTCTTCCTGGCTTAGTTTATATTGAGGTCCCAAGAAGTTGATGTGATGATTCTTTCCACATCCCATGGTAGAAGGTCCTCAAAACAGGACCTGCAGCATTGGATGTCAAAAACTTGTTTTGCAAACTTTAGCTGGTCACACATTTCTACCCCAAAGAAGACTGGGGAAAATGCTGCCCAAAAAGCTGGAAATTAGGAGAAATACTTTGAACAAAGTTGCCAGGATGCTGGGAGTTCAGCCCCTACCCTACTTCACTTCAAGTCAAGCGTGAGGACTTCAGGAGGACACTGGGAGAGTCTGGATGTGTCCCCGGCAATTTGGAGGGAAACAGCAGACTAGTGCCTGACTCACACCACAGCAGTTCTGGCCAGAGCACCTGCAGTGGAAGAGCGGTGGATTGGAATGACATACTTCCACCACCTATGGCAAGAGGCTACCAAGCAAAACTTTCCCCCACATTGTGTGAGAAACAGTGTCTTAGACTTTGCTCAAGAGAACTGCCAGGCAAGTGAGAGAACAAAGAAGCTGGAAGTGTAGCCCCTGATGGTAGGAGTTAAGGAGGGGACACCAGGACCTACCAGCTGCAGGTGGTACACTCTTACATATTAAGGGGCCTGAAGGTGGAGATTCCCAAGGATATAGGGGTTTCAGGGGTATCCACAAAGAGTCTAACAAGAGAACACCACCTATAACCAACCACCTCTGCTAGTTCCAGAAAGTACTGGTCAAGTCTGAACTTTCTGTCTCCTTCCTTTAGATCCCTGCCCACACCCCAGTTTTTGCCAATCTTTCCTACCCGAGTCTCTACATCTACAAACTGGGAGGGTTCCGTGGAACCCATAGAGCTGAGAGAGATGGAGAAGAAGCTGAAGTGGGGATAAAGAGGGGACGCCTACCACAGCCCCTTTCCCACTGCAGAGAGCCAGCTTGACACACGATTGCATAGGAGAGGCAAAAACTCGCTCCGAGAGCCTTTCCTCTATGTGGGACTAAACAGTTTAATTTGTGATCTGGGGATTATCTTGGGTATTAAAGGAACTAAAGAACGATTTGGTTTTCTGAGAGTGACTTAAAAGGTAAGTGGCAGAAACTGGCTACAGCAAACTTGTGCTTTCAGCTCCTAGAGGTAGAGAGCTGGAAAGAACATTGCTCTCACTCTTACCACAGGAAAAATGCTGGACGAAGTGCAGACTAATGACTTTTCTTGACTCTGTCAGAGAACCAAGGGTACAGGGAAAAAACTAACTCAAAACCTAGAAAATCCAGAAAGAGATAGACATTTCCAGGGAGAAACAGACCCAACCATTTGCTTATCTGGGACAGACACCTTGAACTCACTATAAGCCCATAGGAAGATTCAACTAGAAGTCTGAATAAACTGCCTAAGGCCAAGTATGGGCTAGTGAGCGTGTATAAAGCCCCACAGACCAGGACATAAAGGGGTTAAGAGCCTAGAGTAGGATTTTCCTCCAGGAACCCTAAAGGGTGCTCTCAGGGCAGCTCAATGAGAAACCTAAGACAGCTTCCCCCACTTGGTGCTGGATGTGGGGGAAGAACAGGCACCTCTGCCAAAACTCTCCTGAGACGTATCTCCCCTATGTTCCTGGAAGAACAAAAGCTTTAATCTATAGGGTGAAGGACAAAAAACTAAAGCTTTAAGGCACTGCTAGAATCTTACTGTGGTCAGAAAGAAATGGTAGCTACCACCAAACTCTGCACACACTCATCACCCCCATCTTCCCTAAGGAATGAAAGCCTTACTATGCAGGAGAAAGAGCAAAAAACAAAACAAAAACTGTAGCATGAGGGCAGGGGTGGGATCGCACTGCAGATAGGGCAGGGGAACGGGGGTGGAGAAGGAGTTCTACCCCTGGAAGGGAGGCGGGAATATATGCTAGGCCCAGCATGACAGGTAGGGAAGGAGCAGGAACACTTGTCAGGACTACAGCCTCAGGCCCCAGATTCACAGGCACCTGCCTAAGCCTGAGGCTTAATCAGAACAGAAAAGAATGCCCTCAATCCCTGCACACACATGACCTGCACACACTCAAAAGCACTAAGCAAACATAATTGAAGGATACAGCAGGGGAGCTGCAAGAAGCAGATTCCCTGAGGGGACCAGTGCAAAGAGAAGACTCAAAGTCAAGTCAGGGAAACTCAAAAGACAAATGGGGAGCAGATACGGAGACAAGTCTGAAAAATTATCCCATGCTATGAACACATGATTCCACTAGAGAAACTTAGGCCTCGAGTAGAATGAGGGTAACCATGGCAATGATAAACTTTAAACCTAGCCAAATCTCTGACCAAACGAACAAAAACCTTCATATTAATGGCCCAGTGGAAAGAAAAGCATGCTCATCTCCAACCACACAAAATATTGACCTCAGTGTCTACTGTCCTATTATATGACATAACAGGCTTTCAACAACAACAAAACTATTATGAGGCATATGAAAAAAAGCAAGGAAAAATACTCCACAAAGAGACAAAACAATGATCAGAAGAAGACTCAGACATGACATGTATCTTGGACCTATCAGACAAAGAATTTAAAACAACTATAGCTAATATGTTAAAGGCTCTAATAGTAAATAACATATAGGATCAGACGGGTAATTTCACACAAAAATGGAAACTATAAAAATAATTAAGTGAAAAAGAATTAAATGGAAATGATAGAAATCAGAAAAACAGTATTTAGATTAAAAATGCTTTTGATGGGCTCATGAGCAGACTTGAAAAGACTACTGAACTTGAAGATGGGTCAATAGGAATTAATCAATCTGAAATGCAAAGAGAAAAAACAAGGCAAACAAAACTAAATGGAGCATGCAAGCACTGTGGAAGAATATCAAACAGCCTAACATATACATAATTGGAATTATAAAATCAGAAAGAAAAACAGAAGGGACAGAAGAAATGGCTGAAAAAATAATGGGCTAGGATTTTCCAAAATTAGTGACAGACACCAAATCATCAAAGCTTAGAGGACATCAAGCAGCAAAACAAAACAAAACAAAACACAAACTCTACATCTAGTTATGATATTCAAACTACTGAAAAAGAAGGGACAAATAAAAAATATTTAAGGAAGCCAGAGGAAAAAAAGACATATTGCCTACAGAGGAGCAAGATAAGAAATATAGCAGACTTCTTGGCAGAACTCATGCAAACAAGAAAACAGTGGAATTACATCAAATGTTTAAAGAAAAACATCTCAATACAGGATTCTACACCCAGTAAAAATATCCTCTAAAAGTGAAGGAGAAAGAAAGACTTTTCAGACAAAAACAAATCTCATGGAATTTACTGCCAGTAGACATACTCTTCATGAAACATTAAAGAAAATTCTTCAGGCAAAAGGAGTATGATATAGGTCAGAGACTGGGATAAATACGAAGACATGAAAAGCATCATAAATGGAATAAAGGAAGGTAAATTAAAATTATTTATTTTTAAGTTCTCTAAAAGATTACTGACTGGTTAAAGCTGTAATAGTAAAAATATCTGGTGTGTTGATACTGTATGTAAAAGTAAAATGTATGACAATAATAGTAGAAGGAATGGGAGAGGGGAATTAGAAATACACTGTTATAAGGTCCTTATACTCCGTGTGAAGCAGCATAGCATTATGTGGAGGTAGATTCAGATTTTTAAATGTATATTGTGAACTCTATAGCATCCATGATGAAAGTTTTCAGAAAAAAGGCATTAAATCAGTGAAACCAAAAGCTACTCTTTGAAAATTTCAATAAAAGCAGTAAATTTCTAGGCAGGCTAATTAAGAAAAAAGAGAAGGCACAACTACAATATTCGAGTGGAATATGGTATCACTGCTGATATCACATATGTAAAAAAAAAAAAAAAGATACCAAAAACAATCCTATGACCATAAATTCAACAACTTAGATGACATGAACTAATTCCTTGGGAAAAAAGGCTACAAAAACTCACTTAAGAAGAAAAACAACCTGAATAGTCTTATATGTATTAACAAAATTGTATTTATAGTGAAACCTTTAAAAACAAAATAAAATAAAACTCCAGACTCAGTGTCACTAGTTAAATCTTCCGAACATAACAACTCTATACGATATCTTACAGAAAATAAAAGAGAAGGGAATACTTCTCATTTTATGAGACTAGCATTTACCCTAATACCAAAGCTAGATAAACACATCACAAGCAAACGTAACTATGGATGAATAACTCTCATGAATAGAGAATATAAACATTCTCACCGAAATGTTAGTAAAATGAATCCAGAAATATATAAAAGTACACGAAAGAATAACATATTATTACCAATTGGGATTCATCCAAGGATTGTAAGGTAAGTTCACCAATCTATGCAATTCACCAAATTAACAGACTAAATAAGAAAAAACAAAACAAATGATCATCTCAATAGATGCAAGAAAAGATTTGAGAAAGTTCATAACAAAAACTCCCAGAAAATGAGAAATTGAAGGGAACTTCCTTAACCAAATATGGGACATCCACAAAATACATATAGCTAACATCAGATTTAATGGTAAAAGATAATGGCTTTTTCCCTTAAGATCAGGAATAAGGAGAGGTGGTTTTTTCTAACCACTCTGATAAAATCTGGACATTTGTCCCCTCCAAATCTCATGCTGTAATTTGATCCCCAGTGTTGGAGGTGGGGCCTGGTGGGTGGCGTTGGGGTCATGGGGGCAGATCCCTCACGAAAGGGTTGGTCATTCACTATACTTAGTTCCTGGGAGGGCTGATTGTTAAAGGGAGTCTGGCGCCTCCCCGCTACTTGCTTCTGCTCTTGCCCTGGGATCTCTGCACACAGGCTCTCCTTTACTTTCCACAATGAATGGAAGCAGCCTGAGGTCTTCTCCAAAAGCTGAGCAGAGGCTGGCACCGTGCTTCCTGCACAGCCTACAGAACCATGAGCCAAATAAACCTCTTTTCTTTATAAATCACCCAGCCTCACGTATTCCTTTACAGTAACACAAATGGACTAAGACACATCCCCTGTACTACAGTCTATTCAGTCCTAACCAGTGCAACAAGGCAATACAGATTCGAGAGGAAGAAATACAATTCTCTCTATTCACAGATGAAGTGATTGTCTATGTAGAAACTCCCACAGAATCTGTGAAAAAATCTTCTGTAAATAATAAATGAGTTTAGCAAGATGGCGAGATAAAAGGTCAATATGTAAGGACCAATTGTATTATATACCAGCAATGAACAATGGGAATTTGGGGGAAAGATTAAAAAACCCAAAACTACCATTTACACTAGCACCAAAAAAAAAAAAAGTCAAGAAATACTTAGGTATAAATCTATTGACATATGTGCAGGATCTATCTGCTAAACACTACAAAATGCTGATGAAAAAGATCAGATGACCGAAATAAACAGAGAGGTACAGCATGTTCGTGGACTGGTAGATCAATGTTGTGAAGATGTCAACTTCGTCCAATTTGATCTATAGTTTAATACAATACCAATCAAATAATCTCTGCAAAATAACTGACCAGTACCCTTCCAAAGTATCAAGGTCATAAAAAACAAGGAAGGGATGAGAAACTGTTATTATGCATTTTGGAGAAGACTAAGAACATAAAACAACTAAATGCAACATGATGCCTTGGAGTGGATACTGCAACAGACAAAAAACATTAGTGGAAAAATGGGTAAAATCTACATAAACTCTGTAGTTTGGTTAATGGTAATGTACCAATGTTAATTTGTTCATTTTGATAAATTTATTATGGTTATATACAAAGTTAATGTTACAGGAAACTGAAAGAAGGGTATATGGGAACCTTCTGTGCTAACTTTGCAACTCTTCTGTAAATCTAAAATTATTTAAAATTAAAAGTTTACTTTTTTTTTTCTTTTTTACAAAAAGGTAAATGGTACCTGCTAGAGACTTCCCTCAAAAGGTCAGGGAAGGACTAGCATAACGAGAGCATCTTGAAGGAGCAGTGGGAGACAGGAATAAAAACTATTTACTTTAAAATTATGACACCCGCTAAGTCCTTCTTGTTCAGTATAACACCTACATCCTTATTGAGCACTCCTTTTACTCCTGATGGCCATCATCTTCCCCTGGAAATTGACACATAAGGTCAGTTCCCTCAGCTTAAAAGGGGCCAAGTCGCTGTAAAAATAACGAAAAGTAGCAATCACTTTATATATTAGAATAAATTTATAGAATGAAAAAATTAAGTTGAATATATCAAAAATCCATGGAAACTATGGCCCCTAGTTTATAACATCTTTATGGAGTCTTAAAAGCAAAATATTATATAGCTTTACATAAACTTCCCTGAATGCTGACCAAGGCTTTGTATTAAAGAATGATGCATTTTTAAATGCCTTTTATTATTTTGATCATTTTTACTTTTAATGATGCAATGACAGAACTCCATTTATGCAGAACCTTTTGCACTGCACTTAGATGGATGATCCTAAATAAATCCATGAGATTTTTAACTTGCAATACTGAGGAAACAATAAATACAACATGGCATTTCTTTCAAATAAAATAATTTCAACAGCATTTTCTTTTCCTACCCTGTGGGAACCAAAGGAACCAATGTATTATTTGTTAAAGTTCGCAAGCAACGTGTTAGGTTGGTTTTTAATTTAAGTGTACACTGTAGCCCCCTCCTCCTTTTTGCTGAGTAGTAAGACATCTCCATGTGCAGTGGACTGCCTGAGAGAGCCAGTGTCTCTCAATGTCAGGTGAGATCTCAAAATCTAAAATTTCAAAAGTTAAAAACACTGTACCCACATTTTCTGATTTGCAAGAAAAATAGATGTGGCCTGTGGAAGCCGAGTGCTGAGCAAGCAGGGAGGGGAGGAGCTGCTGGGAAGAGGACGCAGCGGGCTGGGGGCACAGGGTGGCCGCTGCAGGAAGCCTGGAGCTGACCCCGAAGCCCAGCTATCCTGCTTCCCTCTGGGCTTGCACACCTGACTGAAATCTTAGAGGAATGAAAAATACAGGCCAGGCGTGGTGGCTCACACCTGTAATCCCAGCACTTTGGGAGGCCGAGGCAGGCAGATCACCTGAGGCCAGGAGTTTGAGACCAGCCTGGCTAACATGGTGAAACCCCGTCTCCACTAAAAATACAAAAATTAGCTGGGCCTGGTGATGGACGCCTGTAATCCCATCTACCCGGAAGGCTGAGGCAGGAGAATCGCTTGAACCCGGGAGGTGGAGATTGCAGTGGGCCGAGATTGCATCACTGCACTCCAGCCTGGGCGACAGAGTGAGACCCTGCCTCAAAAAAAAAAAAAAAAAAAAGAAATGAAAAATACAACTGTGCCAAAAAGCACACTGTTAGTTTCCTCTTTTTTGGGGGAAAAAAAAATCTTCAATTGACAACGCTTTGCAGCCCAGTACAATCTCCCACACAGAATCACCAGAATCAGCTTTGTTTTTCCCGAATGAGAAATGTCGGCTGACTTCATATTTCCCTTTTGTATTACTGCCTTCCAACAATGTAATGTAGTCATTTACATTTTCTCATACGGAGCAATGATACTGTACACATCATTTATTCAGCTCAGAATATTAGGTAACAAAAGCAAGCAGGGTCAATGTTTCTCACTCTGAAGGCTGAAATGATGCCAATGAAACCCCTTTTTATAAACAGCAGCCCATGAACAGGGACCTATGTGTGCAAATTAAAGGTAACAGATGTACCCCTGGAAGTGCCCTTGGTTTATGAAGACACACAATAAAAGGTGCATATGTACATTTATGCTGACGTTTGGAATTGGGATGCAAGTCTAGACTTTATCAGGGCAGAATGCAGTATTAAAATAGTAATACATTATTGTGGGAGAAAATTATAGATGAAAGAACAGGGTTGGACCATAATACTAGAGCAGATTACATTATCTGATTGTAAAGGCCCCCCATCTATTTTGTCTAACAGTAATGCAAATTATGTTTTCAACTAAAATAGCAAATTCATTAACCAGTTGTCACCTAGTCTGTAAAGCTGACTTTGATAAGGTGGCTTTCTTTTCCTATTCCTTCTTTAATAAAGTATAGTTCCTCCACACAGACAGTTTTAACCTCATTATATCAAGGGTCCGCTTGATGGTATTTAATAACTACAGTGCTTCCCTGAGACAAATCCTCCCAGCTCATGTACCAATCATTGGAATAAACTAAGCGGCACATTTTTCAGAATCAATGATTGGTGACAGGTTTATTTTTTACCAATAAACAATAAATAATAACACTTCTAGTGGGTGATGACAGGTTACCTGATTATATTTCTTCCCAATTTGTAAGGCTGACCTATGACTCATTCCTTTGGGTCATTTCTTTTGAACTTTCCACGCCACACAGCTGCAGTCCTTCATGATGGCAGCCAAATATGCCAGGATTAACATTCCGTGAAACATTCAAACAAAAATGACTCTCGAGTTATGAAATAGGGTTTTTCCGAGAAGTTTTACACAATCTGTGGAGTCTGATCATCTCGAGAAAGATAGAAAGGATAAGTCATGGTCTGCCAGAAATGATATTTATTTCTTCCATGAAAAAAAAAGAACATGTTCATGCAGCAGAGATCCATGCATAGTCAAGGAATGATAGCGAAGAAATAAAACATAGTTATTTCTAAAGAAAATTCTGATTTAAGAAACAAGCACACTACCCCAAAGCCAGAAAATAAGCCAGATATCAAAAACCATATTTTAAGTGATGTGCTTTGGCTTTGTCCCCACCCAAATCTCATCTTGAATTCCCATGTATTGTGGGAGGGACCTGGTGGGAGGTAACCGAATCATGGAAGCAGGTCTTTCTCATGCTGCTGTTGTGATAGTGAGTAAGTCTCACGAGATCTGATGGTTTTATAAAGAGAAGCTCCCCTGCACAAGCTCTCTCTCTTTGCCTGCAGCCACCCATGTAAGAAGTGACTGGCCCCTCCTTGCCTTCCACCATGATTGTGAGGCCGCCCCAGCCATATGACACTGTGAGTCCATTAAACCTCTTTTTCTTCCCAGTCTCGGGTATGTCTTTATCAGCAGCGTGAAAATGGACTAATACATTAGGTTTTTAAAAATGGCTTAATCAAAAGGGCTGCATTTTTATATACCTTCACACCAAAATAATCAAATTCTAGTTTCTTCACATGCTTGAGAAAAACATGCTTTCAATGAAGAGTCCACTCTTTCTCTCTCCTGTGTTAGGGGCCTATTTTTTTCTTTGGCCAGTTTGAACTCATCTCTTCAGAACAAAACTGGCCAAGGTCAATTTTAATTTCACTTCAATCTAACTTAAAATCAAGCTTTTTCTGTGTTTGATTGAAGCTTAATTTTTCTTAGCTTTTACAGCACCACTTGGAAAAATACGGCTTTTCCATTAGCACGGGGAATGAAGGCCTGCGCCCACTCATACCAGCCACGTTTATTTCCACATGTGAGCCACTTTGTTGTTAACCTGCCAGAAGGACAGAGGATGGCAGAGCTGGTGCATTTCACCAGCCTAAGGCCTACCAAGGAGACTGAGCTGAGGGCTGTGGATGGAGGCCACGTGTTCTCTCGGCAGTCCAGCTCCCATGGCTAATGGGTTCAAGGTCAAACTCTTCAGCCTGGACATCAAAGTCCTTCACAGTCTGTCCTTACGCCTCCTCTCAAGTGGTTCCTCCACAGCCAGTATCCCTAAACACAGCATGCCATTCCTGTGCCCTGGGAACAGTACACTTCCCCACTCTAACCAGCCTGGTGTCTGTATGCCTCACAATCAATGCTCAGTCTCTCTTTTCAATTAATCTGTGGTCCATGGATTATGGGCAGGGGCAGGGGAGTCCACGACCTCCGTGGAATTGCATGAAAACTAGTGCGTGCATGCACTGTTCTGGAGAGCCTCTCCTCAAAATTCATCATCTCATCCTGCCCTCCCCTTGGGAGCTGTAACCCAGCTATTCTGGCCTTCTTTCCCTACACACAAAAAAGTCCCGCCTTCCTAAGGCCTGTGTACTTGTTCTCTCTGCTGAGAGAATCACTTGGCCCCCTTTCATCGTTCAAAGCACAGATCACTCTCTGGAATGATCACAGTTATGTGCTTGTTGACTTGCTTGTTGCCTTTCCCCACTGGAATCAGAGCTCAGAAGAGCAGGGTCATCTTTGTTCTCCTTGTCCTAGAATTCCCTGAGCCTGGAATGGGGCCTCTCCAGTGAGAGATGCACAATCAGTATTTATTGAAGTAATGAATGCATAAGTGAATCAGCTCTTCAGTGTGATCTGAGACCAAAGTAAGGCTCAATATGGTGGTTGTGAATGAGAGAATTCAGCCTCCCAAGAACTGAAAGGACTTTATGCATGTATTCTAAAATAGCTAAAAAGTCAACTAACAAAATATATTCATAATGTTTTATTCTGTATTCTGTCACTCTGCCTCCTTTTCCTTTCAATCCCATCTCATCCTTCGCATCCCCATCTCCTTTCTGATCTGTGTACCAGCAGGTCCGCTGCTGCTCTCTCTGCTTTTCAAATACACACTTTAAGTGTGTTTATGTAGGACTACGAGGGCTTCTTTTCCCTGTGGAGCCCAAAATAACTTCTGAAAAGATGTTGGTGCTAGTGATCTTGGGTTATTTAGAAGAAAAATCCATAAAACTGATGGGTTAAGAATGGAGGTGAAGCCAGACATAGTGGCTCATGCCTGTAATCCCAGCGTTTTGGGAGGCTTGAGGCCAGGAGTTTCAGACCAGCCTGGGCAACACAGTGAGACCTCATTTCTAAAAAAAAAAAAAAGAAAAAAATAAGCCAGACGTGGTGGTACACACCTGTAGTCCCAGTTACTTGAGGGGCTGAGGTGGGAGGATCACTTGAGCCCAGGAGTTTGAAGCTGCGGTGAGCTGTGATTACACCACTGCACTCCAACCTGGGCGACAGAGCGAGACCTTGTCTCCAAAATAAAATAAAACAAAATAAAAGAACTCAGGGAAAATAGACACCTGGTTTCTATCTGGTGGCTATTCTTTCATTTCTGCCTACAAAGCATACATATTTGTAAATGGCGTGTCACATGTCAAAACATTTTGAGTCTGTCGGTCTTACTCCTCTCCACATTCCCACATCCCTCCAAAGGGAGTGGGATGAAATGCCCTTCTGCATTCTCTCCTTTCTCCCACCAACTCACCCTTTAGGCCAACCCATTCTCACTTCTTCAGGAGGATCACCAGGCCTCCCACACTCCCTGCTTCCACAACCTCCAGCCCCCTGGGCCCTCCTGCCCCATCTGCTGTGGCTCAGATGGGGCTTCCTATGAATCTCATCTCTGTGGACGTTCATCACTTCCCAAGATGGGGGTATGACATGCCCTTCCTTTCTACTCCTGTCAGTAAAACGTGCTGGAGGGCACGGGGACCTCATGCCACAGCCAAGACGTCTGAGTGGTAGGAGACTGAAGAAACGTATAGGAAATGTGCTCAGAGTTAGCACCCCTGAGAGACCAGTGGTCAGAGAGCAAGCTCAAATGGGACAGTCTGTTAAACATGGAGGATTTGTGCTGGGGGAAAATGCTTCTTACTCACATCTGTTTTCTTCTTTGTGGAGAGAATGCACTATCGTCACTACTGGTATTAGTGATCCACTATTGTCATTCCCTCTTTCTCTGCTCCCTCATTCTTTCCCTCACTGGGGAAAGAAGTGTGACTGAGCTAATTGGTGAATTTGGGAGCAATAAACAGGGTGTATTCCCTGGGGCTCCTTCCTCTTTCCCGTTACTAAGCAGGCTAGATCAGGAGGCACACCAACTCTGCCCCTCACATCCCCAGGGCTGTCTGAGACTGGACGGCCAAGGTCAGCTGTGCCCCTCACGTCCTTGGGGCTGTCTAAGACTGGGTGGCCAAGTTCAGCTCTGGTTTTGTTGTCTGGAAACCTACTTTCTTGCAGAGATATTAGCCACATCTCTAATATCCGTGTATTAGTTATAAAGACAATATTTTAACTTCCTATCTGCTTTACCCTTTTGTCTTATTCTTCAACAGATGGAGACGTCAGGCAGGAAAGGGAAGGGACAGTTTACTGAATCTCTGCCCACAACAACTATCAACATATATCGACCTTCTTTCCCTCCCAAAGCCCCATTAAAATGACAGCAAAAGATATGTAAAAATGATTGACTATAAAAACAAAGAGAACAGAATAGGAAACGTAAGGAGAAGAGAAGTAAACTTGATCCCTGCCCAAATTGACATAAACACAATTTTTCTTCTATGTGTAAACATATTAGAAGTGAGCCAGTTCCAGGCACAGTGAATGAAAAATAGACCAGCCTACTTCTTTGTACTAAGTAGAATGTTTATTATGAAAACAAAAACAAAAACAAAAAACAGAAATTAAGTGCTGGCAAGGATATGAAAAAATTGGAACCTGTGTGCACTGTGGATGGGAATGTGACCACTGTGATCATTGTGGAAAACAGTATGATGTGTCCCCAAAAAGCTAAACATCGACTTACCATGCAACCCAGCAATTCCACTCCCAGGTATATACCCAAAGAAACTGTAAGCAGACTCGAACAAGTATCTGTATACCCATGTTCATAGCAGCAGATTCACAACAGCCAAAAGGCAGAAACAACCCAAGCGCCCGTCAGGGAATAAGTGGATAAACCAATGGGGTCCATCCGTACGATGGAATATTCTTCAGCCTTAACAGGGAAGGAATTCTGACAACTGCTACAACATGGATGAACCCTGAAGACATTGCACTGAGTGAAAGAAGCCAGTCATAAAAGGACTCATACTGTATCATTCTGCTTCTATGACCTTCACAGAGTAGGAACATTCAGAGACAGAAAGTAGAACAAAAGTTATAGAGAGAGTGAGGATGCTGAAGAGGGAGGATGATGAAGAGTTATGGTGTAATGAGTGCAGCGTTTCTGTTTGGCACGATGGAAAAGTTCTGGAAATGGATGGTGGTAATGGTGGTGCAACAATATGAATGTGCTTAATAACATGAAGTTGTACATGCAAACATAGTTAAAATGGTAACATTTATGCAATATATATATTTTGCCACAGTTAAAATAAAATGGGCCAGCCAGGCAATGGGGTGCCAATCTCAAAAGGGCAGTAAGGCATCAGTGGAAATGCTGACAAGTGGAGAAAAGTTTCAGGCAGAATTTCCCTCACTGGAAAGGTCTCTGATAATTCAATTGGTGGGAGAGGTAAGGAACCCAGGAGGCAAGCAGGGCTAACACTATTCATTCCCTGTGTTCCTTTAAGGAGTCTGGGTCATCTTGCTAAGTAGATAATCCAGCCTGGAACAGAAGTGAATGGCTCAGGAGGACAGGAACCAGGCTGAGGGTTTGCACCAGCAGTCCTCTGCTCATCCTCTAAGGCAGGGGTCCCCACCCTCCAGGCCGCAGACTGGTATGGGTTCCAGGCCTCTTAGGAACTGGGATGCACAGCAGGAGGCGAGCTGCTGGTGAGTGAGCATTACCGCCTGAGCTCCCCCTCCTGTCAGATCAGCCAGCGGTGGCACTGGATTCCCATAGGAGCACAAACCCTATTGTGAACTGTGCATGCCAGGGATCCATATGGGTTGCATGCTCCTTATGAGAATCTAATGCCTGAACACCCTGAAACCATCCCTACCCACCATGAAAAATGTTTTATGTCTTCCACAAAACTGCTCCCTGGTACCAAAAAGGTTGGGGACGGCTGCTCTAAGGAACACTGAAGTATGGAACTAAGAGAGGTCCCAAATAAACCACTAGTAACTCAAGCTCAAATTTTTTTCAGAAAAAGCCTGACGTATTAAAAAGCCTGACATTTGAAGTGAAAATAAGGAAGAGACTAAGTGAAAGTCACTGACTATTCAAGCTTTGCCTAACAAATAATTCAGATAACCACTTTTTCCAACTCAGGAATTAGGAAGCATTATCTGAGAAAGGAATCTTTCTGATGCATAAACATTAAAGTCTGACAAAGTTACAAAAGTTATCCTAGTTATGTTATGCATTAACACATACCCTTTACCAAAAAGAAGACATTGTCAAAAATCATTCTATTCCCACAAGATTTGCTCGCTGTGCCACAACAACACAGACCGAGACTGCACCAGCCTGGAAATGCTGTCTGAACCAGGGATCTGTCAATCCTGGCTGCAGACAGAAATTACCTGGGGAACTTGAAAAGGTACTAGCGCCCTGCTTCCTCCCCCAGACATTCTGATGTAATTGGTCTGAGTGTTTTCTGGGACTTTCCAAAGCTCCGCCATGTGGTTCAAATATGCAGCCACTGCTGAGAACTGGTCTAAATAAAGGAAAGCAATTTCCTAAGCATTGCGTAAGTAGATGGATCTGTCCATGTAGTAATTCAAATGAGATGTTTCTGCAGGAAACTCCCCCACCCACCATTGGCAAGGAGCTTTTTCAAACCGTGCTCTGGGAAACATTTATACACAATAATACTCGGCAGCCTTTGTTTGCTGCCAGGTCACTTAAGGCAGGGTCACTAGAGTCTTCTAGGATGCTCTGCAGGTTTTTGTGTAGGAGCTCCGGAGTGCCACAGCTCCTGGCATTGTTTACCACCTTTACACTGGGACAGATAAACACAAACTCTTTTAATTCAGTAATCAGGACAGATAATTACATCCTCTTAATTGTTTTCTTTTTTCAACTTAGGTTCACATTGACGGGAGAGGGTAAAATTAGTCCACAAGCCATGTGAAGTTTGCTACTTTGCTGATTAAAGCCTTAATTGATTCAGAATGTTTTACAAATCAATCTTGGTGAATTACTTCAGGCTCATGAAGACAGCTTATAAAGAAGTGTTAGCCCCAAATAAGGTTTTGAATGAGCACCAAGTTAACAGACATCCCTTCTGGTGAAGACATTCAAGTTCTCCATAGTATGGAAATGAGTCGTGCTTTCTCCCATTTGTGTTCAAATTACTCATTCCATTTATTTTTGGTGGCACCCAAGCAGCAGGGGGTCAGTGGAAACTGTTCAGTTTGAAGCACACAAGCACTCCCCAAGCCCAAAAATGCCTGCACAGTGATTACTACCCTCCTACAAGCACCAAAACAATCAAGCAAGAAGATGCTTCAACTTTAAAGATACCGAATGGAACTACAAGCGAATTTTGCTTAAACAAATACATAGATGACTTAAATAACTAGTGGAGAGTAAAATGACAGCAATGTCTTTCCTGATCTTTTTGCACGGCGCTTCACTGACCTTTGCATATAATATTGCATCCTAGCTACATAATAGGCTCTTTAATCATCCTTCTCAGGAACATTACAACTGTTTCCAGTTGACACGAGGACAAACACCCTTACGCGTGTCTCCCTGTGATCATGTGCAACTATTTTTCACAGCAGTAGACTGAAGGGTTACAGAGCTTGGACATTCATCATTATAATCGTGTCGGCCTAAAAGGAAGTGGCTGAGGCACAAAATATAGACAGTTTACTTGAGCCAAAGTGGGGACAGCTGCCCAGAAGACTGAGACCCCGGTAACCTTGGATGTGAGCTTCATTCGGCCTTTGTTGCAAGCAGGTTTTTAAAGGCAAAAAGTGGGGGACAGGGAGTGGGCTGATCAAGTTTTTTTGGTCAGCAATTCTCATTGGTTTACAGGAATCACATTGATTAGTGATTGGCTGCATATTGTTAAACTATAGGGTGTGGGTTACAGTGTCAGGTGCGGCATTATCAAGTTAATTTATAGCTACTTGTGGCAAAAAATAGCAGTTTCAAGAGATGAATACAGGCCTCCAAGGGGAGAGGAGGAGATGACTGCTACGTCATTTTAATGTCTCTCTGGGCCTGATAATTTAAAAGGACTCACATCCCTCAAATAAAAGTTATTTTCTCAATAGATATCACCAAATTGCTCCCAAAAATGGCTGTATTAATTTACACATCAATTGCATTTTGAAAATTCCATTATCCTTTTACCCTGCTCAACACTTGATATTATCAAACTTCTTAAATGTTTGACAACTTGAGTGAAAATTTATAGTTTGCCTTAATTTGGATTTCCTAGATGAAAAGTCAACTTGACCATCTTTTCATGCATTTACTGGCAATATGTATTCATCACCTATCAACCTTCTTGTCAAATCCTTTGCCCATCTTTTTTTCATTGTCTTTTTTCGAGTGATTACCTCTAAAAAGACTTTGTAGATTGACTATGTTGCAAATGTTTTCTTCCAGTCTGTCTTTTGTCTCAATTTTGTTATAGGGCCTTTGTTACATAGAGGTTTTAAATTTTGATGCAATAAAATATTTCTATCACTCTGGGAGGCTGAGGCAGGCGGATCACGAGGTCAGGAGAGTGAGACCATCCTGGCTAACTTGGTGAAACCCCGACCCTACTAAAAATACAAAAAACTTAGCCAGGAGTGGTGGCAGGCACCTGTAGTCCCAGCTACTCGGGAGGCTGAGGCAGGAGAATGGCGTGAACCTGGGAGGTGGAGCTTGCAGTGAGCCAAGATCATGCCACTGCACTCTAGCCTGGGCGACAGAGTAAGACTCCGTCTCAAAAAAAAAAAAAATTTCTATCAGTTCTTTTGTTGCTTTAAAACTTTGTTTCTTAAAAAAGATCTTCCCCACACGTCATTATTTTCTAAGGATGTACAGTTTTGTATTTTGCATGTATATGTTTCACCTATTTGCAATGGATCTGGAGAAGTGTGACGTGAGTGACACAGGTGTGGTGGGCAGTGTGGTAACTCAGTGTTGACTTAACCCCTGAAAATCACTTTCAGCCAATGAGCATCTGGCTGTCCCCTGGGGATGGTAATGGAAGTTGGCCTTATAAGACAAAAGAGAAGGAATTTTTATGGGGTGACTTTCTTTGTCTGTTGATAATGTAACAGGATGCACCATGTCCAAACTGCTGCCAGCTGCCATCTTGGTTTGGGATGAAGCCAATGCTGAGAATGGTAGAGCAGAAAGACAGAAAAAACTCAGGTCTTTACAACATCATGAGCCACAGTGGGCACCTACAGCCTGCTTTTAATTACCTTACTGAAAAAAAAACCAAAACCAGCGTGAGTTGAGGTTTTCTGTTACTGAAGTTCAAAGTGCCTGATAAGTGGATTTCACTATGGAAGAACTGCAACTACCCTGATGCCATCATGCAATGACAGCCTCAAGCCATGAGCAAAGGCCCCCCAGGAGGAGCTACCTTGGAAGGAGACCTCCAGCCCAGCCTCCCAGCTAGGCAGGTGGATCAAAGTTGAGCCCCCAACCATCACCTGCCGAGCCCTTTTCCAATTCATGACCCACAAAATCTTGAGCAAAAGAAAAATATGGGCCGGGCTTGGTGGCTCACGCCTGTAATCCCAGCACTTTGGGAGGCCGAGGCGGGCGGATCACGAGGTCAGGAGTTCGAGACCATCCTGGCTAACACAGTGAAACCCCGTCTCTACTAAAAATACAAAAAATTAGCCGGGCATGGTGGCGGGCGCCTGTGGTCCCAGCTACTCGGGAGGCTGAGGCAGGAGAATGCCGTGGACCTGGTGGGTGGAGCTTGCAGCGAGCCGAGATCACGCCACTGCACTCCAGCCTGGGTGACAGAGTGAGACTCTATCTCAAAAAAAAAAAAAAGAAAAAAGAAAAATACAAGGTTTTAGACAACTAAATTTTGGGACAACTGTTATACTAGATAACCAAAAACAACACTATTGCTCATTCTTATTCTAGTATCACAAATTTATTAGTTGATGTTTGCAATACACTTTGACACCTGATAGGGAAATTCTTCCTTCGTTTTTTGCTTACTTTTAAAGCTTGTACTGGGACTTGTGCTTCCTAGAAGGATGGTACAGATATACCATTCCCTATTCCCCCTGCTACACAACAACAAAAAACCCTGGGTCTTATACACAAAGCAGACATAGACGACTTGGAAAGGTGGGTCAAATACCCTTTTGAAAATTTTTCTACATTCAGTCTTCATCCTTCCTTTCCAGAAAGGAAGTTAAGCTTCTTGTGATTTTTTTTTCCTGGGTATTTTTTGAATTCACTTAGATGTATATACATGTAGTAATAAAATATATAAAGTATTGTTTTGCAGTTTTGTTTTTTTGAGATGGGGTCTCACTATGTGGCCCAGGGTGGTTTTGAACTCCTGGGCTCAGCAATCCTCCCGCTCTTAGCCTCCTGAGTAGCTGGGATTACAGGCATGTGCCACGGTGCCTGACTTATCTTTTGTGTTTTTTTAAAAAAATGATATCATATTATATGTACTGTTTAGCAATTTTCTCTTTTCACCACACAAAAACGTATCTTGGAGGTGTAGCCATTCTCATATGTACAAATTTACCTCATTATCCTTAACTAATCCATTGTATTCCATAGCATGAATATACTATGGTTTAAACCATTCATTATTAAGGCTTCCATATTAACTTCAGAATCATCTTGACAAGTTTCATGATTTACCGAATTTATAGATTTGGGGAGAGGTGACAACTTTACATAATTGAGTCTTTCCATCCATGTATATGGTATATCACACTATTTGTTCCTTTTAAAAATCGTCATTAAAGTTCTATAGATTCTTAACTATTTCTTGATCAGTTTATTCAAAAATATTTAATAGCTTTGCTTGCTACAGTGAATGGTATGTTCCTATTTTACTGTATTTCTATTAAATTTCTCTTATTCCTGATGAACAGGAAAAAGAATTTTTCCATATCTATCTTCTATCTAGCCACCCTTCAGAACTCTCATTAATCCTAATATTCAGTTTATTATCTTAGGTTTTCTTTCATTTTTTTTTTTTGAGACAGGGTCTTACTCTGTCGGCCAGGCTGGAGTGCAGTGGTGCCATCATAGATCACTGCAGCCTTGACCTTCTGGCCTCAAGCAATCCTCCCACCTCAACCTCTCAAGAAGCTGGAACTACAGGCATGCACCACCACACGTGGTTAATTTCTTTTATTATTTTTTGTAGAAATGGGGTCTCACCATGTTGCCAAGGCTGGTCTTGAACTCCTGGGCACAAACAATCCCCCTGCCATGTCCTCCCAAAGTGCTGGGATTACAGGTGTGAGCCGTCACACCCAGCCTGTCTTAGGTTTTCTACGCAAGTAATCATATTGCCTGAAATAATGACAGTTTGCTCTTTTTCTAATATCTATACCTTTTTCTTTTCAGTTTCTTTTTCCCCTTTCTCCTCCTCCTTCCCCTTCCATTTTGTCCTGCTGCACTGACTGTGTCCTGAGTACAATGTTAATAGTAGACATCTTTCCCCAGATTCAGACTTCAAACTTAATGCTTCTAATAATTTATCAGTATGTTGTTTCCAGTAGATTTTTGTTAGATTTCCTCTATTTAGATAAGTTTTCCCTCTATACCCAGGTGACTAAGAGTAATTTTTTTCAGTTAATAGGAGTTGATTTTTTCATAGTGTAATTCTGAACCATCCTTACATTTTCGGGGATTCAATCTACTTGGTTATGGTATACTGATTATGCCTTGTAATTTCTTGGTAGAGCCTTCCTTTTCAGCAGGAAATATCCCTCTTTGTCCCTTTTAACACTGTTTACCTTGAATTCTAAGTTTTCTTATATTAATGTTGCTCAACCTAATCAACATGGTTAATGTTTGACATGTTTTCATACTATGCAATTAAAAAATTTATATCCTATAAGTAGCATATAACATAGCTGTTTTTCGAGGTGGAGTTTCGCTCTTGTTGCCCAGGCTAGAGTGCAGTGGTGTGATCTCGGCTCACTGCAATCTCCGCCTCCCATGTTCAAGCGACACTCCTGCCTCAGCCTCCTGACTAGCTGGGATTACAGGTGCCCGCCACCATGCCTGGCTAATTTTTGTACTTTTAGGAGACATGGGGTTTCACCATGTTGGCCAGGCTGGTCTTGAACTCCTGATCTCAGGTGATCCACCTGCCTCGGCCTCCCAAAGTACTGGGATTGCAAGCGTGAGCCACCATGCCCGGCCAGCTGCTTTTTTTTTTTTTTTTTTTTTAACATTACCTGAAAGGCTCTGTCCTTTAGAGTTGGGTTGAAGTTAGTCTTGTTAGTCAAAATTAGTCACATTTACTGAGATTATTAATCTATTTGAACTACCTGATATTTTATGCACTTATTTTGCCAAAATTCTAGGTTGTTTCATTTTTTAAACCCTCTTTTCATATATTTTCTTGATCAGATTTACATTATTTTTTTCTCCAGTAGTTTGGAAGTCATGAATTCAGTTTCTATTCTTCTACTAGCTACCCTTAAATTTTTAACATTTACAGAAACTTACTTTTTCCTTGTATCTAGACTGAATCAATAAGCATATCCTTCCCTTGAGCAAGATAAGAAAATTAGTATGCATTTTCTTTATTCCTCCCTTACTCCACATCTCTCTTCTCCCCAGTCTTCCAAAATCTCTGGTTGATAACTCTTGGAATGTTAGTTCTGTATTAATGCTATCAATAATAAACATTTAGATTTAACAGTAAGTTTCAGTAAATTCTTTATTATTCATTTTTATGCAGCTTTTTTACTGCTGGAGTACATCATTTATTAATTCTTTCACCATTCATTAATTGAAGCTTTAGAGACTGTGAATGTCTGAAAAAGTCTTATAGTCTTCACTTCATTTTGACCCTTGAAAGGCAGCACAGATTTCCACATTCTTAAGTTTTCCCCTCAGAACTTTGACTAAAAGAGCCTCCACATCCACCCCAGGATCTTTTAGTATATTGTGTTGTAAGTTTTTTGTTTGTTTCTCTTTTATTGGCACCTAATGGCCTCTTTGCCTTTCTGCAGCTATGGAAAATTGCCTAGGGCTTCTTTGTACATTACCTCCCCCACATTCCCTTATTATGAAACTCCTGTCATTTGATGAATATTGGCACTGCTGGCTCTATCTTCTATGTCCATTAACTTTTTTTTACATACATTATTTCTCCTAGTCTTCTGTTGATACATCCTAGGAGAATTTCTAAGCTTGTTCTCAAGTTGAATTCACTTTTGTCTTCAGCCTGTTTAATTTTTATTGCAACAATCAATGTTTAATTTACAGGTTCATCCATTTCTAATGGATGCAATATGTTCTTGCACCTCTCCTAAAATAGTAAATGTACCTTTTCTGTAGTTCTCTTCTGCTTGTTCTATTCAGCATTTCCTTGCATAAGTATTTTTTGTTGAGTGGGTGTCTCTCTTTCATGGTGTTGTCATTCCCCAGCTGTCTAGTGATTCTTGGTGTGGTGCTCATCTTTCTATTTGAGATTCCAGGTAAGAATATCTGCTGTGTCTATCCCCTGCAGTGAGAGAAGGACCTGGATGTGCTCTTGAGGATCTTATCTAGATCATCTTCTGGGAGTGAAGGGCTCTTCTGTCCTCCCAGCTCACTAGAAAAGTGACCTCTCTCTTAGGCCTAAGTCCTGATACTGATAGCTGTCACAAGTGGGCAGGCAAATCTGTGGCCACAGCAGGGCTGGATTAGGACGTACAGGGTCTGGAGGACACTGTAGATGAAGCAGTTAGAGTTCACTGAGCCACCCTGCATGTGCACCTGGGTCCACCCTGCTCTCAGTGTCTCCTAACTCTAGTGTTCGTCCCATCTTTTGTAGGTTTCTTTTCAATCCAACTTTGTCTGTTCTCTATAGCGATTCCTCATAATACATCCCTTCCCATCTTTTCTGTTATCTATGTACCTATCTTTTTTGTTGTTTCTATTATTTGGAGTGAGAAGGAGTGGCTGCAGAAGGTACTTCAGTCTGACATCTGATCGAAAATCCCTCAAATATTCTTTCAATGTTTACAGAAGATATTGCAGAGAAATACTAAATTGTCACTTCTATGTTTTCTCATGAACAAAGGCATTCAAGTGTAGTTATGTGACTCTAAAATTTCATGAATAAAAATATAAAAATTGCATTTCATTCTCATTGAAAGATCTTCGTGTTGGCATTACGGAATATGGTTGCTCTGTGACCCTATACTAATCAGATCACCTTTAGCACTCAACAACAAACACCAGTAATTAGTATTGAGATTTCAGGTAAGGAAATGAGACAGGGGGCAATCATTAACATTTAGCAAGCATCTACTGTGTTGCAGGAGTTACATTATCTGATTTAATCTGCACACATACTCTATAAGGTATGTATTGTTACATTAATTATTTATATTTTCAGATAAGGCATCTAAGGTCTGCAGAGCTTAGGTAGTCTTCTCTCAGTCACAAAACTAGGAAGGAACAGAGTTGAGATATGAACTGAAGTCAGATGATTTCAAAACCTCTATGGTTCCTCTACCACACCGTACATAACCTTTGGCTCCTAAAAGTTTTCTAAGAAAGTAAGATCTATAATATCCTTCTCAAGTATCCTGTCTCTAGAAGTTATAACCCCTATTCCATACTCTCAAATTTAAAAATGTGTAAAGCATTTTAAAAAAATACAGGTTGAGCATCCCTAATCTAAAAATCAAAAAATGCTCTGAAATCCAAAAAAAATTTTTTTTTTGAGACGGAGTCTTGCTCTGTTGACAGGCTGGAGTGCAGTGGTGCAATCTCGGCTCACTCCAACATTTGCCTCTCGAGTTCAAGCAATTCTCCTGCCTCAGCTTCTCGAGTAGCTGGGACTACAGGGGTGCGCCACCAAGCCTAGCTAATTTTTGTATTTTTAGTAGAGAGGAGGTTTCACCATGTTGGCCAGGATGGTCTCAATGTCTTGACCTCGTGAATTGCCCACCTCAGCCTCCCAGAGTGCTGGGATTACAGACCTGAGCCACTGTGCCAGACCAAAATCCAAAGCTTTTTGAGCACCAACGTGATGCTCAAAGGAAAGCTCACTGGGGCATCTCAGATTTGGGATTTTGGATTTCCAGATTAGGGGTGCTCAACTGGTATGTATTCTGCAAATATTCCAAAATCCAAAAAAATCTGAGACTGGAAACACTTCTGGTCCCAAGAATTTTGAATAAGGGATATACAACTCTTATTTTAATGCATACAAATGCATATATATAAAATTTAATTATAAAATTTTCTAACAGAGTTTTTAATATTAAAATCACTTGATTAAACACATACACACACACACACAATAATTTTAAAACACAGGCCAGATTGGATTGTGACATCCTTGAGGACAGTTATGTTTATGGCTATATTGCCAGCAGCTGGTACTTAATAGATGCCCTCCAAAATTGTTTACTAAATGAACTCCAGAATCCACTTAGGACTACAAACCATGTCCAAGTCGAGGCTGAGCAATAGGTTACTTTCCATCTTTGCAATGGAAAGTCAATGTACAGATGACCCTTAAACAATATGGGTCCATTTCTATGCACATTTTTTTTTTTCAACCAAGTGTGGATTGAAAATACAGTATTCACAGGATGTGAAGCCTGCGTACGTGGAGAACTAACTTTTCCCACGTGTGGGTTTTGGTTCATGCAGGGGTCCTGGAATGGAGGGATGACTATATACACTGAGCATCATCCAAATGACAAATGCTCCCTTATCCACACGGTCAGGTAGGAAAACAGAGCTAATTAGTTTGACCATAAGGTAACATTCTGCACCCATATGAGATGATTCTCTCAGAAAAACTCTGGGGGTGGGTGACTATTATGGCAAAAGTACATGGAATTTAAGAATTTAAAGAATAAAGAAACATATTTTTCTTTCCTGAAATGGCATGTTTTTAAAAGCAAATTTCAAGGAAAAAAATTTTTTTTTTTTTTTTTTTTTTTTTTGAGACGGAGTCTTGCTCTGTCTCCCAGGCTGGAGTGCAGTGGCGCGATCTCGGCTCACTGCAACCTCTGCCTCCCGGGTTCCCGCCATTCTCCTGCCTCAGCCTCCCGAGTAGCTGGGACTACAGGTGCCCGCCACCAAGCCCGGCTAATTTTTTTTTGTATTTTTTAGTAGAGACGGGGTTTCACCGTGTTAGCCAGGATGGTCTCAATCTCCTGACCTCGTGATCCGCCCGCCTCGGCCTCCCAAAGTGCTGGGATTACAGGTGTGAGCCACCGTGCCCGGCCAAAAAAAAACTTTTAAATAAATGAGATTTAAATAAACTTTTAAATCTCATTTTTTGCAAGACTCGTGAAACTGATGTGTTGGCAGTGGTGATGGCTAGTGACAGCACGGTACCCACAGCAATGCAGCACATATCTTCCAAACACACAAGCTACCCTTCAAAGGCCTGGTGCCATCCGTCGCTCTCGGCTGGCCAGTTTTCTATACTTCTACGGAATATTAGCCAGAACTATTTTTAAAATCAAAATTTCAAAATGATTTAAAGAATCTCAAGTTAAAAAAAAAAAAAAGCCTAGACCCACACTCTCGTCCAAAGCTCATTATCCGCGAGGTGCTGAGAACTGGCACTGAGGCCGGTCCTCTAATTTGACTGTCAACAAAGCTGCTCTGCACAAAGCAGACCTCCAGCGCCAAGCAATCCTTCCTTCTCTATTTGTTCACCAAGATTAACTCAACATCAAGTCCACCAGCAACCTCTCAGTGCACCAGCGGCATTAAATAGTGTAAAACATACTTCAAACACATTTTTCCTATTAAGCACACATTTTTCTCTTATTTGTCAAAATCTGTCAGGGGTATGAGAATATACCATTTTATTTATAGATCATATTCTTTAATAATAACACTTTAAATCTTATTTTTCTTCCTCTAGGGATGTCTGAAGCTATTTAGCCGCTTAGCTTCAATGTCCAATTCTTTTCCAAAGGCCGTTTCTTCTGGGTTCAACCTCATTTCTACCTATGAGGAAGGTTTTCTGGTGGACTGTGTAAAATTACTGAAAGGTGTTCCCATAAATCACATATATCAAGCCGCCCAATGCCAGTGAATCTTACTTAGTAAGTCTCCTCTTAAAAATACACATCCTCATAACACCGGCATGATTGGCAAGCTTTTTCATCCAAGATATTACTGATCTCAATTATTATTCCCTTGAGACTGGTATTTTCAAAATATAGCTAAGGAAAAGGGAAAACTTGGACAAAGCAAGAACATAAACACGCAATGCAAAGAAGCATATTACGCTTCTATCTTTATGAAAATATAAGTATAAATTAGTTTTAACTGAGATTTTAAATATGCTAAATACTTATATTATTAACATAAAAAGGAAATTAAATATTAGTTTCTAAGAAATATGAAAATAGAATAATTCCTTCATTAAAATGTTAATAACGCCAAATAATTCAATTAAAAAAGACTATATCATGTCTTCAAGAAAGACATTGTCTCTAAAAGCTTATTATTTGGGGCAGATAGCATCTCTGCCTGCTTTCAACAAGCTTTAAGTGAATTTTAATAAAATGATAATTTTCACTCCAACAAGTGAAAATGCCAACACGTAGGGTATAATTTTGAATTACTAATCATGCATGCACGGGGTTTATTTAGTTGCACCATCAGGTTTGGTCAAGAACTCAGAGGATGCTTAGAAATAATAAAAGGTGTCTTCTTTTTTTTTTGTTATACTTTAAGTTCTAGGGTACACTTGCACAACGTGCAGGTTTGTTACATATGTATACATGTGCCATGTTGGTGTTCTGCACCTATTAAGTCGTCATTTACATTAGGTATATCTCTTAATTCTTTCCCTCCCCCCTCCCCCTACCCCACAACAGGCCCCGGTGTGTGATGTTCCCCTTCCTGTGTCCAAGTGTTCTCATTGTTCAATTCCCACCTATGAGTGAGAACATGCGGTGTTTGGTTTTTTTGTTCTTGCGATAGTTTGCTGAGAATGATGGTTTCCAGCTTCATCCATGTCCCTACAAAAGACATGAACGCATCCTTTTTTATGGCCGCATAGTATTCCATGGTGTATATGTGCCACATTTTCTTAATGCAGTCTATCACTGATGGACATTTGGGTTGGTTCCAAGTCTTTGCTATTGTGAATAGTGCTGCAATAAACATACGTGTGCATGTGTCTTTATAGCAGCATGATTTATAATCATTTGGGTATATACCCAGTAATGGGATAGCTAGGTCAAATGGTATTTCTAGTTCTAGATCCTTGAGGGATCGCCGCATTGTCTTCCACAATGGCTGAACTAGTTTACAGTCCCACCAACAGTGTAAAAGGCATCTTATTTTCATTCCAGAAAAGAGTAAAATAAGTCACCCCTTACTCCATGCCAAGCAACGTTACACATGCTTTCCATATATTTACTTAGTACTTTAAATGTTCTCATGAGATACATAGCATTGCTGTCCCCTTTGACAGATGAGGATTGGATGCAGAGAAGAAGGCTTCTTAGCTTGCCAAAGCCATGTGCCTGATGAGTGGCAGGGCCAGACTCGAAGGGGGGTGGGTCCATTCCCAGGGCAGGTGCTCTTCATTCTCCTACCTGGCTTTTGTCACAGGACAGCAATGTGGAAGAAAATACCTTGTAAGTATAGAAGCCTACATCCTCCAAGTTTTGACTGATGTTACATAACTCCAAGAAACTCTACTGAGCCTTAAGTCCTTTCTCAACTTGTGAATGATTGGTCATTTCGACTTATGAAAATACATATTATTCTTCCAAACTTCTGAATTCTCTCTCCAGCCAAGCTAATATTTTATTGTGAGGCCAAGCACTGCCTTCATAACTAAAGGTCTGTCAACTCTTCTATCACAAACTCTCCACGTGAGCTTTGGAACAGCTTTTTTAAGAAAGACCTAAGTTACACAGATAGGTACAGTAACAAGAAAATAAACAAATGATCCTGCTAACTAAAAGACTACTTGTTGTAACACAGGCAATGGCCAGCTATCAGCAACATTCCAATCTATTATCAAAATACGCCGCCCTCTAAGAATCATCCATCAAAATGAATTCTCTGGCCTGCTCTAAATTGAAATTCACTAGTCAGAATAAGGCTCACAGGATCTTCCAAATTCATGGTATTTCCTTGTAATATTCTCTGAAGTCAAAAATTACCCTCTCAACCATTGAACATATACTGAAGTGGTTAAACAAATTTTCCTTAAAAATTACCTTCCTAAAGACTAATAAATCCATGTTCCCACAAATGTCCAGGAAGTCTAATTTCTTGCCATTAGAAACTATACAAATTCCATTCTAAACTCTGTGTCCTGGGCTTTGCACTACTCAAGGATACAAGGTCGAAAGGGGAGTGTTGCCAGGAAAGGAGCTCAGACCTCAGCAGGCAGGGCAGGAGCAGCAACGCTGAGTGGTGAAGATAAAGAGTGAATGAGCCAGGAGTGGGTGCATCTCCGGGGAAGACATGATGCTGGAGCATCCTGAAGACATGTAGTACAAGCGCATTCCAGGCCAGGGGATTTGTTCAAGAACAGTCCAGCAGAGGAGGGGTGCATTCATTTGGAGAGAAAAGGAAACCTTTGAAAGGGAAAGTTCGGACGGCAAATGGAAACTCTAAACAGAGAAAGGACGGGTATGAAAAGTCTTAAATACCAGGCCAGGAAGTGAAGATCTGATGCGCTGGGCCTCAAGGGGGTCCGGAAGAAGAGAAGTGGCATATTTAGAAAAGAAAACTCCAGGCCGGGCGCGGCGGCTCACGCCTGTAATCCCGGCACTTTGGGAGGCCGAGGTGGGCGGATCATAAGGTCAGGAGTTCGAGACCAGCCTGGTCAACATGGCGAAACCCTGTCTCTACTAAAAATACAAAAATTTGCTAGGCATGGTGACGCACGCCTGTAATCCCAGCTACTCGGGAAGCTGAGGCAGGAGAATTGCTTGAACTCGGGAGGCGGAGGTTGCAGTGAGCCGTGATCGCGCCACTGCACTCCAGCCTGAGTGACAAGAGCAATACACTGTCTCAGAAAAAAAAAAAAGAAAAGACAACTCTATAGTCATTGCAGAACGTGGCCTGGGTGGTGGTCTTCTATGTTCCCTGTTCCCCTGGGGCTAAGTGTGTACTCTATGAACTTTTCAAACACAGGCAGTTTTAAGGGAATCAACTTCTATTAGTAGATATCCACCTTCCATGCGTCCTCCTTCTGAAAGCTGCCTGCTCAAGAAGCCTGCCTGACTCCAGCTACTCCCTCTCAACTTCCCTTTCACGATCACCCTCCTCCTACTTTAACAAGAGAAGGCTCCTGTCATCCTGCATCTGAAGGACGTAAGGAAGACAGGACTGTCAGGAAAAGTGCTGAAGATGCTTGGAGAGTTCCGATAAGGGATTTTTAAAATAACATCCTTCTGGGTACCAAAACAAAGGAACAACTGGAATTCCTTTCATCAGGACCCCAAAACATAAATGCCCCTGAATCCATCTCGTTAAGAGATGCGTTTCCAATTAACATTTTATAGGTTTAATAATTATTTATGAAGTTTGTAATATATTATAGAATCCTGATCAACTGTGTCATAAGAACTATCATCATAACAGCTCGAGATGGAATTTGTTTTTTAAGTTTATGGTCACTGGAAATAAGCACATTTCAAATACGGTTTGTATGTGTATGTGCTTGTGCACATATGCACATGTGTGTATGGGTAGATGTGATACGTATGTTGCAGGAAAGTACGATAGTATGATTAATAACTGTTTTTCAAGCATAAAAGAACATTATATTAGGGTCTAATTCTGGGAGGGGTGCAGCGGAGTGCAATAGTGTATCAGCACCACCTCCAACTGTCAAAGAAAATGTTTTCCACATACTTTTGAAATAGAAAATGGTGTCATCTAAGGGATATTCTAGTTGCTCCATTCAGAAGAATGATGTCATGGTTTTGTTTTAAAATGTGATTACTTACAGTAAATATTCCTTGCAACTATTTGCAGGTACAAAATGAATTTAATATCCTTTTTAAAATGTGCAAGGGGACACACGGCTTTCAAAAATTCCTTTAGGATAAACAGTAGCAAAAACATCTGAGAGCATTAATCCAGTGAGAGATAATGAGAGCATGACAGCGTCAACAAAGACCAGCGTGAGAAGCAGGCAAGAGGAGGAAGGCCGGCTTTGCAATCCCACACGCTTGCTTCCAATCCTCCTTCTGTCACTTACTACTCTTGTGGCCATGGCCATAAGGAGTCTCCTCTGTCAGACAGCTGCCTCAGCATAGCTTGTTAAAGGCCTCGGTAAATACTAAATAAATTACAATTATTTTTAGAAATAGAATCAGGAAAATCTGGCCATTTAATGGAAGAAGGAAAGAATTTAAGACCATCCCAGGATTTCTAGGTTTATGGCGACCAAGTCGATAGTGACAGAGGAACTGGTCTGGGCAAGAAATAATGAACTTGATGAAGTCGATGGTACATCGAGGAGTCCATGGGGCATCTAGACAGCAGGGCACACATGTGAGTTCCAGGAGTAAAGGTTGAAATCGCAAAGGCAGGGTTTGGAGGTTTCAGGTGTACGTGAGAGGCATGAACAGAGAAGAGCTGGAGGCATTGCAGCTCTCCACAAGAACAATGCTTAATGGGAAAGCAAAAAAAAAAAGAAGCGTGATTACACTAAGCGGCAGCTGTCAGAGACTAGAAAACCTGAGAACACTGGGGTGGCACTGGGGACAGCCAGCCGCGCAGTAGGGCCAAGGTGATGAGGACCAACATAGACCTCTACAGGTGGAGATGGACAGGTCACCTTTCACCTGCTGGGGGCAGTTCCAGTGCGGACCTGACAAGCAGCAGCCAGACTAAAGAGGGTCGTGGAGAGGGGAGAGGGCTGCTGCTGCCCCTCGTAGCGGGAGGAGAAGGGGATCTCCTGATAGGAACCAGGGGTAAAGACACGGCTGTCTAGGAAATGTGCTGAGTGTGCTCACAGGGTTCCAGATAAAGGCAAGAACAGAGCCAAGCTTGTGGAAAAGATGAGTTCAGAGAAGTGGGGGAAATTTTAGCCTTCAACGGAAGCAGTAATACTCTTTAGGACAGGAGGGAGGTAAATAAGAATGAGTCCACATACATATGTTTAGAGAGGATTTATAGAGTGGTGGATGGCTTCCTTTTCGCAAAGAACCAGGAGGCTGTTGAGAGTGAGGTGTGCAGGGAGCAGGGCCTTGGGGAAGGCAGTCCGCAGTAAAGCCTCCACTGGGATCCAAGATGAATGTGCCATATTCTTTTCAGAAATGACCTATCAGTAGATAATCAAATTCCTTAAACAAATGTCCTTCTCCTTTTAAAATCAAAGGCTGGAATTCCCCAAGCACATTTAGAATGCACACCTTAGACTCTACTTATTTTCATGCAATAAACATAATTTATAGGAAATCTTTATTGAGATCCCTTTAAACAGTATATTAACTGCATACCCAAAAGGATATGCCAGCACATTTTTCCTTGCCTGTGTGTGTGTGTACATGCATGTGTTGGGCACACATCCCCAGTGAGCTCTTTTACTACTCAGTTCATGAAATTAAGAGAGAATGTCATTTCTCAGCAACCTAAACATATAGTTAATAAAATTCCTGGGACGCACTTTCCTTCTGGTATGTGCAAGTTACTCTCATTTACTTCAAACAGAAATACATATGTGTTATCAAGAAATACAAACTCACCCTTCTGCATCAAATAATTGGGAATACGGTCTAAAATTATTAAATGGGATTTCTGCAAAGTTGTAGGTAGCAGAGCAGCTCAAATCAAATTTCATTTCTACTGAATTTATTCTAGAAACCACAGTTTCAATCTGTTTATGCTGCCAATTCATCCGCTTTCTAAATGTACCAGTAATTTATTCACTCAAATTTTATTTTACTTTTATTATTTTGGTTTCATACAGCAAGCAACCTGTTCAGTGTTAAATAAACACTGCAAATGGAATTTCTTTTTAATTGACTAGGCTGCATTTGTTTAAAAAAAAAAAAAAGGAGAAGCACGTGGAGAGAATTCTCTCTGAATGCTAAAGGGAGCCCACTGCTGAAGAGACCCTGAGCCAAGAGTGGCTTTTAGGGCACTTTTGTTACCTGGTTTCCAGTCTCGCTGGCCTGCCTAACGTACCCAAATTTCAGGCCTGGCCACTCCACATCTTGCTCTTTTCTCTAGGGCCTTTTTTTTTTTTTTTTTTTTTTTTGAGACGGAGTCTCACTCTGTCACCAGGCTGGAGTGCAGTGGCGCGATCTCGGCTCACTGCAACCTCTGCCACCCGGGTTCAAGCGATTCTCCTGCCTCTGCCTCCTAAGTAGCTGGGATTACAGGCATGCACCACCACGCCCAGCTAAGTTTTGTATTTTTAGTAGAGACAGGGTTTCCCCATGCTGGTCAGGCTAGTCTTGAACTCCTGACCTTGTGATCCACCCACCTGGGCTTCTCAAAGTGCTGGGAAGGTGTGAGCCACCGCACCTGGCCTCTCTTTCAATGGGTTTGGTTAACAACCTACAATTAAGATTTTGGCTCTGCCCTCACCCTCCAGGCTGAAGTGGCCCAGCCTCACCACCCAGCATCCCTCCCCGCCAACCTGGCTCTCGCGACCTCCGCTCTCCGAAGCTGCACCTTTGGGCAGCTGACCCACTTTGCCTCTCTGCTCCAGGTAGTTAAGCGTAGATTTTTCAGGTAGTCCATTCTCTGTCTCTTGTGTGATGACAGATGTTCTGATGAAACATACATCCTAGCTAATAAAGTATGATGTCATAAGCTCTTTTCTTGAAAAAAATTTTATTTGGTAACCAGTCGTTTGATTAATTCAGGAGGTTCTACTCATAAAGGATTGTGAATACCAAACTGCACATTTGATAAAAATTAGGGCTCTTGTTTAATCAGGCTGAATCAGCAGCACGAGAGGCTCACAGGTCTGACTTCTGTCTCCAAGGCCTTGGGCAAACAGTGAGGTTCTCTGTGTGGCACTCGGGCTGGAGAGCTGCTGTCTGTATTACATTAAGTGGCACTTTTTAAATGGGATTTTTCTGTGTAAACTCTTCCTTGTTGAAATTATAGTTAGGGAAGCGGGTTTTTCTTTGGTGTAGTAAAATTCAGTTTCATAGCTCCCTGTTGGAAAAGACATTAAATTACAGGCAGTTGTCCATCTGGGGCAGATGAGCAACACTGTGGGTGCCCAGCTCGACAGTTCCCTGGGAGCCAGGCTAGCACATCCAAGGCCCATCCAGCTGAGCACATCAAGGGTCCTGAGTCTTAATTCAATTTAGGGTGGGTCTGATGGAGTACTCTCCTCCTCACCTGTCTGTGTAAGCAATTCCCGTTTTCCCTAGGCCGTTACCTAAACCTAATTAAAGAAATACAAACTCACCCTTCTCCTTTAAATAATTGGCAATACGGTCTAAAATTATTAAACTGGGCCAGGGGCGGTGGCTCATGGCCTGTAATCCCAGCATTTTGGGAGGCTGAGGTGGGCAGATCACCTGAGGTCAGGAGCTCAAGACCAGTCTGGCCAACGTGGTGAAATTCCACCTCAACTAAAAATACAAAAATCAGCTGGGCATGGTGGTGAGCACCTGTAATCCCAGCTACTTGAGAAGCTGAGGCAGGAGAATCACTTGAACCCGGGAGGTGGAGGTTGCAGTGAGTAGAGATCACACCACTGTACTCCAGCCTGGGCAACACGGTGAGACTCTGTCTAATAAATAAATAAATAGGATTTCTGCAAAGTTGTAGTAGGATATTAATTTTCATTCTCTATTGGGCTAAGAAAATGTTTGATCAACATAATATTACCATAAACCTTCATATACATCTTCATATATCTATTTTATAAGATTTTATTTCATTTTGTTGTGCTCATCAAACAAAAGTTTAGAGTTCATCTGGCTCAAGCTCCTCATTTCACAGATGGGAAAACTGAGGCTCAGAACCAGGCAGCCAAAAAGCCTCAGCGTCCCGATGGCTTCATCGTCAGGCGAGTTTCCTATGAAACAGACCCAGGCTTTCATTCTGAGACCAGCTTCATAATAAGGCCCTTTTGTGTAACAATGTCTGAGTGCCCACAATAATATTGTTTTAGATCTAAAAGAAACTAATTAATTTCCATCAAAAGCATAATGAATTAAAAAATCAGGTGTGCTGAAAAATGAATTAAAACTAATGAAGGAATATCACCAATTGAAAACAGGTTGACTTTAGTTAATTTGAGGAAGAAAGAGTCAAGTCCTATTTTGCGGGTGATAGGAATGTAACAATTTCTTCTCCATAGTAAGAGCTCCTTTTTCAAATAGCTAGCGACAAAGTTAATAAATCATATCCCATCTGCAGTTACAAAATAGAGAATCCGAAGCCAGGAGATTCAACTTGGCTTCAAATCCCACTCACATAGACAAAGCCATGTGAGTCTACGTTATGCAGAATTCTGAAGCTAATATAAGTTTACAAACAGTTGAGGAAAGTGGTTCTTGTTTTCCCTTTTGAGTTACCACGAGGCTTCATGCTACAGCTTAAGATTGGTGTCCATGCCTGTGAGTTCAGCAAAGCCCAGGGTTCCATAAATCAGGGCCCCGAGAAAGAGCTGTGCTGCCCTGAGCCGCTGACATTCCTCTAATGCTAAGCGGCCACAGGCTCTTCATTACACATGGGTTTTCCTAAGTCCAGACGGACTGACGGGCGTTAGGCAGTTGTTCAATGCACTTTCGCCAAATGAGAATGTGCGTTGAGCCACCGTCTTCTCCTTGGCCGATACATGTTCTTCTGGGAATCCTTTCCTAAAGAGACCATTGTGGTGAACGCTGGAGCCACAGATGTCATAGTAAATGTCTTGACTCTGTGGAGACACTGTCTTCTCTTTGCTCTACAGATTCAGATAGCTCTGCCCTAGCCTGGGTTCAGCATTATCAGGAAGCGGAATTCCCGTGAAGAAGAAGTGAGGGAGAAAAGGAGCACAACCCTCCCACTCTTAGCCAGCATTTTAGCTGGTCTAGGGTGCTGGTGTCATGGTACCCCAGACCCTTCTTAAAGTGTTTAGTGGACTCACGATTGTTCGTCACAACTGTCCACTGACAGTATACCAGTGTGGGAGCACCATGGGACACCTGGCGAGTCACCTGGGTTCCAGACAGATTTCTTCTGCTCCACTGTATAGCAGCAACCCAGGCACCTCGTGGTCACTGGCACCAATTCACCATGCCAGTACAGCGACCTAGTACCCATGCCAGTACAGTGACCCAGTACCCACGCCAGCACAGTGACCCAGTACCCATGCCAATACAGTGATCCACTACCCATACCAGCACAGTGACCCAGTACCCAGGCCAGTACGGTGACTTCTTTGACTGTTGGTCCAGGGCACCCTTGGGTATTCTCCAGTGGAGGCATCATCTCCCGGGATGCAGGACTCTAACACAGCAGAGCTTAAGGTCTGGGGAGAGGAAGGATAACTCCACAACTGGGCCAGTGGGGATGGTGGTGCAAGTACTGCTCACATCTCTGCCCACTGAAGGGACTTCCATTACCCCTGGTGATTCAGGCCAGCCCTGGGAAGGACAGTATTGAACAACTACATTTTTAGCTGCCACCAACATGTCATTCTGACCCATCTGTGAGTTAGTCCCAAGTTTTTAGTTTCCTGCCAGCTGGTTAAAAGGATCCCTTACCCCTGAGGCTACAGCCATGGAGGTGGAGGAGAGGTGTCAGTACTAAAGAGGTGGGTGACATCAGAGTAGTCTGAGGCCACCTGTCATGTAATTTGCTTCTTTATTTCCACCACCCAATGGGTCGGTCTTGCATCTGGCCATCCTTATGACTTGGAGAATCTGATAACACCTGGTGCAGTGGCTCACTCTTGCAATTCCAGCACTTTGGGAGGCTGAGGTAGGTGGATCACCTGAGGTCAGGAGTTCGAGACCAGCCTGACCAACATAGTGAAACCCCATCTCTATTAAGAATACAAAAATTAGCCAGGCATGGTGGCGGGCACCTATAATCCCAGCTACTTGGGAGGCTGAGAAGAATCGCTTGAACCCAGGAGGCGAAGGTTGCAGTGAGCCGAGATTGCGCCACTGCACTCTAGCCTGGGTGACAGAGCAAAACTCCGTCTCAAAAAAAAAAAGAAAAAGAGAAAAAAATAATCTGATAATACTTGACCTAAGGTGGGCAGTTCTGGTTCTAGCCACCTGGAGCTCAGTGTCTACTGGGGCCCAGAAACTCATTAGCGCAAGATGTTAGTCCTTCTCAAATAATACGCAGTTCTGTGCTGCCAAGCAAATGGTTTTGCTCCAGAACTCCTGGGCCCTGAGCTGCAACTCTGCAACGGGGCTTGCACTGACTCACACAGAATCATTATCCAAAGGATGCCTCCAGCACCATCCGTTCTGCTGGATCAAACAATGCAAACAGCTGCGAAGTTGTCCTTGGATCCACCTGACAGCCCTCTCTGGGTCTCGGCCCCCCTCAACACTAACAGCCTTCTGGATCACCTGATACATGGGTAGGTGCAGTGCCCAAGGGCTGTACATGCATGTGGTACGAGGAAAGAGGCAAGGCACCGTCAGCTCACTCCTGTGTAAAACTGGTCACACATTCGAGACCCACTGCAAAACGGGCATCCCTGGGATTGGAGACAAGTGAGGCTGTGATGAGGGAGCTCATCACATGCAGCAGCTCTCTCATGAAGTGGGGCCTCTTGGTAATAACACATCCCCAGCCACTCCCTAAATTAACTGGAGGCTCAGAGCCATCTGAAGTCGATGTGGATTCTCTCTAGGGTGGTCCTTCTCAAATTTTAGTGAGGGAGAGCTTGATAAAACACAGATTCCTGGACCCCACTCCCAGAGGTCCCGATCCCTAGGTCTGGCATGGGTCCTAAGACTTTTCATGTCTAATGTGAATCCAAGTCAGGCGAGGCTCGCGATTCTCGGATCATACTGCGAGTAGCTCTGCCATAAACCTTCTGAGTAGCACAACTCGAGAACTCTGCTACCCAGCGTAGTCCGTGACCAGAGTTGTCCGTGAACCGCAGTATCAGCATCACCTGGGAGCTTGTTGGAAATCTTGGTTTTTTAAAACTTTAACGTGCATATGAATCACCTAAATATCTTGTTAAGATGCAGGATTTGATTCAGGAGGGCTGACATGGAGCCCCAAATTCTGCATTTCTAACAAGTTCCCAGGATGATGCTGATAGTACTAGCCCAAGGACCACTCTGTGAGTTTAGTCCGATAATTCACAACCCTGGCTGTGTATTAAAATCACCTGAGGACTAAAACAAAGTCCTGACCCAGCCCAGGTGATTTTCATGGGCATGTAGCATTAGAAAAAACAGTGTTAGATATTTAAAAGATTTTTGTTTTGTCTTTTCCTATTTCTTGATGATTATTGTTAAATATATTGGCCCAACATGTTCTCTTCTCCCCCTCCTCTTCCGCTCCTCCCACTCTGTTTCAACTTTTGGTTTAAAATTACGCATATGCCTCTTATTACCACTTTCACTGAACATGGCCTTCAGATATTTTTGCCCAGGTACTCCATAAAAATTTTGAAAAACGATGTCCCTCTCACATATTTTAAGTTTACATTTAAGTGTTTTAATTTCTAGTGTACTGTAAAATTTTAGGTCACTCTTTTCTATCATACGGAGGGACCCAGAGACCACTTTGATTTGATACCTACCAATGACCATTTAAAAATCTCCTTTTTAACAACTGCAAATTTTACATCATTCCTTCTTCTCCTTCAATTCAGAGTTTTATTTGATGTAATATATATTAAGCTTGAAAGCTTTATCACTGTACTACACTTCTTTATAGCAAAAAGACAGATATTACAATAATTTTTAAAATTTCCTGTGACTCTAAAACTAAATGTTAAAAAAACTGGTTTGATTATCCATCATAATTGCTATTCACAATTAATCAAACCATCACACATCATTATACATTGTGACAAATAATTATTGAATAAGAAAAGTAAAATTTACTGGAAATACATCTCAATGAGATAAATGGGAATGTTCTTTTTTTAATTAGTTCATATATTCATGGATGGATATTACTTCTAGGTAAATTGAAAAAGTGTTCAGCATCAATTTTATTTCTATTTTTTTGTTTTTATAAATGTATGCATGGAGAAAACTTATTTTCATAAATAAACAGATGGGAAGGAAGGAGTTTTAACAGTTTTAACAATTTCACCCAATTCCTCGACAGCATTCTGTTATGCCCATCGTCACTCAGTGATTTATCATCAAACATTATTTTTAATGATCTATTGGCTGACAACTTGATTGGGTTCACCTTCAATTCTCTTGAAAACCAAGAATTCTAAGCTCTCTGGCTCGCAAGGGGATTTCTTACCCACTTATTAAAGCCATCCACTTTCTCAATACCGACCCTAATGTTTGAAATTCTCCTCTGTCTGGAAAGCAAAGGGTTCTACAGGCCAGAGCAATGCAACAAGGAAGAGGAGGGTTTGCTGGGAGGAATGCCTTTCCCTTGCAAGGAGGGAGAAAAGCAAGCGTGAAAGGACAGCTGAGAGGGAAGACCCCAGGCGTGTTCTCAGGCGGATCCATCCCAGGAAAGAGTACACATGGAAATGGAGGATGTGGATTCCCTGAGAACCATCCACTGCTGAATATCCCCTGGAGTCACTGAGGCCTGACGTGAAGATCCCTGCTCTAGATGAACACCATCTATTTGTAGGGAGCAGACAGGACGTGCCTCTGCCCAAACGAATGCCTTCAGGGCCCGAGCAGATAGGTAACATCAATAACTTGATGGGGCAGTCAGAGACACTCTCCTCCTTCATTGTCTAACTTATATTTCCCTGTTTTTGATAGAGACTTGGTTATATTAAAGGATTTCTCTACTATAAGAAAGACAAGAGTGCAAACATTTTGATCGACACCCACTGCATGGTCTCCTAGTGAGGGACACAGCTTGGAACTGCTGAGACCTGAGCAGGATGAGGTGATGCCCCAGTTGAGAGCAGCATCCCATCAGCTCCCTCAGATCGCTGTGTTCAGGGACGGGGGCTGGCAACACCGGACCATCAGTGTTTATGTGGAACCCTGAACTTCCAGAGGCTGGTCATAGACAGTTCTGTTTGCACCCTCTGCCAAGCAGGGCTTTGTTTCTATCTACAGTAGCAGGTGAGCTGCAAGTCTGTGAACAGAGAGGCACCTGCTGACTCCAGCCTTGTGCTCCCCTTTGCCAGGATGACCTCTTCCCAATGCCTCAGCTGACTGCCTCTTACTCAACCTTTAGGTCTCAGTTAAACATCGTCTCTCAGGGGAAACCTTCCAATTCCCACTGATGTGTCTGGGTGCCCCATGCTGGGTTTTCCAGAGCAAACTGTGCTTCTCTCAACCGTGGCTCAGGTACTTTCGCTTTAGTCACCCATCTAGATGACCATCTCACCCTTGACTTCCCTAACTTCCGTGCCTGGCACCGGGCATAACTGATGAATTAATCCGGATTGCTGTGTACAGCCATGCAGGCTATGTACCAACCATCTCTTCGGGGTCTCATTAATACAGACTACTATAGACCATGAATGCATGCAATGCAACAGCCTGGCAAATGACTAAGCGGCTATACTTGCTAAGGGAGTGTCTCCCAGCACACAGGGCTCCCCAACCATGGATCTTCAGTATACAAAATACAGGGAGGTATCCTGCTCATATGTGCAAGGGCTCTCAAGGGGACCTGGGAGTCCAAGTCTTCCTGGTCAGGACAAGCTCTTACCACTGTTAGATCACTCCAGGAGCGAATAAAGCTCAATGATGGGTCATGTGGCCAGTTTGACTAGGAATCCCTTTTGTATGCAAAATGCTATGCATTTTTATAAAACTGTCCTGCTCAATACAGTAGCATCCAGCCACATGAGGTTACCAAAATAAAAAAGTTTAAATTAAATTATAAATTCACTTCCTCAGTCACAACAGTAACATTTCAAGTATTCAATAGCTCCATGTAAAAATAGAGAACATTTCCATCATCACAGCAACTCCTATTGGATCATGGGTCATACCTCAAATGCTTCCAGAGCCAGCTAATGTAGAAGCAACAGGCCAAGATTCAGAAACATTTCTCTCCAAATGGGAAGTTTTCTAACACAAACACCCAACTTACCTCAAGAACGAAGAGGCAACCTCTCATCCAAAAACATCTGCCCCTAGAGTTGCTTTCAAAATGCAATATCTTAAGATTCCACAGTGAGTATTTTCCCAAAACAAAGAATAGAGCCCTCCACAGGAAAACTCAAGTCTCTTCCTTAGGAGAATGCACAGACTGTTTAAACTGGGGAAAGGGGTCCTAGCATGGCCACATATTTTAAGAGAAGCTGGAAAATGTTCTCCCAGCTGTTAAATATTGGCTCATGTATTTTTAAGGTATTGTGTGGGCTAAATAAAACACAAGGAGCAAATCCAGGCCACAAATGTCTAGTCGGGTCTTCTGATCTAGAGAAATACTGTACTTTAGGAAAGAAAATGCAATAGGAATAAGAAATGTGTAAGTCGTTATGGACTGAGCTGTAAAAAAATTACTATGTTAAAGCCCTAACCTGTATTGTGACTGTATTTGAAGACAGGGCCCTTAAGGAAGTGACTCAGGTTAAATGAGATCATGCGGTGTCTCTAACACAAGAGGACAGGGGTCCTTATAAGAAGCGGAAGAGACACCAGAGCTCTCTAAAGCTCGCCTCCCTTCCTGCACCCCCAATGCCCAGAGAGGCCACGTGAGGATCAGTGGAAAGGTGGCTCTCTAAGAGCCAGGAAGGGAGGCCCCAACGAGACACCAACCTGGCTGGCAAAGCTGGTTTCATCTTGGACTTCCAGTTTTCAGAACTGAGAAAATGAACATCTGTTGTTTAAGTCACCCAGTCTCCTAAGGAAGAGACTTGAGTTTTCCTGTGGAGGGTCTATTCTTTGTTTTGGGAAAATACTCATTGTGGAATTTTAAGGTATTGCATATTGAAAGCAATGTGAGGGGCAGATGTTTTTGGATGAGAGGTTGCCTCTTTGTTCTTAAGTTGGGTGTTTGTGTTAGAAAACTTCCCATTTGGAGAGAAATGTTTCTGAATCTTAGCCTGTTGCTTCTACATGTTCCCTTAGAACATCCCAAACCATATTGAAAGTGCTTGTTTGTCTTTTGTTTCCACCAACCAAAGCTCTGATAGTAGAAACCAGTCTGCCTCAATCATGATATCCTCAATGCCTATGATGCTTAGTGAACACTCAGTAAATACATCTTGAGTCAATGAATTAATGAATGGGTATCTTGTACAGCAACTCAAACTGACTAATGCCGTACT
This sequence comes from Homo sapiens, assembly GCF_000001405.40. Taxonomy (NCBI): domain Eukaryota; kingdom Metazoa; phylum Chordata; class Mammalia; order Primates; family Hominidae; genus Homo; species Homo sapiens. The sequence goes on along the minus strand of NC_000007.14, from coordinate 3,836,371 downwards.
TTTTACTCACTCGTACATTGAAGTTATGTATATGTGTATAAGTTATATATGTGACTTATACATAAGTTATAAGGATATCAGTTTTCACAATTGCATATTGAATGGCTTGGAGATGCAGAACTAATATTTATAGCTCATTTGTAAAGCAACTCATTTTAACACTACAGTTTGACATGTTGAGCTTGCAAAACATGAACACGAGTGTTATTCCACGTGGCTCATTCAGTTTGCCCACAAAGGGCCCTGCTCATGAGACTAATGAGGCCTGTGGCTTGAAAGCTGTAATTTGACTGATTTGTTCTATTTATAACACAGTCCATCTCTGAGAAATCTCCCATATTTTCTCTATATAAGCCTATACCAATACTCATATAAATAAGAGCTATTGTGAAGTCTTTCCAAGGAAGCACTTCTTCAGCCTACAATCTTGTGTGTCTTGACCTTACTGTGTCTTTATCAATCCTGTCTTTAAAACAGGCAAAGGTTTGAAAATGTAAGTGGCAGAAACTCAGGATGTGTGGGAAAATTACTATTCCCTGACTTAGAACATCCCAATCCATATTGAAATTGCTTGTTTGTCTTTTGATTCCACCAACAAAAGCTCTGAGAGTAGAAACCAGTCTGCTTCAATCATGATATCCTCAATGCCTATAATGCTTAGTGAACACTCAGTAAATACATCTTGAGTCAATGAATTAATGAATGCATTTCTGAATGCACAGATGGACAGAGAGATGAATATTCTTCCAGAAGCAGGGACTTATGCTAAGAGTTCAGGATAGGATAGGTAAGAGCTGAAAACATAGAAGGGGGGTGAGAGGACTTCCTAGGGAACTTAGGAGAAAAAATAGCTTTGGGATAGAAAGTATACGGAGGCAGGTTAATTTAATTTCCAAGTGAAAGTGTCCAGCAACGTAGTAAAGCCCATCTCACGGCACACTGTCCCTGATATTAGGTTCAACAGGGCAAGGTTTAGCCACTGTATCCAGAAGCAGCATGATTAATTTGATGAGTAAGACTGAGACAAAGAGGGACGCCCGCAACCAGCAGGTCAAATGCAGTCATAAAACAGAAGAAACATGAGTCGATAATTGAGGAAATGCATGTGGACACGCCTTCTATCTTCGGGCACCTTACTAAGTCAGACAAAGAAGCTCAAACATCAGAAGATATCAGAATTTTAGAGTCAGAGTGACCTTCAAGTCACTTGTCCTACTTTATACTTACCAAAGATTGAATGCCCAGGCTGCTATTCAGGCCTAGAGATAACATTTGATCAACTGTGATATGTGAAGTCTCAAGAGTCTTGAGTGCGATCTCCAAGGAGAAAAAGGAGAGGCAGAAAAACAAAGGAAAACATTGCACCAAAGGACTAAAGGCTGGAGAATCCTCACATCTTGGGACGAGGAGAGCCAAAAGGAGCAATAAACACCAAAAGAAAAGGAGCTACAGGAAGAACAAGCCGGTGAGCAGCATCCTCAGATGCCAGGGACGGAGAGGGGACCAGGAAAGGGAGGGTAAAAAGGCCTCACTTCACAGGCTTCCATGCACTCACTGGACAAGTATTTACTGAGCCCTTATTACTCGTCATGCACTCTTCCCGTGGCTTGCGGAAATAAGCAAAAATCCCTATCCTCGCGGAACTTACGTTCTAGTGGGTGATGAAAAACAATTATCAATAAGGATTCTCTTGGAATGGGGTTGTATTAAATGCAGAGTCTTCCTGGGGGGCACTGATATTTATAACAAGGGAGCAAATGAAAGGACGGTGGTTATGGCAGTTCCCGGTCATAGACAGTGCTGTTCTACCCCAACCCCCTTTTCCTAATCATCTCACTGCTGGTGCATCCCTCCATACGTGAAAGAAAAGATTTTCAGAGTTCTGCTAACAAAGCTGTTCCAGCATCGGAAGCAGAATTCATCGTTCCCTTGCCTGTGCTTCGGAAGCTTCTTCTACACAACTCCCTTTCGTGTGGCATTTAACACACTGTGTTCCTGTCATTTCCTGGTGCGCCAGCCTCTCCTGGCAAAAGTGAGCTCAGGGAAGGCAGGAACCACATGTCATATTCACCAAGTGTCCTCGGCATCAAGCGTAATGCCTGATAAGTATCAGACGCTCAGCGTTTTCTGAGCGGAATAGCAGAACTGTAGTCTGAGTGTTTAAAGGGCAGGGAGTTGGGGAGAATCATACACTTAGGGACAGAAGTGAGACAGAGACTCTAAAAGCCAAAGAAAATCATACTTCAACCCTTCCCTTGGTTCTTCTACATAGACATTGAAAATGGTGTAGGCTGATGCCAGTATGCCAGCTGTTTCCCTCTATAATAAGTTTACTCTTATATGCATCCCTCAGTATCCTTCCAGGTTGAGATGATATTCAAAATCTGTAGTAACATGGCAGGGTCACTAGCCAATCAAAATGGAGGCCAGTGGGGGCAACATGGCTTAATATCCATCCTTCAAGTGCAAACTGAAGAGGTGAATAGGATCCAGGTCATCTAATGCCAGGCTAGGGTTCAAGTAGAACTGCTTCCTAGATTTTCATCAAGAACATGCTGTCATGGTTTTTACAAACACTGTAAGTAAAATGAACAAAGAAACAAAAGACTCAGAATACTGCCTATTCGCTTCATACATTTTCAAATATGATGGTACCATTTTTGCATGTGGCATTTTCTCAGTTCAAGACAAGTGAAGTTTTCTTGAGTAGGCTAACGAAGTATGAAACTCCTTAAGCTTTCGGAAATGAACCAATCACCAAAGGGCAACCTATGCATATGGTTTCTATTCCTACATCATTCTGACTAATGAGGATATAAGTCTCTGATATATATAAATCTGATATAAATTCCATTTCTTTACATCCCAATGTTTTAAGGATTAGAAAGGAAGAAGTTTGAATTCTGGAGTACACTTGTGCTGAAAACTTTCCCAAATGAAAGCAAGCCTTTGTGAAATTCAACCCTGTCTGAATTAATAGAACCACAGAGTGACATCCTGTTGGAGAAAGAGAAGGGCATTTAATACCAGACATGGCCGTTAATGTCAGATGGGACACACCTCAACAAAATACATCATCAGTGAAACAGCAAACTACCGCACGGGGCCAGCCGGATGCTCGCCATTACTGACTTATGTCAGCTCTGACTCCTACTCTTTAAGTTCGACTTAGGAACTAAAATGGAAAAGCCTTCATTCTTTTAAGAGCTTCTCTAGAGTTCCGCACTTCCAGTTTTGACATTTGTATCTTCCTCCCTAGAAAAACCACAAAACCGTTATAGCCTTCACACTTCCCAGATGGTCATGCAGGCCTAATACTGAGGTGAGCTAGGGAATTCCCAGCTCACATTTTTATGATGCTCTAAAACTACATAAAATAATATCTTTGGTATCCGTCTCAAAAAGCTACACTTGCTAGTTATTCCTGGGCAAAATAACAGTTTACACTGACAAGCAGAGGTCACAGGCTTTCTTATACTTTCCTAAGACCCTCTCAGCCAAACATAGAGGTATACTAGATTGGAAGGAACTAATTTTGTGCTAAACAGGGTATTCTTCAAGATCATAAAAGGTAAAGGGGTGCAGGCAGAATAATTACCTGAAATAACAAAGAATCAGAGAGAGAGACTATTGCGAAGAACTCACTAATTAGAACACACAGAAAGAATCTACATCTCCAGATAAATTTCTGGTTCCTATTATTTCTGATATAAATTCCATTTCTTTACATCTCAGATACGAAGTGTTCTTGGAAAAGCAGGGAATATAGCACTCTGGATTTGCTAATGGTCTTCAGCATTGTTAAGTGGCCTTTCACTTTAACAGATACTTTACCTGATTTTCTGTGGGCTTGATTTAATATTCTCAAACACATTGTAAAGAACTACAATTTTAATTACCTGCTGTAATTGCCTTCTACAAGAGCCAAAAGAACATCGTTTACAATGAACAGTAATAAAACATTATGACTAAGTGGTAAAGGTGGAGTTGAACTGCTACCAAAAGGTGACCAATCGTTAGGCTGCATTCACTACAGCAGCAGCCAGATTAAGAAATTACAACATGATTTTAAAAATCAAAAACAGTTCTGCGATATAAATCATCTCAATAAGTAAAATGGTGAAAGTCTCTTTGGGGAAAAGACAAACCTGGGTTCAAAACTAACCCACGTAATCAACTGCATAAGATTAGTGAAAGTAACTTGTTGCTTTGATTTGTTACCTCATCTGCAAAAAGGGGATAATACTGACCTTATGGCCTCTTGTTTATTAAAAACGATGATTAAATGGTGGTTATTATGATTATTATATTATTATTTTAAGAGACAGGGTCTTGCTGTGTTGCCCAGGCTGGAGTACAGTGGTGTGATCTCAGCTCACTGCAGCCTTGACCTCCCTGGCTCAAGTGATCCTCCTACCTCACCCTTCTGAGCAGCTGGGGCCACAGGTATGCACTACCACACCTGGCACGTTTTTTTTGTTTTTGTTGTTAAAGACAGAGTCTCCCTGTGTTGCCCAGACTGGTCTTGAACTCCTGGGCTCGAGCAATGCTCCTGCCTCAGCCTCCCAAAGCACTGGGCATGAGTCAACATGCCCGGGTGATTAATTTTTTTTTTAATGAGATACGATATTTACATACAGGGCATACAGCAGACATCCAATGAACAGCTGTTGTTACTATTACTACAATAAGCCTTCATTATGCTTTGAACCAAATCACATCTTTCTGTCCTTAAAATTGGAAACTGAAGTTAAACCATAGGATATCAGGCCTACACTCAGCAAAAATACCATGTTATGATTGAAGAGGTTGGTACCACTCTAGGTGCTCCCTTTGAATCAGAAAATAATATATTTTCATTTTTCTGAAAGAGGAGATATGAAAAGACAATTTAGCCTAGCAACTCACACAATCTGGATTTTGAAAACCTTAAGAATTCTGAAGGAAGGGAAATTAAACAGGTGTTTCTTAATTAGCAGCTTCAGAATACTGAACTCATTCGTAAAAGGAAAAATCATACTGGGAAGGTACGAGTAGAACCATTTAGTCTAGAAAGTAACTAAAAGCTGAACCCCAGGAAATTCACCAGAATCATCGCTGTATTCAACTACTGAGTAAATACAGTTTTTCTAAGAAAAGTACATTTACAACTAGCAACTTGTTCTATGTGGTCTCATCTCGGCCAATAACCATCACTTTGCTTAGGATTTTTCCAGACAAGCTGTGTAATGGATGTATGTCAGAGATTGTAAAATGACTGCAGGAAAAATTCAATTTTCCATCCCCCTTGTTTGTGCCCTCCAAAAATTCCTTATCTTTCATATCAATTACAGAGACAAGGAGAGTAGACAAAGTACTTCAATGACTATACATCTAGAGTGATAAGAGCTAGAAAGAAAATGCATAAGTTATAATCTTGGGTCACTCTCAATATATTACATACTCTGAAATGTTATGTTTACATAATATGATTCCACAATGAAATTATCTTCAATTCCCTATAAACTGAAATCAGGCATTCGCTGCTGGCTAAGTCTAAGAAATTAGGTTCCAAAATCAAAGGTAAAAATTGTTAGGCCAGGTGCAGTGGCTCACTCTTGTAATCCCAGCACTTTGGGAGGCCGAGACAGGACGACTGTTTGAGCCCGAGTTCAAGACCAGCGTGGGCAACAATGGGCAGATCCTGTCTCCACAAAAATTTTTTAAAAATTAGCCAAGTGTGGTGGTGTACACCTGCAGTCCCAGCTAATCAGGAGGCTGGGGTGGGAGGATCGCTTGAGCCCAGGAGGTTGAGACTGTGGTGAGCCATGAATGTGCCACTGCACTCCAGCCTGGGTGACAGAGCAAGACCCTGTCTCCAAAAACAAAACAAAACAAAACAAAATTAGGGTTACTTTAAGTTCTAGCCCCCAAACTGCTAAAATTAAAGAACTCTTATGCTTAAATATCTGAATATAATAATTTAAATTGAGACATTTAACAAGGGGACAGAAGGGAAGGTAGATTGGAGGAATTACTAACAATGAGCTATGTGGAGGAGTTTGTAAAAAATCCGATTAGGCAAATCACTACTGAATAATTTGTATCTTTCAATAATCGCAGCATAATTGGGAGACGTAAATGAATACTCATCGTCCGTCTGCTGAACCCAACTGGTCAGTTCTGCTTGGTGAATTAATTCTCCAAGTGCTTGCCTTACTCCCTGGGTGAAGTTTACTCACTGTGCAAAATCTGCCACAACAGTTCGATGTCAATATCTGGGAATTAGGGAGTGTAATCACGCACATCAGTCATATAAATCCACTGGGACAGATCATGTCTTACTTTATGTCCTATGTGCTGTCTAATGCATTACTGATAACAAAACAACCACTTTGTTATCAGAAATTGTGACTTATTGTTCTGATGCTCCATTAGTAAGCACTGACTCCAGTGCATCTCCCACTGCACCCTTGAGCCAAACCTGTGTTTGCTGTCCGCCCAAACGTGCCTCACTGGGGTTGCAAAAGGGTGCCAGCCTCAAAGCTGCTGAGCCACAGCACACTGCTGTTCTCTGGAATGAATGTTGATCGGGAGTGGTTTTGATATCAGAACAGAAGACTTCCTTTTTTAAAACAAAACCAAGCTCCTCTGAGGTCTGCACACACAGAGCTCTTCGCAGAGAGCCTTCCTGCTGGATGGCCTCCTCCCAAGTTTTGCCTTCTCCTTGGGCTTCTCTCTTGGACACGTTTTGACCTCAAGAGCACACCCAGCCTCCATGGTATATGTTGTTCTGCTTTCATTGGAGAAACGAGGGTTTTGGGAGGGGGACAAATAAACTTTGGCTTGAATCCTCAAACTTCCCATTGACTATTCTTGTGATCTGGGTCAATAATTTAACCTCTTAGAGCCTCAGTGTCCTCAGCTTTGAAACAGAGTTGATTGTTAACTCACAGGGCTGTCGTGGAATCTAAGAAGGAAAATATACGTGACGATATCTGTCAGGTCTCAAGACATGTTAGGGCCTTCTCCTCTCTGTATGCCCTTAGAGGGTCATCAACAGTACTCTCATGTGTGATTTATAATCACATCTGCATATAGCTTCAAACAGTTGTTGTTCCTAGATCACCTAAAACAATTTTGTAAAACTGTGTATCTTTCTTACATTTTAAGCTGACATCTACCATTTTTTCATCATAAATTTGAAGGACTAAAAAGAACATAATTTCTGGTATAGTTTAATGTTTTACTATTTCAGTATATTTTAATAAAACTACCGCAGCGCATCTATATGTATTCAAAGGAATCTAAATATTTGATAAGCACGTCTAAACATTTGATACACAGCATCACCCATTTAAAAAACACATGATTCAAAGAATTGTATTAATCATATCACAGCCTCTGAAAAAACTATGCGTATAAACTTCAATCTTGGTGGGGTTCAGTAGCTCACACCTGTAATCCCAGTGGTTTGGGAGGCCAAGGTGGGAGGATTATTTGAGGCCAGAAGTTTGAGACCAGCCTGGGTAACATAGCCAGACTGTCTCTACAAAAAAAAAGAAATTAAAAAATTAGCCAGGTATGGTGGTTCATGCCTGTAGTCCCAGCTACTCAAAAGGCTGAGGCAGCAAGACTGCTTGAGCCCAGAAGTTAGAGGCTGCAGTGAGCCATGATCTCACTACTGCACTCCAGTCCATGTGACAGAGTCCTTGTGTCAAAAAAACAAAAAAAAAAAAAAAAGAACAAAAAATTCTTAAAAAAATGTTTTTAACCATATGACTCGGGGGCAAACCAAACCAAAACAAACCTTCTCTTGGATTGAGTTATTGTTACAATTATTATTGACATTCAATTAATTTTTTAAAGTATTACAAATTTTGATGAATAGGTTTTATATTTTAAAAAACTAGAAATGCATCTCTCAATGACATGAGGAATAAAGTTTAATTCTAATCTTTTCTTTTTCATAGATAAAATTTCGTTCATATAAAGCAACAGATGAAAATGGAAGAAATTTTGTTATAGAATATCTCTCAATTTTTTAAATTCCTTCTAAGTTATATGCCAAAAGTCATATAGTAATTTATTTATTTATTATTATTATTTTTGTTTTTTTGAGAGTCTTGCTCCGTCGCCTTGGTTGGAGTGCAGTGGAGTGATCTCGGCTCACTGCAGCCTTCACTTCCCAGGTTCAATTCATTTTCCTGCCTCAGCCTCCTGAGTAGCTGGGATTACAGGAGCCCACCAGCACACCCAGTTATAATTTTTGTATTTTTAATAGAGATGGAGTTTCCATATTAGTTAGGCTGGTCTCAAACTCCTGACCTCAGGTGATCCGCCCACCTTGGCCTCCCAAAGTGCTGGGATTACAGGCGTGAGGCAATGCGCCCTGTTGTCATATAGTAATGTATTAGTTAGGACAGACGTGCTTTGTTCTAATAACAAATAAATGCTGAAATCTCACTGCTTATCATACCAAGGTTTGTTTCTTACTCATAACGAGTCCAATTCTGCTTGGGTGGCCCTCCCAGGCTATTCTTCCCCTGTACTGATTCAAATATCCAGACAGCTTCCATCTTGTGGCTCAATATGTGGCCTGGCCATGGTTGTCCCCAAAGGGGAGGGAGAGCATGAAGGTAACACATTGGCTCTTAAACACATGGCCTGAAAGTGACACTTTATTCCACTGACATGGCCCTGCACCTGCAAAGGGGCTAGAAATCTCTTCCGTCCTGAGAACAAGTGGACTGTGTTACAGTTAGTAATTATCAAGTTATTTGTAATGAAGTGTCAGCTGACAACACACGTAGGTCCCACCTCGTTTTGTAGACAGCAAAAGATTGAAAACACCTGATTTATAAAATCATTTATCTCTCAGTTATCAGAGTCTTTCACTTTCTCAATTCTGCCCCTGATATTTAGAATTCTCCCTTTGGTTGGCACCTGGGCATTTACACCCTCAGATAATTGCCCATGTTAAAGATTCAGGATGAGTAAGACACGAGCCTTCCATCTCGTTCGGAAAGAAAGGAGCAGTTGCAAAATTTGACCTCAGGCATCCTCAGATCCAGTTTTAGAATGTGAATATGAAAGGACTGAAAATAGGTTCTTTGGAAATTTTACATGCCTGCCTACGCCTTGGAAATCTATATGTATCCTGAGTGATACTCAGACCAGTGACTGCTGCTTTGGGAAACCGGGCATATTGAGCTTCCCCCATATGTGTTCAAACTTTGAGGGCAAATGATCATAGCTTAACCTAAGATTTAAGACAGATTAGATTTCCTAAGATTTAACAACAGTGAAATCAGGTTGAAATAAATCACACAGGGGAAAAGGGGACACCTTGGGATGGAAAGAGATGGGGATATGGTGAAGGAGGCATGAGTGGGCAATAGAAACCATCCGGTTTTGCCTTGTGGGGTGAGGAGAGAATGATGGTCTTTGTTGTGGTGAGTGAAGTCTTGCTGGGAGCCACCAGCTACACTCCTCTTCTAAAACTCATTCCCCAATCCATCCATTTGGGGCGCAGAAACGAAATATTAGACCTAGTATTTTAACTTATGTTTTCTCACCGAAAGCCCAAGAAGGAAACTAAGTTTCAATGTTATTTATTATGCAGGTTGAGTCTGTTGGTCAGGTGGCCCCAGGTGACACTCTGTACGCAAGCTATCCCAAGGAAGGGTCTGAAAATTCTCATTGTCAGAGAAGTGGACAGGATGCCCTCATAGGCATGGGATGCAGTTTCACCTTTGCCCGGAGAGGTGGATTTATGTATTTGTGTATTTCGTTTTATCTAAACTAACTCTCACAAAGTGGACAACTGAAGACGACGGCATTTCTGGGAAGAAAGCACAGATCTGAGTCACTCACAACACCAGCACAATCAGATGGCAACAAACGGCAGCAGGAACACTTGTGTCGTTAGTAGAAGCCACGTCGCCAAGAAGAAACAATTATCTGTAACCAGATGTCATAAGAATTTTTCCAAAAAACTAGATTGTATCAAGAAAATCAAGTAAAATATGGATTTCCATTCACAAAGTGCATATTGCGCCATGAGACGTCAAGTAAAGACGGAACGGAACCTTCATGATTAGCACTGCTGATTCCCGTCCTCTCTTCTGTCTGATGGTTAATGCTTAGAATTGATAAGTAACTAGGTGTTCATGCATAAGGAGTAAATGCTCAAGGCTTGTTTCCTGATGGTGTGTTTACGGAAAAGCATTAGGGACCATGGCCTAGACTTAGTTCTGTCCAACACCAGCTCAGGAGGCCAGGGCAGAGCATGCCTCACACTTCACTCCGTACAGCAGGTTCGATGCATGGCTAAATGATTAAACTCATGACTTGACTATAAAATAGACTTCCTATTTATGTTTCTGAAAAATTCTGGCAGTAAAGTGTCATACAATCTATAAAACTATGCTTGGTTCTAAATTGCTCATTTGTGATGTGGGGCTAGGCCCCAGATTGGTTTTTAGTAATATTTCAAACAGTTCCTATTGTTTTAGGAACCCGAGCCAAGTCAGAGGCCATCTGGAAGGCATCTGCCTGTTCCCCTCTCTCCCTTTAATGTTAACGGTACAAGGAAAATAGGAGAGAGTTGTACCTGGGCACACAAAAGCCATGTTTTACAGGGCAGTCCTCTGAAATGACTGTTCATGGACATTCTCAGGAATCCACTTTCAACTACTAACCCTACGTGAGTCTGCAGTTAAATTAGCATTATAGAGGACAAAAGAATGTTAAGTGGTCTTCAGAATTAAAAGCAAGGGTTTGTCAGCCTGAAGGAGGATCAGCTGAAATGATATCCTATCTGCAAATGTTGTTTGAAGAGGAGACATTAAAATGAAAGAGGTGAAAAAAACAGGAAGGAGAGAGGCAGTCATTTCTTTTTAATCCAAGCTTCATCCCTAGTAGAGAATCTCATTACATTGGACATTTTGAATATTGGATCAGAACTGATGGTATGTCTAAGGCATGTACAATGGCGTATAAACAATGACTGATTAACCACTGTATAGAATTCGTCTCATCGCCTGTGGCTTTTTTTTTTTTTTTTTTTTTTAGAGGAAGAAACTCTTATTCACATAGTAATTCAGTTCAGAAGTTCTGTTCCACAAAGGTTAACTCAACGTAAAATCTTCAAAGCAAAAGCCAAAAATAGGTTGACAGGTTCATAAAGCTTTCCCGGGTCTGACCTCGGAAGACACATCTACTCTCAGGCAGGCCCAAACCCTTCTTTTTCTGGTGTGCACCTGAGCAGTGGGAGCTGGCCATGAAAAATTCATGCAGGATGCTTCAACAGTCCCACCTATGTCCTTAACATCTGCTGGCTTCACATCACATTAAAACTTCAAAGTGGATCCACCCCTGGGATGGCAGCAAGCTCTCACCAGGGCAGCGGGGTGGAGAGTTCAGGGAAATCCTCTCCTTCCCTACAGGAATATCGGTTCAGAACATGCTGGAATTTATCTTCTTAACCACGCAAGAGGGGAGAAATGTTGAGAGATAATAATGCCATCTACTAAATATGCACTAAACAGCAGGCGGTACCATTATGGGACTGCATCTCAGTTCTAACAGTCATGCTTTCTTTAAAAAAAAATTTAAATCTAAAACCTATCTATCTTTTGCTTCCCATAAGCTTCAGGTGTAGCCACAGTATCTAGCAATTGAAAAGGGGTGACGTTTTTGAACTCTCAAGTACAAGGTTGTTGATGAAAATGTATTATTTCCTCCTGTTAGCTGGGTGACAGCGCATCACTTATTTAGATGTTTTGAGACAGGGCTAGACCTGGTTGCCGCTCCACTCTAACACGGTGCTGTCCTCAAGGAAGGAACGGATTATTACCACAACAGCAAACAAGAGGCGGGGCTGCATGACACTCCGATTTTAAACTAATTACAGCACAATCCACCAGGAATTTAATTACCAGTACCCGATCATCCCGATGGTGTTCACTACATAAAGGTTCCCTGCTTTATTCTCCCGACAGCAAGCAAAAATGTATCTTCATTAAATGATAATTGGCTGTAATATCTTTTGATTTTTCAGAAACGCTGGCCAGAAAGTTTTTACAAATTTTCCTCAATCTTGTGTGGTGTTTCCACAAAAGCCTACATCAGAAGAAAAAGATATCTAAGTCTGCAGAACACACTCTATCTTACTCCCAGTATCAATAGGTCTTGAGAATATCTAATTTCATAATAAATCTGGTGAAGAGACGCATCCTTCAATACATCACACCCTCACCAGGAGCAGGGTGGCCAGGTCCTGAACTGCAGTGTTCATTGCTTAGAGCCCTCACTGGATGCCAGAAAGAAGCACAATTAAAACAATTCTGGGGGATTCTGCAGATTAATCAAGACTTCTGACTTTTAGAGGTTTTCAAAATAAAACTTTTAGCAGAAAAAAAAACAAAAAAAAAAAACACAAAAAAACAAAAAAGCATAATTGGTTGCCATTTAACATTTACGTAAATCCCGTATGTCACCAGGAAGGTTCTCCTAAGAATTAAAATAAGGCAGTTTCCTCAATCTCCTTACTTCTCCCATTTTATCTGGCACTCATAAAAAGCAAAGAATTCATAAAGGAACAAAATGTAGGTTTTGTCCTAAGATTTAAAATAAGTCCATATCATCAACTGCCTTGTATCTCACTTTTTACACATTTTTACCTGGTGCCAATGAAAAGTTAAAAAATACATACAAAGGAACAAAATGCAACCCAGTTAATTATAATATTTATGAGTAGCTTTCAATATACTTTTCGGTCAGGGTAGAAACTGAAATTACTGAAAAAAATTTACATATTCCAATTATCTAACACCATGGTATTACGCTAGTACAGCGGTTTGCAAATTCACTGTACTCGCTTTATTTTCTGCTGGCCCTTACAGAGTAGGGAGGTAGGCAAGTACTAGGTACGGACTGTTTTATAACTTTGTGATGTTAAACAGTTTCAGTGGAATAATTCTTCTAACAGAGGAAGGCCAACTTCCTTGTTTCTGATGCAGAATTTCACCCCCTTTGACTCATTATTATCCTGGTAGTTATATTACAATTGAGTACAGATTCATATTTGCTAAACAAGATAAATGGCTCTACCTGTAAAGTTTGGAATCATTAAAATAATAACAATCTATTTGATAATACAATTTCCATTCTTTATCATAACCCTTGGAAAAAATCTTAATAAATCATCCTCATTTCTACTGTAATTCTCAATGCAGACACTCCTTTACGTCACAGTACAGCATGCACTGGGTTTTGTGAACCCCACCCCTAATCCACGTGCATCATTCTCCATGGCATCACAAAGACCCCACTCATCCTAAATCTGTGCCAAGTCTACGTTCTGCAGAGCGAGATTCAATTCCTCAAATTAAGGAGCTCAAGGCAGGATGACAGCACATCACGGCCACTTGGGACCAATTAGGCAGGCATCTGAGACCCCACTCAGTTAACTCCCACAGACGCCTGCACCCAGAGTTTGCTACAAAGATTCACCCAGGCAATTCTACTGGGCCTAAGGCAATTGTACCCCTCGAGGGCCATGTCAGGCAAATACTATCACTCCATCCCACATACTTTTCTTTTTTTTTTTTTTCTTTTTGAGATGGAATTTCATTCTTTCTGCCCAGGCTGGAGTGTAATGGCATGATCTCAGCTCACTGCAACCTCCACCTCCTAGTTTCAAGTGACTCTCCTGCCTCAGCCTCCCCTGTAGCTGGAATTACAGGTGCATACCACCATGCCTGCTAATTTTGCATTTTTTGTAGAGACAGGGTTTCACCATGTTGACCAGGCTGGTCTCGAACTCTTGACCTCAAGTAATATGCCTGCCTTGGCCTCCCAAATTGCTGGGATCACAGGTGTGAGCTACCATGCCTAGCCCCACATACTTTTCAAATCACTTGCAGGGGAAACGATTCCTTCAAGACAATTTTTAAAAAGATAAAATCCACTACTATACAAACAAATCAATATAATTCACTCATATGATATGATAATAATATTTTGAAATTTACCATCCGCCATGACTAGTTTCAACCCTATTTTCTCAACCGCATGACAATTTCATTTCATACCATGAAGCTTCATGCTGCAAACATCTGATGACAAGCCTTCTGATATGGATGTCTGAATCTAGATTAGTTCAGAGTTCCTGCTTTGGGTGATTTTCCCTTCTTTAGCAATTAACTCTTGCTAGTAGAATTTAAAGTCCAAACATGTAAAACTAAGTTTACTCAAACTAAAGTCCCCTCAAATAAAATCGACAAATACCCATGATTTGTGTGCATTGTCTTCAAGAATCAGGCTTTCAGTTAAATTAGGTGGAAAAAATGATCAACTGATTATGCTTAAATACTGCTAATTTTCGTACAACTTAATAGGTAGAATTTCTCAAAGATTTTCCTGTTAGATTAAAAGAATATAATGTATATCTAATCTAGTCCTGATTTAGGTTCATGGATACAATTCATTTAAATTGAAAGTTCTTTGTTGTTAGGAACAACATGCATTGACTGTGTATAAAAAGCAAATACTTTTTTTTTTAATTCCCAAAAAAGATCTGGCATTCAGAAGTACCACTGAGATTCACATTTTTCCGCATATCATTTTGAAGAAAGCAAGAGCCCTAAAGCTCTCCGAACTATTGGCACTGGATCAATATTAAACCGTAACTACTACACTAGAGAGAGAAAATTTATTGCAAAATGTCCTGTCAGACAGTGGTTACTGATTAAAGCAAGATTTTATTGCTTGCAGAATTACCATTTGGGATTTCAAAACTCACTTGCTATGCTCAAATGAATGAATGGGCTTGTCTTGTTTTCTCCATTTTTCTCATTCACGGCCTGCACGTAGTATGCCCCGGCATCACTGGTTGTGGTGGCGAGGATCACCAGCTGATTCTCCAATGTGATGGCTCTGTTTCAGAAAAGAAGAGGACAGTGTCAAAGCTACTCCAGGGAACTTCCTACTTGTAAGACAAAATTAATTAGGCCAACTATAAAGGAATGCCTAGAGTTTAAAAGAAGAGCTGGAAGGACAAAAACAATACACAGGCCGACTTTAAGAATACGACAACGCCAGAGAGAGCCTCTTCTGATCCAGCTGGCACACTGCAGCCCCAGTGTCTGAGCCTACCGGGTGCTCCACATCTGCGCCAGCACCTGACTGTGAAGAAGACAATGTTCTGGAACATAGACATCCAGAGTTCATTAAAACTCAGAGGTTCCTCCTCTGAGAATGCATAACAAGACCAGTTAGAAGGAATCCCTTCAATTAGAAGGCTGGACCACCACAACCCTGACCCAGCGCAAGTGAATTAGTTGTGGTTTTCTCCACCTCGAGGGAGCCTCATCAGAGGCTTTGTGTATGGATATCTACACTGGTGCGTAGAAGGAAAGTCGCCAATGGGCACAGTGCTGCCCCCCTTCAACTTAACTTCTACCATCATTATTAACTCCAGGCCACGTCTTTTTCACCTGTACTATCTCACCATGTCTTAGAAGTGCAAAGGATGAGTAAACAGTCTTCTTGATCGTGACCAAGACCTTCTCATTCATCCTGATTCTACTGGGAAAGGCATCTCTGAGACTCGTTTAATGCACCTGCCCTTTCTCTGCGCCACTGAGGCTCACAGAAGTTAAGTTGCTTGTCTTAGGTAACACAGCAACTTAACAGCAGAGAAGGGAGAAGGTGTTTTCACAGGCAGATTAATACTCATCCAATCATACCATAGAAAGACTCTCATTATACTACTTAATTTTTAAAAAAGAATAAAAACAAGAAAGACACAACTTCCATTCATCCAAGGAACTTTTATTTGAAATGGGTGTTTTATGGGATCCTTCACTTATAATTCCGTATTCTTTTTGCCAGTTAAAGAGGTGGATGAGGGTGGTAAAATTTGTTTAAAAAAGTATGGGCTGAGCGCAGTGGCTCACATCTGTGATCCCAGCACTTTGGGAGGGCGAGGTGGACAGATTGTGACGTCAAGAGATCGAGACCATCCTGGCCAACATGGTGAAACCTCATCTCTACTGAAAATACAAAAATTAGTTCGGCGTGGTGGCACACGCCTGTAGTCCCAGCTACTACAGAGGCCGAGGCAGAACAATCGCTTGAACCTGGGAGGCGGAGGCTGAAGTGAGCTGAGATCACGCCGCCACACCCCAGCCTGGTGACAGAGCAAGACTCTGTCTCAAAAAAGAAAGAAAAAAAATATGAATGTGAGTAAACTATTCATTGGCTGGTGAATTTGGCATAGAAGGTAAGATGCATTCTGAGCACCAAAATATCATTTAGTCTAAGCTCTTATTTCAAAAACAAGAGAAACATCTTAGGTCTCTAGAGTGAGTTGTGTTACCCACCACAATTGTGGTACTCTATAGGGAATAGTTACAGCACTTTCAGATTCAGATTATCTAAAATCTGTATTCTGGTAACATCAAAAGCATGCAAAATGA
Source organism: Homo sapiens (assembly GCF_000001405.40). NCBI lineage: Eukaryota > Metazoa > Chordata > Mammalia > Primates > Hominidae > Homo > Homo sapiens. Next base: position 3,819,905 of record NC_000007.14, on the reverse strand, counting down.
GTAATCTCTCATGAGGAATTTTAGCATTATAATAATCCTTTTTCTTCCTGCTACCTTTTGCAGAGCTTTTTCAAAAACTCTTGATTTTTACACATTATATAAAATTATCTTAAGAAGTTATTGCTTATTCAGGGTTCCCATAGGATATATTACTGTTTGAGGTCTCTATGACTTACTTCATGTCTCATTTATGAAAATTTCCCTATTAGGAAGTTTTCAATTTTTAGTCTCATAAAAATATTTCAATAGAGTTTTATTATAATTATTTATGACTCCTTTATAGATTCTTTTATAGAACCATAGAAATTGTTCCATTTTATTTTAGTATATGTTACACTGGCAGCTAAAATTAAATATGAATATTTACTACACATGAAGTTACACATTTAATAGTACAATTTAAAAACTGAATATATAACTTTTTCTTTGACATCTGATTTTTACCATAGTAATTTCAAATATGCCTATTGTTTCTCAGAAGTATCCTTATAAAATATCCATGAATTCTCGATATTATTTACGGCATTATTTCAAGAGTATTGAAAATAAAAAGGTACATAAAGATAAAAATATTAAAGTTTCCATCTATTATAACTTTTATCTTTAAGCTTATCTTTTTCTTTTAGTTTTTAATTTCTATAAAGGTTTAAGCCAAAATTCATGAAAAAAAAAAAACTGCTGCTGCCAAAAAGACACCATGAAAATGCTACATCTTTGGAGATCATGAAGATTAATTTCCCAGAAACCAAGTCTTTGTTCCTATCCAAATCTTTCTGAACAGAGCATTTCTACAAGAGACTGACTTTTTAAATGAAAATAAAACATCCAAAACCATTCATCTTAATTTTAAATTCTGGTAACTGCTGTAAACCTTAAGAAGAAAACCATATTTAAAGACACTAAAGCAAGTATCGTGTGCCCATCCTGTCTTCTTTCTTAGCGGCCCTGATTTTGTCGTGGCAACCATGCCTTCCCCCTGCAATCCAGCCATGCAACACAAGAGAGCTGGCCCCATTCCCAGCATCAGGTGTGGGTCTTGATCATTTTGTCCAACGTGTTCATGGTGGTGATTTTATGGCCATGATAGAAATGACCTTCACATGAAGCTGATAATTGTGGCAGCAGAATAGAGAGAACGGAAAGCACTTGGGTCCTTCATTATCTCATAGAGCCAATGAACCAACCATCCAGCAGCCTGTCCTGTCTGGGGACTTCCTGGTTCATGAGCTCAGATACTTCCTGTTGAACCGTGATAAGTTAGGGCTGCTGTCACTAGAAATCAAAACACTCCAATACAGATTCACAACAGCACATGCGATGACATCTTTTTTGGATTTAAGGGTTCTATGCACTGCAAATAAGTCCTATGTATCTGTTTCTACATATGTGTGTACACATAAAAGGTTAACAGTGGTTAGTCTGAGTGGTACAATTACAGGCCATTTCCTTTTGATTCTACCTTTTAAAATATTTTCCAGTTTTTCCACAATAAATATCACTTTTGCTATCAGAAGGTAATGAAAAGAACACAGGGGCATGCTGAGTAATTATGGTAGCAAAGTTGAATACTTTGCCCATAATATGAATTACCTGGCCTTATTATAACATAGCTCCAGATGACACATTTAAAACTTACACTGACTTCATAGAAAAATTACAATATTTGGCCTGAGAGATTTTCCTTTAACTTTATTGAAACAAATGTATGTGTGGCTTTAAATAAAATTACTTCCTTAGTCTTCCCCCATCTTTGTACATTTAAAAATGAAACCTCATCATTTTAACTCCCAATTCCATGGGATAGTAGTAAAGAGAAGAGGAACAAAAATAACTGAGTACAATATGGATGAGATGAGCTGCCGCTCGGGAGAAGACACTGCTACATCATAAAGAACAAGCTAACCGGTCCTGAGGTACGAATTATAAGCACAGGAAGGGTTTTCACAAGAGAGAAATCAATCTGTTGCTTTTCATTGCTGAGACTGATGAGCAAAGTATCTGTGCAGTTCAGTAAAGGAAGACCATTTCCAGTGAGCACTCGCTAAGTGCTTCTGGCCATTCTTCACTTGATTCTCCAACACTCTCCTGAGGTGCTAGGCAAAATCATAGTTCTCTATTTCAGAAAAGATGAAATCCGAGGAAGAGAGTAGCTAGCTGGGTCTCTGACCACCTGCATTGAGATGATGGCTAGACCCACCCCTTGGGCATGGGGGAGGGAGGGCCACCTTGCTAGGCATCGACTGGGAAGCTCCCTGCTATGTTTGCATGGCCAGGGGTTGTGGCCTTCCCCAGACCACACCAGATCAGCTGCCTTCAGGGATGTGATACTGACGTCGGAATCCTGGAAGCACAGGATTTATGGTTGGTGAAAACAGCCCACTGGGCACTGCATAGGTGCCTGAAGACCAGGAAGGAAGAGTAAGAGTATACATTCACCCTGATCACCACTGGAGCAGAATCAAGTAACTGTTTCACTATTTAATCAGCAACTATTGGAAATCCCACTCCCTGCTCAGAGTGGAGGAGACACTAACCTGAACCAGGACACACTGTTCATGTCCCATAGAGCTTCGATTGGGTGTACTTACAAGCTGTAAGAAGTAACAGGGGGCACTTTAACAACTTTCCCTTAAGAGTATCTATGGACCCAAGGGGAAGAGTTCCAGGAGGTGTCCAGAAATATTTTCATGATGTGAACATTTTCATGATGAGCTCCCAAAACTTGCACTGTAACCCATCCGTTGGCTTCCATGAAAATATAAATTGTCTTTGGTTATCAATAAGTATTTTGCTCTTTAACACTTACCACAAACTAGGGTGGTAATATCCACATCAATTTATACATTATGATGAAAATTCAGTAAAATGTTTAGTAAAATAATAACTTTGCCCATTAAACATAGAAGCATAATTTGAGTCTATAGTTTTACCACTACGAACTTTAAAGTAACATTTGACTAGTTTCAATTGACCTTCAAGTACATTAACAGAAGGTCAGCGTGCAGGAAGATGCAGAATATTAGTTTGTAAAATCTTAAAAAAAAAAACCACTTCAAAATATTCTCCATTTTAATTAAGCAACTTTTAAAAGGGTTGATTCCAAGGCTTAGTGTTCTGAGTATAATCTGGATCTCATGCCTCACAATTTAAGCAAGTTCAAGGCAGACAACTTAGAAACTGATGAACTTTCCTTAGCTGTACAACGACAAGAACTAAAATTGCTTTCAATTCCTCCTTGTACCTCTGGTAGAATTCGGCTGTGAATCCATCTGGTCCTGGACTCTTTTTGGTTGGTAAACTATTGATTATTGCCACAATTTCAGCTCCTGTTATTGGTCTATTCAGAGATTCAACTTCTTCCTGGTTTAGTCTTGGGAGAGTGTATGTGTCAAGGAATGTATCCATTTCTTATAGATTTTCTAGTTTATTTGCGTAGAGGTGTTTGTAGTATTCTCTGATGGTAGTTTGTATTTCTGTGGGATCGGTGGTGATATCCCCTTTATCATTTTTTATTGTGTCTATTTGATTCTTCTCTCTTTTTTTCTTTATTAGTCTTGCTAGCGGTCTATCAATTTTGTTGATCCTTTCAAAAAACCAGCTCCTGGATTCATTGAGTTTTTGAAGGGTTTTTTGTGTCTCTCTTTCCTTCAGTTCTGCTCTGATTTTAGTTAGTTCTTGCCCTCTGCTAGCTTTTGAATGTGTTTGCTCTTGCTTTTCTAGTTCTTTTAATTGTGATGTTAGGGTGTCAATTTTGGATCTTTCCTGCTTTCTCTTGTGGGCATTTAGTGCTATAAATTTCCCTCTACACACTGCTTTGAATGCATCCCAGAGATTCTGGTATGTTGTGTCTTTGTTCTCGTTGGTTTCAAAGAACATCTTTATTTCTGCCTTCATTTCGTTATGTACCCAGTAGTCATTCAGGAGCAGGTTGTTCAGTTTCCATGTAGTTGAGCGGCTTTGAGTGAGATTCTTAATCTTGAGTTCTAGTTTGATTGCACTGTGGTCTGAGAGATAGTTTGTTATAATTTCTGTTGTTTTACATTTGCTGAGGAGAGCTTTACTTCCAACTATGTGGTCAATTTTGGAATAGGTGTGGTGTGGTGCTGAAAAAAATGTATATTCTGTTGATTTGGGGTGGAGAGTTCTGTAGATGTCTATTAGGTCCGCTTGGTGCACAGCTGAGTTCAATTCCTGGGTATCCTTGGAGGAACTGGTACCATTCCTTCTGAAACTATTCCAATCAATAGAAAAAGAGGGAATCCTCCCTAACTCATTTTATGAGGCCAGCATCATTCTGATACCAAAGCCGGGCAGAGACACAACCAAAAAAGAGAATTTTAGACCAATATCCTTGATGAACATTGATGCAAAAATCCTCAATAAAATACTGGCAAACTGAATCCAGCAGCACATCAAAAAGCCTATCCACCATGATCAAGTGGGCTTCATCCCTGGGATGCAAGGCTGGTTCAATATACGCAAATCAATAAATGTAATCCAGCATAGAAACAGAGCCAAAGACAAAAACCACATGATTATCTCAATAGATGCAGAAAAAGCCTTTGACAAAATTCAACAACCCTTCATGCTAAAAACTCTCAATAAATTAGGTATTGATGGGACGTATTTCAAAATAATAAGAGCTATCTATGACAAACCCACAGCCAATATCATACTGAATGGGCAAAAACTGGAAGCATTCCCTTTGAAAACTGGCACAAGACAGGGATGCCCTCTCTCACCACTCCTATTCAACATAGTGTTGGAAGTTCTGGCCAGGGCAATTAGGCAGGAGAAGGAAATAAAGGGTATTCAATTAGGAAAAGAGGAAGTCAAATTGTCCCTGTTTGCAGACGACATGATTGTATATCTAGAAAACCCCATTGTCTCAGCCCAAAATCTCCTTAAGCTGATAAGCAACTTCAGCAAAGTCTCAGGATACAAAATCGATGTACAAAAATCACAAGCATTCTTACACACCAACAACATACAAACAGAGAGCCAAATCATGAGTGAACTCCCATTCACAATTGCTTCAAAGAGAATAAAATACCTAGGAATCCACCTTACAAGGGATGTGAAGGACCTCTTCAAGGAGAACTACAAACCACTGCTCAAGGAAATAAAAGAGGATACAAACAAATGGAAGAACATTCCATGCTCATGGGTAGGAAGAATCAATATCGTGAAAATGGCCATACTGCCCAAGGTAATTTACAGATTCAATGCCATCCCAATCAAGCTACCAATGACTTTCTTCACAGAATTGGAAAAAACTACTTTAAAGTTCATGTGGAACCAAAAAAGAGCCCGCATCACCAAGTCAATCCTAAGCCAAAAGAACAAAGCTGGAGGCATCACACTACCTGACTTCAAACTATACTACAAGGCTACAGTAACCAAAACAGCATGGTACCGGTACCAAAACAGAGATACAGATCAACGGAACAGAACAGAGCCCTCAGAAATAACGCCGCATACCTACAACTATCTGATCTTTGACAAACCTGAGAAAAACAAGCAATGGGGAAAGGATTCCCTATTTAATAAATGGTGCTGGGAAAACTGGCTAGCCATATGTAGAAAGCTGAAACTGGATCCCTTCCTTACACCTTATACAAAAATCAATTCAAGATGGATTAAAGATTTAAACATTAGACCTAAAACCATAAAAACCCTAGAAGATAACCTAGGCATTACCATTCAGGACATAGGCATGGGCAAGGACTTTATGTCCAAAACAGCAAAAGCAATGGCAACAAAAGCCAAAATTGACAAATGGGATCTAATTAAACTAAAGAGCTTCTGCACAGCAAAAGAAACTACCATCAGAGTGAACAGGCAACCTACAACATGGGAGAAAATTTTCGCAACCTACTCATCTGACAAAGGGCTAATATCCAGAATCTACAATGAACTCAAACAAATTTACAAGAAAAAAACAAACAACCCCATCAAAAAGTGGGAGAAGGACATGAACAGACACTTCTCAAAAGAAGACATTTATGCAGCCAAAAAACACATGAAAAAATGCTCATCATCACTGGCCATCAGAGAAATGCAAATCAAAACCACTATGAGATATCATCTCACACCAGTTAGAATGGCAATCATTAAAAAGTCAGGAAACAACAGGTGCTGGAGAGGATGTGGAGAAATAGGAACACTTTTACACTGTTGGTGGGACTGTAAACTAGTTCAACCATTGTGGAAGTCAGTGTGGCGATTCCTCGGGGATCTAGAACTAGAAATACCATTTGACCCAGCCATCCCATTACTGGGTATATACCCAAATGACTATAAAGCATGCTGCTGTAAAGACACATGCACATGTATGTTTACTGCGGCATTATTCACAATAGCAAAGACTTGGAACCAACCCAAATGTCCAACAATGATAGACTGGATTAAGAAAATGTGGCACATATACACCATGGAATACTATGCAGCCATAAAAAATGATGAGTTCATGTCCTTTGTAGGGACATGGATGAAATTGGAAATCATCATTCTCAGTAAACTATCGCAAGAACAAAAAACCAAACACCGCCTATTCTCACTCATAGGTGGGAAATGAACAATGAGAACACATGGACACAGGAAGGGGAATATCACACTCTGGGGACTGTGGTGGGGTGGGGGGAGGGGGGAGGGATAGCATTGGGAGATATACCTAATGCTAGATGACGAGTTAGTGGGTGCAGCGCACCAGCATGGCACATGTATACATATGTAACTAACCTGCACAATGTGCACATGTACCCTAAAACTTAAAGTATAATAAAAATAAATAAATAAATAAATAAAAATAAAATTGCTTTCAAGTAGTTTTGGCACTAATGAGTCCCTGAATGCTCAGTACATGTTAAGTCGCCAGAGTGATATGTTTATTCCATCAAGAGCAAACACTTGCTGCTGACCATTTGCTCTGGGTGTAAGAAAAACATCTTAAAAGCAAAAGAAGAAAGAATTTGGGAAACCTGTTTCTCGTGATTTCAAACCAACAGAAACCACTAGCTGAGTTGTGTTCATTAATGGAATGCATGAATCCCTAGCACAGACCAAGAAGTCCTGGGCAAATGGGATTGCAGCTCAGCACAACTGCATTCAGGCAGGCAGGCTTGCTCAGAGGAGAAAGCCATTAAACTTCAGAACTGTGATTCTTCAGGAAAGGGTAAGTTATACTTCTGCAGTAGGAGAAAGACCAAAAGATGACCAGAGAGGGAAGAAACTAGAGGCAGGAAAAGACCAGTCAAGCCTCCACCAGTTTAGTTACCATAATGGCCCATGCCTTGAAAAACATTTCAAGTTAGTCTACGCGGGCATCCTTTTCTAGGAGAGTCATTGTTAATCTCATAATGGCAAGTATATGGAAAAATTCCATTGAATTTATGTGAATTCACCTTCTATCCAACTCTTCTATATTGACTGTCTCTCAACTCTTAAATATAGACCCAAGCGGTGGTAAGTTGCAGGGTGGAATTTCTAAAATGGTAACTCCTTTAAAATCCTTTGGATTTGAAATACGTTCAGATACACCTTTGTTTTCCCTGCACACAAGGATCCTCCAGTATTTAATCACAGAGCCAAACAGTGTGTAGTCGATAAATGTGTGTTAAATTAATGAAGAAAAAGAAGGGAATCTCTAAGTATTTGTATTTGCATTTTTACTCTGACTATTCCTTTCTGAGCTTGCACATTCAGGCACCTGGAACCCAAGCAAATACAGGAGTAATTTAACCATTTTCTAAATATCTTTGCAGTGCCTACTGTGTGTGTTAACACTGTCCAGGGAAGACATACTGGAAAATATGGTTGTTGAACACAAGGGGATATCTTACTGGCAAGAGCTGCAAAGGCATAAAAAGATAAATGATGGCAGTATGAAGTGTGTGAAGCCAGTCTGTTCATTTTACAGAGTTTTAGAGGAAAAGTAGATACGCCACACAGGCAGCAAAGTCACCACAAAGCACGCAGGTCCAACCACATCTGTTTCCCTAGTGATAGCTTTTGAAAGTGTAAAAATCTGATGGGATATCACATTAGCAAGACAGACCCAGTTCTCTAGCCTACAAGGTATTAATAACTCAGGAACAGAATGGCTGCTTCTGCAGGTGGCGTGGGAGGAAATGCCATCCCTGCTGACCATCTACCCACGTGCCTTCCACCGGAGCTCTGGCCGGGGGCTTCTGCACGGCCAGGCAGCACATCCAACTCCCTCCTGAACTGCGGGGCTGGCCTGGGGCTCCCTGACTACTCCCAGCACCATGGCCAACAGCAGCAGCAGAGAGGGGCTTTGGTGGGTGGTCAGAAAAGAGGCACAGAGGGACATCTGCCTGGGTGCATATTGTCGGTCTCTGAATTAAAGCCCAAAGAAGATGTGAGCTCAGAGCTCTTGCATCTTCTCCCAACCAAGCTCCCTGAGTTTCCTGGAACCAGAAGTAGTGTCGAACCTGACTTAAAGTTAAAATCTAATGTGGTCTGCAGAGAAGACACCTCACTTTTCTACCAGAACAAGATGATCACAGTTGACAGGAAGTAACACCATCAATGACACCATGATATTCTGTCTTAATATAGAGAGGCCCTTAACGCGATCAGGCAACTGTGACCTGGGTGGGGCAAGAGAAGTGGAACTGGATCTGGCCCCGATTTTACTCCCACAGGCTCATCACTTGGCTTTCTCATCTGTAAAATGGGGATAACAATTCTGACATCAAAAGGACACTGATGAAGTGCAAATCGGTAGTGAGGTGAATGAGGCTGGCTCAGAAGCTACAAATTCCATGTACGCTAAGTCTGAATCTGGTTCATCAGGTGTAGAATGTGACTGGCAAGTAAGAAAACAGTAAATGTCATCTACTGTCCTCTTCTAGGGGCTAAATATCAAATACTTCCTAGAGTTTTAGTTAATAGGCTTCTGTAAAAACACAGCTCGGTCACTGAATTATCACATTAGAGTCATAAAATGACCAGAAGCCTCTATTACCTAAAACAAAGCCCATCTGCTCAAGAGCGTACATGTAATAATTTAGCAAAGAGGCCTAGAAACAACTTGTCTTCGGATACTTCCACCCAGATGCCACGAACGTTAAAATCCACTTTACAAGACTTTAGTGCTGGAAAATCCCTGGCCTTTTCTCCACATGTGTTTATGTGTCATAAATAGAATTGATTCTTTTCCTTTAGGAAAGATGCTGTCTAGTAGGAGGGACAGAAAAGAAATGAAGAGATTATAGGGTAACTGTTGATGTAACTAGTGAAGGATTTATTTCATCAGGGATTTTTGCCCAGAATAAATATATTTTTTATTTATAGCAATGTTTCTTAAATTTCCTTGCTAATCTTCAAAAGCACTTCAGTCAATTTGTACTTATCCAGGGGCCTTTTGTTATTTTAACTAATTGTTTCAGCACTAGGTACAAATAAATGGCTATGCCAAATTCCTGGTGTGGTCATATGCAGAGGAACGGCATGAAGGAGGAGTTTTTACAGAGCCCAGGTTTAGGCAGAAACATTTCCAGCCAAGACTTTTTCTGCTAAAATAAAAATTCCAGGAAAAAAAAAAGAAACATGATTTAAACAAAATGTGCGGAATACATGTTTTCAGTCTTTAGATCCTTAAACAGTGGAACTTCCCAAGAGTGTAAAATCCAGTCAAATTGGAAACCATGAAAAGTGAGGACAGAAAGGCGTCTAAAAAGTAGATGAGGACCAACTAAAACTGCTCCAGATATGGGGGGGCTCCTCATGAAGAATCCTCCTCTCCCCAGGATACTCTGCAAACAGCAGTCAATTCTGAAATCAGCTCAGTTTATATAGCAAGAGAATAAAACACAATAAATAATTCCATCAAAAATTAAATAAATATGGCCATGGCTAAGCAAGACACAGCAGATACAAGAATATTCCTGGGAGGACTGTGCATGGCTGTCGGTGTCCGCACCTGCAGCCTCTGCAGAGAAGCGTTGGCCCAGCCATTCTTACTTCGTGAGCTGAGTTGGGGAAGCCTGGGGCTGGTAATTCTCGATTCCTGACAAGTCAAATGCTTTCTGTGTCTCACTTTCTGCGGAACGAGGCACTCAGGATTCCTTCTTCCCTTGTGCAGATAAAGGCGCACCAGGCAGAGGACTTGACCCTCGCTCCACGTGATGCTGCCCGCAGAGGATTATGTCTTCGTGGCTGGACCAAGCATACGCAGCAGCCGCTAGGAAGCAGAGGGCTCTTCTTTAAAAGCAAATAATAGCAGAGGAATACTAGAAAATTATGAGCAGAGTGAACTGCTTTTTGAAATGCTTTCCATCACCTTTCCAGTCTGTCACCACATTTGTTCCTCTTTGAAGGAGCATAATTTTGACCAAAGGGTTCCACTCTCGTGTTAAGACTCTTTTCGATTGCCGAGTGACAAAGCTGTGCCCAGCAGAGACGGGAGCACCTGCGATGGCTAAGGCAGACTCACAGCACCTCGAGCACAGCTGATCTCAGGGATACGGTCTGGATCTGTGTTCCATCCAAATCTCATGTTGAACTGTAATTCCTAGTATGGGAGGTGGGGCCTGGTGGGAGGTGACTGGATCAGAGTCTTGAGGGTGGATTTCTCATGAATATTTAGCACCATCCTCTTGGTGCTGTCCTCACGATAGTGACTTCTTGTGAGATCTGGCTGTTTAAAAGTGTGTGGCACCTCCCCCTTCTCTCGTTCCCTCTTGCTCCTGCTCTCGCCATGTAGCGCGCCTCCTCCCCCTTTGCCTTCTGCCATGATTAGAAGCTTCCTGAGGCCTCCCCAGGTGCAGATGCCACCATGCTTCCTGTACAGCCTGCAGATCTACGAGCCAATTCAACCCTTTTTCTTTATAAATTACCCCGTCTTGGGTATTCTCTTATAACAATGCAAGAACAGCCTAATAACCCTTGGTGATGCTGGATCCTCAGTGCACGACTCAAAACACAGGCTCCCCTAACTACAGGGATAGATCATGCTCACGCACAAACACCATCAACAATGAAGATGAAAATAAATCAATATGAAAATCCAATTTTTAATGATTTTTTTTTCTTTCTGAACGCTACTACGATAGGTATGGCATTTGTGTGTAAACAACATCTGTTGGGTTCTTTGCTTTATCAGACAGCCCGCCAGTGCCATCACTCTCTGTGACGATGGACACTGTTCTGGAAAACAAGTACAGGGAAATGGTCAAACAGCCATCAGGTAGAAACTGATGTATCAAACAGCCATCAGGTGGAAACTGATTTATCAACAAGGCTGGGAGCTCTTTAAAATCCTGGTCCCCTAAACTGAGCTTTCAGGAGGGCTTACTGCACCCTTGGTTAACTGTGACACACATGTCTCTTCTGCCTCACGGTGCAGGTCGGGCTGGGATTGAGGCCTTGCATTATTTACACCTGTGCTGGGAATTATTCAGAAGTTGCCAGTAAGCAAATCCCACTGAACCATTAGCCACAGTTGGGAGACAGACACTGGCATCCTTTCAGCATTCTGAGATTTTTCTGTGTAGGATTTCAGAGGGAGTGAACCTGCTGGCTTTGGACATACCTCCCTAGGGACCGACCCTCCATCTGCTCCTCACTCAACCACCACCTGGAGTTGTTTGTCACTTCTCAGAAGGGGCACCATGCTCCCCGTCAACTCTTCTTCTCTACAAAGCTTCTGCTCTGCCCTCCTCGCCGTCATGATGAGGAGGGCACGTTCCACGGGCCTGGCAACTGCTGTGTGCTCTGCATGCATCTCACCTAGCCCTCACGGTCATCCCACAGGGATTCAAATTCCCTTGCAGCAACCAGGGGTTAACATCAAGGTTTGGATCCAGAGATGACTGCATGGGAGTCCCTTCTCTGACACTTCCTAGCTGGTGACGCTTTGACAACGGGCCAGATGCTTGACTGACAGCACCAATGCGCAGGTCAGATGGGGATAATAATTGTATCCATCCCTTAGTGTTGGCAGGAGAATTAAACGAGATATTAAAAGGTGATTGGTACATACAGTTGGCATACACTTAAAACTCAGAAATGCTTAGCTGCTGTTATTATCTCCATGTTACAGAAAGGAAGCAGAGGCTACCAGAGGTCAAATAATTTTGCCAAAGAACATGAACAATCAAGACTCTAACCCAGCCTCCCAGCCTGTGCCCATCCCAAATGTATTCTCTCATCAAGTCCTTTAATGGTTGTCTCTGTCATCTCCCTGGCCCCAGACCCAGTGAGACAACATGCCAGGGAGAGGAATCTGTGCAAACCTTTGTTGTGAGGTTAACAGTTCTGCACCTTGGCCCACTCTCTCTGTTTCTCTCTGTGTGCCTGTCTTCGTGTGTCTTTGTCTGTCTCTGTCTCCCCCTTTCTATAGGTCTCCAATCAGATACCCCCACTGGCTAAGAAAGGCCTGGCCTATGGTAGAGGGGATCACAAAACTGGTGACGAAATGCAGGGGTAGATTTTCTGAATCTTTGGGCTTGAGGCAGCCCCTGGCATTACCATCTACCGGGAGCGCGACTATACCACAGCATGCTGGGTCTCAAGAGGGAGCCCCCACACCACCCGAGTTATGTGTGTCAGCGTTAAGCACTTCCCCTTCCTATCCTGATAGAACCCTCCTAGGCAGGCCTTCTTGGCCTTCTTTGGGACTGTTCTGGAGGTTACCTTCTCCACTAGGCAGCTGTCAGTCCCGCTAATAAGAGGCAGAGCTATGAGCCCTGGGTTCCGTCCATGAAGACTAATGAAAGCAGTTTCCTTTGGGGATGGGGTAGATTTTTTTTTCTCAAAAGGTAAGAACTTTGGACTTTCCCAGGTAAGGCTTTATAAATTCCTTTTTATTTAACATTAGGATATATCTAAAATGAGAAAATAAGATGACAACTTCAGATTTGCCTGGGTGAAATACAGCTATCGATAACTCAAAAAGGGCCGTTTTGAGAAAGTCTGAGTAAATTGAAAACATTATTAACCACAACAATACACACGTAAGATACAGGCAGGAAGCAAATTTAGGTAATATCACTCTTAGTTCCCAGACAACCCCACACAAAAATAAAAACGGGAAAAAACTGGATAAAAATAGAAAAAGGGGCAGCAGCTACTTTTCCCGTCTCCACCACCTGCCAGTTAATGATTGTGCAGTTCATTTCCATGACAAACACAACACAATAACATAAAACGTAATTGCTCCATTCATCTCCTCAGAGAACTGCAACGTGGTTTCATAGGTTGTGATGTATTTGTTCTTAGTCCTCGTCACATTTCTCCACAGGCGTTTTAGGTTTGCCACAAGCAGTATGTAACTGGTGCAAAATGATTCAAATGAACAGGTGTGAAGTTCTGCAAAGGACCAAAGGCCACAGAAAATTCTTCGCTAGGGTCTATAAAGGTAACGGTCTCTGCTGGGTGGAGAAGGCAGGGAAGGGTGAGCATCACAGAGCTCTGGGGCCCAACTCTTTAGCCGTCTGTTGGGTCACATGAGCCTTCTCGTGGTGGGCCGAATAAGGGCCCCCAAGGACATCCACGTCCTAATGTGGACATCCACATCCTAATGTGGACATCCACATCCTAATGTGGACATCCACATCCTAATGTGGACATCCACATCCTAATGTGGACATCCACATCCTAGAGATACGTTACCTCACATGGGAAAGGGACTTTGCAGATATGGTGAGGTTAAGGATCTAAAGATGGGAAGATTGTCTTGGATTATTTGGGTGAGTCCATGTGAGACAAAGTCCCAGCAGTGAGAGAGAAGTCAGAAGAGTCACTGGCAGAGGAGAAAGTTTACGCTGCTGACTTTGAAGATGGTGGGAGGGCTACAAGCCAAGCATTTGCAGTCTTTCCTTGTCTTTGACCTCAGGGCATTATCATGCAGTTTGTGGTAGCAACAGAGATCTATAGGAGGAGGAACACCTTGAAAATTCACACTGAGGAGAGAAGCACGAAAACTAGAATAGCTCTGTAAAGGAAGAAGAGGGGGCAAAGGAGCCAGGCCAGCTACAAGGAGGTGACTTGGAAGGAGAAAAAGGGTTTAAAGAGAAGTGTTTTGGTTCTCCATTAATTTGGTCATTCTTTGACAGATCACTAATGATCTGAATTGCCTTGACAATATTTCTTTTTTGGATACACTGGATGATGTTTTTCTTGTTTTGGTTTGGCCACCAAGCAAAGACTAGCACTAGATGTGTTTCATACATTTGTTCACTAATTCACTTACTCTTCTGACAAACAATTATTGAGCACTTACTGGGGAATTTACTAATATATAAGAGACTATCAAGGCTCTATAAGTCTACAGTCTACAGTCTCCACTGGGGGAACTGCTATGGTCTCAAAATACCATTTGCCACAAAAAAGAACCAGTACATTTTAGAGAAATGGTTAATTATAGGTCAGGGCAGAAAAAGTACAAGAGGAACCCAGAACATCTTATACCATATAGCAAGAAAGCAAAGACTACGTCATGTCACAAGAACTCAAGAATCAACCTGAAGAGGCTCCCGCTACCCAAGAAAGGGGCAATTTGAGCATCAATACAAAGGCATTCAAGTCAGAAAGGAAAAAGTGAACTGCCTCTATTTGCAGATGACGTGGTCTACACAGGAAATACCAAGGAATCTACAAAGCAACAGTAACAACAACACTCACTGAAGTAATAAATAAGTTCAGCAAGGGTTTCAGAATACAAGATACACATACAAAAAACAACTGTATTTTTTAGTAGCATAAAATATAGCACAAATTTCTTTTTAATGGACGAATAAAAATTGTATGTACTTATGGTGTCCAACATGATATATGAGTACCTTGTGAAATGGTGAAATCAAACTAATTAACCATACATTACCTCATGTATTTTTTTTCTTTTTGTGGTAAGAACATTTAAAATCTACTCTCTTAGTAACTTTCAAGTATGCACTCTGTTGTTAACTATAGTCACCATGCCGTTTAATAGATCTCCTGAACTTATTCCTTCTAACTAAAATTTTGTGTCCTTCGACCAATATCTCACCAATCCTTCCACCCCCAATTGTATTTCTCTATAATAGCAATGAACACGTGAAAGCCAAAATTAAAATATAACGCCACTGACAATCACTCAACAGAAATAGGTGAGAACCTAGCAAATACGTACAGAACTTGTATGCTGAAAACTACAAAAATACTAAAGAAAGAAATCAAAGTTCTACACAAATGGAGAGTGATAAAGAGTTCATGGATTGGAAAACACAACAAAGTAAAGATACTGGTTTTGTCCGAACAGGCCTACGTGTTTAATGTGATTCCTTCAAAATCTCAGCAAGATTTTCCTATAGAGAAAATATTCTAAAAATAATATGTAAAGGCAGAAGAATTAGAATAGCAAAAACAATTTTGAAAAAGAAGCAAAAAGTGGGAGGAATAAGTCTACCAGATATACAGCTATATCCAGTGTGGTATTGGCAAAGGAAAAGACAAATAGGCCAATGGGGCAAAATAAAGAACTCAGAAAGAGACCCGTAACAGTAGGGCCAAAAGATTTTTTACAAAGGGCAAAAACCAATCTGTGAAGGAAGGGAAGTCTTTTTAACAATGGTACCAAAGCAACTGGAGATTCTTAAGAAAAAAGAAAACTGACCTCAGCCAAACCCTCATATAACTGAATACAAAAATAAACCCATAAAACATCATAAATATATTTGTAAAACTGTAAAATTTTTAGGAGAAGATATCAGAGAAATTGCAGAGTTCTTAGATATGACAGCAAAAGCATAATTCATGAGTTAAAAAATTCAGTCAATTGGACTTCATCAACATTAAAATGTTTTGTTCTGTGAAAGACTCTATTAAGAGGAAAATATTGCTGGGCAGGGTGGCTCATGCCTGTAATCCCAGCACTTTGGGAGGCCAAGGCAGGTGGATCACGAGGTCAGGAGATCGAGACCATCCTGGCTAACATGGTGAAACCCCGTCTCTACTAAAAATACAAAAAATTAACCAGGCGTGGTGGCGGGTGCCTGTAGTCCCAGCTACTCAGGAGGCTGAGGCAGGAGAATGGCGTGAACATGGGAGGCGGAGCTTGCAGTGAGCTGAGATCATGCCACTGCATTCCAGCCACCACTGCACTCCAGCCTGGGCAACAGGCCAGACTCTGTCTCAAAAAAAAAAAAAAAAAAAAAGAGGAAAATACCAGTTGCAAACTGGAAGAAAATATCTGCAAAACACAAATTTGATAAAGCATACATATCTAGAATATATAAAGAACTCTTAAAAGTCAACAATTAAAAAAATCCAATTAGAAAATGGGGAAAGTGTAACAGGCGCAGTGGCTCAAGCCTGTAATCTCAGCACTTTAGGAGGCTGAGGTGGGTGAGTCACTTGAGGTCAGGAGTTTGAGACCAGCCTGGTCCACATGGTGAAACCCCTTCTCTACTAAAAATACAAAAATTAATCAGGCACAGTGGCATGCCCTTGTAGTTCCAGCTACTCAGGAGGCTGAGGTGGGAGAATTGCTTGAATTTCAGAGGTGGAGGTTGCAGTGAGCCAAGATCACACCACTGCACTCCAGCCTAGGTGATAGAGTAAGACTTTGTTTCCAAAAAAAAAAAAGAAAGAAAGAAAGAAAGAAAAGAAAAGAAAAGAAAATGGGCAGAGTACAACAAGAAGCATTTGACCAAAGAGAATATGTAAACGGCAAATAAGCACATAAAAAGTGTTGAGCATCACTAGCCATTAGGGAAATGCAAATTAAAACCATGATGACCTACCCTTCCACACCTATTAAAATGGCTAATGTAAAAAAACAGTAATGCAGAGAAACTGGAGCTCTCATATGTTGCTGAGAGAATGAAAAATAGTATAGCCACAGTGGAAAATACTTTGGTAGTTTCTAAAAAGCCAAACATATACTTACATTCGACCCACCGATTATAATCCTGAACGTTCATCTCAGAGAAATGAAAATTTACATCTACGCAAAAACCTGAATAGAAATGTTCATAGCAGCTTTATTTGTAACAACCAAAACCTTGGGATGAAACAAAAACAAAAACAACAACAAATGTTCCTCAATTGGTGAAGAGTTAAACTGCTACCTCTGTTGCACAGAATCCGGCATCACAATAAAAAGAAACAAGCCATTGATACATGCAACTTGGATGGGTCTCAAGAGTATTAGGTTAAGTGGGGGGAAAAGCCAATCCCAAAAGGTCACCTAATGTAGGGTCCACTTACATAACATTCTCAAGATGAGAAAACTGTACAGATGGAAAACAGATTAGCGGCTGCCAGGTTGGGAAGCTGCCAGGGAAGGTATGACAATTACAGGGCAGCACAAGGGGGATGGATGTCTGTGGTGACAGAACAGCTCTGTAGCACTTTTTTTTTTTTTGATATAGGGTCTCATTCTGCTCCCCAGGTTGGAGTGCAACGGCATGATCATGGCTCACTGCAGCCTTGACCTCCCTGGTTCAAGTGATCCTCCCACCTCAGCCTGCTGAGTAGCTGGGACTACAGGTGCGTGCCACCATGCCTGGCTAATTTTTATTTATTTATTTTTATTTTTTTAGAAATAAGGTCTTGGTATGTTGCCCAGGCCGGTCTTGAACTTCCAGGCTCAAGTGATCCTCCTGCCTCGGCCTCCCAAAGTGCTGGGATTACAGGCGTGAGACCAGCCCAGCACTGTATTGTGGATGTAGTGGTAGTTACACACATCTGCACATGTAGTAAAATGACAAAGAACTACAAACACACATTGTACTAGTGTCAATCTCCTGGTTTTGATATTGCACTACAGTGGTATAAAATATAAACATTGGGTGAAGGGTACATGGAACTTCTCTGAATAGTTTTTGCAACCTTCTGTGAATGTATAATTAAGTACAGTTTCACAGTAAAAAGTTAAAAAGTAAAAGAGAACAGCTCTGCTGAAGAAAAGAAAAAGGAATACCCCTACTCAATCCATGAAAGCAGAAAGTCTAAACTAAAACTAACAAGCTGTTTCATCCTCCAGCTGGTCAGCAGAGAGTTCTCACTGGAGTTTTCAGGGAGACACAAATGTTGGAGTTTGAGAATCGAATCACAAAACAGGGAGAACCACATGAAGACGGAGGTGAGAAAACCCAGAAGAGAGCTCCAAGTGCAAAGGCCCTGCAATGGGACAGGCTGGGCGTGTTCCAAGGGCCAAAGGAGGCCAAGGAAGCAAGAGGAGAAGGAACCAGAGAGACAGAGATGCAAGCTGGGAGCAGCCACAGCATCTAGAACTCACCAGGCCTTGCTCAGGGTCCTTATCAATGAGAAGGACTCATCATCAATCCATCCCTCCCAGGCCCTCCTTCCTGTTTTCGTCAAACCTGATGATCTGGTTGCTCAACCCTTAGGGCTAAGGAGAGAGGACGATAGAGAGAGAGCACAATGACAATCTACAATGGTCATAAGTAAATTATATAAATGTAGCCGTAAGAACTCAGAATGCACAGCTGAGGTCAGTTAGTGAATTTTTTAAAAAAGGATTAAACATTCAGTAGACTCTAGGGTCATGAAACAGGGAATTCATGCTTTTAATTATAACCTTGCAATGACATTGGAAAGAGAATAAATTATATGCACTATGCTCCAAAGAGAAGTGAAGACATATTAGAAAAGTTTTCATTAACCCAACCACAAAGAATGGGGGAAAGGTTATATTGATGAAATATTACATTCAGCTATTTTAAAAACCCAGTTATATGAAATAGCTAATTACACAATAATGTCTCATAAATGAAATAGTGATGTGTCTTATTTAATCATCCGCATCTATGTCTTCCCTTGCTCAAAAACCATCAGGTTAGTCTGGCTAGTTTAACTGTGCTTTGGAATATACTAGGAAAATGAAAGGAATTTGCCAAAAATTTCAATTTGTTGTGCAAATGTCTGAGTTCAGGACATTTCTGTTAGGGTGGGAAGGACAAAGGGTGTAAAAACGTGTAAAAAAGAAAGTTAAAGGGTGTTCAACTAGAACCAAGAACTGTAACAAGGACAAGTCCACTAGGCCAAGACAAAAACTGGGCCAGGCTGCTGGTATACCCGGGCTTCCAATGCACCACAGTTTCTACAGGTCAATAAGCTATCTCAAAAGGTATGAAGGACTTTGGTCTTCTGATTCAGGGATTGGGTGTGTGTATATTTAGGAGTGATCCAGACGAAAAACTCTGAATCATTTGGTATGTGATGGCAGAGAAAACAGTACTTGACTTTAAAAAAATAAAAGACGGCAGCCGAGCGAGGCAGCTCACACCTGTAATCCCAGCACTTTGGGAAGCTGAGGCGGGCGGATCATGAGGTCAGGAGATCAAGACCATCCTGGTTAACCCGTCTCTAGTAAAAATACAAAAAATTAGCCGGGTGTGGTGGTGGGCACCTGTAATCCAAGCTACTTGGAAGGCTGAGGCAGGAGAATCTCTTAAACCCAGGAGGCAGAAGTTGCAGTGAGCCAAGATTGTGCCATTGCACTCCAGCCTGGGTGACAGAGTGAGACTCTGTCTCAATAAATAAATAAATAAATAAATAAATAAGTAAGTAAGTAAGTAAGTAAAAGATGGCGATTAGTGTAGCTGAGCACACATCAGTCAGGGTAGAAATGCTCACCAATGAATAATGGGAACTAAGATCCTTACATGCCATTACTCCAGTGCCAGCTGGCTAAGAATTGAGAGAACAAGGGATTAAAAATTAGGAAATGGAAGTTTTGTGTTCCCCCATAATATTAGACACACAGGCTGGAAGCTTCCTAATACAGTATGCCAGGATATGAAATGCAAATCCTGCCCAACAGAAACGTTGGAGACTGAGAGCCAAACCCACAACCCTGCTACAATCTCACCAAAAACATCTGTTTTATAAAATCACCTATACTTGAAGGTTATCACAGAACCTGCATAGTAATCTAAACAGTAACAAAGTTCTGGGAAAGGAATATTTTTCCATCTCATGGAGACAAGGACCCAAAACTTCACCCAGGAGACAAAGAAAGAAAAGCATAGAATAAATTTTAAAAAACCCCATGAACTAAGTATTCACTTTACAGTAATTTAGTCAAATTTAGACATACAAATCAAAAGCACCTAGTTCCAAATTTAGCATTTGGAGGAGCAAGTAAACTCAGGCAAGGGTAGAGAGAAGTCACGAGCCCAGTATGGCAATTTTAGGATAAACGAGGTCATTTTTTTTTTTTTTTTTTTGAGATGGAGTCTCACTCTGTCGCCCAGGCTGGAGTGCAGTGGCGCGATTTTGGCTCACTGCAAACCCCGCCTCCCAGGTTCACGCCATTCTCCTGCCTCAGCCTCCCGAGTAGCTGGGACTACAGGTGCCCGCCACCACGCCTGGCTAATTTTTTGTATTTTTTAGTAGAGACGGGGTTTCACCATGTTAGCCAGGATGGTCTCGATCTCCTGACCTCGTGATCCACCTGCCTCGGCCTCCCAAAGTGCTGGGATTACAGACGTGAGCCACTGCACCTGGCCAGGATAAACAGGGTCTAACATATTCGTATGCCTTCAACACCGAGAAGCCTAAGTGAATAACTTAGAAGGGGCCTAAATGAGTAACTGGGAAAATGGAAAGAACATGCCACAATTTGAGATAGAAGAATTACTGGATCCTAAAGATACTATTTCTTTCCAGATTCAGTTGGAAGATTTAACACAATTTCAAAGTACATACCAACTGAATGTCCTGAAAACGAAAAATAAGTATTTTGAAGTTTATAAGAAGAAACAAAAAAGTAATAAAAAGGCCCAAGATTTTTTAAAGAGGAGAAGAAACATGAGGGACTTATTCTACTGGTTATCCAATGACATTAAATCCATACAATTACAAATAATGATTGAATAATAAATAATTGAAGGCGAAGAGACAAACCTTCCTTGCAGGAGAATTCAAATTAATAAATGTAGAAGAATGAGGGGAAGAGAAAAATGACCATTAGAAATCCACAGAAACAGTTACTGCAGGCAAGATCCACTGGTGAACGCTAAAATTAGTGGGCACAACTTCAAAGAAAAGCAGAGTATGTGCATAACCTCCAAGTATCTACGCAAAATTTAATTAATTTTTTGTGGTAGTTTTAATGTGTGTCCACAAAGTCACTGACACTTCTCCTTCTAGTAGGAGGGGGCTTAACTACTCTCCCCTTGCATGTGGGCCGGGCTAAGAGACTTGCTTCTAAGAACAGAATGTGGAAAGGGAACAATACTGGCTGACACCGCCTTAGCCGAGTGACCACCCTGTCGCTGCCAGTGACAAGTCATGTTGACGCCAAGTGCCCTGAGATGATGAGTCAGCTTGATCGTGAGAAACCATCAGACAAGTCCAAATCGAGGGACGTTTTAAAAAGCAACGGGTCAGCACTCATCAAGAGTGTCAAGTTTGGCTGGGTGCAGTGGTTCACACCTGTAATCCCAGCACTTTGGGAGGCCAAGGTGGGTGGATCACAAGGTCAGGAGATCAAGACCATCATGGCTAACACGGTGAAACCCTGTCTCTACTAAAAACACAAAAAATTAGCTGGGCGTGGTGGCGGGCGCCTGTAGTCCCAGCTACTCGGGAGGCTGAGGCAGGAGAATGGTGTGAACCCAGGAGGTAGAGCTTGCAGTGAGCTGAGATCGCGCCACTGCACTCCAGCCTGGGCAAAAGAGACAGAATCTGTCTCAAAAAAAAAAAAAAAAAAAAAAAAGAGTGCCAAGGTCATGGAAGACAAGGTCACAGATTGGAGAAGTCTACAGAGACATGGTGACTAAATGCAACATGGGAGTGCAGAAAGGATCCCAGAACAGGAAAAGATAATCAGGAAAAAAAACTGGGAAAAAGGCTCTAGTAAATGGTACTGTACCAATGAAAATTTCTTAGTTTTGATGAATGGACTAGGGTCATGTAAGATGTTAACATTACAGAAATCTGTGTGAAGGGAAAACCAGAACTCTCTTGCAACTCTTTTATAAGTCTCAAGTTATTTCAACATAAAAAAGTGATTTGAATGATCTCAAAAGCAACAACAAAAAGTTGACATCTGTACAGAAAAGTGAGCTGAAAGACAGACCATAGTGGATATAAATCATTAATATATAATAAAGGAAGAGCTAGAAATCAACAGGAGAGAAACAGTTCTGAAAACATCAAGGAACCATTCACTAGCCATTTAAAAAAATTTAGATCCTTAACTCATGCCATACAGCAAAATAAAATTCCAGGGGGCTTTTCCAAAGGAAAAGAAATTGTGGAAAAACTTCATCAATTATGACATACATAGCATGGGAGATTATACATATTTAAAAGAATAAATTAGATCTATGTAAATGGGGTTCCATGATTTTTTTTAGGTATTAAGTATGAAAACATAGAGTAAAGCATATAAAATATGATCTAATTTTTTAAAACATCGGCAATAAAAACTGTGTGTGTGTGTGTGTGTGTGTGTGTGTGTGTGTGTATACACACCCCTCTTGTACATGTACATGGCTGTATAGGGCTAAATGACTATACAGAAAAATAAGAAAATATACATTAGCTTATTTATATATGTGGAGGGAAAGAGAAAAAAAGAAAAGGTGAAAGAAGCGAAAAGGGAAAACAGGAAAAGATGAACCTTTTTAAAAGGTATATATGGGACGGGTGTGGCAGCTCACACCTATAATCCCAGCACTTTGGGAGGCCGAGGCAGGAGGAATGCTTGGAGCTAGGGGTTAGAGACCCCATCTCTACGAAAATTTAAAAATTAGCCAGGTACAATGGCACACATCTGTAGTCCCAGGTACTTGTGAGACTGAGGCAGTAGGATCACTTGAGGCCAGGAGGTCAAGGCTGCAGTGAGCTATGACTGCACCACTGCACTCCAGAGCCCAGGACACAGAGCAAGACCCTGTCTCTAAAGAAAAAAAAGAAAGAAAGAAAGAAAGAAAAAGAAAAGGAAAAAAAAAGAAAATATATGATCACATTTATGTGTATCTAAAATAAAACTTAGTTAAGTATATATCTAATTGCTACATTTGAACTTACTTTCTAAATGTAAAATTTATGTAATATACTTGACTATATAACATTGATAACTTTAGTCTCTTTAAAAAACAAGAAAACTGAAAAGCCAATGGGCAAAAATGTGTACAGCAAACAACACATTCATTTAAAATTAATAATCAATACTGCATATTTGAAAAATACTCAGCCTTAATAATCAAAAGAAACAAATCAAAAACAATGAAAGCCATTTTTGTTATCAAACCTGGGGGCAGCCAAAGGAACCCAGTGCCCAGAGATGTTGGCTTGAGCCAAGGTGGTCACGAGGGAGATGGTAAGAAGTGGTTGCGCCTGGCTATGTACTGAAAGTGGAGCCAGCAGGTGGGGTCCTGGAATGGATTGTAGGCTGGGGGGGAGAGGGGCATTACTGATGAATGGGACCAGCACTGCTCTGGGCAGGGAATGTGCAGGGGTCGCCCTGCCCTTGAGGAGCTCTGCGTCCAGCAAAGGGAAGCAACAGCGAAACAGCTTCAGAGTATCATTCTGAGATCCACTGCTATGCCCTTTACCTTCCTGATTAAGAAATTCTTTTTCACAGCCAAAGAAACCTCTCCATTTCTATTTAAGCCCCTTCCATTTCCTCTGACCATCCGTGGACACGGAGGATAAATGCTTTAGCATAGCTTTCACTTATACTTAAAGACCGCATTACATTAGTCTTGCCTTTATTAACCTACACAAATTCAATTCTCCCTTTCATTTTGCAGAACTGTTTTCTATCACTTTAATCATTATTTCTTCCTCTTCAACACATCACAGGAGGCTGAACTTATGCCTGTAAGCAAATCAAGAGAGCCAAAGAAAGAGAAAGACTACACAGAATTGTCGAACTCCAGAGCAGGCTGGTTGAGCTCAAAAAACAGTCTACGATTTTTAAAGCCAAAGATTATGAATCTATTTCTTAGCACTCTCATGATGTCTGTGTGTGCATCTGATCATGAATCATTACCTTCCCAGAAACACATTTTATGAGAGCCAAAGTTTAGATTTATTGCCCTCTCTGATATTATTCTGAGCAAAATCAGTCAATTTCACAGATTTTTACTACTTGACTCGAAGTAGAATACAAATGGGTATAAACCCATTCTTGTGACTTTATCGTATAACTGTATAATATGGGAAGAACACCAAATACTTTCAGAGTTGATGCTTCAGAAAGGGCACATTTTAAGTCAGGTATCTGTCCTCAATCTAACGTGATGGGTTCTAATACATCAGTGTCACTTTTCAATTTAACATAATCTAACTCTTCACGATAAATAAGAAAGAGAATGCCAGCTGGAAGACAGGCATTTAACAGCCAGATACAGTGAGGGGTAAAAGGAAAATTTCCATGAGCGCAGCCAATCCTCCTAGCTTTGCTCTTTAAAGTCACTAAGATTCCTTTCAGAGCCCATTTCTGAAGGAGTTCAGCGCACTTTATATTTGCTTCCAGACTCTCACATGCCTTTCTCTGTAATATAAATGATCTATAAGGCCTGAATCAGACTCCTTCCAGCAATACTGCAGGAGGTGCCAGGGTGTACTGAAAGCCAAGTCTCGTGGGGCCTGCCATGCCAAGTGGCATTAATTTACAAGACACCCTATCCAACATGCCTCTAAGGGGGAAAAAAAAATCACAGCCACAGCACATGGTCCCATCTAAGTATCATGTAAAACAGACATGTCTGAGTCCTAACACATTTCGTCTAGTATGCTAGGGCAACTTGATGTGGTTAAAAGATTTTAGAGTCAGTTGTGCCACTAACCATGGACAAGCTACTTGCCCTCACTGAGGCTCTGTCACCCTATCTGAGAACAGGAAGAACGATGCCTTGCAGGACTGCTGCAAGAAATAAAGGGAGCTACATCTGCAAAGTTTCTAGCAGAGTGCCTGGCACAGAGTTCGTCCTTAATACTGTAATAGTAACAACAACATGAATAGTGATCTTTTTTTTTTTAAATAAAAAGCTCATTAATATTTTCTTAAAGGCCAAGTTTAGTGTCCAAAAATTCATGAAGGGCAACAGACAGAGGATCTAGAACAGATGTCTTCAGGGCCAATGAAATGGAGGAAAGAGGATGATGTCCACGTAGAGCATGGATGCATCCTGTGTTGATCCATTTTCTGTTTCTGAAATTGGGTGATCTATACAGAAAGTGAATGTATATCTTACAATTACGGGGTCTGAGAAGTCCAAGGTCGAGGGACTATATCTGGGGAGGGCCTTCTTGCTGTGAGGACTCTGCAGAATCCAGGCAGTAGAGGGCCTGACATGGCAAGGGGGTTGAGGGTGCGAACTTAGGTCCCTCTTCCTCTTCTTACAAAGCCATTGGTCTCACTCCCATGATAACCATTAATCCATGAACCCATTATTCCATTAATCCATGAGCCTTCATGACCCAGTCACTTCTTAAGAGCCCCACATATCAATACTGCCACATTGGGGATTAGGTTTCCACATCAGATTCAGAGGGAATAAACATTCAAACCACAGCATGTCCCAAAGCTATGCCCTTGCCATATATGCCTTTTTTTTCTTCCTATTTTTAAAATCGTTATAAAAATTTAAAAAGAAGCTAAAAGGGGAATGTTAAATAGCAAGTTCAGGTCAGTGTCTGTGTCTTGAGGGACAGGAGATGTGGGAAGGGACATTCGGCCATGCTGCTGATCTTTTACACCTTCAAGGGGTCAGCTGGGTATGTCCACATTCACGCCGTTCTCCTTTATACTTGCTTTGCATATCTGAAATACCTCATGATACTTTTTTTAAAAAAGGTAAAATCATAAAACGTAAAATAGATTCAAAGAGTGCATTCAATTGTATAAAGATAGCATGCTTCTTAAAGATGAAACATATTTGGCATGTGGTAAGTCTGAGGGCAGCCGACTACTAGGATGTGGGGGTTGGAGGTGCCCTTAGAACAAAAGGCCTTCAGCAGTAGAGGATTTTCACATTCCCCAGAACAGGGCAGGGAGCACCCTGCTCCCGGACACCAATGAGGTCCTCATCAGGCTTAGGTAGATCCACCTACATCTTCCAAGGTGACTGCCATTGTGCAGAAATATGGCTCTCCACCCCCACCCCTGCATAAGTCCACTCCCTTTCTGTGATGCCAGAATAACCACACTCACTGCCATTAAAGAATCCAGTACTGTGAATGTGGACACTGCATTTATACTTTAAACTTTGCTTCCAACAGCTCAGTAAGTGGCAGAGGAGTGGAAGGTTTAGAAAGATACAGTTTGTAGCTTCCCAAATCTAAAGAAAAAACAAGATTGCTTAGTTGCTGACAACAGCTATAGAATCGACACAAGAAGGATACAAAAGCTGTAAAGGGCAGAGGATCACGGGTCCACTTAAAAGTTTGCACTAAGAAAGAAACCTGAAGACTATCTAAGGCACGAGGAAGCCTTTCATGAGCTGAAAGCCACCGTCATTGTGCACTGAAATATTCAGCGTTTGTCACGTCAATCGCTGGGCAGGATTTTCTTGTAGAGCATAAGATCTTCAAATACATAGCTTTTCTATCCAAGGAGAATACAACTTAGGCAGAGCTGATTATTAATAATAATCAGGTCTTTTCAAAGAGGAATGGAAGACAAGATTTAAAGCTGAGTAAATGAATCATTGACAGGATCTTTTAATATTGGAAATTTGCCTTCAAATTTAGAAATGTAATGTCTTTTACGGAAACAGACCAAAATATTAAAATTATAACCCTTACATGGAAATATAACTTTTTAAAGGGACATTTGGGTAGATATTTTTCATAACAGCACATCACTCTTCTTAATAGTACTAATTTTTGTCATTGTCCCATTTCTAGGATCTAAAATCCTTTGACCTTTTTTCCATTAGCTCCTACACAATTCTCAGTATCATTGTGAAATGAATCTTTTCCTCCCCCTTATGTGAAAGGCTTGAGTTATTACAAAGTTAACATTTCATTGTTCCAAAGCAGAACTGAATGCACTCATTAAGCTTTCTATGTTAAAACGCCAGTGCTAGAGGAAGGTGATGGGGACTGTAGGCAGGAACCATCAATGGTCCTGATGTTAAGTCAACAAGCTCAAGAGTGAGAGGTACAGAGAAGCAAATGGGTTGGATGGATGGGTGGATGGGAGACTGGAGGGGGAGGGGGTAGTAGTTGGACGGATGGATGGACAGACGGATGGATGGATGGATGGATGGATGGATGGGAGACTGCAGGAGGAGGGGGTAGTAGTTAGATGGATGGATGGACAGGTGGATGGATGGATGGATGGATGGATGGATGGGAGGGAGAAAGGGAGAGAAGGCAATATTCAGGCACCTGATGGCAGTGGGTTAGAGAGTGAGAGCATAAAAGCCTGATTTGCATTATTCGCTTATTCATCAACTAACATGAATGACACAGGTTAGTTTTCTGCTGGGTCTGCCTGGGCAGGGGAACAGTGAATATAAAGTTATATAAGTCACGGTGCATGCCCTCAAGAACGTAGATCTTAGGAAAACAACAAAATTAATTATCTAATGTTCACTAGAAATGATGGAAGAAAGAGAAGAGGAAAGCAAAGAGGGAGGAGGAAAGGCACATGCAGTTGAGTCTGTGGTGAAGGGGTGAAGGGGTTCAGGACCCATGGCCTCAGGCAATTGCAGGTCAGGATCTGGACATTTTAGGGCATGGAAGTGGGGGGCTGGAATGGTCTGGAGCCAGGCAGTTATGAGAGGCCCAGTTTAAGGTTAATGCAAGGGTTTTTTTTGTTATTTTGTTTTGTTATTTAGGAAGGGGGTCTCGTCCTGTTGCCCAGGCGGGAGTGCAGTGGTGCACTCATAACTCACTGCAGCCTTGAACTCCCGGGTTCAAGCAATCCTCATGCCTCAGCCTCTTGAGTAGCTGGGACTACAGGCATGAACCACTACATCTGGCTAATTTTTTTTTGCATTTTTTGGAAAGACAAACTCTCCCTGTGTTGCCCAGGCTGGTTTCAAACTC
This sequence comes from Homo sapiens, assembly GCF_000001405.40. Taxonomy (NCBI): domain Eukaryota; kingdom Metazoa; phylum Chordata; class Mammalia; order Primates; family Hominidae; genus Homo; species Homo sapiens. Next base: position 3,791,915 of record NC_000007.14, on the reverse strand, counting down.
CTGGGCTCAGGTGACCCTCCCGCTTCACCCTCCCTAAGCGCTGAGATTACATGCATGAGCCACCATGCCTGACTCCATGCCAGTGTCAAAGCAATGCCAGGTACTGAGGAGCTTTGTTCCATAACTGGCCAAAAGACCCAGAAAAGAATGGCATCCATAGAGCACTCTCCGAACAGATCACCCTTGATTAAGGTCAATTTCACAAACTGATTCTCCTTTCAGAGACAGGAAATTGGATTCCGCTGAGTGGGCACCTGTTGTGAGCCCACTCATCCTTCTCCAATCGTCCTCCCCACCCAAGGGAGCAAGTGGTACCATCCCACTCGGTCTCTGCCTGGGTACTGAGGGGATGAAGGCCAGGCAGCAACCACATCGGCAGCCGCATCCCTCAGGATGGCAGCCTCTGCAGCATCGTGCTATTTTGGGCTCATGACTGATGACCCTGAGGGAACCTTAGAATGACCATCTGCCACGAAGTCAGTCTTTCCTTATGCTCACACCATGATGAGCTGGTCCATATGACATGGCTTCTGCCTCAGCTTCTTGTAAAATACGGAGCCCCGATACCTAAATAATTCAAAACAGTTCCCAAAGATTAAATCTGTTTCCACAACTCCTACTCACTGGCTGTAGTTCCACGAGGCGGATTCATCTAGTCCAGCACAATGTTGCTAGGTTACACTCCTCTTCACCTAAGCTCAGGTTTTGTCTGCCATCTCAGCCCTTAATGGTACAGGTGTTTTTTTTTTTGTTGTTTTTAAACTACCACTTATGTAATATTTACTACATACCAGTCACTGTTCTAAGAGCTTTAAGAGTATTAAATAATTTTTGTCACTCCCCAGGAACTAGGCACTGCTGTTAGACCCAATTTACCGATGAGGATACTGAAGCACAGAGAGGTTAAGTAACTTGCCCAAGGTCACACAGCAAGTGAGTGACGGAGCTGTGATTCAAACCAAGCAGGGTGGCTACCTCTTTGATTACTGTCAAGTTAATTTCTACACACTTTAGCTTCTGCCCCCAAAATGAATATTCCCCTGTCCCAACCTCCCTAGCCCCAAGTTCCACAGCCCAAAAGCAACCACTACCAGACTTGGTTTTGTGTGTGTGTTTTTGGCGACAGTTTCGCTCTTGTTTCCCAGGCAATAGCATGATCTCAGCTCACTGTAACCTCTGCCTCCCGGGTTCAAGCAATTCTCCTGCCTCAGTCTCCCGAGTAGCTGGGATCACAGGCATGCGTCACCATGCCCAGATAATTTTGTATTTTTAGTGAGATGGGGTTTCACCATGTTGGTCAGGGTTATCTCGAACTCCCGACCTCAAGTGATCCACCCACCTCAGCCTCCCAAAGTGCTGGGATTACAGGTGTGACCACCACGCCTGGCCGACTGTTAGACTTTTTAACCATGTGATCTGGTATTTGCCTCTGTGTGGGCCATTCGCTTCTGATTTCTCAGCTCCAAACCCACCTTTCCACACTATTCTCTGCAGACTGGTTTTGCAGGCCCCTTTGCCAGCTGGCTCCTCGTTAGAACCTGCCATTGAGCAGCCACAGGAGACTGGAGGGCGGGAAAAGGGAGAGGGGCTTTACCATGTGTTAAATCCCTCTGTTGAAATACCTAGTATAATTTCTGTTTTCAGATATAAATATCTGAAAGTCCTCTCTCTGAACCCATTCCATTTCTTCAGAGACAGCCCCCTGGCTTCTAAACTGTGACATAAACATCAGTTGCTGGTGTCTGAGGAAGGACGGCAGAAAATAGGATAGTGGCCCCACCATTCAGTCTGCAGACTTCTCCTCTCAGGTCCTCACCTCCCACTCTGCTACACCTGGCATTTGGACTACGGGGTCTTTCTCAACTTCTCCGCTGAATAACTATTTGGTCCTCGGGAAGGGGGAGAGGTGGTGGCAGGAAATGGTGCAGAGTTAGCTGGCGACCATGCTGTGTGTAAACTTCCCACCACTCCTGCCACTTGCCCCCTACCCGCCCCCAACCCCCCAACACAGCCTGTCCTCGAGCCTGTCCAGGGTGCGCGGGTAAACTGATCTGCAGGCTCTCTGACTGCAACAGTCCCCGTTCCGCTGGTCAGCTCCTGTGTCTCCAAGTGCTTTCTATCCTGCAAAGGTCTCACAAGCCATCTCATCTACAGCCTCCTGCTGCCTCCTCTCCAATCCCTTTTCCCTCGTACCTCACACTTGATCTTCTTGTCTTTCTATCATCTTCATGGGGTTTCAGGAGGAAGAGATGATATAAGTGTAGAGTTAATGCTCCATGTTTGATCAGAAGTTGGATGATACACTTTTCCAACCTGTCACCACTTTTCTTTTTTAATTCCCAAAGTATATACACGTGACCAATGTTTCTAAAATAACCTAACACAAAAAGTCCCATTAAAATAACTAATTTTAAGAAGGGTTGCTTAGGAACACTTATTTATACCTGTAAAGTAGAAAAGCAGTTACAGGCTGGGCAGAGTGGCTCACGCCTGTAATCCCAGCACTTTGGGAGGCTGAGGCGAGTGGATCACCTGAGGTCGGGGGTTGGAGACCAGCCTGACCAACATGGAGAAGCCCTATCTCTACTAAAAACACAAAAATTAGCCGGGCGTGGTGGCGCATGCCTGGAATCCCAGCTACTTGGGAGGCTGAGGCAGGAGAATCGCTTGAACCTGGGAGGTGGAGGTTGCGGTGAGCTGAGATCATGCCACTGCACTCCAGCCTGGGTAACAGGAGTGAAACTCCGTCCAAAAAAAAAAGCAGCTACAAGTGGAATTACTTTCCCCGGTTAGTGGCCTTCCCTAGGGTCAATCTATTTCATTCTTTCAGGCTGTATCCTTGACAAACAGTATTATCATATCTTGTATATGGTCAAGCTCTGCTCCCTCAGAAAGGAGCTTGTCAGCCGTGGCACTTGTGCCAACCAATGACAACCCATGCTCAGGGAACAGAGGGGAGCCCCCGTAAACAGTTCTATTCTACATCTAAATCCCATCCCATGCCCAGGTCTTCTTCTCAGGACTGAGCAGGAGACTCACGCAGCCTACAGGCTCAGCCCTGAATTCTGTCTCCTCTCTCGGAACTGGGAGAGGCAAGGGCGAATGATGCTTTTTGAGGGACCTTTGGGTAGCACTACTTGACACACCACACAAATGACTTAAAGCAAGCTTGCCCAACCCGCGGACTGCTTTGAACACAGCCCAACACAAATTCATAAACTTACTTAAAACATTATGAGATTTTTTTCCTAGCACATCAGCCATCGGTAGTGTTAGTATATTTTATGTGGGGCCCAAGACAATTCTTTTTCCAACGTGGCCCAGGGAAGCCAAAAGATTGGACACCCCTGACCAAAAGGTATAGGAATCATGGCATCAGAATCACACAGCATGCAGAATTCTAATAGGACATGTGATTTCTTTGCCTTCGGGAGATAATTCCACTTCAAATGCAGACTGGGTGGTAGATATCACAGACAGACTTGTTCTACCCCACCTTATCCCCTCTGCACAGACTCTCCGGCCTGGCAGAAGCTAGAAAGCACGAGACTGCATTTCTCAAACTCCTTGTGGAGTTTCACACACTGACCGCACACCCTGTTATGGGCGATGGAGGGAGACACAAGGTGAGACCAGGTTTCTGCTGTTCTGACAAGCGTGCGTATGAAGGTGTCTGGTGTCCGGCAGCAGTAGCCACCCATGACTGTTGAGAGGCGGGGACACTGCTGAAGAAGCTGGTGCCCGAGCACTCTCTCCCAGAGCCAGTGAGTGCAGAGTGGCTTCCTGCTTCAATCGAAGCAGAAGGAGTGAGGTCCCGGGCCGGGAGGTGGGGCTGCAGCTTTGAGACTGTCCACTCCCCGGAGCACACGAGCTGTTTGGCATGATTCTCAGAGTCACTTCCAAGAGCCTGCCCTCCGGTCCTCCCACGGGCTCTCTAAGAAACTAACTCTCCTATTCAGTTCCTTTCTCTTCAGACTTCTGAGAGTGGCTTCTGTGCAACCGCATGTGACACTGACAGCCATACAAACTCCAGCGGTCCTGAGGTAGAAGGGCCCCAATGAAACCACGTCTTATGTTGAAATGCTTTCATGCAGGACTTCACAAAGCTACAGAACAGGTGAGGGACAGCAGAGAGAGTTGACTTGCTACACTTCTGCCATGCAGGTCAACTTCAGAGAGTTTTTTAGAGAGCATCTCTGAGTTAACTGTTTTCTGATGACCTGGCCAGTATTTTATAAGGAAAGGACAGGTAGGGCTCGGGCCAGCTGAAAAAAACAAAAAGGAATGGTCTTCCAGAGGAATGATACTTCGTATTTATAAAATGGTACTTTAGGAATCACTTAGACACAGAAATTGAGGAGAAGGGATTTTTTTTTTAACCAATGCCATTAGTTTTTCTAGAATTGCTCTCAGTTCCTGTTGGTATTTACCTCTTTTTACACAGGTTCATCTCTAGGGTAAGCTCAAATGGGAGGAACACAGCGTGTGCACAAGGCTCCAGTGTGATCAGCTGCATCATGTTGCTACGCTCTGTCACCTTTGCTTTTCTGCAAATGAAGTAACTATTTTCTTTGTGTTTTCCTGAGTTAATCAGAGTTTAGATGCTTATGTATAGAAAAAATAATTTTGTCAATTATAATTATCTTTCAAACAATGTCAGGTAATTAGGTGGGAAAAAGGAGAAAGACTAACGGCAATAGTCCACTGAGAAAAGTTTTCTGTATGGGAGTGTGTGTGTGTGTGTGTGTGTGTGTGTGTGTGTGTGTGTGATTTCAATACTAAGTCTTTTCTGGAATAAAGAATTTTAGTGACACGAATATATTGTCAAGTCTCATTTCCTATTTCCAACCTGAAAACAAAAACAATGTTTATGTCAACCACCACTAAAGTGTATGGGGAAAGATGTCTATCAATTCTGCTTGTCAGAGTAAGAGAACAATGTTTATACTCTATTTCTTCTATTTGCTTTGATATCTGAAAAAGATGAGGTGGAGCTCCAGTAATATGACTTTTATATGGATTAGTGTGTTGGTGGGGGTGTGGGGGAGCTGCAGGAGCCAAAGGGAGTTGTAGGGTGCCAGCTGTACAGTAGTACTACCGAGGTGTATTCCTCAAAACTTGTTTTAAAAAGGAAAACTGTAAAGCACAGGCACAGGTAACAGTTAAATCACGCCTCTTTTCTCCCTCTAGCCCTAACACAAACATCCATTTCATCAGCGAGAAAAAGACCAGAGAACGTACTCACTGTATAAAAATTCATCGGTATTAAGGCAAATAGGCTGTACTGTATTTCAGTCCATTCACTGAGACACAGAAATAATTTGATTAATCAGAAGACATCCAGTGCTGTTCTTTGCATTTTTGTCTGTATTCTTGTACATGGAGAGGCTTATAAGAGTATTAACTATAACCTTCTCTCTCATTATTTGTTTCACAATGTATGACCGTTGCTAGGCTAGGATTTAAGGTCCTGAACACAAAACTATCTGGTATGTTTTTTAAGTGAGAAAGAGGAGAAAAGCTACAAAATGCCCTGTAGGAAGTCTATTTCAATTAATATCACGTATTCCTCTACTCTAGGGTGAGGATTCACTAGAAAGCTGTGTTTAACTCTGCAACAAGTGGAAAACAGAGATTACTTATTATGCAGGAAGATAATAACTACAAAACAGGGCTGCACTTTAAGTCATCCAAGACATGCTTCTGTCCAGTACATAAATGCTTTTGACAAGGATGGAAGGAAGAAGGGAAAGAGTAAAAGAGATAAATTAACAGACAGAACCCAAAAGAAAGAGAACAAACAAGGAGGACTTAAGGAGAGCACTTTCGCTCTCTCTATTTCACTGCAATCCCAGCTTCTATGTTCAAAGAGACCACATTTGTGTTACCTACACGAGCACAACTGCATTATATGACAAATCCAGAAAACAAGATGCATGACCTAATAAAAGCAAGCAATCGCTAAAACTGTTAATTTGAAATAAAGACCACATTTCCTCAAGGAATATTTCTCTCACTATTTTGCATAGGGGAAAAAAGATAAATTCACATTTAACAGGATGATGATGTGACTGACAGCAGAAGCAACAACTCTCAACCAAGATCTGCATCTGTCATGCTTGGGACCTTTTTAAGAGGCTGTCTCCTCTTTCCTCACACTCACAATCTGAGCTCAGAAGTCTTATAATCATGAGCAAGTGTATTTTTTTTTAAATAAATGCCTAAATTTACTAAGTAATTTACCAGATATGTTCAAATTTCTTCCCCCTTTCCATCCAGTAGACAGTTACTTATAAAGCATTTACACCAATAGTCTGTTAAGAAAATAATTATTTAATTTGTAATGTTTTCTTATATTTTGTCTTCTGTTTTCACATGTCCTAAGCAGTCCAGCCTCCACTTTTTAAAATCTTTGAAAATACTTTTTAATTGTAAATTGACAATTCACAATTGCATAAATGTATGGGGTACAAAGTAATGTTATGATTGATTAATAAAATGTGGAATAATTAAATCAATCTCGTTAACATATCCATCAGCTCACATATTTAATGATTCTTATGGTGAGAACTTTTAAAATTTACTCTCAGACACTTTGAAGTGTACAATTCTCTATTATTAACTATATTCACCATGCTCAGCAACAAAACTAAAAAAAAAATTCCTCTTGCCTGAGATCTTTTAACTCTTGGACCATCACCTCCCTATTCCCCCCACCCTCCAGCCTCGATAACCATTATTTTACTCTCTGCTGCTATGAGTTATTGTTTCAGATTCACAGATGAGTGAGATTGTGTGATATTTGTCTTTCTGTGCCTGGCTTCTTTCACTGAGGATAACGCTCTCTGATTCCATCCATGCTGCTGCAAATGAAAGCATTTCCTTCATTTTTAAGGATGAATAGTATTCCATTACGTGTAAGTACCACGTTTTCTTTACCCAGTTATCTGCTGATGGACTCTTAGGCTGATTCCACAGCTCAGCTACTGTGAATAATGCTGCAGTAAACATTGGTGTGCACACGTCTTCAACACACTGATTTCAAATCTTTTCGGTAAATGCCCAGAGGTGGGATTGCCAGATCATATGGCAGTTCTATTTCTCATTTTTTTTGAGGAATCTCCACATAGTTTTCCACAATGGCTGCACTAATTTACATTTCCACCAACAGGGTTCCCTTTCCTTCACATCCTGGCCAACACATGTTATATTGTCTTTTTGAAAACAGCTATTCTGACAGGTGTGAGATGTAGTTTCTCATTGTGATTTCAATTTGCATTTCCTTAGTGATTTCTGATGTGACCATTTCTTCATGTATCTGTCAGCCATTTGTATGTCTTCTTTTGAGAAATGTCTATTCCAGTCCCTTGTCCATTTTTTTAATTAGAATTTTTTGTATTCTTTCTATTGAGTTGTTTGAGCTTCTTATATATTTTGGATATTAACCCCTTATCCAAAGTATGGTTTCTAAATATTTTTTCTTACTCTGTAGATTAGTTTTATAGTTTCTCATCTTATATTTAAGACTTTAATCCATTTTGAGTTGATTTTTATATTAATATATGGTGTGAAGTAAGAATCTAACTTCATTCTTTTGTGTATGGATATCTACTTTTCCCAAAGTCATTTATTGAAGGGGATATCCTTTTCTTATTGCATATTCTTGGCATAATATCTTTGTTGAAAATCAGTTGAATAGGCCAGGCATGGGGGTCATGCCTGTAATACCAACACTTTGACAGGCTCAGGGATGAGTCATTTCAGGCCAGGAGTTTGAGACTAGCCTGGGCAATATAGGGAGACCCTTTCTCTAACCAAAAAAAAAAAACAAAGAAAAGAAAAAAGAAAAAGAAAATAAATTTAAATCATATGCATGGGTTCATTTCTGGGGTCTCTAGTCTGTTTCATCTGTTGATCTGTTTCAGCCAGTCCCATGCTGTTTTAATTACTATAGCTCTGTAGTATAGTTTGAAACCAGGTAGTGTGATGCCTTCAGCTTTATTCTTTTGCTCATGATTGCCTTGGCTATTTGGGGGTATTTTTGTTTCTACATAAATTTTAGAATTGTTTCTTCTATTCCTATGAAAAATGATGTAGTTTTGATAAGAACTGCACTGAATTGGTAGGGTTGGTTTTGGTAGTATGGCCATTTAACAATATTAATTCTTCCAATCCATCAACATAAAATATTTTTCCATTTATTTGTATCTTCAACTTTTTTATCAACATTTTCTAGTTTTCAGTGTAAAGGTCTTCACTCCTTTGTTTGAACTTATTCCTAAGTAATTTTCGTAGCTGTTGTAAATGAAATTGTTCCCTTGATAACCTTTTAGATAGTTCATTGTTTGCATATAGAAATGCCACTGATTTTTGTGTGTTGATTTTGTATCCTGCAACTGTAATATATTCGTTTATTAGTTCCAACAGGGTTTTTTTTTTTTGGTGGGGTCTGTAGCATTTTCTATATATATAAGATCATGTTATCAGCAAACAGTGACAACTTCAGCTCTTCCTTTCCTATTACGATGCCTTCTATTTATTTTTCTTGCCTAACTACTCTGGTGAGGACTTCCAATGCTATGTTAAATATAAGTGGCAAGAATAGGCATGTTTGTCTATGTCAGAGGAAAGGCTTTCAATTTTTCACCACTGAGTATAATTTTAATTGTGGGATTCTCTCACACGGCCTTTGTTGTGTTGAAGTCCACTCCTTCTACAACTAATTTGCCGAGAATTTTTATAAAAAGATGAATTTTTGTCAAATGCTTTTTCGGCATCTAACAAAATGAGCACATGGCTTTTGTCCTTCATTCCATTAATGTGATATATCACATTTATTGATTTGTGTATGGTGAACCATCCTTGTATCGAAGAATAAATCCCACTTGATCATGATGAATGATCCCTTTAATGTGTTGTTGAATTCAGTTTGTTAGTATTTTGTTGAGAAATCTGCATCTATGTTCATCAAGAACACTGACCTTTAACTCTCTTTCTTATAATGTTCTTGTTTGGCTTTGGTACCAAGGTAATGTTGGCTTTGTAAAAAGATTTTTGGAAGTACAGACAATTCCTGACTTATAAAAGTTCAACTTAGAATTTTTCAACTTTACAATAATGCAAAAGCAATACATATTAAATTCAAATTTTGAATTTTAATATTTTTCTCAACTACTAATATGCAGTATGATACCCTTGCGTTACATATTCAACACTTTATTGTAAAATATAAATATAAATTCAGCACTTTGAATATACCATCTTGTTCTTTCAGTGTCTGCATGGCTTCTGCTGAGAAATCCACTGATGGTAGTATTGGTACTCCTTTGTATACGAAGTGTTTCTTATCTCTTGCTGCTCTCGGAATTTTTGTCTTTGATTTTTGATAATTGTATTACTATGTGCCTTGGTAAACTCTTCTATGGGTTGAATTTGATTGGAGAACTCTGCTTCCTGTACTTGGGTTGATATGATTTCACATTTATCCTCTCAATCTCACGGTAAACTGTGATCCACGTTCTTGGAGGTGAGGCCTGATGGGAGGTGTGTGGGTCATGGGGACAGATCCCTCATGAGTGGCTTGCTGCTCTCCCCATGGTAATGAGTTCACACAAGATCTGGTTGTTAGAAGGAGTTGGAGACCTTTTCCCATCACCTCTTGTTCCTGCTCTAGCGATGTGAGACAAGTGCTTCCCCTTTGCCTTCTGCCAGGATTGTAAGCTTCCTGAGGCCCTCACCAGAAGCACATGCTGGCACCATGCTTCCTGTACTGTCTGCAGAACCATGAGCCCATGAAACATCTTTTCCTCATAAATTACCCAGTCTTGGGTATTCCTTTACAGCAATGCAACAACAGCCTAAAACATGGGTATTGGCATCTGTTCCTATATTAGAAAAGTTTTCAGCTATTATTTCTTTAAATATAGTTTCTGGTGCTTTTTTCTCTCTGCTGTCCTTAATTCACATTATACAAAGGTGTCATCTCTTGACAGTGTTCATAACTCTCATAGGCTTTCTTCATTCTTTATCATTCTTTTATCTTTTTGCTCTTCTGGATTATTTCAAATGTTCTGTCTTCCAGATCACTAATTCTTTCTTCTGCTCGACAGTGTCTTCTGCTGAAGCTTTCTATTGAATTTTTCAACTCAGCCACTGTATTTTTCATCTCTAAGATTTGTTTTTTTTTATTGTTTCTATTTTTGGTCAAATTTCTTGCTTTCTTTGTGTACTGTTTTCCAAATTTTATTCAATTTTCTATCCATAGATTCTTGTAGTTCACTGAACTTCTTTATGAGTACTATTCTGAATTCTTTGTCAACAGTTTTACAGATCTCCATTTCTTTGGGGTCTACTATTGAAGCTTTATTAGTTTTCTTTGCAGGTGTCATGATTCCCTTGAGTCATTGTAATCCTTGTGTTATCTGCACATTTGAGAAGACAGTCCCCTTTTCTGGCCTTTACAGGTGTTCTTTGACAGGAATAGATTTCCACTATCTAATCTAGACTGTGATTCTGGAAGGGCCATCTGGTGATAATCCTGGGCAGGCAGAGCTTCATGAGAGTTCACAACTTAGTTGGGCTGCTGCTTTTGCTCTGATGTCAGGTGGGGTTGTGGGCCTGGCTTCCCTGTTTGATGAGATTGCTGGCTAAGTACTGCAATGACTTCTGGTCAGGCCAGTTACAGGATGTATTCCTTGGCCACTATTGAGATCTACAGTTGGGCAGGGCTATAGGCTGTTCTCTGAGGTTAGCAAAGTCATTGCTTGGGACAAGCAGACCAGAGGCTATGTTCCTTAGGAAATTCATGATTCAGGATTTCCTCCCTGTCAGGGTGGAGCTATGAGGTGGGCTTTTGACTGAGTTGAGTGACTGTTTGACCTCCTGGTCAGGCAGGTCTAGCCTCTATGCTTTTCTGAAATCCATGAAGGTGGGAGTCTCCCTGCTTACGTCGGGTCACTGGGTGGGCTTTTGGGCTGAGTGGAACTACTGCTTGCCTTCCTAGGTAAAGCTGATCTAACCCCTTCATTTCTCTGAAATCTGTGGAGCTGGGAGTCTCCTGGCTAGGGTGGGGTCATTGGGCAGGCTTTTTGGCTGAGTAGTGCTGCTGCTTGACTTTCTAGATCAAGCAAGACTAGCCCCTGCATTTATCCAAAATGCCAGGAGGTGGGAGTCTCTGCCTGCACAGGGTGGTTGGGTGGGCTTTCTAGCTAGGTGGAGCCACAGCTCGACTTTCTGGGTCAAGCTGATCTAGCCCCTTTGCTTCCCTGAAATGGGAGGAGGTGAATGTCTTCCTGCCTGTGCAGGCTTGTTGGGTGGGCTCTGAAGCTAGCCAGGGAGAATAGCATTCTAGGAACTCAGGCTAGGTAGAAATTCCTACCACGTTAATGAAGGCAACCAGCTTAGCTTTAAATGTGGGTTATGAAGTTGACTGGTATCTGCTATTGGGAGCCACAGCTGCCAGAAACACAGAGGTACCTCTAAGATCCATGTGCTGGTAACCATGACCTCTGCCTCCTTTCTTTGTTTCTACCTGACCCTAGGCACTGTGGCCATGCTGTTTCTCCTAGTGTTTCCTAAGAGGTGAGACCAGAGTGGGCTTCTTGTGAAGCATCCTGGAACGTTAGCATCACTAGATGACTGCCTCTGGTTCTCTTTCCCTGTGGCAGAAACTGTTGGTCCAGGGAAATCCTCTCAGTCTGGCACTGTGCCAACTTGGGAGATGGGAAGGGGCAGTGTGGTCAGAGTGAGACCATTCTTCTCACTCTCCTAATTCAGATTTCATTGAATTATGCAGATCACACAGGTATCTCAGGCTCGTTTCCAAGTGTTGACATTTTCAAAAAGATATTCTAGTCTGTGGACAGCTGCAAGTTCACCTTTTGGTGTGTGGGGGTCAGGGGAGTAGAGACTGAGGCTTCTGATTCCACTATCTTGCTGACATCATGCTCATCATCTTTTTTTTTTTTTTTTTTTTTTTGAGACGGAGTCTCCCTCTGTCGCCCAGGCCGGACTGCGGACTGCAGTGGTGCAATCTCGGCTCACTGCAAGCTCCGCTTCCCGGGTTCACGCCATTCTCCTGCCTCAGCCTCCCGAGTAGCTGGGACTACAGGCGCCCGCCACCGCGCCCGGCTAATTTTTTGTATTTCCAGTAGAGACGGGGTTTCACCTTGTTAGCCAGGATGGTCTCGATCTCCTGACCTCATGATCCACCCGCCTCGGCCTCCCAAAGTGCTGGGATTACAGGCGTGAGCCACCGCGCCCGGACTCATCATCTTAACTTTATTATTTTTTGAATATTTTAGTTTAGTTGCAGATTCTTATTTTAAATAGTATTAGAGAAAAGGAGAAGCAATATAAAGATCGTCAATATCCAAATATGAAAACGGTTTTCCAATCACCGATGTTTAAATATAAACAGGTCAGATTTGGTTAAATTTGTCCTTGTTTTTTTTTTTTAAAAAAAATAGGTTACTGGCTTTGCCACACCACTTCACAAACAAAAATCAACTACTGTTCGATGTCTCCCATCTGTCTCAGAATACGTTGTCATTCTGGTAGCTACAATGCAAAAGACGGAGCTGCCTTGCTCTTATCCACTCAAGAATGGGGATTTATTGCAGGCCATTTTTAAACTACTCTAGCCCTAACGTAATTGCTTTCTGAAGCGTAGGAGAGACAAGTTGGCCAACTCCAGCTCTGTATTCATTTTATTCACAATTTCTTGGACCAGATGGTATACCTAGTCCTAAAGATAGTGTGTTTATTTTTTCACATCAATCAATTTAAAATAATATAATCAGAAAAGAAACTCCGCAGAATTCTTAGCCAAATGATAAAAAAGGAACATCCATAATTTAATACTGCCTTTGTTAATTTCATTTTACTCTAAGGCATTCAATTAAAGTGTCATGCAATAAAAGCTGCTGCTACAATGGAATCTCAAATCCTATTAAGTGTCAAGGATGTTAAACCTACAAAACTAACAGATTCTTTAGTCTGAAACCATTTAGGTACTTTATAGTGCTGCCAGCTAGTCTCCCACCTGAGTAGTGTTTTACTGGAAAGGCGGTCTATAATTTGTAATCATTGAAGCACTTTGAAATCGACCCTGCAGGGCCCTTCAACCTTATTCAGTTTACATTAAATAATTATGAACTCATCATTTTGTTTAAGCTTATGTTTAAAGTCAGCCATTCCGCCAAGTATACTCTGTTAAGATTAAATATATTTTAGTTTACGGAACATGGTGGATTCACGTTTGATCTAAAAATACTTCAACCTACTATAAGCATACGTGAAGTGCTTTCGCTACAATGAAATACAAAACATACACTTATGCTGTCAGTGTAAAAATATAGATGTGTGCAGGCAGCCTGGTCAGATCTGTAGAAATAACTGTTAGATGAAACAAAAACATTCTCTGGGTCTATTTGCCAGATGTAAAAAGATAGAAAATACGAACTTTAACCCAGAGAGTTAAGAAACCGTGCAATGGGAAATAGCGTTTCTCAAGGAGGCTTTTTGTTCAAAGCCAAAACACTTAACAAAAGCATTAGTTTTAAAATCTAAGCCATGAGGGCATTTTCTAAAATATAGTATCACCTTGCTTTTTCATGCTGAGATATTTTCTTTAGGAAACTACTATTAAAATATGGACTAATATAAGTTAGGAAAAAAAAACCTCCAGCTTCAAATGAAACTTCTTTCTTAATAAGGAAAACAAACATTTGCTTAAAGGTGGGAAGACTTTCATTTTATACACTACTGGTTGCTACAAGATGGGAGACACGACGGCATGGGAAATGCATTGCTCTACTTGATTTTTATGGGCAAAAAAAATGTTACTTTGTCAGAAAGGAAGGCAAGACAATAACCAACAAAAACTTCAAACTACTTATGTAAAACAAAATCATGTTAGAAAATGTCAGCTGCCAAATCACAATGTCCATCATTCCCTGCTGATCCTTTCTCAGCATGAAGCTGTGGCTTTTATTGTTTATAATTAGGGGAGAAGAAAAAAGAAAAGGACCATGTCTCCTTTTGTAATTGACCTATATTTTTTAGCAACACTTTAAGGACGACTTTCTGTAAAGTCTCTAAGCTTATGATAATGATTGCAAAGTAATATATACATGTGCAGTGTGGTGTGGCATGGGAAGTTTTAAGCTTATGATAATGATTGCAAAGTAATATATAGATGGGCAGTGTGGTGTGGCATGGGAAGTTTTAAGCTGGTGGTCAATCGAAAATATGTGAATACCCACCCTGGACTCACAGCTACATATCACACCAGTAGCTAAGAGGGGACACTGTTGGCAGAGGGGGCTCAGGTCCTTTAGAAGCCTGCTGCTGGGCACATCAGGAGGAATGCTGTGGCAACCTGAGTACAAGGACACAGGCCTGGGTTCTGGTTCCAGCTCAGCCACAGGTTGGCTAATTCCCATCAGAAAATGTCTCCTCATCTGTAAAATGACAACCATCCTACCGGCCCTGACGATCTCACAAGGTGAGGATCAAACTGGATTATATGAGTAAACACTTTGATAGCCATAAAGTCTTCCTCAAACATGCAACTATTTGGAAAAAGGCTTAGGAATATCTATTAAACAGGATGCCAATAAGGGCAAATTAGTGCACTGCATCTGAATATCAAGGCTGGAACGAAAGTCACTTGAAGATCAAACTCGCGTTCTGCACAGGTCTGCAGTTAGAGCATACATTTTACGTCTCAAGAGTCTTCATCACAACAAAGTTTACAGCCCTACAGTGACACTTTTATCTCATCCAATGTAAGCGCCAAGGGGGTTGAGAGTAAAATCAGAAAGAATGAGTTACAAAATAGATTTTAGAGAAAAATATCATCACAATTACCAGTGAGGAAGCAGGTATCTGAGGCGCTGGGGCAGAAGAGAGGTGAACGTGAGCAAGTGTGTGTGGGGGTGGAAACAGATCTTTCTTCCTGGATCACAGTCCGTGTGGGTATACACCGTGCTCTATGATACAGTTCTCTGCATGTTACCATGGAGATTTTGAGAAGTTTCACTATATGGTGGTTATGCAAGACTACTGACTGACATTCTCAGGTCACTGTAACAAAACCAAGGTCAATCTCTGTTAAATGTCCTTTCTAGATTCATCCTTGTCCAGGAAACTATTCTATTGGCAGGCAATTTGAGTATCTACTGTATTTCTTCCAGAAAAAAAAAAAAAGCAAAATATCTTCTTTTCTTTTTCCTAGTGGTTGTTTTATAGGTCAGTTACTGTAGGCAGTGATGAACAACTATCATCCAGAGTGACAGCTTAACCTCCATGTTTTCTGCATAGTGGTTTATACATATTCACATACTATCTTCATTTACGCCTCACAACAAACCTGTGAGATAGGTGACGAAGACATATATCCAGAAAATGTTACACAACAATGGGATCTGATCGGGTTCATAATATTGAACCAGAAATGTCAAATGTGATTGAGAAATCTGCATAATTTGTTCAGGTGATAGTAACAGAAGCCTTAAGTGATCAAAACACAAATCTGACAGAATAGATTTTCACCGTGCAACTGGGAAACAGAATGTGGGTACAGTGCATATGAAAAACTAACATCTCTGCAGTGTTCCCATGGCCCTTTGCATACACATCTATGATTGTCCTTTGCACACCAAATTGACAATGTCTGCTTACAAGTTTCTCTCTTCTGAAGACAGACAGCTCCTCCAAAGCAAATGCTACTCATTCGTTCATTAACTTACACTCAGTCATGTATTCATTCAACAGATAGTTACTGATCACACAGCATACATGAGTTGCTATCATATTTCTGACTCCAGTGTCTGGCACTTTGATGCGTGGTAGGTGATGAATGAAGAATCCTGTGGACAATGCAGGGTGGGAAATACGTTACACGTGATTAGGATCACAGTTAGGGACTGGTGGAAGATTCACTCGTTTCGAGAATCAGTGCAAATACTGGTCACAAACAACTGTGGGAAAGACAGTCAAGACTTTATCAAATAATTTTTTCATTTAAAGAGGTACTAGGCCGGGCGCGGTGGCTCACGCCTGTAATCCCAGCACTTTGGGAGGCCGAGGCGGGTGGATCATGAGGTCAGGAGATCGAGACCATCCTGGCTAACAAGGTGAAACCCCGTCTCTACTAAAAATACAAAAAATTAGCCGGGTGCGGTGGCGGGCGCCTGTAGTCCCAGCTACTCGGGAGGCTGAGGCAGGAGAATGGCGTGAACCCGGGAAGCAGAGCTTGGAGTGAGCCGAGATTACGCCACTGCAGTCCGCAGTCCGGCCTGGGCGACAGAGCAAGACTCTGTCTCAAAAAAAAAAAAGAAAAAAAAAGAGGTACTAATAAATAAAAATGTTATGAAAGGCTGATTTAGAAACATCAGTGTGAATGACCAGTCAAGCACATATGTGTCAGAGCTGGAGATACATCTGGTCTGGGAAACAGCCTTCAAATAGAAAAAAAAAAATAAAATAAAAAAAAAGGCTTTCTTTGAAAGTTGAGAAGGCAACAAAACAAAGCCACAATCTGCTACAGGTAAAATGTAAAGTATTAGGTTGAACCATAGGCAGTTGCCACTATTCCATTGCTTTTGACTTACAAAATGACAATTACATATGGTCCAACTTAATAGAAACCAAGAGGGCCAAAATAGTGAAGAAAGACTATTAGGAGCTCAAAAACCAAACACCTTAAACTATTTCTAAGCTTCTAATTTGAACTTTATTTACTGAAAACCAATAGCACATTCAGAACAATGACCCAAGTAATTCCAAAATTGCCAGTTGAGCCTTTGTAAAGGTGATTTTCTCCAGGAACAGGAGTGGGACAACACAAACAGGGCTCTCAAAAAGCTGACCCTGCCATCGATCAGCGCCGAGCACTGTCCAGCCTTCACAGTTCCCTGGGGCACTGCCCAGCCTTCACAGGTCCCCGGCAGACGCACCTTCCACAGAGGACCCACCATAGAAGCAAAAGGCTTCCCTCACAGGAATGCATGAGTGTGATAATTTAACAGTCCCAATTAGAAGTAGTCACAGCATGGTTTGTCAGACTTGTAGGATCATGGTTGTCTGGATAATAATACCAAAAATTTATAAGGCTGGACAAAGAGTAACATTCAGGAGAAGATCATAAAACCTAGAAAAATACCTCCAAATTCCACAACTATTTTTTTCAGATTATAAAAATGATACAGAGGATGATTCTGGGAAGATGGCAGAGGAGAGAGAACCAGGAGTCTGTATTCTCACCTGGACAACAATTGCACTGGCAGAATCTGTCCAGTATAACTATTTTGGAACTCTGGAGGCTACTTAAGGCTTCCAACTTCCAGAAGAAGGCTTGGACAGTAAATTGAAGTTATTTTCAGTTAATTTCAGCTCTTGGCATAATAGAGCTACCTATCCCATGCCCCAGTCCCATGGCAGGCAGCTGTGCACATGTTCCTGGAGCAGCTTGGCATACGGTTTGCAGGAGCCTTGGTAGGCAAAAAGGACACTGTCCTCCAAACACAAGACATCTGTTCTTATCACTGATTGCTGCTTTTGATCACAGAGGTGCAGACAAAGAGGCCAGTGGCCGCTGTTGCTGCACCTTCCCCCACTGTTGTAGGCCTCTACCAACCACCTAAAGTGACTTCCATGAGATTTAAAAGGCCAGTATTCTTTTTTTTTTTTTTTTTTTGAGATGGAGTCTCGCTCTGTCGCCCAGGCTGGAGTGCAGTGGCGCTATCTTGGCTCACTGCAACCTCCGCCTCCTGGGTTCACGCCATTCTCCTGCCTCAGCCTCCCAAGTAACTAGGACTACAGGCACCCGCCACCATGCCTGGCTAATTTTTTTGTATTTTTAGTAGAGACAGGGTTTCACCATGTTAGCCAGGATGATCTCGATCTCCTGACCTCGTGATCCACCCACCTTGGCCTCCCAAAGTGCTGGGATTACAGGCATGAGCCACCGTGCCTGGCCAAAGGCCAGTATTCTTTTATCCCCTAATTTTTCTCTTTCTCTTCTTTTAGGAAGCAGACATTGAAGATTAGGATATTCAAAAGCAACTGCATATATGAGGAAAATTAGGAAGTGCCTGTGCATGCCCAGCAAAAGGCAGAGGCTCAGAAAAGACCTGAGAAGAACTTAAGTATACACCTTAGGCTGATCCATGGCACAGAAACAGCCTACAACAACCAGCAAAACAAAAAACAAAAACAGCAAACTTTGGGTAAGGGGGAAATCTGATTTCCATATTACCTCATTAGATTCAAAAGTCCACTTTCCAACAACAACAAAAAATCACAAGGCATACAAAGAAATAAGAAAGTATCACTCATTTAAAGAAAAAAAATAAAACAACAGTAACTGTCCCTGAAAAAGCCCTGATGGCTAATATACTGGACAGAGACTTTAAAACAACTGTCTTGAAGATGCTCAAAGAAATAAAGGCAGATGTGGAGAAAGCCAAGAAAACAACGTTTGAACAAAATGGAAATATAAATAAAGACAGAAAACCAAAAAAGAAACCAAAAAGAAATTCTGGAGCAGAAAAAAAAACTGAAGTGATAAATTTACTAGAGGGATTCAAAAGCAATTTTAATGAGGTGGAAGAAAGAATCAGTGAATGTGAAGATAGGGCAAAGGAAAATATTCTCAGGAATAGAAAGAAAAAAGATTGAAGAAAAGTGAACAGAGCAAAAGGGACTTGAGGGACACAATAAAGAGGACAAACATATGTGTTATGGGAGTCCTAGAAAAAGAAGAGAGGGAGAAAGAACAGAAAGTATACTTGAAGAAATAAGGGCTGAAAACTTCCCAAATTTGAGGAAAGATGTGAATACAAACATCTAAGAAGTTTAACAATCTCTAAGTAGGAAGAACTTTAAGATATCCACATTGAGACACGTTGTAATTAAACTTCCCACAGCCAAATACAAAGACAGAATCTTGAAATCAGTGAAACTGCAGTGATTCATCACGATACATGGGATCCTCAATAAAATTATCAGCAGATTTGTTATCAGAAAATTTGAAAAAACAAAAACAAAACCCTGTAACCAAGAATCCTACAGCTAGGAAAATGGGACTTCAGATGTGAGGGTGGAATTAAGATTTCCCAGATAAACAAAAGTTGAGGGAGTTTGTTACCTGTAGACTGCTCTGCAAAAAATGCTAAAAGGAGCCCTTCTGAATGAAATGAAAAGATACTGGATAGTAACTTGGAGCTGTATGAAGAAATAAAGATTTCAGTAAAGGTAAATACATAAGCAATTGTAAAAGCTAGTATTATTTTAGCACTAGTTTGTAACTCCACTTTTTTCTATATGATTTAAGATGCTAATACTTTTTTTAAAAGCAATTATTAGTCTAAAAGCTAGTATCATTGTAACTTTGGTTTTTAACCCCACATTTTGATTTCTATGTTATTTAAAAGGCTAATGCATTTTTAAAAATTATTGATGTTTTTGGAAGTATCGTGTATGTGATTTTGTGACATCAACAACTGAAAACAGTGGGAATGAAGATATAAAAGAGCAGCACTTTGTATAATATTGAAGTTCAGCTGATATAAATCCAAATTAAGAGTATTTGACTTTAGGATACCAAATGTCATCTGCATAGTAACTACAAGAAAAACAGACGTAGAATATAAAAAAAAAAGAAAAAAATTCAAACATGTCACTACACAAAATCAACTAAACACAAAAGCAGACAAATGCAGGAAATGGAAAACCAAAAAAGTGATAAGACATATAGGAAAAAGAATAGCAACATGACGGAAGCAGGTCCCTCTTTATCAGTCAGCCATAAAAAGGAAGGAAAGTCTGACACAGGCTTCAGTACAAACAAATTTTGAGGACATTACATTAGGTGAAAGAAGCCAGTCACAAAATGAGAAATACTGTATGATCCCATTTATATGAAGTACACGGAGTAGACAAACTCATAAGACAAAAAGTAGAAGGGTGCCAGCCAAGGGCTCAAGGAAGAAGGGAATTAGGAGTTATTGTTTAATGGATTAGCATTTCAGTTCTGCAAGATGAAAAGAGTTCTGGAGATGGATGGGGGGTGATGGTTGTACAACAATATGAACGTACTCAATGGCAGTGAAGTATACATTCAAATATGGTTAAGACAGTAAATTTTTGATTATCTGTATTTTACCACAGTAAAAAAAAATTGGAAAACAAAGCTACATACTTTTAAAAGGACATTTGAAAAATGCAGAAACATGTCAAGAAATAATCTGGAAAAAAATAACAATTTCTGAGAAGACAAAGCATATTCTTTCCATGATGGATGGCTTCAAAAATTAAATCCATCCTATGAATCAAAGAGAAATGACTCAGATGTCAGTCCCTGTAACCAAAGTACAGACAGGTTAAAGGTATTCAGAACCCCAAGAGATGAACTCAGTCATACATATGCACAACAATGAGGGTGAGTTAAGTTTATTATAAAAACGGCCTCGATTCTTTATGCTCCCCTGTACCTCTGCTCTTTGCAATATGAATGTGAAATTCCTGCCTTCAGGAAGCACGTCCTTTCCTCTCCTCTTGACTCTGGGCTGATCCTGTGACTTGCTTTGGTTCACTCGACGCAAGTGAGGTGATGGCTTGCCAACTCCAAGCTCCAATTCCAAGAGGGCTTGTGCACTTCCACACTATCCTGGATCCCTGCAACCATCATGTGCACAAGCCCAGGTGGGCTTGCTGAAGAATCAGAGACCACAGAGAGAAGAGCATGACTGTGCAAGCTGAGGCCATGCTAGATGAGCCCATAGCCAGTTGATCTCCAAACATGTGAGGCAGCTCAGTCCAGATCAGCAGAGCCACCTATTTGACTTTCAGCTGAGCATCAATTAGTGCAAGGGACAAACAAAGCCAAGACCAGAAAAAACACCCAGCCAATTCAGAGGCTCATGAGCAACAATACCTGCCTATTGTGAATAAGCAGGAAAACTGGCTAGGGACCCCAGGACTGGAGGAAGATGGCAACAAAGAATGTTACCTTCCTTCCCTCACCAACAGAAGAAACTAAGCCAGGCCTCGTAACTCCTAACCCCTAACCTATCATAGAAGGCAGTCCAGGCAGGCTCATCCCTTACCTGAGCTGAACAGGAGTCCCACTGACAACAGAAGGTAAGCCTGGCAGCACAGGCAAGGGATCAACCAACTGGCAGCCCACTGAGAATCAGGAGACAGAAGGATGTTCCTTCCCCACTAGACATGAGACTCCTTTCTCACCAACACACACAAGGCAGCTGGGCAGCCACAGCAAGGGGGAATCTCTCCACAACAAGTGCCCAGGCTGGGAAGCCTCTCTACTCCACTCAGACGTTGCTGGTGAGAATGTAAAATGCTACAGGCACTCTGGAAAGCAATTTTACAATTTCTTAGGAAACTAAACATATAGCTACCACACAACGCAGCAACTATACTCTGAGATTTTTATCTCAGATAAATGAAAACTTATGTTTATGTAAAAACCTGTGCATGAATGTTCACAGAAGCCCAAAACTGTAAATATCCCAGGTGTCCTTCAATAGGTGAATGGCGAAACAAACTGTGGTACATCCATACCATGACCCATTACTTAGCAATACAAATGAATGAGTTATTAATACGTATAGCCATTTGTATGGACTTTAAGGGAATTACACTGAGAGGGAAAAATAATCTCAAATGGTTACATATTGTATGACTCCATTTAGAGAATATTCTTGAAATGACATAATTATAGAAACGGATACAGTCCAGATACAGAACAGTTCCATCACCGCAAGGATCCCTTCTGTTGCCCTTTTATAAATACATTCACCACTTTCGGCCCTGTCTCATCTCCCTCACTCCTCATAACCAGTAACCTATTCTCCATGAATGGAGACTGTAGTAGGGATATGTGAACTTACACATGTGGTAAAATTACATAGCCGTAAATACACACACACACACACACACACACACACACACAGACAATAAGTACAAATAACACTGAGAAAATCTGAGTGTTTGACTTTCAGCTGAGCATCAATTAGTACCTATTGTGAACAAGCAGGAAAACTGGCTAGGGACCCCAGGACTGGAGGAAGATCGCAACAAAGAACGTTACCTTCCTTCCCTCACCAACAGCAGAAAGTAAGCCAGGCCTGGTAACTCCTAACCCCTAACCTACCATAGAAGGCAGTCCAGGCAGGCTCATCCCTCATCTGAGTTGAACAGGAGTCCCACTGACATGGTAGATTTTATCAATGTCCATATCCTGGTCCTGATATTCCAGTGCAATTCTGCAAGATGTCACCGCTATGGCTTGAATATGTGCCCCCTCCGAAAGTCATATTGAAATTTAATTAATACCCAATGTGATAGTATTGAGAGATGGGAGCTTAGGGGCAATTGGATCATAAGGACTCTGACCTCATGAGTGGATTAATCTATCCATGGATTAATATATTAATGAGTGGATGGATTAAAGGGTTATCATAGGAGTGGGACTTGTGGCTTTGTAAGAAGAGAGACCTGAGGTTCCAGGCTCAGTCCCCCTCACTATATACTGCCCTGTACTACACCTCAGGACTCTGAAGAGAGTCCCCACCAACAAAAGGGCTCTAACCAAATGCAGACCCTTGATCTTGGACCTTTCAGCCTCCACAGCTGTTAAGAAATACATTCTTTTTCTTCATACATTACCCAGCTTCAGGTATTCTAAGCAACAGGAAATGGACAAAGACAATCACCATTGTGGGAAACTAGGTAAAGGGGTCCATGGGATCTCTCTGTATTACTTCTTAAAAGTGCATGCAATTCAATAATTGTTTCCAAATAAAAAGTCTTATTTAAAAAGCTCTACTGTAAAAAATTCAACAAAGGTTTTAGGGCACCAAGAGAACGTGGCATAATTACAACCATTTTACAGATGTCACCCGGCACACCTATAGATTTTGGTCTTAACAGGGCAAGACCATCAGAAATTTACGAATATTCATAAGAAAATGTTTCATTTTGTTCTGTGTTCCTACGGCAAGTCTACCAAACAGGATCTAAAGGAGTGGGGAAGGAAAACTGAATGGAAAATGACAATTTGGGTCATGGAGAGGGTAGAATGAGAAAGGGACTTCAGAGGAATACACGTGGGAGTTTCAGAAAGTGTGAAGCATTGGTGACTATTTCTGGTCAATTTCTCAGTGTTGAGCATAAACGTGTACCTACAGCTCTGTGCCAAACCTTTAGGCTGTACCCGATGCACACGTGAAAACTTCTGACAATATGTGAGACTAGGCGTGTAATTTATTCCAGTCAGCTGGTGGCACTGGAGCTTCCAAGAAGCAATTCTAAGACATTCCAAATGTAAAGCACATGCCTGCACTATCCATTCAGATTATCAGACACAGTCTCAGGAACTGCTGCTGAGCTGAGAAATGC
This sequence comes from Homo sapiens, assembly GCF_000001405.40. Taxonomy (NCBI): domain Eukaryota; kingdom Metazoa; phylum Chordata; class Mammalia; order Primates; family Hominidae; genus Homo; species Homo sapiens. Next base: position 3,768,488 of record NC_000007.14, on the reverse strand, counting down.
TGAGGGCTTAATAATAAAGACTTGTCTATTTAATGAAATGCTCTTTGAAGTTACTGATTTTTATTTATTTTCCTTAAAGTTTAAGGTTCAAGATGATAATGCAACATTTCATCAGCATGCTCAATCGGCTGTATTTATCCATGACAATACTGTCCTTGAGTTTTGGGGACCTTCACACTCTGCTTTATGCGGGCCATGTCTATGCTCTTGCACATCCTTCAAAGCAACAGTTTTTCTGTTGCAACTTAGGTGGTAGAGGAGAAGTATGGTTGCAGTCTATTATATTCAACGCTGCTTTAAAGAGAATAGTAAATGCAATTAGAAAGCTGGTTGCTAAACTACCAACCAGAATAATAAATGGCACGTTAATGACCATCCCTAAGACAATCAAGAGCCTGGGATTGTGCCATGCTTTTGCCTCTTATTGGCTGTGTGGCCTTAGAAAGATTAATGCCCTGCTGCTTTCCACATGTGTGAACAGGGATGAAAGTAACAGCACCTACGTATTAGAGTTATGAGGATTAAAATGGGGATGGTAAAGTAAATGGCTTAAGATAGTAACTGGCTCAAAGTAAGTGTTCAATAATCATCTCTCCTTGCTTTGGGAGACAGTCATTTTATGATAATCAATGACCTGCATAATACTTTGTTGTGCTATTTTTTTTGTTTCCTTCCAAATGATTCCTAAGTTGTTTTTTGTTTGTTTGTTTTTTGAGGCAAAATACCATCATTAGATAATTAAGAACACAGACTTGGGATTCAGACAGCCTGGGTTCAGATTCTATTTTCCCCTCCTAACTACATTACCTCATGTCTCAGTGCTTCTGTTTCTTCATCTGTAAAGTGATGAGAAGGATATTACCTAGCTCTGAAAATTAGTGGGAGAATGGAATGAGCTGGCACATGTAAAGTATTTACACCAGATCAGTGCCTGGCATAGAGTAAGCCTATGTAAGTGTTAGCTATCATGAATTTCATTTTGTGTTAAAATAAGCAATTACAAGAAAAATATGAAAGAGAAAAAACAATTTTTTTAAAAGCCTTACCATGTTCTCACACTGTAAACTGTCTCATCCCGTGGGCTTTCAGGACCACTCGGCACTTTTTTGTTTATTTGTGTGTTCTTTTTTACACATTCCCAGGCTGCTTTGCTCAATCCCCTTAGACACAATTTCAAACTTTCTCCCCTTAGTCCCTGGGTCAACTCACCAAAGGCAGTCCCAGAGTCCAAGTGTCCCTCTGCAGCCACGAGTGGTCTTCTGACTCTACCTGAGGGCCCACCCCTCCCTCCATAGTCACCTCCAGGAGTCAGCCCTCCAGTGTGTGAAGTTCACTGCCTTCTCCTCTAGATGCCTTAGAGAAGGATCTCCTCCAAGATGCCCATTCTATTCCATGCTCATTCAAACTTCTCCCAGCTGGATACACAATCCCTACTTCCTTCCTAGCTCTTCATTCCTCTGGCTTGTCCTACTAAGATTACTAATATGCTCCTAATTTCCAAATCCAAATAGCTACGAAAACCCAATGCTCTATATAACATTGCTACTTCTCTTGTGTGGAATTTAAATAGAACCACTTTTGGGCATATTGTTAAAGTGACAATGCCATGAGCTCACTCTAAGGAGTATTAATTACTCATTTATATCTTTAATTCCAAAGTATCCACATCTAATAGTCCATATATACTTGTTGACTGCTAAGAAAACTAATTCCAAAAAATTCAAAGGAACAAGCCCTAATCTCATCATTTGTTCCTATTTCTAAAGTTGTAACAGCTAGTATTAATATTAGCTTTATATTTATTATTTCTGAAGTCATAATAGCCCATAATAACCAAAAGCTATTCTTTACAGATCTTGCATGTCCTTACTAAAGCTTATTTACTAAATCCTTACTAAAAGTACTGCTCTAAGTATCTCACGTTATATTATTCCCTCTAATAACTACAAAAACCATATTAACCAGGTACACTTAGTAGTATTAAGTAGGTACAATTACCCCATTTGCTAGATAAGAAAACTGAGGCATACAAGGAAGTGACTGGTGTAGGGGAGCTGGATTAAAAATCAAGGTAGTCTAACTTCAGAGACCTCATTTTTAGTTATCATTCTGCTTTTTTCCCCGAAGTGAAAAATAAGTGAGTACACTTTGCAATTAATAACGTTTGGATCATTTTCTTGGAATAAAAGAACTTCTTGAGGCATGAATTTAGAAAGTGTTAAGACTGAGAAAAATGGACAACTACTTTACTTATTTAATATTAACTAATGCAAATGAGATACTGTGGAGATAAGAATAATGTCCTCTATAAATTAATATTCAAATTTTGCACAAAAAATTCAAGATGTCAATCCTCAAACATGAAGTTTCTACTCATCACCAAAAATTTTGGTCAACCGGCCAGAAATGTCATCTCTTGGGAAAACGCCATTTGTAAAATAAATGATACACTTATTAAAAGCATGTTCTTGTGAAGCAAGTGATCAATTCTTTGTATTACAATGTTATTGCTCCTAGGTTCTGTATCTCATGGAGGATGGTGACATCAGAAGGGAATAAATACTCTAAAACATGATCTAAGGAGGTAGTCTGAATCCTGCTGGACTCAATATTCCCTTGCTTTTTAACAGCTAATATTTAATAATGCCTCCTTTAATCCCCTGAAATAGAATCCAGATAAAACAGCCAGCCTTTTACATAGAATTTTTAAAAAAAATCAATATAATGCCCTAACAGTGATGTAAAGGAGAAACCAAAGAAGGCAATTCATAATGACTTTGCATTTCAATATGTAAATTCTGATGGCTGACTACACTGAAAGCATAATGAAGTTGTTAGATACTTCCACCTTCGTATAATGAGTATGTCTGGATGTAGAAATAGTAGAAGATTAAAAGCTATTCCATGTGAAAATACAGGAGAACAAAAGAGCACAGATACAGGTGGACACTACAACGAGAACTAGCGTTAAAAGGAAAGAAAACAAACCATTCACCACAGCGCAGGTGAATCTTACAAGCATAACGTTGAGCCAAGGAAGTCAGACATAAAAGAACAAACTCTGTTTCCTTGCATGTGAGATTCTTAGATGGAGAATAACAGTCACCTTTAGGGGCAAGGTGGTAAGGATGCAAATACTGTATTTCCCTATCTGGATGGTATTTTCATGGGCATATATTTTAAAATTCATTGGTGGTATATTCATACAATGGAATACTGTTTATTGATAATAAGGAACAAACTACTAATATATGGATGCATCTCAGAAACATTATCCTGAGTAAAATAAGCACTAGATTTTTTTTTAAAGCCACACACTATATAATTCACTTATATTGTTCTAGTACAAGCTAAACCAGTGATTCTCAAATTTTTTGCTCTCAGTATCCTTATACAGTTTAAAAACTATAATTATTAAAAGAAAACCAAAAAGTTTTGTTTTATGTTGTTATATATGTACACTTACCATATTACATTTTATACTGAGATACTTGAGATTCATAATTCATTAAAAATGACAATAAACCTTACATATTAGACTATATAACATGTTTTATGAAAAATAATACTTTCCAAAACAAAGTAAAAGTATGGCACTTTTTATTTTTAAAAATGCCTTTAATGTTTAGCTTAATAAAAGACAGCTGGATTTTCCTATCTGTTTCTGAATTCAATTTACATATTAAAATACATATTCATTATGAATTACTTTTATGTCTCCTTTATATCAAAGCTAGAATATTATATTGATTTTTTTTAAATTGTATGTTTAGGATGATTATTTTTTTTTAGATTTTTTTATTTTTTGAGACAGAGTCTCACTCTGTCGCCCAGGCTAGAGTGCGGTGGCGCAATCCCTGCTCGCTGCAACCTCTGCTTCTCGGATTCCAGCAATTCTCTTGCCTCAGCCTCCCAATTAGCTGGGATTACAAGGGCCACCATGCCCAGCTAATTTTTGTATTATTAGTAGAGGCGGGATTTCACCATGTTGGTCAGGCTGGTCTCGAACTCCTGAGCTCAGGTGATCCACCCGCCTCGGCCTCCCAAAGTGTTGGGATTACAGGCATGAGTCACTGTGCCCGGCCTAGGATGGTTATTTTAATCTATGAATTGCATCGCAGGAGAATAATAGGGCCATGATTAAATATTTGTTGTAAAAAAGGGGGGTATTTTGTCCAGTAGGATGGAGAATACCGCCTTAGATCAAGTTTTAAAGCATTCATTCTTTCCTCAGCTCATCAATCTCCCTTAAATACAGAACCTAGGAGCAAAAATATTACAATGCAAGAAATTACTGTAGCATCTGAAAATCCCCATTCACAACAGAATGAGATAGAAAAGGGAAAATGCCAAAGTAGAATTATAAAAATACGAGTATTATAACAATACTACTCATAGCTTTGACCCCCAGGGTCCCCTGAAGGGTTTCCAGACCATCCACAAATCCCCATACCAAGGCTGTATTTTCTATGGCAAAAATTTTCAAAATTGTGGTTTCCTTTTGGGTTAGGGTTAGGTTTGACTGGGAAGGGGCATGAGAGAACTGTCTGAGGTAACAGTGGCAGTGATATTTCATACCTTAATGGACTTATAGGACACGGATGCATACATTCGTAAAATCATGTGAGGAGCATTTATATGTTAGTTTGTTGCTTATTATCAGTAAATACTATTCTAATGTATGAATATGTCATGAATGAATTTTAAACTATACACTCATGAAAACACCACCTAGATAGAGATATAAAATATTTGCATTCTTACCACCACCCCTAAAAAGGTAACTGTTATTCTGGCATCTATGAATCTCATGTGAAAGGAATAATAAAAATATGTGTTTTATGTTCAATATTTTATGTTTAATATTTATCCATTTTATTGTGTGCAAATTTTAGCTTAACAAGTAAACACATGAAACTCTAATGATATGCATGGTGAAGTGTTTAGGGGCAACGTGTACTGATGCCTGCAGCTTTGAAATGTATCAAATAAGATGGACTGGTGGAAGAATGGAGGGACATGAAGATGTATAGATGCGATGAAGTAAATATAGCAAAATGTTCGTTGCAGAATCTAGGTGGTGAGTATATGGATGTTCACTTTACAATTCTTTTGGCTTTTCTGTACGTATGAAAATGTTTATAATAAAATGTTGAAAAAAATGATCGAGTTGTATGCTTAAGACTTCTGTATTTTGCTACATGTAAGTTATGCCTTGATTTTAAAAACTGAAATATTAAACAATCAAAAGTACTAAGATTAGAAAAAATAAGACTATGCTTATTTGTAAATGACAAGACAAAAAAATTTATTAAAGACAGTTTATCCAAGACAAATTACTCATTATTAAAGAAAAAGAAATTTATGGCTTTCTCAGGAATAAGGAGGCTTATTTTTAAGTGAAGTGTCAAAATAATGTCCTATGTTGACACAGGATAGGGTACTGAAAAAGGATCCCAGAAAATTACTCTCCTATCTTGAATTCCTATCACGTGCCAAGCAAAAGATCCAGTCTCTGATGCTTAAGAGGGAAAGAACCAGGAGGCTAGAACACAGTTATGTTGTAGACTTGTGCACACATCAGCATAAGACTAAAAACCTGTAGGCAACCTCAAAAATCAATCATTTAAATGTGTGATTTTATAACATATTCATACTGTCATACTACGGAAACAAAAACTACATAAATGACAGTGATTTTTTAAAAACTATTAGTAAAAGTCAGTGGTCTCTTCACACTTCATGGTCTTCATCTAATTAAAACATATTTGGTTTTAAGTCTATTACAGTGAATGTTACATCCCCTCTGTTAAATATTTGCATGCCACAGCTACAAATGAAGACTGATTCACAGGTGTTGCACTGGCCGCTCAAACACCACAAGGGCATTGCTGAAATGGAGAATGGCTATCGCTAAAAGTACCCAACCAACCAAAGCACAATTTTCCCTCAATTTACTCAGTAATTGCATTTGCAGCAAGTATCGGTGAAAGTTAAAAATACCACAAAAATACCATGCATGTTTAAGAAAAATGAAGTACTAGTTTTTTGTTGTTGTTTTTTGCTTTTACCTACGTAAACATCTAGAGGGTCGTGCAGGAGATCTATGAGGGCGCAGAGCCGCCCTTCATCCTGCAGGACTATCCAAGCGCTGCAGCAGGTGCAGTCTGTTTTCTGTCCTCTCCACAAATGCCATCATCAGGACCACCAAAAATGCCCACAGAACACCCAGTACGTCCCATAGGAGACCCAGAATGTCCCATAGGAGGTACTGCTTCCTCAACTAGAAACCACGGATCTAAGCTGAAAGGATTGTTGTAGGAGTATTTAGATTTCAATAGCAGAAATATAATCCCCCAAACCGCTGTTATGTGCTCATTCCTGAATCATTCAGTGTAAACATTTATTTAACCTCTATAAATAATTTGTAGCTAACTGTGGTTAAAGATATGCTCAGATACACAGTCATCTGCTGATAGTTTGTGCCTACAGTTCACTACAAAGAAAGCATTTCACTAGCAGCTAAAGGCTTGTCATATGGAAACAATATTTGCTTATTCTTGCCTAAGGCTGGATTTAACACACTGAGCCTGATGTGAAAGATCATTTTGCTATTCAAACTGCAAGTCGCAAGCAAATACAAAGGCTTCATACTTGCTTTTACATATTATTCTTATGATTTTTGTTGTCAGTTTGTATTTAACCTCAGCGTTCCTGTCCTGCATGATTTCATAACTATAATCTGCTACTTAGTCACTGCAGTACTTGCATATTTTCTCTAATCAAACTTGTATCAAAACTCCTGAGTCATTCCTGTGTTCTCTGCGCTCCAGCATCCTAGATGTTTTCTGCCTTTGCTTCTTCCTATTTCTTTTTTTCCCTACCTTCATCCTTGTACAATGATTAGGCCTATTATTATTATTTTTTTTTTTTTTGAGATGGAGTCTCACTCTGTCGCCCAGGCTGGAGTGCAGTGGCATGATCTCGGCTCACTGCAAGCTCCGCCTCCCGGGTTCAGGCCATTCTCCTGCCTCAGCCTTCCGAGTAACTGGGACTACAGGTGCCCACCACCACGCCTGGCTAAGTTTTTGTATTTTTAGTAGAGATGGGGTTTCACCGTGTTAAGGCAAGAAAAGATGAAATGGCATGTGAATTCACTTGTTGACATGAGTTGCCACCTAATAACTAAATAGATCATCAGCAAGAGCAAAAAAAAAAAAAAAAAAAAGGAGGGGGGGCTTGATAAAAAAAAAACTACTGGATTTTTCAATGAAATTAGAAAAAAATCAGTCAACTTAAAAAGCTCTATGCAACTTGGCAATCCACACGCTCACCTGGAAAAAGTGCTACTCATTCTGTTACAGATTCACAAAATATTTACAAATCTTTACATAAAAATTACACACATACTTATCTGACCCACTCCTACGTATCTAACTCAAGTGAATTGAAAATGTAAGTTCCCAAAAAATTACATGTAGGCAAATGCTCATAGCAGCTTAATTCATAACCATCCCAACAACCAAAACATTCTTCAACAGATGAAGAGTTCAACAAATTGTGATACATTCCAGACAATGAAATACTTCACTACTCAGCGTTAAAAGGAATGAACTGTTGATTCACACAACAGCATAAATAGATCTTAAATGCTTTCTGCTAAGTTAAACACCCAGATGGCTACGTGCCGTATGATCCTAATGATATTGCCTACTGAGAAAGGCAAAAACGGAAAAGTCAGAAACAGATCAGTGGTTGCCAGGAGCCGGTTATCATCCCAAAAGACACAATCCCAAACACCACATCCAAATGCAGAAATCCCAAAAGATCAAAATCCCTGAAGTCTAAAAGTCCCCCAAATCACAATCCTGAAAGATCAAAATTATTCCAAAACTATTATTCTGAGGAAAATGTTTTAATTCCTTAAAAGACATTTATTTACATGTACAAAAAGAGATTTATTTGGCAAACATAAAAACGTGACCGAACACTTCATAGGTCACTTTGTGCAATAAAATGAACAATAATAACATACATTTTTTGCAAGGATAAACATTCAGGTATACTAATGACAGTCACACAAGAATAAGAGCTATGAGCAAACTGTATTCAGAAAGAAACAGGTAACAGGTCAACAAGGGGAATGTATGCATGCACATTGCTGTGGTTGGTAATTGTGTGCACCCAGCTTTGTAACTGTGGTCATCTGAAATACCATGACGGACAACCTGAGTCTTCTGTTGAAATTGATCAAAAACTGCACTGGATCATCACTGTATATGCAGCCACCCAAATGGCCGAGACCTCGAGAAATTTTATCTTTCACAAATGCAGATATGCAAAAAAGACATCTCTTTATTTATGGAGGAATTTTCCATGTTTTTACAAACATGCACAATGCGTAAACAGTCAACGTTATGATAATGCTCTTTTGTGCAGTCAAATTTGAAAAAAAAATACATAAAACAAATCAGAGCCCTCTCAAGGTCTCTACAAAATTTATACCCCCAGTATTGGAAATGATGGGAAAAGGAAATATATAGCACAGCAAATTGTAAAACAAAAGAATGCGGACAACTTAAAATAATGGGGAAAAGCCTGGGCACAGTGGCTCACACCTGTAATCCCAGCACTTTGGGAGGCCCAGGTGGGTGGATCACCTGAGGTCAGGAGTTCGAGACCAGCCTGGCCAACATGGTGAAACCCCGTCTCTGCTAAAAATACAAAAAATTAGCCAGGCATGGTGGCATGCCCCTGTAGTCCCAGCTACTCAGGAGGCTGAGGCAGAAGAATCGCCTGAACCCGGGAGGTGGAGGTTGCAATGAGCTAAGGCTGCACTCCAGCCTGGGCGACAAGAGCAAAATTCCGCCTCCAAATAATAATAATAATAATAATAATAATAATGAAAAAAATTTAAAAAGAAAAAACAGAGAAAACTAAAAAGAAAATTCAACATATGATAAAAGCGTATTTCAAGGACAGATTATGGGTAACTGCAGGGAGACAGTCCACAGTCGCTGGCTTTCACCATCATTAACTAATACTTTAAAGTCATGCATCAGGATGCACAGCTACTTTTTTTCTTATAGGACATGGCTCTCCTCAGAAAATACATACACATTTATTTTCTATATAGCACTGCTCTTTTAAAAATGTTTCTATGATTCAATAGCCACCAACATGAGCATTCCCTATTAAACATTCCCACTTTCTATTTAGAGATTGATCTTTTGGGATTTAGACTTCAGAAAGTACAGCATTTTACAGCATTTCTTTCAGAATTATGATCCAAACCCCTTGGGAAACAGTGATTTGACTGATTATTGCAGGATAAAGGAAAAATGAGCCATAGGTAAAGCCTGTATTTTGGTTGGTAAATTTGTTTCTCGCAGGATACACGTCAGCAATCCTAAGGGTAGTTTACACAAATGCTACCATTGAACACCTAAATAAACTGTGGATAATGCGAGTCAGGTTTCTCCCTGTCAGAGAAATAAATTACAAGTAACCAAGGGAGGAAAACAGAATGAACCCCATGGTACTGGATTAGACTCAGAAATACTTGTAGAAACTCACGGTTATTTTTAAATAGATACAGATGGATACAGACAGGAACAGAGACTTGTGTGTATACATGGGTTGGAATACATATACCTGTTTCCTAGCTGGGTCCACTGAGAGGCCTAGAGGATGTGACAGCACAGGGGCTACAAGCACACTCCATGCTTCAGTCTTGGTTTCTAATCCTATTTCCCCATAAAAGGCACCAGGGTTCTTAAAGAAATGGCTGACTCTGGGCGGGTGCAGGTGACACACAGAACAAGGCTGGAGGATCTCACAGTGCAGAGTAAGTGCCAAGAAAAGAAAAAGATAAGAGCACGTCAAACAAACACAGTGGCCAACTGGAGAAAGCTCTCAAGGCCACAGTAGGAGCCATTTGACCTACAAATTAAATCTATTAGGTTGGTACAAAAATAATTACAGTTTCGCATTAGTGTTAATGACAAAAACTACCATTATTTTTGCACCAACCTAAATAGAAGATTATAACCCAGAGAATAACATAAATATTCATATATCCAAAATGATATAAATAAATGATTGAATATATAAATGGGAGATGGGACAGATTTCCTTTACAGAAAAATTCCAAAAAACAAATGTAGGAAGAATGAGGGAAATGAGAAAAATCACCGTTAGAACATTACGATAGAAATGCTGTAAGCAAGAGCCACTGCCGAATGCTAAAATGGGTGGCTGAAAGTTTAGGAAAAACAGATATTTGCATTGCCTCAAAGTATATCCCTCAGAATATTTATTAAGTACAGTGGCGGTTTTAACATATGCCCACGAATTCTTTGATACTCTTCCCTGCAGAGTGGAACTTAACTGCCCTCTGCTTGACTGTGGGCTGGACTTGACAACTTGCTTCTAAGGAACTGTGGTATAATGAGAAAGATACGTTTGGTCTTTGTGCCCAGTTCCTGGCACAGAGCTACTAAAACGTATGGAATTTCATGAGTGATAAGGGTTATAGGAGTCTTTTGTTCTAACAAGGCAACTCTTGGCAGGCCCCTAGATAGCTTCAGGATGGGTGCTGGTCACCAGAAAGACCAAGCCTTGATTAGAAACTTGGAACTTTCAGCCCCACTCCCCAGTCTCCTGGGAGGGGAGGGGGCCTGAAGGTTGAGTTCAATCACCTAGGACCAACGATTTAATCAGTCATGCTTCTATAATGAACCTTCCATGAAAACCCTCCAGCAATGGGGTTGGAAGAGCCTCCGGGGTGTTGGACACACAGAGGTACTGGGAGGACGGGGCACCTTGCGCCTGGAGAGAGCTTGGGAGTACTGCACCCTCCCCCACACCTGCCCTATGCATCTCCTCAATTTCGCTATTCCTGAGTTGTATCCTTTATAATAAATTGGTCATAGAAAGTAAAGTGACTTCCTGGTCAGGCCTGGTGACTCACACCTGTAGTCCCAGCACTTTGGGAGGCCAAAGTGGGAGGACTGCTTGAGGCCAGGAGTTTGAGACCAGCCTAGGCAACACAGTGAGACCCCATCTCTATTAAAAATAATTTTAAATAAAATTAACCAGGCATGGTAGCACCTTAGGTCCCAGCTACTCAGGAGGCTGACAAGGGAGGATCGCTTGAGACCAGGAGTTGAGTGACAGAGAGAGACCTTGTCTCAAAAAAAGGAAGTAAGTAAAGTGACTTCCTGAGTAGTTCTGTGAGCTGTTCTAGTGAGTTACTGAGCCCAAGGAGGGGGTTTTGGGAACCCCGATTCAAAGTCTGTCAGATGTATATGAGGACACCTGGGATCTGAAGTGGGGGTAGTTTTGAGCCCTCAATGTGTGGGGTCTGTGCTAACGCTGGGAGTTGGTTTTGTAATTCAGTTGAATTGCAGGACACCCAGTTGGTGTCAGAGAGTTGGAGAATCAGTATGGAAAAACACCACATATTCAGCTGGTGAGAAAAGAAAACCTTTCAAGAATAGGATACGGAAAAAAAAATGGTAACTTTATAGTGGAAAACCCTAACTGTCACCACCCTCACCAAAGGGTCAAGGTTCGCATCGCCAGGAATAAGTCATGGTGATGACCGGTGCCCCCGATATGATATCATCAAAAGGGTCCTTTACCCCTGTGGGATTCTTCCCCAAAATCCATAACCCCAGTCTAAGCATGAGGAAACAACAGATACACCCAAATATAGGGACACGACCCAAAGATGCCTGACGAGGACTCTTCAAAAGGGTCAAAGTTGTAGACAGTACAGAAAGAGTAAAAATGGTCACAGATTGGAGGAGACCAAGAAGACATGACTACACGCACAAGGTCTTAGATAGGATCCTGGGGCAGGAAAAGGGCATTAGGAGCAAATTGTTGAAATGAAATATAAAGTTGAGCATTTTCTTTAAAAAAAAAAAAGGAATAAACTAGTGATGCTATTGACACACATGCAATGACACACATGTCTCACACGCACAATGCCATGTGAAAGGAGTCAGATTTAAAACAACGATATACATGTGTCACATGTGCTATGCCATGTGAAAGGAGTCAGGTTCAAAACATCAATGATATGCATGTGTCACATGTGCTATGCCATGTGAAAGGAGTCAGGTTCAAAACATCAATGGTATGCATGTGTCACACGTGCTATGCCATGTGAAAGGAGTCAGGGTCAAAACATCAAAGATATGCATGTGTCACACGTGCTATGCCATGTGAAAGGACTCAGGGTCAAAGCATCAAAGATATGCATGTGTCACAGGTGCTATGCCATGTGAAAGGAGTCAGGTTCAAAACATCAATGATATGCATGTGTCACATGTGCTATGCCATGTGAAAGGAGTCAGGTTCAAAACATCAATGATATGCATGTGTCACATGTGCTATGCCATGTGAAAGGAGTCAGATTTAAAACCACGATATACATATGTCACATGTGCTATGCCATGTGAAAGGAGTCAGGGTCAAAACATCAAAGATATGCATGTGTCACACGTGCTATGCCATGTGAAAGGAGTCAGAGTTAAAACGATATACATGTGTCACACGTGCTATGCCATGTGAGTCAGATTCAAAACATGCAACAACATGCATGTGTCACACGCACTATGCCATGTGAAAGGAGTCAGATTCAAAACATGCAACAACATGCATGTGTCAGATGCACTATACCACGTGAAGGGACTCAGGTTCAAAAAGCTCCATACTGCATGTAGCCATTTATGTGATATTCTGAAAATAACAAAATTACAGGGGCAAACAAACCTATCAGCGTTTGTTTGGGGTGAGGGGTTGGGGGGAAGGAGTTGGTTACAAATGAACGACACGGAGAACTTTTTTGAGATGACGTTCTGTATTTTGGCTGTGGAGGTGGTTATCAGACTCTGTTCCTCATAAAGAGTGAATAGTGTGGGGTACGAATTAAAAAAATTAAGTATTCTGTCCAAATATCCTTCATAATTTTAGACTTCCCACTCAAGTTTATCCAGTTCATACACTGCCAGGCAAATTTCTCAGTATCCAGTGAGGCGGACTATGCAGACAGACAATGGCCAGACCGTGTATGTCAACTCCCACCCGCGTGAGAAACCCAGGAAGCCAAAACACAACCTCTGCAGTCATGGGCACCGAACAGTCAGCACTTGGCCAGTGACTGAGTCGTCCCTATTTTCGCTCCCCAACCCTTTCCAACTCAAGGCCAATCAGAGGAAGCCAAATACGCTCCCCACACCAACCACACAACACGCCCCCTTTCTAGTAAGCCCACTTCCGGCTTCCCCAGGCCAACAGCCTCCAATCAGAGTGAGCTGGAAGCCTCCTTCTTTCACTTGGAAGCTTTCCCACCCCTCTGGCTGCCTTTGAGTCTCTGCCAAGAGCAAAGGATGGCTCCCTTGGTATAGCAAGCTCTGAATAAATAGCCTCTGTTTGTTCTCATTTGGTCTTTGTTTATTTCCACAGAAGCAAGCCCACTTTATAAAACAAAGCCTTTCCAGAAATTAGATAAAACATCGCCCAAGTGAGACGTAATCAGTAATGTAAGAAACTCCAGGCGTAACAAACGAACATTAGAAGGGAAGCTGGTGAAGGCCCCTGTGCTGCGATTCCCTTTCAAAACCACCAAAACTTTTGAACTTCTTGTATTCCCCTAACTAACGCCATCATTATTTCCACACTAGCTGTTTAGTGAATCGGGTACTATCTTGTCAAATGAGACTTTCTTTCATCATGTCTGAATTATTCACAGCCTATTGTTACCACTGACAAGGGAGTACTCCGCCCCCCACCCCCCTTCCCCTTACTTAGAAACCACGTCATGCTGTTTCTCCAGTCAGCAATCCGGGGAGAACTTCCCTGGGACAGGAAGAGATGGGAGGAAGGAGGAACACTGGAGAATGCAGGGAACAGGGGATACTGAGGAAAGGAGAATCAACTTTTGGAGTAAAACTTTTCTTTGACAGATACAATGTTACTGACCTTGATAGAATATCTCCAAAGGCTGATAAAAGATTTCACCTCACAATAATGTAACATTTTAATGCTTCAATAAAAGAGTTTTCTTTCTCACCACCTGTAACAGTTTGCTAAGTTACCTGAATTTCAGGGGAAATATTAATATGGGCTAAATTAGCCAATGTAAAATTAAATTATCTTGACAAAACAATACCAAGCAAAATTTGCTGAAGGGTGTAATACATTAAGAAACTTTCTTAAAAACACAATATTCAATTATAACTTAATAAATCCCTGGGGTATGAAGCAAGACAACTGTATGAAAATGTAATATGAATCTCTCAGAAATTCAGTTCAGCTGAATAAAAACCTCTCCAAGAGCCAACTTCATTAGCCTGCATAACATCAAAGGCTCCTGGAGTGACTGGCTAATCTAAAACATCTTTTACAACCAATTTCCATATGGCCTAGTCATTTGCTTTCATGGTTTGGGCAGAAGTCCTGAATGGAAAGCCAAGAGGACCTGCCTAGAAATAACACATTTCTTTTAGATTTTCCTCATCAAATCATTAATTATTTTTCATTCTACTTTCCTTCAAAATTTTATTTTATAGAGAATGCTGAATTCTCATGGACGTATTTTATCAAATACAGTAAAAAGAAGAAAATAAGGACAGTAATACCAAGTATTCAATTCTAGCTACGTGGAAACATGCCTTTTAAAATGTATTATTGGCTGTACATACTCAGCCATATTCAGTCTACAAAAGCCACTTCACCAACCAAGGCCTGTCACTTCATGCATTTCATTGATAATAAAAAATCCCACTATAGTCAGACACCTGAAAATTTGCCTGTGATAAACAGGTTTACAGAATTGTCGGGAGAACGTGGCTTGGTTGTAGGCTGTTCACCCTTAAGGCTCCCAGACTTCGAGGGAGGAATCAGAGGCAACTGCAATAAACGGCAAGAACCTTCCTGTCTGGGGGTGACTGCAACCTGGCTGAGTGCATTCCTGTTTTCTTTCTTGCAATGGGCTACTGCCTTGCATTTCTCTTTTTGGTTCTAATATTAAGCTCAAAAATGATCTTCTCTTGTTTTGTAAAGGCTCATTAAGGGGCAATGTCTCTTCAGTTTAGGAAACCTGCATGCTTGCATCTCTAATACTGATGGTGATGTTTTTAGCTTTTTCTTGATAGTGACGTTTTACAGTAAGGAATTAATGGCTTTAATAGCAATAGATTCCAGGGAAATTCAAAAATAAGGTTCATAAAATGAAGAGGGTTTATAATTTTTATTTCCATACATTCAGGTTGAAAAACAGTCATGAAATTTAAATATGACAATCTCATAACTAGCTTATTAATGACCATTCCTGAAAATATTGCCGCCATCCTAGTTCTCTCAATTTTTGATCCCCACCTCACCCATCTTAGTGATGTGATGGCAGTACATTGAAAGATCTCAGTGCCTTCCTGTGATTGGGCAGACACCGAGTAGTATCAACGTGGGCTACCCTTTATCTTTCAGGGTGGAGAAATAGCAATTTGGGAGGGATGGAATTTAAGACTGAGATAACAACAAAATTTAGATAGAAAATAAATTTGACATACTTATTATACATTTATTACAAATACTGTGGGTATTTCCAAGACTGTGTTAAGATAATAGAGATACTACTATACTATATAGAGAAAAAACTATAGAGAGAAATAACAAATAAGCATTTACTACACAATTGTTTCCCAATAATAAGGCTCTTGCCTTTGAAGATGAGTCTCATGATGCACAATAATAAAAATGCAAAGAAAGAAATGGATTCACGGAGTTTTAAGAATTGAGGGTTAGAGGATGAGGAAAAAAGATTATACTATCCAGTATCAGATGACGTAAATCCATGCTAGAATACTAAAATCAAACTCTCAAAAAAAAATAATTTCTATAAATGTTGTCTTTAAAGGCATCTGCTGGCACGTTTTTGATTTCTTAACAGAAAATCACTTTGACCAAGAGTTTAAAGTTTTTCCCAAAGCTCAGTAACAAGTCAAGTTTCCCCATGACTCTTCTTTCCTCATCTTGTTTGCATTTAATTCTATTAAAATCTTGAGGTCAGATGGCATTAAAAGTATTAAGCTCACTTGCAGAATAGTAATTATGTATCAAAGTGAAGGCACCAAAACTGTGATGTTCAGAAAACTATTTAAATGAGGAAAAAAATCAAAAGAAAGGGGTCTTTGAAGTCCTAAACATGCATTAAGATACAAATAATTGATCCAATAAATTCATTACATAGACTGCAGTCCCTAATAAGAGTGAATAAAAGCTAATGGAGAACAGTTAACAGAGCCAATTTCAGGCTCACCTATCAGGTTGTGCAAGATGAAAACGAAAAGTGCAATATACGTTCAATAATACAGGCAGTAACTTAGAAAGTGTTTATTGGTTAACTTTCTCCCAAAAGCTTGTTCTGAAATGTCAATCATAGAAGGCCAAAGGAGTACTTTTCCCATTGGCTGAAAGCTTGTTTCCTCTTCTGCCTATCTCAAATACACCTCCCATGAAACACTATCTTTCGTCTCTTCCCCATTGTTTGTAATGTTTCAAAATATTAGATATAACCACACAAATTTCATCACGGAATGAGAAAAAGAAAGGAAGTAGAAAACCAGTTTCCCAGGGCTTTCAGAAGGGAGCGGTCCTCAGAGGAAATGGAAGGGGAGGGCTATCTGGAGCCCAAGGGTGTCAATCACCAGGCAAGGTGACCTCAGGGCACTGGTTGGAAGCCTCCTTGACTGGAACCCCCTTCCGCATCTGTCAGCTGTGCTGGATCACAGAGCTCGGTACTGCAGTCCCTGAAAGGCTAAATGGTTTCTTTTGAGAAAAAGGACCTTTGAAGAGGAAGTCGGTGTGGCTATCAGAATTGTCCCTGACCATGATCCAGGCCTGTAAAAAGCATCCTTACTGGGCAATGACGGGATGGCCAGGCTTTGAAGCATTGGAGGCACTGGACCACTCTCCAGAGTGCTGTCCCTGCTCCCCATTCCTCCCTCCTCCCTCCTCCCCCCACCCCCCGCCGAAGTTCTTCTATCTTGTCCTCTGGTTCTATCTCTCACATTTAGTTTGCCATAGGCAGCATCTTGGAGAGGGCGACGCAGCAGCAAGGATTCATGAAGGGAGGTGCTGACTTCAAGGTTTACAGGACAGGAAGTAAAGAGGGGCATCATCCTAGTTTATTAGCTCTCTTATTTGATACCTTGAGAAGGATCATCAGACCTTCAGAAGACTGAAATACTCATAAAAAACACAGGCTAAAATGTCAGTTTTATTTTAGTAAGGGCTTGAATGTCCTGTAATGCCAGGAGCAAGAGCCCTCAGGCTGGTAGCCACACAGCGACTGGAGGAAGAGTGGGACCAACAACAGCAAGAAGGTCCCCAGCCTTCCTTTGTGACAGTGGCTGCAGGGTGGAGCTCGAAGGTATTGCTGATGGTGGGGGGCAGGCCCACTCTTGGGAAGGAAAAAGACAGTTCTCAAAAGGTAAAGATTCTGCACCCGCAGGGAGGTAAAACAGTCGCATAAAGAGGACAGGCTTGACATATACCTCTTCTGTGCTGTTAGCGCTACATCCAGGCACAGTTTCACAACTGAAGCAGGATCAGTGCAAAAGAGAAAGGTGTAAAGACATGGCAGGATTAGAGATTGTCGTATCCTATTTGTCTCTATCAGATTTCATTTATTTCACTAGTATTTACTGACAAAGATTCTTTGCATGGCCAAACTTCAGTGGGGCTTCTGAACCTTCTCCTAGACTTATCTGCATATTTCTTTGGAAAATCCAATTTGAGCAAAGAACTCAGTTAAATCAGTTCAGTCAGAGCGCTGATGCTTCCTCTTGCTCATTTTCCATCCGCTGACCCCCACACTACTCCTTGGCTATGAATTCCCACTGGCCTATGCTGTTTTTGGAGTTGAACTCAATCTCTCTCTGCAATCCCTCTCAATCTCTCTCGCCCACTGCAAAATCCCGCTGTTCCTATACCTATTGCAATGGTCCTAAATAAAGTCTTCCTTACTGGTCTTTAACAAGTATCACTGAAGAGTTGATTCTCTAACATTACTTATAGAAGGCAGTGCATATAAATTATAAATTTACATTCTTTACCTGCTTGTGGATTGAGCACAGGATAGTAGACTTCGAAATTAAATGGTTTAGTTTCCTTGCCACTCTTCTCCAATGCAATTAACACCTCTTTCCCAGTCCTTGTTCTCCAAATAGTCACTTTTCTGATTAAATCAAACACCTTCTTTTAGAGATGTAAGTTCTAACTCTCCAGTCCTCTTTTGCAATGATAAACAAATACGAAGAAGTGATTTTTAATTGAACCAGTCAAAATAACCAAACATTCAGAGTGAAACATTTTTTGCCAATTTTGTTCAATAAATGAGGTGAATTTTCTGCTAGGCAAAGAAGTCACTTATTGGACCCTAACACACACGTTTTAACCATCATCTGTAAAGCCTATGTGAGCTTTGTATTACAAAGTGTGAAAAACACCCAGATTCTAACAAGAGCTCATGTTGAACCAATTTATATTGATTCACACAGCTGGGAAAGGTGAGATTTTGTTTTCATTTTTGTTTCTTCTTTACAGTACTGACTCAGTCTAAATTAATTTTTATTGCTGCTATTTTACACCAAGACAGCTTCTGCCTTGGGATTTGTAGGGTCCATGACTACCATTAGAATACAGGAGACCAGAACACTAGAATGCCAGCCCACGAGGTGCTTTCTCTCTCTCTCTGCACCAAGGTTTAACTATGAGCTAGCTGGCACAGGGGCAAGAGGCTGAAGGGCAGCAGTCACTTCTATCCTTGTATCAGAACTTTGATTACT
Source organism: Homo sapiens (assembly GCF_000001405.40). NCBI lineage: Eukaryota > Metazoa > Chordata > Mammalia > Primates > Hominidae > Homo > Homo sapiens. The sequence continues at coordinate 3,749,628 of NC_000007.14, read as the reverse complement.
TTTCTTACATCAGATTAAGAGGTGATGTTCGGCTGGGCGCGGTGGCTCACACCTCTAATCCCAGCACTTTGGGAGGCCAAGGCGGGCGGATCACGAGGTCAGGAGTTCGAGACCAGCCTGGATAACATGGTGAAACCCTGTCTCTACTAAAGATACAAAAAATTAGCCAGGCGTGGTGGTACACGCCTGTAATCCCAGCTACTCAGGAGGCTGAGGCAGGGGAATTGCTTGAACCTGGGAGGCAGAGGTTGCAGTGAGCTGAGATCGTGCCATTGCACTCCAGCCTGGGTGACAGGGCGAGACTCCATTTCAAAAAAGAAAAAAATTAGCTGGGCGTGGTGGCACACACCTGTAGTCCCAGCTACTCAGAAGGCTGAGGCAGGAGAATTGCTTGAAACCAGGAGGCGGAGGTTGCAGTGAGCAGAGATTATGCCACTGCACTCCAGCCTAGGTGACAGAGCGAGACTCCCTCTCAAAAGAAAAAAAAAAGAGGTGATGTTCTCCTTAACCTTCTTTCATGTACTTATCTATTATATCATCTGATTAAATTCTGAAGGCAAAGAATAGTGAGAATATGCTCTGTTGAAAATATTCGCATTACTGGCATGTCTCCATCTAAGTGTGAGTTGGGTTGGTTGGTTGGTTGATTTTTTTTCCTAGTATACTGAAACCTACCACAAACTAGAATGTTATTATTGTCAATGAATTCCTGTAGAACAACAACAAAAAATTGTCTGGACAGGATGAATCATATTTACCTGAACAACGGTGATGCTGTAATCTCAAAACAAAAGCATTCGGTACCTGAAACCTTGGATTTATGTATAGTAATTATAGGGTTGTACCAAGTACTCTTAAATTTTAAGATTTGTTTTTTGTTCCCAGTCAAATGAAACAGGGATGAGATTTAATTTGCCCTGTGATTGTGTGATGGTAACCAAAAGAGAATTTTTACAGTTCAATACATGAAGCATGAGGAAACTGAACATGTATTAGAATTTCTAAAGCAACTGCCCAAGGCCAGCTGGTTTCAGTTTTCCTCCCAGATCCATGTGACTGAATAGTGTATTTCAACAAAAACTCTGAACCTTAAGGGTCCTTAATGGAAACATACACAGTGAAGGAGACCTCACAGGGACAAAAGCCAACACTGGACCTGACTACTCGCCATTTAATGGATATTTTTCAGTATTATTCCATAAGCCCGTTATAATATATACAGGCTATTCAATGAAATGTTCCAAGATAAACTAAATCTGTTTTTCTCAAATAGTACAATTTTTCTAAGTAAACAGTAACACCTATTCATTTTTAGAGAATCCGGGAAATAAAGGAACTATAAAAAAGCAGCCTCTATCCTGCTACACAGAAAAATCACCGTAAAAACAATTTAGAGTTCAGTGTATGTTAGATACATCATTTTTCCTTTTCAAAATTAGGATTAAACCAAACATGCTGTTTTGTACCCTGCTTTCAACGTTTAATATTATAGCATTAACTATTATGTCATCATTTATCATTAAAATATCATTTAATGGTTATATAGTATATAATGATCATGATACATACTATAACACATATAGTAACTGTGATATACAGTATAATCAAATATATACTAATATTCTATCATTATAATTGTATTACTAAATCTCCCTTGAAAACATTATTTTTCGTATCAGTTTCCTGGCTAAAATCTTAGATTTTCCTAAAAGGTGCTGTGACCCCTTCCTATATCTCCAGAGTTACCTTTCACCCCGTCATGTCCTCTCTCTGCTCCAGCCTCCAGCCTCCCTGTACAGGGTCTGCTGCTGGTTACCTCACACCTTAATCCTCCCTTCCCTCCTCCCTGCCTCTTACCACTCCTCTGCGTTTCAACATTCATCAACTCTTCAGTGAAAACCCCTCACCATACACACACACACACACACACCCCAGGCTAAGTTAAATCCTCTAGTTACAGGCCCTCAGCTACCTAGTACAATACTTCCTCTTTCAACACTAGTGATTATTTCCCTTTGCCCCATGATTTATTTAATGCTTGTCTTCCTGTTTTCATCACTACTCTATTCCTAGTGCTTAGCATGCTGTCCTGCATAGACAAGGCCCACGACAGCATTTGCTAAATAAAAGAATGACTATAAATAAAATCTTAGTAAACAAAAGCCACAGTGCATCTAATCAATTCTCAGAATTCTTTAAAATTTAACTGTCAGAATGTTACATACACTTTGAATGCCTTCAATAAATATTGCAAGAAAATAGCACAAACATGTTACTCCACCCTTACAAGTACACACAGACAGTGGTTGTTATGTCATTATTTTCTAAAGACTTGCCTATTGGGTAGTAGAAACTAAATGTTGGTTATGGTATAAAATACATTTCTAATTACCAGTGAGAATGACTTTTTCCATCTATTTACCTAGGTAGTTCTGTGTCACACTGTTTGCAAAATTTTCTATTATCATGCCTGGATTTTTCTCTCCTAGTTTCCTAATTTATATATTACATCATGCACCTGGTTACCCAAGAGTTCTCATGGAGATGAATGTTGGTTTCATGCCACAGCATCCATTCTGCAGCCTATGAATCAAGGAGTAAATTTGACTTTCACGTCTTACTATTTAAGAAATGCATTTTGTAAGTCTATAGCTGCCACGGATGATGACTCCTCTGATGGTCTTGGAAAAGTCAATCAAAAACCTTCTGAAAAGCATTCATCATTCTAGATGCCATCAAGAACATTCGGGATTCATGAGAGGAGGTCAAAATATCAACATTAACAGGAGTTTGGGAGAAGCTGACTCCACCCCTCATGGGTGAGTTTGAGGGGTTCAGCATTGCAGTGGAAGAAGTAAGTGCAGATGTGGTAGAAACGGCAAGAGAACTAGAATTAGCAGTGGAGTCTGAAGACATGACTGAATTGCTACAATCTCATAATAAACTGTAACCAATGATGAGGTATTTCTTATGGATAAGCAAAGAAAATGATGTGTTAAGATGGAACCTACTCCTGGTGGAGGCACTCTGAACTTTGTTCACATGACAACAAAGGATTTAGAACATTACATACTCTTAGTTGATAAAGCAGCAGCAGGATTTGAGAGGAGTGACTCCAATTTTGGAAGACGTTCTACTATGGGTAAAAGAGCAGCAAGCAGTGCACATTACAGAGAAATCTTTTGTGAAAGGAAGACATCAATTGATGGGGCAAACTTCACTGTTGTCTTATTTTAAGAAGTTGCCACAGTCACCCCACCCTTCAGCAACCATCAGACTGATCAGTCAGCAGCCATCACCAATGAGGTAAGACCCTGTACCATCAAAAAGACTTGCTGAAGGCTCAGGTGATTGCTATTATATTTTAAAATAAAGTATTTTTGAATTAAGGTATGTAAATTTTTAGACATAATGCTATTGCACACTTAATAAACTATAGTATAAACATAACTTTTATATGCACTGGAAACCAAAAAATTCATGTGACTCACTTATTGCAATATTTGCAAATTGGGGTAGTCTGGAGCAAACCCACAATATCTTAGAGGTATGCCTGTATTATATTCTTTAATCCTCTCAACTCAGTGAGGTAGGTACTCTTACTAGCCCTGCTTTACAGATGAGGGAAACCTCTACAGAGAGGTTAAGTGATTTCCCAGAGGACTGACAGCTAGTCTGTGGTGGAGCTGGGATCCAAACCCACATAGCAGGCTTCAGAGTGTATGTTCTTAATCATAATTATACAGAAAATCTCAAATTAATAGTTTCAATCCATTATTTTGGATTTTTCTCAAGAGATAAACATATCATTTGCAAATAATGATATGTTTCATTCTCACTTTTCTTTGCCAATAGTGTTACTACTACTTATCTTGGCTAATTATATTGGCTAGACATTTGAAAACAATGTTAAACGGCAGGGGCAATGAGGTGGGAGGGGGTGCAACAGGGGAGTTTTATAGGGGTCGCTCGAGGGAGTTCCTCTGTCATGGCGGATCAGTTGCACATCTTGATTGTGGAGGCGATTAAATGAATCTATGCGTAGGATCAAATTGTATAGAATTTAGAATTATTTACACACACACACACACATGCAAATGAGGGCATACTGAAACCAGTGAAAACTGAGTAACGTTTCTATTCTAGTTAACAGTATTATATAAATGTCAGTTTCTCAGTCTTTATGCCACACTCCAGTTATGCAACATTTCACCACTGGCAGAAGTGGGGTGAAGGTTTTATAGGATTCTGTGCATTATTTTTACAACTTCTTGTGAGTCTACATTTCAAAATAGTAGTGGCAAAAGCAGGTATCTTCATTTTAGCCTAGACATTTAATAGCAATGCTTTAGGATTTCACTTATGATTTTGATTTGAAATAAATATTATTTACATACCTAAAGGGTAATATTCCCACAAAACCTAGAGAAACTGAGCTAAGTGACTTTGAGATACCACAGGACCTTCCCTAAGTAAAATTGATATAATTCATGCACGGGGTTCAAAACATTCCAAAGATTAAATTCAGCAATGGCAGGGAACTTGGAGTGTTTTGTGAGTTTTTCATTTGAGACAATACTAAAGCTAACAGATGATCATCACATGGAGGCCGGTTTAATCTGATACCTGCTACTTTTTTCTCATCACTGATTTCTATTGAAGCACACAGGAGATTTGGCCTTCGTGAGGGAAAAAGAAAAGCATAACCACAAAAAAAGCAGTTCTTTATTTTGGATATACTATACATTTTTGTTTGTTTTCTATTTTTAAATTGTTTTTCTTTTTCTTTTTGTTTTTTTTTGTTTGTTTGTTTTTTTGAGATGGAGTCTCACTCTGTCGCCCAGGCTGGAGTGCATTGGTGTGATCTCCGCTCACTGCAACCTCCACCTCCCGGGTTCACGCCATTCTCCTGCCTCAGCCTCCCGAGTAGCTGAGACTACAGGCACCCGCCACCACGCCTGGCTAATTTTTTTGTATTTGTAGTAGAGACGGGGTTTCATCGTGTTAGCCAGGATGGTCTCGATCTCCTGACTTTGTGATCTGCCCATCTCGGCCTCCCAAAGTGCTGGGATTACAGGCGTGAGCCACCATGCCTGGCCTGTCTTCTTATTTCTTTTAGGTCTTTTGTGTCTTTTCTTTTTTTCATTGATGATATTCCTTGCTAGGTTATACTGTATGAATTCATTGATCGGATTTACTGGATACCTAGTATATGTTTGGCAGATGAAGTCTGTGCCCAAAATGATGCTTATATTATAATAGAATAGACATTACAAACAATGAACAGACAAAGAAGCTAAATGTATATATGGAAAGAAAGGTAGTGATACGTGCTATGCAGAAAGTCAAAGTATCGTAAGGGGTTCGGCAGTAATTGGAGAGATGGGGGGAGGGGGGCTATTTTGGATGAAGAGGACCTTTCTTGGGAGATGGCATTTGAGAAACCAACTAAATAAAGTGGGGCACCAGGCCATGGAAAAATCTTAGGAATAGCATTCAAGGCAGATGAACAGCAAGCGGAAGGATCCTGAGGCAGGAACAAACTAGGAGGCTATTGAAATAAAGTGAGAGATGGCAAAGACTTGAGACATCCAGTAGTGGGCTTTGGATGCAAGTCACAGAATCTGTGAGTCAAGCTGTTGATTAATAGTGTCTTATTAATTACACAGGATAATAACGCCACAGGAAATTCTTCCAGCATTGGTCCTGTGGCTACATGATGTCAGCACATTGGAAGACATCTTTTATGATCCATTCATGGGGGCAGATAGCTGCTAACTTGTGGCCAGTAAGGTCCAGGCATCGCCCTTTCATACAATGATATCCAAGCAGAAGTTTTTCTCATCATGCCACTCGGTTCAACTCTTTATATCATTTTTTTCGTACACACAGTGGTGATATATACCCTCTTCCTCCTCCTCCGACATCTACTTACAACGACTAATACATATCCAGCACTAAGCAGTTTCTGGCACATAGCAAATGTTCCTTAAATACTTACTAGTTTAATTGTTTGCAGTTGAAGTTATTTTGTGGTACTAGGGTATTCTGTATCCCGGCACACCCATTCTGGTAAAGTAGACAGGTCTGGAGGGTATAAGTGCATTTTGTTAGAGACTCTTATTTTCTCAGGGGCTGCTTGCCCTCCTTCCACAATTAAAGTAAAAGGTCCACTCTAACTTGCCAGTTCTAGCTCTGTATACAGAAGCCTACATGAGAAAAGAGGTAAGAGAGTTGTGACAAGGAGAATGGGCTGAATGTTTTGGGTTCAAAAATCTGTGACTTAGCAAGACTGTACCGCCACAGAACCCGAGTCTCAAACCTCACCAAGAAAGCCAAGAAACTTCTTCTAACTCCAAATTCATCTGCTATTTACGTCCAGGCATAAGCTTAACAGACTGCCTCTTTTAAACTACCCCTCACATGAGTCTCCCCACCCTCTCTTACCTCTATATTGAGACTTTTCCCATCAGTTGGTCTGCTTACGTATTACTCTCCCATTCAAGGCACCCAAGGCCTATCGCATTCCTGAACAGAGCCTTTCCTGACACACAACACGTACATTGCTCCAGGAAAGTTCCGTACAATCAAATTCATGCCTATCAATAAGTAGGACCATGTGTACTGAATATCCATACATGCTTCCTCATGTTAATGAGGGTCATTCATCTGGTAGAAAACCAGTCTCCACTGATGACGTACAATTTGCTATTTGTTTGTTTGGTTCTTTGCTTGCAAAAATTCCTTTCTAACATATTTCTCTGTGGGTTTCTTTTCCAATAACCGATCCATTCGACCTCTATCCAAAAGGACACTGACCTTGTAGGAAAGGAAAAACTTTCCTCCACCCTCTTTGGTTCTGTGACTGGGTCTGTGAAATAAACTGACAACAGGCAGACAAACAGGGAATAAAAAGTATATAATTTTATTTGGTGTTAAAAGTTTTACACAGAAAGGGGTGGGAGGAGGACTTCATAAGAATGGCTGTGCTTGGAAGCTTTTATACTATTTGGAAAAAAGACAAAAATGCTAAAGAGAAGTGACATGGCAAAGGAAATGGACTTTGAACTTCTAGGGGTGGCAGACTGTATGAAGGCAAATATGCAAATGTCGGGAGAAACTGATGGGAGATGATGGCTGGCTCCTAGGGCTGGTTTGTGTAAGCCCTTTCTGGTGTCCTCTCATCTCCAGTAATGAGGCTGTTACTCCTTTTCTGGGAAATTCTCCTTACCGGAAGTAGAGCTGGGAGGAACACGTTCACAAGGAAAATTTTATGTTTCAGGCAGACGGGAAAAGGCAGAGAGCTCATCTTGTGTCTTTTTCTTAACTGTTTTCAGCTCAATGTAATCTGTATGCCAGAGTGGTGTGTTTTGGGGTAACATAATCTGATCTCTTACAGCCCTTTATGTCATGAACTTTGCCAGAGATACGGAAAACATTGGGGAGGAAAGGGAAGAAAGAAGGGCAAAGAAATGGGGGTAAAAAAAAAAAGAGGAACAGAGAATTTAATACAACCAGATGTATGAAAACAAAATTTAAACTGCTCCCCCCCCAAATTTGTGCTCTGTCTTTTCTATTTTAAGCGCTAATTCTAAAATCAGTTTAAAAATACAGCATATATATATATATATATATATATATGCACACTACAATATGGGAACACAAATTGCCACTCAAAAAAATAGACAGGGTATTGGGCTTATGGTCAAGATACCTGGATATTGCTTTTGATTCTCTAAGTGCACATATATGAGCATCCAAAGATAGGTCCACACACACGTATATACACACAAGCATCTATGTGTGTGTGTGTGAATGTGTGTGTTTATGTGGAAAAGTCATTTACTACTTGTTCTTTGGTTTGCACAGGAGTGAAACTGAAACAATCAAGTACGTCCATCCCAATAGTTCCTGTCTTTCTTTGAAGAGTCAGTGATATGGAGACATGGGATAAATGGGATTGTAAATGTAAATGATACACTCCTAGCTTAAAGGCTTTATGCAATTTACATAAATCTGCATGCTGAGTTCAAAAAGCACAAATCTGTAGTATTAAAGTTAATTAGGGCAAACTACTATTTAATATGAATCCAATATTCAAGAATAACACAGATAAAATACATACACAACAGTTTTAAAAATCAATTGTTTTAATCATGCTCTGATTAGGACAGCTAAAATAAGCTTCACACAGATATGGCATGGCCAGTGGGGTGCACGATTCCCACACAAGGAGACCACTGCAGGATCACAGAGCAAAGATGAAGAGCATCCCCTGGGAGCTGGGAGAACAGGGGGCTGGGGATTCCTGCTTAGTGTGCCAGTGAGGGAGGTGGGCTGACAGGGCCTTCCTAAAGTTTTGGTTACTCCAAAAATTGGCTGGAAAAACTCAAAACACACTGGCCAGTCCCATGGTTAGAGGGAAAGACTGTCCCAGCAAGCTCTCTGACATATTTCTTAGCACTTCAGAGAGTGCTCAGCACATCCACTTGGTATACAGGAGGTGGCAGGATGGAATTTTCAAGGAGATGTGGCCAAGGAAGCCAAGTTTTCTATAATCCACAGACACCACATTCCATGAGGCTCCAGAGGGAGGCAACAGGTAGATTAATCACAAGGATAGGTCCCTGATAGCCTTTCTATACAAAGTGACCCTTCCCTGTGTCCACACCTGATGAACTACAGAATGTTTCTATGGTTGCTATGAACCACAAAATGTCATCTGAGAAAAGAAGGACCTCAGGAATGGCAGAATAAAAGTCTCTGAAAATCATCTCCTTCATAAAATCAATGAGAACATGGACAAAAATTGTGAAATCAACATTTTTGGAACTCTAAAAATTAATCAAAGGCTTGCAACAATCTAAGTACTGTTTATTCAAGAAAAACAGACGAATCTTGTTAAGAATAAGCAAACTATAAAGTGTTTTAACTTGCCCTATTCCCATACCCCTTCCACTAGTTCCACAGGACCCTTGAAAACCAACAGTCTTGCAACTACAGGAGCTGTGAAAAACAATAGCCTTGAAGCCACTAAGGGGGATAGTACAGATAATTCTTACTATTTTATCTGTCAAGAAGCTGCCTTCAAAAGCTCCATTCTTAGGCTTGCCTGTATCTGACCTAAATCTGACCTGTATCTGTGCAAAAAGCCCTATCCCTAGGGCAAACAATCTGTGACACATGCTCAATATCACAGTTCCCTGAGGCAGCAATATGAACTGGGGCTAACAAGCAACAGACCAAAAACCTTAAATGGAAAAACTGGAGAATGACATGGCCATAGGGGATTCTGAACTGCTCTGACTTATTCCTGGAAATTCAGAAGGTCACACACATGTACAGGGCTAAGCACATGTCCAGAAAAAGCACTGGAAAAGGCTCTAATATCTCACCTCTGGCATGACAGACTGACATACAATTTGACGTACAGTGTACGTCACCTCTGACTGACCTCTGGCTCTAAGCAAGCAAGTGGAGGGTTGTAAACTGCCTGCCAGCACATAGCAGGCAAGCCTCAACACACACACACAAGTCCCTTCCCAAAGGCTTGGAGATTTATCCCTCAAATAATTTAAAGAAACCTGTATCCAGTTATTAGATGACCACTTAGCTAACTGACAAGAGACTTCAGAGGCTAAACATACATAGAATATATATCTTACAGAATTATCTTAAGAAGGTCACTTAACAGACAGAAGCAATATAAAAAGTAAATTCTGCATAGGGTAGGAAATCTGATTTCCAAAATTGCCATATTATATCATTCAAATGCCCAGTTGTTAAAAAACATTTATGAAATATGCAAAGAAATAGGAAGGTATGGAGCATACACGGGGGAAAAAAAGCAATCAATAGAAACTGCCCCTAAGGTATGCTAGACTTTACAGAAAAAAACCTTGAAATTAGCTATCCTAATTATATTTTAAAAGATAAATAATTTCTAAAGAATTAAAGTATGAGAACTACGTCTCAACAAACAATATTAAAAGATGAAAATTATTTTAAAAGTATTAATTTTGGTTAAAAGGTAAAATAACAAATAAATTCACTGGAGGGACTCAACAGTATATTTTAATCTGCAGAAAAAGAATCACTGAACTTGAAGACAGGCTAATAGCAATTACTCAATCCTAAGAACAAAGAGAAATAAAAGGAAGAGTCTCAGAAAAATATGAGATGCCAACAGGTGTGCCAACACACAACTAATAGAAATAGAAGATGGAAGGGAAAGTAACAGAAAGAATACTGGAAAAGTATTTGAAGAAATAATGAAGTAAACTTACCAAATTTAATATAAAACAATGGTCTGTATATGTAAGCAGCTCAAAAACTCTAAGAAGGATAAATGCAAAGATATCAACACCCAGCTACATAAAAGTAAAGCTGTTAAATGGCAAAGAACAAAATCTTGAAAGCAGTAAGAAAACAATTACTTGTCAAGAAAAGAACAGCAAATAAGATGAATGAATGACTTCTCATCAGAAACTATGGAATCCAGAAGGCAATGGGATGATCTATTTAAAGTTCAGAAATAAAAACAGTCAACCAAGGATTAGCTATGCAGGCATGCAAATCAGAAAGGAAGAAGTAAAATTACCTCTATTCTTAGATAAACGATCTTATATAAGAAAAAAATAAGGAAATATTTTAAAAAAACAAAAAAACAAAAATAATTGATCTTATACATAGAACACACTAAAGATTCCACAAAAAACCTGTTAGAATAAACACATTTAGCAAAATGATAGGAAACAAAATCAACACAATGAACAACAGTTGTGTTTCTACACATTAACAACAAATAAAAGGAAATTAAGAAAACAATTTCATTACAATAGTATTAAAAAGAGTAAAATACTTAAAAATAAACTTAAGAAAGGAGGCAAACGACTCATACTATGAAAACTACAAAAGATTTCTGAAAGAAATAAAAGAAGACACAAATGGAAAGACATCCCATTTCACAAATCAGATGACTTATTATTACGATGTCAATACTTCCCAAAATGATTTACAGATTTAATACAATCCTGCTAAAATTCCTAATGGCATTTTCTTTTGCAGAAATAAAAAAGCCATATGGAATTTAAAGTTACCTCAAAAAGCCAAAACAATCTTGCAAAAGAATAACAAGATAGGAAGTCCCACACTTCCTGATATCAAAATGAATTATAGAGCTACAGTAATCAAAACAGCATAGTAGTGGCACAGAGAGAGGCATACAAACCAATGTAATAGATTAGAAAGCCCAGAAATAAACCCTGGCAAATAGGGCCAAATGATTTTTGACAAAGGTGCCAAGACCATTCAATGGATAAAGGACAGTCTCTAGTAAATGGCATTGGGAAAACTGCACATCCACATGCAAAAGAATGAAGGTGGACCCTTATCTTACGCCACATACAAAAATTAACTCAAAACAGAACAAAGATTTAAACCTAAGACCTAAAATTGAAAGCACTTACAATAAAACATAAGAGAGAAGATTCACGATGTTGGATTTAGCAGTGATTTCTTGGATGTAACAAGAAAAGGACAGGCAACAAAAGAAAGACGGCAGAAGAGGAGGTCCCCAGCTTTCGTCCCCTCACAAAACAACCAACTAGCAAAACTATCTATAGACAAAACACCTTTGTGGAAATCCCAGAATAAGGGGATGAGGCAGAACCAACCCCTTGGACCACAGAAACCAAGAAAAGTTTCATTAGAAGGGTAAGAAGAGTGGAGGGATTTGGTTTGGTCATGCTGCCCCTCCCCAGTCTGGTAGAGCACTAGACAAAGAGACTTCCCCTAAGCTATGTTTTTCCAGTAGGGAAAAAGAGAGCCTAAGGTGGACATCCAGCTTCCCTAGCATTGCAGGGTACTTCCCAGGATGCCTCCTTCTGTCTTGTCTCACAGGAACACTGGGAAAATAAGACCACCTGGGGTTGGCTAGGAACAAAGAAGGATGGGGCTCAAAGCAACTAGCTCGTGTATCTCAGTGGTGGCACCAAATCCCTGCCAGTGGAGTTGCCTGACCAGAAGGCGCAGCCAGTGGCACTGCACCCACAGAGCTGAACCAGTGTCACCATCTGGCCAGGGAGGGCAGTCACCAGCTCTGCCCACCATCAGTCCCCAGCCAGCAGTCTGGCTCAGCCCTGGGGCTCAGCCTACAGCTCTCCTCAGGCAGAAAGCCAAGCCCCACCTAGCAGAGCAGCATAGCCTGAAATCAGCCAGAGACCCTGACCAGCTATGGAACACAGTGGACGCCCCCCTGCACCACCCAGGGCACAGAGTTCAGACCACAGCACTGCCTAGCGGCAGAGCACAGCCTGCAGCCACCCCCAAACAGGGAGATCAACCAGCAACCCCATTGACCACCTGACCAGAGAGCCCAGACAGCAGTCCGGTCCAACTGCGGAGCCCAGCCTATGGCCCTGCCCAGCAGGGGGTCCTGTCAGGGTTCCCCCACCCGACTGCAGGGCACAGCCTGCCACTCCACCAGGCTGCAGAGCACACCTAGAATACTATTCCGCCATAAGGAAAGAAAGACATCCCTCCATTTGTGATAACATGGATGTATCCTGAGGGCATTCTCCTGAGTGGAATCAGACAGAGACAAATACTGTATGATCTCACTTATATGTGAAATCTAAAAAAGTACAACTCTTAGAAACAGAGAGTAGAATGCTGGTTGCCAAGGCTGAGGCACAGATGTTCGTCAAAGGGTACAAACTTTCAGTTATAAGATGCAAAAGTTCTGAGGATCTAAGCTACAGCGTGGTGACTGCAGTTAATAATACTGTATTGTACATTTGAAGTTTGTTAGAAAAGTAGATCTTAGTGGTTCTCATCAGACACACACAAGAATGGTAACTATGTGAGGTGATGAATGTGCCTACTTAATTTTGATAATAATATCCCAATACATATGTATATCAAAGCATCACGCTGTATACCTTATATATATAATCATATATATGACTATACCTCAGTAAAGCTTAGAAAAACTCCCACAGTAGTGGGGAAGAGAGGAATTAAACTGGGGATAGCAGCTAAAAAGAACCCCTAATGTGGCCGGGCATGGTGGCTCACGCCTGTAATCCCAGCACTTTGGGAGGCCGAGGTGGGTGGATCACGAGGGCAGGAGATCAAGACCATCCTGGCTAACACGGTGAAACCCATCTCTACTAAAAATAGAACAAATTAGCTGGGCATGGCAGCTACTTGGGAGGCTGAGGCAGGAGAAGGGCGTGAACCCGGGAGGCAGAGCTCGCAGTGAGCCGAGACGTGCCACTGCACTCCAGCCTGGGCGACAGAGCAAGACTCTGTCTCACAAAACAAAACAAAACCTTAATGTCTCATTATAAAGTTTTTAAAAGAACAGAAAATAAAAGAAGTAACTAGATTATATATTAAGTGTGAGAATAAAAGTAGATAAAATGTACCACATGAAAATTTAAAAATTCTGTGCCATCAAAGGACAAAACTAACAGGGTCAAAATGCAACCTACGGAATAAGAAAAAGACACTGGCAAATTATATATTTTATAAGGGGTTAATATTCAGAATATATAAAGAACTCTTACAATTCAACAAGAGAAAAACAAATAACCTGATTAAAAAACAGGCAAAGGACTTGAATGGACATTTCTCCAAAGAAGGTTTACAAAAGAGCAAAAAGCATATGAGAAGATGCTAAGTTGCACCAATGATCAGGAAAATGGAATTAAAACCGCAATGAGAGAGTAGGTTCATCTTCACACATTAGGATGGCCATTATTTAGAAAATAAATAAATAAATAACAAAATAACAAACGTTGACATGGATATGGGGAAACTGGAGATCTTGTGCACTGTCAGTGGGAAAGTAAAATGTAAAATGGTGCAGCCACTACGGAAAACAGTATGGAGGTTCCTTAAAAAATTAAAAATAGAATTATCATATGATCTAACAATACTTCTCAGTATCTATCTAAACGAATTGAAGACAGGGTCTTGAAGAGATACTTGTACACCCACGTTCATAACGGCATCATTCACAATAGCAAAAAGGTGGGAACAACCTTAGTGTCTGTGGAGGGATAAACAGGTAAACACACCGTGCCCTATGCATCCAGTGAAATATTCTTCAGTCTTAAATGGGAAGTTCTGACACACGCTACCACATGTGTGAACCTTGGAGACATTATACCAAGTGAAATAAGTCTGTCACACAAAGTCAAAATACTCTCTGCCTTCACTTATATGAGGTACCTAGAGTAGTCAAACTCATAGAGACAAAGTAGAATGATGGCTGCCTGGGGCTGTGGGGGAAGGGGAATCAGAGAGTCACTGCTTAGCAAGTACAGATTTTCAGTTTCGCAAGGTAAAAAAGTTCTAAAGATGGGTTGCACAACAATGGGAACATACTTAACACTATTGAATTATATATAAAATGGTTAGGATGATAAATTTTATGTTATGAACATTCTACCACAATTAATTTTTTTTTTTAAGTTGAGAAGAAACAAGCTGCTATGTAGTAAAAGCAATTAATGGAGCTGGACTCCTGCCCTATGATTCTGGAGATACCTCTACATTCCAAATTATACATTCTCCACTAGCTTGAGGGAGCGTTCTGTAATTACAGAGGTCTTAACTGACCCATGGGGAGAATGAGGAACACATAGGGGATGTGCACGTCGGGAGAATGAAGGACACAGGGCACTCAAGGCAGACTGCTTACTTCAGCCAAGAACAGGACTGACTGCTTGCTACGTGCTGAACTTGGAAAATATGGACTACTTGAGATGAAAAAAATTGCCAAAGAAAAGCTGGCTAATCCTAACAATACTATAATCTGTTTATAAGACAGAGGCTGTTCAACTGCTCCAGTCCTATGCACTGAGGATGAAGGGCTTCAGGTACACTTGAGCGGCACTCATTACAGATGTCCCATACATCACAAAAATAATTTGGCCTGCAGCCTTCCTCCAATTGGAAAAGAACCGGGGTTTAATTAATGGTTATTTCATTTGACGGAGTTTGGGAAGGGACACATTATTTAAGCTGCAGATGGTAACTAATCTTAGATAGTATCTTGAACTTGTAATGTTTAACCCTGAAGTACTGACTTGATAGTTAAAGAACAATTCTACAACAGACAAATACTAAAGTACATCCCTTTTCAAGGATCATTCTTAACACCATCTATAAGTGGATTAAAGTCTAAAAATGGATTTCAGGACCTATTATTAATTTGGGGTAGAAGTATTTCCTCATGCTAATTTGTGTAAAGACAAATTCAACATTCTTCCTGATCTAGGTATGTCCATGTGGATTTCATTTTTAAGTCACAGAATTCATGTATCCATCCTTCCATTTCTTCCAGAACACCAATTATGTATTAGGTCTCTGCTAATAGGCCTGGCAGTGGGGCACCTAATGATACAAAGAAATGTAAGAACAACTATGGTTTTAATTTTCAGCATGTTACTATAGGTAAGGGAACTATAGCTCCTTGATTCCAATTACCTGCCATGAAGAAGATGAGATGTGTTCCACGAGCCTTCATCTCACGGGGAGCCTGGGCAAGGAAAGGAGCTGTGGGTCCAGGGCACAGCCAGGGCTTACAGCAGATCTGGATCTGTTCCCAGCATGAATCCTCAGAGCACTTACATCTGAATCATCTTGGGAGCCTTTTGAAAATAAAAAGCTCTCCGGGCTCAGTCTTTGGAGATCTCGGTCAGTAGCTCTGGGCAGACTCCAGAACAGGCTTCCTAGGTGATTCTTATGTGCGATTCTGTTCAGATCTGGAAGCCAATTTGTTCTCACAATAGTCATAATCGGCGTTATGAGTGTTACAGCCTCCTGTAGGGAAGGGCCGTGAAGCAACAGGCCTTAAGTACAACAGAGAGAAGCAACGTCCAGTTTCCTTATTTGCCCTTTCATTTCTCTCTTTATTTCATACATCTGTGTTTGGGCACTTACTTCATTACTAGTCACTGTAGTAAGGGCTAGAAAAACAAAGCCAAGTGAGACAGACATAGCTTTTGGAACTCGCGGGCTAGAGGTAAACACAGACCTTAAACATGGGATTCAAGGAGGGAGGAATGCCTGCCACACGTCTACAGTCACTCACTGCTCAGCACTCGGACCTCCAGAGCAGGGCAACTTGTAACTTCCAGCCCTGGATAGAAGACTGTATGAATCCGGTTAAAGCAAAGACAGCATTCTTATTATCTGTAGTTTCTACAAATCAATCATGCACACTAACTCATAAGATAGTCTCTAATGAATGAGACGCTACAGATAATTTATAACCACTACCTACCTGCACATATTTAGGAGGCTTCCCAATTATAGTATCTGTTTCCATGTCATCCTGCAAAAGTTCTTAGGACAATGCATATTCTGGGATACTAAATTTGGTTCAAGGGACCTATTTAAGGACATAAGGTAATAAATTAAAATATTCTTTAAAGACTTAAGACATTGCACAGGGAGCCATCCATAGTTACCTAACGTTCTTTCCAAGAAACTTGTCAAACTCTTTTAAGCTCATCACTGAACTACCTAATATCCATTGTGTTTAATTGGTGATAAGCAATAATGATTCCCAGGGATGAAGTCACTTGTCAACGTGTAGACAACTGACAAAAACGGAAACAAAACACAAGCCTGTAACTCCCAAGATTACTTGCTATAAACTAGGTTGCCTCCCTAGACTCCAGGATAACTTCCACTCAAGATAAACTCATTCTCCACAGCAAGTCAGGATGACTGCTGTCAGAAAGGGAGAATAACACAGAAAGATAATCTAGTCACCACACCTGCATCTCAAGGATATTTAAAGCCTTGAACTGCCTCACAACCATGGCCATATGAGGCTTATTGAAGCTGCTATGGCATCTTGAATTAAAGTTTTCGTACCCTCTCTGTCACCAAATTATATTTCATTAAATGTGTGGCTAGACATTTCAGCGCCTCAGTTAAAGGAATGAAGGAGACACACTGCGAGGATTAATTAGCGTTTGCTGCTCAGTCTCTTTGAATGCTTCCCGAGGACAATGCAATGTTTTGCCAGTAAGAGAACAAAAGTGTAATTATTAGCACTGAACAAAAAAGGAAATATGTGAAAGAAATAACTAGCTCAGACCGAACCGAACTATTAAAGAGATGATGGATGCAAATGCTATAAATATGAATTGGACAAAGCAGAAATTAATGGTGTCAAGTTTTTAAAAAATCTTCCTCTATCTTTCCTCGGACTTTTAGAAAGTTCTACTTTATTCTACCTAAAAAAGCTCCAAATAACATGGTGGCTGTTTTTTGACAAAGATATATTCTTCTTATTTACACATGCCTATAAATACCCCAGCATTCGTTTCATCACAACAATTTGAAAATCAGCCGTTTTCCCACGCTCTACTGACAAAACAAAAAATAGTCGGAGTTTACCAATTCCCTACACCTTCCTACCTACTTCAACACAGAGAAAGCCCACTGGAACTCTGTGTAGTCACTGCTAACAAATATTCCTTCATTCACCCTTCCATCTTAAAAATAAAATTACTGCTGGGTGTGGTGGCTCACGCCTGTAATCCCAGCACTCTGGGAGGCTGAGGCGGGTGGATCACGAGGTCAGGAGATCGAGACCACCCTGACCAACACGGTGAAACCCCATCTCTACTAAAAATACAAAAATTATCTAGGCGTGGTGGTGGGCACCTGTAGTCCCAGCTACTCAGGAGGCTGAGGCAGGATAATCGCTTGAACCTGGGAAGTGGAGGTTGCAGTGAGCCAACATCACGCCACTGCACTCCAGCCTGGTGACAGAGCAAGACTCTGTCTCAAAAAAATAAAATAAAATAAAACCTAAAATAAGCAGGAGGTTCTTCTCCATGGAGAATTTTTTTCTCCTTCTTCCTAAATCTGTATGCCTTTTATTCAGTTCTTCTGAACATGCTGTATTGGAATATGGTGTTTGTATTCCTGGGGCTCTATCACCATCACAATAGGTGAGACGACAAAATGACCAAGAGATAGAAAAATTAGCTACTTAAAACACCTAGTCCAGATGCCTGCTCAGGTGCATCTCAACCACAAAACAGATTAAGACATAACGTGTTGCTACAAAGCGACACTACTAAACATGAAAGAATAGCAGAAGAAACGTCATCTGGCAACTCGTCGGAAGCTGTCAGCTGGCTTCCTTGTATTTCACCAGCAATGGCAGAGTGATGGGATCAGTGGCTCCACATTGTGACAGTGCCCTCCCACGCTGACTCGGGGCACGGTCCCGGGGCTCGCCTCCTAATGGTTCAGCAGCAAACTGGACATAAGCAGCAGCTTGTAGAAGCACTTGTATGTTTTTTCTTTCTCTCCTGGACCCACTGCCAGGAAAACATGCCCATGTGAACCTTATGGAAGGATGTAAAGAAGTGGAAGGAAGAACATGAGGGATCTATTGGAGGCCATCCTTGACCAGCTCTCCGCCCGTCACCCTGCCACTGCGGTGATGGATGCATGAGTGAGTGCAGACTAGCAGAAACACCTAGCCAACCCAGAGGCTTGGCACAAATCACAAAAAGTTATTCTTTGAAGTCACTAAATTTGAGAGGGGTTTTGTTACACAGCAACAGCTAACTGATACACCACTCAATGGAAAGCTAGAAAATGTGAACTGAGAACCAAAATTTTCAAAATGAAAGCTGTCCTAAGGTTCATCTGGGACCTTAGGCCTGATGCTGTATTCCAAAAAGACTGATGGCAAAGATGCAAAAGGGTCTCTAGTCTGGGAGCCAAAGCAGAATCTTCAAGGCCAGAGTGTGGTAGGCACAGCTGCCAAAGAGAGGGTTATATGTCCTCTCCCTCCATGCCACCCTCTTGCTATGTCTGAGGCTCTTCCAATTGGCTGCCTGTTGATCCATTTACTCTTGATAGTTTCCTGGAAGGAATATGAACGTTAATATTGTGTGTAAGGAAAACTGATCTAAGATCTGGAACCCAAGCCACAACTCACACACCACTGGCTTCCTTCCCAGAGAAAAAAGCCATTTGTGACCTCATCCTCTCAGTCCTGCTGCCAGGACACTCAATCTTCTGCTGGGCTCTTCCCGCTGGCACCCGTACTTGCTCTCTCCCTTCCTAGAGTCTTCTCATTCACATCTCTATTACCTTCTGTGTCCTACCCACCTGTCATTTCACACAATCTGCTTTTTGAAAAAGTAGACACAGATGGTCCCAGAAGATTCAGAATCTTGGCAAAGTTCTATTCACTGGCTTCACTCCAGAGCTCCTACTCTCACCAGGGCTGAAGAAAGCAGCCTGATGCCTCGGCTGTCAGATTCCTTTAACAACAGGCATGAAAACCACAACAGAGCACCTCCCATCATTTGCAGAAATTTAATAAGTGGGCACTGTATGTGAGGCTGAGATGCCCTTCCCTATTTCCTAGACTGTTTGTTTCAGCTACAGATGTGAGTGTTCTCCAAGTCATCTCTGTTTCAAAGGGATCCTCATCAGCAATGGTCCCTAAGCTGTGGGCTGTTTTCTCTATGAGGACAAATATTTCCTGCTAGGGGCCATCAAATCCATGTGTACCCAAGTACTATCTGTAGAATGAATAATGAAATAATGGGTCTCTCACACACATATATACATATATATGTACTACTGTTTTCCAAATGTTATGTTCAACAAAATGAAAATTACTCGAGATATGTTACTAAATCCACAGCCACTGCATGCGAGATAGCATGTATGTTAGCATCATCACACATTTTCTCAGTTCTTCACTTGATCTTAGCCAAAAGGCCGAGAACCGAGGATTTTCTCGGTTCTTAAATAATAAGAGCTCAAAAATTATAAGACTAAAAATTCTGGTCATTAAAAAAGATCTTCGTGTTCACACAGGCTCAATGGAAACCACTGATCTAGAAGTTAGACTCATTGTGAAGCTGACCTAGGGCCGCAGATGTTCTCTGGGATGATCTAACAAAATTAAGTATATATACAACATGCCTCAGGGTCTAGGGAAAGCTGCCCCAGACAAGAAGCAAAGGTAATGTGGCCAACCAATTAACCTTCCCATATCTAGCACTGTTGGCATTGTGGGTCAGATAACTCTTTGCTGTGAGAGGTTGTGAATTTCAGGATGTTTACCAGCATCCCTGGCCTTCACTCACAAGATGGCAAATGTGGCCCCCACCCAGTTGTGACAACCACAAATGTCTCCAGAAATTGTTAAGTGTTTCCTAAGGGATAAATCCTCCCCCTCGACCAATAGTCTAGGCTACTGTGTAGGAATACAGCGCTAGAGCAAGCACTTTCAACAACAGAACCATTAAGTTAAGGAATTATATATTAGCCAGAATGAGAATAGACCTTCATAGTCCCAAACCTGAATATCTAAATGCTAACTCCGCCTGCAAATGCAAAACAAAATGATGTTTTCCTAAGATAAAGAACACTTAATTTCATTAGATCTTACATCCAAACTTTATTAATATCCTAAAAAGTTTGATGCCATGGTAAAATAAATATAAACATCCTCCAGGCAAGGACAATGTTGCCCAGTATGGTTAAAGCAAATGATCAAGCCGGATTTCACACAATCAGCACCTAATCGCAAAGGCTAAGGTCAGGAGACACCGTTGGCATCCTATATTCTCCCTCGAGTTGCCTTCATAATTTTTAAATACAAGTTTTTCTAGAGATTTTTTTTTTAGAGAGATAGGTCTCTTAGAAATAGCCACTGTTGGTCCAGTGCGGTGGCTCACGGACCCACAGCACTTTGGGAGGCCAAAGTGGGCGGGTTACCTGAGGTCAGGAGTTTGAGACCAGCCTGACCAACATGGTGAAACCCCGCCTCTACTAAAAATACAAAAATTAGCCAGGCATGGTGGCACATGCCTGTAATCCCAGCTACTTGGGAGGCTGAGGCAGGAGAACTGCTTGAGCCCAGGAGGTGGAGGATACAGTAAGCTGAGATCGTGCCACTGTAATCCAGTCAGGCCGACAGAGTGAGACTCTGTCTCAAAAAAAGAAACAGCCACTGGAATTTGCTAACTCATGACTACATGGCCAACTTCTCTTCTCAATGTCACAAGGCCTTTCTCCACTGTTGACCAGAAAGAAATGCTGGGAAGAGTTTTGGGGATTTATTCATGTGTAAAAGACTACAGTTGTGAGATGTGATGGAATCACAGAGGGAGTCACTCAGCTAAGAGGTGGTGAGCACATCCCGCCTTCCTTCCTAATGCAATTCTCAATAACTGGGCTATTTGAAATTATGTCTGTGGTGAAACATTCCACTAAGTTGGTCAGATTTAAGAGAAGATACCCAGAAGGAGTGAACCCTGAGACAGCACTTGCAGGACAGCTAGAGTTAAAATAGGTAGAAGTAGTACAAAAACAAAGAGAAACGGAGTAACTTTACAGTGGAGATAGCTGATAAGTACTACCTCAGCGGTGATCAAGTTCAGCATCAACAGTGACACGCCATGCTGATGGCATGGGCCCTTCACATGGTATGAGAGTGGGACTTCACTTCTGCTGTCTTCCTCCTCAAACTCATCATCAGTCTAACCATGAGAAAAACATCAGAAACATCCAACTGAAGAACATATTACAAAATACCTAACCAGTGCCCCTTCAAACTGTCAAGATCATCAAGAACGAGCAAAGTTGGAGAAACTGCCAGAGACTGGAAAAACCTAAGGAAATACAGTGACTAAATGTAATGTGGTATCCTGGATGGGATCCTGGAACAGAAAGGAGGCATTGAGCAAAAACTAGGAAAATCTGAATAAACGGTGGACCTCGCTTGGTTAATATATTTTATTCCTGGTGACTCATTTTAAAATTTCTCGGCCGGGCGCGGTGGCTCATGTCTGCAATCCCAGCACTTTGGGAGGCTGAGGCGGGTGGATCACCCGAGGTCAGGAGTTCGAGACCAGCCCGGCCAACATGGTGAAACCCCGTCTCTACTAAAAATACAAAATTTAGCCGGACGCGCTGGTGTGTGCCTATAATCCCAGCTACTCAGGAGGCTGAGGCTG
This sequence comes from Homo sapiens, assembly GCF_000001405.40. Taxonomy (NCBI): domain Eukaryota; kingdom Metazoa; phylum Chordata; class Mammalia; order Primates; family Hominidae; genus Homo; species Homo sapiens. Next base: position 3,727,600 of record NC_000007.14, on the reverse strand, counting down.
GAGAATTGCTTGAACCCAGGAGGTGGAGGTTGCCATGAGCCAAGATGGCGCCACTGCACTCCAGCCTGAGTGACAGAGCGAGGCTCCGTCTCAAAAAAAAAGAAAATTCTCTCCCTGGCAAAAAGAGGATGGCAGAGCAGAACCAGCCTTATAGAGAGCACAGAAAATAATTCAGAGGGCTTTGGTGGTGACAAGCTGATGGCAAACGTTAATGATAAATCCAACATCAGACTTTCTCTCCAGAATACAGAGCAATGGAATGAAACCACTTCCTATTAAGGGGTTCTGATTACACATTAGATGAGAAGACACAAACAAACAGAACTCTGATTAAATCAACATGGCAACAAGGTTGTTTTTTAAACTAAAAGTAACATGCTTCTCTATCTGCCATGTACATAATCAGTGAGTGATACTTTTGCCAACACCTATTTATGATGCAAGTGAAAATTGTGAAAATCAGTCCCTTCAAAAGAGGGAAACATTGTTTCCTTCCTCACAGCAAGCCTGCTTTCTTATCAGAAGCATGTCATGCCTATAAAGACTGCAATGCACATTCCCAAGACTGTCAGTCAAAGAGACCTACCTTATTCATGGTCAATTTATCAGGAAGACAGGCAATTACAGTTTGATTAGTATGCAATAAATGGTGTTTCTTTCCAATCTATCTAGCAAAGTGGTTGAGCAAAAATTCTTTGGTGTGATTTACACCCTAATGGACTACACAGTAGAAAGGTGTTTCATGTCAAGGGTTGAGTAAAGAGAAGAGTTGGGGGAGTTGGTAGAACATTTAATAGAGGAATAAAGCCCAGGAAGTTTGGACACCCTTCTGCAGGAAGGTCTGCTGGTACTGAGGACACTGTCAAAATCTGCTGTGATTTCTCCCAGCTCCCGATTATATGAGAGAACACAGTGGTTGATGTTCCCACTACCCACCTTTTAAAGTTTTTGAAGCATTAAAGGCTAAGTTGTTTTTTAACATAACTTATAACCTTGGAGATGATTCAACGACAAAGAATAAAATCAGTAACAATTGCCTTGCAATGGATAAAACCAAATGAAAACAAATACTTTAGAAAGTGCTAACAAAATACAAAACAAAGAATTCATTTACTTCCTACAGGAAAACATGCAAAAGGGTGAGAGTTGGGCCTCAAAATTTGCCATAAGACTGCAAAAACAGTTTCCTGTAAGAAAGAAATACTTACAGTCGAGTGACTGCTTTTAAATTTCATTGTTTGCCTATACCAACTATCTTAATATCCAAAAGCACTAACTTCGTTCTTCACACTGATCAGAATTAACAGATTTGAGTGAGCATACCTCTAAATCTGGTCTTTAAAAACAGTGTGTGTCAATCCACTGGCTGCCCTGTTTTACTTGGAGCAGTGTAAAGAGTTTTATGAATTGGGTTCCGCTACTTATCTAAAATGTTCTCACATGATGGATTCTCATATCCCTAGATCCTTCTCTATAAAGTCGAAATTCCTGCTTTACCTATTTCACTGGGAGGCTGTGAGGAAAGAACATTAGGCAGATGTAAGGTGATATTGCTTCAAGCACACTTAGCAAATCAGCAATTTATTTTCCCCTAAAGAATTTTAATAGTGTCCGTCTTGCACTGAGATATTGGCTCCTGAAGACAACCTTATTTTTCTCAAACCGGTCATTATTTTGTGATGTAAGCATGTTTTAACCCAGAATCAATTGACTGTTCAATACGATTGGAGTCCGACTGCAGTAATTTTAGAAACTTTATTACGGTAGTAAATTGTGGTTTCAAATCACATGTCATTCGTGACCATGCTTATAAAAGAGAAGACGACAGTACAACTCCCACACTGGTACTAGCAATTTTCTTCTCTCCAGTGGTCTTGGCTTCCGGCAACTGAAGTTTGTCCACTTACGGCTGGGGCTCCAGGGACAGAGAATGCTTTGATTATTTTTCCAGCTTGGCCAGCCTCCCTGTTCTTGGGGCTCCTGTCTCTCTATGTATGGTTTATATTAAAAAGTAGAGCGCCAAAGAGTGGCAAGAGTGAGCTAAAGGTGCTGGAATAATAGTAACTGTATTGATAGCATTAATATTCTCTTAAGGGGATCTCATCACAGTTTCTTGTGTAACTATGAATAGAGAATTTTTTTGAAAAACATGAAATTTATCAAACCTACACAATGTTCTGATTGCAAGGCGAACAGCCAGAGGATTACTTAACAGGTCCTCTGCCAAGTCCCTCCTCCTTTTCAGCCCTTATCAGGCTGCAATGCTTTGAGAAGGACAGTTCCTTCCTCACTCAAAGTCCTGAGATCCATGTGCTTTGGATCTCATGAAATTGCTGGGAGTACCATGTGAAAGTCCGTCTTCCTTGAACCCTGCATTCTTTTACCTCTCTAGTACAAATGAGGGCAGATTTTCTTCTAGCAAGAAAGTCCCTAGCAATTCCTTCTTAACTGAACTCTATTCAGAAAGTTACTTCCTCTATCTACTGAAAAAGGATTCAGCTCTGTAGATCTATCTTTCTCTTAAAAGTAACAACTAGGCCCATTCACATTGAATCAGGATGTGGCTAAATAAGAAAGTCTAAGCTAATGCAGCTTAAGAAGGCCTCTGAGGCAGCTGAGCTGGCTGTCCACGAAAATCTATTTTCATTTCTAAAATACACATTTAAACCCCAGCCAGGAATTGTATTTCCAACCCTCTTTCCAGGTAGGCATGGCCACATGGCCATGTGACAAGTTCTCTTCGGTGGAAGGGTGGTGGAAATGACATGGGATGCTTCTGGGCCAGGCCAGTCCAGGGTTGTAAGAGGTAGGTGGGCTCCCTCCTCATTCCTTTTTCCTTCCGAAAGCTGACTGCAGGCGAGCTGGTAGACAGTACAACTGCAGGACCCAAGCAGCCCGTGTCTCTGAATCACCTCATGGAAGACAGCAACCCAAGGACCAGGCAGCCTATCCAGGGCTTTTCTTGGGATAAAAACCACTTTTGTTGCATATGCGCTTTCAAACATTTTTAGTCTGTTAATAGTCGACCTAGTACAGTTCAATATTAGGCCCCTTGGAAGGCATAATCATGATCACAGTTTTCTGTTTCTCTCTTCTCACCTTTTAGCCTACATCAAACAAATACTGCTCAGACATAATAAGGTGATGGTACAATAGAATAACAACTATTTATTTTATTTTATTTATGTTTTGTACAGACAGGGTCTCACTATGTTGCCCAGGCTGGTCTCAAACTCCTGGGCTCAAGCAATCCTCCTGCCTCAGTCTCCCAAAGTGCTGGGATTACAGGTGTGAGCTCCTGCTCCTGACTGATAACTATTTCATACAGCAATTTTTGGCTGGGCGCAGTGGTTCATACCTGTAATCCCAGCAATTTGGGAGGCCAAGGTGGGTGGATCACCTGAGGTCAGGAGTTCGAGACCAGCCTGGCCAACATGATGAAACCCTGTCTCTACTAAAAATACAACAAATTAGCTGAGCATGGTGGCACACGCCTGTAATCCCAGCTACTTGGGAGGCTAAGGCAGGAGAATCGCTTGAACCCGGGAGGCGGAGGTTGCAGTGAGCCGAGATCACACCACTGTACTCCAGCCTAGGCAACAGGTGAGACTCTCTCTCTCTTTCTCTCTCTCTCTCTCTCTCTCTCTCTCTCTCTCTATATATATATATATATATACGTGTATATATATATGTACGTGTATATACACGTGTATATATATATGTACGTGTATATACACGTGTATATGTATATGTACGTGTATATACACGTGTATATGTATATGTACGTGTATATACACGTGTATATGTATAAGTACGTGTATATACACGTGTATATGTATATGTACGTGTATATACACGTGTATATGTATATGTACGTGTATATACACGTGTATATGTATATGTACGTGTATATACACGTATACACACACACACACACACACAACTTTTACTTACTAACTGAATGAAATGTCTTCTTCCAATTCTTTAAACTTCATTAAAGAAAACAACATATACTTTAATTTCAGGTTTTATAATGGAAAGTTCATAAGGTTATATCAACAAATCAGATATAATTTTCTCACTGATGTTTCTAATTTTGCTACTAGTGTGTGAATAAAGAAAAACTGAAGAAATAATCTCTTTTAACTTACCCCATCCACAGGGAGATCCCCTTATTAAGTCATCAAGATATAGTAGCAGCCCTTAGAAGTTTCCTTTTATCAACAAATACCGTATTTTTCAAAGGCTTATATTTAAGATATAAAAATTGCTCTTCTTTCAGGAAAGTGCTGCCTGTTTTCTATGGTAATCATACGAATTTATGTCTCTACCTCCATACTCAAAGGCAGCTTACTTACTTGGTCTAACTTATTTACTGTCTCATTTTGAACTCTTAATTTACTATTCAACAGGGACAAAGCTCAATTTTGAGTACAGAAGCCTTTTATTTTAGAACACACTTGAGAAACGTCTGAGGACAGAATTTTATATGGACTCACACATTCTTTCCTAACACAGATATGCTATCTGGCATTATGAAAGTTACTTAACTTCACTGTTTGTTTCCCAAGTGTGAAATTGAATATTACTTGTTACTTCTTTTCTTCTCCCAAAGAGTAATGTGAAGTTTAAAACATGTAAAGCAATTTCCAGGTGAAAGGAGTTTACAAACACCAAGGATTCAGGCTGGCTCTCCTCTCCATCTTGGGGAAAGCATATGTCCTGAGAGAGGAGGGGGAATGGCCAGGAGGGGAGTGGTCAGATGGCCCTGTGAGCCAGAAAGCCCACCCTGCTTCAGCCTCTGAGCAAGACCTAAGAACAGACAGAGGGCGGTGCTGAGCCACCCGCGCGAGTCCCCGGATCTGAGGATTCTGCACCAGGGGGTGGGGCACTTGAGTTCAGCCTGCAGCTGTCTGGGCACCATGTGGTGGCTACAGGATGCTGCTAAATACACCACAGCGCTTTATAAGCACCCCGTGTGTCCGGAATTGTGCAGCGTGCTAAGGCGCGTACACACAGTGCATCCCTAAGGAGCTCCTGGACCTCAGCAGCACAGGGACATAGATACAGGATTGAAGAGGAGGGAAGGCAAATGGCTCCTGCCTGCTTTCCCCCTGGTGGTGTCCCCTGCGGTGAGTGCCGCAGCCCTGCAAGCTTCCCTGATTAAAGGCTCCAAATGTACTTCTCTACCCTGGGCTGACTCCCCAGGGTGCCCCTTCCTTGCGGCTGCCATACCAGGGGAGAGAGATTGTTCTGATTGTTTCCTAAACTCCACTCCTCTTCGACTGTTCTTGGGGCTCCTGTCTCTCTAATAGTGGCTATGGCATAGGACGTGGTCTCCGAGTCTCCCCTTCTTCTGTACAGTCTACCAAGCCAGGGTATTCTTTATGGGCCAATCTTAGCAAGATTTACTGCTAACCTGGGCTGGCCTGGTGGCTCACATCTGTAATTCCAGCACTTTGGGAGTCCAAGGAAGGAAGATCACTAGAGCTCAGGAGTTCAAGACCAGCCTGGGTAACATGGTGAAACCCTGGCTCTACAAAAATAACCTCAAAAAAACAAAAAAAACAAGAGGTCAAGGCTGCAGTGAGGCATGATCGTTGCCACTGCCTTCCAGACTGGGTGATAAAGACAGACTTTGTCAGAAAGGAAAGGAAAGGAAAGAGGAAAGGAAAATAATTTACTGTTAATAATGAAGAGAAAATCAGGAGATAATTGGTACCTAAAGGAGAGCTTAAGGATGGCCGACAGTTCATGAAGTTGTTATGCCAACCGGTCTAAGCCCTAGTAGAATGGAGCAGAGACATTCCTACAAGCTCTCAGCTCTGGGTTCTCTTTTCTTATGGTCCTGTATCTCCTCTTCCTCTTTCTTAATCCTGGGAACAGATCATTATTCCTCCCCCTTCCTCAGTGAGCACACAATGCACTCTCTGATCTCATCCTACCCTCCTTTGGAAACACCAGACACCCACATAGCTGATGCCTGGTTAGAGCAGAAGAGACAACAGAGGGTCATTTGCGTCAGAAGGGTGCACCCACAGAGGTGTTACCAAATCATCTCAAGGCCCTCCTCCCAAACTTTAGAAGCCTACGCTGTACTGTGAAAGCCTTATTATTTGATGTTCTCTCATTCATATTGTCTTTAATTCATTTTATTTTGAAATAATTAGATTTACGAGGAGTTCAAAGAAATGTACAGTGAAACCCATTCATCCTTCACCCAACCTGCCCCAGTGCCAACATCGTGCTGAGTAACTACAGTTTACCAAACAACATCAAAACCAGGAAACTGATGTTGGGAGAATTCATAGAGAGTATTCAGATGACACCAGCAGTGCCTGCACTCATGGATGGGTGTAAATACACTCTATGCAATTTTATCACACGCGTAGCTTTATGTAACTACCACCACAACCAAGAGAGGGAACAGTTCCATCACCTCCAAGCTCCCTCCAGCTCCCTTTTTAAGCCCCACCCATGCCCTTGCTCTCCATCCCAAAGCCTAACTCCTGGCAACAAAAGATCTCTTCTCCATTGCTGTAACTGTGTAACTTGAGGGATCTTAAATAAATGGAATCTAAATGGACTCATGCGGTCTGTGACCATTTGAGATTGGCTTTTCTCACTCAATATAACTCTCTTGAGGTCTATCCCAGTTGTGTGTATCAGAAGCCCATCACTTCTTATTATGAGCGATGTGTGATGGAATGGAAGTACTACACTGTGTTTTAAATATTTGTCTATTGCAAGATATTTGAACTTTTCCTAGGTTTGGGCTATTACAAACAATGGTGCTAGAAACACTCATGTACAGGTTTTTGTGTGAACGTAGTTTTCATTCTCTGAGATATGCCCAAGAATGCAGTAGCTTGCAAAGGATCATAAAGTAAGCACCCATGGGTCACAGAGTAAGTTGGGAAGAAATTCTCAACTCCCTATTTTCTAGAGTGGCTGTACCAGGTTACATTCCCACTAACAATATATGAGTGATCCAGTTTCTCTGCATTCTCACGCCATTATCTGGTGCTATCAACTTTTTTATTTTATCCATTCTGATGGGTTTGTAGTGATATCTCCTTGTGGTTTCAGTTTATATTTTCCTGGTGGCTAGTAAAGTTGAATATCTTTATACATGTTTGTTTGCCATTTGTATATCCTCTTTGGTGAAATATCTGTGTATGTATTTTGCACATTTTCTGATAGGTTTTTAATGTTGAGTTCTAAGAGTAGTCTATATATTCAATATATTCTAGTATATTCTAGTTCTTCATCAGGTACGTGGTTTACAAATTTTTTTTCCATGTCTGCAGTTTTTGTTTTTATACTTTTTTTGTTGTTGTTTTTTGACACAGAGTCTCGCTCTGTCGCCCAGGCTGGAGTGCAATGGCACAATCTTGCCTCAATGCAACCTCCACCTCTCTGGTTCAAGCAATTCCCCTCCCTCAGCCTCCCGAGTGGCTGGTTTTTATACTCTTAATAAGGTCATTCATAAAAGTTTTTAATTGTGATAAGATTTTATTTTTGTAAATCGTACCTTTGGTATCATCAAATTTAAAAACTCTTCTCTTAGTCTTAGATCCCAAAGATACTCTGAGTTTTCCTTTTCTTTCTTTTTTTTTTTTTAAGAGATGGAGTCTTGTTCTGTCACCAGACTGGGGTGCAGTGGCACGATCTCGGCTCACTGCAACTTCCGCCTCCCGGGTTCAAGCAATTCTCTTGCCTCAGTCTCCTGAGTAGCTTGGACTTCAGGCACGCACCACCACACCCAGCTAATTTTTGTAGTTTTAGTAGAGACGGGGTTTCACCATGTTGGCCAGGATGGTCTCAATCTCTTCACCTCATGATCCACCCACCTCAGCCTCCCAGACTGCTGGGATTACAGGCGTGAGCCACCACACCCGGACTCCTAAAAGTTTTAAAGTTTTACAGTTTTTATTTTATGTGATACTTTTTTGAGTTTTCTTTTTAATGAAATATGAACTTTAGGTCAAGGTTCCACCCACTTTTGTCCTAAATGTCCAAGTGCTCCAGCTACAATTATTGTAAAGGCCACCTTTTCTTCACTGAGTCACTTCTGCACCTTTGTCAAAAATTAGTTGGGCATATTCGTGTGGGTCTGTTTCTGGGTTCTCTGTCTTGTCCTACTGACCTATGTCTCTTTTCCTTTGCCAGTACCACACAGTCACGATTACTGTCAGGATACAGTAAGCGTTAACACTGGAAACAATGATTCCTCCTACTTTTTTCTTCTTTTTCAGAGTTGTTTTAGTTATTATAGGTCCTGTGCTATGCCATCTACATTTCAGAATGAGACTGTCTAGGTCTAGTACCTATATTTAAAAAAAAAAAAAAAAAACCTTTCTGGGTTTTCTGATCCCCAAAGTCTCTCTGATTTTTTAGGTCTTTGATTTCTTCCATTTCTCAGCATTTTGTAAATTTCAAAATAGTTTCTATTCTTGTTAGATTTATCCCCAAATGAAATACAGACTTGGGTATACCTATAATATAGATTTGGGTATATCTACAAACAAGATTTGTTCCCAGGACTTAGGCATTAGGATGAAAAGCAAGGAACAATTATAAATGGCATTGTATTATTGTATTTTTAATTTGGTTTCCACGCGTTATTATATAGAAACGTGATGGATTTTTATGTGTTGATTTTGTATACTGCAAGCTTGCTGGAATCACTTATTAGCTTGGGACTTTTTTGTAAATTCCTTTGGATTTTCAATGAAGACAATAATGTCATCCACAAATAAGAACACTTTTATTCCTCCTTTCAAACTTGGATGCCTTTTTTTTTCCTACCTTATTGTACTGGTTAGGTACTCTGTTAAGAGTGGGAGAGCGGTCATTCTTGCCTGGTTCCCAACTTTGGGGAAAAAGCATTCACCTTCTCACCACTAAGTGTATTAGTTGTAAGTTTCTGTACATACTCTTTACGAAGTTGATGAAGCTACTCCCTATAACTAGATTGCTGAGAATTTTTAGCATGAATGAGTGTTAGATATTTATTTATTTATTTATTTATTTATTTATTTATTTATTTATTTATTTATTTATTTATTTATTTATTGAGATACAGTTTTGCTTTGTCACCCAGGCTGGAGTGCAGTGGTGCAAACATGGCTCACTGCAGCCTCAACCTCCGGGCCTCAACCTCCGGGGCTCAAGCGATCCTCCCACCTTAGGCCCACCATGTATCTGGAACTACAGGCACCTGGCACCACAGCTGGCCAATTTATTATTTTTATTATTTTTTTGAGACAGGGTTTCACCATGTCACCCAGGCTGGTCTCCAACTTCTGAGCCCAAGTGATTCCACCCATCTCGGCCTTTGAAAGTGCTGGGATCACAGGGATGAGCCACCGCAACCAGCTGAGTGTTGGATTTTATCAAACGCTTTTTCTGTGTCAATGGATATGCTCATAAAGTTTCTTCTCTGGACTGCTGTTAGTATGACTTACATGAGTTGATTTTCAAATATGAAGCCAGCCTTGCATGCCTGGAATAACACCCACTTGGTTACGGTGTCTAATTCTTCCTGTACTTTGCTGGATTCAGTTTGCCATTACTGTGTTGAGAATTTTTGCACCTATATTCATGAGACATAAAGGTTTACAGTTTTTTTTTTTTTTAAATGCTGTCTTTGGCTGTTCCAGGTATCAGAATAATACTGGCCTCACAACATGAATTGGGAAGTGTTTCCTACTCTTAATTTAATAAACAAAACCCTGTAAAACTGATTTAAATTCTTCTTTAAATGTGTGGCAAATTTCTCAAGTCAAATGATCTCTGCCAGGATATCAAGTGGGGAGGGTTTAACTGCAAATTAAGTTTCTCTAAGGGCTTTAAGACTATTCAGGTTATATATCTATAGGTTGAGTTTTTGGCACTTTGTAGTTTTTGAGCATTTGGTCCAGCTAATCTAAGTTTTCAACTTTATGGGCATAAACCTGCTGTAGTATTTTCCTATCATTCTTTTAAAGGCTACAGTAACCATAGTGATAGGTCATTTCATTTACAACATTAGTGATTTGTGTCTTTTCTCTTATTATCTGCTTTTTCTAGGTTCTTAGGTGGGAGCTTAAATTATTGATTTGAGACTTCCCTCTTTCTAATATACACATTTAATGCTATAAATTTTCCTCTCAGCATGCCCTTAGTTGCATCTGCCAAATTATGGTGTTTTGCATTTTGATTTTTCATTCAGTTCAGTGTTTCCTTTATTCCCTTTAAGATACTTTCTTTGACACATGGATTATTTAGAAGTTGTTTAATATCCACATGTTTAAAGTTTTCCTGTTATCTCTCTGTTAATTTCTAGTTTGATTCCTTTATTTTTACAGAACATACTATGCATTTCTATTCTTTAAAATTCATTGAGATTTTATGAACCAGGATATGGTCTATTTCGGTCAATTAGTTCCTCTAATTGTTATAAGAGGCATCTATAACCTATCACAGCCTACTTGTATCCTCATTCCACTCCTTCAAAGGAAGGACTGAAATCTTTTTCCCTTCCCCACTTTTAAAATCTAATAGTCTTAAGTATTTCTGCTACATACATTTAACACTGCTTGAGATGGAATTAAATTTTTTTTCTTCAAACTTCAAATATAATTTAGGAAACTCATGAAGTGAAAAGTAGTGTATTTTATTTACCCCTATTATCCACTTATTTGTTCTTCTTTCTTTTCTGTAGTTGCAAGCCTTCTTCTCTGATCATTTTCTTCTTTCTGTTTGGAGGACCTCATTTAACTATTATAGCAACACATTATCTGATTTTTCCTTAGTTTGATTTTTCCTTTTTCTTTTTTTTTTTTCTTTTTTTTTGGTGAGACAGGGTCTCACTTTGTCACCCAGGCTGAAGTGCAATGGCGCCGTAATAGCTCACTGCAGCACTGACCTCCTGGGCTCAAGCAGTTCTCCACCTCAGCCTCCTGAGTAGCTGGGACTACAGGGGTGTGCACCACGCCTGGCTAATTTTTTGATTTGTTTGTAGCAATGGGGTCTCACTACCTTGCCCAGGCTGGCCTCAAATTCCTGGCCTCAAGCAATCCTCCCTCATCAATGTCCCTCAAAGTGGTGGGATTACAGGTCTGATATTACACGTGATAACACGTGGCCTCCCCTCATACTTGAATGATATTTTTGCCAAATACAGAATTCATGGTTGACAGATTTTTTTCAGAGTTCTAATTTTTCCTTAGCTTTCAGAAATTACTTATTTTCAACACAGAAGTTTAAGTGTCTTCAAATTGATTTCTTAGGGTCTATTGTGATTCATTCAGCTTCTTGAATCTGTAGGCTTGTGGAGTTTTTTTTTTCCCCCAATTTAGAAAGCTTTCACCTATTATTTCTTTGAATGCTTTTTCAGTCCCAATTTTCTTTCTCATCTCCTACTAGAACTCCAATAAAATTAAAGTTAGATCTTTGGTTACAGCCTCACAGGAGCCTCTGTTCATTTTTTTTTTTTTTTTGTCTACCTTTTTCATTGTTGGTCAGACTGAGCAAATTCTATTGATCTATCCTCATATTCACCGATCTATCTTTGTCTTCTCCACTTTATTACTGAGCTAATCCTGCTAGTTTTTAATTCTGGTTATGGAATGTTTCAATTCACTCACTTTCACTTTTTAAATAATTTCTTCTTCTTTGCTGAGATTTTTCTATTTCTTCATTTGTTCAAGGAGAATGAATAGTTTGCTGCTGACGCCCTTTTATGATGGCTGCTTTAAAATCCTTGTCTGGTAATTGCAACAGCTGACTCACTTCAATTTTGGCCTCAGTTGATTGTGTCTTCTCATTCAAGTTGTGATTTTTCCTTGTTCTTTGTATGTTCAGTAATTTTCCATTCTCTGTGGACGTTTTCGATATTATGTTAAGACTCCTTGTCCTATTTAAATCTTTTATTTTAGATGGCAGTTGCCTGATGGGTTTAGGGTATAGGACTTTGCCTACTTTTTTGGGCTGTAGTTCCAATGATAATGTGTTTTTCAGAGCTGTCCTGGTCTCCTTTGTTCTGTAGGGTCTGGGGATCCTTCTCTATCCCTGCTATTGCCTCCTGTGGGACAGAACGCACTTCCCTGGGCTTCCCTGCATCACCAGGTAGAAGGTGAGGGGTGTCTGGTTCGGTAGGCTGAGAGGATATCTTTGGGCTATCAGTTGCTGGTGGCTCTGTCAGTCTTGACTAGTGCCACCTGAGGAGGGAAGAACCTACGTAGCCTACCTTCTCCCACTGTAAACGGATCGGAAAATGCTGGGTCAAATATATTTTGATTTAATAAAATTTCTGGTAAGTGGATACATACATGAATTTATATATAGTCTGCAGCTCATCTGCAAAAAGTAAAATAAAACCTTAAATTTACAATTACATTTGTACAATTTATGACGATCTAGTATATTTGTGAACAGGGTGATTTAGTATCTCTCACTAAATAAGCTAATTATATGTGCAATTATTTTGGAATATAGTGAACAATAAGGACAATTACAACCTTAGCATTTAACAGATTTTAAGCCATCATTGGAGAAGCTGAGGCATCTGAGAGATGAGTATTCTCTCTACTTGATTCTTCATTTATTTTTTACTTAATTGAGTTTTAATGCTACATAATATTGAATCACAACTTAAAATATGAGAATTACCATCAATCTAAGCCCACATTGCATTCTCTCAAAGCACATTTTAAAATCTAAAAATTGGTGTCATTTATTAATTTCATTGTAATTTGCACTTAATTAGAACCTCTCCAAGCTTGACACTTACACACAAAATGACTCATTCTGGCACAAGTGGGAAATGAACCGTCCTACAAAAGCAAATCTCCCAGATACTTGACACTCAACGCTTCAAGCATGGAAACTTGTTTTAGAAGCACTTTTGAGAGAAAATAAGTGTCTTGAAATTAATTACACAGCAGTTCTGTACCTGCTTCAATAAAGTGTATTAAACGACATTTAAACTTTGAAGGCCTCAGGACCATTTTCAGATGTTGTGTACTGTGTTACAATGTAGTAATGCTAATATCACCACTTACATAAGATGTAACAAAATGCAAAGCACTTAAAGGACTGATGTGAAATGAGCAAATGGGATAAACTTATTATTCTTAATTTAAGAGGAAACTGAGACTCTGGAAGGGCGAATAACTAGTTCATATTTAAACAGGTAATTGACAGGTTGAAAAGAGAGTAAAAAAGATAATAACATCCCTATGGTACTTCTATCATTCTAAAGCTCCTTTCACAAATATTTAATTCTAAGAATAGTAATGATTTTCCTTCATATTTTACAATAAGGAAGTTCAGAGATTTTAAGCAACGGGTCTGGCTACACAAGGAGTGATCAAGGCCTCTACCTCCTGGTCTATCTGCAGCCTCTGAGTTTTTCCCGTCCCTCTGAGTCTAAGTCCAGAGCTCTTTCTGTTGCCCTGGATGTGCACCATGGCGTCAACGTGTTGTTGTTTTGAATTCCTGGCTCCATACTTTAAACGCTTCCTCCTTTGCTGTCAGGCAGCCGGCTCACGACTTGCTGCCGTCTGCACACCTGCCTCTCAAAATGTTTCTCATCTGATATTTCGATGTTTGTGGGCTGAGATGAAACAGTCTTTGAATTAGGGTCTGAGGTGCTCTCTCTTTTAAATAAAGTCATGAATTAATATAATGTTCATTTTGGCAGTGGAAAGCCTGATTTGCTGATTCCTGACTCTCGGTTTTGTTTTTAATCACTATGATTACTTGATATAGGACTTGTCAACAAGTGAGGGGCTGTGACTATAATACCTTAACATTAGCAAATCACATGTATTTAATCAATTAAATATTAAATTGTTGAATGGTTTTCCTTTTGAAGGGAGTACATTCTCCACATGAAATCTCTAGTCCAGGTTCTATGATCAGTGATCAAATACTGTGACAGAAAGCTGTAGAAAGGTATCTGATGACGGATGGGATCTTATTCTAACAGAACTGACGTATTCTTGAAAAGCCTCTTTTCTGTACTCTCAGGTATAAATACTGAAGTCTAGACCAGGCCTAATTCAATGGTAAAAGACAGAAAAGCCAGTGCTGCGGGTGGGGGAGAGACATATCTAAGACACTCAAGGCAAGAATGAAGCCATTCCCGTGGGAAGCAAAGGGAAAATGTGTAGCAGTCATCTTTTCCCCTCTCTCCACCTTTCTTTTTTGAAGTCCTTACTTAGTTTTAAGTTCTTTGTAGGCTCTTTCTTTCTTTTCTTGAGGAATAGGATTTCTGTAAGCATGGAAAGACAAACAACCCCAATTGTACTTTATCACAACACAGAGCCTGAGCTCCCAGACGACTTGGAAGGAGAAAGATCATTATCCTTCTTATCCTAACAAAGGAAGACAATGTCTTCATCATCCATCAATTCGCTGAGCAGCCGGACTCAGCTTTGAAGGAAGTGCTTATCTCAGGGGTGTGCTGGCAGAGGGTTCCTGGTGCCTTCAGCCTGCTCCCCGCTGTGCAAGATCTGCTTCTCCAGGGACGCAGCACCTGCCTCCTGGCACCCTGCCATGCCCCAGCCACATGGGCACGCCTTGGTGCCCATCCCCTTAAGACAAGCTTGTGGCCAACAGCAATCAGCATTCCTGGGTGTCAGGCATATGGGTTTGCAGCTCACAGAAGCTTTCAGGGAACAGTGCACTAACCAAAGGAGAGAATCCAATGGCACCACTGAAGGTCCAAGGGGTCTATATTGTGGGGGCACCTGGGCCAAGTCGCAGGGCCATTCCTTGTTTATTTAGCCACATTTAGACTCTGCTCCTTTAGGAAGACTTTTCTGACCCTTTCCTCAGAATGAACTTCTTTCCTAGGTGAACAGGTATACTCTTGTACCCATTTCTCTAACAAGGTAACTACTGCCCAGTAAATGTCTGTTCATATGCCCACTGCCATGCGCTTCAGGAAGGCAGTGAAATGTCCTATCCATCTTTAAAACAACATGACAATATCGTTATAATGCTGTAGAGCAGCAGTCCCCAACCTTCTTGGCACCAGGGACCAGTTTCATGAAAAACAATTTATCCACAGACCAGAGGGTTGGGGGATGGTTTTGGAATGATTCAAGTGCATTACATTTATTGTGTACTTTAATTCTATTATTATTACACTGTAATACATAATGAAATCGTTATACAACTCACCATAACGCAGAATCAGTGGAAGCTCTGAACTTGTTTTCTTACAACTAGACAGTCCCATCTGGGGGTGATGGGAGACAGTGACAGATCATCAGGCATTAGATTCTCATAAGTAGCGTGCAACCTAGGACCCTCACACGCACAGTTCACAATAAGGTTCACGGTCCTATGAGAATCATATGCTGCCACTGATCTGACAGGAGGTGGGGCTCAGGCAGGAATGCAAGTGATGGGGAATGGCTGTAAATACAGATGAGACTTCGCTCACTTGCCCACCCTGCGCCTCCTGCTGTGCAGCCTGGTTCCTAACAGGCCATGGACTGGCCTGGTTCCTACCCAAGGGTTGCGGACCTCTGCTGTAGAGCATTTGCTTTTCTCCAAGCACTGGATTAACCGTTTCACATGCATGTTCTTATGGAACTGTCACACCAACCCTACTGTGTAGATGCCATCATTAATCTTGTTCACTAATGTGGAAACTGGGCTTTAGACAAAGTAACTTGCCCGCACAGGAAAACAGCCACAGAGATGTTTCCCCTGGAAGTCTACCATGGCAGGGCTCCTCCCTGGTCTCCCAGGAGTCAAATCAAAAGATCACAACGCCCCCAGCTTCCAGGCATACAGAAGCTCCCCACTGTACTCAGAATGGGAAGAACCTCAATGGCCTCCAGGGCCTGCAGGATCTGGTTCCTGCCTAACTCTCCCACCCTGCCTTGACCCTTTGCCTGGCTTATGATACTACAGCCACAGTCATTTTCTTCCTGTTTCTTGACCAAACAGCTTTTCTGCTTTGGGCTCTTTGAACATGTCAACTCCATGGCCTGAAATGCTCTGAGCCCTGGTACCAGCAGCATCTCTGGCTCCTTCTTATACTTAGGAAGCTATGCAAATGTCACCTCCCTAGAGCAGCCTTCCCGATCACCCACCAAAGCAAACTATCACCTCCATGACCTGAGTCATTGTTTCCTTCATAGAATTCACAGCCATCTATCATCATCTTGTTTATTCATTTGTTTACTTGGAACTACCTGTCTCTCCCAGGTAAATTTTACGAGGTCAGAGGCCTTACTTGTCTCCTGATGTATCCCTGAAGTGTGAGCCCAGGACTCAACACATATTTAGTTACAAAACTAATCCTTAATAGCAAAGATAATGGTTAGCACAGTCTCCAAAATTAAAGAAGATTATTCTCACTTTAAAGAGAAGAAGAGATCTGCAAAAATATTTAGAAATACTTTTATGTGGTTTAGAAAAGTCAAATCATACTGTTTCCTGTGATTAAAGTGTGTCAACTTTCTTAAATAAGACAATTCAAACTTTTGGATACGAAACTATTTTCCTTTCTGAAAAATAATATAAGTTGCCATCAAATTATACCTTATGAATACACAAAAGAACATCCTGAGAGTTTCCTGGGAATAAAATTTAATTGTAAAGTTTGAAACTGATATACATGTAAAGAAAAGCTTTCAAATACACTTTGTATTTTAGAGAAAAATCTTTGTATTACTGCCTGAAGCCACAGTAATAAAGATATCAACCAGGTATTTGTTAATGATGCAACATTCAATATACTATAAAATAAGGTAATCTGAAGATAGGAACAATCAAATGCCAAAGCAAACATCCTGAAGGAATTTTCCAAGACATACACGGAGGTTGGCTGCCAAGATTGTTGGCCCATTAGCCTCTCTGCTGGTTTCCCAATCATCCAGGAGCCCCTTTAGGTCAAGTGATAACACAACTGTGGTTAAATTAATGGCAAGAGTAATTTACGAGAGTGTCGAAGCACACACACAATGTTTGCCTTAGATTTCACCGTTCTGTTTTAGCACAGGAGATAAAACAGTACATAAAGACTTGTTTTAACTACGAGAAACTACACTGTCAAGCATGAAAACAGGAGATTTTTCCCTAAGCAGCTTGTTTCTATATCAAAAGTAGAAATGTCCCTAATGACATTAGTCCTTAATAATTCCAATATGAGAACTTTAATAAAGAATAACCAGATTTGAGCAATGGCTTTTTTCCCAGTCTCATTAAAATAACATGAAACAACAGAATAACCAGTCAACAAGAAAGTTACTAAGTGTGTGTTCAGTATGTGAGGATCTCACGCCCACCTAATCATTCTGGAGGGTGCAGAGGAATGTAACATGAACCCTCTTTATAACAAATACAGGCAAGAAAACAAAATGTACACATGTGGGACAGCAGCATAATTAACTGCTGCATGTTACTGGCTCTAAGTACCACCAGATCTGTCAGTGAAAAATGAGAGGAGAATCAATTCTCTGTCCTGAAGCAGCTTAAAACATAAAAGGTTTGTGAACAACATGTGAGGTTTAATTAGGAATGTTTACAGAGTTTTAATAAAATCTCTGATTTTTTTTCCTTTATAGTCAAGTAATATGTCAAATAATTTCAGAAACTATGAAATGATGAAAAGATATAAAAGCAGAGAGAACATTTAAGTCTCGGGGCACCTGGCACGTGCTTTGCTCCTGTGAGCTCACACAAAGCCCATCTTGCAGCTGGGGCCAGGACCCCTGTGTGGGCCTTGATGACAAACAGCAGGAGGAGAGAGCCTACAGCTTCTACCCTTTGGTGGGCCAAGTTCCCTTTGATATTAGAAGTTTGGTTCATCTTGCAAAGTACCTAGGCAAATGTTTCAAAAGCCCAATTTCAAGAAAAGGATTTTACTTTAAAAATAGGAAAACTTCTTTTTTTCAATATGGTGGATTGGAGGCAGTGTTAGCATGCGTCTCCCCCTTGGAAAGAAAAAATAGTCTGCAGAGACACACCATTAACTTTCTTCCAAGAAACAATGAAGGAATTTAACAGAAAAATGGAAAGAAACCACAGACCCTTTGAAAGAAGCAGCAGGCTGCAGCCTACACCATGAGCCAGGTGAAGAACTGTGAGTATGACAGTGGGACGGACTGCCTCCAGGGAACCTGGCAATCCAGTCCACAGAGAAAGCCTTAACCCTACCTAGTGCTGAACCTGATACAGGGAGGGGTGGGGAATATTAAGTAGGAGCAGCAGAAGGAAGGGCCTTGCATGCATGCCCAGTCTCCAGCATGGATGGAGGGAAACCATTCCTGACTTCTATCAGCAGACTTCTCAGGAGAAACCTTACAAGCCCAAAGGATGTGGGGTCCTATCTTGAGGCTCCTTAAACAGAATAACTGTCAGCCAAGAATTTTGTATCCAGCAGAACTAAGTTTCATAATTGAAGGAGAAATAAAGTAATTTTCAGACAAATAAATGCTGAGAGAATTTGTCACTACCAGGCCAGCCCTACAAGAAATGCTAAAAGGAGTTCTGAATTCTGAAACAAAAGGTTGTTATGCACCATAATAGAACTTCTTGAAAGCATAATAGCCACAGGGCCTATAAAACAATAATGCAATAAATAAAATAAAGTATCTAGGCAACAATTAACATGATGGCTGGAAGAGTATCATGAATGCAGTATTAACATTAAATGTAAATGGCCTAAGTGCTTCACTTAAATATTAACACTGAATGTAAATGGCCTAAATGCTCCACTTAAAAGATACACATGGGCAGAATAGATAGAAAATACAAACCAAATATCTGATGTCTTCAAGAGACTCACTTGACATGTAAGGTAATAGAGTTTGGATATGTGCCCCTGCCCAAATCTCGTTTCAAACTGTAATTTCCAATGTTGAATGGAGGGCCTGGTGGGAGGTAACTGGACCTTGGAGGTATGGAGGGCCTGGTGGGAGGTAACTGG
Organism: Homo sapiens; assembly: GCF_000001405.40. Taxonomy (NCBI): domain Eukaryota; kingdom Metazoa; phylum Chordata; class Mammalia; order Primates; family Hominidae; genus Homo; species Homo sapiens. The sequence continues at coordinate 3,708,660 of NC_000007.14, read as the reverse complement.
ACCTTGGAGGTATGGAGGGCCTGGTGGGAGGTAACTGGACCTTGGAGGTATGGAGGGCCTGGTGGGAGGTAACTGGACCTTGGAGGTATGGAGGGCCTGGTGGGAGGTAACTGGACCTTGGAGGTATGGAGGGCCTGGTGGGAGGTAACTGGACCTTGGAGGTATGGAGGGCCTGGTGGGAGGTAACTGGACCTTGGAGGTATGGAGGGCCTGGTGGGAGGTAACTGGACCTTGGAGGTATGGAGGGCCTGGTGGGAGGTAACTGGACCTTGGAGGTATGGAGGGCCTGGTGGGAGGTAACTGGACCTTGGAGGTATGGAGGGCCTGGTGGGAGGTAACTGGACCTTGGAGGTATGGAGGGCCTGGTGGGAGGTAACTGGACCTTGGAGGTGGGTTTCTCATGAATGGTTTAGTGCCACCCCTCCTGGTACTGTCCTTGTGATAGTGAGTGAGTTCTCGTGAGATCTGGTCATTTTAAAGTGTGTGGCATCTCCCCTCTCATTCTCTCTTGCTCCTGTTCCTGTCATGTAAGATGTGCCTGCTCCTCTTTGCCTTCTGCCATGACTGTAAGTTTCCTGAGGCCTCCCCAGAAGCTGAGCAGCATCACGCTTCCTGTACAACCTACAGTACCATGAGCTATCTAAACCTCTTTTTAAAAAAAAATAAATTACTCAGTCTCAGGTATTTCTTTATAGCAATGAGACTAATACATGAGGATTCATAAAAACTCAAGGTAAGGGGATGGAAAAAGATATTCCATGCAAATAGAAATCAAAAGTGAGCAGAAGTAGCTATTCTTATATCACATAAAACAGACTTTAAAGCAACAACAGTAAAGAAAAAAAGAGACACAAAAGGTCATTATGTAATGATAAGAGGATGAATCCAACAAGAAGAATTACAATCCTAAGTTTCTATGCATTTAACACTAGAGCTCACAGATTCATGAAACATTTACTATTAGACCTAAGAGATGAGATAAACAGAAACACGATAATAGGGGGGGCCTTCAGCTCCCCACTGACAGCACCAGACAGACAATCAAGAGAGAAAGTCAACGAACAAACAATGGACTTAAACTCCTGTAGAACAAATGGACCTAACAGATATTTACAGAACATTCTACCCAAGAACTGCAGATACACATTCTTCTCATCAGCATATGGAACAGTCTCCAAGATAGACCGTATAATGGATTACAAAACAAGTCTCGATAAATGTTTTAAAAATCAAAATCACTTCAAGTATTTTCTCTGATCAGAATAGAATAAAATGAGAAATGAACTACAAAAGGAACCTTGAAAACTACAAACACATGTAAATTAAACAACCTGCTCCTGGAATGATTTTTGAATTGACAATGAAATCAAGATGGAAATTTAAAAATTCTTTGAAATAAATAACAGTGACACAAGTTATCAAAACTTCTTGGATACAGCAAAAGCAATGCTAAGAGAAAAGTTTATAGCATAAAGTGCCTCCACAAAAAATTCTGAAAGATCATAAATTGACAATCTAATGTCATATCTCAAGGAACTAGAGAAACAAGAACAAACTAAACCCAAAGCTAGCAGAAGAAAATAAATAACAAAGATCCAGAGCAAAATGAAATAAAATTGAAACAAAAAACAAAAACAAAATATCAATGAAACAAAAATCTTGTTCTTTGAAAAGACAAAGTTGATAGACCATTAGCTAGACTAACCAAGAGAAGAAAAGATTCAAATAAACTCAATTAGTAATAAAACTAGAGACATTACAACTGACAGCACAGAAATACAAAAGATCATTTGATACTACTATGAACACCTTTGTGCACACAAATTAGAAAATCTGGAGGAAATGAATAAATTCCTGGAAACATATAACCCTCCTTGATTAAATCAAGAAGAAACAGAAACTCTAAACAGACCAGTAACAAGCAGTGAGACTGAATGAGTAATTTAAAAAAAAGTTGCTGGCCGAGCACAGTGGCTCACGCCTATAATCCCAGCACTTTGGGAGGCCAAAGTGGGTGGATCACGAGGTCAGGAGATCGCAACCATCCTGGCTAACATGGTGAAACCCCATCTCTACTAAAAATACAAAAAAATTAGCCGGGTGTGGTGGCGGGCACCTGTAGTCCCAGCTATTTGGGAGGCCGAGGCAGGAGAATGGTGTGAACCCAGGAGGCGGAGCTTGTAGTGAGCTGAGATCGTGCCACTGCACTCCAGCCTGGGTGACAGAGCAAGACTCCATAAAAAAGAAAAATGCCAACAAAAAAGCCCAGGACCAGATGGATTTACAGCTGAATTCTACTAGACATTCAAAGAATTGGTGCCAATCCTACTGAAACTATTCCAAAAGACTGAGAAAGAGGGAATCCTCCCTAACTCATCTGTGAAGCCAGTATCACCCTGGTACCAAGCCAGGAAAGACATAACAGCAACAAAAAATAAAACTACAGACCAATATCCTTGATGAATATAGATGCAAAAATCCTCAACAAAATATGAACTAATTGAATCCAACAGCACATCAAAATATAATAACCATGCTCAAGTGGGTTTCATTCCAGAAATGCAGGGAGGTTTAACATACATGAATCAATAAATGTGATATATCACATAAAAAGAATTAAAAACAAAAACCATATAATCATTTCAATAGATGCAGAAAAGACATTCGATAAAATCTAGCATCCCTTTATTATAAAAACCCTCAACAAACTAGGCATAGATGGGACTTACCTCAAAATAAAAGCCATCTGTGGCAAACCCACATCCAACATCATGACAGTTGCATCATGAATGGCACAAAGCTGCAAGTATTCTCCCTGAGAACTGAAATAGGTCAAGGATGACCACTTTCACCACTTCTATTCAACACAGTACTGGAAGTCCTAGCCAGAGGAATCAGGCAAGATAAAAAAAAAATTAAAGGGCACCCAAATTGGAAAAGAGAGAGTCAAATTATTGCTGTCTGCCAATGCCATGGTCACATAACTAGAAAACCCTAAAGACTCCTCTAAAGGACTACTTGATTCGATAAATGAATTTAGTAAAGTTTCAGTTCACAAAAATCAATGTATACCAATCAGTAGCATTGCTACATGCCAACAACCACCAAACTGAGACTCAAATCATGAACTCAATCCCTTTTACAAAAGCTGCAAAAATAAAATAAAAAATAAAATAAAATAAAATAAAATAAAATAAAATAAAATAAAATAAAATAAAATAAAATAAAATAAAATCACTAGGAATATACTTAACCAAGCAGGTGAAAAATCTCTTCAGAGAACTACAAACCACTGCTGAAAAAAATCATAGATGACAAATAAATGGAAACACATCCCATGCTCATGGATTGAAAGAATCAGTATCATGAAAATGACCATACTATCCAAAACAATCTACAGATTGCATGCAATTCCTATCAAAATACCTATATCATTTTTAACGGAATTAGAAAAAAAAATACTAAAATTCATATGGATACAAAACAGAGCCCTAAGACCCAAAGCAATCCTAAGCAAAAAGAACAAATCTGGAAGCATCACATTGCCAGACTTCAAATTATACTACAAAACTACAGTTACCAAAACAGCATGGTACTGATACAAAAGTAGACACATAGACCAATGAAACAGAGTAGAGAGCCTAGAAATAAAGCCAAATACTTAAAATCAACTGATCTTTGACAAAGCACGCAAAAACATAAATTGGGGAAAGCATACTCTATTTAATAAATGGTATTGAGAAAAGTGGCTAGCCACATGTAGAAGAATGAAACTGAATCCCTGTCTCTTACCTTATTCAAAAATCAACTCAAGATGGTGAAAGACTTAAATCTAAGACCTGAAACCATAAAACTCTATTAGATATCCTAGGATAAACTCTTTTGGACATTGGCCTAGGAAAAGAATTCATGACTGAGACCTCAAAAGCAAATGCAACAAAAATGAAAATAAATAAATGGGATCTAATTAAACTAAAAAGCTTCTGTACAGCAAAAGAAACAATCATCAAGAGTAAACAGACAACCTACAGAATGGGGGAAAGTATTTGCAAACTATGAATCCAGCAAAGCACTGATATCCAGAAAACACAAGGAACTCAAACTAATCAGTAAGAAAACCACAAATATCATCATCAAACAGTGGACAAAGGACATAAATAGACATTTCTCAAAAGAAGATATACAAGAGACATACTTAACATCACTAATCATCAGGGAAATGCAAATTAAAACTACAGTGAGATGCCACCTTACTCCTGCAAGAATGGCCATTATTAAAAAGTAAAAAAAAAAAAAATCGATATTGGCATGGATCCTCATCCTAAGTGCCCATCGAACAATGCGTGGATAAAGAAAATGTGGCATCAAACAATGAGTAGATAAAGAAAAAATGGTATATATACACCATAGAATACTACTCATCCATAAAAAAAAGAACAAAATAACGTCTTTGGCGGAAACTTGAATGGAGCTGAAGGCCATTATTCCAAGTGAAGTAACTCAGGAATAGAAAACTAAATACCATATGTTCTCACTTATAAGTGGAAGCAAAGCTGTGGATACGCAAAGGCATACAGTGCAATATAATGGACTATGGGAACTCAGAAAGGGGAGGAAGAAAAAACGACAAACTGGGTGCAATGTACAATACTCAGGTGATGGGTACACTAAAATCTCAGACTTCACCACCATACAATTCATCCATGTAACCAAAAGCCATTTGTACTCCAAAAGTTATTGAAATAAAAAGATGAAAAACAAAAGTAAAATGTGCAGAAATAAAATAAAGAAAATATTGGTTGATGCCAACAAACACAAAACAAAAACACAATAAAACAACAACAAATTCACACGTCTTGGGAAGCCAACGACAGATATTTTTGAAGGACATTGGAGAAGTCTCCTTTTTCAAGGAAAAAAACAGTATTTTACTTTGAAATAATTATAGATTCATAGGAAATTGGAAAAATAGAACAGAGAAAATCAGGCGCCCTTTACCCTGATTCTCTTAATGGATACTGCTTAAGGAAATACAATGCATTGAAAAATCAGGAAATTGAAATTAGTGCAATGTGTGAGTATAGCTCTGTCACTTTATCACATGTGTAGCTGACTTCACCACCACTACAGTCCAGCCACAAAACTGCCATCACCATACACACCTCCCTCTTGCTACTCTAATAGACACATCTAATCCTCCCATTCATCCCAACCTGGCATCCACTAGTTAGTTCAACTATATAATTTTCTCATTTTGAGAATGTTACATAAATGTAATCATACAACATGTGACCTTTCAAGTCAGGCTTTTTTTCAGTGTAATTCCCCTCAGACTCATTCACCCAAGTGTTACATTATTAACGGCTCACTCCTTTATGATGCAGAGTAGTGTTCTATGACATGAATGCACCATAATTTGTAAAATTATTCACTCATTGAAAAATACGTGGGTTATTTCCAATTTGTGGCCATTACAATGAAAGCTTCTAGAATGTCCAGAAGCATATTTTGTGTAGACACAGGTTTTCATTTCTCTGGGACAAACGTTCAGGAGAACTAAGTCGTATCGTCGGCATACATTTTTTTTTTTTTTTTTTTTTGAGACAGAGTCTCGCATTTACTTTTTAAAGAAACTACTATTTTCCAATATTTTCTAGATGCACCAATTTATATCTCCACCAGCAACGCATGAAACATCCAATTTCTTTGCATCTTCCTGAGTATTTGGTACTGTCACTACTTTTTATTTTAGCTGTTCTAATAGCTAGTGATCTCTTATTTTGGTTTCAATCTGCATTTCCACTGAATGTCTTTTTCATGTTTTTGTCATCTACAGACCCTCTTTTGCAAAACAGGCAGAAGTCAAGGAGTACCATGAGTAAAAATGCTGAACTTGAACCATCTTTCTAATTTATTTTCTAGTCAATGACAAGTGAAACAATAAACTATGTGATCTCCAATACTAGTCCAACATGGGGAACAGCCAAGGCCAGGTTTCTCGGGTCATGAGGCATCTCATCACTGCTAATTCAGGGAGAACTTAGAAAGAACAGCCTCTGTGCTGGAGTCAGTGTACGAGAAAATGTTCCAGAAGCAGGTATGAATGAAGCAGTTTGGGGCAGAAGACTAAGCAGGTGAGAGTGGTGAATGCTATCCGGCCCTAATGTGGAGGGGGAGAGGGGTGCTTATTCATGTCCAGTATGGAAAGTCCAGCTAAAACCTCTGCAGGAGCCACGAATACACACTTCCATCATCACTTCCAAGAAGTGAGTTGAAAAAGACACAGTTGCTTTTTAAAAAGATTTACTTTGCTCCCACAAGAAAACGTACAATAGTAAAATGTCTCGTCTTTTGCCCATTTTAGCATTAGATTTTTTTAATTGTAGAATTTTGAGAAATCTTTATGTATTCCAAATATGGCCACTTTCTCAAATATGTAGCTTAGAAATAGTTTATTACAGTCTATGGTTTGTCTTTTCATCCCCTTGCAGAGCAGATGTTTTAAATTTTAATGAATTCCAACTTATTGAATTTTTACATTTATGGACTGTGTCTCTGGTGTCATGTCTAAGAACACTTCACTAAGTTCTAAACCCCAGAGGTTTATTCTTCTGAAAGTTTAACAGTTTTACATTTCACACTTAATCCAACACACTTTAAGTAAATTTTTATATAAAGATTAGGGTGTAGGTCAAGATACAATTTTTCTTTTTTCTTTTTTTTTTTTTTTTTTTTTGCTTATGCACGTCCAACCACTCTAGCAGCATTTGTTGAAAAGACTATTCTTCCTCCATTGAATTGCTTTTATGCTTTTGTCAAAAATCTCTTGGCTGTACTTATGTGGGCCTATTTCTATGTTCCCCATTCTGTTCCATTGATTCATGTGTCTATCCCTACAACAATATCACAGTTTTTATTACATTACCTATATTGTAAGAATTCAGATTGAATAGAGTGATCCTTTGTACCTTATCCGTCTTTTCCAAAACTGTTCACCTATTCCAGCTCCTTTGCTTAACCACATAAATTTTAGAATAATCTTTTATATTTTTGGGTTTTTTTGAGACAGGGTCTCGCTCTATCACCCAAGCTAGGGCACTGTAGCACGATCATAGCTCACTACAACCCCAAATCCTGGAATCAAGCAATCCACCTGCCCCACGGTCCCAAGTAGCTGGGACTACAGGCACGTGCTACCACTCCCAACTAGAACAATCTTTTCTGTACCTACACAAAGTCTTGCTACGATTTTGATATGAATTACATTAAACCTATACATCAATTTGGGAAAAATTCACTTTTTATAGACACATAGTCCACTTTTTATAGACATGGACATGTTGAACACGGCATGTTGGCCACAAATTTAGCACTTTGATTTCTGTCATCGGTATTTTGTAGTTTTCAACATCAAGTGCTGTATATGTTCTGTTGGATTTATACCTAAGTGTTTTTTAAAGCAATTTTAAACAGTATTGTATTCTCTGTCAATTTCCACGCTTACTGCTACTGTATAGAAATGTGATTGATTTTTGTATGTTGATCTTACTGAACTTATTCTGAGTTTTTTTTAAATAGATTCCTTGGAATTTTCTACGTAGATAGCCTCAGCCTCCTCCCTGCGCGGCAACTGGTTCCTCCCCAGCCCTATGGGGCTCACGCGCACGACACAGCCACAAGATGTCCGCTCTCCACATTTTTTTTCTTTACTCTACCAATCTCCTATCAGTGAAGAAAAACTAAGAGAATGGGTTCCTATAATACCCACCTTTAAGGAATAGCTGACGGAAGCACACCAAAAAAATAGAAATAAGGGGAAAAAAGGTGGGAGGTATTTGGGGTCATCTGGAAGGAAAGAAGAAAGAACAAAAAGTGCAAAAGTATAGATGAATCGACTTTTCTCTATTGTCTCTACATTTTCATTGGTGTATTTAAACCATTTACACTTACTATAATTATGGGCATTCTGGGGCTTAAGTTCACCATTTTTGTTTGTTTGTTGTGGGTGTTCTCTGTTTTCTTGTTTCCCTGATTTCTTTTTTGCTTTTCTGTTACTTGAACATTTTATTGAAATTCTATTTTGACATACCTATGGCATTTTTGTGTCTCTCTGGATAGCTTTTTAGTGGTTGCTTTAATTATTGCATTATATCCACAAGGCTTATGGTGTGTTAGTATCAACGTTTACCAGTTTAAGTATAAAAACCTTACCATTCTTTAAGTCCCTTATCCTACACCAAGTATGACTGTCATAAACATCTCCTCTATATCACTGTGAACTACATTTGACAATGTTATACTTTTTACATCAACCAACAAACATAATTTAGACAACTCAAAAGGAAAAGAAAAGTCTATTTATCTATATTTCTGCTTTTTCTGTTCTTTTTTCTTTCTTGATGTCCCAAGATAACTCTCATCTTAATAAAAATAAAAAATCGTTTATGGAGTGCTTCCTTTACCTGTTCTTTAAGGGTAGGTATTATAGAAACACATTCCTTTAGTTTTCCCTTCATTTGAGAATGTCTGAATTTCCCCTTCATTCCTGAAGGATAGTTTCACCAGCTTTAAAATTAGCAGTTGACAGTTCTTGTCTTTCAGTAAGTGAAAAATGTTTGCCACCTTCTTGTGGTCACTACAATTTCTGATGAGAGATCATCTGATGACATTCAAATTGTTTCCCCCTATATGTCAGGTACTGTTTTCTCTGGCTGCATTTAGAATTTTTTTTCTTTGTCCTTAGTTCTAGAAGTTTAACTACTATGTTTCTTGATGTGCATTTCTTTGATCTTGGGATTCTCTCGGCTTCTTGAAAGGTTATGTGTTTTAAAATGCCATATTCAGGAAATCTTTAACCATTATTTCTTTGAACAATTCTTCAACGAATTTGCCATATTTTAAAATGCCATATTCAGGAAATCTTTAACCATTATTTCTTTGAATAATTCTTCAACTCTACCCTCTTTCTCTTCTTCTTGGATACTGACTATACAAACATGAAATCTTTTATTGTAGTCCCAGAAATCTCTGAGGCTCTGAGGTTTGTTTGTTTAGTCTGTTTTCTCTGTTGTTCAGATCAAGTATTTTCTATTTTTTTTATCTTCAAGTTCACGGATTCTTTTCCCTGTCCTCTCCATTCTGCTGTTGAGTACATCATCAAGATTAATTGAATTTATTAAATTTTCTAGTTCTAAAATTTCCATTCAGTACTCTATTATCTCTTCTATTTCTTTGCTGAGACTTTCGATTGCTTTGATGAAATGGCCTCTTTTTTCTTTCTATTTCCAGCATGTTTGTAATTCCTCATTGATTGCATTTTTATGACTGGCTTTAAAATGCTGGTCGGACATCTCTAACATCTGTATCATCTTGTTGTGGGTGTTTCTTGTCTTTCCTCATTCAAGTTGAGATATTCTTGGTTCTTGTTATGATCAATGATTTTCACTAGAAACCTGGACATTAGGGGATATCATGTTATGAGATTGTGTATGTTACTTTAGCCTTCTATTTTATCAGGCCTCTTCTGACACTGCACTAGTAGGAATCCAAGAGAAGTGCCGCCCTTCATTTCTGCCAGGTGGCAGGTGGACATCCAGGAGCCCCACTTGGCCTCTCTTGACACCTGGGAGTGGGAAGTTGATTCCTTGTTCCTCCCAGGTTTGGGTGAAAGCTCCAGCGTCCCCTGGGCCTCTCTGCTGATGTCTCTCCTGGGTAGGAGGTTATTATAGACTGATCCTTTGTGTCCTCCCCAACTGATTCGTATTTTGAAGCCTTAAACTCTAATGAGATGGCATTTAGAGATAGGACATTTGGGAACTAATTAGGGTTAGATGAGGTTATGAGCACAGGGCACTTATGATGAAACTGGTTCCCTTATAAGAAGAGACACCAGAGAGTTTGTTCTCTCTCTCTACCTGCCATGTGAGGACACAGCGAGAAGGTGGTTGTTTACAAGCCAGGAAGAAAGCCCTCACCAAGAAATGAGCTGGCCAGCACCTTGACCTTGAACTTTTAGCCTCCAGAACTGTGAGGAAATAGACGTCCGCTGTCTAAGCCCCAGTATTTGTGGTGTTTTACTATAGCAGCCTGAGCTGAGATAGAGGTGCAGAGGGTTCTGTGACTGCTCCTTATACGCCTCCACTGACGCTCTGAGTGAGGAGGGCCCTTGTCACCACTGAGAAGATGGGAAAATCCTGATTCTCCACTAGGCCTCTTCTGATATCACCCCAGTGGGGAGGACAAGGGACACCCTGACAGCACCAGGTAAGGTGGAAGTTCAGGCGCCTCAGGTGCTCTCTCCAATACCGTGAGAGGGAACGCGTGACCACACCGAGGAGACACAAGCCTTGGCCCCACACCCATCCTTCTTTCTTACCATTCTGATGGGGGTCACGCTGAAAGTCTAAGCTCCCTGCTCAGCCTTTGCTTGGGGGTTTGTGAATATGGCCACAGTTTTCTTCGGTAGTATTTGGCTATAGCAGAGTGGTTATTGTCCAAAAGTTTTCTGTCATTCTAAGCTGCCTCCTTTGTGGTCCTTTGGGAGGAAGGGGAGGGTTTGGGGGTGCTTTTCTTGTCTGTGCCCACTGGCAACTGGACTGTTAGCTTCTCAACACCCAGTGCAAGCTAAATGAGAGAAACGGAAAGCTCAGAGATGCCAGCACTGTGCCATTCATCAGGTCTCAAGGTCCTCAGTCTGTCTGCCTTCTTCTCTCCACTGTTCAGTATCTTCCTATGCTTTTCATATAATGTTCACAGTTTTTAGCTGTACTCAGGACAAAAAGGGAAAAGTCCATCTAATTCCATCTTTCTGAAAGTGCGAGTTAAGAGGCCTCTTTTAACAGTCTTTCTCTTCCACAGATTGATGATCAGCAAAATAAGATTCAAGGATCATTACCACATAGAAATACTGGTGACAACAATAAAAGCAGCAAAACCTACTGTAGGAGTGAAGTGGGGAGAGGAAATGAGTAAGTTATAAACCACATCAGCTTTAGAAGTAAAACCAAGTACTTTTTGCACATCTTGCTTAAGGCAAAATTCAGATTTGGGGATGAAGATGGTCAAAGAATCATGTGGGGCAAGCAGTAAGAAGACAGTGAGACAAAAATGACTCAAAAAAAGGGGTATTAGAGTAAGTTCAAATCACATTGTCTTAGCAACAAACAGGAAACCTTTTTCAAGGCCTCGCACCAACTTCTAATGAAGCAGAGCTGAAGACAGATTCCCCATATTACTAGCTAAACGTCACTCAATTCCATTAGTTGAAGATGAGACCTAATTGCTGAGAAGAAGCAGAGGCAGAAGCTCCAAATCAGTGACTGACACCCTGAAGACACACTGTAAATTGCAGCGGGAAAGAAAGGGATGAGTAATTAGCACTACACAAATTTCAATATCTTGGCTTTTCTTATAATTAGCAGACAAGCAATTTAAAAACCACAGCCCTACACAGAATCATTATCATTGTTTTCCAAAAGTAAGATAAACAAACCTAGCATGGGATCATTGATGTTCACTTCATTCACTTCCCCTACTTTTACTGTAAGAATTAGTCAAATGGCGAGAGAAGGAAAATCTAGAAAATAAAACATGCCTTTCATATTCTGATTCTTATGTTTAAGAACCTGAGAGAGTATATCTCATTCAAGATCTTTAAAGCATTTCTAAAATACAAGTTCTATTTCGCACTACCATTCCATAAACAAGATGAATTTTTCCATAAACCGTATTACTTATGAGTTTTTTTTTTTAAAGGAACTTCTATGGTAAATATCAGAGGTCTCCTATCTACTGTTAGACACCCTACAGTATTATAAACAATCAAATGTTCTTAGAGTGAATTGCTTTGTTATAATTACATTTTAGTCCCTAAATTCAATACACTATTTAATATAAGAACTGACACAACTCAAAAATAATTAAATATATATTATTTCATCCTTTGATTACTTTTGTTAACATTGTTTCAGAAATCGGCACCAAAGGATTAGAAATTTAGACAATAATTACATAAGATACAATTATTGCTGCTTTTTGAGTAACCTTAAATGTAGGTAACAACACACACACACACACACACACACACACAAACACAGAGAAATGTAAGCTCTGTGAGAAAGAGAAAGTTGGACTACATATTACAGAGCACCATCACCAAATCCTGGGCTCAGATGAGGATTATATAGGAATTAGTGAGGGAGGAGTTTTCATGCCTATCAGTTAGTGATCCAATCAGTTACTGGTCAATCAAGCAATCAATCATTCCTTGCCACTGCTCTCCACATATGCAACGTGTCCCTTGGACGTCAGGGCACAGCAAACATATACGGTGCAATGTGTACAAGCAGAGATCACGTGATTGGGGGATCCAAGGAGTGGAGGATGACCAAGATCACACAGTGGAGCATGGATCTGAACAAGGACCACAGTGAGTGGTGGGAGCTTAGGGGAGTCTCACAGTGGAGAGAGTGGCAATAAGATTTAAGTTGGCAGGACATCATCTCTAGGAGGAAGTTAAAGACATGGGAGCAAGAGGAAATCAGCCAGGAGACAGTTTAGAGTGAGAAGAGGATCAAGTATTGCATAAGAACAAGGGACAAGTGGGAAAACCGGAACGCGGAGAAGAGGCTGAGAGGAACGAAGGAGGAAACAGGGAAGAACGGTGGGAGGAAAGCAAAAAAGAAGATGCCAGGAAGCCAATGAGCGTCAGCAACTCCAAATGCTGCAAAACCCGAAATAAGTGAAAAGTAAAATTGCTCATTAGCTTTGATTGTGTCATCACTGCAGAATGAAATAAGGTAATTTGGGTGATGACTTCCAGGTGATTACACTGCTGGTCTTCCTCTGCCCTCTACTGCACATACAGGCTACGTCTAGCGGTTGCCTTCTCTGTTTACTTCTGAAGATTTATGTCACCGGAATAATAAGTGCATGTTATAAGGAAAATGTACACATGATATAAATGTCTCAATTAACTGTGTTGAGTTGAAATGCTTAATGCACTAACAATGTAATTCTCCATGTTTTATAGTTCTGACTGCAAGGATATTCATATCAAAGTATGGTACCTCCAATATAATAAACTATTATGCACCCATTAAAAGGACATTTAACGAAGTTTTTGATAAATGAAAACACCTATGATATAATCTGAATTTTAAAATCTTTACAAAGCAGCTTATCAAGTAGGAACTCCATAACAAAAAACATATGTAAGAGAAAGAGAAGACATGAGAAAATGCTTATGGGTGCCTATAGAAAACAGGATTATGAGTGATTTTAATCTACTCATATTCTTCAGCACTTGTATACTACGATGAGCATCTATTTGGCATAATATTTAAAATCATGGAAAGGAATAATTAAATCCTATTATAATGACAGAATCCATTTCCTATCCTCCTGCAAGTGTTTAGGATGCAAATTCTTAGACGGAAATACTTATTTAATTTGCTGTGTGAGGCGCCTAGTGTAAGTAGACCATGCTGTCTTGTAAGAATTCTGTGATCAGGTACTGATAAATATTTTTAGCAATTAAGAAAGAGTGACTTATGTAGTAATACAGAAAAAATTCACATCATAACAACTGTTAGTCTCTAATATGTAGAGTCTCTAATATGTTTCCCAATGAAACACCTTTATACCTGCTTTCTGGGAAAGCATTTCTATCCTGGAAATATTTTCATGTTTGGTAGATCAATAAGAAGACACTTGAAGAAATTCTACAGAACAGAAATGCCTATTCTAGGAAATGTGCTTGTGTGTTTGTACGTGTGTTTGTTAGCTTCTCATTCCACAGAACAAATCATTTTCAGTAAGGCCTGCATGTCACTATTAAGAATCCTGTTCTAGTGCAATGGTTCACAAACTTACGATAGGAATTACCAGGGATGTTTGTAAAAACGTAGGTTCCTGGGCTCAAACTATGGAATCAGAAACTCGAGATGTGGCCCAGAGACGGATGTTTTTCAAATGTTCCCCAGAACATCAGACACACCAAGACAGTGGCATTGTTTTCCAGGGAATGTCTTAGAACATCCACTGGATCACCTACTGTCTCAATTTCATATGCTTTTCCCCCCCCACCAACATAAATACATTCTTTCCAGACCAATGTAAGTGCCAGAGGTAACCAGAGGTCCCCGACTGAGGTGTAATTTCTAATTTCACTACCTGGAATCCATCCTTCTCTGTACACGGCCAAGTCCACTACAACTTGGCTGCTATTCCCCGCTTGCCAAGCGTGGCCACCCTCTGATTCAATCTAACTGTGAGTGTCTATGAGAGGAGGGTGTTGAGCTAAATGAAACCTGCATGAAGTACTGTGAAAGCCAGGCCTTGCCTTCATGCACTGCCCAACCTAGGAGGGGAAGTGACCTCCCGGTGGCCATCTCTTAGATTCGCCTTTCTCACATCTCAAAGAGCTTTCACGAAGTCTTATGCAGTGGGCAGGGCACAACTTAGTATTCCTATACGAGTTTGGAGACTGAGGCAAAGAGCAATCTAAATTACTTTCCCATTGTCACAGTGCTTAGTCTTTTACAATTTGCCTTCCAATCGGGCACACTTTTGGGCAAGACAGGTATAATCATAAATCATAAAAGGTGAACTATGACAAATACTCCCAAGAAAGATACAAACAAAATGCCACAAAGGTCTGGAGGAAGAGTCAGTCACATGCAGGTGGGACGAGTGAGGGAGCAAGGCAGCATGCAGCTGAGTGTCAGAGCATGGACACAGTCCTGGGGCAGAGGTCAGGGTCAAGGCAGAGACAAATGTGCAGGAAGGAGAAAATGAGATGGCTGCGGGGACCAGGTGTTCACTGCAGCTTCAGTATACATAGCTAGGGGATAGCAGAGATTAGGCTGGTAAAAATTATAGGCCAGTGCCAGAATCTAGAGGCTATAACAATAGATTCCCAGATACTCCAGGGATGTGAAACTAGACCTCCTGTCACTATCTTGCACTTAGTTGATGATGATCTCCAAGAGAGAAAGATAACAATTATAGCCAGAAAAAAACAATAAAAAGAAACTATTCATAATAGCAACAAAAATATAAAATATCTAGCCACACAAAAAACATGGCATCTATGAAAAAAACATATCAAAGGTCACAGGAAGATACAAAGAAAAGCATGGATCAGCTGACGGACAGATAATACTTCTGGAGGAAATGGGGCAATGTTGTAAAGATGTCAGTTCTCCTCAAACCGATTTATACTTTTAATGTAATTCGAATCAAAATCCTTAACATGTTTTTTGAACTGTCCATTGTGATTTTGAAACTGGTCCAAAGAATGAGGAAGTAACACTATGAAACAATACAAACCAAATAACGAGAGGGATTTGGAATAATGAATATTACGACATTTTTATGCAAAAAGGGAAATTAGTAAAAGAAAAACAGGTTTACAAAAGAACAGAGATAATGAAGAAAAAAATTTGGTGTTTATATAACCACACAGTCTCAAAGTAGCATTATAAATGAGTATACAACATTTTATTTGTAAAAAAACAAAAATTATTAATATCGTTAAGAAATATGTCTACACTATTACATAAGATATTAAGTCATATTAATATATAATATGGCATCTAAAATTTTATTATATGTCTAAAATATGTTCATTTATTTTGTAAAAAAGGCTATCATCTCAACAGAAAACTGGCAAATATTACAGGTACACACGTGAAATACTACTGGATGATATATAAATGAAAATATTAAATTACCAAGATGCTACCTTTATCTATCATATTAATATATAATTAAAATAGAAATGTATTTGCCAGTGCAATACTCGATGGTGCCAAGGATACGTAAACTCGACACAAATACCACTTGAAGGCATGTATAAATCGATGCGATTCTAGAATACAGGGGAATGTTTCATATTGTATATTACATTGAATAGATCAAAGAGTATAAATATTCTATAATGTTTCATAAAATATATGAATCACCTCAAAAATATTTATACCCTTTGACCAAGTAATTCCAATTCTAGATTATCTAGTAGACTAAATAAAACATGTAGCCAAGAGTTTATATTTTTATCACATCAGTTTAAATAAGCACAAAAATTGAAGGACATAACTGAAATGTACCCAAATAAACAAATAATTTATGCTACATAACTAAAATACAAATTATTCAACAAGCTTAAAATATGTTATTGAAAAATATGTAATATAAGAAATCCTCTCTGTTTAATGATCATTTAAAGAGAATAGCAAAACTAACTATATAGTATGATCCCAAATTCTAAATACACATGGGCACAGGTGCACACACACAGACACACACATATACACACTAAAGAAAAGTGCAAGAAAAAGCATTTTAAATAGTAACAAGTTATTTTGGGCTGGTGGGATATCTTAGGTTACTTTTTCCTGATTTATTCCTATTTTTTTCTTAGTTGTCTATAAAGTTTTAGAATCAGAAAGAATTTTTTAAGAAAAAATGGAAACTTGAAATTATGTTGGGTCTCTGAACAGAAATCATAATTACAATAAAATTATTAATATAAGTATTTACTTAATGTCTGTCTTCCAACTCAATTATAAGCTAAATGAGAGTAGGAAGCATAACCGTCTTGCTCACAGCTATATTCTGAGTGCCTGGTACATTGTAGGAGTTTAATGAATACTCATGAATGAGTAAGCAAAAATAAAGGGGGACAGACTGAAAGACCCAGCGGGAGGGGAGTGGAAAAGCAAGGTCATAGTGAATCCTGCAGGATAAAAGGCTCAGATAAGCTATTACCTTCTTAAAGACACCCCCATTGCCTCACATTACCTGCCTTATAATACATTTTCAACCCACGCTGTCTGAATGAGTAAGTAGATAAGCCAAGTATTAACTCTTAATTAAGGCAAAAACAAATACTACAAGCCCCCTATTTTTTAAATCTCTGACTTCTACGCATTCACACCTGAAACTAGACCTTCCAGCAAGGGGTGTGTGTTTGTGTTGGTGCTGTGCAACCAAGGTCACAAGAGGAAAAATCAATAATATCAGTTCACAATGCATCATGGTAGATAATCATATTTTTCCTTTTAAAATATCATGCCGGCAGAAAACATTTATCTTCTACTTTGTATTTTGAATATGACTGCCTCCTTATACAGATCCCTGAAAAGGGGAGAGAGTATCCTACTTTTTGAGCCATTTATAACATGCTCCAAGTCCTGTAACGGAAGCAAAGTGCTACTTGGACTCCAGTTGTTTCTTCAATGCAACTCTTTTCTTTGTATTTCCACAGCTGAAGTGGAGGGAGGGGTCCACTGTGATCCAAAATTAAGCCTGTGATTTATCTTGTACTTCGAGTAAGAGCCCTGACCTCTTCCTATCAACATAAGACATTTTCATTCTATGGCATTTTTTACTCTGTGGTAATCATAACAACTTAAGAAAATTGGAGCCTTTTTATTTCTTGCAAATCTAAAGTCCAGAATTCTCTATTGCTTTTCGTATACATTTGAATTCATGTTGAAAGGTGATTCTAAGGAATGAAACATTGGTGTAATTATCTACAATAAATTGGTAAGCTTCCTGTCAAATGATAAGAAAATGAGAAATGAGTATTTTTCTCTAATAAGTTGAAAATTTTTTCTTCCAAATAATTTTCTTTGAAGGACAAAATCAACCAGTGAGGGCAAACACACTGTCTTTGAGTAATTCTAGAAGGTCACAGAGTCCTGGAAGGAAACATTAGCCCAGTGAATGCCTATAGACATCCAGGCTATAATATGAGTGTATTTTATTTCTGAAGTGTTTTGAGACTGTCTATTATGAAAGTTCTTATATACACGCAAAGTATTACTTTTAAATTTTCTTGGATGTCTAAAGACAAGTCATATGGTTTTTATTAATATAAGGTTTATTTTGACCTTGTAGTAGAGAGTTATAATCAACTTGAAAAATATATCAGTATAATGTTACGGGGGTTAAGATTAATATGGAATCTTACAAAAGAAGACCTGCTTTCTTACTTTCTATAAACAACATTGTGTGATGTCTTCCTGGTGACTTATCTGTAAAAGCTATACTATGATCTTATAATTCAATCAATATCAGTGAGGCCACTCGACGCAAGATTTATTGGGTTTCTCTTTATCCTAAATGCCAGCAAAAGGTACAAGCTATCCAGTGGGTTTATTTTTATAATCCCTACACGAAAAATTTGAAAGAGAAACAATGTAAGGATTATAAAAGGATAAATCCCTGCCACTATCACTGAACATTAACAATAAGTCTCAAGTAAATTATTATACTTTTGTCAAAAAATACAATTTTTCTCATGACCCTCCAGGAAAAAAATTTCTAGTTACAGTAAAAAAAAATCAATATCATATGATGCTTGAGACAGAAGTATAACCTGTCATTTAGTTCTGGATTTGTGCTAATCGTCATGTGGAAATTCAACTAGCAAGCCCTGGAAACATTAGCGTCGTGATGAGGTAGGTGACGCCCTGCATCTAGAGTCACTGGGCTATTAGTCCCAGCTTCCATTCCAGATTTTTCCAAAAGGTTCGATCTGTTCTGTGTCATAAACATGCCTAAGAACATAATTACCACTGGGTGCTTCTCTAAGGCATTATTCTAAGAAATGGATGAATATTTTTGCAAAAACATTTAGCAAATATATTTTGTAGCTTAACAACTCAAATACAAAACATTCATTTCCACACGGATGATCAAAACAAGTATTTCTAAACTGAAAATATTTTTGTTTGCAATAGACACACATGTTCTGGCTGTCAAAGCATTTCTAAATAAAACATGGTTTTTTGCAAAAGGTAATTTGGCAGATATGGGCCTGTGTAGACACAGACTCAAAATAATTTAGAATTATGAATGGATTCATTGGGAAATAAAAATAATAACTTCCAATTATTTGCTTCCTCTGTAGTAGGAACGGAGCAAAAGCCTTATATTTTTCATCTAACCTAATCCTCATTACTAAAGTAAGAAACAGAGAGGAAATCTGAGGCCTAGTAAAATTAAATAATTTGTTCAAAATTTCACCAGTAGTAAAAAGTCTGTAATAGGTGGATGGCATTTAGTTACAGGCAGCCACAACAAATAATTTTAAAAGTCCTTTTTAAAAAACAAGAGATTATTTTCTCATATAACAAAAAATACTACACGTAGGGAATCCAGAGCCAGTACAAGAACTTGATAATGTCTGTCAAGAATGCAGGCCCCTCCCTCTCTCTGTTCCACCCTGCTTAGCTTGTACCAGGTTTACTGTCTTATAACGGCAGGATGGTAGCTACACCTATAAGCACTAGACTTAGAAACAACTGCACACAATCCAACAGGAACAGGGAGGAGGGAGAATAGCAGGCTCCAATGGCTCGGGCTGACATCTTTGTGGGAGAGGTGAATCATCAGGTCCCCATAGCTGCAAGGGAAGCTGGAAACCTGACAGAAGCAGGGTTATCATAACGTTCTTAGGAAAGAGGGTGGCAAGCATTTTCTGTAAAGGGCCAGATAGCAAACAGTTAGGGTTTGCAGGCCATATGGTCCATCCCTGTCACAACTACTCAACTCCACATGTAGAACTGGAAAAACCACCACAAGTGACACATAAATGAATGGGTGGCTGTGTTACAATAAAACTTTATTTACAGGAACGCAAGTATAGCAGAAGGTGGGAACATGGATGGATTGGCCCCTTGGGCAGTAGTCTGCTGACCTGTCCTAGAGCAATCATGATTCATCATAGGGTCGGGGAGGTGGGAGGGAGCTCACAGTGCTGTTCTGAACAAAATGGCAAACTCTAAGGAAGGCAGAGGACACAGGACATGGATTGGCCATGAGCGGTGTGTGCCTCAGAATGGAGGCAGGATCCAAACTGAGGCCTGAAAGACTCCTCAGCCTGTGCTTTCAGCCGCTGTAGTATTTTCCCTCTAAAAAGTTCACTGTAGCATCCAAGAAGATAAACACTGGAAGATACTTTACATACTATCTACTCCAACATACTAAAACTCTAGATGAGGAAACTGAGGTCTGCAAAGCTAAGTGACTTTCTAGAAATCATGCTGTTAGAAACAAAGACGAAATTTGTCTCTGGATTCCTCTGCACCACTACTGCTCCTGCTTCTAATTATAATACTAACAACGGCAGCAAAGCTGGCATTTGTAGAGCATTTATGAAGTGCTTTGTGTTAATTATCTCATTTATTCTTTATAACACTCCTTCAGTATAGATACAGTTATTACTTCTCAGTTCTCATACTACATGTAAGAATTAAACCTCAAAAGATTAACTAACTTGCCAAAGGGCGTAAGACCAGAAACTGGTAGAGCCGAAATTTGACCCAGGTCTGATTTCAGGGCCTGGTCTCTCAACCACCACACTGCATTGACTGCAGCCTCCTGGATCTACACTTCATTGCTCTCCAGGACTTCAGACAGGCTTGTAACACTCCTAAGAAACACTTTAAAAGCCTCAGTTGTTTTGAAATAGTAATGATACAATTAACTTTGTCTTTATAGCACCCAGAAAGGAGTTAGGAAGTAGCTGTATCATTACTACACTGAGCACTGATTGTCTCAGCTCTTAGTACACTGGCTTCCCTAAATGCAATTAAAAATCCTTTCCAGAGTAGTTTCCTCTTGGAAATCCTCTAATCTTTGGAAATAGAACCTTCTCTAATAATCTTTGAGGGTGCCATGTTTCTCCTCTCATTCCCTTACTCTAAGCTCTTGAGATAACACAGATTCACATGCAGCTGTAAGAAAAATACAGCAATCCTGGGTACCTTTATCCAGGTTCCTGCAATGACGACAGCTTACGGAAGTATAGAACAGCACTGTGAGCAGGATACGACATTAACACAGTCAAGACACACAGCGTTTCCATCACCGCAAGGACCTCTTGTGTTACTTTCTGATGATCGCATCCAGCTCTATCCTCTCTCCGCTGCTTTGCTGACCCGTGTAGACTTCTAGTCTGTTCTCCACTCTGATAATTCTGTCATTCCCACAATGCCATATAAATGGAGCCGTACCATATGCGATCTCTTGGGACTGAATTTTTTTCATCACCGCCATTTCTTGGAGATGCATCCAAGTTGCCGTGTGCATCGACAGTTCACACCTTTTCAGTGCGAAGCAGCGTCCCACATTACAGATGGACTGCGGTTCGATATCTGTTACCAGCTGAGGGACATTTGGGATGTTTTCAGTTTGGGGTGATTATGAATAAAAATGCTATGGGGCTGGGCGGGGTGGCTCACGCCTGTAATCCCAGCACTTTGGGAGGCTGAGGCGGGTGGATCATGAGGTCAAGAGATGGAGACTATCCTGGCCAACATAGTGAAACCCCATCTCTCCTAAAAATACAAAAATTAGCTGGGTGTGGTGACGTGTGCCTGTAGTCCCAGCTCCTTGGGAGGCTGAGCTGAGATCGCACCACTGCATTCCAGCCTGGCGACAGAGAGAGACTCTATCTCAAAAAAAAAAAAAGAACATTTGTGTACAGACTTTTGTGTGAACATAATTTTTCATTTGTCTTGGAAACAATGCCCATGTGATACAGGGTGGTGTGTGTGTGTGTGTGTGTGTGTGTGTGTGTGTGTGTGTGTGTTTTGATGCTATCCCAACCCAGTTTGGAGATTCTGGCTAGAAGCCACTCAGATCTCCCTTCTTGAGCTGCAGATCAAGTTGAAGTTCCCATCCCAACCACTTCCCTTACTGGGCACTCACACTCCAGGGCCACTACCTGCCTACCCCAGTTGCTCCAGGGCCAGGCACCAGACAACAAGGGACTGCCCCAGTGCCCTGGAACCTACTGAAATTATTCCAACTCTCCAATCCACAGGGATCCTGAGAAAATTAACTAAATGCTTTCCATACATAAGCTGACCTCGTCCCCTGCAGCTCCTGCCTGCCATTACCTGATCCCATGTGGTCCTGCTGGTGGCCTGGCCTTCTCCTTCAGAGCTGTCAGCAACAGAGTCGTAGCTTCTTTCTAACTCAGGGTCAGTGCGCTGTGTCCTGTCACCCAACCAATCTTTCAATTTTAGAACACAGCATATAGTACCTGCATATTTAGATTTATGAAAAACTGCCAAATTCTTTCCCACATTGACTGTCCTGTTTTACATTATCACTGGCAATGTATGTATGCGTGAGTGACAGGCATATGTGTCCTTGTACAGCCCATGAGTATACTTTCTTACTGCAGCCCTGGACACCTAATACAAATATGCTCTGTCTGATGTTAATACAGACGCTCCTGCATTTTTAAAAAAGTAACGTTTGCCTTGGCCAGGCATGGTGGCTTATGGCTGTAATCCCAGCAGTTTGGCAGGCCAAGGCAGGTGGATCACCCGAGGTCAGGAGTTCAAGACCAGCCTGACCAACATGGTGAAACCCCGTCTCTACTAAAAATACAAAAATAAGCTGGGAATGGTGGCAGATGCCTGTAATCCCAGCTACTCGGGAGGCTGAGGCAGGAGAATCACTTGAACCCAGGAGGTAGAGGTTGCAGTGGGCCGAGACCATGCCACTGTGCTCCAGCATGGGCAACAAGAGCAAAACTCCATCTCAAAAAATAAAATAAAAAAAAGTTTGCCTCATATGTCATTTTCTAGTCTTTTACTTTCTGTCCTCTTATGTCATTGCACTTTAAGTGAGCTTCTTGTAGACAGTATATTATTAGGTCATTTTTTTCATTCATTCTATAAATCTAGGTATTTTAATTGGTATATTTAGATCTGTTACATTTAACATAATTATTGATATGCATGTTAAACGTGCCATTTTATTATTTTCCTATATTCTTATTATTCTCTCTTTTCTTATCTTCCTATAGGTTGAGTATTTTTTAGAAGTCCGTTGTGATTTATTTCTAACGTTTTTCTGTATCTCATTTTGGATAGTTTTCTTAGTGGTTATATGGGTATCACAATGTACATATATGATACTTTGAAGTGTAGAAACCTTACTTCCATTTAGGTTCCTTTCCTTTTCTACTTCTAAAATGTAATTGTTTTACATATTTCTTCTACATTCACTGAGTAGCACATAAAGTTACAATTTTTGCATCAACCATCACATATGAACCTCAACAGAAGTTTGATTGTGTATTATATTTGCCCCTATTTTTCTGCGCTCCAACATTCTTTTCTTTCTAAAGTCCGGGTTTTTATTCTATTATTTCTGTTTAGAATATTTTATGCAGCTCTTCCCCAATAGGACAGGTTTGCTAACATCTTTTCCTACCTTTCTGTCATTTAGGAACATCTTGATTTTCCTTTCATTTTTGAAGGATGTTTTTACCAGATGCAAAATTTGCTGTACACAGTTCTTTTCTTTTGGTGATTGAAAAATTTGCTACTTCCTCCCAGCCTCCATAGTTTCGAATGACTGCTGTCATTTTCACCTGCCCTTATAAGTATTCCCTCATTTCTCTCTTTTTTTTTTTAACTTAATGTTCACAAGTTTATTTATGATGTGTCTTGGTATAAATTTATTTGCATTTATCCTATTTGAGGTTCACTCAGCTTCCCGAATTTATAGGTTTAGGCTTTTTACCAAATCGGAGATGCTGTCAAACATTACTTCTTCAAACATTTTCAGCCCAACCTTCTTTCTCATCTCCTTATGAATTCTGATGATACCAATGTTACCTCTCAGTCTTGTCCCACAGGTCCCTTTGGGTCCATTGTTGTTGTGTCCAATCTATTTTTTCTTAGTTGTTCAGATTGGCTACATTCTTGACCTGTCCTCAAGTTCATGGATTCGGTCCTCTGTGTCATCTCTATTCTACTATTGAGCCCATCTAATGAGTATTTTATTTTGGTTATTCTATTTTTCAGTTCTCTGCTTTCCATTGGCTCTTTTATTTCTGTGCTAAGATTTTCTATTTTTTTTTTTCATTTATTTCAAGAGAATTCAAAATTACTTACCGAAGCACTTTTATGACTAGCTGCTTTAAAATATTTTCCAGATTATTCCAACATCACATTCATCTCTGATTTAGCATCTGATAATTGGCTTTTCTCATTCAAGTTGTGATTCTGCTGGTTCTAAGTATGATAAATGGTCTTCAGGTATATCCCACATATTTTGGGTATGATATAATAAGACCTTTGCATCCTATGCATCTCTTTTTAGTGGGCTTACCCATTGTGGATGTGGAGCATAAAGGCCGGCTGGGTATGTGTGTTCAGCTTTATGCTGGGCTTCTCCAACACTATCATGGCAAAAGGGAAGCACTGACTCCTCTCCCCTTGCTGCTTCTCAGTGAGGGGTGAGCTTCAGTATGCACTTTACAACCACCAGGAAGGGGGAGGGGAGGCTGACTCCCATTGCTTTGTAGCTGCAGCTTGGGACTGAAGGTCAGTTCCTCCCTGTGCCTGACTGAAAGGGTGTGTGGGGTGATGCTTAATAGTTAACTTGCACAGCTTCTCTCACCCTCCTTAAGTACCTGATGCTGAGTTGGGGTAGAGGCTTAGCTCCACGCTAGACCTGCTGAGACTGCACGGGTTGCAGGGATCAGTGTACCACCTGTCACTGCTGAGCAGGGAATGGAGGATCAGCTCCTACTGAGGCCTGCCACCACCACCCCACAGCGGAACTTGAGCACCTGAACGCTTGAGTGGAGCAGCGGTGGAGATGCACATTACCTTTCATTCTGC
This sequence comes from Homo sapiens, assembly GCF_000001405.40. Taxonomy (NCBI): domain Eukaryota; kingdom Metazoa; phylum Chordata; class Mammalia; order Primates; family Hominidae; genus Homo; species Homo sapiens. Next base: position 3,683,998 of record NC_000007.14, on the reverse strand, counting down.
CCGCTGAAACCAGCTGGAGGGCCAGGTGATGAAGGGGGTGCTTTTCTCATTCCTGTGTGGCTGCATTGGGACAGGAGTGGCCAACACATTTTTTGTTACTAGGCCACAATTTGCCCAGCCCTATGCCTGGAGGAAACAGGACTGTTCTTGGAGCATTTTGTGTCTGTGTCCATTGCTAGTTCCAGATTAGAGGTTTTTACAGCTCCTTGTTAGGACATGTGCCGTGTAATGCATGTGTCTAAGGCAACAAGGCAACAAGGAAACTCAGAGAACCACCAGCACCTCATGCCTCAAGTCCCAAGGTCCCCAGGCAGCTGCCTCTCCTTTCACCCTCCAGAGTCTTCCACGCTTGCCATGTTAGGCGCAGGGAATGTTAGCTGTGAGGTGGAGGACCTGGGAGGAACGGGGCTGCTCCACCTGGATGGAACGTGAGCTCAGTAAATAGTTTCTGAACACCTACTATGCACCAGGTATATGTGAGTTTCTTGTCCTCATGAAGTGAACAAAATCTTAACAGAAGATTACATAAAAATCATTATAATAACCTCTGATGAGTATTCTCACAGGGCATGTTTAAAACTACCTACTCGCCTCAAAAATCTCCCTGTCTGCTTCCTATTGTCTAAACCAGTTTTGTTAACAGAGCTGAAAGGCATTATCTTTTAAAGATAAAAGGCTTAAATAATTATTCATTTATTAAGCAAGTATTTGGCAAGTGCATAGTATGTGCTGGGTCCTGTTATCAACATTGGGGAAGCATCAGAAAACACCACAGATACAAAGCTATACACTCATGTAGCTTACCTGTGGAAAAGACAGACGAAAAAGCAAGAAATATCATATGAAAGAAGACTGCACACACTACATTCACTCCCAATCAATCCACTCAGCGTAAATGCCTTGCTCGGTAATACTGTGCCTGAAAATCACTCTCAGAAATATTTGCTATTGAATTTATAAATCCAGGCCGCGCGTGGTAGCTCATACTTGTGATCACAACACTTTGGGAGGCTGAGACAGGTGGATCACTTGAGGTCAGGAGTTCCAGACCAGCCTGGACAACATGGTGAAACCCCGTCTCTACTAAAAGTACAAAAATTAGCATGGTGGCAGGCCCCTGTAGTCCCAGCTACTCAGGAGGCTGAGGCAGGAGAATCACTTGAACCTGGGAAGTGGGGGTTGCAGTGAGCTGAGATTGCGCCACTGCATGATCTGGCAGTGCAAAACTCCATCAGATCGAGTGACAAAGCAAAACTCTGTTTAAAAAAAAAAAAAACTGTAAATCCAAACGCTTGATTTGAGATCCCCCCTTCTGAGAGAGGAGAGCAGGTTGGAGTATAACAGGCAGCTCTATGAAGCTGATGTAAAAAGAAAAAAATTCTCAAGAAAGGAAGAACACAGGAAGGAGAGGCCAGCCGTGCTGAAGGCTCACTGCCCCATGCATGGGGGCTCAGCACTGTCTCTGCAGCAGACACGTGAGTTCTGACCCTGGACAGTTCAGTGCATACGAGCGCCTCCGTGGGAACGCTGCCATTAGCTTTGTTCCAGATACCAGGACGACAGTGCATGATTTGTGACAGCTTCATTATAGAGGAGTTTTCTTCCCCTCTGGAAATGTTAATTTACAAATCTCAAAAATTGCTGCTTTCCTCAATAAGAAGCAACTGTGGCATAGTTGAAAAGCACTGGACAGAATCGAAAGACAAGATTTGTGTGTCAGCTCTGCTGTTTAGTAAGCCATGGGGTGAGAGTCCCATTTTCTGGTGCCTCCATAATATCATCTGTGAAATGGGTATAATAATACCTGGGTTGCCTATCATCTCACAGAGTGGTAGAGAGAGGTAAACCATTTTTGTAAATGCTGATGTGTAATTTTTAGCATCATAATCTTCACTGGTCGTCTGACAGGCAGATACTTCAAAATTCTACCAACTAAACAACTACTTTAACTGATATAAGGCTGTTTAGAGTCTGTTCTTCTCCCATTTACTTTTCACTGCAGAACATTAAAACATTTGATTATGTTATGCTCTCAGAGACCATTCTTGTGATACTGGGCTACATACAGTATAGGGACTGTATAATCTTTCCAAAATATGAAAAATAAAAACTCAGAATTCTAAAACATATCTGGTCCCAAGAGGTTCGGAAAAAAATGTTATACCTCTGTTTGTTCTAATCCAATTCATGTGAAAGGAAAGTTAATCAATAAATAGAAAGCTATCTTTTGGCTGCAGCATTCATAGATTCAATGTATTCATTCAACAAGTAATTATTATGTGCCTACTATGTCCCATGTTCTGTTCTAGATACTTGGGATAAAAATATAAAAAAAAAGCACATGATCTTTGGAGCTTATATTTTAGTGATGGGAGACACATAATATACACTGTAAGTAAGTATGATATGTCAAAAGACATTAAGTGTTATTGAAAGAAATGGACAGTTAAGAAAATCATTTTGAAAAATTGGCATTTTGAAAAATAAATTTGAAGACTTGCCTACCTTTATGACCCAGTAATTCCATTCTGAGGTAAAACTCAACAGAAAGATGTCCACAAGTACACCAGGGATGTGTACAGGAAAGGTCAGAGCAGCAGTTTATAATCATCTCATCAGGAAAAGTCTAACATTAAAATGAATGAACTCACTGGGGTGTACACACAATGGAATCTTAAACAGCAATGAAAACGAATGCTTTCCAGAACAAATACGAATGCTACAAAAACTATGTTCAAAGAAGTTAGAAACACAAGGATTCACACAGTCAGATTTCATTTACATAAAGTCAAAAAACTAAACTATAGCACTCGGGGGCATACTCAGATGGTGAAACTATAAAGAAATACAAAGTGGCAGCCGGGCGCGGTGGCTCACGCCTGTAATCCCAGCACTCTGGGAGGCTGAGGCAGTGGATCACAAGGTCAGGAGATCGAGATCATCCTGGCCAACATGGCGAAACCCCATCTCTACTAAAAAATACACAAAATTAGCTGGACCTGATGGGGTGCACCTGTAGTCCCAGCTACTCCGGAGGCTGAGGCAGGAGAATCGCTTGAACCCGGGAGGTGGAGGTTGCAGTGAGCCAAGATAGCATCACTGAACTCCAGCCTGGCAACAGAGCGAGACTCCATCTCAAAAAATACATAAATAAATAAATAAATAAATAATAAGAAATACAAAGTGGCTAACGCATAAGTCAGGATAGCTGTTGCCTTTAAGAGGAAGAGGAGTTGCATCTGGAGACAACAAACCTAGGGATTCTCAGATGCCACAGGTTCCATTTCTTGACATTCATATGCAAATAGTTACTTGACAATAATTAAAAGATGCAAACCTGTATTTTAAAATCACTAGATTTTAAATAATAATTCATAAGAAGATACCAAAATTGTACAGAAAGGTCTTATGTACTCTTCATCTAATTTCCCCCAAAGTAAAACCTTATGTAACTATGGTACAATATCAAAACCTGCATAGTCATTGGAACAACACCCAGACCTCACTTAGATTTCATCATTTTTCCATGTACTCATTTGTGTGTGCACAATCATATAGTTTTATGCAGTTTTATCACGTGCGCATTTATACAACCATCACTACAATCAACACACAGACTGTCCTACCACGACAAAGATCCCCTGTGCTGTCCACCTAAATTCACATCCAGCCGTCTCCCCTCACCTCCCCTCTCAAGCTCTCCTACGTCTCTAACTCCCTGCGACCATTAATATTTTCTCCATCTCCGTAATTGAGTCATTTTGAGAATGCAATATAAATGGACTCACACAGTCTAAAGCCTTTTGAGATTGGAGATTGGGTTTTTCCCTAAGCATGATGCCCCTGAGATCCAGCCAAGTCGTTGCCTGGTTCATTCATTCATTCATTCCTTTTATTGCCGCAAAGGATTCCATGCTGCGGATGCACCACGGCTTGTTTACTCTTTCACCCACTGAGGAACATCTGAGTGGTTTCTGATTTTTTTACTAATCTCAAATAAATCTCTAAAATTTGACTATTACAAATAAAGCCTCTGTGAACATTTGCGTGTGCATTTTTGTGTCAATACAGGTCTTCATTTCTGTGGATAAATGCTAAGAAGTGTGACCGATAGGGTCATATGGTAAGCGTATGTTTTGTTTTTAGACAAACTGCCACACTGTTTCTCAGAGTGGCTATATGCCAGTTTACACAGCAGCTAGCAATACAGGACTGATCCCATTTCTTTACATCTCGACGTATTTGATGTTGTTACTGTCTCTTTATTTTAGCTATTCTGATAGGTAGGAAGTGAAATCTCATTGTGGTTTGAAAGTGCGCTTTCCTAATGGCCAATGATGGCAAAGGTATTTTCATATACCTGTTTGACATCTGTATATCCTCTTCCATGAAATGTCTATTAATCTCCTTTGCCCATTTTCTTTTCTTTTTTGAGATGGAGTCTCGCTCTGTCGCCCAGGCTGGAGTGCAGTGGCACGATCTCGGCTCACTGCAAGCTCCACCTCCCGGGTTCACGCCATTCTCCTGCCTCAGCCTCCCGAGTACCTGGGACTACAGGCGCCCGCCACCGCGCCCGGCTAATTTTTTTGTATTTTTAGTAGAGACGGGGTTTCACCATGTTAGCCAGGATGGTCTCGATCTCCCGACCTCGTGATCCACCCGCCTCGGCCTCCCAAAGTGCTGGGATTACAGGCATGAGCCACCGCACCTGGCCTCCTTTGCCCATTTTCTAATAGGAATTTTTACTATTGAATTTTAGGAGTTCTTCACAGATTTCAGATAAAAGTCCTTTGAAAGACATGTGGCTGGCAAATATTTTCCCCTAGTTTGCAGCCTGTTTTTTCATTCCTCTTTGCAGCATCTGTCCCAGAGCAAGTTTTCACTTTTGATCAAATTCAATTTATTTTGTTTTCATGTATTGATCATGTTTTTGGTGCCATAGCTAAAAATTGTTCACTAATCCGTAGGCTCTGAAGATTTCCTCCTGTGTTTTCCAAAAAGTTTTATAACCTTACATTTTACATTTAAATCTCTCGTATGTTTTGTCATTTTGTTGTTGTTGTTCATTTAAGTTTTTTTAAAGATATAAAATGTGAGGTTTAGGTCAGGTTCATTATTTTGCCTGTTGATACCCAATTGCTCCAGCACCATTTGTTGAAAAGATCACCTTTCCTCCCCTGAATTGCTTTTTAAAAAACTGTGGTAAAATATGCCTGAAATCTATCATTTTAATGATTTTAAAGTCTACAATTTCATAGTGTTAAGTACATTCACAGTGTTGTGCATATCACCACTATTTCTATCCAGAACTTTTTCTTCATCCCAAACAGAAACTCTGTACCTGTGACACAGTAACTCCCATCTCTCCCTCCCCCCAGGGCCATGATGACTTCTATTCTACTTTCCGACTTTATGAATTTGCGTATTCTAGAGACCTCATGTAAGTGAAACCACACAATGGGTGTTCTTTTATGTCTGGCTTGTTTCACTTAGCATAGTGAATGATTAGTTTTCAAAGTTCGTCCACGTGATGCAGCATTTTTCAAAGCTCCTGCCTTTTATGGGCACATAATAGTCCATGGTACCTACAGACCATATTTTGTTAATCCATTCATCTGCTGATGGACACTTAGATTATTTCTACATTTTTGCTGTTGTGAATAATGCTGCTATAAACATTGGTGTACAAGGTCTGTTTAGGTCTCTGCTTTCAATTATTTGGGGTATATACCTAGATGTGAAATTGCTGTTAATTGTATTTTTAACTTTCTGAGCAACCAACGGTCTTCCACGGTGGCTAAACCATTTTACATTTCCACCAGCAATGCACAAGGACCCCACTGTTTCCACATCCTCACCAACACTTGTTAATTTTCTACTTTTTATATTAGCTGTTACAAGGGGTGTGAAGTTGTGTCTAATTGTGGTTTTGACCTGTTAATGTCATGACCTGCTGTGGTTTGACCACTAATGACTAATGACACTGAACATCTCTTCATGAGCCTACTGACCTTTTGTATATCTTCTCTGGGGAAATACTTTGTTTGTTCTGTTGTTGTTGAGTTGTAGGGGTTCTTTACACATTCTGGACATCAGCCTCTGATCAGATTCTATGGAGTTTTGTACCCTTGTCAAAAAATCAGCTGGTTATCCATGTGTGAATATATTTCTGGGTTCTCTACTCCATCCACTGAACTATGTGTCTATCCCTCCACTAATACCACACTGTCTTGTTTACCACAGCAACATAGTAAGTCTTAAGATCACATTAAGATATAAAATATATATTCACATATTGAATCTTTCAATTCATAAACACTGTCTTTACATTTAACAATTGATATGGTTTGGCTGTGTCCCTACCCAAATCTCACCTTGAATTTTAATAATCCCCATGTGTCAAGGGCAGGGCCAGGTGGAGATAATTGAATCACGGGGGTGGTTTCCCCCATACCATTCTTGTGGTAGTGAATAAGTCTCACGAGATCTGATGCTTTTATAAATGGGAATTCCCTTGCACAAGCTCTCTTGTCTGCCAGCATGTAAGACCTGACTTTGCTCCTCATTCACCTTCAGCCATGATTGTGAGGCCTCCCCAGCCATGTGGAACTGTGAGTCCATTAAAACTCTTTCCTTTATAAATTACCCAGTCTTGGGTATGTCTTTACTAGCAGTGTTAGAACAGACTAATACAACAATATTAACATCTAAAAAAGAAGAATCCAGGGCCAAAGATGCTTATCGTATGTTAAATAAAAATAGTGTACACACCTACATGCACACACACACACATACACACATACCCCTTCGCACACAGAGCAGAATCCCTGTGGGAGAGTTGGAAATTCCAAGGGTTTAAGTAGGGTGGCCAGAAAAGTCTTCACTAAGAAAAGGATATTTGAAAAAAGTACAAAATTAGCCACCCAGATTTCTTGAAGAAGTCATAAGAAACAAACATCCCAGAGGCCAAGAGGTGCAGGAATCCTTGGTATGTCCAGGGAACAGAAGTAGGTAAAAGATGAGGTTAGAGAAGCAAAAAGAACAAAGTTGAAGCATCACATTACCCAACTTCAAACTATACTACAAGGCCTAAGAAACTAAAATAGCATGGTATGAATACAAAAGTAGACACACAGACCAATGGAGCAGAACCCAGAAATAAAGCCACACACCTACAACCATCTGATCAACAAAGTCAACAAAAATAAGCAATGGAGTAAAGATTCCCTATTCAATAAATGTTGCTAGGATAATGGGATATCCATATGCAGAAGAATAAAATTGAACTCCTTTCTATCATCATATACAAAAATTTACTCAAGATGGTTTAAAGACTTAAATATAAGACCTCAAGCTTAAAAAATATTAGAAGAGGGCAAGGCGTGGTGGCTCACGCCTGTAATCCCAGCACTTTGGGAGGCCAAGGTGGGCAGATCACAAGGTCAGGAGATTGAGACCATCCCGGCTAACAGGGTGAAACCCCGTCTCTACTAACAATATAAAAAATTAGCTGGGCGTGGTGGCAGGCGCCTGTAGTCCCAGCTACTTGGGAAGCTGAGGCAGGAGAATGGTGTGAACCTGGGAGGTGGAGCTTGCACTGAGCTGAGACTGCGCCACTGCACTCCAGCCTGGGCGACAGAGCAAGACTCCGTCTCAAAAAAAAAAAAAAAAAAAAAGTACTAGAAGAGGCCAGGTGTGGTACGTGTAATTCCAGCACTTTCGGAGGACAAGGCAGGAGTATAACTTGAGCCCAGGAGTTTGAGACCAGTCTGGGCAACATAGTGAGACCCCGTCTCCACAAAAAAATACAAAATTTAGCCAGGTGGCAACATAGTGAGACCCCGTCTCCACAAAAAAATACAAAATTTAGCCAGGTGTGATGGCATGCACCTGTAGTCCCAGCTACTTGGGAGGCTGAGGTGGAAGAATCGCTTGAGCCTGGGAGTTTGTGGCTGCAGTCAGCCGTGATAGTGCCACAAAAAAAGAAACTCAATAGAGCAAACAGACAACCTACAGAATGGGAGAAAATATTCAGGAACTATGCATTCAACAAATGTCTAATATTCAGAACATATAAGGAACGTATAAAAGGAAGTTAGATAAATCAGCAAGCAAAAAACAACCCAATTAAAAAGTAGGCAAAGGGCATGAACAGATACTTCTCAAAAGAAGACATACGGGGCATGGCATACCTGTAATTCCAGAACTTTGGGAGGCCAAGGTGGGAGGATCACTTGAGGCCAGGAATTCATAACCAGCCTGGGCAATACAGTGAGACTCAGTTTCTACAAAAATGCCTGTAGTGGCTGAGGTAAGTGGATGGCTTGAGACCGGGAGTTCCAGGCCGCAGTGAGCTATGACCATGCTACTATACTCCAGCCTGGGTGACAGAACAAGACCTCATCTCTTTACAAACAAACAAACAAACAAACAAACAAAAAGGAGTAGGGGGAGGAAGAAAGGTAATGGGGAGCATATTATGTAGACTTTTGTAGGCCACTTTAAGTACTCCAGCATTTAATGTGAATGAAACAGGAAACTGGAAATTTCTGATTTTGAAGACTGACATGATCTAACTTACATTCTAAAAAAAGATTAGCTAAGTGTTGAATACAAGCAAGCAAGAAGACTAGACCACAGACCAGAAGCTGTTATAATAATTCCAGCTGTAGACGACCATCACTTGGTCCAAAGTGGTAGCAGTGAAAACAGCTAAATGTTGGATTTTGAATAGCTTTTGAAAGGAAAGCTAACAGGTTTTTCTGTGGCTATGGGTGAAAGATCAAGGTTTTGGCCTGAACCATTTGAAAGATAAAGCTGCCATGAAATGATATGATATAGACTATGGGTGGAGCAGGTTTGGGGCATGGAGGGAGATCAACATTGGAGATATCTGTTAGATTCACACGTGGAGATGGCTCACGGGCATGAGAAGGTTTACAGCCGTGGCTAGCAAACTCTAACCCATGTACAGAATTTGATGCAGGCTTGTTTTTATATGGCCCACACACCAAGAAGACTATTGTTCCTCAGGTCACTATGCTTCTATCCACAGGGGTCAGGAAGGATACCAAATGCCCTCTACTCCCTACCACTCACAGCCTTGCCTAATGATTGGCTTGAGTCTACCAGCATTAATCCAGCCATGCCCTTTACCCAATGCGTGCTGAACACAGAGCCAATCTTGTGGATCTCTGTCCAACTCCTTATAGAAAGACGTCATGTTGGTCACCTGGAATACACTGTGGTGGGAGTATTCACACCATGAAAATTGGAAAAAGCTACACATCAGGGCTCTTCCCTGCCAAGAGCCAGTTATAGTTATCAAACACTGAACAACACATCACTGCCCTTTGTCCGTATTTATGGAATAAAGTCTTAGAATCTCAATTCATCCCTCATCTCCTGTATATGAATCCCCAAACAGCCATGAACAGCTCTTACTCCACACTACATCCCTCACCAAACCAAAACTCCTTAACCACTTCCATTGTGCTTTCTGTGACTCAAAGACCAGCCTCAGCAAAGGCCCCTGTATTGTCACCCTCTCCTCTAAATGTTTCTTCTTCTTGCTCAACAGGAAGGCTGGTCCTCCCCTGCTGACACTCATGCCCTAGCAGCCCTCTCTAGGTCTCTCCCACCCTGCTTTGGACTTGGACGTGGGGTAGATGCCCTCCTTCCTTCTCATTACCATGCTCACTACACTCCACCCGCCTCTTCTCAAATTGCCTCCATCTGTAACACTGAATCTCATGTCGTCTAACTTTATCTCCCACTACACCTTCGTTGTTGTAGTCAATTTCTGATGCTGTCTTTCCCTTATCTTTTAGTGATATAGCTCTTGACTCACAATTTCAGTATACACATTGACTGTGCTTCAATCAACATGTGATCGGTCTGTGCCATTCAGAGATGTTTTTTTCTCCTATTCTCTCTTCTATGCCTTAATGGACTTCAAGACTTAAAAGCATTTAAAAACTCCATGATCAAACAAATCTCCCTGCTGTCACCTACCAAAAAGTTATTAGAAATTATCTCTTATTCTTAATCAAATTTCTATTTATTTTTAATAAAATTTGCTTTGGGTTTATATTTAAGAATACTTTATAATCAGTTCATCAATAATAATCTCAATGTTCAAGAAGTACTTAGAACTCAGTTTTATGATATAATTCTCAAACAAAACCAATGTGTATGTCTTCCGCCCTTGGAATGCAAACTTTTGCCTGCCACATAATGAACTGACTATGCCAGCCACCAAATACACAAGGCAGCAGGGGGCGCAGTTTTGGGCCCTCCAGGTCAATGACTGAGCTTTTGTCTTTGCAGAGCAAGACGAAACTACCTAATGCATTAGCAAAGCAGAATATCCAAAACAACATGAGACAGAAATAAAAAGGGGTAAGTCTATACCAAGGCATCTCACAGTGAATGTTAATAAACTCATGTAATAACAGGCCGGCGGGGCCTATGGTATGTACTTTTATTTTTCCATGTTTAAACATTGATTATAAATGATTATGAGTTTTAAGGTTCTCACATAAGCTGATAAACAACTAGGAATAGAGAGTATACTAAAAGGAAGAGCCAGTCAACAAAAACCTTCCAGGAAAAGACTCTTTCAGGAAATGAATGCTTTTATTTCCCCTTTTGTCTCTATTGACACTGTCTAGCTCTCCGATCTTTCCGTCCAATGAATGATTCTGTTGATCATGAACCGCCCCCATGGGATTTGTTCCTGCAATGCTTCATTCTGGATTTACACTTCCATTCTATCAAGTGTAGTCAATATCCTGTCTGTAGGATGAGAGTATTGCAGATAAAAATCAATTCCCTTTGGAACTCATTTTCGGAAAAGCTTGGTGCATCACTGAAATTGAGGAACCGCTGCCTTACAAATTGGTCAAATGCTACAAGGAAGTATCTTCATACTTTAAGTATTTATTTACTATCAGCAAGAGCTGCTTCATAGCTAAAAGAAGTAAAGCAAAGATGCTTATTTAAAAAAAATAGAAAAAAGGAATAAAAGAGGAAGTAATATTAAAAGATGCATCTAGAAAAAGTTTAACCATTTCAAGAGTTAGAATAGAGCTTTTACCCAAAGATCACTCCAAACCCTCAAGGGTGGGGATGGGGCCCTCATTGTAGGTGCCTATTTTGGCAAAAGTGTGATCTGTGCATACTTAGAGCTTTCTGTATTTTTTATATATATATATATATATATATATATATATATATAAAATTATATATTATAAAAATATATATTACATTTTTATTTAATATAAATTTAATTTTTATTTAATATAAATTTTATTTAATAACAAATTTATATATAAATTTAATATTTATTTAATATATATTTAATATATATTATTATATATTATATTATATAAATATATATATTATATATATATATTTCTCCACATCATCTCCTTTATCGATCTCACTCTGGGATCTATAAATAGATTGCTTTTGGACTTATTTAGGTACTGGTTTCCAGCTCATCTTTCTTCTTTGCCTGTATGTCCTATCTCTTTTGGCTAATGCCTCTGTTTTTTTCCTCAAGAGTTTGCAGTAGAAGTATAAACACAGCTTTCATCTTTCATGTTGGCTTACCTCCAGTAACGGCAAGAAACAGAGAGACACTTCAAGAACTTGGGGGTGCAGTAGGGTAGATGAGCTGCTTGCTGTGATAGAATAACGTGTGATGGGTATTCACAATAACTGGGCACTACAGAAACAGGATGGGTATGGAAGCCACTCTGAGGATGTTTTCATTCTCACCAGCAGCATCGGCTGCCTCCCTACAATTCTCCCTGCCCTCATTCCTATAGTCCTTCAGGTTAGACCAATGGTCACCACACCATGACCCGCCACTCCTCAGAGTTACCAGGAAAACTCCTCCAAGACCTCAGGAGACCCTGTGTCCCATATCATGGATAAGCCCTCCCAGAGGCCGCCAGGACTTCAGAGCAGCTATGCCTCAGGGTCCATGTGTTCCTGCTTTTAGCTCCAAGCAACTACTGTGTAGGCATGGATCAGTTGTAAAGGGATAAGTCAAGTTCAGCTGATTCCTCCACATTATAAACACAAACAATAAGCAAGCAAGCAAACAAAAACCTGCCCAATCTCACAGACATATTACATAAGAAGGAAAAAACTATAAAATGGTTTCAAAGATTTCCCACTGGCGTTATAATTTCACTTCCTGCTCTTAATTTCTTTTTAATCTCATTATAAAACTCACCAAAAAATGCATTAGGTTTTTCATGAGACTGTCTCAGGGATTATTTTGTACTGAATGACAACATCTACAATGAAAAGTGTTTGATTAGTTAACTTCCTGGAGAAACACAAGTTTATTTTAAACACTCTTCACTTGGATTTTTTTCTATTGACTCAGTCTTAAACTTGTAAATAGGTATAACAGCAATGATATGATCATACAGACTACACATTTGTCTCAGCTATATTGAGAAAGAAGGGATAACATCAGAGCTTACAAATTAGGAATCATAATAACAAAAAGGGTAATGACCAGAGCTTCATTCAATGAGCAACAAAGTATTTTACTCTGTCTTTGGGGAGATGTACATTGATTCCATTTCCTTCTTAAATTTGTGACTATAAATATTTAAAAATTGGTTTAAAAAATGTCCCTGATGGGCTAGACTCACACAATGTAGAGGCCGATGGAATTCTAGAGAACATTAAGCTTAATTTTCTGAATTTACAAGATGAAGAAATGAAGAGACAGTGAGAGGAAGTGACTTGACATTTAAAGTCAGAAACAGACACGAAGTCCAAACCAGATCCTGTTCAGTGTTTCTTGTCTCCTCTAAATATACTGAGTAATGACTTGGATAAGACCAATGCTGAAAACTCAGGGGTAAGGCAAGACACCCCCCGCCTTGAGGTCCCAGTCCTCCAAGGGCCTAGAGCCCAATAGGAGAAACAAACCTCAAGGAACTAGTTATGCAATGAACTGTTTTAACTGTAATCGTGGTAACTATGGCAAAAAAAAGTTACAGGATGTGCTGTAAGAACAAATAATAGACGACCTGTCCTTGTAGGAATCAAAGAAGGTTTCCTAAAAAAGGTTACTCTTGAACTGAGCACAAAAGGGTGATCATCTAATTTATTTCACAAACCAGTAGTAAAAGGGGATACCTAAAAACAGTAAATGTTAACTGATCTACAACAGACATAAACTGGGTCTGTCCTGAGCCAGCTGGGATGTAAGGTCCTTTGCTGCAGAAGGATAAGTCAGTACTAAGCAAGGGAAGCAAGCGGGTGGGTATCCTGTATAAGTGGGGAGAGCAACGAGAATTCCCAGAGACAAGAAGGGAGGTGGTTCGTTAAGCAAATAATCTAACATTTACTGGGGGCTTATTAACTGTCAGTCACTGTGCTACCACCGCACACGTTTCATCTCATTTAATTCACACAAATCCCCTAAGAAGCTGAGACTAATAACTGCATTTCAGAGATGAGAACACTGATGCATAGGTTCAAGAACTTGTCCATTAATAAAAGTTTTGTTTTGTTTAAGAACTTGTCTAAGATCATACCTAGTAAGTGAAAAGTTAAGATTCAAACTCAGGTATCTGATCCGGGAAACTAAGAACGTAACCAATATACCAAAGTGGCTGTGGCTGGACGTCAGAGGGAAAGAGATGGAAGAAAAAATTTAGGTAGATAAGGGAAGGAACTGAATTACACAAACCCTGCTGTTTATATTAAGGATTTGGTTACTCAGACTAATATACTAATGGATTTGAAGGAACAGAGTAACAAGATCAGGTTCATATTAATATATCATTCTGACCACAGCATGGGGAATGGAGAGAGAAGACAAAATAAACATAGGGAAACAAGGTAGAGACCAATGAAAGAGGCAAGAGTTTGGTCAGGAATGGTGGCAGAGGTGGACACACAATGATGTGAGTAGATTTGTGGGATAACATGTGGTACAATAAGAGAAACTGGTGATTGACTGGATGTGGTGGAAGAGAAAAAGAAGTATCAAGGATAATTCCTTGGTTCTTGCTTGGGCAACTGTTGGATGGCAGTGTCATTTATGTTAAGAAAGGAGAGCCAGGAGTAAGGCAGGGAAAATAGGGTCAATGAAGAAAAAAGAGTTCTGTTTTCAACCTACTGAGTATGAAGCACCTTTGAAAAAACTCCAGGAAAATACAATGAATAGGCTGTTGAATACATAGGTTTGAAACTCAAAGGAGTGATGTGGGCTGGAGATGTAAAATTGTGAGTCATCTGCAAGTGCTATAGTTGGTATGTGAGCTGATGAGCTTGGATGAACTTACCTAAGGAGGGAGAATAAGGTGGGAGGTAGTGAAGTGCTAGGACCAAGGATTGAGGAAATCCAAGGTTTAAAGACAGGTGGAGGAAGGCAAGTTGGCAAAGAGGTCTAAGAAGAAGAGAGCCAGAAAAAATGAGCAGGAGTGTGTTGTGTTATTGAATTCAAAAGAAGAGAGTGGTTAAAGAAGGTGGAAGTAAACCGAACAGTCAATACCAGCGAAGTTCAAGGAGAGTAAGAACTCAAAGATGATTCTGTTTTGGTGGGAGCAGAAGTAGATCTTCAAGAGTTCAATGAAAAGGGGGTAAGAAGGTGCTGTAAAACCTGAACATGTTCCAAATATAAAAATTCTGCAACAAGGTCTGTAGTTAATCTGTTTCTGTATCTGTTTATGAGACAAAGCAGTAACTTTAACAGGTTTTTAATCCCCTCTGCTCCTACACTGCTTTCCATGCTCTTATAATTTGGGATTTCAATTCCACATTTCTTTGCTTTTCAAAATATTCAACATTCATTTACACTAACCAATATGTTTTACCACCTTATTTGTTCATTATCACTCCTAATATTCTACTTCTTCTCAGATTTACTTTTCTCCCTGGAATGTGTCCTTTTTAGATTCTCTCAAAGAGCTTTGGTAAGTGGTAAACTTCTTGAGCCCTTATGTGGCCAATTGTCCTTTTCAAATGGGGCACAGCAACATTCCTTACCAGACATGCTCTGCCAGAGCCTCCCATGACGTCACACAGGGACAGGTCTATGGCTCCTTCTCCTGAACCTGGGCAGGCCTTTGTGACTCTTTCAGCTAGTGACACAATGGTGAAAATGGACACTTTGTGACTCCCAAGGCTCATCATAAAAGGCAATATAGTATTTTGTTTTGTTTTGTTTGAGTAGGAATTTCACTCTATCACTCAGGCTGGAGTGCAATGGCGCCATCTTGGCTCACTGCAAACTCCGCCTCCCAGGTTCAAGTGATTCTCCTGCCTCAGCCTCCCGAGTAGGTGGGATTACAGGTGCACACCACCACACTCGGCTAATTTTTGTATTTTTAGTAGAGATGGGGTTTCACCATATTGGCCAGGCTGGTCTCTTGCCCAGGCTGGTCTCGAACTCTTGACCATGTGATCTGCCTGCCTCGGCCTCCCAAAGTGCTGAGATCACAAGCGTGAGCCACTGCACCAGGCCCAAGGCAATATAGTTTTTATGTGACAGCTTCTCTCTGTATGTTTGTCCTTGGAACCCAGCATATAATCTTTGAAGGAAGTCCATGCCCATGGAGAGGTCCATGTAGAAAGGAACTGGGGTCTCTGGTCATTAACTCTGATGAACTCTCAGTTAACAGTCAATACCAACTTTTGCCATGAAAGTGAGTCGTGTTGGAAGAGGAATCTACTGCCATCAGTGGAACCACCCTAGCTGACACCAGGTGGAGCAAAGATAAGCCTTCCCACTCCTGCTCAAATTGCAGATTTGTGTACAAAACACCTGATTATTTTGTTCTAAGATGGGTTTCAGGGCAGCTTATTAAGCAGTAAAACATAATGAGAATGGCTTGCATGTCTAAAACTGCCATTATCCCTCTGTCCCCTACCTCAAATGATAGTTTTGTTAGGTATAGCAAGCTAAGTTTCTGATTATTTCCCTGAGGACTTTGAGGTTTCTTATAAGTTTCTTATAAAGTTAAATAAACATACACTTACCAGAAAGTCTACTCCAAGCATGTAACTGGGCAAAATAAAGGCTTATGTTCATGTGCAAACATATTTGTGAATGTTTCTAGCATCTTTATTTGCAAATGGCCAAAACTGGAACAATCCCAAATGCCCTTCAACTGGGGAATAGAATAACAAGCTGTGGTACATGCACACAATAAAATACTACTTATGAATAAAGAAGAACAAAGTACTGATATGTGCAACAAAGAGATGAGTACCAGATGCATTACGAGAACTGAAACAAGCCAGATTCAAAGGCTAAATACTTTAGGATCCCATTCATAAGATATTTTAGAAAATGCAAAACTATAGGGACAGAAAACAGATCTGTGACTGCCAGGGTCTCCTGGTGGAGGAAGAGTTGATCACAATGGAGTGTGGGAGAATTTGGGCGGTGATAGAACTATTTTATATTTTATGATTGTGGTAGTGGATCAACACTGTATGTTTGTCAAAATTCATCAAGCTATATATCAAAAAGAGTGAATTCTATCCTTGAATCTTAAGCATGAGGGTGAAAAAGATATTCCCTCTGAATAGAAAAGCCTCAGGGTAGGAGGAGGTTGGGAGGAAGACTTTTCCATGATAAACTCATTGACTTATTGCCAAAATGTCATTCTACAAGTGACTCATAAAAAATAAATGGTGTTACCATTGTAATAATGGAATAAGTAGATGCTGCAGTGTTCTCTATACAAATGTGTGTTTTTTATAATAATATGGTTATAATAAAATTACATTTGAACACACTATATAAACTTCATGGACATGTATTTCTCAAATGAAAATTAGCTACAGTTAGGTCAGAATAATCTGCCAAGGTACACAGATATGCACAAGACATATTACAATATGTCACAATTCATTGGGATTTTTATTTCTTTTGTCATTTATTTTTCTTCTAGGAGCACTTAATGGAAAGAACAAGTCCTTAGCATAAAATTTCCCAAACCGTAAGAACACCCCAAAACACCAAACACAAGTCCTTAAAAAAAAAGTAAATAAAAAACTCACTTCAATTCTGAGTTTAGAAAAGTGTGATGTGACTGCACCAGCCAACACCTCTTGTGACGGATAGCAGATGCAGACAAGGGGAAACGTCAGGCATTTATCCCTCGTTTCCACCCTGCAAGACCTGAGATAGGAAGGCATGGACCACCTGATCTCACCACTGACATCATTAAAGGATGTCTCTCCTTTGATTTTTTTTGTTTTCACAAATGTACTTTGACAGGTAATTATGAAAAGAAAATTAATATTAGGCATAAAACAATTAATTTATTCAAACAAATACCAATCGCCAACGACGCACAAGGCACTATTTTAGGGCCTGAGATACAGAGTGTCTGTCCTCAGGAGCTTATGATATACAGAGAAGCAAGGCCCAAGCCATGGCAGCACACGGCAGACAAGACCTGCAACAGGGAGAGGTGTCGCCAGACCCCAGGGAAACCACACTGAACCTGCTGTGTGTCGGCAGCAGGGTGAGGGCAGGAGCCTGGGAAATGGTCTCAGAGAAAGTGATGAGATCTGAAATGTAAGATAAAATCTGAAGCTAAAAGTAAAATCCAGCATGGTGATGGCATTCCAGGCAGGGGGACGGCATGTGCAAAGTCCCATGACAAGAGACCTGGGGCAGCTGGGACAGTGTACAAGGCTGAGCGTGGCTGCCTTGTGAAGGGAAAAGGAGAAACAAGCCCGACAGACAAGGCCAGATGCAGGCGGCACAAGGCCAGGAGGACCAGTGCTCGAACTTCATCTTGAGGCCCGGAAACTACTAAAAGGATTTTAAAGGTGAGTGGGGTGGGGGTGTCATATGCCACCTTCAGAAACATCTGGTTAACTGGATTAGGAGGTGAATAAAGGACAAAGCTGGATACTTGGAGATCAGCTGAGATTTCCTGCAGGAATCTAAGCAGAATTATGCCAATGGCCAGAACAAAGGTGGTGGCAGGAAGAAAGAGTGAACCCCCTGACTAATTGGAATAGGAAGTGTGAGCCAACCGAGAAATTGTGGGAAGATGGTAGAAGGTGTTCTGAGTTTCCCTGCCCTTCATAAATGGAACCAACTGAGGAAACATCTTCATCACTAAGTCAATCTACATCTGTTAATAAAGAGAGAAAAGCAACACAAGGAACGCTGGATACTCCAAGCATGAATCAACTTTATCACTTTTGTCTCCAGACTTTGGAGGGCAAGGGGAGCATAAACAAAGACTGCAGATGGCAGCAGGATCCACGTGAGAGAAAGCACCAATGCTCAATGAATGGCACGACATGTCCTGCAGTCACCACGAAATACTACTTCTAGTTGCCTCTTGCTGTGGCACTCCCTCCCCATGCAAAAAAGAGAAGGACAAGGAAACAAACATAAAAATATTTATTAACTAGTCAGGCACAAGACAAAGCTCCATTCATTCAACCAAACAAATACTTCTTGAACATCAATATGTGTGGTGTGCTATGGTGTGTTGTATACAAGAGATGCAAAGGTGAACAAAAATCAATCCCTACCCTCAAAGAATTGCAAAATGTGATATAAGGCAGCAGAGGCTAGAGCAGGACTAAAAGAACTATTCATTATTTTAACTGATATGTAGATTCATGCAAGTTTTCTCTAATGTTAACAACCTGCAGAATCTGCTCAAACTGTTCCTGTAGGTGAGGCCACGGGAAAATATAGTGAAAGAGGGGGCTCAAGGCATCACTGTAGGTGGGGATGATAGTGGACTGCTCTGCGTGCACAGGGTGGTCCCCATGTGTGGGTCTCCTGTTGAGGAGGCACAGAGGGCATTCACACCTGGGACCTACTTCACATAGGAAGGGCCCATCTACGAGGTTTCATAGGCTTCAGAAAAACAACAGCCAGAGAGTCCACTCTTTCTTACAGACTTACATCATTAATTCATTTCTCTACTTTCAGGTAAACTCAAGGATCTCTGAGTTATTCAGAAGAGCCTACTCAAAGTTTATAATGGTCTGAATCATCCTGCTGTGGATATGGGTCACATCTGTTCCTCTGGAAAATGACAGACTGTCCTCCAAAATCATTGCCATTTTTCAAATAAGATATGAAAGTAACAGTTTCTGTTTCTTGGAGGCAATGTTTCTTCATCTCAGAGCCGTAAGAAAGATGCCAAGTTATTAGAACACATGCAGATTTGAAAGCAGACCAAAAGCTCTATCAGACTATTGCTAGTTCTCAATTTTTTTTTTTTTTTTTTGAGACAGAGTCTCGCTCTGTTGCCCAGGCTGGAGTGCAGTGGCACAATCTCGGCTCACTGCAACCTCTGCCTCCTGGGTTCAAGCGATTCTTGTGCCTCAGCCTTCCAAGCAGCTGGGATTACAGATGCCCGCCACCATGCCCGGCCAATTTTTGTATTTTTAGTAGAAGACATGGTTTCACCATGTTGGCCAGGCTGATCTCGATCTCCTAACCTCAAGTGATCCACCCACCTCGGCCTCCCAAAGTGCTGGGTTTACAGGTGTGAGCCACTGTGCCCGGATGCTAGTTCTCAAATTTATAAGCACAATGAAAAAGGCTGTAATATTCCAGAAGAAAATATACATACAGGGACCAGAGTACACAGATTCGAGTTTCTTGTTATACTTTGCCACAAAGCAATGGCATTTTAGCTGGAGTTGCCCTGAGTTGTGGGGTAATTAACAGCCTGGTGTTTTTCATTGCAACATTTGCCATGGTCAAGACCCTCCCAGTGACGGAGCTCCTCCGCACACCTCTGACTTGCCTCATGCTTTACACTCCCTTCAAGGTATGTATGTTTTTGTCAAGCATTCCACCAAGAAGAAAGAAAAATATCTCCCAGTGGCAAACTGAGAAATGCTCACTGGGCTAATTCCAACAGGTGTGTTTCAACAAGCATTGAATGTTGTCCAGAAAAAGAACAAAGGGAAAATAAACTAGAGTGAAGGTACAATGTACCCAAAATGAGATGTTAGGGGCCCGGAAATATCTTGTGGTTAATTTTTCTCAAATTTATAAGCCTAGCATACCATGGAAGTGTATCAACTTCTTCCTACAGTGACAATGATACATTCCTAAGAAAAATGCTTTGAAAAGAAATTCAGTTCTGTTCATGAAACCTTTCTGCCTTGCTTAGCCTTTACAGGATAGTTAGCTAATCTTAGATTTAGTTTTCTACTTTCCATACTTCCTTTTAGATGTACAGACTTTGACAGTGGTAGGGACAACACATAATTCTAGTGTGGCAAGTTTTATACCCACAGTAGCTATAAACAAGTAGGGTGGCCAGCCATCTCGGTTTGCCCAGGGACTGAGGGGACTCTCAGTGCTAAAACTGGGACAGTCCTGGACAAACCAGAATGAGGTGATTACCCTGCATGTCACACACACTGTCCCCCTCTCTGGCCACATGGTCTAAACAGCAATCTCTCTCATCTTACCCATCATTGTGTTGTTCAGGTCCCTCAGCTGAAGAACAAACCTCTAAGCGGACAACATCACAGAATGCAAACAAGCAAGGCCCTGAGAACAAGCCCCAAGTCGAGAAGATACATCGCAAGCATGAATCCCACTTCCCTATATATTTCATTTAGTTAAAAACACCAGAAGGGAACAGATACTATGTGTGCATGAAATAAGCTTCAGTTTTTACACACTCCACCTACAATTATCCCACTTGAAAACAAAAACATGGATGTTCATTTCTCTGATGTAGGACACTGTACTATTATCATTATATATCTTACTCTAAAAGTAAGTATCACAATTTTACTCATTTTAAACAAGAGTCAGAGCCTTTTGCCACTGTAACAGATGTTTCAACAATTTTTCTGCTTACCATTGAAAACAGATTTTGTTTTCAAATATGGAAACAAAATAATCTAATTATGCACTCCTTCAAAGTCCAAAATGAGATCAAATATGTGTACTATCTGATTGATACATACACACATATATGCATACACATCTATGCATGCATGCATACTTGCATATACATAATACATATTACAGGTTGAGCATACCTTATCCAAAATGCTTGGAACCATAAGTGCTTCGTATTTCAGATTTTTTCAGATTTCAAGTATCTGCATAATGCATACTGGGTTAAGCATCTCAGATCCCAAAGTCTGAAATCCGAATCCAAAATGCTTCAATGAGCACTTCCTTTGAGCATCATGTTGATGTTCAAAAAGCTTTAGATTTTGAAGCATTTGAAATTTCAGATTTTCAGATGTGGGATGCTCAACCTGTATATAATTTGTATATACGTATATAAACACTGTACATCTGTGAGACACATTTAGAAGACAAAGAACCCGAAACATCTGTTGTTGCTGTTGTGCTCTTAAGAGAGGAACCATTTCTCCGAACCCAAGCCTGTGAGCTCCCAATCGTCCCCGCAGCGGCCCTTGTCAGCACCCTTCTTCTCTCTGGACCTCCAGGAAGACAGCCTGGGTCCTCACTGCCTTCTCTGCCTTGCTAAATGGGGCTTTTCAAAGGACAAACAGAATCTAGGAGAGTTGTCTACAGTCATGGGTTTCCCACTTTCAGGACTAATGTATCAGGCAAGGACAGGGGACTAGGCAAAGATGTGTCCCTGGCTCCCAGTGCTGAGCTGTGAAAAATGCTCATGCTCCATCTTTTGTGTAACCAGACAGGATGTCTTTTTGAAGAGTATTGTGAGATGTTCAGATGATGATACCTTTCAAACCTGCATAACTTAGTTACAACTTTTCCCGTAGGACCCATTTCAACACTGATCCATCAGTTCCATTTTACCTATTGTTATTGAGAATTTGGACTTTTGTTCGAATAAAGGATTAAGAAAATAATTGTTGTGCCTCCAGATGGGATGAAAGTAACCAGATATACAGAATGCAATTTTCTCTGCAAGATTTCCTTGAAGGGAACACCAAAAAAAAAAAAAAAAAAAAAAATACAACCGTTGCCTCTTCCTCTATTTGAAACATTTGAGTAAGTGGTAATAATAATGAGAGTTGTCAGAACCACTAATGGTAATAACGGTCTTACTACACCCAGGTAGTAGTCTAAGCCCTCTAGAGTTGCACGTGCTTAAACAGGTAACCCCCTCAGCCATGCTATGAGGCAGGTGTTATTACTACACCAGCTTTACACAACAGGAAAGTGTGGTGCCCGGAAGCCCAGGTGCTTGCCCGAGGCCACACAACTATTAGGTATCACAGCCAGGGTCTGAACCCAGACAGCCTGGTTTCCGAGTTTACATTCTTAGCCACCATTTTATACTGCATTTTTCCAAATCATATATATTCCTGAAGATGTTAAAAACAGCAAAATAATGGAAAATGCTAAACCGAGGGCATTTCACACTAAGAATTTAGAAACAGTTTTTAAAATTTTTAATCAGTAGATGCTTTTCAAAAATTCAATGATAGCCACAATTCCTTATTTCATCACTAGATCAAAGAAAGGACTAAATCAAATCCAGGGCATTTACAACTTATTTAAATTCATATAGCGTGTGATAGATGAAGGCGGGGTACTACACAACTAGACATTCCACTCACAACAGAGGATCAGAGATAAGCCAACGGCAGGTTGTTAATGTCCCCTTTCTCTCCAACTTTAATTAGCACAAGTACTGTTTTGCATGCATTTCCATAGACAAAATTCTTACATTTAACTAAAATTTAATCCAGCAATGTTAATCCATACATAGCAGATTCAAACCAAACCATGGTTTCTCTGCATATAACCATTACTTAAAAATATATGAAAAAAGTTAATAAAGTTATGTATAGTCAATTAGTTGTTCAAAGTACTTGGTGTGATACAGGATTTTAGCTAGAATACTGAACTCAACAAAGCTCAGGTAAATGGTTATCTAGATCACTGGAGTAGGCAATAACGGATTCTCAATGATTTTAGAGAGTGAGAGATAGGTGTTGAAATGACCATGAACACGGACAGGCTTCACATAAGTAATTTCTAAATACCAAAAATTACTCAGCAGAGGTAATTCTCAAAATTGCTTCACTCATTAAACTACAGACCCTGACTATTAAAGTATACACATATCACCAAAGGACATAATGTATCTCTCAGATATAATAATTTACCTCATCTAATAATGAATGGGCAAGTCTAGATTGAAGAAGAAAAGATTCATGCTCTCAAAGATAAATAAGTTCTAAGGATGCCTCCCCATTTATAACCTTCCAAGGTAAAACAGTGCAGTTCCGTCAGCGATGACAAAGACCAAGCACTAAAACATGAAGAGAAATCATCCTGGGTGAAGCATGAGCTAGTGCTGCTATGGTTGTTTGATCCTAAACTTTCTCATCTGTCCACAACACATTTTTTTCCAGAAGGCTTTCTAATTTATGGTTATGTTGGGGCGTGAAACAGGACCTTTTTTCAACCTGGCTGCGGAGCTGAGCCCATTATGGGCAGGTTTTACTCAAAAGGTGACAAAAGATATGGAAAGATAGGCTCTCCCATCTCTCTCTCTCTTTCTCTCTCTCTCCACTTCTGTCTCCCTCCTATTTCCCCATTCTCTTTCTATGCTTTGTTGATCTCTTACTTTATTTATGTGTTTGCTTGTTTACTTATTTAGTGCTGGAATTCAAGTCCTGTTGACTCAAGCTTTTCTCAAGCTGCTTATGTAGAATCAGGTGAAAAGCTCTCTTCTTGGTGGTCCATGGTATTGGGCCCTCCTGGCTACCCCATCCCTTTCTGGCTGTCCCTTTCCATATTTTCATGGGTGTCTTATTTCTCTACCCTGCTCTGCATGGTAGAGCTCCTCAGCAGTTGCTTCTCTTCTTTGCTGTGTCTGAAATCTCTCTGCAGGCAAGAACTCACCATTTCCAAGGTCTTAAATATCACCTACATACAAATTGTCCCCAATATTCTGTCTCCGGTCTGATCTTTCCTTTAAGCTAAAGACTCGTGTGTTTACAAACATCTGGTTAATTGTTGTCACCAGATACTTCACGGGCATCTCAAACTGAACAAGCCCCATATCCGATCTGAATCCAGTTGTCATCATTTCTGTAAAAGATTCCCCCAAGGGCTCTAATCAGAAGCAAGAAGCTTAACTCCACTACATCCCAAATCCCTCTTTTGGCCCTGTGGATTCTACTTTTAACCTACACTTTCATTCATCCACTTTTCTCCACGTCATCCACCCTGTCTTCATCTGGGCTGCCAGTCCCCCTTGCCGGGGCATTTGCAGAAGCTTCCTACGTATTCTCTCCGCTTCTCCTTCTGCCCCTTACTCTCTATTCTTCACAAAGCAGCCTGGTTTTCTTAAAGCCAATCAGATCATGGCCTTCTCCTGGTATAAATCCACCCCACTACACGTGGAGAAAATTCACTCGTTTCCACAGACAAAACCCAGCACAATCTAGTCCCTGCCGACGTCACTTTGGGCCACTCTCCTCGGAGAATGTACCACACAGGCCCCCTTTCGGCCTTGGAACACACCAGGCTCTCTGCCACCTGAGCTCCTTTGCAAACACTAAACGCAGATGTCCAGCCCCATTTCTTCAAGTCGCTGGCTCCTTCCCTTTCTTCAAATTTTGGTATAAATATTATATCTGTGGACAGGGTTTTCTTTCATCACCTGACTTTCTTTATGTGTTTGGTTTTTGCCCATTTTTTGGTCAGTTTATCCTTACCAGGCTGGAAATTCTGAGAACAGGAACCTATGTGATATCATACCAGTACCGACCAGGGCAGCTGACATTCAGGAAGCATACATTCAAGGAAAGAAGGAATGTCCCTTCTTTACCCCCACAGAACGTAGTCCAGGAAAGGCACCAAAAAAGAACCCGGTGAAATATTTAATGATGATCAGTAAAGGACAAAAGAAAAAGAAAGCGAAAAAGACAACTGGGTAAAGGCTATTTAAGGTGTCAAAAGGTCACATGTTAGGTAGTGACAGAATAGGCAAATTCATATAGACGAGAAGTAGATGTGTGGTTGCCAGGCCTGAGAAGTGGGAAGAAAGATGAGTGACTGCCAAGGGGTACAGGGTTTTCTTCTGGGGTGATGGAAATATTCTGTTAGATAGTGGTGATGGGCCAGGCATGGTGGCTCACACCTGTAATCCCAGCACTTTGAGAGGCTGAAGTGGGCGGATCACCTGAGGTCAAGAATTTGAGACCAGCCTGGCCAACATGGCGAAACCACATATCTACTAAAAATACAAAAAACATTAGTCAGGTGTGGTGGCAGGTGTCTGTAGTCGCAGCTACTCAGGAGGCTGAGACATGAGGATTTCTTGAACCTGGGAGGTGGAGGTTGCAGCAGTGAGTGGAGATCGATCCACTGCACTCCAGCCTGGATGACAGACTGTGAGTCTGTCTCAAAAAAAAAAAAAAAAAAAAGAAGATAGTAGTGACAGCTCTACTACCGTGTGAATATACTAAAAACCACTGAATTAGGTGCTTTTGTGAAAATGTGAACATTACGGTAGGTAAATTACATCTCAATAAAGTTTTTTTTTTTCCTTAAAGACTACATGAGATGAACTAAAAGATGGCTGTATCCCACTCAGCAGAATGTGAGCCCTTCAGAAGCCAGACTCATTGTATTGATCTTTTTATCCGCAGAGCCTAGCACAGTGCTCACTGATTGACTGGAGGAAAGAATAAATGAAGGATGACCTCGATATTAGGGGCTGTCACTTGGAAGCAAATGCTGTAGGAATTAGACAGAACCAGGCTTGGTCAGATCTCATTACAGCAAAGAATGGGCCCTCATGAGAAAATGATTCCACCTCACGGCTATGACAGTTCATGATTCACAAAGGGCTCTTAACACCTGTGAGGGGATGTGATCATCACGCACCAAAGTAAAAGTCCTGTGAGGCGGGCAAGCCAGGGTGTTATCACCTGCACTCTACAGATGAAGAGAAGGAGCCCCACCGAAGTCGGGCACTTGCCTTTAGACACCAAGCATCACGGGGCCCAAGGCCTGTGCAGGACCCTTTGGCCATTTCACCACCCTCATGGGCAGGCTGAGACCCACTTTGTCATAAACATTCACGAAAATGATGACAAAGGTATCATTCAAATGCCAACCTCCATCCTCGGCTCTATGTCTGACAGATGACTTGACCTTATATCATTTAGCCACTTTCTTTCCCCCTGCAGTCATCCACAAAATTGGTGTGATAAGACTTCCTCTGCTTTCTTTACTAGCATGTCGTGAAGATTTAGAGTAGTCTCGCAGAAAGATAAGAAAAACATACGTGCCTCCACATCATCTGCATAGGCTGCACGCTGCCTGGCCCTGCCTCCAGGAATGTCCCCCTCCTGAGGATGGCCAGCTCCTTCCACACCTCCTCAGAGGCCAAACAGATGGCTTGACCCCATTTCACAGGTGGAAAAAAACCCGAGTCCCCTAAACATTAAGTCAGGCTTGCTCACAGGCAGAAAGTGACGAGAGAGCACAGCTGGCTCTCACAGTCCCTCTTCCTGCTTTAAATCCAGTGTGCCTTCCACACCACCCTGCCTCCACACACTTCACATTTGGGTAGGACCCTGAATTTCCAGACAGTGACGCTCCTCACCCTCTTTCCAGGACTCGGCAGGGTGTGCTGTGCCCCACCCGGGAATGCTACCTCCCTTTCCACAAAGAGGGAACCCACCCTGTAGACACTGGGTGCCAACTGTGACAGCACCTCCAGACAGCTGCAGCTGTCTGCCTCTCATCTGTTTAGCATGTTTTGCCCTGTCTTTGTACGACTGCCTTGATCTTTCCAGTTTACAGCCTCCTCATGGCCCCAGCCCTAAGGTGCACGAATGCCCTGGGTGGGACACACACCCTGTGACTCTTCTTGACCTCCAAGCACATCCCTTTCTCCCTAGGGTTCCTTCTAGACGGCAGCTTTCCCCCTCCTCCTTTGTGGGGGAGAAGGTAACTTTGACAGTCAAGATTTCCACCAAGGCCGGGCGCGGTGGCTCACGCCTGTAATCCCAGCACTTTGGGAGGCCGAGGCGGGTGGATCATGAGGTCAGGAGATTGAGACCATCCTGGCTAACAAGGTGAAACCCCGTCTCTACTAAAAATACAAAAAATTAGCCGGGCGCGGTGGCCGGCGCCTGTAGTCCCAGCTACTCGGGAGGCTGAGGCAGGAGAATGGTGTGAACCCGGGAGGCGGAGCTTGCAGTGAGCCGAGATTGCGCCACTGCAGTCCGCAGTCCGGCCTGGGCGACAGAGCGAGACTCCGTCTCAAAAAAAAAAAAAAAAAAAGATTTCCACCAAAACACCCTGAGATAAGACCAGATAAGACCAGGCTTGTCATGAGAGAGAGTTCCCAAGGAGCATGTATGGGTTGAGTCCCACTGACCCTTGGCTTTCCACAGGGGTACAGGTGAGATGTATCCTGCAGTGTCACCAGAAGCAGCTCTTAAGGACCCTGCCCTGGGTCTGGGTCATGAATTAAACAGCATTACAAAGTTTTCTTAATTTTTGACTCCAGCAGTACCCCCTTAGAGTCCAAAGTACATTTGCTTTTGAGGGAATTTTGCACTTCGGGAGTGACTTCCAGAAGAAAATGTCAGTGCAAGGAGGTATTTGTCAGAGGAACAAATGACCTGTGTTTGGGGAGAGTAGCACTGACACTAATAGTCCAGAAAAAAGCTAGTAAAAGTCACTTATATTTGACTGTGAAACAAACTATCTAGCAGATACACAGGCAGCAAAAATGTCTCTCTTAGGAGCCAACAGCAGTGGGACTCACTTGAGTTTCCCAAGGACATTACAAATGGGATGGAAGTAAAGGAGAAGGGAAGGATGGAGGGGGCATATCTACTTACAAGGTATCACCAACCAAGGGCTGAAAATTCATTATGCAAAAACTACCTAAAACATACAAAGTTCCAAATGAGCTGAGAAACAGCTGGCTGTGAATACTAATGTGTGCTCATGTAGACAATTGGAGAACACCGTGAGCAGAGGTGGGGTCACAATCCCACCACACCATGCGTACTTCACGGTTTAGACAGGGTTTCCACATGTATATTCAATTTATCAAATAAACGCACCCAATCCTATTTCCCAGACACTGGTGAGGTGGCCAGCATTATTTCCATTTGATATATACCCTTATCTCAACTTCCTTGAGAATAGCTAACTGATCTTCCCAAGGTCACACAGCGACCACGTGGCAGGGCCGGGACTGAAACCTGTTTTCTGAGTCTCGATCTAGTGTACTTAGTCTCACACCATCTCCCCAGAACAAACCATGTGCTATTATTTATATATTCATCCAAGAAACACTTATCTATTTGTTCAATAAATATTCACTACTTAGTATGACCAGGTGCTGTTTTAAGTTGCTGGGCCTTCAAAAATAAAACCT
The DNA here is from genome assembly GCF_000001405.40 of Homo sapiens. Classification (NCBI taxonomy): domain Eukaryota; kingdom Metazoa; phylum Chordata; class Mammalia; order Primates; family Hominidae; genus Homo; species Homo sapiens. Next base: position 3,655,628 of record NC_000007.14, on the reverse strand, counting down.
TTTCCTCATTTCTGGGATTACAATTAGCAGCAAATAAGCAAGTGTATGTAAGAGGGATAGACAGATATATAAGACAGCCATAGGAAAGATATGATTTACTAGCACATTTTATATACATACATACATATATATATATATATATATATATATATATATATATATATATATATATATATATATTTGTTTTGTTTTGTTTTTAGACAGTTGCGCTCTTGTTGCCCAGGCTGGAGAGCAATGCTGCGATCTCGGCTCACCGCAACCTCCACCTCCTGGGTTCAAGTGATTCTCCTGCCTCAGCCTCCCGAGTAGCTGGGATTACAAGCACCCGCCACCACGTCTGGCTAATTTTGTATTTTTAGTAGAGACAGTGTTTCTCCATGTTGGTCAGGCTGGTCTTGAACTCCCAACCTCAGATGATCTGCCTGCCTCAGCCTCCCAAAGTGCTGGGATTACAGGTGTGAGTCACCTGCCTGGCCTTTAGTACATACTATTATATGCATTTAAAATGCCTCTTGATTGTGATCATTGCCATTTCAAAATATAATGTGGGTACAGATTTAAGAGCCAAAAAAAAAAAAAGCAAGCTATGATTCAACTAACACATTCCAGGCCTGGCAACTTCAGAATTTATTGTTCATTAAAACTGTATTTTAATTATCCTAGTTTTAATTAAAGTATTATGTAGAGTTGGTGAACTGCAATTATGTGCAACTGACTTCAGATGTATAATGGGCTAATATTGGTAAAGAAATGCATTATTGTCACAAGATATGCTCATGTGAAATGAAGTATTTTATTTCCAGTGAAAAATTGGTACATAGAATATTAAACTCCTGTCATTTAAGTTAGATACTACATGGCCAACTCGAATGGAACCAAGCAATTCTACGATCCCCATCCCCCATGCTCTTGGGCTATTCACTTGGCACAGAAACGTTTCTCTATCTGTGATGTGCCCTTTCTCCTGAAGCAGCAGGGACAGTGTCATCTACCTGCAGACAGGTGCCCAACAAGCATCACCAAAAGAGAAGACACTTGAGTGACCTTCATTAAGTCCAACTGCGTCATGTGATGGTGTAGATGTCAAACTTACTGTGGGCAACAGCCCATATCCTGACCTATTATTGCTTATAAGGTAACCCTTTATCGCACTACCTGACAATCTGAAAGAAAACACGAAATCCTCACAAGCATCGGAGTCCACCTCTCGCTCTGCACGGTGAGGCTCTGGAATAAAGCGCGGTGACAGGGAGCTCATCAGCAGTCTGCAGACTATTCATGAAAGCAATGTGGCGCTTTCCATCTTCTTACTCACGTTGAGGGACACTAATTTGCCCCAGGATAAGAGCAGTTCAGACAAGGGGACTCCCGCTGTGCCCCATCTTCCTGGATGTGGTGAGAACAACAACGAAAAGAACTTTCTAGATTTTACAAACCAGCATTTGGAGGAGCAGTGTGACATTTACAGAAGCACGGTGGGGCACAGGGGCTGCCCATGGCTCCAGCATATTCTCTACACCAGGGTCCTTCCTCCCACGTCCTCTCTAAGTTACAGAGACAGCTACGTGCACTGCCAGCCAGAGAGCCACAGAAAGATGAACGTTTTTTACCTGAACACCCCTGCATACCTTTTTTGAGGGGCGGCATATAGCATATACTCTCCATCTCTGAACATTACTTGGCAAACCACTTTCTTGCTCATTCTCTTCTGTTAAATCTCACAACTGCTCCAGGAGGAAGAGATCATCCTCTCTGCTTCATAAGTGAAGCTGAAGTGCAACAGAGCAGAAACCCACTAGGTGAGATTCTAAGCTGCAAGGTCCTGCAGCCAAATACCCAAAGGAGCAGCTCCAGAAGGCCTTCACTTTGTCTAGTCTAGCTAGAGCAAACCCTCATCACAGCTGTGAGCCAGCACTCCCAACCCGTTTCTCCTCTTCCACCTTCCAAATCCCAGTTCCTCTGAGGCCCATGTGATTGGGATGCGTTTATTCTCAATGCTGTTCCCTACTGAGGTTCTAATTCCTCCTTCCCTCTCCATTTCCTGAGGACTGTAGCCCTGGAATCCCTACCTTCCTCCACTGGCTTCTCCTGCCACCCTCCCTGGTGGCTTTACATCCATGTTACCATCTACTCTAACACTGTGGCCTTGGAGTCTTACACTTCTCACCACCACTGATCTGCCCCTCCATGCAATCTTGGCCCCCATCCTCATGGTCTCTCCCTAAACCTTGTCAATCCCAACAAAAGTGCCATTCTAAGTCTAGATTTCAAATACCCCAAGTGACAACCGAGTTTTTCAAGAAAACAGAACGCCTACAACAGCTTACACGTGGACCCTGGAGTGAGGAGGGAAGGGGAAAGCACAGAGGAAGGAGGGGTGACCCACAGGATGACTTCAGAGAGGCTGCACGAAGCTATGTGTCACCTAACAGTCAGCTGGGGTGGCGTCAGTAATCTGTCTGCTGATCCACCTGCACTCAAGCATTCGCTGATTCCCTAAGGATTCAAGCTCACCCCACACAAGTTTAAGCCTGCGACTTTTCTCATCTGCGTCACCAGATTCCTTCCAAGTGGGGGAGAAGTCCACTGTTTGGCACTGAATGGAATAGCCAAAGTGAGGAAGAGAGGACGTGAGGTGCTCAGTCCACCCACTTCTTTGCCCACTGCAATTATTCTTCCAGTCAATAGACTCCTGCAGTCTTCTGATTCTATCCTACTGGAACATCCTTCACCTCCTCTCTTATAAAGCTCGGAGACAATCGAGACTCATCACTCCCTTGCAGACAGCCTCAACATGACCCTCGCTTCTGAATTCCACATGGTAGTTAGGCTACACTTCAACCTTGTGTGAACCCAATCAGCTGCCTTCTCTACAGTGGCATCAGAACTTCCAAACTTTACTGAAGATATCCATCACCACAAACTGCAACTGTGCCCTTGCTCTCAAAAGTCCCCATAAGTCTGGCATGTTTCCCTAGTTCGCTTCTGACTGTCTGAATGATAACCTAATACTCTCTCTTCTCACACCAGCCCTCACTCTAAACTTCTAAACTCATCCCCATATTCATAGAGAAAATAAAAATCCACGAGAAATCTCTCAATTTTCCACAAGCACGTTTACCAAACCACATGCATCCGTGCGCATATTCTGGCTCCGTCCTGTTAGAGTGGAAGCTGTGAGGCCATGAGGGGCCACCGCATGCCACCATGAAGGCCGTGCCACATGACTCCAGGCCCTCCTTCCCAGGCTTGTCTGTGCATGTCCAGGTCACATTTGCCAGGACTTTGTTCCCCCTGGCATCCTCACTCTCTCCTGGCTCTTCACATTCTCCTTCTCTACTGGAGAACTTCCATTAATACATAAATAATAGCTGGGATCCCCCATGGTAAGAAAAAACCAGCTCTCTTGACTTCGTGTCCTCAGAGACACGCGCGGTTTCTCTGCAGCCGCTCACAAGAAAAATGCCCAAAGAGTTGTCTCAACTTGCTGTCTCCACTTCCTCATCTAATATCTAAATATTTAAACACTCCAATTACTAAATATTTCCTAACTAGAGAACATAAAACGGAGGCCAATATTTCTAACCCTGCATTGCCTTCTAGATTCAGTATCCTTCTTCCTCAAACTCATTCATAGATCCTTCAGCAATCTTCTCGGAAATATAAATTCTCAGGCTTGTCTGAAAATACCGTCCTGTCTCCCCGACTTGGGATCGTTGGCTTAGCTGACACGGAACTCCATGGCAGCAGTTCCATCCCTTGGCGTTCGAAGACATCATTCCCCTCTGTTCTCTATTACTGCTCTCAGCTATCTTCTGATTGCCGTTCCTCTGAGGCAACCTGAATTACATGTATGGTTGTCTTAAGGTTTCTTCTTTGTCTTTGATGTTCTGCAGTTACACCATAATATGTATAGATTTGGATTTACTTTATTTATCTTACTTGGAGCTCATTCTGCTTCTGGACTGTGAAGAGTCATCATCTTAGGAAACGTCATAGCATTGGTCTCTGCATAGTATCTATCCCCCATTTTCTCCATCGGACGTCTATTGATTACTCTGTCCTCTAGATCTCTTGGCCTTCCTTCTAGATTTTCCATATTTTTTCCTCTGTGTTTTATTCTGAGTAATTTCTTCAGATCAGAACAATAAGTCTCACTTTAGCTGCATATTGTCTGCTCTTTCACCCATTCAACTGACTTTTCAAATAAATGAACACATTTCTCACAACAAGAAGTTTGCTTTTTTCTAATTTCATTCTTTTTAAAATCAGCACATTAAGAGATGTTCAACATCATTAGCCATTAGAGAAGTGAAAATTTAAAAACACAAGAAGATATCATTATACACCTATGAGAATGACTAAAATAAAAAATCATGACAACACCAAATGCTAGTGAGGAAGCAGGGAAACGCAATCATTCGTACATTGCTGGTGGGATTACAAAATGGTACAGCCACTCTGGAAAACAGTTTGGCATTTAAAAAAAAAAAAAAAACTAAAACTAAACATGCAAATACCATACAGCCCAGTCATTCCACTCCTGGGCATGTGTGTGTATGAACACAATGAAGTCTTATGTTCATGCACAGAAAAAAGGAACAAGAATGTTTATAGCAACTTTATTCATCATGGCCAAAAACTGGATACAATCCAGATTGCTTTCAACAGGTGAATGATTATAAACTACACATTATGGCCACACCAAGAAACACTAGACAACAACAACAGGAAACCAACTAGGCTTCAGACAATAACCTGGATGAATCAGGGAATTATACTAAGTTAAAAAAAAAAAAAAAACCAATCCCCACAGGTCACATACTGCATGATTCTGTCTACACAACATTCTTGAGATGACAAAACTTTAGAAAGGAAAAGCAGATTAGTGATTATTAGGGCTTAAGAAGGGGATGAGGGCAAGAGGAAAGTAGTTATGGCCATAAAAGGTTAATAAGAGAAATCCTAGTATTGACAGAAACCTTCTGTTTGTTGATGTATCAAAGTCAGTATCCTGGTTGTGATACCGTAACACAGTTTAACAAGATCTCAACACTCAGGAAAACTAGCTACAAGGTACATAAAATCACCCTACATTATTTCTTTTGACTGTATGTGAACCTACAATTATCTCAGATACTACGTTTAATTAAAAATAGGTGGAAAAGGATAAATGCCATATGATTCCATTCACACAAGATAATTAGAGTAGTCAAATTCATAGAGACAGAAAGCAGAACAGTGGTTTCCAGGGACTAGGGGAAGGAGGGAGTGGGGAGTTATGTTTAACGGGTACAGAGTTTCACAAGATGAAAAGATGTGCTGAAGATGGATGATGGTGATGATTGCACAACACTGTGAATGGACTTAGTGCCACTAACTATACTTAAAAGTGGTTAAAATAATTAATCTTAGGCCAGGGATGGTGACTCACACCTGTACTCCCAGCGCTCTGGGAGGCCAAAGCAGGAGGACGGCTTGAGCCCAGGAGCTTGAAACTGCAGCGGGCTATGATCATGCCATGGCAGTCTAGCCTGGATGATAAAGTGAGACCCTATCTCTATTTTTTTTAAACTATGTTTTACCACAATTTTAATTGCCTTTTTTTTTTTTTCAAAACAAAAAATAGCAACCTCTTCCAAAGACTTCCCACTGTGTACAGAATAAAATCGATTCCTTCCCAGATTCAGGGGATACAGGGTCAGAGTCTCTTTCAGTTTAGCAAATACATCAAGCTCTTTTCTGTTTCTGGCCTCTGTGCCTAGAACACTCATCCTCTGGGGCTCTACAGGGCTGGCTCCTTCCCATCTTGCAGACATTAACCTGGGAGAACAGCCTCATATACACGGTGGAACGGTGTGGACTTAGGAGTCAAGTGGCTCCCACGCCGGCCAACTGCTGGCCTCTCTCTGCCTTAGTTCTCATCAGGAAAGCCACGATAATAACAGTACTAAACCGCTGGGCTGCCGTGAAGATTAAGTGAATTGTTATAAATAAAATCCTTAAAACAGTGCCTGGCACTCAAAAATCATTAATTATTATTATTATTAAGGATCACATTGAGAATACCACAGAAATGATGTTGAATGAATGAAGCTAGAAAAAGGATTTCATATTCAATGATGTCATTTGTGTGAAATTCTAGAGCAGGTCATCTAGCCTGCAGTAATAGAAATTAGACAAGCAGGAGGGCAGAGCTGCAGGAATGCATACCAACAGCAGGAGGGGCCCACGAACTCTCTTGATTGGGATGGCAATTTCTTCTGTGCACATATTTATTGAAATTCATCCATCTATGAACTTTGAAAATGCGCATTTTGTTATATACAAATTATAACTCTATAAGGTGTTTTTTAAAATGTCACCTCCACAGAGGACCTGTCCTTAGTCACTCAATTCAACCCCCTCCAGCTTAGGACTCTCTTCCCACCCATCCATGTCTTCTCAGCGTGGCAGCACGACCCTCACCCCAAAGTGTCCTGTGTATTACCTGCTTCATATCAGAACACACCCACTGAGGGGCACACGTGGGATGCCTCAATTCCCCTTTCTGTCCCTGGCAAGCAGAACAGTGGCTGGCACTAATTAAGTGCTCAGGAAATGTCCATGGATGCATGAAGGAAGAAAGAGAGGGAGGGGAAGAACAACTGCCATGGCACCCCCTTCCTTAACAGCAGCACTGAACATTAATACCAGAAAGGATTGCAGAAGTGATTAGAAAACCCTTTTCATCGACATGGCAAAATGGAGGCAAAGGGAGAATAAGTAATTTTCCCAAGGTCAGAATTACGGTGAAAGCAGGCCTGGAACCCGTATCTACTCGTCTGTTTTACTTATACCAAATATGGCTCGGTTCACACATATACTCTATAAACATTCACAAAATGCCTATAAAATATAAAATTTTAAAAGCACATTATTTTGAAAGCCTAGTTAACTATAAAAACATTATTACAACCAGATCTACTTCATTCGAGCATTAAGTTGTGACTTCCAATGCAAGCGCTAATTTAAACAAATCTTTCTTGAAGAAATTGAAATGAAATGGTAATAAGTTAATGGATGTTCAAGTATTTAAGCATGGACAATTATGAATCAGACTGTTTCTGAGTCACCTGGGATGCTGTTTACTGCCCATACTTCACAATCCAGATCATTACTGGCAAGTTGTCTATTGCAAAGCTGACTGAAGGTTTGAAACATTCATCTATAAACTTTGCATTTCCAGGAAAAAAACATTCAAGAATACTTGTGCTTGCACATTCCTGTCAGGTAGGCTACAGGATGCAATTTGAGCACAAGAACCTGCAATTAAGCACAAGAATGGCACTGTACAGAGTTAAGATTTTGTGTTCTAATCTGATAACTACCAACATAAATAACGTCGTGGAGGAAAGAGAAGTACAGCATGGCATCGATATTCACATTTCATATTTTGAGAAATAAATGGAAATAAAGAAAATATATCTAAACCAAAATAACACAGAACAATTTTATTATCAAATTAGACTGTATTTATATGACAAAGCTAAGCTCATCTTTGATATGCAAAGATAGCAAACTTTGGACTCAGTAAATCAGAAAAATAAATGTATGGGGTTTTCAACTTCTCAGATAAAACCTGTAATTACCTATTCAAATTCTGAATATAACTTATTTTCAATTCTCTCAATATACTGTTCGTCTTTCCAAGATATTTTTTCTGCCTCATCAACAGCGTTTTTCCTTGAGGTTTGTTCTCATTTTTTTTCCCCTTCTGCTGAAGATGTCTGTGGACATTACACGACTTTTCTTCACATTCATTCATCCAGCCATTCCAGCACTGTGTATCTCCTATGCATACCAAGAGGCCAAATGTAGGTAGAAAAACAAAAACATTTTAGGTGGTCAAAACCACCTAAAACTGGCCGGGCACGGTGGTCTGTAATCCCAGCACTTTGGGAGGCAGAGGCGGGTGGATTGCCTGAAGTCAGGAGTTCGAGACCAGCCTGGGCAACATGGTGAAACAAAGTCTCCAATAAAAATACAAAAAAAAATAGCCAGGCATAGTGGCGCACGCCTGTAATCCCAGGTGCTCTGGAGGCTGAAGCACGAAAATCATTTGAGCCCTGGAGTTGGAGGTTGCAGTGAGCTGAGATCATGCCACTTCAACTTCACTCCAGCATGGGAGACAGAGCAAGACTGTCTCCAACTTTCAAAACAGAAAAGAGCTTGATGTATTTGCTAAACTGCAAGAGACTCTGGCCCTGTAGCCCCAGAATGTGGGAAGGAATCTGGATTTTAATCTGTACACAGTGGGAAGTCTTTGGAAGACGTTATTTTTTGTTTTGGAAAAAAAAAGACAATTAAAATCGTGGTAAAATATAATTTAAAAAATAGAGAGAGGGTCTCACTTTACCATCCAGGCTAGACTGCTATAGCGTGATCACAGCTCACTGCAGCTTCAAGCTACTGGGCTCAAGCCATCCTCCTGCTTTGGCCTCCCAGAGCGCTGGGAGTACAGGTGTGAGCCACCATCCGTGGCCTAAGATTAATTATTTTAACCACTTTTAAGTATAGTTAGTGGCATTAAGTGCATTCACACTGTTGTGCGATCATCACCATCATCCATCTTCAGCACATCTTTCCATCTTGTGAAACTCTGTACCCATTAAACATAACTCCCCACTCCCTCCTTCCCCCAAGTCCCTGGCAACCAATGTTCTGCTTTCTGTCTCTATGAATTTGACTACTCTAATTATCTTGTGTGAGTGGAATCATAAGGTATTTAACCTTTTCCACCTATTTTTAATTAAACATAGTATCTGAGATAATTGTAGATTGTCTCTACTTTCAAAACATACCAGCCTCTGACACTTTTCAACCCCTCTATGCAAACCCAGGTTAATCCATGTCTTTTCAAGTTGAAAGCTGGTCTTCTAAATGATGAGAAAGACTAGAGCAATGTATGGAAAAAATAATCAAAAACATAAAAAATTATCAGCCAATAAAGTGGAAAGAATCAGGCTGATCCAGAAGTGAGCATGAGACTGAGTGTCAGGCAGACCCGGGTGTGAACCCTGGCTCTGTGTGTATTGGCTGGGGGCCCTGGGGTAAGTAATTTAACATCCATAATCTTCCATTCTGATAACTATACATAGAGCTAATTATACCTGCCTCAGAAGGCAATTGTGAGGATTAGAGAAGATATGTTTAAAGTAGGTACTCAATAAATAATAGCTCCTGTTAAGATTATTAATAGGATATTCAACTTATTTTTCAAGTTAGAAAACATTAGACTTACTGTTTCCCTTGAAAATGAAAAAAAAAATCATTTAATTATAAGCCTAAAGCCCACATTTTAAAGGCAGATAATGAGGTAATGTTTAAACATGGAGGTGGGGAGAGAAAATGAACTGCTTTCACCACATGACAAAGGTGCACGTATTAGGGAACCAAACTCACACAAGGAGGTTAAAAATAGGTGCAGAAAGGCTGGGTGTGGTGGCTCACGCCTATAATCCCAGCACTCTGGGAGGCCGAGGTGGGTGGATCACAAGGTCAGGAGTTCGAGACCAGCCTGGCCAGCATGGTGAAACCCCATCTCTACTAAAAAGACAAAAATCAGCTGGGCATAGTGGGGTGCGCCTGTAATCTCAGCTACTCAGGAGGCTGAGGTAGGAACATCGCTTGACCTCGGGAGGCAGAGGTTGCAGTGAGCCTAGATTGGGCCACTGCACTCCAGCCTGGGCAACAGAACAAGACTCCATCTCAAAAAATAAAAATAAAAAAAAAATAGGTGCAGAAACTTCACCTGCATTTCAATATGTGGGAAGCACCTTGAGTCAAATGCTCTAGTTTTTAAATGGCATCTCTGTGGGTATATAACAAATATGATGCCATCTGACTTGTGCTACCAATCCCGTGGGTGCGAGGAATGCAGAGATACCCTCCCATCTTCAGTCAAAAACTGTACTTTCTTAGACATGGAAAGCAATATATTGGGTTTTCGCATCTAGATTTTTTAATTTTTAAACAGGTAAACTTTTTATTAGTGCATAATAGATGTACATAGTTTCAGGGTACATGTGATCATTTAATATTCATATAATTTGTAAAGATCAAATCAGTGTACTTGGGATGTGAAAGCTATATGTCTTTGGACGATGTATAAATTTGTGGAGAAAAACACATATCCATACTGATTTATGTAATCTTGCACAGCAGGTACTTAATAGACTTGGGGTGATGATGAGGTGGAAAATACGAAACTAAAGGGCCTTGTAAAAGTGTAAATATCCATAATCAGCCTCATCTCATCTCTTTAAAAAATGGTATACTGCATTATTTTCCTGAGATTAGAGATTTACCAACAGCTTCATGCTTGTAAGCAGACCATTTGTTTGATATTACACCAAGTTAAAGCCCTTCTAGCATCTTTACTTTATTAGCTCACCAGGAATTAAACAGGCTTTAGCATGTATTTGCAAGTTTAAAAAATTTATGAAATTAAGTTCTTTCATTCTATACCCTGTCATACTCGTGAATAAGTGCTGTCTCATGCATATAGTGAGAACACAGGTTAACAGGTAGATTAATACAGACTTATTTGCTGCTAAGTTGAAAGAATTCTTCCACCATGAATTTTGCTGCCACTGACGTTAATTAAAAGCTCCAGTGCTTGAGAGGAAAGCCTAATTCAATCTAACTCCCCCCATCCCTGGTACCAATTCTCCCCCAACATTTATCCTAAGTTTGCCTGGTCATACTGTGGTCAGCACTGGAAACTTCTAGAATATTTATACAAGAATGTATCTTGCCTGCCACCCCCTGCCCCGCCGTTGTTGTTGTTTTTTGTTTTTTTTTTTTTTTTTTTGGAGACAGGGTCTTGCTCTGTCACCCAGGCTGGAGTACAGTGGCACCATCGTAGCTCACTGCAACCTCCAACTTCTGGCCTCAAGCTATCTTCCTACCTCAGCCTCCCAAGTAGCAAATAGCTAGAAATACAGGTTCGTGCCACCACACCCAGCTATTTTTTTTTAATTTTCAGTAGAGATAAGGTTTCAGTATGTTGCCCAGGCTGTTTTTAAACTCCAGATTGCTTTAAACTCAAGCAATCAGCATCCTAAAGTGCCGAGATTACAGGAACAAGCCACCGCAAATGGCCCTTACCTGCCTTTTTAAAGCCTAACAGTCTACTAAGAATGAAAAATTGATCCTTCATTTTTGTTTCATCGAAACTCGAGGCATCTTTTATTATTGGAATCAATATAAAGGTGGATACCTAAGTAACTTGTAATTAAATAAAGAAAAAAGGATAGCAATTATCCCATCTTCTAAGGTAACTGGTATTTTTACTAGAATTTTAAAATATGCTGCATGCATATATATATATATATATATATAAATTTTTGTTCCCAATAACCAAAATAGAAACATTTGTGAAATAAGCTTAAGTGGTGGCTCATGCCTGTAATCCCAGCACTTTGGGAGGCCGAGGCAGGTGGATCATTTGAGGTAAGGACTTCGAGACTAGCCTGGACACATGGTAAAACCTCACCTCTGCTAAAAACACAAAAATTAGCCGGGGATGGTGACACACACCTGCAGTCCCAGCTACTCAGGAGGCTGAGGCAGGAGAATCGCTTGAACCTGGGAGGGAAAGGTTGCAGTGAGCTGAGATCACGCCACTGTACCTCAGCCTGGGTGACAGAGGGACTCTGTCTCAAAATAATAATTATTAATTATAAGTATTATATAATTATTAATAGTAATAATAATAATTATTATTATTTAGGTTCCAGCCAGATCCTGGTCCAGAACTAGAAGACTGGAGACATGGGGCTTAGGGAAAGGATTCCACAGATGCTCAGGTGGGGGTGGGAGAGGAGAATCACCAGGTTTAGGGAAGGAATTCCACAGATGCTCAGGTAGGGGTGGGAGATGAGAATCATGAGGTTTAGGGAAGGGATTCCACAGATGCTCAGGTGGGGATGGGAGAAGAGAATCAGGAGGCTTAGGGAAGGGATTCCACAGATGCTCAGGTGGGGGTGGGAGAGGAGAATCACCAGGTTTAGGGAAGGGACTCCACAGATGCTCAGGTGGGGGTGGAGACAAGAATCACGAGGTTTACGGAAGGAATTCCACAGTTGCTCAGGTGGGAGTGGGAGAGGAGAATCACCAGGTTTAGGGGAAGGATTCCACAGATGCTCAGGTGGGGGTAGGAGACGAGAATCAACAGCTTTAGGGAAGGGATTCCACAGATGCTCAGGTGGGGGTGGGAGACGAGAATCACCAGGTTTAGGGAAAGGATTCCACAGATGCTCAGGTAGGGGTGGGAGATGAGAATCACGAGGTTTAGGGAAAGGATTCCACAGATGTTCAGGTAGATGAGAATCATGAGGTTTAGGGAAGGGATTCCACAGATGCTCAGGTAGGGGTGGGAGACAAGAATCATGAGCCTTCAGGAAGGGATTCCACAGATGCTCAGGTAGGGGTGGAGAGGAGAATCATGAGATTTAGCGAAAGGATTCCACAGATGCTCAGGTAGGGTTGGAGATGAGAATCACAAGGCTTCGGGAAGGGATTCCACAGATGCTCAGGTAGGGGAGAGAGCAGGTGGGTTCCCACAGTGACTTTCACAGTTAGATGTAAAATCTATTTGGCAAATGACCTCACACATATTCTTTTTGAAAAAGCACAACAATAGTATTTGCTCCTGATGAATTTTTATCTGAGTGCAACCACTGGATGGCATAAATATCTGACTTCTGGCCTAAGCTTATAGCATTTCATGATTCTTCTGGAAATGTTCAGCCTTGAAACCTTTATGTTTGGAATATTGTCTTTAAATTAGGTTGTAAAATGTCCAGTTATGAAATATATACCAAGTGTTCTTTTTAATCACTTAAAGCTCCAAGTGAAGAAAACCTGTCGGGCATTAGATAAATATCTTGAATGTGAGATAAGCATTATTTCAAGATGTTCTTGCCTAACTAATCACAAAGCAACTATTCTGCAATAGATGGGTGAACCACTAATTAGATGAAGAGAAATAAAACTGTCATGGTAGGATAAAAGGATAAAGAGAAATAAGCAGTAATTACTGTTTTATCGTCAGAGAAAGCAGTATCAAACATGGCTCAATAAAAGGAGGGGGAAAAAAAACCCCACAGCACTGTAAGTAAATACCAGCACTCATTAAATTAGTACTAGGAGGCAAACCCAACTCAGGGATGACAATGACATCTTAAAAAGTACACTCAGAAAAGAAAAAAATGGACTGCAAAGTTGGGTAAGGCTGCTTTAGTTTTAGGGCATGCAACATTCTGAAGAATAATATTAGACAGTTATTTGCTTAAACTGGTTAAAAATATTCAAGCCAGTCCTCAAATAGCTGTTTATTAAAAATTAGGATAGGACTCCTAGACTAGTTTGCTCTTTTTAAATCATCGGTAACCTTAATTGGTACACTTACTGTGTAGATGGTGCCAGCAAGTGACATTACAATTGTATTTGAAGCTTTAACGTTTGGAGCAACTTACATTCTGTTGCTTGGAATAATCTTGTGCCCTTCTCTAAACCAAGTCACTTGAGGTCTGGGGTAGCTGGTGATGGGCAGCAGGTTTAGAATCGCTGCACGTCCTTGAGAAACTGTTTTCCTCTGGTCCGTATCCATGAAACTTCCCATATCTGCAGAGAAAAAGAAGTGCTTTCAAGTTCTAGAAAACATTTTTGGGGGAGGGAAGGGGTCACAGATGGAAACAGGTAAGTGTTACAGTAAAGTCACTGATGCTGCCACATTTCACACCAGGACGAGCGAGACTGCACGGCAGCGCTGACCAACGCGGATCTGCTTGCGAGTGAAGCACCGGGCAAGCCACGCGCCTCCAAAGCGCCCACGCTGCACATTCCTCAGCAAAGCCACATGGTCTTTGTCCTACCTGACAATACAAGGAAATGTCTGCAACTGTCTGTGACACTGAAATGAAATGCTGAAGCCATCCTAGAGCCACGTGAAGCAGTTTTCTCAGAAACTGTCAGAAAATGTGTCCAGACATCTCCTAGCTCCTAAATCTTTCAAACTCGTTCCAGCCCGGCACCGGCCCTTGCTCTCTTCAGCTTGTTTCCTTCATTTGTGAGGTCACTGTCTCCTGCACAGATCTTTTGGGAGCAATATTTCCTAACCACTGAAGAGTCTATATACTATTCTCCCACTCTCATACTGTTGACTTAATCTGGGGCAACTAGCTTTTGTTCCAGTATTTGTTCTACTGATAAAAAAAATTTAAAAAATGGGGTCATAGGACAAAACATAGCTATTAGAATGTAGGTATAAAAGGCTAATTTTAAAATTTGTAACATTTGAAAATTTTGAATAAGATTCCATATTATGGTCAGATGTAAATATATATACAAACAGATATGGCAAAATAGTGTATTTTTATTTAAACATAAATAAGTTTGAAATAGTCCACAGAAGTGCTCTATTATCAATGTCTTCTTCAGTCAAAAGACATTTTCTATGTGACAGTGTCTAATACTTGAGGGAAAAGATGAAACAAACCAACAAAACAGATTAGAAAAATACTCATAGTTTTTTCAAAAGAAAATGAAATTTGTTATCAAAGCAAAGGAGAAAAGAAAGATTAAAAAAAAAAAATCTAAACGCAGAGCACAGTGGCTCACACCTGTCATCCCAGCACTTTGGGAGGCCGAGGCGGGTGGATCACGAGGTCAGGAATTTGACACCAGCCTGGCCAACATGGTGAAGCCCGATCTCTACCAAAAATACAAAAATTAGCTGGGTGTGGTGGTGGGTGCCTGTAATCCCAGCTGCTCAGGAGGCTGAAGCAGGAGAATCACTTGAACCTAGGAGGCGGAGGTTGCGGTGAGTCAAGATTGTGCCACTGCACTCCAGCCTGGGTGACAGAGCCAGACTCCGTCTCAAAAAAGAAAAAAAAAAATTGAAGAGCTAGAGATACAGAACAGAAACAAAAACATAATTAAGCAAAATTCAGTTTTATAAAACAGAGTTTAATAATTTTGAAGCTCTTCTTAAAATATAATTTAGGTATTCGTCTTCACTCTATTTAATGATTACATTTTCAATCATTCAATTGAATAAAAGTTCTCAATTATTCTGCAACATTCTTCGGCATCACAATTTAGAAAAATTTAAGCCTTCCTAGTGATTTTAAAAAGCATCAAACATGTATAGCATCTCCACTTCACTCAGTCATTAGGCTTATGGTAAAATAACTAGATATTATTTTATTTCATCTACTCACACTGAAAGCTACAAGACTTAATTGGGGTTAAAATGACAAATGAGGAAATTCTGTCATCACCAAATAGTACAGCCCAACTCAGGAGCTCTTTTGTTCTCTAAAGTTTATAATGATATATTAAAATGTAATTTAACATCTTATAACATTTTTTTGCTTACTTTTAAACAAAGAGAAATTTTGGTAATACATTCAAAATATAGTAAAACAAGCCAAGCTCACTCTTGTAATCCCAGCACTTTGGAAGGCTGGATGGAGCAGGAGGATCACTTGAGGCCAGGCATTAGAGACCAACCTGGGCAATGCAGTGCGATCCCTCCCCTACCAAAAACAAAAGAAATTAGCCAGATTAGCCAGGCATGGTGGCACACACCTGTGGTCCTAGCTACTCGGGAGGCTGAGGAGGGAGGATCACTTGAGCCCAGTTCAAGCTTGCAGTGAGCTATGTTTGTGCCACTGCACTCCAGCCTGAGAGACAGAGATAGACCCTATCTCAAACATATATTTATTTATATATATAACATATATATGACATATAATTATATATGTTATGTCTCTATTATATATACACATATGTACATAAAATAAAGCAGACAGTCCATTTTTACTCTTCATAGATTTTGAATTAGAAAAAGGACTAAATACTTTCATAGGCCAAGTTCGCTCTCCTGTTTCTCCTCAAGACTACATGAAAATTTAAGCTTCCTGCATTCTTGATATCTCCTTTGTTTACTTTTAAAAGTTTCGTTCTCCAAAATGGATCTGCTGAATAAAGAATTAATAAATCACTATCACATGAATGCCATCGGGGACGCTCACTATCCATGTACCTTTTGTGGTGCAGCATGATTTCTAAACAAATCGTCACTGGAAAGAACTGACAATGACGAACTTTGACCTAATTGGGTTGAACTTTATACTTTAAAAACATTTTGAATCCAAACATAGTACAAGCTAAGAGCAGCTGATTCCTAAAACAGAAGGCACCCCATTCACTTTTTCGTCCTCCCCAGGGCCTCTTAGGGTCCTGAGTCTTTTCAAATGAAGAAAAGTGCCCTTTGCCTCAACAGCCCCTCACCTGGCCAGCCACGCTGGCTGCTTACTTATCTCTCACTGAGTTTTGCAATTATTCTACTCAAAATAGAACCAAAGATAAACTCTCAGTTCCTACAATGGTGAAAAGTGATTCTGATTGACTCCCCAGCGACACTTTGTTCTTTAACATTTGGACATCTCCTTACTGTACACATACATGCGACTTGAACTTCTGATTTTCTTTGCAGGAGTGCTCCCATTCTGTTTCGCACCACGCAGCGGTAAAACCCAGCATCGAGCTTCTGCAAAGATGGAATAATGTACCTGTTGAATAGCAAAAAGAAGTGTTAATGCTTATATCCAGTGTTTCATGGTTATATCTAACCATCAGATGCTATTTTATCAAACAGCACTGGCATCTCATCTAGTATATGCTCAACAAATATTTTATTTTTGGTAACCTAGTATCTGTGCAATCCTTCCCTAACCATGACACTAACTAGAACCACCATTTATTTCTTTTTTTTTTTAAATTTTATTATTATTATACTTTAAGTTTTAGGGTACATGTGCACAACGTGCAGGTTAGTTACATATGTATACATGTGCCATGCTGGTGTGCTGCACCCATTAACTCGTCATTTAGCATTAGGTATATCTCCTAATGCTATCCCTCCCCCCTCCCCCCACCCCACAACAGGCCCCGGTGTGTGATGTTTCCCTTCCTGTGTCCATGTTTTCTCACTGTTCAATTCCCACCTATGAGTGAGAACATGCGGTGTTTGGTTTTTTGTCCTTGTGTTAGTTTGCTGAGAATGATGGTTTCCAGCTTCATCCATGTCCCTACAAAGGACATGAACTCATCATTTTTTATGGCTGCATAGTATTCCATGGTGTATATGTGCCACATTTTCTTAGTCCACTCTATCACTGTGGGACATTTGGGTTGGTTCCAAGTCTTTGCTATTGTGAATAGTGCCACAATAAACATACGTGTGCACGTGTCTTTATAGCAGCATGATTTATAATCCTTTGGGTATATACCCAGTAATGGGATGGCTGGGTCAAATGGTATTTCTTTATTTCTGAGATTATCGCACTGATACCTGTCTCCCCAACTGGGCTTTAAATATCACCCAAAGCTAGGATCTACTTCTGTCTTATTCATCACTGTAACCATGGTATCTAGCACAGTGCCATGCACACAGGAGATATAACTCACAACTGGTTGAATGAGAAAGGTTATATAATTAAAAGTCACTGCATTTAAACTAGCCCTCTCAATCAAAAATCGTTTATAATTCTCTCTCTGTAGAACATCAGAATTTCCAAAGATTCCTAGAACTGGCAACAGTCTTAACACGATGTCTTGTGTCACTCCACAGGAAGAGGCAAACAACACTTTCAGGATGAGATACAGAACTCGTCAAGGCAGAGAAAGCAATGCCATCAGGGCGTCTCTCTCCAGTCACCAATGTGGACATCTCTCAGCACAATGTATTCACTTCCTTTCCTTACTTCTCCACGTATTCCCTGATGTTAACTTTAAAAACTTTTTCAGAGGTTAAAAAGTCATTTCCTTTGGATTTTCCACTTCTGTAACTGTAAGTAATCATCCTTCAAATCCATGCCTGTCTAAATTTTTTAGTACAATTTCAAAGGAAAAAAATAATTAAAAGATACAGTTTCTATAAAAGCCTTGCCTTAGGTTTACTGCTGGTTTTGTAAATTAGGATGTTTTAAAATCCACCAGCAAGTAAAGATAGGTAACCAACCGCCACTCGAAATGCGTCTTACAACTCCGGAGCCCACAACTTCTAAGCTGCCCAAGATGGTAGAGTAATTGAGTTCTCAGCCACGTTCACAGACAAATTAAGAGTAAGGTGTGAGCAAACTATATAGCTAAGAGCTAATATCCAAAATACAGGAGAGGCCAGACGTGGTGGCTCTTGCCTGTAATCCCAGCAATTTGGGAGGCCGAGGCAGGCAGATCACTTGAGGCCAGGAGTTTGACACCAGCTTAGCCAACATGGTGAAACCCAGTCTGTACTAAAAATACAAAAATTAGCAGGTGTGGTGGCACACGCCTGTAATCCCAGCTACCTGGGGGGCTGAAACAGGAGAATCACTTGAACTCGGGAGGCGGAGGTTGCAGTGAACTAAGATTGCACCACTGCACTCCAGCCTGGGTGACAGAGCAAGACACTCTCTCAAAACACACACACACACACACACACACACGCGCGCACGCACTCTCTCTCTCTCTCTCTCTCTGCATCAGGAAAAAAAAGCTTAAAAAAACAACTTAATTTTAATAAGGCAAAGATACTAGACAGACATTTCTCCAAAGCCACAGAAATGGTCAACAGGTATATGAAAAAGAGCTCAATGTCCCTAATCATCAGGGAAATGCAAACCCAAACCATAATGAGATGTCATCTTACTCCTGTTAGGATGGCTACTATCGAAAAATGAAAAACACATGTTGCTGACAACGTGGAGAAAAAGGAACTACTGTACATGGGAATGTAAGTTGGTGTAGCCACTATGGAAAAATTGTTTCTTACAAAATTACACACACAATGACCACATGACCCCCAAATCCCACTTCTGAGTATATTTCCCAAGAACTGAAAGAAGAATCTCAGATGTCTGCCCTCCCACGTCTACTGCAGCATTATCCACAATTAGCCAAGAGATGGAAACAACCCAGGAGTCTGCTGAGGAATGGCGAAAGAAAAGGTGGTGTATACACACGATGGAATATTATTCAGTCTTAAAAAGAAGGAAATCCTGGCATTTGCTACATAGCATGACGTCATGCAGGTTCATCTAAGTGAAGTAAACCAGACACAGAAGAACAAATCCTACCTGATACCACTTATAAGAGGAATGTAAAATAGTCCAGTTCATAGAAGCAGAGTGTGAAATGGTGGCCACTAGTGGGTACAGGGGAGGGGAAGCGGGGAGGAATCCAAGGGCAGGAAGTTTCAGCCATATGAGATGAGTGAGTCCTGCAGAGCTTCTGTGCAGCATAGCATTTACAGGAATCATACTGTATCACATATTTTAAAGTTTACTAAGAGGGTAAGTTTTATGTGTTTTTATCACACAAAAATAATAATGAAGAGGGCAGGAGGAAACTTCTGGAGGTGATGGAGAGATTTATGCCACATATAGTGGTGAAAGTTTCATGGGCGTATAATTATCTCCCAACTCATCAAGCTGTATACATTAGATATGTACAGCTTTTTCTATGTTGATCGTATTAAAAAATAAAAATGAATATATGCACATTGCAGTTGAATAAGGTACATCATATTTGAACAAAAAACAAAAGAGTAAGACATGAGGATTGGATGCTTTTCACATATGGGAAGGTGTCTACCGTAAGAAAGAAAAGGAACCAGCCTGGGCAATATGGCAGAACCGTCTCTCTACAAAAAATACAAAAATTAGCCAAGTGTGGTGGTGTGAGCCTGTAATCCCAGCCACTTAGGGGCTGAGGTGGGAAGATCACCTGACCCCGGGAGGTGGAGGTTGCAGTGAGCCAAAATCGTGCCACTGCACTCCAGCCTGGGTGACAGAGCCAGATCCTGTCTCAAGAAAAAAGAAAAGAAAAGGAGCTCAAATAGGAAAAGACTATTTTCCAAAAAGGGGAGAAGAAAACAGAGTGACGGTACACTTTACCCACCCAAAAAGATGTTCCAGTAATACTTGTCCACAATTTAAAAGTATTTCCTTTTACAAAGTATAACCAGAGAAACTTTTTCAAAATCGAGTAAAAGACAAAGTGTATGCTACGCTGTATTTGCTCAGTTCCCAAGCATATCTTGAATCACTTATATTCAACTAATTGCTCATGTTTTTATTCAAGTATGCACAATTAGGCAACCTGAAAAAGGAACTGATAGGCATAATTTTAAGCGACTAAAACATTTGGACAACACAGGTAATTCAAGATTAAACAAAAATTAATCAAACTATGTTTTCCCCTCTGATAATCTTCTTGAGCTCCTAGGGAAGGATTAATAAAATCTTTTATAAAGAGAAAAAATATTGTTGAGTTTTAATCTTAAAATTTTTATTCTTTTATGTGGAATGGTTCATCTAAAACAAAATTAATTATTGAATACAATCACAATAATGTCAAATTGAATGCAAAGAGCCAATGCCATTTATTTAAATTACAAATCCAGACCAGGAGTATGTGCGGCTTTGATTATTACATGCTGTGATTACAACAGAGGGGAGCTGTGAGATTAGCTTAAAACAAAGTCAACAAAAGTTTTTGGGAAGAAATAGCACAAGTAATTGCAGTATGTATTTGAAACATTACAAAGACAGTTTTATCACTGCAACATAACCATATTTATATGATTGCTCATTCTACTTTTTCCTGTTTTTCAATACCTAAATAGGTCTTAAATTCTTATGAATTTCTATAGTAATCCTCCGTACTAACGCCCAAAAATAGAACTGCTTTCAAACAAGAAGCAGAAATAGAGACAAAATTGAATATTAAGCATATGCTGTTTTGTACCATCTCTTTAGTCTAATGTCTCACCAAGGAAAAAATATGAAGAAAGTTGCAAAGTCCTCCACCTATTATGGGAATTCCTACACAAATTATGTTCACCTAACAGATGGGAATATTCATTGTAAGTCTATTGTTTATAAACACACATTTTTAAGCAGGCAAAGTTTCCTGGCTCTTTATAAGAAAGTATGATAAAATCTTAGCACCATATGCCACTAAAGTATAGAAAATGCCTGTTCCTATTTCAAATCAACACAGCAGGGAATGTTTGCATTCACTCTATCAAGGCAGAATTCTACTCAACTAACACAGTGTTTTCCAGGACCAGTTCATTATCAGGAATGGCAAAGAAAATAAAACACAAAATCCAAACAAAAACCAAAGGCTTAAATGTCCATTTCTGCTAATAGGAGAAAGCCTCAGTTGTGACCTGCATCTCTGAGTGGACCACTGGACCAACCCTAGAATTTCTTTATGAGGCAGCATCGGGTCCATCTCAGCCCAGGAACAACTGCTGGGACTAGTCATCTGACATTTTCAGTCTACCTAGGATCTGAACCACTTCCCTGTATTTGGAGAATCTGCCACCCTATGAGCTTTTGTGGAGATGGGGCTTATCTCAAATTAAAGGCTGAAAAGACCACATCTGGATATTCCCAGACCACTCACCTGCCTCTACAGGTACCAGCTCTGAGACACAGCATGGCCAATTAGACACATTTGCTCTGGATTTTTAAATCTGGGGTTGGTGATGCCCAGGAAGAGGGCTAAAGGAGAACTCATCTGACAGCAGCGGTGGTGGGGGCACAGTGGAGCCCTAGTCCAGGGGAGTAGGGGAGTGTCCAGTGCCAACTAGGGCAGTGGCTCAAGCAGTGATGGCCAGTATTTGGTGGGGCCAGCAGCAGGACCCTCAGAGGACCAGTTCCAGAGTGACTGTGGCTCACTCTGTTCCTGCCCAATCTCCAGGCTGATTCTAAGGGCACCCCAATATCCATCCATGCAACAGCTCACACAAGAGAAAGTTGGTTTCTGTGGTTTTAGAACCCTTCAAAATTCCACACCCTAGAACATAGCCAAAATAATTTTGGCTGAAATATATTCTAAAGTTACTAGGTGCTCACCACGGTCATAGCAAAACCTAAATAATATATCGTAGAATCATTTCTTTTTTTATGAAAAAAGAAAAAATAAACAAAAAAACATGGCTCTTGGTAAACCACTAAAAATCATGGGAAGATAAAGAATCCCCTTAAACTGGGACACATTTACCTGTTATAAGAAGTTCTCTTGAGTATGAGCCACTAAAATTTTAGAAAACATCTAACAAAATACTATTTTAGAATACTGTTCAGCAGTCCTTTCCAAGCACTGCCAGATGATATGACCGAATCTACCTGTTACAGGCCAAAACCACAGCGTCAGTGCAGAGGAGAACATTTATACTTCCCCTAGGTGGTCAGGGAACTTAATTTGATTCATAAGAAAAAAATCTGCATATTTGTTAAAATTAGATGTAAGATTTTTCTCTTTCAGTGGTGGGGGGACTGTCAATATCCATTTTATGTCACTTTAGATAAGACTATTCTCCACAACTTTAATTTTTATGCTGGTATGAAAATATCTATTTTCCATGAAAATAAGCAACCAAGTTCTATAATAAGCTTTCATACCTTGGACCAAAGCCTATTCTTATCCTTAAAATGAAAAAAAAATATGGGTTAAGGTAAAAATAACTGTAAGCCATTTATGTCCTTCTTGGAAATACATCAATTCTCTTTTTGGAATGGCATGATAAATAATTGTTTTCAATTTTATTTTTGTAAGTTTTCTACATGAAATTTAAAAAATCCAAAGTGGGATGAGTCTATAGCAGGTTTTCTCCTAAAGCAAAATAATGAAATGAAAAACCCAGACTGTGCCATAACAAGCTGTCTCAGAAAAACACAAGGACAATTCAAACTGAAATTTGTTAAGAGAGAGATATATATGTGACTTTGATGGTGTATACAGCTCACTAATAGGCCCTAGGCATCAGGCAAGCTGAGGTTATGTTTTTAGTTCTTTCAAAACAATTGAAGTAATCAATATGAAGTTAAATTAAACAGTATGGTAACGATGGAAGCTATACAAAGGGAACACAATATTTGTAAAAGTTATTTAATCTGTGTATTATTTATTTCAAAATTCATATTAACTTGAGAAGGGCAATAAACAGGTCCCTGTGTGGGAGGGTCTATGGAATCTGTAGCACTGGTTTTGGGAATATAAATCTGGTGAATGAATATAAGCTCTCCTGGTATCAATTAGATGTTAATCTTCGATAACTTTTTATTGATGCCATACCATGAATGACTACATTTAAACTTTATCTTCATTAATAGTTATGAAAGCCAATCCAAAGACCTAAGAATTAATGTTGAAATGTTCCCAAGACTCCTCCTCTGGGATTCCCGTTTATGTGATTTTCTCTAAAATAAACAATGCTTTGGGGATTATGCATTCGTCATTCATTCCTACTTTTCCTTATTAAATCAGGGGCAGAAAATGTGCAATCCATATTTAGTGAAGCACAGATGACTAGAACCGTCTGTCAAATCTACTGTGAGCATTAATTGCTCTCTCAAGTCGGTAAAAAAGGAATTTCAGAAAACCTTCAGGAAAGAGGACATTGCCTTTTCTTAGGGATAAAAATCTTTTATTGCATGTCTGTTGACTTAATTCTTTATAATGCCAGGTTCTCTATGAACATAAAAGTTGGGGACCATTATATCAAGGATTAAAGTATGAAGGCAAATGTTAGTTTCTACATAATCAAAAAAATCCATTCCAACGCATAATGGAAAAAAGACCTAAACCACTCTATTAAACATTATAAGCATAAGCAAATTAAAAATATAAATTTTAAAAGCTCCCACTTGTCTCACTCGGGAGTATTTGTCAACAATGAATTATGTTACAGAGTAGTTTGGTCAATTCTGGCAAGGTCTTCACTTAGCTTCCACAATGATCCCTAAACAAAGAACCAATAATTATCTAAATCCAAATCATTTACCAATGAGAACCTTAAAAAGCCTAATGCTAATTCTGCCTCAGAGATTCTCCATAAACATTCATATCTGTTATGACCATACAGAGTTCCAAAAAGCAGTCAAACTGAAGCCAGAAATACAAAAACACTCAACTTTGTGGGGAGAATATGAACATGAGGTCACACCGCATTAATATTATGGATCTAAATTAAATAAGATAGCACCTGCTGTCCTTGCTGTTGAAAGCTAGGCAATTCATAGAGGACAGGAGCAAAGAGGAGTTAACTAGAAAAAGAGAGCTGACATAAACCAAGTTTAGGAAAATGAAAGCTGAACATCAAGATGGACAACTAGAGAAATTAAGCCCTTTTCACGAAGATGTAGATGGGAGTTACACACAATTAGGTTGGGTGATGAGGAAACCAACTGAGAAAAGAGTTCTCAATTAAATATAATAGACTTTCTTCTTGGTGAGTACAGAGAGAGCTCAATAGATTAAAAGAAAATAAAACAGAAAGCATTAGAAGCTGAGTGTGGTGGCTCACATCTGTAATCCCAGCACTTTGGGAGGCCAAGGTGGGTGGATCGCTTGAGCCCAGAAGTTCGAGACCAGCCTGGGCAACATGGTGAAACCCTGTCTGTATTAAAAATACAAAAATTAACCAGGCGTGGCAGCATGTGCCTGTAGTCCCAAGCTACTTGGGAGGCTGAGATGGGGGGATCACTTGAGCTGGGGTGGCAGAAGCTGGAGTGAACCATTGCACCACTGCACTCCAACCTGGGCAACAAAGTGACACCCTGTCTCCAAAAACAAAAAAAAATCTTGTAGAGAAATCTTCCCCACAGCTTAGTGATGAATTTTAGATTTTAGTTATGTAATTTGTCTCAGGGTCTCGGGCCTAAAGAATATCACCAAGGGATAAGTTTGGAAAAAATGGATCTGTTAATAATACTAAGCCTTCAGATATATAAACACAGTGTATCTGCCCATTGATTTAGGTCTTCTTTTTCTTCTCTCTTTCAGCATTGTTTTGTAGTTTTCAGTGTAAAGACCTTACAGACCCTGTGTCAGATTTATCCTTACTTCAGATTTTTTTGTACTATCTTAAATTTTTTTCTTCTTGAGATGGAGTCTTGCTCTGTCACCCAAGCTGGAGGGCAATGGCACAATCTCGGCTCACTGCAATCTCTGCCTCCTGGGTTCAAGGGATTCTCCTGCCTCAACCTCCCAACTAACTGGGATTATAGGCATGCACCACCATGCCCATCCTACCTTAAATTTTTAAATATGTAATTTTCAGATTTGTTTGCTAGTACACAGAAATATAATTAATTCTTATATGTTGATCTTCTATCTTGTAATGTTGCTAAACTCACTTATCAGCAGCTTTTTAAAAGTATATATTTTCTACATAAATGATCATGTAACTTGAAAATACAGTTTTACTTCTTTCTTTACAATCTGGATGCCTTTTATTTCTTTTTCTTGCCTTATTGCACTGGCTGGTAACTCCAGTAATTGGGATTTGCAAATTTGAAAAAATTATTTCTTCAAATATTTTTCCTCTGACTGCCTCCTTGGGGGATTCCAACTACACATCTATTAGGCCATCTGAAGCTTTCCCACAACTCATTTGTGCCCTTTTCATTATGTTTGATTTTTTTTCTATCTGCCTTTTATTTTGGATAGTTCTATCACTATAGCTTTATTAATATCTTCTTCTGTGATGTCTAGTTTCCTGATGGTCCCATCCAATGTTTATCTCACACATTATAGTTTTCATCCTTATAAGTTAGATTTCTGCCTTTTTTGTGTTTTTCGTGTCTCTACTTTGATCATATGCAATACAGTTATAACTGTTTCATTATCTTTCTCTGTTAACTCTAATAACTGTGTCAGTTCTGGCTTGGTTTCAATCAACTGATTTCTCTCCTGATTATGGGTCATGCTTTCCTGCATCTGCATATGCTTGATGATCTTTGATTAGATTCTAGACACTGTGAATTTTCCCTTGTTGGGTACTGGAAATTTTTGCATTCCTATAAATATTCATTAACTTTGTTCTCTGATACTGTGAAGATATTGAGCAACAGTTTGATCCTTTTGGATCTTGCTTTTCAAGACTTGTTAGGCAGAACCAGAGCAGTATTTGGTCTAGGGCTAATCATTCTCCTGACCCAAGACACCTCTGTGCAGGCTATCTGATAAACTCATGAATATGAGGTTTTACGATTTGGCTGGTGAGAACAGACACTCCGCCGAGTCCTGTGTAAGCACAGGGAACTATTGCCTCTAATCTTCTTGGATAGTCCTTTCCCTTGCCTGGGGTAGTTTTCTCACATGAATGTGCTGACGAATATTCTGCCAAATATTAAAGGGGGACCCTCTGGAGGATTCCAGCATTCTTTCTCTGTGTAGTGCTTTTTTCTTTTTTTTCTTTTTTTTCTTTTTTTTTTTGAGACTGAGAATTGTACTGTCTCCCAGGCTGGAGTGCAGTGGCGAGATCTCAGCTCACTGCAAGCTCTGCCTCCTGGGTTCACACCATTCTCCTGCCTCAGCCTCCCGAGTAGATGGGACTACAGGCGCCCGCCACCATGCCCGGCTAATTTTTTTTTTTTTTTGCATTTTTAGTAGAGACGGGGTTTCACCATGTTAGCCAGGATGGTCTCAATCACCTGACCTCGTGATCTGCCCGTCTCCGCCTCCCAAAGTGCTGGGATTATAGGTGTGAGCCACTGCGCTTGGCCTGTAGTGCTCTCTTATCCAGTACCCTGCCCTAAGAAATCTAGCTGCCTTGATCTTTCCAAACTCTCAGCTCTCTTCAACTCAGAAGGTCCTCTAGGTTCTGCCTGGGTTTTCCTTCTCTGTGCCACAGCCTAGAAATCCCCTCAAGGCAGTAAGCAGAGGGCAAACATAGGGCTCACCTTGTTTGTCTTCCATCTCTCAGCGATCACAATCTTTCACTGCCTGATATCCAATGTCTTGAAAACAACTGTTCATATTTTTGTCCAGTTTTACAGTTGTTTCAAATGAGGCAGTAAATCAGATCCCAGTTACTTTATCTTGACCCAGGTTGCCAGTTTTTAGGGAGACAAAGAGGAAGACAGGACTCAGCCATAGAATTAGACAATAGTTCTAGAAGCTGCCCTTTCACATAAGCCACGTATCCCAGCATATAGAATGTTGCCAGAGATATCTGTTGTGGATAAGGATGTTGTGGGGAGTCTCTAGTAGCCCCAAAGAAGAGTCAAACATGCATCCATAAGGTCCTGGAATAAGATCATGCCTTCTGCAGAAGGGAACTACATACACTGATGTCCTTAGGACAAACTGAAGTCCTGACCCCATAGGTATTAAGAAAATATGCCAGCCTGGGAACACAGTGAGATCCCATCTCTACAAAATATATATATTTTGTATATACATATATATATACTCTAGCCTAAGCAACAGAGCAAGATTCTATCTTGAAAGAAAGAAAATATGCAACTGGAGATAAGCATTATGAGGGAATTATTAACAGAACTATGTAGCCACAAGAGTAAGACTACTGTCTCAGTTATACACAGGCCTCACCAATTGATAGAACAGTTAAACACTCAGGCCTGGGATTATACATGAGTCAACTTGATCCGGAAAATGAAGATGTCACACTATGGCCTTACTCATGCGTGGCCAAAGGGAGCGCAGTTAAGGAAGAGCCTTCCAAGCAGACGGAGCTGCAAGTAGTACCTTTGGTCCTTAACTTTGAATAGGGAGAGATTTGAGAAAGAAATGGCTTGAGAATGGATATAAAGAGACACTTGGGCAGTAACAAATGGCTTGGCTGATGGGAAAGAGGCCTGGGAGAAACAGGACTGGAAATTCAGAAACAAGAAAGTCATATGTAAATAGCCCAATGGGGGTGGGTGTAATATGTGGATTTTTTATATCACTAGAGAGCATCCACTTCAGATAAGGCACTCATCGATCAGTTGAAGAGGATGACTCAACTGTGGGTGTCATTTAGATTTCTTCTCAACTAATAAAATGGGACATCAATCGGTCATGTTGGCAAGGACTGAGGCTATGAATGAATCCAAAAGCAACAGCTCCTCCTCACCAAAGCTAATCTAGCTTTTGCCAATGCCAGATGCCAAACGTGGCAACGGCAGAGACTGATGCTGAGCCCTCAGTGCGACACAATTCTTCAAGCTGGCCACTTGGGACTGGATGCTTATATTTGACCTTTCTACCACGGAAACATGCAGTGACTCTTCCTAATCAAACTCAGGATCTCCTCTGGATATGGATCTGCCTTCTCTGCTCATTGACTAGGCCAGCACCGCAATCTGGAAGCATGAATACCTCCTATACACGTGGCAGCCTGCACAGAATTGTCCCAGATCAGGGACTCATTGTACTTATTGAAGGAGGTATGAAAACAGGCACTTTCCCCAGAGGATCCGGTAGTCCTAGTAGCTATTACATCACCTGGAAGTAGCCACACTAATAGGATAATAGGATTCGGAACAATGCCTGGTAGTGTTGGCTGGACATGGCAGCTCACGCCTGTAATCTCAGCACTTGGGGAGGACAAGCTGGGTGAATCATTTGAGCCCAGGAGTTTGAGACGAGCCTCGGCAACATAGTGAAACCCTGTGTCTACAGAAAAATAAAAGAATTAGCTGGGCATGGTGGTGTGTGCCTGTACCCCTAGCTACGTGGGAAGCTGAGGTGGGAGTATGAACTGAGCCCGGGAGGTCGAGGCTGCAATGAACTATGACTGTGCCACTGTACTCCAGCGTGGGCAACAAAGCAAGACCCCGTCTCAAAATAAAAAAAAAAAAATTGTTGAACCTGAGGTCAAGATATGATTGGCCCCTATTCTGGCCATCTATTTGTTTTTTTCCCAACTTTAGGCTCTTTTGGATTACAGATCTGAGTTCTCAGTGGGGGAGATTTCCTATAGAAGAAAAAGGGACCCAGAGAATTTGACTCTAATTCATCCTACTCACTTTGTGAACTTCATGCCAGTGGGCTGGTGAAAAAGAAAGGCGTTACTACACTGATGGAGGTAAATGACTCTAATCACTCTAAGACACTAGGGCTGGTGCCACACAGCAGAGGTGAGGAGGAGAGAAGTCAATGGGGTATCTCTTAGTACTCGCAAGACCAGTTGTAATTAGAGAATCCATGGCCCTACAAAGGCAAGGCAACTAAAAGGTGAGATGAGGGCCTGGGCCACCCAGCACCAAGCAAATTCGACTAGCTGAAGAGCAGGCTGAGAGTTATGCATACCTAAAATGGGCAGGAGAACATAAATACCAATTATAGCCTTGAGACTTGGTCCAGTAAGAAAAATAGCTTGTTCTACTAACTCTCTTGAATAAAGTCCTTGTTAGAAACTATAGCTGACTATCTTCTTAGAAGGGACTCTTTCATGAATTAGACTTAACAGCAGGTACAAGTTACACTGAGGGGTTCAAGGAATAGACTCAATTTTGTCCTCTTACTCTCTATTTTAAAAATCCTTTCGGTCTGGAAGTGGTGGCTCACACCTGTAACCTCAGCACTTTGGGAGACCAAGGCAGGAGGACTGCTTGAGACCAGGAGTTCAAGACTAGGCTGGGCAACATAGCAAGACCCTGTGTCTAAAAAAAAAAAAATAGCTAGTTGTGGTGGCACCCATTTGTGATCCCAGCTACTAGGGAGGCTGGTGCAGAAGGATCACTTCAGTCTAGGAGTTCCAGGCTGCAATGAGCTATGATTACACTACTACAGTCCAGCCTGGGTGACAGAGTGAGACCCTCTCCCTCAAAAAAAAAAAAAAAAAGAAAGAAAAGAAAGAAAGAAAAATCCTTCTGGCTCTACCTTTTACTTGAGCTGCTGCTGTGGTCAACACTTCCAGGCAGCCCTGAGTAGCTTTATGGTGGCGCAGCTGGCATCACTTTGCCTCAACCCATGCCTCCTATTTCTTGCTTCCTGTCCTGGGGATTCTCTGGCACCACAGCCAGCAGGTTTAGCTGCTTACCAATGCTTGAGCTAATTAGAAATGAAGGCTAATAACCATGGGACCCATATTTATCAGCCAAGTACAGGAGCTGATAAATAATTTCCTCTTTCACCCATTAGAGTGGGCACTTCTGAGATGCATTTCATAAGACTCCATAGACGTTGCAAACAAGATTGAGCTCCAGCCACTTAGAGTGACTGCCAACTTGATAAGGGATCCCTGCACTGGTGCTTCCTTCCTCCCTGCTTCATTCCCCTGCCTTTACACCTGCTTCCTGGGATGACATTCACAAACAAAGAAGGAGAGCCAAGCTTTGTCTCCACCACTGTCATCAGGAGATCCCAAGTTATTAGAGACAGAACTGTCTGATTTGTTGCAAATATTGTCCCAGTTTGTTGCTTACCTTTTAACTTATAAGATTAAGCAAATGGGCAATTAAAAATTTTGTATCTTTTATACAAAACTTGTAAATATTTGTAAATTTATCTGTGATCGGTTTCTGATGAAGTTTCTCAATGCTTTTGTACTTTCTCCTGGTATAATCTGAGATCATTCAAATATTCCCTTTGTTTATGTTTCCATTTTTTTATATTTAATTGTTCATTGTATCTAAAATTTATTTTGATGTTTAATGAGGATCTATTTTGAATGTTTGCAAAAAGTTGTTTTTAGCATTGGTTTGAGAACTCATTTGAATATATATATAATTTAATTTTTATTTTTGAGACAGAGTTTTGCTCTTGTTGCCCAGGCTGGAGTGCAATGGCATGATCTTGGCTTACTGCAACCTCCGCCTCCCGGGTTCAAGGGATTCTCCTGCCTCCCGAGTAGCTGGGATTACAGGCATGCACCACGACAACCAGCTAATTTTGTATTTTTAGTAGAGATGGGGTTTCTCCATGTTGGTCAGGCTGGTCTCAAACTCCTGACCTCAGGTGATGCGCCTCCCTCGGCCTCCCAAAGTGCTGGGATTACAGGTGTGAGCCACCATGCCTGGCCTTGATCATATATTTTTTATAAATATAATGGTCTGGTTCAAAATGCTCCTCTGGCATATTGTTTAATTTTATACTATTAACATGTTACTTATTATGGCATTCTAATATGCCTTGGGTTTTAGAAAAAAAAGTTCCTCCCCATTATTCACTTAATGTTGTGAAAATTTGTTGGTATTCTTCTGTTTACATTTCTAGATGAGCTTTAGAAAAACTTCATCAGTTACTTCCCCAGAAAATCCCATTGGCATTTTTTATTAAAATATCCAGGCCAGGTGTGGTGGCTTACACCTGTAATCCCAGTACTTTGGGAGGTCAAGGCTGGCAGATCACTTGAGGCCAGGAGTTTGAGACCAGCCTAGGCAACACAGTGCAACCCCATCTGCACAAAAAATAGAAAACTTAGCCAGGTGTGCTGGTGGGTCCCATGGTCCCAGCTACTTGAGAGGCTGAGGCAGGAGGACTGCTTGAGCCCAGGAGGCTGAATCTGAAGTAAGCCATGATCAGGCCACTTGCACTCCAGCCTGGGCAACAGAGTGAGACCCTATCTCAGCAAAATAAAATCAGCTATTGATATTAGCTTTCTGAAAAGTTCTACTGATGTTAGGCTAAAATTCTATGATGGCTTCAAAGGAACTGTAATTTTTATAGCAAGTGGGTTTCCTACATAAGTATCATCTTTTATATCTCATTACGCACTTTCCACGTGGGTTCTACTCATTTCTTATAAAACTTATTCCCAGGTATTTCATAATTTTTATTGATACTGTGAAATGTTTGCCTTTTTATAAAACAAAAGAAAAAAATAACCTTTCCCTTAACCATTCTTATTTTCCCTGGAATAAAGCAAGAATAAACATCCATCAAATTTCTATTTTTATATTGTCATAGAAATTGAACCACAGAGGCAGGTTACATAAGAAAACTATAAAATTTTTAGGAGTTTAGAGTATACAATTATTCCTTCTGTTACAATAATAAATATTGTGCCTAGCATTAAGAAATTCTCGGCTTAGGTGTATGTATATGTTGAATATAATTAGAAAAGATTTTTTCATTCCAAAGTAGAAAATAATTTAGACTAAATGCTTTCTGGAAAGAATACAAATCCACCTAAGATATCTATGCAAACTTAGTTTAATTGCTGAATTACCGTCAACTTGCTAATGTAGTCACCTGTGCCACCAAAATGTAGACATGAGCATCAATATGAAATGTAACATTTGAGGCCGGGTGCAGCGGCTCACACCTGTAATCCCAGCACTTTGGGAGGCTGAGACAGGCAGATCACTTGAGGTCAGGAGTGTGAGACCAGCCTGGCCATCATGGTGAAACCCCTTCTCTACTAATAATAAAAAAATTAGCCAGGCGTGGTGACACATGCCTGTAGTCCCAGCTACGCAGGAGGCTGACAATCGCTTGAGACCAGGAGACGAAGGTTGCAGTGAGCCGAGATCGCTCCACTGCACATCAGCCTGGGCAACAGAGTGAGATTCCACATCAAAAAAAAAAAAAAAAAAAAGAAATACAACACTTGAAATTCACTGTGCAGTGTGTAACGCACACAGCAAAGAAAATGTTATTTTAAGTCAAAGCTAGAAAAAGTAAATGTGTAGTATTTGCTCTTTACAGGGTTAGCATTTTCATAACTGACACCAAAGTGGGGAAAAATAAGGGTCCTGTTAAGGTGGGAAACAACTACCTTTTTCATAAAGTATCCATGTTTTTTTCATTTGAAACTTACAAAGGTCTCATGAAGGCTAACATATGATAAATGAACATGCTTACTGGAAGGAAGTAGATGAAAGAGTAATTTGAAAAAATAGTATGAGATTTTTAGACAGGTTTTATATCATGGGGAAAAAAAAAAGCAAGCTATGATAGATTCCTGATAACCCATCTAAGTGTCTGAGGCCCTCGTGGAACATAATATAATTTATCACAAATACCCCAAACAATTCTTGCTTCAGAATCACCCATTCCTCCTTACGTTTCCCATGTCATAGTAGTGAAGCACATAGCTTATTTTAATAGTCCACATATAACGAGTCACTCCCTCAATCTTGCTTCAATACAACCAACAACGTTTTGTCTTCTTGTGTTTCCAATGAACAAATACATATGCAAGGGCTCTTAAGAATACAAAGAGTGTTCCACCTCTTCCTGCAGTTTTAAGTTGACTGCAAGTTGTCTTATAATTCTGAAAGGTTGCATATATAACAGTTTTTTGTACACTTTGGCATTTAAAATAAAGCCGTTACACCATTTTTTTAAAATTTTGTTTTTGGAGATGGAGTCTCACTCTGTAGCCCAGGCTGGAGTGCAGTGGTGCGATCCTGGCTCACTGCAACCTCTGCCTCCTGGGCTCAAGCGATTCTCCTGCCTCAGCCTCCCAAGTAGCTGGGATTACAGGCATGCGCCACCATGCCTGGCTAATTTTTGTATTTTTAGTAGAGATGGGGTTTCACCATGTTTGCCAGGCTGGTGGTGTCGAACTCCTGACCTCAAATGATCCGCCTGCCTCACCCTCCCAAAGTGCTGAGATTACAGGTGTGAGCCACTGCGCCGGGCCTACAAAATTGTTTTAAATTGAAATGCTGCTAGCCTTATGAAGGTGTTATGTCCCAATAAACTTAGCGTATGTTGAAAATACCCTAGGTCAAAAATGCATTTAACATACCTACCCTCATAGACACCACGGTTTAGCCTAGCCTATATTAAGCATGCTCCGAACACTAATATCAGCCTACAAATGGGCAAAATCATCCAACACAAAGCCTGCTTTATAATAAACTGTTGAATATCTCATGTGACTTATTAAATACTATAAAGTAAAAAACAGAAGGGTTTCTCAACTGCGTAAAGTCAAAAAATTGTTAAGTTGAACCATCGTAAGTTGGGGACCCTCTGTATATTCAACGATTTGCAAATAATAGTTTGAGACCCATATTATCCATTTAAAAATCAAAAGAATTCTTTAATAGTGGGAACTTTGATATTACTCTGTCTTACTCTTGCACCCCCCAGAGAGAGTTCCACAGGAAGACTCAGATAAGGTACAGGTGCGCTTTCTCCTGGGATGGAGGAGAAACCACTATTACAGGTGGTCGGAAAAGAGAAATGGCTTGGTGCCTACACAAAGGCCTGTTCTTGGGGAATTCAGTTTCAGAAAACATCCATGTGGAAACTGAAGATCTAGGAAACAATTCCTTTCCCGCCATCCAAGGCGTGTAGCCTGGCCACCAGGCCACTGTCACACACTGTCCACATCATGCCTACTTCTTATTAGGAAGAACAATCTGGGTTCTTTGAAACTCCATTCCTTTCTTTCTGGGGCATACAAAGCACTATGTAATTTAATTTTTAAGAGAACTCTCATAAAAATGAGGGTGATGTGGGCCTTACTGTACTCATTTTTCCAATGGAAAAAGATCAACATTAGATAACTTGTCCAAAGTCACACCGGTAAGTTGAAGAGCAAGTCCCTGAACTCCAGTCTTCTGTTATCAGTCACTACTCAAACATGGTTCTCAACTCTAAGTTCACTTTTTCTGTTTCTGCTTTCTTACACCCCTTCTAACAAACTGAGCCTTACAATGTCACATGGTAATAATGTATAATGCTGCCTACGATCACTAGAGCCTTCAATGCTCACAACACTGCAAATGAGGAGGGATCTTTCCCATTTTGCAAACGCTTACGTCACTCTCTTTTCACTTACGGGAGGGGAGGGCTCATGGGTCACCTGCCTAAAGTTATAACACCATTGCTCAGGTGTGGTGGAGCTGAATTCTGCCAGTCCTAGGATTCAGGACTGTTTGATTTCAACATGCTATGATCTACTATGATAAACTTTTCCTCGAGTGTAGATCCTCCAACAGGGTAGGCCCAATAATGTAAGCAGTCACACACTCACTTGTCTAAAGTGTGGGTGGGTAATGGGAATGGGGAGAGCAAGTGAGGTGCTACAAGGGACGGGGCTGCCAGAGAGCACCGAGGAGAACCAGGGAGTGTCCATGCCTTTGATGGGGGCAGCTCTGCTCAGCCGCCTGCTCCTGATTGGGGCTGCAGACCAGGCAGCCAGGCCTTCTGACTGGTCTGCAGAGGCTGGGAAGCAAGGTTTTTACAGAAAATCTTAGAACTGTCAAATGTTGGCAGCTAATAAAAAAATATGCTGTGGCTCACACCTGTAATCCCAGCAATCTGGCAGGCCAAGGCAGGCAGATCACCTGAGGTCAGGAGTTTGAGACAAGCCTGGTCAACATGGTGAAACCCCATCTCTACTAAAAATACAAAAATTAGCCAGGTGTGGTGGCTCACGCCTGTAGAACCAGCTACTTGGGAGGCTGAGGCAGGAGAATCATTTGAACCCAGAAGGTGGAGGTTGCAGTGAGCCAAGATCGCGCCACTGCACTCCAGCCTGGGCAACAAGAGTGAAACTCCGTCTCAAATTAAAAAAAAAAAAAATGCTGTAAGCATTCTCATATTTTTTTTAATTGATTTTTAAAATACAAACACACAGACAACTGACACACACATAAATTCTGGGCAGGCTGAGTGTGGTTCCACGGACCACCGTATCACAACCTCAGAGGTAAAGAGAGTGAGTGGGTGGGCTATTCCCCATTTGAGAAGCTTGTTATTCCACTTAAAATGCCTCTATACAGCCCACTCTTTCTTATTTCATCTAAAGAAAAGCATGGCAGCGATGATTTTGCTGATTTGCTGATGGTGAGGCCTCCTGGACTTTTCTGGCATGCTAGTTCTCCATCCTGCACAGAACTGCAGCATGTAATATTATCATCCTCAAAAGTATACCCCTGGAAAGCTCTGAAGCGTGGTAAGACCCTGAGGCTCCAAAGGCTGTGCTACTGCCTCCAGGTGAATCTACACCTCAGTCTTACCCTGATCTTGTGCTCTGCCACAGGTTCAGGCCCTCTGTCCCCACATCATGTCCACCCCAGTGCATCAGATCCCTGGTGACTGGCACAGTGCTGGGCACATGGCAGGACTTCAATATATACTGTTTTATTGCTGCTGAATATACAGGCTGTATGCATGCCCATTCTCCATGATTCCATCCATCCCTATCTCCACTTGAAAACAGCTAGGAAAGACTTTTGCTGACTACTCAGAGCTCCAGAAGCTACCATACTAAAGATCTGTTTAAACATTTGTGCCTAGACAGGAGCAATACTTGTGGGTAGGGCTGTTGCCCTTGGAAAGTAAATGTATCATACCAAAGCTGTTATTGGCATTGCTCTGTAACCATAGGTTTTTGTTGACTGATAATTTCACTAATGGGCTTACTTTTACAAATATAATGATAGACTTCCTAGGTGTAAGTACAACCTATATCAGAATAGTAAATCACATTCTAATTACATATTCAAATCTATTCCTTTAATCTTGAATGCATTAGAAATTCAATCCAATATTTTCACTCATTGTGCTATTATGACCAGTAAGGCAAGTATTCCAAACACATCAACTGAAATGGGATCTTATTTTTTCAAGCGATCAATTACTTATATTCGCTGCTGTAGGTGGTGAGCTCACTGTCATCGCGCATCCACTTGAACTCCAAAGGCCAGCTCCCTTCGGC
This sequence comes from Homo sapiens, assembly GCF_000001405.40. Lineage (NCBI taxonomy): Eukaryota > Metazoa > Chordata > Mammalia > Primates > Hominidae > Homo > Homo sapiens. The sequence continues at coordinate 3,619,162 of NC_000007.14, read as the reverse complement.
AAGGCAGGTGAGAACAAGGCGGTTCCCTTCCAGGTGGATCTGTGGTAGGCCTGGCTCCGTTTTAAAATATGGAGCAACATCATCTGAAATATTAAAAAACAAAACAAAACAAAACTGAAGTACGCATGAAAGTGGCACTCATCTAATTTAATAAATCTATTATTTAAACAAACGTAATATTAAAATGAAAGTGATGGCTGTTTGGCCCAATTAAGAAGTAAATAATCCTTTACCAAACCCTGGAAACATGCAATACCCCAGATAATATTTCAAAAAGCTGAAAGCTCAATGATACCCGCATTTGAAAGCATCTGACAGGTTCATCCAAGTTATTTCCACTTATGGTTAATAGCTTATTGAAGGGACATATCGGACAATCCCTGTACATACAAGCTTTTGGTTTTAACTAGGCAATCTATTTGCGAGAAAACAGTCAAGTGTATGCAGGCTATAAAAGAGAAGTTTCCTCTATAACCTTCAATTGGTTTTAAAAAAGTAAGATAAGCAAGATTGACATACATACATAAACGACATGAATCGCAACCTAGCTTTCCTTTCATACACACGTGGAAATGGTCTCTCCTGGTGACTTTCAATGGGATACAACACAGGAAACTCATGGTATATTCACATAATGGAACAGCGCACTGCAGCGAGAATGCAGCAACAATTGCTACACATAGCAACACAGGTAAATCCCACACACATCAAGCCGAGTGAAAGAAGCCAGACAGAATTTTCAAAAAAGCTTATAGCATGTGCTACTATTCAAAAGTTCATAAAAGTTCACAGCCAGATAAAACTAATCTATGGTGTCAGAGGTTAAGGATAAGGGTTACCTCTGAGGGATGGGATAGCGACGGGGGTGAAGGTAATGGGATGGCTTATGAAAAGCAGGTCAAAATTTATTTCCTGATGTGGTTACAAAGGTACATTTACTTTGTGAAAATGGAGAGAATACTAGATATGATTTGTCAATGTTTTGTAGATCTGTTTCAATAACATTTTTTAATATGGATGCAGCACACTTGGCTTCTAGCTGTAGCATCACTAATTAGCTACCTGATCCTCATCAGGACTTACAGGTTTTTGTTTCTTTATCAGCAAAATAAACAGGATTATATGACTCGTCATTTTTCTACAAAAGTCCCCAAGATCCACCTGCATAATCAGCTTTCTAACTTTCATTCAGGCCTCCTCCCCTCTCTGCTCACACCGAGCACTCCAGGCACACTTCACTTCTTGCACATTTAAACCCAAGCCAAGCTCTTTCCTAGAGTTACGGTCTGAATGTCCCCTCCAAAACTCATGATGAAATGTGATGGCCATTCTAACAGTAATAAGAGGCAGGACCTTGAGGATATGATTAGGTCATGCAGGCTCTACCTTCAGGAATGGATTAATGCTGATACTGTGGGAGGGAGTTAGTTATCAAGGGAGAGGGGTCCTAATAAAAAGGGTAAGTTGGGCCCCCATCCTCTGTCTCATGCACTCCCTTGACCTTCTGACTTCCATGACAGGATGATATAGCACAAAGGGCCTCCCCAGATGAACTGCCATGTTGTTGAACTGTCCAGCCTCTAGAACCAAGAGTCAAATATACTTCCATCATTTTTGAATCACCCAGTCTGTTACAGCAGCAGAAAACGGAGTGAGACACCTACTGTGGGGCCTTCCCACTTGGTCTTTCCTCTACCTAGGATGCTCTGTGCATGCTCATCTTTGCTCATCCTTCAGGTTAACTAAAGCTCCTCCTGCACAATATGCTCTAACAAGTCATTATGTTTATTCCATTTACAATAGTTATCAGATACTGAAATTAAAGTGTTTGTAGGTTACTCTACAGTACATTAGTCTTGATCACTTCTGAATTCCTAGCACCTAGAACAATGCCAGGAACTAAGGGGATAGCTAATAAATATCTGTTGAATGAATAAATATAATAACACTAATATCAGCAATAGCTAGTATTTATTATTTACTTTGTGCTGGAAACCATTCTAAATGCCTTATATATATATTAACCTATTTCTCACAAAAGCCCTATAACATAGATGTCATCATTATACCCATTTTAAGAATGAATAAACAGAAGCATGGAGAAGTTAAATAACTTGCTCAATGCTACCCAGTCAGTAGGCAGTGAAGTCATGATTTAAATCCAGATAATCTAGCTCCAGAATCTACCAATTCTATATATTTTGACTCCAAATGTCACATATTTCCTTAATACGGAAAATTTCTTTTCAAGAAGTCATACTCAACTTTAAATTTTTGGTAATTTATTTGTGACATTACTAAGCTGTTCTTATAAACTACTGTACATTTAATAAACATCAAGTAGCACATTAGAAATGTTAACACTGAAACTAGTTGCACATTAAACTATAGTGTATAAACTGAATATATAGAATTTAAATATAAATACATAGGTTATTTTGTCATTTTGTTGATCACTATATTCCATCATAATTGGTATATTAGTAATACAATATTACCAACCTCTCACAAGTATTTATTCATTTATTCATTCAAATAAATAAATATTAAATTGCATCTATGAGTACGGCAAGAACTTACAGTAGGAGATTTAACCTAGTCGATGAGATGAAATGCAGGAGCTGAGAACAAAAGTGTTGGCAGCACTCCAAACCGTTAAGCAGGCCCTCTGGTGGGAGCAAACATGGCGAGTACCCTTGGGCAGTACGAAAGAGTGAACAGCAAGACTTTCTGCAGGTGCAAAGAGAGTGACTGGAAGTGGGATGAGCAGGGCCAGGTTGTGCAGGGCCTTGCAGGCAGGGCCACACGTGTTCTGGTTCCCACCTCATCGTTGCGTGACTGTCCATGCTGCCCACCTCACATTCAAGTGTCCGAGTATTAACAACGTGTGTGATCACCCTATTTATAACCTTGTAAAAAGTACTGTCAATATGATAATGATGATGATGATGATGATTAGCTCTTACTACAAAAGGACAGCCAGTTGTGGTGGCTTATGCCTATAATCCCAACACTTTGGGAGGCTGAGGCGGAAGGATTGCTTGAGCTCGAGTGCAAGACCAGCTTGGACAACACAGTGAGACCCCATCTCCACAAAAAGTTTTTTAAAAAATTAGCCAGTGTGGTGATATACACCTGCAGTCCCAGCTACTAAGGAAGCTGAGGTGGAGGGATTACTTGACCCAAGGAAGTCAAGGCTGCAGTGAGCCGTGATTGTGCCACTGCACTCCAGCCTGGCAGTGTGGGTGACAGACCAAGACCCTGTCTCAGAAAAAAAAAAAAAGACAGCAAAAAGCCTTTGAAGAGGTTGTGTGATTGTGTTGTTAAAAGAACATTCTGGCTGTAATGTGAGAAGGAAAAAAAGAGGGCGTGGAATAGTGGGAGGACACCAGTCCAGAGGCCACTGCAGTGATCCGCTTTAAAGCAATAGTTAGGTGGGAAAAAGATTCAGTGATAGATTGGTTATGGATGTGAGGGAGAGGGAGATGTCAAGAAGGATTCTTATGTCTCTGACTTGTACAACTTTCTGTTCAATAAACATGCACTGATGCTATGTACCAGCCTCTGTAATCAGCATTGAGAATACAAAGTGTAAGACACAGTCGCTGTCCCTTAAGCGCTTATAATCTAGGTCTGATGCAGGAATGTAAGCAGTAAAGTGTTAGATGCTGTGACAGCACATGTAACTCAAAGTCAGGAGTTGTCGAGCCTTGTCCTGTTCCAAGAGTTCTGCCTGCTTCTGCTGCAACTGACATGCGTTAAGCTGTATATCAACTGCATTCTTAAATTTGAATGTAGCCATGTGTCCAATTTCCTTTTTCCTATGTACTTCAGCAAAAATCATCTCCTCTTATTACCCAAACAGTCTAATAAAGCTGAACTGCAATGGAGGTAGCTTTGATCCTGTGGGATTTACTGAGCTACAGGCTTTATTAATGTCTGGCCATTTGCACTCTGTTTAACAACAGAAAAAGAAATGCCACTTCATATGGTTCCAGTGTCCTACACGAATGAGTCATAGAAAACATACATCTTTTCGAAAGGGAAAAGCTTCGAGATAGAAACTCAAAAATCTGAATTTGGTTTTGCTATTGATAGAGCATCATCATTTTAATATAGTATACAACGGATTTGAATTAAAATGATACTACAACTCAATTTTTCATGGACTTTATAGTTAAACAAACATGCCTATACCATGTACAAATTATAAGGCTGGATACTGTGAGCTGGTAGGAAAAAAAAAGCTCATTTTAAAGAATGGTTTCATATAGCTGGCAAGCAAATATCTCGAGATCCAAATGGCCGTAAAATTATGGTTAGCACAGACACTAACATTCATTATAAGGAGAAGGGAAGGGAAAATATGTCAACACCCTGGAATTTTAAGCGTTCAAATTAAAATCATAACGACACGTATTTTGACATAGATTAGCCAAGGTGGGGAATAGCACTTCTCTGAGCCCAGCACTATTTACCATTGAAATACATACAGTAGGTAAACAAGTTAAAAGAGGGCATTAAGGTAACAAAACACAAAACTTTGGGGACAGAAAGGGAGAAAGAAGGATCAGTATTCAAGTCTGCACAGATGCCCTGCAAAAGCATTTGATCTTTACATACTTTAAATGGGAAAGAGAACATCCTGAAATGATTCATAAAGAAAATGATTGAGTTGCCTCTAAGGTAAAGTTATAAAACTCTGACCTGGGGAAAAGCCAATGGCCCACATATTAATCTTTGAAGGGTGTGTGTGTATTTCAAATAATAATAGACATTCCCTTCCTCAGGAAAATGAGCAGACGTTAGGAATACTTCTGTATTCTAACAACGAACATTAGAAGACCCTAGAATAAATTACTAAGGAAAAGTGAAATTTCCATTTTCATATAGAAAGTGTTCTATTCTTAAAATAGAACATAAATCATTTATGAAAGAGAGAGTCTCATCTGTGTGGATAATATAGGTTTAAGGTCTGCCCAAAGGACAGGAATAGACTTAACATTGTCTCAAGACAACATCATAATTTTTAACTTTTAAGTTCAGGTTCAGCAGGATGTGCAGGTTTGTTACATAGGTAAACTTGTGCTATGGGGGTTTGTTGTACAGATTATTTCATCACCCAGGTATTAAGCCTAGTATCCATTGTTACTCTTCCTGATCCTCTCCCCGCTCTCATCCTCCACGCTCCAACAGGACTCAATGTGTGTTGTTCCCCTCTCTGTGTCCATGTGTTCTCATCATTTACCTCCCACTTATAGGAGGAGAACATGTGGTATTTGGTTTTCTGTTCCTGTGTTAGTTTGCTAATGATGGCCTCCAGCTCCATCCATCTCCCTGCAAAGGACATGATCTGCATAGTTTTTATGGCTGCGTAGTATTCCATGGTGTATATGTACCACATTTTCTTTATCCAGTCTATCATTGATGGGTATTTGGGTTGATTCCATGTCATTGCTATTGGGAACATATGTGTCTTTGTGTCTCTATAATAGAACGATTTATATTCCTCTGGGTGTATACCCAGTGATGTAATTGCTGGGTCAAACGGTATTTCTGTCTTTAGGTCTTTGAGGAATCACCACACTGTCTTCCACAATGGCTGAACTAATTTACACTCCCACCATTAGAGAAATGCAAATCAAAACCAAAATAAGCTACCAGTTAGAATGCCTGTAACTCAAAAGCCAAAAAATAAGAGGTGCTGGAGAGGTTGTGGAGAAAAAGGAAGGCTTACACAACATCATAATTTTATGTGAAGATGACACTTCCCTAAGTAAACATTTAAGGTTTTCAGATCCAATGTAAATGTATTTAATGTTACCTCTCCAATGTGAGAATAATCTTCTGCTCATCTAGAAAGGGACCATGACCCATCTATCTGCAGAGGAAAAATCATTCACATGGGCAGCAGCTGGAGCCTACTACCTCATCCTGCGTCCCCCGGCTTCCCTAACATCAAGAAAGGGGGTCTTGCGATGGATTTTCATTGCTGTTCCACAACAGCTAAAATTAAGTCGTATCATCTGAAACCCTTCAACGGCAGAATGAATAGGAATCAACTATGAGGTATCAAGCAAGTTGAACTGCAAGTTCTTCTTTTGACTCTGCCCAAGAGAGCTTCCACTAGGATAATCATCACCTATTTGATAATTTGCCCTTTTCTCCTGCATTTTAAAGAGATAATGAATAAAGAAATAATCAACCTCCACTTAGCAGAAGAATCAACTGTACCACAAACAAGGGGGGTGGGGGGTAGTCTGTGAAGCCCACAAAGTCCACGTGTCCCGGTGAAGTGACGATGAGCTGTATTAAGCCATCATAATCAGCACCGTCAATCAGGTGCGAGTCCAGCCGGGAGGACCAGAATGCCAGTGTGAATGGAGTAATCAGCCAGGGCAGGTTATTACTGAACTCCGCTTTTGCCACAGCTGAATTTCCCAGGGCGACTAATCTTTCAGTTTAAACCACTAATCTTCCTTTCAAAACTTCTTTTATATCAAATTCAAACATTTTCATGCCCCAAGCTTATGAATTTACCATGAGCGAAAAGTTTTATTTTTCAAATTCCAGGGAGAAACAAAAGCACAGGGCAGAATGTATCATTTGTGAACAACTATTCTGAGAAATGTGGGTAGAAGATCCTTTTCTGGTAAGTGTAGTCATTCAAATTTCAGCTGCTGGCAGTTCATTATGTATACCTATTGAAGCCAGGAATTTAATCTCACAGTGCAATGTGCTTTCTTCATAATAGTAATATCAATCTTTTTAAGGACAACAATTATGATTTTCAAATGTACTTCTGGGGTGAGGTTTAAATAGATAACTAGATATGTGCCACTCTAGTTAAATATGCAAATATAGACAGGTCCACATTATGATGCTGTAAGAGGATCCTATGATAGGATTTTTAATTTTTTTATTTCCATAGGTGTTTGGGGAATAGGTGGTGTTTGGTTACACGAGTAAGTTCTTTAGTGGTGATTTGTGAGATTTTGGTACACTCATCACCTGAGCAGTGTACACTGTACCCAATGTGTAGTCGTATCCCTCACCCCCGTCCCACCCTTTCCCACAAGTCCCCAAAGTCCATTGTATCATTCTTAGGCATCCTCACAGCTTAGCTCCCACTTAGGAGTGAGAAGATACAATGTTTGGTTTTCCATTCCCCAGTTACTTCACTTAGAATAATGGTCTCCAGTTCCAGCCAGGTAGCTGTGAATGCCATTATTTCACTCCTTTTCAGAGCTGAATAGTATTCCATGGTCGTACTAATTTACATTCTCACCACCAGTGTAAAAGTGTTCCCTTTTCACCCCATCACCACAATCATCTATTATTTTTTGATTTTTTCATTATGGCCATTTTTGCCGGAGTAAGGAGGCATAGCATTGTGGTTTCGATTTGCATTTTCCTGATCAATAGCCATAATTTTTCAAAAATCAAAAAATAATAGATGTTGGCAGGGACGTGGTGAAAAGGGAACACTTTTACACTGCTGCTAGGAATGTAAACTAGCACGACCACTATGGAAAACAGTGTGAAGATTCCCTAAAGAACTGAAAGTAGAACTACCCTTTCATCTAGCAATCCCACTCCTGGGTATCTACCCAGAGGAAAAGAAGGCATTACACGAAAAAGAGACCTATGATTGTTTTAGGACAAAGTCCTCTATCTGCTAAGCTGAGAAAAGGCAGTGAGGACAGGGCAGTTCAGGCTGCCCTTTTTGTCACCACCCAAGTAAGTCGTTTGGTTATTAAATGTGAACTAGAGGCGGCGGTGCAAGAGGAGGAAGAGCAGGAGGAGAAAGGAGAAAAAGGACATAAACGAATGGTACATACTAATTCCCAAACTATGTAATTCTCCCTCCAGTGAAAAGAGTTGGCTCTATTATCACAGCAAATTCCCAGGCTTTGTTTCTTTAGCTTATCATAAATATTTCTAAATACTTCCCAGTGGTAGACTTTCAAATATACTTAGATGTACCATCATCTTCTGTCAATCTAAAAAATAAATAAATAAATTACCCACCCAACTTCTCTGTATTTTACCTTATCTCTCTCTACTACTGCCTTGTAAAATAAATGTCAGACATTTCAGGATGAAAGGCAGCTACAATTGAAAGAATATATCTCTTATTTCAAACAAAAAAACTAACACAAGTCAAAGATTGTGCTGCGTATTCCTTGATCTCACCACAAAGTCATCATTTTGTACTCAAAAATCTGACTAACAAGTGTGGGATTTTCTCCAAGTAATTTGTCCCTGGTGTCCTCTCCATATTTGAGTCAGTCCATGTGAAAACAGAGAAAGCAGGAGGGTCCCTGAGATTTCCATTAAACAGCACTGTGAATAGTTTGCCTATGCAGTCAGCCAGTGGGGAAGTCAAACTGATTCTCTGTTTTCTCTGAAATCAATGCAAATTAACACCATATTTAAGGGAACTCTGGGGGTAAACCTACCCTTCCAATATTTTCCCCTAAGAAACCATTCAAGCTTCCAGTGAGATTAATCCACAATTGAAGCTGATGGTAGAAACATATATGGCTATATTTATGTACTAGTTTTATCTTGCACTGTGCTAATCTATTTCAGTATATAAATTAATAAGACACAGTGGGATAAATACAATTCCCGTTTCTCCAAACTGAAATAAGCTTCCAGCTCTCCAATATTTTACTTCAAAGTAGAAGTATACTGAACTGTCATTTCTATGGTTTGTAGTGAAAAAGTATGACCAACCAAAATAAGAGTAAGGTTATCAGAAATAACCAACATTATTCTTGAATATGGCACAATATTTCTTTCAAAGATTCTTTCGAATAATCTTAAGAAATCAACCCTGATTAAATAAAAAACTGAAAGGTCCAAGAAAAGAATCTCAAATATGATTTACCTTCTCCTGCTTATCTGTTTGCTGGTGAGTTTACGGCAAATATGTACTGCCATAAAAACTGAGATGTAACAGATATCCACATGGTGAAGGTTTAATTTTATATCAAGAAATTACATGAGAAAATAACTTGAAAGGACATCTAAGTCCAACCAAAGCTTATTGATTTTAGCAAAGTTACAAACCATGGAGGTTTCTCAAGAAGTAATAATATGTGATTTGAGTTTAGAGCAAGTACTTTGGAGCCCTGGGTTCAAATCCCAGCTCTATGCCAGGTATGATGGCTCCTGCCTATGATCCCAGCACTTTGGGAGGCTGAGGTGGGCGGATCACCTGAGGTCAGGAGTTTGAGACCAGTCTGGCCAACACGGCAAGACCCCATCTCTACTAAAAACACAAAAATTAGCTGGGCATGATGGTGTGTGCGTGTGGTCCCAGCTACCTGTGAGTCTGAGGCAGGAGAATCGCTTGAACCCAGGAGGCAAAGGTTGCAGTGAGCCAAGATCGTGCCACTGCACTCTAGCCTGGGTAAGGGAGTGAGACTCTGTCTTGGGTGGCGGGGGGTGGGGAGGCTGGGCACCGTAGCTTACGCCTATAATCCCAGCACTTTGGGAGGCTGAGGTGGACAGATCATAAGATCAGGAAATCGAGACCATCCTGGCAAACACAGTGAAACCCCATCTCTACTGAAAATACAAAAAATTAGCCGGGTATGGTGGCACGTGCCTGTAATCCCAGCTACTTGGGAGGCTGAGGCAGGAGAATCGTTTGAAACCGGGAAGCAGAGATTGCAGTGAGCAGAGATCACACCACTGCGCTCCAGCCTGGGCAACAGAGTGAGACTCTGTCTCAAAAAAAGAAAAAGAAAAAGAAAAATCCCAGCTCTCCCCTGACTAGCTCTGTGATCTTGGACAATCTACTTAACCCCTATGTCTGGGTTTCTCAATCAACAAAGCAATAGCACCAACTTCTTCAAGAGCAGCAGTTCTCAAAGTTTTTGGTCTCAGGATCCCTTTGCAACATACAAAAAAATTAAGGACACCTAAATTCTTGTTTATGTGACTTATTTCTTTCTGTATTTATCATATTAGAGAGTAAACCTGTGAACTTTAAAAAGTTATTAATTCCTTAAAAAATCAAAGTCATTACATTATTAATACAAAAGACATTTATGAAAAATAACTATATTATCCAAAAGAAAACTAAAAATTCTTAAGAGTGGCACTGTTTAACCCTTTTTCAAATTTTTCCAGTGTCTAGCTTAATAAAGGACAACTAGATTCTCACACCTGCTTCTGCATTTAGTCTCTTGTAATATGTTGTTTCAGTTGAAGGATATTAATAACATACAGCCTCCCAGATACATGGCTGGAAAGGAGGGGAGTATTTTAATTGCCTTTTCAAACAGCTGTGAATATTTTTGTTAATACTTTAGTAAAACTAAACAAGTGTCAGTTTCATAAAGGTTAGTTGCAACGCGGACTCTGAAACCGCATAAATGACACTTTGGTGCTTTGTTACATTAACATCTTTCAGACTGTCCTGTACTTGGAATGGATCTTATCCATACACATGTCTTTCCTGGTTCGCTGAGTGATGCAGACCTTCCAAACGTTGACACGTTTCATTATACAATGTAAAAAATATCACAAATTAACACAGCTACCTATCTCATCAGACACCTCCTTAAATAATGCGAAAGTGTCAAGCTCATGGTGGGCATATTCAAGGTTTCCAAAATGCTAATTTTTACTTATGAGCTCAATTTTTATCTTTAGCCACAAATACTGTCAGTTGTTTTCATTGATGCAACAAGCTTATTTTCTTCATTTTCAAGAAAATCCTGCAAAATACCCAAGTCTAAATTACCATAGTTTTTCTGTCAGTCACTACTTCAAGTAAAAATGGGGTGCCATGCAAAAAAGCAGCCAGTTCAACTCCCAGCTCGGACAACCTCCCAAATCCTTTGCCTTGAGACAACCGGCACATTTTGGCGTACAGCAGAAGAGTTTATATGTAATTCACATTTCGACACAGAATATTTTAATAATTTTATTTGAGTCAAAGCTTAATAGAATTAATAATTTTTACTACTTTAAGGCTATTTTTGAGAGAGCTAGATTTTGGTTTTTACTCATAGGTGTGTGGCACGGATGAGTAACACACCAGCTGGTGTAGTTTGGCACCACTGCCTCGGGATACGCGCTCAGGTGCCAGAAGTTTTCTCACGACTGCTTTTAAATCGTTGCCAAAAGCTCAACAAGGGGACAAAGTACAAAGGTCTATTCTGATGAAATGATTTTGGCCTTGTGGCCGCCCCCTGCAAAGGGGCTCAGGGTCTGCCACAGGTTCTTGAACCACACTTTGGGAACTGCTGCTCTAGACTTGTCTCAAGGATTAAATTACCCAATGTGTGCAGAATGCTTACGCCAGCACCTGCTAGAAAAGCACAATCTACGTGTTAGTTCCTATTAAAACATGTTGTCACAGAATGAAATTGCATCTTCCTACAGAATGCTGGATCTTGAACTTCATCCACAACACATTTACTTTTGGCTTTCTAAATAACACACATAAATCAGGCCACCGTCTTAAATGTCACTAACTATTAAGCCAAAGAAGTTGTTCAATTTAAAGAAAAGAAAGCATTCATACTTTCAATTACTTCAGAATTCTAGAGAAGTCTAGATATTGGTTTGATTATTTGCTCTGTCATTCAACAAATATTTCTTAAATACCTAGTAAACGTCTATGAAATGGGAACACAAATGAGAATTTTGAAAAAGGAACACAGAATAGGATCACACCTTCATGGAGCTTATCTTCTAGTTTAGGGAGATAAACAGGAAACAAAGAAAATATATAGTATAGTCGGTTTTACTAACGCACATATTTCTTTTATTCAAATTACTTCATATGTGGTTGAGAGATAGGAACTGATATTTGTATAACACAGAAGTTGTAGTGATTTATGTATGATTTCCCCCTGGAATATTAAGGATCTAAGGTGCTTATGAACAAGCTTTATCACTGAACCCAAAGGTGAGCCTTAAAATAAAAGGAAATGATCAGCAGCAGCAGCACAACAAATTACAATTTTAAAAACTAAAAAAAAAAAGGGCCTTCCTTTGTGTAGTGCAGGTAGTGACTAGTGGCCAGTTTAGGGGCTTCACAAACCACTTCACTTTCTATGACATTACACTATTGAGAGAAGTTGAAGGTGCATCTTGGAAGCCCTTTCTCTTTTTATCAAAACAGCAAATCAATGAAGAAAGTTACTAGTAGTATTATTTCTTTATTAGTGTCCTGATTGCAAAATTCCATAGATTTTTGAAGGTTTGTACATAACACTTTTTTCAGTGTTGTACATAACTTTTTTCATAAGTTGTGTTATTTTGGTTTATGATTTCACAGATTTTTTTTTTCAGGAAGACACATACAGAATAATAACAGAAACACCTTTATATAATGTAATGATAATGCTATAGAAAAAATAAAAGGAAGAAGAGGAAAAAAGAAATCTGGGGAAGAAGTGGCAATTTTCAACAAGGAAGATTGTTTTAAAAAGGCCTCGTTGAGAACGGGGTATCTGAGTAAGAAAGGGAAGCAGCTGATGAAGAGAGTCATGCACTCAGGTTTCCTGACAGCAGGAAAAGCAAGTACAAAGTCGCTGATGTGGGAGTCAGTCCACTGTGTTCTAAGACCAGCAGTGACACCAGGGTGGATGAAGTGCAGTGAGTGCGGGGGATGACAGATGAGGGTAAAAAGTAAGAGGAAGAAGTCTTATGGGACCCTGGACTTATAAGGGACAATGGAAGCCAATGGGGAAATTTTAGCAAAAGTTTGATAAGTTCTGACTTCACTACCTCACTCCGCACTCAACCCTGATGCAACTGGGCTACAAGTGCTGAAGCCGGGAGACCACTCAGGAGGCCATCTTGTTAATCCAGATGAGAAAGGACGGTCATTTGGTAAACTGGTTGCAGTAAAGGTGGCAATGGTTGATCAGACCTGGGGCCTAAGGGTGAAGCATAAGAGAAAAAGAAGAATCAATGATGATACCAAAATTTCTGGCCAGAAAAACCAGAAAGATGTAGTTGTCATTTCCCGAAATGGGAACTCATGATGGAAGGAGCTGGCTCAGAGGAAAAGAACAAGAGCTCAGTGTTGAACTTAGGATGTTTGAAATACCCACTAGACATCCACACAGAGCTGTTAAATTAGCAGTTAGATTCATGAAGTGTATGTTATTTTCACAAAAATGCAAAATTAACACCTTAGAAATTAATATCTTTCAAAAGTAACATCTGGAATTAGATAATTGGATCATTCCAAATCATAAATTTTATCTTAAAAAATCATCAATTAAAAAAAAAACTTTTGTCAAAGACATGAAACATACAAATTAAATGAACCAAAACAACTTAATTTGATCAGAAGTTAAAATTTAAATGTCCTAGACTATTTCAAAAACAAACCTAAAAATAGAAATCACCTTATCTAAAATAAAGATTTGCAAAAGCTCTGAAATAATTTTACTCTGAAACATTTTAATTCTCATTTTCTTACCAAGTATACCCAGTTGGTATCCCAAATCTAATTATGTAATCAGACATAGTGAAAATTACTCTGGAAAAAAAAAGGAAAATTAAATAGTAGGTGACATTTCTATTATTCAAGAGAGAAAAATGTACTGCCTAAATATATAATGGAATCAATAATTTAGGTGCATCATTTTAAACCATCAAGCTGTTCTTTAGCTTCCTTCCCAATAAGAAGGAAAAGTCAACATTATTAGTAAACAGGAAGGTCTTACATGCCTGAGCAATGAAGTAGATGAGACTCAGCAGTTCACTGACGACTGTGGGCATTTTTTCCTTGAGAATATTTTTCCTTAAGTGAAACATTATTTCTTCAAACCATAAAACAATCTAATAAGCACTGAGCTACGTATGCTTTCTCCTTACAGATAGAATTATACAGTAAAAACTTCCTGACAGCCTAAAATTCCACAATATATCCCTTTGGATTATTTAACTGTTCTTTCAAATGCCAAAACCACAAGGTGGAAAACAATTACATTATACAGTAGACATCACACCTAGTGTGTGTGTGTGTGTGTGTTTCTTGTTTTTTTTTTCCTCAAGTGCTATAGAGCATTAATCAAGATAGAAAACATCCTAGACTAGTAAACAAACCTAAAAAAAATTAAAAGAACTAAATTTATACAGAGTGTATCCTCTGGCCATAGTATTAACAGAATAAAACTAGAAAACAAAAACCAAAAGACAACAGGAATATCTCCAAAGACCTGGAAACTGAATGACAGAATTTTTAAAAATAAACAAGTCAGAGAAAAAATGTTTGGGGCTGGACACCGTGGCTCATGCCTGTAATCCTAGCACTTTGGGAGGCCGAGGTGGGCAGATCACCAGAAGTTGGGAGTTCAAGACCAGCCTGACCAACATGGAGAAACCCTGTCTCACCTAAAAATACAAAATTAGCCTGCCGTAGTGACACATGCCTGTAATCCCAGCTACTCTGGAGGCTGAGGCAGCAGAATCACTTGAACCCAGGAGGTAGAGGTTGCAGTGAGCCAAGATCACACCATTGCACTCCAGCCTGGGCAACAAGAGCAAAACTCTGTCTCAAAAAAAAAAAAAAAAAGAAAAGAAAAGAAAAAGAAAAAGTCTGGAATTAAATAAAAAATAAATAAAACAATGAAAATATACAAAACAATGAAAATACAGCATATCAAAATATGTGTGAGATGCAGCTAAAGAAGTGTTGAGAGGAAAATGTATAGCACTAAAATGCTTACATTAGAAAGAGGGAAAGCCTGAAGTCAATAACCCACCTTCCTACCTCAAAAGAAGGAAAGTGAAAATAAATTTAAGGAAGAAAATAATAAAGGTAAGAGCAGAATCAGTAAAAAGGGACAGAGAAAAGTAATACAAGGACCAGATGGATTCACAGCCGAATTCTACCAGAGGTACAAAGAGGAGCTGGTACCAATCCTTCTGAAACTATTCCAATCAATAGAAAAAGAAGGAATCCTCTCTAACTCATTTTATGAGGCCAACATCATCCTGATACCAAAGCCTGGCAGAGACACAACCAAAAAAGAGAATTTTAGACCAATAGCCTTGATGAACATCGATGCAAAAATCCTCAATAAAATACTGGCAAACCGAAATCCAGCAGCACATCAAAAAGCTTATCCACCATGATCAAGTGGGCTTCATCCCTGGGATGCAAGGCTGGTTCAACATACGCAAATCAATAAAGGTAATCCAGCATATAAACAGAACCAAAGACAAAAACCACATGATTATCTCAATAGATGCAGAAAAGGCCTTTGACAAAATTCAACAACCATTCATGTTAAAACTCTCAATAAATTAGGTATTGATGGGACGTATCTCAAAATAATAAGAGCTATCTATGGCAAACCCACAGCCAATATCATACTGAATGCGCAAAAACTAGAAGCATTCCCTTTAAAAACGGGCACAAGACAGGGATGCCCTCTCTCAGCACTCCTATTCAACATAGTGTTGGAAGTTCTGGCCAGGGCAATCAGGCAGGAGAAGGAAACAAAGGGTATTCAATTATGAAAAAAGGAAGTCAAATTGTCCCTGTTTGCAGACGACATGATTGTATATCTAGAAAACCCCATCGTCTCAGCCCAAAATCTCCTCAAGCTGATAAGCAACTTCAGCAAAGTCTCAGGATACAAAATCAATGTACAAAAATCACAAGCATTCTTATACACCAATAACAGACAAACAGAGAGCCAAATCATGAGTGAACTCCCATTCACAATTCCTTCAAAGAGAATAAAATACCTAGGAATCCACCTTACAAGGGATATGAAGGACCTCTTCAAGGAGAACTACAAACCACTGCTCAAGGAAATAAAAGAGGATACAAACAAATGGAAGAACATTCCATGCTCATGGGTAGGAAGAATCAATATCGTGAAAATGGCCATACTGCCCAAGGTAATTTACAGATTCAATGCCATCCCCATCAAGCTACCAATGACTTTCTTCACAGAATTGGAAAAAACTACTTTAAAGTTCATCTGGAACCAAAAAAGAGCCCGCATCGCCAAGTCAATCCTAAGCCAAAAGAACAAAGCTGGAGGCATCACGCTACCTGACTTCAAACTATACTACAAGGCTACAGTAACCAAAACAGCATGGCACTGGTACCAAAACAGAGATATAGATCAATGGAACAGAACAGAGCCCTCAGAAATAATGCTGCATGTATATCTACAACTATCTGATCTTTGACAAACCTGAGAAAAACAAGCAATGGGGAAAGGATTCCCTATTTAATAAATGGTGCTGGGAAAACTGGCTAGCCATATGTAGAAAGCTGAAACTGGATTCCCTTCCTTACACCTTATACAAAAATTAATTCAAGATGGATTAAAGACTTAAATGTTAGACCTAAAACTATAAAAACCCTAGAAGAAAACCTAGGCAATACCATTGAGGACATAGGCACAGGCAAGGACTTCATGTCTAAAACACCAAAAGCAATGGCAACAAAAGCCAAAATTGACAAATGGGATCTAATTAAACTAAAGAGCTTCTGCACAGCAAAAGAAACTAACATCAGAGTGAACAGGGAACCTACACAATGGGAGAAAATTTTTGCAACCTACTCATCTAACAAAGGGCTAATATCCAGAATCTACAATGAACTCAAACAAATTTACAAGAAAAAAACAAACAACCCCATCAAAAAGTGGGCGAAGCATATGAACAGACACGTCTCAAAAGAAGACATTTATGCAGCCAAAAGACATGAAAAAATGCTCCTCATCACTGGCCATCAGATAAATGCAAATCAAAACCACTATGAGATACCATCTCACACCAGTTAGAATAGCAATCATTAAAAAGTCAGGAAACAACAGGTGCTGGAGAGGATGTGGAGAAATAGGAACACTTTTACACTGTTGGTGGGACTGTAAACTAGTTCAACCATTGTGGAAGTCAGTGTGGCGATTCCTCAGGGATCTAGAACTAGAAATACCATTTGACCCAGCCATCCCATTACTGGGTATATACCCAAAGGATTATAAATCATTGTGCTATAAAGACACATGCACACGTATGTTTATTGTAGCACTATTCACAACAGCAAAGACTTGGAACCAACCTAAATGTCCAACAACGATAGACTGGATTAAGAAAATGTGGCACATATACTCCATGGAATACTATGCAGCCATAAAAAAGGATGAGTTCATGTCCTTTGTAGAGACATGGATGAAACTGGAAACCATCATTCTCAGCAAAATATCACAAGGACAAAAAACCAAACACCCCATGTTCTCATTCATAGGTGGGAATTGAACAATGATAACACATGGACACAGGAAGGGGAACATCACACACTGGGGACTGTTGTGGGGTGGGGGAAGGGGGGAGGGATAGCATTAGGAGATATACCTAATGCTAAATGACGAGTTAATGGGTGCAGCACACCAACATGGCACATGTATACATATGTAACAAACCTGCACGTTGTGCACATGTACCCTAAAACTTAAAGTATAATAATAAAATAAAATTTAAATAAATAAATAAATTGATAAGAAAGCTGGATCTTTGAGAAAAAAACTGATAAACCTCTAGCAAGACTAAAATAAATAAAAAGAGAGAAGACACAAATCATCAACACCAACAATGGTATCACTGCAGATATTGAAGTCATTAAAAAAAGAATACTATGAACAACTTTAAGCTCACAAATTTAACAGCTTAGAAGATAGAAACCCATTCCTAGAAAACTACAAACTACTAAAATTCAGCCAAAATGAAATATTAATAGTCCAAATAGTCCCATAAGCAATTAAAGAAATTGAATTTATAATTTAAAAGCTTCTCAATAAAAATTCTCCAGACCCAGTTGATTTCACTGGAGAATTCTACCAAACATTTAAAGAAGAATCAACACCAATGTACATAATTTTGTCCAGAAAACAGTAGAGAAAGAAACATCTCCCAATTCATTTCTTGAAGACTATTACTACCTTGATATAAAATCTTGACAAATACAAAAAAGTAAACTATAGACCAGTATCTCTCATAAACTTAGACCCAAAAATCTTCAACAAAATATTAGCAAATGAAATCCAGTAATGTATTAAAATAACGTATATGCAACTAAGTAGAGTATCTTCTAGGTATGTAAGGCTGGTTCAACATTCAAAAAACAAAAAAAGAAAGAATCTACCACATCAATGGGATAAGGAAAAAAATTAGGTGAGCTATCAATTGAGGCAGAAAAAGCATTTGACAAAATACAACATTCATGATCTTAAAAACTATTCACCGAATTAGGAATAGAGAGGAGTTCTGTCAATCTTATTTAAAAATCAATTTTTAAAAACCTACATTGGCCAGGCACGGTGGCTAATGCCTGTAATTCCAGCACTTTGGGAGGCCGAGATGGCCGGATCATGAGGTCAGGAGATCGAGACCATCCTGGCTAACACGGTGAAACCCTGTCTCTACTAAAAATACAAAAAATTAACCGGGCGTGGTGGTGGGTGCCTGTAGTCCCAGCTACATGGGAGGCTGAGGTAGGAGAATGGCGTGAACCCGGGAGCTTGCAGTAAGCCAAGATTGCGCCGCTGCACTCCAGCCTAGGCAACAGGGCGAGACTCCATCTCAAAAAAAAAAAAAAAAAAAAACTACATCTAATATCACACTTAACACAGTTAAAGACAAAACGATTTTTCCGTAAACTTGGTAATGAATCAAGGATGTCTGCTCTCATCACTCCTATTCAACATAGTATAGGAAGGTCTCGCCACTGAATAAAAATAAATAAAAGATGTACATACTGGAAGGAAAGAACTAAAATTGTTATTATTTGTAGATGATGTTACTGTCTATGTAGGAAATCCCAAAGAAGCTAAACACTCACACTCACACAGCCCTTCTAGAACTAATGTGTTTAACAAGGTCACATGATACAAGATCAACACACAAAATCAATCACATTTCTATAAACGATGAACATTTAGAAACCAAAATGAAACACATAATACCATTTACAATCACTCCAAAGAGAATGATATACTTAGGTATAAACTTTAGAAATTATGACCTGTATGCTGAAAATTATAAAATGCTGGTAACAGAAATCAAAAAGACTGAATTAAATGAGGAGACACACCATGTCCATAGAATTAAAGACTCAACATAGTAAAAATGTAAAATCTATGCAACCAGACACACAGGTGTAATGGAATTATTGTCCAAATACCAGCATATTTAATTATAGATATATACAAGATTATTCTAAGCTTTATATGAAAAAAGGAAGTAGAATATCTAAAACAATTTTACAAAATAATATGAGGAATCACTCTTCCTGATTTCAAAGTTACTATCTAGCTACAGTAATAAGGACAGTATGGTATTCATAGAGGGATCAAAGACATAAAATAGAGAGCTGGCAAACACTCAACACAAGGCAGCCAACTGACTTTTGAGAAAAGTGAAAAATTCAGTGGAGGAGGGACAGACTTTTAAACAAATGATGCTAGGCAATTGAATACCTAGAAGGCAAAAAATCAAACATTTACCTAATCTTCACACCTTCTATACAAATTAAATCAAAATGGACCAGGAACTTAAACGTAGAACCATAAAACATTTCAAAAAAATGGGAGAAAATATTTGTAATGTGGGGCCAGGCAAAGACTCTTAGACCTGACATAAAAAGCATAATGCACAAAAGAAAAATGACAAATTAAACCTTATCAATATTAAAACCTTCTGCTCTTCAAAAGACTCTACGGAGAGATGAGAAGACAGACACAGATTAGGAGAAAATACAGGCAAACCACATTATCTGAAAAAGAACTAGCATCTAGAATATACAAAGAATCCGCAGAAATCAGTAGCAGGAAACAAACAATCCAAATAGAAAATGAGCAAAAGATATAAACAGACATTTCACTAAAGAGAATCTACAGATGGCAAATCAGCACATGAAAAGATGTTCAATATCATTAACGATTAGAGAATCGCAAATTAAACCACCATGAGATATCACTGCACATCTATCGGAATGGCTACAGTAAAAAACAGCGAGAACGCCAGATGCCGGTGAGGATGTAAAAAAAAAAAAAAAAAAAAAAAAAGGTGGATTAGTCCCACATTGCTGGTGGCTACACAGAGTACTATAGACACTCTGGAAACCAGACTGGTGGTTTCTGATAAAAGCAAGCATGCAACTACCATGCAACCCAGCAACTGTTCTCTTGGGCATTTATCCCAAAGAAATGAAGACATATG
Organism: Homo sapiens; assembly: GCF_000001405.40. Classification (NCBI taxonomy): domain Eukaryota; kingdom Metazoa; phylum Chordata; class Mammalia; order Primates; family Hominidae; genus Homo; species Homo sapiens. The sequence continues at coordinate 3,598,936 of NC_000007.14, read as the reverse complement.
TTCACACAGAAACCTTCCTAGGTAACAGCTTTAGTCATGACAGCCAAAAGCTAAATACAGCCCACGTCCTTCAAAAGGTGAATGGTATACAAACTGTTATATGTCCACACCACGGTTTACTACTCACTAATAAAATGGAACAAACTATTGATACCTGCAGTAACCTCCATAAATTTGCAGTGAATTTTGCTGAGTGACAAAAATGTGATCCCAAAAGGTCACACACAGTGTGATTCCTTTTATATAATATTCTTGAAATGACAAAAGTATAGAAATAGAGAAGGGATTAGGGTTTGCCAGGGCCAGGGATGGGGACAAGGGAAATGAGGAAGGTGTGACAATTAAAGGGCAATGCAGGGATCTTGTGCTGACAGAAATATTCTGGTCTTGACTGCCCTGATGCTGGTGTCCTGGCTGTAATACCGTATTATACTTTTGTAACATGTTACCATTGGGAGAGTCTACATGGGTACACGGGATCTCTGTGTATTACTTCTAACAATTGCATTTGAGTCTACAATGATCTCAAAATAAAATAAAAATAAAAAGCTTAATTTAGAACAAACACACTGTTGAGTTGAATAAGAAAGCCACAGAGTAAGAGAAAATATTCTGATAATGCATATCTTGCAAGAATTTATATCCAGAGTCTATAAAGAATGCCTACTCATCAATGATAGAAAAGACAAATGGAAATATATAAATAAAATGAGCAAAAGGCTTGAACATGCACTTCCTAAAGGAAGATCTACAAACAGCCCACGAGCACATGGGAAGCTGCTCAACATCATTTGACATCAGAAACTATAAGTGGCTAAATTGAATAATACAAACAACACTAAATGTAGGCAAATAGGTGTAGCAACTGCAACTCATACATTACTGGTGAACATGTAAAAATGGTACAACCACTTTAGAAAAAGGCTTTACAATTTATCATAAAATTAAATACCTACACAATGATCCAGAAGTTCCAGGCCTGGATATTTCCCCCAAGAGGAAAAAAAGCATACATCCACACGAGTAATTTTTTATAAACGGTCAAAGTACTGTTATTTATAGTGCCCTACATGGAAAACGACAGAGACGTACATCAATAAAAAGAAACAAACTGGTAAACTCAGCACCATCGAGGAATCTCACAGACATTTTGATGGGTGAAAAAAGTCAAAAACAAAACTGTCTGTACTGTATTGTCCAACAAAATTATGGGAGGCCATTGCACTGCACTGAGCCCCTCTCCCCTAGGCCCCGACAGACCAGACCAAACCAAAATGAAGTCACTGAGCTAAATGCGACCTAATCAAACTAAGACTGTAAGGAAACAGATCAATCTCAAAACAGAGCAGGTTATTTTCCTCCTAAAATGGGACACTCCAGCATAATAAGGAAGTTCTCTCTAACACTTTCGAAAAAGCAACCTGAAGTAACCAACAGGTGGCCTCCCCGCCGCCGGTGTTCTGTGTCCTGTTTCTATCTTACAAAACCCACTGTTCTGCTATTTCCCAGTGGGATTTGAGGTTTCAGTCTCTTTATGACACTGAAAGAGTGATGTGAAAATGGAGAAGTTGACCAAAAGGGGAGAAGTTTTCTCAGTACAAAGTGAACTGTAACTAGATAACATAAACAGACTGTAACATCCTCTTTTTTTTTTTTTTTTTTTTTGAGACCAAGTCTTACTCTGTCGACCAGGCTGGAGTGCAGTGGCGCGATCTGGGCTCACTGCAAGCTCCGCCTCCCGGGTTCACGCCATTCTCCTGCCTCGGCCTCCTGAGTAGCTGGGACTACAGGCACCCGCCACCACATCCGGCTAATTTTTTGTGTATTTTTAGTAGAGACAGGGTTTCACCGTGTTAGCCAGGATGGTTTCGATCTCCTGACCTCATGATCCGCCTGCCTCGGCCTCCCAAAGTGCTGGGGTTACAGGTGTGAGTCACCTCGCTCAGCCTGTAACCTACTCTTATACCAGTTTTGGCCAATCACAGGCGGCCAGTGTTCAAACTGTGTTCAAGTAAGGCAGACGCTAAGCTGTAACCAATCTAGCTGTTTCTGTACCTGTACCTCACTTCTATCTTTTATGGTGCTTTCCTTTTTCTGTTCATAAGTGTTATCTGATGATGTGGCAGCATGAGTTACTCTGAACTTAGGCTAGCCTGGGGGCTTCTGATTCCAGAATTAGTCTTCGCTCAATTAAACTCTGCTAAATTTCCTTTGTCTGAAGTTCTTCTTTTAACATTTTGATTTCCTTCATATGAAATTCAAGCACAGGTAATATTTATCTATTTGAAAAGAAATCAGAAAAACGACTGCCTACAGGGATGGAGATTAATTGGAAGGGCCTGAGGGAACTTGCAGGGGTGATGGAGACGTTCATCTGGAGTGAGGAGGTGGTCACAAAGTCCATGCGTTTGTCAAAACTTACCGGCTTATGCACTTAACATCTATGAAATTCTTTTCATGCTTTCTGTACATTTTACCTCAATTAAAAATCCTTAGAGCAGACATCTACCCATTGTTACAGAAATGGAGACACACTTTCCTCAGTCACTGCCTCGAGCAACTTTACCACAATGACTGTGGTTTGTTCTGATGGTCACTGGCACTGTCAGACTTACTCTCTTGTACCAATTATTGTGCTAAGGAGACTGCCTATTACTGAAATTTCATTTCTCCTATTACTGTTTAACTCTCATGCAACCCAGCCAGATGGAAGAGCCAGCAAGATGACAGCTTCTGTTACTACCCCTGGAACGACAGACTGAAACGCTCCAAAATGCGGAACTTTTTGAGCACCAACAAAGGAAATGCTCACTGGAGCATTTCAGATTTGGAATTTTTAGATAAAGGATAATTAATCTGTGCTACCTAACAATTATTGAGCATCTACTTCATACCAAGGAGGAAATATTTTAATAAATACTATCTGAAATGTTCTCACAACGACCGCATCAGGTAGATGGTATGACTTAAAAAAAAAAAAAAAATACCCATTAGACAGGTTAAAACACCGAGCCAGAGTGGTTAGTGTTGACTAGTAACTAGACAACATAAACAGACTGTAACCTCCTTTTTTGTTGTTGTTTTTTTTTTTTTTTTTTTTTTTTTTTTGAGATGAAGTCTTAACTCTGTCGACCAGGCTGGAGTGCAGTGGCACTATCTGGGCTCACTGCAAGCTCCGCCTCCCGGGTTCATGCCATTCTCTAACAATTAGACTCGTTCAAAGTCTAACTTTGAACTGGTAACTTTGACTAGTTCAAAGTCACGCAGGAAGTGGCAGAGTCAAGGTCAAACCCCTGTGGTACAAATACTTCCATGATCATGTCACTCTGCCTCACTGCCCCTAAGATTCAGAATGTAAACTAAAAATGAATAGAATTATAACTGCATAATTAAATATTATCAGTAGTGCTGGTGAGTTTTATTAAATATATCGGAGGCAACAGTTTATGTTTCTGTTTCAAAAATGAGAAAATATACATACAAATATGCCTCTTACCCAAGACCAAGCAAAGTCCAGATAACTGTTATTAGAAAAGCAATCAAAGATAATCCATGCAGTAGCTATTAATATATATTTCATGCAGGGGACATTTAATAAATAGGGTAGAAGTATATAAATGAATTTATATATAATTTTTTACAAGCAAAATATCATAAAGTTACGAATAGGGTAGAAGTATATAAATGAATATATATATAATTACAAGCAAAATATCATAAAGTCACCAATATGGCAGAAAAAAACAGTGTTAATTAGCTAGCTGAAAAAGCTCACATTATTCAGGCAAGATTCAAAAAAAAAGTAATCGGGAGAAAATTGGCTGCATCTGACTTCAATCTTCTACGCGTTGCTGAAATCAAATTGGAACTCACTGTGGTGGCAACAAGGGTATTTTCCATCTTTCCAATCACCCATTTTTGTTAAATTAAAACATAAAAGCAACTAGAGATTAAACCAAACAAAATGAGTGCTCTACACATAAACCTACTAGAAAAACAGTAAACCCTATACATTAATGATGATTTAGCTTTACCTAGAAATAACATTTTCTTTTAATGAGATGCAGGTATGATTCTTTAAGTATGCTTGATTTTAAAACTATCCTCACTCTTGCCCCTCTAATGAAAGCAGGGACTGATGGTTCTTATATCAGTATTATCTCTAAAACAGTAAGCAATTTTTCTTACAATCAATAGTATATTTAGACTAATAAGCACAGGAAAAATGTTCAATGTCATTAGTCACTGGGAAAATTAAAATCAAAGTCACAATTAATGAGGTAACCCACCCAAACCACCCAGTAAAGTGACTAGAATCAAAAAGACAAACAATTACAAGTGTTGGCAAGGATGTGGAGAAATCAGAACCCTCATACATGACCGGCGGCAATGTAAAATGGAAATGGTTTGGCGGTCTCTCAAAATGTTAGGTATCAAGTTACCATACGACCCAGTAATTCCATCCTTAGGTATATACTCAAGAGAAACGAAAACATACATCCACACAAAAACTTGTATTATCAATGCTCATAGCAGCATTATTCATGATAGCCAAAAAGCAGAAACAATCCAAATGTCTATCAACTGATAAATGGATAAGCAATATGTGGTATATCCACACACTTTATTAATCTGCAATAAAAAGGAATTTGGGTGTTGACACATGTTGCAACATGGATGAGCCTTGAAAACACTATGTTGAGTGAAACAAGTCAGTGACAAAAACCGTCTATGTATGATTACATTAATATAAATGTCCCTAGTAGGCAAATCTATACAAAGTAGGTGAGTGATTACCTGGGAAATAGGGAAGCAGGGCAGAGAGGCAGGAGGAGATAGAGAGTGACTCCTAGTAGGTACATGGTTTCTTTTGGGGATGTTCTAAAATTAGATTATGATGATGGTTGCACAACTCCCTAAACATGTTAAAAATCATGAATTACACACTTTAAAATGGTGAACCCTATGGCTGTAAATTATATATCAATAAAGTTGTTAAAATGATATATTTAGGAAACAACAGTTTATGCTAGGCATGGTAAGTGCTATTATCTTCATTCTTTTACAAATGAGAAAACGGGCACACAGGGGTTCAGAAAGAGAAAAGAGCTGCGAAGTGGCAAAGCCAGAACCCGGAACCTGTCTCAAGAGCTTACGTTCTCACCCACTGTGCCATATGCCCTCTTGCGTATACACAGCTTTTTGTTTGGGGGTGTCGCCAGTGGCCAGTGAGCAGGAGGAAGGGAAGGGAGATTGGAGGGGAATCATCCATCAGTTGATTGAAGCTTGCATATACATTCTTAAAGACTCAAGAGGTTCCCCAGTAAGCATGGGTGCCTATCTTTTAGTCCAGGTCCTTAGCTGAGGCTAGTCAATGCAGTACGGCAATAGGAAAGACAAACATCTTGAGAAGCTGTCTTCAAAGTTTTCTTCAAAGGAATGATGTTCCAAAACAAGTAGAAGTATACAAAGATGAGCTGAGCACTTCCAAACCACCAAGGTCTTTGAGTAAAGCTAGGTTTGGAGAACGGGGCAGCTGATGCATGGTGAAGCTCATGTGCATCACATACTATCCCCAGACCTGGGGGCAGGAGATTTGAGAAACAGCCCCACCTTGTCCCCAGTGCTCCATGCGCCCTACACCAGAAAGGGAAGCACAGGGGCAGTGCTTCTATGTAGAAATAAGACAAAAGGCCACTTTTCAAAAGTCCAGAGGTGCTGAGAAAAGGGCTGCTGCATAAATACGTTCTTAAAGTCAAGAAATTAACTTGATGATGAGTAAGACTCCTTCAAATAGTACCTAACACACTAGCTTACTGCAGATACTGCACCAAGTTAAATATGTTCCCCATTAGCAGGACAGAGGCAAAATTCTCTTCTGCATCTCCACTGATTTCCACTTGCAACACTCGTTTTGTCCAGGTGTCAGCAATGCGTTTCCACAGATGGGTAATCTTGTCCTAGGTACAAGTCCCAGCTGCCCAATGCCCTGCAAGCCTGCAGAGGGCAGGAGGACAAGGACTCCAGGTTATTCACTGGCTGGTTTTCACTTTCACATATTAATCAGCAGTGCATTAAAAACCCATCAGTGTTTCAAAACACAACAAACATATACTTCCTAATAATCAGATCATATGTTAAGGTGTGGCAATCTGAGCAGATTCTGGAGCTACGATAGAGCAAAGTTCTTTATATAAAGCGGTGACATTTACCCAAGCAGGATTCCCACAGCGCGAGTCCCCACGCTTCATCAGCCTGCTGTGCATTATACAAAGGCATGGAAACGAATGTCTGGTAGCAGTTAGGAAAGGAAACAGAACACCAACATAAGTAAACAGAGGGTAAAATCCAGCTCAGGGAAAAATAAATAAATAACCTTCACTGGGCAGAATTCATCAGCAGCAATACACAAACAGCATCATTAAAATGTCGCAAGAATGACGAGGAGGTAGAGAGAAAGAAAAGGGCAGTGAGCAGAGTGATAATTATCTGGACTATTAAAAGACTTAAAGTAGAAGGCGGTTTCTGAAATTTGCACAGGCTAGATCCTTGCATTTTGCAGGGATTCCTTCTCATTTTGCAGGGATTCTGTTATTCTGGAACATCTGAATGTAAGGTGGGGGAGAGGGGAGAAACGGCAATTATATTTTTAAATGGCACATAATCTTTTACGATAGATAGCTGACATTTTATAGTAAGAAATCATTTTGATTTCACACTGTTGGGTGATTCTTATAATGACTTGAGGAGCTCTAAAGAAATAAAGTATCAGCAGGCGGTCAGTCAAACACTAAGAAATTCCTCACTCCACAGGCAGTAATCAGGTTGAAATACTTCCTCCATTACTTCCAAAAATAGAGCTGATAGTGATACAAAGGGCTTCCCAGTTTCAAAACTGTAATTTCCACAAATGGTAAAAATATATTCATTTGTTTCTGTATAGAACTATCTGTAGCCTTGTTTGTCATCTGTATCCGGGCATCTAAGAGAAGTCACCTTTTGTGGAAATTTATTGACCCCAGTCCTCTCAAACTTCAGACACCACCCCAGGTTCCCTGTATCTGATCCTTATGCACTCAAAGTTTGAGAATCACTAATTTAAAGGTTTGCCTCCCATTGGATAAATTTTGCAAGTACTTTAAAAATGAGCTTCATGTTTAAAATGCAAACAAAAGCAATATATGAACACCTCTGCACATATACACACATGCCCCACACGAGTGCAAAGAATACAAATAGCTTCCAGCGGCCATGGGCCCACAGTGATCATTAACACTTCCCACCCATCAACGTACAGCAGACCCACTGCAAATCTACCAAGATATAAACTAAAAAGGCACTGGTCGCATGTTCTTTCAAAGGAAGAGGCCCCAGTGATTACTGCAATTTGTTTTTCTGAATGTCAATGTGAACAGCCAGTGCAAAATATTTCTTTAATTTTATGACTTTCACAACGTGGCCAAAGCCGAAACCTCTGTGCAGACACATAAAGGACATCCAGGCAGGAATTAATAATGGGAAGGTCTCCCCTAGGCGGCCAGTGATCCTTCCCAGGTCAATCAGATGAAAGTACTAAATTAACAGCTAGGTCATGCTGTGCCCTGCAGGCTCAGAGCAGTTTAAAAAGGGGCTACTGGGAGGTTTCAAAAACTTAGGTCCTGGCACTCAGTATTATGACACTGCAAAAGGAAAAAGGTAATCCTTATACTAACTGCCATCTGACACATAAAAACATTAAAGATAAAGGTTAACACCTTGAACTGCCTACAGGTTGATAGGAGCTGCCTTCATCAGAGTATCACAACCTTAAAGTTAAAATGTTAAAATACAGGAATCTACCTTTAAACAAATAATATGATTAAAGAATGATTATCATATAAACCGTTGTTCTTAACTTTGCACATTAGGATCTCCTGGGGAGTTTTTTAAAATGCTCTACCAGCCTGGGCAACATGGCAAAACTCCATGTCTGCAAAAAATACAAAAATTAGCCACGTGTGGTGGCACATGCCAGTAGTCTCAGCTACTTGGGAAGCTGAGGCAGGAGGATCGCTTGAGCCTGGGAGGTCAAGGCCACAGTAATCTACGATCATGCCACTGCACTCCAGCCTGGGGGACAGAGCAAGACCAGGCCTTAAAAAAAAAAAAAAAAAAAAAAGTGCTATACTCAGCCCTCACTGCAGACCCATTAAATCTAAAGGTCCAGCAGTGAGGCTCTGTTATCAGTATTTTTAAGGTTTCCCTTGTGAAGTAAATGCGCAGCTAAGGATGAGACTATTAAAAGGAACTGGAGGATACCACATACAGTTATTTGAAATTTGCAATCTTCCCCAAAATATCTTTAGACTTTTCATTTTAATTAATAGATTTCTGTTGCCCAATGCAAGGAATTACTGTGATTTAGTGATTTCAAACTTATTAGCATTCACATTTTGGAAGCTAAATGAAATATCTTAAATCGTCAATTCACTTGTTGGTATAGTTTGTCATTAAATTTGTTACATGATGTAAAACTAAAAAATCTTTGTTCTGCAGAGTTTGATTTTCCAATTTATCCATAATTTGTCTTTGCTATTGTATTTTGTCTATAGTATTATTCATTCACACTTCAAAGCAAAAAAAAAAAAAAAAAAAAAGGAACAGGAAAGGAGGTGAAAGTTGAAATATACCCATTTCTTTACATCAAATCCACTAAAATTCAACTTCTGCTCCAGTATCCGTAACAGAAAACTGAAGAAACATAAAGAAACTGAACCCAAAGGTTTGGGAGCACAGCCTGAGGCTACCTGCTATAAGCTTTACATTCCAATTTTAGTTTTCCATTTTATAAGTCTGTAATAGTGTATCATCTATCCCCTAACACATACGTATTTACACTAATAGGAAAACTAATTTTCCAATCACTGTAACTCTCACGTATATCCTGGCCTAGCACCCTGTAAAGAGCTCAGGAAGCACATGACTCAGGTCAAGTGCAGGCTGTGACATGCACAGCACAGACTCTGCATAACCTCAATATTCCATCTGTTATTGCTTATTACTTGGCTTATTCCTCACAGTCTGGGTATTATGCAAATATTATAACTGTCTTCTGATATGGTTTGTCTGTGTCCCCACCCAAATCTCATCTTGAATTGCAGCTCCCATAATCCCCATGTGTCATGAGGGACCCAGTGGGAGGCAATCGAATCATGGGGGTGGTTTTTTCCCATGCTGTTCTCATGACAGTGAGTCCTCAAAGATCTGATGGTTTTATAAAGGGCAGTTCCTCTGCACATGCTCTCTTGCCTGCCTCCATTTAAGACGTGTCTGTACTCCTCCTTTGCCTTCCACCATGATTGTGAGGCCTCCCCAGCCATGTGGAACTATGAGTCCATTAAACTTCTTTTCTTTATAAATTACCCAGTCTCAGGTATTTCTTCATGCAATATGAAAATGTACTTCCAAAAATGGTGCTCACAGCAGCCAATAGTAATATACGCAAAACCTAAAAGACATGGGGAGGCGCCATGGAGGTGGTGCTGGTGCACGGGAAGAGTCTGTGCACTGACATCAAAAGACCCACACCACCTGTGAAATAAGTACTGATGTCAAAAGGCCCATGACAACTGGGAGATCAGTACTGACGTCAACAGGCCCACGCCAACTGTGAGACCAGTACTGACGTCAAAAGGCCAACACCACCTGTGAGATCAGTACTGACATCAAAGAGTCCGCACCAACTGTGAGATCAGTACCAACGTCAAAAGCTCCACGCCAACTGTGAGATCAGTACTGACGTCAAAAGGCCCACATTAACTGTGAAGTCAGTTTCCAAATCTCTAAAAAGGGGGTAATAATTTCTCCCTGCTGAGTTGCAGAATTGACTTGATGTCCGTAAAACAGCTGTTAGCTAATATTGATCTAATATGAATACAAATTATCTCCTGTCCCCACATCTGATTCACTGCTCCATGTCAAGATACTAAAATCCTAAATAAAAAAGCAGCTTCTTTTGTAGTATATAACAACTTTGATCTCATTTTTGATAAGCCAAAACACATAAAAATGACTATGAAGAGAAAGGAAAGCAGAGTAAATCCAATGCTTTGATTCTTTTATTTCCTTTATTTGGATCATCCAAAGTAGTGATGCAAAGTAGCTTTACACTTTTATCAATTTTCTCACATATAATAAACTATTTTATTCTAGAACTGATAGCAAGGAGAAACTAAATCAACCCAATACAGATGTTGATAAAACCTGCTCAATTTAAAATAATTCCATCAGTGAGGTGCCCAAAAGGTCTCCCTAAATCTTTTCCAACATCTTTCTCACACTTAACATTAAGCCACTGACTGAAGAGACTTTCATCACCTCAACAATGAATCTAGGAACGCACCCTGCAGGATCGCAGGACCTGGCACCTGTCCAGCACATTCAACATCCTCTCACACCTCACAGAAGAAAAACTAAACACTTCGAGCTGGGGGCTTTCAGAGGTGAATTTTCTGAACCAGAAACTTTGTGTCTGTTGTTTTTTGTTTCTAATCTGACATAAACTGCAACACAATTTAGCATAGCCTTTACTCATTAGTATACAACTAAAAGACTGTTGTAAACAAACTTAATAAATATCTGCAGACTAAAAATAAATGCTTCTGAAAATATAACGTTATTAATCTGATGTTATAAATTTCATAGCTAGGCTTTTCACCAAATCCCTCTTGACCTAAGTAACAGGTATGTTTTGCTTGAAGAAACCTTATATTTGACTGACAAATCAGATTATAATAAGTCACTTAATTTCTCTGTAACTCAGCTCCCTTACCTGTAAAACGAGAATGGCAGAATACAGGGCTCGTAGATCCACCAAAGATTGACCTAGGATTCCTTGAAATGCTGAACATCCCTACTACATTTGAAATAAGATTCAATTTACAAAGAATTGATTTACCCGCAGCTTTTCAAGAGCAAGCCTGTATTGGCATAGACATAAGTCTATTGGATCAATGAACCATCCAACACATGTTTACTGAACATTTAGTACATGGAAGGCAATTGTGTCAGCTACTGAGAACACACAGGAGAAGATCTGGCCCCTGCCCTGGAGCAGCTTACAATTTAGATGTGGAGAGCTGATGTCTACCCATGGAAAGCTAGATAACACTCAGGAAAGGCCAAGGGGCAGTGTACTTTTGTCAACTTGAGTGGGCCACGGGGTGCCCAGATACTTAATTAAACATCATTCCTGGGTGTGTCTGTGAAGGTATTTCCGGAGAAGATCAGCATCTGAATTGGTGAACTGAGTAAAACAGACGGCCATCCCCGATGTAGGTAGGGATCGTCCAGTCCATTGGGGGCTGAAAAAGCGGAGGAAAGTTGGATTCACACTGCCTTCTCTCTTCTTGACAGCTCAGTCGGGGACATCAATCTTCTCCTGTACTTGGCACTCCTGGTTCTTAGGCCTTTAGACTCATACTGGAACCTGTACCCTTGGCTCTCTGGCTCTAACACTCCTGAACTACACCACCAGCTTGCCTGGGTCTCCACTTTGCAGCTGATAGATCATGGGCCTTCTCAGCCTCCATAATCACGTAAGCCAACACCTTCTAATAAATCTCTTTAGACACACACACACACACACACACACACACGTTCTGTTTCTCTGGAGAATCTTGACTAATACAAACAGCAAATGTTTAAAATCTCAAACTCTAAATCCCCTCTGACCCTCAATTTCTCCTCTGTCTTTGGCCTCAAATTGACCGCTAAATTCTTAGTTCTTTCCTTTTCCCTAGGTCCACAGCAGAGTTCTGTTAGGACTTAGCCATTGTTTCTGGACCCTTTCAACAAAGGTTTTCACACATGCCCAAGAATCACTCTCTGACAGGGCCTCAGCCCAAAGCCCAGATGTCTGCACTGTGCCCAGGGTCCTTCCTCCTCCTCCTCCACCTCAAGTTAGCACTATGCTGTCTGCTTCACCACAATGCCTGCTCACTCTGTATGCACTCTCAACGCTTACCAAAAAAATCTCTTACAGAACCCTTAATACGCTGGCTCTCACAACAGCTCCAGCACATGTCACCTCCCTGCTCAAGTGGCAGCTTCTGTCTTCAGTGAGTGCTTTCCCCTTGCCCCCAAAACATAAAGACATCCCACATGATACCCAGATGACAGTTAAGGCTACTCTGTCCTTAGACACTGTAACAAAATTGCTTCTGTCCTCTATTTCTTTTTTTTTTTTTTTTTTGAGACGGAGTCTTGCTCAGTCGCCCAGGCTGGAGTGCAGTGGCACGATCTCAGCTCACTGCAACCTCCACCTCCCGGGTTCATGCCATTCTCCTGCCTCAGCCTCCCGAGTAGCTAGGACTACAGGCGCCCGCCACAATGCCCAGCTAATTTTTTTTTTTTTTGTATTTTTTGTAGAGACAGGGTTTCACGGTGTTAGCCAGGATGGTCTCGATCTCCTGACCTCGTGATCCACCCACCTCGGCCTCCCAAAGTGCTGGGATTACAGGCGTGAGCCACCGCGCCCGGCCCTGTCCTCTATTTCTATATATCATGGGGGGTCTCGAGCCCTCCTCAATTTGCTGTGAATTCCTAAGAAACACATTCTCAAGGTCACCTCCACTGGGTGCACTTCCTCCCACTCATGACTCCTGGCCTAGGGCGGGCTCTTTCGGAGGTCTATGTTGACCCAGTAACTTAGCCCATTTTGTATGACTTAAATCCTACCTCTCTTCCTTTCCACCAAGACACTCACCCAAGGCACCTCTGGGTGTGGCACACTTCACTGAGAGTTAGGCAATGGTGAAGCCCTCAGCGCTCTCTCCCCCAGCGACTCTACACACCTCCCTGCTTCTCTCCTGGGCCAGCCCCACCATCAAAGGCAATTCCTCTTCCTTTACTTAGCACAGCAATGTAGCTCTCTTCCACTCAATCAGCTCTGCAGCCCATATTTGCATATCCGAAAGCTGATTAGTGTTTTGCTGAAACAAAGAGCCACATACTGTGTCTCCTTTAGCAACAAAGAAATGGTAGAGGCCCTGAGATGTCAGTCTTACTTCTAATCTCTTTCCCTCCCTTCTTGGAAAATGGAAAAGAGAAACAGATTTATTTCCTCGCTGACAAAAATTATACCACATGTTTAGAGGCAAAAGTGGCACACCTGTCTTTAGATTTCTCCCCCGTTTCATCTCTTATGCTGTGCTCAATCCTGATGTACTGTCTAGCAACCACCCTTCTTCCCTCCCCTACCAAACTCCCGTCTCTCAGAGCCACCTCAGCACACCTGCTGTATGCCCCCTCTGTTCTCTGTTACCACTGACCATGTACCTCAGGAATCCAGGACCCTGATCAATTTCCTTCTTCATGACCCTCTTCCTCTTCCTCTTCAGGGCTCTTGCAGCTTTGTGCCCTGGCACTCCACTCCTCCAGCTACCATCAGTCCTTTATCAAGAGCGCCTCCTTCTCTCTCTTTCCATGCTTAATGTTGTCATCTCTTTTTTCTACCTATCCCCTCAACTTATGCAGCCTATACGCTCATTCTTTCATCAATTATCTCTATGAGACCTACTCTTAAATCCATTACTCTAGCTTTATTACAAGTTCTGATTCACTTCATCAACTACCTGTTTCCTCTCCTTATTTTATTTCTTGTCTGGTCTATTACAAAACCAGCCACTCTTAAAGCTCAATGTCTGAGTTCAGCCTACGTAGCCATTTTCCAAAGTGAGTCTGTGAAACACCCGTCTCTAGCACTCAGTCAGAGTCTATCTTTGCTCAGGTCCTCTGGAAAGCAGAGGCTGAGGCAAGGATTACATGCTGATGTTTTATTTCGGAAGTACAAAACTAGGGCAGCAGGATGTAGGGAAACAGGCACAGGAAGCAAGGAAAAATGTGAGGCAGTGGATCACTCAAAACGTGAAGTTGGCTGGGCGCGGTGGCTCACGTCTGTAATCCCAGCACTTTGGGAGGCCGAGGAGGGCAGATTACGAGGTCAGGAGATCGGGACCATCCTGGCTAACACGGTGAAACTCCGTCTCCGCTAAAAATACAAAAAAATTAGCCAGGTGTGATGGCAGGCACCTGTAGTCCCAGCTACTCGGGAGGCTGAGGCAGCAGAACGGCGTGAACCCGGGAGGCGGAGCTTGAAGTGAGCCCAGATCGCGCCACTGCACTCCAGCCTGGGGGACAGCGAGACTCCATCTCAAAAAAAAAAAATAACGTGAAGTCATGGGTCACCCCAATTTCAGCAAGGGCACAGACCCAAAAACACACCAGCTCACTCAGCGGACACGCCCAAGCACGTGCGACTTCTCTGGAAAGTTCTCTCAGAAGCCAGCATACCTTGGAGCAGTCCGTGGAACAACAAAGAATGGGAAAGCACCTGGCCAGGATCCTTCCTGGTTCCCATTGATAAAGGTTCAACTCTCAAGGAGCGGCCCCACAGGGGACTTCAGGTGGGGCCAGGCAGCCCTTGGTGGCCGCTTAGCAACCCTGTTTGCAGCATTTTATCCAAGTCCAGAAACGAAGTGAAAGCTCAATCAGAATAAGGTCCAGAATGAAGGGTCATGTGGGGCTTGAAGGGATGGGGTTTCACGTGAAACTAGACAGGGAACGCCAGGCAAGGAGGAGGAAGCCAAGGAAATCCAAAGAGGTGCATTAGGTTTGTATTCAAATAGATCTCATGGTCAAATACGTTTGGAGATGACACAACATATCCCCTCCTACAGTCACAAAGCATATTAAGGGCCCTAAGAAGCCTTACAGCAAGCACCTGTTTATTCCCAAATTCATATAAGCACAGAATCTTTTTACAATACCCCAAAATAGGTTTGCAAAAACATACTAAGGGAAAAAGTATTCAAATCGATGTCTTTCCCCTGCTGTACAAACTTCAAACACTTCTCCCTGGCACCTTAGATTGGCATTCCGTTCCCTCCCAGAATGGTGTGGACTTGGGGTGGAGTCTGACCCCAAACTGGGGTTCCAGCCTTATTCCTTCCTGGTCTGCTGATACGGGACCTTCACTCCAAGCAAACAAGGCCTCTCTGTGCTCCACAAAGTCCCATGCTTTCTTCTGCTCTTATTGTTCCCTCCACTTGAAATGCCTGCCACCTTCTTTCTCCAGTGAAATAAATTCTACTGTTGCAGATGCCGCCCTCTCGGTGGCATTCACAGGACCCTGCAAGCAGGTGGACGCAGTCTTCCTGCCAATGCCTTCTGTGGCATGCCATGCCTCTCAGGGGGCACCTGGGACTCCTGCCTCTTACTACTTGTTTTATTTCCCTCTCCAAAGTGTAGAAGCACAGATGCCAGAGACTGATATGTTATTCATTTCTGTATCTCAAGGAACTCCCCAAGTAGAGGGTTTTGTACTTACTAGTTACTCAGTGAATGATAAAGAAATCAGTGCTATGAACTAGACAGATGCAACCTCTCAAGATCTAAATACAGATGTGGATTCCAATGTCTTAGCTCCTCACATATTTCCAGCGATGGTTTACTGACTCTCCTTGTGTTCTAATACTGTTCCAAACAGAAGCTGAGTTCAAGGTAAATAAAATATCCTTTATGAATCACTCACCTTTAAGAGCAATTTGGCACCGGAAGAGGAAAGTTTCTAAATGGTAACATAATGCACTGAAAATTTGTTTACTAAGAAAGCAGTTTACTCCCGGAAAGATGGAGAATGTTATTTTAGAGCAGGAACTGCCAAATTTACATACTCTCAGGCATAAATGATAATCCTCATTAGCCCGAGAGCTGTAAACAAGGTCGAGCTGCTGCATGGCCTACACGCAGGAACCAGCTGGAGGCCTGCAGAGTGTTGACACCGATACCTCCGGTCTCCAACATCAGTTTCCTTGTCCAAATGCTTTTACTCCCATCCCTACCCCTGCCCTCTGCATTTAGGACTAGACCTGGGTCACAGAAGGAAGGACTTGGGAATGCACTCTGCAGCACACTTCGGAGTTCTAGATGCATGATCATTACCTATACGATTGCTTGGTTATCTGCCCCCCTTTTCCTACACACACTTCTCTTCCACTCAGCATCTCTGAGGTCTTAATGATAAAGTTGTTGCCACGCTCTGAGTTGGAAAACAGCAGGTAGGGGTTGCTGGGGAAGACTAAAGGCTGAAGAGCCTGGAGAACGTGAAAGGGAACTCTATTTCCTTTATTTGCAAAATTACAATGAGGAATTAAGTCCCTGAAGTCTCAGACTAGCCCTGATGGTACCTTTTTTTTTTTTTTTTTTTTTTTTTTACTTTAGTTTAGGTTCAGGGCTACATGTGCAGGTTTGTTATGTAAGCTCATGTCACGAGGGTTCATTACATAGATTACTTTGTCACCCAGGTACAAAGCCTAGTACCCAATAGTTAATTTTCTTATCATTTCCCTCCTCCCACCCTCCACCCTCCACAGCAGACACTGGGGCCTACTTGAGAGTGGAGGCCTACCTGAGGGAGACCTACCTGAGACAGACCTACCTGAGGGAGACCTACCTGAGACAGACCTACCTGAGACAGACCTACCTGAGGGAGACCTACCTGAGGGAGACCTACCTGAGACAGACCTACCTGAGACAGACCTACCTGAGGGAGACCTACCTGAGACAGACCTACCTGAGACAGACCTACCTGAGGGAGACCTACCTGAGACAGACCTACCTGAGGGAGACCTACCTGAGGCAGACCTACCTGAGGGAGACCTACCTGAGACAGACCTACCTGAGGGAGACCTACCTGAGACAGACCTACCTGAGACAGGCCTACCTGAGGGAGACCTACCTGAGACAGGCCTACCTGAGGGAGACCTACCTGAGACAGGCCTACCTGAGGGAGACCTACCTGAGACAGGCCTACCTGAGGGAGACCTACCTGAGACAGGCCTACCTGAGGGAGACCTACCTGAGACAGATCTACCTGAGACAGGCCTACCTGAGGGAGGCTTCCACCCTCAAGTAGGCCCCGGTGTCTGTTCCCCTCTATGTGGCCATGTGTTCTCATCATTTAGCTCCCACTGACGAGAATATGTGATATTTGGTTTTCTGTTCCTGTGTTAGTTTGCTAAGGATGATGGCCTCCAGCTTCACCCATGTCCCTGCAAAGGACACAATCTCATTCTATTTCATGGCCGCATAGTATTCTGAGGTGTATATGTACCACATTTTCTTTATCCAGTCTAACATTGATGAGCATTTAGGTTGACTCCATGTCTTTGCTATTGTGAATACTGCTGCAATGAATATCCATGTATATGTGTCTTTGTCGTAGAACGATTTACATTCCTTTGGGTATATACCCATTAATGGGATTCCTGGGTTGAATGGTAGTTCTGTTTTTAGCTCTTTGAGGAATCACCACACTGCCTTCCACAATGGTTTAACTAATTTACCCTCCCCACAACGGTGTGTAAGTGCTCCCCTTTCCCCACAACCTGGCCCACATCTGTTATTTTTTGACTTTTAATGATAACCATTCTGACTAATGTGAGATGGCATCTCATTGTAGTTTTGATTTGCATTTCCCTAGTGATCAGTGATATTGAGCTTTTATCATATGCTTGTTGGCTGCATATGTCTTCTTTTGAAAAGTTTCTGTTCATGTCCTTTGCCCACTAATTAATAATAGTGATTAGCATCTGTTTAGTTCATAGCACTGATTTATCATATTCGATTAATAGGTTTTTTTTGTAAATTTAAGTTCCTTATAGACACTGGATATACCTTTGTCAGATACATAGTTAGCCAATATTTTCTCCTATTCTACAGATTGTCTGCATACTCTGTTGATAGTTTATTTTGCTCTGCAAAAGCTATTAAGTTTAATTAGATCCCATTTGTCAACTTTTGCTTTTGGTGCAATTGTTTTCAGCATCTTCATCATACAATTAACGCCAGTTCTTATGTCCAGAATGGTAATGCATAGATTGTCTTCCAGGGTTTTGTTTTGGTTTTTTTTTTTTTTTTTTTTTTTTTTGAGATGGAGTCTTGCCCTATAACCTAGGCTGGAATGTGGTGGTGCAATCTCGGCTCATCTGCAACTTCTGCCTCCTCAGTTCAAGCGATTCTCCTGCCTCAGCCTCCCGAGTAGCTGGGACTACAGGCGCATACCACCACATCCAGCCTATTTTTTGTATTTTTAGTGGAAATGGGGTTTCACGGTGTTAGCCAGGATCGTCTCAATCTCTTGACCTCATGCTCCGCCTGCCTCAGTCTCCCAAAATGCTGGGATTACAGGCGTGAGCCACCACGCCCAGCCCATCTTCCAGAGTTTTTATAGTTTTGGGTTTTACATTTAAGTCTTTAATCCATCTTGAGTTGATTTTTTTACATGGTGTAAAAAAATCCCCTGCATATGCCTAGTCAGTTATCCCAGCACCATTTATTGAATAGGGAATCCTTTCCCCATTTCTTGTTTTTGTCAGCTTTGTCAAAGATCAGATGGTTCTAGGTGTGATGGCCTTATCTGTGGGTACTCTATTCTGTTCCATTGTTCTATGTGTCTGTCTTTGTACAAGTACCATACTGTTCTGGTTACTGTAGCCCTGCAGTATAATTTGAAGTCAGGTAACATGATGCCTCCAGCTTTGCTCTTTTTGTTTAGGATTGCCTTGGCTATTCAGGCTCTCTTTTGGTTCCATGTGAATTTTAAAATAGTTATTTCCAGTTTTGTGAAGAATGTTATGGGTAGTTTGATAGGAATAGCATTGAATCTGTATACTGCTTTGGGTATTATGGCCATTTTAATGATACTGATTCTTCCTAACCATGACTATGAAATATTTTTCTATTTGTTTGTGTCATCTCTGATTTCTTTGAACAGTGTTTTGTAATTCTCCTTGTAGAGATCTCTTGGCTCCCTGGTTAGCTGTACTTCTAGGTATTACATTATGTTTGTGGCTATTGAGAATGGGATTGCATTCCCTACTTGGCTCTCAGCTTGGATGTTGTTGGTGTATAGGAATGCTAATGATTTTCATACACCGATTTTGTATCCTGAAACTTTGCTGAAATTGTTTATCAGCTGAAGAACACTTTGGGCCAAGATGATGACTCACCCAAGGCACCTCTGGGTGTGGCAGACTTTACCCAGTTTTTTTATGTAGAATCATGTCACCTGCAAACAAAGGATACTTTGACTTCCTCTCTCTTTGGATGCCCTTTCTTTGCCTGTTTTTACCTCTTTGGGGAATTGCAACACTGCTTTCCAAATGGTTTAATTTACATTCCAACTGACAGGGTGTAAGTGTTCCCTTGTTTCCACAACCAGGACTGGCCAAGACTTCCAACACTATCTTGAATAGGATTGGTGAGAGAGGGCATCCTTGTCTTCAGCCAGTTTTCAAAGGGAATGCTTCCAGCTTTTGCCCATTCAATATGATGTTGGCTATGGGTTTGTCATAGATGGCTCTTATTATTTTGAGGTTTTCCTTCAACACGTAGTTTATTGAGAGTTTTTAACTTGAAGGGATACTGAATTTTATCAAAAGCCTTTTCTGCACCTATTGAGATAATCATGTGATTTTTGTCTTTAGTTCTGTTTATGTAATGAATCACATTTACTGATTTGCATATCTTGAACCAACCTTGCATCCCAGGGATAACGCCTACCTGATCATGGTGGAGTCCTTTTGTGCTGCTGGACTTGGTTTGCAGGTATTTTGTTGCAGATATTTCCATCAACGTTCATCAAGGATATTGGCTAAAGTCATTTTTTTCTGCATCTCTGCCAGGTTTTGCTATCAGGATGATGCTGCCTTATAGAATGACTTGGGGAGGAATCCCTCCTCCTCAATTTATTGGAATAGTTTCAGTAGAAGATAGTACTTTCATAAGCCCCCTTTATATAGGAAAAGTTGTTGCAGGAAGTCAGGGACACCAAATGGAGGGACCAGCTGGAGCCGCGGCAGAGGAACATAAATTGTGAAGATTTCAAGGACATTTATCACTTCCCTAATAATACTCTTATAATTTCTTACACCTGTCTTACTTTAATCTCTTAATCCTGTTATTTTCATAAACTGAGGATGTATGTCACCTCAGGTCCACTTTGATTGGGTTAACTGTATAAAATGATTGTAAAACATGTGTGTTTGAACAATATGAAATCAGTGCACCTTGAAAAAGAACAGAATAACAGCGATTTTAGGGAACAAGGGAAGACAACCATAAGGTCTGACTGCCTGTGGGGTGAGGCAAAAAGAGCCGTATTTGTCTTCCTGCAGAGAGCCTATAAACGGATGTGCAAGCAGGAGAGGTGTTGCTAAATTCTTTTCCTAGCAAGGAATATTAAGACCCTAAGATAAGAATTGCATTCCTGGGGGGTGGTCTATAAACGGCTGCTGTGGGAGTGTCTGTCTTATGCGGTTGAGATAAGGACTGAAATACACCCTGGTCTCCTGCAGTACTCTCAGGCTTACCAGGATTGGGAAACCCTGTACTAGTAAATTTGAGGTCAGACTGGTTTTCTGCTCTCGAATCCTGTTTTCTGTTAAGATGTTTGTTAAGACAATACGTGCACAGCTGAACATAGACCCTTATCAGTAGTTCTGTTTTGCCTTGTCCTGTTTCCGCAGAAGCACGTGATCTTAGTTCTCCTTTTTGCCCTTTGAAGCATGTGATCTTTGTGACCTACTCCCTGTTCTTGCACCCCCTCCCCTTAATCCTTAATAAAATCCTTAATGAAATCCTTAATAAAACTTGCTGGTTTTGCGGCTCAGGTGGGCATCATGGTCCTACCGATATGTGATGTCACCCCCGGCGGCCCAACTGTAAAATTCCTCTCTTTGTATGCTAATGGAAAATAGAAAGAACCTATGTTGAAATATTGGGGGTGGGTTCCCCTGATAAAAAATAATGCAAATTAGAGAGAGAAAATATACAAGATGAATACAAAAAAACAAGGGAAGGAGGAAAAGAAAGAAACATTGCCACCTCTCTCACTGTAAGTTGAGTGGAAAGAATAAATTTCACTAGTCTCTCAGCTCTTGCTCCTTCTAATCATTTCTCTAAGAGCTCCAGGTTCCTTTAAACCACATCAGCAATGCAGTCACCGCACACCTCTAAGGCGTACGGACATGACAGGAGCTGCCAGGCAATGCAGGAGATGAGGAAGTTAGAGTTTCTGCCCTCAGGAAGCTTCTAACATGGTTGGGGGACAATATGACCATACAAAAGCTGAATGCAAGCCAGTGCACTCGTTACTAACACAGAAAATGCCTTCCTCACAGCACTTCAAGGGCTCAGTTCTCAGTTTATGTCCTTGTAATTTAACCTAACAGACATTGACAGCTCCTAGCACAGTATCTGACACAAAACAGGTTCAATAAAGAGCAGAAGCAAAAGTGAGTTCCATGAGGATTACCTGGAGGGAGGTTCCATCATGGACCTACTGCACAGAAGGTTACCCTTGAGGTGGAGGCACAAACAATGAAGAAAGAGGGAAGAGCATGAAAAGAGCCATCCTGTAGGGCATGAAAGCCCATGAAGTCCAGGGGCAACAGTAAAGGGAGCACGTCTCAGTGAAGACCTGCATGGTCAGACATCATGGGCCACTCTGATGCTATGACGCTCAGGCCGTAAAACCTTGGCCTGGATACCTATCCTTCAAGTCTCTGTTTCCTTGTCTGTAAAATGGTGTAAATAACAGAACCAATCTCAGAGCGCTGCTATTAGCTATTCTCATTGTTACTGGGACCATGTGATGATTTGTAGAGTAGTGTAAGGAAAGGGAATAAAAAGGTGGGCTATGGGGGTCTTGCAGTAGGTCTGCGATTCCAGATGGAGGAGTGTGTGTGGATTTCATTTAGAATGGGGCCCAGAGGCAGGCGAAATCTTCCAGTATGGCCAGGCTCCAGGAGGATGTGTGTGCTGTCCTCTCTTTGCAAGGTGGATTGGGCATAAGGAGTCATGTCAGGGGGTGGCCACAAGGGCATCGATGAAAAATGATGGAAGTCCATCCACCGTGGTGAAGTGCAAAAGGATACACATCAAAAGTCTACTATTTCTTCAGGTGCCCGACCAGCTATGAGGAAACTAAACTGCTACTCTAAAGGGCAGGTTTAAGCAGTCCCGGCAAATAGTAACCAACTTCTGCTTTGCAGAGACTATGCACTGTATATAATTTACAAGTAAATACCTTCTGCCTGAATCAAGGAAGCATCAGGAACAAAATGCTGAAGCTCCTGTTTCTAGCAAATAAGAAACACTTCTTAGTTTGTGCACGTGGCTCAACACAGGCAAAATGCAGCCACATACACACCATGCATAAGTCACATGGGTATCGATAACGTTGCCTACACTGGAGAAAAATGACAGAATATATTATGACTTACATTTTTCTAGGAAATTAAAGATACTGGCAGATTTACTAAAGTACAACCAAAAAATCCAATTATTTTCTGGATAGCCATGAACTAGATCAGTTCCTCAAAAGGCAAACATAGCAAGGAGCAAGACATCTCTAACTGGACCACTGCAAACGGGGACTTCTTTGCTCAATGTTTTGTGTACCTGCGACTCCCCTGAGGAAGTCACAGGCTTTCTCTAACCAGGTAACACACAGCTTATCTCACTTGCAGATGGCCCCACCTAGCTCAGAGTCACACAGAAGTACACAGTGTAACTCCAGAAGCTTTCACCTGGGTGTGGCCACTGTCAGCACTCCGTAAACAACGGTGACGCCAAGGAGCCTATTTGGGGGTGATGAGCATAAAAGAGAAGTCTGAATGGCACAGCATTATTATTCTACATTATTTATAATATCCCTTAAGAGATCCAAAGCACACCTGGTCTAGTAGAAAATTCTGATGACAGCTGGAAATAATGTTGCTTTTTCTAATTACAATTTGAAACTGGATCTGAAATGTAAAGTCAGGTTTGTGATTTTCCTCATCTTTCCCTTTTCTTGTTTCTTTACCTTTTGAACATAGTCCAGGTAAACAAACATATTTCACAAGAGCAGAAAGCCCATTCAATCACTGGTGACCTGGCTCACATGGGGAAGAACAGAACAGAGATGAAAGGCTTCATCTCCTATTTCTCTGGGCTATTCATGAGCCTCACTCTGGAACTTGCACCTTTAATAAAAAATAAATAATAGATTTACAGCCTCCTGGTTTGTAACAAGACAAACGCTATTGTGTTTTGCGTTTCAATGACACATGATAGACTGGGAAGCCTGTTTCTACTACATTCCCATAAATCTGGGAGAACAAAAAAAATGAAGAGTTTGAATGCTCTTTATAAGTTGATCCCCCAAACCTTCTCTAAACACATCTATTGCCTTTATGAAGACAGTCCCTTTGAAGTTCTTAATGAAATTTCATTGTTTCTCTCTAGATCGATTTTCCCTCATCCTGAAAAATCAAAACCCAGCAAAAAGCACTATCTACAGCCAATGTGGGTGTCCCCCCTCACCCCAACCCGAAAATGTTAAAATGCATTCTTTTAGCTTAAATAAAAACATCAAATTAGATGTTCTTAGGGACTGATGTTTGTGTCCCCCCAAAATTCATTCGTTTGATGCCCTAACCCCTGATGTGATGGCCTTTGGAGATAGGACCTTTGGGAGGCATTATAATAAGGGTTAGAAGAAGTCCTAAGGGAGGGGCCCTCATGATGGAATTGGTGCCCTTACAAGAAGAGACACCAGAGAATTCATGCGTGCTGTCTCCCTTTTCCCACATGCATGCACCAAGCAAAGGCATGTGAGGACACAGAAAGAAGGCAGCCACCTACAAAAGCCAAGAAGGGAGCCCTCACCAGAAACTCAGCTGGTGGCACTTTGAACTCTGATTTCCCAGCCTTAAACCACCCAGTCTAGGGTATTTGGTTATGGCAGTCAGGTGGCAGATGTCAACTTCAACGTAAGAATCTGTCTTGTAAGAGGCAAAGGAGGCATTCTTTAGGCTGCACAGGAATGGGAGGCTGTGATGATTCCAGCAACTGGAAGTGGGGCAGAAAGGGTAACTCCAGACATGACTACCCGTACTTCACAGCTACCAAGAGGCTCCCACACAACAGCTCACACTCACTTTCTACAACTCAGAGAAAATGCCTTTCGTGTAATTTGTAAAATTGGTACTTCTCTTCTTAATTCTGTAATTCTAACATGGTCATATCAGTCAAGTTTCTGTCACCTTTCATCATCTGTCTCCTTATTTCTGCCTTTGAGTAGTTGGTTTGTTTCGTAACTTTAAATGAAATGTTTTCCTTCTAAATTTCAAGAAGCCAGGCAGTACAGTATTCCATCAGCTACTTTATACACTACTTTAGCTGCATAAAATGTATGCGTGGAGGGGAATGATGCGGACTGGGATTACAGGTTTTGCTTTGCAAATGGCAGGCACGCTGCACCCAGCACTGACCAGAGCCAAGGGCATAGTGGGGAGGCCAGGAGTTTTTCCCGCATTCATATACTTCAGCAACAAGCATGCTAGCCCCGTTGGTTACCTTAAACCTACGTTCTGCCATCAGTTAACAACAGTAGGAATAGCAACTTCACACCACAGGGTCAAATGAGGTATGTGAGCCGGGCACGGTGGCTCATGCCTGTAATCCCAGCACTTTGGGAAGCTGAGGCGGGCGAATCATGAGGTCAGGAGTTCGAAACCAGCCTGGCCAACATGGTGAAACCCTGTCTCTACTAAAAATACAAAAAATTAGCTGGGCATGGTGGCAGGCGCCTGCAATCCCAGCTGCTCGGGAGGCTGAGACAGGAGAATTGCTTGAATCTAGGAGGTGGAGGTTGCAGTGAGCCGAGATTGTGCCACTGCACTCTAGCCCAGGTGACAGAGTGAGGCTCCATCTCAAAAAAAAAAAGAAAAAAAAAATCAGGTATATGTCTAGTCTGATCAGGAAGGATAGCTGCAGAGGCAAAGTCTATCCTCAGCTACAAATTCTTCAACACCCAACCTATCTGCAGAACCGAAGTGAAAACAGTAGCTTCACAAAGAATGATATGTAAAATACAGCCCTGCCTTTAGTAAGCATTCAGTAAATGCATGTAGAATTGATGAACCTGTCATAAAAAGGACACAAAACATAGTGCTTAATTACACATTCAGTTTATTTATTTATTTTTTAATGAGTACTGGAAGGAGAAAATGGAAAACAGAAGAACAGCAGGGGGCTTCAAGGGTTCTCAGCATGACTTAGAAAAGGAAGGGTCAAAAATCACAATGTTATGTGGCCACATCAGCCACCACGCAGCCTGGCTCCCAGAAAGCCTCCAGCTTTCTAGTTTTAGTGTTGGCCCTGAGCTAATCAGGAGTACCGACTCAACTCCTGGGAAGAAGATCATTTGATTATTGTTTTTTCATATTCAAAGGCTGGCTCTGGAAGAAGTGGCCATTAAGCAGGTGCTGGGTGTGACTGAGAAGACTGTGACTCACTTCTTCCCGAGGTGCACACGTGGAGGCTGTTGTTTCTCAGGGGGCAGCTGCATCTGTTGTCCTCAGCCTGTGATGGGGGCTCCCCAAAGCCTGTCTTCCCTGGGCCCTTGAACAAACAGATCCATCCAGTTTTCTGCTGATAAATCATCCCAAGGCTGGCCCAGCAGAGAAGGGTGCTCTGCTCAGCCCCCTGAGGCTCTCTCTGGCCCCACCGGCCCCGCCTCTGCGTAATCACATGTGTTCTTCTGCCTGTGCAGGCCATACTGTCAGTCCCTTGCTCAGCTCCAGCCATCGTCCCACCAATGCCTTTATTCTGCCACTCTTCCTCCACCCTCCCAGCACAGTCTCCACTCTGAGACCAGGGTAATCTTCCTAAGTATTTCATCAGATAAGCACCCCATTTAAAACTCAACTATAGCACCCCACTGCTCTGGGATAAAGCCCAGACATTTTCATAGCAAACTGAGGGTCAGGGCCCACACCAAGCCCCACTTGGCTGTGCCTGGGCTGCATAAAGGAGTTCCTGGGGCCTGGCACTGTCCCTCACTTTTGGGTGGTCACCCCAGATGCTCCGTCTGCCTGCAACACTGTCCACCTCTCTCTCCACCTCCTATTCTAATCAATTCCTACTTACTTTTCAACTGAAACATGTCTTCCAATGGAATTCTTCCAGGAATCTCTTCCTCCCTTCTTCAGGTGAATACATTTCAATAGCACCCTCTATTTTTCACCATGTTTACGTTTACTCAACTGTTTAGCCCACGCACTTGTCTGAAGCCCCTGCTAAGTGAAAGTCCTGTGAAGGCAATGACTGGATTTGCCTAGCTCACCGTTAAATCCTCTATACCTAGTATCACGCCTGTTACATTACAGGCACTTGACAAATAGATGACTGAATAGTTGCCTATCTTCACTGAGTAAAGCTCGTCAGAATAAAATAATAATAATAGAAGCCACCATGCATTGGGCTCACACACAGTGAGACGATTTGCTAGGCACTCTTATGTTGGGCTCACTTAATCTTTGCTCTTTCTCGCACACGCCAGCTATCTCCTCTGTGGTCATTCATTGGTCTGCGCAGTTTATAGGAAATTCCCCAGTCAGAAGTGATGCCTACGCCAAGCCTAGGTCTTGGTACCCACTGTGAATATGATCTCCATACTCTTGCTCTGAGGGGCTGGATGATCCTGATCCCAAATGGGCTCTCCATCTTCACTGAGGCGTTTTTGCCTAGAACTGCCATCAATCAAAAACACCTTACTTGACCGAAATTTGTGACATTCCATTAAACAAACTAAAGGTCTGACAAAGAAACAGACCAAAAAAATTTTAAAAAGAATGTGAGTTACTTCCAGGTAGAAACTACTAACTTATTAGTTCTATCACCCACAGTACTTTGAACATAAGTGCCCAGTGGATGTTTGTTGAGTTGAATAAAATATACTAGTCATTTCTTGCTGATGTAAAAGTCTTATTTTAAAGGGTGTCCTTTCACTGACTGTTTGGCATTGATAGTTAGCCAAGTAATCTTGTGTACGTACATGTTCAATAAGTGGATTTTAAAATTTTTCCTAACAGCAGATAGCAAGTAAGTAACTTAGGTAAGAGAAGGGATGGGATGGGATGGAAAGAGAGTATGAGTGATGGCTTTTTAAGGGCTAGGTAGAAATATACCGATTAGCTTTTAAAATACAGATAGCAGATTTAATTCAACATTTAGAAAACAGGTCACTAGACACTTCGTCATAACTCATGCTGGAACTGCTCCATCCAAGTTAAAAATTTAATCCCATTCTCTGATTACCAAGAATGTTATATTCATTGAGCTCCTCACATGATTCAAAGCAGATTACTTCAAAAAGGTTTTAGATCAAATAGTAATAATCGTTAAAAGATGTGGAGCTTTGAATTCCCTTAGAACAAACTGTAAAACAAAAGGCTGCTTTCAGGCCAGATGTCGTGGCTCACACCTGTAATCTCACACTTTGGGAGGCTAAGGCAGGAAGATCACTTGAGCTCAGGAGTTTAAGACCAGCTTGGGCAACACAGCAAGACCCTGTCTGTACAAAAAAAATTTTTAAATTAGCTGGGCATGGTGGTACGGGCCTGTAGTTCCGGCTACTTGGGAGGCTGAGGCTGGAGGATCACTTGAATCCAGGAGTTTGAGGTTACAGTGAACTGTGATTGTGCCACTGCACCCCCACGTGCGTGACAATGTAAGATCCCCATCTCAAAAAAAAATTAAAAATTAAAAAGCTGCTCTCTTAATAACAAAGATAATCTACAGTAAGAACAACAACATCAAAATCAAGATTTTATAGATTGGTAATATCAAATAGCTAGGATAAGTTTTTAAAATTTACGCAGTTCAGCTATTACATTTAAGTAAATTATCAACTTCAGTAAGTCGACTCCAAATTAAATTAAGTAACGCAGACTTGGTTAACATAACTAAAGTCAAATTTTAAAAATGAACATCTCAACATGAAGATCCGAATTTCATTAAGTAAATGTATTTTGGGAAAACAAAGTATTAGCTCTGTGAGAAAATGTAAAACAAACGTGTGTACTTTAAGTGCAAATATCTCAGTTCATATTCTGACAGAAAAATTCATGCATAAACACATAAATCACCCTGGATTAAAGAAGCATGCATGAAAAGTAAGCAAGCAAACTGTGATTATAATAAATTCTAAGATTTATATATTGACAAAAGTCACTGAACAAAACAAAGAACATTAATTTGTGCTAAAAGAGAGTACTTTGTGGAGCAAAGCCTGAAATGCCTTTAGGGACCCATCAGTGCAGTAAATTACACCGACTCTCACAGGCCTCGTTACGTGAGACTGCAGGATATGGCCGGGCCACTGCCATCTGCGACTGTGACATAAGTTAATGATCATGTTGTTATGAATTAACCTATCATTAGAAAACAAGAAGTATTTCCAGATAAGACAGAATTGGAGACTTTCTTGAAAGAGTAATGGAGTAAATGGGAAACCTCCTCATCCAGCAAGATGCAGAGAAGAGTTGGGGGAAAGGGATCCCTTAGTTAAGGCAGGGATCCCCAACTCCGGGCTGTGGACGGGTACCCGTCCATAGCCTGTTAGGAACCAGCTGCACAGCAGGAGGTGAGCAGTGGGCAAGCAAGCATTACTGCCTGAGCAACTCCTCCCGTCAGGTCAGAGGCGGCGTTTGATTTTCATAGGGGCATAAACCCTACTGTGAACTGTGCACGTGAGGGATCTAGGGTGCACACTCCTTATGAGAATCTAACTAATGCCTGATGATCTGAACAGTTTCATCCCCAAATCATCACCTCCCTGCCCACTGGGCTGTGGAAAAACTATCTTCCATGAAACCAGTCCTGATGCCAAAAAGGTTGAGTCAAGGGATACTTAAAAAGCCAGGAAACATGCAGTCCAAGGCTTGGCCCAAACCAACTGGACACTGGTGGTGACACAGAGAAGTAGGAGCCAGTTGTTTCTGTCCCCACCTCTCTCAAATGATGGAGCTGGTGTGTGTGATTTAGAATTATAAAGAAAACAGACTGGTAAGAGAAAATAATGGTCCTAAGGCCAAAGTGAGAGAAAAACACTCTGAACTTCTGGGAGACAGAGGAAAAGGAGATGGTGGTTTATCAAACACAAGCTGCACCAAGTGGACACATTAACCATAAAATAAACAACGTACCAACTGCGTGTCACAAAGGACAGACTCTAACAAGCCTGAGGTCAAATTTTTCCTCCGAAAGTTAACAAAAGCCAAGCACATTAGTAGCACTCAATAAATATTCAAACAAAGTAAGATGAGCCTTAAAAAAAATCCATACCAATTAACCCAGTGCTTTGATTTCCAGGAATAATTCTATAGTCATGGCTGCCACTTCCTGAGGGTCTGCTCTTGTGAGCACTTCTGTAGATCACGTTGGAAGTGAAAATTGCCTTGAAGAATGCAAAGCAGACACCAATGATGAACCGTGGGCACAGACACCCTGGCCTCAGCAGCAGAGGATCTCCAAATACTGCCAGGCCTGAGGGGCCGTGAAGTGCAGAGCCTCGGGCTCATTCAATCACAGTGCTCTCCTCCAGACTTCTCAAGAGAAATATCCTTCTCCTCCCAGCACCATGATTAGTTGTACTTCTCAGAGATTATCTCATGAACCTTGGGAACCAGGTGACTGACTGGGATTCCTTTTCCCTGGTAGTTGCTAGAGAGCAGATCACTCAAATCATGCACGGTCCTGGCAGATGAACCAGGCTCTCAGCATTTGTCTATCTGCCTTACTTCTGGTTCTCGTTTGAATTCCGACTTCTGTTTTTCCTTGTTTTTCTCGCTTCTAACTTACTGGATATAGTATTTGTTTTTGTATTCTCTGTACTCTTTTCACTAACTTTAAACACTTTTTAAAACATTTAAAACTAAGCGAGATATAAATTTTAAATGAGTAAATATAAAAAAATACAGACTCGTTAATTTTTCAGATGAGAAAATTAAGGCCCAAGAACCACTCATGGTAATGAGTTACTAGAAAAAAAAAAAAAACATATGCCACACTAAATATTCGGCAATAAATTAGAGAACTTAAACTAAAAATAAATGTTTATTTGCATAGTAAATAAAGATACTAAAGCAAATTGCCTATAATTCCTTTGGGAAAATATTTTCTGTCTATTAGCAATGTAGAATAAATATATGCTCCTAGCTAGGGGCAAAACTTGCTGGAATTTGTGTGGTGCCTGAAGGGATCCGGTGATCAGATCCATTACAGGTACTCCCAAAGATGACATCAGCTCAGGATAAACCATTTTGAATCAGGGAGCCTACCAAAGGCCACATCTATCTGTCACCACAGAAAGAGTCATAAATTATAATGGCTCTGTCTGCCACAGGTCTGCCCTTTAACATGGGTGGCTGGTGAGAACCATTTCTGAGGTCCTCTAGAATGTAGTGATCAATAACCTTGGAGACATTTTAAATATTTCCCAGAAGAGAGCACAAATGATACCAAGGGGGAAGGAGGGAATTCAATTTGACAAAAACTTCTTGAATGTTAATCATTTTAGGGATTCAAAGGTGAATCACCCATGGTCTCCGGCCAGAAGAAACTAAAATCTAGTGAGAAAAAAATATACATATACCACAATATAAAGAAGAACAGTGATTACTATGGTAATAGAGGGAAAAAGAGCAGTGGGAACACTGAGAAGAACAACATTATTTTCATCTGGAGGGAGGCTGGGACATTAGAGTATATCAGTTACCTAAAGTAGCTGACTACAATTAAATGCATATGAAGTTATGCATTTATTAAATGCATATTAAATTAAATGCATATTAAACTACATATTAAATGCATTTATCCATTATCAATAATGACACTGGTTCAAACAACAAATCTCTTAATGATCATTGTTCAAAGAACCACGGAGGTTGGACACAGTGGTTCATGCCTGTAATCCCAGCACTTTGTGAGGCTAAGGTGGGAGGATTGCTTGAGCTCAGGAGTTTGAGACCAGCCTGGACAACATAGTGAGACCTGGTCTCTGCAAAAAAACAATCAAAAAATTAGCCAGGCATGGTTGTGCATACCTGTGGTCCCAGCTACTCAGGAGGCTGAGGTGGGAAGATCAGCCCACTTGGGCCCACGAGTTCGAGGCTGCAATGAGCTATGACCGCACCACTGCACTGCAGCCTATGCAACAGGGCAAGACCCTGCCTTAGAAG
The DNA here is from genome assembly GCF_000001405.40 of Homo sapiens. Lineage (NCBI taxonomy): Eukaryota > Metazoa > Chordata > Mammalia > Primates > Hominidae > Homo > Homo sapiens. The sequence goes on along the minus strand of NC_000007.14, from coordinate 3,567,824 downwards.
AAAAATAAATGAATAAAAGATAAATAAAATAGAAAATAAAAAGAAAGAACCATGTAGAATGTTATGCAGCCATCAAAGGCACAGCCCTCTAGCCTGTCTCAATTAGGAACCAAAAAAGAACCAAAGAAAACCCTCAGAGGTTTACCATCTCCTCCTGACAATTCTGGAATGATACAAACGAAGAATTAAAACAGATCAGATAACCCAAAAGTTAAGCACATTTACCATTAACTCCAACTGCAGCTTCATCTGTTAGCAATGACTAGCATGTACCTCATTTACCTTTTTTCCATTTACTGTGGTAGTTTTCTAGCACCAGGACAAGAATTTTTGACCACTTAGTCTAAACGTCAAGACACATAGTAGCACACAATAAATATTCAAAGTAAGATGAGCCTTTGGAAAGTCCATACCAATCAACTCAGTGCTTCGGCTTCTAGGAATAATTCCACAATAATAGCTGCTACTGACTAGGCATTTACTCTCACAAGTACTTCTAATCCTGTTGCAGGTATCAAGCCATTTCATTCTCACAACAACCCACGAAGCCGCTGAGGAATGGAGGATAAATACCTGTCGAGGTTGCAAAGCTAATAAACAAACATCAAAGCACTGTTCTCCTTAAGTAGATAACACGAAAAGTGACCAAATCCTCAGTGTTTTTAAAAAACCTAACAATGTAAATACTTCACGACAAGGGCAGCTTGCCTTAATGATGCTATACCTCAGGCATATCCCTTATTCAATTATCTAAAAGTGTTCCTAGGATGCGTACCCGGGAAAATAAATGTGGGATCAGTATTTCTGGGCCTAATTCAGCAACTTCTGTTCTCCAGTATAGGTGCCAAGTCTACACTCCCACCACCAGTGCATGACAATTCCTATGTTCACACATCCCCACTTGTATCTACCATCCTCAGCCAACTCTTGCTAGTGTAATAAGGATATCATTTTACTGCTTCGATTCTTATTTCTCTCGGTAATAATGAGCTTGAAGATTTCTTCCTATGCTGGTTAGCCTTTTGCGTTCACTGTTTTGTGAAGTGTGTGGTCATATCTCTTATTTTTCTCCTTGGATTGCAATCACTTTTTTTTTTTTTTTTTGGCAGTAGTTTCTTGCAGTTCTAGACAAAGATTTCCTGTTAATCTAAGTTGTGGACATTCCATACACCTACATCATTTTCCATTCTGTCATCTGCCCATCTGTCTACAGATACCTTCATTGAACAGAATCTGTAATGGTGATAAAATCAAGTGGATCAATTTTCCTCTACTGCTTTATGTTTTTAAGAAGTTTATCGGCCGGGCGTGGTGGCTCACGCCTGTAATCCCAGCACTTTGGGAGGCCGAGGCAGGCAGATCACGAGGTCAGGAGATCGAGACCATCCTGGCTAACACAGTGAAACCCCGTCTCTACTGAAAATACAAAAAAATTAGCTGGGCGTGATGGCGGGTGCCTGTAGTCCCAGTTACTCAGGAGGCTGAGGCAGGAGAATGGCGTGAACCTGGGAGGGGGAGCTTGCAGTGAGCCAAGATCGCGCCACTGCACTCCAGCCTGGGCGACAGAGCGAGACTCCATCTCAAAAAAAAAAAAAAAAAAGAAGAAGTTTATCAAGTTCCCAAAAACATACAATAAAAATGCTGGGGTTTAATTTTAAATATTTTGTGAAGAACTGACACCTTTTTACGACTACCTCCAAGAGAATAAAAACTCTATTTACTCAGATAATCTTGGTCTTTTATTAGCATTTTAAATTCTACCCTGAAGAGATTTTTATACATTCTTATTAATTCATAGATATTATATTGCTTTCGTTGCTGTAAGTCGTATCTTATGTTTTTATTCATTTTTAATTGGATACTACTAGAATAAATTGACTCTTATAGTTTGATCATATGTACAGTTCATCCTCTGCATCTGTGGGTTCCACATCTATGGATCTGATCAACTGTGGATGGAAAATATTCGGAAAAAATTGCATTTGTACTGAATATGTACAGACTTCTTTTTCCTGTCATTATTCCCTGAACAATATAACAACTACTTAACATAGCATTTACATTATATCAAGTTGTATAAGTTACCTAGATGTGATTTAAAGTACACAGGAGAATACGCACAGGTTATATCCAAATACTAAGCTGTTTTAAGTCAGGGATTTGAGCATCTGTGAATTGTGGTATCTGAGGGAGGTTCCAGAACCACTCCCCTCCAGATACCAAGAGATGACTGTTTATACACAGTAATGTCATTGTACTCTTTAGTTCTAGTAATCAGTTTACTAAATTCTGTTAAGATGACCATACTTTCTATAAGTAATGACAATTTTATCTATTCCTTTAGATCCATATGCCTCTTGCTTTACTTCCTGGATAGCACTGATCAGGACATAAAATGAAAACGCTATGTTAAGTAGCAGCAGAGGTAATGAGCATTTGTGGTACATACTTTATAGTGCATCTCTCAAACTCCATTTCAATCTCCCTCTGTTGAATAGGTCTGACAGATAACAACCATATTTCCCAGATTCCTTTGTAGCTAAGGTTCTGGATGCAATTTAGATGCTTTATCATGACCTCCGGAAGAGGGAGGTGAAGTAGAGGCCATTTTCCTGCTACAGCGGATGGAAGAAAGCAAGACTGGAGAGATGTGTTTGCTGGGCCCAGCTATATTCCAGTGTCTAGTTATCCCCTTGTGAGGTTTAAAAAAAAAAAAAAGTAATAAAAGTGACAGTAGTAGCAACTTCCTGTCTCCTGGATTGTCATGTGATCTTACCACCGACCCCACAACCCAAAACTGCTTCTCCAACGCTTACAACTTTTAAAGTACCTGATCCCCTATATTATATCTCCTTCTGCTTGGAAATCCAGATTTGTCTCCTAAACAGTGACTGCTTGAGATAATCGCATTTTTGCCTTCACTCTTTTAATGTACACTGTTACATTCACAGGTACTGTAATCGAGGTTTCATTAACTTCAGAAAATTGCTGAACATCTCTCTCTTCACTGTTTTCTGGATTAGTTCATAAAAGAACCAACTTTCTAAAGTTTAGTAGAACTCAACCATAAAATTCTCTCAGGTGCTTTCTGGGAGGAAAGCTTTTGACTACTTTCTCCATTTCTTTACCATGTATTGGTGAAATCATGTTCTGTATTTCTTAGGATAATTTTTACATTTTATATTTTTTTCTGAGAATTTATTCATTTTATTTAGCTTTTCCCCCAAATTTATTAAGTATACATTTTGTTCCAATAAAATCATTTGAAAATTTCTTTGGTCTACAGCTATTTCCTTTTTTGTCATTGTCCTGTATTTTTTATTAAAATAAATTTTTTTTTGAGAGTCTCCCTCTGTCACCCAAGATGGAAAGTAGTTGCGCAATCTCGGCTCACTGCAACCTCAGCCTCCTGGGTTCAAGCAATTATCCTGTCTCGGCCTCCCAAAGCAGCTGGGACTACAGGTGCCAGCATTGTCCTGTATTTTATTTTTAGCTTCTCTTTTCTTTCTTTTTGAGTCTGTCAGAGGTCTATCTTATCTTTCAAAGAATCAAGTTTTGATTTTAACCTTCTCTATCATGTCAGGTGTTATTATTATTATTCTGTATTTCATTGCTTTCTGTACTTACCTTTATTTTTCTATCTTGTTTCCTTGAAATTTGCTTTGTGTTCTTTTTACCAACTTTTTGGCTCATTTTTTATCTTTCTTGTTTCCTAATATTTAATAAACTATATGTTTAATAAACTATGTTTATTTAAGCTATAAAGTCCTTTTAAGTACTGCTTGAACTACATCCTACAAATCTGAAATGTCATGTTTTCACTGTCTTTCAGTTCTAAATATATCATAATTTTATTTTTTTAATTCAATAGCTATTTAGAAATATGTTATTTAATTTGTAACCACAAGCGGTTTTTTGGGAGTTAGGGACTATCATTTTATTAGTAATTTCTTATTTTATTGCATTATACTGAGTGAACCTAATTTGTTATTGCTTTCATTCCTGGGAAATTGAGGCTTCTTATATGGCATAATACACGGTTTATTTTTATAATCACTCCAAACGAGCTTAAAAAATACACATTGTCTCAAGTATGCAGTTTTAGGTGTATTCCTAACAGCTCATGCTTATTAATTGTATTTTTCAAGTTTTCTCCACCTCTGCCTGCTTTTCAACTGTAGGATTTACTAATTTCTGAGAACAGTGTGTTAAAAATTTCAGCTACAACTGTTGATGTCTCTCTGCAATTCTGTCAATTGTTGCTGGATATATTTTCAAACTATATTGCAGATTACCATTTTTTATGGTTACATCTTCTTGTCATATTCCCTTTATCAATATATAGCATTCCTCTTCATCTTTAATAATATATTTAAGTTACCACTGCTTTCTGTTGGTTCATATTTGTGTACTCTCTCTTCCATCCTTTTATTTCCAACTTCTTTTGAAGTGTGTCTCTTATAACCTATTTTTTGTATCTTGTTTTTCCGCCCCATCTGAGAATACATCTTTACGATGGATAATCCAGGAATATACGTTGTAATTACTCTAAAACTTGAACTTTTCCAGCTTTTTTTCATATTTTCCATTTACTGTATTTTATTTTTGTTTTATTCTTTCCATCCCACTTCCCCTTTCCTATTTTTGATTGGCTAGATCCAATTTTCTTCTGCTGGTTTAAAAGCTGCACCTCTTGCTTTTCATTTTCACAATGTCTCCCCAGCAGATCCATCTGTATGTTTCTTCATCCCTACCGTCTTTGGTTTCTCCTCCACTCAATAACGGTAACATCTAGAAGTTTAGCTCTGGGTTACTTGCATGTATTTTCTGTTTTCTTATGTCCTAGCCTTCTTTTTCAAGACATCAATGAACTTTGCCAGGGGACTTGATCCCCCTTACCTCCCCTATCTCTTGTAGCTGCCCGTGTATTTGCTTCCCTTCATATTTAAGTATTTCCTCCCAGCATGTTTCAGTGTGGCTCTTTATATAGAAACTTTTATAAGGTCTTGTATAGCTGAAGATACTTCTTATATCCTCACGTGTGAGTGACAATTGGGCTGGAAATAAAATTCAGGGAAGGCAATAGGAGAGGCAAAAGCAGAACTTAACGTGATTGCACTTAGTGCCACCAAACAGTACACTTAAAAATGGTAAGTTTATGTTATGTATACTTTATCATAACTTAGAAAAAATAGTTTTAAAAACCAGTTTCCTCCAGACTCTCCAGACACCTATGGCTGCCTCGTCCACAGGCTGCAGCTACCCGTCTACTTAGCCACTATACAGAAGCTAAAGCCCACTTCAGTCTCCCAAGGGGTTCCTAGCATTTTTGTTGTTAGTTTTTAGCACCCATGCATCCCTCTAGCTTTTATTCTTTCTCAATAGCTAACATGGTATTCAGAACTCAGTAGTATATGCAGTTGACCATCTTGGCTGAGACCGAAACCTAGGCAAATTTTTACACTTACAATCTATGGAAGAAAAGGCCAAAGTACTTTTTATGAACATGTTTTACTTGAACAAATAGAAAATAAAATGTTATCTTAAAGGTAGGGATCAAAGCTGATGATGGCAGGTTATTTTTGGAAACGGTAGAATACGGTCTGGAATCCTTGGAGATAAGAGTCTGTCTTGCACTTGGAAGCATTTTTCACTAGGGTGCTATGCAGTTTCCGAAACATCCAAGTTCTATTCCCCAGGTGAACACTGGCTCTGAGGCAACACATTGTAGAGACAAGGCGTGGCATTCTGTCCCAGATCAACTATGTACACACAGCTGTGGGTTGTTGAAAAACGGAGGCCTAAAATATTTATGAATGCTTATTTCCTCTATATTTTTTCCCACCAGCATTTGTGTTAATCTTTCTCAATCCATTTTAACAAGAAAATGAAAGCAAATGTGCATTTGAAAAGAAAACTTAGAAAAGAAAGTGAAATATTCATGACTTACAGGTTCCTTATAAGAACATGTTCCAAATGCAAGGCCAGTCTTATAATGAATTTTGTTTAAATCCAGATTCAGAGAAATTTATTCAGCTTGCTTGTTAGAAACAGTGTATTCTGGAAGGGAACGTGAGCTCTTTGTAGCCTGGCCTTTAATAATATCTCCTGCAGCTTCAGAATGTTAAAATGGGAAGGCCAAGTATAATCCATATAAGGAGAAAATAAGTCATCAGATTAAAATTGAGGGAACCAGTCTTGATTCAGAAATTATTTACTGAGCATTTACCATGTGCCAGGAATCACACCTGACCCGTAACTACCATTTAGGGAAATAAACACCACCACCACCACCTTAGGGGTGGCCTACCCACAGGGAAAACAGTGCTCATGAGAAAGCTTATGTTCTCAGAGATCTCCGAGTTTCACTGCTTGTGGAGTCTAACACGTAGAAACACACCTATGAAACCCAGGAACAAACAAGTGACCAGAGAGGAGACAGTGTCTTTCTTTTCTTCAATAAAAGCTCCATCCCTGACGCCCAAGGAAAGCAGCTCAGATGTGTTTTTGTCAAAAAGTTGGCTTAATATCCTAAAGCCAAGAGGCAGTCTTTTGAGGGTGTTAGGGATCAACCCCCTGCCCTTGAAGAAAAACAAGGAGAGTAAAAAGGAAGGATTCTAATAGAACTGTGGAGACAGATCAGGATGAAGCAAAGATTTCCTGGCAGGTCTCTTAGGTAACAGGTGCCTTTCTCCCCTACCCTCATCAAGCTTGCAATCTAGCATTGCACTAGGGGTGGGGAAGGGGGAAGGGAAGGAAAGAAATTCAATATCCTCACCACATAAAACATATAGTATGTTAGATGTGATAAGTGCCAAAAGAAAAAAAATGTGAGAAAGGACCTTATGTTTGGGGGTTGGTGCGAAATTGTAGGTGGAATGAATGGGGATGACCTCATTGAAATGTTTTGAGAAAAGACTCAAAGGAAGTGTAGGAAACAGCCATCTGGACACCTTCGGGAAGAGCAAATGCAGACCCCAGAAGCAGCAGCAACTCGGGCAGGTTGGAGGAACAGGAAAGAGGCCAGAGAGGCTGGAAGAGCAGAGCTGGGGAGGGGTAGTAGGAGAGGAGGATACAGAGAGGGCTCTGCCAGGCCCAGTGGAGACGTGGGTCTGAACTCTGTTTAAATGGGTGGCCACTGGAGAGTGCTGAGAAGGGTGCCACCTGCTCTGATGTTTTTACAGGATCGTGCCAACGCTGTGTGGAGACTGGGCTGTGGGGTGCAAGGGAAAACCCACAGGCCAGCTAAAAACCCAGTGCAGGAATCCAGGTAAGAGACAATGGCGGCAGATTGGTAGCAGTAGTAGGAATGGTTAAAAATGACCAAATTCCAGATATATTCTCAAGTCAAACCCAATGATACTATCCAACACACTGGATATAAGTTTAAAAAAAAACAAAACACACATCAAGGATGACTTAGAATTTTTTTTCTCAATCAACTGGAAAAACACACTTGCCATTAACTAAAATGGTAATTACAGAGATGAAATAAAGATAAAAGACATACATTTGGATATCATCAGCATATAGACAGTACATCAATAAAATGTAATTAATTGGACATTTGTATTTTTCAAAAGCAATAGAAGTACGTACTTCTAAAGATACGCTAGGGTATTCAAGATAAACAGTGTATTTTGCGGAAGCATAATATTTTATGATAAGTAACATTTAAAACAATCTCTATGATAAAACAAACATTCCTAATACAAAGAAGAATTCAATTTTGTATGGGTTATTAAGATAAAACACCAGGCTTCAAAGAAATGTGCTCATGACAGGTTGCTTTGAGCTATCTCCTGTCTCCTGGGGCTACACATTTCTGTCTTCTGCCAATACAAGTGTTTCCATGTTCTTCAAAGTTGTGAGGTGCTGAGTACTTTTTAAGTTTATTCAACATCAATCATCCTGAAACATTTATTGTCAAGCACTATACTAGGAGCAAGGGATACAGTGAACAAAACAAAGACCAGCCTTGTGAAGTCTATAATCTACAATTTACACTGACATTAAGTTCATCTGTGCTTGTTTCCGTTTAGATTTTTGTGTTTTTTTTTTTTTTTTGAAAAAATACAATGTCATCTCTATTCATACTTTACAGCGTTACCTTGAGGTTCAAATATTTATGATTTAAAAACTATTTAGAAATCACAAATGGACACAGGTGAGTTGTGTCAACACTACTGTTAAAACAGGGCTGCAGGCAGATAAAGTGAAAGCTCTTGCAAGACACTGGTGGTGAATCAGAAAAGAGCGTCAATGAATGACTACATCTGAGGAAGCTGATTACTACATCTTGGCACTGAACCAGGCTGCTTCTAAGTATCCTGGCACTTAAAAAAAAATTTGAAACATTCATCTTTCTCCATTTTCTGGCAAAAGAAACATAAAAGTTCACTGGCAGAGAAATTTTTTTTCCTGGAAATGGATCCAAGCAGAGTCCACAAAGGTCTTCATAAACACCATGCTGCATAACCGCGGACAATACTTCCAACTACCATTTCACAAAGGAAACAGCAGAACTGTTCAAAATGAGGCTTACTGTGTTGATGTGCTATCAAGTCAGACTTCATCATAGTAAATTACTCCATTATATATCCATGCAACAGTCATTATTCTGTTTGGAATTTTATTTTCAAGTATATATGTAACATATTATATAATATCTATATATCGTAAGTTCAGCATCTGACTTACACACTAATGGCTTCAAGGAAAGTAATTTCAGTCAGAGGGAACATGCTTGCTTCCTATTTTCATTCTTAACCCTTCAAAAAAATACATCCTGTATGCAACAGGATATTTTAAAACAATCAGCCATTCCTTCCAATACCCATTAGCCAAAGCCTTCTTTCAAACAATCTAAGTAGTCTTGAGTAGAGTGAGGGAAAAATGATTATGTGAATTTGTAGCAGAATATACATTTGTCTAATGAAATGCATATAGCAGTCTACAAAAATTATTTGTTTAAATGCTTCTTAAGAAATAATTTTGACAGTCTCTAATATAGACTGCCTTGTCATTAGCAGAGGAGAAAAATTCTGCTGAATTAAAAAACTGAACAATTAAGCATACTTTGAAAATTATTTTTATGTTCATGATTTAACTGCCATTTAGATATCTTGACTTGATAATCTCAGACACAGGCTTCAGCAGCTGCTGGATCCCAGCGGTCGCTCTAACAGCTGTGTCTGCATTGCCCCTCTGCCCCCTCCCAGCTCTTACTCCCTTCACAGAGCAATAACCTCTCCCTCCCTGTCCACATGGCCTGTACCAGGCCAATCACTGCCTCTTGCCCAGTGACTGGAAAAGTGTAGGGCTGTGATCCAAGCCAGGCTAATTCTAATCTTCTCTATGATCTTTTCAAACAAATCCTGGAATACAGAAGTTATTTCCTTCAGACTGCAGGACTGGTCAAAGAAGATACTGGAAACCACCAATGATTCCACTGCAGGCAGTATGTGCCAAAATCCAGGGAGAAGAAAGTATGAGATGGAAATAAAAAGAATGTGTCCTAGGTTCCAAACTCTGAGGATACTAGAGCTCTCTTGTCCCCTCCAGCAACTCCTTTGATCCTATGGCCTACTCCAGAAATCTCCCATTTTGCTCAAGTAATTTCTTTGAACATATGAAAAGAAATGTCATATGAAATTGTCATTTCTGTAAGCTAAAAACATCTGATTCGGCAACTATACCGGCCATTTCAATAGAATATGCTGGCTTTACGCATGCCACGTGGCATCTAAAGTCTTTGGGGACTATAACTGTGAATACTTAAGGGAAACTTCAAACTATGAGACAGGAACAGGGTCGGGGGGTGGGGGAGGGAAACAAAACTATGCTTTGTCTAATACTGATAATTGCTGTTAAAGACAATGTACAAGCATACTTTTCTATTTACATATGGTATGATCTACATGTGATCATGTAAAACTACTAGGAATGCAATGTCTCAACATAACATGGAGATGCAGACGTGTGAATGAGAACAAGGTCTCTGGAGTCATACAGTCAGGGTTCAACTCCTAAAGTAACAAGCTGCTAGCTTTTTTTAATCGAAAATTTAACTGAGATAATAACAGATTCACATGCAAGTTATAGGATGTAATACAAAGAGATTCTGAGTACCCTTTACTGAGTTATCCCCAATGGCAACATTTTGAAAGCCTTAGTACAATGCTGGGACCAGGATTTCTTTGACATGGATATAATCCAATTATCTTACTCAGATTTCCTCAGTTTGATATTTACTTGTAGGTGTGTACTTAATTCTATAAAATGTTAGCACATGTGTGGGTTCCTGTGTCCATCACCACATCAAGACACTGAACATTTCTATTGCCATCAGGACCCCTGGTCTTGCTCTTTTGTGACCATAGCCACTACCCTCTCTCCATTTCCCTAATGGTTACAGGACTCTTCAGATTATCTATTTCATCCTGGTTGAGTATTAGTTTGCAGTTTTTGACAAACTGACCTCATTTCTTCTTAGTTGGAAAATGTGTGAGTGTAATCTTGTCCTTTATGAGTCCTTTAGTGGCTTTAGGATCTGTACTGTTGTCCCATTTCATTCTTGATATTACAGATTTGTGTCCTCTTTTCCTCTCGATTTTGTTACAGATTTATCAATTTTATTAAAGTTTTTAAAGGACCAGGTTTTTGATACATTGATTTTTTTTCTACTGTTTCCCTATTTTCAGTTTTGTCGACTTTTGCTTTTATTATCTCTTTCCTTCTGCTTGTTCTGGATTTATTTTGCTCTTCTTTTCCTAATTTCTTGAGGTATTAACTTAGATTATTGATTTGAGACCTTTCCTTATTTTTTAATATTTTTAATTTTTGTGAGTCTACAGTATGTGTAAATATTTAAGGGGTACATGAGATATTGTGATACAGACATACAATGTGTAATAATCACATCAGGGTAAACGGGGTATGGGTATCCATCACGTAAGTACTAATCCCTTCTTTGTGTTACAAACAATCCAATTATACTCTTCTAGTTATTTTATTTTTATTTATTTATTTGAAACAGAATCTCACTCTGCTGCCCAGGCTGGAGTGCAGTGGCGTGATCTTGGCTCACTGCCTCCTGCCTCAGTCTCCAGAGTAGCTGGGATTACAGGTGTGCACCACCACACCTGGCTTAATTTTTGTATTTTTAGTAGAGACGAGGTTTCACCAGGTTCGCCAGACTGGTCTCAAAATCCTGACCTGAGATAATCAGCCTGCCTCAGCCTCCCAAAGTGCTGGGATTACAAGGTGTGAGCCACCACACCTGGCCTCTAGTTATTAAATGTATAATAAATTATTGACTTTAGTCACCCTGTTGTACTATGAAATACTAGATCTTATTCATTCTAACTATATTTTTGTACCCATTAACCATCCCTACTTGCTGCACCCCCACCAACCTTTTCCAGCCTCAGGGAACCATTCTACCCTTTATCTCCATGAGTTCAATTGTTTTACTTTTCTTAGCTCCCATAAATGACTGAGAACACATGAAGTTTGTCCTTCTGTGCTTGACCTACTCCACTTAACAAAACGAGTGTTGTTGCAAATGACAGGATCTCATTTTTCTTTATGGCTGAATATACTCCATCGTGTATATGTATCACATTTTCTTTATCCATTCATCTGCTGAAGAACACTTAGGTTGCTTACAAATGTTGGCTATTGTGAATAGTGCTGCAAAAAACATAGAAGTACAGATACCTCTTCGGTATACTGATTCCTTTCTTTGGCATATATACCTAACAGTGGCTTTGCTGGATCATATGGTAGCTCTATTTTTACTTTTTTGAGAAACCTCCAAACTGCTCTCCATGGTGGTTTCCCTAATTTACATTCCCACCGATAGTGTATGAGGATTCCCTTTTCTCCACATTCTTGCCAGCATTTGTTACTGCCTGTCTTTAAGATAAAAGCCATTTTAACTGGAGTGAGATGATACCTTGTTGTATAATGGTTTTGATTTGCATTTCTCTGATGATCAATGACGTTTAATACACCTGTTTGCCATTTGTATGTCTTCTTTTGCAAAATATCTATTCAGATCTTTTGTCCATTTTTTAATCAGATTATTAAATATTTTCCTATAGAGTTGCTTGAACTCCTTATATATGCTGGTTACTAATCCCTTGTCAGATGGATGGTTTGCAAATATTTTCTCCCACTGAATTGTCTCTTTGCTTTGTTGATTGTTTTCCTTTGCTGTGCAGAAGCTTTTTAACTTCATGTGATCTCATTTGTCCATTTTTGCTTTGTTTGCCCATATTTGTAGAGTATTACTCAAGAAATCCTTACCCCATCCAATGCCCTGGAGAGTTTCCCCAATGTTTTCTTTTACTAGTTTCATAATCTTCACATCTTAAAGTTTTTAATCCATTTTGATTTTTGTATGTGATGAGACATAGAGGTCTAGTTTCATTCTTCTGTATATGGATATCCAGTTTTCCCAGCAACATTTACTGAAAAGAGTGTCCTTTCCCCAATGTATATTCTTGGCACCTTTGTCAAAAGTGAGTTCACTGTAGGTGTATAGATTTATTTCTGGATTTTAATTTTGTTCCACTGGTCAACTTGCCTATTTTTATGCCCATACCATGTTGTTTTGGTTACTATAGCTCTGTAGTATAACTTCAAGTCATGTAAATGTGACTCCTCAAGTTATGTTCTTTTTGTTTAGGATAAATTTGTCTATTCTTGGCTTTTTGTGGTTCCATTTAAATTTTAGGATTGTTTTTCTATTTCTGTGAAGAATTCATGGGTATTTTGATAGGGATTGCATTGAATCTATAGATTGCCCTGGGTAATATGGACATTTGAACAATATTGATTCTTCAAATCTACAAACATGTAATATCTTTCCATTTTTTTGCGTGTCCTCTTCAATTTCTTGCAAAAAGTTTTATAGTTTTCCTTACAGGGATTTTTCACTTCTCTGGTTAACTTAATTCCTAGTATTTTTTTGTAGCTATTGTAAATGGGATTAGTTTCTTGATTTCTTTTTTCAGATTGTTTGTTTTTGGCATAGACAAATACTACTCCTTTTTGGATGTTAATTTTGTATTCAGCAACTATAATGAATTTGTTTATCAGTTATATTTTTTGGATGAGGGAAAGGTGGCCTAGGTGATTGAAGACTATCTCTCCTACTCTCCTCAGTGCCTCTTTCCTTAGTATGATGCTAAAACCAGGTACTGTGATTGCTCACCTGATTCTTGGTTCTTATGAAGATGATTTTTTCTGTGGGTAATTTGGTGATCCTATGGAGGAGTGAGTACAATCTCTGGAGGCTTCTATTGAACTATCTTTCTCTATCTCTCCTCATTTTTAATGTAGTAATTTAGTGCCATAAATTTCACTCTCAGAACTGCTTTACCTGCGTCCCAAATATTTTGGTATGTTCTGTTTTTGCTTTCAGTTTTATGTATTTTTATTTCCTTTAAAACTTGATCTTTAAATCATGTATTATTTAATAGTGTGTTGTTTCATTTTTACCTGTTTGAAGGTTTTCCTGTTGTCTTTCTGTTACTGATTTCTAATAGACTCCACTACGATCAGAGAGTGCACTCCGCATGAGTTTGGTTGTTTAAAAGTGCTCTATGGCCCAGGATGTGCGCCGTCTTGGTGAATGTCCCACGAATTCTTTGGAAGACTATGTATTCTGTGGTTTCTGGGTGAAGTATTCCAGAAACGTCAATTTAGTCCTGTTGCTTGATTGTGTTGTTCAGACCTTCTACATCCTTGCTGATTTCCTGTCTAGGCAGTCACCCTGTTTAGGCTTAGTATGTGGGTCCTGGTCTACTTTTGTGGGCTATGGTTCCAGGGCCAGCTTAATTTTCAGAGCCTTTGCAGCATTCTTTGTGCCCGCTTCATTTGTCTGGTTCTGATGGGGGCTCCCACGGGTCCCTGCTGATGCTGCCTGAGGGAGTGAAGGGACTTCCCCAGGCCTAATGCCCAGTGTCCCTCAGTAGAAGGAGTGGTGGTGTTCAGGCCCACAGAATGGATTAGGCTTTCCTAACCACCTATTCCTCTCTGGGCAGAAGAAGGTGGTCTTAGGTGCATGAGGACAAAGAAGCTACTCAGCTGGACCATTTGTTGCAGTGGGATCCTTCTAACAATTGCTTCACAGAAGCCCAGGTATCACACACTGGAAAAGGGTATCTCAGCAAGAAAGAAGAGTATTTCCCTTGGCTGCTTGCTTGCTTCCATTTGAATAAAAAAAGGAAGCAGCCTCCCTGGACTATCTCGGTTGCTAGTTCAGAGGTCAAGAAAGGCCAGGTCTGCCTCTCCTGATGGGTGAGGGAATGTGAGATGCCCTGCCATTGTGTCAGTCCTTTAGTCCTGGGCCCCAAACCATCTTGACTTCTTCCTACCAAGTTTTAGAGTTCTCCTTCTGTTTCTTGCATTATTTCTGGGGTCTATCATTGTATTTAGTTGGGAGAAAGTGGGAGAAACAGGTCTGTGCCATTTTGTCCAAGCTAGAAGTCTTAAATTTCTCATTTTTTGACATAGAGCAAAATCTTAAGTTTCAGATTCATCATTGGAAAATAACTGCCTCCTAGATTGCTATGAACATTAAGTAGATAATGCATTTAAAGCTCTTAGATCACTGCCTGCTATGAAATAGACACTCAGAAAATGTCAGCTATTGTTGTACAATATAAGGCAATAATTAAGTTTTATGAAAAATATATGAATAGGAAAGACCAGAAAGAAATCCATCAAATAATTATACTAGATGGTAGGATGAGGAGTACTTTTAAATTTTTTATTTACTATTTCTCTGTATTTTCCAAATGTTCTTCAACTAATAGGTTTTAGTTTTATGATAAAAAATGTAATAAGAAAAACAGAAATATACAACTTATAACTGTGTAAGACACTGATTTAAATATCTTCTGCACAATCTTCAGATAAACTGGAAAGCATAATTATGCAACAGTAAGATCCCAACTTACCTTCCACTTCTGAATTTATTGAACATCAGAGTAAAATGACTGGGCAAAAGCATTTAACTGCTGCTGCTTTGTTCTGAGAAGGTAATGATTATTTCAAAGTCTTTCATTTCCCTCAACCCCTAGAATGACCTAATTAGCAAATTGCATGACAGCTAAGACAAATGGCTCAATATGATTCACAGCCATGAATAAGGTAAGATCTTACTCTGTGGTCAGTCCAGCTCAGAAACATTGCTCAGAATCAAATCAACAGAAGTGAGGCTCTCTAAAACGTGGTCCAGCAAAATGAAAATAATTATTTCCAAGGAAAAAATATGGATCATAAATGAATATATGAGCAAATTCTGCCTTGCTTTCAGAGTATGTCAGCCTAGATGAGAGGGAGAAGAGGTAGGTGAGAAACTAGTAGCCTCTGGCAAAAAGAGTGGCTGAGTGAGCATTCATTCAACAAGCATCTACTGGGGGACAGGACTTCAACTTCCAGGAACCACAGGGTTCAAAAGAGTAAAATCAGCTGGGCGCGGTGGCTCACACCTGTAATCCCCACACTTTGGGAGGCCAAGGCGGGTGGATCACAAGGTCAGGAGATCGATCGAGACCATCCTTGCTAATACAGTGAAACCCCGTCTCTACTAAAAATACAAAAAATTAGCCAGGCTTGGTGGTGGGCGCCTGTAGTCCCAGCTACTCAGGAGGCTGAGGCAGAGAATGGCATGAACCCGGGAGGTGGAGCTTGCAGTGAGCCAAGATTGCGCCACCGCACTCCAGCCTGGGCGACAGAGCGAGGCTCCGGCTCAAAAAAAAAAGAAGAAGAAGAAGAAGAGTAAAATCTTTCATGTTTAGGAGTTGTATCACACTACAACCCGAACGACCCAGGCCATAGTATTAATACTTAATTTTCTCAATTAAATTAAGAGTTTTTAAAAGCTTGATAATGTGATTCACAATTTCTAATTCTAAATAATTCTGTAAAGAAAATTGTTCCTTAAAAACAACAACAAAAAAAAATTTAGGCCAGGTGCAGTGGCTCATGCCTGTAATCTCAACTCTTCGGGAGGCCAGGGTGGAAACACTGCTCGAACCCACGAGTCTCAGGCTGCGGTGAGCCGTGATCGTGCTGCTGTACTCCAGCCTGGGTGACACACTGAGAGCCTGTCTGTAAATAAGTAACTTTACAAGTTTTCTGCTGTATAAAACTACTAAATTTAGGGGGAAACTAAGGTCAGCCAAATTGATGTTTCTGGACTTATTTTTCAGTGGTTTTAATTCCAGAAAAATTAAAAAAAAAAAAACCAATGAGGCAAGCAAAGCAAGCTTTCAGTTTAACTGATGCACAACTTATTAACAAAATGATGTATAAATGTGTCCATAATCAGCTCATTTTAAAGGTTGTGTCCAACTTTAGGCTTGCTTGACCCAAGAAATGAGGGAGAAACATTGCTGCTGATTCCCCAGTTGGATATGAAAACTTTACCAGGATAATCTTGGCATATCGTATAACATATGAACATTAAAAATTCAGTTTATTTCAAATATCAAAAAATAGTACCCAGATGCTCATTTTAAATAATTCACATATCCATGAGGTGCTGACACATTAATGTTATATGACCTGTATTAATAAATACTACATTACAAACACAGATGTGTGATGTTGGGCCCCCCACCCCCGGTGTTGGCCGGGTTGTAACTCCTGACAAACTACGGTTACAATAAACAAAATACAAAAGAACAAAAACGAAAAATGTTTTAAAATTTAAAAAAAATAGTTTGCAGGATGTAAAAGTAGGTTAGGTCCTTAAATAGGTTAATCTTTCTCCTAACCTTCTAAAAAATATATTAAAAGCTGGTTGAGTTCACTCAACACTGCTATACATTCTGTGTAAACCTTTATTTCTTTTAACAATCAAGAATGATAAGAAGAAAGTCTGAACTAAAGTAATACACTAATTTCAACTAGGCTCCACAGCAGTATTGCTAAAAATTACAAAACCCTAATCTTGAATACAGTAAAAACATTTTCTAGAAATATCAAAACATGAAAATAGAAGGAAATATGGCAAGAGTTCTTAAAAGAAATCTTTTCATTGTAAGCTATCACTTGTCATAGTAATATCCATATTAATATCATATAAAGCATTTCAATTTTTACTTTATATTTTAATGAGTGCAAGAAAATTTCTGAACACATCTGTCAAATGGATATAATCAGCACAAGAGACTTCTGATTTGTTCTACATGCTCTAAAAGTTCAGCATTAAGGATGGAGAGGAACCAAAGATATGATAAATAGGCAAAGAAGTATTCCACGGCACACACTGCAGACAGTCAGCACAGGAGCAGCAATGAGCACCCAGCAGTGGCCCAGAAGAGCTGAAGGTAAAGGGGACATGAGGCACATGCCTTAGTCAAGTGAGCGTCAGGACTGCTTTGAACTTGTCTAATACACATAGTTCTTACTCGTGCCACAGTATGTTGATTGTGAGTATATTAATTCATCTGGAGACTACATTTAGAAAAGGGAAGAAAACGCAAATGACTACAATATAAAGGCTAGAATGATTTCAGGCACTGAAATATTATGGGATTATTTAATGACAAATGCCTAAATTTGCAGCCTCTTTAAGAAATCCTTTATAATTGGTGCTATCTCAATTATATATGTATAAGATATACATATGTAAATTTGAGATATGCATATATTGAGATAGACACATATTAATATGTTGAAATATGTATGCATGCATGCCCATGTATATGATTTGTATATAAAGCTACAAATTTCACATATTCACATTGATTTTACAAATATCATTATTTTGATAACTGTGCTAATGTTTAATAGGCATATTACAGACTTAAAATATATTTTTAAGATGTAGGTTAAAGGAGACCCTAAATAAAGCTGCATTGTTTCATTTTCATGCCACATGCACCAAAATGGGTTTTTTTTTCCTTTCTGGCTAAATTTTAGCTCAAGGAAAGAGTCGGCCTATGCCTATGGGAAAAAAAGGTCATGATTCAGATCTCTGTTAACACATTAGCTGGTCTGCAACAAGCAGAAGGAAATGGTAGAGAACAGTGCCTTGACGTGCATTAATAAAGCTGTTTATAGAAAGATCAAGCATTCTTGTTCAGAGCCAACTTCAACAATTTCTGTGATAATTTTCAGCTTATTTACAATAGCCTAAGTCTTTGCTAAAAAGTAGGGAAAAAAAACAAAACATGCTCTGCCCTGAGACCAGGTAACTCTGATCGCAGATGTAAACACTCTAAATTCTGTCTGGTGTGCACTGTGATCGATGATATACCTCTATCCTACTTCACACTGAATACTGTAAGACATAAAAGTCCCTGCTCTGAAAAGAACTTACTTTTATTTTCCTTTGGCACATGGATATTTAGCATATTAAAATTTTTAAGTTAAGATAGCAACTCACAAAGAATTCTATGTATATCAAATACTTGGCAAGATTATTTCTCTTCAATACAGTCTCATATTGGTTACAGAGGAAGGTACAAGAAGTATGTGGGAGAAAAATAAATAATACTGTGTCAACCCGGTGGTGCCTTCCACAAAAACAACGCATCCTCACAGGAAGACTATAACTCATAGAGATCACATTTCACAGCCTTCGGAATGAATTCGGTAAATTCCAAATTCTATCAAAAAGAACTGTTTGCATGAAAGATAACAAAGACAGGAGGAAGCCTTCACACAGCTCATTTTTTACGCAGTTTGGAAATATGCTGCACTTACATTGAATGGCAAGTAGTTAAAGTCATGTAAGAGCAGGTTCTTCCCAGGGATGCAGCTCTCTGGCTGCAGGAGGAAGGGGGGCGCCTCACCTCCAGCACAGCCAATATATTGATAGTAGGGAGAGTAAAACCCTACTGTTGTTGTTCTATATGGCTGGATCTTAACAGAAGTCTCCGATTAATGCTAGAGAAGGAGATATCTGAGGTCAAAGTGATACTTTCTTTATGAGCTTATTAATATAGATGATAAAAGGATACAAAATATCAGCTTCTCCCTATTTCACAGGAAGCCCTAGGTTAATTAGAAACTTGCCAATATAAAAGGAAGATGGGAGTACAATCCTTCTCCATAACAAAAGATGGTCTGAAGAGAAAAATAGTGGGATATTAAACATGACAAAAGAATAAAGTCACTAATTTAGCACAGCCTTTCTGGAGAGCAATCTGGAAGTTTATTTCAAAAGCCTGGGTGCCCTCAAACACAGCTATTTCATTTCCAGGAATGTGTTAAAAAGAAAATAATCATGTATCCACTTACCAATGTAGACATTAGGATGTTCATCTCAGCATTGTTTACGACAAAAAATAAAAAGTCAAATGTTAGCAAAAGAAAATGTTTCTCTCCTCTCATCTTTGGGACTCGTAATCTCGCATTATCTATTAACATTTAAAATGTAGCTCAGTAGTTTTGGAGTAAGACAGACCCAGGTTTAAGACCTACCTCTATTACTTGTGTATTTTTAGAACATTTAGAACAATAATTCATCTAGAATTAATTTTTGTATACAGTGTGGGAAGGGTTCCTACAATTATTTTTTCCAGATGTATAATCAGTTATATCAATGATATTTATTGAATCAACCACCTTCCATGAACTGAGTTTTGCCAGGTCTATTACATTTCAGATCTTCATATATACTTGAATCTCTAATCTATTCAACTGATGCATTTCAACAACTATTCATACTGATTTAATTGTGGGAAACTTATAGTACATAGTATGTGTTTTACAGTTGCCCTACACTACAATTTTTCAAAAACTGGGGAGACAAATTCTTGGATTTATTTTTCCATTGGCACTTTAGAAACAATCAAAGCTGTCTTCAAAAGAACAGAAGGAAGAATCAGGTTAAAAGACACTGACTATGCTTTCCAATACGTTCTTCAACAAAGAAGGTACTGGAACATACAGCATGGTCAGGGAAGATTCTAAGAAGCAGATGGCCAGGCAGAAAGGAAAGCAGGGTGGCAAAAAGTCATCCTTTAAGGCTGACGGGTATCTGCCTGTTAAGAGTGTAATGAAGTGTGCACACATCTCAACCTAGCTAACAGCCAGTTTTCCATCATTGCTTCCTTTAGAAAAGGTATCTATCCAAAAGGGTAAGAAATACATAAACCAACATTAACAGTGATCTACAGAGTCAGTCAAGATGAAGGGCCAGGGTAGTATCATGGACAAGCATGGACTAGGTCAGGGATTTCCAATCTTTTTCAAGTATGAATGAGGATTCCTTTTTTAATGCCAAGAGTTTAAACAGAACCTGCACAGTGGTAACTGGCCTGTTAGTATTCTTTGGTGAAAAATAATACATAATAAAATGCTATTACAATTGAAGTATAACAACGTGTTTATTAATCATAACGGCAGTTAGTATCCATAGGTACACTTCACTGTCTAGAGCTCAATCTATCACCCAGATACAGTCTTTGCCCAAGGTAAGTTTTAAAACCTCAATTTTATTGTTAATTTTTATTTACCACATAACTTGCTTTGACCAATACAGTTAGTTCATATTTTTATTCAGATCAATTATAATAATTATGACTGTTAAATTACAGTTTTTATCCAACCTTAAATATGTGGCTATCAAAGCACTTAAAGTAGAGTAAAAATGTTAATATATTACTTACAACATTAATTTCTAAACCTACTATTAATTGTAATTTTAAAACATTAGGGTTAAATCATAATAAAAATTATCTAAAACTCTAAGTGTAGACAAGGTCACACACCTTAAAAGAAAAATGCTAGTGCTGGTCAACTATGTATGAGCTACATTTTTTAATCTTAAGATTAAAAATTCCTTGAGATTTTCAGATTTTCCTCCCCTCCCTCAATTAGTTAAATCAAAAGTGTGAAAAGATGACTTCATAGATCTTTCTGATACTTATATTTACAGTAGCACCTCCTTGTTGAGATGATGACTTTTAAATGCTTGCAAAATGAGGAACTTTAAACTCTTAACTTCATAAACTCTAACGGGTAGGTAACCTGAGATTGAGTCCAAGAAAAGATAAACTACCCAAATGCACTAATATGAGAGATTTCTAGATTCCAGGACGCTACCCGTGCAATAAGCCATCCTGGAACACAAAGTGACCACAGGTTCCTTGTGAAATGATGGTCTTTACGCAGTACAGTTTGGGAGACGTCCCCCCTGGGCAGCCCACCACAGCGTGTCTTTCTCTTAATTTTAAACAGTCACATCACTCATTTTGGTGCTTGGCATGTGCCACATTTCTCCTGTTCTCTTTTTCTTTCCATGTCCTGTTTTCCACTACCTGGTACAGAGCTGTGTATACTCTGAATGTAAAACAAGTGTCCATGATTCTCAATCTGTAGGATATTGTAAGAAGATACCTTCAGAGAGCCTTATTTTTTTAAAAACGGCTTTAGTGTACAACCTCATCTGATCATCTGTTAGGTCAACTAGGGCCTTCACGTTCCACAAGGTGGAAACAGAGGATTAGAGGGGCCGAGAGACCTACTGTCATATGGTTATTAGGGAGCATGGAGGATTCACACCCATGCTTTTCTGTTTCCAGTGCCCTTTCCTGTACATCATTGTTCGTTACAGTGTGGTTCCCAGACCCGCGGTGTCATCATCCTCAGGGAACTCCACAGAAATGCTGACTCCCAGGCCCCACCCCAGACCACCTGAAATGCACACTCTGGGAGTGGGGCCCCAGCAAGCCCTCCAGGCAACCCTGAGGCACTCTGAAGCTTGAGAACCACTGTTTTGCATCCCAACGATTAAAAGTTATATCACTTGTGTAATTATTTTCAGCAATTTCATAATAATAAAATAATGAAGACAGAAATATCAATAGGTTACTAAAGTCTTTCTTTCAATGACGAGGTTATACTGATTTAGGTATTCTTGATTGCACTACACTAAATGGACAGCAACTCAAAAGAAGGAAACTAGAATATACAGAACAGAAATTATATTTTAGGTATGAGTTTACTTTTCTCTTTTCACTTTTCAGATTTCAAAGTACTATTTGATTACCCTTTCGCTTGACAGCACCAAAATTAACAGAACAGCGGCCAGAAGTCTCAGAAATGTCATCTTGCTTTAGCTGCTTCTACAGAACCAATTCTGTGCCCAGCTCTGGCCTGGTAAAATGCTGAACCAGCCAGAGGATGGCAGGCACATGGGCACCATAGCAGAGGGTTGCCAGGTGGTTTCATTTCAATCATGTAATATTCACTTAGTGCCTGTAAACTAGGTGCTAGGATGAAATGGCTCCTTGTCCTGGAAACATTCACATTTCAGTAGGAAAAGAAAATACACGCAGATAAATATTTGCATTAAGTCTTGAAGGATGAGGAGTAACTGAGACTTCTACAGGGGACAGCTATGAGGAAAACCACGATCCCCATCATGCTAGAAGTGACTGCACATTAGTCTTTCAACATGAAAGATGAACATTTTCAATATCATCTTGGCCTCACTTTAGCCATTAACTCTAGGCCTTTTGACCGCCTGCCAAAATGTTTATTTGGTGTGCCCCACCATTTTTCTGACCCCTGCATCAATCCCATGACTCTTCTCTACTTTCTACCTGAGGCCTTTTCCCCATTCCTCATAGTTCTTTCTCATTGGGCACAGTATGGAAATGAGCCCAGCAAAGGTCTGTTAGGCGTCAATTAAAACTCTCTCCTAAAGTTGGCTTTGGTCAGAAGCAGCCCTCTGTAACATGTGGTGCCAATACTGCCGCCCACCACATAGCACCAGCTCTCCTCCCAGTCCTGGTAGGAGCACACTCTCCTGCCCCCTCCATCAGTGATGGTCACCTGCTGCAGAAAAGAAAGGCAGGCAGAAGTTAGGGACTCAGTTACAGTACAAGGCTCAGGAGTCCGTGAGTTTTATACAAATCCACCATACTGCTTCCCTCTGACAGCTATCAGCAGCATCTGAGATGGCAGCTGCTCCATCAGCCTGAGTCCCTGGGTAACTGTGACGAGCAGTGACACCTCACTCAACCCACACTAACTGTGCACCCTAAGCAGGAAATAAACTTGCTTTAAGCCACTGAGATTTCTTGGTTGGTAAGTGCTGTAGCATAACCTAGATTTCCTGATTTTATGGTTGGTAAGTGCTGTAGCATATCCTAGTTTTCCTGATGTTTTCAGAATGCGATCACAAAATCTGCTTTGGTACAAAGAGGATTATGAAGACTAAATGAGCTGTCGACGTTCATGTTGAACTTGTAGATGTTAAAATCTAGAATCAATGACATTTTAAAATCTAAACGCTACTTTGGGGCATCATTAGGCCAACGACTCATTTTCCATGTGAAGAAACTTAAGCCAAGAGAGCAGAAGTGACTGGGAAAGACTTCGCCCCTCATTTGGGCATGGCCGGGACCCAGGCCACATCATCAGACTCCTGGTGCAGTGCCCTCTACAGGCCCCATGCTGCCTGTGAGGTCGCTAGAGGTCTGTGGCTGCTTGATCCAAGCTGTTTCCCACACCACTTTCTCTGACAAAATATGTTCTATTCTAAATTAACTTGCAAAGGGAAAATGTCTTTTAAATTATTCTGGCAGTTATAAACTGTTGGGAACCAAGATGGATACATATGGTCTTTGGGAGGTGAAGAATTCTTACAGAACTCTACTAGAAAATTCATATGCAGTCAAGCATGTCTCCACAGGCATTTAAAAATGAAATTGATGCTATAAGGCCAGGTAGTCTAAAGCATTTCCTAAGGAGAAAGGCCTTTAGTCAAGGATAACGATATATGAGGAAAATAATCAAATATAAAAACTACACAATGGTTATGGTTGAGGAAGGAATTCAGTTGAGCAGTAGTAGAGATGGCCAGTGATAATAATCTATGCATAGAGAAATGATCGTTTTTCAAAAATAAAAAAGCTCATCTCAGTAACAATTTACAGAACTCAGATGGCTGTTGGTGTTTGTACTATCAAGTAACCAATAAATGGGTCTTCTGAAGTCACTAAGAAGTTAATATTCATTACATACTCTGAAAAGATCATCCTTTCGTACAGAATACACCCAAAATGGAATTCACAACATACGAACATCAATAGAATTTAAAACACACTGTAAACATGAAGTCCAGGTAACTCCTGCCTGTGTCTATGAGTACGTGTAACACAATCTCACTCAACAAACCCAGCGCTCTGCCTGCTGAGAAACATACAGAGTGCACCATTCCAAACTTTTTTTCTCAGAAGTAAGCAGGTGGACATCTTGCGAGTTTCCAGACCTGCCTTTATGTGGCTATGTGTCATCCTTATTCCCTACGAGTAGAGGTGGCCCCTGCAAGGATATTACCAGCCACGAGCAGACCATGAGGAAGGCAGTCTCTCCCACTCACCTGGCACCCATTCTACCAGTGCTCCATTTGGTCTTAAGAGCCATCTCTTTAGTAAGAATGGCTCCCCTATGGGGTCAGAGTCTAGCCATCTGTGGCTTCATCCTCACACTTGCAACAGATAGTGATCGCGTCCATGAAACAGAAATTAAGCAAGGAGTATAACAGGAAGCCAAGAAGAATGGGATCTATTTTTTCAAAACGTCAAATCCTATCACTAATGCCATTTCAATGGCAAGTTCTCTACAGTAACATCTCAATTTTTCTTGCTAGTGGTAGAAACATTATTTTGTCGATTTCCACAACTAGAGTAGAAATGATGCATAACCTCCGTTACTTTGGAGACATAGGTCAACACGTTTTTGGCAGGAAAATTTGAAATACAAATAGGAATTATGCCTAAGCTTGTCCCAGATGGAGATGAGAACAAAATAACAACAAATGCAACCTTGCCATAAAGTGTAATCTCCCCAAAGAGGCTCTTGGCACCAGGGAATGAGACAACAGAGGGAATAAAGGAAGCCTTCAGTATGGTCTGGTCTGCTATTTTTCCTAGTCTCCCCTTTTGGGAAGCTTCTAAAGCGAAGGTAAATCAATTTTTATTTTCCTTCTTAGAAGTCTTTGTCTTTGATGTTTTTTCTAATTTCTCTCTCTACACTTGAAAGAAGCCCTTTTTAGAGCTCTGTACCTTCTTTAAAAGCACTTCTAGTAATCAAAGAATAAAACCAAACCTAACACACAGTTTCTAAGAGAGGTTTAAAGAGAGACAATAGTACTGTAAGGCATAGCCAATAGTTATTGTAAAGATATTAAAATATTTTTAACATTTTAAAACATTTTTATTTTAATAATGTTATTGATTAAAAGATCAATGCTATTTTAATCAAGCAATATTGCATAAACACTTATTAAATGCTAACCTACCATAGGCCAGGCATGATCCTATGCTTGGCACACAACGATGTCTCCCATTTCAGCCCCTCTTCCCTGGGTCCTTCTCTCTGAAAGAGGAAAGGCCCAGCCCAGGAGCCTGGGAGAAAAGGCCACACCAGCTATGCAGGTGTAAAGCAAAGGGTCATGCCCCAAATCGCTACAAGGCACAGGCTGAAAGGACCCTTCTGAAATGTAATCACCTTTCCAGCCCTGCTGTTGGGGAGAAAAATTATGCCCTAAGTTCTAATATGTAAAACATCTACAGTCGCTAGATTTCAGGGTCATGATTTTACTCAAGGCACATCTAAGCTATGTGTATCAGGCCATAACATAATAAGAAATCTACTACAGATTAGAAAAATCTATCATTGGGAATTAAAATTCTACAGTTTGGGTTTGCCGCTGATGACTTATCGACAATTAAATTTTAAATCAATGTGAAATACGTTAAAATATAATTGTGTCAAGTTTCTATCATTATACTTTAATTTTGAGGGTACATGTGCACAATGTGCAGGTTTGTTACATATGTATACATGTGCCATGTTGATGTGCTGCACCCACAAGTTTTATAATTAGTTTATCAAGGCTTACGGACATATCTAGTCCTTCTTCTCTTAAAGAATTTTATTTTTTGTTCCTCTGTTTAAATTACATAACAAAACATAAGAGGGCATTTAGCTCCTTAATACTCTTAAGCTTAATGGTTCTTCAACACCACACAGGGTTAATACCTTATTTGCCTAAGTCATGCATTGGGGTGATGTCTTATTGGAGGAATTCCACCTAATTCAACCATCAGTTACTGAAAAGCTCCCCTATGTCAGATACATGCCTAGATGCAGAAATTAGTGACATGGACTTTAGGATATACACAGTCATGTGGAAGAGAAAAATAAATACCAAATATATTATTTGATAAGTGCCATATCCATAGTTATATATAAAGTTTCATGGGTACAGTGGTAAGAAGGTCTTAGGGATCTCTACAGAAGGACTGACATATTAAATCATCCCTGAAGCATAACTAGGACTTCATAAGAAGGAAGAGAAGGAAAAGAGGTTGGGAATGGATGGAAAATTACAGGCAGAGGCAAACACACATGAGAAAGGCATAGAGGCATGGAAGTCCACCCAATGACCAGCGTATGGCTTAGATTACGCCCTCCTCTGCATGTAAGAAGTTGCCTGCATGGCTCTGAGCAAGTGGAAGCACACAGGAGGAGTTTAGTAAAAGGGTTTTGCTCTACTAGACAATTTCTAACTCACACAAAGCACTCAGACTAATTTACAATGACTTATAAACTCTCGACAATTAACATAAAAATGAAAACATACTCCATGAGTCCACTGCCTTAGACAGGATATAGTTATACTTAAGAATATACTTTGTTCAATTTCGAATCAGAATGCATGTATCACCCAAGAAACACAGATCAAGTTTAGAAAACGGAAATGATTGTGTCAAATGTTTGAGACACTTTGGAAATCTGTTCTTTGGTAGTTAACATGACAGGAAATTAACACTGGGATTTTAACTGGGCTTTCCTCCAGTAAAATAAAACTTCCTGGAATAGGATCTACTGTCATAACTTCCCCCAAAAGACAAGACGAAGGTCCACCCTATCATGGTGAAGATATAAAAATAGTGATTCCTTGACAGTTTCATGTAAATTCCTTGAAATATTTTAAATACTCCTTTAAAGTCCTTTATTATAGATATACGAATGATGGCTTTCAACATAAAAATTTATATGATCTTGGACTCTTTTCTTGCCAGAGCCTTATGGAAACAACTTTAAAAGCAAGTTTGGTCCAAGTGATACCAGTGTCACAGACTGCACCATGCTTGTGTCAGACCCAAAATAGCTGCATGTGAATGTGCATTCTCCCTGCATTCATAAGCAATTCACTGTGTTCTCTGACTTCCCCATAGCACATATCATAGCAGATGTCCATCAACCTTGACCAGCCTTCCTTAAAGTCTTCTTCTTAGATTCAGAGTCACTTCTCTCTCTGGTTCTTTAACTGCGCCTTTTCAGTCTTGTTGAAGGATTATTTTTCTTCCACTTGCCCCTTAAATGAAGGTTCCCAGCAACCCAGGCCTCTTCTTTTTTTGTTTTTGAGATGAAGTATCACTCTTTCACCCAGACTGCAGTAAAGTGGGGCAATTTCGGCCCACTGCAACCTCTGCCTCCCAGGTTCAAGCGATTCTCCTGTCTCGGCCTCCCGAATAGCTGAGATTACAGGCGACTGCAACCATGTCTGGCTAATTTTTGTATTTTTAGTAGTGATGGGGTTTCGTCATGTTGGCCAGGCTGGTCTTGAACTCCTGACCTCAGCTGATCCACCTGCCTTGGTCTTCCAAAGTGCTAGGATTACCGGCGTCAGCCACCACACCCGGCCTCCCTCTTCTTTTGGGTTTACCAGAGAGGACAATGAGAAGGCCTTCAATCAAATGTGATCCACATATGTGTTTTTTTTGTGACTCAAAATATCATAAATTTGAAATGAAAAGTAAAGATATTTCACACTACCATCCAGAGTTTTACTTAAATCTAAAAAAAATTAGGAGGTATGTCATTATGCCTACTGGCTGCAGCTGGCAACAGCTCCCATCAGATGAGGCATGTGCCCTCCAGGCTGCCACTCTCTGCCCCTATACTGAGGCCAAATTTCGGCTGTCATTTATCATCCTAGAATGGGCAGTGTTTATTCTTTCATTTGGATCCTGTAAGCACTGAGTTGGTGAGCCCTAAAAATTAATGCAATAATTCTTCCTAACCTCATTCATTTCCACTACTCACCCTGATGTGGATGACTGCCATGGTGATCGCTGCCTCATTTAGTCATTCAATCTACAACCCTTTATTGAGCACCTATTACACATCACGAATTATGTCAGATGCAAGGTTTTGAAAGACAGATGTGATACGGCCCTGCTCTTAATGAGCCAGGCAAGTCCATCCATCTCCACTGAGCTCCAGGCAGCAGGGATCTCTCTGATAGTGGACTTTCAAGGCGGGCAGAAACTCAGCTGTTCTAGCCTAAAACTTCCTCAAGAAACCCTCTTCTGCGTACTCCAGGTAATAAAGGCAAAGGCCCAACATTTCCTCTCTCCTTTTCCCATTAAAATCCCATGGAAACTTGCTAATAATTGTTTTAAGCTCTGTCTATCTACCTACCTATCTATCTAGTTGTGAAGGAACTGCTAAAAACTAAGCACCAACTCTCTCTATCTAGTTTTGAAGGAATTGCTAAAAACTAAGCAGCAACTGGAAAAAGTATTTATAGCCATGCTCCAACTCCTTGATAGGTCCAAGTGAGATCCCCTGGCCTCCATCTCCCCACAGCCCCTAACTTGGGGATAGAAAATATGACCAACCTGGCAAACAGGTGGCATGAGGAAAGAAGACAGAGCTAATATAATCTGTCTGCTTTTGGTCTTCTTGTCTGCATAATGATCGCAGAAAGTATTCAACAAACAACAACCAGACACTCTTTCCTATGAACTGAGCCACACTAGTTAGTGACTGCATTGAAGAGACATGCCAGTTTGGGGGATGGGACAGGAACAAGAAAAGGAATCCAGCAAAAAACTTTCAAGAAGATTCCGTCTGCCTCTTTGTGTGGACAACCATAAAATCATGCCGACAGCATAAGTGTGCTTTTGGAACACTTTCTTTGGCCCTCTTCTATTACTTAAAATGTCATCCAGCCACCAGAGTGACTTCCTCTTGATCTGGGCCTGAATGGGCCTTTCTGCCCCCACTCCAGGTTCATGAAGTTCTGGGGTTTGCATAGAGAGTATAAACTCCTGTGCCCTAAGCCTGGCACAGAAGTAGCCGGGTGGGCAGACACGAGGAAACCATGTGGACTTGGTCAGTTCTCCCATTAGAAGGAATAAAATACAAATTCCTTAACATGGAATCCAAGATATGGACAGCATTGGCCTGCCTAGGTAAGTGGGGAGATTTACCTTAAGCATAAATAAGGATAATTTGCTGACAGGGAAACAGGCAAGTGTTGGAGTCGAAATGACATTGATTCACGGTAAATAAGGAAATTCAGATTTCTGAACTTGCCTCAGAGTGAAGAGGATACATTAAAAGGCAAAATTAATGAAAAGAAATTTATACCTGAACTGATTTTTTCAAAAAGGCCTTCCAAGATTTAAAAACAAAAAAAAAGCACAGGATTTTCTTTTAAAGGTGGAAACACAAGAAAAGACAAAATGCGGACAGCTGGAAAACATCACAGCAGTGGGAGGTGTGAAAGCTGACCCAAGAGGCCCAAAGCCGCAGTTGGCAATGGGACAAACAAATGGCCAATGTAATTGCCAACACAAAATCTGCCCCACCCCATCCACCTACCCACCCATGACATCCTGGATGTCATGCTAAGAAATCTGGATTTTATTCCTTATAATGTGGGGACTAAGGCCACGTGGTCTGTCATGTCTTCCCACCCAGGAGAGCCAAAATAAGAAAGACTCCACGAAAGGCAGGAAAAAAACCATCAGTGCCTGGATCCCTTTCCCCACATGCAAACTAGGTGACTGCCCTCTCCACCCTGGAGGAGCACTGGAGGTTCACTCTTTGCAGAGGGAGACTCTGGGGTATCTGCCACCAGGATGCCTCACTGAAAACAGGGAGATTACCTGGATTTGTGCACGGAGGCCCCAACTCTGCTTCCTGAACACTGGCAGCCAGGCTATCACCTTCTAGGCAGAAGAGGAATACAGTCTTCTCCAGGGAACCTGACCAGCTCAAGGGGAAACACCTCAAAATGCCGACACATCAAGAGTCAAGTTCCTGGACTCCACAGCACAGACAGATCATCCCACATCCAGGGCGCAGTCAGCAGCCTGCTTAGAACAGTATCTGACTCACAGCTGCTGCCTGATGAATAGTCACTGAAGAAAAACTGGATTATTTTTTAAACAAGCTTGCAGTTTGTTATTCTTTTCAACCCCAAAGAGTCATGGTGCCACAATGGAGAATCCATATATGAGGAATAAGGAACAAATTCCTTAGAGTGACAAAGTGATTTACAGTCCAACCTAACCCTCCCCAGCAAGCGGATTTCCAGTCGGGGGCCTTGGAAAGCGGCACACACAGGATTAGGGGAAAGAGCTCAGGGGCACATGGACCTGAGGCCAGGCCCTGGCTCTAGCACTTCCCAGCTGTGTGACTTAGGGCCAGTTACATAGACATTAAGAAAAGAAGAACAATGGGTATTTTAAGACAGTCATAAGATCTGTAAGCAGTGATCAAATGGATAATGGGATAGTCAGACACAAGAGTGCATAGTTCCATTTATTCAATGTTCCAAACAGAAAACACTAATCCATGATGATAGGTATCAGATCGGTAGCTGTCTGCGAAGAGGGAATGGACTGATTTAAGAGGGATAACAGGGATTTAAGGGAATTTTATGAGATTACTGGAATGTTTTATATTTTAAGTACAGTGGGTAAAAGACTCAGAGGGTATAGTTAAAATCTGTGCATTTTAATATGTGTAAATTATACTTCAATTAAAAAAATAGAGAGATTGAAGAAAAAAATATTTTTAATGATGTGTGATTTAATAGTCAATAAAGAATATGGTTTTATAATTCAACTAAACAACTACTGATTCATAATTACTTCATAATAGCATGGTACTTTTATTAAAATGGATTTTTCCCAATAAAATATCAATTGTTAAAAATATTAAATACACAGAAAAATCACTTCAAATTCCAACGAATACAAGTATTGTTAACATTTGCTTTATTTACTTTCAGACACTTTTCAATGCATAGGTTTGTTTTTTGTTTTTGTTTTTTTTTTTGAGACAGAGTCCCACTCTGTTGCCCAGGCTGGAGTGGAGTGGCACAATCTCAGCTTACTGCAACCTCCATCTCCCACGTTCGAGCAATTCTTGTGCCTCAGCCTCCCAAGTAGCTGGGATCACAGGGGTGAGCCACCATGCCTGGCTAATTTTTGTGGGGTTTTTTTGTTTTGTTTTAAGTAGAAACAGGGTTTCGCCAAGTTGGCCAGGCTGGTCTCAACTCCTGGCCTCAAGTGATCTGCCCACCTTGGCCTCCACAAGTGCTAAGATTACAGGCATGAGCCAACGAGCCCCATGCATAGATTTTTTAAAAAATTATTCTGCTAGTGGCCGGGTGCAGCAGTTCACACCTATAATCCCAACACTTTGGGAGGCTGAGGCAGGCAGATCACAAGGTCAGGAGATCGAGACCATCCTGGCTAACATGGTGCAACCCCGTCTCTAGTAAAAACACACACACAAAAAAAAAATTAGCTGGGTGTGGTGGCGGGCGCCTGTAGTCACAGCTACTTGGGAGGCTCAGGCTGGAGAATGGTGTGGACCCAGGAGGCGGAGCTTGCAGTGAGCCGAGATCGCACCACTGCACTCCAGCCTGGGCGACAGAGTGAGACTCCGTCTAAGAAAAAAAAAAATTATTCTGCCAGCACAAGTCAAACATGCAGGGGGGGAATTAGATTTTAAAAAAAGATAAAAAAATAAAAACTTAAATTTCTTATTAATTTATAAATTATAGTACTAGATATTGACTAGTAATAAATATGTTCAGGAATATGTTTACATAAAAGCATTTCTAAGATGTGAGAAAAAATGATATAGTGCCTGGATAATGATTTATGTGCAAATATTGACACATGGATGAGAATATCTGCAAGAACTTATGAGGATCCATTAGCAAATATAGCCTAAATCTATTTTGAGTGGGGGTGGTGTTTTAACTACATGTATTTATGTATTTTCAACCACGCTGTGTATGTAGACACGCATATACATACACAGAAAACATCTGATTACTAACTGAAAAAGAACGACCAATATAGACATAGTTTCTCATACAATGAGGGAATATTACAAATATAAGGATGCTAAGGGACCATGTTATAGAAGGCCCGCGCTTTACAGCTGAGAAAACTTTCAAGCAAAGAAGTTAAGAAGCCTGCATAAGGTCACACTACTAAAGAATAGTATGACTGAGCCTGGCTGGGTCCCCAGCCAGCTTTCTTTCCATACACCACACTGCAGCCATATGGTGCAAAGTAATCAGATGTTGTTGGCATTAGGGATAAGAGCTATAAACTTTTGAAGGTAACATTCAACATTAATGCATGTAATTAGAATAGTATATGTTTTACTTTTAAATTAAGCTAACAGATAAACAAAGGGACTCTTTATAGCCTAACAGTTTTCTTTTTCTTTATTTATTATTTTTTTGGAGACAAAGTCTCACTCTTGGAGTGCAATGATGTGATCTTGGCTCACTCCAACCTCCGCCTCCTGGGTTCAAGCAATTCTCCTGCCTCAGTCTCCTGAGTAGCTGGGATTACAGGTGCGTATCACCATGCCCAGCTAATTTTTTGTATTTTTAAGTAGAGACGGGGTTTCACCATGTTGGCCAGGCTGGTCTCGAACTCCTGACCTCAGGTGATCCGCCCACCTTGGCCTCCCAAAGTGCTGGGATTACAGGAGTGAGCCACTGCATGACATTTACACAGCCCACGGGGAAGGCTGGCCACCCCACCCTAATCTTATTATGCAAATGAGCTGTCCACTGACTGGCGCTGTCTTGTCTGCTCCTTACTGTACATGTACACGTGGCTGATAAAGAGAAGGGAAGATGGGGCCACCATTTTGAACATGATTGGCACAACTGCCGGCATCTATTTCCAGCTTGATTTCACAGATTTTTCTGTTAGAAAGGAAAATGATTTGGGGCTGCTTTTCATTAAATGGAAAACCTTACTGAGGACTTCCATACCCTCACTATCTACCTAAGTAATTTCTTAACACCTGTATCACAAACAACCGAGGAAAGCCTCTAGTGTGAAAGGCAGAGACCGAGAGAAATAAAAAAGGAAGCAGTAACATGCAAAGCTAAGCCACAGTGCAACACCACCTCACACCTGTTGGGATGGGACCACCAAAAAAAAAGACAAGTGCTGGGGAGGATGTGGAGAAATTTGAATGCTATATATTGTTTCTAGGAATGCAAAACTGTACAACCGTTATGGAAAATGGTATGGAGGTTTCTCAAAAAATTAAAAATATAATTACTATATGATCCAGCAATCTCACTTCCAGATATGTACCCAAAGGAACTGAGAAGTCAAAGAGACATCTGTACTCCCATGTTCACTGCAGCATTATCCACAATAGCCAAGACACAGAAGCACCTAAATGCCTGGTGACAGATGAATGGGTAAAGAAAATGTAGTATATACATATAATGGAATATTAACTTAAAAAAAAGAGCGAAATCCTGCAATATGTGACAAGATGGTTGAGACTTATGCTCAGGGAGATAAATAACCTGGTCAAAGAGAACAAATACTGCATGATTTCACTTCAATGAGCTTCCTAAAATAGTGAAACTCATAGAAGCAGAGAACAGAACAATGTCGGGCAGGGAGGCCAAATGCAGGGATTTGCTAATCAAAAGGTAAAAAGTTCCAATAAAGCAATATGAGCAAGTTCCAGAGATCTGCTATACAGCATTGTGCCTATATTCACAATACTGTATTGTACACCTTAAAAAATCTGCTAAGAGGGTAGATCTCATGTTAAGGGTTTTTACAAGAAAATAACAGTTTTTTTAATAAATGGAAGATGAAACAGGCAACAAAGAAAGCAAAAGGAAATATATTGAATATATTCACATAACTAAGAAAAAATTATCGTGAAACAAGGAATGGGGGGCGGGGGAAGCAGCCAAAGAGATGGATGAAAGAAAAATAGATGAAAACAGGAAGATCAATCCAGCAAATTCAACAGGAAACTAGCAAGAGTTCTTAAAAGAGATAAAAGACAAAAAGAGAAGAAAGTTATCAAAGAAATAATACCAAAAAAACTTCTCAGAACATGAATTTCTAAATTTTAAGGATAAACAGAGTACCCAGTACTGCCATTTTTCATTACAGACTTATAGGGATAACTGATTTCACATCTTAAATATATTCGGTTGATAAAAATATTTACATTTAAAACAATGCCTATAACATAAGCCCTTACTGCCTGGAGAATACATAGGATTTATTTTGGTGGCACTATCAGAATAATAAAATTCATGTTATTTTGAAGTCAAATGGAAGTCCTCCCTTGGTCTTTCCTTTTCATGAGTAATCAGTGTCCTCTCATCTTTATCAGCGAGTCTTTTTATCCAACTTTTCAATTCACTTAGTAGAGCTCACATCCTTCAGCCTTGTCAGTACTGTTTACTTAGCATCACCACATGTTGGAAATAGGATTCTAATCAGAGTCTTATCAGGAGTGACATTAATCTTCAGAGAGTGGTAAGAGAGATGTCTCTGTTACACACCACATGCACTCAAGGTTTGCACTGTACCAAACTCCACCTGAATCACATGGTTTAGGTTGGCTACAGTGCTGGAATCATTTTCTTTCTGATCTAATACATGTATAATTTGATAGAATAATTGGACTGTTTTGATTTTTCTACTCATTGGTACTTATTCTCTGCCCTTCAGCTGTTCATGTTTGTACAGTCTCTCCTCTCCACTACCATGTTTTTGCTACTTTTTTCTGAGTGCCGATGCATGGTGTGTTTGACAATGAGTCCAGAGGCAGGGAGGAGAACAAGGAGGGAAAGAGGGCTAAAGACGAAAAGAGCCTGAAAGAGGGCCATGTGACAAGAACGCAGAGGAGGTAAGATGCTAGAGGCTGCATAGGCTGTAAACTAGACAAGGCTTTAGTCACCCTTCGAATGCAGAGTGCAGAGGAGTCTAGGATGACTCTAGTTTCCAACATAGGTAAGAAAGTGAGAGGCAAGAATCCCACTAAGAAATAACAGAGCCTTCTTTATTTATCAAGACTACTAACTATGTTCCTAATAATGACCTGGAGTTAACATGACAGTTATAGTAGGAAAACACTAGACTTGCAGACAGAAGACTTGGGTCTTAAACCCAGGGTTCCATCACTACTTAGTGTGTGTGAGCTTGAGTGATTCCCATGATACTCTCAGGGCTCAATTTACTCCACCATGAAGAGGAGGCAAAGCTACCAGGTGAGACCTAACGTACCAGGAGTCAGTGACCTCCCATTAAGCAGCCTTCCAGAGCAAAGCGCCAAAGCCAGAACCAAAGTGGGAAGATGTGAATGCCTGATAACAACTAATAAAAAAGACCAACATTAAAGAATACTCTTTCTTCCCTACACCCTCACTCTGAGCCTCCCTGGATCCTGGCTTACCAGAAACAACAATTCCTAACAACTTTGGGTTCACAAGCCACTGGGAATAAAAAGCAAACTCATTAAGGGAGAAAGAAGAGGTACTGGAGGTGGAAAAAACAGTAGTCCTGAGCCAGAAAACAGATCAAATTTTATTGAGTATCCTCTGATTGAAAAGATACAGAAAAGTAAGAAGGTAGAAAGTATGTTCTACAAAAATTTCCATCAACAATAGTTAAATTTATAGGATTTCAGTCCTTGAAGTTTAAGATTCAGTTACCTGGAAAACTAATTTATGATCAGTTACCTGGAAAATTCCATCTTATTCTGGAAAATGACCAGATAAATGGTGTGTTACTGAACCTGCTACTTTAGTACAAATAAATGAATCAAGTTTAAAACAAAAGCCTACTTAATTTCTAGACAGCTTATTTTTACCTGAACCGCAAAGTATTCCTTATGAACTCTTTGTATATTTAAAATATGACTCTGTAACACTTTACATTGTTCAGATAAGCATCATAAATAGTAACCCAAAATCATTCCTTTTCTAAGAATAAACTCTCCCATGTATCACTTTATTGTCATTACCTAGGTGAGGCGACAAAAATAGATAATGGAATCAATAACCTACACTAATGTGGGAGAAAATAGTATGGCTGATAGCAAATAATGAATACATTGTATCACTTATTTTTGACTATCTGAGACATACTTAGGTAGTGGCACAAATTTAATTACTTACACACTATGTTCTAACCAAACTACATTCTCTACTGGGCTGGACTCGGAATATGGCTGGGAAAACTGGGGTCTCAGTGAAAAAGTCCAAAGGACATGGTAGCTAAATTCAATATGCAAAATTTAAGAAAATAAAAAATTTAAATTTTCAAATGCTTATTTTTCAAATGAAGATAATGTCTGTCATATTTCTTACTACTAAATAACCTAAGTCGAAATAAGCGTGAACATTTCAATACAAAACCAAGGGTAAATAAAGGACTTATGTTAAGCATTAGCATAGCGTACAGATAAAGATCAACCCCAAATATGCTCGATGTGATCAAGTAAAAACGTGAACTTATCAAAAGTTCCACACTGAAGATCAACTGCAAACCCTATGTAGTTTGAGGGTGGTATTCTGGTGTGACAATCAGGAACATGTCCAAAATTCAAAGCAGAGTTCATATTAGTCAAATCTTGTTAGACTCTTAAATGAATGATGATTTCTTCACTGGTATATGAAGCAGAGTTATAGTGACAGAATATTCTAATAGCTTAATTCCAAACACAAGCCACATCATTTCCAAATCAATGAAAATTCAACAGACGTTATCAACTATACGATAAAGACTTCTCACTGCAAATCAAATTTTAATGATATTTAGACTTGACCTATGGATACTTGTGGACAATGTTTTTATGCATAGGGAAATAAGTGATTAATTCTTTCAGAAAATATGTTATCACACAAATTGTTTCACAGATGAAATTCAAAGACTCACTAGTAACTTCTCCTGAGGTAAATGAATGCTGATATTCTGTGTTTGCATTTAGCTACCTTGGCCTACATTTTCCTTATTTATGTACATAAGCTAACTTCATATTCACAATAATTCTGAAATATTAATACATAATATATTTCACATGCCTATCTATGTGAAAGTATTTTTAATGTTATCACAAATAAACAACAGAAATGCTATTTACTCCTTCTGTTGTTCATTCTATCAATATATTTTTCTTTTACAAAGCATGAGTGAATTTTTAAGTTCTATCAACTCCTTACATTTTGAGAACCCATTATCAGTAGATGTTTTCTGTAGGTTATTGCACAGGTTAATAACATTACAAAAGACAAATTTTCCTTTAGTAATTTGGGAAGCCCTAAAATTTTAATAATCATTTAGCCACCATGAAACACATAAAATCCATAAACTTTCATTGAAAATGTTTATGCGGGGGGTGGGAGGAACATCTGTGAAGGATACCACAGATGATATTCTTGCATCAGAAATATCTAATTCCTACTCTCAGGCAAGTTGAAATGGGTCGTTTCTAAGGCTCTATGGTTTATTGTATCTTTATTTTAAAATGTGTGCAAATAAACTCACTGCTATTTTGAGCTAATATAATGGGTCCTTTTTATGTATGACTAGTGTGGATATAAATTGGTGCTAGGTTTAGGGACATAATTTGATTATACTTTTTGAGAGTCTTTAAAATTTCTTGTTCTTTGATCTAGTTACTACATTCTTAGAACTCTATTCTAAGGAATACTCTTAAATACAGACTTGTATCCACAAAGGTACTTATCACATAATAGTAAGAGTTCAGGCCTGTCCCTCTCTGCCACGTCCCCTAACCAGAGTCTGTCAGTGTTTTCTCGTACCCAGACTCAGGCTGGGATGTCGTCAGGAATACAATTTTGTCAGCAAGGATGCGGTGCCCATCTCAGTATTTCTCCTTGGGAGGCACGTGATGTGAGCATAGCCCACCCCTCGACCACCTGGTCACCAGCTCTCCCTCTGTAATTAATACATGTTTTGGGGGAGATATCTCAAGACTACATCAATATTCTGTTTCTCATCAAACATCCTCACACCAACGTTAGTGTCTATTAATAACTACCACTTGAACCAACCACCACCACAGTGGTTGCCAAATGGTGATTTTTTTCACTCCATTACTCCTTCCTTCCTCAGCCATTCTACCGTAAACAACAACAACAACAACAACAACAAACTTTGCTTCTCTCCCATTTATTTAATGTATATCCATCGCCATCATTTACTCTCTTGCTCAAATTGTCCAAAATTTGGCCAGTGAGAGTCCCTTCAAGCTGGGACCTGTAACTTGAAAGGCTCCCATCATTCTGAGTGTTTCCTTACTTTCTAGCACAGATAGTTTTCCAAGGTCATTTTGTACTTATCCTGGAATTAACTATTCCTTCAAGGAGCCTTGGTTCCCTTCCCTTTTAGTAGAGGATGGAATTTACAAACCAGAATCTAGGCAGTTGGCAAACTCACTGCTGATAAGTGATTGACTGCTCCTAGGCCTTCTGGGTGTGTATATGAGTGTGTCTCTATATTATCACCTATATATACATGTTTCCAAAACCATGTGTTTACATTAATACTTCCAATTCTAGTCTAACACCTCAAGGTTCTTTTTAATCTTTCCCCTTTCCACATTTATAAATCCCTTATCTGTTGATGATAAACCTAGTTCCCTTTACCCTCAATATATTTACTTATTTGTTCAATCCCCTGCATGTAAACAACTTACCACTCATGCTAGCTACCTCCCTGGCTCAGTCCCAGTGCCCCTTTAAACCCTGGCCTGATTGCTCCTTCTTCAGCCCCTGTAGCTGGTAATACCTCAAAAGCAAGGGGAGAGAAGGAGATCAGGAAGAGCCCATAAAAAGCCCAAATGGGGCTCATTTTCAGCCCCAAACCTACCTCTCTCTCTGAGTCTTCCACTTTTTCATAAATAGCACAATTCACCCCATTGCTCAGGGCAAAATGTAGGTTCACCTCTTTCCCTCATTCTGCAGATCTAATCCATTATCAAGTCCTGTGTATTACGCCTTCAAAATAAAACCCAAGCCCTGCCACTTCTCACCATTTTCAGGGTGATCCTACAATCCAAGCTGCCTTCATCACTTACAAAGATTGTTATGAGAATCTCCTACGTGATCTCTCTTGCAATCCTATGGTTGATTCTCCAGACAGCAAGGAGAGTAATCTTTTTGTAAATAAATGCAAACACGCTTACAGCCCAACCCTACTCAAAATCCTCCATGGCCTTCTCTTATGCCTAAAAGAAAATCAATAAAATCTAAGCACTTTCTCACACCTTAGGATCCTGGATCACTTCTGCTACCTTTCCAGGCTCACCTCCCACCACTCACCCCCTAGCTGACACCCAGCCTCACCTCCCACCACTCAACCCCCAGCTGACGATCATCCAACCTTACCTCCTACCATTCACCCCCTAGCTGGCTATGATCCAACCTCACCTCCTACCACTCACCCCCTAGCTGAATATCATCCAACATTACCTCCCACCACCCACCCCCTAGCTAACTGACACCCAGCCTCACCTCCCACCACTCACCCCCTAGCTGACTGTCATCCAACCTTACCTCCTACCATTCACCCCGTAGCTGGCTATGATCCAACCTTACCTCCTACCCTTCACCCCCTAGCTGGCTATGATCCAACCTCACCTCCCACCACTCAACCCCTAGCTGACTATCATCCAACATTACTTCCCACCACTCAACCCCTAGCTAACTGACACCCAGCCTCACCTCCCACCACTCACCCGCTAGCTATCATCCAACTTTACCTCCTACCATTCACCCCCTAGCTGGCCATGATCCAACCTTACCTCCTACCATTCACTCTCTAGCTGACTATCATCCAGCCTCACCTCCCACCACTCACCCCCTAGCTGACTATCATCCAACCTTACCTCCTAACATTCACCCTCTAGCTGGCTATGATCCAACCTCACCTACCACTACTCACCCCCTAGCTATCATCCAACCTTACCTCCTACCACTCACCCCCTAGTTGGCTATCATCCAGCCTCACCTCCCACCACTCACCTGCTAACCGGCTATCCCTCCAACCTCACCTCCCACCACTCACCCCCTAGCTGACTATCATCCAACCTCATCTCCTACCACTCACCCTCTAACTGGCTATGATCCAGCCTCAACTCCTACCACTCACCCACTAGCCAACTATCATCCAGGCACTCTGACCTTCTTGCTGGCCCTGAGACACTCCAGCCTCAGGGCCTCTTGACTTGCTGCTCCCTTCCCTAAACTGCCCTTCATGGCATCATATCAATCAGGTCTCTGCTTGAAAGTCACTTCCCCCAAAAGGCCTTCCATGACCACAGCACATGCCTTCATCTCCACGTTCACATCGCGCTTCGTGTTCTTCACAGTACTCAACACTCTGCAGCTCTATCAAGTGTCTTTCTTACTTGCTGTCTCTCTCCCACACTAGAATGTAATTTGTATATGGCATCTTATTTACCATAGCATTCCCATTGCTTACAACAATGCCTCAGACGTTGTGGACATTTGGAAAATATTTGCTATGCTGACACATTAAAAGAAATGTGTATATAAAACATTTTATAAAAGAGAAATATAATTATCAGAAGATATGTGCTCACTATAAATGCCAAAATAGCAGGGCTGGTGACCACTAGCACTATCAAGAGCAGACCAAACCAGAAATGCATCATTAATAATAGAACTTATATAATTATATCACACTGAAGCTGAAGGTAGATTTATAGCAAGTTAACTGACAACCTCCTGTCTGAACATTATAAAAGGTAAGCAGAGAGTGTCTCAAGGAAAAAGCCTTTCTCAGCTGCCCAAATGACAAATATCTTCATAATATAAAGCTAAATCTGGAAGATATATATAAGATTCAAAAATGCATACTCTAGTGGTTTGTATATGCATCAGGAATGAAAACCAACCAAATAAAAGACCATCCATGGCTCTTCGCAGCTGTGAAAAAAGAAAAAGAAACAGAACAGATACACAAATGAGACAGATTGATGGCATGAAGAAAAACTTGACAAAAATAAATGGGACTGCAGGAAACAATCATGATGGTGAAAAAGAGAAATGAAAGTAACCACTTCATCCAGCGTTCCCAAGCAAAGTGATGGAGAAAAAACATAACTAAAAATAGAATTCCACCAAACTATCTGCAATGAAAAAAATTCAGAGACACACTCACACATAAGATATATACTCAGATTACTTTATACATGGAAACTATATGTTATAGAAAGGGAGCTGACACAATTCCAATCTAAAACCAATGATTATTAAATGGAAGTTATAATATATCATAGACAAAGAACTGACTTCAAAAATTATCTCCAATATGTGAAAAATATTGCCAGATTACAATAAAATAGGTATCCTAATTAAAAAATCCATGGTAAATTATATGTAAAACTGGACAGTAAAAAGATATCCTATAAAGGTCACAGTGTGATTTTTTTTTTTCTTTTTTTGCGACGGAGTCTCGCTCTGTCTCCCAGGCTGGAGTTCAGTGATGCGATCTCGGCTCACAGCAACCTCCACCTCCTGGGTTCAAGCAATTCTCCTGCCTCAGCTCCTGAATAGCTGGGATTACCGGCATGCACCATCACACCCCGCTAATTTTGTATTTTTAGTAGAGACAGGGTTTCTGCATGTTGGTTAGGCTGGTCTCAAACTCCCGACCTCAGGTGATTCCACCTGCCTCAGCCTCCCAAAGTGCTAAGATTACAGGTGTGAGCCACGGCGCCTGGCCCACAATGTGAATTACCTGAGAGTAGAGCTATATTATCTCAATCTCTATTCCTATCCAAATTTTAAGTGCTTGGTAAAATGTGAATGATATTTAAGTAACAAAATTAAATAAGACAAATTATTACACTAAAATTGATATTTTTTTATTTCTCAAAGAAGAGGGAGTTAGAGAATTCCAGGAAGAAGAAATATTTTACAATGGAGACAGGAAATAATAGGGCATTTGGGAGAAGTCATTTGGAAAATCAACTCTAAATTTGGCTTGCAAGTTGATATCACCTGCCAAATTAATCCCTTCATTAGAAATGGGGCTCTAAGAGAAAAAAAAGACCTGACAGGAATTAACCCGACCTAATGCTAGAGTACAGGCCTTTGCAATCAGAAGGATGTTGTACACACAGCACCTACCAAAAACACTTTCCAGGTTGGTGGTGCTGGGAGATGCCGAGTTCAGTTCAGCCACCTTAACCAACCACACTCACAGACTACTTGGGGAGTAAATGTACTATGCCATCAACCTCCCAGACACAAGAAAAGGGAGACACTGAGTCAAACAACCCCAGGAGCAAGGAGGATTTTCCGTAGGTGCAAGTGAGAAAACTACCCCATCTGTGTCTGCTGATAAACAGGCAGAAAATGAGCTGACACTCCCCAAACCCAGTCCTGGTGACTTAAATTCATGGAGAGAGGCCCATCATCACGTACAGGCATACAGTCATCCCTTGGGATCCACGGGCATTGGTTCCAGGGCCCACCAAGAATACCCAAAACCTCAGATGCTCAAGTCCCAGATAGGAAATGGCATAGTATTTACAAATAACCCATGCACATCCTCCTGTACACTTCCAATCATCACTGGGTTACTTATAGTACCTAATACAGTGTAAATGCTACGTAAATAGTTATATTTTTTTACTTGTATTATTTCTATTGTTGTATTGGTTTTTTTCCACCTATTTCTGATCCACAATTGGTTGAATCTGTGCATGTGGAACCTGAGACATGGGGAGGTCAATTGTAATCCCACTCTCTTACAGCATGATCTTCATTTCTGCTGGGATTACAGATGTGACTCACTGCACCCAGTACATTCCCACAGTTTTTAAACCTTTTGTTAGATTGATGACCCT
Organism: Homo sapiens; assembly: GCF_000001405.40. NCBI lineage: Eukaryota > Metazoa > Chordata > Mammalia > Primates > Hominidae > Homo > Homo sapiens. The sequence goes on along the minus strand of NC_000007.14, from coordinate 3,524,822 downwards.
CCAATTTTTTTTCTAATCTGGACCTCTACAGAGTATAACTCCAGATTTGTACATCGAAATGCCTGTGCAACAGTTCCTTCTGGCTACCTAACAGACTTCTCAAAGTGAACATGTCTAAAGGTGAGCTCCTAACGTTGACTATCAAACATGCTGCTCTCAGTTTCCCCATCTCAGTGTGTGTGAAAACACAATTTCTCAACTAAAAACGTTGGGGTTATCCTTTGTCTGTTCTTTCTCTCCTTTATTTACAGGTACATGTACAAGTGTACATGAGCGCGCACATACACACACACACTCCATAACCCATCTGTCAGTAAGGCCTGTTTGGCATAGCCTTTAAAATATATTCCCCAATCCTATACTTCCTGCCATCTGTACTGCTATCACCTGATCCAATTACCTCATTATCTTTTGTTTGGATCATTTAAACAGCCCCCTAATTGATCTCCCCGCTTCCATCCTTGCCACCATCTCACTATTCTCAACACCGCAACCACAGTAATTTTGTTAAAACCTAAGTAGGATTTTGTTGTTTCCACCTTGACTCAGCATCCTCTATAGCTTGTCATCTGACTCCAAATAATGTTTTAGAAAGCCCTATACAAACTGGTGCCCCTGACCTCACCTCTCATACCTCAAGCAATTAATGCGGGTGTTTCTTCATTCTGGGAAGTTCTTGCCCCACATATCCACTTAGTTAACTCCCTTCCTTCCTGCAGGTCTTTGCTTAAATGTCTTCTTCTCAGGCAATATTTGTTGAACGAACCAATGTTGTCAATGAAGCTAATGAGCTGACTCAGGCCAGGCACCACAGGCTTCTAACTCCTGAGATGGAATCACAGGCCAGGATCAAGGATCCAGACTCAAAGGAGAATGTACAGACATCAAGTCTCAAGCTGACAGCAGGGGCTATAACCACAATCACAGCAATATTTTTGCCACATAAGGGGGTAGAAAACCAAATGTACAACCATAAGACTGCTTGGTGAAGATGAAATTAGAACAAAGAGACTAAATTGGCTGGTAGAATATTTAAAAAATTAACCTTAATATTTGTTACTTAATATTTGCTATTATTAATCGATTAATTCTGATTTCTGACAGTTACAAGTTTTTCTTGTGCTCTGGGAGGCTGGGAGTCCCAGACTTCCCCATCCTGCACTCATTCTGGTAGACTATGCCCATTGAGGTATCACAAATGCTTGGAAAGCAGCGCACATTGAGTACCGCAGAGAATAAAGGCTGTATGGGGTCGAAAAAGACCGTCTACAGGAGTCTTAGGAGCTTTAGCTAACATTGAAAGATTAGCAGCCGTTCACCAGGCAGAGAGGGGTAGAAAGGTCATTTTAATCCACTAATCTAGCACTCAGTGGTAACTTACCCTGTGTTAATAATGTTTGCATGCTCTCGCTGGACCCGTGGTAGACTACTTTGGAAACTACATCCTGTATCTGTGTCACCTCCACTAGGTTAGAAGCCCTATGCCAGCACAGACTGTATCTCTAGGATGCAGTCCCTAGCACACTTCCCTGCACTGAGAAGACATCTGTAACTGTTAATTGAGAAAGAGCTCTTTAATTTATGATTTGCAAATGCTTCTGCAGTGGCTCTTTAACATTACATCATTCAGGTCAATTGCATATAGTGTTTATCATGAGATTTTGCTCCTTCAAGCTTTGTCAAAAATATACAAATATTGCCATTTCCAATTCAAAAGCAATATCTAAATTTTTTACATTTATTTAATCTTCAGTTACATCACCTGTTTCATGATACAAATGTTACAGGTTTACCAATTTACGATTTTGTATTAAATTACAACTTTGTCTTGAAGAGGGTTTTTATAAAACTATTAAAATTTAAGAGCCAAAGAGTGCCCCTAACCTTTACTGAAATCATGTCTAAAATGCTACTTTGAATTTAACAAACTAATCAGATCTCCGCAGACAAAGGCTGGCCATACTCACTGATGTGAATAGCGAACCTCACCCCCCATCAAAATGGATCAACACGGAAACAATTTTAAAACCAGATCATGTTTTTCAAAAGGTTCTGTGAACCTTAAAGCTGGAATTGGTCAGTGATTTAGGATAGCACCTCTGCAGATTAGGATAGCACGTCCCCCGGTTTGTCAACTATCCCCCCAGCCTCTGGCAGTTTTGAAGACTATAGGAAGTAAGAAGTCGTTCAAAGGTCAGCCCAGGTGGTCCCAATCATCAATCCCTGATTTAATAAACATATCAGGGCTCCTTCTATGAGCCAGGACCCATAATAAGCTGAAGGGGCACCCAAGATAATCAAGACAAACACCCTGCATCCAAGGAACTCCCAAGTATTTATTTTATGCCATGTACGTGAGTTATTTTAAGCTGTGGGTCTGAAGATTCTCTTAAATTGTTTCTAAGAGTAGCCACAGTGATTGGGCATTGTCTCCGAATTAAAGACTGGAATTTCACTTCTACTGGAGACACTGACATGCTGGGTGATCCTCATATAATCACTTCAAATTTCTGAATTTTTAGCTCTCTCTATATTCATATAGGAAAAGCAGTTCTCTCTGTCCTGAAGGAGTTCTGAAGACTATCTGAAAAGTATGTGAAGCACTGAAAGCCTGACAGAGGAGAAAGATGCATCATTCTGATTAACACCAGGGCCTCAAAAAAAAAAGTTATTGTATACAATAAAACCAAAGATAGTAAGGTGAATGAAGGAGTTAATGAAGTAGTCACTTAAAGCCTATGTTTTGAAATGGTAACAATCCTATGAAGTCAAGATTTAAGATGATCTAAATAAGAAGATGCCTGATTGTGGTGGCCCAAACCCCATATCGTATGCTCACCTGGCTAACTCCATCTTCTCCACCTTCTCTCTGTCCTGCAGATCACTCCCAGACTCATCTTTATGAAACACTTATTTCCTATATTACTATCTCGCTCAAATCTTGGTGAACTAAAATCCCTTTTCAGGAATTCAAATTGAAATTCCACTGCATGCCTCTCCAAACCTTGTACAACTGTATATTTTATTCCTTACTACTTCCTCCTAATTAATATCGCCTCTCTGCTATCACATTAAACACATCAGGCCCAATCCTACATCCTATTTGTTCAAGTTGATCAAGTTCTTCCCCCACTTCTGTAACTCCTCAATCATTAGACTATCGAATCCACAGTAGTCTTCAAGGGCGAAATTCACGTGCTTCCTCCTCTATAAGGCCTTTGCTATTTTCCATCTTCACTAATTTTTCTTTCCTTTAAACTCCTAAAACACTAACATAAGTGCTTATCACAAGTTCCCAGTTAGTTTTTTACCAACTCGTGTGTCAGGACTATGACGCTTATGGTCTGGGTATCCACTGTAGTGCTAAACAGATAGAAAGAGTATGTTTGTATACATGAGAACAGGCTCACTGTGGTAGGCAGAGTGGCCCCCAAAAGATGTCCATGTTCCGGATCCCTGGAACCCATGAATCTGTTACTTTACAAAGCAAAAGGTACTTTCAAATGTAGTAGGGAGCTTACTCTGGATTACTTGGCTGGCCCCAATCTAATCACATGATCTCTTAAAGCAGAAAGATGTAGCAGAAGGGAAGTAAAAGATTCCCTTGAATGGCTCTCAAGCTGCTCTTGCTGGACAGGGTCACATGGAAAACACGAAGGGATGTGAGCAGCCTCATGGGCAAAGACCAGCCCCTGGCCAAGAGCTGGCAGAAGATGGAGGCTTCCATCCGACAATCAAAGAAACTGAACTCAGGCAATTCTAGTAAGTTTGGAAGAAGACTCATCCTCAGAGATTCCAGAAAGGAACATAGACAGCCCTACCAGCACCTTGATTTTGGCCTTGTGAGAGGGCAGAGGCTTAGTGCAGCCATACCTTACCTAGACTTATGACCTACAAAACTGGGAAATGATAAATGAGTGTTGTTTTAAACTGGTCAATTTGTGGTAATTTATTATGGCAAAAACAGGAAACTAATCCACTCACAAATATGGCTGTGCAAGGTCTAATAAAAAGGTAGGCAGGACAAAATGCAATCTCAGACATGCTATGCCAGCAGCAGCTGGTTCTTTAAATGCTGGTAAAAGGGTTCAAGTATCGACATACCCTCTTGAACAGGGATTAAAGAAAAGGGGCAGACTTAATGTTTCAGTTTTTATTTAAGGAGAAGATTGCAGAGATTACCATAGCCAAACTGAATTCTTAAGGAAGCAGGTCAGATACATTAGAATTCTACTATATTTTAAGACTATTTGCTTCAACTGCTTTTGATATAAGTAAGAGATTTATATTAAAACTTCCAAACATCCTGTTATGATCTCAAAGGTTTTCTTTAACAGGATTCAGGGTGTAGTCTGCACCACCAAACACAGCAGAGTTCGACAGCTGTGTACAGAGAGCTTTTACACACAGCCTGTTATCATTAGCACTATACTAACAAGATAACCATACAAGGACTCAATAGAGCAAACAGAGAGCTGCACAGGATGTTCTTACCTAGGTTGACAACCTAAATATAGATAAATCATTGAAACCGGACAGAATTTATCCAGCAGCTCTAAAAGAAAGCAGGGTGAAACTATGAACCTGTTGGTCCAAACCCTTAAACCATGTCACTTACAAATCACTATTCCAAAAGACAGGCAGCATATACATGTAACCCCCAGAGGAAGGGCTCCAGAGAAGATTCTGGTAACTTGATATCTAGCATTTTTACTTGCCTGACACAATGGCAAAAACAGAATTAAATGCAGTAACTTTAATAAGAACAACTTTAAATAACCTTTCTTTCCCAAATGCAGAATGTGCTCAATGAAAAAGCACTGTAAAATAGAAAAACATATGCACAAATAAAATCACTCCTAATCCCAATATCCAGAGTTCATCAGTACTATTAATATTCTCTTGCATGGCTTTCTAGTTTATACACACAATATTTGCATTCAATATATGTATACTAACATCCTTTTTACTAAAATAGAATTATACTTCTTATAAGTTTAGCATTACAGAAGGCTAGACTTGCCGTTTTTATCTCCTCATAGAATTCTATTATATGAGTCTCCTCTTATTTAATGATAACCTCTATTGTGGAAATATAAATGGATTTAAAATTACTAATCCTCTACATATTTTTTATGCGTATCTCTGGATGTAACAGAGACAGACTAAAACTGGACAAATCACTTAATCTTCTCTGCCTCAATTTCTTTATAAAACTGGTATAACAGTACCTACTCACAGGATTTCAATGAGTTAGGTAAGTACATGTATGTCAAATGCTTTAAATCATGCCCAAAACATAGCAAGCAATACAGAAATGTTGACTATTATTGTTGTTACTCTTATTTCATACAACAAATCCCCAAAAGTGTAATTGTTGGGTAGCAAGGCTCACACTTTTATTTTTATTTGACACATAATAATCATATATATGTATGGGGTACACAGTAATGTTTTGATACATTACAATATATAGTAATGGGTAATTAGCATAATTCATCATCTCAAACATTTATCACTTCTTTGTGTTGGGAACAGTCAATACCCTCCTACATATTTAAACCATAATCATTGTTAATGATAGCCACCCTACAGTGCTATGGAAGACTTGAACTGATTCTTCCTATCTAGCTGGAGTTTCATATCCTTTAACAACTCTCTCCCTATCCCCCACTCTTCCTTCAACCCTCCTATTCTCTGTTCTACTTTTGACTTCTATGAAATCAACTTCTTTTTAGCTTCTGCATATGAGAACATATGTGGTGTTTAACTTTCTGTTCCTGGCTTATTTCAAGAAACATAATGCCCTCCAGTTCCATCCCTGTTGTCTCAAATGACAGGACTTCCTTTTTTTTTTTATGGCTGAATAGCGTATTCCATTGCATATATATAGCACATTTTTTATCCATTCATCTGTTGTTGGACATGGGTTACTTCCATATCTTGTATATTGTGAACAGTGCTACAATAAACACAGAAGTGCAGGTATCTCTTTGATAAACTGATTTCCTTTCCTCTGGATAAATGCCCAGTAGTGGGATTGCTGGAGGAGCTTCCACTCTGCTCTCCATAGTGACCATACTAGTTTACTTTCCTGCATAGTGTGTAAGAGTTCCCTTTTCTCCGTATCATTGCCAGCATGTTTTTTTTTGTCTTTTTAATAATGGCCATCCTATCTGGGATGAGATGATATCTTATTGTGGTTTTTTATTTGCATTTCCCTGATTAGTGATGTTGAGCATACTTTTCATATATTTGTTGCTCATGTATATGTATTATTTTGAGAAATGTGTGTTCAGATCATTTGCTCATTTTTTAATCTTTCTTTTTTTTTTCTGTTCAGATGTTTAAGTTCCTAGTACATTCTGGATATTAGTTCCCTTTGAGATGAACAGTTTGCAAATATGTTCTCCCATTCTGTAGGTTGTCTTTTCATTCTGTTGTTTCCTTTGCTGTGCAGAAGCTTTTGAGTTTGAAATAATCCCATTTATTTTTACTTTTGTTGCCTGTGTTTTTGAGATATTATTCATAAAATTATTTCCCAGATCAATGTCCTGAAGAGAAAAGGCTCATGCTTTAAAATTTTTAATACATATTACTAATTTTATCTGCAGAAAGAATAGTACAAAATAAATTATTCACCTCTAAACAATGTATTTTCCTGCCTCATACTCAAACTGGGTATGCTATATAAGCTCATCTTATCTTCTAGGGGAAACAAACATAAAAACTATAAATATCTTACTAAAACACTTTGAAAAATAAATGCTTTGACAAAATAAGGGCCTAAAACTGTAACTTAATTGGCTCTTTAAGTACTTCTGGTAAGCTTCTCCACTAAAGAGAGAGAAGTCACAAAAACAAACACAAAAAACTTCAAATGAATTACCATTAAACTGAGAAAAAAGACTTAGTCACTGAGAATGGGCTAAAGATACCATAATAAAAAGGAATTTGTTTTCCAGAAAGAGCAATTTTAACTATAGTGTGAGGTATTAAAATGGTCTTATGTAATGATGACCTAGGAGAGGAAATGCACAGGCAATTCTTTACCTGTGCTGGAAAAAGGAAGCACTAGTGGCAATACAATTCAAGGCGAACAGATGATACAACACAGAACAGCTGAAAGCCTTAGCAGAACAATGGTGGGCATCAACATGGACAACCTGCAGCAACACATCCAAAATTATACCTCCACCTTACTCTAGGCGGGACAGGCTCTGAGCTGCAAGTCATGAAAAGTGATATGTGCCTGGCTCCCTAAGTCGTTGTGGGCTATTTCCTAATGCAACAGGTCAATACATTCCTGCAGGAAGCAAGCAAAAGTGTTGAGTATTGCCAGGAAGAGGAGTAAAAACACAAAACACTACTTGAGTTTCTGTTCTGTAGAACCATGATGCATCTCTCTCTCTAATACTCTACAGAATTTACAAAGGTATAGCTCAAGAGGAAATGAAGTACACTAGACAAAAATCAGCTAAAATAATTAAGAGGATATGCATTCAACATGAAAACAGATTAAACATTAGTGCTCTACAAAATGAATAATAAATAGGGAATAACTGAAATTTTTACATAATGATGAACATGCGTGAATTACTGGGCACTCTTATAAACCTAATAATACAGCTTCCTATCACACCACATGCTGCTACTTTTTTCAGAAAGCTTAGGAAATTCCTTCCAGAAATGGTTCAGACTAAAAATGTAACTAGGTTCAGTAATGATTTTCATACATTTATGAATAATGTATAAAATACAGACTACAGAGAAAAATCAGGAATGTTTGCTTATAACCCTAATCTTCTGAGATAACACAATAAAAGGCACACACACTCATCACCTCACCAAAAAGATAAAGTATCTGGTTATCAACATCTGAGAACAGCAGGCAGATCTGACCCAACATGGCACTTAATACCCTTGAAATGAGCACTTTTTCATGTCCCCAAATAATGGGTGATAAAGTCTATTACAGTTAATGAATTCTTAAGTGAGTGCGTTCCTTTGAATGATTTTGTCTCCATTTCTTTTAAAGTAAAAATGTCTAATACTCAGTATCTTTCAAACTGTTGTCAAACAATAGAGTTCTTCACATCAGACTTCCATGAACTTTTCCAAATTATCATTTATACAAACACATAATTCATCCAAAAGACTATTACAACCTAATTAATGTATGCTTAAAGCATTTTGTGAAAATACTGTTAGTAGCACACCAGAAAATGAATTCCTTAAGAGGTCATGGAAGCTCTAAAAATATTTCATTTAGTAATCAGGAGAATAGTTTCATAAAAGATTTCATAATAATTTTTTAAAATACACTCAGTAAAAAATAGCTCTTTAAGTAGAACACCTAAAAATTACCTATACTTTCAATAATTAGCCTGTGACAAAGTAATTCAAATTATAAAAGTTAGTTGTTGGTTAAAAGAATATGAAAAGCATCACCCAGCAGGATGGTATGACATAGGTAGCTGCCATTCCTGGGGTTTGTCTGTGTATCCTATGATCTACAGCTGCATGTATAAGTAAACATAGTATATATGTGTATTATAAATTGATGGTATACATACTATGTATATATCACATAATATATAACCTCTATATGTTATACATTATATAGGTGTGTAAATGTATGTGCATGTATATATGTTTATATACATGCAAATGTATATTTTTGAGTATACCAAAAAAAAAAAAAGAAAATATCTTCTGAATTAAAGAACAGGAACAAAGGTGAGTTCTACAATTTTCTTACATTTTCAACTTCATGCATTGAAGATTTAACACTTTAGCTCTCATCTGATGAACTATAAGTATAAAACAATTAGCAAAGAAATGACATGTGCAGAAAGCCCTAATTATACTACATGAACATTTTCAAAGGTCAAAAACGAAAAATTTCAGCTAAATCTCTTCCACATAGTGAAGAATATTTTTCATTAGTGAAGAATATTTTTCATTAGTTTTGTTTCAATCTTCAAAAACTGATCAAAATAAGGTGATTTATGTCTTTGAGACTGTACCACTGGGATTTTTAAATAATGCATGTGTAATTTCAGCAGTAAAATCGAGTTGAAAAATGGCACAAAATGTACAAAGCAAAATTTACATCAACATTTCTCTTTGGCTAACCTCCTTATATGATTCTGAAATGACTTCCAAATACTAAAACACGAAAGTTACTTGTTCCTTCAGTTTTAAATTTTGGAGCATAAGAGAAGTCTACTATTTTAAGAGTACATTCTAGATTATAGAGAACACTTGATTTGATCACAAATACAACTGTAAGCATAAATTAAAAAGGACAGTGTGTGTTTTTAAATAAAATCATTCATGAAGTTACAGAGTTAGAAATTATGATAGTTTTAGCACCATCTCATCACTGTCATTAAAGTAATTACTAAGTGCCTATCACATGGACCTGTGCTTAGCAATTCAGAAGGATGTAATTTGTGCCCTCCCAAGTCTTGCTGGTCAGCCTTACTTCTTTCTGAATTTAATATAGACACAACAAAAGAAGAACGAATTTTCTTCTTTTTCTAAAATACAGAACTCTTTCCTCCTAGAGGTGTTCTCTCAGCAGGGTCACAATGGGCTCAGAGTCAGTATTCAGTTGCACAGCCCTGCTCTTCTTCAGAAGGTTGCTCAAAACAGCAGAATGAGAATTGACTGCACCTCCAGGTCTTGTCTCCTCCCCACCAAGACCAGCCTCCCCGCTTCTCTCACCTGCTCCTTCTACCCGCAGAATATCTTGGATGATGTCAAGGGAACTCTAGTGCCAAAGGCACCCTCCAAGCCTAATAATGCCTCATTATGAAAACTTTACATTCAGCAGAGAAAAGGGCCCAAGTGATTATTGTTCTGATTTGTATTAGAAATGTTTCTTTTGCTCTTGTCACACTTAAATGAGTGAAAGAGAGAAAGAGAGAGAGAGCGCACGCATGCACGCATGCACGCGTGATGGGGCAAAGATTGTTACACTGCCCAATATCCATTCTCTCATTTCTCTTTAGTAATACAAATCCTGATTTTCAGCTGGGCATAAAACAATGTACCTTGTTCCACGTACCTACAGTTCTGGTCAAGGAGACGGGGTCTAAGTACTACTTGGCAATATTCAGAAACCTCCTTAAATGACAGCTAAGCATATGCTCCCTTCCACTCCTGCCCATTTTCATCTACTACTCTCCTCCTTCGTGCATGCTGAAATGCATCATAGTCAGACTAGAGCACTGACCTAGGACAGTGACGAGACACACGAGGTGAATGGCGAGCAGTGACTGACAAAGACGCCCAAGTCCTAATGGCTGTGGGACCGCCAAACCAACCCTGGACTATCTACCTCTCTACATTTAAGAGAGAAACAAACCTTTCCCTTGCTTAAGCCACATGGATTTTCTATCAAAAACAGTAATAGTTCATCAACTGATATGTAAATTATCTACAGATATATTTGGGTGTTTTAAGTATATATTTTTTCTTGTTTCATCAACAGAAAACACAAATTCACACATAAAGACACACCCAAGAAATAACAGGAGACTGTACAACATAGTCTACTTCTAAAATGCAGAAATGTCCATTGTAAATCTCCTATACACAAAAATCAGACTGGAGATTTAGAGTAAAAACATACAAACTCCATGAGACAGGCAGTCTAAAGACATTTGCTCTGAAACACTGATAACCTGTCTTGTCGTCCCTCTCTTCTTTCCTTACTTCTGAAATATGAATATTTTCCATCACAACAGTACAGACATGGAATCAACCTAGGTGCCTATCAATGGTGGACTGAATAAAGAGAACATGGTAGGAACACACCATGGAATATTACACAGCCATAAAAGAGAATAAAATCTTGTCTTTTGCAGCAAGATGGCTGCAGCTAGAGGCCACTATCCTAGGCAAATTAATGCAAGAACAGAAAAACAAATACCACATATCCTTACGTATAAATGAGAGCTAGATACTGAGTACACATGGATATAAAGATGTGAACAACAGACACTGGGGACTACTAAGGGTGGGTGGGACTAGACTGAAAAGTTATAAAACCTGCTGGGCACCACACTCACTACCTGGGTGATGGGCTCATCTGTACCCTAAACCTCAGGATCACGCAACAGACCCACATAACAAATTTGCACATGTATACCTTTAATCTAAAATAAAAGTTGAAATTATTTTAAAACTATTACGAACTGTATAGAATAAAAATGCCCACTAATAATTTAAAACAATTTAAATATGGATATTTTCTTTATATTGTTTGCCATTCCTTCATCTGTTGGCCACATCAGTCTTAATTCTTCTTTGTGTCTTATATGATTTCTTCTATTGCACTGAAATTTAAAAACATCATCCAAAAAGTTGATAAATATTAACGTCTATATTTTACCTTAATTAAGGGATTTTGTTTGGAACTCTGTTAACACTGTAAATCAACTTGAGAATAACCGAAATTTAAAAAATAGTCTTCCTCTATATAGCATATCTCTTTATTCGACTCTGTCATTATTACTGTCTCTTATTGGCCACTTTTACCATCTTTCTAGGCTTCAGTTTCTCCACCCATAAAACAAGAACTGTCCTAAGTCCACCCACAGTGGTGCTGGGAGAACTGAAAAACATCTGAAAGACTAAATCTAGTGTCTGTCACAGACATAGAGCTCAGTAACTGTTAGCTGCTAGTATTTTTATTAATATAAACATTGGAAAGTAATCTCATAATATGTTTAAAGACCCTCAAAAATGTCTCTGTTCTCCAAACCAGTCACTTAGCTTCTAGGATATGCTCTAAGAAAACAACACAAAACACAGGGGAGGTTTTCAGGCACAATCATCTCAATGGCAATATTGTTTATAATTTTGCAAAGGTAGAAAGAACCAAAATTTCTAAGAATAGGTGAATGTCAAATCTCATTATAATTACATACCTGTTACAATGACATAATGCACTTTAACAAAACAGAAAAAGATTTCATCGTGACGTTAAATGGAAAAAAAACAGATGGAATATTTACCCCAAATCTCAACCACTCACATAAAAAAGCATAAAAATAAAAAGACAGGAAGGAAATAATACCTTTAAAAGTAGTTGCTTCAAACAACCAATTAAAAAATGAGCCAAAGACCTTAATAGATACTTCATCAACAACAACATATCACTAGAATGGCCAAAATCCAGACAACACCAAATGGTAAAGAGGATGCGGAGCAATGGGAATTCTCAGTCATTGCTGCTGGGGATGTAAAATGTTACAGTCACTTCTGAGGACAGCCTGGTGGCTTCTTACAAAACGAAACATACCCGTACCATATGATCCACACTCCTTGGTATTCACCCAAAGAAATGGAAAACTTATTTCCACATACAAAAACCTGCACACAGATGTTTATGCCAGTTTTATTCATAATTGCGAAAACTTGGAAGCAACCAAGATATTCTTCATTAGGTGAATACATAAACTTTGATATAGCCACACAATGGAATATTACTCAGCACTGAAAACAAGTGAGTTATCAAACAAATGAGCTATGAAAACACAGGGAGGAAACAATAAATATTACTATGTGAAAGTTATCAGTCTGAAAAGTCTATATTCTGTATGATCCCAATGATACGACATTCTGCAAAAGGCAAAACTACAGAGACAGTTAAAAGACGTGTGGTTGCCAGGGGTTAGAGGGAAGAGATAACTATGCAGAGGTCAGAGGATTTTAAGGGCAGTGAAAGGACTCTGTAGGAAACTGTGATGATGAATACACACCTCATAAATTCACCCACACCCAGAGAATGTACAATATCAAGAGTGAATTCTAATGTAAAGTATGGACTTCAGGTGATCCTGGTGTCAATACAGGCTCATCAATGGTTGCAACATACCACTCCGGTGGGGGATGGTGATCATGGAGGAGGCTGTGCACGTGCAGGGGCAGGAGACATACGAGATATCAGTGTACCAGCTACTCAATTTTGCTGTGAACCTAAAATTGCTCTAAAAAGTTAAAAAAAAACAAAAAACAAAAAAAACAGTGGCTGCCTAAGAATGGTAAAATAATGGTTGATTTTGTATGCTTATTTTTTGCTTCTTTAAACTTTTTATGCTTTAACTGTCCACAGTGACTTATTTTCATAATAAAGGATTTTTAAAATAATTGGTAAATACTACCACTTAACACAATCACCCAGAAAAAACTGAACTAGAGGGTTAGAAAGATCAACAATGTTAAGAAGACAGGAATAACTGCTAAACAAACATTTTGACAAGCCATTTAACAGAGTCTGACAATTTGACTAATAAATTTTCCTAATTAGTTAAATGTTCATTAAACAGGAAAATTTTAATGTAAAGCACTAAAGTAAGTAAAATGACCTAAATAATCAACTTATTGAACTTTAAGTAATTTAAACTTCCAAGAATTCAGGTTATTTTTGAATTGGAGCTTTATCTAAAATCTTTAGCACTGAAATCAAATGCAAAATCTCAACACACGTAAATAGGTAGATATTATTCTGCATCTAAAAAGAAAGCAAAAATAATCTAACTATAGAAAAGTTTTCAGAAGTACTAAATTATCTTGTAAGTACCCAAGAAGGAAAATATGAAATTCTAAATCACCTATTAACACAGACTATGGTGAGCAGAAACAAGTGTAACATGGAGTCGTCCTTGGTTCCTTTCTCAGACCGTGGAATCCTAATCCTGCTGGCTCTACTCTCAAAGATGCCCCTGCCACCCTGGCCCAAGCCACTGTCACCATTTGTCTAGTCTGCTGTGACAGCCTCCATTTTCACCCTCGTCCCCCTACACTCTTCAAGACAGCAGCCAGGGCAATTCTTTGCTGTTTGATCTCATCTCTTCTTGTTCTGATGGCTTCCCACGGAAGGAAATCAAAATATTTTAATTTGACATATTTTGAAATGGCGGCTGCAGGGCCAGCAGACAGAAACACCTCTGGAATGCCATCTTTTGTTGGGGTAATTTACATCTACAGAGAATCTCCATGAACGTATCCAGGCCTGTCTTGGATGTAGGAGAGACTGAGAGTCTGCAGCCTTTAAACGTCTGAAAAGAAACATCTATCATCTGTTCTCTCTGAGAACTGCTATCTCTGAGGTTTCATCTGTATAATAAGACCACCTTTGCTAGCCAAGCCTCCCCCCTTCTTCCCTCCCATTACTTGTCTTGCCACTAAAACCTGTCTTGGGCCATTCTCTGAGCCTGTATTCTTTCTGTAACCTCAAAAGTGCACAGAAGTTTCTGTTCCTCATTTGGGGTTTGGGTCTTCATTCTGAGGGCTCCCATGTACAAACATTAAATAAATCCCATGCCTTTTTGCCTATTAATCCGCCTCACGTCAGTGATTTTTCAGAGACCCTTTAGAAGACCGAGTGCCTTGGCAGTGACTCACAACTACATGGAACATAACTAAAAAACTTGGAGCAGCCACATTATTCAGTAATACCTACTGTGACAGCAGAACGTCTGTGCAAGTCAGTTATAGAATCATCTAAGTATTCAGACACTGCTTTCCTAGGAAATGTTAAACTCCTTGAGGCAGGCTGGCTTCCTCACCACCTTGTGCACTGCTGCTCCCACACCACAGTGACTAGCAGCACATAATGGTTTGAATTAAAGCTGAAGTAAAAAATATCCAGGTCCAGGCACTGGGAACACACTGTCAGACCTACTTTTGATAAGGTCGACGCTTAGGAAACACTGGAGGAACAAGAGAATAAGGGAGCCCCCTCCCAGTTCTAAGTCAATGGTTGTCAACCATGGCTGCATATCTGAACTACCTGGGGAGCTCTGGAAAGTCCTTGGCCCCCACCCACCGATGTTATTCATGACTCGGAGACCTTCATTTAATGAGTCTGGGGTGAAGCCCTGGCATCTGTATATTTTAAAAGCCCACTAGGTGATTCTAACGTGCAGTCTGAACTGAGAACCACTGACTTAACATTCCATTCTCTATAATTTAGACTCTAAGTACTCATTTTCTGTATGTCCTGGGGGGCTCTCTCTGTCATGCTGCTTTTCTTACAGAAATCCTCTGCAGGGCCGAAGGTAGAAAACACCCATGTCTGGCTGCTGCTCTCTGAGCCTGCCCTGTGACATTAAACAGAGGTTAAGTGTTGAGTGAAGATGCAGGTAAGCACAGTTGAGGAAGAGGGGCCCAGAGACAGACAGACCAGCTCTGCTACTGGAGGGACACTTCGTAACACTCAGCTATTTGGGTCTCACTTTGGGAACTGTAAAATGGAGGTAACACAACGGCCCCAAACATTGTGGTTGTATTTAATAAGCCCCTACATAGCAATTATCACGTGCCAGGCACCCTTTAATTGCTTTACAGACATTACCTCTAAGAAGGTGTGTATTATCATTACCCTGTCTTACAACTGAGGAAACACACACAGAAAAGTAACGGTATTTGCCTGAGGTCACATGTTGGCAGAGCTGGGATTCAAACCCAAGCAGCTCCGGCTCCAGGATTAGGTTGAGAAGCTCCTATCATGAATATTAGAAATCCAGCACAAACAGAAAAACCAGAGGACCCCTCCCCAAGCATCTGTAACAGAAGTGGTATCCTGGGGGTCAAGTCACTGTGTAAGACTCCATTGTCTAACACAACTTAATCTTACTTAATATTCTGACACCTTAAGATGGATGGATGTCTGTGTGTCTGAGTATCACACGCATGTACATACATACACACACACACACGCACACACACACACACACCCCACCTTCCTTAGGCTGCCCTGATATGCTGAGTTCACAACTGCTGCCTGCCTGCTATGACCCACCATCACTGCCACAGATATTACTAGAACATTCTATTAAAACAGTGCAGATATGTTTATCCTTTAAGAGCAGAAAAACAAACTAAATCCTGCACTGAATAAAATACTCACTTCCTATAATATCATTCATTCCTTCATTTATCCATCCCCAAATACTTATTGAGCACCTACTGATAGCAGCCATTCCTGCCTTCAAAGAATTTCACGCCTAGTGAGGGAAATAAACAGGTTTGGGGCAATGCCAATGCACTACAAGGCAATTTCAATACTAGGGTTCGAAGTGTCAAGATGGAAAAGGTACAGAACACTTTGAAGAATCAGGAAAGGTCTCTTGAAATTAGAGCTATCTAAATTGCAATCTCAAGAATGATGATGTAAGGCTGGGCGGGGTGGCTCACACCTGTAATCCCAACACTTTGGGAGGCCCAGGCGGGTATATCATTTGAGGTCAGGAGTTCGAGACCAGCCTGGCCAACATGGTAAAACCCCATCTCTACTAAAAATACAACAATTAGTCAGGCATGGTGGCGGGCAGCTGTAATCCCAGCTACTCAGGAGGCTGAGGCAGGAGAATTGTTTGAACCGAGGAGGTAGAGGTTACAGTGAGCCAAGATCACACACCACTGCACTCCAGCCAGGGCAACAGGGCAAGATTCTGTCTCAAAAAAAAAAAAAAAAAGAAGAAGAAGAAGAAGAATGATGATGTCAGAGAGGAAAGAGTAATGATTAGCTTAATTTGGGGCATACTTTTGAGAGCTTCAGGGACAGAGAAGTCAACAGCCAACTGTCCACATGAATCTGAAACCAGAAAAAAAAATATTCAGAAAACACCAGCTTCTGGATGGTAATTACGAGATTACAAGGCAACAGTTTGTAGAACAACAAGGACAATGGACAACACCCTGACTATCAGTAGCAGTTTATGCCTGGTCAGAGAAACAGAAGCCAGACAGACAAAGGGACAGCCAGAAGGAAAATAAGTAGAAAATATGGGGTCAGGAAAGTAAGGGAAAAGAGGATTCCAGGACAGTCAGCAGTGTCAAATGCCACCAGGAATCAAGTGAGATTAAGACCGAGATAGGTTTAAACCATAGGGGAGTCATCAATAACACTTGTGAATATTATTGCAATGGAACTGCTGGATGAAAGCAACACTGAAGCAGGTTGGGAATTAGATAAGGGCAGGTCCAGATATGGCGGTTTAAGACAAAGGGAGACTAACACATATTCCAATGCTAATTGGAGGGAGTCCCGCACTGAAGGAAAAATTTGACCATGCAGGAGAAAGGGAGAGATAATCTACTGCATACAGCACTCAGTAAATGGCTACTAACCACTTAGAATGTGTCAGGCTTTGTTGTGGACATGAGAGTACAGCAAGGATGGAAACATTTCTGCATTAATGGACTATAAAATAACAGGTTAAATAATAATACAGAGGGGACTGTCAGCCACTGTGGAGTAACTAGCACTAGATCAGTCCTTCCTGCAGTCAACAACCAGAAAGCAGAATATGGGAAACAATGGTTTCCTGACACTAGACTATTATTCCGAGCATTTACTGCACCATGCTGTAGGTACTGGCTACCCCAAAAAAGCACAATGGTCTTGTTACATGACAACACAGAGATCAGAGCAATTTGAAGGGAGAATACAAAAACAGAAGGAGTTCTACAAAGAAAGAGGTCCAGAAATCCGCATACAGGTCCCCTTGGTTTTTGTCTGAATACTACGCTGCACATGTGTAGGGTGAGATTTCAAGAGACAACACAAAAAACGACAACTACTAGAGAGAACTAAGCTGGGTAAATGCTGAAGTACACACAGTGTTGAAGACATTAGAGTCCCACTGGAACTTCAGTAAACACCTAGGGCATTCAGCAGACACCCTAGAAGACCAGGTACCGGGATTAGGGCTAAACAAACCATATGATAATACACAGTTCACCCACCAAACAAAACTCAAAACCCCGGCTTGAAGAGACTAAGTTGACATACTTGTAAGGTAGCTTCCCACAAAAATAAAAACAAATACCCTCTAAAGGAAAATGCAGCCCTTAACCAAGAGAAAAATTAGACTATATAAACAGATATAGCAATGATAGAGATGATGGAATTAATAAGGAAGGAATTCAAATGAATAAATGTGTGTGTTTATTTAAAAAAAAAAACAAGACATGTAATGTATTTAAATAAAGTATAGGAAAAAATCAAACATCTGGAGTTGAAAAATACAACACCTGAACTGGAATACTCCCTGGATATAGTTAAATGCATATAAATATAGGAGAAGAAAAGATCAGTGAATCTGAATACAACACAAGAGCAGCTACATAAACTGAAGGTTGGGGAGCAGGGGGAGGAAGACTGTAAGAAATAAACACTCTCAGTAAAAAGGGAAAACAGCAAACAATATAATATGATAATATAATATGCATGTCATCAAAGTACATCAGAGTCATCAGAGTCAAGAGAGTAAAGCATTTGAAAATACAATGTTAAAAATTTGGCAAATTATATTTTATGAAAGCATGAAACCATATATTTAAAAGACGAAACCCAAAAGAGAATAATAACAAAGAAAATTCCTGATAACTAGTGATAAATAGAAGCAAACAAAGGGAAAAAATACAACTTACACAGGGAATAGGTAAGAGTGATTACTGACTTTTCATCAGACACAATATAAGCCAGAAGACAATAGAAGAACATCTTCAAAGTTCAGGAAAAAATAAATAAAACTATCACCCTGGAATCCTACATACAATGAAAATGTCATTCAAAAATAGTACCAAAATTTTTTTCAAGCAAACAAAATCTGAGAGAACTAGTTGTCAGAAGATGTGAACTGCAAGAAAAGCTACAAGAAGTTCTTTTGGCAAAGAGAAAGTGTTGTCAGATGAAAACTTGCATCTACAAAAAGAAATAAAGAATATGATGAATGGTAAATGTGGGTGTCTACAAATGAATTTTTTTCTTATTTTTAAATTTAAGAGAAAACTGACAGTAAAAAGCAAAAATAAAAATGTATTGTAGAGCTTATAACAAACATAAAAATAAATATAAAATGCATAACAGTAATTGCACAAGGGGCAGGAAGGAAGAAATAAAAGCAACAGTCTTCCCTTGGTATTCAAAGGGGATTGGTTCCAGGACCTCCCATGGCTACTAAATCCAAGCATACTCAAGTCCTGCAGTTGTCCCTGCAGAATGTGCATACTCAAAAGGTCAGTTCTCCACATCTACAGGTTTTGCATCCCAGGAATACTGTATTTTTGAGCCACTTTTGGTTGTGGATGCAGAATTCACAGACATAGAGGGCCGAGTTTATTTATTGAAAAAAATCAGCATACAAGTGGACCCATGCAATTCAAACCCATGTTTTCAAGGGCCAACTATATACTATTTTAAGCATACTATATTTTATGTGAAGAGATATATTAAGATAAACAATAAGCCAAGTGCAGTGGCTCATGCCTATCACCATAGCACTATGGGAGGCCTAGGTGGGAGGTTTGCTTGAGCCTAGGAGTTTGAGACCAGCTGAAGCAACAGAGTGAGACCCCATCCCTGCAAAAAGATTTCAAAAACTGGCCAGATGTGGCATGCACCTGTAGTCCTAGCTACTTGGGAGGCAGAGGCAGGAGGATTGGATTCCTTGAGCCAAGGGGTTTGAGGCTGCAGTTACCTCTCATCATGCAACTGCACTCTAAACTGGGTGACAGAGTGAAACCCAGTCTCAGTCAGTTGAACAATAAATTACAGATGTGTATTGTAAACCCTAGATCAAAAAAAAATAGGTTTAATTAGCAAAACAAAAACAGATATATTTTAAAATATTCAATTGACCTAAAAGAGATTATGAAAAAAGTAACATTCCTACTTTATTCTGACGAAGTATGTACAAGCTATATTTTTTAAGTACAATTTTTCTAATAGTCAAGGGGGCTTACCATATAGAAAAAGAATGAAATGAAACATCAGGAGTTGTATCACCACTGGGCATTTTATATATTTTGTTTACTGACTGCCTATCTCCATTACATTTGGAAACTAGTTTTTGCAGGGATTTATGTTTTCATTTTTCTTGGGTACATAACTAGGAGTAGAATTGCTAGGTCATATATTAATTGTATTTTAACATTTTCAGGAACTGCCAGGCTGTTTTCCAAAGTGGTTGCACCATTTTACATCCCCCACCAGCCAAGTATGGTTTTTTTTTTTTCCTTCTGTTGTTTGTGCTTTTAGTGTAATGTCTAAGAAACAACTGCCTAACCCAAGGTAATGAAGATTTACTCCAATGTTTTCCTCTGAGAGTTTCATAGTTTTAGCTATAATGCACTTTGAGTTAATTTCTGCATATGCTGTGAGGTAGGGATCTAAACATTCTTTTCTTGTAGATATCCAGTTGTCCCAGCACAATTTGCTGACAAGACTATTCTTACCCAGTTTAACCGTCTTAATAGCATTCTTCTGGAAAATCAATTGACTATTAAATGTAAAGATTTCTAGATTCTCAATTCTATTCCACCAACATATATGTCTTTCTTTATGCCAGTACCACAGCATCTTGATTATAGTAGCTTTAAAGTAAGTTTGAAATTGGAAAATATGAGTCCTCCAACTTTGATCTTCTTTTTCAATACTGTTTGGCCATTCTGGGTCCCTTGTATTATCACTGTGTGGTTTTAAGATCAGCTGGTCAAATTCTGCAACAACAACAACAACAACAACAACAACGACAACAACAGCAGCATCCAGCTGGGATTTTGATATGAATTGTGTTTTATCTACACACACACACACACACACACACACACACATATATATATATATAATTTTTTTGGTTTTTTTTTGAGAAGGAGTCTCGCTCTGTTGCCCAGGCTGGAGTGCAATGGCGCGATCTTGGCTCACTACAACCTCTGCCTCCCGGGTTCAAGCAATTCTCCTGCCTCAGCCTCCCGAGTAGCTGAGACTACAGGCACGTGCCACCATGCCCGGCTAATTTTTGTATTTTTAGTAGAGACAGGGTTTCACCATGTTGGTCAAGTTGGTCTCAAACTCCTGACCTCGTGATCCGCCCACCTCGGCCTCCCAAAGTGCTAGGATTACGGGCATGAGCCACCATGCCTTGCCTTTATCTACATATTTTAACATTATTAAGTCTTCCAATCCATAAACACATCACGCCTTTCCATTTACTTACATCTTCGATTTAACAATATTTTAAAATTTTCAGTGTACTAGTCTTGAACTTTTTAAAGTTTACTCTTAAGTATATCATTCTTATTAATGGTACTATAAATGCATTTTGTTTTGTTTTTTTAAGATATGAAGGTCTGGCTCTATCACCCAGGCTGGAGTGCAGTGGCATGGTCATAGCGTACTGCAGCCTCAAACCCCTGGTCTCTAGTGTTCCTCCCACCTCAGCCTACTGAGTAGCTAGGACTATAAGTAACACCATCACAACTGGCTAATTTTTTAACTTTTTATAGAGGAAGGTTCTCACTATATTGCCCGGCTGGTCTCAAACTCCTGGGCTCAAGCAATCCTCCTGCTTGGCCTCAAAACTTGTTGAGATTATGGGCATGAGCCACCACACCCCACCTGAAGTTGTTTTCTTAACTTGTGGAATGTTCACAGTTGTGTAAGGTGTCTGACAAGATTCAATCATCATTAGCTGAAAATGTATCATTTTGAAATTTATAAATAAGCCAAATAATCCAATTCTTCCAAATAGGGATGCTGAGATTCCTGAGTCTTAATGAGTAATTTCTTACTTCTTCTTCTTCCAGGGAGTTGACAAATTCTTAAAAACCTTGAATTTATGTATAATTTAAATATTTTGTGATAATACTCCCTTGCCATTTGCAGAGGAGGACAAGATTGCAGCAAGCACACCAATGTCTCCATACAATTTTAATTAAAAGTAATCTAAAACATTAGCTAATACAATGGCATCATTAGTCCACTGTGAACATAGTACATAATATTAATAACATCACCAGTGTAAGTAATTCCAAGAACAACAAAATATTTTACAAACAGTTCATTAATCCCTATAATATCAAAATCATTTGGTTAGATCAGCATTAACATCTTCATCTCAATTTTATGGCCAAGAAAAGTATGTTACAGAACAAGAAAACAATTTGCTCAAGGTCATTCAGAAAATCAAAAGCTGAAGCTGATTTCTAAAAAACAGCCCTCTCACGTGTAAGAAATGTGTTGTTAATTAGCCTGATATACTCATTCCACATTGTAAACACATAGCAAAATACCAAACGGTACCCCAATAACACATAAAATTGTCAAAATTTTAATATTTTTAAAATTAAAAAATATAAGTGTATACTTACACAAAACGGGTAGTTCTGAAAATGTATGTAAATCCAAATTTTGTATGTGCAATCATGCTTTAAATACATTAGGGGTGCTATTAAAAATAAATCATCCTGGCTGGGAATGGCGGTTCACGCCTGTAATCCCAGCACTTTGGGAGGCCAAGGCGGTGGATCACCTGAGGTCAGGAGTTCAAGATCAGCCTGGCCAACATAGGGAAACCCCATCTCTACAAAAAATACAAAAATTAGCCAGGCATGGTGGTAGGCACCTGTAATCCCACCTACTCGGGAGGCTGAGGCAAGAGAATAGCTTGAACCCAGGAGGCAGAGGTTGCAGTGAGCCGAGATTCTGCCACTGCACTCCAGCCTGGTGGCCAAGAGCAAGACTTTAAGCAAGACTTTGTCTAAAAATAAATTAATTAATTAATTAAAAAAAAATCTTTGAAACATTTTGAAAAAAAAGAAAAATTTTACTAATGTCAAAATTCTTTGAAGAAGCCCCAATTAATAATCCTTGTGTACACCTGAATTTCTAACTCACACGTTTGTCTAATATAGTGACTGACTAAACCCCACTAATAATATTAATATTTTTAATTATAGAAATCAAATGGCAGTAAGCTTATATGTAATTGGAATTTTTGTTAAAAGTTTGCCTATCACTAGAAATCCAGCTGTTAAAACAAACATATAAAGTTCTAAAGAATAAACACCTTTGGTCTAGGAGGATAAAACATTAACCAAGAATAAGAATCAAATAGTTACATTTCCAAATGTCTGTAAATCAACAAGAGCTCATAATACAGAATCTTAGAGAACATCAAGAGTAATAAATATTTGTAAAATACAGTGTCCCATTACTTGTGAGAACATACTGATAGTCCATCATAACTGGAAAAAGTCCAAAATACTGCACATACTTCAACAAAAAATAAAAACATTATGATAATTATGGACCAGTAACTAGAACAAATTAATGAACAAATCAATTTATAATCAACTGGAAAAGTACACACAGTGGATCAAATGAAATGGATTAAGAAAAACAAATACTCTATAACAGTTTGCATTAATACTTCATCTACTTAGAATTCTGTTGTATGACTAAATCACCTTTCCACAATATAATCAGGAGCACGAAATAAAAACATGCTCCTGGGTCATCAAAATCAATGTCATAAATTCCACACATTAAAGCATTTTACGCACAGGCCAATCCCTTAGGCTGTCACTCGGAACCTAACTGTTCTACTTTGAAACTGTCCTGATCAGTTTTTTTTTTTCTTTTTCCTGATTCCCTAGCCCATAGCAAGTTGGAAAGAGCAAGTTGGAGAAAACAGAGGGAAGAATAGTAAAAACAGTTAATAGCCAAGCAGAAAACTGAAGGAGTCTTCCCTAAGGAATCTAATCAGTCCAAGAGGAATTCTCTAAAGATACTAAGAAAAGATACTGACAAAAGTTACCCCAAGAAAAGAGCTCAAGCAGATCACCCTGCAATGAAATAATATGCCCAGATCTTTAATCTGCATGCTCAAGACTTTCAATGTTTTAGTCTGCCACTTTGCATTATAAGCACATATACAATGAACAGTCATCTAAGAAAAGCCTTTAACAGAGAAGTTAGAAATCAAAACAGTAATAAAGAAGAAAGTATGCAGAGAAAACTTCAAAAAATCTATCATTAAAATTATCAGATATTAAAAAATGCTTCATCTATTAAATAAGAATAGGATGCTGCAAGAAGAAAAAGAATTCTTAATAATTAACATGATAGAAGAAAATAATATCAGTTGGAAAATGAAATCTCCCAGAAAGTAAAATGTCAAAAAATAAAAAATGAAAAAAAACATGAAAAACAGAGGACTAGTATAGGAGGCAAAACTTCCAAACAGGAGTCTTAGAAAGAAAGGAGAGGAAAAAATTAAAGGATGAAGTCATTAATGAAATGACTCTAGAAGCCTTCTTAGAAATAAAAGAAATTTGTTTCCAAGTTTAAAGAATCCACTGAGTACCGAGCACAAAGGAAAATGAGATCTACAATTAGCTGTATCATTGTGAAATTTCAAAACACTGGAGAAAACAGAAATTCTTACAAATAATCAGAGAAAAACAGCAAGATCACATAAGAATAATGAGAAAGCAGAATGACTCTTAACTTCTCAACAGCAACACTGGAAGCAAGAAGTCAATGGAGCAATACTTTCAAATAAGTGAGGAAAATTATTTCCCACCAAGAATTCTCTACCCAGTAAATCTAAGAAAGAGGGTAGAAAAAATGTCTACATTTTTGAATTTACAAGATCTCAAAGAATGCATTTCTCATGACGTTTTAAGATACCAGATGACATGTTCCACTAACACAAGAGTAGTCCAAGAAGGAGAAAATAGGGGATATAAGAAAGGAGACTCAGTACAAATAAGAAGCAAATGGAATCCTCAAAACACAGAGAAATGTGATCACAGGATCAGAGCTAAACAACAGATATAGAGAGAATAGGCCCACATTTCGGCAATGTGACTCGATAGACAAGTTGAGGGCTGTCACCAGACCCCCCCTAAACCCCACTCACCCACCCAACCACCTTTTTAACCTGAAGACAAGACACCCCAGTGAGCCTGACCAGGACTCCTATGGCTACTTGTCCTAATCACCTGTTAATGGAGTTCCCACTCTATCTCCGTCAATTCCCAGCCCTGCCTTGATGTCACTATCAGCTGAGGACATTCCTTTCACCCTATAATGGCCCACTTTGATCTACTCATAGTGAACTTACAAACATACTTCTGTCAGACATGTGACACATGACCCTCAAAACAGCCCTGTTAGTTGTTCGGACTATGCTAAGCCCTGTGTTTCCCAGGACCCATTCTTGCCCTTGGCCACTAACTTCCACAGAAGGGGCTTTGGTAAACTCCAGGGAAAAACAGGCCCGGCTATGACCCAGACTCAGCTCCGTTTCTCTTCTTATAGTAGCCTGCAGTGGCAACACTGCCGTGCCCTTACACAGCGATGGGTATACAAGTTACTCCATTTTTAAAACAACAATACACTGCTTTATGCAAAACAACAATGGGGTGGTTAGTCCATAAAGAAGAGCTAGCAAACCTGACGTGTTTACCTCTGAGGCTGAGAGAGACGGAAACAATGAGAGAGGAACACATGGGGCTTCTAAGACACTGGCAATGTTGTTAACCTGAAGTTGGGTAGTTTGGAGCTCAACTTTGCTATTCTTTACACCATACTACACATTTTTAATACTTTTCTTTATGTGGCATACATCTGACAATTAAAAAAAACACACAAAAAATGGCTAAGTCATTAAGGAATGGTCAGTTAATAAATTCTATTTTAATATAGCAAGTTAGTGCCTGAGAAGGCATTGTAAGCAAGTTACTGTTGCACAAATGATTGTTGAATTAAATCAATACAAAAAATGAATCCGGAAAGATGTCGATCTTAAGGACACCATTATTGCTGAAATGCGTAAAATTTCAGCTATTCAGAAAGCCAGGTTTTTCCAAACAAATAATTCCAGTAACTACATTAAAATCAAGAGTTGTAGAAAGGGCACACTTTACTGAATGCATTTGTATTACAGTGTGATATGCAACATCAGATTTTAAAACACAAAGTATAAAACAAAATTTTAATTAAACTTTAGATTTCTGCAAATTCTTACCAATCAACCAATAAAAGTTAGTGCCAGATCAATAGTATTCATTCCCAAATTGATGCTTACTTGCCCTTATGCCCACTGGGTCCCCTAAAGTGTCATGTAGCAGGATAAGAAATGCCTTTCAGATGAGCCCAAAAAAGAGACTTCAGTTGGAAATGACCATGTGGAACTCATCAGCATACAAGAACATGCTGAAGTCTTGATTGTGGATGAGAATGTATATGGAGGGAGTAAAGGGGAAAAAAAAAAAAAAGATGAGGCCTACAGGCAACATTCTGAGACATTCCGGTAACAAATATGCAGAGAGCTGAAGAAACACATACAAGACTAAGCAACTGTGTCTGTGATATTGGAGGAAAACAAGAGGAAGCCGACAGATGGAAAACCAAGAAAGGAAGAAGTAATAGCTATCAATGGTAGCTACTAATTTGTAGCAGTAATCATTAGTAAAATAAATCTTTATTACCCACAATATACTAGGCAATGTGTTAAGCACTTAACATGTATCATTTAATACTCCCAAAAATGCAATGAGAAAGCTACTATCATCATTCATTTTATAGATGAGAAAACCAAGACTCTAAAAGGTCAGGTAATGAGCTCACGTCTAGAAGGCTGGTAAATAAAGAAACTAGCCTAAAAGTTTCTAAACTTTTTGAAGTCCTAGAACCGAAGTCTACCTAAGTTTTAAACTCTAGCAAAATCTAAGAAGAGATAAAATCTATGTCTATGAGTACACATGTCGTCTTTAGTTCTCATAAAAGTTGACTTTTTTCAAGGCAGGCTTTGAGTGTTTTCACCCCAAAACCCCACACAGAAAAGAAGTTGGCTGAATTTTACAAAGAGGCCCAAATTAGTTTTAAGAATAAAGTTTTGAAACTTCAAATTAAATGTAGACCAATTTAGCCTTAGGGTTTTAAGTGGCCAACTTTTGGAGTGTTAGTTTCTTTAAATCAATTATAATCGATACAAGCCAGATGGCTGAACTGTCAAACTGCATAAAGCTGTCTCCGTGATAAGGTCACTGCATCTGTCACTGGGAAACTTTGGAAAAAGTATCACATCCAGAAACTCCCTAACCTCATAGCCCACATAGCTGAGAAAAGTCCATCAGGGATTAAGATGTGCAGTGAGGGGATTAGATGGGGTTACAGTGTGTGACAGTGTTTGTCTGTCAAATTATTGTGTGCGTTTTTATTTTGGGAAGAAAGAAAGGAAACAAAATCAAAAGCTCTCCATGGCCTAAATAGCATCTAAGGGGTTTATCAAGGTATGTGATTTTATTCTTTCATTTTTAAACCTCTTTTACTCCATCTTACTACAAACAATATAATCTTAACAGGCGCCATACTGTGTCTGATATCAGGGAGGATATTACCATAATTAAATGTTATTTCTGTGAAGATGTGTGTGTTACAGGTTGAGACAAGATCATATATGGTATTATATTGCAATTTGCAAAATCATCTCTCTCCTGCTGCTTCACAAACTCACTCTCGAATAGCAATGACTGGAAAGCTACACATAGCACTTTCATAATAAAGACGCAATGATGTCTGCAGCAGACAGCTACAAAAAGACTGATAAACATCATCTAGGAGAAAATAAAAGGTAAAGAAGAGTACATAGCTTGACATTTCCCACAAATACTACATTTATACACACAAATCTATAAGCACCAGTCCCCTTGCGTACATTTTATTTCACAGTTTTAGCCCTGGGAATGCCTACCTTAGGGGCAAACCAATTTAAAAAATAAAAGAGTAACCATTGCCTTCGCTGAGTGGTAACAGCCTTGTTGGAGCATTCTTCTAACTAAAAAGAGTTTCTCTTTTTAGTTAAGTCTTAGATTAAAATGATGCTGTGGCAATAAGCACTGTCTTGTCTGTTAATAAACATTCTTCTCTAGAACAATTTTAACTGTCACGTATTTATTAGGAACATTTTTCACTGGATAAATGACATAAGCAAAAACTATACTCTTAATTATTCTGTGCCGAGAATGTGGAGGGATAGAAATTAAAATATGGGGATTTGGATTGGCTGCTTCACAACCACAATTAAATCAGGTGACCTCTGAAGAGGCATCTGATCACGTCAAGCACTACTAACCTAACTGTGGTGGGGGGAAAGGATTTTATCTTCTAGCCTGCAGGAGAAATTAGCCAAATTTACCTTGAATTTGTGTACCTCCACTAGACTAAATTGATTAACCAATGGCACGTTTTATGCTTTCAGAATGTAACAAATGAAAATGAACGGAGAAGTAAAGTAGTCGGAACACAGACATTCTTCATCAAAAAGAAAGGAGACATATAAAAATCACTATGAACTCTGTTAAGTGTAAACCAATATATTATACTTGACCTGAATCCTGTTTTAAATTTTCACTTTCACCAAGCAACCTGTTTCAAATAGCTCATTTGTTCATGCAAAAGAATATGATTTTCCCTGTATTTTATAATTAGGGAGCAAAATAAGATAAAGTACATACAACTTCTTTCAGTAATGCTAAAAAAAAAAAAAGTTAAAAACACAGCGTGATACCTCGAGTTGTAGGAACATTATTTATCATCTATAAAGAATAAAAAGAAGATAAAATGGCTTTATTCAGAATCTGTTAAATAATACACAGTGAGACTCCAAACAGTGCTATTGCCAGGGAATTGAAACTAATGATAATAACAGCAGCTAAAACATACACATGCTTCCACACCAGACACTATCCTGGGAGCCTCAGATATGCTAACTTATCTGACCCTCCAGCGATCCCACGAGACAGGTCCCACTGCTAGCCTCATTTCAATGAGGAGGCAGCAGTGACAGAGAAGTTAAAGGCATACAGCTGCTCAGCACCAGAGCAGGAATTCAAGACCACACTACGCATCTCCAGGGTCCAAGCTCTTAAAGACCGTTATCAGCTCTCTCCTGGGAAAAAGTGTATCACTTAAGTGTGTTTTACAATTAAGATCTTATTTAATGTTATAGTGACGGGCCACTGAGAAAAGATAAGTATGTTCTAGTTGTATGCAAAATTCTTCTGGAATCTGTGAACTGAAGCTTTGAAAAGTGTGAAACAGATCTTCGTTAGAATACGGTATTAACTCAGGAGACCGCTGGCATCTCTCTTCCTGGCTCTAGCGTTTTGTAGGAGCACCCAGGCCACGGGACCAGCTCGTGCAAAGGCAGAGAGCTGTGGTAGAACTGGGTCCACGAGGACAAAGGAGCACTTGCTGTCTCGCCTCGTGGCATGTGGAGAGGGCAGGGAGGGAGCTAACACTGAAGACTGACGCAGGAACCACACGGAGTAGTTGGTGACAGTCTTTATGGGAAGCATGACATCATTACTTTTGTTTTTAAGAAGAGTAATTTCATCAATGTTGCAAAGAGCCTGAACACAGGGACAGCATCAGAGCCAAGTTTTCCAGCCCAGAGCAGTGGCTCACGCCTGTAATCCCAGCACTTTGGGAGGCTGAGGCGGGAGGATCTCTTGAGGCTGGGTGTTCAAGACTTGCCTGGGCAACATGGCAAAACTTCATCTCTACTAAAAATACAAAAATTACTCCAGTGTGGCGTCACACAGGCTGTAATCCCAGCTACTCAGGAGGCTGAGGCAGGAGAATCACCTGAGCCTGAGAGGCAGAGGCTGCAATGAGCCGAGATTGCAACACTGCACTCCAGCCTGGGTGGCAGAGCGAGACTCCGCTTCAAAAAAAAAAAAAAAAAAAAAAAGAACCATTATGCTTTCCAGCTCAGAACAGAAAGGGGCCTCGCTGAAATGACAGTTCTGAGGGATTCATGACAATGCATGATCAGGAGGATGTGCAACTAAGAAAAGCGCTGTTACACTGCAGTTTCAAGCTTCAGAGACTGACGGATGGTGGCATCTGTCATCAACCAAGACAGGGAATACCCCAGAGTAACAGCACTTTAGAGAGACAAATTGAAGAAATTAGATGAAGGAATCAACACCAGGTTTATGGTTCTGACAGGAGATAACAGCTGCACTAACTGTTAACCCATAAGAAATAATGGCTTGTAACTCAAGAGGGAGGTCATGGTTGCAGATAGAGAGAAGGAGACACATTTGAAACCATGGGAGCAGAAGTGTAAAGAAATCCTCACATCACTTCTTATACACATTAAGTTTTTAACAAATAAACCGTGTGTAGAAATCCCTCAGTTACACAGCATAATCAACCAATGAGGTGACCTAATTAGCCAAAACTTAACAAACATTTGCTCTCAAACACAATGTTAAAATTGGAACCACTTCAGTGTTTTCCCAATATATTCTCTGACTTCTTTAACAGAGTATATAAAACATAATTGTTGGGAGATGAGGAAGGGTTGGTAGTTGCAGTTAGACAGGAACAATAAATGCTAAGTACTTAAGGTGATGAATATGTTAATGAGCTAATTCAATCATCCCACACTTCATACATAACATCACTGTGCACCCCATATCTATTTCTCAGAAAATGAAAACAAAAAAAATTCTTTCACAAATCTGTAATTTCTAACACTGTCTTCCCATAATGTTGATACCCTTACAAGTCATCATTGTATTCAAGCGCTGTTACACTGCAGAGTTATTTGCCACCACCCTAAATGTCCCAAGACTAAAATTTCTTCACTCTGTTCCAGGTAGGATACCCGTATCATTTCTAATGACCTGCTCTACCCATCTCTAAATTGCTATCTTTAATCTGGATTAAAATAACAAAAGTTATTAAAACTATATATAAAATAGAAACACTGACTCAAAATAAAAGCTCCTAAAAGTTTTCCTAATGAAATAAAAAATGGCTTTATAATAGCTATTTTGAATGTTGGGGCAGTGGGGAGGAGGGAGGTTTCACTTTGCTTTCCTCTAGGTTCTTGGAACATGTCTGACTTCTAAATAAATGAGATCAGAGTTTACCTTAAAAAAAAAATCTGACTTTTCAAAACTCACCTAGGTATAATACAGAATAAACTGTTTCAATGAACTGTCTATACAGGAACATATTCTTCTGCCTGTTCTGGCTATACAAAACCACTGAAACATTTGATGACTTGTGAGCTGCTTGAATTGATATTTCCAATTCAAACTGGAAGACTGGATGAAGGATTTGTAGTGGAACTTTGGTGCCAATTCAATCTGGTCATTCCATGTAGAGACAGATTCAGACTGGTCTACTATAGCAAATCCAATGTTCCATAAGTCATAGAAGCTATGTCATAAGTGAGAAAGGATGATCAAATGCAGTAATTGTGAGTTAACACAAGAATAATTCTTTTAACCTTGCAAGAGAGAAATTGAAAGTGAGAAGGCCTAGCATTGCAAAAGCCCTGACTCATGAAGATAACATTCCTAACATTCTTTTCTATAATTCTGCTTTCCTTTAGTTAAATAATAGTGCAAGAAAGTCACATTTCTTGATTACTACTGACTGTTTTATCAGTGTGGGCACTTCCTAGTAAATATATGTAAATTAAAAACAAAACAAACAGTACTCTGCAGTGAGAACAGCACACCACACTAGAAGTAATATTTTTAATTTTCTTTGAGAACAAAACTATAAGCATCCATTAAAATCTGATGAATACAGTAAATCAATGGACTGAGCTCTGGACTTAAAGATTAAAAACTGAGGTAGAGTTTAGCTGTGAAGAAATGTCCTGAATGGACAGTTAGATGAAGGGTAGGGAGATGGATGGACAGACAGACATATATCTAAATCTTCTCTTCAGCCAGGCATGGTGGTTGACGCCTGTAATCTCAGTACTTTGGGAGGCCGAGGTGTGAGGATTATGAGGTCAGGAGATCGAGACCATCCTGGCTAACACGGTGAAACTCCGTCTCTAGTAAAAATACAAAAAAATTAGCCAGGCTTGGTGGCGGGCACCTGTAGTCCCAGCTACTGGGGAGGCTGAGGCAGGAGAATGGTGTGAACCCGGGAGGCAGACCTTGCAGTGAGCAGAGATCACGCCACTGCACTCCAGCCTGGGCGAGAGAGCAAGACTCCGTCTCAAAAAATAGAAAAATAAAAAAATAAAATAAATCTTCTCTTTGAATACAGTACATGCATAAGCTACTTATTACATGAATCTCAAATGCCTAGTGTTTTCTTATCTTTATCAAAATTTTAGTCATTAGTCAACTAACAGCCAACTTATGTCCTCTGTTCAATCAAGAGCAAGCTAAACAGCTGCATCGTTCTGTTTGCCATTATTGCCAATGAGGTGGGACTTTGTTCAATAATTACAAACTTAACAGGTTGTCAGGGATGTTATGTAACAGAGAGAGCATCAGTCAACCAGGAAGCAACAGGGCACTTGTTACCTGTGAACTGTGGAGATACAGGACCAAGTTGGCTACGCTGAGGAACAGGAACACTGAAGAACTGCTTGTTGCCCCGCCACTGCTGTCCACTCTTTATTTAGTATCCCCCAATTTCACTGACATCCGTCAGGTTTTTTTGTTGTTTTTGTTTTTGTATTTTTTTGAGACGGAGTCTCGCTCTGTCGCCCAGGTTGGAGTGTGGTGGCGTGATCTCGGCTCACCGCAAGCTCCACCTTGCCGGTTCACGCCATTCTCCTGCCTCAGCCTCCTGAGTAGCTGGGACTACAGGTGCCTGCCACCATGCCTGGCTAATTTTTTCTATTTTTAGTAGAGACGGGGTTTCACCGTGTTAGCCAGGATGGTCTCGATCTACTCTGTCAGGCTTCTTAAAGATATTACTCTAAAATTCACAAATCTCCCCTAGCACATAACAATTTTAGCAGAGAAGAAAGACTGAACAGAAAGGAGCATTTTGAAAATGCTCTAGATTTTAAAAAGCACTTACTAAGTTCCCTAGCATCCTAAGTGCCTAAAAATATCTATTAGGGGAAATTTAAGTTTTATCCTGCCAAATAACATCTGGCTTTGAAAACGAAATTAACACCTTGAGTTGTATTCAGAAACCAACAGGAAGTCAATGTAAATTGGAAGAAAACGTAATGTGTTCCATATGGATAGACGATTTTAAATGATGTTTTATATGAACACCTGTATTCACTGTATCAGCTAAACAGTGGTCATCAATATACTGTTACCAATGTTAATTACTATTTTTAATTTTTAAATTGAAATTATTTTCAAAAGCAAGGCTTTATATGGATACTTTATACTTTGATTACATAATCGTTGGCATATGAGAAAAAGTATTTGTCTTGCCAACGAAATTTGTATTTATTGTTCCAGCTCATTTAAAAAGCCGTAACACTCGGGTTACCTTCAGTAGAGCAAAGAGACAATAGCTAAAGTTCTAGCTCAACTGAGAATGTGTGTACTGCCTTAATTAGTAACTGCAAGAAGACTTCAGGAGAGATATAGCTATGTGTTTATTTCCCTTTCTAAGTAAATCTCATCAGGCAAAATAGGTAATTTCTATAGAAGACTGCGATCACAATGGTTTATGAATAGGGGAAAAAGAAATGCTCCAATCTTTAATTCATTTTATAGGCAATTCAACGACATATTTCTGTAACATCTACCATAAAACAGTAGCAACTGCACTGTTTACAGCTCTAAACCAGTGGGTCTCATATTTGGCTAAACACTGACATCGTTTGGGAACTTTGCAAAATACTGATGCCTGGGTTCCACCCCCAGATGCTCTGATGTAAATGGTTGGAGAAGAAAGTCTGAGTATTATTCATAGTCTTTAAAGCACCCTCAGGTGATTACAATACAACGCAGCACAGGTGCTTAAGGAACGATGGGCTCCTCAGCAATTCTAGACACCCTAGAGGGCACCTAACTGTAGATCCCTAAAGGGTACATACTTCCGTAAAATCAAATTCCATGAGCATATGCTTGAACTTCTACTGGGCAGTTCAGTGACAAGGTCCTTAACCTTTTTCGGCTGTAATCTATAAAATGGGATAACACCTCTCTGGAGGTTACTGTGAAGACTAGAGTAAATGTGCACAGGGCACATGGCACAGGCAAGGTGATCAGTCTGTTGACGGTAGCTGTATCACCATTGCAATTGGGATGAATGTTACACAGAGTGAATGCCTAACAGAAACTAGTTTGCCTGTGTCTGTGGAGGGCAAGGAAAATCTATCATTCTCCCTGTCTTCTACCAGAGTTCCAAGAACACCCAAGAAAAGGGAGAGTATATACTAAAAGGAGAATTTGGGCATCTACCCAAATGTGGGATGTGCAGCCCCCTCCAATAGCCTGAGACTGTAAGACAGGAGCTCAGGGGCTCACAGACCCCTCCAAGTCTGCCTGGCCTCATTTAAGGATGTGGATTCAAGGGAGCATTTTCTTACCCATTCAACCATTTCAATTAGTCTGTTTAAGCATGCAGGTCTTCATGTGTTCATACTGAATTCTATCCTTGATATAAAGCTAAATGGAAGTGGCGGGAAGTCACAGAATTCTATATGGTAAGTTCTTGACACAAAAAATAAGATGTTTAAAGAAATATCAGAAGAAAACGAATGGTAATCTTTAAAATGATATACAGAACACAGGAATGACTGGCATATCACAGGCACTCAATAAATACTTATTGAATGCATAAATTTATTTCACACCGGATACAGTGCCTAGGCCAAATTTCATACACCTTCCTCAAAAGTAACAAAGCAATCCTGAAAGAACTATTAAGAAATGTAAATCCAGGGAATTCATTTCTCTTCGGCTAATTGGTATCAGTGATAAGGACTATTAACTTAAAATATGCCTATTTCCTATGAAAAGAACTTAATAATCCATCATTCACATTACATTACCTGGATGCAAAGTAAAGAACCTAGCAGTTACAACATTAAACAGCTACAAGATACACTATACTAGTAGTCCATAGTTTCACTTAAGACAGATTTCTTTTCACTTAATTGGTACCTACGCCTAAATATGAAGAGAATAATTCCAGCTTGAAAGCAAGTGACAGTAGATCATTTCTGTGTATTCTCTCAACAAAAATGCAAACACATAACCAGTAAGCACGAGGGGAAAAAAAAACCCATCTTGACAATTCTCCAAATGTATTAGCCTTTGACTATTTTATGTGTAATTGGCAATATCATTTCTCCATGACAGGACTCATTAGTGACATTACAGCATCCCATAATTCAGCATTTTACTCCAAACTTGAAATAGTAATTAGTTAGCATGAATCTTGCTGCATTTACCATGTATACTTTGTGATCAAATTTTAATAGGACCATCTCATCTGTATTCACACAATGCTGTTAAACCAATTATTTTTTATACGTTGCCTTAAGAAAAGCTACTTTATTTTTCACATTAGAAACTTTCCCTGAATTACAAATATGCAGAAAAAAATAACATTTTAATAAAAACAAACTGGGTAGCTAATCACATCTTGAGTTACACTTCCATCTATCTCCAGATATGCACCTTTCATTATTACCATTCGTTTCTGGAAATTCAGCACTCAGTGCTGGAAGAACAATAAAGACAACACAATGTCTGGCTGCTCAAAATCCTAAAATTCTGAATTATAAAGAAAATGGTAAAAATATATATATCTGATATACTAACAGGAGTAGAATTTTATAGTAATAATTTTCAGCGCTGCAGCAATTACTTATTTAAGACAAAAATCACCGGAAAATTTCCACAATACGCTCAATTGTTTAGAGTCAAAAAAGATGCTTAAGTTACACCTGAAGGAATAAATATCCCAAATGAAGTGTGTGGATTGTTTGCACATTGTTATGGCTAATAAAGTATTCAACTGTGCAGATGATACTACTGGTGCCTGCCTAACTGCCTTCCCTGTACCTGCCTGCACCCACCCCTAGCCTTAAATTCAGTGAGAACTCTGATTCTGTTCACTTGGGTCCAGGGGCTATGTCTGCAGGGAGAGAATATTACCCACTCTGTATCGCTAGCCTGGACTGGCCCTCAAGCCATGAATCAACATTGCACTCTACTACCCCTGGTGATATCATTCCCAACGACTGGTTTAAGAATGGACATGTAACACCATTCCACTCATTGAAAGAGCTGTGGATCTAAGAGAAACTTCTGTGAATGACACACACACACACACACACACACACACACACGGAGGGAGGAATGAAGGGAAAGAGAGAAGTGCTAGAAAGGGGACATGCAACCTCTCATGTGAGTGTCATCCTGAGACCCTGAGGACAGCCAGCCTATGAGACAAGTCCAAGCTGTCAGATTGAGTAGGGAAGAATTGAATGTAGGTTTTTGATGATGCTACTGAGGCCCCCAGTTAACAACCTCTAAAATTACCCTACTCCAGGACTTCTTATGTAGATAATAAATGTTCTTTCTATTCAAGCCATTTTCAGTTGGTTTTTCATTACCTGAAGCTGAAAGCATCCTAGCTGATGAGCATTGTAAGGGACTTCAACTATCATTTTGTGATCATGGAAGACTTAGAAAACTTGATGACATATGTTGCCACAAACTAAGCCTCAAGTCAAAAGAAGATTAATTATAAGGATCACAGCCTCTGAAGATAATGCAATAAAAACTGAAATTCAGGACAAAAATACAAACCAAAAATAGCTAAAGAAGGGAAATGTTTTAAAAATCCTCCACTAATATTAAATCGTGTCTCAAAGAAGCCAAACAAGCAATTACAAAATCTTTAGAAAATAACGACAGTAAGGACGCTGCATATCAAAAAAAGAAGTTAAAGAAAGAGAAAGCACAGAAAAGAAAAGAAAAAAGCAAATAAACCCAGATTTATAATTAGAGGAAAAGACACAGCATAAAATTGGGGAGGAGGAGTGGCAGAGGGAACGGGAGGCAGAAAACAAATTAGTCATTCAATTAAAGGCATCGGAAAACACACAGCAATGGCAAAGTAAAGATAAAAGGTAAAGAGATGAATCTGCACAAGAGTTGAACTGAAAAATTAGACCAAGAGACTTCTTTGAAAGGTGTGGGGGAAACAAGCCTCTAGTCTAATAAGAATTACAGAAAATACAAATTGCAAAAGTAGGAGTAAGCAAAATGTGTAGCAACAATACCACAGACACAGATGCTACAAACACTTAAAAGAGCATTACATTAATAAACTTGAATACCTTACCTATTTTTCATTATCAACCCCCAAAGGAACCTGCCTTGCTCAACACCCTCCGCTTGTAAATAAATGCTAAGGTATGATTTTGTTGGGCTGAGCTTTGGAGAGCCACAAGACACTGTAATTCCTTTTCTTTTTTTTTTTTTTTTTTTTTTGAGATGGGGTCTTGCTCTGTTGCCCAGGCTGCAATGCAGGGGCATGATCACAGCTCACTGCAGCCTCAATTTCCTGGGATCAACTGATCCTCCCACCTCAGTCTTCCGAATAGCTGGGACTACAGGTGCAAGCTACCATGCCTGGCTAATTTTTTGGGTGTTTGTTTGTTTGTTTTGTAGTAACAGGGCTTCACCACGTTGCCCAAGCTGGTCTCGAACTCCTGGGCTCAGGTGATCTGTTTACCTTGGCCTCCTAAAGTGCTGGGATTACCAGAATGAGCCACCATGCACAGCCATTGCAATTTCTAAGATTTTTTTTTCCTCCTCCTGACCCAAACCAATTTTCACAATATTGTGCTTGTTGAGAATACAAGCATTAATGTTAAGTACGATGGTTTAGAAAAATAAGGATTTTCCATAGTGATTCAAAAGGGAGAATACCAGAAATACCAAAATAATGGGTAAAGTTGTATGTTTTTCAACAAATTACTACCCAAAAGGTTAACAGACATATACGATATTACATAAACTTAATATCTAAATTTCAGAGTGTCATAAGGCTTATGCTGACCAGGAGCTGGCACACTAAGACCAGTGGGCCAATTCTAGCCTGCCACATGTTTTTGTAAATAAAATTTTATTGGAACAGAGCTGCACTTGCATTTACATATTGTGTAAGGCGACTTTCACAACACAATGGCGAGCTGAGTGGTTTTGACAGAAGCCATCCGGCCCATTACAAGAAAAAATTGCCAACCTCTGTTCCAGACCATAAAAAGATAGCTAATACAATCTTAGCAAAGCAAATATAACCTTTACACATGTAATAATAGTTTTAATATTTATATAAGATAAACTGGTAGAGAATAAGACAGTTAAGAGAGGCAGAGAGTAATGCACCCTCTTATCAAACATGTGGAATGTTCACAAAAATTATCTAAGTTTTAGGACAAAAGGATATATTTACAAATTAAAAAAATACAAGTCTTCCAAATCTTTTAAAATAAATGTAATAGGATAAAATTAAAACGTGGCTAAAAATCTACTATCTCTACATCTATCTACCTATTGAAATTTAACGCCTTACTTGTGCTTTGGGATGAAGAAAAAAAAACTGAAGAAAAATTTCCATTTTCATCATACATACATAACAAATAAAGCGCACAAAATAAAGACTGGGAAACAGCCACAGCAGGGTCAGAAAAAATCATAGCATAAAATGCATTTACCAGAAAACACAAGAGATTGAAAATAAGTAAACTTAGTTTATAACTTACAAAATTAGGGGGGTAAAAACAAAACCAAACAGGAAAGTAGAATAAATTATTAGACATAAAAAAAGAAATGAATTAGAAAACCAAACAAAAATACCAGCACATTTGAAACCCAGGTTCTTTGAAATGACCCATAAAACTGGCTAAGTTTTGCCAAGTCTAACTAAGAAAAAAGAAAGAAGATCCAAATAAAGTACAATAGAAATGGAAAAGAAAACAACCTCAGATATTAAAGATTTAAAATTTAACTCCATATAATTTTAATTAACATTAAAAGCTAAGCAAAACAGATACTAGAAGAATGTTCTAAAATTTTCATAAGAAAAAAGAAAACAAAAGACCAAATAACCATAGAAGAAATCAAAATTACAGGTAATAATTTAACTCAGGGGGGAAAAAAGCACTAAGCATAGATGATTTTAATGAAGAGTTTTTCAGATCTTCAAAAAATAGATAAAACCAATATTATATAAACTGTCCAATATTATATAAACTGTCCTAATAGTGTCCTAAAAGCACTAGGCATAGATGGTTTTAATGAAGAGTTTTTCAAATCTTCAAAAAATAGATAAAACCAATATTATATAAACTGTCCTAACGGGACAAAGAATAAGATTTTTTAAAAACCTAAGATGTTTTAGAAAGCCACCATAGTTGGATTCATAAATATAATAAGAAAACACACTTACGTGGGAATAGCACTTATGAATATAGATGGAACATTTTTAAATAAAGTTTAAAAATTACCAGAGAGAAAGGTGGAGCAAGATGGCTCAAAAAAAAAAAAAAAAAAAAAACCCTCCAAAGATCATCCCCTCAGCACAAACATCAAAATGAACAACTATCCATACAAGAAAGCATTTTCATAACAGCTAAAAATCAGATGGGAGATGACAGGACCTGGTTTTAGCTTAACAAGAAAAGATGCATTTAAAGGGGTAGGGAAGACAGTCTCACATTACCTACACCCTGGTACCTCATCCCCAGGCAGCACAGCCTGGAGGGAAAACACCTATGCTTGGGGTAGGGAAAGCAAAGTGAGTGTGGGACTTGGCAT
Source organism: Homo sapiens (assembly GCF_000001405.40). Taxonomy (NCBI): domain Eukaryota; kingdom Metazoa; phylum Chordata; class Mammalia; order Primates; family Hominidae; genus Homo; species Homo sapiens. Next base: position 3,485,423 of record NC_000007.14, on the reverse strand, counting down.
TGGAACTAGGTGTTAGCCCTGCCACGGTGGAACCCAGCACTGAACTCAAACAACTCAATCGCAAATAAGCAAATAATCTGATTTTTAAATGGGCAAAGTATCTGAAGAGACATTTCTCAAAAGAAGACCTGCAAATGGCCACCACGTCTAGGGAAAAAATGCTCAATATCACTAGTCATTAAGAAACGCAAATCAAAACCACAGTGAGATTTCATCTCACCCCAGATATGATAGCTATTATCAAAAAGACAGAAAATAACAAATGCTGGCTAGGATGCAGAGAAAAAGAATGTTCATACGGTCTTGGTGAGAATGTAAATTGGCAGAACTATTATGGAAAACAGTATGGAGGGTCCTCCAGAAATGGAAAATAGAACTGCCATATGATCTAGCAATTCCGCTGCTGGGTATATACCCAAAAGAAAGGAAATTAGTCTATCAAACAGATGACCTGCAGTCCCACGTTTACTACAGCTCCATTCACAATAGCCAAGATATGGAATCAAGCTAAATGCTCATCAACAGATGAATGAACAAACAAAATATGTTATGCTTCCACAAAGGAATACTATTCAGCCACTGAAAAAATGAAATGCTGTCATTTGCAGCAACACGTTTATAACTGGAGGACATTAAGCGAAAGTCAGGCCCAGAAAGACAAATATCCCATGTTCTCACTCCTATGTGGGAGCTAAAAAAAACCGATCTTGTGGAGGTAGTGAGTGCAACAGTGTTTCCCAGAGGCTAGGAAGGGCAGGGGAGAGGAAAGTGTGAGGCGAGGTTGGTTATGGATACAAAACCACAGTTAGAGGAAAGGAATAAGTTCTAGTGTTCAACAGCACTGGCAGGAGACCATAGTTAACTATTGTACAGTTAATCCTTGAACAACTCTGGTTTGAACTGCCAGGATCCACTTATACAAGGATATTTTTCCAACCAAACTGAAAATATAGCCGTTCCTCGGTCTACATGGGGAACTAGTTCCAGGACCCTCATGTTTACCGAAATCCTCACACACTCATGTCCCGAAGTCGGCCTTGTGGAACCTCATATTCAACAAGTCAGCCCCCATATATGTAGGTTTCGCATCCAGTGAATATGTATTTTCGATCTATGTTTGGTTGAAAAAAAATGTGTGTATACATGGACCCATGCAGTTCAAATCCTACAAAACTGTACAGTATTGGAGGGATGTGAATTCATGGATACAGAAGGTGAAATTTTGTATCCGTGGGTTTGGCAGGGCCACCTGTGGACTGGAGCATGCTTCGATTTTGGTTATACAGGGGACCCTGGAATCAACCCCTCACATATACTGAAGTAAGGCATTTCTTAAATAGCTGCAAGAGAATATTTGGAGTATCCCCAACACACAGAAATGATAAATGTTTGAGGTGACAGATATCCCAATTACCCTGATTTATTACACATCATATGCGTATATCAAAATATCACATGTACCCCATAAATATGTCCAACTATTATGTATTAGTTAAAAACTAAAAATAAATTTTAAAATGTTAGACAAGTATTATGGCCATGTAGAGCTTATCCAACGTATATATAAACATTTTAATGATAAAGAGGAGAAAAAAGAAATGTTCCAATGAATTTACTATAGTCATGTATTAAAGGAGAAACATCATGTAACTATCAGAGACTGAAATAAATATCATCTAATAGTACTGAACACCCATTCCTAACAAAAATGCTTAGCAAATTCTGATAAAAGGTATATATCAAAAATTTAGAGAAAATATTACATTTAATGGTAAAATATTAGAAGCATCCATTAAAATGAAGAAGAAAACAAGGATATCTGTTCCACTTGTTAAAATCCCGCATTGTAGTGGTGCAGGGATTGCAATAAGATAAAAATTTAGAGACAGAAATATTCACAAGGAAATGATTATCACAATTTACAAACAATATGATTATTCACCTAGAAAATCAGAGGCAATCAGAAAAAGTAAGGGATTTTGGCAAGCGCAAAACATACAAGGTGAACACAAAACTCAACAGCCTTCTTACATCTTCAATATAGCCAATTTAAGCATTTAATAGGAAAGAGCAACATAAATGGAAAAGTGGGTATAAAACTAAAAAAAGGTGGCAAGATCTTTATGAAGACAACTATAAAACTTGACTAAAGGACATAAAAGAAGCCTGAATAAACTAAAAGATATACTCTATTCAGAAATGCTAGGACTCAATACTGTAAAGATGTCAGTTTTTAACAAAGTAATCTATAAAGGTAACCCCTATCCTCATCAAAATTCAAACATGATTTTTCAGGAACTTGACAAGCCAATCCTAAAACTCACATAAAATATGTAAGAAAACTTCTAAAAAGAACAATGAAAAAATTTGAACATTTTAAAAAGTTTACAATATGACAAGTGTTAATTAAACTGGTGTGATTTTAACAAAGCAAGAGAAATCAATTAATAGGAGAGAATTAAAAAGACTTGAAATCATCATTGTTGTCACCAGCATCATCATAGCTAACGTTTACTTAGCACTTATTACGTGTCAGGCAATTTTCTAAGCTTATTACACAGATTATTTCGTAATCAAGATGTACATTTTATGTCCTGTGAGTTGCCTGAGAATCCTTTACCTGTTTTCCTGTTTTGTTGCCTTCAGTAATGCCTTGAATATTGGGTGGAAGCTGCTTTCCTCCAGAGAGGAGTTGTATTTGTTTTTGCCAGTTGCCTGGGTACACAACTACTTGAAGACCACGTTGAATTGTTTGCTGGAGGTTGTTTTGGACCTCCCCAGTAGGATAGCAGGAATGTGCAGGGAAGACCTGTGGGAGGCCCTCTGGTGGTCATCAATTCTCAGAGAAGCGCTTTCCTTGCTACTCCAGTGAGTTAAGGCTTGTTTCCTTCTCTCTTCTGCGCAGAGATTTCTTTCTCATTCACCTTTTACATTACGGACTTTAGGGTTCCAGATTTATTCAGCAATAAATCTTGGAGCTTCCCACTTTGTAGAAACCATGGGCTTTATTGCCTATCTCCGGAGTCCCATGCAGCCATCAAAGCAGACACTCCCGGCCCTTGAGTTCAGAAAGACGGTGAAGGCAGTCTAAGAGCTCGCTGCCCTCCCTAGAGTCTGGCTTGCCCTTTTTCACCCTGCCAATTCCGTCTTCTCTTGCCTGGTCAGAAATACATTTTCAATAGTTTTTTACATCTCTCCTCTAATATTTTTAATTGTTGTTAGTAGGTAGGTAGTTTAAGGTATCTGATCGATGAATAGACTGTAAAACTATGTGTTTTTTACACACCAGTATTACCCTATTTTATTCCTATAGCTTTACAATGTCTGGTAGGATATGTCCCTGAACTTTACTTTTGCATGGCTTGCCTTTTTTCTTTAATAGATGTTTGACATTTTTATATGTTTTGATTATTAATCCCTTATTATATTTTTTTCAAGCTTTGCTTTTTGATGTGAGGCAGGGCTTTAATAATTTATTTCCATAAAGGACGGCTGATTTGATTAAGCATTCCTTTCTCACTGTATCAGTCAGAGTCCTGGCAGAAAACAGACTGTGCAATCAACAGGGATAATTTGGAAAGCATTTAATAAAGGGAATTTCACAAAAGGTAGGACAGTTTAGTAAAACCAAATAATGCCATGCCCTGGAGCAAATGACAACTGCTGTTTGCACCCCTAGGCCTTAAGGCATAAGAGCAGGGAAGCAGAAACTAGATGCTGAGAGGACAGAGTGGACAGGGTCCCTGACACGAGCCGTGACCTTTCCCAAGGGACACAGTGAGCCCTGAGGTAACCCTGTACACAGGAAGGGCTTGTATGTGGGAAGGAAGGGTGGTTCAAGGGTCAGAATAAATACCTGGACCTAATTCTTTGCCCTCGTTTCTCACTGGCTGGACCCAGTTGGTAGCCACCAGGCAGGAGGCTCACTAACAGTCCAAAGAGGTCAGACTCTGGGAGCACAGAACAGCGTGTAGAGGGCATATCTAGAGGAGTACATCGAAGACATCGGCACATCCTTGACTGACAATTCTGCCTTTTTTAAATCTATCACACTCAATAAACGAAACTGTACCAGGATGATATGCAGTCACTACAGTCAGATGAACAGAGTTCAAGTCCAGCTTCTGCCACACACTAATTGTGTGATCTTGAACAAGTTACTTAACCCTCTGTGTCTTAGTTTTCTCAGCTGCAAAGTGGAATAAAAATACCTACTGTAAAGGATTATTGCCCAAAAAACAACTTTTTAAATTGCCTCTTAAAATTTTTTAAGTAAAATAGTTTTAAAAAGTGAAAGGACAAAATAAAATGGTAAAAATAATTCAAATAATTCCAAATGTATTAGTAATCATAGTAAGTATAACTCTTTGAAATTCTCTGATTTAAAACAAGTATTGTCAGAATAGGTAAAAAATTCAAAATCTATATACATAATGCACATACATAATGCTTACCAGAGACACACTTAAAACACAAGGATACCAACAGAAAGAAGGTTAAAAGAAGGAAGAAAGATGTACCAGAGAAACACTAACTGGAAGTCCGATGCCAGCGTCACTGGCTACAACCAACAAAGCTGCCTTTCTTTCCAGAAGCTCTAGAGATGAATCCATTTCCTCACCTGTTCAAGCTTCTAGAGGCTCCCTGCATCCTTTGACTCATAGCCCCTGTCAACGTAAAATAAACGAGAGACTGGCTTTCCAAAACAGTTTATTCAGGAATAGCAGGGGACTACAATCCATATGCACGCTATGGCAGACCCATAGGTATATCCAAACAGGCTGAGACAAGAGAAGCTTTTAAAAGGAAAAAATGAGAAGTCCACATGAGCTGTCTTGAGACAAAGCTCTCTGGTTGCAGGAGCTGGAAGGAGGCAAGTGTCCATGGGCAGGCAGCTTATCGGGAACACCGAAGTTCTTCCGGTAGTTCCTACATGAGCGTATGTGCACGAGGCAGGCAGCTTATCTGGAACACGGAAGTTCTTCCAGTAGTTCCTACATGAGCGTATGTGCAGGAGGCAGGCAGCTTATCCGGAACACGGAAGTTCTTCCAGTAGTTCCTACATGAGCATATGTGCACGAGGGCGCCTTCTTCATGGCCTCGCGGCTCCATTTCCTTAGGTTTTCACATGAGCCACTCTGTGTTGATACCGCTAGCTTTCACGCCCCCTTCCATCTTCACAGCCAGCAATGACCTGCTGAATCCTTCTCATGTCACACCACTCTTCTTCTGCCTACTTCTTTCACATTAAGGACTTGTGATTATACTGGACCCACCTGGATAATCCAAGATTAGCTCTGTATTTGAAAACGAAATGATCAGCAAGCTTAATTCCTTCTGCTATCTTAATTCCCCTTTGCCATGTAAAGGGACATATTCACAGGTTCTGACGATTGGGATGTAGACATCTTTACTTTGGGCGTGGACAGGTGAGGGGGCATTATTCTGCCTATCACAGTACCTAATAACATAGCTTCAAAGCATATAAAGAAAAAATTGAAAGAACTAGGAGAAAATTAGAGGTCTCTCATTTAATGAAAAAAAAAATTTTTTTTTTTTTTTGAGATGGACTCTCGCTCTGATGCCCAAGCCAGAGTGCAGTGGCACGATCTTGGCTCACTTCAACCTCTGCCTCCCAGTTTCAAGCAATTCTCCTGCCTCAACTTCCTGAGTAGCTAGGACTACATGCACACGCCACCATGCCCAGCTAAATTTTGTATTTTTAGTAGAAATAGGGTTTCACTATGTTGCCCAGGCTGGTCTCGAACTCCTGACCTCATGATCCCCCCACCTCGACCTCCCAAAGTGCTGGGATTACAGGCGTGAGCCACCATGCCTGGCCTTAGTGAAGTAATTTTAACATATCTCACTAATTGCTAATCAGAGCAAAAACAATCATTAAATATATTGACAATTTAGACAATATGATTAACAGATATTTTTAGAGCCCTGTATCCACCAATTGGACAATAGATATTCTTTTTTTTTTTTTTTTTTTTTTTGAGACACAGTCTCACCCTGTCACCCAGGCTGGAGTGCAGTGGCACAATATCGGCTCACTGCAACCTCTACCTCCCGGGTTCAATCGATTCTCCTGCCTCAGCCTCCCAAGTAGCTGGGACTACAGGCACACACCACCAGGCCTGGCTAATTTTTATGTTTTTGGTAGAGACGGGGTTTTGCCACGTTGGCCAGGATGGTCTCGAACTCCTGACCTCAAGTGATCCGCCCTCCTCAGCCTCCCAAAGTGCTAGGATTACAACAGGTGTGAGCTGCCACACCCAGCCTGAACAATAGATATGCTTATGCAAATGTGAAACATTTATGAAAAGTGACCACATACTGGACCATGAAGTCAGTCTCAACAAGTTCTAAACAATCAGTTTAATACACCTCAAGTCCTCTAAGCACAATGCAATCAAGTTAGAAATCAGTATTTCAAAAAACATTATGACATTTTTCACATAAAAACACATTTCTAAATAATCCACTGATTAAAGAAGAAATCATAAAGCTAAAGTATACATGAAAAATAATAAAAACACCATATATTGGAACTAAGCAGCAAGTGATTAGAAAAAAACGTACACATTTAAATGTTCAAATGATAAAAGAATATAGGCTGAAAATAAACAAGCTAAGCATCAAATTCAACAAATTTAACAATTAGGAAAGGAACGACAGTATAAACATGAATCAGGTAGAATCAAGGAAATAATAAAAGAGCAAAAATAAATAAAGATTCAATAATTCAATAAAACCTTTGATTCTTTGGAAAGTCTAATAAAATCAATAAACCTCCAGCAACATTGATCAAGAACAAAGAAAAAGGCCCACACAAATGCAAAAAGACTTATAGATACACATAAAATTTGTGATAACTGAATATGCAACTTTAAAAATAAAGTTATTTTTAAAGTTGAATATATTTAAAGAGAATATGTAAATATGATACTCCTAGGTTATTTTTCTAATAATTACCATAGTTATGTTCTCAAAAATTTTCCCCAAATTGAAAAATAAGAAAATGAAGCTCTCATTTATAAGAGCACTAATAATATATTATGCCTAAAATACATTAAAAGGGATGGAGTGAATCTATCTCAAAAAATAAGTCAACACTCTCATCATTTATAAAATTTATAAACTTCTAATCAAAACTCCAAGAAGTTATTTCATAAAACATAAAATAACTCCCAAATTAATCCCAAAGAATAAAGGGGAGGTAATGGCCATGAAACTTCAGGAAAATAATGAGGGATATTTTCCCTGAAAACATTAAAATATATTACAAAAGGATAATACTTTATAATTTTTTACTGATACAGTGATTTAAAGACAGATTAGTGGAACAAAACAGAAAATTCACCAACAGCCTAAAGTTTCCTAAGGAGTATGTTGCAAATCAATAGGAAGGATATAATTCAATACATATGGGAAACTGTTTAGGAAAAAAAGTAAAGGCAGATCTCTAACACACACCATAGGACAAAACACTGTATGTAAGGATTCAAACACCTGTGAAACGAACAAATCAGTAAGAGGAAATACAGATAAAATTTCCATCCAACTTCTCATGATACGTTTTATATATAAAAAACCATAAAGCAGGCCAGGTGTGGTACCTCACACCTGTAATCCCTGTGCTTTGGGAGTCTGAGGTGGGAGGTTCACTTTAAGCTAGAGGTTCGGGACAAGCCTGAACAACATAGTGGGACTCTATCTCCACAAAAAAATTAAAAATTAGCTGGGTGTGGTAGTGTGTGCTGAAGTCCCAGCTACTAAGGAGGCTGAGGCAGGAGAATCCCTTAAGCCCAAGAGTTTGAGGTTGCAGCGAGCTATGACTGCACCACTGCACTCCAGCCTGGTGGACAGAGTGAGACCCCCATCTCTTAAAAAAAAAAAAAGAAAAAAGAAAGAAACAAAACCATAGGCCGAGCAGGGTGGCTCACACGTGTAATCCCAACACTTTGGGAGGCCAAAGTGGATCACCTGAGGTCGGGAGTTCAAGACCAGCCTGGCCAACAAGGTGAAACCCCATCTCTACTAAAAATACAAAAATTCACCAGGTGTGGTGGCGCACGCCTGTAATCCCAGCTACTCAGGAGGCTGAGGCAGGAGAATGGCTTGAAGCCAGGAGATGGAGACTGCACTGAGCCAAGATCGCGCCGCTGCACTCCAGCCTGAGCGACAGAGCAAGACTCTGGCTCAAAAAAAAAAAAAAAAAAAAAAAAGGAGAAAACCATAAAGCAAAAATGAAGTGTTAGGATATTTCAAGCTACAAATAGGAAATCTCAACTAGCTTAAACAAGGAAGTACTTTAATGGCTCATGTAATTCCAAAGTACAGAGGAAGGTCACAATCAGACTCATTTGATCAGTCTTGTTCCATTTCTCTGCCATTCTCTCAAATCTGCCCTCTTCTTGCACATGCTAGCTTCTTCAGCCATATGGCTTCCCTCACGCCTACAGAGTCTCCGTCCTTAGGCCTGCATGCCTCACCAGTTAGAGGAGTTCCTCTTTCCCCACTTACTGCCAAAAGCCCTAGTTATACACCCATCTCTTAATAGTCACGAATACCACCCGCTAGTTAGATTAGGCCTGAGTTCCCAGTCAGCCACCTTGCTGGGTGTATGACTAGGGTCAATCGCTGGGCCTGGGGATGAGGTCATCCAAACCAAACTCCAGCCTCAGTGAACGGTTACAGAGGAAAAAATTCGAGGTTGGAAAAGTTCACTACAAAGTGACTGACAAAATTAACTATATAAAAATACTAAATTTCAACATATAAAATAAATCCACCATTAACAGAATCAAAAAACAATGGCATAGGTAGAAAACACATATGTATTCTGAAACAAAATAATGATAAAGTCCTATATGACCCCAAACTTTTTGGTAATAAGGTATTAGAAGATTTCACTAAGTTGTATCATTCGGCAGAAATGTAGAAATAGATTACAATGAGAACAATGGCATAATAATCTAGGAAAAAGTAATGTCTGGTTAAAGGAAAAGAAGTACTGGAACTACCACTCACCTTTTGCTGAAGACATAGCCCTGGTAGTGTTAGATGCGACCAGGAGCGGTAACGGCAACTGAAAAATATTGTCTATGTATAAACAGCAAACAGCTGTGGGTGATGGAATCCTGTGTAATGTTCAAGTCACTGGCATTAAAGAAAGCCATAAAAGGTGAAAGCAGATCAGAAGAGTAAGAGCACAGGAACAGTTTTCATATGCATATCGTACCTTTTAGGAAGCTCTCCAAAACCTTTCATGAGTGAAACGGAATATAAAGAAAATTAGTCACTTAATCTAAAACAGAGAGAAATTGTTTGAAAATAGGTTTTAAATTGAGTTTTAAAATATGGGTTTTAAAAATACAGACTTTTTGATGATGAATAGGAAAAGTTTTAATTACCAAAAGATAATAAGCAGGAAGTATAAACAGCATTTAAAACTAAATTAAAGCTACTAAATGCTAACAGAATTTTAAAGGGAAAGTCAAAATGTTTAATTAATGGTTTGGGCAGGAATCCCATGTCGCAATGAATAAGAAGTACCACATGATGCCACAGAGAGCCAGAGAGGCAGCTCAGGTGATTTTTAAATGCAGTTCCACTATGAAACCGTGCATCTGTGGAAGACTGTCTTGTACAAATATAATATACTTCATTCTTTTGAGTCAATGATTCATAAATCTTGACTTGAGAGTTAAGTAAATTTATTTACTTTTAATACCATTCTCCCCTGGACTTTCATCTGGAGGGGGAAAACCTGGCCATAACATAATCATGTCATTTGATTTTTATACAATCAATGAGAAATAATTTCTTTCCAATGAAACATTAATAATCAAAATAAACTTCACAATTAGAAAAGACGTTAGAGGAAAAAGAAAACTAGGATGTGAAGCATCTCCTTTGTCCTGCTTGATTTTTGCGAAATCAAGTCATCGCAGCACCAAGTGAGAGAGACGTGCTCCAAGGGTGGAAACGCTGCTCTGGAGGAGCCCCACACCCGAGGGGGCTCAAAGGAGGAAGACTGGAGAATGAGCTGCTATGAACCAGTGCGAATAGGTGGGGCAGTTAAGGGGCAGGGCTGGGGAGGGCTCCAGAGAGCAAGAAGCAGCACTTCCAGACAGAGGGGAGAACAAGTATCCAAGGAAGGGCCAGGCCTTGAAGACAACAAGAAGCAAGTGACACTAAAGAGCAGGAGGGAGAGTTCAGGTTCCAGACCCTGGAACTAACTAGTCATCAGCTTCTACATAAGGGAGAGAATGGAACAAGGGGAAGGAATCAAAGAGCTTTAAGCAAGAGGATATCATGATTAAATGTGTTTTAAAATTATCATCCTGGTTGCCATGTGGAAAATGGACGGGAGAGTACCAAGTGAATGCAGGGGTATCAGTTAGGATGATACAATGGGTCAGGGCTGGACACGGTGGCTCACACCTGCAATTCCAGAATTTTGGTAGGCCAGGAAGGAGGCTCACTTGAGCCCAGGAGTTCAATACCAGCTTGGACAACATAAGGAGACCCTGTCTCTACAAAAATTAAAACATTAGCCAGGTATGATGGTGCACACCTATATAGTCCCCACCATTGAAGAGGTTGTGGTAGGAAGATCGCTTGAACCCAGGAGTTCCAGCCTGCAGTGAGCTATGATCATGCCACTGCACTGCAGCCTGGGTGACAGAGTAAGACCCTGTCTCAAAAAATAAAAATAGAAGTAATGACCCAGGTGCGAGATGGCAATAATTTGAATATGATGACATTAGAGGTGGAAAGACATGGATGGGTTACAGAGAAATGTAGGAAGTAGAGGTGGCAAGACGGTAACAGGTAAGACACAAAGTGTGAGGGAGAGGTAAACGTCCAATGTGATAGAAGACTGTTAAAGGAATTAAAGAACAATGAACATGTCAAGGGTAGGCCAAGGGACTGGAGGGAGAGACTGAGTGGTGAGATACTGGGGTTGGTACTGGACAGGAGGGATGTGAGGTGTCTTTAAAACATCTGGTAGAGATGGCCGGGCACAGTAGCTCACACCTGTAATCCCAGCACTTTGGGAGGCTGAGGCAGGCGGACAACGAGGTCAAGAGACCGAGACCATCCTGGCCAACATGGTGAAACCCCGTCTCTACTAAAAATACAAAAATTAGCTGGTCGTGGTGGCGCACGCCACCACTACTTGGGAGGCTGAGGCAGGAGAACTGTTTGAACCCAGGAGGCAGAGGTTGCAGTGAGCCGAGATTGAGCCACCGCGCCCCAGCCTGGGCAACAGAGAGACACGGTCTCAAAAAAAAAAAAAAAAAAAAAAAAAAAAAAACACCATCTGGTAGAGATGTCAAGTTGACAGGTAAAGGGACAGGCGCATGATACCACATGGCAGGCAGCTACCCTCATTTTACAGGTTAAAGGTGGATGTCCAAAAATATCGAGGCATTTGAGCCTGAAAGGATTGGTCTTTCAGCCCAAACTATTTGGGCTCCAAAGTCCACATTCCTTCCACTACCCTTCACTGCTGTGGTAGCTAGGAACATACGCGAATTTGGAGAGGAAAAAAAAATTAGAAAAATATAGGCAGACCATACGGTGGTCTAAAATTTTCAGCTCATGTTCATCACACTCCCTGAACATTATTACACATATTAACCTACTGTGGGAGCCAGGGCTCTGTGTAGGAGGCAGCAGCAAGAAGTAGAAGGAAGGTAACTAGAAAGATAAAATGGAAAAAAAAAAATAATTCAAGATGTATTAGTACCTGGACCCAGGAAATAAAAGGTAGTCATGAATAAAGCACATGGAAGCAAGGAGTAGATTTAAAAGGCCTTTTTGGAGGTCATTTAGGACAGCCAACGTCCCACATACTGCAAGAGTCCTATCTAGAGGCTGGTCTCTCAGGGTTTAAAAGCTCCACAAACTACTGGTTTAAACCAGCCTAGACTTTTGTAAATGCTATACAATTCCTAACAATACACTAAACACACATCTACAAGGATTATTGAAGAAGTAAATCTATAAAGTATTTTAAAAGGTACAAGCCAAGTAATTATTGTAAGCATTTGAACACAACTTCACTCCTTGTTTTCTACCTGTTCTTCTAATTGATTCCCCAGTTTGGGAAAGGATTTGGGGTGGAACCAGCCTTCTAAGAGGCAGTGTGTACAGTGAAAGGCTTGGAGTAGGAAATTTGGGTTTGAGGTCCTGCTCCATTTACTCTTGTAAATTAGTTCACTGGTTTGCAGGTGTGTTTTCTCATCTTCAATCAGAGTCAATGCTGACCTTCCTCACAAGGCTGTTGTGATGCTCCGGTAAATGTGTACATATGAAAACAATTTCAAAATCGTAAGAAGCCATGCAAATGTCAGGATGCTGATGATGATGGCGGAAGAAGAGCAGCAAAAGGAAAATGGGGAAAAAGAAGAGGAGGAAGGGAAAGGGTCAAATAGCAGACCACTGGTCTGTGTGCAATGCCTTTCATTTTATTATGTTAGCAGTGCTTACTAGCTTTACCTCCTGCGGCCAACTACTCAGAAGCCCCTGACTGTTACCCCATGTTCTCATGCTGGTACTGTAAGCCAGACCTAAAACTACGGCAAGCAACTTGCTGTTACCCTATGTTCTCATGCTGGTACTGTTAGCCAGACCTGAAACTCCAGGACGTCACTGGCCTCAGTGTCTTCAAATGCAAATTCAGTAATCTAGGTTAAAGTTCTAAATTTTGAAAGTTTCATGGTGTTCCATAAAGTTTAATGAGATACTGATTTGTTTTAAAATTCAAAATGTAACATCCTGTGTATTTCAGGCCTTGACATAGGGAAGTAATCATTTTTACCTAAATGTAGAACCAGCTATTATCAGTTATAATTATTCTATTAAGATACACCCATAATAATCTCATAAATTTGTTCTTTTAAAACATATCTTAACACATTATCTTCACCATGTATTGTTTTCTAACTTTTTAGTTAGCCTTGTCCCTCTAATTAGATCGTAAACCTCTTCAGGCAGGAAAAATTACTAATTTTTTTTCCATTTCCTTCACAGCACCTAATAGCATACTGGGCATATATCAGAAGCACAATAAAATTGCACAAAATGAGTAATATGTGGAAACTAAACTGTTATCTATACCCCCTCCCCAGCTAGTCAAAGGTATTACAAAATTATAAAAGCACTATGGCTAAAGATGGAATTCTATGGACATCTAAAAAAACTAGAAATGCAAAACAATATTTACAATCCCTTCAGCCATGAAAAAGTAATGGAGGGAACTATGCATTTACCAACCCACAACACAGTGGGAAGGAGACACAGATAAAGGATAAGAAAGGACCTGCAAACAATACCACAGCACTGCTACCATCTCATCAGCAAAAACACAAGAGGGTCATACCGATTACAAAAGTGAAAAAATGCTCAAGACTATAATGCATCCTTCAAGTAAAAGTGACTATGGTTAGGAACAACTTAAAGAGTTTGATTATTTTCAAAAGGAAAATAAACCTTTCCTCAAAATCAAATGCAAAACACTTCAATATTTGTTTCAGAGAACATTGAAGTTCAATGGATAAAGTCCCAAAGAGTGTTTTAAACTACTATAACCAGGCAACTTTTAAGAACAGAAAAGCCGAGTAGACTATAAAAAGTAAAACCATACAAAGCTTACTCTGTTCTTGGCTAAGAAAAGCAGTATTTTCTCTGTTTCTTTACAATGTTATCAGTCCTTCATCTTGAAAACAAGCTAAGCTGGCCTATGGATCTGAAGTTGACAACACTTCTTACTCTTGACTTACTTCAAACATCTGAGCCAAACTGAAAACATAGTGTAAATACGCAAAATTGAATTGCGTCTAAATGGTGTGAAGAATCGAAACTGACGGCTCATATTGCTAACTTTATTAATGACTCCTTAATTAGCAAGGTTTTAAGTACCTGTAGTTTGAGGATTAACACATATTAAAAATAATGGTGTGAAATAACCCAATTTACAATATCAGGAGATGATAATGATTTTGCAGAAAGAAATAAGTTCTAATAAAAATAATCTAGATTCCTAATACCACTTACTGACAATCACAGCTTTATATCATGGTAAAATTACATACTTATCTCCTCATTAGCAACTAGTCTCACTTATTCCTCTTGCCAAACCAATTATAAGAAAATGTTCAGACTCAAAGGGATTAATAGGACACTTGGACCTCACTCAGTCTTCTCACGACTCAAGTAATTAGCAAGCACTTGTACATAAAATCCAAATAGTTTTCCTAAACTAATTAAGGAAATGAAGGACATCAAAATGTTACCAAATAATAGCAACTCATGTCCCATATACCAATAGTCCTCAAACAGATAAAATAATTGCCAGATGCTGATGGAATCTTGTTGGTCAACTCAGAAACTAATTTGGGGTGTTTATAAGGAGGAGGAAAGAAAGATACTTGTTTATCAAATAAGCAAATTATGTCACAAAGAAATATTTTATAGGCAATGCCTTGTATATTAAACAGCTTCTGAATTCTCCAACTCCTTAAGCACATAATACAAGGTGAGTAAATGATAATAGTAGAAATTTGCATTTATATGATATTTGCTTCTAAGCAGCTCAAAATGGAAAACATAAGCCTAAGCCATTCTCTCAAAATTTCATAAAAAGCCTGGGATTTCGGAAAAGGAATTTGGAAAACTGGATTCTCCTGCTGGCACCCTATTTTCTGTGTCCTTTCAAGTAAACATTCATTTCAGAAATCAGACTATAACTCTTTGTAAGATTTTCCTTTTGTTTCCTGTCCTTTCATACTGCCAAAGTCATAATAAGTCTCCAGCGTACCTAGTTTAACCTCTCTCCCCAAGGTTTTCTTACTGACTAAGAACCTCAAAGCAGACTTCTGTATATATTTTATTTTCTAAATTAACAGCTCATTAGCTGTTCTTAGCTGTAACTCTTTAAAAGGTCAAAATAGTGTATCAAAAATTAAATTGTTTGATTACAAATTTTATATTTCTATACTAAAACTGAGGGTGTTCATGAGATCTTTAAATAGTTGTACACGTTTTCAGGGTAGTACCTTGACTATCTCTGAGGCACACAGTGTATCAGATCCTATACCTATCTGTTAGGTTTGCTCCTAGTAAATAGTATGAACCCAGAGTTTGGTAGAAAATAAGCATTCTGTGCATATTTGTTTAAAGGAGGGAGAGAAGAAGGGAGAAAGGAGGTTGGCATATGGATCTTGGAAATTTTTAGTATGTAGATTCAAACTAGACCAGCTGAAAATTCTTCCTGTGATGCTAAGCCCCAAAAAGGCTGAGAACAAATGGACCCTCTCTAGTATCTTCTCCACAGACCCTGCTAGTGTTAAATATGGAAAAATGAATGAAAGAAAAGCAGTTGCTTCTGGCCATTGATATTACTGCATGCATTTTGTGTCTCGGGTGAAATAAAAAATATTCCTTCATGCCAGAAGCAAATCTCTGCAATCTATAACTTAGGATGAAACCATTGACTAGCATACTTATTTTCGTATGTCTTAATTCAGAGAAACACTTTACCTACCTGATCTGAAATCTTAGGAAGCATTTTCAATTTCTTTGGGAAAATGCCTGACAGATTTATTCTTAATCTCTCTTTAGATAAAGCTCTCTGAAGATCAAAGGGGCCTCACTAAGGCAGATGTGTTTTCTGTCAATGGCTAGGAAGGAAAAACAGACTTCAAGCAAACTGCTCAGAAAATCCTTAAGTAACTAGACGTTAGATGGAGAATACAAAGTCTTTACAAAGGTCATTGGATAAGGAAAAGCTAGGCATACATACACAAAAACTTTCTTTGCAAAAACAACCTAGGAATAGGCCCTAACCGGAAAACTAAGTCACAATTTAGACAAGCTCTCTGCAAATATTAAGAAATACTAAAGAAGTGTACATCACCTCATGCTATTTACTGCAGGTCTTAATTCCTTCCAAGGAATTTCTTATTTATTTTTAAGAGACAAGGTCTTGCTGTCACCCAGGCTGGAGTACAGTGGCACAATCATGGCTCACTTCAGCCTTGAACTCCTGGGCTCAAGCAATCCTCCTGCCTCAGCCTCCCAAGTATCTGGGACGACAAGTGTGTGCTACCACCCCTGACTAATGTTTCATTTGTTTTATTTTTTGTAGAGAAAGGGCCTTGCTTTCTTTCCCAGGCTGGTCTCGAACTTCTGGCTTGAAGCAATTCTCCCACCTTGGCCTCCCAAGGTGCTGGGATTACAGGTGTGTCCTTTGGGGAATTTCTGATGGAATTACATAATTGACACGAAATTCGAAATTTCAAATCACAACAGACTCTGGTCTCTAAAAATAAATAAATAAAATCAGCCAGTACATAATGACATGATCAGCAAAAACTGGCCTTTAAGCCTAACACGTTGTTAATAAGAATATTTCATATGGTAACTTCAGCAATTAGGGAAATACCTAAATTGTGTTAAAAGTTGTAGGAGTCAAGGGAAACCTACCCCCTTCACCCTCTGAAGGTATGCTAAAAATCACTGATGAGAGGACAATGAATAGGAGAAATCGCATCCCAATTTATTAACGTGTACACAGAGGCCTTCATAATGAAGACCCAAAGATACTAGGGAAGTTGTCCACTTTTATGCTTAAGATTAACAAAATACGGACAACACTCAAGAAATACTATTGAACAGAGACAGTACGATCTAATGCTAACAGACTGAGTTCGGAAACCCAGCAGGATTCTTCCTGGCCTCTCTGGGCATGTATTCAATACTCCTTCCTTCTGGGTATAAGGGAGGACACTCTCTGGAATGAGGGTGTTATGACCTACAGTCAAACACCGTAGGTCAGACAATGTTCTTCTGGCTAGTTTTTACACAGAGAGGCAGAGGAAAAGTTAGAGTAATACTTTTAGGTTTTATGGCTGGCTATGGGGAAAGGGGTTCTGGTTTCTATGATCTGCCTTGGGGAAGACAAATTCTAGTTTCTATGGGTAGATTCGGGGGAGAATGCGACTGAGACAGGAGGGCAGGAGAAGGTCAGAGAAAGCCTTGCTTCTAAGGCTTCTTCTGAGGCCTTCATTTTGGGATATTTTCTGAGTCCCAACACAGTTAATAAAATCATATTAACCACTTTTTGTTTATATCATTTCAGAAAACACATCACTGGACATGAGAGAATCACATTTCATTAGTAGTAAAAGAAAATATTATACAGTTATCTAGAAAAGCATGAATAACAGATGCAGTTAAGACTAAAGGAATGTCAAACATATCTCTGAACTTTTCACAACTGAAATGAATGATTTCTCTCTGCTTTATGATTTCTCTCTGCTTTATTTTTTCCATTTTAAAATACTGAGATAAATATTCATTTCTTGCATAGATTACATTATAAATGTCTACAGTGGAAAACGATTTAAAATCTTCATTAAAAAAACATGACAACAATGATTACATCACCTATATATGATAATTAGAAAGCCAGAAAACCTAATAACTACATAAAAGATCTCTAATAAACTTGTGATGCATTTTCAGATTCCTCCAAGCATTTATCAGCAAACAAGCTAATAAAGTCTAATGCTAAGGGAAAAAGACTAAATTTCCATTTAGAGAACAAATTTTAATTGAACACTATCCAATCTCAAATGCTTTACTAAAAAAATTAAGTTTACCTTTAATTTTATCTCAATTTGTAATACAAAGAAACTATGGAAAGAAATCACAAACGAAGAAATTGAATGTAAGGTTTAAACAAACTTTGTTCTTAAGAAAATTTAATAGCTGCAAAACATAAATTCCAACTTCTATCATACTTTAGTACAGATACTGACTTTAAAATAATTTACTATAATTATTAAATATCTAAAAAGCAAAAAAAATCTATTCAGATAAACATCTAGCTAATTTCTCCAAATACCAATCAAAATCCTGTTTTACTGGGTTATTGGTATATTTTTACTTTTTGTATATTTTTTATTTTTATACTATACATTTTTGGTTTTATATTTCTACATATACCAAAAGTACAGTGGGCAACAATTCTTTAATGTTCATGAGTGGGGCTCTTAATTACATGAATAAAAGTAGTTTCCTTTTTTTTAGAGAAACATAAGTGGCATTTAATTGGCTCCAAATGTTTCTCAATGTGCAAATTTCACTGTGCTTTTAATTTTTGGAAAAATGTGAAAGTGCTTTAATATTGTAAAGTAGTACATACATATTACAGAAAAATATTTTTATTGATCATAAAAATACTTTCCCCATGAAGAAAGCAAGTATAAAGAAGTATAAAATAACTTCAATTCAACCAACCAGGTATAATGACTTTTACCATTTTGATGTCTTTCCTTAAAGTCTTTCTATGTGTATGTTTTACATCTCTGTGTGTGTGTGTGTGTGTGTGTGTGTGTGTGTGTGTGTGTGTGTGTGTGTAGAGAGAGAGAGGAGAGAGATTTCGAAGTAACTAGAGACAAAATACTAAGGAAAAAGAATTGGATGGTTTGTAAATATTTCCAGCTTTAAAAATCAATGCCTCCAGTCATTCAGTATCAATTTAAATCCACAGTAAATAATTGGTAAAAATCCTTGGTTATGAAAATGTCCTTTACAGTGTTCAATTTAACTCTGCTTTAGAGAAGGGGTGGGGGGAGATACTTTGCATAATCCTCTTGACAGATTATCATAATCGTATAAATAG
Organism: Homo sapiens; assembly: GCF_000001405.40. Taxonomy (NCBI): domain Eukaryota; kingdom Metazoa; phylum Chordata; class Mammalia; order Primates; family Hominidae; genus Homo; species Homo sapiens. The sequence goes on along the minus strand of NC_000007.14, from coordinate 3,466,714 downwards.
TTCTGCCACTATTAGCAAATGCTACAAAAGAAGGGAGCCAGTTATTATTTTAAGTGATAAGCAAGAATGACAAGCAATTTCACATGAAACATGGATATGGAACATGCTCAAAAAACAGATATCCTCATATCGAGATAAGAGTGGATGAAGATGAGTAAACCTGCCAGAAGCAGTGCAAGGCTGAGCTTACTGCCCAAGCTAATGTCTCCAACTGACAACACACAACTTAGCTGGATCCTTGAGATTAGGACGCATACTAGATAAAAATGTGGTGACAGAGTAATGTTCACCTTGTTAGCCAAGTGAGCATGCAGCATTTCTCCAACTTCAGAGAGCCAGCATGGCTTGATGTCACGCTTCCTATTAATGTTTTGAGAAGCAGCATCCAGGACTTCAGGATGGAACATCTCACTTGTGAGGTCAAAGTCTTTTGGCAGAGCCTGCAGAACACGGCTCCCAGAACTAGCATATAAAGCTGAAAATCTGCCTTAGGACTCCTAAGGCTCTCCCTATTCCAATAACTCGATGAAAGGCAGGTAGTTTCCCACAGGGTTTTCAGGTGCTCGGTCATGGCTGGCAACATGTCCAGCAGTCCTGCTCCACATGGTAGTAGTCAAGGCATATCCTGTAACAAAACCTCACCTCCCCTAGCTGAGTTGCCCATCTGAGAAGAGAAAAACCAGCCCCTCCTGAAGCACCATTCAAAGGGTTCCATGTCCATCTTTATCACTCCAGAAAAACAAACAAACAAAAAGAGTGATGGAAAATTACAGCAACACTTTTTATTCACAGACAACTTGGACCATGTGTGAACGCCTTAGGTGTAGTTTATATGAATTTATCCTCTGCACGTCCCTATGGCTGCTTGGAGTGTTAGACTGATGGCCAACCCAAAAGGTGACTCCCTAAAGTACTCCATCATAGGCTGCAAAGCCATTCAGAGAACACCAACACAGTGGTCTCAACTGGCTGACAGGACACTCCTTCACACCTTCCCAGACACGCGCCTGAATGATCATATACGGAGGTGACAAGAGAACACAGGCCCAACCTCTGTCATTTCCCACCCTCAGTAAAGTGGTGAATCAGGATGCGTGTGTTCACAGCACACAGGGGACTTGATCCCACCCATCACCCAACAGTATATGAACCTAGCAATGAGAGCAGTGCAAAGCCATTCAAGGAAGAAAAGGAAGCTTCTGTGGGTATTAAATAACAGGACACACTAATGTGAGGCACAAGAGAGTATCCCTAGTGGAAACACTTCTCAACTTCAGTCTTCCATTGCCAAAATCTCAAATTATGCTGACGTTACTCATTATGTTTCATATGCCTATTTCTTCTCATTTTTATTTTTGGTTTAAGTATTTTTTTACTCATAGTTTAATTTGTATGTGTTATGGAAATGCTGGGGAGAATTATGATGACCTCTAGACGATACCATTCATTGTCGCAGTTGGCCAACTGGGCAGGAGGGCCTCTGCTTGAGCCCAGAATCCAGAGATGCTACAAGTCAAAAAGCACACTCTAGGGCTCACCCTGAGAATCCCACTTGTCACACGGAAGTGCAGGCACAATGCCAATTTGCGTCAAGGAGCTCCCTAACGGTAATCTCACTTACGGATTAGCCCCACCACATGTAAATTCTGACTCTTGACATCTGTAAGAGTTTGTGCCCTCTCTTTCAAAAGTCTTCCTCTGTGGTTCCTCTGGTTAGCAACAATGTTAGCCTTAGCAGCACGAAGTACATTATTTTAAAACTACTCAGTGGAAGCTATAGTTTGATGTCAAATACTAAAGGGAAAAAAAATCACATAAATGTCTATGTTTCCCAAGGACAAATTTAACATGTAATATCATTGTCACAACTTACTCTTTAAAAATTTGTCCAAATTTTTAAAGACTGTCCCGACATTAGTGTGTCCTGTTAAACTGAACTGAAAAATAAGTCAAAATTGAAATATATTTCTGCCAAAGTACTTTATATGTGTGTGTGTGTATATATATATATATATACATACATACACAATGAACGGGAATAATGTATTATACATATTTGCTTCATGCTTCATTTATTATCCTTGTTTTAAATGTTGACTTGAAAAAACAGCTTTTCTCAAAAACAAACAAAAAAAGAGCCACTGACAGAATGAAAGGCATTTCAAGTGTTAACTTTAATACCTTTGTATTTTTAGAGACAGGGTCTCACTCTATCACCCAGGCTGGAGTGCAGTGGCGAAATCGTAGTTCACTGTAGCCTTGAGCCCTTCGGCTCAAATGATCCTCCCACCTCAGTCTCCTGTGTAGCTGGGGCTACAGGCATGCCACTACACTGGGCCAATTTTTAAATTTTTGTAAAGATGGGGTCTTGCTATGTTACTCAGGCTGGCCTAGAACTCCCGGCCTCAAGCAATGTTCCCGCCTTGGCCTCCGAAAGTGTTAGGATTATAGGCGTGAGCCACCATGCCTGGCCCAATACCTTATTTCAACAGAGGGGAAAAAAAAGTTACTCTGTCCCCAAAAAACTGCTTCATATACTTGGAACATGTATGTATAGGTTTCACTCAGGGAACGATGCGTCAGTGTAATTGTTCTCAGAAATAACTGCGTATTTTTAGAATAATTTTTACAATTGGTTAAGTCACAGTAAAAATATACAACGATTTTGATTATTTTTAGATTAAAGCTATCAGAGAAATATAAATGAACTGTAAGAGAAACATTTGACATCTGCCTGGTCCTCTGGGTAATGAAGCTCCAGAGCTGGGAGAAAAAGCCCTGAGGTTACACATGCCTAAGGCAGAACAAAAGAACTTTGGGGCCCTTATGCCTGGAATGTGTCCAAGAAGCCAATTCAGGTTCCAAAGTCACCATTGCATTAGACCCTCCTCCTATGGCCTGTCCTGGAGGGAACATGTTAAAAGCCATCAGACACTAAGGCAGAGAAATGTATGGAGAGACCAGCATTCAAGGAGTGAGACCAGCAGAGAGGGGGAAATGAATGAGGCTCCTCACAAGGCCTAAGCCCTGGCTCCATCGTTTTTTCCTGAGGGATATAAAGTAGTTTAAATAGGCACAGAAAACTCACCTACTTTAGCAAAACAGAAGTTGTAAATACTCCAGTAGTGAAAGCCATGATCCCATGGCTAAATGATCCCATTTACTGGCACTAAATTATGCACTTTTCATTCAATTATATTATTGTATATAATTATTATCCCTATTTAACAGGTGAGGAAGCAAGGCTTTTAGCAAAACTGACCTCTATAAAAGCTTGTCCAAGGTCACACAAAAAGAACGTGTTAAGTGCAGGGCTCAAAACTCAATCTATGTTCATTCATTCATTCATTCATTCATTCATTCATGAATATGTGAGTCCTAACTATATGACAAGTATTTTTCAGCACCAAAGTTAAAATGGTGAAAAAACAAAAACAAAAACAAAAAGATATTCTTGCTATCATGGTTACTGAGATATTAATCAAATCCTCACAAAATTAAATGTAAACCTAAAGGACTATGAAGAATAAGCAAAGCCTACAAATCTCGACCCCATCTCCATGGAGTCAGGGAAATGACACTTGTGTTAAGATCTAAAGCACAGGATAGAGTTAGATAACAAGTTGATGAAGGAAGGGCAAGAAACAAGTGCAAAGCCCCATAGCAGGAGGGAACAAGGCACAATTCACCTCTCAGAGGAAAGGAAGGGAGAACACACGGGGGAGCTGCCAAATGGGGTAGCCCAGGGAGGTAAAATCCATGTGAGGGTCTGTGGTCTTTATCCTTACAGCAATGAGAAGGCAAGCAAGGATAACCTGGTGGGGGTAACATGATATCACTTCTGTTTCCCAAAAGCACGATGTCATGAGTCCCAGACAGACTAGAAAGAACCACAATGGATGAGACTACATCTACTACAGTTGGCCAAGAAAGAGATGATGACAGCTTGCATTAGGATGGCGGCAATAGAGAGAGGAGGGGAGAGATCACAGAGGTGTTTGAGGTGAAAATATGGTGATAAGTGGAGTTAATGTGGATGAGGCATCAAGAAGAATAAGGCATCAAAGTTTATGGTACAGCTGGACTAGGTAGATAGGTAAGTTTGGTCTAGTTCGAGTTGAGTTTGAGATGGCTTAGAAAGATATAAGTAGAAATATCAAGTTAACAGGTAGATAGACGTGATGGGAGCTCAGATAAATTTTTGAATCATCTATAATATTACATAAAAGGACAATTCAAACTATGTACATGAATGAAATAGCTTAGGAAAAGATTGTAGGTTGAGAATGGAACAGAACTAGGTCTAGCTTTGGGAAATGCTAACATTCAATAATAGGTAGACAATGATATTATAATGATACTCAACCTCGGCGGGGCAGGGGGGAAGAGAGAAAGATATTGAGAGGAGAGGGAGCAGAGGTCATTTAGGAGGGAAACCAAGGCAGCATGCTTGTTACAGGTATTTCAAAACGATAGAGCGGCAAGCGGTGAAGAATGCTGCTGAGGAGTGAGATGTGAACTGAAGAGCATCCTTTAGGCCTGGTTTCACTGAAGTCACTGATCAGCCTCTGCAGAGCAATTCTGATAGAATGACAGAAGCGGAAACCACATGAAAAAGGTGTGGGCTGAGGCAGCGAGCAGACAACTCTTTCCGGGAGCTTTGCTGTAAATGCAAAGAGAAGAGGTAGGGTGCAGTAGTTAGATTAGGGAAGGGTTAGGGGAGGTCGTGGTTCTTTTTTAATACAGAAGAGTCTTGAACATGCTTAAATGCCGATGAAACTGATCTGGTTAAGAGCAACAAGTTGGGTATTCAAGAAAGGGAAAAGATAAATTGATAGTACATGTTCCCTAGGAAGACAGAAAAAGATGGAACTCAAAACCCAAGTGGAGATACTGACCTCAGATATTTAATAAAAGGAGGAAATGCTGAAGATAAATGCAGGTCAGTCATTTCTGTAAGTTGGATATTGAGGTTTTTTCCATCTAATGGCTTCTGTTTCTCTGTAACATATAAGGTGATGTCATCTGTTGAAAAGATGGGAATGAGAGAAGGAAAAGGGAAAGTTTTGATCTGAAAAGGAAACCTCACAACAGTTCAACAATGACCAAAGTCACACAACTACTAAGTGACCGGAGGATTCTAATCCAGATTTTTATACTTGAATTCGGCCCTCACGCCACTCCACAGCAACTGTTGCTCTGTTCTCAGGATTTTCTTTCTTTTCTTCACATCATTTCCCTCCACAATGACTTCTGTACAAAGAAATTCTAGCTACTAAAATCACACGATGCTCAGGAAGATGTGGGTGTTATCTAAAATTTGATATCTTTGTTATACCACTCAGAGTTACGGTTTGAAGTAATACAACTTCAGCTATATCAAACAGACAAAGAATTTATGGGAAACAGACCATGTCGCTCACAGAATTGTCACAGTGACTAGAAAACAAGGTTCCAAAAATGGACAGGAATCAAGAGAAACTAGACAAAGCCAAGATGCAACAACAGTAAGACCGCCTAAGGTAAATGCTGGGTCCTAGGGTCTGCACACTTCTAACTCAACAAGGGATTGCTAGATTGCTCTCCTAATTGGTTTGTACAACACATCAACCATCATATATGAGAATCAAACTGAAACCTTACAAGCCCTCAAAAACACGAAAATGTGTAAAATCCCGTTAAATCTGTATATATTAGCAAATTTCCAAGTCAGATATGTATGGTCCTCAAGTTGGCTGTGATTTATTCTTGAATGTTCATGTTTTTATAATGTAAGAAACGTGTCTCTGTCAAAGATAAAAAGGTTGCTATTTAGTCAAGAATCTAGTCTAAGACTTATTTTTAAAATACCAAATGACAAGAAACAGAGCAAGCAGGAAATATGAATAACCTAAAATGGTTTCTGTAAGTAGATTTTCATATTCATTCATTCTCCAATTTATAACAATTGGGCTGGCTGTTTTTAGCCCCAAAATAAGTTTTTAACTGATTCATTCCCAATGATTAAACAAAGCCACTTGACACCACACACAAAACTATTTCTAATTCCTTTCCGATTATTTTATAGAACCTATAAAATAAGGGTAGGCCTAAAGAAAAGAAATGGCAAGATTCAGGTCATTAAATCTGGAATCTGTGAATGAGATTTTGGTGTAAATAAATTATTATGACACACTGACATATAAATTATCCGAATTCCTTCCCTTCTAAAAGTACATTTCTAAATTCCTTTTTAAGCTGCACAAAAAGTTATAAAATCTTTTGAGTTGTCAAATAACCAAAGACAATTCTTAATTCATATTTTCAATAGCATAAACACGTACAGTCTGTAATAGATATTGACTCACATTCCAAAGTGGAGCTCCTAAAAGTTAATAATTCAGTAATTAAATCTTCTCACTCATTTCTTTCTCAGAGCATCCTTATGAAAGGCATAAATTAATCAATCATCCCAGAATACAACTATGGCAAGCAGGTTGTGACCCACATGTACTGCAGTTGGCTCCATTCTATAACTTGGCTGAGGGAAATTTAGAAAGCATTTTCCCATCAAAAAGATAAATGTTTATTTGGCTTGAAACACTTCAGGAAGCAATAGTTTATGAAAATAATAATGTCATTTATTATACCACTTTGAAATATATCTTAATAAACAATAAAATAGACTTCAAAATAAATACTTATCCCCAAATCACTTAATTTTAAAATGTTTGGCAAAAGCAAGACCAATACAAATAAAAATCACTTTCTTTGCTATCCAAGAGGCAGGCAAGTTTCTTAAAATTAAAAGCAAATTACATATTGAAAAGCCTCAATAAACACGAGAGATACCTTCTCTTACCTACACATTATTTCTCTCTCCTTTTCTATTCAAGGAATCCCAATCAGTTCAAACAGTACTGGAGAGGAAGGGAAGGCCCCTACCCCAGGCCAAGGACATGGATCACAACTGGTCTAAACCAAGTGGAGCCATCTCACTACCCTTGATTCATGATCGACCAGGAGGTTCATGTGACCAAGGTCTTCCCAACAATATGCGACGAAGCAATTTATGGGGTGGGGACTTAGAAAAGCATTTTCTTCCCTGATTTTAAAAAAGAGAGCCAATACATTCTACAGACATCTCCTTTGTCCCTTTGTCCTCCTCCCCACTTCCTTCTTGAAACAGGAAAGTGATGCTTCAACTATAAGGCAAAAGCACAGAACAAAAATTAACACATTAAGGAAGGAGAAGCAGAAAGGCAGGCAGAAACTGGGTTCTTCATGGCACTGGGGAGTGGCTACATCCAGCACTATATCGACTGCCTGTCAACATCAGATAATGTTAAAAACTAATACATAAACAGCAAACGATTTGTGCATTTCAAGTCTTTTGAAACCAGCAACATTTAAAAGTGATGAGCCATACAAAAAGTATGACAACTGAAAGCATACCTTACATAAAGAGGAGTATAAAAAGGTACTACAAATACAGTACCAAATTCCTATGAAATGAACAAGGTACTTCAAAGAATAGACAAAACTTCTCATGCAATTTCAGATAAAATGCAAGAGTTACAACAAAAAGAATACACAAAAATCATAGGTTAGAAGATACAATACTATAATGATGTCAATTGTCCCAGGTCAATCTATAGATTTAATGCAATCTCATTCGAAATCTGAGCAGAGTTTTTTGGTCTGTGTTTACGTGTATGTCATTTGACAATTGATTCTACAAGTTTACATGGAAACTTTACATGGAAACTTAAAACTCTTTCCCCCATTAAATAATGATCAAGACAATCCTGAACAATGAATTTAGAGCACTTTCATTACCAAACATAAAGACTATTTGTAAAACTACGGTAATTAAGATACGGTGATAATGGTGCATAGGTAGACAAAACAGACCAATGAAACGTAATCTGTATTTCCTGGAGCAAGTAGAAAGAGTCCTACAAAGTCACTCAATTTAGGACAAAGGTGACACTGCGCTGCACTGGAGAAAGGATGATTATGTTAATTATAATGATGCTGCATCAAACAGACATTTATATAGAAAACAATAAATCATGACCTCTATCTACCTCCTACTCTGGAATTGTAAAAATCCATTCCAGGTAGGTTGTATACTTGTAGATGGTTCTGTTTCTTGCCACAACTGTTACCTTAGAAAAGGTACAAAAAAGTACAAAAAAAAAAATTCTGAAGAAAAAAGGGGGTAGATGGCCTGAAAAAGAACTGAGCAATAAAAGAGGGAAACAAATTTGAAGATAAATCCAGGAGACTTAACAGCCACATAGAAGGAGTTCATTTATTCATCTGTGCAATACATGTATTATATGGACCTACTCTATGGAAACAGTGCTCTAGGCACTTAGGATAGACAAAAATCCCTCTACTTTTAGAGCTTATATCCTAAATGAATTTCAGAAAGAGAAAAGAGAGACAACAGGGGAAAGAAATAATTTTATTACTTCTTTCTGGGAAAATAATATATCTTCCCACAAAAGAAAAACATTAGTTTCCAGATTAAATAACCCACCAAGACCCAGATCAAGGCCACCATGCCACATCAACGAATATCAATGCAAAATTTCAAACCATCAAAGAAAAAGACAAGTAAGAGTATTCCAACAGGGAAAAACACACACACACAAAAAAGAATCCAAGTGTCACTTCCATTGTCAAGAGAATCACTGGAGGCTATAAGGCAAAGGGCAATATAAAATTCTCAAGGAAAATGGTTTTCAACCAAGAACTTTTTACCTAGACAAGTGTGAGAGTAAAATATAGACATTTCCAAAGATCAAAAGTGTCTAAACATTTACTTCTTACACATGCATTCTCAGGAAACTCCCAGAAGGTGTGCTCCAATAAACAAGTAAAACCAGAAAGAGAGAGAGACATGGAGTCCAAGGAATCAGGGTAACAACAAAGGAGACAGGGAGAAGGTGGTGGTGTGAGGTGCCAAGATGAGAGCTGTCTGGAAGACCCAGAGAACAATCAGCTCATACTGATGTGTAGCTCTTAGAGGAAGATCTCCAGGAAGAAAAGGAAAAGGAAATAATAAGCCAGTCAACAAGTTTGGCCATATTAAGCTGAAATTCATACAGTTTAGAGATGAGCTAATCATAAATACATAGAATCCAACCAGGCAAAACAGAAACCTGGAAAGAGAGGAGCTATCCTCATCGTATGCTGTATGGGTCAGCTATGACCAATAATTAATAGTCATAAGGATGTACACACCACATTATGATTGAACCACAAGTTGTGACAGTGGGAAGGTAAAGGGAGATAAGAAGACATTGTGTATAGTGTCTGTGGGGATTGGCTCGGGAAAGGCACAAGAATCAGAAAAAAAAGTTAAATTTTCTTCCTGCAAGAAGAAAGGTGGAAAGAGGCAAACTAACTGGTTAGGAAGGCCAAGACTGAAGGGACAACGTAATGGCAGGGCATCTTATGAACCTCACCTAAGGGAAGAAAGCAAACCAGGCCCCGTGTTTCCTGACCTACAAACAACCAAAGGCAGCAGCTAAGGCAGGCTCACTCCTTGCCCGGACCAAACAGAATCCCAGTAACGACACCCAAGTAAGCACAGTGGCACCAGAAAAGCGGACAACAGAGAACCGCACTGACAACAGTGGTCAGAAGCACTTCTTTCCAGACTCCCTTCCCCCATTAAAGTTCCCAGGCAGCCAGGACTGCGGAAGCACCTTGTGCACCCTTGAGAGGCACCTGCAAGGATCGGGGGAGTCCTATCGGCAGCAGATGAACAAAAGACACCCAAACAGCAAGACAAACGCTCTAAAATTGAGGTCTCATTGGAACCACCCACAAAAGCAGGCCAGAACCTGAGTGCTAAACCTAACTAAGGGGGCTGTCAGCTAAAATAACAGGTTTAAGTAGGACCAAGAGTCTCCTAACATAACAGCCAAAATGTCCAAGAGACACTTCAAAGTCACACATCACAACCAAACCTAGGGGAATCACAACTTGAGTGAGAAAAAGCTAGCAGCTGATGCCAGCACCAAGAAGAGACATATGTTGGAATTATCTGACAAGGATTTTAAAGCAGCCATCACAAAAATACATCAACAAGCAACTATGTATTCTCTCGGAAAAAAATAAAACAAAAAAATCTAGAACTAGAAGTTATTTTTTTAAAAACAAATGAAAGTTAAAGAACTGAAAAATACAATAACTGAAAGATAAACTCACTGAATGAGCTCAATAAGAGAATGCAGATAACAAAGCATAAAATCAGTGAACTTGAAGATAGAGCAATGGAATTGACCAGCAACAACAGAGAGAAAACAGACTGGGAGAAAAATGACTGAACCTCAGAGCCTGTAATACAAAAGCAAAAGATCCAACATTTATGTCAGTAGAGCTTCAAAAGCAGAGGAGAAAGTTGCTGGGGCTGAAAGAATATTTAAAGAAATGATGGCTAAATATTTCCCAAATTTAGCAAAAGACATAAATCTACAGATTCAAGAAGCTGAGTGAAGCCCAAACAAAATAAACTCAAGGAAAAACATAGCAAGACAAATTAATAAAAACTGAAGAAAAAGATCTTGAAATCAGTGAGAAAAACAACACTGTACTTATAGAGGAATAACAATTCAAATAATAGCAGACTTCTCAACAGAAACCATGGAGACCAGAAGGTTTTCAACACATTTTTCAAGTGCTGAAAGAAAAGGACTGTCAACCATGAATTCTACATCAGTGAAATCACCCTTGAGGAATGAACAACAAATAAGAACATTCTAAGACAAGGAAAACTGAAAGAATTTGTGACTAAGCATAGAATGTCAACTTATATGCATAGAATGTCACCTTATAGAATGTCAACTCCTCGCCAAATTGATCTATTGGCTTAACACAATTCCTATCAAAATCTCAGCAAAGTTTTTTTACAGACACAGATAAGACTATTTAAAAATTTATATGAAAAGGCAAAGAACCTAGAATAGCTAAAACAATCTTGACAGAGAATAAAGTGAGAAGAATCACTCTATCCAATACTAAGGCCTACCATATAGCTCCATAATCAAAACTGTGTGGTATCGGTGGAGGAAGAGTCACACAGATCAATGGAACAGAGTAGAGAAGCCAGAAAGACACACAGTAAGATGCCCAGCTAATTTTTTACACGGATGAAAAAGCAATTCAGGGCAAGAATGGTCTTTTCAACATACAGTGCTGGCATAATAGGCATCCATTGAACAATTAAAAAGAAAAATGAATCTCCACCCAAGTCTCACATTTATAGAAAATGAACTTGAAATGAGTCACTTATATGTAATGCTTAAAACTATAGAACTTTTAGAAAAAAAAAAAAAGGAAAGAAAATCTTCAGGAACTAATGGTAGGTAAAGAGTTCTTAGAATTGACTCTAAAAGCAAATCCATATAGAAAAAATTGATTAGATCTATCAAAATTTAAAATTTTGCTTTGTGAAAACCCTCGTAAGATGATGAAGAGACAAGCTACAGACTGAGAGAAAATATCTGCAACCCACATATCCAGCAAAGAACAAGTATCTAGAATATATATTTTTAAAACTCAACAGTAAAAAAAAAACAAAAATCCAATTACAAAATGGACAAATGACACGAACAGATATCATATGATATCCAACACCAGTAGCCATTACAAAAATGTGAATTAAAGCCACAAGATATCACTGCATACCTATCAGAATATCTAAAATAAAAAAATAAGGATAACACCAAATGCAGGCAAGGATACAGAGAAACGGTACCACTCAAGCACTGGTGAAATAGTAAAATGGTACAGTCACTCTGGAAAATAGTTTGGCAGTTTCTTATAATACTGAACACAATTACTATACAACCCAGCAATTACACACTTGGGCACAGATCCTAGAGAAATGGAAAGTGATGTCTGCACAAAAACCTGCATGGAAATTTTCACAGCAGCTCAACAACTGAAAGTAACCTAGATGTCCTCCAAAGGGCTAAGAGTCAAACCATGGTATATTCCATATCATGAAATACTCCTGAGCAATAAAAATGAATTAACTGTTGATAAACACAACAAATCAGATTATTTCCAAGAGAATTATGCTGAGTAAAGCAGCAAATCCCAAAAGGTTACATACCGTATTATAGAAACGGAAAACAAATGTGTTATTGCAGCTGATCAGAGATTGGGAAGGGATAGTTATGAAAGGACAACCCAAGGGACTCTTGCAGTAATGCAACTATTTTGTATCTTGACTGTGGAAACACAAACCCACACCTGTAACAGAATTGCATAGACTTAAATGTACACAGCACACACACACACACACACACACACACACACACACAAATCTTGGGGAACACGAAAAAATCGAAATGCATTAATAAAAGTTCATTTTTAAATGGGAAAACTGAAAAAACGTAACATTAAAATGAATGATAAAGATGAAACTCTAGAAAGTGAGTTGATTTTCATAATCTAGCTGTATCGATTTTATTTGTGGACCTGGTTTTCCTTGATGTAAATTATTTTTATGTATTCTTACTGTATGGTGCCTCCAAATTTTTATAGAATGAGTAAGCAGGCAACCAATTGATCTCGGGTCCAAGTTTATATAAGTAAAAAAGCAGCTGGTGATGTACTGTGAATAGGAAATAAGTTATAACAAAAAAGTTAGCCTTTTAATGAAAATGACAAAGTTCTCAATGTTTAAAAATCTACATAACTTCTAATTCCTAAAACTTCCCAATTCTTTTTCTCCTACAAAACCAGTCGTACATTGTATCAAAATCAGGAAATGAATGTGATTACTTAACAGTCAATCCAAATGTGCCGGGAGGAAATAATACTGTCTCTCAGTGCCATTAAAAAAAATACTGCCAAGGCAGGAGGATCACTTGAGTCCAGGAGATCATTTGAGTCCAGGAGGATCGCTTGAGACCAGCCTGGGCAATATAGCAAGACCCTGTTTCTATGAAAAGTAAAAAAAAAATTAGCCAGACATGGTGGTGCACCTGTAGTGCCAGTGAGTGGAGAGACTGTGGCAAGAGGATGGTTTGAGCCCAGAAGTTCCAGGCTGCTCTCCCTCTGGAGGCTCTAAGGGGAAATCTGCTCCTTGCCTCTTACAGTAGGCAGCTGTCGGCATTCCTTCCTGTGTGGTCGCCACTGCAATCTCTGCCTGCAGTCACAGTGCCTCCTCTCCTTTCTTCCCCTCCCTCTGTGTCTCTCTCTCATATGGATATTTGTACTGGCATTTAGGGTCCACCAGATAATCCAGGATAATCTCTTCATCTCAAGATCCTGAATTTAATTACATCTGCGAAGACCCTTTGTCCAAATGGTCACATTCACAGGTTCCAGGGATTTGATGTGGATACCAAATGTGAGGAATAACATTATTTGGCCCACCAGGGCAACTTATTCAGGGGACCAGGGCTCTGCATCCCTTACAAGCCAGTGATGTTCCTCATGCCCAGCCAAGTTCTAGAGCCATTGTTTAAGCATTAGGACAGGAAACTCCCACAGTGCAAGGCACTGGCTCTGCTCAGATACCAGTTCAGAGGCTTCACAAGTTGGTGAGGGAAAGAGTTGGAAAACCGGGGGGGGTTAAACTGCTCAAAGTTCTAGACACCAGTGGCAGGATGGGTACCAATGGTGCTGTGACACAGGGTCCACTCTATCGTGGTAGCAGGACAGAGCTGAGGAGGCAATGGCAAGACGGGGATGGCAGTGGCATTAAAACCCACAATGGCCATGAGTAGTTTTCTCAAGGATGAATCAGGTGGAATAGGGTAACTGATTTTAACAGGGGCAGCATAATGAAGTATGTTCTGTGGTGAAAAATAAAACAAAGAATCACAGAACAAAAGGAGGGAGGGAAGAAAGAGATGACCTAGGCAGGAATGGGAAGAGGAATTGGACTCTTATCACAACACCCTGCAAGACTTCTGGAAACAGTCAACAGCGGGGATTTCTAACAGGGTGGTGGAGGAGGGGAGGGAAATTCCACACAAAGTCAATGACTATGTATATTTCCTTGAATTCTAAATGTCACCGTACATAGGACAATATTGTAGGAAGTTCTTCTATAACATAGCTGGTTGGCAAATATTTCCATCTTTCACTATTAGCAAGAGTGCCTTATATTAGTATGAAAGTGTACACAAAATTAAGTCCTCTCAATGTGACATTTTATTAGTAAAGGTTTTGATTTGTTATTAATGCATGTTCATCATAACTTTCTTGCTTTTTTGACATACTAATTATAAGGTTACCTTTATTACAGGGATGTTTATAGTAAGAGGCTCTCTACAATTGAAAAGCAAATTAGTATATCTGTTTTTAATGGAAGGGTACATCACTCACAACCTGTCAGTTTCTAGTATCAATCACCTGCTTCCAAAGAGTGGCAGAAAGCAACCAAGTGCTTAGCAAAGGCAACACATAAAGCCAGCACCTAAGAATCTGGGGTATCTAGCACCATCCTAGAGTCCTTGAGAAAATAACCACTTGTTCTTAAGAGGTTAGATAAAATTCTACCTGTCCTAAAGAAAGCTGACACGACAAAAGCCCCAAACACACTGAACAGATAAACAAAAATGCTCATAACTTACTTTAATCATGTGAGTCGGCTTACCCTTGAAATCCTTAAAGAATTTATACAATTTAACTCAATACAAATTTAGTTCTCTATCTCTGTTTTTAAAATACAAGTTCCTTCACTGTAATGAGTTCTGAACAGATTATGTTTTCTGTATACAAAAAAGAGTCAATATTGGAGTCAGAGCTCATAAGGAGAGAAGCCTGCGTGCTATGCTAACACTCCCATTTGGAGGCTAGTCTCTTTGCAATTGCCCAACACCACCTGCATACACTTCTCTAAGTCTTTCACTTACTACACTAGTTTGATTGGCCCAGTACAGTTGGTTTTTAAATGTTTATGACTGAGAGAAAAAATGTGGACGTTTTGAAGGAGAGCAAAATGGAAAGTGATCACGCAGAGTAGAACCCCTGGTGGCCGACAGTACTGTTTAATTTCATACCTGTATTGTTAATCAAATATTGGCTGTAGCTTAAATTTCAGTAAATCACTCAGTCCTATGTTACATGTAAATCCTCAGGATAAAAATATCTCACATAGTGAAAGATAATGGAAATTAGATGAAATCGACTTGTTTCTGATTCTACTGCTGATAACACTGACGTCATTTTGATCACATTGATGCAGTGTGATCATCTGCAGAGGCCTCAGTGCAAGGCAGCTCCCTTCCCCGTGTCCAAGTCCCCTGACCCTCTCTCTTCCCTCCATTTCCTCAGAATGTACCCTTTAATTCACAAACAAAAACGCAGCTATTCGCATTCTTCCCTGGCCTACTCTGCCCTACCTCAAACTTGCCTGTGCCTTAAATCCTAAAACGTTCCTTCCTCTCTCCAGACTCAGTGGGAAAGCGGTCCCTATTTTTCCTGGAACTCCGGGCTTGTCTCTTGGAACTTCACAACAATTGCCCCTTTCTCCTATATTTTCACCCTCTCCCCCATCCCTAGATTTAGGACATTGCTCACGTCTTGTTCATCTTACATACCCACACCCTCGCTCAGCCCTACATCATCTCCCAGCTACTGTATCATCCACTTAGCAGCCAACCTATAAACTCCTCTCACTTTGCCTCCCATTCTCTTGCCTGAGCCACTGATGACCTCTTTATTGCCAAACCCAGGAGACAGGTTTGAGGATGAGCTGATGTGAAATCTCTGTGCCATCTGACTGCAATGACTATCGTTTCCTTTATGAAACTTTCTCCTCCTTTGGCTTCCGCAAAACTCCTCTCTTCCTATTTTCTTCCTATGTCTCCTGCCATTCCTTCTCAGTGTCTTCTTGTGATCCTTTGCCTACATCTTAGATGTCTCCATCTTCATCCCTCTTCTCTCTTCATGCAATTATTCCATCTATGCAATTTCATATACTCCCATGACTAAAATACCACCTATATACACTGATAATGTCAAAATCTCCAACTCTTTTCACATGAGCTAAGGTCAGATCTATTCAGCCAACCAATAAAGATCTTCATTTGTCCCCACAAAACCCTAAAAGCCTCCAAACATTTAAGTCTAAAACAGAACTCACTAGCTTCCCATTCCCAAACTCATTCCTCCCCTCGTTTTCATAAACCAAATCCCTGCAAGTCTACTTGTTCCAAACTAGAAATCTACGTATCATCCTAGACCCCTTCCCTTCCTTTATATCCCAAATGCTAGCACTGCTACTTCTTAAAATCTCTCTCAAACATCCCACTTTATTATCTGCCCCAAACATTTCTCACCCAGATTATTATGCTACCATTCTACTCATCTTCAAGATCCTGGGCTTAATAATACCTCATCCACACATTTGTCCAGAGAAGTCCTTCTAAACAGCAGTGAAGAGACCACTCCCCTACTTACTATAACCCACTTTCAAGACAAAACCAGTCACCTTAGTTTGGGGTAAGAGGTCTTCCTCACTATTACCAAACTCTATACATCATCTCTCACATATCGATAAATATGAACACATGTGCACATACATATGATCCAATTATACAGAATAACGGACTTTACCACACACATTTCCATTTTTCTTCAGTGTCTATATTTACTATTCACCCCTAGTTGAAAGCTCCTCTCCCTCCAACCACCCTCAACCTTTATGCCTGGTTAATTCCTTTCTTCCTCTGGAGCGCAGCTCCGATGTGACCACTTCCATGAAGTCTCGTCGACCCCCCAACAGCCAGTCTGATTTGTGTGTTCCCCTCTACGTTTTCATGGCATCCTGGACACGTGGCTAATTGTTAATAAACAGTTCTGCAATGATGTAACCTGAGTGTCCACTAGCTCCTAAGCTATAGGAGGGCAAAGACTACACCCTTCATCTTTATTCCCCAGAGCCTCACAAAATGCTGAAAGCACAGCTGATGTTCAGTAAATATTGGCTGAATGAAGAAATGAACGAACAAACTAGTTACACAGGTCTCTGCCGCTCAGTGTCTTTTGGGTTTAAATGCTACTATTAAATATTCACAAAATGTGCTATTTAATAGCTGCATGTTATTCTATCCTAGGAATGTAGCACATTATATTTCCTTATGGCCTTCCTGTTAAATATTCAAGGTGTTTACAGAAGAATTCTTTGTACTCCAAAAGCCTACTTCTAATTATAAAGATGATCTAACCTAATTCAACATATAGTCAAATCTTCTCAAATCTGTAACTGATACAATTCTTCAAGCCACTCCTGGCTAGAGATACTGGAGTTACTTTGCCTCTCCTTCATCATTTGTATAATGGCAGCTAAATCCAATAAACATTTCCTAGCAGAAGACTGTAGAAAGCACGATTTTGTACCACCAAGCCTGAGGACATTATTTCCACAATGAATGAAAGTAAGATGTGTATGGATCTGATCGCTCTGTGCAGGGCATAAAGGATGAGCCCAAAATAAAAGTGTGAAATCGGCAATTTGCCTTCAGATCTCTCTGTAGGTGCAGCTTTGAGGCACCCCTAGCCCCAAAACGTGACACACAGCTTTACTTGGAGAACCATTCCTACAGAGCTTATGTTGTAAAGAAAGGACTCAATGAATCCTAATTTCTCTGTATGTGAAAAGCAAAGAGCTTTCCTTCTTAGATTCCATAAATGCCTTTCTTCACTATGTTTACATGTTATTGCTTTTACAGAAGAAATGAGTAAATATCCCAAACTTTCCCTTTTTTCCCCAGGGTCTTAAAATTGTTAGGTTGCAAGCTGATTAGTGAATTTGTTCGCAGGAATAATCCTTCCTGTGCTCGCAATTTTAGCCAGAAACAATAAAGAGTAACAGGTAGCATTTGACATTTGAGCAAAGAGAAATAACCTTTTCAACTTACTAAATCCTGCTTTTAAAAAGTCATTACCTTACTGAAAATGGGTTAAGCTGGGGAAAAATGTAACCATTTAAATATTTTTTTAAAGTACTGATGGCATTTAAATTCAGAAAGAAAGGGTGGTTTATTTACTAAATGGCATTAGCATAATAAGTGGCTAGATATCTACAAAAATGCAAAGCTTGACTCACATATCTCACCATATATAGAAGTAAAATCCAGATGAATTAAAAGATATTTATATAAAAAATAAGACAGTAACATTCATAAGAGAATTTAGGCAAATATTTGTAGAACTAAGATGGAAAACCTAAACAAAGATAGATCAATGTGATTACATATATTTTAATTTATTCTAGAGCAAAAAAAAATACCCTAAACCACTTCAAAAATACATAGACTGGGAAAACTTCCAAAATAAATAACCAAACAGTTAATATCCCTAATATAAAAACTACTCCCAGAAACTGGTAAGTAAAAGGCAACTCAATAGAAAAATGGCCAGATAATATGAGCAGAAATTCACACAAGACAAAACTGAAATGGCCAATAAACATAAGCCGTTCAACTTCACCAATATTCAGCAAATGCAACTTAAAGCAACGAGATAGCAGTTTTCACCGATCACATTTGCTTAAAGAGTGATAACACCTAGTGCTGTTAAAGATGTGATAAAATGAACCTTATACAAGACTGCAGTAAACATTTAGGAAAGAAATCTACTAATATCTATACAATGTTAAGTATACATATCCCTTGAACTGTCAGTCCCATTATCAGAAACCTACCCTCTGGAAATCAAAGCATTGTTGTGTAAGAATAAAGATATATAGGCCGGGTGCAGTGGCTCACACCTGCAATCCCAGCACTGTGGGAGGCTGAGGTGGGTGGATCACCTGAGCTCGGGAATTCGAGACCAGCCTGACTAACATGGAGAAACCCTGTCTCTACTAAAAATACGAAATTAGCCAGGCATGGTGGCGCATGCTTATAATCCCAGCTACTCGAGAGGCTGAGGCAGGAGAATCACTTGAACCCGGGAGGCAGAGGTTGCGGTGAGCCGAGATCATGCCATTGCACTCCAGCCTGGGCAACGAGAGTGAAACTCTATCTCAAAAAAAAAAAAAAAAAAAAAAGATATATAAGCTAAGATATTTACCGTCTCATTGTTTATAACAGAAACAAAAAACAATACCTCACAGGAAGCCACCCAAATGTACATCAATATGCAATAACTGAATTAATTAGTACATTCATACTATAGAATACACTCCAGTTAATTTTAAGTGATTCTGTTCTATACATACTGTCCTAGAAGAATGGGGTGGGGGGCAACTTAGCGAATGGTCCAATTTATGAAGCATACATTTATTATTATTGAAGTCCAACACATGTGAAGAGTAAGTGAGTGTGTGTGTGTACTTGTTTGAGCATGGGGAAGAGTATGAAGAGATACACCCTACAATGTTAACATCAGTTGGAGATTAATATCACATTATTTGAGAAGAGATGGTACACAATCAGCTAGGGTAAAGATAAGTTTCGCTTCACAATATGTTAATCATTCCAATTGTTACTATTAAGTTATTTTACTTTTGTAACTTAAGAAAATATTAAGTAAAATATTGTCTCCTCTAATATAGGTTAATGAATAATATCTAATATACTAAGACATATATAAACAATACTGAATTATAAATCTCTTAGAGAACACTTCTTAAATGAGATGTATTCTACTGCATCTTCAGAGATTTTAATAAGATTTCAAGTTCAGAGCTCTATAATCGGTCCCTTGCACAAAAATAGAAACCTAAAGCCCACTGCACATCATGATTCACTCAGATTGCTTCATCGTATCTCCAGAGAACTCATCTGTATTTTTTTTCAACCTTTTTCTTGACTGTTGTTCTACCAATTACATGATGTCTAAAAAGATGAACCAGGCAACAACTGAAAAAGACTGTGAAGAGAATAAACACATGGGAAAGCAATAATCTCAAAGCAAACCCACTTGACTGTTCAGTAATCCACAAACACTTGCAGCTAAAACAATACCCTGGATATTAACTATTCTTTGCAGTACCACTGATTTGATACTAGTTATTTGTTAGGGATTGAATTCAAATAGAATAATAATTTTGTCTTGTTTGAAAATAGGTATTGCTTAAAATTATTATTAACTTATTCTACAAATGCTATTTTATAATGCACGGTGAGAAAATGAAATTAAAAGCAGAGACTTATTAAATTGAGTTGAATTGATCCAAAACATTTAGCATGATACAGCTTCTGCAAGGAAGTTTCGTGGCTCTTACACAGTGTCTTTTTAAGATTCTACTCAAAGTCAAAGAAAGGACTGGCAGAAAAATTGTAATTTTTGCTGTAAGATGCTGGTAGAAAACTTATCAACTATAAGATTGTCTCCAACTTTCCGCAATTGTATGATAAAGTGCAAAAATTTTAGATGCACACAAGCCTTGGTTCATACCTTAACTCAAACATTTCTAAATTGTGTGACCTTAGCTAAGTTAATGTACTTGCATGAGTTTCAGATTCTTTATCCACAAAATAGAGATAATAGAGGGTTTCAAGGTTACAGACAGCATACACCATGCCAAGCACATAGTAGCTGCTTGAATTACAATAACCAATCTTATGATTATTAGCATGTCTTGAGAAAGAAATGAGATCTTACCTAACAGGGAAACCAACTCAAATGACAGAATTTCTCATTAGAAACTAAAGAGGACCAGAAGGGAGCAATAGAACATTTTTCAAGGGCTGAAAGAAAAGAGCTGTCAACTGCAAATTCTATATCCAGCAAAATTATCCTTGGCAAATGAAGATAAAAATTAAGACATTCTCAGTTGAAATAATAAAGAGAATTTGTCTCCAGTAGACCGACCCTCAAGAATATGTAAAGAAAGTTGAAAAAAACAAAAGTGATAAGAGAATATTAGAACATCAGGAAGGAAAGGAAGGAAGAAAAAACATAAGCAAAAATATGGGTAAACACAATAGACTGTCTTCTCTTGAGTTTTCTAAATTATGTTTGATGGCTGAAACAAAAATAATATTGTCTAATGTGATTCTTAATGTGTGTAGAAGAAATATGTAAGACAGTTATAAACAGTGTGGGGTAAGAAGAGTTCAAGGAAGGTTCATAAAATGACATAGAACCACACATATACATTGTACCAATGTCAGTTTTCTGATTTTGATGTGTACTAAATTATATAAGCAATATCCATTAGGAGCAACCAGGTGAGGAGCACAAAGAGCTCTCTGTACTATCTTTGCAAGTCCTTACACATCTATAATTATTTCAAAATAAAAAGTTAAAAGGAATGGTTCCTAACTTCAGTCATGTGAATAACTAAACCATTCAAGATGATAATTTGCTCTTAAACTTTTTAGGGGAGAGACAGCACAATTTCCTTCCACAGTTTAACCTAACTTAACCTAACCATGGTAAAAGTCAGTAAATTCTGTTTTCTTTAAAATACTTGCTCTCTCATTATTATTGAGCCCATTTTTGTCTTGGTGCTGTTTTGTAGGTATCTAAGATTATACCCAAATGCATATAAGTTTTATCAGCTGAAACCCAAGTGTTAAAATGTGAATTCTTAAAAGAATATATTGTTTGACCTGTTAATAAGGTGAACAATTTTAATATAAATGCAGCTAGTAGGTTTTTAATATAAATCTGCCTTTTCAACAGAGTAAGGCATTTTATAAGATACAATAATATGATTTCACTGTGATTTATTTTAAGAAA
Source organism: Homo sapiens (assembly GCF_000001405.40). Classification (NCBI taxonomy): domain Eukaryota; kingdom Metazoa; phylum Chordata; class Mammalia; order Primates; family Hominidae; genus Homo; species Homo sapiens. The sequence continues at coordinate 3,445,057 of NC_000007.14, read as the reverse complement.
ATAAATACACCAAAATTTATACTAAGTATCCTACAAATATGCCTACTGACTCTGCTGGTATTACCAATGTTTTAAACATTTTAAACTCATCTTTCAAAATTTTTCAAAGTAGTTTGTAAGTAGGAAATAGTTTCTTATCTTATTACTCTACATCACATAGACCTTACATTTTTGTTTGTGAAATTGGCTACTGAGGCTATTCAAACCATGCAGGTAGGGCTCTAAAGGGGATCACATTTGCAGGAGATTTTAAAAAGTCATCTGTGCAAACAGGGAACATCACTTTAGATAAAACTGGACATTAGCCAAGTTGGTCACCCAATTTAGCTGGGGACTGGCCTACTGAAAACAGAAAACCAATCAAGGACAGCAATCTAACAACTGACTGTTGAAAAGAAATATACATAGCTAGAGAGAGGGGACAGAGAGGTGGGGCCATCTAAGGCGAACACTAACGAACAACAGAAGAGTGTGTCCAGTTCTGGGTGGCCCATTTTAAACAGAATTTTGAAAAACTAGAGTTCTCTTATAAAAAGTTCTTAAATAAGGAGAAAATAGTTCCTCTTTTTAGTACTACCTGCTACTATAATTGTATCATGAAATCACCCATTGACTCAATAAATATTCATTAAGCACTCCTAAACACAGAAATACAAAAATAAGAAAGAAGAGACTACGGTAGAGAAAATAATTTGGGGAAAGGAAAATTAAAGTGACACTAAGAACATGGAAGTTGGGGATGTCTGGTAGACATCCAAGTGGAGATGTCCAACAGGCAAAACCAGCTAGCAGGCAGACATAAATACTGTAAGACCACACTGCCAGGGAGACCACCCAAAGAAGAAGGCCAACAGCTGGCAGACTTGGGCTCAGGAGGTAGCAAACATCTCTGTCTTATAAATAAGGACAGAATTAAACCCGCCCTTTCCAGGGAAAGAAGTAAAAAGGGAAACAGCAACGTAAGGTAAAGAAGGAAGAGCAGTATAGGAGTCTGGGAGAGAGCTGGCGCAGGCAGGAAGGCTGCACAACCGCCTCTCTTGAATCCTTTTGCTTCTTCTCAGGCTTCCGTGCTATGTATATGATAGAAATAAATAATGCTCTTTTGTTATTAAACCATTTGTTAATAGCACTCTGTGTTCACATCTTCAGTCATATTGACATCATGTTCTGCTGTGGTTTAGCTGAACTTGAAATAATCAGTTTGCACTTTATTATACAACTTCCAATGGTGATATCACTAGCCTGATGACAATACATTTATAAGAAAGAATCTAAAAATAAAAGCCATTACGCTGCTGACCACCAAATAAAAACAGATTTACTATCTTCAAGGTCACTCAGAGCTGAATTTAACAAATTCAGTTTCCCCTTCGCAATTACAAATGAAGAAAGTAAGCACAAATCAAACCAGCATGGAGGCTAGTGTGGCTCCAATTAATGCCGGCTGTATGAGAAACATTTAAACTTGGAATTCAGCTAGCACTATGGATTTTGTAACTAGTCATCATCTCCTTCATTAATAAGCAGTTAGTGACAAAATCAGATCACATCATCTGTGCAGTTAATTACAAGCTGGAAAATATTCAGGGTATACAAATTTTATTAGCATGGCTGACATCTGTCAACTATTTTGGTTAATTACTCTTGAATTTGGATTCTAGTCTTCAACTATTCCAAATTTTAATATATTTGACATAAACGGTTTGCAAGCTACCATTATCTCTGTTGAGTATTTTTACCTTATTCCTATTCTAAAATTGTCAAACATAAGTAGTGTTAGCTCTCATGCTGACATAGTTCTTGTAGCTAAATAAAATAAACTGTTAATTAGTACAATGCTATCTACCACAAGGTTAAGTTTTTTTGTTAATGCTTATTAAATATTCTCTGCATTGCTATATAGAACATAAAATATCTTGAACTCTCTTAATTACATGTTAAGGATATAACCCTGAAACTTTTCTCTTTACTTGGGAGGGAAAAAAAAAAAAAGCACTTAGATTTTTATTTTTACAGGCTGGATATGGATAGGGTATTGTGTTGCTTTATAAGTAAACATGCTTCCCACACCTCATCTAATCTACACATCCTTTATAGAGCAGGCTTCTTGGGAGAAATTAGTTTTTAAATGAAAGAAGACTGGGGCAAAACGAAAAGATCAAAAGTGTTCGGAGGGAATGGAAGAGACAGAACACAGTGAGTAGAACAAGTAATTCACAGAAAGTAAAGCAAAAGCAGTTCACTCAACAGTTTACATTTCACAGGTAGTCACTGGCAACAAGAACACACAAAAGGAAAAAGGAAAAATGGAGAAAATATGCTAAAAACAAAACATATCAAGTGCACTAAACTTGTACAATTACTCACTTTTAATTTCCCCATGTTACTATAATAATTTTCCATATTCTCAAAGAAAATAGGCTTAGAGAAACTAAGTGAATCCCTAAATTTGAAAAGTTAGAAAAGGGCAGAGTGGTGATTTGAACTCAGGCAGGTTGACTTCATGCCCTCAACCACAATACAACCTTGTTTCCAAAATGTATATTCTCCACTTAAAAGAGAGGTCTTAGGAGGATAGTGTAGGCTCACTCTCAAGGATAAATATGTCCTGAACTGTCTTTCAGAAAGGGTTAATTTGCAATGACCCAGTTACCATTCCATTTGTGGTCTTTATGTAACTGATCAACATGGGTGTCACCTATGGTGGTAATGAATGATCCAGCTACCTGACACATACACGAGTTGAACCTTGGCTTCCTTACTATAATCAATACTCCTTTAGAAAAATGCGGAGCTTTAACATGAAAGGCTATGTGCTATAAAAGACATGGCTATCTAAGTACATATGGCACCCTGATCTCTTTCCTTCATAACTAGAATTAGGCTGCTCCCAATAATAATGGCTTAATCTTCTTTTTTGGAGAATGTGGATATTCCTGAACCTCTGGCTTAAATCTATCATAATCTCACCCAAAATGCCCACCATCTGGCAGGTACCAGCAGGCTAGGTGAGTACACGTAACGGTCAACTGGCATCTGTGGCGTGAGGATGCTTGTGGAGAGCTGCTCTGGATAAGGCATCCCGTATTCATACCTATCATATTAAGTGGGGATTTTGTGGAGAATCACTCAGGCAAATCAAGCAAAAAGACCAATTCCCAGTGTTCTGCTTAATGTAATTTCAAGGTACCCTAAGTATCACTTTTGGTTTATGATCGGTGACACTGAGTGGTTTACATTTTAAACGCAGATAATGGTTTTACATGTGAGAGACTCAGAAATGACTCGATGTTGTTAAGATGTCTATTCTACCCAAATTGATTTACAAGATCCAATGCAATCCCAGTCAAAATCTCAGGATATCTTTTGGTAGAAACTAACAAGCTGTTTCTAAAAAGGAAAACAAAGTTGGGAGGCTAATGATACCTGACTTCAGGAATTATGATGAAGTGACAGCAATCAAAATAGAGTGGTTGCAAAGAGACACAAATGTATCAACGGAACAAAACAGAGTCCAAAAATAGATCCACACATACATGGACAAGTGATTTCCAAGAAAGTGAATAGGCAATTCAGTGAAGGAAGGGAAGCCTTTTCAACAAATGGTGCTGGAACAATTCATGTACACACACAAAAAGAGATTTTGGTTTTTTTTTGTTTGTTTTTTGTTTTTTTGAGATTTTGGATCCACACATGTCATGATGTACAAGAGTCCTCCTTATCTGCAAGAGATACATTCAAAGGCCCCAGTCAATGCCTGAAACCAGATAGTACTGAACCCTATATATACTGTTTTTTCCTATTCATATTTACCTATGATACAGTTTAATTTATAAATCATAAAATAAAATATTAACAATAACTAGTAATAAAATAGAATTATAACATACTGTAATAATAGTTATGTGAACATGGGCTGTCTCAAAATATTTCACTGTACTATACTCACCTTTCTTCTTGTAATGATGTGACATGGTACAATGCCTATGTAATGAGATGAAGTAGGGTGAAAGACGTATGCATTGTGACGCAGCATTAGGCTACTACTGATTATCTGTATTCTTGAATCTGTGTAACTATCCCTCACTTGGTGTAACTCATTTCAAGGGATCCCTTGCTCAAGTCGTCATATAGGCTGAATGATTCTGGCACAACACATTGCTGTCAATTGGAACATCTTTTTGGTTCGTATCTTCCACTCACAAATTTACCTTTCCACCTTAACTAAGCACTTAATACACATTGTGGCCATAACTTTTGCAGTTTGAGGTGCAACAGCAAGACCAGCATAAATTTACTTGTCCTGTTTCACAATTTCATGGATAGATTTGTTCTTAATCTTAGCAACCTCAGCATATTTTTCTCTTTCCTTCTTAAGTCAAGAACGTTCACCTTTTCATTTAAAGGAAGCACTTTCTATCTTCTCTCTGGCACATCCTAATTGCCAACAACACTACTCCTATACTTTGTGGTCATTATTAATTAAAATAAGGGTTACTTGAACACAAGCACTGAGATACTGCAACAGTTGATCTGATCACTGTGAACCTCAAAGAGCAAATCCCTCAAGATGAATCCTGAGGGGCTAACTGAGTCTAATGGTCACACATGTACCCCAAGTTTCCAGAAAACCTACACATCTGTTTAACTCCGAACCTTCGCAGCTTACCATTCCTGTTCAGGCCACCTGAACCAACAGACTGTATAGCCTGCACCAACCAATCAGAAATCACTTGCACTGAGCAACCTGAACTAAGCAAGGTGGACTCCTTCATTTGAAAAAATATACCTGAATGCAAACCTGGGCAGAAAGATGCTCTATAAAAGCTCCATCCTTCCTTTGTTCTCTGGAATACACCTTCATTTTACAGGGCACAAGGGATGGTGCGAGATTCCATCACACTACTCAGGACGGTGCACAATTTAAAACTGATGAATTATTTACTTCCGGATTTCCATTTAATGTTTTCGGACCACAGGTGACTGAAACTACAAAAAAATGAATATGCAGGTGAGAGGGGACTACTGTGAATATGTCAAAGCATATCAAATTATATATCTTAAATATTTCCCATTTACTATATTTCAATTATATCTCCATAGAGCTATAACTTAAAAAAAAAGTCCAGCACAGGGTAGTTTGGGAGTTAATGTAATTATTATCCCAATCTGACCTGCCTCAGGGCATCTGAGGACAGCACAGTGCCCTCTAGTAAGCAAGGAGGTCTTCAAGGGTGTAGTTAAAGCTGTCATGGCCATTCTCACTATCTTCCTCCCACAAAGCTGGTGGCTTTAAATCATGATCATAAAGCTAAATCATGTATAAATGACAATGTTTTTTCTGTTCTATAAAGCAAGCTGTATCTTATCCAAAAGTGCATCAGATCATTAAGAAACAAATTCAAAAAGAGAAATGTACTGACTTTTTAAATCCCATTAGAAAGTATTAACTATGCCATCCCAGGACATTCCCACAACAGTGACTCACAGAGGCATTCCCTTACAGATTCAGAATGAGTAGTATGTTGCAATCTGGATTTAGCTTATGCTTCTTGGCACATTAACTGATTGCTGTCCACTGAGTCTTAGGAAAGGTTGACCAAACCCGAAACAATCTAACATTACTCTTCACTAGTGCTCTAGAGGCTTGTAAGGAGCGCAACAGTAGTCTCTAGAGGAACAGCTGCATCCGGAGCTTGCATGCTACTCATATATGATGACTTGAGAAACATTAGCTTTATTGGTTTTTAAGCAAGAAAGCGACACACGTTTTAGATGAAATGTTCACTCAGGGGAAATAAAAGAGTTTATTTATCTAAATAGGTTAACTATATTGTGTCTAACCACCACCCCAAAAATGTGATGAACTGCACATTTGAGATGTTGGATAATTAATAGAAAGGGGGGCCGGGCATGGTGATTCACACCTGTAATCCCAGCACTTTGGGAGGCTGAGGCAGGCTGATCACGAGAGGTCAGGAGTTTGAGACCAGCCTGGCCAACGTGGTAAAACCCCATCTCTACTAAAAATACAAAAGTGAGCTGGGCGTGGTAGCAGGCAACAGTAATCCCAACTACTCGGGAGGCTGAGGCAGGAGAATCACTTCAACCCAGGAGGCAGAGGTTGCAGTGAGCCAAGATCGCACCACTGCACTCCAGCCTGGGCAACAAGAGTGAAACTCCATCTCAAAAAAAAAAAAAAAAAAAATATTAATACAAAGGGGAAGAAAACAGGGTTGCTGCCAATGATGGAACTTAGTAAAGTATAAACTTTTCAGGATAAAGACAGATGAGTTGTTTGAAGTGAAAGGAGAAGATTCCAAGGACAGAAAGATTAAGAGTTTACTGAGGAAAGAAAGAATCAAAAACTTGGGTTGGCAATAGAGATGAGAGGTCCCACACCAACTAAGTGACAGCCCCAGATTGAAGCCAGACACCGTCCACTCCAGAGCCCATGTTCTTAACCATCCTACTGACCAACTCCTGCATGCCATCAGCAGCACTGACACATGGGCCTTCACAATGGACACTTCATGAGACTGGCAGTGTCTCTGCAGCTGTCCTCACTGTGTAGACAGCACAGATAAGACAGAAATAGCGGCCACAGAAAACGTAACATTTATGAAGCTTCTCTCATATGTAAATGTTAGAATCTAGAATACATCATTGTAAAGAAGAAATTATTTCGAATACACAGCATATTCTATTTTCTCTGTCTTCACATGAAGGTGATAGATATAGCAGAGACAACAGGCACATACTATAAAATGATTACCCTAGTTAAATGTTTTTATGCAGAAGTCATATTCATTGGGAATATAAAATAATATAGGTCTTAGCAGCAAACGTTCAGTTTAGTATTAACTATGATACATAAAATAAAATGAACAAAAAGACCATGCAATGCAGAACATTAAAAGCACTCTGGGGCAAAGGCAGGATGCAGGGGGCTAGGTCAAGAGATCTGGGGTGCGGGTTAGCTGTAAATAACTTAATTATTCCAAGTCCATTTCTTCATCTATAAAATGCAGAATAATTCCACTTGCCCCAACAATGTCTCAGGTCTTAGAGGATTAAATGAGAGAGTGTAAAAGAAACTGCCAAGGCTCATACACAAACGTAGGGGGAGTATTCTCATTACCACTGCGTTCTCTCTTTCAGAGATGTCAACTACGTAATCCCTTCACTTGGTTTCAGTACTACAAAAGATGGAACTTCTATTCAGCCAAAGCTTCCACTAAGGTATCTGAATAATTTTTTGGTATCCTTAATCATATCTAATTTTTTTAGTATTATTAATTTTTTGGCAGAGACAGGATCCGACTCTGTCACCCAGGCTGGAGTGCAGTGGCACGATCACAGCTCACTGAAACCTGAAACTCCTAGCCCTGCCCCCTGAAATAGGTGGGACTACAGGCGCGCACCATCACATCCAGCTAACTTTATTTTTTGTAGAGAAGGGGTCTTGCTGTTGCCCAGGCTGATCTCAAACTCCTGACCTCAAGCAATCTTCCCACCTCAGCTTCCCAAAGCTCTGAGATTACAAGTGTGAGCCACTGCACCCAGCCGATCACACGTAATTTTGACTGCTGGCACATGAAATAGAGGATTACTGGTTTGTAAATTTTCACATCTTTTTTTAAAGTTTGCTCTCTACACACTGCAAAACATTAGTGACATTATGCTAAAACATTCTTTATAGAAACTCGCATTTTGTCCTTACAAATGATTACACTGATTTTTTAATTCCACCCCAAGGCCCACCCCTCAAATCTGGGAAATAACAATGTTATAAGACTTTTTAAGAGAAAAAAAAACTTTTATTACTTACCACTCAGGTTTTCAGACATATTTTTTGCATTGGAATATCTCCTTTCACCCCTGAAGGGTACTGAACAATAAAGGTGAAGGACTACAGTAAAATGTCCCGTATTGATTTTTAAAGGATGTATTAATCGTCTTTTAGTGTCATGAGATCATGTGGAAAGAAAAGCAATGTGAAATCAGACCAGGCTCTCCTGGACTGATAGAGGAGCAGCCGCTGCCCCTTACATATATAACCCAGGAAATTTTTTTTATTGTGACTAATCCGTTAGACATTCTATGTTCTACATTTTTTGCTCAATAAAATAAATAAATAATGAGGTAAAGATACACTTTCATTACAGAACATTCTATTGTCTATGTAGGTTCTTGGGGAGGGTAGACGAGTTTTTAAAAGGCAGTTTAACATTCTTCTGGCTCTTATTCACAACTCTAGACTACAGATTTCAGGGAAAGGGGAAGACAGTGAGGACAAAGAATCTGTTCTAATTTAAACATTCTTCACGATTTAGTGGCAATTACTTCTTTTAAGGTTCAGTCACCTTCAAAATATTACACGATAAAAATAAGAGAAAAATATTACATGGTTCATAGCCAAGAACATTAATAAGAGTACTTTCTAAAGTATAATCATTATTTTCATTTTCTATTTAAAATTTTTCATTTTTTATCACCTCAGTTGCCAAATTTCAATCTTCATTGATTAAAAACACAGCAAAACTCCTTGCATACAGATTTATTCAGGTTTGCAAACATTAAATCATCATTAGATTAGAATGACAAGCATGACAAAATTAATACAGCAGAAGAGGTTCAGGGAAATATAAAATCTAAAATGTATTGAATTAGGTTTTAAATTGAACCCATACAAGCTTAAGTTCAATGAAAACCAATATTGCACACTTTTTAATCAATTATTTCGTAATCATCCCTCTAAATCCTTTAATTTACCGAGAAATCCTATCTAAAAAGTTTTCTAAAGTCAGCCATAAAATACCACTGAAATGCAAATTGGGTCTAAACTTCCACTAAGTCCATCAAATGTCAGCTTACTTCATCAAATCACTTTACATAAATGAATCTTAAAAATGTCTTCAGTGTTCATTAATGTTACAATTAAGAACCATATTATATTGAAAATAAAACAACCTATTTTGAACAATCATGGATTTAAACTCTTTAAAATAACTTATCATGCAAATCACATGATATTAAGCTCATTTATAACTTCTAAACAGAATTTAAACCTCTCCAAAGTTAATGTTTAGGCCAGAGCAACAGTTCTGCTTTTTCAACTACATCCAATAGAAGAACCTTTGTTGCTTCCTTTAACACAATCTTGTTAACAAATGATCACTGGAGAGGTTAGGGCTGGAAATATAAGTTTGAGAGTAAGTAATCATTGTAAATCCATGAGAAAGCATGAGGGACGTAGAGACTGAATACGAGCAGAGCAGAGAACAAGCCACAAGATGTCCCTTAGAAGACAGGCAGTGGGAGTTGGACTTAGGTGGGGCATGTAAAGTAGGATAGAGATGAGTTACCCTTCACTTCCTCTTTAAAAGCCCCCACAGAGTGCAGTGGCTCACTCCTGTAATCCCAGCACTTTGGGAGGCCGAAGCGGGCGGATTGCCTGAGCTCAGGAGTTCGAAACCAGCCTGGACAACACGGTGAAACCCCGTCTCTACTAAAATACAAAATAATAATAATAATAATCATAATCATAATCATAATAATTAGCTGGGCGTGACTGTCTGTGCCTGTAGTCCCAGCTACTCAGGAGCCTGAGGCAGGATAATTGCTTGAACCCGGGAGGCAGAGGTTGCAGTGAGCTGAGATCAAGTCACTGCACTCCAGCCTGGGCAACAAAGCAAGACTCCGTCTCAAAAAAAAAAAAAAAAAAAAAAAAAAAGGCAGTCCCCTTCATAAGTCAAGTATCAAAATAGGTGGATTTGGTGATCACACTGGAATAGATCTCTCCAGTATAATCTGTTTTAATGCCTAATATTTTGCTTTCTCCCAATCACTATCTTCCATAAATAATGAGAAAAAGATTTCAAAAAAAAAAATACAGAGACTTTTGCAAAATTATTAAGAATCACAATAACTAAGAAATCTTTAATTTATTTGAAGCTGAACAAGTTGCAATGAACTAATCAGAAAAAGAATTACATAATTTGGTACTTTTGGGATATAACTTTGTATCTTATTAATGGGATCCAGACGGAGATTTGACAGTTAGGAAAAGTATTCAAAAATTGTTGTAAAATTTTACTTCATCATCTTTCCTCTAGAAAACTCACCTGTGAGATGAGAAAACATGAAATAAACACTGCGATGAAATGGCCAATTCTAACCTGTATCTCAGTTTTCTGGGCTCAATGAGGAGTCTTGGCAGGCTCCACTAGGGTGTGCTCTGTCCCCCCCCATGATTCTATCTACACTCCCTGCAGATGGTTCCAACTCTGAACCCCAAAAGCAGATAGGCCTGGGTTAATGATGGCAACAACTCACACCTCACAGGGAGGCAAATCGAGAGAACTGGTTAAAACCATCCACACTCGGTAAAGTTGGCTTGGGCTGAAACCCCAGCTTGGTTACTTAGCTGGCAAAATGACCTTAGGTGAGCTACTTAACATCTTTGAGCCTGAGCCAGAGATGTCCCATCTACAAAATGGAGATAATACTTAAGGAGCTGTGAGGATTAAAATGAAAAACATGCAAGATCCTTAATAAATGTTAGCTGTAGTTATGACACTCCGTCTTCTCCAAGAGAAGTGGTTGGCACGCGAGCTACGCAAACTTCCTCAGGGTAAACCACAGTGGCGTAGGGCACATAGCCTCAAAACAACAGGGAGGACACCTAAGTAAAAAGTCCACCTCATATACCAAAACCAAGGCGAACAAGGTGGAAATTCTCTTACAGGCTCCTGATGAAAGAAAAATCATGTTGACATATTCATCTGCATTAGAAGAATTTTAAAACATGATTTCCTAATCTTCTCTCCATCACGCTGACTCTTTGGCCTGGTAGAGTGAGTAGTACAGCTACTGAGCCTTCAAAAAGAGAGGAAAAAAAAATCATCACAAAATACGCCAAAATTACCAGCAAGAACAGGTCATAAGATGAGCCCATATGGATAGATTTTGCCTTGTTTCTGTTTCATTGTTGCACCTCCTTCTATTGACTGCACAAATGGAACACTACTTTAAATCATCAGATCTGTGGGATGAAAATTCTTAACACTTCCTTCTTAATGCATTGCGGTAGTTATGCGCAAAGTATCCTAACAAAAGTTAAACTTATTAATAAATCATTATATTTACAATATCATGACTTTCATGTAAAACTGTGTCTAAAACACATATTTCTGAAGTCAACCACGGCTTGTATGTACTCTGTAAGGTTGTCAAGCTTGTGATTTACAAGAGCCATGTTCAAGATGAGAACGTCTCAAATTTACAATAGTATTCTTTTTTCCTCCAAGCACTGACTATTGCTCTTAAAATTTTTCTGAATCAATTGAGCTGGAATGACAAAAAGATTTCCAACATGTTTGTATTTGATGTTGGTCCCTAAAGCCTGCCATACAAAGATTAACCATTTCTTGGCCAGCCAGTCTTTAATGTAGCAATTCACTTAGTCATTGTGCTAGAAAATTGTTTCTATTTCATATAAACCTAAGGAAGAGGAAGAAGAAATAGGGAAAGAGAAAAAGGAGGAGATGCAGACACAGAAAGAGAAAAAGAGGAGAGTTTACCAACCAAATACAATAATCCAGGAACCTTCCTTACCTCTTCTGGAGAAAAGAAATAAAAACAACTTCATCCAATAAAATAAAATAAAATACTACTGGAAATAAAAACTTCAACCCCTCCTCTCAAGAGACGAAATGACTAAACCAAATATCAACTAACACACACCTTTTGAAGTGTGAAAGCATGTGTAGATTACAGCAGTCTGGTTTAACATTCACTTGAAGCTGGTTGAAACTAGAGGGTTGAGGCAGATAACTAGATAATGTGGACGAAGCCAGGCATATTCTCTGACCTCCATCTGGTTTCACTTGGACTTGCTAAACACCGTACTGTCACACTTAGAATCCACTGGTCAACTTGAATTATGTTGACTGGAATCTCTGGGGATAGGTTTTGCAACCACGAAGAATCCTTGTTTGAGAAAATCTTCCTCTAAAATGAATGAAAAACTGCGTAACTTGGATAGAAACCTCAACACCAATATAAAAGAATTCAAAGATTCTAGTCACTCTCTTCTGTAAGTGAATATTTACAAGTTAGTAATAACATGCTATGAATCTGTACAAGAATGAGGCTCAGCCATGAAATTCTTCCTAGAAAAGCAATTTTTCAGGCTGGTTTAGGAGAAATCTCTTTCAGATGAAGAAAAATTCTATTTGTGGATTATAAAAGAATTTTGTTGCCATATTTGTGGAGGGAAACTGACTCTTTCAAAAGCAACTTAAATGTGGGTATCCATCTATTTCACAACCGGATCAATCAACACTCTTCTATGACAGTGCAGGCTACAGTCTACACTGGGAAGACAGCAAACCTAGGTTCCTATTAAAATTCAAGTATTACCTTGAGCCAGACACAGGTTTTTCTATGCGAAACCTAGCAAAATATGTTTCTTCCCTTCGGTAGTAATCTTTTAAATAACTAAAATAGTTACCTAAATTCAACATGAATATATAACAAACTACTATTTCTTCCTACTACATTAATCCTTTGAGCTTGTTTACATGTTAGCTTTTAGGATATTTTGCCCCCTGGAGAATTCACATCTAGGAATAAGATTGCCATAGTACAAATCAACCTTTTGACACTGCTACATCAAAATTCTAGTAGCAACAGATAAACTGAAACTGCCTACAGTCATTCTTGACTGGGGCAGGATGACATGCTGCCAGTGTCCCAATGCCACGACCAATTTGATGATACTAATGTCATCACGATAGCCAAAATACAGCACAGTTGGCACTAATGTCATTCTTAACCTGGAAAAAGTTCACCCCAAAATCTTCAGGTATGGGGATATATATATATATAAAAATATATATTTTTTAAATATAAAATACATATATATATTTTTTTTTTTTTACTGCAGCCTGCAAAGCTCTGTTTACAAAGTATTTCACACAGACTGACTGAGTTATTGTCATAATTTTATGAGACAAAAAGTCATGTTAGTCTCACTCTATTCAACGGGTATATTTTGTAAACTGGGATGTATAATTTAACATTTGTTAATCACAGTTTAAACACCCCTGAGAAAAGGTTAGGTCTTAAAGGAATTCTAGGGAGAATCTTTTTATAAACCGCAGGCTTCAGCCATTTAAAAAAAAAATCACTCCTGATTTATGTGAGATCTAATTATTCAGTTTGCTCACATATGAATGCACCTATGTTTCTATCAGGTAGATCCCATTTTACATATGAAGACATAGACAGAGGTTAAGGTCCTTTCTCAAGGTCACAAAACTAGTCATTGCAAAACAGTTCATATCTCAGAGCTCCAAACTCCCCATCCTCCCTTAGTCCACCAGGCTATGCTGCTTCTCTGAGCTGAAAGTAGATTACAATAAAAGATTACCACAAAAGTTTGATTCTCCCACTCACCACTTCATGGACTGTCTTTACAAGTACAATACTAAAAAAAATTGATTTGGTATTCACCTTTGGTATTTTTCATTGCAATGAAGCAGCAAAGAATGTGACTTAAAAGGCAGAGCCTTACTCATAGACCACACCAATGCATATGTTTTCAGAGTAATCATCTACAAAAATCAGCAGGCTATTAGGATTCTGGCTAAGTAAAATGAATTTGCTTTAAAAAAAAAAAAAAAAAAAAAAACCTCCCACATTTTCAGAGTGATTCTACCCGGGGTCTTTCTTCATATCACAGCTCTTTGGTGGCACTTTATGATCTGGGGGTACTTTGGATGTGAAAGTATAGTTTGGAAGCAGAGCATGTATGGTGATCATTGTTTTCTTAGTTTAAAAGTGATAAAAGGCCAGGCGTGGTGCCTCACGCCTGTAATCCCAGCACTTTGGGACGCTGAGGCAAGCGGATCACTTGAGCTCAGGAGTTTGAGACCAACCTGGCCAACATGGTGAAACCCTGTCTCTATGAAAAATAAAAAAATTAGCCAGGCGTGGCAGCATGTGCCTGTAGTCTCAGCTATTCAGGAGGCTGAGGCAGAAGAATCACTTGAACCCGAGAGGCGGAGGTTGCAGTAAGCCAAGATCTAGCCACTGCACTCCATCCTGAGCAACAGAGCGAGATTCCATCTCAAAACACAAACGAACAAAAAAAGGTAAAAGACAGAGAGCCAGAGGCAGGAAAGCTGAATACAAGTGAGTGACACAGCTCTGCAGGCAGCCCCCATCCTTGCTTCATTCCATCCACCGGAGGCATGGGCCCTAGCAGGTCATGCACAGGCAGGATTCGGCCCCCAGGGCAGCAGACATTCCTACTAGAGATAGATTCCTAACAAGCCACGGATACCTAACGAACTCCAGTTGGGTCAGTCAATGTCATTCTGCCTTTTGGGATTCTGGAATCAGGTCTCAGACACACTCTTGAAACTGAGGGGATGGAAAGTCATGAGCTGAGACTGTCACATAGGACAGGAGGCTCAGATGGCTAGAGAAAGACAGTCATCAGAAAGAGAGGAATGAAGCTGACGAGCAGGAGGAAGCTTGTTTCAAGTGACCTCTAGGTCACAGAGGTAAAAGTAGAGACAGATGAGGCGGACGAAGCTTCTGAGTAGTATCTAGTGGAGTTCCAGTCCATGGTCCCTTAGGATACCTGGATTTCAGAATGTGAAATACGCTTGTAGTCTTGGAATTAGCATTTTTCTAACACTTGCTATCAAAATAACCTTAATTACTAATTAGGACACAGTCCCCTCCCCTCAAAAAAAAATTAAGAACATTGATATGGTCAGAGAAACTGCACCTGGAGTGCATCAAGTCCTTTTATTACCAAATTTAGAATACCTGAGAAGTGACTCGCTGAAACGGCTCCTTCTCTAGGAGCATGCGGAGATGAAGGCAGATGCCATTCTTGCACAGATGTAAACACAGGCCTACTGTCCTCCTAGTCATTGACTGTGCTGCAAAGAAGGGCTGTCCTCAAGGTGAGAGGCAGAGTTCCACCATTCCCAAGTTGGCACTTGAAATGTAATATGTCACACAGTGACTGCATGTATTTTAAATAGCACAGAAAGAAATGTATATACAGATAGAGAGACACATACGGATAGGCTTTTGGGCCTATTTTACATGCACATCTCTATGTGTCTCCATATGTGTCTCTATATCTGTCATGGTGGCTCATGCCTGTAATCCCAACTCATTGGGAGGCCAAAGCAGGAGGACTGCTTGAACCCAGGGCTTAACACCAGCCTGGGCAACATAGTGAGACCTGTCTCTACAAAAAAAAAAAAAGCCAGACATGGTGTCCCACACCTGTAATCCCAGCTACTCAGGAGGCTGAGGCGGGAGGATTGCTTGAGCCCAGGAGGCTGAAGCTGCAGTAAACTGAGATTGTGCCACTGCACTACAGCCTGGGTGATAGAGCAAGACCCTGACAAAAAAAAAAAAAAATAGGCTTTTGCAGTGTGGACTGGGTATCAAATTACATTTTCAAATATTTCTACAGAAAATTACATTCCAAGGTCCATACAACACAACATGCAAGATCAAAAATGAGAGATGCACTCCCCAAATATCCTTCTTTTCATAATGTTTGGGTCTGGTATCTTTCATTTAGGAGTTATATATTTAAAAGGGCCTGGATTAAAAACAACAAAAAACCCAACTCTATTACTTACTAGCTCTATAATCTCAGAAAAGTTCTAAATAACAACTATAACACCTGCTAACAAGATGTTTATAAGAATTACATTACAAATAAGTAAAAGTAATCTAGAAGACCTGGCATTTTAGAGGCACTTAAAAAAAGCCTTTTATCATATTTTTTCTCAGCCTTCATCTATCCACAACTGAGTATTATTTTAGTCCATCTGTGTATCTCAGTTCTCTTGTACCCTGAACAATTTTAGATGCTCCAAACTGAGCCTTCTCATTATTGCAGAAGCTGGATTGTATCTTACAACTTTCAAATTTGACTACTTACTGTGGACTCTGACTACCAGCCGGCCAGATGAATTGAGCAGACACTATTTAACTTATTCCTAAGAGAACTAACTGAACTTATTTCTGAATCCCTGAAGCTTAAGGTCCAGTCATTAACATCCCTACCCACTGCTGCTGATCTCTCATCCTAAGCAGAGTATCTCAATATCTCCACTGCTAACTATTTAGACCAGTTTTCTCCACTTGACTACGGGATGTTCCTTTCCTTTCCAGGGATTTTTTATTTGTTCCAGAATAAAACAAATAAAAATGATGGTCTTTTCATCACTCCAAGGCTGGGGACTCTTGATTCATTCCAAAAAATAACCTCAGATAAGGTCAGGTATGTTGCTAGCTTTGAGTAGCTCTTTACAATAATTGGATTTTTATGCAAATCTTGGCAGTCTTACATGGTTAGCCCAAGCTAAGCACAGACAGAGTTCCTATAGGGCTATGGACCTAAATACACATGCTAATAATTTTTTTCTGAAGACAATCCATTTGTATTTGAACTCCATGAGTATTTAATTTGACAGAAGCATTAAGAGACAGATTGTGCCTCCTTATAACATAAATATCAAAGATATTTGAAAAGTTATGTTAATGTAATTCTGCCACTTTTTGGCCATGTGCTGTATGTAGCCATTTAACCTTTAAGACTTTGTGAAATGGTTATAACATACTCGCAGTCCTTGCTTTGCACAGTTCTGAGATGCATAAATTTCAGTTACCACAGTTTAATTAACATCATTCTGCCAATAATAAGACTCAAATGTCAGTTACTATGATAAATTAATCAATAATAATTACATAAAAGAAACTTCACCACTAGCTATTCAGTGCACCAATCACTGAGTAAATAACAGATCTGTATCATGATCCATGACCAATCACGTCACTTCTTTCAAAGCCTGTCAGTGATTGGTCACTGTGCATCTGAGTTGGTACACAGACAGAAAAGCATATAGTTGTGCTGCCACCATGTCTCACAGTGATTAACCCACTTGACATTTTACAAAAATGGGTAATCCAAAGAGGGAATTGGGCAGCAAAGATGAAAGTACAGCACTGAAACACTGGTAAACTCAAAGTGAAATCTGAATCAAACATAAACGACGTTTAGAGAAGAAATAGCTGACTATGGGAATGACATCTAAGAGACACTAACGACATCTAAGAGACACTAACGACATCTAAGAGACACTAACGACATCTAAGAGACACTAACGACATCTAAGAGACAATGATGTGCAGCCACAGGAGCTTGGTGAAGGCAGCTTCACATAAATTAGCAAAAGAATAAAGACGTCCCAGAGGAAGTGATGCCAGCAAAAAAACTTCACATTAATGAAACTCACTGAAAGCACAAAGGATGAAATACGGGAAACTGATCCAAACTTAGAAAGGAGTATGGAAATTCACCAAGTCATAGAAAAGATGCTAGGCCCATCTTATATCGTATGACAAGATGAAGAAGACAAGCACTGTTCAAACTACTCCTGATAAGTTTTTAATTCTCAATTCTTCTGATTTTTTTTTTTTTTTTTTTGGGAGATGGAGCTTCGCTCTTCTCACCCAGGCTGCAGTCCAATGGCACAATCTCAGCTCACTGCAACCTCCCTCTCCCAGGTTCAAGTGATTCTCCTGCTCCAGCCTCCCAAGTAGCTGGATTTACAGGTGCCCGCCACCACACCCAGCCAATTTTTGCATTTTTAGTACAGACAGGGTTTCATCATGTTGGCCAGGCTGGTCTCGAACTCCTGACCTCAGGCAATCCGTCTGTCTCGGCCTCCCAAAGTGTGGGATTACAGGTGTGAGCCTTTCATCTAATGTTTTACATTACAGTATACTACATCAATACCAGTTTTACTTTTTCATTTCCATACATATTTATCACTGACAGAGAATTTTTAATGTTTTAACAAAAACATTCAAAGGTCATGGGAATACTGGAGTTGCTCCCACTGTTATTAAGATTGTTGTGTGTAGTTCAGCTTGAACCATCACTGTTACAGTCCTGCATCACTGTGCAAAATGAGGACTGCCTTTTGGAAAGGTATAGTAAGAATTAGAATATATGATGTTCATAAAGTATCTGATGAGAGATGAGGTTGGAAGGCAAGCAAGAGCTAACTTTTGAAGAACTCTGCATGCCTTTAATGCTGAAAGTTAATTATAAATTCCTTAAGGATGACAGAAAACCATGACAGGGATTTAAGCAGAGTGGCAGGGCAAGATCTGCATTTTAGAAAATTAACAGGTCATTTTCTGCACAATGGATTTTAGTAAAATTTGACTAAAAGAATAAACGGAATTAATTTATTTGAGAGTTAAAAAGTCTGTACACTAAGGCTATGGCCATGAGGGCAGAGAAGATAAATCATCTTTAAGAAATATTCAAATGCAGAATTGACCAAAGGTGGTGACTAACTGGAGACAGATGTTGATAATGGCCACAGGTGACTGGCTAGGCTAATATTTTGCTGACACTTGTTGGATGCAACGTGCTAGGTACTGTCCTATGGGTTTTACATCTATGTATCAGCTCAGTTAATCCTAACAACTTCAGAGGGTAGCTTCTCTTATTATCACCATTTAGAGAGAAGGGAAATGAGGAGCAGAGAAGGTGACTTGCCTAGGGTGGCACAGCTAGTAAATGGTGCTGCTAGAACAAGGCCAGCCTGTCCAACTCCACACCTACAACCTGAACCCACTCTCACCCTGCCCATCCAGTGGGCCTTCCTGCACTTAGCACCCTTATCACTCAGTGACGCACTTAGCACCCTTCCATGCTGCAGTCCCTTCCTGCCAGTCTGTTCCTTCCTCTTGTCCCACAGCAAACAGTACTACACGACTGCACTACAGGACCAGCACTGCCCTCCTCTTCCTACTATCATAAAAGTTCTCTTCAAAAAACACGGAATCAACTGCTTATCTCCTGACCAACCTGTCTTCCACGTTGTTTACTGCTTAACAAAATTACTTGGAACAAGGGGAAGATAAAGAACACGCCATATATCTGAGAAGACAAATAAAAAGTAATTTTATGTATTTTATAATCCTTCCATGTATAAGTTGCCATTTACAGATTAAAAATCTTTTGAGAAGGGGAAGATAGTGTAGATGAAATTATTTTTAACCCACCTGATTTCTAGCTTTCCATCCTATGTGGGCTCCTATTGTCTCTTATCTTTTGTTTTTAGAAAGACACATCTTGCTGAGGGAAAGTCTCCTAAGGAAGTGTAGGTAAAAGATCATCATGGCTGGCTTTTTACACATACTTTTCCAGGACTTTCAATAAAAGGCTGTTAGTCTTCAAATGTCCCAGAAAGGACTGTCTTTTTCTACTTATCTTCCCTAATTAATGATCATTTTATCATAAGAATCTTTAAAATTAAACAAATACATTTCTATCATTTTCCTTCTCCTGCCTAAACCTTGAATACAGTTGTATTGTTCATTCCCATTAATGAGATTTCCACTATATAAATTTGTTTTCCATTCTGACTGCTGAGTTATTTATCGAGGTCTGTGAGAAGTCTAGATGAATTCTAAAGTATCTAACAGAAGAAAAACAAATCTATCATGCTGGTATTAAGTTATATTTTAGTTATTCAGTTTATGCCAAAATACAGAAAATTGGAAGATGACAATTTAAATGGGTTACCAAAGAGTTACTCAGAAATCAATCTCCCAATCACAGATTTATGCTTAAAGGGAAAAATATTCATTCAATTCTTGATTTATACCAGTCATTCATAAAAGTCCTCAACAGATAAGGGCCATAAATTTCCCTTCTGTAAAAGTGTAAATCAGTGCCATAGGAAGATAACAACAGGCCTGTCTCCCTGAGCTCACTTCACTTCAACAGCAGCTTATGGGGAAGAAAAACAGAAGGTAATTTTCAGTTTTGTAGTTCTTACAATTTGTCTACTACTTAAAAAAAAAAAAAAAAGCTGGCAACTGTATGACTCTCAAGTTTGAAAAAACATAGGCCTCAAGATTTGAATACTTTTTCCACATAGAGAATGTGGTAACGATATTGATTAATAAATAATTTATTTGGCTAGAAATGGCTTTGGTCAGCCCTGCTACTTCAAAAAAAAGAAAAATATTGTGCTGCTCTTCTTATTTTAGGTTTTATTTTTCCAAGGATGAAAAATATTTGTTTTTTGAGACAGGGTCTTGCTCTGTCACCAAGGCTGGAGTGCAGTAGTGCTATCATAGCTCACTGCAGCCTTGACTTCCTGGGCTCAAGGGATCCTCATGCCTCAGTCTCCCAAGCAGCTAGGACTACAGGTGCACGCCACCATGCCTGGCTAGTTTTTTTATTTTTTGTAGAGATAGAGTCTCCTTACATTGTTCAGGCTGGTCTCGAACTCCCGGCCTCAAGCGATCCTCCTACCTCTGCCTCCCAAAGTGCTGGGATTACCGGTGTGAACACTGTGCCTAGCCGGTATTTTTGAAGAGAAATTCTTTGAAAACTAAATTGTGCATCAACCAGACTATCAGCAGAAAACAAACTGATGCAGCAAGATTCATAAGAGACATATCTTCAAATTTCTCATTTTTCTTCCCAAAATAATATTAAAGTCTCCTGTTTTTATCAGTGTGAAAAGATTTCCTGAATCAGCCCACAAAGTTCATAAACTTCTTATATTTGAGGGTGGTATAACTAGGCTTAAATGTTTAGGAATATGTTTCCACAGAAAAGATTTATCTAAACATAATTATTCTAAAAAGATACCAAATATCTACATCAAGCTATTCTGATTATCACACATATGGGCACAAAATAATCTTCTTACAATTTGTTCAAAATGAACTATAATACAACATTCCTAAAATTAAATTAGTATGGCCGGGCATGGTGGCTCACGCCTATAATCCCAGCACTTAGGCAGGCCAAGGCAGGCAGATCACCTGAGGTCACGAGTTTGAGACCAGCCTGGCAAACATGGTGAAACCCCATCTCTACTAAAAATACAAAAATTAGCTAGGCATGGTGGCGCGCACCTGTAGTCCGAACTATTTGGGAGTTTGAGGTAGGAGGATCGCTTGAACCTGGAAGGCGGAGGTTGCAGTGAGTCAAGATTGTACCACTGCACTCCAGCCTGGGCAATAGAGACTCATCTCAAAAAAAAAAAAAAAATAGTATGTGTTTGCCAAGAACCATTTGTTTAATGTTCAGAACATTTAGAGGAAAAAACAAATGGTTTGACTTATTTTTACTCTGTGTTATTTACAGAGAACACAACGTTAGAAAAATTTTACAAGGTTGAATTATAATTTTCAAAGCAGAGAAACTGATATGGTATTTGTCTGATCTTCTGGTCTCTGGTTTCTTGGAAGGAATTTTCCTAATCCATTCAGATATCAAAAGCAAAACTAAAATCAGTTTAGAGACTACTGAGTTACATAGCACAGTCCTACCTGGAAATATACCTCCTTTATATTTAGGATACTTTTTATCAAAAACAAAACTGAAAAAAAAAAAAGCCACTGTTTCCATGACTAAAACACAACTCAGGTTCTTTATCGATTAACCTCTCATTCCCGAATTTGTTTTTATATTCTCACTGCCCCCAAAAAAATCTATCTTATAAAAGCATAGAAATCTGCTTATCCCAAGAAGTTCTCTTTGATGAAGACAATCATTAGCCCTGCTTTGTATTCTCTCTGCTCAGCCAATCTGCTCAAAAGTTCATTGTTCTTTTGACAGGAATCATACAATTTAACTACATAATTTCCTCCTCCTAAGACAGAAAATTCAGGGCCTGGTTAATCAATAAAAATTTTCCTCTTTTCTCCTGTCTGATTTAAACCAAGTCAACTATATTGGCCACAATAAAAAACGTAAATTGTTGTAATCATTTGTGCTTAAATTATCTTATGGAAAAGGTGACAGTTCTCACCAACCAATTTATTTTCTCTTTACAACCTGGATTTACAATAGTTTCCTGCAACTCCTTCTTGATTAGGATTATTCCCTAGACTTTTCAATTTAAGAGTTAAAAGGAAATATTTTAAAAGGACACAGATACACTTTAAAACTAACATATCTATAATGCTAATGAGTGTTCATTACACATTCTACAGGTATATAAATTAGCCAGCTCATTAATATCTCTGATATACAGGGTAAAATGAGGTAACAATATTAAGTACTTAGCAAAGGCCTTGCAACATTCAATAAATGCTATCTATTTTTATGATTACTTCTGAAAATCAGATCAGCTGTTTCTGGTATTTTTCCCAGGAATTAACAGTCTATCATATTTGTATCATTTCCTCTCCCACATCCTAAGTACTCCTGCTTTTCCCCCACCTTTTATCGCCAGCCCAACTCCTGTGTTGCCAGAGTAGGGTTTTCAATCATTTCATTAGATATGCATATAAACTCAGAGCTACAGAAAGAAATAATTTGATGTTTTCTGGGTGTGTGTGATGGGGTCTTGCTATGTTGCCCAGGCTGGTCTCGAACTTCTGAGCTCAAGCAATCCTCCTCCCTCAGCCTCCCAAGTTACTAGGGTTACAGGCATGAGCCACCACACCCAGCAATAATTTGATTTTTCAAAAGGACTTCCAGTATTAAGAAAAGTTGGTTATATTCTATAGTATTTTTCATGTCAATGAATCCACTTAGCTTCACAACCTACTAACATTTATTTAGATTTGACTCAAGTTAATCGGTTGCATATAAGCCACATATTCTTTCCTATGAGGTTTTCACTCTTGACTTCACCAATGCCTTAAGTATTTTCTAAATTTTTTTTTTCCTGAAAGGATTCAAAGTTAGAATAATAGCAGGTTTTTAAATATTGATCCTCTGACCACCTATGTAAGAGTAGTTTGGCTGGGTATAGAATTATTGCATTTGATTCATTCCACTTGAAGGTAACAAGTTTTATTCTAATTGGATACAGAATTGTCTCTGTATTATGACATTCAGAAATCTCATTATAGATAGATACATCTCATTTTTGCTGTTGTTGTTATTAAGGCCTCATATCTTCTAATTTCCTATTTTATTTTGAGAACCATCCGGTCTGCTATTTAATTCCCCCTCTCATCAACTATGCTTTACATTTCCAAGAATCTCACAACTCCTGGACTGAAGCTATATGCCCGCCTAAGCCTCCAGAAGTGCTGGGATTACAGATAGGAGCCACTGCATCTGGCCCACTTTCCAAGAGTCTCAAGCACCCAAAAACCAGGAAGGAAGGCAGCAGCCCTGGCAGCAGCTCTGTTATTTAAGGTTAAGAGCAGGTTCTCATAAACCTACAGTACTCTAAATGTCATCTCTAAATCAGAGGAGTTATGACTTTTGACATAACATCCACTGTCAAGCCCAAAGAATGTGATCCCATCTAAGAGCCAACAGAAAGCTACCTCACTGCCTAGAGATACTCTCTAGCTGTAGACGCTCACGCAATGTAGAAAATGTCCATTCTCCACTAATTTCACTTCAAAATATAATTAGTTTACAGATAGCAGCTCAATACTGAAAACTAAACCTTATATATCAAAACTAATGTCAATCTAAAACTTAGATATTTAAGTCAAAAGGTCTTCTATCAGCAAGTAGCAAAAATTATAAAAATGCAGTTTTAAAAGGCTTTGGTAATTATGAATATCATAATTATTTAGTGACAAATGATAAATTTAACATTGATAACTAGAAGTGAGAGTGCAGGCCAGGCTCGGTGGCTTGCACCTGTAATCCCAGCACTTTGGGAGGCCGAGGAGGGCAGGCGGGTCACTGGAGATCAGGAATTCAAGACCAGCTTGGCCAACATGGTGAAACCCTGTCTCTATTAAAATTACAAAAATTAGCTGGGCGTGGTGGCACACACTTGCAGTCCCAGCTACTCAGGAGGCTCAGGCAGGAGAATCACTTGAACCCAGGAGGCAAATGTTGCAGTGAGACAAGATCACGCCACTGCACTCCAGCCTGGGCCACCAAAAAAAAAAAAAAGGAGAGTACAGATTTGCTGTTAAAAAAAAAAAAATTGATAAAAGCTTTAATTTACTCTTTCTCAACAAAGCTGCTTAAACAGTACAACAATAAAACAATCCAAGTACTAACCTTTAAAAAGAACTGTTCTTACATGGACACAGGGAGGGGAACAACACACACTGGGGCCTATCAGGGAGGTGTGGAAGGACAGAGAGCATCAGGATAAATAGCTAATGCATGTGGGGTTTAATACTTGGTGATGGGTTAATCGGTGCAGCAAACCACCATGGTACATGTTTATCTATGTAACGACTCTGCACACCCTGCCCATGTATCCTGGAACTTAAAATTAAATTTTAAAAAATGTTCTTGAGCTGTCGCAAATTCTTCCATAAAGATTCTCATTATGTTAAAAAAGAATATAATGAGATAACGTTTACTTTCTCTAAAATAACAACTTGCTATAATCCTACTTACTGTTAAGCCACATATCAAGCTCTGTAAAAGACAAAGTAAATCCCAAAATTAAGTAAAATCTTTCCTTAACCCTCCCCCTAAAAGATTAGCACGACTACTTAGAGCTATGATAAAGCAAACAATTAAAAAATGGGCAGGAGGAGTTCATTAGCACCTAACTAGATACCTGATATTTAGGTATCTCTTTCATATACAGTAAAATGATTATTGCTCTGAAAGAAAAATTGGTGAGAAAGGAAAAATCCAAGAACAGAAAGTTGTTGAAACGATCTGAGTTGTAGTTTTCCCTGCTGCTGGCAATCCATCAAACTGTGCAAAATAAATGCTATTGCATCTAACCTTTTAAAATCTTTTCTGTTAAACAACACTTTCAAATTCACCAAGCCAAAAATAAATGGGAAAGTTCCAATGCTAATATGACAATAATGTTAATTCTGCTATAATAGTATCACTACAACTTTTAAATTCAAAGGACACCACATTGAATATTAAGTAGCATTTTATTTTGTTTTTGCTCTGGGGTATGCTTTCCTTTGCACAGAAGTATGGAAAGCTCTCCAGTTTGCCACTGACAAGGAGATTCAAGTGCCAGAGACAGATTTCAAAAACCCAAAGCTTGGGTGGCATGTTTCACAGTCACAGAGGTTGGGTGCATTTCTCATTATTACCTACTTCTGAGCCACTGGTACATCTCTAACGGCTTTGCGTATTTTCCAATTTTACTTATTTATCTTTGCTTTTCCACATTTTGCCCTTTTGATTGTGAAACTTCTAGACAGGGATTAATACCAGGCCATACTAAGCTTAGTTTTGTTCTTTAGAGAAACCTGTTAATTCTCTGTTAATAGCATAGGGCATTTCTTGAACACTGGGAACTTCAGTACTTGATGAATACACAGGTAGTTCTCAACCTAAAAACAGATTATGTTCCAAAGGTGTACATGTAATTCAGTTGTCAGAACTAGAAACATATTTTCCCATATGATCGACATTGTGAAAGATGACTAGGATACCTGACCAGCATTCAAAAGGCAACTGAGTCCATGACAAAGCTCCTGCTACAGAAGAATCCTACAGAACAGATCATGGTGTCCAGAGCACTCAATACTTTCGAAACAGCAACCCCCTGCGGACCTGCCGGGTGGGAGAAAGCAGAGCCTCTGTGCTGATGTTTCCCCGAGACACTCACTGCAGGTGAAGGGGGAGCAGGTGCTCTAGTGTCAGGGAGGAGAACATGAGCAAAAGGGCAGAGGCACAAGAGGGAACAACAGTGGATCCTAATTACTGACTTTATCATCAAGTGGCCACAGAGACGCAGTATAACCTAAAAGGGAAGAACATGGATTCTGAAGCCAGGATGCCTAGGTTCAAATGCCAATTCTGCCACTTCGGGCAAAGTCCTTAAGCTCTGTGAGCTTCAGGTTCCTCCTCTGTAAAAGGACTGATTCCTTACAGGATTTGCTGCAAAGATTAAATAGGTTAATACAGTCTGACCCTTGAACAACACAGGTTTCAACTGAGCAGCTCAAATGCATTTCAATCAAATGCAGATCAAAAATACCGTATTCATGGGACACAAAAACCATGTAAATGTCATCTTTAAATCAGGAAAAAGGAGTTACGACTTTTGATATAACATTCTTTGTCAAGTCCACAAGAACATGGTCCCTACAAGAGCTAACAGAAAGCTACCTCACTGCCTAGAGATACCCTCTTTTTACATATACGAGTTCTTCAGGGCTGACTGTAAGACTGAGTACGTGCAGATTTGACCATAGGCGAGGGGTAGGGGAGATCCCGGTGTACAATGAGGGACGACTGTATATATAAAGTGCTGAGAATAGTCAACTTGCCTAAGGTCTTGAGTGTAATTATTGTTAATTTTCAAAAGTAGAACATCCTGGACTATGTAACAGTATCGCCGATGTATCTGCCCATGGCACCTCCCAAAATATACCCTGGAAAGTCTTAACAATAAATACCTTCACAAGGCCAGTTCCATTATAGGAAGATTTCCAGGTTATGTCATGCTCACGTGAAGACTTAGTCATTTAAGGCTATGTTTCAAGTCCTGTAGAGCAGAGAGATTAAAGAATACTTTTTTTTTTATGCCACCTGTCTTTTTTTAAGCAAATGACTGTACTTTTGGCTGAGTGATAAGCAGAGATCAGAAACCTCTAGGCTCTTTGCTCTTTCTGGAGCACAGTGCTCTGCACCACCTGCCAGTGACTCTTTGCAGTGAAGTGAATATTCCATTCTGTTCACTACCCATTGAGAAAAGAGTCATAGTATAATGCCTTGGGAGTTGTTTGTTTCTGAGATGGAGTCTCGCTCTGTCGCCCAGGCTGGAGTGCAATGGCGCAATCTCGGCTCACTGCAACCTCCGCCTCCCGGGCTCAAGCAATTCTCCTGCCTCAGCCTCCCATGTAGCTGGGATTACAGGCACGCACCACCCAGCTCAGCTATTTTTTTTTTTTTTTTTTTTTTTCATTTTTAGTAGAGATCGGGTTTCACCTTGTTGCCCAGGCTGGTCTTGAATTCCTGACCTCAAGTGATCAGGAATTTTTACCCCTTTGTTGTAATCTGGCAGATTCTGACAGTGTCTACTGAGTTAGTAAAACTCAAGAAAAGTTGCTCTCAGTAGAGAAATCACTTGTAAGGGTTCCAATGTTGCGTAAATGAGTAATTAAGTCTAGCTTTTTATAAGATACTTTGCAAACTCACTTCCGTCCCCACCACCTTACTAAAACTATTCTTTGTAAAACATCCAATGAATTCCACTTGCCAACTGGACAGAAGCCTTTCAGACTCTGACATGCCATATCTCAGCAGTCTATGTCGCTGCTGGACACTGCTATTTTATTCACTCAACAAATCTCCCTCAGGCACCAAATATGAGTGCCCAGCTCTGCACTAAACACTTTATGTAACAATGCAAAGAAGACTGTTAGAAAATCTAGAAAGGCAACAAATATATCATAGCATAAATATTTGATTACAATTGTGATAAATCTTACAAAAGGGAAACACAGAGGTTAATGAGCACAGATACTCAGGGTATTTTTGCCTTAGTACACTGAAGCAATCAACCTAGCCTACGGGGTCAGAGAAGGTACTATTTAAGTGTACGCTTGAAGAGTTAGAACTTGACCATAAAAGCAGCAAGTAAGAGAGAGAAAAAAAAGAGAAAGTTAGCAGAGAAAACAGCATAGGCAAAGGACACATGGCTGAAAAAAAGTTTGGCAAACTTGAGAACTAAGATGGTCAGACCACATGCAGCAGAAAGAAGACGAAGAGTCGGGGAACTGGCTGGAGAGGTGGGCAGGGGCAGCCCATGTCCCACCTCTATTTGTTCCATAGTTTTAAATGTAAAATTATTTACACTTTAGCTTATTGCCAAAACTAGAACCTCAGCCTGCAGCTGTAGGGCTCGCTAGTTTTTTTGTTATTTTTTGTTTTTATACAGAGTTTAGCTCTTGTTGCCCAGGCTTGAGTGCAGTGGCGCAGTCTCGGCTCCCTGCAACCTCCACCTCCTGGGTTCAGGGGATTCTCCTGCCTCAGCCTTCCCGGTAGCTAGGATTACAGTCGCATGCCATCATGCCCAGCTAATTTTTGTATTTTTTAGTAGAGACAGTGTTTCACCATGTTGGCCAGACTGGTCTTGAACTCCTGACCTCAGGTGATCCATCCACCTCATCCTCCCAAAGTGCTGGGATTACAGGCATGAGCCACCGTGCCCGGCTGCATGGCTCACTTTTATCACTTTCTAGGTTCTAACCAACTGGGCATAACCACAAATAACATCCACAAATAACATCTGACAGACAGATGGGGATCAGAACATGGGCTTTATTCGAGGCATGGTCACACACAACCCCAGAGGCTTCTGGTAAATGTGCTGGAGAATACAGCTTAAGCCTGACGTCAGCAGGGCTTCCTATGTTCTTCTTCCAGACCTGAAGGTGGCCAGGTTCACAGAGCAAACCTGAACTGATTTACCTGTCCAGGCAAAGGCTGGACTAGAAGAAGTATAGACCAGATTAGGCCTGCCAGGGGAACACCTCCCTAATCTCCTTATTGCCTGAAGACAGCAGGCAAAAAGTAGAGGATAGCTGGCACCTTTCTGCAGGCCTCCACCCCTTGTTTCCCCCGCAAAAAAAAAAAAAAAAAGAACGAAAGCCATGTGGAAATACAGTGACTTCACTCATATTAATGTCAAGCCCCGAGCTTTCCAATTTGCCATTCTTTCTCCCGTGGGGAGAAGTTAATAAAGAGAAAGGAGGGAGGGCCCTAGAACGGGAGCACAGTTCTCCACTATCTGAACACAAAAAAGTGAGACCAACTCCTCCCTGAACGGCAAAAACTTTTAGTAATATGACTTCCTAATCTGATCACAGACATCTTTCTTTCTACAACTACCTAAGCTGTGTAATTTGACACTTGATACAACAAAGCCATAAAGATTTATACGATCCATAATCATTACCTTGACAATGAAGATAAAATCTACTGAGAAATCATAAAATACTTCATACTTTAAAGGAGACAGCAATGACTTTTGCAGCAAAGACCTCTTTTATCCTGCTTATTTGCACACACCATCTGCTTTATTAGCATGTCGTGTCATATGGAACTGCTCTGGTAATTGCAAGCCTCATATTATGACAACACTAACAGAATATGAAGGTAGGGAGCAGAGACAATGAGCAGGATGGGGGAGAGTGGCTTATTCATTAGTCCTGCCCTATCTTGTTCCCAAAATCATTTAATTCATTCAGTTAGTCATTCAAAAATATGTGTTCACACTTAAGTGCTAGGCAATGGAAATTGGTGAAGAAAACATAGTCCCTACTCCGAAGAAATGTACAGTCATGTAACAGAAATGATTTGTATATGAATATATATATATACATTTATATATAATTTATATATAAATATATGGTAAGGAAAACTGGCATGGGTTTGCAGCTCAGAAGTAGGGATACAAAGCAACTACTATCATGGACTTGTGGGTATCCTTCCAATCCTTTTTGTACTTCTGTGTGTGTATATGGGCATTTCCATCTATGAGCAATACATAGTATTACTTTGTGGTTTTCTTAACTTACATAAATGGTATCAACTCACTTATTCACTCATCATTGTTTTTTAATCATTTTTCACCGTTGTTTTTTAATCTACTTCTCATTTAACCTACCTCTCATTGTTTTTTATCTACCTCTGTTGAGATTACATATAGATATAACTTCTCTACACACTTCTCTACACACATACACCTGCAATACACTCTTCCACTATATAAGTATTACACGTTTTGTTTACTTCTCCTGACACATTTATGTGTCCAGGTCTGCCCTATTTTAACCAATGCATGAATGAACCTCATTTTAAATATTTTTTGTAACATATGCACTTTTTCCTCTAGCCCATCAAATCCTTCAGTACTTCAGGTTCCTTTCATAGCTACTGTGATAAATAAATGATATAAAGTTGGATACAACCTCAAAAGATAAAAATCAAGTTAACAAAACCCAGCAATTACACTCCTATGTGTATAACCAAAAGAAAGAAAATGTGTCCACAAAAAAACTGCTACACAAATGTTCATAGCAGTGTTATGCATAATAGCCGAAAAGTCAAAACAACCAACATGTTCATCAACTGATAAATTAATAAAATGTGGTATATCCGTGCACGGAAATATTTTTTCAGCCATCAAGAATGGAGATCTGACACATGCTACAACATGGATGCATCTTTAAAATGTTATTTTAAGTGAAAGAAGAGAATCACACCAAAAAAAACACACATTATATGACTCCATTTGTAAAAATGTCCAGAATACAGCAAGTAGATTAGCGGTTGCCAGGGGCTGGGGGAATGGAGGAGTAGGAGGAATTGCTAGTGAGCGCAGGGTTGCTTTCTGGGGTGATAAAAATGTTCTGCAGTCAAGATAGTGGTGATGGTTGAACAACCTTACGATTATGTGAAAAATCACAATTGTGCAATTTTAAATAAATTTTATAGTAGACAAATTATCTCTCAAAGTTTCACAAAAACATAAGGTATTACTTTCACAGTTCCATAAATTTGCCAACTTCATTTTTTGTGATCAAGGAAGATCTATAGATATTCATGTAAAAGAAAAAAACTAAAACATACCAAAGAAACAAACATTCTCCAGATTTTCGGACACTACCCACCTTCGCTGGATGCTCTGCTCCCCACTTTAGACTCCAGGCACCATGACAGAAGTCAGGGTTCTCAGATGCCCCATTTCTAAAACCCAGCACTCTCCTCCTCCGTGGGCTGGGCCAAACAGTCCATTCCGTCACATTCTCCAGGCCACTCGTCTCAGAAAATGCCCTAGGACCCTTCAAATTTCTCCTCCTCCTCCGCACCCCAACCTTGTCTCTTCCTGCCTCTATGCCTAGCTTGCTCAAGCCAAAATTCTAGGAGTCCTTGATTCCTCTTTCTGCCTATCACCCATAAGGCATACAAATCCTAACAGTTCCACCTCTGCAAAAATATGTCTTCCAAGGCATAGCTATCTCTGCTGCTGCCACTACAGCCCAGCCCAAAACATACTCTCTCCACTTAATCCCTTGCCCCCTCCCAATCCATTCTCCACTCAGCAGCCCAAGTTATCTTTTTATTTTTTAGAGATAGGGTCTCATCCATCACCCAGGCTTAAGTGCAATGGTGCAATCACTGCTCACTGCAACTTTGAACTCCTGGGCTCAAGCAATCCTCCCAAGTAGCTGGGACCACAAACATGTGCCACATCTGGCTGATATTTTAATTTTTTGTAGAGATGGCAGATCTTGCTACATTGCCAAGGCTGTCTCAAACTCCTGGCCTCAAGTGATCCTCCCACCATGGCCTCGCAAAGTGCAGGTGTGAGCCACCATGCACAGCCTCCTAGTTATTTATTTATTTGTTTGTTTGAGATGAAGTTTCGCTCTGTTGCCCTGGAGTGCAGTGGTGTGATCTCAGCTCAAGGCAACCACCGCCCCCTGGGTTCAAGTGATCCTCCTGTCTCAGCCCTCCCAGTAGCTGGGATTACAGGTGCCCACCGCCATGCCTAATTTTCATGCCTTTAGTAGAGACGGAGTTTCACTATGTTGGCCAGGCTGGTCTCAAACTCTTGACCTCAAGTGATCCACTTGCCTTGGCCTCCCAAAGTGCTGGGATTACAGATGTGAGCCACTGCACCTGGCTCCAAGTTATCTTTTTAACAAGTAAATCTCAACATCACATCCATATTTGAAATCTTGCAACTCCTTACCACAGTGAGGATCTACTTGGTCTGACCCCTGCCCCTCTTTAGCTTCAGGCTATGCCCTGCTCCCCTCTGCTCATGATAGTCCCTTTGCTATTCTACCCTACTGTTTGTTTCTAGAACCACTAGGCCTACTCTTGGCTCAAGATCTTCGCAGTTGTTGTTCCTGCTACTGCCACCCAAGATTTCCACATTTCTGGCTCCTTTACATCATCCAGGTTTAGCTGAAATATCACTTCCTCAGGGGGCCTTCCATAACCAGTATACTCCTTCTAATTAGCCTGCCCCCTGCCAAGTTACAATTATATTGTCATGTGTATTATTTTCACAGTATTTATCACTCTCTGGAATAATCTTGTTTATTTACCAGAATATAAACTCCAAGAGAGAAGTAACACCTTGCTCCTTGCTGATTCCCTAGAACCAAATAGTAGGTTTGCAATAAATATGTACCACGTGGCTTAATCTCAACTGGTCATTAGGTTGAAAGCACAGTGATTAAAAATAATATGCATTAGGAAGGTCACATTCCTTAAATCTTCCAGGCATGGGTTACTTATTAGCCCAAATAAATTCCTAATTGGTAGTTATAGCAGGCAGCATAGAAGAGACTGGCTTGGAAGTAAGTCTTTCATACACTCGCAACCTATGGAGAAGGCCACCTGGCTACATCTTTCAAAATCGTAACTGCCCCTGCCTTTTAATCCAGCCATTCTAGGAATTTATCCTACAGCTTTACTTGCACATGTGTGAAATGACACGTGGAAAAGACTGCTCACTTTGCAGCACTCTGCGTAAGAGCAAAAGGTTATAATGTCCATGAACAAGAGACTGGTTAAATAAATTATGGTATAAACACATAAAGGAACATTTTGCAGTGCCATTTAACAAAAAAAGCAGGAGCTGCCTATGTCCTAATTACATAGTCACAAACTGCTTGAGAGTCAGCTCCAAGAAACATGTTGAGTGAGAAAAAAGGCAAGGTGCAGAAGAATATATACAGTTTGATACCATTTTGGAAAAATAAAAGAGGGAAGAGAAATAGTATACATGTTTGTATTATATATGTAATTATGCACAGTGACTCTGGGGAATAGCCTGAGTGGCTGAGGAAATGGGGCAGGAAAAGGGGCTTTTCACTGTAGATGCTTTCCAACTCTTCAAATTTTGAGCCATATAAATGTATTAATTGCCCACATCTTACACCCCTAAATCTAGCTCTACTTCTGTTTACTTTCAAATGTTTCAGCTAAATTGGAAACCAGCTTATTTAAACACGCCTTCTTTCTCTCCATCTTTGCTGGCAATGTCCTCTTTCCCTTTCTTCTAATGAAATTTTACATTTCCTTACATTGTGGAAATCAAATCTCCTTTTCTTTGTGCGTTTCTCCTCTACATGCTAATTCTGTTTGGAAATCATTTCTTCTTCCTAGGAATACCCGTAAGAACCTGCAATATACCCTTCTTCAGATTTCTAGGCAATGGGTTCATACCTAGTGAACAAAGTCCCAACCCCATCAAGCCCTCACAGACATTAAACAAATTAAACTCCAGAATTTATAGTCTATTGCTCTTAAGTGGTGGTCAAAACAGCTTTTCAATTGTGGAGAGACTAGACACAAAGGATGCAGAAAAAAAAATGAGAATTAGTATGAATAAGAGAAATTGCTGCATTAATAGGGAGCTTTTTCAGGTTAAAATTAGCATATTTTTCATCATTTCATGTCAGTGCCCGTATTGCATTTCAGATTTGCTGGGAAGTATCACAGATCCATAAGATAGCCAAGTTTGTAACTGATCTCTAATTAAGCTGACAAATGTCAGACAGTGCTGCTACCAGAATACTCTATTGGTAAAACATGAACTGAAAAAGGGAGAGAAAGTCAAAGGAATAAATCTACACCCCAAATTTCAGTTCCTGATTCATCTATGTTATTGGATCATATGTTCCTGATTCTTATAACTGTATGTGTAGTCAACCGTTTTTGCTCCAAAAGGAAATTTAATCTGGTTAACACCAAAATGTGACTCCAACTGCCTTTTCTTAGTTCTCACTCTCAATGACCTCCATGCAGCACTTGATAGCATCAACCCTTATGTACTTTTGGAAGCGCTTTTGTCCGTAAATGCAGAAACTACATGATTCTTCCTCTTATCTTCCCGGCTCTCTTGGATTTGCTTTGCCCTACACTGATCTTCCCTTCTCCCTCTTGGTCTTCCGCAGGAGCTCAAATACCAAGCCTCACTCCTACCTTTCTGTAAGTTTTTCTTTCTTATAATGATGATTTTCATTACAAAGCTCTTCTTACACGATTTAAAAGCATATTGTTCATTTAATAAGCAAAACAGCTTCCTTGTGTGTTAGGTATTTTGTCCTGTCTTTCCTCTACACCATGAAGCCTCTGTTGAGGTGTTTATTTCCACAAAGGCAGGTGAGAGACAAGCAGAGTTAAGAATATGGTTTGGGCTGGGCGTGGTAGCTCAAACATGTAATCCCAGCACCGTGGGAGGCCGAGGCAGGCGGATCACCTGAGGTCAGGAGTTCGAGACCAGCATGGCCAAAATGGTGAAAGCCTGTCTCTACTGAAAATACAAAAATTAGTTGGGCATGGTAGTGTGTGCCTGTAACCCCAGCTACTTAGAAGGCTGAGGCAAGAGAACTGCTTGAACCTGGGAGGCGGAGGTTGCAGTAAGCTGAGATCGTGCCACTGCACTCCAGCCTAGGCGACAGAGCAAGACTCCTTCTCCAAAAAAAAAAAAAAAAAAAAAAAAAGATATCATTTCACCTGCCACTTATGAGTTATGCAACCTTTGGCAGAGTAGTTACATTGCTCCAGTCACAGCTTCCCCCATATAAGATGTGTACACAAATTGAGTATCCTTTGTCCAAAACGTCTCAAACCAGAAGTGATTGATTTCTGATATTTTCAGATTTTTGAATATTTGCATATACATAATGCGGTATCTTGAAGATGGGACACAGGTCTAATATGAAATTCAATTCATAAGGTGTTTCATAAACACCTTACACACAGCCTGAAGCTAACTTTATATATTTTTAATAATGTTGTGCGCGAAATGAAGTTTTGACTGTGACCCATCAAATGAGGTCAGGTGTAGAATTTTCCACTTTGAGGTGTCATGTCAGTGCTCAAAATGTTTCAGATTAGGGATGTTCAACCTGCAATAATACCTCTTTCCAAAGGGATACTGAATTAAAATGTGATTATGATAACACTTAAGTATTACTTATTATGTGCCAGACATTGTTATGGACTTTATATATATCAATTCATTTCATTCTCACAAGAATCCTACTATTAAATCCCTTTTACAGGTGAGGACATTGAAGCACAGACAGCATGTCTGTGAAGCACTTATCACTGTAGCTAGTATGCACTCAACAAATAGTGGCTCCTGTTATGATCACCTCTGTGCTGTCACTCTCAAATATACACCTCATCAAATATATACGCTCATTCGCTTAAACTCTGCTAGGAGAGTTCCACAAGGTGTCTTACCAACACAAACACAAGAATGTCAAAAATCAAACTCCACACCTCAATCCCCTCCACCCCACCACAGCCCACCTAAATACAAAGCGTGGTTCTCCTCTCAACTTCTTTCTCTGGGTCAACAGTCACCTAGCTTCAACTCAGAGCCATCCCCAACGCTCTTCTCTTCTGTTGCTGTCTCCAATCCACCTCCAGTCTTGGGATTTCTTCCTACGTGGACTTCCCTCTCCTTCACTGCCATTTCCTCTGCTCCTGTCCTGCAAAAGGACTGGATTCTGGAGCCAAACAAACTTCACTAAATGTACATTTGCGGAAAAACGGTGTAATTTGTATAAAATTTGATGAAAATAGAAGCAGTAACACTTCAAAGTCCATGGGTGAAAGTCAGCCAAGGGTGAAGAGGCAGAACAGCCACCTGACTGTACAGGCAGCGAGACACAAACACAGCAGTAAGTATGTGATCAGATTGTAATCCATTCTCAGGTTAACCAAGAGTATTGTTCAGATGGCCTCAAAGGCATCCAAAAAAAAAAAAAAAACCATAATAGAATCTTAAAACAGACCATCATAAGGGAAAGGGGAGGCGATTAAGGATATGAGGATTAATGAAATCTCAGTGAGGCAAAGGAGTGTAGAAACACCAACATGAAATTGAATAACAAGGCTCATGTTAATCTGAAGCAGAAGTGTCAGTTCATATGATCTGGTTTTGTTTTTATCTCACACAAAAGAAAGCCAACTCATATCTCAAGGGTGAGGGGGAAAAGAAGCTAACCACAGTTATGCCATTCTTATGTTTCATTTTAGCAGCCTGACAAGCCAGCACTATGTGTCTCCAACTGTCAATAGGGCTGAGAGAACCACTTAAGCTAATTAACTGGTTAGGTTTTTGAAATGCAATAAGAACTGTACATCAGCATTGTTTAATTATTTCGAAACTGCAAATGCTAAATAAATACTGCAAGCCTTTGATAAAGAAGTAGCACTGCTATTTTATAATGCATTATTATCAAACATTAGTGAATAAGGGTGAGCATACAGAAGCAAATAAGGTTCCAACAGCAGGATTCCAAACTGCATATTGAAGAAAAACATACAGTTCATAAATAGAGCAATTTGTAGTACTGTCCAACATATAAAAAATAAACAGTTAATTCAAGTACAGGTCAAATTGATACGTTTATACAAACAGGTGCCCAAAAAGAATATCAGTTCAACATACAGAAAGCAAAAAGCAATAAGCTAAAATCCCCTTGAATAACAAAACAAATGAGATACTCACATGTATTAAATATTTCTTCATTAATTTGTCAAATGGCATGCTGTATGAAATTTTGTTTATAACTTCCTTTAGAAATAATAACCAGTGTCTAAATTTAAAAATAATTAAAGCCAATGCTCTAATTTTAAACAGGATTAATAATAACATCAAGAAAAAGTAACATTTTAGTCATACAGTGAATTTATTAGAGCCAAAATTAAAGGATGAACTGGCCAAGCACCATGGCTTCTGCCTGTAATCCCAGCCACTTTGGGAGGCCACAGCAGGCATATCACTTGAGGTCAGGAGTTCAAGATCAACCTGGCCAACATAGTGAAACCCCATCTCTACTAAAATTATGAAAAAAAAAATTGGCCAGGCATGGTGGCACATATCTGTAGTCCCAGCTACTCAGGAGACTGAGGCACAAGAATTGCTTGAACCTGGGAGGCAGATGTGGCAGTAAGCCGAGACCGCACCACTGCATTCCAGCCTGGGTGACAGCAAGACTCTACTTCAAAAAAAAAAATGAAAGAATGAACTATGGCGTTCTCCATTTTATCATACACTCGCCTTTGCCTAAGTCTTTTTAGGTTCTCTCTCTCTCTGCTTCCCAGCCCCCTGCTTATACCCTTCTCATCCACCTGTGTTTGCTGAGAGCAGGGCTATATTTCCCTCTTTCTCCAGAGCCTGGTAGGATGCCTCACCTGTGCTAGTCACTCAGTAAGTGGCAGTTAAATGATTTGTTTTCAAGGCCCTCTCTGCCACAAAAGTGGGAACTCCTTGAGGAGAAGGACAAATTCTTAGTTATCCTTGTATACCCAATGCCTAGAACAGTACCTGACACATAATATTCCATTGTGTAACTGCAAAATGAAAGAACTTCATCTTCAATTTATAGTATCCAGCTTGGGAGTTTATAATATTTTATAATGTAGGTCACTAGCAGAAAGCTGGTTTCCTAAAAATACGTCTAATTTCTTAAATGAAAGCTGGCTGCCCAGTATCACACCCTTAGATAACATATTTCTGGATGTAAGTATCCCGCCACTATGTTGATTTTTTCCTTCATTTTACTGGTTCACTCATTCATACCTTTTAATTGCAGAGATTAAAGCAGGTTGCTGAGACCAGTCAACCAAGGCACTGTCACCAAAAGTGTCACTTGGCAGGATGGTCACCAGAAGTATCACTTGGCAGGATGCAAATGCCATGAAGGCTAGCATCATGCAAGAGACCTTGTGAAAGCTCTGTTTTCAATCAGCCCCTGAAGGAACACAACATTGGGTAATGGCTATGAGCAAAGATTATGTGTTTTACAAAATTCCTGCTGGGATCTATGAAATTTTTCACGCAAAGTTCCAGAAAGTGCTGAATAGGTTGTGAACGAAGCAGGAAAGAGGAGCCAGTGTGCAAGGACTTCTTTCACCCCACGCATCATTAGTGCAGAGCAGTAGCCCTTGTCTCTGTTATTTGTTTGTTTTCCTACCTAGTAAGGGAGAGACAGAGCAATTCTGGGTGAAAGGATAATCTCTGCCCTTTCCTCTAGCATTCTTGATCCCATTGGCAACCAATTCTCTGTGCCTCATCCACTCTAGTTTATTCAATCTTGTCTACAAAGAGTTTAAAACTAAAAAAGGATATTTTCTGCTTGTTTGAGTAAAAAAGTAGACTGCTTACATTACAAATGTACTGTTCACATTTATCTTATAAAATAGAAACTCCTCGATTCAATTAACTTCCTAAATTCATTTTGTGTATATGGATGTATACACGCACATGTTTAAGTCTCCTGTATATATGGGTATGTTCCTACATGGACATTGTGCATGCTTTCTCCAGCATTCAAAAAGTCTGATGGTCAAATATTATTTTCCCCTAAACATCCCCTCGTGTCAAACACATCCAAAAACTAGGAGGTTGGTTTATTCTCGTTTAGTGCCCTGGTCTGGATGATAAAACTAAGTGTTTTCAGTATGATGTTTCACTTAATCCACAAAACGATCTATAGAATAACTAACCAAAGCTCAAGTAGATTAACGAACTGGCCCACAGTTGGAGAGAGAGAGAAGATTTAAACAAGGTCTGTCCGACCAGAGTGCCTGTTCTTGACAATCATATGCCAAGCCAGTCCATTGGAGAGGAAAAAAATAACCCAGGGAGGATCCCTCAGACACAACGAGTAACTCCACAGAAAGAAACACATTTGTTACTTAAGGGTAAATCTAGGGCTATTTATATTGTCTGGGCTATCTGAAAAGCTTTCCCACAGATACAGATAGACGGTTTTTAAAGCCAAGAGTCCAGTGTAATATACACATCCAAATTCTATGCCAAGGGCGGATCAGAGAGATGGTAATGGAGTTCACATTTTGAATGCATAGGATTTTAAATGAGAACAAAAATCACGTGGATTAACCACTTAACTTGTTCTAGAGTTTGTTTAGAAAATTAAGCACAACAGACGAGGAGCGGTGGCTCACGCCTGTAATCCCAGCACTTTGGGAGGCCAAGGCAGGTGGATCACTTGAGGTCAGGAGTTTGAGACCAGCCTGAGCAATATGGCGAAACCCTGTCTCCACTAAAAATACAAAAATTAGCTGGGCATAGTGAGGTATGCCTGTAATCCCACCTACTCAGGAGGCTGATGCAGAAGAATCACTTGAACCTGGGAGGCAGAGGTTGCAGTGAGCTGAGAACATGCCACTGCACTATAGCCTGGGCGACAAAGCAAGACTCTCTCAAAAAAAAAAAAAAAAAAGAAAGAAAGAAAAGAAAAGAAAATTAAGCACAACAGAACTACACTGAAGCAGTAAATAACTAAGTACAATCAAGATGACTAGTGTCCATTAATTCTCTTGCAGAATTCACTACCTGCTACTACTGTGTCAGCTCTATTGCTAAAGTGAGCTTTCCTTATAACCATATCTGATAACACTACCTCCTGCTCAAAATCCTTCTAGATCTACATGTTACTCCAGCATGGGGTAAACCCAAAAGCTTTCAAAGGCAACAAACAGATAAAACAGTCTAGCATGAAACTAAAGACAGGCAGAGATTTTGGGGGAGCTAGAGAGAGCACAGAGATCTGTAAAAGCATATACATTCAAATTTTGTGGCATACTATATTCAGAATAAATACAAAAACCGGTGGTCAGCCCACAGCCTGTTTGCATGCAACTTGGGCACTTCAGTGTTTAAAATCTGTGCTCCTTTGTGCAGTGATAAGGCTCTGAATCTTCTGGACACATTGGGTCTAAGTTTTACCCCCAGTTACTCTTACTCTCCACCTCACACTTCAACTCCTATAATACCAGAGTACTCATACAGCCACCAATATGCCACACTTAGTTCTTGTGAAAAGCATTCCAAGATTAAGGAAAGTGTTTTTTGTTTTTGTTTTTGTTTTTTTTTTTGGTTTTTTTTTACAAATGAGGAAGTCTGAGTAGACCAGTGTTGGACTAGATCCTCTTTAAAAATAAGAAAACCAAGGCTTTCCAAAGTCACAAAGCCTGCCTCAGGTAGGACATCGTCAGAACCCACACCCTCTGGCAACTGTTAGTTCAGTTCTGAAAATTCACTTGTTTTTGTTCAGAATCTTTCTGAACACAGGCAGTTCCTTTTCTACACAAGTTTCATTTGAATATTTTCACTTACTTAATACAAACATTAAGACCTCAATCTTACGATATACATTACAGAGCACAAAATTAACATTACATTATTTTAAACTTCATGCCTTTGAAAATGCTCCAAAATAGCTTTTACATTCTTGTCCAACCAAAACACATCTGTTAAACTACCAATTACAGTAGCATTTAAAAGCCTCCCATATTGTACTACTGGACAGTACTGGACCATTTACCAAGGCTGCAGTTGTTCAAGCTCTGAAGTAATTGACTTCAGTCATGCAAAAAGACTGATAAGAATCAACTGGCTTTCAGCCCAGAGAAGCTTTCCAAACCAGTTTGGAAGTATTTAATGATTTTAAACATGTCAAAACTTTTTACTGAATATTCTTTCACAACAAAAATAATGTCAAGCCTAAGGGCAGACTAACAAGTTGTTTAGATGACAAAAGAAGTCAACAGTCACTATTAATAATAATACTGCAGATTCTCTGTTCTGAGAGTAAATTAACTTGTTTATCAACCATGGCAGAAAATAATAAAACATACAAAAAAGAGGTAAATTATTACAAATCAGTGATAACAATGACAAAGCCATACACCGGAAGAAATCTACTGTTTGCAGCTATTAATATAAGTTATTTAAATATACACAGAAACATATATAGGCACACCTTGTCTTACTGCACTTAGCTTTCTTGTGCTTCACAGATATTATGTTTTTCAAATTGAGGGCTTTAATTTGTAAAATTACAAATTTTGGAGGTTTGTGGCAGCCCATGTCCAGCAAGTCTATTGATGCCATTTTTCCAATAGCATCAGCTCACTTCACGTCTCTGTGCAGGCATTTTTTAGAAAATGTTTAATTAAGGTATGTACTCTTGTTAGCCATAATGCTATTGCTCACTTAACAGACTACAAAATAGCATAAACACAACTTTTATATGCACTGGGAAACCACAAAATTTGTGTGATTCACTTTATTGCAATGGTCTGGACCCTAACCTGCAATATCTCCAAGGTATGCCTGTATATGGAATAAATAAATATATATATAATATAAATAAATATATATATTATATATATATATATATATATATATATATATATATATATATATATGTAAGATATTTCAAATCCCTGTAATGCAGCTTGGAAACAGAGTACCCCAGTATCCAGTCAGACGCACAGTGCCCTCACTCTTTCAGAAGAGCACACAAGTGAGCAACCAGCATGGAAATAGACTATTCTCTTAGGTAGTAACTACTGTACCATTTTACATCAAAAAGCTGATAGGATACTGAGTCTCCATATCTTATTGTATTTGTGCTCTCTTTACTCTTTACTCAGATATCTAGATATTACCTGTCATCTTTCTCATAGGTGCAAATAAACTTTTATTTACCAAAGTCATTAAGCTGCTAAATAATCCCTCTTTCGGTTAGAACAAAAAGACCTGTTTTTCATGGTATTTATGAGTCAGCATCACAAATCAAACAAAAAACACCATCAAATAGTCAAAACGTTCAAATAACCTTAAATGAGCAATAATAACTAACAATTCTCCAAAATTCATTTCCCACCATTTGAAAGAAGCAACCATTCATCACTTTAATGATGTAAATGGGTAAAATGAAATGAAATTACAAAATTTTAAATTACAGGAATCTTAGAGATCTTCTAATAAGTAAGCTCATAAGAAACAGAAGTATAGGTCAGGCATGGTGACTCACACCTGTAATCCCAACACTTTGGGAGGCTAAGGCGGGCAGATCACCTGAGGTCAGGAGTTCAAGACCAGCCTGATCAACACGGAGAAACCCTGTTTCTACTAAAAATACAAAATTAGCTGGGTGTGGTGGCATGCAGCTGTAATCCCAGCTACTGGGAAGGCTGAGGCAGGAGAATCACTTGAACCCGGGAGGCAGAGGTTGCAGTGAGCCGAGATAGCACCACTGCACTCCAGAGTGAAACTCTGTCTCAAAAAAAGAAAGAAAGAAAGAAACAGAGGAATAGAAATGTTTCATCTAATTCATAATAAGCCAAAGTTTGCATAATTAAATCTGTATCAATCAGAAGCTATCACATTTATATAAGTGCAAAATAATCTTTACATTCCACATAGCTATAATGCAATCTACTGTTGAGTGTAGAATAAAGTTTATATTAACTAATAGACTCAAAAATATTGCAACTTAAACACATTGGTTTCCATTTTTAAGCTACACAAATAACTAAGGGAAAACTGCAATCAAGAAGAAAAACAACTTTTTGATTTAAACACCTCAAAAATGGCCCAGATGAAAAAAAGCAACAACAAAACTGAACTACTTGAAATTCTCTGCCTTTCACAATGCACATTCTTATTTCACTTGGGAAATTTAATTGTGCTTTGTGTATGACCTTTAAAGCATTGTTGTCACAGCTTGATAACATTCAAATAATTTCAATAAAACACCTACCACAGATGGGAAGTCATAAAATCATAATAGAAATACTCAAACTTTATAATAGTATTTAGGAGAACTTTATTTTCTAAAACTTGGTCTTTGCCTCTTCAGAAATAAACATTGTGCTTCCGAGTGAATTTCTTGGGCAGACACAATAAAAACTACTGAAGTACCTCCTCCATTACTCTCTGAATAGCCAAGCTTCACCATCCTTTATAACAGATATCATTCATTCTCCAGTCTTCATTAAAGCCTTTCCTAAGAATCTCAATTAGATTTTATATATATCCTCCACATATCCTACTGAGTGCAGGATACTGAGCCACATGAAGCTTTCTCAAGTTCTTTTTGCATTTATTTTCCGCATATTATTTTCTGTGACATTGCTCTATCTGTGAGTCACATAAAAGCTAAACCTCAGAAACCAGAT
Source organism: Homo sapiens (assembly GCF_000001405.40). Taxonomy (NCBI): domain Eukaryota; kingdom Metazoa; phylum Chordata; class Mammalia; order Primates; family Hominidae; genus Homo; species Homo sapiens. Next base: position 3,402,066 of record NC_000007.14, on the reverse strand, counting down.
TGAGTTCCATGAGGACAGGATCCAGTTTTGTGCTTCTTTTATATCTCCCACAATAGCTAGCTCAAGGTACATATTCAGCAGGTGTTCTTACCTCCTAATCGACAGATGCAGTAAAGACAGCTACACACATACGTAAGAACATGATATAAACTCCTAGCAAACGCCATGCACTGGTCTTCAAATCCAGATAGTTAAATAGTGATAACATTTAATAACTAGGCATTTATACAAATGCCATTTGTGCTCATTTTGGCCAAGATTCAGATGTTAACAGTTTAAGTATTTGAAAAATTAAGGGGTAATTCATACATTCTAATACTAGTAGATACAAAATTATTACACATCAGTAGCATTATCTCCATAATAAAAAAAAAAAATAAGGCTCAGAGAAGTAATGTAACTGCCCAAAGTGCAAGTAAGAAGTAAATCTGGAAGTCAAACTTGGGTCTTCCCATCCAGTGAACTACGGCTGGCTCAGTATATTGTGGCCACAGCCTCTTCAAGACTCACCTGGGCCATGAGTGGTCTTGTTATTTTCCCCCAGCAAACCATAAAATTATGAAGTCCTATGGGTTCCATACATGGAATAGTTTGGCAAGTACCATTTGACTCTACAGATGCTCTCTCTCAAAAAGTCTTTGAATAAAATATATTACCCAGTGGTGACACTGCCATTTTCAAGGCCCCATAATGCTCTTGTCACACAGTAAACAGGAAAATTGTAATTGTTTAAACTTCCAAGTTATCAGTTACCTTTCCATTCTGATCCTGCCTCCATGATATTATGCTCAACTCATCTTGATTGGAATTCTGTGTATTCCCCCAAATCTTGTCATGTGATTATTCTAGAAGACCTCTTGAATGCTCGTGTAAGTGGCTGACATCATCAAGTATGGATTTTAGTAAGTGAAGCGTGATCTGTATATTTTTCAGACTCACAATGACAGCTCCCTATGTATCTTCTAAATCCATCAGGACACATTACGGAGCTGAGGGCTATGAGGCTGCGGATGGCAGCAGGGACCCACGCAGAGGCAGTATTAGATGACTACTCATCTCGAACTGGCACTGGCTGCTGTCCCTTCCCTTCTCATCATCACTGTCCTGTCCTGACACTGGAGTTCGGCCAGCTGAGGCAGACCTACACGAGACTGGGTAGAGATAAGCTCCATAAGCAATTCCTCTGGCCGTAAGAATGGCTTTGAAAACTGAGGTTGAAGCTCCTTTATAAAGCTCTGTTGCATAATAGATTCCTCATCTCATGTGTTAACATGAAGGCAAACACAACCATAAAATGTTTTTGCCTGTGTATATATTTTTAATTACGCCATAAGAATCCATGAACCCACCAACTACAAAATAAAACTGGACCTTAATTATGACACATATATTTCTAGGTAACCCCCACTCCCATCCTTTGGTCTGCCACCATCTGAGGTAACCACTATCCAGAATCCTGTACTTTACTTTTTATAGTTTTATGTTTATCTATTTTTGTGTAATACAAATACTGTGTATATTTTTATGTATTTATAAGTACATACGTTCTTTTCATTGTTTCTAAGTTGATAAAATGGGTAAAGGCTGTATGTAACCTTCAGGGACTTACTTTTTCACTTGTTATAAAAATTCATCCATTCGAAGTTGGGGGCACTCTCAGAATGGTGGAGTGAAGATCTGTGGAAACGCTCCCATGCATAAAAACAATGAAAATGCTGCCACAATTTTCAAAATCAACTTTTTTGAAAATTCTGAAAATTAACCAAAGCTGTACAACAATCTAAAGCATTATCTTAGGAAAGCTGCTGAATCTTGGCTAGAAAGGCTTGGTTCATGGCATTTTAACTTGGTCTACTCCATCCCTCTCTCCTAAGCTCCATTCACAGTAGGCTAAGAACCAGCAGCCTCCCTAACAATGTGAAAATGTGTAGTCCTGTAGCCACCAGAGGGAGCAGACCCAGTTCAGACTTCCCCAAAAGCGCCCTCTCTGGAGCACTGTCACTGTCTGACCTGCTTCACAGCTCTCAGGGAAGCCCCATTCACAAGGCATTATCATTACTTGATGTCATGCAGAGCTCACCAAGCAGGAGAAGCCCTCTACCCTAGGGCATTTGTCAAAAACAATCAGCTGCAATTGATTAACACCACAGCTATTAAGTCGGCCATACCAGTTGGGCAGCCAAGAGTCCAGCCAAAAATTTAAATGGGAGACCTGTGAAATGAGATGTCCACAGTGGGTATCTGGAACTCCACACACATGTACCGGGCCATATACAAGCCGAGGAAAGAGCCATACACAACACATATACAGAGCCCCTCACAGAAGGATGGGAGACTTAGTAAAAGGGATTTGTGTCCAATCATCAACTGACCACTAATCAAACCCAACAGAGATTTCAGTGTCCCCACACAATGAAGAAAATAAACTTTATGAGATTAGTCCAGAGAAGTCACTATACGAAGTAACAGCAGCCTTATCAACAGGATGATACTCTGGGGGGATAACAAATTTGAACTTCCAAAGTTTACACATTAAATAATTTAAAATTTATAGTGTTTAACCAAAATATGAAGCATGCAAAGATATAGGAATGTACAGACCATACACAGGAAAAGGAGTCAATAGAAGCTGTCCCTGATGAAGCCTAGATGTTGAACTTAAGACGTAAACTTTAAAGGAAACCATCATGCTCATACTTTCCTTTAATTCTTTAACTCTCACAAAATAAAAAATGTCAAGAAAGAGACAGACATCACAAAAAGGAACAAAATTAAAACTCTGGAATTGAAAGGTATGATAACTGAAAGGAAATATTCATGTAAGGAGTCCACAGCTGACAAAAATGAGCAGAAAAAAGACCCAGCAAATTCAAAGATACATTGAGATTATGTGGTCTGAGGAAAAGAATAAATTATGAAAAAAAAATGAAAAGAATCTCTGGCACCTCTGGGACATCCCCAAGTGCATGAAGTTACACATAACTGGGGTCCTAAAAGAAGAGAGAAAGAATAACTGAAGAGATAATACTGCTGGTTTCTGTTGCAACATGTAAAGAGCTCGGAAGTCCCACTCTCCCAACATGAAAAATAGTGGAAAACTTGAACATGGACAATTCTTAGATACACCAGAGAACTGAGGTCTCAGGGCAAATAGTTGCACTGAAAACTGGAGACACAAAATCACAGCTTACTAGGAGGAGCGCTACTAGAGGAAATAACTGTAGGAACACTTAAGTGGTAACTCACTATTTGCTGGAGGCTGAGTATAAACTAGCTTGAGGAAAAAAAAAAAAAAAAACTACTGGGGGCTCAGTCTTAGGGGACCCATACACTTTCATAAGTTTTACCCCCAGAAGTCCCACTATGTTCTCCTGGTGAAGACTGGAGGTTAAAAAAATAAATAAATAAAAATAAAAATAAAATAATAAATAAATCATGTGCTCAGCAAGGGCAAGGGGAAAAGTAAGCATGCCAAAATGCATCTGGGGAAAAGTATTTTGAAATATGCCCGGAGCCTTCTGTTCTATATAATAAAGGCCTTCTCCCAAGGGAAACTACTTTGTCAGAACTTTATGTGACCTAGGGGAAGGTGATTATACAACTCAGTCCCCTCTAGCATCCCTGTCTCACAGAAGAGGAGAAAAAAAAATGCTAAGAAACTCTTCTGAAGGTCACAGCCCAGGGACTCAGGCCTACTAAACAAATCTGAGGTTTATCACAAGATTATAGAATGTTTCCTCTCCGCAACACCTTATCACTACATCAACAGGGCTCTAATAGAACAACAGTGGATTACAACTAAAATAGCTGCAAGGTACAGACTCTACTTAAGGCGGTATTTCTAGGGAAGCCCAAAGAAAATAAAGGAGAAAAAAGCAAGGATACTACGGGAAACTAAAGCCTGTGAAACCTACAGTTACAGAAAAACCTACAGCTACAGAAAACCTACAGTTACAGAAAACGTTAAACCTACAGTTATAGAAAACGTTAAACCTACAAGCCAGATAAACAAAACCTCACACTGAAGACCTATTTACTACTTCAGTTCCTGCTACTCAGTACATCATGCCTGGCTTTCCACAAAAAATTACAAGGCATGCTGAAAGGCAAGAAAACACACAATCTGAAGGGGCAAAGCAAGCATCAGAATCAGACTCATATATGGCAGAGATTATGTAATTATCAAACCAGAAATTCATAACTATGATTAATATGCCAAAAGCTCTAATGGAAAAAAGTGTAAAACATGCAAGAAGAGGTGGGTAATGTAAGCAGAGATAAAAACCCTAAGAACAAATTTTTAAAAACCGCAAAAACACTACAACAGAAATGATAGCCAAAAATGTCTAGTTTGATGAGAAACATTAAATTACATATCCAAGAAGTTCAATGAACTCCAAATAGGGTAACTCAAAGAGTCAAACACACATTAAGACAAAATGTTCAAAGACAGAATCTGTAAAACAACAGAAAAAATGACTTGCATATTACAGGGAATCCTCTATAAGATTAACAGCTGACTTCTTGTTAGAAACCATAAAGACCAGAAGGCACTGATGTGACATATTCAAAGCGCTGGGGGGGGGAAAGAAAAGACTACGAACCAAAAATTATATATCCAGCAAAACTATCCTTCAAAAACGAAAATTAAAATATTCCCATATAAAGAAAAAATGAGAGAATTTGTCACCAGCAGAATTGCTCTACAAGAAACACTAAAGGATTACTTCCAGCTGAAGTAATTCAAATCCATATGAAAAAAATTTGAAAGTACCAATAAAGGCAATTAAATAGGTAAATATAAAATACAATATAATTGTTTTTGAGAACGCTTTTCTCCTATTTGTTTTAAAAGGCAACTGTATAAAGCAATAATTATAAAACTTTGTTGATAGGCTTATAACATATAAATACATAATTTATAAGGCAAAAAAAGCATGCAAGTGAGAAAAAATTCTGTGTATGTTTGAAATTATGCCAGGATTAACCTGAACTGAATTTTAAGTTATTTGTTATGATCCCCAGGATAACCACTAAGAAAGTAACTCAAAATATATACTAAAAGAAACAACAAGAATGATGCATTTAAGAAAAGAATCCATTTAACACAAAAGAAAGCAGTCATGGAGGAATGAAGGAACAAAAAATATATAACATTTATAGAAAACATATAATGAAAAGGTATACTTAAATCTTAATAATTACATTAAATATAAATAAATATAAATGAATTAGACCATCTAATCAAAAGGTGCAGATTAACAGTATAGACTGAGAAAAATAAACTTGACAACCATATGCTGTCTGGAAGAGATTCACATTAGATACAAAGATACAGATCAGTTGAAAACAAAAGGATGGGAAAAGATATATCATGAAAACAGTAATCAGAGGACAGCTATATTAATATCAGACAAAATGAATTTAAAGACAAAAATTGTTACTAGAAAGAAAAGGAAATTTTATAATAAGAGGGTAATTCAGCAGGTAAAGATAACAATTTATAAATATGTATGCAGTAACAGGGGTCCAAAATACATAAAACTAAAACTGACAAAATTAAAGAGAAACAATAGTTGAACATTTCAATTTTCAATAATGAATAGAACAAGTAGACAGAAGATCAACAAAAATACAGAAGACTTATAACACTGCCAATCAACTTACCTTAACACACATCTAAAGCACACTCCACACAACAGCAGCAAAATAATCATTCTTTTCAAGCTGCCATAGAACCCAAGATAAGTCATATGCTGGACCACAAAGAAAGCATTAGCAGATTTAAAAGGATTAAAATCGTATAAAGTATATTTACCAACAATAATGCAGTTATTTCTAAATACGGGTCAAAGAAAAATTTTTTTAAAATTACAAGGGGGAATGAGCAAGTATTTTAATCTGAATAATAGAAATACAACTCATGTCCAAGTGTATGAGATGCAGCTAACACAAGACTTAGAAAAAAACGTATAGTGTTAACATTCCTATATTAAAGAAAAAAATCTCAAATCAATAATCTAAGAATTCACCTTTAAAATGTAGAAAACAGAAGACTAAACCATATCAAGGGAAAACAGAATGAAGAAAATAAAGATGACAGGAGAAATTAAAGAAATGTAAAACAGAAAAACAACAGAGGAAAAATTAAAAGGTGGTTCTTTAAAAACAAAATTGGCAAACCCTTGGCAAAGAGAGAGAGAAAGAAAACCACAAAAATCAGGAATGAAAGAGAGATGATTACCACTGACCCCTCACAGATTAGAAAGACAAAGAAATATTAACAACTTTACGCCAACAAATTCAACAACTTAAATAGACAAATTCCTAAAAAGTCACGAATGACCAAAACTGACTAAAGAAGGAATAGAAAATCTCAATACATCTACAGCAAGTACAAAAATTAAATGAGCTTTTAAAATATGTTCCCACAAAGAAAAGTCCAGGCTCAGATTCCTTCACTGGGGAATTTCATCAAACACTGAAGGAGGAAATAATATTAATACTCCACAAATTCTTCCGAGAAGTATAAGAAGTAGATTTAAGAATATTACTCACATCTCATTCTAGAATATTCCCACTCATTATGGGATGCAATAACACCCTGATAGCAAAGCGAGACAAATTATTACCAGAAAGGAAAACTACAAACCAGTATCTCTCACAAACACAGATGCAAAAATCCTCAATAAAATATTAGTGAACCAAATTCAACAACATATAAAAAAAGATGATAAGCCATCTTTTTTAATTACCCCAGAAATGTGAGGTTTTAACAGCTAAAAATCAATTAAAGTAATGCATCATATTAATACAGAATAAAAACCAAATGAACATCTCAACAGGTACAGAGAAAACATTTGACAAAATCCAATGTGCATTCAAGATAAAAAGTCTCAGCAACCTTAGAATAGAACCTGGTAACATGTGCAAAAAACCTACAGTGAATATAATACATATTGGTGAAAGACCAAATTCTTTTCCTCTAAGACAGGGTAAAAGGCACAGATGTCCACTCTCATCTCCTCTATTCAGCACAGCACTGGAAGCTCTAACCACCCAAGAAAAACAAATAAAAGACATTCGGTTTGTAAAGAAAGTGGTAAAACTGTCTTTGTTTGAAGATGACATGATCCTGTATATAGAAAACCCCAAAGAGTCCACAAAAAAACTATTAGAACTAATTTTTAAAAAGCACATCTAGTTCACAGGATATAATACAAGATCAATATATAAAAATCAATTATATTTCTATAAGCAATAAACAATCTGGAAGTAAAATTAAGAGACACATTCACAATAGCATTAAAAAAGTACATACAAATAAAGGTAACATAAGAACAAGACTTGTACTGTAAAAATTATAAAGCTTTGAAGAAAATTCAAGTTTTTTTAAATGATGAGACATTCAATATTTATGGATCGAAAGACTCAATATTGTTAAAATGGCAATTCTCCCCAAATTGATCTATACATTCAAAATAATCCCTATCAAATTCCAGGAGGCTTATTCCCACAGAAATTGATAAGCAGGTCCTAAAATGCAAATGAAAATGCAAAACATTTAGAATAATCAAAACAATTTTGAAAAAAAACTGGAGGTCTTTTCTAAATTTCAAATCTTATATAAAGGTACAGTGATCAAAGCATTATAGTACTAATAAAAATCATTGATCAATGGCACATAATTACGAATCCAGCAATAAATTCTTATATTTATTATCCACTGATTTTTAACAAACATGCCAAGGCAATACACTAGGGAATAGATAATACGTTCACCAAATAAAACCAGAACAATTGGATATCCACATGCAAAAAGATGATCTTAGACCCTACACAAAGTTAACTCAAAATGAGGGTCGGGGGAGAAGTAGAGGAGAGACTGACTCCATGTGTTTGGGAGAAAAGGAGGAGAACAATATCTCTGTCTGGTAATCCAGAGAGTTCTTCTGGATCTTATCCAAGACTACCAAGACAGTACCTATAGAAGTCTGCAAGAACCAGTGTTACTGGCCTTAGGGTGCCCCCTAATGCAGATATGGCTTACCCAACTCCTTTTGAATATCTGGAAAGCCTTCCCAAGAAGGATGGGTACAAATAAGCCCAAATGATGAACACTATAATAAATGCCTAACTCTTTAAAGCTCAGATACTGACAAACATCCACAAGCATCAAGACCATCCGGGAAAACACGACCTCACAAACTGAACTAAATAAGACAACAGTGAACAATCCTTAAGAAACAGATATACATGACCTTTCAAGAACTCAAAATAGCTGTTTTGAAGAAACTCAAATTCAAGAAAACACAGAGAAAAAATTCAGAATACTATCAGATAAATTTAACAGAGATTGAAATAATTAAAAAGAATCAAGCAGAAATTCTGGAGTTGAAAAATGTAACTGAAGTACTGAAGAATGCAACAGAATCACATTCATTTTAACTTGTAGCCCATTCATTTTAACTGCTACGTAGTATTCTGATCTGCGAATAATCCAGTTTTATCTACTCTTTCCCGATATTCCCTTGAGTTGTTTTTCACTTGACTGTGCTGCAATGAACATTTCTGTACAGATACCACTTCACATAGCTATAGGAAAGGAAAATTAAAAATAACATGTTGGCAAGAATGTAAAAAAGTTGGAACTCTCAAACATTTCTGTTAAGTAGTATAATGGTGCAGCCACTGTGAAAAACATTTTGGCATTTCCTCATAAAGCTAAACACAGAATTATCATATGATTGAACAACTTCACTCCTGGGTATACATCCAAAAGAACTGAAAATAGGGGCCGGGTGTGGTGGCTTATACCTGTAATCCCAGCACTGTGGGAGGCTGAGGTAGGTGGATCACCTGAGGTCAGGAGTTCAAGACCAGGCTGGCCAACATGATGAAACCCCACCTCTACTAAAAATACAAAAAATTAGCCAGGCGTGGTGGCAGGCACCTGTAATCTCAGCTACTCAGGAGACTGAGACAGGACAATCGCTTGAACCTAGGAGGCGGAGATTGCAGTGAGCTGAGATCACGCCACTGTACTACAGCCTGGGGAACAAGAGCAAAACTCCATCTCAAAAAAGAAAAAAAAAAAAAAAAAAATTTAAAACAGGGACTCAAACAGATACCTGTAAGCCAATGTTCATCATGAGCAATATTTGCAATAGCCAAAAGGAGGCAACAACCCAAGTGTCCATCAACAAATGAATGAATACACGAAATGCGATATACGCATACACTGGAATATTATTATTCAGCCAAAAAAGGAATTAAGTTCTGTTACATGCTATAATATGAATGAATCTTGAAAACATCATGAAAATAAAATTATTAAATAAGTTAGGTAAAAAAAGATATGTGTTGTATGATTTTACATAAATACCTAGAGTAGACAAATTCATAAAGACAAAAAGGAGATTAGAAGTTACCAGGGTTGGAGGGAGGAAGAAATGGGAAATTATTGCTTAGAAGTTGCAGTTTCTGTTTGAAATGACAAAGACGTTTTGGAAATAAATAATGGTGATGGCCATACAACACTGAATACAATGAATGTCACTGAACTGCACTTTTTAAATGGTTAAAATGACAAATTCTATGCTATATGTGTGTATATATATTTTACCACCATAAAAGTATATATAAAAGAAAACTAATGGAGTCATGTCAAAAGGTCACAAGATCCAACTTAAAGGCACCACAATTGGACAAAGATTTGACAATTTGAGTTTCAATAAAAACGAATGACATGAATTAAATACCTCAAGTGTATTTTAAAGTCTCATAAGTTAATAATGATACATTTCTAAGAAATCATTGGTCACAAGTGGAATTTGCTAGAGTACATGGGGTTCATCATGCTTTTCTCTTTACTTCTGTAAAGTTTGAAAATGTCTGTTATGCAAAGGTTTTAAGCGTTCAGTTACTGATTAGAACTGAATTTATGGATTAATGTGGACATGATGGGCATCTTTATAATACTAATACTTTCTATCATGAATGTGGTACACAGGTGCATTTATTTGTCTCCATAAAAGCCTTGTATGGTCTTTGTTGCATTTAAGCTTAGGTAGCATGCATATATATATATATATATATATTACATGATATACATACTTTTAAAAATATTTCAGTTGTTGGCCAAACATGGCGGTTGACACCTGTGATCCCATCACTTTGGGAGGGCAACGCAGGTGCATTGCTTGAGCTCAGGAGTTTGAGACCAGCCTGGGCAACATAGCAAAACCTCACCTCTACAAAAAAATACAAAAATTAGCCAGGCATTATGGCACACACCAGCTACTCGGGAGGCTGAGACAGGAGGATCACTTAAACCTGGCAAGCGGAGGTTGCAGTGAGCCATGATCATGCCACTGCACTCTAACCCAGGAGACAGAGCAAGACCCTGTCTCAAAAAAAAAAAAAAAAAAATCAGTTAACAGGATACATGTATATACTTTTATTCTTTTCTCTGAAAGCCAGTGCCACTGTACATATATATACTTTTAAATTGTTTTTAAACATATTTTGGGTATAATAATTCCTTTGTGGAAAGAAATTTTTTATTCTACAACAGAAAACGTAAAGGAAAAAAAAAATCACTTCCAAATGTACGCTTAAGCAAGACCTCCAGAAACAACTCTATTCCTTAAGATGAGGCATCCTTTTACTTCCAGCAATGCTAGAAGAAACTGCTTACATTCAAAGTGTGTTCCTAAGTCCTGCACAATGGAACCAAGGTCATGTGTGCTTGATAGGATGGAGGTAAAGAATGACAGAAAAGTCATTTTTAAGAGTTGACTTCTATGGAGTCTATCTATTATTTCGCTGGTGAGCTCAGGGCAAATATTACAAGAAAACAAACAAATTGCAGAAGACATAGTACCACTTTATGTAACCTTCCTTCTAGTCCATTTTTGTCCCCTCTTGATCTGGTATGAACTTTGATTTTGTGTCCAAGGTTTTTATATTCTATTCTAAATGTGACCTGGTATAAAAGGTTTAAGAATTACTCAAAGAGCAATGGTAGCTAACAAACTTCCAGAACTCCAAAACTGGAAAACAGCCATAGTATAGACATTGGCTCTGTGGAAGAGTGACATTTTCTGTTGGGTGCTTAAAAATTAATTTGTTAGAGTCCACTATTTTACTTTTACTTGTCAGAAGACATATTCATTTCCTAGGGCTACCATAACAAAATGCCACAAACTGAATGTCCTAAAACAACAGATATTTATTCTCTCAGCTCTGGAGGCCAGAAGTCCAAGATCAAGTTTCAGTAGCTTTGGTTCCTTCCTGAGGGCTCAAAGGGAGAATTTGTTCCACCTCTCTCCTAGCTTCTGGTGGTTCCAACAATACTTGGCATTATTGACTTCGGCAGCATAACTCCAATATCTGCGTCTATCTGCACATGGCACTCTCCCTATGTGTCCCTATGTCCAAAGCCCCCTCATCATATAAGGATACTAGTCATTGGATTATAGTCCGGTCTAATCCTGTATGACCTCATCTTATTTAATTACATCTGCAAAAGCCCAATTTCCAAATAAACTCACATTCATAGGTGAAAATAACTTTTCTGGGGTGACACTATTTAACTCGGTATAGGAAAGATGCTTCCAGATCAATTGTGCACAATAAGAGGATGCACAGTTCTTACAATATTGGCTTCGATAACTGTAATTAGATCAGTGAAGTCACTGTCAGTGGTAAACATTTAAAAGGCTGATGAGCAAAGCTAAACTCTTTTATAGAGATATATTTGACATTCTAAATGAATAAATATGATTCTCTACAACCCTGCTATTCAAAGTATAGTTTGTAGGGCAGGCTGTCAGAAAGGGCACCCTGGAACCCTCCGGCATGAAGCTGAAGCTGCAGACCACAGTTAGAATTTCTTCTCACATTTTACTATAAGCAGCAAGAAGAATCCAAGCAGTACCTTCAACAATTTGCTTGGAAATCTCCTCCTAAATAGCCAACTTCATCACTTACAAATTCTGCTTTCCGTAGAGCTCTAAGACACAATTCAGCTACAGTTTCTGCCACTATATAACAATGATCCACTTTCCCCCACTTACCAATAACAAGCTCATTTCCTTCTAAGCCCTCACCAGCAGTCTTTAATATCTACATTAAACACTTGAACAGTCTGTTCAAGGCAACCTGGGGTTTTTTAATCATGTACCTCAAAATTTTTCAAGCCTCTACTCAATCACCACTTCTAAAGCTGCTTCCACATTTTCAGATATTTGTTACCACAGCACCCCACCTCCAGGTACCAACTTCCACGTTAGTTTTTTGTTTTTGTTTATTTCTGTTGCCCAGGCTGTGGAGTGCAGTGGCACGATCACAGCTCACTGCTCCCTCTACCTCCCAGGCTCAAGCAATTCCCCTGCCTCAGCCTCCTGAGTAGCTTGGACTACAGACTTGAGCCACCACACCTATCCTGTATTAGTTTTCTGTTGCTGCTGTAACAAACTACAATAGACCTATGGCTTAAAATAACATACCTTTATTATCTTACAGTCCTAGAGGCCAGAAGTCCAAAATATGAGTCTAAAGGAATGACAGTGAAGGTGATGGTAGAGCTACACTCCCTTGTCCTTGGCTCATGGCCCATTCCTCCAACTTCAATACCAGAGGTGTAGCATTTTCTCTGACTCTGCTTTGCTCTGTTTATGTCTCGTAGTTGTCTTCTCTTTAGTTAAATATCCTGTTTCCTCTCTCTTATAAGGTCACTTGTAATTGTATTTGGAGCCCACCCAGATAATCCAGGATAATCTCTCCATCTCAAAATCTTTAACTTAATCATATCTGTAGTCTCATTTTATCACTGAAGGTAACATTCACTGGTTCTAGGAATTAGAACCTGGACATCATTGGGGTAACATTATTTAGCCTTCCACATTTGTCTAGAATGCTATTCTCCCCCCACTCCTTTACATCTGCCCTTATTCCTCCCACCACTCATTCCTTGTGGTCCTTCTGTCAGCTTTTACTTAAAATGTCATTTCCTGAGAGGCCTTTCCAAACTACGCTACCAAAAAGTTGACCCCATCAGTGATTCTGTATCACAGGATAATGCTATTTCCTTTCCAGCAGGTATCACGGCTGCTATTAATTGTATTCTCTCATTTGTTTACTTGTTGATTACCAGCTTTCCCACTGGAATGTAAACTCCATTTGGGCAGGCCACCTTCTCTTTATCATCTGTATACTCTAGCATCAAGCATGTGCCTGACACAGTAGGTACTCGATAAACACACGTTGACTTAGTGTGACAGAAATCTCATTTAAAATTGCATCCCATAATATAATATAGTTACATATATCATACTTTATAAAATTCTCCCTTTATCAACTCTTAAAAATGTCAAGGAATAATTTTTAATATCTCATCTCCACTAATGCACGAAACAGCTTATACGTTTCAAACTAGAAAGTACACACAACTACTACTTATGTGGTGAGTATTATATCATCAAAGTTAATATTTGAGAAATTCAACTTTTCTAAATGAGATTTAATAACAATTCTTTGGGAAGCTAAGATGGGGGGATCGCTTGAGCCTAGGAGTTTGAGAATACAATGAGCTATGATCTTGCCACTGCACTCAAGTCTGGGCAACAAAATGAGACCCAGTCTCTTCAAATAAAATTTTCCTTTTTTTTTTTTAATCTTCAATCACATAGCGTTTGACAGATGAGATTTTTTTTTTAATCTTCAATCACATAGCGTTTGACAGATGAGATTCCATAGGTATGGTTTAGACCACAGAGAAAATAAGGCTTATTCAACCTCAGAACTTTACATACATAAAAATATATACACATCCACAGCATTTATAAATAGAAATTTAACAGTGAACCTTATCCCATCTCATTTTATAACTAAAATAACTGAAGACTAGAGAAGCTACTCTGGTCACAGTCACAAATGTGGTGCAGTCACAGAGCCAGAACTGAGAACCCCAGTCTCCAGATTCCCAGAGTGCCTTCTATCTGAACATAAATATAGAATAAAATTAGGACAATGCAGATTTGTATTAACATAGTGGTTGACAGCATGAGCTATGGAGCTAAACAACTTTGGTTTGAATCTCGTTCTCTCACTTAATAGCAAATTATGTAACTTCTATGTAGCACATTTTTCTCATGTGTCAAATAAGGATTATAATATTAGCTACTTAACAGGGTTGTTGTGAGGATTAAGTAAACCGCAACGTGTACAATGTTCAAAATGGTACTGACATGTAGTAAACACTGCATGGACTTTATCAAGTATTATTTTATTAAGCAATATATTTTTCCATTTTTATTGTGGTAATAGACAGGTAACAAAAGATTACCACCTTAAACATTAAATGTACAGTTCAGTGATACTACATACATTCACATCGTTGTGTAATCATCACCACTATACATCCCCAGAACTCTCTTAAGCAATATACTTTATCACACACAAAAATGCAATGGGAATTACCATTTATCCTCACAACAGACCTGGGTACAGGATTAAAAACTCCACTGTGATTGGCATATGCAGCTCTTACATGATGTTGGAAGTGTCAGATTCTGTTATAAACAGGAGACAGTTTTAGAAGGATCTGATCCTTGCTGGTGCCAGTTGCCAAAAAGGAGACAGAGCTTCAGAAATGAAATAACCTTCATCAGGGTGAGCTCCTACAAGGAGGTGGGAGAAGACAGCCCACCTCTGGACTTTGAGGAGATGAGGAATCTCTAAAGGAATTCAGGGGTTGGTGGGGAGGGAGGATGAGGGCCAAGGCAGGAGGGCTATTAAAGGTGCTCTATGCCTTCTGAAGGTAAAGGGAGAACTAGGAAAAACCTCAGTAGGCAATCCCTAGTACACATATAGATGTACTCTGCACAAAGGTGTCTAGCTTGGGGGTATGAGTCGGGCCTGAAATCATGCCCTAGCACCATGCACACCAACTTGGGGCTGGTTCAGAGGCGTGTCAGCCAAGAGTAAACATATGCTCACTTGGGAAACCATTTTTGAAATGTGAAAAGCCACTTACATGCAAGCAACCATCTCAACTAACTGAAGATGAATGTGCCATAGCTCTAAAGTTAGAATGCCTGAATTCATGATTCATGGAGCTCTCTGGGTTTTCCTCTCTTTATTCCTCTGCAGCATTCAGTAAAGATGTCTTTAAACATGACAGCCTTGTGTTAGTTATGACATATGTTGTCTACTCTTGGGCCAAAACGTTGAAGAAGGAGCAGCATCCAGTCCCCCAAAAGATAAACATGGTGATAGCAGCTGCCATCAGCAGAAAACCTGCAAGAAGTCAAGTCCCCGGGACTCACTGGAGGCTGCCCAGTACAGCTGCACTCCCTACCTACAGAAGCTGAACTGGAAAATCTGGGCTTGATTTTCATTAGGAAAGCAGCATTTCCCTGTAAATGGTGAACAGGTGGACTGGGCATAGTTCCAGAAGGAAAATGTTTATAGAAGCTCAGAAAGTCTACTTCCACAAGAATCTCTCAGCAGAGAATACGGAAAATAATTCAAACATCATGAGTAGCCTAGGAGAAACTAGAAATTACTTCTAGACAGCTCTGTTAACTCTAAACAAAATATGAGTGTGTTTTGAAATGATTCCAAGAGTCTGACAAAAAGCTATATAAAGCTAAATCACATTCTAGCCTAAAAAACTTCAACTTTAACTCTTTTAAAGGCAACATCTTTGTTTTACATAAAATATTCAGAAATTCATGATAGCTAAAACTGCAATCTGCATGGTATTAAAAGTATCACCAAACCCAAACTTCTAATAGATAAAGTATAAAACCAAATCTTGCACATCTTTGTATCACTAACCTTACACTACACAATCAGTTATGATAATTTGGCTGGATGCTAATACATAAAACAAGTCTTATTTCTGCTATCCAATTTTTTTTAAAGTTATCAATTTTAACATAAGTGGTTCCATGAATTCCTATGTCTACCTACTCAATCCTGTCAAGAGAAACATTTTCCCATCGTTTATTTGAGTAATATTACTAACGAGTGAAAATCTATAACATTATTTACCACAGCTTCCCTCATGTGGAAAAAAAAAATCCATGCAGAGGAAAGGGAGAGCACATGTATTTTGATTCTACTAGAGAATTTTACAGAAGTATGACTACTAACTAACCTATACATCTGACAGAGTCATTAAAGTGCTGAAATAATGGGTGTAAAAATCATATAAGCAAACAAAAATTTGGTCTAAAGCAATTTTGTTATTGAGAGATATTACAATCCCTTACTAATCGCCACAAAATATGATCTCCATCTCACCTCACTAATGATATGTGCAATAAAATGTCTGATAAGAATTATAAAGGAAAATAAAGTAGGTAAAGGGATAAAGAGATACATACGGGGGCTGTATTTTGGTGGGCAGGGAAGTGAGAGGTTGACTGAGAGCTGAAATAAGATGGAAAGAAATGGCAAGTCACCTTGTTTTAAAGAAGATTCCAGGCAGAGAGACCAGCAGGTGCGATGGGTCTGAGGCTAATCCAGGAAGATTCTGGAGTTTTTTTATTAGAAAAAAAGGATGGAAGTTTTTAAACAGTAGAAAAAAAATTATTGTCTGCTAACAGTAAAAAAATATATTTTTTTATGTTCATTACTTATGAAAATTAGTATCTTCACCAAAAAATGGGAATTTTCTTCCCCTATATATATGAAATGGAAATGTTAAGTTACATTTGTTTTTTAATAAAGCTTTCACCTGTATCAGGATAATACATTCACAGCGTACCTTCCAATTGGTTAAAAATAAGTTTTTGATGTCTTCTATAGATATTTCAACAGTCTTACAAGGTATTATCAATTCATAGAGGAGAAAAACTGAGGCTCAGAAAAAGCCCATAACTTGCCTAAGATGACGTGAGTGGAAAGTGGTAGAATCCATACCTGAACCCAGGTCTCCTGACCCAAAATTCAGGGTCTTTTCCCTCTGACAGACTTAATATTGAAACAGTACTGACAAACTGTTTGTGTTTGATGTTTCAGGTGTCTCTAGAGAGAGCACATCTACTTTCTCCAGAATGTCACACTTTAAGCCAGGGGACAGGGTTTTCTGCATCCTGAAGAAGGCAGCAGGGCGTATGCCACAGACTGGTGAAACTCTCTCATCCATTTACTCAACAATTATTTTCTGATTTCACTATCTGCTATATACTACGGGTACTGCAGTAAGTAAAATAAAAATACAAGCATACATATATGTGTGTACCTATGTAAGTGTGCATATACGCTTCAAATGTACATATTGATGTATACTGGTATATTTATATACATATGTACACGTAGGTGTAAGTGCAGCAGATAAACATGCCTGCTGCATTTGAATGCTGGAAATTCGCGATGTGGCAAGGGAAGCTACAGCTAATCTAACAGCGTATCTCAAGACGGTTGTGTAGAACACAAATCAGCGAAGTCCTTCGATGTTCGAGGGTATGATGTAAAACAAGAGTGGAAATGTCTGTCTTCAGACAAGCTTGGGAAACACTGGGTTAGACAACGTTAGATTTATTTGCTCTAGCATTTCTCAAATCCTTCAGTATGTGAGTATACACTGTGACTCTTCTAAAAGCATATAGGACGCAGTCTTTCCCAAGTTTATTGAACCACAGAATCCTTTTTGGAAAAGCATCCCTGAAAAAAATTAGTACTCTTCAGAGTGTCCTTCAGCATATGTTATTAAAAATCAAAGTTTTATAAAATAAAAATGAAAATCAGAGTATATTTCAGTTACTACTGTGGAACCTGCTAATAACTATAAAGCACTAAAAAGTATACATAAAAAATACTGGAAGATCAATTTTAAGAAATACATAATAAAGTTGGCATTTAAAGATAAAATAAAAGCTTTAATACAATATTAAAGTTTTCTTCCATGAATAGCTGTAAAAGAAGTTTCATTTCAAATAAATACAGTGATAACTGCCCATTATTTCTACCTAATCACGGCCTAAGCTAACTCTGTATAAAATACAAAAATTTAACTTACAAGCTTCAAGTAAAACCTCAGTAGTTCTATAAGGATAATAAATGATCTAAATCATTTAAAATATAAAATGTTTTAATGTCTTATATTCTGAAATGTAAGAATGTGTTGTGACCCATAAGATTGACTCCAGCTGAAGGGTTTGAACACGTTTCTCTAAAGAGAAAATATTTTTAAAGGCACTATTTACTGTTGTCCTTTGGATGAGACCCATTTGTGAAAGGACTACTCTAGTTAAATTATTCAAATGATACTGGCATTTAATAGGCTCTATGCATCAAAGATGTTTGATAATCATTAACCTTTTAGGGCTACAGTAATTTGTGCAATTAACTTGGGGGAAATTATTTTTCTCAGTCGTGTAATTAATTGTCCATGCCTCTTTAAAGAATTCTTGTACCTGAACTAAAAGTTACACGAAAATATCAAGACCATCCAGTTTAAGATCAGGTCCTCAAAACAGAGAGCACAATTAGCCAGATACTTTTTAAGTGTCTCAAATAAGCACAAAATCTGATTACATGGAGGCCAAAAAGAGATGGCTAAAACCGCTTCACATCTTTTTATCCTTTTATTGAAGACTTCCAAACTGGGGAGAGGGAAATCACCCCATGTGTTTTTTTAATAGAAACAGGGTCTCGCTGTCACCCAGGCTGGAGTGCAGTGGCACAATCATAATTCACTGCAATCTTAACCTCTGGGGCTCAAGTGATCCTTCCATCTCAGTCTCCCTAGTAGCTGGAACCACAGGCACATGCCACCACACCAGGCTAATTTTTGTTATGTTTTGGTAGTGACAGGGTCTCACTATTGCCCAGGCTGGTCTCACATTCTTGGCTCAATTGATCCCCCCACCTCAGCCTTTCAAATTGCCAGGATTATAGGCCTGAGCCACTGCACTCAGCTTTCATCCCATTTCTAAATTCATAATTTTGAATGGGATTTTTTTTAGCGGAAATGCAAGAATTCAAGACAACATTTTATTAGTAAAGTGGGAGAGTGGGTGATTTGCTAGTAATATCACTGGTTGATACCTATGGTATTCATAAGTTGGGGATAAAGTGAGAAGATAGAAAGGTAATCTTTCTTTTTACCCAAAATAAGCTTCAAAAATAGAAGAGAATATATGTTGATCACAAGTCAACAAATATACAATAAAACAGAAATCTACTGAATTAAAAACCAATTCACAGGTATCTCTTGGGGGACTACCACTCAATGAATCAGATGTTGTGAAAAATGCCCCAAAAAACTATTCATGTTGTGAGACACTAGATGTGTAATGATTTTTCTCTATGTTTTGCCAATATTTCTAATCGTTTCCTCAAAATATAATTTTGCCAACATAGGAAAAAGCAACATCGCTAATCAAACATACTCATTTAAAGTATATTATCATATTCAAAAACATGATTTTTTAAATCAGGACAATTAAGACTGCAAATATTTCAAAATATTACAACAGATTATGGCAATCAAAACACTTAGGGCAATGCCTGGCACCAAGTAAGCAGTCCACTGACCTTGGCAATGATTGAGGTGAGGAAGTGTATTAGGTAGAGACATATAAAAATGCCGATGTTTTATATTTCTCTTGCTAAATAGTCAATTTCATATGGCTCAATCCACAGAACAGCAGCTGGCACCACCACTCTGGAGTCAGATACGTGGTTCAAATTCTGGTGTCACCACTTACTAGCCACGTGATCTAGAACATGTTAAGTTCTTTGAGCCTAGGTTTTGTCATCTTTAAAATGGGGATAAAGGGTGGGTGCTATGGTTCATGCCTGTAATCCCAGCACTTTGGGAGGCAGAGGCGGGAGGATCACTTGAGCCCAGGAGTTGGAGACCAGCCTGGGAAACAAAGGTAGACCCTGTCTCTACACAAAAAAAAATGTTTAAGTTTGAAAAAAAATAAAAAATAAAAATAAAATGAGGACAACTAGTAACGCCTACTGCATAGGTTTTTCTTGTGCATAGGGAAGGTGTTTAGCTTTTTGACTGAGACAGAGTAGGGCATCAATAAGTATTAGTTATAAATTACTTTAAGACGAACGGTTAAGTTTTAACTGCTTTTGTGCATATTTATGCTTCTATTATCTGTAGTACTAGTAGGTATCATTCAAAAATGTCAACTAAAATTTTCAAAAATAATTTCTATGTAAGATAATGGCACTCTACAGACATACACTGACCTTAATTAAATTCAGGTTCTCTAACCATGACTGGATTCTTATTGCAGCCCAATTACCCGCATTTCATGCTCTCTAGAATTTCTGTCCACACACCTTTCCTGCCTTCTTTTAGGGAAGGAGAGGTGCTTTTCTCCTTCCTTCAAAGCATATCCCCTGGGCTGTGGATCTCAACCCCTTCCACCTCCGTTGGAAAATACAATCCTTCTAGGATCCTTCTCAAACGTCTTTAATGGCCCTTCCTCTCCTTAGAACTAAGCATGCTACAGTATCGCCAGCCTTTAAAACAACCAACACAAAAAGGCTTTTCTTGAGCCCCAGTCTCCCTCAGGTCACTCCCCCTTCCCCGCCCCCTCTCTGTCCTGCGTAGTTGGCATCAGTTTTTGAGAGGGGCTCACTCCCGCTGTCACTGCTTTGCCCCCCTTCACCATGCAGCCCACAGTCACCAGTGCGGGTGCTCTTTCTCTAAGTCGCTCTCTTTTGCTAAGCCTCAAGTTCATGTCTCAGTTCCTAGTGGACTTCACTCGCCAGCATACGGGCAATGTAAACTCTGCCCTTCCCCCTCTCCTAACCTGTGTACCACTGGTCCACACCCTCCAGGTGACCACCTCCTCCCACTTGCCCCTCGTTCTTGGTTCCCTTTGAGAATACCTATTCTTCTGCCAGTCTCTTCAACACTAAACTTCCTTTCAGTCCCTTCATGGATTCTCTTCTTACTCTGTATACTCCCCCTGAGTAATGTTAATCACACTCTTGACTTCAATTACCACCTCTAAGCACATAACTCCTGCAGCTGACACAGCAAGTTGCCTACCAATATCCATTCTCTCCTTATTTATTAACAGAACTCTGATTTTGTTTTGAACAGCAATGTGCTCCAGTTTGAAAAACATAACCACAAAAGCTTGATTTCTCAGGTTTCCTTGCAGCTAAAGACGGCTTTCTCACAGTTCTGGTCACTGAAATATAAACGGAAGTCTAATGGGGGTGGTTTCTTTGAAAGCTACTATTTTTCTGATAAAAAATAAAAAGGACAAGCCAACTAGCAGGCCCTTCCCTTTCGCCTGAATCACAGATGGAGTTTCTAGAGGGGCAGCAGCCACTCTGTTATGATGAGGTCAAAAGCCGTACTCTACAGTAAATCAAGAAGACAGAAAGAGTCAGTCTCCTTAATGACATAGCTCCCCTACATGACCTGAACTTGAAAACGTTAAAAGCTTAAAGCTTGTGCCTTTAAGTTACTTGGTTAAGCAACTGTTCATCTGAATTTGTTACTTGCAGCTTAATACAATCTCAAGTGTTACAACACCAAAGTTGGCCAAACTGAACCGCCAATTCCTCAAACACATATTGTCAGCCTGAATATGTAAGTGCTATTCTGCAGACACTTCAGTCTCAAGGTAGCTCAAAATGATAGCTTTTCTGTAACTCTTAAAACGCTGTGTAGGAGACAAAGATTTTAAGTCTCTGATCACTGTGAACCATTTAACAACGTTAAAACAATTACATTATGAGATACTAGCAAGAATTCCTAAGGATAATGTTCTCCTTTGTGTAAGTCAGCTTTGTCACCAATCACAGGCCATTTCCAGTAAGTACACAGTAACATCTTTATAATGTTGC
Source organism: Homo sapiens (assembly GCF_000001405.40). Classification (NCBI taxonomy): domain Eukaryota; kingdom Metazoa; phylum Chordata; class Mammalia; order Primates; family Hominidae; genus Homo; species Homo sapiens. The sequence goes on along the minus strand of NC_000007.14, from coordinate 3,380,220 downwards.
GGATATTGACCTAGTGACAAACTCTGCATTTACATAAGCCAAACCATAAGATAAACATCATTTTAGGAACTTTTTTTCTGATTATAAAAACAATCCACAGTCATAGAAAAGTTGAAATTCAAATTAGGAGTTTTAAAAAGGTAATAAAAATCATTTGTCATCTCACCTCTCACAGACAACGTTTTTGGTATTGGTATATTGCTTCCCAATATTAAATACAGGTTGAAAATCCCTTATCTGAAAGGTTCAGGACCAGAGAGCCTTTGGATTTTTGGATTAGGTTTTGAATCTTTTTCAGATTTGGGAATATCTGCCTCATATCAACTAGCTGAGCATCCCAAATAGAAAAATACGAAATCTGAAATGCTCCAATGAGCACTCAGTTTGAGCATCATGTAGGTGGCTCAAGAAGTTTTGGATTTTGGAACATTGCAAATTTCGGATTTGGGATGTTCAGCCTATATGTATGTATGTGTCTATATATTTCACATACAGTACATAAATTCATGCTTTTCCATTTATTGTTTGCATTGTAAAATGCTCCCACGTCATTATTCTCTGAGGTTACTTGGATCAAAACCAAGTTCATCTTTTTCTTCCTCCCAAATCCCATTAAACAGAAGAAAAATACAGAATGAAAATGAACCACAGCAATAGTAAATGTCCTTGAGGAGTGATGCTGGCAGACCCCGTTCCCCTCCATCTACGAATAAAGGTCTTTCCCCATCCTGTTTCCAAAGCTTGGAACACTCTTATCCCCATTCCCGGTCACTGAGTCACTCCTTTTCTTCCTTGGAATCTCAGGTCAATTGTCACACGTGCTCCAGGTGGACTTCCATGGCAACCCCTCTCCCAGTAAGTTAGCCTTTTCATATGCCCCCTCAGCGCAGGGCAACTTCTCCTCACAGAACAAGAACTACGTGTGTGCAAATTAATTGTTTAATGCCTGTCTCCCCAACAAGACCATACATAAGCTCCATCGTGACAGGTCTTCTCTTCACCATTATTTTCTAATGCCCAGCACATTGCCCCGCACAATAAAGAGTTGTGGAACAGATTAAATTTCTAGAAAAGTGACGGGACCAATGATGGCAAATCTAAAGAAATAGAAGGAACCCATGTCAGTTGAAAAGTTTCCTCAGCAGAAGCTCAGCATAATCCCATTATCAGTGCAGCACAGGCCAGGAGAAGCAGGCCATAGATAATTGGCCAAGTAATTAACGAGAAGCTGGAAGAGCTGAGCAAGTCCTCGTTTGAACTGTCTGACTCAGGGGTCTGCTCCGGGGAAGGGGTGGGAGGTCGGTGAGCATGCATGCAACTCTCCGATGAGAGGTCCTAACAAGGAAGACAGCAGAGCCGACAAAGTGACCAACTCCGTGGAGCAGAAGCCCACCCCGCCGGCCCCCCAGCGAGCAGGGCAGCAGAGTGAATACCCTGCCCCGCTATATGCTCCCTGCCCTTCCCCTGCAAAGTCACCTGAAGCTGAGCTCCTGCGTGAGAACCTTCACGCAACGCTGAGTTGCAGATCCTTACCTACAAATGTGAACAGAAATACAAGAAACACCAAGCCTTTGAAGTAAACAAACAGCATGAAAGAGGGCCCCCCACTGCACAAACAGAAGAGACAGCAGAGAGGTTAAGAGGGCAGGCTTTGGAGTCACAGCCTGGATCCAAATCCCTGCCCGACCTCAAGGTTTCCTCATGTGTATGTGTACACTCCTGACCCCTGGGTACATGGCTGATACAGTAAGCAGAAGAAAATGTCAAAGTGAATATGCTCGAAGAAACGCAAGTGATAACACCCACAGAAAAAAGAACAGGTCATCTGAGCACAAATGTCTACCTCCCGTCCCACCCAAGGTCTTATGAACTAACAAGGACTTTTGTTTTTAAGTAGAATTAAAGAATCCTGCAAGACAAAAAACCAGTGCCATCAGCAGACCATATATTTTATGGAATGCCTAGAAAACACAAAATATGTGAGACCAAAACTATGAGGGACTCTTGGAAGACAGAACAATGTTAATTGTAGCCCCCGAAAGATGACTGAGAGCAGTTCTCAAGGGATCCAAGAGAAGCTCAGAGCCAACAAATACAGGCAAGAGTGGCTCAACAAGAAGTTGATTTAAAAATAGAGTTTGGGGGCCGGCGCAGTGGTTCATGCCTGTAATCCCAGCACTTTGGGAAGCCGAGGCAGGCGGATCACTTGAGCCCAGGAGTTCAAGACCAGCCTGGCCAACATGGTGAAACCCCCATCTTTACTAAAATACAAAAATTAGCTGGGCATGGTGGCGTGCACCTGTAATCCCAGCTACTCGGGAGGCTGACGCAGGAGAATTGCTTGAGCCCAGGAGGCGGAGGTTGCAGTGAGCCGAGATCGTGCCACTGCACTCCAGCCTGGGCAACAGAGTGAGACTCTGTCTCCAAAAATAAATATATAATAAATAAATGATAAAATAAAAATATAGTTTGGAACAGCGTGGCTAGGAAGCACCCCCACACACAGCCCCCTGCCCTGTGTGTGGCAGTGAAAAAGGAACCCAACATGGATGAGTTCTCTGTGGAGAGCTTCAGGTGTGGACATTAGGGCTTGAGAGAGAACAAAGGGAACTCAGAACTGTTACAACAGACACAGAGACGGGGAGTCGTGGGATGAAAAGCAGCAGCTCTGCCTGACAGGGTACACTGCTGCACCTCCTGACCAAGTACTGCTTATGATAGCAGTGTGGGGGGAACCCAGCTTTCCCCACCCAAACAGCACCCCACGGGGAAGCTTGCCAAGCAACCTGACCACATTCCAGAGCCTGCAGTCCATCCTCCATTTAGCGCAGGGGGCAGCTGGAATGTCCACACAACTACAGAGAAAACCTGCGGCAGCTGCAGTATTAATTAACCTAGTCCTTTATCGTTAAACATGGATATTTAGCTGAGGACCATCAGGACTTGAAGATCTTAAAGCATGGGAGGGAAGGAGCAAGATGAAGACACACAGCCACAAACCCTGGGAGAAACAGCCACAATCAACGTGTCTAAGGCAAGTTTTTAAAACTCTAATTCATATCCTCAGAGAGATTGAACAGCTATACACCCACTACAGAACAGAATCCTAAAAGAAAAAATTTATCAGAAATTAGTTTTGCAAAAGTAATTGCCAAAATAAACTTTTCGAAGCAGGGCTGAATGTTAGAATCGATTTCAGAATAGAGAGTTGGCAACAAGGAAGTTAAAATTAAAGAAATTACTAATATTGAGAAGAAACCAAGATTTAAAAGGTATGAGTACAATGTTGAGAAGTGGAGACAGATCCAGGAAAGTCCAAGAGGAACTGGAAAGAGAGACAATAGAAGGGGAAATAGAGGAAAAAAAGAAAGAAAAGAAAAAGGAAGAAAATTTGACATTTTTGAAATTCGGGATTTTTTTTTAACAGTATACACATCTTTCTGTGTGTGTCCGATTACCTTAGCATAAATTTACACAATAGCTGAATCAATGTGCACTCATTTGGTATTTGCATTTTGAGACATGTTACTAGACTGCCCTCCAGAAAAGTCAGACAAATCTGTGTCCCCACCCACACCGTATAATCTTCCTGCCAATCAAGGAATCTCTTTAACCTTGTCGGTCTTTTTCACCTCTGTGAATCTGGTAAATACAATGTGACCTCTCATTGTTCTAAATTATATTTCTTGGCTAATATCTGTTCATACATTTATTTCTACTTTGTGAATTGCCTGTTCGTGTCCTCAGCCATCCCATTTATAGAGTCTTCTTACTGATTTTTAAGAGTTCTCCGAGACACTGCCTTTTGTAATACAGGTTGCTCAAATCTTCCTAATTGGTGGTTTATCTTTCACCCTGTTTATAAGGTTTGTTATTTTAATTTATGGCTTGGGGATTGCATATTCATAGTTAGGAAATCCTTCTCCACCCCAAAAGTTTAAAATTTTTCAGGCTTATAATAAATTAACGGTTCCATTTTTACATTTAAATATTTGATCCATCTGAGATTTTCTTTTTTTCCCCCAAGGCAGGGTCTCACTCTGTCACCCGGGCTGGAGTGCAGAGGCATGATCATGGCTCACTGCAGCCTCAAACTCCTGGGCCCAAGCAATCCTCCTACCTCAGCCTCCCAAAGCACTAGGATTGCAGGCATAAGCTACCATGCCCAGCACATCTGGAATTTTCTTGATGCAGAATTCAGTAAGAATCCAACTTATTTTTTCCCCAATTCTAGCTGGCTATCCCCACACCACTGACTGAATAATCCATCTGATCAGTTACTTATTGCTGTATATGAATTACCCCAAAACTTCATGGCTTAAAACAGCAATCAGCATTTTCTCACACCATTTCTGTGAGTCAGAAATTCAGGAGCAGCTTAGTTCTGTGGCTCTGGTTTAGCTGTATCCACATGAGGTTGCAGGCAAGATGCCTCCCAGAGCTGCCGTCATCTGAAGGCTTCCCTGGGGCTGGAGGATCCACTTCCCAGATGGCTCACCCACATGGCAGGCAAGTTGATGGTGGCGGTTGACCAAGGCCTCAGTTCCTCTCCACAAGGACTTCTCCACAGAGTTGCTTGAGTGTCCTCACGAAAGGTAGCCAGCTCCCCCAAGAGCAAATGATGCAAGGGAGCACAAGACAGAGGTTACAATGTCTTGTATGATTTACCCTTGGAAGTCACACACTATCCTCTTCATTCTATCCTACTGGTTACACAGGTCAGCCCTACACATGTAAGGAGAGTCTATACACGGATAAGAATACTACAAGGCAATGATCACTGGGAGCCAACTTGCAGGCTGATAACCAACCATCTATTTTACACTACTTTAAAATGAAATACATTGAACACACACTAAACCCCCATATGTACTTGGGCTTACTTCTAGACTTTATTTCATTTTCTGTCTAGTCCTGGGTCAGTATTATACTGATTTAACAATTACAGCTTTAGCATAAGTTTGTGACATGTAAAGGCAAGTCTCCACTAGTGTTTGTTTTCTAAAATTTTCTCACAATGCACAATTTTTTTTTTTTTTTGCAAATTAACTTCAGATTAGCTTTATTACATGTGAGAGCCCACACTGGCCTCTGTGATAAACCGTGGTAGACACTATCGGAAAATGCGTATGCAGCATCATTAAACATGTAAAACGTTATTCAACTAATACTTGCTTAAAATCACTGCACATTAATTCACTAAAAAATATTTAACGAATGTCTACTATGTGGCACATACAATTACAGGTGTTAGATATACGATAGTGAACTAAAGAGACACAGTCTGTGTCCTTCAATGGGAGTGACAGACTATAAAGAAACTGCATAAAATACATGATTACACCTAAGTGCTGTGGGAAAAAAAGCATACAATCTGAAATAATGGGCATAACAAGGGGACCTAATCAATTCTGAAAAATTTTAAAAAGTCTCTTTGAAGAAATATTACTGAATCTGAGACCTGAAAGGTGAATTAGAGTTGACCGGGGGTGTGGGGGTGTGGGTGTGTGTAGTGGGGACTGGAGGAGCAGAGCATGGTTAGAAATTGGTCTAGGCAGAGGGAACAGAATATGTAAAGGTTCTGGGGTGGGGAAAAACGTACCTTATTCAAAGCACTGGAAAAAAGGCCAGTAAAAATATAGTGTAGGTTAAATTGGAAGACCTGTATAGTGGCCAAAGGAGTATGCAGGAGAGAGACCTTCTGGTGGCAGCCACTGAAGGGCTTTCAGAGTTACAATGCACTGCTGCCAGGTCTGTGACTGGCTATGACACTACAGTAAGGCAACCCAACCTCCAAAGACTTGACAAGTACACGATTTATGTGAAGAAAATCAATTGTAGAAAAAAATATTTTGTGTAACCACAGCATCTGATGACAGTGAGTCCTCCTGTGCACAGCTTGGGGGCAGAAGTCACAAGTCTTCCAGAAAAGGAACATATCCCAAGTGGAAAACTTCAGATCAGTTAAGTGGGGTGGTATTGCTCATAAGGAGTGAGCCACTTTAGGCAACAGTGGGTTCCTGATTCCAGACTCAGCTCTCCCCCAATTCCCCAGTCCTTCAACTATGCAAAACACACTGCAGCAAATCCAAGACTTCCATTGCTCCAATTACCGTGGATATCAGAGTGTCAAGTTAAAAAAAAGAAAAATCCACAATTTGGACTGAGATGACATTTAATTTACAGAGCAAAGAAACATGGCATTTTACAAAGTTAGCTATTCTTATGTTAAAACAAAGTATGACTTCATGTTTTCAAACTTTTTAAAGATCCTCTTTAAAGTTTTATGGTTTTCTTCATATAAATCATGTACTTATCAAGTTTATTTCAAGTTTTTGGGCTTGTGATTGTGAATGAGGTCTTCTTTGTTGTTGATTATAAATGGTTAATATATACAAAAGCTACTGAAGTTTGTACACTGAATTTGTGAACAAGCACTTTTATTAAATTGCTTCTAACCATTTGTCTGTTGACCTTTGTTTTTCTAATCATATAATATCTTCAAATAACAATTTTGCTTTCTCTTGTCATTTAGTATTTACTTTTTAGTGCCAAGTAAAGTATCGCACATCCAAAAAAAAAAAGAACAGAACATTTTTAATGGTGTTGCCAACAACCTTATTTGGGAAGCTTAAATGTTTCTAGGGTTTCACTGTCATAAATGATGTTGACTATTAATTTGCAACACACCTTTGACTATGTTAAGATGGAAAACACCTTTCAATCCTTTTACTAAGGGATTTTCTTTTTAGAAGGGATAGATGTTAAGTTTTGTCAAGTACCTCCCTAACATCTATTGAGACCATATGGTTTTCTGTCATTGACTTGTTCATAATTTGAATTACAGAGAGAACCTGACTTGCAATTTTTCAACTTTGCAATGGGACCCATACAACCATTCTGTTCTTCACTTTCGCTTAGTGTTCAATAAATTATATGAGACTTTCAACACTTGATTATAAGACAGGATTCGTGTTAGGTGATTCTGCCCTTCTAGGCTAATGTAAGTGCTCTGAGCACGTTTAAGGTAGGGTAGGCTAGGCTATGATGTTCAGTAGGTTAGGTGTATGCATTTTCAACTTACAATATTTTCAGCTTATCAGTTTATAAGGACATAGCGCCACTGTAAAACACACTACATCCGTATAGGAAATTTCTTAATACTAAGCAATAATTCTTAATATTGAGCATAGAATAAACTCTACTTGATGTTACTTTTCAAATTAACCACTGGATTTTAGTTTACAAAATTTAAGTTTCAGCATCAAAAGCCTGCATTTTTCTTTTCCTATGTCTTGTATAAAGTATTTTAAAATTGGGAATATAAGAAACAGACTGAAGCAAGTTTCTACAATGTGAGAATTTAGGTAACTCTGGCTTTTGAAATAAAATCCATCACCTTTACACATTTGCAATTCTGCCAGTAAAGCCTGCAATGCACGCTCTCCTACACTGTGTGCTCTCTTCCTGGGCTGGCATTAACTTTTTCTTTCAGCATGGATCACTAAGGATGTAGTCAGCTGCAAGTAACAAACTCCAACTCTCACAACAGAGAAACTGACCATCTCACACAACAATCAACCCAGAGGTACAGCAAGTTACAGGGTTCATTTTGGGGGCCCAGTGACGTTCTCAAAGCTCAGGGTCTTGCCCTCTTCCGCTCTGCCCTCCTGAGGTATTGAATTGTCCTCAGATGGGCTCCCTCCTAGTTACACAGGGTAAGAGGCAATAGGGCGTGTTCTGAAGCACAGAGGTTTTCCATTTTGATTAAGTTCAATTTATCATTTTCCTTTTATTGCTTGTGCTTTTCATATCATATTTAAGAAAGCATTTGCCTAGCCCTGGATTTTTAATTTTCTAACTGTAACGTGGGCTACATTTTCTGTTGGATGACCCAACTTCCTGATCAGTTGTGTTGGACTAGCTTGGGAGCCTTTTCTGCTAACTACCAGTCACAGGACACACATAAATATTTCCCAACCTCCCAAAAGGTCAGGAAGCTGTAAGACTTCGCACTGCTCCAGACTCTCTCCCTTCAAAGTCAGAGACATAACCTAAAATCTAAGGGTGGTCTCCTCCGTGGATGAAACTCATATTTATGTAGCTTTTTAAGGGGTGAATGGAACATAAATGCTGTTGTTTTACATCTGAATAGCCTGTAAACTGTATGTTAACAACGTAGCTGATGACAGTTACTGAACCACAGCCTTACAGATTCCTAGCATTTAATAGACAAGATACCTGAGACAAACCTAACCTGTGTTTCTTCACAACCTGCTCTATCTCCTGGGATTGTTTTATCCTAAAAATTCAAATTGTGAGGATAGATCTAAGTAGAAACCTCTGTTCGTTAATTTTGGCCGACTGTCAGGGTTTCTTATGCTATTTACTCACACTCTTCTGCAGTGCAGTCAATTTAATTGTGGTTTTCCAGATGACTTCAGTTTCCTGTTCAGGAACTCCTCTTGGGTGAAGGATCCATTATCTGTCCTCCACGTCTACCTTTCGTATTTACCCACTTTTATCTTTTTCTCCTCTGCATCCTGAGAGTGTCCAAGTTTGCCATCCATACTCCTCTTCTATTTTTGGAGATCAAGTCTTCTGATTATCTTAGTAGGGATTTTAAGTCTCATTGCAGTTTTGGTTTCCTCGCATTCTTTTATTTCGATCAGCTTTTTTGTTTGTATGTTTCTGTTTTCATCTCAGTCTTTTCCCCCTTAGGGCCCCCTGGTTTCTTCTTTTCCCAAAGTCATGTTTCTTTTTTTAAGATACCAGATTTATCCTAAATTTGTTACCTGTGTTTCACATGTAACCATTTTCAGAGAGAGACACTGTCCTCCAAGTCATTCTGTCCTTCCCCTGCATCCTGGAAATTTTTTCCTACGCCACATGCTCAGCGTTTTGACTAGGAGAGCCCCATCTAGATCTAATGTTCCTGCACAGATGGGTAACACATCCCTAGTTTCCTCAAGATCCACTAAATACTAGCACATTTCTCCCTTTCAGATTTGAACTTGTAAATGAGATGTGTTCTCCTCTGAGCCTGGCTAGTAACGTGTGACATATATTCCCTTCAATGCATGTGGAGGCAGGATAACTCTTCCTGCTCTGAGACTCAGGCACTCTTGTCAACTGTCACATGTATCATATGTTGTACACGAAACACGGGGATGCACGGCTCTTCCTCCGTTTCAAAAAGCTTTTAAGTGATTTGCAGTCAGGGTTGGACGGCACCCTTAGCACCTCCCTCTGCCTCCTGCTGCGGGGCTGCATGTTGGGAGTTTGGGTTTTTAAGTCAAAGTGGAGAGAAAGGAGCTAGTGGAGACAGAGGAGGAGCAGGTGAGGGACCCAGGTATGACTGGCTCCACAGACTGGGAATGACAAACTTGGACCACTCAGCATGACCCAAGGCCTCCCAAAGCTATGCACACTGTGTACATGAATTTTAAAACATGTCCTACCCAGCGTGGGGCATTTGTCTTGTTCTAGTTCAGAGAATAGAACATGTGCTATATAGTCCAAGACCATTCGCAATCTGTTTCACCAGCCATATTGAAGAACATTCTGCCCAGATCTTGGCATATGGCAATTTGCTTTATAGCACAACTGCTGGACGTTTTAACGAGAATTTGGAAGCGGTATATCGGGCCCAAGTAGTCCACCACCACGTTACTCCAGAAATGTCAAACATAACAGTCTGTTTCCTTTTTAAGTGATTACATCATCTTCCACCATTTTAGTTGGACTCAGATTACAGGCTGCTCCTGTGCATTTAATGCTTTTTATAAAAGAAGAAATTACTTTTTCACACCACTGTGAAGTCAAGATACAGACTTATAAAGAACAACTGACTGCAATTGTTTTCTCTCTCCCTCAGGGGTTAACATTTGTGTAACTGTCTCTCTTTGTTGGTACACCCTGTACTGAAGAGAAAGAGCCATCTGCTTCACTGTCTGAAAAACACCACTTGTCTGATATTCCCCTGCCGGTAAGGAGACTGTACTGAAAACCTATGTATTCATGAAACCTCTTTAGTTCTGAGGCATTAACAACCACTCTGTCAAAACCATACTCTCTCAAGTCATATGTACATCTTTCCATTCACAATCAGGTCTAAATGCAAACTTTAACTTAGGCCGATGTTCATACTATTTATTATGGCTCTGAATCCAACTGAGCCAAATAACAGTAATGATACATTTTAAAACCAGTATTGATTTTAGAAGTCCTTTTCCTTTGCTAGTTAGAAACGAACTGCCACGGATACTCACAGGCTGCCTGTGCCTAGGGCACTGTGCTCCCAGTCCGCACTGTACACCAGCAGTGGCTAGGTGCTGCCCTGAAATACCCACTTTCTTAAGTGAAACACTGCACGCCATAAATGCGCATATTTACTCTTAATAAGTGAAAAATCTACCACACATTTCATGGGTTAGTTTTTCATTACTAAAGAAAAGCAACAACTTCAAACTTTCAAATTCATTTACATAGCTTATTCCAAATGGTTACATTTTATTAATTTATAATAATTCTTTAAAGTCAACTCTTCAGTGACATAAATGAAAACTTGAGGAAACATTTTGTGCTATCCTCTTATATACAACATCCTATTCTTCAATAGGAGATGTAAAAGAAAGAACAAATGTTGATTTCAGGAAGCTGCTCTATAATTGGGTACTTTTTATTACTTTTTCCTTGGATCAGAACACTCTGTATGTAAGAGTTGGCAAGCTTGCCCTATAACAGGCCAGATACTAAGTATTTTGTTTTGCAGGCTGTATAATCTCTGTCACATCTACACAGCTCTGTCATTGTAGAACAAAAGTGACCACAGACAGTACCTACACAAGCATGACTGTTTCAGTAAGAATTTACATTATTGGTGGGTGCACTGGGTCACGTCTGTAATCCCAGCACTTTGGGAGGCCGAGGCAGGTGGACTGCTTAAGGAGTTTGAGACCAGCCTCGCCAACATGGTGAAACCCCGTCTCTACTAAAAATACAAAAAATCAGCCAAGCATGGTAGCACACACCTGTAATCCCAGCTACTAAGGAAACTGAGGCATGACAATTGCTTGAGCCTGGGAGGCAGAGGTTGCAGTGAGCCAATATCACACCATTGCACACCAGCCTGGCCAACAGAGCAAGACTCTGTCTCAAAAAGAAAAAAAAGAAAAAAGAAAAGGAAAGAAAAAAAAGAATTTACATGATTATTGACACTTACTAACTGGGGCAGGAGGAAGCAGCACATGCAAAGACAGATCCAAATCTGAGACTACACAGTTTCACAGAATTACACACCATTCCTTGCTCTTTATTTATATAATAGAGAGTACAGGAAGCAATGTTTATATTATTTAATACCAATCAAATGTTATGTGTAATAGCTAACTCTTCTTCAGTTCCTAATACATGTCACACACGGTTCTAAGTGCTTTGTGTTATCTCATTCAGCCCTCCTACCAGCCCAGGAGGTTTGGAATAGAGTGGGAAGACAGAGGTGGCACAGACAGTGTCCTGATGCTTCTCACTTCTAGAAGTGAAAATGACAAATGGGCACATAAAGATCCCCAGGGCACTCACCCGACAGGCTCTCCAAGTCCTACAATGTTTCCAGTGGGTCTCCTCTGTTACTGTCCTCACAGGTTACACCTTTAATCCCACCATCCCGTGATCCAAACCCTTCCGTGCCGATTTTAATTATAAAGTTATCATTTTCACTCCATCCCCCTACTCCATACTGATTGCTCTGCTTCAAAACCATGAAAATTGGATGGAAATACCATAGTAAGAGATATGGGATTTGAAATCCATTGGAGAAAAATGTTTCCCACAAAAGTATGATGGACAAAAGATAATTTTTAAGTGTTCGTTTTAACAGCAGCCTAATGGGAGAACAAGTAACTTTGATGTCAATAGCAGGAACCCAGCAGATTCTGTCTGGGGAACGGAGAAGCTTGAGAACACTTTCTTCTGTTTGTAACACCTAGAAATTAACATGACTTATATAACTGGCTCAACAATATTTAACTCAATTTTACACGTTATTGGTTTCAGATTTCCTTATTCACAGATGCCATTATTACTAGGACTAATTTTAATTGGAAGTCAATAATATACTTACAAAAATATGATAGAACTCCTTATTGCAGATTGTTTTCTCTTAGAATTATAACTTCTGCAATAAGAGATCTGATGATGTGATGGCACCACTTTTTCACAGTCTTTCTGCAATGTTCATCCTTACAGGGAAGAGAGTCAAGCTCCATCAACATGCAATAAGTGGAAATTTAAGAATGTTCTGGTTTATTCTAAGTTTCTAAAGAAAACATTTTCCTATATATTCATTTTAAACTGCAATTTTGTTATAATAGCTTATATGAAAACATAAATAAGACCTAATCATCATCTAAACAATACACTGAATTCCCTGGAGGTACATGGCTCTACTAGCCAATTTTACAGTTAAGGCAACTGGAATTTGAGTAACTCAAACTAAGAGCAAGGAAGCAGACAGTTAAATAGGTCGAAGAGTTAAGTTATAAATGGTCTAGACTCCAACTCAGCTGACTATAGCACCCAGAGCAAATCTGTCCACAGACTATGGAAATTCAGCACAAATACAGAAAAATTAAAAGAGCATAAATGCAACTCTACAGAAATAATTAACATCACTAGGCACTTGTTTTACAAATGACAAGTATGGGATAGATGAAATGCCGGGAATGGCACTCTGTGGTTTTCTAGTATTGACTGAGGAAAGAAACCAAAATAGGACCTGGAATGATGCCCTGTGACAGTTGGCTTGAAATATAGTCAAAAAAAGTGAGCAGCTAGAGAATGCAAACATAAAAAGTAATTCCTAACTTTTCTATTTTATTTTCTATTCTATTCCTTGCTTTCCTACACAAAATTCCTAACTTTTCTATTCCATCCATTGTGAAACATGTACCTAAAGATCCAGATCACATGAAATTACAACGATGACAAATTACAAATATAAAAAAGATACATTCTTTAAAACTCATTCCTGGCAAAAAATAAAAATAAAAATAAATAAATAAATAAATAAAATAAAATTGTAGGCAAAGTCAAAAGACCAATGGCAAACTGGGAAGTAACTTTCACAACTTATCTTCCAAATAAATAATCTTCCTTCCTCTTTAGAAATAAAAACAATAGGCCGGGCGCGGTAGCTCACGCCTGTAATCCCAGCACTTTGGGAGGCTGAGGCAGGTGGATCACGAGGTCAGGAGATCGAGACCATCCTGGCCAACATGGTAAAACCCTGTCTCTACTAAAAATACAAAAATTAGCTGGGCATGGTGGTGCATGCCTGTAATCCCAGTTACTTGGGAGGCTGAGGCAGGAGAATTGCTTGAACCCAGGAGGCAGAGGTTGCAGTGAGCTGAGATCACGCCACTGCACTCCAACCTGGTGACAGAGCAAGACTCTGTCTCAAAATAAATAAATAAATAAAATAAAAACAATAATTATCAAAAATCCAATATACAAATAGGCAAAAGACATGAACCAACAGTTGACAAAAAGACAAAAGTCTTTAAATGTTTTTAAAGATGTTCAACTATCCCCATAAATGTAAATAAAAACTACACTGAAATAGCACTTCTCACCTATCTGGCAAAAATCTGCTCTTGTGACAAGCCTCAGAAGAAACTGAACGTCACAAACACTGTTGATGAAAGTACAAAATAAAATCCCCATAAAGGGGAATTCTGCAGGATCTAATAAAAGTACACATGGCAAAATTACCCAGTACTTAATGTAACTGTAAAAAGGAGTGAGGAAGATCTCTATGTGCTATAATGGAGTAATCTCCAAAATATATTGTGAAATAAAAAAAAAAAGAAAGGAGGAGACCAGAGACCATAGACTACTACATTGTGTATGAGAAGGAAGAAAAAGCAAGTACTTTCTTTTACAACAAAAAAGTAATAAAAATGGTTACCTATAGGGTGATACTGGGAAGAATGAAAACAGAGAATGCTTCTCTATGTAGAACTTTTTATTTAATTTTGACTTCAAACCTATTTATATGGAAAGAATTAATCCAGAAATTGAAAACTCAGAATTAGAGAAACAGAAATAAACCACTATTAACATCGAATCGGTAAAATATCTACACAGAAAAAATATATGAAGAGACTTTTTTTTTTTTTTGAGACAGAATTTCATTCTTGTCGCCCAAGCTGGAGTGCAATGGCACAATCTCGGCTCATTGCAACCTCTGCCTCGCAGGTTCAAGCAATTCTCCTGCCTCAGCCTCCCAAGTGGCTGGGATTACCGGTGCCCGCCACCACGCCTAGCTAATTTTTTTGTATTTTTAGTAGAGACAGAGTTTCACCATGTTGGCCAGGCTGGTCTCAAACTCCTGACTGACCTCAGGTGATACACCCACCTCGGCCTCCCAAAGTGCTGGGACTACAGGCATGAGCCACCACGCCCAGCCTGGAAAAAAGACTTGAAGAGACTTCTAAAGTCAGTGTTCTGTCTCTACATCCTCAGCAGTATATATTGAAAGGACTATGCCCTTCAAAAAAACCTGCAAGGAAATCTTAAATTTTATTCAATAGTTTTAATTTTAATACAGCAATTTTAAAACATTTATGTGTATAGTAAGATAAAGCAAATAAGTTGATATCATTAAGAAATCACTATTTTCAGTGTAAGAGAAAATGAATAGAAATATATAATGAAATAAGTTAAGGGGAAGAATTTTTCTGCTAAATTTGAATTGAAAACATTGATACAAACTCAATTATTTTTATTTCTTAGTTCCGACCACTGAAAGAGTTCTGAAGTAATGGCCTCCTATTGCAATGGTACCCAGAATCTTGGTTTTCAAATTATTCTCCCCTAAAAGGAACCAGAGTTTCTTGGAAAAGAGGTTCCAGGTGTTAGAAAAGCACAAGATGAAAAGTGACTCACTCAAACTGAAAATGAATACAATTGAGACACATGTCCACTACCACCATTCTCTAGCAAACAATCTACTCCTGTATGAGGCACTCCAATTTACTTTTTTGTTTTGCCCTCTCCATGTTCAATGGCTTTACATTACACTGCAGAAGTTGCGGCCTCAAATCAGCAAGGTCACAGGATATAAGATAAAAACTCCTATATGCTAGCAGTGAACACACTGACACCAAAATTTAAAATACAATACTACTTACAATCGCTCCAAAGAAAATTAAGTTCTTAAGTGTAAAGCTACCGAAACATGTACAGGACTCATATACTGAAAACTAAAAATGCTGATGAAAGAAATCAATGATGTAAACAAATGGTGAGACATACCATGTTCATAGATTGGAAGACTCAACACAGTAAAGATGTCAATTCTTCCAAAGATTTGATGCAATTCCTATCAAAATCACAGCAAGATTTTTTTCTAGATACAGAAAAGTGTATGCTAAAATTTATCTGAAAAGACAAAGGAACTAGAATAACCAGAAACAATTTTGAAAAAGAAAATAAAGGGGCAATCATCAGTGTACCTGATTTCAAAGCTTATTATATAGCTATAGTAATCAAGACAATATATTATCAGCTGGGGGACATACACAGATCAATGAAATAGAGTAGAAAATGCAAAAACAGATGAACAGATATGTCCAAGTGATTTTTGAGAGAGGTGCAAAAAAAATTCAATGGAGAAAAAATAGGCTTTTCAACAAATGGTGCAGGAGCAATTGCATATCCATGGGTTTAAAAGCAAAAAAAGAACCTCAACCATATACAAAAGTTAACTCAAAATGTGCCATGGACTTTAATGTGAAACATAAAACTACAGAACTTTTAAAAGAAACCAACACACGAGAAAATTTTCAGGATCCAAGTCTAGGCAGAATTCTTAGTCTCGACAGCAAAAGCATGACCCATAAAAGAAAAAACTTATCAATCTGACTTCATCAAAATTAAAAACATTTTCTACGCAAAAGACCCTGTTAAAAGAATGGAAATAGAGTCTACAGAGTGAGAATATATTTGTACGCCAAATGTTCAACAAATGCCTAGTATCTAAAATATATAAAGAACTCTTAAAATTCAACAGTGAAAAACGATCCAGTTAGAAAATGGATAAAAGACATAAACGTTTCACTGAAGAGGATATAGAGATGACAAACAAGCACATGAAAAAACAATGTTCAACATTAGGGGAATGCAAATTAAAACCAAAATAAGGTATCACCACATACATCTCAGAATGGCCAAAATGAAAGATAATGGTAACACCAAATAATGATGAGGATGTGAAACTGGATCACATTCACACATTTCTGGTGACAACGTAAAATAGTATAACACTTCAAAAAAGGTTTCTTAAACCAGGGGTCCCCAACCCCCAGGCCAACAACTGTTACCAGTCCATGACCTGTTAGGAACCAGGCTGCACAGCAGGAGGGGAGCAGTGGACGAAGGAGCATTCCCGCCTGAGCTCCTCCGGGCAAATCAGCAGCAGCATTAGATTCTCATAGGAGCACAAACCCTACTGTGAACTGCACAGGTGAGGGATCTAGACTGCGTGCTTCTTGTGAAAACCTAATGCCTGATGACGTGAGGTGGAACAGTTTCATCCCAAAACCATCCACACCACCTCCCACCCTTGGTCCATGGAAAAACTGTCTTTGAAGAAACCGGTCCCTGGTGCCAAAAAGGTTGGGGGCCGCTGTCTTAAACAACAAACATACAATTAACATACAAGCCAACAACTGAATTCCTAGGCACTTATCACAGAAAAAAATGGATACACAATAAAATCTATAGACAAATGTTTATAGCGACTTTATTTGTAACCACCGAAACATGGAAACAACCCAGATGTCTTTAATAGGTGAATGGTTAAACAATCTGTGGTACACAGTTTCCATGGAACACTACTTAATAAAAAAGAAATGAATTACTGAAATAGAAAACAATCTAGATGAATCGTCAGGGAACTATGCTGAATGAAAAAAGAGCAATATCCAAAGTATAATTCTATTTATATAACATTTTTGAAATGATAAATTTATAGAAATGGAGAACAGATTCATGGTTGCCGAGCAGTGTGGAAGGAGATAGGAGAGGTCAGTGTGGCTGCAGAAGGGCAACATGAGAGATCCTTGTGGTGATGGAAACGTTCTGTTTCTTGACTGTACTAAAGTCAATATCCTAGATGTGGCATTGCTCCACATTTAACAAGATGCCACCATAAGGGGAAACTGATGAAGGGGGCAGAGGATTTCTCTGTATTATTTCTTATAACCGCTTGTGAATCTACAGTTGTCCCCAAAATAAAATTAAGTGGATATTTTTAAGTGACTGAACTACACTGAAATGAAATATAAATGTTTATCATCGTAAAATTATCCAAGGTTTTCTCAGAAGTCTAATCACACACGCATGGAAAACTATAAAAGTATAAATAATTCCAAAAAGTACCTTTTACATGGTACATGAAAATGTCTTCCGGGAAGAAAACTGGTTGTATATTCATTTAATTATCAATACATATTGTTTCCCATTTTCAATATTATTTCACACTACAAAGTGCTGGCTTACAAAGTAAATGCAAATTAATTTATCAAAATTAATTTTAAATCTTGTACATTTCTTCAGAAGTTTGAAAAGAAAAACGCAATTATGCTTTAAAAAATTTTTAAGTTTAATATTTTAATGAGGCTTGTAAAGATATAGGAAAAAATATGCAAAATTGGCATTCCTTTAGATATGGTAAATCCAAGAATTATGAGTTTGGTGCTGCAAAAATTTTCTGCTGCTATATATTTATGATCAAACACAATCACCAAAATACTACTCAAATAAGATCACCACGATAACAAAAAGAGAAGATTCAAACAGGTGTTAGATAAATCCTCTCCAAGAAAAGTCTTCAAAAAGATAGTCTTCAAAAAGGTGAAAGAAGTCTGCATTTACACTCAGCTCACATATACATCTGTGTACTATACTATGTGAAAACAGATTACACACTGTCGTAGTCGGCCACCAAATGCCTCAGGGATATATAGGGTTCTCCCAGGGTTAATTTCATCTAGATTCTACAGTAAGAGTTATTTATCACAGCACAGTCCTCAGATCAAAATGCTATTATAAGAACTAGGTCCCTTCACTCAGAAAAATTATTTTTCTCTCCTTTCCTTTCTATCCTGCTTTAAAATCGCAATAATAAACTTTAAATCCTTTAGTTGTGAGAGTTTTGCAATAAAGCGTGGTACCAAGACATAACTCAATGTGGAGAAAATGAGGACTGCCACTGAAAATGTAATCTGCTCTTAGATATATAGTACTTAAAAGATATTTTAAAAAATTGCCAGGTTGTGCATATGGCTTACTTTCAGTATTATTAGTATAGCACTTTAAATAACCATCTTGGAAAATTCACCGGTTATTCTTGATTGATTGAGAATAGAAACGCACCAATACTGTGCATGGAACAATTGTTATTTCTCCCCACTAATAAACCTGCAATAAATGCCCTATTTCGTGTGACCAAAGGTGATTTCTAAGCCAATAGTTCTAAAGAGGTGGCAGCCATAGGGTAATTGATCAGGCACCACACCTTGCTCTTATTTCAAATTGCTTACTGAGATTTAGAAACAATTAAAAAATAAACCAACGAGGGAGGGTAAAATTGTAGATTTAAATATAGAGTGAATCACAGGGCGGAGAACAAATAGAGAAGATGTGGGAAACGAAGGTGAGAGAGTAGAAAGAAACCCAAGGCAGGCAGAGATGCTGGGAAGGGAAGAGAAGCCAAGGGCAAGAACTTGAAACAGAAAAAGCAAGAACCACAGTTACCAGAAGGTGGGACAAGAAAGTGGAATAGAAGAACAAGGAACACAGAGGTCCTATGATAGAAATGCAAATGTTCTCACCATAAGTGTTTAAAAATTTACGACTAATTTCAATTCGGGTTTTAAAATGAATTTTTTAAGGGACACGGTCTCACTCTGTTATCCAGATGCGAGTGCAATCCTCCCGTTTCAATCTCCCGAAGAGTTTACAGGCATGAGCCACCACACCTGGCCATAAATAATTGTAATATAGAAAAAACTACAGTATCAATTGCAGATTTTTTTCTAGGAATTTAGTATGTGTTTAAGATGATTTGATCAATACGGTTTTTAAAGTACAACAGTCTGTCACTTTAAATTTCAACCAAAGGGGAAAGATGATGGATGTAACTCCCAACACACCATTTTGTTTCTTTAGCACATATGCTATAAATGGCAATTGGAGGCCTTACTATTCAAACGTGTTGAATAACCCATCGATGAATAACCCATATGATGTCAAATGCATCATGACACATAGGCAGTACTATCTCCAATATGGAAATTCCCTAAATTATAACTCCCCCCACTATCTCCCAGCACTCACAATTACATAACAGAGTGGAGTCTTCTCTGCCTCTGTGGGGAGGGGGGACTGCTAATACAGTCAGACTGACAGAATAAACAGCTTCTCACCCAGTGCTCCAGGATCAGACAGACCAGGTGGTTGGGATAGTGACAGCAGCACTGGGCCAAGGTAACAAAACCTAGGACACGCAATCCAACGCCAGCTTGTCATATATTCCTAAGAAAATTTAAAACACCTGGGAAAGAAACATTTGTATCTTTCATCAGCAATTTTCAAGTTATTTCTATCGAAAATATCAATAAACCTGAGGCCCAATATTAACAAGAGAATCCACTCCGCCCACAAACACACACAAATTCATGTAACACTTCAATAACATTATAAGCCTGGCATCTGAGTGGGACATCCCAGAGCTACATTTGCATAATGATGTTCTGTTAAATCTAATTGCTTTAAAATACCCATTCTTTGCACCTGTCTGATGAGAATCTGCCCCAGTAGTTCCTAAAATCTAGATAACTTAAGAGCTTCATTCAACAGATTGCATATAATTCAACAGATTGTCTATCAAGCACCTGCTGTGTCAGGTATTTGGCTGGGGCTATCCAGGAATATAGTGACTAGTGTGACTCCTGACCTCTTGGAGTTTACATTCTACCACTGAATAAGCAAACTAATAAAAGTGGTTAGAGTGTTAAAGAAAGCAGGCTCTGGTCTAAGAATGCTGAAGGCCATGACATAAGAGGAAAAAAACTTCTCTTCTCCTGTCCCTCACATTTTGCAGCTTGCAAAGATGACAGCAGAATGGCAGAACCAGAAGCAAAACAAAGTGTTGTAATATTTTGCTTACAAACTTTCTTTGTGAGTGTGTCTGTTGCTGTAAATAAAGTAACTCCAAGGCAAGGTGGATGCCTCAAGATTCATTCAGCCAAACAGAGCCTTCTACATTTGCCCTAAGACTTCATGGGTCACAGGTACAGTAAGAATTCCTGTCTCCAGGGTTTTATTACTGAACATTATTCCTTTCTCCAGAATGCCCTGGAATGTCACATCCCCCAAAGAGTTCCACAATGCCTGAAGATACCGTCTCACAATTACTGAACTCCTGAAAGTGAGGTTCACAATTGATACAGCTCGAGCATCCTCACAGCGCGCCACCCGGGAGCCCAGCATCTCCTGGAGTGGAATGTCAGCACTAAGGGACCAGGCGGTGATCCTGTGGTGTGGACAGACACTTTAGAGGAGGTATCCAAAATGTTTATCTGAATGCATCCCTGGCCAGGTGTAGAAATACTCATCACAAACAAGCAAAAATAGACAATCAAAAAATTAAAAACTAAAGGCTACTAGCCTCTGTGATTCTTTTAATAGCCTGCTAGTACAGTTCCTAACTTGCCACCTTCCCTAAGATATTGGCCATATTTCTCAATTCTGCATGTAACAACAACAACGAAAACTTAACCTTAGACAAAAAGGCAATGTATTCACTATGCAAGTGGGTAGCATGGAGGACATCTACCATTCCAGGACCCAGATTCCTCAAGTGCCATCAGGCTCAAGCCTCCGGGCTCTGCTCCCTGTGTGTGCTGCATTCTGCTTGGTGCCAGGAAGGGGGCCACTTGGCAGCCCACACACCACTAGCAATCCAACCAGAAGAGGCAGTCTCTCCCTGCTACTCCTACAGAAAAGCACCAAATGGGACTCCAATTGACCTGCGTGATCACATGTCCATTCCTTAAACTAACGCTGTGTCTCCAAGGTGATGCCATAAGGTTCTATGATGAGGAAAATGCCAAAAACAATCCCTGAGGAAACCAGCATAACTCCCGGAGTTCTTAGAAAAACAGACTAAAAACCAGGGCTGTGATTAAGATATTCTTGGGAAAAAAACTGCACCAATGTTCTAAACCATGCCCTAGAAATGGGTTTACCCTATTCCTACCCATAACAATCATTTAACACTATTTGAAATTGAAAAGAGGAAATAATAGTTAAAATGTTTAACACATTTATTAAATGCTTGAAACCCACCCCATTTTGCCTCCATCTAGGACACATTCTTATTTACTGTAGCGCAAGTACGTATAAAGACCTCAAATTAAGTCTTCCAGGGGATGACTGCCAATTGGATTCATTCTCAAGATCAGTATCAATGCTCAAAGCTGCTAGAACCTTCAATCCTACAGAAAATTCTAGCTGCATAGTAATTCCTGAAAGCACTTAATTCTGAGATTGTCTTTACAGAAAAATTTTTTGAGTCCTACCTTAACTTATGCTGTAAGCGTGAACAATGTAATGATGGCTGACTCTGGGCACACTACCTATGGGTTAGCCCTGCTCTGCGAGGAGCAGTAGCTGGGGGAAAAAAAGAAAAGAGAAAAACAAAACAAGAAAAAAAAAAAAAACGTTGTAATGATTAGCTAATTGCTCCAAATATTTGCCCCTCATTAAAACAACTTCATATTAAAACAAATTGTCAAAGATCACCACTTCTAGTACAAGAAATGAATGAGGGCTGGGCATGGTGGTCCATGCTTCTAATCCCAGCACTTTGGGAGGCTGAGACGGGCAGATCACTTGAGGTCGGGAGTTCAAAACCAACCTGGCCAACATGGTGAAACCCTGCCTCTACTAAAAATACAAAAATTAGCTGGGGGTGGTGGCATGGGCCTGTAGTCTGAGCTACTCAGGAAGCTGACGCAGGAGAATCGCTGGAATCCAGGAGGCAGAGGTTGCAGTGAGCCGAGATCCTGTCACTGCACTCCAGCCTGGGACACAGAGTAAGACTCTGTCCATCCCCCAAAAAAAAAGAAAAAAAGAAAATGACTGGGAATAGCTTATATGTCAATCTATGAATATCATTAATGATTTAAAGTTTTATTATGCTACATCATTTATGTTACTCTATACTTTTTATATTTTTAAAGCAAATGTAATTTAGAAGTACATCTACCACACATAACTAAGAGCCTGCAAAGGGGAAAATACGCTTAATCACAAATCATGAATCCAATAGCAAAGAAAGTTCAGAGTTTACTGTTTGGTTTTTGAGAAGATACTGTCACTGGGGACTTTGTTTCTGTGTCATGACCAAGTCATGGGGAAAAAGAGAAAAGTGGAGGGATGTGAGGGCCTAGACAGGGGAAAAAGGAGAACAGGAGGCTCAAGACTGGTGAGGAAGGGGAGTGGGCTGGGCGTGCGGCTCATGCCTGTCATCCCAGCACTTCGGGAGGCCAAGGGAGGAGGATTGCTTGAGCACAGGTGTTCAAGGCTAGCCTGGGCAACACAACAAGACCCCATCTCTACAAAAAAAAAAATTAAGCCAGGTATCGTGGCATGCACCTGAAACCCAGATGCCAGGGAGACTGAGGTGGGAAGATCACCTGAGCCCAGGGAGACTGAGGCTGCAGTGAGCCGTGATCGCACCATTGCACTCCAGCCTGGGCAACAGAGTGAGACCCTGCCTCAAAAAAAAAAAAAAAAAAAAAAAAAAAAAAAAAAAAAAACACTAAAAGAAGGGGAGCAAGAGTAAAAAGACAGTGAAACATAAAATGCCAAATTCCTTAAGACTGTGAGTGTGCACATATACATCAACAACAGAAGCATCCAGAGTCTCTAGAAGATTAAATCATGTGACTTTACAAACACATGATTCCAAAAGGAAAAGAAAGAGATACTTCAAGAAATTAATGTGGTCAAGCAGGTATTTTTCTGATGAGTTTAGATTTTTAAAGGAAATGTTTAACAGAAAGAAGTATCTTTTTTTTTTTTTTTTTTTTTTCGAGAGAGTCTCGCTCTGTCACCCAGGCTGGAGTGCAGTGGCACTATCTCGGCTCACTGCAACCTCTGCCTCCCAGGTTCAAGCGGTTCTTCTGCCTCAGCCTCCTGAGTAGCTGGGATTAGAAGCACGCACCACCATGCCCAGCTAATTTTATATTTTTAGTAGAGATGGGGTTTCACCATGTTGGTCAGGCTGGTCTTGAACTCCTGACCTCGTGATCCACTGGCCTCGGCCTCCCAAAGTGCTGGGATTACAGGCATGAGCCACCGTGCCTGGCCTCAGAAAGATGTATTTTTTGTACAAAAGAACGCAGGGATCTCTAAAATTCCCAAAATTCCTATCAGGAAACAATAGCAGAATAAAATTGGGTTTGCAAAAATTGAAAAAGTTTCCTTAGTTATATTATATTGTAACAAACAATTACAGACAACACACTTAGTTCTATACCTACTTTCTTGGTCAGATAAAATTATCTTCAGAATACACACAGAAAATAAACATTGGAAAGAGAAAACTAAAATCCAATGGTAAGCAAAAATAAAGGAGGAGGTCTTAGATCATCCAAATATACTGCAGCCTCCCAACTCGTATGAATTATAACACAGAGACTTGGGGATAAGGTCATGGAACACCTGCCTCAATCTTTAAAGAGCGGTAACAAACACGAGGGCTTCCGAGAGCTGGCAGCGTCCTACTTCTTGATGTGCACGGCAACTGCCCAGATGTTTATTTTACAGTTGGTTGAACTGTACATCTGCTTTATGCACTTTGTTATATTTCACCACCAACCCCCACCCCCCAAAAAAGAGGTCAAATCTAAAAGGTACAGGATGACTAGAGAAGGGCAAGCACTGTCTCAATTTTCCAAAACTACAGATATTTATATTAACTGTGAATCCCTAGCAACATTCTTACAAGCTAAGAAAATAGCTTGTAAAAGCTAATGAGGCTGACATGGGAATTCATAAGCTACAAGGCTGTGAAACTTCCTTTTTAAACCGTGTTATCTGTCAGCAACTATGGCCTATAAGCACTATAAGGTGTCTATTTGTTCAGTGCAGTCCTCATGACAATGGGGTGAGCGTGGAGGACAAGCTGGAGAAATACCATGAATGCTGGAACATGATTTAACTTTGAAGAGAATAAAAAGAACAAACAGCAGGATCAAGTTCACTCTAGAGGGAAGACTGCAGACATGCTGCAAAGTTTTATGCCCCAACCTCTCAACATCTGAAGGTAAGAATATAGGAGGCATAAAATAGCAGATTAAATGGGTAAAGAATTTGGGACTAATAGATGAGTTTAGAGGCTATTTCCTGAAATTAGGATCAGAAGCCTTTGTTAAAATATAAATTGCAATGACGGGTGTCTGCAGGAATAGATTTGTCGGTGGAAAGCTGAGGGTATTCCCAGTGATGGCTTCTATTTCCTCCATGAAAGGTACCGTGAAGATGGAGGGAACAGGGGATTGAGAAGAATGGGGAAGATCTAAGAAGGTGATGCAAAGAACGGAGAAGAAATCTAACTGGAAACACCACATAAGTGTTAAGATTTAAATTTACAAATGGCAGCCAGGCCCAGTGGCTCAGGCCTGTAATTGCAAGCAACATGGGAGGCTGAGGCAGCAGGAAGACTGCTTGAGCACAGGAGTTGGAGGCCATGGCGAGCTACGATCGCACCATTGCACTCCACCCCAGGCAACAAAGCAAGACCCCATCTCTAAATAAATAAATTTGCAAATCGTTAATGGGACATTTTCACAATTTTCTTCAGTGGATAGCTACATTTTAAAAGTAACTCCATAATCTACGTGAATGACGCATTTATATTTTAAGAACTTTAGGTCTAGTTTCAGAGAATATTCACAATTTTTAGATATAAGATACTCTGAAATCTTCAATTACTTTAACAG
Organism: Homo sapiens; assembly: GCF_000001405.40. Classification (NCBI taxonomy): domain Eukaryota; kingdom Metazoa; phylum Chordata; class Mammalia; order Primates; family Hominidae; genus Homo; species Homo sapiens. The sequence goes on along the minus strand of NC_000007.14, from coordinate 3,355,141 downwards.
GAAAACACCTTGCTGCAAATTTTAATAAGATGTGTCAATGGAATTAACAAATAACATGACTAAGAAAAGACTAGATTTGGCCAGATATTTCCCACCACAATTTAATCAGAGAAAATGAGAAAATAAACTGTAGCTTAATTATAATCATATAATTAGAGCTTCCCCACAGACACAAGAAAGTAAACCACTTTCACATGTAGTGAGTGTTGGCTGGTGGATTATTTTAAGCATCTATTGTTACACAGCAGTGAGGCCTCTTTAACGTGATCAAGTACGTACACTTTAAGTCCAATCGTTTCCTTGGTTAGCTGCTTCATTCTGTTTTCATTTTGAGATATTCAAGCATAATCTAGTCAATAATATTTTGCCCTTATCCGTCAGGATGTATTTGTAATAAGGGCAGGGGTTAACATATTAGCTAGCAGGGCTATTTAAATAATCTACCCAAGACCTATAAAGTCAATATTAATTCCCAATGAAACACAATTAACTTCTGTGATTTAATAAATGGGTAGCTTTGATACACATGAAAAAAATGTAGACTGATTACATTTGACAATTTTCTTTCAGGAGCTATTAATACACTGACACCACAAAATATTCTTACAATTGAAGTGTTAAGACTGTTAACTTTAACTTTTATTATGTTACCTATACTTCTTTCACGGAAAACTCTCGAATAATCATTGGAACCAATGAAAAACTATTTCAAAAAACAACTTTTTCCTTATATTCAACTTTCCAGACATAAATGTAAGGCATGAAACAGTCACATTGGTTTCTAATAGGTTTATATCCCTGTTTTTTTTTTCCGTTTGACTTAATAATCTGAATGCTGGTTAAATGAAAAATGGTCAGGCCAGGCGCTGTAATCCCAGCACTTTGGGAGGCCAAGGCAGGCAGATCATGAGGTCAGGAGATCAAGACCATCCTAGCTAACACAGTGAAACCCCATCACTACTAAAAATACAAAAAATTAGCCGGGTGTGGTGGCGGGTGCCTGCAGTCCCAGCTACTTGGGAGGCTGAGGCTGAGGCAAAAGAATGGTGTGAACCCAGGAGGCGGAGCTTGCAGCGAGCCGAGATCTCGCCACTGCACTCCAGCCTGGGCAACAGAGCGAGAGTCTGTCCCAAAAAAAAAAAAAAAGAAAAGAAAAATGGTCTGAAATGTGGCTATGGAGCCCGGTTGCAACATGAAATGTGTTCCCTGAGCAAGTCAGTTACGTAACTTTCACCTCCAACCTCATGGATGAGGAGGACGTGAAGACGTACAGAAAGCATCTGCATGGAAACTGACATGCAGGACACGCTCAAACATGGGAGGCTGCTTTTTCTAGTGATCTTCTAGATGAAATCTACAGTTAATGTTCCTTCACCAGCAAAAGGAAGCATGCTCCCTTTAACCATGAACTGTATCATCCTTGTATGTTAATCGAGTCATCAATAGTTTCTATTCATGACAGGGGAAATATCATCCCTTGTAATAGGTCTGGCTTTGACGGGCAGCTCCACTAACCATTCAGAAATAGACTGGAATGGTAAGTTACAGTTACAGAACTGTTACAGAAACTACACACAGGGCACTACTAAAAAGAGCTACACATTACTTTTCCAATTTTACAAAGAGCATAAACAGAGAACATATGCTATTCTAATAATTCCCAGGAGTGGTATAAATGTAACTCAGCTCATTTGAATTTTTTTTAGAAATTATGGTTACTTCAAAAATTGGGAGTCATGTGAGTTCCTATGTTCAGTATATTTTATAAACCCAAACGTACACTAAGGTTATAGCAACTTTTATTCCAAATGCCATCAATTTTCAAAATAACCCCCAAGATGAAAGATACTCATCAAAGTTTGTAAGTGGCTATTCAGAATTAAGTCAAGCACTTTAAGAAAAGGATAGTAAAAAGGGATATAATCTACTTAATGGTTCTTGGATCTTTCCATGCCATTACTTACACCACTTACCTATCTATCCTCTACTCAGAAAAGGGAACAATGATAACAGGAAACAAAATAGAAATAGAATTGCTGCAGGGTGCAAAAAAAGCTAAATTGGGATAATATAGAAAAAGTACTTTAAAAGAACTAATGACACGGTGGGATATGATCACCAGAAAACATTTCACATACCCTTTATGTCTTGTTTTCCCTCAAGACAGACCCTAACTACAACAAAGTATTCCCATGTAGAGCTTGTTCCTGCATCCATGATGTGACAAATTATTTCTTCAACCTGGTGCCTGTTCCGATTTAGATTCCCACTCTTCGGAAAATACAGGACAGAACTCATTTCCTCCCCAGACACTGTGAATACCTCAATTTTTTCATGCTCCTCAGAACTTTGTGAAAAGAGAAGAGAAAAAAAAAGGGTTTCCCTAGGTCACCAACACAGTAATAATCTGAAAAAAAAAGAAAAATCTCTTCTCTTTTTCCTTCAGGAATGGAAATGGGAAGGAATGGTAAAACCCCAAACAGTGTATCTGTGACAGCCCATGAGTGGCTCTGTTATTCAACATGGAAACAGAAATATCTACTTCAGCTTGTCTGAGCCTCAAATTTCCTTAGGTGTCTGGCCAAAGAACACGTAACTACAGGCACAGCTGGTCTATCAGCCTCTAAATGAATAAAAACAGGAGCCACAGCCTGTGAACTAAGCTCTGGATGTAAATCTCGTGTTTTCAGTAAATCCACAGATCTCTCGTCGTGGCACACCCTCCCTGCTACCAGCAGGAATGATCTCTTCCCCCATTTAGCTCAAACAATTACTTTCCTAATCCCACATACATGATCACTAGCCTCCTAAGAAGAATTCACAAAAATATTGGGGATCTCTGGAACGTGTATCAAGTATTTGGACATCAAAAAAAAAACCTCCCAAATCCTGACAATTTTTACATTTAGTAGGGTCAGAAGTACAGTGATTTTGTATTTAAGTGACAGATTTTTCCATTTTGTAAAACTTTTTAAATGAAACTTTTATAAATATATATTTATATATTTATAAAATTATATATTATACATTATAAGAAATATACTTCTTAATTTATTGACATACAAGGATTTTCCTGTTATCTTTTGGTTGATTCCTTCTATAATTCCGTAAGAAAAATACTCTACATGATTTCAATCATTTGAAATTTATCAATACTTGCTTTATATTCCTATATGTAATCAATGTCAGATGCTCCATGTGCTTGAAAAGAATGGATTATACAGGAACTGTAACATTCTATGAATGTCCATGAGGTCAGATTTGTTCATTGATCATGTTCTTTAAGTCTTCCATATCCTAAGATTTCTGTCTGCAAGTTGTACTATTCAGAAAGGTATGTTAACTTCCCACTAGGATTGTGCATTCAGCTATTTTTCTTGTTTCTGTATATTTTTGCTTTATATAATATGTACCTATATCTGAACTGAACCTTTTACCACTGTGCAGTGATCCTCTTCATCTCTAATGCCTTTTGCCTTGATTTCTATGTTGTCTGATATCAACATGTTATACCAGCTTTATTTTGCTTAAAGTGAGCCTGAAATAAAATTTTCCATTATTTTGCCTTCTGTATCTTTGTTTTTAGATATGCTTCTTGTAAACCTAGTATCTCAGATGTTTTTAATCCAATCTGACGTGTCTTTTAGCAGAATCCTCTAGTCTATTTACATTTATTGTAATTACTGACACTTGAATTTATAGCTATCATGTTATTGTGTGCTTTCTGTTTTTCCTGCCTCCTCTATACTGTCTTCATAGTAGACAGTGGTGTTAAGGTCCATTTTCTAATTTTTCTCCTTGTGTTGAGTAATATCAATAAATTGTTAGGTAAAATGATTCACCAATTTTTATTATTTATATGTCTCAATATAACTTTCCTAAATTCTCATGCTTCTAGTTGAAAGCAAAACATAGGACATAAAATCTTTATGAAATTACAATACAACTACCATCTGGCCTTTAAGATTAACCAATCTATGGAAGTACAAGGCTGCCCATTAAAAATGACAACAGTAGGCTCTCAGAACTGCTGCAGCTTAGTCAGTAACCAAGCTGTTTTCAAATTTTTTATTCTTCTAGTTTTACCCAGTGAAACTAAGATATATTATCACAACATAGATATCTATTTATGTATGTAGTATCAGATATTATTGATTCTTGGGGCAACCAGATGTCACTAATTGTGTTTACCCTACCATAATTCTCCTTTAATACCCAGCTCAAAATATAAACCAGTTAAAGCCAAATTCTTCAGAAGCAAAACGGTGTCATTCTACTTTTAATGGGGGGAAAAAACTATTTTAACAGTCCTACTAATTTTTTTCAGTGTCACACAAACTATCATACTGCAAGATAAATCGTGAGAAGTAAACAAGCCAGTACAAAGCCTAGCATCTTAACACAGTAAATATGACATTGGTGACTGTAGAAGGAAAAGATGAGACATCACCAGGAAAAGGTTTTCCCAAACACCTCACTGACTGGTGGTTCAAGGTAAGACTGTTAGTCTTGTGGCCCAAAGGCTCTATCATGGTCTAGAGTTGATTAGGAAAAATGCCTCAGGGCAAAGTTAAAGACAATCAATTATAAAAAGCAAAATGACATACTATCAGTATTATTAATTTACAACAAAATAACCACCAAGAAGACTGAATACTGAACTCTTCTGGGCAATGTAATCTGTCCCACTACAACTACACTGGGGAGCAGATAATAATCAGTTATGTGCTGAGTAAATTTGGAATCACAACAAAGGGACTCACTTGCTTCACAAGTTCATGGCATCACACCACATCCATTTCCACTGTGGGAATATGCCTGCCTTAGGATGCTGTCCCCAAATAAATAACGCCCACACAGACACTGATAAACTTTGTTTTTTTCCACACTCATTGTTAAGTGACAACTTCTTCCTCTGTGGCACATCCATCCTATGTTTTCTGATAGACTGAGTGTCTCCCACTCTCTCCTTCTGTGATCCATTATATACTGATAGACTTAAAATGGCTTACCTCTCCCTAAGCTAAACTTACTGTTAGTAGGTACCTTACCCACCCATCACCAATAGCATGACCTTTTGTTATTGGGCTACATTAAAAAGCAGGCATAAATGTGAGAGGCACAAAGTCCCCAAACTTCATCCTCTACCTGCTACTTCATCAAGAGTCCAGCACTGCCCAAGGAGTAAACCTTCTGTATCTACCAATCCAGGATGTGGTCTTAAGATACATGTACTCTTAGGCCGGGCACGGTGGCTCATGCCTGTAATCCCAGCACTTTGGGAGGCCGAGGCGGGCAGATAATGAGGTCAGGAGATCGAGACCATCCTGGCTAACACGGTGAAACCCCGTCTCTACTAAAAATACAAAAAAAAATTAACCAGGCGTGGTGGCAGGTGCCTGTAGGCCCAGCCACTCGGGAGGCTGAGGCAGGAGAAGGGCGTGAACCCGGGAGGTGGAGCTTGCAGTGAGCCGAGATCTTACCACTGCACTGCAGCCTGGGCGACCGAGCCAGACTACGTCTCAAAAAAAAATAAAAGATACATGTACTCTGGCCCAAAAAGGCAGGTATGACTTCCACAGTTTCCTTGCCCATATCCTTCGCTTCTTAGTCCTCTGCCCTCACAGGGCTGGTCCCCGCAGAACACATGCCTAGCCAGCTCCTTCATGGACACTGTGTTCAGTCACTCAGGTCCAATAGCCAAGCACAGTTCCATCCAACAGTAACCCCCTCCCTCCCCAGCCCCATTCCCCTTCCAGTTGGAGGAGCAGGCTTCTTTTTCAGATGAGTAACTCCAAGAATGACGTTCTCTTTAAGTGATTATGAACCACAGTCTAATAAGGGTGAGACCCTGCTCTTCCCACAAAACCACAGCCCTCATAAAGTCAAAGGTATACATCTAAATAGGCTGTTGTGTGTTTGTTTTGTTGTGTTTTTTTTGTTGTTTTTTTTTAAACTGCAACCACAGGGCAGCTGAAGGCAATGGGGGACTGAGGAAGGAGGCAGCAGAAGTAGGAGAGGAGCAAGAATCCAGAAGGGAAATGAGAACGACAAAACTGAAGTGCACTTCAACATCCTGCAGCCAAAGGGGTAAAAAGGAGAAAGAAGCGCAGACCAGTCACATAAATGCCACAGTGACATGCACAAAAACGTGAGGGGCACACTCCAGGGACAGAGTCTGACAACATGACAAGCTACATGGCATCAAACTCTTTCATGTGACAGGCAGCTTTTCACATGTGCATCTTAAGACTGGAACTTGCTATAGATAAACCTTAAGTAGTTAATAAAAGCAAAAGTCATCCTCTATTCACTGTTTGCTGCCATGTTCCAGGCATAGTACTTGGCACTTTTTATTTTATTTCACTTGATCAGCTCAGAAAGTCCTCCAAATGAGTATTTAAAAAAAATAACAGCTCACTTTTTGAAAAACAATTTCAACTTTTATTTCAGATTTGGGGGTACATACACAGGTTACATGGGGATACTAAATGATGCTGAGGTTTGGGGTGCAGACGAGCCCATAGCCCAGGTAGTGGGCATAGTACCCAACAGGTAGGTTTTCACCGCCCTGCGTCTTCCTCCCTCCCGCTCTAGTAGTCTCAAGTGTCTACTGTTCCCATCTTTATGTCCATATGCACTCGATGTTTAGTTCTCCCTTACGAGAACATGTTGTTTTCGGTTTTCTGCTCCTGTGTTAATTCACTAACAACCTCCAGCTGCACCCACCTTGCTACAAATGACATGATTTTGTTCCTTTTTATGGCTGCATAGTAGTCCATGATGTATATGAATGGCTCACATTTACTGCACACTTACCTTCGTAACAACTGTGAGTCAGGTACTAGCATTATTCCAGCTTACAGTGGAAAAAGCTGAGTCAGAGAGGGTAATAAAATTGCCTCGGATCACACAGTTATCAAGTAGTGAAGCCAAGAATCAAACCCAAGCAGTAAGCCTGGGCTATGCATTAAAACCTAAGTGCATCATCATTGAGCTTTGCTGTCTGTGATGTAAACATCGTCCCCACTTTAGAGGTGAGAGACATTTAGGGAGGTAAACACACCAAGGCCTCACAGAAGTGCAGGGCTGAGCTAGGACCTGAATCCACCTCATCCTCTGTTATAATACTCCTTCTCTCATTGTGGAATTATACATATTTAAGTACTTAGGAAGCAAAATACTTACACTTAAAGTGAACCTCCACTTATTTTCAGAGACTTACTACACAAAAGGAAAAAAAAAAAAACATATTTAATGTGTTTGTAACTGGCTCGATACTAAGCCACGCTCTAGTGCATAAATTATTCCCTGAGAATTAATAAAGTACTTAAGAAACTTGTATTAACTCTTTCAGGCCACAGGGGTAGCATTCAGTGAACTGAATTCTTAATTTACTAAAATGGTACCCAGAAGGTTCAGAAGAACATAACTTCCTCTGAGGGCATGGGGAGAAAAAACTTGTAAAGCCACTTAGGAATATAAACTAAATTCAGAACAAAATTAAAAACCATGCCACAGGGAAATATTGTTCTAGTGGATTAGCCTCTGGCCCTAAAAATTGGTCAGAAATGAAACAGGGAGGTTGAAAATATCTAGGAACAGAAAATCACCTTCAACGGCACATTTGAGCCCAATGGCTAGGGTTCTGGAGCCTTGACTGTAGTAATCAGAGAATAGGTGAAAAGTTATTTTGTTCCAACTTCATCAGGTACTTCTGGGAAAGGCATAGTAAGACCAACAGCTTTATGACATCACCAGATCTCCAACTGGTATCCAACATATCATATATACACTAATAATGCAAAATTAGACTCTTTCACCTATAAAAATACTGCTCCATATACAAAAGAGTATAAGAAGATATGTGCCAAGTGTTGTCAGAGTACTACAAAATTGCTAAAAGAATATAAAAAAAAATCTGGTTTGTGCACCTGGAGAAGAGTTCTTGGAAGAAGTGGCATCAAGTACAACTCCACTTAACCGGCTAACGTCTGGATGCAAGAGGCAGTGAAAGCAAGCAGAGGGAATGGCATGGGCAACCAACAGAAGCACGAAGATGCAAAGTCTTTCAGGGAACAGCAAGAATTTAACTGCAGACTTTGGTGTATGAAGTGAAACTCTCTCCAATTAGTTTAGCAGAGAAGGAGGAGAATAAATAATTCTCTCAGGGCTGGGTGCAGTAGCTCATGCCTATAATTCTAGCACTTTGGGAGGCAGAATCAGGAGGATCACTTGAGCCCAGGAGTTCGAGACCAGCCTGGGCAACATAGCAAAACACTGCTATACCAAAAAAAAAAAAAAAAAAAAAAAATATATATATATATATATATACACACACACACACACATACATATATATGTATACATATATACATATATACACACACACATATATATACGTGTATATATATATGTATACATATATACACACACACACAAACACACATACACACACACACCAAAAAAAAAAAAAGAAACTAAATTAGCCAGGTGTGGGGGTGCAGAAGGCTAAGGTAGGAGGACTGCCTGAGCACGAGTTGGAGACTGCAGTTGAGTCATGATCACATCACTGAGCTCCAGCCTGGGTGACAGAGTGAGACCTTGACTATTAAAAAAATTAAAAATAAATAAATGTTAACTCTATTGTTATTACCACAAGGGCACCAGAAAGCACAGCACACTTGTGGAATCTGAAGTAGCTTCATCGATCAGGACCATACGTACGTTGTAGTGCTGGCAGGAAGGAGAGACAAGCCTAGGAAGAAAGTGAAGCTAGATGAACAGCCTTGCACGGAGGCTCACAGGAGCTCCACTAGCCCAGGTGACACCTCTCAGTGAAGGGGAAAGGTCCCCACCCACCGAAACCAGCCCCAGAGCTGCAGACAAGCTGGCAGGACTCCTCTTCTCGCTGGTGCCCACATGCAGGGCACAATCAGCTTTATTATGAGCAGCATTTGTGCATGCACAGGAGTCTGAAATTTATTCTTAAGACAGTAGGAACCTCCCTGAAAGATTTTAAGCAGAAGAGGATGCAGTATCACAAGTTGCAATGTGGAAAAACTGAGACTCTAAATCTTAAAAATTAGACCCAAAAACATTTTATCCAGGAGTACAAGTGCCAGAAACATCTAACAATGGGGTTATTCTAAAAGAACTGTTTTAATTATTATGCTTAAAAGACAGAAAACAAGAACCGAATAACTGCAGTGGGTGATGACACTGCAATTCCAACAGACTGAACGCCTGACTACCAATGTCACGGCAGCCCAAGCTGTGTCATCTAGATGGGGTGACCTGCATCATAAAGGATCAAACATTACTGCGAGAAGCTATTCAATATGAAAAATCTCAAATTTCATGGAACAACATTATTTACTACTGAGGAGGCAATACTCTAGAGAAGCACTGAAACAGGAAAGAGACGGCAAGGCATCGCCTGGGAAAACAGATAACGCTGAGGAGTCTTTTCAGCCGTGCCACCATCCTGGAATTTGGGTTTCTGAAAACATGTTACAAGCCCTGATATGTTACTATACTCCCATCTTCAAATCAGAAATAATTTCCTGGAAAAAAAGATAACTCATGTTATTGAATGGTGGGGTTTCTCTGCCATTTAAATAAAATGGCATTGCAAATCATGCTTATTGTAAGAATGTCTAAGTTAAATATATTTAATGTGTTAATATCACTGAGTAGGATTTTACGTAATTTTTTTCAGGAAATTCTCATCTCTTAATGACAGCTACTTTGGTTTGCTGACATACTACGTTTATATTAAAAGGTTAGTTCAGTCTCTTTTTGTTTCCTAACATATGTCATGTCCCAATATCTTTTTTCAATGTATTCTTTTGAAGATATTATTTATCTGGAAGAAGTCAGGTCCCAGAGAAACCAGGAAATAGGTATCAGCATAAGCATTTTCACTATAAAATCCGTAAGTTATCTGAAAATAAAATCCTCCAAATCCAAAATGCAGTTCCTAATAACATGCCCTCTGTGTACTTCAATGCAGCAGTGATCAAACCACATTCCGTGGAGACCCGAAGTTCTACAACAAGACTTCAAAGACTTCTATAAACGCTTAACTTCTTGCAATATGTTTTAAAATCTGTAATAAAGCACAACAGTCATAATCAGATGGGTACTATTCAGATTTTTACATAAGTTGTCCCCAAAGCACTACCCTGTGTGGTAGGTCAATTTGTGCTTGTGTGGACCTGGAAATGAAGCATCTCTTGTTATTACTGTACAACAGTAAGACTGGCAGTAATCATGTCATTAACTACAAAGGCTCACCACTCATCATTTTCTGAATTTAGGACTGCTGAACTTTTACGTTCATTCTCTCAGAACTTACTACCAGGGACACTCCTGCAGTATATATGAAAAGGTAAATTATACACTAGACAGGGCTCAGGCCCATCTGATTGAAACGTGCTATCAGCATGCCATTACGTCCAGTCCAGCAACAACGAAGAAGAACACGATATCCACCTATTCTGAGAATGGTAATGCAGTTTTAACATTTGTTGCAAATTTTGGGGTATCTTCTATTTATGATAACAAGAGCAACTGTCACATTTTTATTCAGCCTGGAAATAAACTGTCTACAATTCTTCTTTTAAGCTTCCATATCAACATAAGCAAAGCACATCTTGAAACTGCAAGAGAAACTGTTCTCAAAAGCTAATAACTGCCACTACTTAAGTAAGTCGGAATTTTCTTATACAACTAACGAGAAAAAAAATTGGATCCTGAGCTAGGTACAGAGCTTCAGCTTTCCAAGATAAAAGTAGCTGTGGAGACTAGATGCACGACAATGTGAACGTATTTGATGCTACTGAACTGTATACTTAATGATTCAGATGAAAAATTAGGATATATTTTACCACCATTTTTAAAACATTTTTTAAAATTGAACATGTAGGGAGTTTCATTGTTCACTTTTTACTTTGTATTCTCTAATCCTGAAGACATTTAATTCTGTAGATTTTTTCCCCTGCACACAGTTTTCACTGTGTCCATAGGCTTTGGTACAAAATATTCCTTTTATTGCTTTGTTTGATCTAACTAAACTTAGTGAAAATATACATGCATTTCTAGTTTTTTTTTTTTTTTTTTGGTTGTATGTGTTTAGCAACTATGGTTTAGTGTCTGTACACCTTCACAGTTTATCCTCTTCATAAATGTCTTTTATCAATAATATGTCCGTAATATGTTTACTGCTTTCAACTGTTAGTCTCAACTGATCTGATATCAACACTGCCATTCTGTTTTTTGTTTGTATGGTATCTTTTTGCCCATCTCTTCACTTTCATCTTCCCCTTTAACAATTGAAGAGTTACTTGTTATCACCTGTATTTTAAGGCACTTTCCAATCTTGTCTTCTAATAGAAGTCAGTCCATTCATATTTAACTTTTTATTAAGAGATAATTACAGATTCACAAGCAGTTGTAAGAAATACTACAGAGATCCCATTCACCCTTGACCAAGTTTCCCACAACAATGACACTTTGAACAGCTAGTGCAATACCACATACAGATTATTGACATCGATACAGCCAAGATAGAGTATTTCCACCACCACAAGGATCCCACATGTCACTCTTTCATTAGCCACATCCATGTCCGTCCTACTCTCTTCTGCTCTTTAGCCACTGGAAGCCACTAATCCAGTTCTAGAATTTTGTCATTTCATAAATATTACATCAATGGAATTATACAACATATAACCTTTTAGAATAGGCTTTTTATCACTCGATGTGGAGATTCACAGTAGGTGCATCAATACTTTGGCCCTTTTTATTGTGAGAAGTAATCATGATACAGAAGTACTGTGGTTCAATAATGCGTTCACTGAAGGACATCTGGGCTGTTTCCTGTGTAGGGGTATTTATTATAAATAAAGCTTCTCTAAGCATTGGTGTACAGGTTTTTGCATGATTATGTGTTCATTTCTCTGAGATAACTATCCAAGAGTACACTTGCCAAGTTGTATCATAGTTCTACGTTTAGTTTTATAAGAAACCGCCAAACTGTTTTCTAGAGTGGCTGTACCATTTTACATTCCCACTAGCAATGTATGAGCAATGTTTCTCTGCATCTTCACCAACATTTGGTGCTTTTTTTTTTTTTTCAGCCATTTAGCAGAAGTTTTCTCCCTATGGCTTTAATTTCCATTTCCCTAATGGCTAGTAATACTGAATGTATGTCTTTTTCTGTGATTATTTGCCACTTAAATATCCTCTTTGGTGAAAAGTCTGTTGATGTCTTTTGTCCATTTTCCAACTGGATTGTTTTTTCCTATTGAATTTTGAAAGTTCTTTACATATTCTAGGTATTAGTCTCTTGGCAGACAGATGAAAATATTTTCTACTAGTATGTACCTTGTCTTTCCATCCTCTTAATATGCTCTTTCATGGAGAAAAAGTCTTTAACTGGTTCTAACTTACCAAGTTTTTCTTTTATGGATTGTGATTTTGGTGTAAAGACTAAGAACTTATTGCTTAGTTCTGGATTCTGAAGACTTCCTTTTTTTTTTCTTTTTTTTGAGATGGAGTTTCGCTCTTGTTGCCTAGGCTGGAGTGCAACGATGCGATCTCGGCTCACCGCAACCTCCACCTCCTGGGTTCAAGCGAGTCTCCTGCCTCAGCCTCCTGAGTAACTGGGATTACAGGCATGTGCCACCACACCTGGCTGATTTTGTATTTTTAGTAGAGACGGTGTTTCTCCATGTCGGTCAGGCTGATCTCAAACTCCCGACCTCAGGTGATCCACCCACTTCGGCCTCCCAAAGTTCTGGGATTACAGGCATGAGCCACCGCACCTGGCTAACTTTCTCCTTTTTTGCCTAAGAGTTTTACAATTTTACATTTATGTCCATAATCTATTTTGAGTTAATTTTGTATAAAATATAAAATTTAGATCAAGGTTGATCATTTCGTCTATGGATGTCCAATTTCTGCTCCAACACCATTTGTTGAGAAGAATAATCTATCAGTGAATTGCTTTTTCACCTTTGTCAAAAATTAATTTGGCATATTTATGTATTTTTTTAGTTCTCTGTTCCACCGCATTGATCTGTGTATCTTGATTACTATCACTATAAGGGAAAGCTTTAATATCAGTAGAGTGATTCCAACTGCTTTATTCTTTTACTAGATCGTTTTAGTTATTCTGGGGCCTATGCCTTTCCATACAGGTTTTTCAATAACCTTTTTATGTATCTACCAAAAATCTTTGCTGGGATTTTATATAGGAACTGCATAAAAGCTACGATAATTCAGGGAGAACTGACACATTTACCGTGTTGAATATTCCAGTATGTCAATATGGTTTGTGGCAACATTTGGGTCCTCTGATTTGTTTCATCAGTTTTGTAATTTTCAGCACAAATATCCTACACATGTTGAAGTTTGTATCTTTTTCACAATTTTTAGAACATAAATGGCATTGTGTTTTTAATTTCAGTTTCTGCATATTTTTTGTTAGGGTATAGAAACATGGTTTTTGTGTTGATCCTGTATGCAGCAACTATGTTGAACTCCTCAGTTCAAGAAGTTTTTTTTCTAGATTTCTTAGGATAAACAATGATGTAATCCGTAAACTGGGACTGTTTTGCTCCTCCTTTTTGGTCTGGATATCTTTTAGTACTACTGTTTTGGACAGCAAAGGTAAGACTGAACATCCTGGCCTTGTTCCCAACCTGAGAGGAAAGACATTCCATCTTTCATCATGAAGTATGGTCTTAGCTGGAGAAGGCTTTTGTTAGATGCTCTTTAGTTGAGAAAGTTCTTTATTGCTAGTTTTCTGAATTTTTAATCATGAATGAATGTTGGATTTTGTCAGATGCTTTTTATAGGTCAACTGATAGATGCTGATTTTTCTTTGGTCTGTTGATATGGTGGGTGGCATAGATTTTCGAACGTTGAACCAGTCTTGCATGGCTGGCATAAATCTCATTTGGTCATGTTAAATATTTTTTATTAATTACTCTATTTGATTTGCTAATATTTTCTTGAGGATCATTGCCTTTAAGTTCATGAGCGATACTGAACTGTGGAGTTTCTTTTTTGCTGTCTCTGATTTTGCTGTCAGGGTAATACTAGACTCACAAAATGACTTTGTAGGTCTTCTCTCCTGTTTTCTAGGTCTTCTCTCCTGTTTTCTAGAAGAGACTGAATAAAAGTGGTGTTAATTCTTCTTTAAATGTTGGTAAATTGTCCAGTGAAACCATCTGGACCCAGAGATTTTTTCTTTTTTAAGGGAGCATTTCAATTAAGAATTCAATTTCTTTAATGGCTTTAACATTACAGTATACCTTGTTTTATTGCACTTTATTGTGCTTCATAGATGATTTTTTTTTTTTTTTTGAGACGGGGTCTTGCTCTGTTTCCCAGGCTCCAGGGAGTGCAGTGGTCCAATCTCAGCTCACTGCAAGCTCCACCTCCCAGGTTCATGCCATTCTCCTGCCTCAGCCTCCTGAGTAGCTGGGACTACAGGCGCCTGCCACCATGCCCCGCTATTTTTTTGGTATTTTTAGTAGAGACGGGGTTTCACCGTGTTAGCCAGGATGGTCTCGATCTCCTGAGCTCGTGAGCCACCCACCTTGGCCTCCCAAAGTGCTGGGATTACAGGCGTGAGCCACCATACCTGGCCAATTTTTTTAATTTTACTTGTTTTTTTACAAATTGAAGATTAGTGACAACGCTGCTTTCAGCAAGTCTATCAGCACCATTTTTCCAACAGCATGTGCTCACTTTGTGTCAGCATTTTCTAGCAACAATTACTGTGTGTATTTTTAGACAAAATGTTATTGCACTTCATAGAGTAAATGTAACTTTTATATATATACACTGGGAAACCACTTTCTGTGACTCCTTTTATTGCCATATTTGGTTTATTGCAGTAGTCTGAAACCAAATCCGCCACATCTCTGAGGTATGCCTACATTCTGATTGTCTATTTTGTCTTGGTTGAGTTTTATTAAGTTTTAGTTTTTGAGAAAAACTAAAATAAAAAGCTAATTAAAACTAAAGATATTTCCTCTACATTGTCAAATTTATGAGCACAAAGTTATCTGTGGGATTTCCTAATTATCCTTTCAATGGCTGCAGCCTCTGTAGTGATATCCTCTATTTCATTCCTGTTCACTGATTTGGGTCTTATTCCTTTTTATCTGTGTCAGTCTTGCTAAATTTCATTGATCTTTTCAAAGAAATAACTTTTTATGATTTTTATGATTTTTCTTTTTCCTCTTTTCAATTTCACTGACTTCTGCTCTTCGTTCTGCTTGCTTAGGCTTGTTTTGCTCTTTTCTAGTTTCTTGAGGTAGGAGCTTAAATTGACTTGAGACCTTTCCACTTTTCAACTTAATTTATAACAGTGCTATAAATTTCCCTCTTGGGACTGCTTTAAGCTACATCCCACATATTTAATAACATATTTTCATTTTTATGTTTAATATTTTCCTTTGAGACTGACGTATGAATTATTTATAAATGTGTTATTTAGAAATTTTCCTGTTGCCTTTACTATTTTTAGTTTGATTCCATTATTGCCACAGAACAAATTCTGTAGGATTTCAATCCTTTTACGTTTTTTATTTTATAGCCCAGAATAATGTCTATGATGTCCCATGGGCACTTAAAAAGTAGGGTATTCTATTGTTTCGGGTAAATTGTTCTAAATGTCAGATTCTGTTGGTCAATTGTGTAAGTCCTATATTCTTGCTGATTTGGTGTATAGTTTTACTAATTGCTAAGAATATGGTGTTTAAGACTTCAGTTATTTATTACATTTATTTATATGTATATAGTATTTGTTAAATTTATTTCTCCTTTCAGCTCAGTTTTTGCTTCATGTATCTTGAGGTTCTGTTTGGTGTGTACATATTTAGGATCATCATGTCTTCCTAATGTGTTCATTATTTGATCCTTATGCCTCTGTCTTTATTAATTTATTCTGAAATTATTTTTGAATGTTAATATGGCCACTCTTGTTTAAATTCATGTTTGTATGGCATATCTTTTTCCATCCTTTACTTTCAACCTACCTGTGTCATTGGTTTAAGAGAATTTCTTGAACAACACAGTTTTGGATGTTTTCTTAACCACTGTGCCAATCTCTATCCTTTAATTGGTGTATTCAGATCATCTATATTTAAGCCAATTATTAGTATGACAAGCCTAAGCCTGCCATTTAATTATTTCTGTTATTTTGTTTCTTCTGTTTCTCCTTTCTTCCTGTGGATTATGTCAATTTTTTAATAATTCCACCTTCATTTATTCATAGTGCTCGAGTATACCAGTTTTCATAATGGCTGCTCTAAGGACTACAGTAAGCATATGTAACTTATCACACTCTACCGGTATCAACATTTTTACCAGCACAAGCAAAATAGGAAAAACAGGCTTCCATGCTTCCATGTAAGTTGCCTTTACTCTCCCCACTTTTTTTTTTCTTTAAACACAGTCCAGAGTATTTTCTTGTTTTGGTGTTTTTTTTTGTTTGTTTGTTTGTTTGTTTTTAACACCTATCATGCCATGGATTCATAGGAGAGACACCCCAGCAGCTCAGGTTCCTCTCCACTGCTTCTCACAAAGTGTGCTTCTCTGGGAACAGGCTGGCTCTTCAGCTGAACCCTGGTACATTTCTCTTTGGCTTCCTTCTTTTTCTGATCATTTTCCTTCACATGTTTCAGGAAGCTATCTTGGCTCTTAAGAGTGCTTAATGTGCTCAACACGCACATTAGTTCTCTTGGCAAGAGTCGTGCCCTGACCTTGTTTGTTTACAATGCCAACAGCATGCTGAGTAACATCGTAGACTCTTGCAGTTTTGCCATGGTAACACTTGTGGGGCTTCCTTTCTGAACAGTACCCATTCCCTTGATGTCTCCAATATCATCTTTCTTATAGATTTGCAGGTATGTGGCCAAAAGAACAAGTCCATGTTTTCTAAAAGGCCTAGAGAACATACCAGGTGCCTCTCCCTTTTCTCTTTGTCGTTCATCATTTTGGCAAATTAACAGAAGATGGTTGGTTCCAGCCAAAAGGCCCTTCCCCACTTTTTAAGCATGTCTTAAATATTTCCGCGGCATATATTTACTACATCATATTACATTAAAATTTTGCTTCAACCAAATATAACTCATAAAAAGTCTATTACATGTGCCCCTATATTTGCCCATTCCAGTCCTTTCTGAAATTCAGAGCCTTATGTTTTCGTTTCCATTCATTTAAAGAACTTTTACCTAGTTTTTAAGGGTATGCTTGGTAACCAACCACAACTTGTTTTCCTTCATGCAAGAAAGTTTTCCTTTTCCCCTCATTCCTGAAAGACATTTTTGTTGCATATAGAATTGGTGGTTAATGGTTGTTTCTTTCAGTACTTGAAAAATGTTGTGCTGCTTTTCTTCTGGCCACCATCATTCCAGATGAGAAGGCTCCTCTCATTTGGACTGGTTTTCCCCTACAAATTACACATTGTTAAACTCCAGCTACTTTCAGTAGCTTTCCTGTATCTGCCTTGCACAAGTTTAATCAGGATGTGTCTTGGCACAGATTCCTTTGGGTTGATCCTGTCTGGGGCTCACTCAGCTTCTTAGATCTACAGCTTTCTGTCTTTCACCAAATTTGAGAAATTATAGTCAGATTATTTCTTCAGATTTTTTTTTTTTGGTCCCACTCTATTCTTTCCTTCTGAAACTGCAACAACACAAGTGTTATCTCTTTTATCATCACTCCAGAGGTCTATGAGACTTTTTTTTTCCAGTCTATTTTTTTCACATTGGGCAGATTCTAATTTTCTGTCTTCAAGTTCACTGATTCTCAGCCTGCCATTGCCACTCTATTGAGCCCATTCAGTATTTTTAAACTATCATTATTTTTCAGTTCTATCATTTCTTTTTGGTTTTTAATAAATTATTTTTATTTCTTGGCTGAGAATTTCTAATGTTTTGTTTCAAAAGAATTTGTAATAGCTTGTTGAAACATTTTATCATAGCAGCTTTCAAATCCTTGTCAGATAAATCAGTTAGCACCTGCTGATGGTCCTTTCTCATTCATAGGTGATATTCCTGGATCTTGGTATGAGTGATCTGTAGAATTGTATAAATTGGTATGAATTGTATCCTATATGTTTTTGATATTAAGAGACCCCAGATCAAATTTAATCTTTTAGTGGGCAGCTTCCCTGCTAAAAAGGCATTAATACCAGGGATGAGTGGGTATGCACATTCAGTTACCCACTAGCCCCCCACTCCCCACCATCACCCTGACAAAAGTGGGGTGATGACTCACATTGCCTTGTTGCAGACAGATGGGGTGAGAGTTCAGCTCACTGACACTTTCCCAGCCAAAGTGTGGCTCCAACTCACCATTTCTGTTGCCTCTGTGTAAGATCAGCTACCCTCTGGGCCAAGCTACCACAGGGAAGGGAAAGCCAAGGGCTAAGCCATGCCAGTTTGTTGCTGCATCCAGGAGCAGAAGTTCAGGACCCCCGGGGGCCCTATTTATACCAAAGGAGGGGCGGGGAGGTGGGGAGTGCCAGCATGCTCCGCTCCTCCATACCTCATTTGCCACCAGTGGGTGTGGAGGCTCACACCTCCCCACCAGGGGATGATGGGGATGGAAGAGGTCAAGTGTAATGGTAATTAGCCCCCTGCTAGCACCACCTCATTGTGGCTGGTGGGGGCTGGATATGGCCCTAACCTGGGCCTTGCTGACACTACCCTGGCAGAGAAGTCAGAGCATCACCTGCTCCTACCAGGCAGAGGGTGGAAGATCAGCTCCCCACTAGGCGCTGTCAGCACCACCTGACAGGGGAATTGAAGTACCACCTGCTTCTGCCAGGCAGGATATGAAAGATTAACTCTCTGCTCAGGCATGCCTTCAGCCTCTGGGTGGGGAACCGAAGCATGCTGCCTGCTCTCGAAGCCTGGGAAGGGAGGAGGGCAGTTTCCTTGGTTTAGCTGGAGCAGAGTGAGTACTGACAAAAGCTCTGTTTTGTTAGACCACCCTCCCTTCCCCTGTCCTCTGGCTATGGGGAACAGGCTCTTCTCAGAGTTTTGCTGTCTGTGCCTACTGGTGGTTCAGGGATGGAGGCTTCTGCAGTGCCCTGTACTAGACATGTGGGAGATAGTAAGGAGGGGAACTGACACCCTTGTCATTTCTCAAGTCCCCAGGACTCTAGAGTGGCCACAGTCTTCTCTCCACCTTTCAGCATCTTCCTATGCTTCTTTGTTATATGAAGTCCAGGGATTTTGAGTCCTAAGAGGGTAGAGAGAAATGGGGCTGCTCCACCTTGGTAAGACAGTAAATCTCTGGCCCATTCCCATTTCTTCATCTTTCTTTTCTATCTTGCAGTTTCTACTTTTCCTTTCCTGACTCCCACTGGTCTGGTTGGATTACTATTCATTTCATTTTTGCTTCTGTGAATTTGAAAGTTCTAGTGCTTACTTTCCTCTTCCTGGCAGTAGTGATCAGTCCCATATTTTACTACTATTTCTTACAGACTACTTTCTCCACAAAGACCCTCTTATCCTTCAATCTTCCAATTAAGACAAGACCTGTAGAATAATTTCCCTGTCCCCATCTTCCATTTGGCAAATATTTGAGCACCTACTATGTACCAGGTGAAGAAAAGATAACACAAGAAGCAAAATAACATTCCTACCTATGAAGCTTATAGTCTACTGGGGAACAGAAAAAAAAAAAAAAGATAAGTACCATTATGTATCTTATCCCAGTAAGTTAATAAAGCAGTTGTTTTAAATAGAGAACAATCAGGAGACAGCTTGGAAGTAACTTGGTAAGCCAGGTGGATAATGCTTAGGGGGTAAATAAAGAAAGATAACTGGGACCATCCACACAGAACCTTGTAGGCCACAGCAAGGATTTTAAATTGTATTCTAAGTGCAATAGTATTTATAATCTAAGTGAGCAGTGGAAAGACATGATTTAGGTTTATGTCACTCTGGCAACTGGATACAGAAGTTAAAAGTTAGGGCCACCATTTATAAGGCTTATTAGTGATGATGGTGGCCTGGAATGGCAGCAATAAGGCTGATTATAAGTGACTGGTTTCAGGGTATGTTTTAAAAGCAGAGAAAACAGAATTTACTAATGGGATTCAGGGTGATAAATTAGAGAAGAAAAAAAATGAAGGATAACTCCAAGATTTGGGGCCTGAGTTACTGGGTAAATGATAAAGCCACTTATTAAAATGGGAGACACTAAGTGAGAGAGATTTGAAAAAAAAGAAAAATCAAGAGTGGTTTCAAACATATTAGATGTGAGAAGCCTATGAGCTATCTAAGATGACCGACCATTGGAAATATACCTCTAGACTTCTGGGAAAGGTTGAAGCTAGAGATAAACTAAGGAGATTGTCCACAAAGAGAAGTCAAGAACAGAATAAGGACTGAACCTGAGGATAGGAAGGGAAGATTCAACGAAGGGAACAGAATGAGCTGCCACCAGCAAGACAGGAAAGTAGAGTGCCCTGGATTGTAAGTGAAGAATGGTGCCATGTGCTGGGCGAGGCTGTCGTGGGGCCTCTGGAACGTGCTCCTGTCCTCACACCTGGCCCTCTCACCTCCAGGATCCACCTCCGAGAGCCTCAGTCCTCCCAGCAACCTTGCTGACTCCTGCCTGTGCTTTCTCACACTCTCTACGGGGCTATGACAGCTACCTGTGGTCATTTGAAAGGGACGGCAGGGAAGAACAGGAGGACAATTAAGTGGAGTTCGTACCCGACAGCTTCTTCTCTCAAGCGTAGGCTCCACCATCTAATGAGAATGAAAGAGGCCAGCGTAGAATGAGAACTGCTGCTTTCATCAGCAAACAAGTCAACCTATCAAGGAAAGGTGAAAGGACTACAAAACAATCTTGAAGAGCCAGCTATACTCGGAAACCATAAATGTGGAAAATACTGCAGATTGACTCACTTCAATCTACTCCCACCTTCTAGCTCTGCAGAGTCTGGAAAGCTGAAAAACCACATTGGGGTTCTGCTCTAGATTTAGGTTCCTTCAGATCATGATAAACATGAACCATGCAAAACACAAATGGTATGGTCCAACTGGGTTAAGAATGAAACTGAACTAAGTGGGGAGAGAAACTAAGTGTGATGTAGCCACTTTACTCTTGTGGACAGCGGCCAAGGTGGTGTGGTTCTGGGGCCAGCAGTGGAGCAGCAACAGCCAAATCAGCAGCCCCATGCCTGGGCTAGGATGCTGGCCACCCTGGCAGTCCAGTTCCACAGGGCAGCCTTGGGAATTATACTCTAGCACAACCTGCTAGGAGCGTTTCTAAGTACCCTCAACAATTCACCAAGAAATTTAATTCCCTGTAATAAACTGCTTTCTGCTTAAAGTAGGAAGAATTAGAGTCTGTCCTCGATAATCGAACCCTGACCAATACCATCGTCAAAGTTGTTCTAATTTATCCAGAAGTGCTGAGCCACATGGGTACAAGAGAAGGGAAGGGTAGGGCGTTTGTGCTAGGTTAGGGGTATGCATGGTAGGGCAGATTACAAAACAGACAAGCCAGTTCAGGGTTCTGATGTAGGAGTTAGAGATGAGCCTGGAATCCAGGCTGAGTGTGAAAGGAAATAAAGCCACTGCCAACATACAAGTAGTCAGAGATAATGAGAGACACAGACAGGAGGAGATCAAGACAGAACAAAAGATAAGCATTCCATAGTCACAGTCAAGAAACCTCTTTGACCTCATTAAATGGCAACATAAGGTTATGAAATGTAACGAACACCTCTGCAGAAAATGGCACACTCCTTTCATACACCATTTGTATGTACTTTCCAAACACCAGTGACCTCCCTAGAATGTCTAGAAAACATTGCAGACATTCCAAAAGTTTCTAAATATCATAATTTTTGCCAATAACCGGCCATATTGACTCTGCATTTTGGCCTTCAGTAGAAATCAGGTACCCTCCCTCCCCCGACAAAGCAACAGAACCACAGGAAGCAGCCTAGTTCCCAATTTCTTAAGCAGGAGACCTGAACTCTTTCCTAGACAGCATACCTGTGAGAATACCAAAGTCAAACACAATGCCCCAAGTAGCAGCTTCTCCTTTCTTGGCGCTGCCCTTATAAAAGGTTACAATACACTGACAGGGAAAAATCTAAGAGCCCTTTTCTGGACAAAGAGGCTCGTTCCCCAGGCTCAACTTAGCCTTCAATTCTAATCAGTGGTAATGTCAAAGTGGTAAGCTGAATAACTGTTTAACTTAAAATGTTAGCATTATTTAGGCACTGATAATAAAATTTAACATAATGAGAATCACATAAAAAACTTGGCAGATTTACCAAAAATATTTTCTGTATCTATTCCTGGGGGGAAAAGAAGTTATCTGGAACTAGAAGCACCTTACTGGCTGAATGTCAGAACCTTTAAAAGTATCACTGTCCCCTACAGCACATTATGACATTCCTATAAGTTCTTCTAGCCTCTACTAACTTTAATTATAAAATGCAGAGCCTTTCTAGGGCCTAGAAACAGAGTAATTCTAAAATAAATGGCAGGCCATTTACATTTATTATAAATGGCAATAAAAGTTGTTTTTCCAAATAGATAACAGACTCCATTATCATGCCTTTATAATGACTCTGACTTCGCTTTAGGAGACTTACTACTTATGAGAAATGTGAAAAAGGGCAATTTTTAAGTTCTTGGATCCTGTTGAACCATATCCCTTTTCACCCACAGAATAAGAATTTACATACAGATAAGATATAATGCCAGAATAATAGGAATAAGGGGAGAACAACTGACGGCACTGACATTAAAGGATGGAGCCCTGCTAGGATTAATTTGCACAACTTTAGTCACACTTATAAGTAAGCCACGCCCTGTACATTAATCATCGAGAATAAAATAAGGAGACTTAAAACTATAATTCAATAAAGAAATTTTTTAAAGTTTTCCATGGATAACCAAAAATAAACCAGTTTAAATCTCCAAACATCTCAGTGATCAGTGTCTTTCAAAAACTTTAGACATATTAACTTTTAAGAAAATAATAGTTTGAATAAAGTATTTTTTAACCTGAAACAGATTCAACACCATCTTCTAAGCATAAAGAGGCTTAATACTGGTCGAAATAAAATAAGGCATGAGAAAGTTACATTCTGAAATTGAAGTAGTTGATTTTTAGTACCTGTAAAGTAAGCAGTAACTAATGTTTACCATAAAATGCAAAGCTACATTGCAAGGTTACATTTTATTGTAAAACTTAAATTTTCTTATCAAAATACCTTTAAAAGTATTTCCAAATAACACATCTGAAAGTCAACTAATTGGGACTGCCTTAAAATAAGCTGCATCTGAGATTATCTTCAAGGAATAAGTGATTGAGATCAAAAAAAAAAATGTTGACTGTGTCCAATCTTATGAACCTGGTATCCAAAGGAAAGGTGTTTCACCAAGCAAATTCATCCTTTAAAGACTTGTGTTCAGATATGACACCAAAAGCACAACAAAAGATAAAGTGGACATCAGAATTAAACGCTTTTGCACTTCAATGAATGCCATCAAGAAAGTGAAAAGAGGACCCACAGATTGAAAATCATACCTGATAAAGCACTTATATCTAATATAAAAAGAATTATTACAACTCAGTAAGACAACTAATGTAAAAAACGGGCAAAGGATCTGATATGTATTTCCCCAAAGAAGATATGCAAATGGACAATACGCACATGAAAAGATGCTCAACATTATTAGCCATTGAGGAAGTACAAGTAAAAACCACAAAATACCACTTCACACTTATTAGGATCATGCACTTGTCTATATTCTGTTGCTGTAACAGAACACCATAGACTGGGTGTTTTGTTTTTTGTTTTCTTTTTTTCAGACAGAGTCTCGCTTTGTTGCCAGACTGGAGTGCAGTGGTGCAATCTCGGCTCACTGCAATCTCTGCCTCCCAGATTCAAGTGATTCTCCTGCCTCAGCCTCCCAAGTAGCTAGGATTACAGGCGCACACCACCACACCCAGCTAATTTTTGTATTTTTAGTAGAGACGGGGTTTCACCATGTTGGCCAGACTAGTCTCAAACTCCTGACCTCGTGATCCACCTGCCTTGGCCTCCCAAAGTGCAGGATTACAGACGTGAGCCACTGCAACCAGCCCTATTTTTATGTTTTTTAAGAGACAGGGTCTTACTCTGTCATCCAGGCTGGAGTGCAATGACAGGATCAAAGTTTACTGCAGCCTCCTGGACTCAAGCAATCCTCCCAACTCAGCCTTCCAAGTAGATAGGACTACAGGTACACCACCACACCTGGTTTTTTTTTTTTTTTTTTTTTAAGCGAAATGGTTTTGTTATGTTGCCCACATTGTCTCGAATTCCTGTTCTCAAGCAGTCTTCTTGCCTTGGCCTCCCAAAGTGTTGAGATTGCAGGCATGAGTCACCGTGCCTAGCCCTAGACTGGGTAATTCATAAAGAAAAGTTGACATAGCTCATGGTTCTGGAGGCTATGAAGTCCAAGACCATGGCACTGGCATCTGGTGAGGGCCTTCCTGCTGTATCATGACATGGCAAGACGCATCACATGACAAAACAATGCAAACACATGCATGTCAGTGCAAATCTCTTTCTCTTCTTACAAAGCCAACAGTCTCATCATGGAGGCCTCACCCTGATGACCTTTATCTAATCCTAATTACCTCCCACAGGCCCACCTCCAATCAACATATGAATTTGAGGGTGAAGTTTCCAACACATAAAATTTAGGGAACACATTTAAACCACAGGAGATGATTATTTTAAAAAAGGAAAATAAGTGTTAGAAATTGGAACCCTCACACACTGGTATTGGAAATGTAAACTAATGCAGCCACTTAGGAAACTAGCAGTTCATCAAATGCTTAAACAGTTACTATATGACCCAGCAATTCCACCTGTAGGTACATACCCAAGAGAAATGAAAACATATGTCCACATGAAATCAGTATGTGCCAGCATTATTCACAGACACCAGAAAGTGAAAATAACCCAAATATCTGTTAATCAACTGGTAAATGGGAAAAAAAAGGTGACATATACATACAATGAAATACTATTTAGCCATAAAAAGGAATGAAGTATAGACATCTACTTGGTATCCATAGCGGATTGGTTCCAGGACCTCCTATGCATACCAAAATCCATGAATGCTCAAGTAGCTGATATAAAACAGCATAGTATTTGCATATAAGCTATGCACACCCTCTCATATATTAAGTCATCGCTAGATTACTTATAATACCTAATAAAGTATAAATGCTATATAAGTAGTTGTTATACTGCATTGGTTAGGGAATAATGACAAAAATAAGTGTGCATATGTTCAGTACAGATGCAGTTTTTTAAGTATTCTTAATCTGTGGTTGAACACCAGATGTAGAATGCACCAATGCAGAGAACCAACTGTAGTAATACATACCACAAAATGGATGAGTGTGGAAAACAGCACACCAAGTTAAAGCAGCCAGTCAAAAATGACATCCCGGATGATTCTACTTATATGAAATGTCCAGAAAAGGCAAATCTATAGAGACGCAAAGTAGATTAATGGTTCCCCTAGGGTAGGGTGTGAAGATGTGGCGTGATTATAGCTAAGAAGGGTGAGGCTTCTTTTAGGGAGAAGAAAATACTCTGAAATTGACTACTGAGAGTTGCACAACTCTGAACTCTAAATATCCTAAAAACTATTGAATTGTACACTTTCAATAGATGAATTATATGGTAGGTGAATTGTATCTTGAATAAAGCTGTTTTCAAAAAAGTATGTGAAAAAGGAGCTTGTTTCCTCCCAAGGAGATCAAAATGAGAAGAGAGGAAAGAATCTGCTTTTCCCCAGAGTCATCAAAGAGTGCCTCATGGACGTGGTTTAGAACCAAGAGTTTTGGGAGCTTAAATGAGTACCAACCATTATCTGCAAAATGTAAAATGATATGCCTCATACATATATAACCTTTTCTTCAAATTTAATTTGTCATTAACAAAATATAAATTAATTTAAATGAAAAATGCATTTAAAGACGTACCTACTTAAATAATGTCTAGCAGTAGCAAGAGAGGGGATAAACGGCATCGGTGAACATCGTAAAAGACTACATTGATGAGACCTTTGGTTTGGGTAATCCAGCATTATCAGTATATTTAAATGATTCCTTACATTTCCATGCTAGGAATCTACCTTTTGATTTTCTTAGAAAAATATGTCAAACTGCACAAAGTTGTTCACTGCATGATCACTTCTACTTACTTTAAAACAAACAAAAAAGACAACCAAACAACCTAACAGCCCATGACCTGAACTAACTGAACTGTATAGTCCATGTGGAATACTTCAGTCACTAAAAGGAGAATAGATCTATGTGTGTGGTCATGGAAAGATTTCTAAGGCACATAAGTAAAAGAGGGATGAAATGGAGAGCGCATCATCCTATTTGTATGAATTTTTGAAATATATACTAACATAAAAAGATTTTATGAAAAAAATACACAAAAAAAATCATACCAGTTATCTTTGAGTACAAGGATTAGGGGAAGGAGACTTTTATGTAATACATTTTTCTGCTGTTTGATTTTAACCAAGTTTTTTTATATATATAAGTAAATATTTTAGAAATCATACTGCCTTTCCTTTCTGTGTGAAGTTTGGGTCTTGCCACACTAATACAAGCAACCCAGATCATCTGAACTAGAATGTTAGCATGATCTAAAATGAAATCATCATCATCATTTACAAGTAACTTCAATATATATATCTAAAAGCAAATTGTAAGAGCTCATAAGTGTAGACCTTAAAATAAGCCTAATTCTGTTTTATGATATATTACTTCATTTCAAATAATTCAAAATAACACCACAATATACTAATCAGATTGGATAAAGTGAAAATATTTTTTAAATATCATTTGTCATTTTGCCTCTGGAAGACATCTCTTTGTTCAACAGTTATAATATTTCAACTACAGATTTCCACATTATTCTTCCCAATTATCTTCGGGCAGAAAGTTAAACACACACAGAATAAGAATACCATACCAGTAACACGTTATTTTTAGGCAGTTCTATTCTGAATATGCTCCACATAGTAATCTAATTTTCACAGCCTCCAGAGGGACAAACAGGAAAAGCACTATCATTCCCTTTTTACACATGCATAGTGATAGGGTATCAAAATACACCGCATATAATTCAACATACGACAGAACGACAACTATAGGTATACACACCCTCTGTGCCAGAAGTGTTAAGAATTCAGACATGAGTTTTCGATGGGTAATTACAGCATTACATAATATTCCTGGGGTATGGAAAAGCATACCGTAATCAAACACATTACTATTTCTGCAAAGAAATGTATGAATATTCACATCAAGTAGGATAAATAAAGACACAGTCATTCAGGTCAAGTTTTGCTTCTAAATGAGTTAGGAAACATTCTGCTGTCAGGATTTTTTTTTTATTTTGGAACTACAGATATGGGATTCTGGGCCTATACTGGACAGCTTTCAGTTGGAATATTATTTTTCTCTACTGAAAAATATTTTCTTATATGGCAAAACCGCTTTAAATCTCAACGCTAAATCCCTGTTTGGAGAGATGGGTATGTGAAGTAAAACCTGACAAAGATCATCTCAGGGTTTCCTAGAAACCCAAAAGCATCATTTTAATCACAAAACCAGTCGCTTGCTTCCAGCAGCTGTATATAAATAAAATCAATAAAAGCTAAGCAGCCAGAGAGGAGATAAAATTTATTGCTACTTAATTAGCAGCTTCTTCCTTGTTATCCCTGAAACCTTCCACATGACAAATCTGCAGATAGCTGTCTCCATTCATCAGCCTCTTCCCTCAAATTTCTGTCTTCTCTAAACTGAAGATCCCCACCTGGTTCCTTCAACCATTCCCTGTGTGACACTATTCTCTAATATCACCATGCTGGTCACTCTCTTCTGGAAATGCTCATTTGTCAATATTCTTCTTAAGATGTCACACCCAGGACCAAACGCTGCAGCTGCTACCTAACCAGCTCAGAGTCTGGTTACCTTTCTGGAACTGAACATTATCTTTACATCTGACTTAAGATTAAATCAGCTTAAGATTATTCAACCTAAGAGCTAAATTACACTTTTGCAATTGGTGTAAACCCACAGGAAGAAAATCAATTAACTCACTATTAAAGTTTATAACCACTTTGTACCCAGTAAGTATATTTAAAAAATACTCATTTCAGTAATAAACAGATGTAAATAAAAGTGAGGTATCACAGGTTAAATGACAGCCTGAGAAGCCTCTTGCTTCACAAAATGAAAAGAAGGAAAACAGGTGGGATGTAGATGAACCAAAATTAGCCATGAGTTGAAATTACTTAAACTGAGTGATAGATGCATACTCTACCATTGCATGTATTTACATTTTCCATGATAAAAAATTAAATAAAAAATAAATGAATTGAAATAATTAATTTAGAAAGCAGTGTTGGTGAGAAGATGTAGCAATGAGGACTCAGTGGATGTGTAAACTAACACTACCTTTCCAAAGGGCAGCTCTGTGGCGGGAAACAAGACATACTGTATGAGCCAGCAATCCTACTTCAAAGTATTTACCCTAAACTAACAGAATTACCAGACAACTGTATTCATCATAGCATAGTTTATAATGAAGAACTAAAACAACTTCAATGTCTAGTGATATCAGAGTAAACTAAACTATGACTCACAGTGGAAGAGCATACATCCATTGAAAATAATATATATCTACATTTACAGATTTGAAAACTGGCAAGTTGTGGACTGAGAGAATACAAAACAGCATATAATTTGATCCCATTAGATATGTACACTTTTACATATGTATATAACCATAGAGATTTCTAGAAACATGTTCACCAAAATGTTCACAACGGTTATCTCGAGGGAAAAGGATTTCTGTTGATTTCTACTTTCTCTACACTTTTATATACTCTACAATTTGCAGTGAACGAGTATCATTTTTATAAACACTAAGCCATTAGGAGGCTAAAAAACTAACTACCTTATTAAGTTACATTAAGAAATATTGTACAATAGCTTCACTATATATACACACATTAGGATAGATAGGTACAGCTAAGTATATGTCTGCCCTTTTATTTGGTTGGCTCTTTATCCCTATGAGAGTGTACCCTGGATACAACCAAGCGAGATGGTTCTTTCCTAGGCCTCTCAAAGGGGAGGATGTTTGATTCAGGCAGCCTAGTCATGGTTTCTAAAAGCATGCCACTTTTCCTGTAACATCAACCTGTTAAGATTTTTCTGCACAGGAAAAACTAGTTGAGCAGAATGTCAGAGAAATTCAACAGAACTGAGGATTATCTATGTAATTTGTAAAAAATTTGTAACACATTATCCAGCAATTTTTCTGGTACTTTTGTAACAGATATAAGGCTACATTATTTAGCAATATTAATAATTTTACACAGGAAGCTGGTTCATTTTGTTGATACACCCTTTAATCTTTTATGACACTTCTATGATGGAAACGGTTACTTTTATAAACCTATTGTCTGTAATTAATCATCATTTTGGCCCCTGGGAACTAGGATTACAGAAAAAGAGCTTCTTCACATGCTTATTATAATAAAAAGAATCTTAAGTGCCACGCTTAAATTCTTTAAAAGTATATCTATGTTTCTCTCCTTAAATTGGTATTCGTTGAATATCAATGAAAATATAAAGTAAAATTACTTATTTCATTTATAACTGTAAGCAATAATCCATGGCATTAAAGAAATACAGAGCAATAGGTTAAGACGTTAAATATAAAGGTTAGGATCTTATATATTAAAGGTTAGGATTACTATAAAACATGCAATTAGGAAAAAAACAGGCTATTAATGCTCAGATCACGAATCCTTGTGTAGTCAATGTTTAACATATGGTCTATGGTTGTAAGATCTCAAATCTCCACATCAGAATCTGTGTTTTAAGCATCACCTGTGAGACTGAAGCATCACCAAAAAAAAAAAGTGGTTTGGTAGAGAACTTTAAGATCTTCTTCCCAAGGAACCTAGGATGCTTTTGGTAACAGTGATGATAAATGCAGTTCCAGAGAAACATAACTAATAGCTGCTCCACCACCAGAATCTACCACACTATATGTGGCTTGAATACAGTTTCCTAAAGCTTGTCCTCTGTTAAAAATAGAGACAAGTTCAGCATGGAAAGTTTACCTTCTGTTAGGAAAAATGAAGCATGGGAGGACTTTCTTTCAAACGTAAGAAACTTTCAGATTCTGAAATCTTGCCGTTTACTTTTTCCTGGGCATAGGTTTAATAAAATTACAGGAGAAAAACTTAAAGCACTGGTCAAAAAAATAAAAATATAAAAACCAGCAACTACCTCAAATTGAACCCATTAGGATGACTTTTCTAAAGAACAGTTTTCCAGTTTCTATTTTAACAGTAAAAGTAAGAGCCTACTTTTGCTTTGAGTGCAAAACCCATTTTTATGAGTAAAAATTACAGTTATACAATGGGAGTGTATTTCCTATTACAGGGAAGATAAAGTATCTAGTTCCACTTCATCTTTGATCACTAGGTCCCATACTCAGGAGCAAACAAACTTCCAAGAGCCACCTCCTATTCTTATCCTATCCTCCAAACATTTTACACATCGGCTTTTTGTAACGACTTTTCAAAGGCTGAAAGTTCATCAAATTAACAGGCAAGCAAAAAACTGCCTTTAAGGGAGCTATTGAGTAGGTAAGGCTTCTAGGGTACTAGTAAATATTCTAATGCTTTGATTTGGGTATTAATTACATGTGCATGTCTCTTTGTGAAAATTTATCAAGCAATATACTATTTGTCTTCCTTTCCATATATACATTTTAATAAAAATTTACTTTTAAAAAACATTCTTACAATCAAAACAATCTACTCAATTTCAAATGCTAAAAGAGAACCAGAAAAATGACCATGAAAAATGAATCTGACCCTACGACAGCAATGTGAAAAAGGAGAAAAACATGAGTATCTCCCTAGAATAGATACCAGATTTTACTGTGAGGGCCAACAGCCCATTTACACTCATTTCTCTCATGCTTACTTCTACATGAAATAGATAACATGATACAATTCTTGTAACACACAGAGGAATATGAGACCAAACGGCTTAAAGAAATGGACATAGGTAATAGAAACCCTGCAATCAAAAGACAGAGAAGATGACATTTTACTGGCTGAAGAAGAACCTTTACCCAACCTATCTACAGATCAATAAACTATAAACACTGTGCTAGGCAGAATTCAAAAATGTTCTGCCCCATACTCTGGAACCTGTAACTAAAGATGAGATCTCACTTCTGTGACAATGTCATATTCTACAGCACATTTAACCTGAAGGCAGGGAAATAATTAAGGTGGACCTGATCTAGGTACATGAACCCAGAGTTTCTCCAACTAAAAACGTAAGTCAGAAATACTCAAAGCATACAAAGGACCTGACACACCATTGCTGGTTTGAAGATGGAGTGGGGCACACGAAAAGGAATTCAAGTTGACCTCTAGAAGCAGTGTGTGGCCCCAGCTGACTGCCAGCAAGAAAACAGGAGCCTCAGTCCTACAGCCACAGGAACTGAACATGACCAGCAATGTGAATGAGTTTGGAAGTGTATTTTTCCTTAGAACCTCTACACATCTTATGGCCCAAACACTGGCCAATGTTACCACATATTTTCTTCCTATCTTTTACAGCAAGCTCTGGAAATTCAATCGGCACCAGCAGCAATCGTGATAAAGAAAAAAGAATTATACAACATATTCATTCACTCAAACATGTATTGGGTTCCCATCAGACATCAGGTACTGTGCCGGATGCAGGGAATGTAACAATGAATAACGTCTTTTGAAGTTCACAGACTTGGTGAAGACTGAAACTCAGCAAATGAGTTGGAATTTGCCTGGCCCTCGGTCGAGTGGGGGAAGGGGGCTAGGAGACAGCATCACAGTTAAAGGGACCTGCAAACAAAAGGGCAAAACCTGGTCTGGTGCATTGGTTCACGCCTGTAATTTCAGCACTCTAGGAGGCCGAGATGGGCAGCTTGCTTGGGTCCAGGAGTTTGAGACGAGCCTCGGCAACATGGCAAAACAAAAACAAAAACAAAAATGAGCCAGGTGTGGCGGCACACACCTGTGATCCCAGCTACTTGGAAGGCTGAGGTGGGAGGACTGTTTGAACCTGGGAGGTAGACGCTGTAGTGAGCTGTGATCACACCACCACACCCCAGCCTGGGCGACAGAGACAGAGACAAGGTCTTATGGGTGGGGGAAAAGGGCAGGTGGGGACAACACATTAGGTGAAGAGAAGGGAGCAAAAGAGTGCAATTACCATAATCCAGTATTCTGAAAGTGGCATGTGAAACCAGGAAGAGATTACACTGCAAAGGAAAACAAAGCTCAGATTATGAAGATCCCTGAATGCCACTGAATTTTTTTTAAAAAAGGAAAGTAAGTGTAGGCAACAATCTGACCAACTGGAATTCTTCTACATTGTTGGTGGAAATTGTTCCATTTCCACTGTGGGAGAGAGTTTGGTGGTTCCTTGAAAAGTGAAACACAGGATTGCCATATGACCCAGTAATGCAACTTCTAGGCATATACCAAAAAGAAGAGAAAACAGGTGTTCAAACACACATACATGTTCACAGCAACACTATTCACAATAGCCAAAAGGTGGAAACAACACAGATATCCATTAACAGATGAATGGATAAACAAACTGTGGCACATACATACAATGGAATATTATTCAGTCATAAAAAGATATGATGTAATGACAAAACACAACCCAGATGAACCTCAAACATCACACCAGGCAAAAGCAGCCAGACACAAAGTCTTATTCCTGTATATAAAATATTCAGAATAGATAAATCCATAGAAGCAGAACACGGGTGGATGGTCATTAGGGGCTGCTTAATACGTATGGGACTTCCTTTGGTGGGGGATGAAACTGTCCCGGAACTAGAGGTGGTGATCACACAGCACTCTGGATGTATTCAACACTACTCAACTGTTCACTTTAAAATAGTTCACTCGATGCTGTGTGGCACCTAAGTGAAAAAAAAAAAAAACTTTAGAAAGAAGCTAATAAAAATGATGACCTGTAGAGGGAGAGGGCAAACAGGCTGGGGGAACAAAGGTATAAGCAGAGCTTCTGTGTATACATTCCGCTACAGTTTCACCTCTGAATCCTGCAAATATGTTTACAATGGAAACAAAGAGAGAAAGAGAGAGAGAGAGAGAGAAAAGGAGGAAGGAAGGAAGGAAGGAAGGAAGGAAGGAAGGAAGGAAGGAAGGAAGGAGAAGGAAGGAAGGAAGGGAGGGAGGGGAAGGAGGGGGGAGGGGATGGGAGGGAGAGGGGAGAGGGAGGGGGAGGAGGAGGAGGAGAAGGAAGAAGGAAGAAGAGAAACCAACCCACATTCATTGCATTAAATATTAGGTTTAAAAAAAAACTTGCGAAAACATGAAGAATGTTTCTTTGGAAAGTAACTTCACATACTGTATGTAAAATGTCTTTAACTGTTGGGGAAAAAAACACAACTTGTCATTCATGTCAATGATTTTTATAGCGACTCAGTATCAACCAAATAAGTGCACTGAGTTCCTACAATAGGAAGCCAGGTTCTGACATATTCTCACCAATTCACATTCCTAGGCTGAGTCTCTAGAGCCAGAGGTAGTACAACAGGACAAAGTTCGCAGCTCACAAGGCTGGCCACCTGGGACTCTGTCATTAGTACTGTACTTTAAGAAACGTTATGTGCTCTGAAGAAATCAACTCAAATTAAGTGACCCAGCAAAATCAAAGAGGATTTTCCAACTTGTTTTCACTTTGATTTTGACGTTTCTAAGGAATCTGTCAAAAGAAATTCTATAGTATCATCTTGCTTGTGAATTTTTTAAAGGATTTTTAGTTTCAAAAAGATTTTATTTCACGTATGATGAATACATGTAGTAGTTTTCATTTCAAGAGCCTTCAGTTGATAAGCCCTGAAATATCTTAAAATTTTAGGATTGCAAGACATCCACATATCCTATGTTATATTAGCAGAAGTTAAATTTCAGAAGAAAAATACAGAAACTGAGCTTCACGATTGTGTCTGGAGTATACAGGCAACATTCAATTTTTGTCAAGCACAAGGTTTAAATTAAGACTGCTGAGTCCTAGCTGGATTTTTTTTTTAACCCACATTTTTCCTTACAGTACCAACATACTAATTTCTCCAATTCCTGAAACATACCAAAATTGTTAAACATTTTTTTGGTCAAGCTTATCACTATATTATAAAGTTTGGTCTCACTCTAGATGCAGCAAAATATGACTGGTCTTATGGTATTTTCTTTTTTAACAAAGATAACTAGTTGAACAAATGCCCTGTGTCAAGCAGGACTTATTCTGGGATGGCCATGATTAATATTAAAACAGGGCAACTGCTTAAAATATACAAGATCTTTGGCTAAAATCTAGAAAGACCATAAGCTAACATCACAGATGGATTTAGTTTGATTTCTGATTATGTGTAAAGAACAAAAATTAGTTAAAAATGCTTCATCTTTAGGGTTTTCATATACCAACCAAGGTGGGAGCAGGAGGAAATCAATATTAAGGCTAATTTTTTAACAGGGAACTCTGACACTGAAATACACAATTCTGACTGCTACAGAGCAGCATGTTACTATAGTAACATGAGTTCTTACTCCATAGAATATAAAAACATATACTTTTATTTTACTTGTGGCTATCTCCACAGTTCAAAGTATGTATAATATGAGAACTTACAAGAGATAGGGGGAAAAAAATAGAAAAAAAAAGCTGTAACTGCAAACGATGGCAAAGATATCTGGAAATGAGACTCAGGTCTCCAGAATGCTCACCTCCTTCAGCGCATGTGTGCGGTGGGAAGGACGGGCAGGAGAGAATGAGAGGGGAGTGCGTGTGTGAAACAGTCATCCGGAGCTTCCTAAACCCATACATCAGAAGAGAATGAGGAAAGGGGGAATAAATTGGGGAGAACAATTTCAAAAGTGTAGAAGAATTGTGATTCTGCCTCATCATATCCCTCCACCACATCCAGGCAATTCTATTTGGCAAGGTGAAATTCATTTTTTCGCATTCTCAGAAAGCCCTGGTCCATGATCAAGCTGCCCTCCCTTTCAATGCTCAAATTTTCAGAAAAGCAAATGCAAAAAAAAAAAAAAAAAGACTAAGAATGGGTTAGATATAGGCAAATGGAAGAGGAAACCAGATTTGTAATATAAAGTAGAAACAGTATAACTAAAGTGAAATCCTTAAACAGAACATTTCAAATGTATTTCAAAATGCTATATTTTGATTTCTTTCACGATGGAATGGCAAAAAAGGTACTTGAGTTGGCAATAAACAGACCAGAGACATGCAGGCCATCACTAGACACCCTGGGAGAGGAGAGCAGACCCTCCTTCATCAATGCAGTATACAATTGCAGAAACTTACAAGGGACAAAAACATAAGATTATCAAAGAGTACATATATGTATCATGTAAGTAATGAAAGCCTGCCAGGCCAAGAAGCCAGAGCATGTACTCTTGAGGAGATAATAAAAAGAAACTTCTAAAAGGTAAGCCAGCTTGGTTAGGCCACACCAGCCATGGGTGTAGATGGGAACACACTGATAAGGAATTAATACCTTGAGGGCCACCGGTCTAAGCCCCCAGATGCTCTTACAGGCACTCAACCCCTTACAAGACCCTCCACAAGCATTTCTGGGTGCAACAATCCTGACTCCTACAAGCATGACAGCTTGTGTCAAATGAGAGCCATCCCTCTCCTGTGGAAAAGGGTGGGGGCTTCCCACAGCTAAACTGCTTGTACTCTGAAGCAGAACGTTAAAATAACCCAGGGAGACAGTTCTTCCAGTTTCTACACACCACATTTTTCTATTTTCCACACATACATACACCACACCCTGCATATCATTCATTCTCCGTGAGGCCCCACTGCCAGAGTTGTCATGCCAATTAATTTAACAATGCGGTTTTTTGTCCTTCCCATCCCCACCTACTCCCCCCTCATGAATGTCCTT
Organism: Homo sapiens; assembly: GCF_000001405.40. NCBI lineage: Eukaryota > Metazoa > Chordata > Mammalia > Primates > Hominidae > Homo > Homo sapiens. Next base: position 3,319,018 of record NC_000007.14, on the reverse strand, counting down.
CCTCAGGCCACCCCCAGATAGGCCCACACTGCTAACTGCTTCTGTGGCATTTCAGCCCCACATTTATTCCCGTCTGCCAGGTACCATCTGTATCCAAATCTCAGTTCTATCCCAGCTGAAATCCCAATCACAAAAGGAATCATCCTGTCTAGTGACTTGAATAAATTTGATTGTCAATATTAAATTCACTCTGGAGCATCACCAAGAAAATATTCCTTCTTTGTTGAGTTTTTCTAGTACTAAAACCAACAATGATGGTACCTAATGCAATGGCAAGGGCTATGCTAGGTCAATATATTCATCAACAGGCCAAGAAAACTCAAAAAGTAAAAGAAATATGTAACATTTGTTGGGGATAAGTTCAGGAGGTAAGTAGGAGAGAAGATAAACTATGGAATTGGAAGAAAAGGACAACCAAGGTAAGACAAAAGGTCACGAAACAAGTAATAAGTAATGCCTTCTGTGTATTTCAGTTGAGAAGGAGAAACACATTAGGGGTTCATTTGATCTGATAAATTAATGAGTACAATAATAGCTATGATTTATTAAGCAAGACACTGTGCTAAATACTTTACATACATTATCTCCTCTAATCCTTACAAAAACCTTGTGAGAGAGAGATTAACTCTGCTTTACAAATGAGCACCTGAAACACAGACAAGTGATTCAACTTGCCCAAGGTCACAAGCTCTTAAATGGCAGGGTCAGGATTTGAATCCAGCTCTACGACTCATGACACTATGTTATAATGCCAATGCACTACAGCAGACGGCTTTAAAGCTTATTTTCTGTGTGTGCATGTTTGTAACAAGGTATACCCATGTGTGCTAATATGAAATGATCTCTAAGACACAATATAGGCGAAAAATGCGCTGGGACTAGCCTCCAAGCTAAGAGTATGCTACCATCTGTATAATGTCAAAGGGTTGCAAGGAAAGACATATATAGTTGTATATGCATAAAATATCAGCGAACAAATACTCATGAAACTGGAAACAGTGATAGCCTCAAGCAGGGGGAACTAGGGGGCTGAGGATCAGAAAAGTAGAGACTTTCACTACTACATTTTGATATGGTATGAATTTAACCTACTCATATTTTGTCATAAGAAATAAGCACTGCATAATAAAAACTGCATAATATAACCACAAAAACTTAAAAAACTGGAATGAAAGGTTACCTTAGGCTCCTAGTTTACCAAAGCCAAATAAAGAGGCTTATGAACAACAAAATACTTATTTTAATCAAGCATCCTTTTGAGATGTTTTCACCTGTTAACAGTGCCTGTCAACAATGCTCATATCCTAAACATGAACCAAAGGTGCTTCCATGCACAACAAGGAAAAACCAGCTCCTGTGAACATGGGAGAAGAGTCTGCAAGTAGAAAATCTTAATACAGGTAGGGAAGGAAAAAACGCCACTTAAAGATAGTCAATGAATGGAGAGAGGAATAGGCAGAAGGAAGCGCCCTCCTGGCAGGCACCCAGGGAACAGCACACAGCTACAGAACAAAGTCAAGCTACAGAAATGAGGAGCGAAGATGAAGGGGCAGAATCATCTAAAGGAAACAGGGAAAGGAAAAGGAATTCTTGCTCCCCAATTAGTCTGGAAAGCAGATAGATGAAAACAAAAATAAAAACACAAGATGACCAGTTTCATTTGTTGTAATTAAATGTGCAATATACTCAGAAATCAATACATGTTCCTTTGCTTGCCTTAAAAACCTTACTTTAAAAATTACTATAATCTTTTATGTAAAATAGGATTCGAAATTGCTAGCAATGTTTATTAAGCACTCCCATGATAGCCTTTTTTTTTTTTTTTTTTTTTTTTTTTTGAGACAGAGTCTCACTCTGTTGCCCAGGTTGGAATGCAGTGGTGCGGTCATGGCTCACTGCAGACTTGACCTCCCAGGCTCAAGTGATTCTCCCACCTCAGCCCCTCAAGTAGCTGGGACGACAAGTGCACACCACCACACTCAGCTAAGTTTTTGTACGTTGTGTAGAGACAGGGTATTGCCATGTTGCCCAGGCTGGTCTCAAACTCCTGGCCTCAAGAGATCTGCCCACCTCAGCCTCCCAAAATGCCAAAATTATAGGCATGAGCCACAGTACCCAGACCCCCAGACCCTTTTTAAAAGGTTTAAATAGTGTTTGCCCAAAAACACCAATTCTGTCTAGTTTAAGCAAAAAAGGGGGATACAATTGAAAACAAATACTGTAGACTTCAGGAGAAACTGAACATCCAAACCTCGGGATGGGCAAGAACCAGTTCCACGCTGCAGTGATTTGTAGAGCTCCATAAAAAAGGGCCAAGAGATGACATGGCAGAAAAATGGCCAGTGAGGCCCCTGCTGTGTACATCTACTAGGGCATTCTCAGAAAGTGGCACATTTCTGTGATCCAAGCACTACCCAATTGTTGCCTACTACACTACAGCATATATACATAATGCTCCAATTTACATTTATATTATATTGAATATACAGGTCATGCATCACTTAATGATGGGGATAAGCTCTAAGAAATGCACTATTAGGCAATTCTGTCATTGTGCGAACATCACAGACATCACTTACACAAACCTAGATGTTATGGCCTCCTACACACCTAGGTTATATGATATATAGCCTATTGCTCCCAGGCTACAAACCTGTGCAGCATGTTACTGTACTGAACACAGGAGCCAACTATACCACAAGTATTTATGTGTCTAAACAAATCTGAACTGAGACAAGGTACCATAAACATACAGAATTATAATCTTTCAGGACCCTTATATATGCAGTCTGTCACTTACCAAAATGTCATTATAGGGTACATGGCTGTACTGAAAGTTTTAAATACAAAATTTATGTATATTTAAATTTAAATTTAGTCCTAATTTTCATTTACAACTTCATGCCTCAAATTTTTTATGCATACTATCTACCATCTACCATTAACTTGAATGTATGAATTGACTCTATATTAGAGTTGTGGGGAGAATTTGACACTAGAATCATAAAGATTAAACAGCACTAACCAGAAATCGATGGTACAAATGTGTTTATCAATCCATCTTTCAAAGGAGTTTTTTATTCTTATAATGAGCCTGTAACTTAAAATATGGCATGCTTTTTTCCAACAGATGAACAAAATAAGGCCCAAAACAATAATTCAAGTTCCCTCAAATAGGAAACAAACAAACAAAATCCCAGGTTCCCATTAATGCACTCTCAGTCTGAACCACTAAACAACTTTAGTACCATATTCTTCCTAAAATCCAGTAATAATACATTATGGTAAATAATTCTAATTGCTTTCATAATTTTTAAAAAGTTATAAATGCTGAATGTTTGAAAACTTAGAACATTCAGGAAAAAAAGAGAAATCCCTATAACAGAGATAAGCACATTAAGTAGGCTGGTCTATTTCTTAATCATACTCACTGCATCATATTATAAAACAGTAATTTCTTACCTGTTTTATAATATGCGACTTCCACACCCTTTTCTACTTGCATGTGCATGCGTGACCCTATGTCAGAGAAAGCTGGTACTTGGAGACTCCCAGGAAGGGCTGTTCATGTGGAGAGGACTAGGAACAGGGGCTCCAGAGACAGGGGTGCACTCAAAGATCAGTTCCACCACTTATGAAGTGAGTGACCTTAACTTCTCTGGACCTCAATTTCCTCAACTATAAAATAGGGTTGTAAGGATGTATGATACTGTATAACTTGAAGGCCTTAGCACAATGCCTGATGCCAAGAAAAGCACTCCGTAAAAACAAGCTAGTACACTCTACAAAGAACTCTAACCTCATTTTTCACCTAATATATTCAGAAATCCTTCCATGTCAATTAGAGCTACTTCTAAACATCCTTTTTAATACTAACATTGTAGTCTTCTCATGTGCCACATCAGCCACTGTGAAAGCCACCAGAAGCATTCAGGTCCTCATCATTTGTGAAGGTCACCTGCTGTTGACGAACACAGATAGGGATGGAGGACTCTAGCCAACCCAGCTTGCTCCCTAAAGTAAGGAAAAAGTCAGAGTGGGTTAGGACTCCCAATGTTTCCTCACTGGCTGATTTGGGACAATTCACAGGCCAAATGAGGTTTAGTTTTAAAAAAAAAAAAGTTTTTGTTGCCAATAGGATGTATGATGAAATTCACGTTATTCACCCAAGAAAGAGCAATTTTTGAAGTAAAGCAATTGTGGGTTTAAAATAAAACCTCTTAAGGCATCTCTACATCTAATAAAACACTAGATTATAATATTTTAATTGCTATGAAGTATTCATCTATATAAAAGCATAACACAACTTATATTTCATGCTTTTCATTCCACAGAAGACAGCAAAGTTAGAGATGCAGATGGCCTCTGTCTTTCCAACTATAACATTCCATGATACAGATATAAGTAATTTTCAAAATTCAGGAATTGATGAGCATCAACCAATCATATCAAGTTGCCACAAAAATGCAAATGGCTACAATCTCATCTGTAACTAACTCTCATCCACTGAGCTGCTCCATCTCAACCACTTGCCTCTTTGTGTATGCTTTATCTCAGCTCTGAACAGTGCTTCACCCTGCACATTTAATCTAACTCTCTGCTGGCCAAGATCCAAGTCCACATTTCCTACAGCTATGACAATAAGACCCTAATTCAGAATGTAAAGGTCACTTGGAATGTACTGGCTAAATATGAAGGTCTTGATGTTTGGTCCTTTGGCAAGAATCCTGTTCTGATCTAGGTGTTGGGTTCCTCACTCCTGTTGATCAGCAGCTTTCCACCTGAATCCTTCATCTTTGTATTTCCACGTGCCAATCTGAGTCCCCAGATTCCAACATGGCTTGCCTATATGTATCCCTGCTAGGGTCCTATTTAACACTTATCTACCAGATGCTGAATCCCCTGTATGGCTTAAAGGGCTCTCCAGGGTCATCTGCACATTGGCGCTGTATTTTTTGGTGTGTATGCCCTAATAAACTATAAGCTCTCTGAAGGAAGCAACTGTTATTGATCACTATACCTTTAACACAGCACTTTATTCACTGAGGCATTAGATGAATTAACTCCTGCTCACATACATTTTTAAAATTTTGACAAAAATTTGTATATATTTATTGTGTACGACATGTTTTGACACATATATATTGTGAAATGGCTAAATAGAGCTAATTATATGTATTACTTCACATACTTTTTTGTGGTAGGAATACTTAAAATTTACTTTTAGCAACTCAAGAATAAAACAAGTTATCATTAATTATAGTCACCATGTTGTACAACAGATCTCTTGAATTTATTCCTTCTAAATGAAATTTTGTATCCTTTGACCAACATCTCCCAAACCCGTCCCTACTGCTTACACTCTCGCTAATCCGTTAATCTGCAGTATGAGTACTTGTAGTGGAAACTGCTGACACTTTTCTCAAACTGCAAAGCAATTACATATAAATTTAAGGGGCACATTGCAACAATGCTTCCTATCATTTAGCACTTTACAATCTGTACCTCACTCCTGGGTTCAATTTCTTTCTTTTTGAAGTGCATTTTTTAGTAGTTCCAACTACTAATCATCAACTTTGTTTTTTATCTACAACCTTTATTTCACTTACTTTTGAGATGGAGTCTCGCTCCGTCGCCAGGCTGGAATACAATGGCGCAACCTCAGCTCACTCCAATCTCCGCCTCCAGGGTTCAAGCAATTGTCCTGCTTCAGCCTCCCAAGTAGCTGGGACTGCAGGTGCATGCCACTGTGCCCAGCTAATTTTTGTATTTTTAGTAAAGATGGCATTTCACCATGTTGGTCAGGATGGTCTCGATCTCTTGACCTCGTGATCTGCCCACCTTGGCCTCCCAAAGTGCTGGGATTACAGGCATGAGCCACCACACCCAGCCATTTCATTTACTCTTGAGTATCATAATACTTTATATGGACATGGAATTCTAGGTTGGTAGTGGATTTCCACTTCCAGCCTTTGATGTTATTATTCAATCATCTTCTGCTATGAACAAAATGCCTGCCAGTCTAGACATCAACTTTCCTCAGACTGCTTTCCTCTTATTTTCTAAGGCTTCATCTACAATATGTCTAGGTATGAATTTATTTTTATTTATCCTGTGTGGGGTTTACTACGGTTCTTGAAACTAAGAGCTCAGGCAGAACTTGTATTGATTATGAAAACTTCTCAGCCATTCTATCTTCTAATAGTGTCTCTCCTACTCTATTTCCTCTTTCTGGAAGCTCACAGAAGGTAATATGAGACTTCCTCATTCTAAAGTTCATGAATTGTAACCACTCATTTTCCATTTCTTTATCCCTTATTACTGTATTCGAAGAAATTTCCTCAGATCTCCTTTAAAAATCTATTGATTTTTCAATACAGTTTTTATCTTCAATTATATCTACCTGGCTCTTTAACCTGTCCATTGAGGTTATTTTTTTTAAAAAAAAACACTTAATGACCATTATTTTCATTTCTAGAAGTCCTACTGGGTTCTTTTCCAACTCCATGTTATTTTTCTAATCTGTGCTCTTTCATTATGATCTTACCCCTTTCATCTCTCATAATTTTAAGCAATTAATCTCTTTCATATATCCTATCATCTCAATCTCCTGGAATACTATTCATCTGCTAACTCTCCTTCACGGTGATTCATTTCCTTGTGTAGCTGGGCAATTTTTGTATTGCAAGCTCATCTATAGCATGACTTGTTTCTTCTGCAAGAGTCTTAGATTTTTAATTTGCTCTGCAGGTCAGTTTCAGACCTGAGGGCTCTATTCATTTCCATAGTTCTAGACCAGATTTTATGCTAATTTGTCTCAGCTTGAAGGTTAGTTGCACTATAAGAAATGTTAAATTTGAATCCACCCCAATTATGAGGTGCAATCTTGGAGTTTAGATGTCCCTTTTTTATTCCTAATGATCACAACCCCAGGAGGACAGCAAGTTTCCTACACTTTCCCAAACCAGTAGGCAAAGTTTTTCTAGTTCTCTTTTCACAGATGGAAAAGCCCTTCAAGGTTTGATGCTAGAGAACCTTTACTCCACCTTCCAAGTCTATGCAGACCCAAGGCCATGCCTCCTACTCCTCCATGAGACCCTCAGGACTAAGCCATTGGGGCGTGTATTCAGATCAGAAACCACCACAGGCCTTGAGCTCCTGATTAACGCCCTAGCTCTGAATTTTCTGTTCATAGCTGGCACCTAGGGATTCCCTGGTATTTTAAACTTCAGAAACGCTTGTTTGTTCTTGTTATATTTTGTCCACAGTTTCTGTGTGTTTATAGCAGGGTGGTGAAGGGAGTCCTCCACATTCAGCTTTGGTGACAATGTTGCTAGAAGCCTCCACGAGTCGCAACATATGAAACAGAAATGATCACTTCAGAGAATTGTGATAATTACTTACCATTCTGCCAAATGACAATTTTTTTTCCCAGCCTCAATAATAGATTTCAAATTTGGAAAAAATATTCCCAAGGTATTTTAAGATCATTTTTGTCACTATGCATTTCAAATGCCTCCATAGTTCTCTTTCCTTGAGAATTTCAATAGAACAAGAACATACCGGTTGACTCTTTTCTCCCTACCCATTCATTCCATAATGAACTTCAATCTACTTTATACTCCTAGAACTCCAGTGAGATTGAGCTCAAAAAGATCACCATTACCCATGTAATCAACAAATCCAATGGCCTTTTGTTCTCATCTATTTACCTCTCTAAGCAAGACTGACCATTCCATTTTTTCCATCCCAATACTACTGCAGTTCAAATATTATTTCTATATTATCATAACCATTCCCTAACTCATCTCCATCACTCTACTCTCCCCCCAGGCCCATCGCCCTGCAATTTATCCAGGTTGTATCCCAGCCAGGCTAATATTAGTATAATACCTCTCCAGTTATGTCAACTGTCCATACTCCCCACTCTACTACCGTGACTCATCACTCCCTAATATTACAGGAAAAGAAAAGATAAATAAGGCAGGATTCCTCTACACAAAAGAATAAATAACACCACCTAACACTTACTGGATGCATGCTATGTACTTGGTAATGCGATAAAAACACCTTACCTACAATCATATCAATCAGCCCTCACAACAACTACAGGAAGCAGGCAGAATCATTACACAATTCTTCAGGGATAAGAAAAGTCAAGATTAATGAAGATTAAGTAGCCAACCCAAGGATGCAAAGCTAGCAAGTGGTTAACTTTGTTTTATTTTATGCCAAGCCTATCCTCTTAAACAGTATGCTATACTGTCTCCACAAATATTTATACCAAAAGCCCAGACCCTCCTCTGGTTGCAAAATTCATCTATCCACACAACTTAACAGCTCTGTCTAGATGCCTCAAAGGTCCCTCACATTAATAAATTCAAAACCAAACTAATGATCATGCTGCCCAGAGGTGGTCCAACCTCAGTGAATGGTTATACTAGCCAACTAGTCATGCAAGCCAGAAACCTGGACGTCACCTTTGATGTTTTCTCATTCACCTTCCATACCCAACCCATGACCAAATCCCATGTATTTTTTGCCTCTTAAATCCCTCTCTAGTGCATCTACCTCTCTCCATCTCCAGCACCACCACCTAGCCCAAGCTGCTACTTTCTCTCACCTCAATTGTTGTTACAGTCCAACACATCTACAGTCATTCATTCTGGTTTCTTCCAACCCATTCTCAATTTTGCAACAAAAATAATGGTTTATTCCCCCCACTCAAGATGACTTTAAAATACAAATCTGATCATTTCACAGATTTTGGACTCAGCACCAAAGCTTTAAGTCTATCTTTGAGGGTCTGAAGCAATAGGAATGCAAAGAGTGGTGACAGCTGGGTTTCAGCCACAAAAAGAAAGCAATTTCCAGTGAATCCAGAATGATGCCAGCACAGACACAGAAGCAAACTGAGAGATGATGGCCAAAAGGACAGTACCCGGGAGCTTTTGAGCATGTGGCTCTAGTTATTCCCTAGGTGGAAGTGAATACTAAACTTGCCAAATGTAAAGAAATTCTCCTAATTATACTGTGATACCCCAGGACTCCTACAATAAAATCCTTTTTTTCTTAAGTAGTTCAGACTGAGTTTCTAGCTTGCAACCAGGAGTTTTAGCTAAGACAACCATTTTAGAAGAGCCAAGACAGCACGCTTAGAAAAAGGGAATATGCCTACAAGGCAAAAATAAAACAAATTCTACATAGAGTAAAAATACCTTTGGCCGGCAAATACATAAATATGCTTAATGTTTGTGAACTCATGTATCTCTTCCTTTTAAAGGTGTTACATAAAATGCTTTAGGGTAACAGCCATGTTTTCTTTTATGTTCTGCAAATCATTACAGCTTACTGTAAGAGCTGAATAAATGCTGAATAAAAAAAATCAGAAGTAAAAGCATGACTATACAATAATATAAATCAAAGTTGCATCCCTGGAAACTTGCTCCCTTTGGGAACAGTTTATACACTCATGTAAAAAAAAAAAAAAAAAATCTTTTTCTAGTGACACTCTGCCACTATTCTATTACCTGGTTTTGATTTCACATAGCTGGGTATTATAAACTCGCCTTGCTCTTAGCCAGAAATTGTACATGTTACCTAAGCATACTAAAAAGTGGTGAATCATGGAAGGAAAAAAAAAAAAAACTTGGCTGTGGAAACCACAGATTATATCCTATATGAACACTTTTTCTGTTGCCATCTGGTGGTTTGTGTATAAAAATCAACACTGACATCCATTGTATAGAAGGGCTTGGTCATACCCTATCAAAATCTCTTTCATTCTTTTTGCATCGCGCCTAACACCTAGAGAGAAGACAAAACTGACCTTCACTTTGAAAACAGGCTCACAAACACACAAAATAAATTAAGGATCACACCAGAGAGAGGGACTCACAAATACTACCACCTGTGGAAATCAGCACCCTTAGTTAAGTATGATAGGTTATACCTTTATGATACAAAATCCCTCCTTACTCTAAAACTGAAATATATTCTAATTAGCCTGCTTGGGTTGCTAAAATTCCTGCTACCAACTATTCTTAATAAAGGCAACTACCAGAGCTCCCCAAGTTTCCATATTCCTCCCCAAATCACCATAGTCATTACGTGGTTATCTCCCTCTATTTTTTTCTCATTGGAAAGACTATTCATCGTTGTAAAATTAAGCTTACACACTTGAGAGCTTCCAACCCCCTCAAGGTAAAGAATTAGGTCTAGAATACCATGGAGAGTTATAGAAAGGAGAAAAGGCAACCAAACACTGCACAAAGACTAATTCTACGTAATAATATGGACCCCAGGGTCTAGCCCATTCTTTGAACCCACAACTCTAAAGCCTAGCCTTATCCATTTAAAAAAAATTTTTTTGAAAATGAACCAAAGCCAAAAACACTGCAGAAACTATAGTCTTACCCATGTTCATCTACCTAATCTCCAAAAATCAGAAATAGATTTACCTGACTATCTGTTTTCAAGAAATTGGACTATTTAATTGATAGCTGTTATCTTCACTAGACATTGTCTGTATATCAATAAAGTGCCAGTTAAGCCTGTTAAAGTGAAAAATTACTGTGTTAATTTTAAAGACCCTTTGTTTTACTAAAAGCCCCTAATGAAGACAATTAAACCAACATAACATTATGTTAAGCACAAAAACAGACATCTACTAATCTCTTTCATTACTGATGGTCACTGTACAGTAAATATAAACATTCTCATCCATCGCCATTTTCTCATATCTTTTTAAGTTTCTCACTGCATTAATTACCTCCAGATTTGTTAGCCTTGCCCCTTCTTCCAGCCATGTATATAAATAAGCATCTCACATTTTAAGAAAATTTATTTCTCCAAATTTCAGGCTTATACTGATAAATTATGGCACCAATTTGTTTTACAGAACCTAAAATTTTGAACATGAACCATTTTTAGGCTAGAGTAAATATATCATGTGTTAGACGGCAGCACCTAAGGAGAAATACTACATTGCATCTTAGTTGTCTTCAACATTGTAAATACTCTGAGAAAAGTAAAATGAAGAAAATTAGGTTCTAAGCTAAGACATATGGAGTTACAGAATCCCCAGACAGGAGACACATGCAGACTCTAGTGAAGGGCAGAAAGGAAGACAACATATAGAAGATCAGAGAATCAGAGTAGAACAATTCTGAACATCTAGTCTAATCCCTCCTTTTATAGGTGAGAAAACAGACTCAGAGAGACTAATAGACTTCCTCATATTGCACAGTAGTTACAGAATGAAGTATAAACGAGGCCTACTGATACTTAGCCCAATGTCTTTTCCATTTACTATATCCATGTTTCTAGGAAAGCTTTATAAAAACTGCTTTCATTCCCACAATACCCACAGGAGATTGGTATCAGGCTGATGGAATGAGTTTCTGGCTTTGGAGCTTTCTGTCAGGAAGCCAACCACCTAAACACTAGAATTGCACATACATAAACAAGGGTTCCCTACAGCAATGCTCCCATAATAATCATGATTTTTGTATTTGGATTTAGTGGCAACACTGTTCACATAATGAAGCTCTAAGAGTAGTAACCTCTCCAGAACAGATCTCAGGTATAGGATCAATAACTGGCAGGTAGGTATCTAACTGTGACAGACTTTTGCATTTCAGGGATTCACTGAAGAACCTATAGCTTCTTTCTACTTGCTACCATAGGATGGCAGGAGGTGCCATATTTGCTGTCCCAACTGACAAAATATGTCCTCCCTCAGGATTATGGCTACGAACGTTTATGCCCTTTTTTTAAAAAAAAGAGGTGTACATACTTAGGGGGAAATTTAAGATAATGCCTTACAGAAATGAAGTCAAATAAAATTTTAGAAACTATGCAAATTAAAATGCTCGGTTACTTTGGGTTAAATGTATAATTGGGTACCAGGAGTATTTAATCAAATAACAAAACATCAATAGCTTTCTTTTGTAAATAAACCTTAATTTTTCTTTATACTACACCTTTCAATGTGATTTTCATTCCCCACCTTGAGCTTAATTCAACTTTCAACGCATTTGGACCTGGAGGTCTACTCTCATAACTACCACTTTCTTTACTTCTTAGAGAAATTTAAGCCGTGACCTAATCAGAATCCTCACTTTGTGTCCATTCCATTCTCTAGTTTCAGTCAGCTGACATTACCAGTCTCTGATCTCTGGGACACCGTAAGGCAGGCAGGCAGAAAGACACTACATGCCACACACCTCTGCCACCTTAGACGCCAAATCCTATGTATTCCAATACAAGCAATACAGGGGCTCTGAGGATGGAAATAACATAAAGGCAACTGGTAGGGAGAATTAAACTACACAGTCTTACCTGATATCACTTAATTACCCACTTAACTTGCAGCCTTCCACGTTGTTTTATCTCAGTATTTGAGGGCCCAGGAAACTTCTGGTTAGGTATAAACCCCAGTATAGCCTAAACTTAACTGTTTACATAAAATGTGTGCTAAGGCAAACTAATAAAAGATCAGTACCTTACAAACTCCACCTCCTTTAGTTAAAGGACTCAAATTCATACACTTCAGTGCAGATAAAAGAATTTTCCAAATGTTCCTCAAATAAATAGTTGGTGCACTCCCAGTAGTCCATTCTGGGGTGGTCTAATCTCTGCCAACAGACCATCATGAAGCTGGAATTCATGTTATGTTATGAAAGAAAAATTGGGGTAGGGGAATACATCAAAATGGTGATAGTCATTTTCTTAGAGGAGACGAATGTGTAGATGGAAGGGGTTACATACATCCCTCATCTCTATTTTCCAAATTATGTAATTTTTATTTTGCAATCATAATCGTAAATAAGGTTTATCTAAAACTTGAGGTCAGATTACTCAATACTGTTTTTAGAAAATATCAACCACCGTCTTTCCCTTTGGTACAGATCTGATTGCTGCCCATTTTTCCCTCTCCTTATAAAGGCAGAGGCTACATGGGAAACGCTCCAGCCCAGGGGTTATGAACTCAAGTTATGTTCAGACTCTGGATCAGACTTTTCATTCTGGCATCACCACTCCTGGTCCTGGGACCTCAGGAAAGTTAGTTAACATCTGAATGCCTCAGTTTTCCCATAGGTAAGATGAGAACAAAAATGCTGTCTACCTCTCAGGAGCTGCTGTGAAGAATAAATGAGCACTTAGTGCTTGGCACGTAAAGGTTCAATAAAGGACAGCTACAGGTGGCTATGCAGACTGCATAGAGGGTAATAACTGCTTATTGTTGGATTTGGAAGACAGTAACCAACCAAGAGACCAGTTGTCTGTTAAATACCCAGTGGCCTAATAAAATTTAATTAACTATCTGAGCACTCACTAAGCAAGACTCTTTATTAAGATGATATTCAAGTAAGGGAGTCTAGAACTCAAGTTCCAGTTGAAACTCAAATTACAAAGTTGTAAAGGGAGTAGGTTAGGAGGAGGGGAAGCAAAGTACTTCTGGATTAATGGAAAGCAACATGGGCCCAAAAGGAAGCTAGATTTGTAGTGAACTCAACACTCTAGCAAACAAGTGGCAGAAATGCCTAATTAGTACACCCTGTCCAAGGCTGGGAATTGGCCTGAGAAAAGTGACCCAGACCACAGAAAAATCAGGCTAAGGATGACAGAGAAATTGAGTGACATTATGGGATTAACCAACACGAGGATTAAAAATAAAAAATAAAAAAAGTAACACAAACATACAAGAATCACTTGAGGAGTTTTTAAATGCATGCTTCTGAGAACCAACTGGTCTGAGGTGGAGTCCAGATAACTGTATTTTAAATTTTCACCAGTGATTCCGATGTACACCTCAGGCAGCACAAAGCAGGGGCTCAACAGTTTCAGTAGGAATAAACGATACATAAGTGAAAAGCTAGTGTACTCTGTTGAGTTTCAAATCATGAACCTGGAACAGGTGTAAGTGAACACAGGCCCAAGGTCCATAAAAGTCACTGCAATTGTTGGGGGAGGACAATAAGCCCAGGAAGGCATGAAAGGGAAATCAAGCCATGTGGCCTCACGTAAAACCATTAGAGCAGTGGTTCTCAAACTTGGCTAAACATGAGAATCACCTGGAGGGAGGAGGGGGTGTCTCAGCATCCTGATGCCCAGATCAAACCTCAAGTTTATTAAAACCAATTCTAGGAGTGACATCCAGGCATCAGAAGTTTAAAGCTCCAGGTGATTCCAATGTGCAACCAAGTTTGAGAAACACTGGGCTAGAGAGTTTCCAGGAAGTCAGCAGGTGTCTGGAATAGGGGGAAACACAAGGTAATAAGTGAGTAGTTCTCGAATTCCAATGTGTATTATAATCACATGGAAAGCAAATGTGGCTCATGGAAGAGGAAGAGTAGGTACTCTACAGCTTCATCAAATTCCCCAGGTGATTCTAACACATACCAAAGCTGGAGAACCATAGGTCCAAGTGGAGACAATTTCAAATGAGAAACTGAGGACTATGAACAAACAGCCCCATGGACAAGAACATTCCTATCCTTTCTAGGCCTGAGGAATGCAAGCTGAATCTAGGAGGTCTACTGAACACTGCCAGAATCAGTAAGCCTGTAAAGAGTCCAGCAGTAAAGCTAAAGGCACCACGGACTTCACACATAAGACTGCTTATACATCTTTAGCCTCAGAAGTCATCCTTCCAAACCACTCACAGCTGGCTCCTTGGTGGATGGCATAAAGAAAGCATGTGTTGCCACCTGCCTTCCAGAATTAAAGACTTGGCTTTTTAGGAATCCGGGAAAGTCACAAGCAATTAAACACACAGCAATAAGCAGAGCATACAACTCAGAAATTCTCATCACCGCATAGAAAGAAGAAACTCCAGGGCATATTAAAGTTACATTTGGAAGACCTGAACCTGGCGGTTCCCATCATGATCAGTTACATAGAGGGTCTGTAACCTAGGTTATAAAAATGTAACTTTTACTGATCAATGTCGCACGTTTTTTCTCAAAATACACGACCTAGCCTACTTACATGAGGTGCAGAGAAATTAGTCATAGCTTCACCTAGCTACAATGTAATAATATGGTACTTAGGAGGCGCTCCAACGTAGTGGTAACTATTCCATTTAGAATGTTACATCTGATAAGATTCAAGAGAATGCACTCCTGCACATATGACCAACTCATCATCCCATCAGAAATCTCTTATAACAGCACCAGAATTTTCATTTTCAAGATACATGAGCTTTTGTCAAATGGTGACATCTCCTCTGTAATATGAATTTTCAATACGATATAAAAAAAGATGGATATATTACACATTTCACAGAGCAAAGAGAACAGAAACCCGTCAATGAACTTAAAATTTGTGACAACCTATCTGAAATTTTACACTAAAAGATCTGTACACTTTCATAAGCCATATAAATGTAAAACAGGTACCAATGTTTTTACTGCCAAAAAGGAATAAAATATTCCTAACAAAGTTCGGTTGTTGCCTTAATATATTTTTAAAATGTATTTTCATTAACATTTCAGTTGTTAAAATGCAATGCTTTACACAACCTTCAAAGTGCAACTGATAAAAACTTGAAATCTATGTAATATACTTCAAAACAAAGCCACTGGCAGATTTTTTCCCCACCATTTCAGTCTGTGCACCAATCTTCAAATGTATGAACGTACAGGTCTTAGTGCAAAATGCAAGTCACTGTTTAAAAAAAGAAAACTTAATAAACACATTATTTTAAAGGTCATCCTAAGTGATTTAGATTTCTTCACTTGAACCTGGTTGCTCTAACAATCTACAGATCCCACTGTACAAAATGACTTAATAAATGCTTTTCTTCCAGAGTAAGTCATTAAGCAAAAAGCACAAATAAGTGAAATGAAAATTTTCCAAGTAATGGAGGAGTTAAATTAACCAGAAATATGGCAATTTGTTTTCATGTAGTAAAACATAAGAGGGAGCATTTATGAAAGCTGGAGGGGGGTGGAGGGGCACAATTTAGATAACGTTACATAAGCATCAATAAAAAAAAGTATGAGTTCGTTGTTAAGCTATTGGATGATAGTTTTGAGCTCAGACCTTTAAAATGTTACAACATTTAAGTCATGTTACTACACATAAATCATCTTCACAGGACACAGAACACAGCTAATTTAAGTTTAATGCTCTCATCTTCGCCAATCTCAGAATATCGAGTTCCTTACCATGATTGTTCGTTAGCTGTATCTTGGAATACAACTAAGTTAATTTTCCTAAAACTACCATCAGCAAAACCAGTTCACTAATGTGTTTTAAAGACGTTACCAAAGGACGTATTAAAATAGTTATTTCTGGGTTGAGGGGGGTGTTTTGGTTTAAAGACCAGCAAACTTCAAAAGAAAACGATGCTAGCTGGCAGGGGTACGTTACGGGTTTTGTCGGGGGCGGGGAGGGGGTGGAGGGAAGCCCAGATTTGGGAAGGAAAGCTCGTTTCACAAGAGATCCCATCTCTCGTTTCAAAAGGTCATTTCCATTCAGCAGATCCTCTTTCCCTATTTCAGAGCTCACCACTGTATTCTAAACAGAAGCCAATAGAGGGAGAAAAACAAAGCCAAGTGCAAAAGCTGTGGGCACTGAAAGTTTTGCTCCACCGGCCGCGCAGCACCCACTTGGGGTCGGGCTTTGGGACTTGGGGGAGTCAGGAGCAGGCGGGGGCTGGGGAGAGGACGAGGCCCTGGGGAGGGGCTGGAAAAGGCTTTTCACAGCGACTGGCACTTGATATTTCCAAGTCTTCTGGATGTCACTCACCGGAAACCAGACCCTGCGGTGCGAAGACTCAGGTACAGACCAGCCCCTTTTTCATCCATGCAATGGGAAGGGGACTCGGGCATCCTTTTAAGGAGCTGAGAAATGGGTCCTCAACTTAAAAATTTTTGTTTGTGCTACTGCGGTATAAAAAAAATAAAACGCAAAGTAGCAGACGGGGTGCAGGCTCTACGGGGCTCCGTTTCCCTCTCCTCCGAGTCTGGCGTGGAGGAGCCCCTGGGCTCCCTAGAGCCCCCAGCAAGGCGCATCCCGACCCGGGCCGGGAAGCGGGGGGACCCCGGACACACTCTCGCTGCTCAAGTTCGCGCCTCCGCGCCCCGAGGCGACGCCCCCGGCCCGCGACCCCGCGCGCACCTACCTTGCGCCAGCGCCCGGAGCAAGTGCAGCTGCAGCGCCAGCAGCGCCCACCAGCCGCGGCGGCCCGGCCCCAACTTTGCCGCCCGCCGCCCGCCGCACCGCCCCGCGCCCGCCGTGTCCCCGCCGGAGGTCTCGGGCGCCGCCCGGGGTCGCGAGGGCTCCGGGCCGGGGCGCGGCGCCAGCGAGGGGCGGGCGCGGCCGGGCGGGGATCCCCGCGGCCGCCCGGGGCCCGCGCGCTCAGGGGGCTCCGCGCCGCCGCCGCCGCCACCGGCCGCCGAGGGCCGGGCGCCCCGGGCCATGCCGAGCAGCCGCCACCCCGAGCGCCGCGCCGGACGGACGGGCGGGCAGGACAGGCGGGACGGCTCCGAGCGGGCGCGGCCACTCCGCGGGAGGCGCGGCGCCCCCCGGCCCGAGGTGAGCGGCCGCCCAGCGCTGAGGGGCGGCGTCCTGGGTCCCCGCGTGAGGGGCGCGGCGCGGGCCGGGGACGAGCCGGGCGAGAAGAAGTTGTCAACGGGGGAAATTCGCGTCCGGCGCTCACGCAGTCCCGAGCCCGCCGCGCTAGCTCCGAGGGGTCCGCCGGGCGCGGAGGAGCCGCCGCCGCCGCCGCCCCCGCCCGGCGCTGAGAAGAAAGTGCGCCCGCCCGCACGTCGCGGTCGCGCTCGCCCTCAGCTGCCGCGGCCGCCGCTCCCCATTCACAGCCCGGCCGCACGCGCCGCCCGCGCCCGCCGCCCGCCGCCCGCCGTTGATTGGCCGAGGGAGGCGGCGCCCGCTCCCAGGGCCCGCCCCCCAGGCCCTCGCTTGTTTTCAAAGTCGCGGCGCCCGCCCGCCTGCAATTTTGTGCCGGCCGCGGCGCCTGGCTCGGGCGGCTTCCCGCGCCGGCTGCGCCCCCTAGGGACCCGTAGTGGGGACTGCAGGCGGCGTCGATTCGGCACGCGCTCCCGTGGCGGGCTCGCGGGCGGGGGTGGTGCATCCTCGCCCGGCCCCGCAGCGGTGCGGGCGCCCGAGTGGGAAGGGCTCAGGTGCAGCAGGACGCGCAGATCGTGCGGCAGCCCAGGGCCGAGGGCGGAATAGGGCGCGCCCCGAGAGGCGCCCGGCTACCACCAGCTAGCTCAGTGCTTGGGGGTGACGCGCCAAGTTACCGTAATTGCAAACACGCGCAATCGGGTTTTTAATTTCTAGCAACCAAAGGCACCACTGGGTGCAAACTCGCCTCCTGTTCAGAGGAGTGGATATGGCATTGTAGAAGCGTCCAAGGTCACTTTTGGCCGGCGCTGGAGGAGGGCGGGGTAGGGAGGGACACATTGCAGGTTTCCCACCGTGGAGTGGGCGAGTCTTGGGGCAGGGTCGGCCAGTGGGAGGGTCTCCCAGGGCGGGACCCGGGAGCCTGTGGGGCTGGGGGTGGGGACGGGCGCCGACGCTCAGCATGTGGTAAGCATTAGCAGAGTTTATGGGGTGAACTAAGCGCACTGGAGGCTGAAAGGCCAGCATTTTTGTGGGAGGAGAGCTGGAGGTGACACGCACTGCCTCTGGAGTTGGCCCGGGAGGAGCCTGGGGACGTGTGATGATGGTCGCATGAGATCATGTAAGAGATGAACGCAGAGGGGCTGGGTGTGAGCCCAGCACGGGGCTGACTCCCCAGGAATCACCTGATGCAGTAGGTTTATTGTCCCAGCCAAGAAAGACCCCGGGCGAGTGGAGAGCAGGTCACAGGGCTGGGGTCTGGGATAGGAGCCAGCTCCTGCTCACAGAGCGCCTATGGTATTTGTCAAATAACTGATTGGTGGCTCAATATTAGCCTCTGTACACGTCCCCTAAGACTTAACAATGACCACGTGAACAAAACAGGGAAACTGAGGTCCAAGTACAGCCGCCGAACAGGAGGTGGTTTCAGAAAGAGGCCTCCCATCTGCCCCCTTTCCACACCATGCTAGGAGGGGCAAAAAAGTTAAAGGAGCCACGGAGTGCCCTGTTCTGAGGATATAGTGAGGGCGCATAGATGGGACGAGCCGGAAGAGGACAGCTCCCCAAGGACATGGGGATGAGACTGGAGGCAGAGAGGCATGTCTGTTTTTATCTTCTGTTGGTAGCAAGGCTGGGTTTCTTCAAACTTGCAAGATTATAATGAGAACCTGCTGGGCGGGGGGAAGCAATACCTCCTGTGCAGTGAGCACTCACTGTAGGCCAGCCCAGGGCAGCAGCAGCAGCAGCTTCACTACCTGCTGTGTGAGAGGTGCTGGCCCTGGTACAGATGGAGAAACTGAGGCATAAAGAAGTGGGCCGGGCGCGGTAGCTCACACCTGTAATCCCAGCACTTTGGGAGGCCGAGGCGGGCGGATCACTTGAGGTCAGTTCAAGACCAGCCTGGCCAACATGGTGAAACCTCGTCTGCAGTTAAAAAAAAAAAAAAGAAAAGAAAAAAGAAAGAAGAAAATGAAGAAGAAAGACAGAAGAAGAAGATGATTAGCCAGGCGTAGTGGCGTGCGCTTGTAGTCCAAGCTACTCGGGAGGCTGAGGCAGGAGAATTGCTTGAACCTGGGAGGTGGAGGTTGCAGTGAGCCGATACCTTGCTACTGCACTCCAGCCTGGGCGACTGAGTGAGACTCTGTCTCAATAAATAAATAAATAAATAAATAAATAAATAAATAAATAAATAAATAAAGGAAGTGAAGTGTTTTGCCCAAGGTCGGGAGCTCACCTCCCTTCCTCTTCACCCCAACCACCTCTGCTTTGCTGGGAGATAGAGGCTGGTGATCCAAGAGTGGAGTCATGGGGCTTTGAGGTCTCACTCAGCTCCGCCCTTTGTAGTTGTGAAATTTGGGCAAATCGCTGACTCCAAGTTCCTGTAAAAAGTTAGGAATAATTCCCATCTCCAGGGTAGTAGACAGAGTGAGATAATTCACACTCAGTAAATGCTGGTTTTCCTTTCCCTCTACTAACGTGGCAATCCTTGTCCCAAACTACCCTTGCTCTCCCCGCCATTTGAGTTTGCTGCACATTTAACCTTTTCCTCTCCAGTATCGATCTATATCCACCACTTTCACGTAGAAACCTGTGCCCATATACCGCTCCAGTCCACATAGGCACGAACATAACTCAAGCAACTTCTTGACTTTAGGACACGTCAAAATTACCCAGAGCCTCTTTTGCCATGACTTATTTTGCAGGTAGCAGAAAGCTTTGTGGAAACTTGCTTGGAAATTGGAAAGCCAAGTTAGTATACACCAGGTTATAAGAGATCAGTGACCAGGCCAAGTGCAGTGGCTCACGCCTTTAATCCCAGCACTTTGGGAGGCCAAGGTGGGTGGATCACTTGAGGTCAGGAGTATGAGACCAGCCTGGCCAACATGATGAAACCCCATCTATAGTTAAAAAATAAATAAATAAATAAATAAATAATTAATTAGCTGGGCGTGGTGACGGGCGCCTGTAATCCCAGCTACTAAGGAGGCTGAGGCAGGAGAATCGCTTGAATCCAGGAGGTAGAGGTTGCAGTGAGCCGAGATCGTGCCACTGCACTCCAGCCTGGGTGACCCAGTGAGTCTCTGTCTCAAAAAAAAAAAAAAAAAAAAAAAAAAAAAAGACAGATCAGTGACCTCACTGTTACTACAGAAGGTCTGGAAACCTCTCCAAGAAATTTTTTTTTCTTCCTATCCCAATATCAGCCTTGAGAAATAAGGTTCTACTCTAATCTCCATTCTACAGTTGGAGAAGCCAAGCCTAGAAAGTTTAATACATGCGAAGCAACCGTGCTAAAGCCAGAACAAGCATCCAGCTCTCCTGAGTCCTGTTCTGAGACTTGTTTTTCCTCGCCCCGACCATGTTGCTTTTCACAGGACCTATTAGGTTACCATTTTGGGGCCTGTGTTTAGACTACAGCTATTCTTTCTCAAACAATAATACAGAGAAACCCCTTTATAATGCTGGGGAGGGGAGACAGCCAGGAGGGGGCTGGAATATTTCTGCCCTTAAGGCCAGTGAATCTCTCAACTTCATTTTGCCCAGCCCTACAAGAGGGCCTCAAGAAGTGAGCATTTTATACCTGCATACTTGCCATTAAAAATTGTAACCATATACGCTAAAGGCCATGAGGTGGAGGGATGTTACTCCATGAAAACTGATTATTATTATTTCCCCTTCTTCTTCTTCTCCTCCTCCTCCTTCTTCCTCTTCCTCCTCCTCCTCTTCTTCCACTTATTCGTCTTCTTCCTCTTCCTCTTCTTCTTCCTCTTCCTCTTCCTCCTCCTCTTCTTCCACTTATTCATCTTCTTCCTCTTCCTCTTCTTCTTCCTCTTCCTCCTCCTCTTCCACTTATTTGTCTTCTTCCTCTTCCTCTTCCTGTTCCTCTCCTTCTCCTTCTTCTTCTCCTTCCCCCAATGAGCCCTGGCCATCTCCTACTTTCCAGAATAAGAAGTTAGAATTTTCCCTGCTTAATTAAAAAGAGAGAAGGAAGAGTTTTCAAAACAGATGATAATTTTCACGTCGTTAGGATGATCCATGAAACCAGCAGTGCTTTCCCTTGTTGTGATTTAAAGCCTGCTGCTCCAGGTATGGCCCGTGGGCCATCTACCTCACCTGGGAGCTTGTTAGACATGCAAAATCTCAAGCCCAGTCCCGGACCTGCTGACTCATACTCTGCATTTTCAAAGATCTCCAAGTGATTCCTGTGTAAATGAAAGTTCGAAAATCACTCATCAATCCCGTTGAGTCTGAGGAATATAATAGAGCCCTCATTCCTCTTTTGCTTCATTCTGTCCTTTCTCCTCCTTTTTCTTATGGGCCATCACATAAAAGAGAACCTTTTTTAAATGATAGAAATATTTTTATTTTAAAAGGACAATTTGCAACTTTCTAGAACATCAGTAGCTTGAACTGTATACCAATTCAAAACCAAAAGCATCTGTATGGCACTGTGAAAAAAAACTAACAAACTGGAGAAAATGTTACTATCTATGTTAGTCAATAAGACTTACAGCTTTTATGAGTCAATAAGAAAAATAGATGAACAAGCCCTATAGAAAAATGAGCAGAGGCTGGGTGTGATGGCTCAGGCCTGTAGTCCCAGCACTTTGGGAGGCCAAGGAGGGAGGATCACTTGAGCCTAGGAGTTTGAGACCAGTCTGGGCAACATAGTGAGACCCTCATCTCTCAAAAAAATATATAAATAAATAAATTATCATGTGTGTGTAGTCCCAGGTACCCTCGAGGCTAAGGTGGGAAGATCACTGGAGCCTGGGAGGTTGCAGTGAGCCATGATTGTGCCACTGCACTCCAGCCAGGCCACAGAGCGAGACTCCATCTCAAAAAACAAAAGACCAAAGAATAGTAACAGGCAGAGAGATATAAAGAGAAAATAAATGAAGAGATGCACCAAGAAATTGATTTTTTTTTTTTCTGAGACAGAGTCTCACCTGTCACCCAGGCTGGAGGGCAGTGGTGTGATCTCGGCTCACTGCAACCTCCTCTGCCTCCCAGGTTCAAGCGATTCACCTGCCTCAGCCTCCTAAGTAGCTGGGATTACAGGCTCATGCCACCATGCCCGGCTAATTTTTGTATTTTTAGCAGAGACGGGGTTTTGCCATGTTGGCCAGGCTGGTCTTGAATCCTGACCTTAAGTGATCCACCTGCCTCAGCCTCCCAAAGTGCTGGGATTACAGGCGTGAGCCACCGCGCCCAGCCAGAAATTGATCTTAACAGTGAAAAATTAAAGCAACGAGGCTTGTAAAAAATGTTTAAGGACTGACTGATAATGGCAAATGTGTGGTAAGACTATGAGGAAATGAGCATTCATTTATTCTTAGTGTAAGTACAAACTAAACAGCTGCCGTGGAGAGAAACCTGCAATCCATAGTTAAAATTTATTTGTTTGTTTTTTGAGACAGAGCTCGCTCTGTCACCCAGGCTGGAGTGCAGTGGTGTGATCTCGGCTCACCCCAACTTCTGCCTCCCAGGCTCAAGCGATTCTCCTGCCTCAGCCTCCCGAGTAGCTCAGATTACAGAGGCGCGCCACCATGCCTGGCTAATTTTTGTATTTTTAGTAGAGATGGGTTTCACCATGTTGGCCAGGCTGGTCACGAACTCCCAACCTCAGGTGATCTACACACCTTGGCCTCCCAAAGTGCTGGGATTACAGGCATGAGCCACTGTGCCCAGCCGGTAGTTAAACTTTAAATATGAATTGTCTTTGATCTATTATACCTCACACATGCAAAAAGACATATGGATAAGGTTGTCCAGTGCAGCATCACTAGTAGCAAAAAAAAAAAAAAAAGTGCAATATGGCATATCCACACAATACATTTCTGGATGACTGTTAAAAGTGCTGATGTAGAAATGTCTGCTATATACAGTTCTGTGTTTTAAAAGTTATGGAGCAAATATATAATCTCATTTATGTCTTTTTTTTTGTTTTGTTTTTGAAAGGATGAATGCCTAATGTATATAATTTCCTTCAGGGGACATGGAATTATGTGCTTTCCGGTACTTTTTTTTTTTTTTTTTTTTTTTTTTTTTTTTTTTTTTTTGAGACGGAGTCTCGCTCTGTCGCCCAGGCTGGAGTGCAGTGGCGGGATCTTTCCTGTACTTTTTATATTTCCAAATGTGAATGTGTATGTCATAATTTACAAAAAAAAACCAAAACACTAATAAAGCTTGCTTTTAAGAAGCGGAAGGTGGTGAGCCTAAGAAGTTTTTTCTTACCCATAAGTCGTTAGGAAATCTCCCCCATGGGTTCCCATGGTTCTACTTCTGAGAAAAATAATCCCCAATCCTATCAGAGGCCAACTTACAACATGCACTTGTCCACCTGGGGATGTGATGCTCTCCCGTGTGCAATGCAAGGCTCCCAGTCCACATCCTGGGGGTCCCTAATGGCTGGTCCCTAAGGTCCTGTCCTGATGAGAACTCCAGCCTCTAGTTGCCTCAGTGGTTCACTCTCAGATCCCTGCCAACTGCTGATCCCGCCTCAGCCTCACCTTTGTTCTGTTGCCTGGCAACCCATTAACAAGCAGGGCGCAGTTCCAGGTGCAGCTTTGAGCCCTAATGGGGCGCGTGCTTTGGTTACCTAGTTTCCTGAGATATCTTCAAAAGCTATAATCCGATTAAATGCTCTTATTAAGGAAGCTATGAAGAAGAGCGGTACCAGAAATGTACCAAGCTTCCAAAAATGCCTACCAGCTGCCTTTAATAGTAACTGTCCCTCAGCTCTCGGGGTGCCTTAAATTGCAAGAAGCAGAGTTTCCTGACCAGCTGTTATCAGTATCACCTGGACATCGCCCCACACTACTGAATCAGAAACTCTGGGGGGTGGAACCCAGCAAGCTATGGTTTAACCAGCCCACCAGGTGTTTCTTTTCTTCTTCTTTTTTTTTTTTTTTTTTTGTTTTTTTTTTTGTTTGTTTTTTTTTTGAGACGGAGTCTTGCTCTGTCCCTAGGCTAGAGTGCAGTGGTGCCATCTCAGCTCACTGCAACCTCCACCTCCCCAGGTTCAAGCGATTCTCCTGCCTCAGCCTCCCGAGTAGCTGGGACAACAGGCATGCATCACCATGCCCAGCTAATTTTTTCTATTTTTAGTAGAGACAGGGTTTCACCATGTTGGTCAGGATGGTCTCAATCTCCTGACCTTATGATCCACAAGCGTCGGCCTTCCAAAGTGCTGGGATTACAGGTGTTGGCCACCATGCACGGCCCAGGTGCTTCTGATATACACTCAAGCTTGATACCCATAGTCGAAAGCAATTCCTTCCATGCCTACTTTTCAGCAAGTGTTTGTCAGATAACTGATTGATGCCTGCCCCAGCACTAGGCAAGAGTGAAATAAACAATTAGAGTAATTGCATTCATATGATAAGTGAAATCACCTAAGGGAATATCAGAGCAGGGATCTAACAGCCTTGAGGAATCAGGGAAACTATTCCAGGGGAAGTAGTGTCTAAACTAAGACCTGAAGAACGAGTTAAGAGTTCATCCCTCAACAGTCAGGAGAAGAAAGTGTGTTCCAGGCAGAAGGAACAGCACCTGCCAAAAGTTTGAAGCCCAGAGTTTGAACTTGAGCATGAGAACAATGGAGAGGCATGGGGATTTGAAAAACCACAGAATCAAAGACTTTTAGAAAAGTCATTCAAAGACCAGCCTGGCTAACACAGTGAAACCCCGTCTCCTCTAAAATTACAAAAATTAGCCTGGCATGGTGGCACGCACCTGTTAATCTCAGCTACTCCAGAGGCTGGGGCAGGAGAATCGCTTGAACCAGGGAGGCGGAGGTTGCAGCGAGCTGACATTAAGCCACTACACTCCCGCCTGGGAAACAGAGTGAGACTCCATCTTGGAAAAAAGAAAAAGACAAAGAAAAGTAATTCAGGTTGTGGGCTAGGTTGGGATTGGGCAAGCCTGGGAGCCAGGAAATCTGCTAGGAGACCGTTGCAGCAATTCAAATATGAAGTAATGGTGGCAGTTGGGACGAGAGAGAAGTGGCAGATTAAAAAGCTATCTATGGCCAAGCGCGGTGGTTTACGCCTGTAATCCTAGCACTTTGGGAGGCTGAGGCAGGCGGATCATTTGAGGTCAGAAGTTCAAAACCAGCCTGGCCTGCATGGTGAAACACCCCCCCGTCTCTACTAAAAATACAAAAAAATTAGCTGGGCATGGTGGCCCACACTGTAATCCCAGCTACTTGGGAGGCTGAGGCAGGAGAATCGCTTGAACCTAGGAGACGGAGGTTGCAGTGAGCCAAGATCATGCCACTGCACTCCAGCCTGGGCCACAGAGCAAGACTCTCTCTCAACAACAACAACAATAACAAAAAAGCTATCTTGGAGAGAGAATCCACAGCTAAGAAAGAGAGGTTTGCAGATAACGTTCTGTTTTCTGGCTTAGGAAACTGGAAAAATGGCGATTTTGTTTCTGAAGGGAGAGAACACAGGTGGAGGGGAAGGTTTGGAGGGATAAGGAGGACAGTGCCACGTTTGATTTTAATCTGTTAAATGTGATGTGTCAGCAGGACATCCTCAGGCAGATACGATCATTAGACATGTGGATGTTGGGTATAATGCAGAGAAGGAAGGAGCAGAGGAAGATGACTTCAAAGGCAACACTGGGCCGGGCGCAGTGGCTCACGTCTAATTCCTGCACTTTGGGAGGCCAAGATGGGTGGATCACTTGAGGTCAGGAGTTCAGGACCAGCCTGGCCAACATGGCGAAACCCTGTCTGTAATAAAAATACAAAAAATTAGCCGGGCTTGGTGGGCGCATGCCTATAATTCCAGCTACTCGGAGGGGGCTGAGGCATGAGAGTTGCTTGAACCCAGGAGGTGGAGGTTGCAGCGAACTGACATCGCGCCACTGCACTCCAGCCTGGGCAACAGAGTGAGACCCTGTCTCAAAAAAAAAAAAAAAAGGGCAACACAGACAAGGAGTGAAGGACTGAAAAGTGACTTGTAGGCTGAGCAAGAGAGCTCCTTCAAAGACCCCGTGAGCACAGTGTTGATGGGTGCCTGAGCCAGTCCCAGGTGGTAGAGACATGAGCTGGAGGTGGACGTGACATTTTCTTTTTTTTTTTTTGAAATGGTGTCTTGCTCTATCGCCCAGGCTGGAGTGCAGTAGTGTGATCTCAGCTCACTGCAACCTCTGCCTCCCAGGTTCAAGCGATTCTTCTGCCTCAGCCTCCCAAGTTGCTGGGACTACACAGGTGTGTGCCACCACGCCTGGCTAATTTTTTGTATTTTTAGTAGAGATGGGGTTTCACCATGTTGGCCAGGATGGTCGCCATCTCCTGACCTCGTGATCCACCCACCTCGGCCTCCCAAAGTGCTGGGATTACAGGCGTGAACCACTGCACCGGGCCCGGACATGACATTTTCAAGAGGTTTAATGCAAAGGTTAGACAGAAGATGGCAGGAAAGATATGGGCTTGTGTTCTGTAGAAAGGGGGACCCAGGAGAATGGGTTGGTCACCAACAGCTCAGCAGCCTCAAATCTCTGGAACGTTCTGTGAAGTGGAGGGTTAGTCTTACGTGGAGGAGGACTATCTAGTCCACTGCAGAAAGAACCAGGGAGAGGTCATAGCTTAGTTAGAAGAATTATCAGGGGAAATTTAGGGAGATGCACCTGATGTTTTCTTCGCTCTCTCTCTAAAATAGCTAGGTCACCTGTTCAATGTGAGGTAAGGAGGGAATTGGGAGCCTTTGAGGGCAGAACAGATGTAGAAAGTTTGAGATATTTACTTGGTGAAAAGGAGAGGCTTTAGCAACAGATTCAACAGACATCTCTCCACCTGATTTTTACATAAGTATTTTAATCCTCACAACAATCCCTGTGTGATGGGAAGTGTGTTTTTCCACTTTACTGAGGCTCAGATATTAAATCATTTGTCCAGGGCCACCGAGCTAGTGAGAGGTGGAGCTGGGATTTGAACCTATGTCTCCTGATGCTGTCTTCTACTTTGGGGGTAGGCAAGACAAATATTGTACAGACGACATCATAAAATTTAGTAGAAGGGTTTTCTTTTTTTTAATATTTTTTATTTGGTTGGTTTTGGGTTTATTTTTCTTTTTGTTTTTTTGAGACAGGATCTCGCTCTGTCACCCAGGCTGGAGTGCAGTGATGCATTCATAGCTCACTGCAGCCTCGAACTCCTGGGCTCAAGTGATCCTCTCACTTCAGCCTCCTGAGTAGCTGGGACTATAGGTGCCCGCCACCACACTGACTGAAGAACTCTTTCTTAAAGAGCACCTTGGTTAAAAGAGGTAGTTTTGGCTGGGCTTGGTGACTTATGCCTGTAATCCTAGCACTTTGGGAGGCCGAGGTGGATGGATTAGCTGAGGTCAGGAGCTCGAGACCAGCCTGGCCGGTATGGTGAAACCCAGTCTCTACTGAAAATACAAAAATGAGTTGGGCATGGTGACGTGTGCCTGTAATCCCAGCTACCTGGGAGGTTGAGGCAGGAGAATCACTGGAACCTAGGAGGTGGAGTGAGCCAAGATTGTGCCACTGGCACTTCAGCCTGGGCAACAGAGCAAGACTTCATCTCTCAAAAAAAAAAAAAAAAAGAAAAAGAAAAGAAAAGAGGTAGTTGTGAGTCAAATAAAATAAAGTTGCTTTAAATCCTTTTAGAAACAAAGTTTGCAAGTAATAGACTCCCCAAGTTGGAAGGGAGAGTTGGGGCTGATCTCAATGCTTATTAAATCCAATCATCTGTCCCAGACATCCAGCTCCTCTGTGTCACCCCTCAAGGTCATTCCATTTGCAGAAAGTTCTCCTTGCTCCAGAGGTCTTGTCTACACCGAATTGTAACCAGCCTCTCCACAGGGATCACCCATCAGTCCTCATTCTGTCCTCTGGAGCTAGATTCAGGAGTCACTGCCACCTCCCCAGTGCCCAAAACAGCACGTGGAGCCCTAGTAACAGTAAACATTTGTTGAAAGAATAAATGGTGGAAGGAGCTCTGATTGAAAATTTATGAGGTCTGGATTTTAATCCAGCTCCATTAATCAGCAAAATAACTTTAAGCGAGCAGCAGTACCTCTTTAGGCTTTAGCTGCATCATCCAAAAATGATAAAAAAAAAAAAAAAAAAAAAAAAAAAAAACAGTCATTTTGCTATGCTCACAGGTTGTGGGGCTCAGGAATCCATTCAGGGCACAGCTGGGAAGTGGCTGGGGATTTCCCTCAGCTGGGATGCCTGAGCTGGGATCACTTGCTAGCTGGGCTCAGTGTGGGCTATGAGCCAGAGTGCATTTTTGTGGCTTCTTGTGGCTTGGGCTTCCCCACAACATGGCAGCTGGACTCCAAGAGGGAATATCTGGAAGCTGCACGGCCTTTTCTAACTTGGCCTTACAGATCATGGAGCATCATTTCTGCTGCTCTCTGTTGGTTGCAAGCAAGTCACCAAGGCCAGCCCAGACTCCAGAGGAATGGATATTAGGCTCTACGTCTTGATGTGGGTAAAGGCAAGGTCACACTGCAGAATAGCTAATAAGATATGAGATAGTGTTGCAGCCATCATGGAAAGTACAATCTGCTTGATACTCCCTGAAGGACTCCCAGAAATATTTGAAGGAAGGGTACTTTGCAAGGGCCTGGGGTCCTGCATTAGAAGCTGGTGAAACCAGATTACAAACACAAAGCCCTGTCCACATAAACCAGTCCTTCTACTAGGTGAGGATTATGGGCTAAATTATGTCTCACCAAAATTCATATGTTGAATCCCTAATCCCCAGTGCCTCAGAAAATGACTACATAGGGACAGGGCCTTTGAAGAGGTAAGTTAAGGCTGGGCATGGTGGCTCATACCTCTGATCCCAGCACTTTGGGAGGCCAAGGCTGGAGGATCACTTCAGCTCAGGAGTTTGAAATCAGACCTGGCAACACAGTAAGACCCCATCTCTATTAAAAAAAAAATTTAGAAATTAGGCAGGCATGGTGGCACATGCCTGTAGTCCTAGCTACTTGGGAGGTTGAGGTTAAGTCTGGGAAGTCGAGGCTGCAGTGAGCCATGGTTACACCACTGCACTCCAGCCTGGGCAACAGAGCAAGACACTGTCTCAACAAAAAGAGGTAAGTTCAAACGAGGTCATTAGGGTGGACCCTAAGCCAATCTGACTGGTGTCCTTATAAAAAGAGGAAATTAGGGCGGGGTGCGGTGGCTCACGCCTCTAATTCTAGCACTTAGGGAGGCCAAGGCAGGCAGATTGCATGAGCTCAGGAGTTCGAGACCAGCCTGAGCAACATGGTGAAACCCCCGTCTCTACTAAAATACAACAATAACAACAACAAAAACAAACAAACAAACAAAATACTGGCCAGGCGTGGCGGCATGTGCCTGTAGTCCCAGCTACTCAGGAGGCTGAGGCAGGAGAATTGTTTGAACCCGGGAGGTGGAGGTTGCAGTGAGCCGAGATCATGCCACTGCACTCCAGTCTGGCGACAGAGCAAGACTCCTTCTCCCCCCACTGCCCCCCAAAAAAGGAAGAGGTAATTAGGACAGAGACATGCACAGAGGGACCATGTGAGAACACAGGGAGAAGACGCCATCTACAAGCCAAGGAGAGAGGCCAAAGAAAAACCAACCCTGCAAACACTTTGGGCCTAGACTTCCAACTTCTAGAACTATGAGAAAATAAATGTCTGTTGTTTACGCCTCCCAGTCTATGGTGTTTTGCTATGGCAGCCCTCACTAACTAACACAGCAAGGGACTAGGTTCCTTTAGCTATGTGGGCACCGTCTCTAAGAGCTGCCAGGCATTAATGGTACTGGACCTGCCATTCTTGCTTAAGGGACATTTTCTTGACATAACAATGCTCTTTGGCATTCTGGCTTCCACCAGGATATTTAGTATGTGGTTGTTTCAATTATGTCAGTTTAACTCCAGTTTTCTTTCTGACTGTTTGTGTTTTTTCCCTCACTTATGAGGCCTAGAATCCTTGGAGAGAAATTTAGTATTTTGCATGTCATTTTTACCTTTCACTCTTCTGGGTTTTGTTCAATGAGGGCATAAAACTGAGAGTTGACCTGCTCCATTATTCTGAAAACTTACTAGAGGAAGGAAGCACATGACTGCAGAGGCACAGAGGGATTATGGAGAATAAGTGGGTGACACATACATATGAAAAGTCTTAAGAAAGTTCATATTTTTTGGCCCCAAATTATATTTCAGCAAATGTATCTTTAAAATAACTGAAAATACAAAGATCCATGTACAAGAATGGTTGTCTCTGCACTGTGGTAATAGGAAAAAATTACAAGCAACCTGAATGTCTAAGATGCATATACACCATGGAATATTATGCAGCCATAAAAAGGAATGAGATCATGTCCTTTGCAGGGACATGGATGAAGCTGGAAGCCATTATCCTTAGCAAACTAATGCAGCAACAGAAAGCCAAACACTACATGCTCTCATTAATAAGTGGGAGCTGAAAAATGAGACACATTACAGTTTATCAACTTCATGGAATGCTATTGAATAGTTTACATTTTGAAAGAATATTTTGCCACACTATTCACAATAGCAAAGATGAAATCAACCCAAATATCCATCAGTGATAGACTGGATAACGAAAATGTGGTACATATACATCATGGAATACTATGCAGCTACAAAAAGGAACGAGATCATGTCCTTTGCAGGGACATGGATGGAGCTAGAAGCCATCATCCTCAGCAGACTAATGTAGGAACAGAAAACCAAACACCACATGTTCTCTTTTGTAAGTGGGAGCTGAACAATGAGAACACATGGACACAGGGAGGGGGACGACACACACTGGGGACTGTCAGCAGTGGGGTCTGGGGAGGGAGAGCATCAGGATAAATAGCTAATGCATGCTGGGCTTAATACCTAGGTGACAGGTTGATAGCTGCAGCAAACCACCATGGCACATGTTTACCTGTGTAACAAACCTGCACATCCTGCACATGTACCCCAGAACTTAAAATAAAAATTAAAAAAAAATTTTAATGGCATGGGAAAATGGTGAAGACAGTGTTAGTTGGGAAAATCATTTATGCCATTTTTCTCTTGCAAAAATTGGAATACATGGGCATATGTTGATGGGTTGGATGGTGTATTAGGCTATTCTTGCCTTGCCATAAATAAAATACCTGAGACTGGGTAATTTATAAAGAAAAGGGGTTGAATTGGCTCACAGTTCTCAGGCTGTAAAGGAAGCATAACACAGGCATCTGCTCAACCTCTGGGGAGGCCTCAGGAAGCTTCCAATCATGGCAGAAGGTGAAGAGAGAGCAGGCATGTCACATGGTGAAATCAGGAGCAAGGGGGGGTAGGGGCAACACACTTCTAAATGACCAGATCTCACGAGAAGTCACGCACTATCGTGAGGACACTACCAAGAGAGATGGTGTTAAACCATTCATGAGAAACCCACCCCCAGGATCCAATCACCTCCCACCAGGCCACACCTGCAACACTGGAGTTTACAATTCAAGTTGGGATTTCGGTGGGGACACAGATCCAAACTATATCAGATGGATAGATTGATCTAAAGATAAATAAACATTTAAAAAGAATTGGAAGGAAATGCATATATATATACACACACACATGGAGAGAGAGAGAGAGACCTGGTCTCACTCTGTCGCCCAGGCTGGAATGCAGTGGCACGATCTTAGCTCACTGCAACCTCCGCCTCCCGGGTTCAAGCAATTCTTCTGCCTCAGCCTCCTAAGTAGCTGGGATTACAGCACAAGCCACAACGCCTGGCTAAATTTTTGTGTGTTTTTAGTAGAGATGGGGTTTCACCATGTTTGCCAGGCTGGTCTCAAACTCCTGATCCGCCCACCTCGGCCTCCCAAAGTTCCGGGATTACAGGCATGAGCCACCACATCTGGCTGAAATGCACTGAGATATTAATGGTAGTCATTCCTGTATAGAATTAAAGGTGGTCTTTTTCTTTAAAATTATCCTTTTGCTTCTAAAAATCCCAAGATGAATACACTTCACTTTATAATAAACAGTAAGGAAACTCCAGTAAGTTATGGTTTAATGTGTGGGTGGTGCTGGCAACTGTCTTCCCCCAGATGCAGGAGAACAGACTTTGTCCAACTCATGCTGAATGGTGTTTGGAATTTTTAGTAATGCTGCCTCTTGCTACCCTCTCCTTCCTTTCTCTTTCCTCTACTTTCTCCTTGCAGAGAACGTTACAATTGAATCCGTCCCTGGTCCAGTTGGCTTCATTCTGGGGCCAACATTGGCACCAAAGAACATTTGGTGGGAGGACAAAGAGTCACAGAATTTTAGAGCTGGAAGGGGCCTCAGAAACCATCAGTCCAACACAGTTATTTATCTTGATGTCAGCCGGAAAAACAAGAAATACACAACAGAACATCCCAGTTTGCCGTAATAAGCCATTACGGGTCTCTCAACCATGAAGTTGTCTGAGTCATTTTTGAAGCTATCTGTATTTGCAAGCCTGTTCCATTTCCATAAATCTGCTCCCCACTGTGTGAAACACAGGGTGTGGGGCCATGGTTTGATAGCAGCGCATGTGAGAAACGCCCGGAGGCTGCTGTGGTGCTGCCTGTGAGCTCTGTGGGAGTCAGCGATGTGTGGTGGTGGTCCCCAGCGAGAGTCACTTCTGCATGGTGGGCAGAAGCAGGGATTTCTGGCCAGCACTGAGCCGGCCTGGCTGTGGCTGGGGCAATGTGTTCAGCTCCTCATGGTGCAGTGCAAAAGGAACGGCCACGAGCTAGAGTCAGTCTTGGTTGCAGTGGCTGGCAGAACAAAGGACATGTAGCCTAAATGGGGGAAGACTGGAGGTGAATTTGAGGCTGTTTTCAAATATCTGACTATGTAGATAAGTTAGATTTCACTGTAGCACCACTGAGGGCGAACCCTGTCTACTGGCCATTTGCAATTCAGTGAGGCAGGGGGATCACCTGAGGTCAGGAGTTCGAGACTAGCCTGGCCAACATGGTGAAAACCTGTCTCTACTAAAAATCCAAAAAATTAGCCAGGCTTGGTGGCAGGTGCCTGTTATCTCAGCTACTCAGGAGGCTGAAGCAGGAGAATCACTTGAACCTGGCAGGCGGAGATTGTTGTGAGCCAAGACCGCGCCACTGCACTCCAGCCTCAGCAACAAGAGCAAAACTCTGCCTCAAAAAAGAAAAAAAAAGAAAAAAAAAAAAACCTTCTAGCAATGGAAGCATTCACTGAATAGGCTATTTTAGGAGGTAGTGAGTTCCCTGTCAGTGGGGCAAATGGAGACCAAATAGCCAGTTTTTAGGGGTGTGATAGAGGAGGGAAGGCAGCAGGAAGAGGGTTGGATTTAGCAAGTTAACGTCCTGCTTAACTCTCCCTTCCAGCTCTGAGTCTCTGAGATTCTTTTTTTTAATGGAGGCAGAGGCTGGCTCTCTCACCCAGGCGGGAGTGCAGTGGCATGATCCCAGCTTACTGCAACCTCTGCCTCCCAGGTTCAAGTGATTTTCCTGCCTCAGCCTCCTGAGTAGCTGGGATTGCAGGCATGTGTTACCATGCCCCTGGGTAATTTTTTGTATTTTTAGTAGAGACGGAGGTCTCACCATGTTGCCCAGGCTGATCTCAAACTCCTGAGCTCAGGTAATCAACCCACCTCAGCCTCCCCAAGTGCTAGGATTACAGGTGTGAGCCACCGCACCCGGGCCCAGCTCTGAGATTCTTTCATTTTTTTTTTTAATTAACACTGTGTCTCATCCACAACAAGACGTGTACACAATGTTCACAGCAGTTTTATACCTAATAGACTCAAGCTAGAAACAACGGAAATACCTTGAACAGGTAAATGGATAAACTGTAACAAGGCCCATATGGAATAATATGCAGCAATGGAAAAGATCCAACTCCTGATACACACCAAAGGGATGAATCTCAAAAACACAATGATGAAGGAATTAATATAGCCTCAAAAATGCACACAGGAGGCTGTAGAACAAGCTAATCTAGAGTGAGAGAGAGCAGATCAGTGGTTGCCCAAGGTGGGGGATGCAGCTGAATGACTTTAAAGGGGTACAAGAGGTGATAGACATAGTCCCTGTCTTGATAGCAGTGATGGTTACATGGTTGTCGTGGGTGTATACATTTGTCAAAATGTATGGAACTACATGACCACAATAGTTGCATTTAATTGTATGTAATTTACAAAAACAAAGCTGATTTTTTTAAAGCATACTTTGTACCCACAATGATTCATGGCCACTTTCATTCATTTGAAAAAACAAATTTTAAGCTTTTCTTTTCTTTTATTATATCTTGAGACAGGATCTCACTCTGTTGCCGAGGCTGGAGTTCAGTGGCATAATCATAGCTCACTGCAGCCTTGACCTCTTGGGCTTGAGTGATCCTCCCACCTCAGTTTCCCAAGTAGCTGGGACCACAGGCATACACCACCGTACCCAACTAATTTTTAAATTTTTCGTAGAGACAAGGTCCCACTATGTTGCCCAGGCTGGTCTTGAACTCCTGGACTGAAACAATCCTCCCGCTTGGGCCTCTGGAAGTGCTGGGATTACAGGCATGCGCCACTGGGCCCAGCCTAAAGTGTTTTTCAAACATCAAAAGTTGCCTCCTTTTTCCAGGACTCTGTGATGTGGTGAGCTGGCCTTATTCACCTTCTCCATACCTTTCGAGGATTTGGATGCGTCTCTTGCACCTATCTTAGCCGTCTTTCTTCCATCCTGAAGAGACATGCATCTCTGTGGTGGCTCCTCCCTCCCCAAGGTCATCGTGGCTGACTTGGGACCTTTCCCAGCTCTGTGTGTCTGTCTTGAAACACAGTTTATCTTCTCTCCATTGGTGCATCCCATAAGTAAGTATTGAGTACTGACTGTGTAGGATGCACCCCTTGCTTATGAGTAGCTCACTGTGCATGACGCAAACATTGAACAGATCATTTTAATGCACTTTCCACAGGTCTGAGCAGAGTTGGGGTGATTCATTCTGAGCAGTCATGGCCCGGTGCATGGTTGTGTGAGGTCTCCTAGAGAAGGGGGCCTTTGAGTTGGGATGTAAAGGGTGCTGGGAATTTGCAAGGTAGTGCTACTTGCTATCTTGCAAATTCTACCTTTAAATTCCACCCTTTAAATTCCAGCTCAATGGAGGCCTTTAAGTTGGGATTTAAAGGGTGCTGGAAATTTGCAAGATAGAGGTACTTGCTGTGGAGGGAAAGACGATATTCAGAAGCACAGTTACACAAGTTAAGAGGATGGCCAGGAGCAGTGGGTCACACCTGTAATCCCAGCACTTTCGTGAGGCTGAGGCAGGAGGATCACTAGAGCTCAGGAGTTCAAGACCAGCCTGGCCAACATGGTGAAACCTCATCTACTAAAAATACAAAAATTAGCCAGGCATGGTGGCGGGTGACTGTGATCCCAGCTGCTCGGGAGGCTTAGACAGGAGAATCGCTTGAACCCAGGAGGCAGAGGCTGCAGTGAGCTGAGATCATGCCACTGCACTCCAGCCTAGGCCACAGAGCAAGATTCCATCTAAAAAAACAAAAAGTTAAGAGGAGCCACCAGTACTGGGGTGCAGGGTTTGGGGAGGAAATGATGGAAG
This sequence comes from Homo sapiens, assembly GCF_000001405.40. NCBI lineage: Eukaryota > Metazoa > Chordata > Mammalia > Primates > Hominidae > Homo > Homo sapiens. Next base: position 3,282,846 of record NC_000007.14, on the reverse strand, counting down.
ATGAGGCATTTCGAAAGCAATGGAATAATGAACTCTGTCCTCCAATGACCTGATGCCCTGCCTGCTAAGGTCCAGCATTCTGATCTCATCTCAGCTGACATGTTCCAGCAGGACTGCACAGGGCCTTCTCGCTCCTTCCTTGGGTTGCAGCTGACATCTCCAAGTTATTTTTCCCTGGCTGCATTTCCAGGGTTTGCCTCAGAGAAGCTTATTCGCCACTTCCCTGCTCACACGCTCAGCCCGGAACACCTCCTAATGTTGGTCTCCACTGGCCTCACATCCTACCACCCGGGAAGGTCCAAGGTCATGTGCTGCGTCAGTGACTTCACTGGGCACATTTTCTTCCAGAGCATTTGCAAAAACATCACAAGATCACTTGCAGTGCTCCACACCAGGGTCCCCACAGATGAAACTGTTCCTGCCAGAGTGGCCTCTTTATTATTCCCTGTCTCTAAGTCATTTTTAGATTCATTGAATAAGCCCATAATGCTCACTGCATAATATCCTAACTAAAGGCTTTAAAATAGATTTGAGGACCAGGTAGAATACAATGGCTTAAGTCTCTAAGTCCCAGCTTCTCATGAGGCTGAGACAGGAGGATCACTTATGCCCATGAGGTTGAGGCTGCAGTGAGCTGTGATCGTGCCACTGCACTCCAGCCTGGGCAACAGAACGACACCCTGTCTCTTAATTAATTAATAATTAATTAAATACAGAATGAAAAGACATCACTAATGCACAGTAATTTTCATTACTGTTTTTCAGGGTGCTTTAGAAACAGCAGGACCCCAGGCCAACTGAGTCAGAATTTAGGGATGGTTTGAGAGTCTACTGTTCAACCAATACTGAAAACCAGTGCCTCACACCAAATCCCCCCAGACAGAACCACCCAGTGGGGAAGTGAGGTTGGTGGGGCGGGGTCCCAGCTTAGCGCCTTCTCAGCTGTGAGATCCAGGCCAGGTCCCTTTCCCTCCATGAGCCTCGGAATCCTCTACGGAATGAGGAGTACATTTTGTGCTTTACAGGTGATGACAATCTCTGCCTTGTCAAAGGCTATTGGATCATAATAAGCTCTACAAATATCATTGTTCTTTTATTTTGCGAATTTCTTTTCCTGAGAGCTTTTGAGATCGTTTCAGAAGTGGGACTCTATCTAGGTAATGTTTTCGCCTTTCTTCTCATGGCATTTATCTTTCTCTGCGTTGCCTGACTCTCATTTGTGTGTTGGGATCTTCCTCCCCTAAGATGCTGGGTATACCTTAAGAGCAACAAGTGGCCCTTCGTCTTAATTTTTTTGGGAGACAGGGTCTTGCTCTGTTGCCCAGGCTGGAGTGCAGTGGTGAGATCATAGCTCACTGCAGCCTCAACCTCCTAGGCTCAGGCAATCCTCCCACCTCAGCCAATTCAGTAGCTGGGGCCACAGGCGCACACCACCATGCCTGGCTAATTTTTCAATTTTTTGTAGAGACAGAGTCTCACTATGTTGCCCAGGCTGGTCTTACACTCCTGGCCTCAAATGATCCTCCGCCCTTCATCTTTTATCCTTGGAGGTCAGCACAGTGCTCGGCTCCCTGGCTCCCCAAAGTATTTGTGAAATGAAAGCAAAATCGCTTGATGGGTAGTCGCTGAGTAAATGTAGCCTGCCCAAAAATATCCCCTGCAAATACTTTTTGCATAACAATGGCATTGAAGGCTGAAGAGGCCAGAGAAGTCTTTGTGAATTGTTAACCGTCTTATGTCTCCGGGGAAATGGCTTGTTCCTTCTGAATGATGGCCCAATTAACAAGGGGTTATGGTTGTAGCAATAGGGACATTTCTTTCATTACACAAACATTTATTGAATTTCTACGATGCATCAGACACAGTTTAAGGGTCAGAGAATCAGACAAGAATAAATCCCTGTCCTCAGAGAACTTACGGCTTGGAATATACACAGGGAAACAATGAATTAGGATACAAACGATCCTTCTGAAGTCACATCTCAGCTAAGAGAGGATATATTACAAGAGTTTAAAAAGATCTGCCATTTATTACTGTGGATTTTCTAAACTTATAATAACATGGGAGAAAGCCAGCGAATGTGGGTTAAGTATGTGATCAAGATTGATGAAGCATCTGTTAGAGAGGCCAAAAGGAAAGCCTTGTTGCCTTCTTAAGAAAATAATTGGAAGAGACAGAAGCTGACCTATTCAATGAGACATTAGGTAACCAGAGAGCAGATAAACTAAACAAAGCCAGGCTGCAGATCCCAATGCCAGGAGCCTCCATAACAGGGTGGCTTGAACAGCTCCTTGGCAGCAAATGGAGATCTTGGCATAGCTGGCATCGCAGAGAACTGGTGGCAGGAGAACAATTGATGAGATGAGCTTCTAGGCCAAAAACCGCCCAAGAAAAAGAGGAACATGGCCGGGCATGGTGGCTCACGCCTGTCATCCCAGCACTTTGGGAGGCTGAGGTGGGCAGATCACCTGAGGTCAGGAGTTCGAGTTCAAGACCAGCCTGGCCAACATGACGAAACCTCGTCTCTATTAAAAATACAAAAATAAGCCGGGCATAGTGGCATGAGCCTGTAGTCCCAGCTACTCAGAAGGCTGAGGCAGGAGAATCGCTTGAACCCGGGAGGCAGAGGTTGCAGTGAGCCAAGATTGCACCACTGCACTCCAGCCTGGGTGACAGAGCAAGACTGTCTCAAAAAAAAAAAAAAAAAAAAAGAAAGAAAGAAAGAAAAAAAAAAAGAGGGACAGGCAAATGGAAGGAGAAACCCTGCTTGGAGAAGGATGACATAAACATCAGGGGAGCCCCTGCACCTGCCCCACTGAAGGATGCACTAGGGGATCCCAGGACTGGACATCCTAACTCAAGTCCTAGAGGGAATTTGCTGCACTCCTCACCCACACCTCCATCCTCCACGCACACTGCCAGGCACCCGTCGGGACGGCAGGGTGGAGAGAAACGTTAACTGGGAGCAGCCATGTGGCCACGGGAGTCCCGGGATTGATGGCGACCATTGATTTCCCACTGCCTGGCCATGGGCCGGACAAATTGCTCATTGAACAGAAAGTCAAGGCCAAGTGGCTTTAAAAGTCAGTGGCTCTTAAGAAAAAAAGAAATTCAAATTTATGGAAAAGTGTAAACACTAGTACAATGAACACATATACCTTTCTCCTAGTGTTAACAGTTTAACACTTAACAGTGTTGACAGAGCGAAGTGCTTAAGTGTTAACAGTTGGTCATCCCCTCCCTGTCTCTCTACCGTCTCCCTCTCTCCCCTTTTCTCTGTCTCCCTCTCTCTCCCCTCTCTCCCTCCTCCCCCATCTTTCCCTCTCCTTCCTCTCTGTTTCTCCCACTCCCTTCCCCTCTCTTTCTCCCTCCCTCTCTCTTTCCCTCTGCTCTGTCTCCCCTTCTCTCTCTTCCTTTCTCTCTTTCCCTCCCTCTCTCCCTCCTTCCTCTCTCTCCCCTTTCTTCACTCTCCCTCCCTCTTTCCCTCCCTCTCTCTTTCCCACTCTCTCTTCCCCTCTCTCTCCCCCAACTCTGACTATCTCTGTCTCCATCTCTCTCTCTCTCTCCCTCCCTTCCCCTCTCTCTCCCTCTCTCTCTCCTCTCTCTCTTTCTCTCTCCTCCTCCTCTCTCCCTCTCCCCCCTCTCTCTTCCCCTCTCTTTCTCCCTTCTCAGTCTCTCCCTTTGTCTTCCATGAGATGTCTATTTTGGTAGCAGAGGCTGTGAGCCCAGCCTTCAGAATAGATCCTAAATCTGACCACTCTCAGCACCACCTTAACACCCGGCACTGTCCTCATCTCCTCTCACCTGCACTGTTACCACCGTTCTTGCTTTCATTCTGGTCCCTGTACAAGTCTGTTCTTCATGCAGTTTCCAGAAAAATTCTTCTAGAATGAGCTTGTCCAACCAATGGCCCACAGGCCACATGTGGCCCAGGGCAGCTTTGAATGCAGCCCAACACAAATTCATAAACTTTCTTAAAACATTATGAGATTTTTAGGCCAGGCGTGTTGGCTCACGCCTGTAATCCCAGCACTTTGGGAGGCCCAGATGGGTGGATTGCTTGAAGTCAGGAGTTCAAGCCTGACCAACATGGTGAAACCCCATCTCTACTAAAAATACAAAAATTAGCCAGCTGTGGTGGTGCATGCCTGTAATCCCAGCTACTCGGGAGGCTGAGGCAGGAGAATCACTTGAACCCGGGAGGCGGAGGTTGCAGTGAGTCAAGAACGCGTCACTGCATTCCAGTCTGGATGACAGAGTGAGACTCTGTTTCAAAACAAACAAACAAACAACAACAACAACAACAAAAAACATTATGAGTTTTTTTTACATTTTTCATTTTTAGCTCATCAGCTATCATTAGTGTTAGTGCATTCTGTGTATGGCCCAAGACAATTCTTCTTCCAGTGTGGCCCACGGACACCAAAAGATTGGACACCCTGTTCTAGAAGGTAACAAGATGATGTCATTCCCTATTCTCAACTGTATAGTGGCCCCCAGAACACTTAGACCTGCTCTGTGCAAGAGGATAACAACCATAAGTGGCTATTGAGCACTTGAAACATGGCTTGTATGCTTTTAAAAACAAATTCTATTTGAAGTTCTTTGAGAAATCTCCAAACGACTTTCTACAGTGGCTGAACTCATTTCCATCCCCACCACCCATCTGCTTATACCAACAGTGTGTAAGCATTCCCTTTTCTCTGCAGCCTCACCAGCATCTGTTGTTTTTTGACCTTATTAATAGTAGCTGTTCTGACTGGTGTGAGATGGTATCTCATTGTGGTTTTGATTTGCATTTCTCTGTTGAATAGTGATGATGGGAGTTTTTTCATATGATTATTGGCTGCTTGTATGTCTTCTTTTGAGAAGTGTCTGAACTACCATTTGACCCCGCAAGCCAATTACTGGGTATATACCCAGAAAAACAGATCATTATGCCAAAAAGATGCATGCACATATATGTTCATCACCACGTTATTCACAATAGCAAAGACATGGGATCAACCTAGGTTCCCATCAGTGGCAGACTGGATAAAGAAAGTGTGGTACATATATACCATGGAATAGTATGCAGCCATGAAAAAGAATGAAATCATGTCCTTTACAGCAACATGGATGGAGCTGGAAGCTGTAATCCTAAGCAAATTAATGCAGGAACAGAAAAGCAAATACTGCTTATTATCACATATAAATGGGAGCCAAACATTGACCACTCATGGACATAAAGATGGGAACAGTAGGCACTGTGGACTACTAGAAAGAAGAGGAAGGATGCGGGGGCATTGAAAAACTACCATTGGGTACTATGCTCACTACCTGGGTGCAATATACCCATGTACAAACCTGCACGTGTACCCCCCATATCTAGAATAATAGTTGAAATTTAAAAACAAAAAACAAAAAGCAAGTTCTATACAGACTCATCAAAGCAGAATGAAAACAAGAATGTCAATGTTGTCACCTTAAAATTTGACAAATACTTCCAATTCACGTATAACAATCATGAAAAATTGTCATCAATCTGAAAATAATGAATTATTACAAGACATATGAAGAAATAAAGAAAAAAAGCAATGTGGCTTGGTGCAATTGAGGAAATATTTAAGTCAGTTTTATTTTTAATTAATTTAAATTTAAAAATTGGTGTCCAGTTTTATTATTTGAAACTGTTTAAGTACAATTGGAACAACCTGGGTATGTGAATCTACTTTTCACCATAAACTTAAGAAATCCAAATATTGCTTAAGCATTTCTGATAAAAATTTAGGCCGGCCTTGGTGGCTCAAGCCTGTAATCCCAGCACTTTGGGAGGCCAAGGCGGGCGGATCAAGAGGTCAGGAGATCGAGACCATCCTGGCTAACACAGTGAAACCCTGTCTCTACTAAAAATACAGAAAATTAGCTGGGTGTGGTGGCGGGCGCCTGTAGTCCCAGCTACTCTGGAGGCTGAGGCAGGAGAATGGCGTGAACCTGGGAGGCAGAGATTGCAGTGAGCCGAGATCGCGCCACTGCACTCCAGCCTGCGCAACGGAGCAAGACTTCATCTCAAAAAAAAAAAAAAAATTTAATACCTGAGTTAGGAAGTTTTCTTTTTTTCCTTTATTTTTATTTTTAGTTGAGAAGTTCTGTAAGTATAAAAGTATGCACCAGATTTTGAAGAAATTTTATTTTTAAAATAGTTAAATATATCTCGTAATTTTTTTACATTGATCACATGTTGAAATGTTAACATTTTAGATATACTGGCTAAACAACATATTATTTAAATTATTTTACCTCTTGTTTTTCTTCTTCTTCTTCTTCTTCTTTTTTTTTTTTTTTTTTTCCTGAGACGGGGCTTGCTCTGTCACCCAGGCTAGATGGAGGGCAGTGGCACGTTCATAGCTCACTGCAGCCTCAAACTCTTGGGCTCAAGCAATCTTCATACCTCACCTGGAACTAAGGCATGGCCCACCGAAACTGGCTAATTTTTAAAATTTTATTACAGATGGAGTCTCACTACATTGCCCAGGCTGGTCTTGAACTCCCGGGCTCAAGCAATCCTCCTGCCTTGGCCCCCAAAAGTGCTGGGATTACGAGTGTGCCCTACTACACCAGGACAATTTTTTAAATTTTTAGTAGAGAGGAGGTCTCACTATGTTGCCCAAGCTGGTCTTGAACTCCTAAACTTAAGCAATCCTTCTGCCTTGGCCTCCCAAAGTGCTAGGATTACAGGCATGAGCCACTGCGCCCAACCTTACCTCTTTCTTTTTGTTTTTTTCACAATGTGGCTTTTGGAAAAGTTTAAGTTACATACAGAACATCATGTTCTGTTCTTCTCAGGCAGCATCAGCTTAGAGTAAAATCCAATGTTCTGGCTCCCGTCCTTCTCTGACCTTGTCTCCTAAGTCTGTCTCCACAATTAACTGGTACAGTTGTCCAGGTGTGTCCTGAACAATGATGTCAGTGGTAATTAGTCTACCCAGAAAGGGCACCTTTTTCTAACAAACGTAATTGTACCATATGGGCTAAAAGCTGCCTAGACTCACTCCTCACGTTCACGCCATCCAGCTGGCCTTGCTTTCTTAGATCACGCCAATCTCTTTCCTGCTTCAGGGCCTTTGGACTTGTTGTAGCATCTCCCTGGAATACTCTTCATGGGCTTACTCCCTGACTCTGTGTAGATCTCTGATTGAAAGTCAATTCTTCAGAAAGGCCTTCTGCCAGGCTTAGTGGCTCACACTTAGAATCCCAGCACGTCGGGAGGCCAAGGCAGGACAATCACTTGAGCCCAGGAGTTCAAGACCAGCCTGGACAACATAGGTAGACCCCGTCTCTACAAAAATTTAAAAATGTGTTGGGCATGGTGGTGCATGCCTGTAGTCCCAGCTACTTGGGAGGCTGAGGTGGGAAGATTGCTTGAGTCTGGGAGGTTGAGGCTGCAGTGAGCCATGATTGTGCCACTGCACTCCAGCCTGGGACACAGAGTGAGACCCTGTCTCCAAAAAACATTTAAAAATTTTTAAGAAGGAAAGAAGGAAGCAAGGAAAAAAGGAAGGCCTTCTATGAACCCTTTCCCGATATGATTTGGCTGTGTCTCCACCCGAATCTCATCTTGAACTGTAGCTCCCACAGGTCCTGGGAAGGACCTGGTGGGAGGCAGTTGAATCTTGGGGGTGAGTCTTTCCTGTGCTCTTCTCCTGATAGTGAATAAGTCTCATGAGATCTGATGGTTTTATAAGGGGGAGTTTCCCCACAAAAATTCCCTCTTGTCTGCCACCATGTAAGACGTGCCTTTTGCCTTCCACCATGATTGTGAGGCCTCCTCAGCAAAGTGGAACTGTGAGTCCATTAAATCTCTTTTGTTTTTTAATTTTTTTGCTGGAGTTTTTGCTCTTGTTGCCCAGGCTGGAGTACAATGGCGTAGTCTCAGCTCACTGCAACCTCTGCCTCCCAGGTTCAAGCAATTCTCCTGCCTCAGCCTCCCGAGTAGCTAGGATTACAGGCATGCACCACCACGCCTGGCTAATTTTCCATTTTTAGTAGAGACAGGGTTTCTCCGTGTTGATCAGGCTGGTCTCGAACTCCCGACCTCAGGTGATCTGCCGACCTCGGCCTCCCAACGTGCTGGGATTACAGGTGTGAGCCACCATACCCAGCCTCCATTAAACTTCATTTTCTTTATAAATTACCCAGTCTCAGGTATGTCTTTATTAGCAGCATGAGAACAGACTAATACACCTTACAATCACTTATGACTACCTATCACCTTTTGTGTTCATCTTGTCTAAAATGGCACCCAACCTCCCCACGCCATTTGTTCTCAGAGGACTTACTGCCTCTAGAAGTTATATTATTTATGTATTTACTCACTTGTTTGTCTCGCCCACTGAAATGTAAGCTTATGAAGTGGGAGCTTTGTCTAATTCACCAGTATATTCTCAGTGCCAAAAACAGTGGTAGCACTAGAAAGGCTGTTGACTGAATGAACAGATTCCTGTCTCAAAGGGTGGTTGGCAGCACTTACTGAGGCACAGGGTGTGAAAGTGCTTTGTAAATAGTTTAGATCACTGAAAGAAAAAAAAAAAGACAAGTTGTTCAAACAGAAGTAGAGAATCCTTTGAGGCAAAGCCAGACATAATTGGCCAAGACTTTGTTGTGTAGCTTGCAAGAGATTCTCAAACCAATTGCATGAGAAAAGACCTTTCAGTGATATTGAAGAGGAAAGACTTCTAGAGACTCAGCAAGAAACTCATCGTGAGGTTGCATTGATCTGGACATTGGCTGCAATCTACAGGACCTCAACTCACACTAGCTCAGGCAAAAAAAAAAAAAAAAAAAAAAAAAAAAGAAAAAGAATTATTGGCTCATATGCCTGGAAAGGCAAGGGATAGAGCTGATTTGGGAGACCACAGATGCTGAGTTCTCGGGATGACACTCTCCTAATCATGCCCTATGTCTCTCTTCCCCCCTATCTCTTGCTTCTCATTCTCTGTGCTTATTGGCATCATTCTTATGTGCTTCAAACATGTCTCTCCATTGGAAAACTGAGAAAAGGGTCAGGAGTAGCTCTGGAATTGTCCATATGATCAGAAACAGCATCCCCCATGGGCTCCAGTTAGAAACATTTCAGGGAAGCTTCTAGTGACCCATCCCTGGGCTAATTTCTGTGGCCAAGGAGGATGTGTACTGTGATTGGTGATCTCCAGTGCAACTACCATGATGGCGTGTGGAGGAGATCATTTCCCCAAAGAGAGACAAAGTGGTACTGGCCAGACAAGCTTCACAGGTGGGAAGTGATGGAGACAGCACTTCAGCTCTTGTCAGCCTGACTCTAATGCCGATACTCTCATTCACTAAGCAACACAACCTGCTGATCACAGTATAAGGTCAGTATCCTGCAAGGAGAGCACAAACCACCAACTCAGTTGCTCACTCCATTTTTGGAAAGGATGGTGTAACTAATAGATGTTCCCTGCAGAGGAAAGAATAAAAAGAAAACAGTTAATGGATTGAATGGACTTCTAGCCTGGGTCTACAGAGGCTATTTGAATAGCCTCTACACAGACAGGTACTAGATCACACCGTGGTCAATACCAGGATGTTCTAAGCCAGATTGGAAAGAATGAAGTGCAGATCAATCACTGCAAGCAGATGGCATCCACCTGAGAGAGCTGCAGGAGCTCATGGATGAAACTGGGATGGTTGATTGGCAGGAATGTGGGAACTGTCAGCCCAGAAGGCCACTATAGTGGAGAGGATGTCAGCTCACAGATGTGACCCTGGCCATAAGAGTGGCTCAGAGGGGCCTGGGGAATTACAGCGCAGATGAGTCAGCTCTCAGCCACCATCTGGACCAAGCTGGTGGCAGTTGAAATAAAAGAGAGAAGCCTGTGGACTTAAAAATAACCTACAGGGCAGGGAATGAATGGAGAGTGGGAGAAAGAGCTGCCACGCAGGTGCTGCCCAGAGAAATCATACTTGATGGCTGTGCTAGAGTCTTCCAAGGCCCAAGAGGGTGAGTCAGTGTGTGTACAAAGGAAAACTGATGGATCTAATTTCTACATGGGAGATGTACAGCAAGCAGCCAATTTATCTGGAAAACAGTACATTTTCTGAGTCATACTGTCCTGGCTCAAATCCCAGCTCTGCCACCAACTTACACTTTGTGAACTTGGTCTGGTTGCAAACCTTGCCTGAGCTTCATTCTCCTCACCTGTAAAATTAGGATAATCACACCTCACTCCAAAGGCAGTTCTGAGGATTAAAACTGATAAGAAAAGTACCTAGCAGGAGGGTCATAAGTGAGAGCAAGGATTATCTACCATATCTGAACTGATGAGTAGTATAGCTGAATTCTATAGAGCCCTGGGGTCTCTGGAAGCAGAGCCTTTGGGGCCTCTGCAGAGGGTCATTGGAGAGATCAGGAAACAAGGGTCCAGCCCCCTTACCTGTTTCCCCTCAAACAGTTCTACTTGTAATTATTTTCTTCATAAGATTTCGGCCAGGCACGGTGGCTCACACCTGACATCCCAGCACTTTGGGAGGCTGAGGCGGGTGGATCACTCGAGGTCAGTAGTTCGAGACCAGCCTGGCCAGCATGGTGAAACCCAATCTCTACTGAAAATACACAAAAAAATTAGCCGGGCATGGTGGCGTGCACCTGTAATCCAAGCTACTCAGGAGGCTAAGGCAGGAGAATTGCTTGAACTCGGGAGGCAGAGGTTGCAGTGAGCCGAGATCGCGCCACTGCACTCCAGCCTGGGTGACAGAGTGAGAAACCATCTCAAAAAAAAAAAAAAAAAAAGATTCCTTTTGTGAAAAAGTATATCATGGTGGGATTCTCTGTCCCCTCACCTTCCATTCCATCCTTACTGCTTGTGGAGGTCATTTAACATAATTAATGATGGTTCTACTTAAATGCAATACAAGTTCATTTGCTTCTAGATTTACCACCCCAAAGACTCTAAACCACTTGCACCATTAGTGAGTGGCTGGGAGTGTGGGCTTTAGAGCTAGACTGCCTGGGTCTAAGTCCTAGTTCCGCCTTTACTAGCTGTGTCATCTTAAGGGAGTTATTTAATGGTTCTATGGCTCAGTTTCTTCATCTGTAGAATGGGGTAGATCATCCTAATAATACTTGGCTGATAAGGACTTCCTGAGCTAATACATGCAAACCACTACAAATGATGCCTTACACTGTTAACTGCTGCTGTCATCATCATTATCACAACTACATCATCACCACCACCATTACCAGCACGGCCACCATCATCTTCACCACCACCACCACCACCACCATCATCACCACCATGATTATCATCATCATCACCATCATTATCACCATCATCATCATCTTCATTATCATCACCATCATCACCACAACCACTATCACCAGCACTACCACCATGATCTTCACCATCACTATCATCTTCATCATCACCCCAACCATCATCATCACTACCACTACTACCATCATCTTCATCACCACCACCACCTTTATCATCTTCATCATTATCACCACCGTGATAGATAATATTGAGAGTCAACTTGATTGGATTGAAGGATGCAAAGTATTGTTCCTGGGTGTGTCTGTGAGGATGTTGAGTCAGTGGACTGGGAAAGGCAGATACACCCTCAATCTGGGTGGGCCCAATCTAATCAGCTGCCAGCAAGGCCAGAATAAAAGGCAGAAAAAATGTCAAAAGACTAGACTGGCTTAGCCTCCTAGCCTAAATCTTTCTCCCATGCAGGATGCTTCCTGCCTTTGAACATCAGACTCCAAGTTCTTTAGCTTTGAGACTCAGCCTGGCTTCCTTGCTCCTCAGCTTGCAGACAGCCTATTGTGGGACCTTGTGATTGTGTGAGTCAATACTCCTTAATATATATATTAAAGAGTACTTATATACTCCCATATATATATATTCTATTAGTTCTGTCCCTATAGAGAACCCTGTCTAATACATACACCAGCATCATCATCATCATTATCATTACCACCACCATCATCATTATCACCATCATCTTTACCATTATGATCACAACCATCATCACTATTTTATTGTCGCCACAACCACTACCATCATCACCACCACCATTATCATCATCATCATTATCACCACCATCATAATCATCTTCATTATCTTCCTCACCACCACTATCATCATCATTACCACCACCATCAGTATGATCATCATGAACATCATCATCCTCACCACCACCATCATTATCTCCACATCATCATCACCATCATCATCTTCATTATCATCACCAACATCATTGCCATCATTATCTTTACCATCATCATCATCACCACCAACACAAATATCATCATCATGAATATCATCATCCTCACCACCACTATCCTTATCACCACCATCATCATCACCATCATCATCTTCATTATCATCATCACCACCAACATCATTGCCATCATTATCTTAACCATCATCATCTTCACCATCATCATCACCACCACCACCACAATATCACCATCACCACCACCATCACTACCACTACACCCACAGAAATTTGTGGCAATCTCCCTTGCTCTCCAGAATAGAACAAAGAAAGGCTGAGGTGGGAGGATTGCTTGAGCCCAGGAGGTCAAAGCTGTAGTGAACCATGATCACTGGGTGACAGCACAAAACCCCATCTCAAAAAATACAAAATGTATATATATATATGGTTTCCTGACTTTGTCAGGAAAAAGTCAGTTTCCCTGACTTTGACTGTGCAGGAAATCAGAAGTTGGTGGTCAAGACCCTGGTTTGGGAGTGGGTAGAAAAGGGAAGATGAAGGGCAGCCTGGGGAAGATAGGGTCCTCTATATCCTATATCTGAGGCCATTTCTGCAAAGCCTCAAAGACGACCTGAGGAGGAAGGGGCTTTTTTTTTTTTTCTTTTCTTTTCTTTCCTTTTTTTTTCTTTTCTTTCCTTTTTTGTCTTCTTTCCTTCCTTCGTTCCTTCCTTCGTTCCTTCCTTCCTTCCTTCCTTCCTTCCTTCTCTCTCTCTCTCTCTCTTTCTTTCTTTCTTTCAGGGTCTCACTCTGTGGCCCAGGCTGGAGTGCAGTGGCACAATCATGGCTCACTCTAGCCTCGACCTCTTGGGCTCAAGTGATCCTCCCACCTCAGATTCCCAAGTAGCTGGGACTACAGGTGTGCAACAGCATGCCCAGCCTGAAAGGGCTGTTTTCTGTGTTGCACATTCCCTGGGCTGATATTCACAATCAGCTACAAGATGCTCGAGTACTTTTTCTGGTCTTAATCTACAAATTCACACTCTTCTGGATGTCTAGTGGTAGCACAACAGCAGGGTAACAGGGTTTCACTGCTGCAAAAAAGTTTGAAAAATACCTACTTGAACTTTCATGACTTCGAGGAATTTGGAGATAATTGAACTACCAATTGATTGAAATGGGAGCTACAGTGACACAATCAGAGAATACTAAAGAGCAAAAAATAAATGCCAGGGATGAAGGGACAGAGACTTTTTTTGATAGGGATGTGTCAAGAGTAAGATTTCTGAAAGATCAGTGCCAGCCCTGGTTTTATTTAATATTCTTTTACAAGAGCTGGAAGAGGTGGGACTGGGGGGAGCAGAGAAAGCTCTGGGTTTGCAGATGAAAGGATGAGGGTTGGGCAAAGGATGACAGGAAAACAGAAAGATCTGAAGACTCTGTATCAGTGGGAAGGAAGGAGGGAGATGAGATCAAATGTGAGTAAGTTCAAGGCGATGTGTTTAAGAAAATGGGAGCTCTTGGAGACTGGCCCTGAGCACGCTGTCTCGGCAGAGTCACGGGCTCCAGACATCACCAAGAAGGATATTAAAAACATAATGGGAAGGTGGCTCTTTTCTTTTTTGAAACGGAGTGCTGCTCTGTCGTCCAGGCTGAAGTGCAATGGCACAATCTCGGCTCGCTGCAACCTCCGCCTTCCAGGTTCCAGCAATTCTCTCACCTCAGCCTCCCGAGTAGCTGGGATCACAGGCATGTGCCACCACGCCCGGCTAATTTTTATATTTTTAGTAGACACACGGGTTTCACCATGTTGGCCAGGCTGGTCTCGAACCCCTGACTTTCAAGTGATCTGCCTGCCTCGGCCTCCCAAAGTGCTGGGATTACAGGCGTGAGCCATCACGCCCAGCCGGAAGGTTGCTCATGTTTTCACACATTAACTTCATTAGCACACCTTCCCTCCAATACCCTGTGTTTGGGGAGATGTTCTGAGCCCTCGCTCAGTGAGGCACAGCAACACCAAGACTGGGAAGATGAATTGGGGGTGGGGGGTAGGGCGTTAAGAGGGGAGCCCGCTGTCAGCTAAGTGGGCCATCTGGCTTGTTCAGTGCTAATGGCCTTGTTACCTTCCAGAGGATGACCTCAAGAGAGGATAAAAGCCATAATGCTGCTATCAATTCCCAAGATGCTACTCTATCAACTCAAGTGGTAGATGACTGTGGTTTTCTCTTTAGAAGGCTGGTGTGCCATCAACGGTCCCCCATGCTTAGTGGCAATGTTTGTGAGCCACAAATGCTTAGGATGAGCTGCTTTATAAGGCTGCTTCCTATTCTTGTGCCCTGTAGTTCAGCACCCAGGGTCGATTTCCCTGTTGTTTAGATTTCTAGTGTGAGCTCATTGCATGAATGACCCAAAAGGACTCTCTGACCAGCTGCCTCTCCCAAATGAGCTCATTCTGCCTTTTGCACTCCTCCGCGTTCATCCATAAGGCTGGGTTTAAGAGCAATGCAGACTTGGCTTTTCAACAATATTATGTGTCATCTAAATAAATACATTCACTAGGGAACACATGCTAAATATGATATTCCCGTGAGTCACGAAACAGCTGTGCTGGCCTCACAGTGATAAATCTGTTCCATCAGTAATAAGGATGGGAGAAGAAGGGAGCTAGATCACATTTCAGAGTGGGTGATCGCAAAAGAGGCAGGACGTGGTTACCTGCAACAGACCTTCAGCACCACTACAGAGAGCACATTGGCCCCAAAGCATAGCACCCAAATAAAATCTGTCCAGAGCCCGTGGAACTCAATACAGATTTGAAATTAATGCAGAGAGAGAGAGACAGGCAGAGAACATTCTACAAAGAAGAATGGGTAGATTTCCCTTTGCTTTGATTCCTATTATGGTTGATCTTGTTTTTAAATTAGTTATTTATTTAATTAAATTCGTTAATTTTATTTTATTTTGTTGAGATGGAGTCTTGCTCTGTCACCCAGGCTGGAGTGCAGTGGTGCAATCTTGGCTCACTGCAACCTCTGCCCCTCAGGTTCAAGCGATTCTCCTGCCTCAGCCTCCTGAGTAGCTGGGATTACAGGCATATACTATCATGCCAGGCTAATTTTTGTATTTTCAGTAGATACGGGGTTTCACCATGTTGGCCAGGCTGGTCTCAAGCTCCTGACCTCAAGTCATAAGCCTGCCTCAGTCACCCAAAGTGCCGGGATTACACGTGTGAGCCACTGTGCCTGGCCATATATATATATATATATATATATATATTTTTTTTTTTTTTTTTTTTTTTTTTTTTTGAGACGGGGTTTTGTGCTGTCATCCAGGCTGGAGTGCAGTGGTGTGACATGGCTCACTGCAGCTTTGACTTCCTGCGGTCAAGCAATCCTCCCACCTCAGCCTCCGAAGTAGCTGGGACCACAGGTGTGCACCATCACACCTGGCTCATTTTTTATTTTTAGTAGAGACAAGATCTCACCATGTTGCCCAGGCTGGTCTTGAACTCCTGGGCTCAAGCAATCCTCCTGTTGTGGCCTCCCAAAGTGGTAAGATTATAGACATGAGCCACTGAGCCCAGCCCTATTTTTATTTTTTATTTATTAGTTTTTTTTTTTTTTGAGACAGGGTCTCACTGTGTTGCCCAGGCTTGAGTTCAGTGGTGAGATCATAGCTCAATGCAGCCTTGAACTCCTGAATTCAAGCAATCCTCCTGTCTCAGCCTCCCAAGTAGCTGGGACTATGGGCGTGCACCACTAATCCCAGGTCTAAGATGCTAAGACCCCCTCGATGCTTGGCTAATTTTATATTTTGTAGAGACAGAGTCTTGCTATGTTGCCCAGGCTGGAGTGGAGGGGTCCAGTCTTGGCTCACTGCAGCCTCTGCCTCCCAGGTTCAAGCAATTGTCGTGCCTCTGCCTCCTGAGTAGCTGGGATTACAAGGGTGTGCCATCACACTTGGCTAATTTTTGTATTTGTAGTAGACACAGGGTTTCACCATATTGGCCAGGCTGGTCTCGAACTCCTGACCTCAAGTGATGTTCCCACCTCCACCTCCCAAAGCATTGGGATTACAGGCATGAGCCACCACACTGAGCCCAGTTAGGATTTTAAAAGATAAATGAAATCCAACACACTTCCCACTCACACCCCCACCACCACCCCTGCTAAGTGCTAGGGATCTTGGGTTCATAAACAAATGAGCTAATATTTGCAAAGCCACTTTGCAAAATTTAGAGTGCTACTGGCGGAGCTTAGCTGTCATTATTACCATATAACTGACCCTTTTAGAGTTGTGGCTGTCTCTGTGGACCTGGTGTGACAGTTGTCAGGGACCGGGAAGAAGGTAAAAGAGCGTTAGAATAAAGTCTAAAGCTTCTTACTTTCAAATGTCAGAGGATTGTAAAGAATGACTCTTGCTGTGGCCATGTTCAATGAATTCAAAATTCTGGAGGCGGAAAAAAAGAAGTCTATTTCATGTGACTTTCTCCAAATGGCAAGTTAGTTCTGCATTTCCCTAACCTAATTAATAGGAGGCCACCTATGTCACCAGGGAGAGAGGCTCACTCTACATTACCCTATTTTCCCGCTGAGCCCCGTGGAAGTGAAAATTTTGGGAGGGAATCTTTAAATCACACTAATACATTGCCTATTTTCTTCAAACACATTTTCAAGAACACTTTGAGACCATCCCCTGGAGAGAACCACAGGCAAAAGGTATAAGGATATTATCTTCAGTTGTTTAGAGAAGAGTTTTGAGGGAGATTATCCCAACAGGGGTGTCACCTTCAAATCTTAATCCTTTTAGACCTCAACAAACAGCCTACAGGTTCCCCTTTTCATAAGTCCGAGAATGCCTCTGGCCAAAGTGGCCTAAGGACATTTCAGAAGGAACAGGCAGTCAAGAGACCAGGTCTAAGATGCCAAGACTCCACTGATGGTCCAGCTATTCCCATAGCCCTGGCTTTCAGTTTTTATCTTCGTGTCCGCTGCTCATGAACCTCTGAAATGCATCAGCCGCGGAGAATTACATGCAGAAGGCACTGTCTTCTAATAAAAAATCTGAAATTAAATCCTTGCGTACTTTGATAGCATCTTTCAAAAGCAAAATTGCCTGCTCAATTATCCAGATAGCTCTTCCTGCCTATACAGAGAAAAATGACACACAACAGTGAATACGCTTTATATTTTTAGAGGCGTGTACCATGGAATATCTGTTAGTGTAATTAATTTAATTGAGTCATACCTACCAAGAAATTATTTAATTATATTGCTAGTTGAATAGGTGATAATGATGATAGTAAACTAACATTCTTTTTTAAAAACATTCTATTTATCGCCAGGTGATAGGAAGAGATTGAGAGAGGGATGGAAATCATTACTGAGAAGGCTTGAACAACCACAATTTACTGCGAACAGATAAAAACCAAACACCTCAGCCGTATTATCACCATAATTGTCTGCAGTTTACCCATCTTGTAAAATAAACGGATCATGAAATGTGAGAGCACGTTTCAAAACATACATAGAAGGTGTTAGAGTGATTATGGGTAGGCTGCCTGACTTAATGGTGAATTGTTTTTCTTTCAGTGGGAAGTGAAAAGGTATTAATTAGTAGTGATTTTGACAAGATTGGAAGTCCACGAACTTTGGCTTAGAGAGAACTTTGCAAAGGCACCTACATGCTGCAAAGAGAGTTGTTGTTGTTGTTTTTAGCTTTTAATGGCATTTTGTTGTTTGCTAATCCCTGGTGCAGGCACACACTTGCAGATCTCAGATTTGATAAACGTTCGAGTGCCTCAAGTTTTAACACGAAGCTTTTCTCTCCTAACTCCAGGTGGCAAAGGCAAAAGCTGGACTGCATTGTGTGGCCCCAGGGAGCTGCAGACAGAGGAACTGAGTCCTGGCCACTGTGCCTGCTGTCTCTTACAAGTTTAGAGATGCTGGCATTGCATCGAAATCGGACAACACTCCCTTCCCTCCCTTCCCAGGTACTCCATTCCCAACCTTTTCCACCAACAGGTCCTTATTCTCAGAAGCCAAAAATAATTTATTGGTTTCCACTGTTCTCCTTGGCTGAATCTTCAAGTACACCAACTCCCCCCTCTTCTGGACAGACTCTCCATAATTCAGCCAGCATCTAATCAGCACCTTGCTTCTCTTCCATTCTTCCTTTCTCCAGAGTCATGATTCTTCCTTCTCAAGTCAAAGAGGAATTACAAGCAAATAGACACTATCCTTGAATGCAGTTTGGGTTACACAGAATGGGGAATGAACTCAATCTCATTTTTGCTTCTTTGTTGAAATAAGCTCAGTATCTCCCTTGCACAGAGATTGAATCGGCTTCACTAAGGCAAGCAGCATTTCCTCTTTTCTCCCAGTCAGCATCGCAGCTCTCTGCATTCCCCTCTCGCAGAGGTGACTATTCATTGTGTTCTTTCCAGGAATGTTTTCTGAGCTTCAGGAGGCCCTGAGTTACCTGGATAATTAGTGCTGTCCTTTTGCACAATGCAAAAACAAAACTATTATGAGATAATTTCTTTAGCTAAGTTGGGAATGGGGTTTAAATGCGTGGGCAAATAGATCTGGCAGTCAAATTCAGACTGTCATATTTTGTGATCCACCCTCCCACCGATCATAGCATATAAGACTCTGATGAACTTCACCAGCAACAGGGAATTCTCCCTCCACTGCAGATAAAACAATGACAATATGGAAGTGAAAAATGAATAATTCAAAAATGGAATTCTCTGTGGGGCTCCGTGCAGTGTGTGTTTCTGTGTGTGCATGTGTTTTATACAAGTCTCTGTTACTTTTGTAGTTTGGATTGGACTTCCGTCGGTCCATTAATTTTGTTACTGGATCCCACCACTTACCCAAAATTAGCCTTTGGGTTGGGTGTTTCTGCAGTATAGTCCCTTCTGTGGACACCAGAAAGATATTACAGGAAAGGGGTCCTGATCAAGACCCCCAGAGACGGTTCTTGGACCTGGTTGGGAGGCCGAGGATCACTTGAGGTCAGGAGTTCGAGACCAGCCTGACCAACATGGTGAAACCCCATCTCTACTAAAAATACAAAAATTAGCCAGGTGGGCCAGGCACGGTGGCTCACGCCTGTAATCACGCCTGTCATCACAGCACTTTGGGAGGCCGAGACAGGTGGATCACCTGAGTTCAGGAGTTCAAGACCAGGCTGGCCAACATGGTGAAACCCTGTCTATACTAAAAAAACAAACAAACAAACAAAAAAAAAAACAAAAATTAGCTAGTCATGGTGGCCTGCACCTGTAATCCCAGCTACTCAGGAGGCTGAGGCAGCAGAATCCCTTGAACCCAGGAGGCAGAGGTTGCAGTAAGCCAAGCTCTAGCCTGGGCGACAGAGCTAGACTCCATAAAAAAAAAAAAAAAAAAAAAAAAAAAAAAAAAAAAAGAAGAAGAAGAAGAAGAAAGAAAGAATTAATTCATTAATTCAGGATGAGCCCGTAAAGTGAAAGCAAATTTATTAAGAAAGTAAAGGAATAAAGAACGGCTGCTCCATAGACAGAGCAGCCCCAAGGGCAGCTGGTTGCCCATTTTTATGGTTATTTCTGGAAGATATGCTAAACAAGGGGTGGACTATTCAAGCCTCTCGTTTTTAGATCGTATAGGGGAACTTCCTGACGTTACCATGGCATTTGTAAACACTCATGATGCTGGTGGGAGAGTGTAGCAGTGAGAATGACCAGAGGTCACTCTTGTTGCCATCTTGGTTTTGGTGGGATTTGCCTGGCTTCTTTACTGCAACATATTTTATCAGCAAGGTCTTTATGTCCTGTATCTTGTGCTGACCTCCTGCCTCATCCTGTGACTTAGAATGCCTAACCATCTGGGAATGCAGCCCAGTAGGTCTCAGCCGCATTTTACCCAGTTCCTCTTCAAGATGGAGGTGCTCTGGTTCAAATGCCTCTGACAATTTCACGGATGGATTCCAGGGACCTGTGAGCAGTCTCTGGAAGTCTTTGGCTAGGTGTGGTGGCTGACCAGGAACTGTGGCCCACCTTGTAGTTCCCACACATGGGGAAGCAGACAGGTAGAGTGTAACCCACCAACCACTGCACACGCAGGAAACAGATCCCATGTCAGGACGCTTTGTAAGTGCTGCATGCTTCCAGACCAGTGGAGAGAACCCATCAGCACGTATCTGTAGCCTTTACTTTTGCAAGAACATATCGCCGCATTGTTTGGTAATTTAACATTTTTGACAAAAACAACTTGAAAGAGATGATGTTAAAAAATGCTGGCAGGGAGCACACAGGATTTTTAGGGTAGTGAAACCTCTCTGTATGATCCTACAATGTCATTAGACATTTGTCCAAACCCAGAGAAAACACACCACAACCAAGAGTGAACCCTAATGTAAACTCTGGACTCTGGGTGATGATGATGTACAGTGTAAGGTTCATCAATTTTTTCTGTAAACCAAAAATAAAATTCTAAGTCCTCCAGCCATCTAAATGGACCCCTCCTCTTGGCCAAGAGCATTCCAAAGCTAACCTGAAAAAACTAGTTCAGGCCATGTTGGAAAGAGAAAGCCAGACATGCCTCATTATCCCCTCCTCCCTTTTGGAATTGCTGATAAAACAGACTCTTTAAGTCTGACAAGAAACATTTACAATCTATTCTCTCTAAAGCCTGATATCTACAGGCTTCATTTGCAGGATAAAACATTGATCTGGGCCAGGTGCAGTGGCTCAGGCCTGTAATCCCAGCACTTTGGAAGGCCGAGGCGGGCGGATCACAAAGTCAAGAGATCGAGACCATCCTGGCCATCATGGTGAAACCCTGTCTCTACTAAAAATACAAAAATTAACTGGGCGTGCTGTCACGCACCTGTCATCCCAGCAACTTGGGAGGCTGAGGCAGGAGAATCGCTTGAACCCAGGAGGTGGAGGTTGCAGTGAGCTGAGATCGTGCCATTGCACTCCAGCCTGGCAACACAGCGAGACTCCATCTCAAAAAACAAAACAAAACAAAACAAAACCTTGGTCTCCACAACCCTTTATCATAACCCAGACATTCCTTTCTACGGATAATAACTCTTTCAACCAATTGCCAATCAGAAAAATTTTAAATCTACCTATGACCTGGACGCCCCTGTTTCCAAGTTGTCTCACCTTCGCATCCTGAACCATTGCATATCTTGCCTGTATTGACTGATGTCTCATGTCTGCCTATGATGTATAAACCAATTGTACCCTGACCAGGTTGAGCACATGTCATCAGGACCTCCTGAGGCTGGGTCATGGGTATGTCCTTAACCTGGGCAAAATAAACTTTCTAAATTGATTGAGACTTGTCTCAGAGACTCTTGGTTTCCATTACAAATGTGCCACGATGGCAGGAATGTTGATAGCGTGGGAGGCTGTGTGTGTGTTGGAGAGGCAGACAGTATATGGGAATTCTCTGTACCTTCTGCTCAATTTTGCTGTAAACCTAAAACCACCCTAAAAAATAAAGTCTGTTAAAAAAGCAAACACATCAACAAAACTACAGTGGGTCATCCCACCACAAATCTTTGATGAAATGAGTTCAACTTAACCTTTTTTTTTATTAGCCATGCCATAAAATTTAAGTGTATTTTTGTTCTATTTAATGAAAAAAAAAAAGATGCTGGCAGTGAATGAGGGACAGGAATGAAGGGCACGTATAACAGGTAAACCTTAGACGCTTGTCTAAAAATAATACCTACATCTCCCTTTTCAGCTTTAATTATTTTAACACCCCTTGTGAGCTGTCTGAGAGCTGAGATGTGAGCATTCTCAGGAGCCTCTCTGCAGCCCCTGACACTTGGTTTTTTCTTTATTTAGAGCCGACATCAGGAGAGGAAGAGAAATGGGAAACTGAGGGCCAGGAGGGAATTTGGGAACATTTTCAAATCCACCTACAGCTGTCAGCAGGACGCCGGCTCCCTAAACAGCTGTGGGTACAAAGGATCCTGAAATCCACTCCAAAAACTTAGATCTCCCTCCCAGCTGCTTTGCAGGGCTCGGGGAGTTAATGATGAAGTTCTTCCTTATGTCGAGCGCAGAGCTCCAGCCTTCTGATTGGATGAGTGCTGAAGATTAGAAAACGGCTTCTTCGGAGGAACTCCAGAGACATACTGCTGAGAAAATGAAGTCAGCCATTCACGAGAATATACCGTATGATTTGGCGTGATTCTGTAGGGTTTCTGCACTTTAATCCCTTTGTGATCGCCGTAAATATGTTACAGGAAAGGGGTCCAGATCCAGACCCCAAGAGAGGGTTCTCGGATCTCGCGCAAGAAAGAATTCAGGGCTAGTCCGTAGTGCAAAGTGAAAGCAAGTTTATTAAGAAAGTAAAGGAATAAAGAACGGCTGCTCCATAGACGGAGCAGCCCCGAGGGCTGCTGGTTGCCCATTTTTATGGTTATTTCTGGATGATATTCTAAACAAGGGGTGGATTATTCATGCCTCCCCCTTTTAGACCATACAGGGCAGCATCCTGACGTTGCCATGGCATTTGTAAACTGTCCCGGTGCTGGTGGGAGTGTAGCAGTGAGGACGGCCAGAGGTCACTCTCGTGGCCACTTTGGTTTTGGTGGGTTTTGGCCGGCTCCGTCACTGCAAGCTGCTTTATCAGCAAGGTATTTATGGCCCATATTTTGTGCTGACCTCCTATCTCATCCTGTGACTTAGAATGCCTTAACCATCTAGGAATGCAGCCCAGTTGGTCTCAGCCTCATTTTACCCAGCTCCTATTTAAGATGGAGTTGCTTTCATTCACACACGTCTGACAATTCCTTCTTGCAAAAGACAAAACGCAGGCCATGCATGCTGGCTCATGCCTGTAATCCCAGCACTTTAGGAGGTTAAGAAGGGAGGGAGGTTTAAGGTCAGGAGATCCAGACAAGTCTGGGAAACACAACGTGAAAGGAAAATAAATCTTGGGGCCCCCAAATCACTAAGCTAAAGGAAAAAGTCAAGCTGGGAACTGCTTAGGGCAAACCTGCCTCCCATTCGACTCAATGTCATTCCTCTGTTCACTGAGATGAATGCGTATCTGAATGCCTCCTTTGGAGAGGCTCATCTGAAACTCAGTAGAATACAACCAATTGTACCTGGAAGCCCCCTCCCTACTTTGAGTCATCTGGCCTTTTCTGGACTGAACCAATGTTCATCCTACATTTGTTGATTGATGTCTCACATCTCCCTAAAATGTATAAAACCAAGCTGTGGTCTGACCACCTTGGGCACATGTTACCAGGACCTCCTGAGGCCGTGTCATGGGCTCGCATCCTTAACTTTGGCAAAACAAACTTCCTAAATGGACTGAGACCTGTCTCAGACTTTTGGGTTTCACAATAGTGAGACCCCATCTCTGCAAAAAAATAAAAGAGATTAGCTAGGTGTCACGGCACACGCCTGTAGACCCAGCTACCTGGGAGGCTGAGGCCGGAGGGTCACTTGAGCCCAGGAGTTCAAAGCTGCAGTGAGCTGTGATTGCACCACTGCACTGCAGCCTGGGCAAGACAGAGCAAGACTGTCTCAAAACAAAACAAAAAAACCATACAATCAATGGTGGTAGATATCACAATAGTGTTTTTTCTTTGCTGGGGCTGCCACTGAGAGGAAATTTCTGGGATGCTAGATTCTATACCCTTCTCTGGAGGAATTCACTCTGTAAAGATTCATCATGCTGTATCCTTGAGAGGTGGGAATTCGCCATATGTGGGTTACATCTCATTAAGTTATGCCTCTAGATGATCTTGATCTCCTTCTTTATCTAGCTCATATACAATGACAAATGTGGAACATACAGAAACATATAGGGAATGGTGGGTTAAATGCTGCGTACTCACAATTCGACTTTTACAAGCCTTAACATTTTGCTGTTTCCTCCAAATTTTTTCTTGTCTTTTAAAGAAATACAACATCACAGGTAGTAATCGAAAGCCTGGATGTCTCTGTTTCTGATCACACTGTTTGCTCTCCCTCTCCAGAGGTAACCATCATCTTGCGTTTAGTATTTTTCATTTTCATTTATGTTTTTATACCTTCCCAACATATATATTTTATGTAGCCATCAAAGATACATTGTGTTGTTTTGCAGGCTTTTAAACTTTATATGAATGGCATCGTAGAGTTGGAACTCAGCAACTCGCTTTTTCGGGCAAGAGATTTTGTTCTGAGAATTATCCATGTGGATTCACGTAGCTCTATTTCCTTCATTTTAACTACTATATAGTGCTCCATCGCACAAATACACTGTAATTTATTTATCCATTCTCCTAAAGATATTTAAGTTGAGTGACAAAGACTACTGGTTGCTTCCCAAATACTTTTTCCCTCCTTTAGTAACAGATACGCAAAGCAACAATGTGCCCAGCTAAAAGCCTACATTTCTTTACCTCTTTTGCTTCCAGGTGTGGCTACACATATATTCTGGTCACCACAATATAAACAGAACTTTCAGGGGAGGATATATGAGAGCGCTTCTCCAAAGAGGGACAGACTGGGGCATTCGCTTTTGCTCTTCCTCCCTCCCTCGCCCTCTTCTGTTGATTGGAATGTGGATTTGATAGCTGGAGCTCCAGCAGCCACATTAGACCATGCAGTGATGCTGAGGATGAAGCCTCCCTCCTCAGTACGACAGAGCAGGAAGACAGAAGGAAACCAGGTCCCTGGTGACTTTGTGGAGCCTTCATCCCAGCCTTGGATTGATTGATTGATTGATTGATTGATTGATTTTATTTATTTTTTTGAGACGGAGTCTCACTTTGTTGCCCAGGCTGGAGTGCAGTGGTGTGATCTTGGCTCACTGCAACCTCCACCTGCTGGGTTCAAGCAATTCCCTGCCTCAGCCTCCTGAGTAGCTGGGATTACAGGCACCCACCAACACACCCAGCTAATTTTTGTATTTTTAGTAGAGATGGGGTTTCACCATGTTGGCCAGGCTGGTCTCGAACTCCTGATCTCAATCCACCTGCCTTGGGCTCCCAAAGGGGTGGGATTACAGGCGTGAGCCACTGCACCAGGCCTCAACTTTTTTTTTTAACTTGAGAGAATAAACCTTTCTAGAGATACACTTCCATCACTAGCAGCTGAACATTATGTTATCATTACTGACAGAGCATTTGGGAATTATTAGAAACAATAATGCAATGGACTTTCTTGGACCTGTGTTACTATGAAGCTGTGTAGGAGCTCCTACAGCGCATGGTGACACAGTAAGAAATATATATTTGGTCTTCCTATGGTTCCTGACACAGAGCTTCTAAAATCCTTGCAATTTCCTGAGTGATAGCGGTAGTGGAGCTTCTTTCGTTATTTATGACAAACTTCTTTCAACCATACCTGAGTTCATGCTAATAAGGTGACTCTTGGTGGGCCCCTAGATAGCTTCAGGATGGGGGCTGGTCGTCAGAAGAGCCAACCCTGTGATTAGAGGGTGGGAACTTTCAGCCTCACTCCCCCAGCCCCCCACTCACCTTGAGAGGGGAGAGGGACTGGAGATTGAGCTAATCATCGATAGCCAAAGATTTACCTATCATGCACATGTAATGGGACCTCCATAAAAACCCTAAAGGATGATGTTCAGAGAGCTTCTGGGTAGATGGACACATGGAGGTGCTGGGAGGATGGTGGGCCTAGAAGAGGGCTGGAAGCTCCACGCCGCTCCCCATACCCCACCCTCGGCACCTCTTCCACTTGGCTATTTCTGAGTCTTATCCATTTTTTTTTTTTCCAGACAGGGCTTCACTCTGTTGCCCAGGCTTTAGTGCAGTGGCATAATCATAACTCACTGCAGCCTCTGCCACTCAAGCTCAAGTGATCCTCCCACCTCAGCCTCCCAAGTAGCTGGGACCACAGTCCCACACCACCATGCCCAGGTAATTTTTTTTTTACTCTTTTGTAGAGAAGGGATCTTGCTATGTTGCCTAGGCTGGCCTCCAACTCCTGGGATTAAGTGATCCTTGCACCTCAGCCTCCCAAGTAGCTGGGACTACAGGTGCATGCCACCGTGCCTGGCTAATTTTTGTATTTTAGTAGAGATGGGGTTTCGCCATGTTGCCCAGGCTGGTCTCAAACTCCTGGGCTCAAGAGATCTGCCCACCTCGGCCTCCAAAATTCTGGGATAACAGGTGTGAGCCACTGTGCCCAGACTCTTTTTTTATTGTTATTTAATTGAATAGTGACAGGTCTTGCTATGTTGCCCAGGCTAGTCTTGAACTTTGAGTTCCAACAGTCCTCTGGCCTTGGCCTTCCAAAGCACATATAACATTTTTAATAAGCTTTGAAAGTTCCTTGATAAACCATCTTGGGATTGAATTCAATTTATAAATTAATTGGAGAGAATTAGTCTATCCTACTACTATAATTATTATATTATTATGTATAATTATAGATTATATCATATTATGTTGGAAGAGAATTTATTATATTAAGGATTCCCAAGCTCGTACAGGCATACCTCAGAGATATCATAGGTTCAGTTCCAGGCCACCTCAATAAAACAAGTCATGCAAATGTTTTGGTTTCCCAGTGCAGACAAAATTTGTTTACCCTATATTATAGTCTATTAAGTGCACAATAGAATTTTAGAATATATATATATGTATATTTAAAAAACCAGTGAACATGTCTTAATTAAAAAATATTTTGTTGGCCCAGTATGGTGGTTCATGCCTGTAATCCCAGCACTTTGGGAGGCTGAGGCAGGTGGATTACTTGAGGTCAGGAGTTCAAGGCCAGCCTGGCCAACATGGTAAAACCACATCTCTACTAAAAATAAAAAAAATTATCTGGGCATGGTGACGTGCATCTGTAGTGCCAGCTACTCGGGAGGCTGAGGCAGGAGAATTGCTTGCACCTGGGTGGTGGAGGCTGCAGTGAGCCAAGATCATGCCACTGCACTCCAGCCTGGGTGACAGAGTGAGACTCCATCTAAACAAACAAACAAACAAAAACTTTGTTGCTAAAAGGTGCTAATGATCATCCGAGCCTTAATCAAGTCATAATCTCTTTGCTGGTGGAGAGTCTGGCTTCGATGTTGATGGCTGCTGACTGAGCAGGGTGGTGGTTGCTGAAGGCTGGGCTGGCTGTGGCAATTTATTAAAATAAGACCGCAATGAAGTTTGCTGCCTTGATGGACTCTTCCTTTCACAAAAAATTACTGCGTAGCATATGGTGCTGTTTGATAGTGTTTTACCCATTGTCGAACTTCTTTCAAAATTGGAGCCAATCCTCTCAAACTCTGCTGCTGCTTTATCAACTAAGTTTATGTTGAGTTTATTCATGATACTGTGCTATTAATAAATCCTCTGTTGTCATTTCAACAAAGTTTACAGTGTTGGGACTCAGAAAACAATACTCCAAGATGAGGGCCTCAGAAGCAAAAGGTTTTTCTCTGCCCTCCTGCCTGTCTTTTAGTCCCATTCTCCCCAGAGGCACCACAAAAACTAGAATCCCTCTTCCCCAAAGCAGGTCATAGAAACCAGAACCCCTTTTTCCCCCAAGCCAGCCATAAAACCAGAAAAAGATTACTTAACTTTCCCTCTGCCCTATCTGTGTAAAAAAAGGTGGATCAGATAAAGAAATTATCTGATCTACCTTTTTAGACTGTAGGTCGTAAGAGTCCCATTCCAGAAAGTGTCCTGCCCCCTAAGGAATTCACTCTCAGAGAGGCCTAGAAGAATCTAGACAGATAGGTCTCGCTGGCTTTCTCCACTAAGTCTATTACCATTAGATCACACACTTTTTGTCCAATCATGTTTCTACATGGCTGTGCATACTTTGTTGAATGTAAGCATGAAAATGGACGCCAGGTGCGCTGGCTCACACCTGTAATCGCAGCACTTTGGGAGGCCAAGGTGGGTGGATCACCTGAGGTTAGGAGTTCGAGACCAGCCTGGCCAACATGGTGAAATCCTGTCTCTAAAGTTAGCCGGGCACGGTGGCAGACGCCTATAATCCCAGCTACTCAGGAGGCTGAGGCAGGAGAATCACTTGAACCCGGGAGGTGGAGGTTGCAGTGAGCCAAGATCATGCCATTGCACTCCAGCCTGGGTGATAAGAGTGAGACTCTGTCTCAAAAAAAGAAAAAAGAAAAGAAAACAGACAATTTTCCCTGTATCTTTAGGTCTTCATTCTAAAAGTTTCCTTGTATACAATTAAAATAAATGTGCATGTCTTTTCTCCAGTTAATCTGCCTTTTGAGAGGTGAT
The DNA here is from genome assembly GCF_000001405.40 of Homo sapiens. Classification (NCBI taxonomy): domain Eukaryota; kingdom Metazoa; phylum Chordata; class Mammalia; order Primates; family Hominidae; genus Homo; species Homo sapiens. Next base: position 3,254,403 of record NC_000007.14, on the reverse strand, counting down.
TTTTTCAGTGAACCATCACAGAGCCAAGGAGAACTCTCTTCTTAGCTCCTACAACAATGTCTTCATCAGGAGTAGGTTCCATTTTAAGAAATCACTTTCTTTGCTCATCCATAGGGAACAACTCTTCATCCACTAATGCATCCAACAAAGGTGTAGCATCCAGAATTTGTAGGAAATTTAAACAATTTCAACAAGCAAAAACAAACAACACCATTGAAAAGTGGGCAAAGGATGTGAACAGACACTTTTTGGGTATTTCTTGTTAGACTGGGTCTCACTCTCTTGCTCAGGCTGGAGTGCAGTGGTGCAATCACGGCTCACTGCAGCCTCAACCTCCTGGGCTCAAGCGATCCTCCCACCTGTCTCGTAAGTAGCTCGGATCACAGGAGTGCACCACCACACCTGGCTAATTTTTCATTTTTTGTAAAGGCAAGGTCTCCCTATGTTGCCCCGGTTGGTCTCAAACTCCTCAAGGTTCAAGGCTCAAGTGATCCTCCTGACTTGGCCTCCCAAAGTGCTGGGATTACAGGTGTGAGCCACCACACCTGGCCAACAGACACTTCTCAAAAGAAGACATACAAACGGCCAACAAACATGAAAAAATGCTTAACGTCACTGACCATCAGATAAATGCAAATCAAAATCACAATGAGATACCATCTCACACCAGTCAGAATGGCTATTACTAAAAAGTCAAAAAATAACAGATGCTGGTGAGGCTGCACAGAAGAGAGAACGCTTTATACATTGTTGGTGGGCATGTGAATTAGTTCAGCCACTGTGAAAAGCAGTTACGAGATTTCTTAAAGAACTTAAAACGAGCTACCATTCAACTTAGTAATCTCTTTACTGGATATAAACCCAAAGGAAAATAAATCATTTTACCAAAAAGACACACACACTTGTATGTTCACTGCAGCACTATTTGCAATAGCAAAGACATGGAGTCAACCTAGGTGCCCATCAATGGCAGATTGGATAAAGAAAACGTGGTGCATCTACACCATGGAATACTACCCAGCCATAAAAAAATGAAATTATGTCCTTTGCAGCAACATGGATGCAGCTGAAAGTCATTATCCTAAGCAAATTGTACAGGAACAGAAAGCCAAACACTGCATGTTCTCACTTATAAGTGGGAGCTAAGCATTGGGTAAACATGGGCATAAAGATGGAAACAACAGACATGGGAAACTACCAGAGATGGGAGAGAGGGAGGACAGCAAGGGCTGAAAAACTACCTACTGGGTACTATGCTTACTACCTGAGTGACAGGATCATTCACACCCCAAACCCCAGCATCATGCAGTTGCACATGTACCTCCTGAATCTAAAATAAAAGTCTAAAATTATTTTTGTAACAAAGTTTGATCATGAGATTGCAGCAATTCCATCACATCTTCAGGCTCCACTTCTAATTCTAGTTCTTTTGCTATTTCCACCACATCTGCAATTCTAGTTCTCTTGCTATTTCTACCACATCTGTATCTAGTTCTCTTGCTATTTCCACCACGGATCTGCACTTGTAATGGCAAAACAGCAGTTACTTTTGCACCAGCCAAATACTTACTCCAGTAAAGTCTTGAACCATTTAAAGTCCTCAATGAGGGATGGAATCAACTTCTTCCAAACTTCCATTAATGTTGCTATTTTAATTTCTTCCCATGAATACTGAGTGTACTTAATAGCCATGGAATCATGAACCTTTTCCAGATTTTCAGTTGATTTTGCCCAGATCCATTGGAGGAATCACCATCTATGGCAGCTACGGTCTCACTCAATGTATTTCTTAAATAATAAGACTTGAAAATCAAAATTACACCTTGATCCATGGGCTGCAAAATGGATGTTGTGTTAGCAGGCATGAAAACAACATTCGTCTTACTGTATATCTCCATTAGAGCTCTCAGGTAACAAGGTGCATTGTCAATGAGCAGTAATATTTTGAAAGAAATCTTTTTTTTATAAGCAATTGGTCTCAAAAACGGGTTTAACATATTCAGTAAAACATGCTGTAGGCTGGGCGCAGTGGCTCACGCCTGTAATCCCAGCACTTTGGGAGGCCAAGGAGGGTGGATCACGAGGTCAGGAGATTGAGACCATCCCGGATAACACGGTGAAACCCCGTCTCTACTAAAAAATACAAAAAATTAGCTGGGCGTGGTGGTGGGCGCCTGTAGTCCCAGCTACTTGGGAGGCTGAGGCAGGAGGATGGCGTGAACCCAGGAGGCGGAGCTTGCAATGAGCCGGGATTGCACCACTGCACTCTAGCCTGGGTGACAGAGCGAGACTCCATCTCAAAAAGAAAAAAAAAAAAATGCTGTAAACAGATGTGCTGTCTTTGAGGCTTTTCTGTTCCATGTACAGAGCCCAGACAGAGTAGATATAGCATCATTCTTAAGGACCCCAGGATTTTCAGGATTGACTTCAACTTAAAGTCCCCAGCTGCATTAGCCCCTAACAAGAGAGCCAGCCTGTCCTTTGAAACTTTGAAGCCAGGCATTGACTTCTCCTCTGTAGCTATGAAAGTCCTGGATGGCATCTTCTTTCAATGAAAGGCTGTTTTCTCTACACTGCAAATCTGTTGGTTGGTGTAACCACTTTAATCAGTGATTCTAGCTAGATCTTCTTGAGAACTTGCTGCAGCTTCTCCATCAGCATCTGCTGCTGCTTCAACTTGCACTTTTTTTTTTTTTTTTTTTTTTTTTTTTTTTGAGGCAGAGTCTCACTCTGTCGCCCAGGCTGGAGTGCAGTGGTGTGATGTCGGTTCACTGCAACTTCTGCCTCCTGGGTTCAAGCAGTTCTCCTGCCTCAGCCTCCTGAGGAGCTGGGATTACAGGCGTGTGTCACCACACCTGGCTAATTTTTGTATTTTTAGTAGAGACAGGGTTTCACCATGTTGGTCAGGCTGATCTCGAACTCCTGACCTCTTGATCCACCCACCTCAACCTCCCAAAGTGCTGGGATTACAGGTGTGAGCCACCGTGCCTGGCACCTTGCACTTTTATGTTATGGAGACAGCTTCTTTCCTTAAACCTCATGAACCAACCTCTACTCACTTCCAGCTTTTTTTTTCTGCAGCTTCTTCACCTCTCCATCTTCATAGAATTGAAGACAGTTAGGGCCTTGCTCTGGGTTAGGAATTGTCTTAAAGGAATGTTGTGGCTGGTTTGATCTTCTATCCAGGCCACTCAGATTTTCTCCATATCAGCAATAAGGCTGTTTCCCTGTCTTATCATTCCTGTGTTCACTGGAGCGGCATTTTTAATTTCCTTCAAGAGAGGAAGGAAATTTTCCTTTGCATTCACAACTTGGCTACCTTGTGCAAGGGGCCAAGCTTTCAGCCCGTCTTGGCGTTCAGCACACCTTCCTCACTAAGCTCAATCATTTCTAGCTTTTCATTTTGAGTGAGAGATGTGTGACTCTTCCTTTCACTTGCGCACTTAGAGGCCATTGTAGGGTTATTAATTGGCCTAATTTCAACATTGTTGTTTCTCAGGGGAGAGGGAGGCCCAATGAGAGGGAGAGAGACAGGGAAAGGCCAGTTGGTGGGGCAGTCAGAACATGAACAACATGTACAGAGTATGTTTGCTGTCATATGGGCGTGGTTTTTGGTGCCCCAAAACAATTACAATAGTAACATCAAAGATCCCTGATCGGGCCAGATGCAGTGGCTCACACCTGTAATCCCAGCACTTTGGGAGGCCGAGGCAGATGAATCATTTGAGCTCAAGAGTTTGAGACCAGCTTGACCAATATGGCGAAACCCTGTCTCTACTAAAAATACAAAAATTAGCCAGGCATGGTGGTGGGCACCTGTAATCCCAGCTACTTGGGAGGCTGAGGCAGGAGAATCACTTGAACCCGAGATGCGGAGGTTGCAGTGAGCAGAGACTGTGGCACTGCACTCCAGCCTGGGTGACAGAGTGAGACTCCATCTCAAAAAATAAAAAATAAAAAATCACTGATCATGGATTATTATAACACATAATAATAATGAAAAAGTTCAAAATATTGGGGAAATTACCAAACTGTGACAGCGACACAAAGTGAGCAAATGCTGTTGGAAAAGTGACTCAAATAGACTTGCTTCATGCAGGGTTGCCACAAATCTTCAATTTGTAAAAATGCAGTATCCACAAAACACAATAAAGCAAAGTACAACAAGACCAGGTATGCTTGATATAATTTCTGGATGCTTTTAAAAATATTTTTTTCTGATCATGTTTTATACTGTTCTTTATAAAGTTCTTTTAAAGTAGATACATTCACAGTTGGTGTAAATACTTTTTTTTTTTTTTGAGACATAATTTCACTCTTGTCGCCCAGGCTGGAGTGCAGTGGCATGATCTCAGCTCACTGCAACCCCAGTCTCCTGGGTTCAAGCCATTCTCCTGTCTCTGCCTCCTGAGTAGCTGGGATTACAGGCCCATGCCACCACGCCCAGCTAATTTTTGTATTTTTAGTACAGATGGGGCTTCATCATATTGCTCAGACTGGTCTTGAACTCCTGATCTCAAGTGGTCCACTCGCCTTGCCCTCCCAAAGTGCTGGGATTACAGGTGTGAACCACTGCGCCCGGCCATAAATACTTTCGGTGGCTGTTGTGTGTGTTTTTCCTTTAATACCTTCATGTGTGTTTTCCTTCTATTACACTTTCTAAGTGGTTTCTATTGCTATGGAGGGATGCTTTTGACTTGGTGTTTTGATTTTACGTCCAGAACATTAACTCTCTTGCTAGAGTGAGATTTACCTTCATTTCCTGGTTGGCTCAGCAGAGTCCTGGCTTTTACCGGTTGTCCTGGCGTCCCATTTCGTCTAGCATTTGTCCCAGCATTTTTTTTTTTTTCTCGAGACTTAATCTCGCTCTGTCACCCAGGCTGGAGTGCAGTGGCGCAATCTCGGCTCACTGCAAACTCCACCTCCCAGGTTCAAGCTATTCTCATGCCTCAGCCTCCTGAGTAGCTGGGATTACAGGTGCCCTCCACCACGCCTGACTAATTTTTGTATTTTTAGTAGAGATGGGGTTTCATCATGTTGGCCAGGCTGATCTTGAACACCTGACCTCAAGTGATCCTCCCACCTTGGCCTCCCAAAGTGCTGGGATTACAGGCGTGAGCCACTGTATCTGGCTCCAGATTTCTCATTTTTAGTGAAGTGACATGATTATTATTATTTTGAGACAAGTTCTTGCTCTCTCACCCAGGCTAGGGTGCAGTGGTGCAATCTTGACACACTGCAGCCTCAAACTCTTGGGCTCAAGCAAAACTCCCACCTCAGGATCTTGAGTAGCTGGGATGAGCGGCATGGGCCATGATGTCCTGCTAATTTTTGTATTTTTTGTGGAGATGACGTTTCGCCATGTTGCCCAGACTGGTCTCGAACTCCTGAGCTTAAGCCATTCCCCAACCCTGGCCTCCTAAAGTGCTGAGATTGCAGGCATGAGCCACCGTTCCAGTGATATTATTGGCACCTGCATTTACATAAACCAGGATGCATTTGGTAAAGCTCCTCTTTGAAATTCCTGCTTCTGGCCCAGCCTCATCTAGGTCTAGTGTGAGATCTGTGCGGAGTAAAGAAAGTTGCCACTTTAACACATAGTTTGATGTGAAAGACAGCCAACAGCTAACCTGCCTTTTCCTGACAGTTACTCTGTGTAATTGAAACCTTTGTTTCCAGCGTGACAGGCAGAGCCCCAGCTGATAGAACAAAGGTGCTAGGACCTTCTCTCCTGGTGGCACCATGAGGCTCTGGTTTGGGCTTCCTGATTATACTAACTTTATCAAGTTCTTTCAATACCTTCCCCCCTTTTTCTAGTCTCTGAAACTGTTTTCATAAAATGAGGGCTTTCTATTCTTCAAAGCTTTGTTGTAACTTGCCTGGAAAACAATCTGTCTTTTGTCTGTGTGTATGGTGGGGGCGAGGGGTGGGGGAGGTGTGGGAGTGGTTGTGGGAGAACTTTTGATTGCCAGTTCAATTTCTTTAATAGTTGTTGATTTATTTCATATTTAAAAGATCTTCTTGGCTCTATTTTTTATTTTATTTTATTTTGCTCTGTCGCCTAGGCTGGAGTGCAATGGCATGATCTCAGCTCACTGCAACCTCTGACTGATCTCAGCTCACTGCAACCTCTCTGCCTCCTGGGTTCAAGTGATTCTCCTGCCTCAGCCTCCCGAGTAGCTGGGATTACAGGCGTGTGTCACCATGCCTGACTAATTTTCTTTGTGTTTTTAGTAGAGACAGGGTTTCACCATGTTGGCCAGGCTGGTCTCAAACTCCTGACCTAAGGTGATTCACCCGCCTTGGCCTCCCAAACTGCTGGGAGATTTTATTTTTTGAAACAGGGTCTTGGTCTGTTGTCCAGGCTGGAGTGCAGTGGGGTGATCATAGCTCACTGCAGCCTTGAACTCCTCGGCCCCATCGGTCTTCCCACTTCAGCCTCTTGAGTACACCTCCCAAACACAGCGGTACACCACCACACCCAGCAACTTTTTTGATTTTTTGTAGAGATGGGGGTCTCACTATGTTGCCCAGGCTGTGGGTCCATTTTAGTAGTCTTTTTCTATAAAATTATTCATTTCATCTAAGTTTTCAAATTTGTTAGCATAAAGGTATTCATTGCATTCTCCTAATTAAAAAAAAAAAAACTCAACTGCATCTGTTTTTATTTATTATTGCTATTATTATTATTTTGAGATAGAGTCTCACTCTGTCACCCAGGCTGGAGTGCAGTAGTGCATTCTCGGCTCACGGCAACCTCTGCCTCCCGGGTTCAAGCGATTCTCCTGCTCAGCCTCCTGAGTAGCTGGGATTACAGGCACGCACCACCACGCCCGGCTAATTTTTGTATTTGTAGTAGAGACGGGGTTTCACCATGTTTGTCAGGCTGGCCTCAAACTCCTGATTTCGTGATCCACCTGCCTTGGCCTCCCAAAGTGCTGGGATTACAGGCGTGAGCCACGGTGCCTGGCCCTATTCCTGCTATTATTTATGCCTTTGTACCCCTCTTTAAAAGTCAATCTTGCTAGAGGCTTGTTTGCTTTCTTTGTTTGACTAAAAAGTCAGATTTTAAAAATCCTTTCTCCTTTATCTTGGTTTTCTATTTTACTATTTTCAGGAATGTTCATTTTTTTCTCTGTTAAAATACAAAAATTGCAGTCATTCATTGCATTTGTTAATGTATTTCCTGGATTTTTGTGCTGCCTCTTGTTTCTTTCGTCTTTGTTCACTTTTTTCACTTTCCTCTGACAGTGAGCACCTGCTCATAAGAAACTCTCTTATTTGTTGTATATCTGAAAATGTCTCGGTTTTGTCTTTACTGCTGAATGATAGTTTAGCTGGATATAGAATCTCAGGAAAGGCATTTGTAAGGAAATGTTTGTCATTGTGCTTATCGCATTTAATAATTATATACATTGTGTGATTATATTTTGTCTTCCAGCAGAATGATTTTTGTTTGTTTTGTTCACTGTGTATCCCTGTCCCCGGAGCAATGCCAGGCACATCATAGTCACTCTGTAAATAGGTGTTGAATAAATGAATGTGCAAGTCAGTGAATTCCTCACTAGGCTGTCTGTTCTCCGAGGGCAAAGTCAGCTTCTTCCTGTTCCGGGCTGAGTTCCAGTGTTTTTTCTGATGAAGTAGGAACTAGATAAACATTTGTTGTAGAAATAAATGAATTCACCCAAGATCTAAAATAAAATAATAGGAATACTACTCTTAGAAACTAGTGCCTTTTGAAGAGGCAATCTTCTGATCTTCTAGGTCTACATTTTCTTAATTTTTTTTCCCCCACTGGAATTAGTAACAAGGGAACTGCAGGGGCAGACTGTGGGCTTTCATGAGAGCAAAGCCCTCTTTTCAAATATCTGTTCTAAGGAGGATCAGCTTTCCAGCTTAACTGGGAGGCTGGCTGAGTCCTCATTTCTAAACAGATGGCAACACATCATTGCTGGTGGCTCCTTTAAGGCAGAAAGGCTGTCAAATCAGCAAAGATGACTTCCAGATACAGCCTGCACAGAGAGGCATGGCGACTGATAAAATATTCATTAGTGACTGCTGTGGTTGCAGGGAGGGCCTGTGCTGCAGGGAGGCCTGTGCACAGAGCCAGCTGAGGTCCCAGTGTGAGGAAGTGCATTAGGGTTTTGCAGTAAGGCCCATTTAGGAAGGAGGCAGGGGCCTTTGAGGCCTATTGTGCCTGAGAGCACTAATGCCCTTCGATCTGGCCATTTATAAAAGAGAAGGAACCATTAGGTCTCGGAAAAGATGCCTGGCCTGCACCATTTAGAGGACACAGGGGTCACCTATGTGTCAACGAAGTGAAAAGGTCATTCATAAAGCCTTCAGTCTGTCAGCCCTAGAACCCAACTCATCATTTCTGGGTTGACCACCATGCTCCTCCACTGTCTGGTTATGTATGACAACTCTCAACTGGACATACGGTCACATGTGTATAGTCCCAGCAGTCCCAACTCTGGGCTCGTTTTGTGGACACAGATGGCCCTCTGTCCCCCTCCAATAGCCCCCTTTAGATTGGATAAGGGAAATCATGTAGCAGCCATCTTTGGCCAGTTGGTGACAGGGCTACAATGCTTGTCTCTGCCCTGGGTCACTCACAGGACCACACAGTTTATTGACAGCAAATTTTGGGAGGGATCACAAAAAGAGGAGAAAAACAAGTCTCGGCACAGTGGCTCACACCTGTAATCCTAGCGCTTTGGGAGACTAAAGCGGGAGAATTGCTTGAGCCAGCTCAAGACCAGCCTGGGCAATATAGGGAGAACTCCATCTCTACAAATTTTTTTTTTTTAAATTAGGTGGTTGTGGTGGCACATGCCTGTAGTCTCACATATTGGAGAGGCTGAGGAAAGAGAATCACTTGAGCTCAGGAGTGAAGGCTTGAGCAAGGCTTCAGTGAGCTATGATTGCACCACTGCACTCCAGTCTGGGCAACAGAGCAAGACCCTGTCCTCCTACCCCCTAAAAAAAGAAAAGGAAAAAGGAGTTTTAAAGATGCCAAAACTAATGCATTACCAAGATTTTTAAAAAACATATTTTCCTTGGCTATTGGAGAACAAGCCTTTTTGCAAATCACGTCTCCTTTAGCCATGACGTTGACTCTGAAACATAGAAATATAAACAGAGAGAGAGAGACATTCCTTCCAAGTACTGGTTTAGAGACAGGCAGAACACAGTTGCTGAAAGAAAAGAGGAAAAATCAGAATCAGAAAAGCACATTATTTTTTTGAGGCATCAAAGTAGGTTTTCCAAACAAAATAGAGTGCTATTTCTTTGCTGAGGGGGTAAAAAAAAAAAGCCATTGTGGAACATACTTTATAGTCACCCTTTAATGTGGATACATGACAAAAATATTTCTGCTACTCTTTACTCACATCGTGCCTCTGACCAGTGGTCCACTGTTTGGTCCTGTTTTTCAGAGACTCCCAGCTTTGGTGTCCTTAAGAAAGGGACTTACTGACTTCATGCATCTTTCAAGCAAAGATTAACAACAATGATAATAGAGTAATAAGTTGGCCTGGAATCTTGGCAAAACTGAAAACCACATGTTCTGAGAGTCTCTTCCTGCGCTGGTAATTAAGTTTCTTCCCCCTACAAAATGAGACTCTTTTGGACCAACAGGCGTTAGGCATGTGGACATCTTGATGGGATCCCATCTTCTCTTTTGAGGATCAAATCCTGGCCAACTTTGTTTGATGTTCAGAGCCCTGTATGGGAGTCAAAGCCTGCTAATAAAGCAGTCGTGCCTGTTTGGAGTCATTCTACAGCTCAGGACTTCATCCCAGGAGGGAGGTGTAGTGGGTGACTCACTAACTGTAATATAAACAACGACAACAAAAGGGTCTCTGAGTCACACTGACATTGTGGAATCAAACATATATCTCTGTGCCCTGACCCCCACCAAGGATGCAGTCACACGGATGTCCAGTTATCTTCTAATCAATGCCCAGTCCAGATGGTCACCACCCACCTCTGCAGCAAAAGTCACTGCGCATTTGGATATCTACACAGCTTGTTTGTAACTGAGTTAGTGCAGCCTAGTAAGGTACAGATGTTTTCCTTTTAATCCTGTTTGTACTTTGAAATGGTCACACTCGATGTCATTTGGCTGCAGGAAGCTCCTCCAGGAATGATCCCGCAAGAGAAATGGGATGTGCGTGGCACCATCTGATTCGGGGCAGCTCTGTCACTCCCTGCAGAACTGAGCACACTGAATTTATTTGAATAGAACAGGTTATGAGGGTGAGGATAAACATATCAATACCTCATTTTTTTTTTGAACGCCGACTCTATGATCGGATTACCTGGCCCTTCAAGGTAAGTTTATGACTGTGCTTAAAGGGCTTTGAGGTAACCACTTCTCCACCAGGATTTGCGAGGAGCCTTCCTGGCTTCCCGAGAGAAGTGGCTCGTCTTAGAATTCGAGAGCTCAGACTGACAGCAAACAGCCTGGATCTGCCAGTCTTCAGCTGCGTGACTCTGTGCAAATCGCTTTTCCTCTCTGGGCTGTTTCTCCATTGGTAAAAAAGGAGCACTTCTGAGGCTGGGCGCGGTGGCTCACGGCCTGTAATCCCAGCACTTTGGGAGGCCGACGTGGGCGGATCACTTGAGGTCAGGAGTTCGAGACAGGTTTGGCCAACATGGTGAAACCCCGTCTCTACTCAAAATACAAAAAAAATTAGCTGGGCGTGGTGGTGCATGTCTGTAGTCCCAGCTACTAGGGAGGCTGAGGCAGGAGAATAGCTGGAACTTGGGAGGCGGAGCTGAGATTGTGCCACTGCATTCCAGCCTGAGCAAGAAAGCGAGACTCCGTCTCAGGAAAAAAAAAAGGAGCACTTTTTGACCCATGTCATAGGGGTGTTGCAAAGATTGAGGGAGACATTGCCCAGGGTAGGCAGAGGACCTGAGTCAGCGGTACATGCTGTTACTGTTCTATTGCATTGGTGTGCCTTGGCCTTTTGTTCCTCACTTTAGGCCCTTGATCTTGAGCCAGTGCAATGGCAGAGCCTTGTCATGACACAAAGCATGTGTGTGTTTCTCCTCTGTCCACTAAAACGTCCATGTGGCTCCCTCCTTCAGAACAGGGAAGAAAGGCTGCTGTGAAATGTGACACTGTCCTGTTGCCTATGCCATTATGATGCTGTGGGGCAAACACTGGATCAGCTCCATAGGGTGAGGGCTGTCCATAAATAAACAGGACCTGGGGCATATCGGTTTGGGTGGGGCCAAAGCAGGTCCAGATTCAATAAGCCTGAATGAAGGGCCTGCTCCAGGCCGGGAAGTGGGTTAGTTCTATTCTCACGTGTGGTTTTATGTAATACTTGTAATAAAACTATAGTGCAGGGATCATTATGATCTTCATTTTAAAGAAGGAACTGGTCGGGTGTGGTGGCTCACGCTGAAATCCCAGTGCTTTGGGAGGCTGAGGTGGGAGGATTGCTTGAGCCCAGGAGTTCAAGATCAGCCTGGGCAACATAGCAAGACCCCATCTCTACCAAAAATAAAACAATTAGCCAGGCACGGTGATGTGTGCCTGTAGTCCCAGCTACTTGGGAGGCCAAGACAGGAGAATTGCTTAAGTCAGGGAGGTTCTGGCTACAGTGAGCCATGATTGCACCACTGTACTGCAGCCTGGGCAACAGAGCAAGACCCTGAAAAACGAAAGAAAGAAAGAAGGAAAGAAAGAAAAAAGAAAGAAAGAAAGAGAGAGACAGAGAGAGGAGGGAAGGAAGGAAAAGAAAGGAAGAAAGAAAGAGAAAGAAAACAAAGAAAAAGAGAAAGAGAGAGAGGAAGGAAGGAAGGAGAGAGAGGAGGGAAGGAAGGAAGGGAAATAAAGGAAGAAAGAAAGAAAGAAAGAAACAAAGAAAGAGAGAGAGGAAGGAAGGAAGGAAGGAAGGAAAAAAAAAGAAAAAGAAGAAGAAACTGAGCATTAGAGAAGCTAAAATTTCCTCAAGATCCCAAAGTTCCCTTCTGTGTACAGAAAAGTTCCAGGCCCAAGAGATCCTCTGAGGTGTGAAACTCTGTGTATCCACCTGCCTCACCTCCTTCAGCCCTGCCTTGTACCTCACCATAAGCCAAAGGAAACTGGGCCTTCTATTTTCTATTTTAATAGGGACTCTCTCCAACAGCCAGCAGTGCAACCAACAGAAAATCCCCCTCCAAAAAGCACTGACCTAGTGAGAGTCTTTACTAACAACTTCTTTCGGAAGACCTACAGCTGCAGAGGGCTGTCCTAAAAACCCACTTTTCACACCTCTCCCTTCAAAGCCCAAGTCCTTACGGGAGCCCCTCATCTCATTTCCTTGTCTCTCTTCATTAATCCTCAAATGCCACTCCCTTGCCCCCTCTTCTCCCTGAAGCCCACCTCCTCTCCTTCCGCAGGTGGAGACATGCAGCCAGCCCTGGCTTTCCAACCTTGTCCCCTCCACCCCTTGCCCAGGTCAGCATGGCAAAGGCCAGCACGGAGGGTGGCCAGAAGATTGTAGATATTGATGTTAATGTTTTAAAAATCTCATGCACACTACACTCTTGCAAAGCCGAGCTGGTTATCTGTTTCCTGCATAGGTGGCTGGGCTCCTGTGTGGGCCACTCAGGGTTTCTCCTCCAGGCCTTTCTCTGACTGTCATCTCTGTTCTCTGCTACCTCCCGCTCCTCCTCAGGCCCCAAGACTCTCCTCAGGCACTCAGGGAAGCCTTCCATGGCTTAAGGGCCCCTCACCTGGGTGATGGTCAGGGACCCCTTCTCTGGGCTCCTACATGCCTCTGATTCCAGCTCTATTTTTTTTTTTTTTTTTTTTTTTTTGAGAAGGAGCTTCGATCCCTTTGCCCAGCCTGGAGTGCAGTGGCGCGATCTCAGCTCACTGCAACCTCTGCCTCCCAGGTTCAAGCAATTCTCCCGCCTCAGCCTGCTGAGTAGCTGGGATTACAGATGCCCGCCACCATGCCTGGCTAATTTTTATATTTTAAGTAGAGACAGGGTTTCCCCATGTTCACCAGGCTGGTCTCGAACTCCTGACCTCAAGTGATCTGCCTGCCTTGGCTTCCCAAAGTGCTGGAATTACAGGCGTGAGCCACCGGGCCCAGCCTGATTCCAGCTCTCGCGTTGCACTTAATGCACAAAAATCATCACTGTTTGTTTCTAAATCCGTCTCCCACCATATTGCGAGTCTCCCACGGGGCCCACAGCAAGCTCTCGCAGATGACTGCTTCTGTTGACTTGTTCTCAGTGTGCCTTCAACAAATACGAATCTATTCTTCTCAATAACAAAAACTTAGGAGGTGGTGACACCAAGCAACGGGCGTGGATTCAGCAGCTGCATGGAGGCAGGTCCTTGTAGTGCCCCTCTCCACGCTGGAAGCTCCACCGCTCTGCGTGGCTCCTGCCACCGTCGCCAGAGCCTCTGCGTTCAAAGGAGGAAGGAGCGGGTGTGGGTGGTGGAGCCCGCTGGGACTGAACTTCTCCCAGGACACGACGGCGCTCCCAGATCCCAGCCTGCCTTAGGGCTCACCGCTCGTGGGTCTCAAGGCTTTTCCCCAGGAAGTGCTTGTTGAAGGAGCACCCTGATGTGACTTGTTTCTGTTTTTTATTGGAGTGAAATTCACATAACATTCAATTCACCATTTTAAAGTGAACCATTCAGTGGCAGTTAGTACATCCATGATGTTGTGCCACGCCTCTATCTAGCACCAAAGCATTTTCGTCACCCCAAAGAGAAACTCCTACCCCTTCATCAGTCGTTCCTCCTTTCGCCCCACCCCCGCCCCCTGACAATCACCAATCTGCTTTCTGTCTTCACGGATTTGCCCATTCTGGACATTTCATATAACAGGAATTGCACACGATGTGGCCTTTTGTGTCTGGCTTCTTTCACTTAGCATATTTTCTTTTCTTTCTTTCTTTCTTTTTTTCCTTTTTTTCTTTCTTTTTTTTTTTTTTTTTGAGATGGAGTCTCCCTCTGTTGCCCAGGCTGGAGTGCAGTGGGGCGATCTTGGCTCACTGCAACCTCCGCCTCCCAGGTTCACACAATTCCCTGCCTCAGCCTCCCAAGTAGCTGGGATTACAGATGTCTGCCATCATGCCTGGCTAATTTTTGTATTTTTAGTAGATACGGGGTTTCACCATCTTGGCCAAGCTGGTCTTGAAATTCTGACCTCATGATCCACCCGCCTCGGCCTCCCAAAGTGCTGGGATTACAGGTGTGAGCCACTGTGCCCGGCCTTAGCATGTTTTCTCTCTCTCTCTCTTTTTTTTTTTTTTTTTTTTTTTTAGGAGACAAGGTCTTGCTCTGTCACCCAGGCTGGAGTGCAATGGCACAATCATAGCTCAGTCCAGCCTCAACCTCCTGGGCTCCAGCGATCCTCCCACTTCAGCCTCCTGAGTAACTGGGACCACAGGCACACACCACCGCACCTAACTAATTTTTTTTAAAAACTTTTTGTAGAGGCAGGGTCTCGCTATGTTGCCAGGCTGGTCTCGAACTCCTGGTTTCAACTGATCCTCCCACCTCTCGGCCTCCCAAAGTGCTGGAATTACAGGCGTGAGCCACTGTGCCTGGCCACACTGAGCATGTTTTCAAGTTTCATCCATGTTGTAGCACGTATCAGCGCTTTATACCTCTTTATAGATGAATAATAGTCTATTATATGTATATGCCACATTTTGTTTTTCCATTCATCTGTGGATGGACACGTGAGGGGCTGTTTATGATGTGATTTAAACCCAGCCGTCCTGGCTCCAAGTTCCCCTTGCAGAATGCCGGGGCCCAGGCCTGGGGCAAAGAGATGCACAGAGGCAGCTGCGGGGGAGCCTCGTTGGTGGAGGAAGTGAGAACGCTCCTGGGAGGGAAGAGCCATGTGGCCCATGCCAGAAACCAGCTTTGCCTACTTTCCTCTGCTGCTAGGAGCATGTAAGCATCTGCCCTTCGGAACAGAACGTTCCGCATCCACTCGGCAACCGGGGAAAGTGGGAGCTGGTTTAACCTGGGCTCATTTGATCCAGGTCTGCCTTGGCTGGAGCCCAACCGAGAGCATTTCTCAGCACTTGTGTCATTTTATGTCGTTCTTATTAGTAATCAGATAGGATTCATGGCTGGTTGACTCTTTATTCTTGCCAGAGGCTGATAAATTGGCCAGCCTCAAGAATCATTCTTTAATAATTAAAAGCCTTTATGGTTTGCAGGAAGAAGCAAATTTGGGAGCACCCACCATGGATCTGTACAATAATCCCCCAAGCCAGTGCCCATGTCTACCATCGGGTGGGTGACTGTTCACCTTCTGCTTGGTCTCTGGGGTCTCCATACAACCACCCAAAGACACTGCTCTCTGCAGAGGTCAGGGCCTTTCAGACGTCCCCTAGTGCTTGAGTATAGACCAAATGGCCCAGGGAAACACACAGGGAAGCCCTCTGAGTAGGCTCAGCATCCAGGTGACTTGCATGAAGGTACCATTTCAGGCCCTTTTAATTTCCCACTCTGGGGGCACATGGGGTGTCTCTAGAGCAGGAAAGAAGACCTGACATATAACTCCCAGCCCCAGGGAAGGACTCTGTGCTCCTCAAGAAGGACCCAGGAAGGAAATGTCCAGCTATGGGCTGATGGCAAGTGAAAGGAATGACTGAACCATGTCCCATGAAGGCACCAAGTCAGTCAAGTGCAGTCCAAGCCCACTTCCTATTCTCAAGAGCAGAGATTTCACTGCAGAATGAGTCATCATAGAATCATGCTTAAGAGCTTTGGCTTTTGAGTCAAAAAGACCTGAGTTTGAATCCGGGCTCTGCCATTTACTAGCTGGGTGACCTTGGGTAAGTTGCTTAACCTCTCTGAGCCTCAGTTTCCTCATTGATATGGTTTGGCTGTGTCCCCACCCAAATCTCATCTTGAATTGTAGCTCCCATAATTCCCCCATGTTGTGGGAGGGACCTGGTGGGAGATAAATGAATCGTGGGGGTGGTTTCTCCAATACTGTTCTCATGGTAGTGAATAAGTCTCACAGGATCTGGTGGTTTTATAAAGGGAAACCCCTTTCACTTGCCTCTCATTCTCTCTTGCCTGCCACTATGTAAGACGTGCTTTCCACCTTCCACCATGATTGTGAGGCCTCCCCAGCCACATGGAACTGTGAGTCCATTAAACCTCTTTTTCTTTATAAATTACCAGTCTTGGGTATGTCTTCACCAGCAGCATGAAAAAGGATTAATACCCTCATATATGAAGCAAGAACAATGTCAGCCTCATGAGAAGTGACTAGAATAACCCACGTAAAGCACAGTGCTCGGCACGTGGTAAGAGCTCAGTGAACTGTAGCTGGTAACGTAACTCATGTCTCCTCAATTCCCCCACTTCATTTGCCCCTGAAGATTGAGACAGAGCTGTCAAGACCCTTACTTACTCTCCCACCTCCCCTAGTCCTATGCATTCCAATCCAACGTTTTACAGACTCAAGTCTAGCCAGGATGGATTTGTTAGGATGGCCTCTTTTTTGCCAGGATGGGCTGAGGATTATAAAGTGTGGTTAAGAGTTTCAAGGTCAAACCTAGTACTTCCTATGAAAATAAAAGATAGCAGTACATTACGTTGTCAAGTTAATACAGTATGATGGAGCATCTCCAGACTGCAGATCCTGGACGACTGTAAAAGTCTAACAGATTTAGGGAAACTGTACCTCAGGGAGCACATTAGACAGCACTCATCAATGGATCAAAACTGTCTTGGAGGCTCCCTTCCCAGGGAGCAGCAGAACCCCTGAAAATGATGGCTTTCCCTTCAACAACCTGGAGATAAATTGTACTTCATGTATTACATGTACATTCATGTACGAATGGGGTGCTTAGTGCGAGTGGAAAATGCACCTTATTTTACCCCAAATGAAAAAGTATATCCTTTTCATTTTACCCCAAATGAAAAAGTATATCCTTTGCAAGCCAAATTCTGTTTTCTTTTAGATGATTGCAAAATGTCGTACTACTCTATTAATTCCCTTAGTTCCATCTGCTGATTTCAGATATATTTGGACACATTTAGCTTCGTGCCCCTAATGGAGAAATGCTCTTAATTATTTCAAAGGATGTTTTGATGTATTGAGGTTTTAATCAGATATAAAATTGGCAGAGTGTGACGTTCGTACATATGCTCCCAGGAAGGCATCGTTTCAGTGAGCTTTTATCCTGGGAAGAAATGCCATTTTACAATGAAAATGTTAACAAGAATAACATAGCTGGACCATACAGAGGTTTTAAGAGTTACCAGGTGCAGTCATCAATTTATTTCCCTCATTTTGCGCACCTCTAAAGTTGGATA
The DNA here is from genome assembly GCF_000001405.40 of Homo sapiens. Taxonomy (NCBI): domain Eukaryota; kingdom Metazoa; phylum Chordata; class Mammalia; order Primates; family Hominidae; genus Homo; species Homo sapiens. The sequence continues at coordinate 3,237,092 of NC_000007.14, read as the reverse complement.
TGCTTTTGCAGTCTGAGAATCACTGAGGAGCCATTGTTTCAATGAGCAGAGGTTTGGTGAGGAATAGCACTGTTGACAGATTTTTGTCCTCTCACTTCTCATGCACCCCTCACTTCTGTTACTTGGAATTTAATCTCCTCCATGGGGAGAACTGTTCCAATTGAGTAATTTAAATACCCCCAGTTACAAGGCAATGGATCATGGCACCCCCCAGGGACCAGGCTGTTAGTTGGATCATCCACTATAGCAGTCTCAACTCCTCAGGCTGGGAACAAGATGCCAGGGGTAGGGGTGGGGTAGGGAAGAGAGGCCTCACCCACTAAGTCACTCACTGGGTATTGTTTTTCTCTATCTGCATCATCTAATAGCTAAAATGGTTCTGTTTCACATCCCAGAATACACCCTTGTTTATGCATGCTATGCTACTGGTCAGAGTGGGTGAAGAATAGGCTTGGTAAGGAAGAATAGGAGTTATTACTCTAATTCTGTTGTCACATATGGAAAAGCAGGTGTTCCAGTCACTGCTGCCTAACAAATTACCCTTTAACTTAGCAGCTTTCAACAACATCCATTTATTCTATCTCACAATACAGTGGGCTTGATTTGAACAGGGCTCAGCTGGGTGATTCTTCTGCTCCATGTGGCTTTGACTGAAGCCACTCAGTTTTACTCAGCTCCCAGATGAACCAATACAGAGGTTCCAAGAAGGGGTTTCTCACTTATCTGGGGCTTTGGTGAGTCCAGCTGAAAGATGAGGACTATTGAAAAGAACACCTACATGGGGCCCCTCAAGCTTGATGGTGTCAGGGTGGTCAGATATCTTTCATGGTAGCTCAGGGCTTCCAGAGAGAGTGCTCCAAGAGACCCAAGCAGAAGCTGGACAGCTTCTTATGTCCTAGCTTCAGAAGTTCTACACATCACTTCTCCCATAAGTGATTTGCCAAAGCAGTGATAGGCCAGCCCAGATTAAAGGGAAAGGAAAATAGACCCCATCTCTTGATGGAAGGATTGTCAAAGAATGAGCAGTCATCTTTAATCCACCACAGCAGCTAAGAACACTTGTAGTGTGCTGGTGGTGGTGGTTTGGAGACTGAATGTGACTGTTTGAGGCACAGTATTAAACTGTCTATAGAAAGAAGATGAACAAATGTGCATGTTCAACTAACCAAGAGCAACTTAAGACAGCACTAAGCTTTTTACAAAATAAATTTGACTTAACCTTTTCTTCATCTTCCATTTCCAATAATCACTAATTTTTGTTGACTTTACCTTTTAAGTATTGTGTAAATTTCTACTTCTTTCCATTGCCACCATCTCTCCCATTACCATCAACACCACCAACATCACTACCACCGCAATCACCATCACCACTATCCATCATCACCACCACTATTACCACCATTATCATCACCATCACTACTACCATTACCACCACCATCATTATCACCATCACCACCATCACTACCACAACCACCAACACTACCACAACCACCGTTACCACCACAATTACTACTATCACCATCGCTACCATTACCACCATCATCACCATCATTACCACGAGTACCATCACCCCTACCACCATCATCTCCACCACCATTACCACAATCACCACCATAACCATCACCATCACCACCATACCAGTATCACCACTCTTCCACAATCAACCCACCACCACCTCCACCATCATCATCACCATCACCACTACCACCACCATCACTACTACCATTACCACCGCTACCACAACCATGACATTTGTTCAAGCTACCCCCATTTCACCTAAAGTAGCCTCATGACTTCTGGCTGCACCCATGCTGATCCCTTCCAGTCCAATTGCTCCACTGCAGACAGAGAGATTACTTCCAAGTCTGATCATGTCATCAAGCCTGTGTAAAACTCTTCAATAGCTTTCCAGTGCTTTGAAAAATGAAAGCCAAACTATCATAGTGCACAAGGCCCAGCCTACCCCTCTAGCTTCACACACACACTTATTCAAGATGAGCTTTTAAACTAAAATTCCAAAGCACATCTTACAGGGAAATGATTCATCCCTGCCACGGATCTCCCGGGCATCTTATTAAAACGCAAGTTCTGATTCAGGATGGCTGGGGAGGGCCTTGGAGTCCAAATCTATCCCAAGCTCTGGAGGACACCAAAGCTGCTGGCCTGGGGTCCACACTTGGCACAATCAGACAGCAAACATATAGCCAAAAGCATGGAGTTGATCAAATCATTAGTAAAACAAAGCAATTGCTTGGAAACGGCAGTAGTTCCTACAAATGTGAAACATTGACGTTATCCCTGTTTAGGTTAAAAACTTAATTTTCATCCAAAGGGACACATTTGACACCCATTTCTTTCTTTTTTTTTTTTTTTTTTTTTGTTTTCAGACGGAGTCTCACTCTGTTGCCCAGGCTGGAGCACAGTGGTGGATCTCGGCTCACTGTAAGCTCCGCCTCCCGGGTTCACGCCATTCTCCTGCCTCAGCCTCCCGAGTAGCTTGGACTACAGGTGCCCGCCACCAAGCCTGGCTAATTTTGCTTTTGTATTTTTAGTAGAGATGGGGTTTCACCGTGTTAGCCAGGATGGTCTTGATCTCCTGACCTCGTGATCTGCCTACCTTGGCCTCCCAAAGTGCTGGGATTACAGGCGTGAGCCACCACACCCAGCCCTTTGACACCCATTTCTAAGGGGCCAACCTGAGGCCTGCAGGCCTTAGGGCCCACCTTGCTGCCAGGTGTCAGGTACCCCACTGCCCAGCCCACCTGGGTGCCAGAGACACCAGAGGTGGTTGTCCACCACCTCTTTCTTCAGGGGCAGGGGTGGGAGGACTGGGCTCTGTGCTTGCAGTTCCCTCTGATGGCTGTTACATCTGTAGCTCCAGGTGTGACACTGCGGCCACCTCCAAACCCTGTGAGTCTGCGTTTGAAGACGGGCAGGAGGCACCATCCCTTGCTCCTGCCTTCTCCTCTTGCCTTCTCCTCTTGCCACCCCTGCCGCTCCCTCCCCCTCCATTGCCCTCCCTCCCTCTCCCGAATTTGACTGAAGCCCATCTCTGTGTTGGCCGCACACCAGCAAAAGTATGTGAGCTGTCAATTTGCAAAGTCCTAGTCCTAAACTCAGACAGAATGTGGGATTCAACTTCAGGGTTACCTGCAGCGGTTCTCTTTAGTACTGAGAGATCAAAATAGCTGTCGGTAGGGAAATATCTAACTTCGCTTGACATGACGTGCAGGCCGGAACAAAGGCGACTTCCTCTCCATCCAGCTCTCATAACCCTGATCAGCGAACGTGCTCCCCAAAATCACACAGTGGCTCAGCAAAAAGGGAATCTGTATCCATACCCATAAAGATGTTTTGATTCTTGGTGCTGATAGCTAGCACACAACCTGAAGCACAGCCCTGAGACCGCGTGGTTCCCTGATCTTTGCTGCAATTTGGTGCTCTCAATGCAGAGAAAGAGTTTTTGTTGTGTGTTTTCCTCTGTGTGTGCATTGTTTTAATGTCCCAGGCAGGCCATGAGGGAATGATGGTCCTGAGACTGAGTGTAACGGAGGAAATGTGGGAGAAATATGGGGTGCTGTGCCTCAGATTGGAAACGCAGAGGTAATCAGCAGTCAGCTGCAAGTTTGATTGGGAGCTGCCAAGAATTGCTCCCCCGGATAGCTGTCTCTCTTGTGAGATGCTGATATACAGGGTCTGTTTGGCGTTGCCAGTGGCTTTGTGGACAACCCTGTTATAAGCCCTCCACAAATATCCAGTTATTTGGCTGTTGTTATGGGAGCGGTACAATTACGGCCAAATTGAGGTAGTGACGGGGGACACAAAAGCAAGTGGGTTGGGGGTGAGCAAAATTGCTATTTTCATCAAAACATATCTTGGCTGATCACCTGGACTGAATGAGAACAATCAGGACAAACAGGTAGCAGGAACCCTGCGTGGCTCCAGGGATTACAGACCCGACTTTATGCTGGAGAAACAAAATTGCCTTTAAGAGAGAGAGAGAGAAAAAAAAATCACATCCTCTTATTCTCTTTGTGATTTTACAAAAATACTATAATTCTGCCTCAGAGCAGGAAGTTCAATGTTGTTCAAAGATTCTTTGTTGCCTCTTTACTTTTGTTACCTAATACATGCCCAAAATATGTAATTTTGCAATTTAAGGTTTTTGATTGAAAAATCTAAAGTTATCAGTAAATTACCTTCCAAATGGATTGCTATCATTATCCAGACTTAATATAGTTATTGAGCAAATGCCTGCATACAAGCTAATTAAGATAGTCACCAAAACACCAAAGCCATCCAGGCTCCCTGAAACTGAGCTTCACGTTCAAAGCGGTGGGTGGGAAGAGAAGGTTACTTCCCATAAAAATGGCATCATGAGTTCACACAAAACTTTCCTCATTCCATCTCCAAAATCATAGAAATAATGAATAAAATATAAAAACATATTATAAGACTTAACTGTTCTTTAAAAATATGCAGATTCTTTGAGAGTTAAATCCTGCAAGGTAGTGGGGGACAGAATTGTCTCCATATAATCCAGGATTGAGTCCAGTCTGGGGAAACTGTTTCCACCCATAAATAGAACATTGCAGCAGTGGCCCAGGGCAGTTTCCTAAGGCAGCAGGAATGAGCTGAGCTGGGGCCAAATCATACCCTACCCCTGTCCCTTGGGACAAAAAGCCTAAGCCTCCAATATAAGGCCTAGTTACTCAGGAATCCAGTGAGCTAGATGGAGACAACTGAAAAACTGCTGGTCAGAGAGGAGTGATCCTAGGAAGGGGACGCACATGCATGTACATGCACACACACACACACACACATGCACACACACACGTACACCCACACACATATGCATATAAACACACACGTACACACACACATGTACACATACACATATGCATATACAGACATATGTACACACACACATATGCATATACACACATACACACACACACACAACTTCTATTCAAGATAAGCTCTCAAACTAAAATCCAAAGCACACCTTGTAGAAGATGATCAACAAACTCATGGCTACCAAGGACATGCAAATGTTAGAGCAGCCATAAAAGGACTTTAAATAGGGCCAGGTGCAGTGGCTCACACCTGTAATCCCAACACTTTGGGAGGCTGAGGTGGGCGGATCACCTGAGGTCAGGAGTTCGAGACCAGCCTGGCTAACATGGCGAAAGCTCATCTCTACTACAAATACAAAAGTTAGCTAGGTGTAGTGGCGCATGCCTGTAATCTCAGCTACCCGGGTGGCTGAGGCAGGAGAATTGTTGGAACCCAGGAGGCGGAGGCTGCTGTGAGCTGAGATTGCGCCACTGCACTCCAGCGCGAGCAACAGAGCGAGACTCTGTCTCAAACACACACACACACACACACACACACACACACCAAAAAAAACGAAAGAAGGACTTTAAGTAGGTGTAAGTATAATCCTCAGAGATAAAGGAGAAAATAACACCCATAGAATGAGACCAAGATAATGAACAAAAGCTTGGCAGGTAAGAGTGAATTAAAAAGAAAGATTTTTTTTTTAAATTTAAAATCCTAGAAATAGGAACTTCCACGTATGGGAAGATGACATAGATGTACTTTCCCTAAAAGCCCTGGACGTTCTGTATAAAACAAACAGAAAGACACTGAGAGATGGAGAGAAGAAGGCAGACGTTCTAGGGACCTCAGAACCAAGAAATGACAAAGTAGTGAGTTCTTTAAGTTTTCCTTTTGTGTCTCATATCCCGGATTGGGTGTGGGAAAACATGGCAAGCTGGAAACACCAACAGGCAAAGACAAAGGTAAACCAAAGCGCCAAGGAAAATCCGCTTTTTCTTGCCGGAGGATCGGGAAAGAGGCAGCCTGGCAAGATGAAAGAATTTTAGACAGTAACCACTCCACACCAGAAAAGCACCACAGAAACAAGCATGGCCCCACTCACGCTCCCACCAGCAAAGGCTGAGTGCGAAGCCAGAACTTGCACTCCAGCCTAGTGGTAATAAAGCCCAACTCAGCAGTGTCATTGGAGACCATGTGGGGAGCTTGGACTTCCACTCATGCCTGGTAGGATGACGTGCCCGTCCACCCCACTGCTGCGCTGGTATCAGAAGAGACAAGTGGAAAAATCGAAATATTCACCACCATCCAGTGGTTCAAAGCCACCTTCATGCCATGAAAGTGGACATCGCATGAAAGGGAGTAAGGAAGTCCCCATGTGCCTGTCAGCCAGTTTGTTGTCAACAGAGGCCTGGTGGAGAAGCTGAGGCCACACCCTCAGCCAGCAGCAATGAAGAGCACCTGTCCCTCTGGTGTCCTTGGAGGCCACTTGGGAAAACCCCACCTGGAAGTAACAAGGGAGCATCCCCTTTGTTAGCTAAATAAGTGTCAGCAAAGGTCTACTTAAAACAGAAGACTTAAATAAAATCCAGAGTCTCATAATATCCCAAATGTCCATTTTCAATCAAATATAACTCATCGTTTCAAGAACCAGAAAAATAGCCACTTGAATGAGAAAAGAGCATTGACAGACACTAGAGTGGGTTAAATAGCATCCTCCCAAAATTCACGTCCGCTGGAACCTCAGCATGTTATTTTACTTGGAAACAAGGTATTGGCAGATATAATTAGTTAAGGATCTCAAGGTGAAATCACCCTGGATTTAGGGTGGATCCTAAATTCAATCAATAGTGTCTCTATAAGAAGAAGAGACAGAGAAGAAGGCCACGTGAAGATGGAAGCTGAGACTGGAGTGATGCATTTACAAGCCACAGATGCCAGCAGCCACCAGAAGTTAGGAAAGCTGGAAGGGACGGTTTCTTCCTCAGGGCCTCCAGAAGGAACCAACTCTGCCGACACCCTGATCATAGGCTCCTGGCCTCTAGAACACTGAGACAATAAATTTCTGTTGTTTTATGTCTACCAGTTTGTGGTAATTGTTACAGCAGCCCTAGCAAACGAAGACAGATGTCAGCATTGAGATGACACAGATGTTAGAATTATCTGACAACGATTTTAACACACACGTTATAAAATGCTTCAACAAGCAGTGATGAACACACTTGAAATGCAGGCAAATGCAGAAAGTCTCAGCACTGAAATAGAAGGCATAAGCAAAGAATCAAACGGAAATTTTAAAGCTGGAAAATTCAACCACTGATATGGTTTGGCTGTGTCCCCACCCAAATCTCATCTTGAATTGTAGTTCCCGTAATCCCCACACATTGTGGGAGGCACCCGGTGAGAGGTAATTTAATCATGGGGCAGATACCCTTATGCTGTTCTCGTAATAGTGAGTAAGCTCTCATGAGATCTGATAGTTTTATAAGTGGCTTCTCCCCCTTCCACTCTGCACTTCTTGCTGCTGCCATGTGAAGAAGGACATGATTGCTTCCCCTTCTGCCATGATTGTAAGTTTCCTGAGGCTTCCCCAGCCATGCTGAACTGTGAGTCAATTAAATCTCTTTCCTTTATAAATTACCTAGAGTATGTCTTTATTAGCAGTGTGAGAACAAACTAATACAACCACCAAAATTAAACCTGAATGGATGGGCTTAACAGCAGAATGGAGAAGACAGAGGAAAGAATTAGTAAATGTGAAGATACAACAATAGAAATTACCCAATCTGAGCAACAGAGAAAATACGCTGAAGAAAAGAGAAGAAAAAAAGGACAGAGCTTTAAAACTCTGTAGAACTACTACAAAAGATCTAACATTTATGTCATTGGAGTCCAAGAAGGAGAGGAGACAGTGGGTGGGGCTAAAAAATGTTCACAGGAATAATGGCTGAAAAATCCTCAAATTTGACAAAAGACATAAATTTGCAGATTTCAGAAGCTAAGTAAACCCCAAATAGGATAAACTGAAAGCAATCCATACCATAGTCAAGTTGATAAAAACTCTTTGGTTTAAAAAGAAAATAGTAAATATCTTGACAGCAGTAAGAGAGAAATTAGACCTTACCTACAAAAGAGAAACAATTCATCTAACAATGGATTTCTCATCAGAGGCCGGAAGGAAGTGGCACATTTTAAAGCACTGAAATAAAAAACAAACCTATCCATCTACAATTCTGTATCCAGCAAAAATATCTTTCAGAAATGAAGGGGAAATCAAGACATTTTTGAATGAAGAGAAGCTAAGAGAATTTGTCAGCAGTAGACCTATGCTAAAAAAATGGCCAGTGGAATTTCCCTAAATGATAAAATAAGAAATCTTGGAACATCAGGAAAGAAGAAAGAACACAATAGACTTCTTCTCTTCTTGAGTTTTCTAAATTATATTTGATGGTTGAAACAAAAATTATAACTCTGATGTGATTCTCAATGTATGTAGACACAATTATATCATAAAAGGAGGAGGATAAAGGGACAAAAAGAGAAGTAAGATTTCTTCTTCTTCTTCTTCTTTTTTTTTTTTTTTTTTTTTGAGACAGGGCCTTGCTCTGTCACCCAGGCTGGAGTGTAGTGGGGTGATCTTGGCTCGCTGCAACCTCCACCTCTCAGGTTCAAGTGATTCTTGTGCTTCAGCTTCCCAAGTAGCTGGGATTACAGGTGTGTGCCACCATGCCTGGCTAATTTTTGTATTTTTTAGTAGAAACAGGGTTTTGCCATGTTGGCCGGGCTGGTCTCAAAACACTGGCCTCAAGTGATCTGCCTGTCTTGTCCTCCCAAAGTGCTGGGATTACAGGCATGAACCACCATGCCCAGCTGAGAAGTAAGCTTTCTACATTTCACTTGATCTTCTAAAATATCGACACCAGTAGACTGAAATGTTATGTATGTACAATATAATACCTAGAACAATAACTAATAAATCTATAAAGATACATTGAAAAGCACTATAAATAAATCAAAATGAAATTTTTTAAATGACCAAGTAACCACAAGAAGGCAGGAATAAGAAAACAGAAATGAAAAACAGGAAACAGACTTTCAGTTTTAGCTCTGACACATAAAGAGCCTGGAAGTTTTCACCTCCATCCTTACAACAAGAAAAAAAGCTGAAAAAACTGAAAATCAACAACTCTTCTTAGATCTGTAATAGAATTAAGGTCACGCCTCAGAATGCTGCTTTGGCATTTGGAAACACAGGTGAATATGATAAATCACAGCCTATGGGGAGCAGAAGCTTCTGGAGCCAGTAACTGGTAGGAACGCTTAAAATGTAATTGAGTAATTGATGCACACTGAACATGGTATAACTGGGGAGTTACAAACTCCTGGGGTCCCAGTCTTAGGAACCCCTATACTTTTATGGGTTTTACATCCAGGAGACTCCCCAGGTTCTCCCAGCGAAGACAGGAGAAACATCTCTTTCTTCAGGCAGGAGGAAGCAAAAAGTAATTATTTAAAAATATACCCAGGCTAGGCATGGTGGCTCATGTCTGTAATCCCAGCACTTTATATATATACATACCCAGAGTATTCTATTCTCAGCAACAAAGTCCTACTCTCAAGGAAAACTTCCAGAATCTGTTCTGGAATCTAGGCAGGGGCAATTAGATACCTGCAGCCAACTCTAGCTCCCTGCCTACATAAGCAGAGAAAAAAAAAAAAAAAAGCCTGAGAGGCTCTTCTGAAGGTCACAGCACAGGGCCTCAGGCTCACTAAAAAAAAAAAAAAAAAAAAAAAAAAACAACTCTGATTTTTTTAATTATTATTTTTTTATTTCAATGTTTTTAGTTTTTGGGATACAGGTGGTTTTTTATTACATGGATGAGTTCTATAGTGGCAGCTTCTGATATTTTAGTGCACCTGTCACTCAAGCAGTGTACGCTGTACCCAATATGTAGTCTTTCATCATTCACCTCTCCTCCCAACCTCTCCCCCGACCAAGGTCTATTATGTGACTCTGTATGTCTTTGCATCCTCATAACTTAGCTCCCATTTATAAGTGAGAATATGAAATACGGTTTTCCATTTCTGGGTTGCTTCATTTAGAATAATGGCCTCTAGCTCTACCCAAATTGCTGCAAAAGACATTATTTCATTCCTCTTTATGGCTAATATTCCATGGTGTATATGTACCACATTTTCTTTATCCACTCATTGATCAGTGGGCACTTAGATTGGTTTCATATCTTTGCAATTGTGAATGTGCTGCTATAAACATGTGTGTGCTTGTGTCTTTTTCTTATAGTGACTTCTTCTCCTTTGAGTAGATACCCAGTGGGATTGCTGGATTGAATGGTAGATCTACATTTAGTTCTTTAAGGAATCTCCATACTGTTTTCCACAGTGGTTGTACTAATTTACATGACCACCTGCAGTGTAAAATTGTTCCCTTTTCACCACATTCATGACAACATCTATTGGTTTTTGACTTTTTAATTATGGCCATTCTTGTAAGAGTAAGGTGGTATCTCACTGTGGTTTTAATTTTCATTTTCCTGATGATTAGTGATGCTGAGCATTTTCTCATATGTTTGTTGGCTGTTTGCATATCTTCTTTTGAGAAATGTCTATTCATGACATTTACCCACTTTTTGATGGGATTATTTGTTTTTTCTTGCTGAATTGTTCAAGTACTTTGTAGATTCTAAATACTAGTCCTTTGTTAAATTCATGTTTGTGAATATTCTCTCTTACTCTGTGGGTTATCTGTTGTGCTGACTATAGCTTTTGCTGTGCAGAAGATTTTTTAGCTTCATTATGTTCCATTTATTTGTTTTTGTTTGTTTGTTTTAGTTGCATTTGCTTTTGGGGCTCAGTCATGAATTCTTTGCCTAGACCAATGTCCAAAAGACTTTTTCCAGTGTTATCTTCTAGAGTTGTTATGGTTTCAGGCCTTATATTTCAGTCTTTCATCCATTCTGAGTTGATTTTTGTGTAAGGTAATAGATGGGGATCCATTTTCATTCTTCTACATGTGGCTTGCCAATTTTCCCAGCAGCATTTATTGAATAGGTAGTGTCCTTTCCCCAATTTATGTTTTTGTATGCTTTGTTGAAGATCAGTTCCCTGTAAGCATTTGGCTTTATTTATGAATTCTCTAACCTGTTCCTTTTGTCTGAGTGCCTATTTTTATACCACTACCATGCTGTTTTGGTAACTATAGCCTTGTAGTATAATTTGAATCCTGGTAATGTGATGCCTCCGGATTTGTTCTTTTTGCTTAGAATTTATTTGGCTATGTGGTCTTGTTTTTTGTTCCATATGAATTTTGGGATTGTTTTTTCCAGTTCTGTGAAAAATGATGATGGTATTTTGATGGGAACCGCATTGATTCTGTAGATTGCTTTGGGTAGTATGGTCATTTTCACAATATTGATTCTTCCCATCCATGAGCATGGGATGTGTTTCCATTTGTTTGTGTTATCTATTATTTCTTTCAGCAGTGTTTTGCTTTAAAAAAAAAAAAACTCTAAGATTTAATCATAAGATTATAGACTGTCTTCCCTCCTCAGTATCTTACCACAACATCAACAGGGTTCCAGGATAATAATAATGGATTACAACTGATACAGCTTCAAGACACAGACTCTATTTAAAAATAATCTTTCTAGGGAAACACAAAGACAACAGGAGAGAAAAAAACAAGGAAGCCTCTGACACCTATAGCTACAGCTATAGCAAACATTAAACACAGCCTAACTCCCATCCAGATAAGCATAAAACCTCAAATTAAAGGCCTATTTACCTCAGTTCCTATTACCTAATACATCTTATTTGACTTTCAACAAAAAATTGCAGGCATGCTAAAAAGCACAATAAAACACAGTCTGAAGAGACAAAGCAAGCATCAGAACCAGACTCATAGACATTGAAATCGTCAAGCTGGGCATTTAATATAACTACAATTAGTATGCTAAAGGATTTAATGGAAAAAAGCGAACGACAGGCAACAACACATGGTAATTGGAAACAGAGATAGGAACATGCTAATATAGAATCTAAAAGAAATGCTAGAAATTAAAAACATTGTGTCAGAAAGAAATAATTTTTTAATGGGTTCATCAGTAAACTGGATTTGGCTATGAAAATAATCAGCAAGCTTGAAAAAATGTCAAGAGAAATTTCCCAAACTGGAATGTGAAGAGAAAACAGGAGAATGAAAAAAAAAAAGAGCAGAATGTTCAAGAATGATGGGTCAATTACAAAAGGTGTAAATACATGTAATGGGATTACCAGAAGGAGAGTAAACATAGAAAGGAATAGACAAAACATTTGAAATATGAATGCATGAGAGTTCTCCAAAATTAACGAGAGACACTAAACCACAGTTTCAGTAACTTCAGAGAATATCAGGGAGGACAAATAACTACAACAACAAAATAAACAAATAAAAAACCTTTAAGCATGTCATATTTAAACTAGAAAACAAAGAGAACAGCTTGAAAGAAGTCAGAGGAAGAAAACACCTTACCTGAAGGGAAACAAGGATAAGAATTATGTCAGACTTCCCTTTAGAAACTATACAAGCAAAATGAGAGTGGAGTAAAATAAGAAAAAACAATACACCAATCAGTAATTCTCTATCCAGCAAAATTAACCTTTAAAAGTGAAGAAGACCTTCTTTCTCAGAAAAACAAAAACTGATGGAATTTGTCATCAGTAGACCTACTTTATAAGAAATCTAAAAATAAGTTCTTCAGAGAGAAGGAAAGTAATACAGGTCAGAAATTCAGATCTACGTGAAGAAAGAATGAGCATTAGAAAACAAACAAATAAAGATAAAATAAAAAATCATTTATTTGTCTTATTCTTAATTGATCTAATATATAACTTTGTTAAAAACAACAGCAATATTGTATTGGATGATTATAACTTATGGATATAAATGAAATGTATGACAACAATATTACAAAGGTTGTGAACAAGAAATTGGGAGTACTCCGTTTTAAGGTACCTGCACTACCTATGAAACAGTATAATATTATTTGAAAGTGGTCTTGAATTAGTTGTAAATGTATGCTGCAAACACTAAAATAGTTCTTAAAAGAAATATAATTGAAATGCTGTAAGAGAAAATTGAATCATATAAAATGCTCACTTAAAACCAGAGAAGATATAAAAAGAAGGGAATGCCAAAAAGAAAAGAAAAGAAAAAGATAGAAAGAAATTAAGAAAAAAGAGCAGGGCTGTGAATAGAAAACAGTTATAAATATGGTAGATATTAACCCAACTATAAAAATTGTACTCAGAGGAGTCTCATTTCTATTCCTATCACTTCCACTCCAGTCCCTTAAACCTCATGGATAATTGTCTTCATTAATTTCTGCTTTATCTTTCCTGTGTTCCATTTCAGAAGAAAAATCAAATAAATATACACATACACACACACACACACACAGAGTCTAGCATATTATAATACTCTTTTACATTTTGCTTTCTTCACTTAACAATGGATCCTGGAAATCATTTCAGCAGAGTTCTTAGAGATTCCTCATTGTTTTTGCATAGTATTCTATTGTGTGTATTCATCATAATTTATTCAATCTTTCGCCTATGAATAGGCGTTTAGGTTGTTTCCAGTATTTTGCTATTAGAAATAAGGGTGTGACAGCTGGCTTATTCATATTTTGCTTCGTATTGTGGAGGTGTATCTTCAGGGTGAATTCCTAAAAGTGGGATTGATGAATCAAAGAGAAAAGGTTTTATAGTTGGTTGGCTATTGCCAGATTCCCTGCTATAGGGTTTATACATTTTGCACCCCCACCAGCAACGTGCACAAGGGCTTAAACAGCATTCCCCCCAACAAAATATCAAGGTTTTGAATTTTTGCCAAAATGAAAGGTAAGAAATTGTACTACAGTGTAAACTAGTTTTAATTTCTATTTCCCTTAAGAGTAAAGTTGACATCTTTTTAATGTCTAAAAGGATAATTGTATATTGATTTTTATAAACTAGATGTTTATGTCTTTTGCTCATTTTTTAATTGTCTGTGGCCTTTTATCCCTCCATTTTAAAAAGCTTTTTATGGCCAGGGCATAGTGGCTCACACATATAATCCTAGCAGTTTGGGAGGCTGAGGTGGGCAGATTGCTTGAGCCCAGGAGTTTGATACTAGCCTAGGCAAGATGGCTGTATTAGTCCATTCTCGCACTGCTATAAAGAAATACCTGAGACTGAGTAATTTATAAAGAAAATAGGTTTAATTGGTTCGTGGTTGACACTGTAACAGGAAGCATAGCTGGGGAGGCCTCAGGAAACTTACAATCGTGGCAGAAGGTTAGGTAGAAGTAGGCATTTCATACATGGCTGGAGCAGGAGGAAGAGAGAGATCGGGGAGGTACCACGCACTTTTAAACAACCAGATCTTGCAATAACTCACTCACTATTGCAAGAACAGCACCGAAGGGGAAATTTGCAACCACGATTTAATCACCTCCCCCCAGGCCCCATCTCCAACACCGGGAATTCCAATTTGACATGACATTTGGGCGGGGACACAGATCCAAACCATATCAATGCCAAAAGTCTGTCTACAAAAAATACAAAAAAATTAGCTGGGGATAGTGGTACACACCTGTAGTCCCAGCTACTTTGGAGGCTGAGGTGGGAGAATCACCTGAGCACAGGGAGGTCGAGGCTGCAGTGAGCCATGATTGCACCACTGCGCTTCAGCCTGGGTGAGAGAGTGAGATCCTGTCTTGATAAATAAATAAGTAAATAAATAAGTAATAAATAAATAAATGTTTTTTACGTATTAAGGTTTTCAGCTCCTTATCTGTAGTATAGGTTGTAATTATGTTCCACAGTTTCTCATTTCTTATTCCTTTGATTTTACTTTGCTCACATTAATGTTTTAAACCATGAACATGGTGTATTTTTCACGCAATAGAATTTATCAAGGTTTTAAATTATTGCATCTGGATTTTTCATCATAGTTAAAACAGATTTCTGCATATCCAGATTACAAATGAATTCATCCATAATTTAAAAAGCAGCCGTGTAGTTTTATTATTTACATTTAAACTTTTAATCTACTTTGAATTTACTCTAGTTTACAGTTGGAGCAATGAATTTGATTTTATCTTTTTTTCAAATCTGTATTACAAAATCATTTATTTAAAAAATCTATCTTTTCCCCAGTGATTTGAGATGTCACTTTTATCACATACTAAATTCTCATATGTCCTTGTGCCTATTTCTGGATTTTCTATTTTGTTCCATTGGTCTTTCTATTTATGTACTAGGACTACACTCTTAGTATAGAGGCTATGTAATATATTTTACTATCTGGAAGGCTAGTCAATCTTTATTGCCCTTTTTAAATGGTTTTCTATTTTTGCATGTTTATTTTTCCATTTGAACATTCAAACCAACTTGTCTAACTCCAGTAAAAAAAACTTGGTATTTTTATGGATTTTTTTTTTTTTTTTTTTGAGACAGAGTCTCGCTCTTGTTGCCCAGGCTGGAGGGCAATGGTGTGATCTCAGCTCACTGCAACCTCTGCCTCCTGGATTCAAGCAATTTTCCTGCCTCAGCCTCCTAAGTACCTGGAATTGTAGGCACCCACGACCATGCCTGGCTAATTTTTGTACTTTTAGTAGAGACGGGGTTTCACCATGTTGGCTAGGCCGGTCTCAAACTCCTGACCTCAAGTGATCCGCCTACCTCGGCCTCCCAAAGTGTTGGGATTACAGGCGTGAGCCACTGTGCCTGGCCTTTATGGATTATATTAAATGTACATAGTAACTTGAGGAGAATTGACATCTATATGGTATTGAGTCATCTTGTCCAAGAACAAGGGTTGTCTTTTTATCTGCTCAAGTTTATTTTTGTGAAAACATATGAAGTCCTTAGTTAGAAATTTTGCATCTTGTGCCAAGCAACATAAATACAAATAAACTCACACATAGACAATGTTAGTGAAACTACAGATTACTAGGGATAGACAGGAAGAGGTTCAGAGCTGCCAGGGAGAATATATTGATTACTTACAAAGCAAAGACAATTAGGCAGACAGCTCATCATTAGTTGCCAGAAAACACAAAACTGTGGAGAAATAACAACTGTCAATCTAGAATCCTATACCCAGATAAGTTATTGCTCCAGTGTGAGCACAAAATAAAAATATGAAGGAACTTCAAAAACTTTATGGGAAAAAGAAATTAAAAGATAAAAATAAGAAATGTAAACGTTATTTCTCAACACAAGCTCCATCCAGTTAAAGACGTGTTTGTAGGTGATGATATGTAGTCCATTCCTAAAGAACTGAGGATCCTGGGAATTTACCCATGTCAATGCAGTATATTTAATATTATTAACTGAAAAAAAAAATGGGTACCCTTTCAAGATTTTTAGATTAGGAAACAAAAAGAAGTCAGAATGAGCCAAATCAGGACTGTAAGGTGGATGCCTAGTAATTTTCCATCAAAACTCTCACAAGATTGCTCTTGTTTGATGAGAGGAATGAGCAGAAGCAATGTCGTGGTGGAGACGGACTTTCTGATAAAGCTTTCCTGAGAGCTTTTTTGCTAAAGTTTGGCTAACTTTGTCAAAACACCCTCACAATAAGCAGACGCTGTTGTAATCTAGCCCTGCAGAAAGTCAACAAGCAAAATGCCTTCAGCATCCCAAAAAGCTGGTGCCATGACCTTTGCTTATGAGTGGTTCACTCTTCCTTTTGCTTGGACAGGACCACTTCCCCCTCTTGGTAGCCATTGCTTTGACTGTGCTTTGTCTTCAGGATTTTACCGGTGAAGCCATGTTTCATCTTCTTTGAAGACATGCTTCAGGATCTTGATCCCACTTGCTCAAAATTTCCACTGAAACTCTGTCCTTGTCCGTAGCTTATCTGGGTGCAACAGTTTGGTATCCATGAAGTGGAAAGTTTGATCAACTTTGATTCCTCAGTCAGAATTGTGTAAGCGGAACCAAGTGAGATATCTAAGGTGTGGGCTATTGTTTCTGCTGTTACTCTTTGGTCCTTTTCAATGAGGGCATCAACAAGATTAATTTTTTTCTGGTAAACTGATGTAGGTGGTCTGCTGGTACAAGCTTTATCTTCAACATCATCTTATCCCTTCTTAAAACAACTTATTCATTTGTAAACTTCTGATTTCCTTGTGGCATTGTTGCCATAAACTTTTTATAAAGTATCAATGATTTCACCATTCTTTCACCCAAAGTTCATCATAAACTTGATGTTTGTTCCTGCTTCAATTTTAGCAGAATTCATGCTACTCTGATAGGGTCTCTTTTCAAACTGATGTCTTATCCTTCTTAGGGCCACAAACTACCCATTTTAAAAAAATGTACAGGTACTGATGAAAGAACAGAAAGATAAGCTGTCATTTCCAAAACAGTAGAAGAAAAAAATGAGAATAAAAAAATTTCATCAATTCATAGAAAAAAAAAGAGAGGGAGACAAACATAGCAATAGAAAAATACAAAATAAGATGATAGAATTAAATCCCAATATAACAGCAATTACAATAAATGCGATTCGGTCAAACTCACCTGTTAAATATCAAATTGGATTTAAAATATAATTCCATACTGCTTATAAGAGCAATTAACACCAAATGTCTTAGAAAGGGTAAGATTGTAAGGTAGCTTTCAAGTTAACTCTTCATATGCTGTAGGTTTCGGTTTTGGGCTTTTTTGTTTGTTTTGGCAAGAATTTATTAGGTTGGTACAAAAGTAATTGCAGTTTTTGCCATTGAAAGTAACGGAAAACAGCTATTTTCTAAAACATTTATTTTGGAAAACAGCTGGTTCAATAGGCCCATCATACTAGTCTTTGGAGTGGGTTGATCTAATTCTGTCACCCAGCAGTTACTGTTCCTTCAGCTTCCTGGCATTTCCCCCTTTGGTCAGCCTCAAATAGTTTCAGAAGGCTAAGGAAAGAGCCCTAAGGCATTCCGCTAGAGACCCTCAACTCCGTAATAGTCCGTATTTGAACAGTTTCATTCAACAAGCTGCAAATTCACCTGGCCAGTCTCTCTTTCATCCTGCTATGTTTCTTTCTTGTTCAAAAATGTTAACATGCCAGGACTTTGACCTCCATGACACAAAGAAAACTCTTGCTAATAACAGACTTACCCGATCACAAGTGGCTTTTCTGTAAAACCCCAAACAACCTAAACCCCTTTTCTGAGTGGGAGAATGAAAACATCAGCTGTTGCAGAATAGACGGCATTCCTGTTGCTTAATTGGCACATCACGTACCTCCTGTACTTCAGAATGCCTTTGATGTCTGTTCTTTTGTTTTCATTTTTTTTTCAGTTTGCAGTAATTGAGAAATAAAGGTTCCAAGTCAAGAAACAATATCAGAACAAAAGCCAAAGCTGCACTCCAGTTGTTTGGTGTGTTTGAAATGCAGACTTCTTAAGTTCACCCAGAAGTTCTGCCAAAGTACACCAATAATGCACCTGTCTCTTTCAGCTGCGACAAGAATAATTAATTACATGAAAATGACTTCCATCGGAGGTTAACTTATTTTGGCTGACAGTCACAAACGTACACAGACATGTCTTACGCTGCAGTTAGGCAGAGCTTTATTTAGAACATTTTATTTATATCTTGGGTGATTTCGTTCCTAAGAAATTGAGGAAGAGAAAGAGGAGATGGTGCAGGAATGCAAGAAAGGAACATTTCTCATCATTTTTTCTTTTAACAAAAGCGGGGAAAAAAGACCAACGTCATAGCTAAGAACTTGACTTTCTCCCCAGAGTACTGTAGAATTCAGCCACTTTAGAGAGGGGTCAAGTGTACTTTGGGGGATGGGAAAGGGTGCAGGGCAAAAGGAAGGTTGCGGGAATTGACAGGTTTTCTCTGGTGTAACTTTAGGGTCTTCATTTACTCACTTTCTTCTGAGAGGTTAGGAGTGGGACTTGATGTTTCTACCATACAGACAAGACAACACGAATGTAGTACCCCTGAATCAGCCCACCCACCCTTGACAAGTGTTACCTCAGCCTCCCTGGGAGCCAAGAGGGACTCACTTTTGCAAATAGCTAAATTTTATTGTGGGCTTTGTTAGGGGCCAGGCATTTGCAAGCATCTCATTTCCTCCTCACCCCAACTCTCTGACATAGGAACTACTATCATCCCCGTTTTATGGATGGGGGAACTGAGGCTTGGGAAGGTTAAGAAACTTGCCCAAAGTTGGCCGGGTGCAGTGGCTCATGGCTATAATCCCAGCACTTTGGGAGGCTGAGGCGGGTGGATCACCTGGGTCAGGAGTTTGAGACCAGCCTGGCCAACATGGTGAAACCCTGTCTCTACTAAAAATACAAAAATTAGCCAGGTGTGGTGGTGGGCGCCTATAATCCCAGCTTCTCTGGAGGCTGAGGCAGAAGAATCGCTTGAATCTGGGAGGCCGAGGTTGCACTAAGCCAAGATCACGCCACTGTACTCCAGCCTGGGCAACAGAGCAAGACTCCATCTCAATTAAAAAAAAAAAAAGAAAATTAAAAAAAAAAAAAAGAAACTTGCCCGAAGTTGCACAGCCAGTCAGTGGCAGAGCTGGATTCCCAGCCCAACCACTACGCCACACGGTCTCTCTGTCACTGTTATTTTTATCAATCAAGGGGTCTCACATCATCCCTGGAAGATCTTTTAAATTCCTGATGTGTTTCCCTGAGTATGTGTGCTGGGTTTTTTTTAAATTTCAGGCTGGGGTAGCAGCGCTGTCTGTAAATGGAGAAGAATTCTGAGGCTTCAGGTAAGGTTTAGCTTACCCTCTGCTTCACCTGCATATAAAGAGGGCAAAGCCAAGGTGAGGGGCCACTGCTTCTGATAATCACCTTGCAAGCCCTTCCTCCTCAGCAATCCCTTATCACAGTCAGCCTGACTCTTGCAGTTGCAGTAGGCTGTTAGTCACGATGGGGGTCAGCTCAGGTTCCTGGGCCTGCAGCCATTAGCCTATAATAATAGTCACTGTTACCATTGTTACTATCTCCTACTTATTTTTTTAAGATGCGGTCTCACTCTGTTGCCCAGGCTGGAATAACACAATCATAGCTCACTGCAGCCTGGAACTTCTGGGTTCAAGCAATCCTCTAGCCCCAGCCTCCTCAGTAGAGGGACTACAGGTGGACACCACCACACCTGGCTAACTTATTAAGTTTTTTGTAGAGATGGGGGTCTCGCTATATTGCCCAGGCTGGTCTCAAATTCCTGGGCTCAAGCGATCCTCCTGCCTTGGCCTCCCAAAGCGCTGGGATTACAGGTATGAGCCACTGTGCCTGGCCACTCCCACTGCTTAATTGTTTCCTCCATGCTAGAATTTAAATCTGGATCTGCAAATTCCATTTCCACCAGCTACTAGCCTTGCAGTTTGGAGGCAGGTCATTTCACCTCTCTGAACCTCGGTTTCCTCTTGTGCACAATGAGGATAAGGATGACTATTTTTAGAATAACATTTATGTAGTCATTGCTTTATAGGCATGCTTTATTTACGTGCATGATTTCATTTATTCTCACAACAGCCCTGTTAAGCTGATGCCGTTAGGATACCCACTTTTATATGAGGAAACTGAAGTCTACAGAGGGGACTGCAACCTACTATAGGTCACACAGCTATTAAGTGTAAACTGGGGATTTAGCCCAATTCTGGGCCACTCCAATGCACAAGTTTTTAATCATGATACACTCTGGGATTATCGTAAGAGTTAGCGACGAGGTATGTGAGGGGCTTAACCCAGTGCCCAGCACACAGTAGGACTCAATTATCGGCAGGCAGACCTCACTGTTGGGATAACTGACCCCACACTGACACTGTTTTATCTCCAGGGTGAACCCCCAAGTCACAACGCCTGCAGGCAGCAGCCACAGTAATGCCTCCGCCTAGCACATGTAGGAGCCTCTGAGACTGGTGATTTCTTTGCAGAGAGAGGGTAACCAAATTGATACTAATCTTATTTTAAAACAGGTAGTTCTTTAAAAACCCCAAAACACAAAACCTGTCCAGCCAGACAGGCCAGTTTTCTTACACAATAGCTATCTTAATGAAATCTCAAGTTCATTTACTCTGAAAACCTCTTATAAGGAAAAGCACCTATGTTCCCAATACTGGTCTAGACACAGTGCGTTGGAGGTAATCTGATGCTTCTTTCTGCAGCATTTTAGAGAACAGACATGCCCACTCACCTCCACGGCAAAAGCCATCACTAACGTCATGATGGAGATCCTGATTCCACACCACCTGCCGAGAAGTGGGAAATAATTATTTAGGGGAAGCAAGGTGGTGCTACGCTATGGCCTTGAGAATGGGGAGTGTGGGGTAAAGAATATCCCAGCCAAGGGGCAAGACTGCCTGGGTTGAAATCCCAGCTCTGTCACCTTGGGCCCATAACAACTTTTCTGGGCCTCAGTTCTCATATCTGTAAAATGGGTATAAGCCCTTCTACCTTCACGGGCTGTTGTTTAGATCCCATAAATCCATTCATATGGATAATGTGCTTTGAGCAGTGTCCGGCACACAGTCGAGCCTATGGAACTTTCAGTAGTTACAATGGGTACAAAAAGATGGATAATACATATTACTTTATTGTCACTTGGAAATAGGTTTGAGTTTTCTGCAACTGTGGCAACACAGTTCCCGGCACCAGGTCTACAGGCTGACTTGCACAATGGAAGCGATTTGGGGTTTTTCAAAAGAACCTGGTGTCTAGGGTCAGAGTCTGTTGTTGGTTGGTTGGGAGAGGTCAAGAAAAGGGGAGAGGCCATGGGTCCAGGGTATCACTGTGTTAAATTGAACTAAATATGGCCTGAGAAGGACTCCATAGACTTCAGCCAAATTCATTTTTTTTTTTTTTAAACAAAGTCTCTATCACCCAGGCTGGAGTACAGTGGCGTGATCTTGGCTCACTGCAACCTCTGCCTCCTGGGTTCAAGTGATTCTCCTGCCTCAGCCCCCTGAGTAGCTGGGATTATAGGTGCGCACCACCACACAGCTAATTTTTGTATTTTTAGTAGAGACGGGGTTTCACTATGTTGGCCAGGCTGGTCTCAAACTCCTGACCTCGAGTGATCCACCCACCTCGGTCTCCCAAAATGCGGGGATTACAGGCATGAGTCACCATGCCTGGCCCAGCTGAATTAAATTTAAAGGAGTTTAATTGAACAATGAGCGATTCGCGAATGGGCAGCCCCCAGAATCACAGCAGATTCACAGAGACTCCAGCACAGCCACGTGGTAGAAGAAGATTTATAGACGATAAAGGGAAATGATGTACAGAAATCAGAAGTGAGGTACAAAACAGCTAGATTGGTTACAGGTTGGCATTTGCCTTATTTGAACACAGTTTGAACACTCAGCAGTGTATGAGTGGTTGAACTATGGCTGCTGGGATTGGCCAAGACTCAGCTATTGTTGCAGGTGCAGACTCCTAAGTTAGGTTTTCAGTCTTGTCTGCCTATTAAGCTAGGTTGCAGTTTGTCCACAAGGACTCAGATATAGAAGTACAGAGTCATTCTTAGGCCATATTTAGTTCACTTTAACAATTGGAAGGCCTCTTTTTGTAGAGACAGAGTCTTGCTCTGTTGCCCAGGCTGAAGTGCAGTGGTGCGATCATAACTCACCACAGCCTTGACCTCCTGAGCTCAAGCAATCCTCCTGCCTCAGCCCCCTAAGTACCAGGACTGCAGGTGTGTACCACCATGCCTAGCTACTTTTTAAAATGTTGAGATCGGGTCTTACTATGTTGCCCAGGCTGGACTGCAGTAGTGCCATCATAGCTCACTGCAGCCTGAAACTCCTGGCCTCAAGCTATGTTCCCACCTCAGCCTCCCAAGTAGCTGGGACCACAGGCCTAAAGAATTCAACAGATGGCTTCTGGCAAATGTGCTAATTTTGTTTTTGTATAATATCCACAAGGCATGGAATATTTTAGCGACTCCTGGAGGTGACAGTCTTTTTTGCTTTTTTTTTTGAGACAGGGTCTTGCTCTGTAACCCAGGCTGGAGTGCAGTTGCGCGACCACAGCTCTTTACAGCTTTGACCTCCTGATCTCAAGTGATCCTTCTGCCTCAGCCTCTCAAGTAAGCTAGGACCGCAGGTGCTTGCCACCATGCCTGAGTAATTTTTAAATTTTTTATAGAGATGGGGGTCTCGCTTTGTTACCCAGGCTGGTCTTGAACTCTGGGCTCCAAGTGATCCTCCCCCATCAGCCTCCTAAAGTGCAGAGATTACAAGTGGGTCACCATGCCCATAGACAATGTTGAATTTTACCTGAGCCCCAGGCTCCTGGGAGGCAGCGTGGACAAGAACTCCCCGCCACCCATCCTTTTGTGTTCTGGAAAACGGCTCATGGCAAGGAACTCCCTTGTCTGCAGTGTTACTGGTGTGACATAGCTGAGTTACCGGTGGCGAATCCGTACAGATCTCAGCAACCTCAATTCTCACCTCCTTAGAAGAAAGAGCTCAAGGCCGGGCGAGGTAGCTCACTCCTGTAATCCCAGCACTTTGGGAGGCCGAGGCAGGTGGATCAGGAGGTCAGGAGTTTCAGACCAGCCTGGCCAAGATGGTGAAACCCTATCTCTACTAAAAATACAAATATTAACCAGGCATGATGGAAGGTGCCTGTAATCTCAGTTACTCAGGAGGCTGAGGCAGACGATTGCTTGAACCTGGCAGGCGGAGGTTGCAGTAAGCTGAGATCATGCCACTGCACTCCAGCCTGGGTGTCAGAGCAAGACTCTGTCTCAAAAAAAAAAAAAAAAAAAAAAAAAGAAGAAGAAGAAAGAATTCGACTGAGGGGCATAAGGTAGAAGGAGAGACCGAGGCAAGTTTCAGAGCAGGAGTGAAAATGTATTACAAAGCTTTAGAAGAGAAAGGAAAGGAAGGCAAGAAAAGAAGGAAAGTAAGACTCGGAAGAGGGTCCAGCAGGTGCCCTGAGAAACCAAGTATGCAGCTCGGCCTCTTAACTGGGGAATTTTTTTCTTTTTCTCTTTTTTTTTTTTTTTTTTTTTTTGAGATGGAGTCTTGCTCTGTCACCAGGCTGGAGTGCAATGGCACGATCTCGGCTCACTGCCACCTCCGCCTCCCGGGTTCAAGCGATTCCCCTGCCTCAGCCTCCTGAGTAGCTGGGACTAAGGCATGTGCTACTACGCCCGGCTATTTTTTTTTGTATTTTTAGTAGAGATGGGTTTTCACCATGTTGGCCAGGATGGTCTCAATCTCCTGACCTCATGATCCGCCCGCCTCGGCCTCCCAAAGTGCTGGGATTACAGGCGTGAGCCAGAGTGCCTGGCCTTGACTGGGGATTTTACATATTGGAACACTTCCAGAACCTTACGTTACTTCTCCCTGCTCCTGGGATCTTACTGGGAAGCTGCTGATCAGTTTCAGGTGTTTTCTATTAGGACCTTGCCTTCCCCGGCACCAGCTGTGACCAATTATTACTTTACAGCAACAGTTAACAACTACCTGGCCGGGCGTGGTGGCTCAGGCCTGTAATCCTAGCACTTTGGGAGGCCGAGGTGGGGGCGGATCATTTGAGGCCAGGTGTTTGAGACCAGCCTGGCCAACATAGTGAAACCCTGTTTCTACTAAAAATACAAGAATTAGCCTGATGCGGTGGTGGGTGCTTGTAATCCCAGCTACTGGGGAGGCTGAGGCAGGAGAATCCCTGGACTCAGGAGGCAGAGGTTGCAGTGAGCCGAGATCACAGCACTGCACTCCAGCCTGGGCGACAGAGTGAGACCCTGTCTCAAAAAAAAAAAAAAAAAATTAGCTGGGTGTGGTGGCACATGCCTGTAATCTCAGCTACTCTGGAGGCTGAGGCAGGAGAATTGCTTGAACCCAGGAAGTGGACATTGCAGTGAGCCGAGATCATGCCACTGCACTCCAGCCTGGGCGACAGAGCAAGGCTCCGTCTTGAAAGAACAAAACAAAAAAACTGCCTGATCATCACCTGATGGTCGCCCAACACTCCGTGTGTGTGTGTGTGTGTGTGTGTGTGTGTGTGTGTGTGTGTGCGCACCCTGGGGTGTGGGGAGCCCTCTAATCGCGCCGCTCATATCTAACTAGCCACCCACTATAACAGCAGGACTTAGATGCTTAAATGAGGCTCACAGGTGCCCCTTGTGTGCTTACAACCAGGCCAGACACAGACCCTCCAAATTCCCACTCCTTGCCTCACTAATGATCAGCTGAACTGCTTGTCTCCACTGATCACTGGGAACAACATGCTTGAGAACCAAACTTTGGTGAAACTTCCTCCTTCCTCAGGCCCGCCCTTGGGGTAAGCCCGCAGACCCTTAAGAATCGGCTGCCCTAGGATAAAACCGACCCTGACCTACCATGTGGACACATTCATGTCACTTCCTCACACTGGGTCTTTCTGGTCTTATTACTCCCCACAAAAGAAAAACCAAGCACAGTGGCTCA
This sequence comes from Homo sapiens, assembly GCF_000001405.40. Taxonomy (NCBI): domain Eukaryota; kingdom Metazoa; phylum Chordata; class Mammalia; order Primates; family Hominidae; genus Homo; species Homo sapiens. The sequence goes on along the minus strand of NC_000007.14, from coordinate 3,211,804 downwards.
TGCCGATAATCCCAGCACTTTGGGAGGCCAAGGTGGGAGGATCACTTGAGACCAGGAGTTCAAGACCAGCCTGGGAAACACAGTGAGACAACCCCTTATCTCTACAAAACATTTAAAAATTAGCCAGGCGTGGTGGTGTGTACCTGTAGTCCCAGCTACTTGGGAGGTTGAGGCTGCAGTGAGCTGTGAACACATCAATGCATTCCAGCCTGGGCAACAAAGCGAGACCCAGTCTCTAAAGAAAAAACAGGAAAAGTATTTTTGCAGATTTTATGTTCAGAACAGTCCCCCTATTGAAATAATCCCCCTCCCTCCATTGCAAGAGCCATCCCCCTCCCCCTTGTAATAACCCTTTCAGATAGTCTCTCCTTATGACATCCAAGTGTCTTTTTCACTTGACAAGGTTGGGGGACGACCTTGTGCAAGATCTCCCGAGATCTCCCAAGAACTGTGGTTCTCTGGAACGCCTGGGGTATGCCTGTTCCTGATGGCTTTCTCGATTCATAAGAAACAGAGGCCCTCCTGCACCACCCAGCCAGGCTCAAGGAAAGGGACTCCATGGAGGAGCATGTTAGAAATGGGCCTTTAGGGCCGGGCACGGTGGCTCACGCCTGTAATCCCAGCACTTTGGGAGGTCGAGGTGGGCAGATAACCTGAGGTCAGGAGGTTGAGATCAGCCTGACCAATATGATGAAACCCCATCTCTACTAAAAATATAAAAATTAGCCAGGCGTGGTAGCGGGCGCCTGTAATCCCAGCTACTCGGGAGGCTGAGACAGGAGACTCGCTTGAACCTGGGAGGCAGAGGATGCAGTGAGCCGAGATCACACTATTGCGCTTCAGCCTGGGCAACAAGAGCAAAACTCCGTCTCAAAAAAAAAAAAAAAAAAAAAAAGGGCCTTTAGGAGATCAGTGACTCTTTCCTTCCATCCTGGAGCTTCTCCCTGACTCTGTCTCCTCCTACTTTTTGCTGATCCATAACCTTGCCTTGAACTTGGCCCCCAGATGGCCCACACTCAGTGGCCTGGCAGACCTGGAGCCCACCTCCAACCAACTTCTTTCAGTTTTTCCCATTAGAGGGACTCTGCCTGGCCCCTCTCATCCAGTGACACTGCACTGCGGCCTGCTGGTCACCCCTGGATAGGCTGCCCACTGTCACGCCCTCACCTCTGGGGCTGGGCCTGGTGAGGCTGCACTGAAATCACCTTTGCAAAAATTCTAACAGTGAGAAAATTATAACAGTGAAAGAGATCTAATCTAACAAATCCCCAACTTGCCCTTAATCTCAAACTGCCCTTGGTCCTTCGTGGGCCTAGGGCCAAGCTAACTTTGGGGGAAATTTAGTTTATAGTTTAAATAATAGCCCTTCCCCAAAACTAAACTGCCTTTATAAAATGAATGAAAGGGCCAGACACGGTGGCTCACGCCTGTAATCCCAGCACTTTGGGAGGCCGAGGCGGGTGGATCACCTGAGGTCGGGAGTTCAAGACCAGCCTGACCAACATGGAGAAACCCCATATCTACTAAAAATACAAAACTAGCCAGGCATGGTGGTGCATGCCTGTAATCCCAGCTACCTGGGAGGCTGAGGCAGGAGAATCTCTTGAACCCGGGACGTGGAGGTTGCGGTGAGCCAAGACTGTGCCATTGCACTCTAGCCTGGACAACAAGAGCAAAACTCCATCTCAAAAAAAAAAAAAGAATGAAAGTCTACCAGGTTAGGAGGATGAGAGGAGCCTGAATTCTGCTAGAGTATAGGCTTAGTTATGCAAGCCACTATCCTTAGCAAGCTAATGCAGGAACAGAAAACCAAATACCACGTTTTCGCTTATAAATGGGAGCTAAATGATAAGAACTCATGAACACAAGGAAAGGAACAACAGACACTGGTGTCACCTTGAGGGTGGAGAGTGGGAGGAGGGAGAGGAGCAGAAAAAATAACTATTTTTCATCACCCAGCATTAATACCTGAGCAATGAAATAATCTGTACCACAAACCCCCATGACACGAGTTTATCTATGTAACAAACCTGCACAGGTACCCCCAAAACCTAAAATAAGAGTTAAAAGAAAACAAAACAATTGCCAGCCATGGTTCCAGAGGTCCCAAGATTTGCAACTTCCTCAATTCTCTATTGTAGAACCTAAGATTGGCTTTTTTTTGTTTTGTTTTGTTTTTTGTTTTTTTGAGACAGAGTTTTGCTCTTGTTGCCCCGGCTGGAGTGCAATGGCACGATCTTGGCTCACCACAACCTCCGCCTCCTGGGTTCAAGTGATTCTTCCACCTCAGCCTCCCGAGTAGCTGAGATTACAGGCATGTGCCACCACACCCAGCTAATTTTGTATTTTTAGTAGAGATGGGGTTTCTCCGTGTTGGACAGGCTGGTCTCGAACTCCCAACCTCAGGTGATCCGCCTGCCTCGGCCTCCCAAAGTGCGGGGATTACAGGCATGAGCCACCACGCCCGGCCCAAGATTGGCCTTTTGAGATGTCTTTTCAGGCTTTTGCGTTTCTGATGACCAGATGGTCCCACCTGGACCCTCGAGTCTTGGCTCAACCGGTCCTGTGGCCCCATCCAGAATTGGACTCAGTGCACGAGGACCATTTTCCACACCCCAGTGATTGCATCCCCAACTAATCTGTGGCACCTATTCTTCTAGCTCCCTGCCTGTCAAGCTATCTTTGAAAAACTCTAGCCTCTGAATTTTGGGGAAGATAGATTTGAGTAATAACTCTGTCTCCCATGTGGCATGGCTGACCCCATGTCGATTAAACTGTTTCTTATTGCAATGTCAAGGTCTCAGTGAATTGGTCGTCTGTACAGTGGGCAGGAAGAACTCATTGGGCAATTACAGCATGATAGAAACCATGGCTGCTTAGACAACAGGGGCAGCAGTGGGTTGTTTCTCTCCCAAGGGGGTAGAGCTGGAACGAAAAATGGCTATGACCGAGAAAATCCCTCTAGCAGGCTCAGGAAGGTGACAAGTCCATATCAACTAAACATGGGCTATTCGGAAGAAGTATGAAACCACCTCCGATGGTTTATTGTTGTTCATTTACTCCTTTTCCTTTTTTTTTTTTTTTGTTTTAAAGAGACAGGGTCTTACTCTGTTGCCCAAGCTGGGGTGCAGTGGCATGATCATGGCTCACTGCAGCCTCCATTTCCTGGGCTCAAGGGATCCTCCTTCCTCAGCCTTGCCAGTAGCTAGGACTACAGGCATGTGCCACCATGGCCAGCTAATTTTTTTTTTTTTTTTTTTGAGATGGAGTTTCACTCTTGTCACCCAGGCTAGAGTGCAATGGTGCAGTCTTGGCTCACTGCAGCCTCCGCTTCCCGGGTTCAAGCGATTCTCCTGCCTCAGCCTCTTGAGTAGCTTGAATTACAGGCATACACCACCACGCCCAGCTAATTTTGTATTTTTAGCAGAGACGGCGTTTCTCCATGTAGATCAGGCTGGTCTCGAACTCCCGACCTCAGGTGATCTGCCCACCTCAGCCTCCCAAAGTACTGGGATTACTGGAATGAGCCACCTCACCCGGCGCCCAGCTAATTTTTAAAATTATTTTTAGTAGAGCCAGGGTCCCACTATGTTGCCAGGCTGGTCTGAACTCCTGGGCTCAAGCGATCCTCCTAACACAGCCTCCAAAAATGTTGGGATTACAGGCATGAACCATCACACCCAGCCAGTATCATCTTTATCTGTGGTTTCACGGTGCATTGAGAGTAACTGAAAGTGTCTTTACACAGTACAGTCCCCATACAGGGTTATGAAACTTCACCAAGACCCCAAATAAGAGGAGATGTTTCATCTACCACCTTGCTGAGTCTGGCATCGTTCGTCGTTTTGTGCACAAAAACTTTTTTTTTCTGTTTTTTTTTTTTTGTTGTCGTTGTTGTTTCTTTTGTTTGTTTGTTTTTTGTTTTTTGTTTTTGCTGGTGCTGCAGCCTACAGAAGCCCATTTTTTCCTTTTTTAGTGTCAGCAACTCAGGAGGCTACACGGCGAGCACATTTTGAGGTGGTCGCTGTCGCTCTGATGGTGTTGGCTCTGTGCTGAATAATCTAGGGGTGGCTGCCACAGTAAAGTAATGAGGATATGTTCACGTGAATGAGGTGGCCCTGAGGAAACCAAATCAGGGATTCCCAATTAGGGGCTCACAAACAATGCGAAATGGCAGGTTCAGGATTGATGGCTGATAAGAATGTTCCAGCTAATTAAAATGTCAGGGTTTCCCGGTTTGCCAAGATTGATCATCAGTCTGGGAGGTAACACTTGTCTGCCGATCGGTTCCTGATGATAAGAAGTTCTACTTGACAGTTACTGAGGTCTTTGATAAATAAAATATGGGAAACAGATGAATTATTACTTAATAAATACAGCGTTGTCTGGGGGGTTTTCGGAGTGCAGAGGTTGTAAACTGCTGGTCTGAGGGCCAGAGGCGATGCTTGGATGTCTTCTACTTGGTTTGCACAGGATTTCTGGTTTTGTTTTATTGATTTGAGCCAACATAGAAAGAAAGGTGGTATTTCATACACATGCATGCACACACACACACACACACACACACACACACACACACACTCCCAAATCCAGGCTTGTGGCTTCTTTTAAAAACTGGCCACATTGGCTGTGTGTCTGGCAGCAGCAGGCAGCTGAAGTTGGGTGTGGCTACTGTTTGTTGTTGGAACACCTGGGGACCACCCTCACCTCCTGCCACCTGCTGACACGTCACTGTGCCAGTAGCCAGGCATCATGCACTTGCACGGTGTCTTGCCTCCATCAAAACTGGGAAGAAGAGAAGCCAGAACAAGGAAGCGCCTCGGTATTCTTTGCTCCTGGCCTGTTTTACCCATTGATTTTCCCTACTGGCCTCTCTAGGCGAGAGGTCAGCAAACTATGGCCCATGGGCCCAATCTGGCCCCACACTTGTGTTTGTTAATAAAGTTTTATTAGAACACAGTTACACTCATTTGTTTGTAGATGGTCCAAGGCTGCTTTTGTGCTTCATGAGCAGAGCTGAATAGCTGCACAGACACTGTCTGGCCTGCAAAGCACAACTGCTCTAGGCAGTTGTGTTTGCGACCCCTGCAGTACTGACTAACCCCAACTGTTGTTTTACCTCAGGCCAATGACCTAACCTCTCTTAGCTTCAAGTGCCTCCTCTCGAAAATGGGATAACATGAGATTGGGTTCCCTAGAACTGTTGAGAGGATTGAATGAGATGAAACGTAGGCCTGGCATACAACAGGGCCATTCAGCATGTGGTATCTGCTGATATTAGTTAAAGCATTGGCTCCATAAACAGAAAAATAACAAAAGACACTTCCAGTATTGATTTAATGTTAAGAGAAATCACACAGAAACTTCAAAACCCACCAGAGATACTTCCTCCCCGAAAACAAGGGCTCCAGGCACTTCTTGGCAGAGTCAGACGTGGAAGGCAGCACCAGCCATGGCTCAACTTAGTTCTGGAAATAAAACACGATGGAGAAACCTGCCCTGGGCACAAGGCCCAGCCAGAATGCACCCCTGGGTGCTGCCTGTCTGTGGCCCCATTCGTCTTGTTTGTGCAAAACTCTAGAGAAACCATTATGAGAACTGGCACCCTGCAGCCCTTACTCAGAGCCTTGGTCGGGGTCCTTTACTCTTTCTTCTGCACACAACATGGAAGTGAATGGGGACAGTGGAGGGGTGGGACTTGCACTTTTTTTTTTTGAGATGGAGTCTTGCTCTGTCGCCCAGCTGGAGTGCAGTGGCTCAATCTTGGCTCACTGCAAGCTCTGCCTCCCGGGTTCACGCCATTTTCCTGCCTCAGCCTCCCGAGTAGCTGGGACTACAGGCGCCCACCACCATGCCCGGCTAATTTTTTGTATTTTTACTAGAGATGGGTTTTCACCATGTTAGCCAGGATGGTCTCGATCTCCTGACCTCGTGATCCGCCCACCTCGGCCTCCCAAAGTGCTGGGATTACAGGCATGAGCCACCACGCCTGGCCTGGCCTGGGGCTGGCACTCTTGGTAGTGGGTCGTGACTGTGGAGGAACAAAAGTGATTGAGTAAAGGGTTCTTGTGTCTATTATTTAAGAAAAACTTAGGCCAGGGGTGGTGGCTCACACCTGTAATCCCAGCACTTTGGGAGGCCAAGGCAGGAGGATCACTTGAGGCCAGGAGTTCAAGACCAGCCTGGGTGACATAGTGAGACCCCATCTCTGAAAACAAAAAGAGAAACTTAGCCAAGCATGGTGGTTTACACCTGTAGTCCTAGCTACTCAGGAGACTGAGTGGGGAGGGTTGCTTGAGCTCAGGAGTCAGAGACTGCAGTGAACCATGATCGTGCCATTGTGATCCAGCCTGGGCAACAGAATAAGGTCTTGTCTCTAAAAAAGAAAACAAAAAAAGAGAAAAGAAGACAAATAGGGAAAGAAAAGAAAAGAAAGGAAAACAAAAGAAAAGAAAATTACATGCATTTGAGCTATAACCATCCCCCTTCCATCACTGCCTCCATCCCCAGTATCATGCCAGCTCTCTCCACCCTTAGCCTTGTGACATCACCACCACGATCATTCAACACTTGTTTTTTGGGCATGTGCTGTTGTAAAGTCACCAGAGTGGGAATGGGGGGCTCCCGTGGAGCCTGCATTCTAGGGAGGAAAGCTGACGACACATCAACTAGAAACTATCAGTAACATTATGCAGAGAACTGAGATGGGGAGCTACGTTTGCATGAGTAGTCAGGAAAAGATCTTTGTTTTTGAAGGGTGATGTCTGAACAGAGACCCCAATGTTGCATGGAAGCAGGTCATGTGAAGACCAGGGAGAACAGCGCCCCAGGTAAAGGTTGTGGCAAGTTCGAAGGTCACGTGGAGACCCTGATCTTGGCACATGGGAAGGAGGGCAGGGTGGCTAGAACCTGGCTGCTCAATGTGTGCTCCGTGACAAGCACCAGCGTCACCTGGGATCTTGTTAGAAATGCAGAATCTTTGTCCCCGCCATAGACCTGTTGGGCCAGAACCTGCATTGTCTCAAGACACCCAGGTGTTTCATATGAATAGTACAGCTTAGAAGCCCTGGGCCAGAGCACAAGTGAACACGGGCAAAGGCGCCTGGAGCAAGAATGGGGAGGCAGACAGCACCCAAAATGTGCAAGGCCAATGCTGCTAAAGCAAAAGGGGTGGGGTGGCCCCACATGTCCGTTGTAGCTTGTTTTCACTGGTTTCAGTCATTCAGAAGGTACTTATTGGTAACAGGGTTTGCATTTGTGGCCCTGCCCAAAGTTCATGTCAAATCGTAATCCCCAGTGTTGGAAGAGGAGCCTGGTTGGAGGCGATTGGATCATGGGGGTGGATTTCTTCCTTGCTGTTCTCATGATGTTCAGTGAGTTCTCACGAGATCTGGTTGTTTTTTTATTTTATTTTATTTTTTATTTTATGTTAGAGATGGAGTTCTGCTCGTCGCCCAGGCTGGAGTGCAGGGGCGCAGTCTTGGCTCACCACAACCTCTGCCTCCTGGTTCAAGCAATTCTCCCGCCTCAGCCTCCCGAGTAGCTGGGATTACAGGTGTGTACCACCATGGCCGGCTAATTTTGTATTTTTAGTAGAGACAGGGTTTCACCATGTTGGTCAGGCTGGTCTCGGACTCCCGAGCTCAGGTGATCCACCCGCCTCGGCCTCCCAAAGTGCTGGGATTACAGGCATGAGCTTCCGCGCCTGGCCCTCTGGTTGTCTGTAAGTGTGTAGCACCTCCTCCTCTCTCCTCCTCCTGCTCCAGCCACCCAAGACATGCCTGCTTCCCGTTCACCTTCCACTGTGATTGTGAGTTTCCTGAGGCCTCCCCAGCCGTACTTCCTGGACAGCCTGCAGAACCGTGAGCCAATTAAACCTCTTTTCTTTATAAATTATCCAGCCTCAGGTATTTCTTTATAGCAGTGAGAGAACAGACTCATACAACTGGGCATGTCTTCTAAGCAAGGTACTATTCTAATCACCAGACAATAGTGTGCTAGTAACTATTTAACAACCGGCTCTACGAGAGTAATCCTGCCATGATTACTCACCATGATTACGGTGGCTAATATTTTCATTTATGTTAACAAGTAAGATAAAGGTAAAACAACAAAAGTGCACGCTGGAACTTGACTCCTTTGTCGATGACATGAGAGACTTCCTTGCTGAATATGATAATAGACTTCCTTGCTGAATCTGATCTGATAATCCTTTTTTTTTTTTTTTTTAATTTTCTGAGACAGAGTCTGGCTCTGTCGCCCAGGCTGGAGAGCAGTGGCGTGATCTCTGCTCACTGCAACCTCCACCTCCTGGGTTCACACCATTCTCCTGCCTCAGCCTCTCGAGTAGCTGGGACTACAGGCACCCACCACAACGCCCGGCTAATTTTTTGTATTTTTTAGTAGAGACGGGGTTTCACCATGTTAGCCAGGATGGTCTAGATCTTCTGACCTTGTGATCCACCCGCCTCGGACTTCCAAAGTGCTTGGATTACAGGTGTGAGCCACCGTGCCAGGCCCTGATAATAGTTATGAAATACTGGAAAAACAGTTTTAAAATTCTCTGTGCTGTTTACACTTTAACAATGACATGCTTTTATGTTTAATCTACATCATTAATACTTTTCTCCATCCCTTCCTTAAATCTAGACAACAAACCAAACAATAGGGCAAGCTCTGGTTTGTAGTGTCTGCTGATTCCTGTGGTGTGAATACTCCCACCATGGCCAATATCAAGCTGCCAACATGGTGTCACTATATGCAGACTTGGGAAGAGATGCCTGCTAGCACATCATGGTACAGAATCTCCACTCTGCGGATATAATAGGTGCAAACCCCAAGAGCAGAGCAGAGCAAACAGCAAAATAATTAAGGAGTGATATGTTTTGAATATTCATTATCTTTGTTTTCAATAAAATTTATTTAATTGTAGGCTTTTACAGTCTAATTTGTATTTTCATTTATTTATGTGTATTTATTTATTTTTATTTTAAAAAGTAAAGATGAGGTCGCCCTATGTTGCCCAGGCTGGTTTTGAACTCCTGGACTCAGGCAACCCTCCTGCTTTGGCCTCCCAAAGTGCCGGGATTACAATCATGAGCCACTGCACCCAGCCAGTCTAATTTCTAATAATGGCTATGTTTAACAAGCAATTTGCAAAATTCCTGAAAATGTAAGAATTGACTCTTCTGAGCTGGCAGGAGCTGACTCCAGCACAGCACTCCAGTATGGGGGAAGGGGTGTGGGGTGGGACACCCTTGAACAGGACAGACACAGACCCTGTCTTCTGAGCTGGCAGTTTAGCGGGGCGTGTTGGGCTTTATTTAAAGTCAACTTCCTCAAGACAAGGAGAGTGGGGTGGGAGATGGAACTTCCTCTGTGGTTCACCCCAGGACCTCACTCTGGCCTAGGAATGCCCCTTCCTCAGGATCAGCCCCCAGGACCAGGCCTCCAGAGTCCCCACCCCCTACAGTGAGTTCAATGGAGACCCCTGGGACAAAGAAGAGAAAGAAGAACCAGAAGACTGCAATGAAGACGATTTAGAAAGGGAAATTAGGGCATGGTCACCTTGGCATGCCCCTCCCAACTATGGGCCAGAAAACACAGGAAATGACGGCAGAGCACGTAAGCTCTTAGAGAGGAACCTCCCACAGTCAGCGTCCAGCCTAGACAGAGGCCAAAATTTCTGGGGCTGTGATCAGGCAGGGAACTACTATATATATTGATTGCCAACCATGAACAGGTTGGGTGATCCACATTTGACCCTCAAACAACCAAGCAGAGTTGGCACCTTTACCAGTTTCATCTTGTAGAAGGAAAACCTGAGGCTCACAGGGGTTAAGGGGTCCCCCAAATCTTAATCCAGAGCCCTTTGCCTGCCTGGAATGAGGGCTGATATGGTTTGGTTCTGTGTCCCCACCCAAATCTCACCTTGAATTGTAATCACTAGTTGTCAAGGAAGGGACTTGTAATCCCCACGTGTTGAGGGAGGGAGGTGATTGGATCATGGGGGCAGTTTCCTCCATGCTGTTCTCATGATAGTGAGTTCTCATGAGATCTGATGGTTTTTATAAGTCACTTTTCCCTGCTCTTGCACGCTCTCTCTTGCCTGCTGCTATGTAAGACATGTCTGCTTCCCCTTCTGCCATGATTGTAAGTGTCCTGAGGCCTCCCCAGCCATGTGGAAATATGAGTCAATTAAACCTCTTTCCTTTATAAATTACCCAGTCTCAGGTATTTCTTCATAGCAGTGCAAAAGCGGACTAATACAGGGGCCAAAAGTGCACAAGATCTATGTCATCCTGATTGGTAATACTGAGGTCACTCCAATTGGTAGCCCTGTCCCATAACCTCTAAGTAAGGCAGAGTCATTGCTGACTATTCTGAGAGGCTGTTCCTTTCTCCTCTGGGTTCCCTTTCCAACTAGTTCCTTCCCTCCCAGCTCCAGTGTTATTTTTCTTTTGTGATTGTTTTTCTGAAAATGATGTTGTAGACACCTCCTTGTCCCAGCCACAATCCTTACTATATTCAATTATCCTGGTTTCTTAGGCTCTTTAAAGCTACTTTATTGCTCTCTCCTTGCTGTGACCCTAATCTTTGTTTTTCCTCTAGCTTTCTCCAGGGTTATTGCTTGTCAAGACAAAGGTCACCACAGACTCAAAAGAAACAGGGAAATAAACAATAGAAGGCTGGCTTCTGGCTGTCAAGTTTGTTTTCACCAACATTAAATTGATAGATGAATATGGAGGTGCCCCGCCACTTATCCTATCTCTTCTCAAGCTACATCTTGCCAGACCCTAGTCTCAGAAATAACAGTCTACTAACATAACATGATATAACATTTTCCCAGTGTACTTTCATACACATGAACTTCTTAATTAATTCTGAAAATTGTTCTGTAGTGTAGGTAGAGTAGGTAGTATTGTTCCCATTTTACAGGTAAAGAAACAGAGGAGATAGAAAGCTGAACTTCTAACTCTAGACAAGATAGAGTAGCCCCATTTCTCCTGAGTCCACCATCTTACAACTAAAAAAAAAAAAATCTCTGGACATGACACAACAAAGAAGCATAAGAGTTCCCTTCTCTCTTACCCTGTTACCAGCAGGGGCCAGTGGAGAGCTGAGCTTCTGCCCCACTCTGCCACAACAAAACAGTGGGAGCCAGTTCTCTGGTTCTCCCATCTCTGGGTCAGCAGAGCCTAGCAGGGTAGCTTGGATACAATAAGACAGTGCAAGCCGATGATGCATTTTCAATGGGAAGGTATCATCAAGGCAGAGATGGGAGTTCACTGCCAACCACCCATTTGCAATGAAGCAGGGTAAATCAGTGCTACACTTTTGTCACGATAGCACTGGTGGGGCCCAGTGGGAGGTTGAATATACAACTCATCCAACCTGATATGGTTTGGATTTGTGTCCCCACCCAAATCTCACGTTGAATTGTAATCTCCAGTGTTGGAGGTGGGGCCTGGTGAGAGGTGCTGGGATCATGGGGGTGGTTTGCCATGAATGGTTAACACCATCCCCCTTGGAGTTCTCGTTGCAATAGTGAGTTCTCGTGAAATTGGGTTGTTTGAAAATATGTGGCACCTCCACCCCTCTCATTGCCTCCTGCTCTGGCCATGTGAGACATCTCACTCCCTGTTTGCCTTCCACCATTACTGGAAGCTTCCTGAGTCCTCCCCATAAGCAGAAGCTGCTATGCTTCCTGTACAGCCTATAGAACTGTGAACCAATTAAACATCTTTTCTTTATAGATTACCCAGTCTCAGGTATTTTTTTTATAGCAGTGCAAGAACAGACTAATACACAACCGTTACGCTACATCTTAACAGGAAGACAGTCTGCCAAAAAAGAAAAGTTGAATAGGATCCAGACTCTCATAATATAATACCTAAAATGTCCAGGATAGAGCAGACAATCATTTATCATGTCAAGGAAAAGGAAAATTACAACTTGAATGAAAAAACAAACAGGCACCAAAATGCAAATGAATCAGAGGGATTATCACAAATTTAAAAGCAGTCATTACAAAAATGCTTCAAATGTAGTTATGAATTCTCTTGAAACAAACGAAAAATAGAAAATTTCAATAAAAATCAAGGTTATAAAAAAGAACCAAATGGAATTAAGGAACTGAAAAACACAATAACCAGGAAAAAGATAAATAAAACACGTCACTAGATGGGCTTGATAGTAGAGTAGAGATGACAGAGATTGAACCTGTGAAGTCAAGAACAGACCAATAGCATTCACTCAGTCAGAATAATAGAGAGAAAATAGGCCGGGCGCGGTGGCTCACGCCTGTAATCCCAGCACTTTCGGAGGCCGAGGCAGGCAGATCACGAGGTCAGGAGATTGAGACGATCCTGGCTAACACAGTGAAATCCCACCTCTACTAAAAATACAAAAAATTTAGCCGGGCGTGGTGGCGGGCGCCTGTAGTCCCAGCTACTCGGGAGGCTGAGGCAGGAGAATGGCATGAACCCGGAAGACGGAGCTTGCAGTGAGCCGAGATCACGCCGCTGCAGTCCAACCTGGGCGACAGAGCGAGACTCCGTCTCAAAAAAAAAAAAAAATAGACGGAAGAAATAACAGTCCCAGGGACCTGTGAGACAATAAGAAAAGAGCTAACAGCCATACCTTCTGAGTCCCAAAGGAGAAGAGAGTGAGACTAAAAGTATTCAAAGAAGTAGTGGTTAAAAACTTCTCAAATTTGGAGAAAGACATAAACCTACAGATTCAAGAAGTTTAGTGGATTCCAAGCAGGCTAGATGTAAAGAAATCCACATCATAATTAAATAGTTAAACTAAAGACAAAAACATATTGAAAGCAGTCAGAAAGAAATAACACATTTATGACATGGGAAAAATTAATTGCAATGATAGTGGATTTCCCATCTGAAATGATGGAGGCCAGAGGAAGTGGCTCAGCATCTTTCAAGTACTGAGAAAAAGAACTGTCAACTGTGAATACTGTATCTGGTGAAAACATCCTTCAGAAATGAAGGAGAAAGCAAAACATTCTTGGATGAAGAAAAACTAAGAGCATTTATTGTTGGCAAATGTATCTTTAAAGATTGGGTAAAGAATGTTATCTGAACAGAAGCTTTTATTTAAAAATTATACCTTCTATTTCTGGACTGAGATTTTTCCACTTTTCTCATTGGTTTCAAGAATGCTTGGAGCTCCAGAAAAGAAAAACAAACTATGGGAAGTACATAAATAGAAATAAATACAACAGACTATACTTCTCATGAGTATCTGAAATCATATTTGATGATTGAAGCAAAAATTGTAACAGCATCTTATGTGATGTTCAATATATGTAAAGAACACACTCAAGACACATATATTTTTAAGTGGGGAAGCTAAAGAGAACTAAATGGAAGTAAGGTTTCTACACTTACTCAAAGTGGCAGTGTCAACACCAGTAGCTTGTGGTAAGTTGTGTATGTATGTCATAATCTCTATAGTGACCAATAATTTTACATAATCTCTCCCAGAAAATAGGAGGGGAAGGAACACTTACCACCACATTTTATGAAGCTAATATTACCCTGATACTAAAACCAGAAAAAGACAGTGAAAAAAAAAAAAAAGAAAGAAAAGTAGATATCAATATCTTTTCAGCGACTTTTGACCCAAGATGCGTAGCCCTGGGGCTTTCTGTGCTCCTCGGCCCCTTGGTCTCCACGCAGAGGCTCCTGGGCTCACTCTCTCCTCCCATCTCCTCTTCTAGGAAGCATTGATGCGGCTGTCCAGCCTGTTGGATCAGCTGCAACCCACCCTGGTCTGTGAGTTAATGTTTCAGTGACCCAGCTTCTCATCTTGCGTCGTTGCAAACACTCCAGGTCCCCAGCCAGCTTTCAGTAGGGCAGGGGAAAAAGAGTGAGTCGAGATCACATGCTGGTGTGGGTTCCTGAAGGTTCAGGGGGGAGGGGAGAAGCGGGAGCGGAGGGGGGGAAAAGGGGAAGGTAAGGGAAGAAAAGGAAGGAAAAAGAAAAGAGAAGGAAGGAAAAAAGGGAAGGAAGGAAGGAAGGAAAAAGGATAGGAAATGAAAGGAGGAAGGAAGCAGAGAGAAGAAAAGTTTAAAAGAACAAATGAACTTACTGTCCTGGGTCCTATTGACTGCTCCTTTTATCGACAAACCTCTTGAAGGAACCATCTAGGCTGCTTGCCTTTCCCCCCACCTTCTGCAGTGCTGGCTGGCTCTCACTCCTGCCCCTTAGCTGAAACTGTCTTTCAGCAGCCACCAAGTTGCTGTCTCCCAGGCTCCTCTTGGGTTGCTCCATGGCTTCTGTTGAAGGTGCCAGCTCCGGATTTTTTCGAAGGCTCGCTGTCCTCTCCCAATTCCCCTCCTGCCCTCTGCCTGAGCCTCCTCTGACTCTTCCCCCACCTGGCTTCCTCTTTCCACCCCAATAATCCAATTCTACATCCCTTCTTTCTCTCTTGTTTCACTTTCCCTGGTCGTCTCACCTCTTTAGCGTTCCACTTTCCTTCCTCGGACACCAGGGTGATTTCTGTCCCTGCCCCCAGCCTCATGCCAGGTCTTTATTTGCCATCTCCCCTCATTCCTGAGCTCCCCAGGCAGGTTCCAGCAGCACGTCACAGTCCCTGAGCCCAGGACTGAGTGCTTCCTGCCTTACCTCCCTCCAAACTGCTCTCCTACTGCCCTTTCTGCAAATGCCCCCAGCATGCCCCCACCCCCGTCCCCAGGCACTCTGCAACCTCGGGCAGGGGACTCAAACCCCTCCCAGCATGTGCGCCTCCCACACGTCTATGCCATCCTGGATCAGGAAGTTGGGAAGAAGGATAGGAATGATGAATTATTCATCTCGCTGTGCTTAGTAAGTGTCACTCATTCATTCACAGGTATGGACTGAGGGGTCTCCCTGGGCTGGGCCGAGCAGGAGGAGGCTGAGCAGTGAAAACGGTGACCCCTGCCCTCACGGAGCTAACGAGAAGAGCAAATGGCTGGCAACGGTGCATGACACAGAATGAGCAACGGGCTGCACACATCGCGATTTACGTGGCTTTGGAAAAAACGCGTCTCACAAGTTGGGGCTGTCATACATTGGCTTCTTGGTAATCAATGCGTTTCAGCAATATATGGGGGTGAGTTTAGTTTCCAGTTGGCTTCCCTGAGGGTGTTGGATAAAATTGCAATTTAGATTCAATCAATACACATTTAGTGAGCACCTATTCTTTGCCTGAACGATTGTGGGCATTGTGGGGGATACAAAGGGAGACATCGTGGGTGGAGCTTACCATGGAAACAACTGTCTCTTGCTCCATGGTGTTTACCTTGCCTTGGAAAATAAACAACGTAAACATTTTTTTGTGACAACGGAGACAGGATTGAGAGACTTGCACAGACTTCCTTTCCCAAAACTTCTGCAGACTAAAATTCTACCATTAGCTATTAATTTCTTTGACTAAATTTTGTCCTCACTCTGCAGTTTCTTTTTTCTAAAGTAAAAATACTTCTAGAAAGAGAACACGACGTCCTTAACCTCTTAAAACAGAAATGACATATAAATCGACTTGCACACCAATTTGGGCCCTTGGATATTTGTTGCCTGAAGAGCTGTGTTGAAAAGGCCTCTGAGGCTCAATCTGGCCTCTGATGCAAAGAATGTCGATCGATTGCTGATGTCTGCCCTGAGTGCTGGAAGGGAGGATGGCATTTACTATCCCTGCCTTAAATTAGAGGAGCTTATGGGGTTCTTCCCCAACTATAACAAGAGGGGTTAAATGAACACTAATCATCTGATAGGACAGCCACTGAAGGAGGTGAGGGGAATTTAAGAAGGAAAGGCTGTGACTGCCAATCTCCTAATGTCACCTGCATGGCCGTCAGTCACCTGCAGCCCTTGTCAGTGCACCCAAAGCCTTTGCAGATGTCAACCCAGCTGGCTTTCCAGCCATGTCTCACCATACCCCAGTGCTCCTCTGCTCCAGCCCCACTGAACTCTGCCAGACCTGGACGTGCCCTTATACATGTGCTTCCTAGACATCCCAGAACATCTGTGCCCAT
The DNA here is from genome assembly GCF_000001405.40 of Homo sapiens. Classification (NCBI taxonomy): domain Eukaryota; kingdom Metazoa; phylum Chordata; class Mammalia; order Primates; family Hominidae; genus Homo; species Homo sapiens. The sequence goes on along the minus strand of NC_000007.14, from coordinate 3,195,765 downwards.
TGTCTCTGCACAGGGAATTCTTATGTAACTCCATGAACACCTACCCTAAGTGTCACTTCCTGTGAGAAGTCCTCCCTGATTCACTCCCTCCTCTGTTTACCCACCCACTGGAGACCCAGCTCTGCATGGCAGTCTTCACACTCTATCATCTTTGTCCTTCCTTCTTTTTTTTTTGAGTCAAGCTTTCACTCTGTCGCTCAGGCTGGAGTGTAGATCACAGCTCGCTGCAGCCTCCAACTCAGCTAAAGCGATCCTTCCTCCTCAGCCTCCAGAGCAGCTGGGACTACAGGTGCATGCCACCATGCCCAGGTAATTTTTTTCTTTTTTGTAGAGACAGGGTCTTGCAATGTTGCCCAGGCTGGCCTCGAACTCCTGGCCTCAAGCACCTCCCACTTCGGCCTCCCAAAGTGCTGGGATTATAGGCATGAGCCACTGTGTCCAGCCCATCCTTGTCCTTTCACATGTGTCACCTTTCTCGTGAGACTAAGAGGTCTGTGGGAGCAGGGTTAGTGCCTGGTCTCTGTGATCCAGTCCCCAGCCCCAGGCCTGACACACAGCTGGTGCTCAACAACCACTGGCTGAATATTGGAATGAATAAATGAACGAACTTTGTCAGTGTGGCAGATGCTATGCCTATGCTGAGACTGCTGTTTTTTCACATGCCCCTGCTTCTCCTGTGTTCCTGCAGTAGCACACTGCCGGTGGTAAATGAATCCCCAAGTATGAATGCTTCACAGAACAAAGTTTAATTTCCCCTCCCACAAAGTCCAGTGCAGATTGTGCAGCCCTCCGGAACACTTGTCTTGGTATTAACCACATCTTTTATTTCCTGCATTCCAATGCTCTGACATCTGGGGCCTCGCTGACCCCCTAGAGTTAGCCAATTTCTAGAGATACAAGTTGCCATGACAGCACTTTTCAGATGCAAACAACCCACCCAAACCAAACAAAGCCTTCTTTTCCCTCCACCTCCTAACTGACCTTGGTGCTTCCCCGTGTGGCTCTGTGTGGCGTGGCAGGCGGTGTCCCCTCCTCCTGGGAACTGTGAGTAACAAACTACTTTTTCAATAGCAATCATCTCCTGATCTGTTGGCTTCACTATACCTCAAAATTTCTACTGATACACTGTGTTTTGAAACAGGCTTCCACTGAGTGACTCAGCGATCCAGTCTGCTTTCATAGGTGGCTCTAATGAGGCAGAAATTTAAAAATAAATATGCATTCATTCACTCCAAGAAAAGTAACAGGCAAGGGTTCACAAGAAAAAAAGAAGTTTTCCTCTGCCTAGCAAGCACACTTCAAGGACAGTTATAAGATAATGCTGTACGAGCAGCCAAGGCCAAAGGAATGGGCTTCAGACACCCCTCTCCCCCAGAGCAATGTTGAAGGAAAAAAAAAGAGAAAAAGATAAATTACTTTACTGTTACTCCTTTCCCAGGCTTCTTAAACGTGATTATGTTTTACAAATGTCTGTATTTAGCCAGTTCTTGTTTTTCTTTTGACGCAGCTACAAGGCCACAAATTATACACTATATGATTAACTGCTTTTGTTTTACTTTTGTAAGTCTGCTTATAAAAACCCCACTCAGTCGTTGTTCAATGCTCAGCTTTTTGGATGCGAATCCACTGAGCCAGTGCGTACCTAAAATAAACAATCCTCCCGTTCTCCGTATCGGTCTCTCTGGTTCTCAGTTTCTCGCAATGCTAACACCTCAACCTGTGGCCCCCACAATTGTCGTGGCAGGGAACACAGACCAGGGACATCTTGCACCAGCTCTAAAATACTTCCACCCAGAGGTGGCACCTACCACGTCTGCTACCTACTCAGTGGCCATGTCAGAGGCTTTCCAACCAGAGTGACTCCATCTTGAATAAATGAGACAAGAATAGGCAGGACTGGTTTTGCAAGGTACAACTCACAAAGACCCCCCTGATAAAACAGAATGTGGTCAAGAAGCCAGCCAAAACCCACCAAAACGAAGATGGTGAGGAAAGCGACCTCTGGTCATCCTCACTGCTCATTATACACTAATTATAATGCATTAGCTTGGGAAAAAACACTCCCACCAGCACCATGTCAGCTTATAAACACCATGGCAACATTCAGAAATTATGTTATACGGTCTAGAAAGGGGAGGAACCTTCAGTTTGGGAAACTTCCCACCCCTTTCCCAAAAAACTCATGAATAATCCACCCCTTGTTTAGCATATGAGCAACAAAGAACTGACAGTATACTCAGTCAAGCAGCCCATGCCACTGCTTTGCCTATGGAGCAACCACCCTTTTATTCCTTTGCTTTCTTAATAAATTTGCTTTCACTTTACTCTGTCAGCTCACTCTTAAATTCCTTCCTGCATGAAGCCAAGAACCCATGTGGCATCTCAGGGTGAACCCAAGTTTTGGGGTTCACCACGTGATAGCCAGAAGTGGTCACATGATGCCACTTGGGGGTACCTAAGCGGTGCGGCTGGGAAATTGGGGGTAGGGGATTGAACTATCTCCACTTCGGGTCTTGTTCTTCCCATCTGAATTAAGAACAGATAACCAACCCGAGATCAGTATATCTTTAGCTTAATATCAATACAGCACGATATGATTTCAGAGGATGCTTTGCCATACATATGACCTCGTGTGTCACCAGGAAATATGAGAGCTGAATGTTAACAAAGTAGAGATTCAAAGGAAAAAAGGCCCAAGGACTGATTGGCTCACAAATGTGCTCCAGCATTAGGGTCCTGAGTGAGATGAATGGGCCCAGGCCTAGCGAGCTAACCTCCTCTCACCTCAGTGGGCCAGACGCAGATGGGAACCGTGTGGCCATGGCTGCCCTAAGCCAGGATGAGGCTGAAGAGGCAACCTGTGTCTGTTACCATCTGCTCTTGCAAATATCTTCCTTGGGTGTGGTGTTTCTGGAGCCTGTAAGATATTTTCCCCAATGTTTTCTTGTAGTGGTTGCATTAGGCCATTTGAGCATGGCCAGAGTTTTAATTATTCATGACCAGGGAGGAGTCAGTAGACAAAGAAGCATCGGGAATATTGGGAAGCACAGACCTGGATGTGCTGATAATCTCAGCTTTCTTCCTCCCCAAATATCAACTGTGGCTGCTCCAAGGTTGTAAAGTTAAAGAAAGTTTCACCACTTCCTTCTCCTGCCCTGTTGCAAATAGAAATAGCAGTGATATTGACCAGAGGGTGGGTGCAGTGGGAAGGAAGAAAAAATCCCAAAGATACAGAAACAATGCACAGGCTGGAGGATCAGACCGAAAAGAGGAGAGAGGTTTTGCTGGAGACAGCAGAGGAAGCAGGCAGGTGGAGAGATGGAGCCCCGGGCAGGGGCCTCTAAGCACATAACTTCATTTACTCCCCACCCCTGCTCTGGAAGGAGGTATTGTGTTTGTTTACATTTTTATAAATGAGAATGCTCAGAGAGGGTAGTAAACTAGCCCAAAGTCACACAGGATGTCGATGGGTGGTTTTGACCTTTCTCCTGCTGTTACCCAACACAGGCGCAGCCTGGAATCCTGTGATCTCTAGATTAAGAGTCTCGTTTCTTGCCCATTTTGGAAACTATCATTAACCTAGAACAATGCTTCTTAGCCTCTCAGAGGATGCCTTTGAAAGGCTGATGAAAGCCGTGGATTATTTTTGCAGAAAAAATGCACATACCTGCATGTGTTCACTCACACCTCGGTTCTGCCTACAACTTCAAGATATTTGCAGATGCCCCAAATGGAGGAAAAGCTGTCAGGGACAGGTGAAGCACTTTCTTCCCAGCCTGGTACCTTGTGAACAAATTTTAAGGTAATATGTTGACACATCCATGGCTAAAGTGCTGGTAGACAGATGTGTATTAGTGCATTCTCACACTGCTATGGAGAAATACCCAAGACTGGATAACTTATAAAGGAAAGAGGTTTAATTGACTCACAGTTCTGCATAGCTGGGGAGGCCTCAGGAAACTTAAAATTGTGGCGGAAGAGAAAGGAGAAGCAGGCACCTTCTTCGTGGAGTGAGTGCCAGCAGGGGAAATGCCAGATGCTTATAAAACCATCAGATCTCATGACAGTGAGACTCACTCACTATCACAAGAAGACCATGGGGGAACCACCCCTATAATCCGGTTACCTTCACCTGGTCCCGCCCTTGACACATGGGGATTATAGGGATTGTAATTCAAGATGAGATTTTGAGTGGGCACACAGCAAAACCATATCAAGATGTGAGAGGAAGTAGCGAGACCCCTGGGCAAGAAATCAAAGGGTCATATCTTTGTTTAATATGCCTGTCGTTCTCCAACCAAAGACACGACCCCAGCTCTAGTCTGGCCTCCCCACCCCCACGTTAGAACCTGTCTGCATCCCTGCCTCGTACCATCTCAGTTCATTCATGATGCTATAGCAAAATATCCTAGACTGCATAATTGATAAATTAGAGAAATTTCTTTCTCACAGTTCTACAGGCTGGGAAGCCCAAGATGAAGGTGCTGGCAGATGTGGTGTCTGGGAAAGGTCTTCTCTCTGTTTCCAAGACAGTGCCTTGTTGTTGTGTCCTTGAGAGGGGACAAATGTTGTGTCCTCATGCGGTGGAAGGAATGGAAAGGCTGGGTTGCTCTCTGAAGCATCTTTTATTACAAGGGCATTAATCCATTCATGAGGGTGGGGTCCTCACGACTGAACTACTTCCCAAAAGGACCATCTCTTTTTTTTTTTTTAATTTTAAGACAGGGCCTCACTCTGTCACTCAGGCTGTAGAGTGCAGTGGTGCAATCACAGCTCACTGCAGCCTCGACCTCCTGGACTCCAGCGATCCTCCCACCTCAGCCTCCCGAGTAACTGGGACTATAGGAGCATAGCACCATGCTCAGCTAACTTTTTAATTTCTTACTGGGATGAGGTCTCCCTGTGTTGCCCAGGCTGGTCTTGGATTCTTGGGCTCAAGCGATCCTCCCAACTCAGCTTCCCAAAGTGTTGGGATTACAGGCATGAGCCACGGCACCCGGCCAGGTCCACTTCTTAATACCTTCACATTGGGTATTAGGTTCCAATGTATGCATTTTGGAGGGACATTTATAGTTAAACCATAGCAACATCCATGGAGGGGGTCCCGTGTGTCACCTGCAGCCTCTGGAGTGGACCCTCCTCCTCCGCAGTGTACCACCCCTTTCTTCTCTTTCTGCAGACGCTTTTTCGTGATCTTCTCCTTCTAAGATTTGGCCGATACAGTCCTCACTTCAGAAAACTGGTACTCCAGACTGAAATCAGAAAAGTATTCCCCAGCTGCAGAGAAACCGGGACTCTGGAGACCATCCTTGCGTTTTGGCAAAAAGACTCTGCTGGCCGGGTGCAGTGGCTGATGTCTGTAATCCCAGTACTTTTGGAGGCCAAGGTGGGTGGATCACTTGAGGTCAGGAGGTCGAGACCAGCCTGGGCAACATGATGAAACCCCATCTCTACTAAAAATACAAAAACAATTAGCCGGGCATGGTGGCACATGCCTGTTACCCCAGCTACTGGGGAGGCTGAGGCAGGAGAATCACTTGAACCCAGGAGGCAGAGGTTGCAGTGAGCCGAGATTGTGCCATGGCACTCCAGCCTGGGCAACAGAGTGAGACATCATCTCAAAAAAATTTAAAAAGGCTTCCACAAATAGGAGGAGAGACCAGGGATTAGAGAGAAAGCAGCAGCATTGCTTGGTGATTTTTTGGCCTCCTCCTACCTCAGTTTTCCCAACTACAAAATGGGGGCAATGGTGTTTCTAGCCTCATAGAGTTGTTACACCTGCACAGCACGGTACCTGGAGCAGCAAGACCAGCACATACATGGGAGCTGTGGTTATTGACTCCAGGCCAGCTGCCAGAAGGGAGACCTCTGTATCCAGAGACATCAAGGCATTGGCAAGGGGGATTTGGGGTTACAGATGAAACCCCATTAAATAAATAATGCCCCTCTTGGGCTGGGCATGATGGCTCACACCTGTAATCCCAACATTTGGGGAGGATCGCTTATCAGAAGGCTTAGGAGGGAGGATCACTTGAGCCCAGGAGTTCACGACCTACCTGGGCAACACAGCAAGACCTCATCTCCACTAAATAAATAAATAAATAATAATGTCCCTCCTGCTCGCCTGAGCTCTGTACCAGTTGAATGAGACCAATGAGGGATCCAAGCATCCCCTCCGTTCCACTACGCAACTGTCAGCTAAGTCCCTCTACCTCCCAGAGCCATACAAAGAGGGCAGGAGCCTAAGGAAGGTGATGGGCTGTTTCCTCAGCCCCCGCCAGGGAGGGCATCCTCTGCAAAGGCAGATCTTGTGCCCATCATGCCAATCTCAGCCTGTGTGGCTCCCGGAAGCCCCTGTGGCTTGAGATGTGTCTTCGTGTTTGCGATCACCACCTGGGAGTCAGCCTTGTCATCTAACGAACCCGTCTCTGGAGCCTTCTTCGTGAACCCAGGTGGAAACCATCTCAGCGGGACTTTAAGTTCTAACAACACCGTTTCTTTTCCTGCGTGGGCCCCTCCTCATGGGGCTGCAGTGGCTTGGACCCTTTAATAGTCTCCCTGCTGCAGGTTCCAGCAGCACTGCGCTCCCTGCAGCCTCCCTGGATGATCTTCTCCGCAGCTGCCTCTACCTACAGATGCTCTCTGCCTCAAAGCCTGCAAACCGATAACGATGACCTCACCCACCCTCTGCCACCTCCAGTTTTGTTTTTCAGTGAGAGAAGCAGCTGTTATTATTCATGAAGTCAAGATTTGGGGAGGAAAAAAAGTATCCTTCCAGTTAAGGCTTGGCCTTAAATAAATACAATTCACTCAAAGCAAAGCAATAGGCCAGGAAAAATATTGTTAGCACTTACCAAAGAAAAATGTATATGATTCAACATATGTATTTTGAAAGGAATATATATTTCCTTTCAAATATATATAAACAGCTCCTACAAATCAAAAAGAAAAAGACAAACAATGCCACAGAAAAATGCCACAGCCGTGGTAGCGAGCAGGTTTGTTACTGATGGCAGTGGCCGTTCCTCCCTCCCCACCCCAGGGGAGCCCCGGTTTCTCAGGTCCTCAGTGCGCTACAGATGCTTGCTTCAAGGGAGTGCCCAGATGCTATGCTGGGGAGTCTGGGTTCACCGTGGCCACCACAGTGCGATAGGTTGGGTCATAGACAGTGATGTTGTCTTGTCCATCTGCTGGGGGTATAGGGGGTGGCAAGGAAAGCCTGTCCTCATTCTTAAAAAGAGACACTGATGCTGGGTGCAGTGGCTCACACCTATAATCCCAGTACTTTGGGAGGCCGAGGCAGGAGGATCACTTGAGGTCCAGAGTTCAAGACCAGCCTGGTCAACATGATGAAACCCTGTCTCTATCTAAAGATACAAAAATTAGCCGGGCATGGTGGCGCACGCTTGTACTCCCAGCTACTCAGGAGACTGAGGCAGGAGAATCGCTCAAACCCAGGAGGCAGAAGCTGCAGTGAGCCGAGATCACACCACTGCACTCCAACCTGGGCAACAGAGCGAGACCCCATCTCCAAAAAAATGAAGACACTGAGGCTGGGCGTGGTGACTTACACCTGTAATCCCAGCACTTTGGGAAGCCGAGGTGTAGGGATTGCTTGAACCCTGGACTTCCAGACCAGCCTGGGTAACATAGTGAGACCCCATCTCTACAAAAACTAATAAAATTAGCCAGGCTTGGTGGTGCACACCTGTAGTCTCAGGTACTTGGGAGGCTGAGGCAGGAGAATCACTTGAGCCCAGGGGGTCAAGGCTGCAGTGAGCTATGATCGTGGCACTGCACTGCAGCCCGAGTAACAGAGTGAGACCTCGTGTCTAACAAAAAAAAAAAAAAAAGGAGACACATTTCTTATTGTCCAAGCCAGCTGAGTCATGGTTTTTTTGTTCCCTGCTCTCCAAAGCACTTTAATTAATACAGGCACGAAGAGGTGCTGTCATCGATGAGATATGAGTGGTCAATAAACACAAGAAATTATGCTCAGCCTAAGCAGTTAAATAGGGAACTGCAAACAGCAATAACAGGGACGTAACTGGGGCCCGTTAGACTCGGAAAGAGTGAAGACGTTGAGAACATGTGAGGCTGGGCAGTGTGGAGTGCGAGGCGCTCTCCTACGGAACGGGAGGAGGTGTTCATCAGCACGGCATCTGGAGAGGACAACTTATGGTTATATAAAAATGTAAATGCACACACCCTTAGCCTCGCGACGCCAATTCGGCCTCTTTTGTAGAAACATTTGCATGATGTAGCTATAAAAAAAGAATGAGTTCATGTCCTTTGCAGGGACATGGATGAAGCTAGAAGCCATCATTCTCAGCAAACTAACACAGGAACAGAAAACCAAACACCGCACGTTCTCACTCATTAGTAGCAGTTGAGCGATGAGAGCACATGGACACAGGGAGGGGAGCATCACACACTGGGGCCTGTCGGTGGGTGGGGCGCAAGGGAAGGGAGAGCATTAGGACAAATACCTAATGCATGCGGGGCTTAAAATCTAGATGACGGGTTGATAGGTGCAACAAACCACCATGGCATGTGTATACCTATGTAACAAACCTGCATGTTCTGCACAAGTATCCCAGAACATAAAGTAAAATTAAAAAAAAAAGAAAAGAAACATTTGCATGAATATGCAAAGGAGTAAGTAGAAACATGTCGATTTGGAGCAATGGTAATAGCAAAACACTAAAAACCATCCAATCCGTTTCCAAGGAAGATTTGGTTAAATCAATCACAATGCAATCATGTTATGGAAAACTACACAGCTATAAAGAGAATGAGCTTTTTTTTTTTTTTTTTTTTTTTTGAGATGGAGTCTTGCTCTGTTGCCCAGGCTGGAGTGCAGTGGCGCGATCTCGGCTCACTGCAAGCTCCGCCTCCTGGGTTCACGCCATTCTCCTGCCTCAGCCTCCCGAGTAGCTGGGACTACAGGCGCCCGCCACCACGCCCAGCTATTTTTTTGTATTTTTAGTAGAGACGGAGTTTCACTGTTATCCAGGATGGTCTCGATCTCCTGAACTCGTGATCCGCCCGCCTCGGCCTCCCAAAGTGCTGGGATTACAGGCGTGAGCCACCGCGCCCGGCTGAGAATGAGATTTGTAGCTGTCCGTGAAAACAAAGAAAAGCCTCCAAGACAACAAATAAAAGTTCAGTGAAAAAAAAAGTTATGAGAATGCAAATAGTATAATTGGACTTACATAAAACCCTTTATCTGAATGTACACATATGTGTGCATATACCTATGCAAAATCGTAGAAAAAAGACTATACGGTGCAGATTAAAGTATTACCAGTGATTGTCTCTATAAAGTGAAAGTGGGAATACGGGAGGAATTTAAGCCTTTTTGTTTTGTTTTGTTTTGTTTGTTTTGTTTTGTTTTTGAGATAGAGTCTCACTCCGTCACCCAGGCTGGAGCGCAGTGGTGTGATCTCAGCTCACTGCAAGCTCCGCCTTCCGGGTTCACGCCATTCTCCTGCCTCAGCCTCCCAAGTAGCTGGGACTACAGGCGCCCGCCACCATGCCCGGCTAATTTTTTGTATTTTTTAGTAGCGGGGTTTCACTGTGTTAGCCAGGATGGTCTCGATCTCCTGACTTCGTGATCCGCCCGCCTCGGCCTCCCAAAGTGCTGGGATTACAGGCGTGAGCCACCATGCCTGGCCGGAATTTAAGCTTTTTATTCTTTTTGTTGTTGTTATTAGAAGACAGGGTCTTGCTCTGTCACCAAGGCTGGATTGCAGTGGTGTAATTATAGCTCACTGCAGCCTCCACCTCCTGGGCTCAAGCAATCCTCCTGCCTCAGCCTCCCGAGTAACTGGGACTACAGGCGTGTGCTGCCATGCCTGGTTAATTTTCTATTTTTTTGTAGAGATGGGGTCTTGTTTGGTTGCCTAGGCTGGCCTTGAACTCCTGGCTTCAAGCAGTCCTCCCACCTCTGCCTCCCAAAGTGTTGAAATTACAGGTGTGAGCCAATGGGCCTGGCCTTAACTTTTTATTTTGTACTCTGTTTGCAATTTTTTCTTACAGTGTATTGCTGTATTGTGTGACTTTATAAAAAACATGCAAGCCACTTAAGACATTGAAAGTCAATATACACAAGAGATACGTTAGGCCGGGCATGGTGGCTCACGCCTGTCATCCCAGCACTTTGAGAGGCCGAGGTGGGTGGATCACATGAGGTCAGGAGTTCAAGACCAGCCTGGGCAACATGGTGAAACCCCGTCTCTACTAAAAATACAAAAACTAGCCAGGCGTGGTGGCAGGCACCTGTATTCCCAGCTACTCGGGAGGCTGAGGCACAAGAATTGCTTGAACCCGGGAGGTGAAGGTTGCAGTGAGCAGAGACAGCACCATCGCACTCCAGTATGGGTGACAGAGCAAGACTCCATCTCAAAACGAAACAGAACAAACAAACAAAACAAAAGGGATGTGTTAAGGAAAAAAAGGGTTTCATTGTCCAAGGGACCGTTCTGCCTGAGGCTCCACCTTACGGCTCCCAAGCCTAGTCCACAGATACATGCATTTCCCAGCCAGGAAGGATCCTGTAGTAGCTCAGAGACTGAAGTTGCCAGCCAAGGCCAGGGTTCTAATTTCTCAGCCTGACACCCAGAGGAGCCTGAAAATGGGGCAGTGTCTCTCAGGGACCCGCAAGGCCTTGACAGCCCAGCAGCCCCAGGCTTTGCACCTGACCAAAGTCACCACGTTCCCCTCCCCAATTTGTTCCTAACTCTGTAACAAACCTGCATGTTCTGAACATGTATCCCAGAACTTAAAGTAAAATTTAAAAAAAAAGAAAAGAAACATTTGCATGAATATGCAAAGGAGTAAGTAGAAAGATGTTGATTTGGAGCAATGGTAATAGCAAAACACTAGAAACCATCCAATCCGTTTCCAAGGACGATTTGGTTAAATCAGTCACAATGCAATCACGTTATGGAAAACTATAGAGCTATAAAGAGAATGAGCTTTGTAGCTGTCCGTGAAAACAAAGAAAAGCCTCCAAGACAATAAGGGTTTCATTTCATACTCTCATGGTACCCTGGCCTTGCCTGGAGCCAGCTGTCCCGAGAGACCAGAAGGTCCCAGCCCTTCAGCCACGTGTGGGAGCCACGTCCCCGGCTTGCTGCTGTGTGGCTGGAAACCCACCTTCTGGCTGTGTTGATCGTTTGTGGAGGGCTTTGACGCGGCACATGCATTTCTCCTTCTCCTCACTGGCATGGGGCGGCTCTGGAGCAGGAGGAGATCTAACCTCATGGGAGGGGTGCTACATTCAGGAGGGGCTGTAGGCTTCATGCTTTTCTGTCAGGAGTCTTCACCAGGAGCTCTACAGGTACCAGTGGGAAGGGCCAGGACTCGGGCACTGGAGGATTTCACGCATCTCACTTTCTGCATCACAGCAGCTGTGAGACCAGCCCTGCCCCTCAGCCCCTGTGGACCTTGGGAACGCCCCCAGCCTGAGCTTCCATTCCCTTGTCTGTAAAGTGGGATAGTAACAGCCACTCACAGAGTGACGTGGGGACTCAGTGAGACAGTGCACAGTGAAAAGGGCTCTGAGCTGGTCACCTGGTTGAGGGGATTAGGGAGGCTACAGAAAAGGGGTATTTTGGCTGGGCATGGTGGCTCACACCTATAATCCCAGCACTTTGGGAGGCCAAGGCAAGAGGATTGCTCGAGGCCAAGAGTTCAAGACCAGCCTGGGCAACACAGAGAGTCCTCATATCTACAAAAAATTTAAAAATTAGCCAAGTGTGGTGGTGTGTGTCTGTAGTTCCAGCTCCTCGGGAGGCTAAGGCAGGAGGATTGCTTGGGCTCAGGAGTTGGAGGCTGCAGTGAGCTATGATTGTATCACTGCACTCCAGCCTGGGTGACAGCAAGATCGTATCTCAAAAAATAAAAATTAAAAAAAAAGTTAATTAAGAAAATGAAAAAAGGAATATTTTGACATAGTCTAGGCATCAGGAAGGACTTCTTGAAGGAGGGAGCAGTGAGTTTTGAAGGCTGTCCTGTTCACTGTTGCTGCGTCATTTTTAAAACTCTGAACTTAGTGTCACAAAAGAACCATGTTATTGTGTTTATGGACCCATGAGCCAGGAATTTGCACAAAGCACAGCAGACTGGCTTGTCTCTGCCCTACAATATTTAGGGCCTCAGTTGGGTAGACTTGAAGGGTGAGTCCAACTCCATGGCTGGGGCAGGAAGGAGCCAGAAGCCTCTTTACCTGCCTGTCTGGCAGTTGGTGCTATCTGTCAGCTGGGACACCACGGGTGGCCTCTCCCTATGGTCTCTCCACACAGGCTAGTTGGGCTTCCTTGAAACATGGCAGCTGGGTTCCAAGAGTGAGCCCCCCAGAGAACCAAGGGCAAGCTTTACACTGTTTATAACCCAGCCTCAGGAGTCACAACACATCACTTCTGCCGTAGTCACGTACCCTTTCCAGATTCAAGGGCATGGAATGTAGACCCTATCTCCACAGGAAAGGAGTGTCCTTGTAAAGTCGTACGAAATGGGAGATGCTGTTGCTGTCATTTCTTGGAGAAAATAATTTGCTGCAAAGGTCTGTAGCAAGTAGGAAATGTCTCTTCTAAACTCAGAGGAAGTTAATATGTTCCCTGGCGTGCCTTGGACTGTTGTCCAAGTTGTGCACTGCACAAAGGCATCCAGCTAAGAAGGCGAGTAGGAGCTGAAATCCGGCCTGTCCTCCATTCACTGAGCTCTTTGTTCCTGCATGAAGCTGCATCTTCCAAGAGGAAGGAGAGACTTTTCCTTTGCAGAAAGCATTGACCACTTGCTGGGCTAAGCATCCACAGAGCTGTGTCCAACCAGAAGAGTGCCTTTTTCTAATTCCCACAACATATCCACATGGACAAACTGTGGTCCTGGCTGATCCCATCCTGGGGAAGATGAGTGGTGAATTAGAGGCTGGAACAGGAGGTGGGGAGAGGGGAGGAGGGGGGCTAAGCCTTGAGACTCAGGCTGAGCCCTAAGGGTCCTGCCCCTCTGTCAGTCCCGCACTCCTCTAAACACACACACACACACACACACACACACACACACACAGAGTCATTTTCCATCTCATTTTGGCACCCTCAGGCCAGGACTCTAGTTTGTTCTGGTCCTAAAGCTGGTGTCTTCCAGGTTTATAGAGGAGGCCCCAATGTGATTCATGGGGCCAGTATAAATATGGAGCAGACTTACAGCAGCAGAAGAAGAGGTAGGACTCATCTGAGAAGCCCAGACTCCAGGTTTCAGTGGGGACAGAGCCTCTCCCAGACAACAGAATGAAAGAACCACAATGAAATTTTGCTCCTTAGATCTGGCCATTTGGGAGGCCAGGGTGGGAGGACTGCTTGAGCCCAGGAGTTAGAAACCAGCCTGGGCAACATAGTGGGACCCCCATCTCTACAAAAATTCAAAAATGTAGCCAGGCATGGTGGCATGCACCTGTGGTCCCAGTTACTTGGAAGGCTGAGGCAGGAGGATTGCTTGACCCCAGGAGGTTGAGGCCACAGTCGAGGCCACAGTCAGCTGTGATTGCACCACCGCACTCCAGCCTGGGCAACAAAGCAAGACCCTGTCTCAAAAAAAAAAAAAAAAGATTCCAAAGAGCATCCTTCAGGGTTCAGGGACCGAGATGCCCACTATTGAAACAAGAGGAGAGAACACCCAGTTAGACTTAGCAAATGTCCCTCGGCTTAGCATATCATCATTTCCCCCAGTTTCCCTTTATGGAGATGGGCTGTTTTGAAGAATGTTCAATACTATAAAATAAAGCTGAAATCAGGTTATCTAGGCTTCCGTGGAGCCTGCTGTAGGAAAGTGCAGCACAGACGCTATTTATACAGGGAGGGAGCATCTCGGCAAGAAACTTACAACGGACGTTTAGAATTAATTTAGCACCCTGTCTGCTCCGAGGACATATGCTCTGTGTCTAGAATTACAGCACCTTCAACACCATATGTGAGTGCTGGGTGTGGCCGGGAAAGATCTCGGAGCCTCCTGGCACACAGACACGGAAGCTCCAGTGTCAGCGACGATCACACCTCCCTATGCGTGCGAATGCCAGCAATGTGTGTAGAATCCCTGAGTCTTCACAAGTAAGCGAGCATATGGCACATATCTCGTTTTCTGGCACAGGGCACAGAAAATAAACGGTGACGTGCAATCTGGAGTCAGGCAGGATGTGTGACCTGCGCTGTCTTTGCAATCTCGACTTTGCACGTCGTGGCGGGTTCCCGGCTCAGAGCCAGCAGGGCCTCTCCTCCAGGAACTGCGTCTGAACATACCAGAGCCTGCAGTGGAGACCTTGGAATCGGACCCGGGAAGGGGCACTCACCAGGACGATAACTGGCAGCCCTCGGAAGTTTTAACCTTTGAACCGCTTCAAAGGGAACTTGTTACAGGCCAGGCGCAGCGGCTCATGCCTGCAATACCAGCACTTTGGGAGGCCGAGGTAGGTGGATCACTTCAGATCAGGAGTTCGAGACCAGCCTGGCCAACATGGCAAAACCCCATCTCTACTAAAAATACAAAAATTAGCCAGTCATGGTGGCACGTGCATGTAGTCCCAGCTACTTGGGAGGCTGAGGCAGGAGAATCGTTTGAACCAGGGAGGTGGAGGTTGCAGTGAGCCGAGATCGTACCATTGTACTGCAGCCCGGGCCACAAGAGAGAGACTCTGTCTCAAAAAATAAAAGCAAAAAACAAAAAACAAAAAAAAGGTAACTAGTTACATCTGGTAACACAGCTACAAACTCGCAGCTGGTCTCAGAAACTCAGAGACTGATATTTTCTCTTCTGTCCAAGGGTGGAAGCAGGGGGACAAATCGCCACATCAAATGTGGGGTCACAGGCCAGACCCACTAACGTTGTTCAGGGAAGGAAGAGGGGAAAGGAGCAACTGTCACCAACCTGCTATTGACTCTGTCCCCATGGTGCTCAGGCACACTCAGAAACTGCAAGATGCTTCTGCGCGTGTCCCAGGAGAGCCAGACCCAAATTGACAAATACGTGTTGAGCACTCTTGTCTGAGTTACTTATACAAAAGCGAACAAAAGTCATACAAACGCCTGTGTCCATGGAGCTGACACTCTGATCCCACTGATGGAAGAGAAAGACAAATGAAATAATAAGTCTGTGGTATTGAATTCTAGAAGGACACTGCCAGGAAGCAGATGAGGAGTGCAGGGTGGTTTTGCAGAGGTAATGAGCCTGATTGGGAGGGCCTTGCTGACAGGTAACATTTGTTTTTTGAAATTTTCATTTTTTAAATTATTTATTTATGGATTACTCAGTTGATTGATTGACATGGCCTCACTCTGTTGCTCAGGCTGGTCTCGAACTCCTGACCTCAAGAGATCCTCCTGACTCAGCCTCCCAGGTTGCTAGGATTATAGGCATGAGCAAGCATGCCTGGCTTAAGAAAATTAGTTTTCTTAGGCTGTCCTCTCTTCTAAAAAATTACTTCCAAAGGCTTGCGGCTACCAATTCAGTATACTATTTGTTTTTGTTTGTTTGTTTGTTGTTTGTTTTTGTGTTTTGCTTTTTGACTTAGCTGGACTAAATGCACTGAGATTTGTGTATGGAGTTTGCATTCTGGAAACTTAGTACAAATGTCTTTTTTTTATTAAAAATTTTTTTATAGAGACAGGGTCTTGTTATGTTTCCCAAGCTGATCTCAAACTCCTGGGTTCAAGTCAGCCTCCCTGCTCAGCCTCCTAAAGAGCTGGGATTACAGGTGTGGCCCACTGCACTTAAATATTAACATGCAGAACACACAGAAAACAATTGCTCAGTTCACTGAAACATTGTAAAGAGAATGACCTTATAATGACAACCCGGCGAAGACTTGGAAGAAGCCTTCACAGAGAGGTGACATTTGGAGAGAGAGCCCCGCAGCCCTGCAGCCATGCAGACTGCAGCCCACAGCCACGCAGCCATGCAGGGATCTGGGGACGGAGCTCCAGTGACCAGGAACTGAAAGTGCAGACTGAGGCCTGTTAAGGAGCAGCAAGAAGACCAGGTTTCTGGGGAGTGATGGGGCAGTAAAGTTAAGAGAGGACAGACGAGGTCAGACCACATAGCAGGGACAGGCTATGGGGACACTAAAGCACGCGGCAAGGACTTTGGCCTTGACTCTGGGTGAGACAGGAACCGTGGAGGGGTTCAGAGCAGAGCAGTGCACGATCCAATTTACATTTTACAAGGCCCACTCTGCTGCTTGCCGGATGATATTCTGCAGCAGAGGAAAGCTTAAGACAACCTTAAAAAGAATTCCAACTCAATGAGTTCTTGCCTTAATCTCTGGTTTGCCAGTGCCATTTAGGACCCTGTAGAGACAGTACGAAGTCATAGCCAGGAGACCCGGGTGGAAGACCTCACACTGACACCAATAGCCTGTCCAAACCCCACTGCCTCGGTTTCCCTGTCAAATGGGGACAGTCACGGCAGTCCTCTCTCCCTCCCTCACTTGTGTTGAGCATGAGATAAGATGACGGAAATGCAAGACTTTGAAAGTAAAGATGCTTTTAGGCTCTTAGGTCCCGGGGATGAAGTCAACACTTCTCATCCAGGATCCCCTAGTGCAAGCTGGGGAAGGGTATGGTCCACAGGCCTGCAGCCAGCAGGAGACAGCTAACAATTCCAGATGAGACAGCACCCAGGGTCACCCAACACAAGACACCATCTGGAACGTGTGTGGAGCTACAAGTTATCAGGCTGAACAGGGACAGTGTCACGAGACGGATGACTTGAGTACTATTCTCACCAAGGAATGTCCCCCCGATCCACCCGGAACTCCCCACCCCCTGCAGCTAGCGACTTGCAAGAAATCAGTTTTTTTCTTTTTCATTTAACAATCACCAGAGTCATCTTCAAACTGTGCAAGCTGAAAATCAGCTCATAAAGTGAGAATATGACCAACTGTAAAATGCAAGAACTTTTTTAAAAAATTTAGGTTTTGTTTGTTTTGTTTTGTTTTGAGATGAAGTTTCACTCTTACCACCCAGGCTGGAGCGCAATGGCACGATCTTGGCTCACTGCAACTTCCACTTCCCGGCTTCAAGCGATTCTCCTGCCTCAGCCTCCTGAGTAGCTGGAATTACAGGCACCCGCCACCACACTCAGCTAATTTTTGTATTTTTAGTAGAGACGGTTTTACCATGGTGTCCAGGCCGGTCTTGAACTCCTGGCCTCAGGTGATCCTCCTGCCTTGGCCAAAGTGCTGGTATTGCAGGCATGAGCCACCTCGCCCAGCCTAAAACATTTAGGTTTTAAAAAGTTAGGTATTGCTTTCACAGAGTAAAAATTTCAAGCAGTACAAAAGGGGCAATAGAGTAAGAGGTAAGTCACCCTCCTTCTCCCGTTCCCTTTTCCTTCTGCCCAAGGAAACAGAGACTGTTACCAATGTGTGTGTCCTTTCAGAAGAGCTATCTATACCTGTAGCTATGCCTTCATGTCCTGCTTATACACATGGGCACATACAGTCTGTCTTTCATATTTGTGGATTTTGTACTTGGGAATTCACCTACTCGCTAACACTTATTTGTAACCCCGAAATTAATGCTCTTAGGGTTTTCCAGGTCAATTGCAAACATGCACAAAGAAACGAAAGATTTGAGTCTTCCTCCATACACAGTCCCATCTGAGGCTGAGCAAGGTGACACCCTGCCTTCTTGTTCAATGTCCTTTTCGAGGACTGTTTAATGCCACATTTTTCTTATTTTCATGCTTTCTGTCAGCGATTTTGCTGTGTAAATGCCCCTCGAACATAGCACTGAAGTGCTGTCTAGGGTCCTACGCACAGAAGGCTGTGATGTGTCCCACGGAGAAATTATTTTTGTTAGAGAAGCTTTGTGCAGGCGTGAGTTATAGTGTTGCTGGCCATGAGTTCAGTGTGAATGAACCAACAATATCTATGAAATAAGGTGTCATTAAAGAGAAACACACATAAAGCGGGGCTAGGTATTGTTGGGTTGATAAAAATGTGACCAGAGGCTTGAAAGAACATAATCCTGTATTTCCCCAAAGAGCAATGGTTCAGGATTTGCTAATTCAGTGTTCCTAGTGACTTTATAGAACATAGCTACTAGAAACAACACAAATCTATTGTGTATAATTATTTTAGTTTCAAAATAATGGTTAACATACTGTTCTCTGGTACCTTGTTTTTTGTTTTATGTGGGGTTTTTTTTTTATTACTTAACAATATGTCTTGGATATTGTTCCATATTGGCACAGAAATAACTTTCTTATTCTTTTTCATGACTGCATAATATTCCACAGAGTGAACATATTATCGTTATTTAGGCACATTCCTATGGACTTGGGGTCGTTTTGCTAATTTCTACACTGCTGGAAAGATGATGCTGTGAAATGCTTCTGAGTATCTCTGTGAATCCATCTGTAGGATAAATTCCTGGTAGAGGAACCACAGGGTCAGAAGGTAGGAGAACATGACATCTGGACAGGTACCCCCAGATCACCTTCCAAATATTCTCTGAGTCTATTTGCCCCCAATGCTTGGGGGCCGGAATTCCTCAGAGGAAGGTTGTATCAGTTTCTGGGGCTGCTGAAACAATTTACCAGGGGCTGTGGCTTAACAGAAACTTCTTCTGTCATAGTTCTGGAGGCCAGAAGCCCAAAATCAAGGTGCTGGCAGGGTCGGTTCCTCCTGCAAGCTCTGAGGGAGGAGCTGTTTCATGGCTCTCTCCTGGCTTCCAGTAATTGCTGTCACGTGAGTTCCTTGGCTTGTACACACATCACTCCAATCTCTGCCTCCTTCTCTACCTGGAATTCTCCCTGTGTCCAAATTTTCTTCTTCTCATAAGAACACCAGTCATTGGATTTAGGGCCTGCCTCATTGTGGTGTGAACTCATCTTATCCCGATGACATCTGCAAGACCCTGTTTCCAAATAAAATCACATGCACACGTACTGGAGGTTAGGACTTCAACTTCCCCTTTGAGGGGACACCATTTAACCCACGACACAGGTGTTATCGAACGTTTTGAAGGCTTTTGCATAGCAGAGTTGTCAGGCTGATGGTGGAAATCCCAGTAAGTTGGCAGCTCCCACCAGACCCCCCACCTGCCTCATCCCCTGTTGCTGACACCTGGAGTTTGTCAGCCCTGATCAGAGGCCTCCAAAGCACACTCGCTGGTGGGGGTGGGGGATTAGGGAGTAGGGGATAGGTTGGGGATATCATAAGCTATTCTCCCACATTTCCCAAACCAGGGCACTGCTTGAGGCGACTTTGCTGCTAACTAATAATCAGTACAGTAAAGTCACACTTTTCTGTCTCTATTTTTTTTTTTTTTTTTTTTGAGACAGGGTCTTGCTCTGTCACCCAGGCTGGAGTGCAGTGGTGCAATCATAGCTCACTGCAGCCTCAAACTCCTGGGCTTCAGCATTCCTCTCATTTCAGCCACCCAGGTAGCTGGAATTACAAGCATGTGCCTCCACACCTGGCTAATTTATCTGTGTGTGGGTTTTGCTTTTGTTTTTGCTTTTTTGTAGAGATCGCATTTCGCTATGTTACTCAGGCTGTTCTCCAACTCCTGGGCTCAAGCAATCCTCCTGCTTCGGCCTTCCAAAGTGCTAGGATTATAGGTGTGAACCACCACACCCAGCCAAAATTTCACTGGAGTTCAGATTCTAAAAACTAAAGTTCTGCACAGTAAAAATCACGTACAGTCAATATGATGCTTGGAAAGGACCTTAAGAAGTTCAAAAGCCAATGATCAATTCCTTTTGTTTGTCTTTGCATTTGGGCGAGCTTTCTCAGGGGCGGCGGAGGTCAAGGTCTAGCTTGGGGTCTCTGTGTCAGCCCCTGTGTTGTGTGGCCGGGCTTTGGGATACATTTCCCCTGCACTTGGGGAAGGACCCTCTCGTCCAAGAGAAGCCCTGAGAACCTGAACTCTACCTCACAAGAGGCAGCACAATCTCTCTAGCCCCATTTCTGTAGCCCCAGCCTTCCCTCTTCCCTGCAGCAGAGCCTGCAAGCGAACAGATCTGAAATTGTACAATTCCCTGGGCGTGTGGGCTCAGCCTACATAGACACCCTAGCTGGGGTCTGTCAGCAAGATGAATGGTGCAGAGGCGACCAGTGACCCCCAGGGACACAGTGGATGCCTCCAATTATCTGGGCAGCCTCTAAAGCCCCCTTTTTATTTTCTATCAGTGGGGGCAAAGAATTTTTCTGTGGGCCAGTAGCTCCTGTAATGAGGCCTGTGTCCTCAGCCTTCGGGAGGAGGAAAATGAGGAACAGGGCTGTCAGCCTGCTTGCTAATCCAGAAAGATGATGACCGTGACTTGGGGAAGTCTAAAAGCAGGAAAAAGGAGCCCCTCCCAGGGTTCTGGCAGAGAGGCAGAGAACCCCTGGGTCCGATCGATAAAATATGTAATGGACTGAGGAGGTTTGCTTTGGGAAATTTCCCCATCTGCTCCGTCCAATTATCCTTTCTCATGATGAGGATCCTAAGTGTTTCGCCCCATGTGAGTGACATTTAAAGACCCACCCTTGTGTGAGAGGAGGCAGGGGCCCCGGGAGGTGGACTCCCCAGTAAATATCGGTTTAAGTGGAGTAAACACAAATGTTGTGCACCATCCCTGATTTATTGACTCGCTTCTCCCAGTCAATTTCCCGCCAGGGAGCCACATGGGGCTGCAAAGCGAGAGGTGGACAGATTGGAAGCCATGTGAAAATGTTTCCGAATGATGCTCAGAAAACAGGGTGTCATCCCTGGAATACATTACCTGCTCCTTGCAACACTCAGATACAAATCCCGGAGCTGAATTTACTGCGGGGTGTTTACGGTGAATCCAAAACACCAAACACACTCAGGGCTCCCAACCAGCCCTTGATCAATGTACCAAGGCGAGGAATTTTATTAGCCAGAAGTTTCCCTGGAGGATTTCAAGGGGGCAGGGTGGGGAGGGTGGAGTGGGTCAGAGTGATGGGAGAACAACCCTTCCCAGGAGGACTCTCGGGGATGAGGGAGGAGAGGAGCAGGGAGCATCGAGTGAGTCCTCCAGCCTTCCTAGAGCTACCCAGCAGGCCAGAGGGAAGGTGGGGAAGCAGCCACCATTGCTGATGGGCGGAAGAACTCCTGATGGCTGAGAGCCCAGGCAAGTCTGGGAAAGGAAGGTGAGCGGACAGGTAGGAAAATAGGAGACTTCTTTTCACACAGGGAAGCAAAAATGAAGGTTTTTGTTATTGATTTTTTTTTAAAGTCCTCTTATTAGTTACAATTTTTTCTCCTTTAATATTTTAAGATAAAATAATCCAACGTTGGCATTATTTTTCACTGTCATGTAATGGATGGTTTCTGATAACGTGATTCTACACTGATTGGACCCCTGTGGGGAATGGGGAGTTACTTGGATTGCATTTGGGGGGCTGCAGCCGGGTTGGGGGGCTGCAGCCGGGTCCTGGTGCAAATGTGTTGTACCCAGCGTGGACCTGGGCAGAGAGCGTTTTTATACCGTGACCTCCTGGCTCTGGGCTTGTGAAGTCCAGGGTTTGAGCCTTATCTGACTTGAGCTATTCTGGGTCTCAGAATACAAATGCAAGTCAGAGAGATATCGTAGAGAAAGCACAAAAACTGGAACTATGTTTTCTGGGAATATGCACAGTAGGGGGACAGGATATTTTAGATGGAAGGTCTCAGAGCAATTGGTAAATCGAGGAAGCCATATTAACCTCCCCTGGAAAAGTCTGAAGGTTTAAATTTGAAAGTAGATTGATTTCCCCACCTCCCAATTTCCACAAACACCAAGTTTTTGGGTTGTATTTGTTTTTGTTTTTAGAAATTAGAGGCCGTTGCCTTCTATGTCACAGGGTATGAAAAAAAGAAAGAGATAAGTAAATAAATAAATTAGAGGCGTTTCAGATACTGAGAGTTTGGGGGTTCTTTTGTTTTGTTTTGTTTTGTTTTGTTTTTGAGACAGAGTCTCGTTCTTTCACCAAAGCTGGAGTGCAGTGACGCGATCTCCACTCACTGCAACCTCCGTCTCCAAGGTTCAAGCGATTCTCCTGCCCAGCCTCCCAAGTATCTGGGATTACAGGCTCGCACCACCACCCCCGGCTAATTTTTGTAGTTTTAGTGGAGATGGGGCTTCACCATCTTGGCCAGGCTGATCACCAACTCCTGAACTCAAGTCATTCACCTGCCTTGGCCTCCCAAAGGGCCGGGATTATAGGCAAGAGCCACCGATCCCGGCCCTGAGAGTGTTTAAAAGAATTTAAAACTTAGGACCCCATCTTTCCTTCCTTTGGTCATCCACACACTTAGGGAATACTAAATAATTGAACCAATAAAGGAATGAGGAATTGTCCTCCTGTTCCACAGAACCTAGCACCAAGAAGGTCCACAGTAAATATCTGTGGACTGCCTGAACAGCTGCCCATTGGGGTGCCAAGACTGGCCATAAGGAGGATGTCATCAAGTCCTGCTCTGCGAATTTATAGCCCAGTAACCAGAAAAAGAAAGAGCCAGAAAGAAGGGAGCAGAGAACCAGAGCTAACCAGGCAAATCCACGCTTGCAAATGAGCCCCCAGCTGTCATCTTCCTGCCTGCCTCTCTCCCCTTGGCCCACCGTTACAGACTGCATCTCTGCCCTCCCCGTATCCATGCCCTTTGCTGTTGACTTTGCAGTTCTTCCATGAAAGGAATGGGATCTGTTTCTCCATACCCTGGCTTTGTGTTTACCCATGGGACTTACTTTGCCCAGTGGAATGAAGTGGGTGTGATGGTGCACCTAGGCTTCAAGAGCACCCACGCCTTTGTACTTGTTCTCTGATCCTTCTGCCATCATCATGAGCAGAGCATGCCTGGCCAGCCCACGGTCTCAGGAGGAAGACAAGAGATGCGTGGATCAGAGCCTCTCTGGCCAAGCCCAGGTTCGCACATCCAAGCCTCTGCTGGCCCTCTGACCAATGAGAGTAAATAACTACTGGTGTTTTTTTTTTTTTTTTTGAGACAGAGTCTCGCTCTGTCACCCAGGCTGCAGTGCAGTGGTGCGATCTCAGCTCACTGCAAGCTCTGTCTCCCGGGTTCACACCATTCTCCTGCCTCAGCCTCCATCCAGAGTAGCTGGGACTACAGGTGCCCACAACCATGCCCGGCTAATTCTTTGTATTTTTAGTAGTGACAGGGTTTCACCATGTTAGCCAGGATGGTCTTGATCTCCTGACCTCGTGATCCGCCCGCCTCGGCCTCCCAAAGTGCTGGGATTACAGGCGTGAGCCACCACACCCGGCCTATATAACTATTGTTTTAAGCCACTGAGTTTTGGGGTCGTTTGTTACGCAGCAGTTTTATAGAGGTGGCTAACCAATACACCCTATTCCTGTGGATGGTTCAGTCTTCCCTGGTCGACATGTCTGGCTCATCTGCACCTCCCACAACACCTCCACCCATTGTTTCTCTGCATGTGATTCTAATATTGATTCTTAAGACCCTTGAGCACCACCATTGATTTTTCAATACCTATTTCCTTTGTATGACGTTTTC
Organism: Homo sapiens; assembly: GCF_000001405.40. NCBI lineage: Eukaryota > Metazoa > Chordata > Mammalia > Primates > Hominidae > Homo > Homo sapiens. The sequence goes on along the minus strand of NC_000007.14, from coordinate 3,172,240 downwards.
ATCTCCTTTGAATTTTTCTTCAGTACACGTTATCTCTTGCATCTGGATCTGGCTTGTCCTGCCCTCATCCCCTCTCCCCTGTGCTTGGCGTTCATATCCACTCTTGCTCCCTCCTCTCCCCACTTCTCCCTGCCTCCGGGCATGGGCTAGTGCCTACCTCCCACTGCGCTGCTCCTGTAATCTCTGCTGCCACCCTTGAAGGAAGGAATTTAGAAATGCTCCGTGAAGGCATTATTCATACATGAGACATTGTCACTGTTGACAGGGTAGGTAGGTCCCACTGTGGGCCCTGGTGACCTCCAATGCCAAGATCTCCTGGTGGAGGGAGCCGGGCTTGTGTGGAATAGACACAGCCTTGTGTGGCAGCGCGCAGCCTCTGCCAACAGCAAATTCGGTCGACCGCGACTGTTACTTGACAGCATTTGTTAACATATTAATGACAGAAAAAGGGTTTTTGGCAGAAATATCTTATCCTTGAGTCCTCCTCTCTGGAAAAAAGGAATGGGGTTCTTTGAGGAGTTAAAGCAGACATAAAAGAGCCAAGACCCCCTGGAGAGGATCCCCCGTTCTCATGCTGTCTTGGAATGTGGGCTCTCTGGGGATGACACTCATCTGTTGAGCCCCAAAGCCATGCCTTTGATTGCAAGAAACAGAGACCCACACAGGCTTGCCCAAGCAAAAGGTCCCCACCAGGATCTATCAGGAAAGATGGTAAATTTGGATTAAGATAGTCCAAGAAGGGCTGAAGAAAGAGATTAGAGTCCTTTCTCGGTACCCATGGCAGATTGGTTTCAGCATCCCCCACAGATACCAAAATCTGCAGATGCTCAAATTCCTGATATGAAAGGGCATATTATATACTTGTAACCCACAAACATCTTCCTGTATACTTTAAAGCATCTCTAGGTTACTTATAATACCGGATACAATGTGAATGCTTTGTAAATAGTTGTTTTACTGCATTGTTTTAGCAATTTGTATTATTTTTATTGTTGTATTTTCTTCTTTTAAATATTTTTGATCTAGGGTTGGCAGGCCCCATGGTTGGTGAGCCCGTGGTTGGTGGAGCCCGTGGTTGGTGGAGCCCGTGGTTGGTGGGGCCCATGGTTGGTGGGGCCCATGGTTGGTAGGCCCAAGGCGACCCCATGAGGAAAGAGCTGGACATCAACACCCTGGCCTTGCTCCTTCTGTCCCTCTGAATTGCTTCTGGGCATCCCCATTGGGTGAGCCCAGTGGGAAGCCAAAACCAGGGTAGGCCATTGATACTGTCCGTGCAGATCAGCCTCGTGGGCTGAGAGTCAAAAGGAGCAGATGGATCACAGGGTTGGATATCTGTAGCTCTTAAGCACACCCAACACAGCTCTCAGGGCCGGCCTCCACACAGTCTGATCTGAGAAGGGGTCTTGGTAACAGCACCACCACGGACATGACTCAGCCTCTCTCCATGGTTTTGGTCTCACCACCAAGTGTCAAATCAAGTCCTTGTTTCTTTGTTTGAATTCCAAAGAAAGAGAGAATCTGATTGACCGAATTTCAGATTTGGGAACCAAAATACATGATACAAGAGGACGCTGGAGAGCCTCTGGGCTGCTCCGGCCAGGCAGGTGGCACGCTTCCTTCCATGGGGGATGAGGAGATACGTGTCTGGGAATGATGTATTCTCATTCTTTCATTCTGCCTGATTTTGAAATTTCCCAGGAGCAGATCCTGCGATGTTGATGCCAATGCAGGTGGTTTATTTGGGAGGTGGCCCAGGGAAGCATAGATAGGAGAGTAGAGAAGTGAGGCGGGAGGGGAGGAGCCTCTAATAGAGAGTGTGTTACCGAGCCGACCGCCACCATGGCACCTGGGCTTCATCCTGCTGGGTTCGGAATTAGTGACTCAGTGTAGACCATGTCCTCAGAGTGATTCCAACTCTGGCGTGGTGTGTGGAATATGTGGATATGTATAGTTATATTTATATTGGTATTTTTTTGTTTTGTTTTATTGTGAGACAGAGTCTTGCTCTGTCGCCCAGGCTGGAGTGCAGTGGCGCAATCTCAGCTCACTGCCACCTCCACCTCCCATGTTCAAGCGATTCTCCTGCCTCAGCTTCCAGAGTAGCTGGGATTACGGCGCCTGACACCATGCCTAGCTTATTTTTGTATTTTTAGTAGAGACAAGGTTTCACCATGTTGGCCAAGCTGATCTCAAACTCAGGTAATCCACCTCAGATAATCCACCCTCAGGTAATCCTGACCTCAGGTAATCCACCCACCTTGGCCTCCCAAAGTGCTGGGATTATTGCTTGCCCAGCCTTACATTGTATTTTGATACATGTTATATTTATATTATATATATATATATGTATATATCAGTTATATTGCACATACATATATTTATATATGTCAGTCATTGGCTCAGTGTTACTGAATGCAGAAGGCCATCCATTCTCAGGCTCTTTTGGACCCTAGGGGCCAGAGAGGGCCCCCAGGCAGCTGGAAGTCAGGGCAGTGCACTACGATGATGGTTTTTTGTTGTTTTGTTTTGACAAAAGGTCTTACTCTGTCACCCAGGCTGGAGTGCAGTGGTGTGCAATCTCGGCTCACTGCAGCTTCCACCTCCTGGGCTCAGGCAATCCTCCCACCTCAGCCTCCTGAGTACCTAGAACAGGAGCGTGCCACCATGCCCAGCTAATTTTTAAACGTTTTATAGAAACAGGGTCTCACTATGTTGCCTAGGCTGGTCTTGAACTCCTGGCCTCAAGCAGTCCGCCCCACCTTGGCCTCCCAAAGCACTGGGACTACAGGTGTGAGCCACCATGCCTGGCCGGTGTTTTAAGGCTTCTTAGGATTTGTCTTAATTCAGGTATGGTAAGACACACAGACACAGAAATGATGGTCATGATAAAAGGCTTTTTATACTCACAGATTCCAGGACGTGTCACACGGGGCCACACAAAGCAGCCCCGGGGTCAGTCCGGAGACAGAGGGGCGGGAGGAAGCGTGTGAGAGCCTTTGTGGTGGTTTCCGAGGGAAAGCACAGGTGAGGCAGGGCGAGCAGGCTTCAGGTTGGCTGTTTGGATCATTTCAGCGGGCTCCGGGGCACAGGAGCTGCCCCTTGTTATCCAGTACCTGGCCCTGGGGTGGTCAGGGCAGGTTGGATGGGTGACCAGAGTGTAAGAGCCCTACAGAGGAAGTGGTCAGAGATGGGTTGGTTGGTTTGCAGATGAAAGCTATACTCACAAGTGAGTCATTTACTATCTCTGGGGATCCGCTAGCCCTGGGAGGCGCAGTCCCTCCAGGGTCAGCAAGACCCAAGACATCAAAGCGTCAGAACACAGCAAAGGAAAGTCGTGGTGAGTACAAATAGTCAGGACAGAGGGGACAAAGAGGTAGCTCGAGGGGCGAGCACTGATGGCATCTGCTGCACATTTATTCAACTACTTATTAGCAACCTGTTTAGAAAGTCCTGTCCCACATGCAGGGGAAATAGGGTAAACACTCGTTGCTGCCTGCATGGTGTGTGGCACATGGACATGGGGTCTCACCTCAGGGCAGGTGGAGCAGGAGCCCCAGTGCGTGCCAGCGTCATCCGCGCCCCAGAGGACGAAAAGTACGTGTTTCTGGTCCCGCATTCCAGTCTGGGCACCAGGGGCTCTGCTTCCAGAGCCAGTTCTCCAAGCAGCTTGGCACACACATTGCAGCTCCCTGTGCCAGAGCTTGGCCAGGGTGATGCCGTCCACTGGCTTCTCGGGACATGATATTTTCTGCTGAACCAACATGGCACACCCTGCGTCTTCCAAGGCCATTTAGGGAACTTGTGGATCTGCACAGGAGGCCACTTGGCAGTGAACAGAACAGGGTGCATAGAGGATCCCGATGGTGGAAGTCAAGGTGCTCAGGGAAGGCTAGCGCCTCTCGGAGAAGGATCGTTCCACATGGGGTCACTCAATGTCAACCACTTTGCATTAAAAACAAAAACAAACAAACAAACAAACAAAAAACCACTTTGAATGGTGGGAGCCTCCCGAGGCTCCAAACACCAAAAGTCTTCAAACAAGGCAATTAATTTTTCCATTTAAATCCCATCCTCCCTGAAGCCATGAGAGTTTTCTCTTAGTAAACTCTGAACATTCACGTGGCTGGAAGTAAATCAGTTACCCATGTTGAAACGAAGAGAGCCACACACTAAAAGGAAAATGAAAAAAAGTCATGAGGACGTGTGAAAAATGGACCAATTTCGAGAGTCTACTTTGGAAAACAGCATCCGTTTTCAAGCATTTCCACTTCATTTCTGAGTTAATGGGTCCCTCGTTTCCAGGGTGCCATTTCCCCCTCAAAAGATGAGAGCCAGTCTGGCTAGAGACACCCTCCCTCTCTGGGGAGCAAGTTGGGGGTGTCTCTGTTTCCAGGCAGTGTGGCAAAGCACACTGCAGGCCCAGCCTCCTCCAACTCCAGTGCAGCATTACGCAGAAATGTGTAAAGCCTAGGACAGTTGCAAACGCCTTTCTTCATTATGAATTTTTTTTCCTAGAGCTTGCTAATTAAATCATTAAAATTTTATCTTCACTTAACCATGGATAAGAAGCATTTGAAACATTTAATTAGTATTGCTGCAAGAGGCGCATAGAAGCCAGGAATCTTTGCAAGTTGGATCTGTTAGGAAGGGGAGGTGGATGAGGTCGGGGAGGGAAGAGATACCAGAAAGGAGACAGCAAAAGACGACAGGGTGGCTTATTTGCAAAGGAATCTGTAACTGCTTTGCTGCCTGTGATCAGAGCCACCTACCTGGTCCTGTTCCGCGCCTCTCTCATGAGCTTTGGCTGGCAGCCACAGCCAGGTTCCTACCCAGAATGGCAACCCCTGTGTGTGGGGATGGGGATGGGGATGGGTGTGGGGCGGAGTGCTTTTCGCGTTTCGGGGCTCTCGGCTCCACATGCTAAATTGCGTTTCAAATTTTACATACATTTACTTGCAGGGTCTCTGAGTTCCCTGCCCTTCTCTCACTCCCAGTCAGCAAAATAAAATATCATGAAATAAAATGGAAGTAGTGCAGCTCCAAGGTCAAGCTAATATTCAGCAGGTTGCGAAAAGGGCCCCTGGTCCCTGGGGAATAGACGCTGTCAGTTCCAGAGCCTGTCTCTAGTGCCCAGCAGCATGCTAAGTGCGTCCTGTGATCTCACATCATTCCACAACCACCCTGGGGTTTGTATTATCATCTCCTTAGCACTACCCACCTGTGTCTGTATTCATTTCCTAGGGATCCCATCACCATGTACTATAAACGTGGTGGCTTAGAAGAACAGACACTAGCCGGCTGCAGTGGCTCACACCCGTAATCCCAGCACTTTGGGAGGCCAAGGCAGGTGGATCACTTGAGGTCAGGATTTTGAGACCAGCCTGGACAACAGGGTGAAACACTGTCTCTACTAAAAATACAAAAGTTAGCCAGGCATGGTGGCGTGCATTTGTAATCCCAGCTACTCGGGAGGCTGAGGCAGGAGAATTGCTTGAACCCAGGAGACGGAGGTTGCAGTGAGATTGCGCCACTGCACTCCAGCCTGGGTGACAGAGCAAGACTCTGTCTCAAGAAACAACAACAACAAAAAAAAAAACCACAAAGAAACAAAAAAATACAAAAATTAGCTGGGCATGGTGGCAGGTGCCTGTAATCCCTGTTACTCAGGAGGCTGAGGCAGGAGAATCGCTTGAACTCGGGAGGCGGAGATTGCAGTGAGCAGAGATCATGCCACTGCACTGCAGCCTGGGTGACAGAGCAAAGACTCTGTCTCAAAAAAAAAAAAAAAAAAAAAACCCAGATGCTTATTTTCTCATGGTTCTGCAGGCCAGAAGTCCAAAGTCAAGTGCCATGCTCCCTCTGAAGCCTGCGGGGAAAGACTCTCCCTTGCTTGTTCCAGCTGCTGGGAGCCGCAGACCTTCCTTAGTTTGCAGCCACATCACTGTGATCTCCACGTGGCGCTCTTCCTGTGTCTCCACGCCCTCTTCTTCCCTAAGCCTGCCCGTCTCTGTCCAAATTTCTCCTTTGCGTGAGAGTACGGTTATGTTGGATTAATGTCCATCCGTCCTGATGACCTCATCTTTTTGTTGTTGCTGTTGTTTTGAGACAGGTTCTCGCTCTGTGAGCCAGGCTGGAGTGCAGTGGCATGATCACAGCTCACTACAGCCCAAACTCCTGGGTTCAAGCAAACCTCCTGCCTCAGCCTCCCAAGTAAGTGGAACTGTAGGTGCGTGCCATGTGTGCCACCGTGCCCAGGTAATTTTTTTAAAAAATTGTGTAGAGATGAGGTCTCGCTATGTTGCTAAGGCTGATCTCAAACTCCTGGGCTCAGTCGATCCTCCCTCCTCGGCTTCCCAGAGTGCTGGGATTCTAGGCACGAGGCACCACGCCTGGCCAAATGACCTCATCTGAATTACCTCTGTAAAGACCCTATCTCCGAGTAAGGTCTTAGAGTTAAGACTCCAACTTATCTTGTTGGGCAAAGCAATGCCACCCATAAGAAGAGCAAGGAGAGATTTGGAAGGTAGTTCAAGGTCACACAGCTGGTAAAAATGGGAGCTGCATTTCCCACCCAGGTCTGACCTCAGCACAGGCTCCTGCTGCCTTGCTGTCAGAGGTGTGCCCTCTAGGCCTCAGGCTCAGGGGCTTCTGCCACCCCCAGGAGGGTCCCAGTCCTGGAGCCAGCCAAGACCAGTCAGCAGGAGGACATCAGGCAGGCCCAGAGCCACCCAGACCAAGCATGACAGGCACTGGCCAGACCTGGTTGACACCCAGGAGCCTGACGCTCCAGCCTTCTCTCATGGACAGAGGTGCTACCATCTTTGTCATCGCTGTTTTGTGGGATTTCAGGGCAAGTGCAAATAAATCTCCACGTGCAAGAATTTCATGGGGTTCTGTCGAGGGGGCTGCCTAGCCCCTGCCTCCAGGTCTACTGGCTGCCTTGCTCACACCTGTCCTCACAACCACGTTGTCCTATCCAAGAACAAAGTGGTCCTGAGATGGACAGCCAAAATTCACACAGAATTCACAAAATTCACACAGAATTCACAAAATTCACACAGGACACAGGTCCTTGTGTCCTAAGCCCTGGCAGCACCTGCCCAGGGGCCCTGGCATCACTCAGGGGTTGATGGGAAGGGAGGGGCCTGACAAGCCTTGTGGGTCCCCCACAGTCAGTCCCTGCCTTCTGGGGCTGTCTCTGTCACCCCCACCCCCATCCTGCTTGGAAGGAAGCTCCAGGGTGCAAGCAGGAGAGAGGAGGCTGGAGGAGCCATGGGAAGGGGTGGTCCAGGACAGCTGGGCATCCAACCTTGCTCCTTGCCAGCTCAGGACAAGCAGACAGTCTTTTGGGACGCTCCACTTTCGTTCCTGCTATAAATAAATGCCCCCCGGGCACACTGGCACACTGGCCAGCTTTTCTACTGGAGGGGATTAGAGAGGGGAAGGAGTTCCCATTAAACACAGCAATTATTTAAAAATCCTTCGAGGCAACGTGCAGGAGACAGTATGCAAAACACTTTAGGAGACTCCAGCACCCAACCACGATGACACTGTCAAGTTGCAGATATGGTGGGAGAAAGAACGCCCCATGTCAGCACTCACAAAACACAACACACGTGGTTTAGAGCGGCAGCGACAGCTATTAACCTGGTATGTTTGTTATGAGATAATGAGAGCATGCAGTTCTTTGATTTCCACTAACTACCTTGGGAGCTTAACCCTTCCTCTGGAAAGGTCTCCGGGCTGGAATGTGTTATCTGATTATAGGCCTTCCTGGCAGGCTCCCCGGTGTGCTACAATTTCGGATGTTTGTGTGATAGACTCTGATCTCAGTGAATTACTGAGATTTCTTCAAAGAGTTGGGGGAGCAGGTGAGCTGAAGGGAAAGGAAGTGTCACCACTGGTAGATGGAGTATGGGAACAAACCCTCTGTCCGTTGTAATCACCTGCCACAGTGAACCTGCAGTTTTGTCTTGGTCAGAGAAGGAGGTTGGGCAGGGAAAGGCAGGTCTGTAGGGCCCCACGCAGTCCTTGGTGTAAAAACACAGGCTCTGGTGCCCCTCCTCTATCCCACAGCAGATAAGAATTCATCTCACTCCTCCCAGGAGCAAGGCGTATGTGAACCCAAGGAAGTCCTGATTAGGCCAATCATAGCTCGCCACAGCCCCAACTCAGGGTTACAGGCTCACACCTGTAATCCCAGCACTTTGGGAGTCCGAGGCAGGAGAATCACTTGAGCCCAGGAGTTCAAGACCAGCCTGGGCAACATAGTGAGACCCCTATCTCTACCAAAAAAATAAATAAATAAAATACAAAAGTTGGCCAGGTGAGGTAGCACACATCTGTAGTCCCAGCTACTTGGGAGGCTGAGGCAGGAGAATCACTCGAACCTGGGAGGTAGAGGCTGCAGTGAGCTGTGCTTATGCCACTGTACTCCAGCCTGGGCGACAGAGCAAGACCCTATCTCAAAAAAGAAAGAAAGAAAGAAAAAGTTCTGGTTAGACTTGGGCTGAGCAGAGAGAGAAGGCAAAAGTCACTTCTGTTTCCTTGTTAGAAGGGAACATTTCAAAGAACAGAAAGCAGACAGGCCTTTGTGAGGTGTCCTGAACTTTCTATTGCCCGGAGTGCTCCCTGGGGCCTTACTGATGCCCTAGGCAGTTCACGTTGCATGGGATCTGAGGAGTGCCCGTAATTGGTCCTGCATGCTTCTGAGCCAGTCCACTCCATCATCCCTGGTTACCGGCTCCTCTCTCACCATAAAACTAGAGCATATGGCTCTCGTAGCCAGAGGGGTTTCTCCGCTGACTGGGAGCTGTGACAAGCCTGCCAATGTTCCCCATCAGACCCGGTGGGTAGCGTCTGGGGTCAGAACCCACTCTTGTGTCTTCCCCACACACGAGGTTCTGTGGGGTCTTGGCCAGTGATACTCTGAAGGTCTTAGACTTGCAGCTGGAGGAGTGGTTGTCCATGCACCAGCAAGCATTCCCTGGAACTTAGTTTAAAACCTGCACCTCCAGAGTCAGAATCCGCATATGCCCTTGGGACTTTCAGCTGATGTGCATGCTGCTCATGACTTGAGAAGAGCTTCTCTGGGTGTGCTGTTCCATTGTCACACTGCTATTAAAGACATGCATGAGACTGGGTAATTTATACAGGAAAGAGGTTTAATGGACTCACAGTTCCACGTGGCTGGAGGCCTCACAAACATGGTGGAAGGCAAGGAGGAGCAAGTCACATCTTACATGGATGGCAGCAGGCAAAGAGAGGGCTTCTGCAGGCAAACTCCCCCTTATAAAACCATCAGATCTTATGAGACTTATTCACTATCATGAGAACAGCATGGGAAGGACCCGCCCCCATGATTCAATTACCTCCCACTGGGACCCTCCCATAACGCGTGGGATTTCAAGATGAGATTTGGGTGGGGACACAGCCAAACCATATCACTGGGGTTCATGTACCCAAGCTAAACAGCACTCCCTCCTAAGGAGGGCAGAAGGGGAGGAATGTCCAGGTCTGCCCAATCTAAAGGAAAATTCCCGAAAGGGGAGGCCCCTTGCTCATGGGAAAGAAATGGCTGCCTTTTGAGCTGGGCTACTTACAGGGTAAAGTGAGGCATGTACTCCACAGCGTGGGTAAGAGAGGATACCCTCCAGGAGAGAAAGCAAGTGTGTTGAGAACACAAGACAAAAAAAAGAGAAGCTCCTTAATCCTGCATCATCCTCCCACCCATGCAGGATGTGCTCAAGCTGCTACCCTCTACCCTCTACTGGGCTCCATGGGAAATACAACTGGTTGGGTGGGTGGGTGGAGAAGAAAAGAAATCATCACTAGGTCTGATGTGACCACACGGAATTTCTTTTCTTTTCTTTTTTCTTTTCTTTTTTTTTTTGAGTTAGAGTCTCATTGTGTCACCCAGGCTGGAGTACAATGGTGCAATCTCTGCTCACTGCAACCTCCGGCTCCTGGGTTCAAGCAATTCTCCTGCCTCCGCCTCCCAAGCAGCAGGGATTACAGGCGCCTGCCACCACACCCAGCTAATTTTTGTATTTTTAGCAGAGACATGGTTTCACCATGTTGGCCAGGCTGGTCTCGAACTCCTGACCTCAGGTGATCCGTCTGCCTCGGCCTCCCAAATTGCTGGGATTACAGGTGTGAGCCACTGCACCTGGCCAGCATGTCTTTTCTTTTCTTTTAGATTTAACTTGTTTTTTTTGTTGTTTTTTTTTCGAGAGATGGGGTCTCCCAATCTTGCCCAGGCTGGTCTCAAACTCCTGGGCTCAAGCAATCCTCCCGCCTCAGCTTCACCAAAGTGCTGGGATTACAGGTGTGAGCCACCATGCCCAGTCACAGTGATAATTTCAATAATAATACAGACTATGATTAACCATCATAGCCAACATTTACTGAGGACACTTATGTTCCAGGCACTCTATTCTGGAGTCTTTATTTTTTTGGATTTTAAAAAACTTTTAATTTTTTTATAGAGACAAGATCTCACTATGTTGCCCAGGCTGGTCTCAAATTCCTGGCCTCAAGCCATCCTCTCACCTCCCAAAGTTCTGGGTTTACAAGTGTGAGTCAACAAGGCAGGCGGCAAAGAACGTTTTGACTCCATTTTGTGGCCGCTGCCAGGAGGAGAAAAGGGATTGAGCAAAACTGTTTCAAGGAGAGTGGTCCAGTGGCCAGGTGCAGTGGCACACACCTGTAATCCCAGCACTTTGGGAGGCCGAGGCACCTGGATCACCTGAGGTCAGGAGTTCAAGCCCACATGGTGAAACCTCACCTCTACTAAAAATACAAAAATTAGCCGCATGTGGTGGCAGGTGCCTGTAATCCCAGCTACTCAGGAGGCTGAGGCGGGAGAATCGCTTGAACCCAGCAGGTGGAGGTTACAGTGAGCTGAGATCATGGCACTGTACTCCAGCCTGGGCAACAGAGCAAGACTCCATTTCAAAAAAATAAAGGAGAGTGGTCCAAAGAGCCCCTGTGTGAATTTTGGCTGTCCAGCTCATGAGCCATGAAAAATTTCCTTTTAAAAAATACAGTGTTAAAAAAGATAATTTCTCCCTCAGACTTAAAGAATATATTAATAGGCATGGAAAGACTGATTTTTCAATGAAGAGCTCACCAAGTCAGCCAGGGAAAATAAAACACAGCAACAACAAACACACAAGGGCACACACACACGCACACACACACACTAGCCTCACAAAAGCTTAAACACACAGCATCTTAATAAGGCACCAAAATGCCTGTTAGTTATGTTTCTTCTCTTAATTGTGCTAAAATATACAGAACATAAAATTTACCATTTTAATAATTTCTTTGTTATTATTATTATTTTCATTTTCTAAAAGACAGGGTCCAGCTCTGTCACCCAGGCTGGAGTGCAGTGATGCTCACTGCAGCCTCCAACTCCTGGGTTCCAGCAATCCTCCTGCCTCGGCCTCCTGAGTAGCTGGGACTACAGGCATAAGCCGCTGTGCCTGGCCCATTGTAACCATTTCTAAGTGCACATTTGAGTGGCATTAAGTGCATTCACAGTGTTGGGCAACCGTCACCACCATCCACCTCCAGAATGTTTTCATCTTTCCAAACTGAAACTCTGTCCCCATTCAACAACTTCTCATCTCCCCCTCTGTATTAGTCAGGGTTCTCTAGAGGGACAGAGCTAATGGAATATATATATATATAAAGGGGAGTTTATTAAGTGTTAACTCACACAATTACAAGGTCCCACAATAGGCTGTCTGCAGGCTGAGGAGCAAGAAGAGTCAGTCCGAGTTCCAAAACTGAAGAACTTGGCGGGTAGGAAGCATCCAGCCCAGGAGAAAGATGGAGGCTGGGAGGCTAGGCCAGTCTCTCTTTTCGCATTTTTCTGCCTGCCTTTATTCTAGCCATGCTGGCAGCTGATTAGATGGTGACCACGCAGATTAAGGGTGGGTCTGCCTTTCCCAGCCCACTGACTCAAATGTTAATCTCTTTTGGCAGCACCCTCACAGACACACCCAGGATTGATACTTTGTATCCTTCAATCCAATCAAGTTGACACTCAGTATTAACCATCGCACCCTCCTCCCAGCTCCTGGTAACCTATTTTCTACTCTATTTAGGTAATAGGTAACCTATTCACACTCTGTGAATGTGGTAACTCTATATGCCTCAGATATCTGAGTTACGTGTCTTTTAATTAGCCAAATTAAACTCAACTTAGTTTTACTAAGAAGAAAAAGGCATGGTGAGGCACACGTTGCAATCTCTAATAATAAAAAATAATAAAATTTGCAGGATGACGAATGTGGCCCACACACATATTATTTTTTTTTCCGGAAATTGTCTGCAAACAAATTTAAAATATAAAATGTTTTAACAAGAAAAGAAGGGAAGCAGCAAATTGCAACAGCCCAGCAGTTGTTTAAGGAAAGTTCCAGAAAGTGGTGGTGGTAGGGGGGTATGGGGACAGGGTGGGTGGGGAAGCCAGTCCTTTCCTGCCTAAGCTGGGAAGCCCTGTGTCTATCCACCGCTTCTCCCCCCGCTGGCTACCGGATACCTGCTCACAGGTGTTTATAAGCTCAGTGGCTCTCCTGTCCCAGCTGTCACAGTCCCATTGGCTGGGCAGCCAGAGGCAACAGGTTTGGGTTCTGAGCCAGGAAGTTAAGAAGCCAGGCAGCACAACCCTACCACCCAGATGTCAGAGGCATTTGAACCAGAGCAACTCTATCTTGAAGAGGAGCTGGGTAAAATGAGGCTGAGACCTACTAGGTGCATTCCCAGATGGTTAAGGCATTCCAAGTCACAGGATGAGATAGGAGGTCAGCACTAGATACAGGTCCTAAACACCTTGCTGATAAAACAGGTTGCAGTGAAGAATCTGGCAAAACCCCACAAAAACCAAGATGGACACCAGAGTGACCTCTGGTCATCCTCACGGCTACGCTCCCACCAGCATCATGACAGTTTACAAATGCCATGGCAACGTCAGGAAGTTCCCTATATGGTCTAAAAGGGAGAGGCATGAATAATCCACCCCTCCTTTAGCATATCATCAAGAAATAACCACAAAAATGGGCAACCAGCAGCCCTTGGGGCTGCTGTGTCTGTGGAGTAGCCCTTCTTTTATTCCTTTCCTTTCCTAATAAACTTGATTTCTCTTTACTCTATGGACTCGCCCTGAATTCTTTCTTGCATAAGATCCAAGAACCCTCTCTTGGGGTCCAGATCGGGTCCTGTAACACAGGCTCACCTGCTCCTGTTTAAGGGATACCCACTAGGGTATCCAGCTCCAAATCTGGGCTGGACCCTTCCCCTCTGTGATCCTGGCTTCCTATTCCCAAGGGAAGAACCGTCCAGAAAGGCCCTGACCCAGAGCCCCCTAAACCCTTGAAGGAGGCTCCCTGATCCCTCCAACATCATGCTGTAGTTTTCGCCGTACAAACGACCCCATCGACTTCCTTTTTCTCCAGGGAGAGATCAGGGACCTCTCCATGATGAGTTAAACATCAAATCCTCTATAAAAGCTGCTCTGGATTCTGCCTAGGTTCTCAGCATCTGGCAAAAACATTTGCGGACCAAGGTCTGTGAGCACATCTCGCTGGTTTTTGTTTTTTTTTTTTTTTTTTTTTTTTTTGAGAGCTCTCGTGATTTCTAAATTACATCACGGGGCAGAGCGGAATGGAGGGATTTAAAACGCCCATCCTTTTAAAAAACATGAACCGTTTCAAGTACAGAGTTTGACAGAGGGTAGACGGTACGAACTTGCTCCCACAGGCCTAGTTACTTGCCTCGTGCAAGGCCCCTCTCTCCCCTTCCCACTTGGAATCATCCTTGGAATCATCTTTGTCTAGGAAGAGGATTTCACTCCGGGTCTTTGAGAACACCTCTCAGGCCTGACCCTGGCCTTGGGAAGAAGACTCCCAGCCTGAGGGTCTTGTTGAGAGTTTTAATGTCCCCTTTAGGGACATCTTTGCTTTTCTTTCTTTCAGAAGAGGAATCAATTCTGGACCAGAGGATGTCTCCCTGCCTTTGCCCTGCCTGCCTCCCCCCACATCCTTCTCTGGCAAGGGGAATGAGGCTGAGAATGACCTCCATCCGCAGGACGAGGTAGGCACTGATTTAATGAAGGACTTCACTCTCAGTCGGGCTCAGCCGCAGGGATGGCAGATGGGGCCAGGCAGGAGGCTGTGGTGGGGTCTGTGCTGGGGAGATGGGAGCAGGAGCATCTGCAGAGTGGAGGCAGGAGGGTCGGAGAGCTCGGGGCCCAGACAGTCCCCAAGCGACTCTTGGGAGGCTGGCTTTGATGCCGTCCCAGAATATGGTTCAGAGTCAAAGCAAAGGGATGAATTTGTTAGCTGGAACACGGCCCTGAATTCTCCCCAGGAAATTCACTGAAACAGAGATTTAACCCGCGAGAGTTCCAGCCGAGCGATGAATCACCCGACTTCCCTCCTGTCTTTCATAGCCCACGTTTCACTTTCCTACCTTGGATTAGATAAATTAATGCAGAACATCCGGAAACTCCCGGGGCGCTTTGAAGTTTTCAAAGGGCCTCTGCCTACATTGTCTCCTGTGATCCCCCTGGTGGCCCCCACAGGTGAATGGACGAGGAGGTTGGGGTGTGGTCCTCGTACACATGGAGACACAGCAGAACACTAAAGGTGAATGGCTTTCCCCAGGTCCCAGCCTGAGGATCAGAGCCCAGGTCACCTGCCTCATTGCTTAGTGGTTCTGGAGTTCAGGCAACTTCATACCGTGGCGCAGGGAGAAGCATGAACCCAAAGGTTGGAGCCACGTCTTAGACAAATCAGTTCTTCTCCCTGGGCTGCATCTCCTCTTCCTCTTTTTGTTTTTTTTGAGACAGGGTGTCACTGTGTTGCCCAGGCTCACTGGGCAGTGGCACAGACTTGGCTCACTGCAACCTCCGTCTCTCAGGCTCAAGTGATCCTCCCATCTCACCCTCCAGAGTAGCTAGGACTACAGGTGCATGCTACCACGCATGGCTAATTTTTGTACTTTTTGTAGAGACAGGGTCTCACTGTGTTGCCCAGGCTCCTCTGGAACTCCTGGGCTCAATCAGTCCTCCCACCTCAGCTTCCTGAGTAGCTGGGACTACAGGCTCACACCACTACACTTCTCCAATTTTTAAATTTTTTTTATAGAGTCGGTGTCTCGCTGTGTTGCCCAAGCTGGTCTAAAACTCCTGTCCTCAAGCAATCCTGCTGCCTCAGCCTCTCAAAGTGCTGAGATTACAAGCGTGAGCCACCGCACCCAGCCTCTCCTCCTTTTTAGTTGCTGGGCTGGGCTCTCTAGAACTGTGCTGTCTAACGTGGTAGCAACTAACTCCATGTGACTTTTTAAAGTTAAACTAATTTAAGCTAAATAAAAATTAAAAACTAGTTCCTCAGTCCGACTAGCCCCATCCAAAGTGCTCAGTAACTGCGTGTGACTAATGGCTCCTATACTGGATGGCACAGAAATAACATTTCCGTCATCACAGAAAGTTCTTCTGTCCAGCAACAGGACAGGGCTGGTCAAACTGCCACCTCAGGGCAAATGCGGTCTGCTGCCTGTTTTTGTAAATAAAGTTTTGTCGGAACAGGGACACACCCATTTCTTCATATATTGTCTTTGGCCCCTGTCGTGCAACCAGCATGAGTAGTTGTGACCGAGATGATATGGCCCAAAAGACCTAAAATATTCACGGTCCAGTCCTTTACAGAAAGCATGCCGACTTCTGCCCTGGAAGATGGAAAATCTGCGGATTTCCACCCAGACCGCTCAGTGTCATTCAGAGGCCCAGAATCATCCCACACTGCAGACATCCCGCCTCTCCTTGTCCCAGTTATTGGGATTCATGGAACACATCTGCCTGTGTGTGTGTTTCTAGAAAGGAAATGTAGTGCTTTATTTTTTTAATTTTTGAGACAGGGTCTCACTTTTTCCCCTGGCTGGAGTGCAGTGGTATGATCAGGGCTCACTGCAGCCTCGACCTCCTAGACTTCCATAGTCAAATGATCTTCTTGCCTCAGCCCCACCAGTAGCTGAGACTACAGGCACGAGCCGTCACACCTGGTTAATTTTTTTTAAATTATTTTTAGTACAGGCAGGGTCTCACTGTGTTGCCCAGGCTGGTCTGGAACTCCTGGGCTCAGGTGATCCTCTGGTCTTGACCTCCCAAACTGCTGGGATTACAAGCATGAGCCACCACGCGCAGCCCTAATAATTTTCAATTCAGGGCCAATCTCATTTCATCTGTTCCTCTACCCACTTTAGATGAGCCCTGGAATCTTTTGAAGCAGATTTCAGTCATTCTGTCACTTAACATGTAAATATTTCAGTAGGCATCTCTCAAAAACATAAATACGATACCAGTATCACTTAACATGTAAATATTTCAGTAGGCATCTCTCAAAAACATAAATACGATACCAGTATCACAGCTAAAGATATTCACAATAATTCCTTAATCAAATGTGCAGTGTTCAAAGTTCCCTAATTTGTCTCATAGATATTTTTTCTTGTATTATTCTAACATCTGCCTGGGGATCTAAATCAGATCCGTATGTTGCGATGGGCTGTTGGGTCTCTGCCTTCTTTAACCTATTACCCTTTCCCTCTTTTCCTTACAATTCACTTAATGAAAAAATTGGATTATTTGTCCTATAGAGCTAGCCACAGCTTGCACAATCTTGAATTATTATTATTATTATTATTATTATTATTATTATTATTATTGAGACAGGGTCTTGCCCTGTGCCCCAGGCTGGAGTGCAGTAGCACAATCACGGCTCAGTGCAGCCTCAACCTCCTGGGCTCAAGTTATCCTCCCACCTCAGCCTCCAGAATAGTTGGGACTGCAGGCATATGCCAACACACCTGGATAATTTTTATATTTTTTGTACAGACGGAATTTTGCCATGTTGCCCAGGCTGGTCTCCAACTCCTGGCCTCAAGCGATCCACCCACCTCGGCTTCCCAAAGAGCTGGGATTACAGGCCACAGTCTGGATTTTGATGATGACATCTCCATGGTGTCATTTGACAGGTTCTTCTGTCCTCTTCATTTTCTATAGATCAGTAGTTGGATCTAGGGTTGATCACATTCAGTTTTGGGGATTTGACAAGAATATTTCATGGTGTAGTGTCCTGTCCTTCCACTGGGGGGCACAGAGTGCTTGGTTTGTGTCTTTTTTAGAGGTTGTTCACGGTTTGTAATGGTGATTGCTTAGATCCATTAGTTCATTATGAGATGTAAAATGCTGATATTCAAAGTCTACATTCCTCTTCCTTAATTAGCTAGAATACTTCTATAACAAGGACCTTCCCCTTATCAACCACTTGGTCACGCTGATGTATCGTTGCCATAAGAAAGGTCGATAAATGCTTAAATTTTTTCCCTTTTACTGACCAGTTTTCAAAATAATGAGGGGATATCCTGCTGACCTCCAAAGGTGACCAATGAGAGCTTTTTTCTTCTTTTTTTACGAATCATGAATTCACCAACTTTAACCCATTCACTTTGTTTCAAACCATTCAACTAGTTAACCTCAAGGATGCCATGGTATGGAAGAGAATCTGTTGAGTCAACTCTTCCTACATCACTGACCAGCCAACTTCTGACCACAAAAGCTGTCAGGCTGGCTGGGGCCAGAGTCCCCTCACCTTGTCACAGGCCATAGGAGAGTCTCCTCCTACACCCCACCCTGGTCAACCCAAGACTTGCTCGTGTGCAGATGCGTGCTTCAGAGACAGAGCAGCAGGACGCTCTAGAACCGAGCCAGGGGGTGGGAGGGGCCAGCACCTCTCTTGCTCAAGAGTGAGACACCAGGCAGGATGCAGGGGCTCATATCTGTAATCCCAGCCCTTTAGGAGGCTGAGGCAGGAGGATCACTTGAGGCCAGGAGTTTGAGGCTGCAATGAGCCACGATCGCACCACTGCACTCCAGCCTGGGCAACACAGGCAAGACCTCATCTCTATAAAAAATGTAAAAAGTCAGCAGGGCATGGTGGTGTGCCCCTATAGTCCCAGCTACTTGGGAGGCTGAGGTGGGAGAATCACTTGAGCCCAGGAAGTTGATGCTGCAGAGAGCTACGATTGATTGCACCACTGCACTCCAGCCTGGGAAACAGAGTGAGACCCTGTCTCTAAAAAAAAAAAGGAGACAATGAGACACTTGCATTCAATTTTTCATGGTGGGGACGTCTCCTGTTGGGCTATGGTTAATGCAATCACTGATCCTAAGCCTTAAAATGCACACACACAAACATACACATCACACACATACACACACAAATGTGCACACAACTGCTGTTCATGAGGAAAAATAATTTCCAAGCTTCTGTTCCCACCTGCTCCACACACAGATGCTCTCGTATCTCATAATTGGCCAACTTAACTAGTTTGATAAGGAAATAGATTTTGCTTTAGAAGACACAGCTACATCTACCTCTGTGTAAGTTTCCTTTTTACTCCACCCACCTCAGAACTCAGGCTGTTCCCAAGCAGTGAACTAACAGGAGAATGTCTAGTTTAAGGGGGATTTTTAATTCCATTTCCAAACCCTGCAGGTATTCACCAGTATGCTGTTTATTTTACTTGCTTAGTCCCTGCTCAGGACAGGATATTGGAGGTGAATTATTTATATTCCAAGAAACCAAAAGAAAGAGAGAGGAAAAAAACCAAGAGCAAGGAAACAGTAATTTCTGTATGGCTGTTTTTCAGGTTTCTACCGATCTTACTAAAAATATTTTATTCTTACTCCATTTTTGTACAGAAAATTTCATGTGTGTACTGCCACTGAAAAGCAACATTACTGATTTATTTAAAATATTTATACTGAATTACAGCATTAAGATAGACACATGCATTAGCAGGAGTGATTCAGAACAATGTGCCCACGAAGTTTATTTTTGAATCAAAGTTGAGAAGGCTGTGTGTCTACAAACATCAAATGACTCATTTTTCGCTAATTACTGACACCTGCAGCCGATTCGCTCTCTGCTAAAACTCAGCATTTCAGTTAATTTCTGCCCTAATTAGCGTGGTAACAAATGCATCTCCTACTTGATATAGAAATGCAGAAGGGTGCACAATGACTCTGGGGGCTTCCAACTTTCTTCCTAAAATTCTAGCAGAGGAATCTAGAAATGCCAATGGTTGGGCTTCACGGCCTGACCCAGGTGTTCAGAGGTTCCTCCACCAAAGGGCAGGGCTGCTTAGAAGCCAGGCAATCTCTTAAGATGGGGTAGTGGAGCATGCAGGGGCTGGGGGTCAGACAATCCTGGGTTCGCATTTCTGACCTGCCGTTCACGTGCTGTGCAACCTTGGGCAAATCGCTTAGCCCCTCTGAGCCATAAGATGGAGAGAAATGATCGGTCCCATATCACTGGCATGTTGTCCAGGCAAAGTGCTGGGAACATGGGAGGTGGTCCATCCTCACTATTCCCATGGTTACGACTCAAGATCAGACCCACTTTCCTTCCTTCCCTCCCTTCCCTCTTTCCCTCTTTCCTTCCTTCCTCCCTCTCTCTCTCTCTCTCTCTCTTTCTTATCCTTCTTTCTTTCGATGGAGTCTCGCTCTATCACCCAGGCTAGAGTGCAGTGGCGCGATCTTGGCTCACTGCAGCCTCCACCTCCCGGATTCAAGCAATTCTCCTGCCTCAGCCTCCCGAGTAGCTGGGACTACAGGCACATGCCACCACACCCAGCTAATTTTTGTATTTTTTATTTTTTAGTAGAGATGGGGTTTCGCCATGTTGGCCAGGCTGGTCTTGAACTGGTAAGCTCAAGCTACCTGCCTGCCTCGGCCTCCCAAAGTGCTGGGATTACAGGCATGAGCCACTATGTCCAGCCCAGACCCCTTTTCTCAACCCCCAAAACCACTCATGTCAAAGTGACTCCCCCTTTGAGTTCCCCAGCCTTAGCTCCTGACAATTTCCCCTGCCACTGTGTGGTCCTGTCTGGCTCCTGCCTCCAGCCAGCCCAACATGTGGTCTTTCTCTTAAGTGGGCCTTTTTCTTTCCCAAGCCCAACCCTCTGTATGGAGAACACCAAAATAATAATAATAATAATAATAATAATAATAATAATAATAATGATAATAAAAAGGAAGGAGGGAAGGAGAAAAAAGATAAAAGATTTGATAGCCACCATGTGTCTGGCACCCAGCGTGTAATGAAAATGATAATGTTTTCTCTGTTGCAAGCTGCTTCGCAAAGCTCCTTATGGCCACTGATTCATTAAATCTTCATGACTCCCGCGAGATACGTACTCTCATTTCCCCATTTTATGGATGAGAAAACCGAGACTTTAGAGAAAAATAGTTCAAGAAGATATAAACAGACAGTTCACAGAAGGGGGCATCAAAATTGCCTATCGGGCTTAGAAACAGTTGCTCAACCTCACATTCAAGGTGCAAATAAAATTAATTATGGGATACTATTTTTCATCTCTTAGTCTAGAAAATGAACAGTAACTTCCAATGCCTCAACAATACACGAAGCTGGGTACTCAAATTCCTTGTTCATGAGTGTGAATTGCTTTCAACTTTACACAAATTAACCATACAATGTCTATTAAAATTTAAAATGCATGCTCTTTAGCAAGAAACCTCACTTTTGGGAATCTGTCCTACACTAGTAAAACCAACGACACATGAAAAACATAGAGGAGGATGTTTATTGCAGCACTGTTTGGGACAAGGAAAACGAATGATTTTTTTTTTTTTTTTTTTTTTTTTTTTTTTTTTGTGTGAGACAGAGTCTTGCTCTGTCACCCAGGCTGGAGTGCAGTGGCAAGATCTCAGCTCACTGCAACCTCTGCCTCCTAGATTCAAGAGATTCTCCTACCTCAACCTTCCAAGTAGCTGAGATTATAGGCAGGAGCCACTACACCTGGCTAATTTTTGTATTTTTAATAGAGTATTTTTAATGTTAGTGAGGCTGGTCTTGAACTCCTGACCTCAGGTGATCCTCCCACCTCAGCCTCCGAAAGTGCTGGGATTATAGGTGTAAGCCACCAAGCCTGGCCGGAAAATGAATGATTTTTACTGCGTGGTTTATACTGGAGGAAAAAACAACAACCCAAGGATGGTATAGTATTGTCTGGAGTGGGGGAAAATAGAAACAAAGTAAATTTTCATCTATAGAGTAGCTGGATGCATTTAGGTATATCCATATTATAGAATACTATGTAGCAGTTTAAAATAATGAATTGAAACTCTATTGCTGATTGCTGAGTGAAAAATCAACCTAACCCACTCCTTGAAAGGAGTCACAAGTAGGGCAACGCTTTTGAATGAGATACCATGTTTCATTGTATTGGGGTGGGGGGTGGGAATCCACCAAGCATTTTTGCGTAACATTGAGCATTTAAAACACCAATACCGAGGCCGGCAAATTGCTTGAGCTCAGGAGTTTGAGACCAGAAGACTGGGCAACATGGAGAAACTCTGTCTCTACAAATAATAATAATAATAATAATTAGCTGAGTGTGGTGGTGCACACCTGTAGTCCCAGCTACTTGGGAGGCTGAGGTGGGAGAATTGCTTGAGATCAGGGAGGTCGAGGCTGCAGTGAGCTGTGATTGTGCCACTGCACTGCAGCCTGGGTGACAGAGTGAGACCCTGTCTCTAAAAAAAAACCAAAGACAAAAACAGAGACTCCCAATAACCTAATTATTTAACCCGGAATGAACACAATAGAGGGCACGTGTGTCTGCACTCATTGGGAATGTTTTCTTTCTCGCCTGTAGTTAGCGAACCCTGTGACATAAGCAAATGGGGAAATGTTATGTGAAAGATACACGATGCATGCAAGTAAGGCTTAGCAAAATGAAATAAGCAAGGGGACTTTTAATAACAGTGGTTTCCTGATTGGAGAGCTGTCTGAATAAGGGGACAGCCGCACTAGTCCCCTATCTCTCTAACTCATGACCCACCCAGGTGCTTCCGCCTGCAGCCCTGCGGGGGCTGCCTCCGGTTTTCAGGGGTCAGTGAGTGTAAACTCCTTTTTTCCTGGCAGGGATGCCCATGTCTGCATGTCTCAGCATCGCAGATTAAAGTAACTCCCAGGTGTGTGAAAACATCAGGCCTGTTTGTGGGGCAGAGTCTTGGCTGGGGAGAGAGACAGGAGATGTGTGTCATCTTTCCTGGCACTCACAGGGCCGTGGGAACAACAGGTTTGGAAAGGAGGAAGTGGAGCGTGGTGAGGTGCGGACTGCAACAGGGGAGGGGCAGCTGCAGGAGCTCTGGGGGCCTAGAGGAGCCACAGCCCCCCTGCTGCAAGCCAGAGAGAGACCGGAGGGCTTCTCAGAGGAGGGAGGTTGCAAGTACATGGTGGGAAAGGTGCAGACGTCTGTTAAGGGCACCCACAAAGGTGATGCAGGAGGAAGTGCTGTGGCTGGGAGACCAGGGCCGGTCCAGAGACTGGCCAGTGAGAATAGGAAAGCCTGCTGATATCCACAGGGCCTGGTCGTGGCAACCCTGATGAAACGTGCTAGGCTGTCTGGAACCTGCCCGTTAGGCAAAAGGAGCCACTCAAGAGGATCCCACCCAGCTGATGCCAGTTTCAGCTGAATCTGGTCTGTGGCTGGGGGCAGATTGGGAGAAGTCAATGCCTCACTGTTTTTGTTGTCGGGATCAATGGACGGCTGCCATTTGCAGGTGTTGCATCTGGGATAAAGTGAAGGGACAAGTTTGGAGCCAGGGCTTGGTGGCCGAAATGTGTGTTGGGAGAGCAATGGGCCAGGCAGCTCCCCTGGTGCTGGCTTGGAAGGTGGGTGGGTGTTGGAGCATTTCATGGAGCAGGGCCACAAGGTCAGCACTGGGTTTGGGAGTAGACACTCCTTGTGAGAAGAAGCCATCCTGGCCCGGTGCAGCTGCTCACGCCTGTAATTCCAACACTTTGGGAGGCCAAGGCACGAGGATTGCTTGAGCCCAGGGGTTCAACACCAGCCTGGGTGATATGGTTTGCATCTGTGTTCCCAGCCAAATCTCGTGTTGAATTGTTAGCCCCAGTGCTGCAGGTGGGGCCTGATGGGAGGTGATTGGATCATGGGGGAGGAATTCTCCCTTGCTGTTCTCATGATATTGAGTGAGTTCTCACGAGATCTGGTTGATTAAAAGTATGTAGCATCTCCCCGTTCTTTCTCTTCCTTCTCCTCTGTCCATGTAAGACGTGTCTGCTTCGCCGTTGCCTTCCACCGTGATTGTGAGTTTCCTGAGGCCTTCCCTAGCCATGCTTCCTGTATAGTCTGTGGAACGGTGAGTCAATTAAACCTCTTTTATTTATAAATTACCTGATTTCAGGTAGTTCTTTACAGCACTGCAAGAACAGACTAATACACTAGGAAACATAGCAAGACGTCTACATCTCTACAAAATAACAACAACAAAAAATTAGCTGGGCATGGTGGTGCATGCCTGTAGTTCCAGCTACTCAGGAGGGTGAGGCAGGAGGATTGCTTGAGCCCAGGAGGTTAAGGCTGCAGTGAGCTATGATTGAGCCACTGCACTCCAGCCTGTGTGACAGTGAGACCCTGTCTCAAAACAAATAACAAAAAGGCCGGGTGCAGTGGCTCACGCCTGGAATCCCAGCACTTTGGGAGGTCAAGGTGGGTGGATCACCTGAGATCAGGAGTTCAAGACCAGCCTGGCCGACATAGTGAAACCTTGTCTCTAGTAATAATACAAAAATCAGCTGGGCATGGTGGCAGGGAACTGTAATCCCAGCCACTTGGGAGGCTGAGGAAGGAGAATCACTTGAACCCGGGTGGCAGAGGTTGCAGTGAGCCAAGGTTGTGCCACTGCACTCCAGTCTGGGCAACAAAGAGAGACTCCATTTCAAAAAAAAAAAAAAGCCGGGCATGGTGGCTCACACCTGTAATCTCAGCACTTTGGGAGGCCGAGGTGGGCAGATTACCTGAGGTCAGGAGTTCGAGACCAGCCTGGCCAACACAGTGAAACCACGTTTCTATTAAAAATACAAAAATTAGCTGGATGTGGTGGCGGGCACCTGTAATCCCCAGGTACTCGGGAGGCTGAGGTAGAAGAATTGCTTGAACCTGGGAGGTGGAGGTTGCAGTGAGCCGAGATCACGCCACTGCACTCCAGCCTGGTCGACAAGAGCAAAACTCCATCTCAAAAAACAAAGAAAAGCATCCTGAATTTAGTGAAGGGGAAGCTTGAAAGCACCTGTGCTGTATTCTCACCAACATAGGCCAACCTCATCAAACAACTCCCTTCCTCTGTGTCTCCATTTCTGTCTCCCTGTCTTTTTTCTGCTCCCTAAAATCTGTTTTGAGCATCGAGTATTGGGCAGCCTACACATGACATTAAGGAAAACCTGGCAATAATTGTAGGTGACATAAAATTTATTGAGATCCTTGTTTTTAACTTTACTACTCAGAATGTGAATCTATTTCTTCAAAACTAGGGTGGAATCCTGAATAGAGGCACATGTGAGAGATAAAGCTCGAGACTGGGTGCAGTGGCTCACACCTGTAATCCCAGCACTTTGGGAGGCCAGGTGGGAGGATCACTTAAGCCCAGGAGTTTGAGACCAGCCTGGGCAAGATGGCCAAACCCAGTCTCTACCAAAAAAAAAAAAAAAAAAAAAGCAAAAATTAGCCAGGTGTGGTCACGTGCACCTGTAGTCTCAGCTACTTTGGAGGCTGAGGCAGGAGAATTGTTTGAGCCCAGGAGGCAGAGGTTGTAGTGAGCCGAGATCGTGCCACTGCATTCCAGCCTGGGCGACAGAGCAGGACCCTGTCTCCAAAAAATAAAAATAAAAAAAAAAAGTCTGCCCCTATGAGTTGAGCAACCTCATGAAGATATCCTTTCTTAGCTTGTTTTCCCAGCTCTAAAATACAATGCAAACTATCCCACGGGGTGTATTAGGGCCCAGTGAAATTTCTCTGCTAGGGCTATAATTGTCTGTCTTCTTATAGCCGTTCTTATTTTTGACTTTGGAGGTATTAAATATTCAGCCCATGCCAGAGTGAGGATCTCCTTTTCACCTTCTGTCTGAATTGTGCCTTGAATCTGTTTCGCGATGGGTGCGAACTGGGTGAGACACTTGTCTTAGAACCGCAGCCCTGGCAACTCCACGCCGCCTGACCTCGAGCCGGTTTCCATAGCCTGAATCCTTCCTCTCATTTGCAAACAACTTTCTTAGTAAATGATGACAAAGCAGAATGCAATCCCTTCTATAAGAGATATGACTCAGAACAAATTGTAGCCGCGTTTTCCTCACTTTTCTCCTGCGTGGTGCGTGCTTCATCATCTTAAAGATCTCTTTGTTTGATAGTCAAGTGCATTAGTGTAGACAAGTGTGATATTTCTTCTCTTGTAATAATTATTTCCTGTTATAATTTCGGAGTTGTATCATAGCTTCTAACGTCGTCCCCCAGCCCTTGAGCATAAAGATTTCCCCTGGACTCCTAGCAATGTTACATGCAAAACAAATGACATCAGCAGAATAGAACAGACTTGTAGAAAGATCTTCTAGGAAGAAAGCAAATAGGAAGATCAGCTACAAACCGAGACGGGTGGATCACGAGGTCAGGAGATGGGGACCATCTTGGCCAACATGGCAAAACCCCATCTCTCTCAAATACAAAAAATCAGCTGGGTGTGGTCACACACCTGTAGTCCCAGCTACTCAGGAGGCTGAGGCAGGAGAATCGCTGGAACCCGGGAGGTGGAGGTTGCAGTGAGCTGAGATAGCGCCACTGCACTCCATTCTGGGGACAGAGCAAGACTCCGTCTCAAACCAGCTAAGCAGGAAGAACATTGCTTTGCAAGAAAAATACCTATGTATTCATTTAACAACAGCTCCAAACAAAGGCAGTGGGTTCATCAAGGGTTCGGGCAGCTTGTATCATCTTTAATTATAATAATTTTTAATGGTGGTGACCTGATTATTACATTTACAATGTTTGTTTATCAAAAGGTCTGAGGGGCGACCAAGGAATTCTTTCAGCAGTACTCTGTACACTAATGAAGTTGCAAAGCTCTCAAATGCAGAGAGCACATAAAAGCCATGGCAATAAAAGAGCTTAAACTCCCCAAGCCTGAAGTGCTTGCCTACTGCATCACCGGCCGTCAATAGGTACTTTGCTCTGAGGACATCAGGTGGTGTTAGCAACCTGTCGATTAGATGGAGGTGAGCCCAGAGGCCAGAAAGTCACTGATGGGCCAGGGCTAGAGTCACAGGTGATGGTGAGACCCAGGCTACTCAAAGTGTCCCCAGACCAGCTGCCTGGCGTCACTGGGAGCTTGTGAGAGGTGCAGAATAAGGCCACCCAGACCTGTAGTATCAGAAACTGCTAAGGGTGCCGGGTGCGGTGGCTCACATTTGTAATCCCAGCACTTTGGGAGGCCCGGGTGGGCAGATCACTTGAGGTCAGCGGTTCGAGACCAGCCTGGCTAACATGGTGAAACCCCATCTCTACTAAAAAATACAAAAAGTAGCCAGGTGTGGTGGCACACACTTGTAGTTCTAGCTACTTAGGAGGCTGAAACAGGACAATCACTTGAACCTGGGAGGCAGAGTTTGCAGTGAGCCAAGATGGCACTACTGCACTCCAGCCTTGGTGCCAGAGTAAGATTCCATCTCAAAAAAAAAAAAAATGCTGAGGAACAAGATGCACAGGTGACCCGTGTGCTCGTTAATGTTTGAGAAGCAGAGGTTTAGGAAACAGCTTTTGAAGAAATCAAACCAAGAGAGGGGTAGGAATTGTCAGGCAAGAGGTGGCCCTGGAATGTGAGGCTGTGAGCAGCATGACCTTGTCTTATCTCATTGCACCTGCAATTAAACCTTTTGTCCAAACAAGATCTTACTCTGAGGTTCCAAGTAGATGTGAATTTGGGAGAAGACAGCATTTAACCCAGTGCAGAGGAGAAGATTAGCAAGAACCTTAGGGCATCAGGACTCCTGAGTTCTGCTCCTGGCTGGGGCTACTCCAGGGGGTTCTGTTTCCATGTGCATTTTAAAAAAAAAAAATTGTCATTGAAATCTTTTTTTTTTTTTTTTTTTTTTTTTTTTTTTTTTTTTTTTTTTGAGATGGAGTCTCGCTCTGTGACCCAGGCTGAAGTGCGGTGGCGCGATCTCGGCTTACTGCAATCTCTGCCTCCCAGGTTCAAGCAATTCTCCTGCCTCAGCCTCCAGAGTAGCTGAAATTACAGGTGTATTCCATGTCTGGCTAATTTTTATATATTTAGTAGAGACAGTGTTTCACCATGTTGGTCAGGCTGGTCTCGAACTCCTGACCTTGTGATCTGCCTGCCTCGGCCTCCCAACGTGATGGGATTACAGGTGTGAGCCACCGTGCCTGCCTGGTCATTGAAATCTTACATGCTAAAGTGGCAGAGAACACATTGAGGACAGATGAAAAGGCAGCTGATGAGAAGGGACTGAGATTCCGCTCTCCTTGAGCATGCAGACTTCTCTGACCTGGTCCCCGGGAGAGGCCCCAAGCCTCTCCACTCCCATCTCCTTGTATTTAAAACTGAGCTAATAACTTGGAACTCCCTCACAGGAATAGTGGGAAGAACTGGTGTTTAAAATAAAATGATTCTCAACCGTGTTGCAAATGCAAGTTGCCTCAGGAATATTAACTAGGAGGGAAACTATCAAGGTTCCCTCAGATTCTAAATCTGGCAAGAGAAAGAGAGGGGTGGGGGGGGGAGAATGAGCTATTTTTAATTCCTGGCCAAGAAATGATTTTTTTTAAATCCACAGTAATATCATGAGCTCAGCCTGTTCGAACAATGAATTCTGTTTCCATAATTGTCTTGTCCACAGTAGCCACCATAAAAAGAACAATAATCATGGTGATTCCTAATGTAAATCTGCCTGGTTTCTCGGAGGCAGAGGAGGGTGGGCTGCTTTCAGAGCTCTGGGAGAGCCCCGAGGGAGGGGGGACAGTGGCCCCTCCTGGGGTCAAGCCATATGATTTGTAATTAATATTTAACACTGGTTTTAAAAACAAGTGACATGCCCCTTAATCAGCACACATTATCTAAGGTCAGGAACAGAAGAAATGCATTTATTGATTGATTTGCTCCCCCCACCCCATGCCTCTATGTATATGTTAATCAATATTGCCTACAATGTCCAGATTTTTTTTAAAAGGTCTCCCAGATGAAGCTGCAAACACAGCCAGCTCTCTGCTTTCCCTCTGTGCTACAGCTGAGGAAAGCGTGTTGGCAGGAAATTAACTTGTTTAAGGAGCTGGCTTCAGCCTCCTTCTGCCACCCGACCCACTCCAAAACACATTCACTATTCACGGAAGAAGAGGACCATAGAAATTCAGTATGTAGTTTCACATGGGTTATTTTATTTTATTATTATTTTTAGAAATGTTCAAAACACAGAAAAGTGCAGAGAATAACAGAACATGTTCCCAGGTTCTCACCACCCAAAATTGACAAATGCCAACGTTTTCTGTCTTTGGGTTTTTGTTTTTGTTTTTGAGATAGAGTCTTGCTCTGTCACTCAGGCTGGAGTGCAGTGATGCGATCACAGCTCACTGCAACATGAGTCTCATGGGCTCAAGCAATCCTCCCAAGTAGCTGGGACCACAGGTGCATGCCACCATGCCTGGCTAAGTTTTGTTTGTGGTGGTGGTGGTGGTGGTGGTGGTTGTTTTTTTGTTGTTTGTTTTTTTGTTGTTGTTTTTTGTTTTGGTTTTTTGTTTGTGTTTTTGTAGAGATAGGGTCTTCTTTGTTGCTTAGGCTGGTCTTAAACTCCAGGGCTCAAGTGATCCTCCTGCCTCAGCCTCCTAAAGTGCTGGGATTACAGGCAGGAGCCACCACACCCAGCATTTCATGTTTTTATATTTATAAAAATATAAAGTGGGCCAGACACGGTGGCTCACATCTGTAATCCCAACACTTTGGGAGGCCAAGGCAGGTGGATCAAGAGGTCAAGAGATCAAGACTATCCTGGCTAACATGGTGAAACCCCATCTCTACTAAAAATAAAAAATTAGCTGGGCGTGGTGGCATGTGCCTGTAGTTCCAGCTACTCGGGAGGCTGAGGCAGGAGAATCGCTTGAACCCAGGAGGTGGAGGTTGCTGTGAGCCGAGATTGTATCACTGCACTGTAGCCTGGCAACAGAGCAAGACTCCATCTCAAAATAAAATAAATAGAAAATAAAAAATATATGTATTGAACAAAACATCACAGATCAAGTGAAGTCCCTTTCAGCCCCACCTGCAAGGTCAGTCCCTCTCCCCTCTCTCTCAAATCGGGGATGTGCCTCTACCCTCTTATAGGTGTACCCATGAACAATCTATAATATTATAATAAAGTTTGGGCTGCTTTGAGGTTCCTAGAACTTGTTTTGTGTCACTCGACATTGAATTTTTTTATAATTACCTGTGTTATCAATGCACATCTAGTCTCTCCATTTCAATTGCCTGTAGAAGTCTATCTTATGGATGCACCACGTCTGGTCCACCTTCCCCCATTGGTGGACATGGTGTTGTCTCCCACTGTTTCCCATTTATAAACCATGAGTCTGCCATGCATGTCTCCTGGTCTACATGTACCCTTGGAATTTCTGGGTCATGGGGGCGCACAGGTTCAACTTCACTGGGTACTGCCCAGTTGCTCCAAGGCCGGATCAATCTGCATTCACATCAGCAGGGCATGAGCACTCCCTCTGCTCCACATACTCCAACATTTACTCTGGCCCAGCTTTGCTTCCTGATTGGAAACCATCTGATGGGTGATGGAGAGGAACGGGTCCACACGGCTTTTTTCACATCGCCATTCGTTGGCTTTCTCTGCTGGGGCTGCTTAAATTCAGCAAAGGAAAAAAAACAAAAACAAAAAAACAGAACAGACACTGGACGTGAGAAATCTGAAACTGGAGCATCTATGTTGTTCCAAAGGGTGGATCTCCAGAGATCTCCCCACCAAGACCGCAGTCCCCACCACCCATCTGTCATGTCAGTCGAGCAGACTGACACTAAGTAAGTACGTTGAAAATGAGCTATGGATCTGGGAGGACCTGGGTCCTTGTGTTGGTTCAAGACTTTCTTTAGACAATTCACTTCACTCTGGTAACCTCAGTTTCCTCAACAGTCAAACAAGGACAATGATCTCAATCATATAAGAGTAAAGACATAGTATCTACGCAGGGCCCGGCATATCACTTGGTATAGAGTGCTGAGAAAGACTATTTTTGAGACGGGCCCTTCCTCTGTTGCCCAGGCTGTAGTGCAGTGGCACAATCATGACTTACTGCAGCCTCAACCTCCTGGGCTCAGGTGATCCTCCCACCTCAGCCTCCTGAGGCTGGGACCACAGGCCTGCGATCCTTGGTTAAGTTTTTTATTTTTTGTAGCAATGGGATTTCACTACATTGCCCAGGCTGGACTCGAGCTCCTGAACTCAAGTGATCGTCCTGTGTCGGCCTCTCAAAGTGCCGCAATTACAGGCAGGAGCCACCACACCTAGTTCTATTATTAATAATAATAAATAACACAGTGAAGTGATTAAGAGTCTGGGTTCTGGAATCGGACTGTTTGGGTTACTTTCCTGGCTTTGGCCTCTTGCTTGTTGTGTGTGTATCTTGGTTATGTCATCTGCAAAATGGGGATGCAATGAATACCAACTTTGGTGAAGATCAAGTGCAATTGTGCATACAAAGGTCTTAGAACAGGGCATTATCCAGGGCTGGGTGCAGTGGCTCAGGCCTGTAAATCCCAGCACTTCGGGAGACCGAGGCAGGTGGATCACTTGAAGTGAGGAGTTCGAGACCAGCCTGGGCGACATGGTGAAACCCTGTCTCTACTAAAAATGCAAAAATTGTCCAGGTGTGGTGGCGGGCGCCTGTAATCCCAGCTACTCAGGAGACTGAGGCAGGAGAATTTCCTGAGTCCAGGAGGCAGAGGTTGTAGTGAGCGGAGATCGTGCCACTGTACTCCAGCCTGGGTGACAGAGCGAGACTCCCTCTCAAAAAAAAAAAAAAAAAAAAAAAAAAAGGCGTGATCCATAGTAAGTGCTCAATAATTGCTGTATTCCTAACAGAGCAGATTATGGACGGCAGAGCTGTACCTTGTGATTGAACAGAATCTGATCAGGAACCTTGGCCTGAAAGCTCGGCAGACTGAACGCTTCAGTGGGATGCAGCTCATTTGAAGTCATCCAGACCTCAAGAGCTCCTTTCTCCTGACCTTTGACGTTGGCTGGTGCCTGGTGTGCATCGTGGGGAGTTCCCCAAGGACCCAGATGCCTGCCACTGTGCCATCAG
Source organism: Homo sapiens (assembly GCF_000001405.40). NCBI lineage: Eukaryota > Metazoa > Chordata > Mammalia > Primates > Hominidae > Homo > Homo sapiens. The sequence continues at coordinate 3,140,977 of NC_000007.14, read as the reverse complement.
GGAGGTCTGGCCTCCAAAGGCCTGGGCAGATCCTGGGAGAGAGGGAAAAAAAAAAAAAAAAGACACGAAACAAGTGAGGGGAGTGCCTCATGCAAAAGCTGCCCCATGCATGGGCACAGGAAGAAAGCAAATTGGACCAGCTCTGTAGTAGAAATGCCGGCAGGAAGCAACATCAATTCTCTCCTTTTCTGAGATTTCCCCTGCCAGCATTCTGAGTGATGATAAATCACTCATTTCTGACACGGTTTATTTTTCAAAGCATTTTTATAAGAAGCATCCAGCCATCACATTTCAAACATAATTCAAATGGGGGGAAAAAATCCTGCAATGTTTATTATTAATTAAACAGGATTACTGGACCGACTTGGTAGAAACGGGCAGAGGAAATGCAGGCATCGTCCCAAATTCCTTACACCCAGCCTGCCAGACCTTCCTGGGAGGGGTTTCCAGATGAGACTCGTTTTGCTATAAATCCAAATATCTATTCGTGCTTATCTGCATTTTGATGCTGGAATTAGATGCTGCATGTGTGCAGATGTCGGAATATTTATTGATAGTTAAAATTTCATGTGCCCTGGATTGATGTTTGTGCATCAGGACAAATGATTAGTGTCTTGCCGATAGTTTGAACAGGTGTACGTTAAAGATTATTTAACACCAAGTTCTGTTTTCTGTCTTCAGATTCTCTAGGAAACAAGAAATCAAATCTCCGGGGACTATCCAGGTGGGAAATGGAAATAAATGATAAACATACGAATACATCGATTCTGTTTCCTATTGGTTGGGAGTGGGCTTTTTTATGATCTTGTTAGTATTCCAGATTTATGAATTCTAAAAAATTGAGAGACTATTTGAAATATTTAAATGCATTTTAAAGCCTGTGCGTGGGAAATGGAGCTGTCACCTCACAAGATCCAAAGTGTCTTTAACAACCCCTGCTCTGCTCCGGGAGGGCTCTGCCGTTCGGGACCCAGGCTCCGTCAGAGCAGCAGGAGCTGCAGAACTACAGCTGGATCGGGGGATGGACCTACCCCACCCTGGGCTGTCACTGGGGGGCCCAGTGTTATCCCAGAGGAACTGCTGCCTGGACCACTGTCCTTGAGTATGTCTGCAAGCATGCCACAGAAATCACTAGATGGCGGATGCTAGCCCTGTTCCATTAAAAGCAAGTGCCCACCCCGTCTCTACTAAAAATAAAAAATTAGCCAGGCATGGTGTTGGATGCCTGTGGTCCCAGCTGTTCAGGAGGCTGAGGCAGGAGAATGGCGTGAACCCGGGAGGCGGAGCTTGCAGTAAGCCAAGATCGCGCCACTGCACTCCGGCCTGGGTGACAGAGCGAGACTCCATCTCAAAAAAAAGCAGGTGCCCAGCACGGTGTCTTGCTCATAGCTCACAAATGGATCCATCTTTCCCTGCTCTTCCAGAAGTGGCATACAAAGAGTAGGAGCCCGTCCACCTTGGGGGTCGGAGAGGGTGTGATCGGGAGTGCGTGGCCTGTAGAGAATTTTAAAACAAAACCAACTCAAAATCAATCTGCTTTTCATTCTCACCACATGTGATTCTACACAGTGCCACGGATAACATATGCCTCCCCCTCAATCTCTTTGTTGGTCTAATTTCTGGACAATTGCCACAGTTACTGTTGAGTTTTAATAATATCGCTATGGATTAGCACATTGAATGACTTGTCCTCTAAAATAGTCTTCGATGCGGAGGTTAATTTGGAGACGTCCCTGTTGTGTAATCGACCCCAACACTCAGGGACCCAGAAGCACGTGTTCATGTGAAGAGGAAGTCTGCCAAGATTCTGAATCACTAGGGCTCAGTTGGTGTGGAGTTCAGGTCCCCATCCCCTGTGGCATTGCATATTACATATCAACTGTGTTTAGTAGATTCAAAATAAACAATAGCACAGTCATTATGAAGACAAAGAGAATTTGAATTACTTTAATTCTGCCTTTCCTTGTGACCACTTGGAGTTTTTATTTTACAATTAAAACAGCAAAACAAAAGAACAGAGAAGTGTCATGTTTTGTTCCATATGTGCAAATGTTAGTGTATACGAGAGAGATTTTACTGCATTCAAACAGTATCTGTTGCATCATGGTGATAGAAAATGATTTTGTCTATAGAGGAGAGGCATATTAGAAACAATGGGCTTCAGGTGTCTGTTTTGCCTGGCATACCACTGTCTCCCAGCATGAAGTTCAGTTCTATAAGCATTTACCAGGTCAGGACCCTGAGGGTACAGCAGGGACTGCAACAGACATTTCCAAACCATGCATTCCACAGTTAATTATTTGAATATAAATGTCATAAAGGCTGTAAGAATGATCTAAGAAGTTGCTATATTGTCTAATTCTGTATAACAAATTGCTAGAAAACTTAATGGCTTAAAAAAATACACGTTTATTATGTCAGTTTCTTTGGGCCAGGAATTTGCAAGTGATTTAGCTGAGTGGTTCTGGCTCGGGGACTCTCATGAGGATACAATCAAGATGCTGGCCAGGGCTGCATCATCCAAAGGCTCAACTGAGACTAGAGGATCCACTTCCAAACTCACTCGCATGGCTGTTGGTAGGAGGCCACAGCTCCTCACCATGGGGGCTTCCTCAGAGGGCTGCTTGAGTGTTCTCACAACATGGCGGCCGGCTCTTCCCAGAGCCGGTGATCCAAGAGAGAACACAAAGAGGAATTCACACAATGCCTTTTATAATTTAGCTTCAGAAGTCACACCTTGCCACTTCTATTTATTAGAAGTACTCTATTAGAAGTTACTAAGTCCATCCCCATTTAATGGGAGGCGAATTGGGCTCCATTTTGGAGAGAGGAATGTCAACAAGTTCATGTAATAATTTTAAATTTATTGCCTATCTGTAGATTTGAGACAAGGTCTGGCTCTGTCACCCAGGCTGGAGTGTATGGTGCAATATTGGCTCACTGTAACCTCCACCTCCTGGACTCAAGTCATTATCCCACATCAGCCTCCCAAGTAGCTGGGACTACAGGCATGTTCCACCACACCTGGCTAATTTCTGTATATTTTGTAGAGATGAGGTTTTGCCATGTTGTCTAGGCTGGTCTCAAACTCCTGGGCTCAAATGGTCTGCCCACCTCAGCCTCCCAAAGTGCTGAGATTACAGGCATGAGCCACCAAGCCTGGCCAACACTGAAATTTTTTTTTTTTTTTTTTTAAAGAGATGGGGTCTTGCTCTGTCACCTAGGCTGGAATGCAGTGGCGCTATCACAACTCAAAGCAGCCTCCAACTCTCAGGCTCAAGGGATCCTCCTGCCTCAGCCTCCAGAGTAGCTGGGACCACAGGCCTGTGTCACCACACCCAGTGAATTTGTTGTTTTGTTTGTTTGTTTGTTTGTTTGTTTGTTTTTGTAGGGACAGGGCTCTCACTGTGTTGCCCAGGCTGATGAACTCCTGGTTTCAAGCCATCCTCTCACCTAAGTTTCCTAGGGGATTCTAGCTCTGAAGTGTGAAGGGGAGCTAGGCAGGTAAAGCAGGAGGAAAGAACATTTGGGCAGGGGAAACCGTATGCTTCGAGGTCATGGAGTGGACAGGAGCAGAGCTGCTGCTGTGCGGACGGCAGAGAGGAAAGTGGCCACTGGCGTAAGACAGGCAGGGCTGGGATCACGTCATGGTGAGGAGTTGGAGTTTTATCCTAATGGTGAGAGGAGAGCATGCAGTAGGGGCTTGCCAGGATCTAATTTGCATTTTTCTGGACATTTATGGCAATCCTATGGAGAACAAATCAGAGGGAGGCAGGAATAGATGGGAAAGGAACTCGTTGGAACATGGTTACCCTAGTCCACACTGCAGGGATGATGGCCTGGACTAGGGAGTGGCAGGGGGACTAGAAATAGCCACCTGGGCTGGGCGCGTTGGCTCATATAATCCCAGCACTTTGGGAGGCTCAGATGGGTGGATCACTTGAGGTCAGGAGTTCAAGACCAGCCTGGCCAACATGGTGAGACCCTGTCTCTACGAAAAATACAGAAATTAGCAGGGGTGTGGTGGTGTGCTCCAGTAATCTCAGCTACTTGGTAGGCTGAGGCATGAGAATTGCTTGAGCCTGAGAGGCGGAGGTTGCAGTGAGCTGGGATCACAGCACTGCACTCCAGCCTGGGCAACAGAGTGAGACCCTGTCTCAAAAAAATAAAAATTAAGATAAAATATAAAAATTGTGGTAAGAAAGAGGCACCTGGACCCCAGTCGTATTTACTCATTGGCTGTGTGGGGATGAGGGAGGGAGGGGTCAGAGGTGATGCTCAGGTTTCTGGCTTATGCAGCTGCCCAAGGAGGTGGCAAGTGGAGCCATCTACTCTGACAGGAAAACACTGGAGGAGGGGGAGCAGGTTACAAGAGCAAGATCCTAAACAGCTTCAACACACTCAGCTTGACAGCCCTACCAGATATCCAAATAGCCATAGCACGTACAGAGCCGGATACAGCAGGCTCGAGTTCAAGTTTGGAGATATCCATGTGGCCATGGGTTTAGCTTCTGGGGAGAGAATAAAGGCAGTTGATTAGATAAAAGAGGAGATAAGATGGAAGATGGCATTTGCATCCCCTATTAAGTGAAAGACTTTTCTACTTTTGTGATTTGATGAGATAGATCAAAAATGACCAGTTTAGTGTCCGGGTGCAGTGGCTCACGCCTGTAATCCCAGCACTTTGGGAGGCTGAGGTGGGTGGATCACAAGGTCAGGAGATCGAGAACATCTTGGCCAACATGGTGAAACCCCGTCTGTACTAAAAATACAAAAATTAGCTGGGCATGGTGGTACACGCCTGTAGTACCAGCTACTCTGGAAACTGAGACAGGAGAATCGCTTGAACCCAGGAGGCGGAGGTTGCAGTGAATTGAGATGGCTCCACTGCACTCCAGCCTGGGCAACAAGAGCGAAACTCTCAAAAAAAAAAAAAAAAAAAAAAAAGTTACCAGTTTTGCATAAGCTACTCAGGGTTGGGTTGAGTGTCTGTCACTTGCATCCAAAAAGTTCTGACAAATATACAAGGCAACCCGTGGAGAGTTTGCTCCCTCTGAGAACGATAAAGCAGCTCTTTCTCCCCCTTGGAAAGTAGATGAGAAAGTAATTTGTATGCAAATGGAGATGGATGTGACCTCCTGCTTTATCAATAGCAACTTGTCCCCTTTTCAGAAAACAGAAACTTACGTTCCACTTTGTACAAACGGTACAGTTCAGAATGGCAGCTGGAGGCAAATCTTTCTCTCTCTTTCTCCCCCAATTGCTAAGCAAGATCTCCCTTGCTGTGTAAATGCTTTCCTACCCTTTGACACAATTGCTTCAGGTCTTTTCTCCTGGGTGAAACGTTCCGCAGAAGGGGCCGGGCAGGGAACTTTAATTAGAAAGCAGATCACCCACCCACATGAGATCAAAATTCAGAGTGTACCCGTCCCTCCTGGCTGGCATTCTAGAAAAAGCAACTGAAGGAAGTAGAATGTGGGTGGTCTGACATGTCCACATCAAGTGCCTGGTCAGCATGTCGGTCCTGGGAGGGCAGGACCCTGGGGGTCCTTTCTTAGAAGAACACAAATTATCAAAGACCTGATGTGTTGGGATAGAAAGAAGGATGCCGGCTAAGATGACATCGAGTGTAAGCTTGAAGGCTATAACAAACCTTCCAGTAACAATAATGTGTTTATGCCGTATTTATCACCTACGAAGTGTTTTCACATACAATGCTCACCAACCTCTTCTTAGAGCAATGCCCCATCCTCATGGGATCTAACTTCTGAAAGAGCCTCCAGGTCCAGAAATCCTTGTTCCTTCAGACCCATCTTTGTCATTTTTAGAGCTTAACAAATTCTGAGAGAAGGTGGCAATGTCTTTTGTATTGTCAAACGCTGCATAACAAATCACTCCAACACACAGTGGCTTAGAACAATAGTCGTTTATTACCTTGTGGTTCCCGGGGGTCAGGAATTCAGGAGCAGTTTAACTGGGTGGTTCTGGCTGGATTTGTATCATGGGTTTGCAGTCAGATGTTGGCTGGGGCTACAGTCAGAAGACTTGAGGATTCTCTTCCAAAGTGACTCAGTCACAGAGGCTTCACTTGGTGGAACTTCCCATGGAGCTCCTTGAGTGATGTCACAACATGGCGGCTGGTTTCTCTCAGAGTGAATCATGAGGTAGAAACCACAACGCCTCCTATCACCTAGTCTCAGAAACCATACGCCATCATTTCTGCCATATTCTGTTCCCTAGAAGCAATTCACTGAGTCTAGTTCACACTCAGAAGGAGGAGAATTAGGCTCCATTTTGGAAGGAAGGAGTATCAAATTACTAGTGGAGATATATATAGATATATAGATATGTTTTTTTTGGAGACGCCCAGGCTGGAGTGCAGTGGCACAATATCGGCTCACTACAACTTCCGCCTCCCGGATTCAAGGGGTTCTCCTGCGTCAGCCACCCGAGTAGCTGGGATTACAGGCATGCGCTGCCAGGCCCAGATAATTTTTTGTATTTTAGTAGAGACAGGGTTTCACTGTGTTGTCCAGGCTGGTCTCGAACTCTTGAGCTCAGGCAGTCCACCCACCTCGGCCTCCCAAAGTGCTAGGATTACAGGCGTTAGCCACAGTGCCCGGCCTAGTGGATATATTTTAAAACCAAATCTCTTGAAGCTAAAAAGCTGAGAGAATGGGCATCAAGTCAGTGCAATAATTCATTGAGTAGGGACTAGGGAATCCACCTTCATCACATAAATTTTCACTTTGCAGCGAGCATTTTTTATTTTTTAGGGTCCTGGCAGGAAACAGATGGCACGTTCAGATAGTGAATTAGTAGACACAAAAAAAGCAATCGACAAAATCCAACACCCATTCATGACAAAAACCATCCACAAACTAGGAATAAGAGGGAACTTCCTCAACTTGATGAAGTGCACCACAGAAAACCCACAGCTAACGTTATACTTAATGGTGAAAGACTGAATGCTTTTCCCAAAGCTTGGAAATGAAGCAAAGACATTCATTCTCACCACTTCCATTCGGGAATTTACTGAAGATTCGAGCCAGTAAAATAAAGCTAAAAATATATAAAATAAAGACATCCAGATTGGAAAGAAAGAAGTAAAACTTTTTTAGTCACAGATGGCATCATCCTATATGTAGAAAATCTTAAGGAATCCACCAAAAAAAAAAATCCTCCTACAACTAGTAAATTTAGCAACTTTGCAGGATACAAGATCAATATATAGAAATTAATGGAATTTTCTATACTAGTCATGAACAATTTGAGAATGAATTTTTTAAAGTTCATTCACAATAGCATCAAAAATAAACAGTTTGGAATAAATTTAACAAGAAAAATGAAAAATTGGTACACTGAGCATTATAAAGGATTGCTTAGAGAAATGAGAGAAAATATAAATGGAGAGATATTCCATGTTAATGGATTGGAAGATTAAATATTATTAAGATGTCAATCCATAGATCAAATTGATCTATAGATGCAATGTAATCCCTGTTAAAGTCCCAGCAGGATTTTTTGAAGAAAGTGACAAGCTGGTTCTAAAATGAATGCAGAAATGCAAAAGACATACAATTGCTGAAACAATTTGGGGAAAGAAAAACAAAGCTGGAGGACTTATCCTACCCAATTTCAAAGCTTACTCTAAAGCTACAGTAATCAAGACCGTGTGGCATTGGAGTAAGGATAGGCATATATTGATAATGGTACAGAAGTGAAAGCCAAGAAATAAGCGCTTATGTATATGGCCAACGGATTTTTGACAATGATGTCAAAACAATTGATAATGATGTCAAGACAATGGAATGGGGTGGGATACTCTTTTCAAACATGGCATTGTAACAGTTGGATATCATATACTAAACACACACACACAAAAGAATGTTAGGCCCTTAACTCACACCAAAAATAAAAATTATCTCAAAATGTATCACAGACCTAAATGTAAGAGCTACAATTAAAAAATTTCTAGGAGAAACCAACAAGAGAAAATCTTCATGGCTTTGGGTTAAGCAAAGAGTTCTTAGACATTACACCAAAAGTATGAGCCAATTATAAAGTGGATGTCATTTTAATTTCAAATTAAAAGCTTTAAAAGACACCTTGAAGAAAATGAAAGAACAAGCTACAGACTGGGAGAAAATATGTACCAGTCATGTATCTGATGAAGAACTTGTACCCAGAATATATAAAGAACTCTTGCAACTGATAATAAGACAAACAACCCAAATAAAAAATAAGCAAAAGACTTGAACAAACATTTCACTAAAGTTTCTCCTAGAAGTTTTATAACTGTAGCTCTTACATTTAGGTCTGTGATTCACTTTGAGATAATTTTTATTTTTGGTGTGAGTTAAGGGCCTAACTTTTTCGTGTGTGTATATGATATCCAATCTATACAAATGACTAAAAAGCACCAGCCTGCCCAACATGGCAAAACTCCATCTCTACAAAAAAATACAAAAATTAGCCAGGCAGGGGGGTGGGCACCTGTAATCCCAGCTACGCAGGAGGCTGAGGCAGGAGAATCACTTGAACCTGGGAGGCGGAAGTTGCAGTGTGCCGAGATCACACCATTGTACTCCAGCCTGGGGATAGAGCAAAGTTCTGTCCCAGGAAAAAAAAAAAAAAAAAAAAAAAAAAAAAAAAAAAAAAAAAAAAAAAACCTCACCGTTATTAGTCATTAGGGAAATGCAAATTAAAGCCACAGTGAGATATTATTATGTACCTAGTAAGTGGCTATAATTTTTGAAAATCAGATGATAACTAAATATAGGTAAGGATGTGCAGGAATCAGAACTCTTGTCCATTGTTGGTGAAAATGTAAAATGGTTCCGTAGGTTTGGAAAACAGTTTGGCAGGTTCTTAAAACTATTTTCCAAACCTACTGTACCATTTTGCATTTTCACCAGCAATGGACGAGTTGAAACATAAACTTACCATATGATCGAGCAATTCCACTCCTAGGAAGCTGAGAGAATTCAAAACACATGTCCACACAAAGACTTGTAAACAAATGTTCATAACAGTTTTACTCATAATAGCCCCAAACTGCAAACAACCCAAATGTCCATCAGCTGGTGAATGGATAAACAAAGTGTGGTCCATCCATACAATGGAATATAATGCAGCAATGAAAAGGAATGAAATACTGACACATGTTCCAGTAGGGACAAACGTCAAAAATATTACGTTGAGTGAAAGAAGCCACACACTATATAGAGTACTGTATGGTATGTGATTCCAGGTTTATGAAATGTCCAGAAAAGGCAAATTCTGCACATTGCCAGGAGCTACTGCAAGCAGGCTGAAGTGAATTTTGGGGGTTGATAGAAGTGTTCTGAAACTGGACTGTGGTGATGGTTGCAGCACGTTATAAAATTACTTAAAATTGTTGAATTGCAAACTTGTAACGGATGGACTGTAAGGTATGTATATTATACCTTAAAGCTAAGGAAATAATAGTGTATTAGTCTGTTCTCATGCTACTAATAAAGACATACCTGAGACTGGGTAATTTATTTTAAAAAAAAGATTTAATGGACTCCCAATTCCACATGGCTGGGGAGGCCTCACAATCATGGCAGAGGATAAAGGAAGAGCAAAGGGATGTCTTACATGGCGGCAGACAAGAGACCTTGTGCAGGGGAACTCCCATTTATAAAACCATCAGATCTTGTGAGACTTGTTCACTACCATGAGAACAGTACAGGGGAAACCACCCCCATGATTCAATTATTTCCACCTAGCCGTGCCCTTCATACGAAGGAATTATTGCAATTCAAGGTGAGATTTGGGTGGGGACACAGCCAAACCATATCAAACAGACATATGTTAGCCATAGAAATCACTCTTGGGGCAGAGAGGAGGGAGGAGACAGGTGGAGAGTAGATCTGGAGGGGAAAGCAAAGAATGTCCAGTTTAAGGATTCCTGTCTGGCCTGCATTCTTTCCCCCTTTTTGGTAACAGTACTGCAATTGTCCTTGGGGGAACTGCCCCTCCAACTCTCTCACGGCATCATCACCTCCTGCCTTCAGAAATGGATGACCAGGGCCTGGCCAACCACTGTCAATATGAAGGATTTTAGGAGAGTTTAGGGAGTTACTGCTCTAGGTTTCTAAGCTGACAACGCTTATGATATGGTTTGGCTCTGTGTCCCCACCCAAATCTCATCTTCAGTTGTAGTTCCATAATCCCCACATGTCAAGGACAGGACCAAGTGGAGGTAAAGGAATCATGGGGGCAGTTTCCCTCATGCTGTTCTCGTGATAATGAGTGAGTCTCACGAGATCTGATGGCTTTATAAGTGTCTGGCATTTCCCCTTCTTCCACTCATGCTCTGTCCTGCCATCCTGTGAAGAGGTGCCTTCCACCATAATCATAAGTTGCCTGAGGCCTCCCCAGCCACGTGGAACTGTGAGTCCATTAAACCTTCTTTCTTTATAAATTACCCAGTCTCAGGTATTTCTTCATAGCTGCATGAGAATGGACTAATACAGCATAGGACTGATACTGATAGGGAATATCTTTGCCACTACGAGAAAAAGCCTGTCGGGAGATAGTCATCACAGAGAAAAGGAGAACTGAAAGATGAAGAAAAGACAGGAAGAAACTGAAGTCCACCTGCCCATGGACATGTTCAATGAGCCAATACCTCTTTGTGATTGCATTAGGGAATGTTAGGTTTCCATCACTTGCAACCACAAGTCCTAACTCAGTGGCATGATCTCAGCTCACTGCAACCTCCGCTTCCCAGGCTCAAGTGATTCTTGTGCCTTAGCCTCCCAAGTGGCTGGGATTACAGGAATGCACCACCATGCCCGGCTAATTTTTGTTTTTTTTTTTTTTTTTTTTTTTTTAGTAGGGATGGGGTTTCACCACATGGGCCAGGCTGGTCTCGAACTCCTGGCTTTATGTGATTCACTCTCCTCGGCCTCCCAAAGTGCCGGGATTACAGGCATTAGCCACTGCACCTGGCCCTCTCTCACTGTTTCTAATTAATCTGAGCGCACTTCTCCTCCCTCCCTCCTTCCCCTCACTTCCTCTGCTATTTTCCCTTCTCTCCTTCCTTATCACCCTACCGTTAGCCTTCTAAGAACGATGAGGTGAAGAAAAGGAAACCAGCCACTTACCACCCGCTACTTTCCAGCTGCGTAAACTTGTTGGACAAGTGACTTCATTCTCTGAGTCTCTGCTACCTCATCTGTAAGTTGAGGACAGTATTATTGACACGTTTACCAGAAGAATTAAATGAAGCACTCTATGCTACGTGCCTGGCACATAGTAGGTGTGATGGTTAGTAACTTGATTGGATCAAAGGAGTCAAAGTATTGTTCCTGGGTGTGTCTGTGAGGGTATTGCCAAAAAAGATTAACATTTGAGTCAGTGAACTGGGAAAGGCGTACCCACCCTCAATCTGGGTGGGCACCGTCTAATCAGCTGCCAGCATGGCCAGAATAAAAGCAGGCAGAAGAATGGGAAAAGACTAGACTGCCTGAGTCTTCTGGCCTCTATCTTTCTCCTGTGCTGGATGCTTCCTGCCCTTGACCATCAGACCCCAAGGTCTTCAGCTTTAGGACTCTTGGACCTTCGACCACAGATTGAAGGCTGTACTGTCGGCTTCCCTATTTTTGAGGTTTGGGTATTCAGACTGGCTTCCTTGCTCTTCGGCTCGCAGATGGCCTATTATGGGACCTCACCTTGTGATCTTATGAGTCACCCCTCCATCAACTCCCTTTTATGTATACATCTATCCTATTAGTTCTGTCCCTCTCGAGAACCCTGTCTAATACAGTAGGTCATCAATAAATGCAACGATTATTACTAATCATTATCATCTTGTCATTAGCTAGCCTGATGGGCAGCGTTTGGTACTAGAATGGTTGTAAAGCTCTGCAATCAACCCTTTTGTGTCACGTGATGGTGAAGAAGTCAGAGTTGACTTTTAGGCACCACGTCACCCCTGGGATGGACAATATCACTGGTCTATATCTCCCTAAATGTGGGAGGAGTCGGAAAGCAACTCACAGGAGTGGAGGGTGAGAAGACTTGGAACTGTCAGCAGTCATGAAGATTCCTTCCAACGGGGACTTAACCCAGTGCTTCCAAGCTCTAAGGTGCACATAGCTCTACTGAAAACCTTGCTGACATGCAGATTCTGATCCAGGTGATCTGGATGACCCAGGAGCCCTGGAGCAGGACCTAAGATTCTGTTTTCCCGGCCAGCTCCCAGGTAATACTTGCACTGCTGCTCCACAGAACACAAGTGGAATGACACAGATTGCAAAACACTGGTGCTCACATTGGACTGCTTATTGGAATCCCCTGAGGCACTTTAAAAAAAACGCATGCCTAGGTTCCATCCCCAGAGGTTGTCCTTTAATTGATTGTGGGTTTGGCTTGGACATCAGCATTTGTCAAAGTTCTTCAGGGACTCTAAGGGACAGATAGTGAGGATCGAGAATCACTGTCCTAAATAAGCCTGGGTCTCTTTCTCTACCTGTCCCCATACTGGAGAGATTTGCTTTAAACACCAGGGAGAGAAACTGTCTTTGTTTAGCCTTCCATACAAAATTCCCTCGCCTGCTAAGAAGGAAATAAGTGACTCACAGCTTGAACCCTCACACACAGCAACACAGAGGACAACCTCAAGTCCAGAAAGAAAGATATGTAGACCCTTTCACCTAATTAAGATGCTCAGTGATACTGGGTCAGAGGAGATGTGAGCTGCAAACTTCGCTCAGGAAGCTGAACACTGACATTTTCACTTAGGGGAAGGGAGAGAATCTCCCCAGTCAGGACCTCGGTAGCACTGTGAGTATTTTCAGCGAGTCTTGAATGTTAATATATATACTTTGGAAATAGTTCATTCCCGGAGAAATGTTAGACCTAGTCCTCCCAGTCTGGGGCTGCTACTTATCTTCATTTCTGAGTTTATGACTTGGACCCTGTAACTGTTAACTCCTGAGACTCTAGAAATTCAGCATTTATCTCAACTGCCATGAGTAGAAGCCATACCTGTCCCAAGTCCTTGCCATGGGCAGAGAGGTTCATGCCCCAATAGCAGAAGCCACTTCAACTGCACTCATTCAGCCACCCTGAGTGTTGACTGGATCCAAGAGAGCCTAGGATGAGAGGACAGGGATAGAAACAAGAGTTTCAAACCCTTGGCAAGACAGAACAAAACACACTTTTTCTGAGGCATTAATGAAGGAAGAATTGATTTTTTTGTTAATTTCACAAATGACATGTTTTATTTCCATACAAACAGACTTTTTTTAATTTTATTATTATTATACTTTAAGTTTTAGGGTACAGGTGCACAATGTGCAGGTTAGTTACATATGTATACATGTGCCATGCTGGTGTGCTGCACCCATTAACTCGTCATTTAGCATTAGGTATATCTCCTAAAGCTATCCCTCCCCCCTCCCCCCACCCCACAACAGTCCCCAGAGTGTGATGTTCCCCTTCCTGTGTCCATGTGTTCTCATTCTTCAATTCCCACCTATGAGTGAGAATATGTGGTGTTTGGTTTTTTGTTCTTGCGATAGTTTACTGAGAATGATGATTTCCAATTTCATCCATGTCCCTACAAAGGACATGAACTCATCATTTTTTATGGCTGCATAGTATTCCATGGTGTATATGTGCCACATTTTCTTAATCCAGTCTATCATTGTTGGACATTTGGGTTGGTTCCAAGTCTTTGCTATTGTGAATAGTGCCGCAATAAACACACGTATGCATGTGTCTTTATAGCAGCATGATTTATAATCCTTTGGGTATATACCCAGTAATGGGATGACTAGGTCAAATGGTATTTCTAGTTCTAGATCCCTGAGGAATCACCACACTGACTTCCACAGTGGTTGAACTAGTTTACAGTCCCACCAACAGTGTAAAAGTGTTCCTATTTCTCCACATCCTCTCCAGCACCTGTTGTTTCCTGACTTTTTAATGATTGCCATTCTAACTGGTGTGAGATGGTATCTCATTGTGGTTTTGATTTGCATTTCTCTGATAGCCAGTGATGGTGAGCATTTTTTCATGTGTTTTTTGGCTGCATAAATGTCTTCTTTTGAGAAGTGTCTGTTCATGTCCTTTGCCCACTTTTTGATGGGGTTGTTTTTTTTTTCTTGTAAATTTGTTTGAGTTCATTGTAGATTCTGGATATTAGCCCTTTGTCAGATGAGTAGGTTGCAAAAATTTTCTCCCATTGTGTAGGTTGCCTGTTCACTCTGATGGTAGTTTCTTTTGCTGTGCAGAAGCTCTTTAGTTTAATTAGATCCCCTTTGTCAATTTTGGCTTTTGTTGCCATTGCTTTTGGTGTTTTAGACACGAAGTTCTTGCCCATGCCTATGTCCTGAATGGTAATGCCTAGGTTTTCTTTTAGGGTTTTTATGGTTTTAGGTCTAACATTTAAGTCTTTAATCCATCTTGAATTAATTTTTGTATAAGGTGTAAGGAAGGGATCCAGTTTCAGCTTTCTACATATGGCTAGCCAGTTTTTCCAGCACCATTTGTTAAATAGGGAATCCTTTCCCCATTGCTTGTTTTTCTCAGGTTTGTCAAAGATCAGATAGTTGCAGATATGCAGCATTATTTCTGAGGGCTCTGTTCTGTTCCATTGATCTATATCTCTGTTTTGGTACCAGTACCATGCTGTTTTGGTTACTGTAGCCTTGTAGTATAGTTTGAAGTCAGGTAGCACAATGCCTCCAGCTTTGTTCTTTTGGCTTAGGATTGACTTGGCGATGAGGGCTCTTTTTTGGTGCCATGTGAACTTTAAAGTAGTTTTTTCCAATTCTGTGAAGAAAGTCATTGGTAGCTTGATGGGGATGGCATTGAATCTATAAATTACCTTGGGCAGTATGGCCATTTTCACGATATTGATTCTTCCTACCCATGAGCATGGAATGTTCTTCCATTTGTTTGTATCCTCTTTTATTTCATTGAGCAGTGGTTTGTAGTTCTCCTTGAAGAGGTCCTTCATGTCCCTTGTAAGTTGGATTCCTAGGTATTTTATTGTCTTTGAAGCAATTGTGAATGGGAGTTGACTCATGATTTGGCTCTCTGTTTGTCTGTTATTGGTGTATAAGAATGCTTGTGATTTTTGTACATTGATTTTGTATCCTGAGACTTTGCTGAAGTTGCTTATCAGCTTAAGGAGATTTTGGGCTGAGACAATGAGGTTTTCTAGATATACAATCATGTCATCTGCAAACAGAGACGATTTGACTTCCTCTTTTCCTAATTGAATACCCTTTATTTCCTTCTCCTGCCTAATTGCCCTGGCCAGAACTTCCAACACTATGTAGAATAGGAGTGGTGTGAGAGGGCATCCCTGTCTTGTGCCAGTTTTCAAAGGGAATGCTTCCAGTTTTTGCCCGTTCAGTATGATATTGGCTGTGGGTTTGTCATGGATAGCTCTTATTATTTTGAGATACGTCCCATCAATACCTAATTTATTGAGAATTTTTAGCATGAAAGGTTGTTGAATTTTGTCAAAGGCCTTTTCTGCATCTATTGAGATAATCATGTGGTTTTTGTCTTTGGTTCTGTTTATATGCTGGATTACATTCATTGATTTGTGTATATTGAACCAGCCTTGCATCCCAGGGATGAAGCCCACTTGATCATGGTGGATAAGCTTTTTGATGTGCTGCTGGATTCGGTTTGCCAGTATTTTATTGAGGATTTTTGCATCAATGTTCATCAAGGATATTGGTCTAAAATTCTCCTTTTTGGTTGTGTCTCTGCTCAGCTTTGGTATCAGGATGATGCTGGCCTCATAAAATGAGTTAGGGAGGATTCCCTTTTTTTCTATTGATTGGAATAGTTTCAGAAGGATTGGTACCAGTTCCTCCTTGTACCTCTGGTAGAATTTGGCTGTGAATCCATCTGCTCCTGGACTCTTTTTGGTTGGTAAGCTATTGATTATTGCCACAATTTCAGAGCCTGTTATTGGTCTATTCAGAGATTCAACTTCTTCCTGGTTTAGTCTTGGGAGAGTGTATGTGTCGAGGAATTTATCCATTTCTTCTAGATTTTCTAGTTTATTTGCATAGAGGTGTTTGTAGTATTCTCTGATGGTAGTTTGTATTTCTGTGGGATTGGTGGTGATATCCCCTTTATCATTTTTTATTGCGTCTATTTGATTCTTCTCTCTTTTCTTTTTTATTAGTCTTGCCAGTGGTCTATCAATTTTGTTGATCCTTTCAAAAAACCAGCTCCTGGATTCATTAATTTTTTGAAGGGTTTTTTGTGTCTCTATTTCCTTCAGTTCTGCTCTGATTTTAGTTATTTCTTGACTTCTGCTAGCTTCTGAAAGTGTTTGCTCTTGCTTTTCTAGTTCTTTTAATTGTGATATTAGGGTGTCAATTTTGGATATTTCCTGATTTCTCTTGTGGGCATTTAGTGCTATAAATTTCCCTCTACACACTGCTTTGAATGTGTCCCAGAGATTCTGGTATGTTGTGTCTTTGTTCTCGTTGGTTTCAAAGAACATCTTTATTTCTGCCTTCATTTCATTATGTACCCAGTAGTCATTCAGGAGCAGGTTGTTCAGTTTCCATGTAGTTGAGCAGTTTTCAGTGAGTTTCTTAATCCTGAGTTCTAGTTTGATTGCACTGTGGTCTGAGAGACAGTTTGTTATAATGTCTGATCTTTTACATTTGCTGAGGAGAGCTTTACTTCCAACTATGTGGTCAATTTTGGAATAGGTATGGTGTGGTGCTGAAAAAAACGTATATTCTGTTGATTTGGGGTGGAGAGTTCTGTAGATGTCTATTAGGTCTGCTTGGTGCAGAGCTGAGTTCAATTCCTGGGTATCCTTGTTAACTTTTCTGTCTCATTGATCTGTCTAATGTTGACAGTAGGGTGTAAAAGTCTCCCATTATTATTGTGTCGGAGTCTTAGTCTCTTTGTAGGTCACTCAGGACTTGCTTTATGAATCTTGGTGCTCCTGTATTGGGTGCATATATATTTAGGATAGTTAGCTCTTCTTGTTGAATTGATCCCTTTACCATTACATAATGGCCTTCTTTGTCTCTTTTGATCTTTGTTGGTTTAAAGTCTGTTTTATCAGAGACTAGGATTGCAACCCCTGCCTTTTTTTGTTTTCCATTTGCTTGGTAGTTCTTCCTCCATCCTTTTATTTTGAGTCTATGTGTGTCTCTGCACGTGAGATGGGTTTCCTGAATACAGCACACTGATGGGTCTTGACTCTTTATCCAATTTGCCAGTCTGTGTCTTTTAATTGGAGCATTTAGTCCATTTACATTTAAAGTTAATATTGTTATGTGTGGATTTGATCCTGTCATTATGATGTTAGCTGGTTATTTTGCTTGTTAGTTGATGCAGTTTCTTCCTAGCCTCGATGGTCTTTACGATTTGGCATGATTTTGCAGTGGCTGGTACCGGTTGTTCCTTTCCATGTTTAGTCCTTCCTTCAGGAGCTCTTTTAGGGCTGGGCTGGTGGTGACAAAATCTCTCAGCATTTGCTTGTCTGTAAAGTATTTTATTTCTCCTTCACTTATGAAGCTTAGTTTGGCTGGATATGAAATTCTGGGTTGAAAATTCTTTTCTTTAAGAATGTTGAATATTGGCCCCCACTCTCTTCTGGCTTGTAGAGTTTCTGCCAAGAGATCAGCTGTTAGTCTGATGGGCTTCCCTTTGTGGGTAACCCGACCTTTCTCTCTGGCTGCCCTTAATATTTTTTCCTTCATTTCAACTTTGGTGAATCTGACAATTATGTGTCTTGGAGTTGCTCTTCTCAAGGAGTATCTTTGTGGTATTCTCTGTATTTCCTGAATCTGAATGTTGGCCTGCCTTGCTAGATTGGGGAAGTTCTCCTTGATAATATCCTGCAGAGTGTTTTCCAACTTGGTTCCATTCTTCCTGTCACTTTCAGGTACACCAATCAGATGTATATTTGGTCTTTTCACATAGTCCCATATTTCTTGGAGGCTTTGTTCATTTCTTTTTATTCTTTTTTCTCTAAACTTCCCTTCTCGCTTCATTTCATTCATTTCATCTTCCATCACTGATACTCTTTCTTCCAGTTGATCGCATCAGCTCCTGAGGCTTCTGCATTCTTCACGTAGTTCTTGAGCTTGGCTTTCAGCTCCATCAGCTCCTTTAAGCACTTCTCTGTATTGGTTATTCTAGTTATACATTCATCTAAATTTTTTTCAAAGTTTTCAACTTCTTTGCCTTTGGTTTGAATTTCCTCCTTTAGCTCAGAGTAGTTTGATCGTCTGAAGCCTTCTTCTCTCAACTCGTCAAAGTCATTCTCCATCCAGCTTTGTTCCATTGCTGGTGAGGAGCTGCGTTCCTTTGGAGGAGGAGAGGTGCTCTGCTTTTTAGAGTTTCCAGTTTTTCTGCTCTGTTTTTTCCCCATCTTTGTAGTCTTTTGGTCTTTGATGATGGTGATGTACAGATGGGTTTTTGGTGTGGATGTCCTTTCTGTTTGTTTTCCTTCTAACAGACAGGACCCTCAGCTGCAGGTCTGTTGGAGTTTGCTAGAGGTCCACTCTAGACCCTGTTTGCCTGGGTACCAGCAGCGGTGGCTGCAGAACAGCGGATATTGGTGAACCGCGAATGCTGGTGCCTGATCGTTCCTCTAGAAGTTTTGTCTCAGAGGAGTACCCAGCCATGTGAGGTGTCAGTCTGCCCCTCCTGGGTGGTGCCTCCCAGTTAGGCTGCTCGGGGGTTAGGGGTCAGGGACCCACTTGAGGAGGCAGTCTGCCTGTTCTCAGATCTCCAGCTGTGTGCTGGGAGAACCACTACTCTCTTCAAAGCTGTCAGACAGGGACATTTAAGTCTGCAGAGGTTACTGCTGTCTTTTTGTTTGTCTGTGCCCTGCCCCCAGAGGTGGAGCCTACAGAGGCAGGCAAGCCTCCTTGAGCTGTGGTGGGCTCCACCCAGTTTGAGCTTCCCTCCTGCTTTGTTTACCTAAGCAAGCCTGGGCAATGGTGGGCGCCCCTCCCCCAGCCTCGCTGCCACCTTGCAGTTTGATCTCAGACTGCTTTGCTAGCAATCAGCCAGACTCCGTGGGTGTAGGACCCTCCGAGCCAGGTGCGGGATATAATCTCCTGGTGCGCCATTTTTTAAGCCCGTTAGAAAAGCGCAGTGTTGGGGTGGGAGTGACCCGATTTTCCAGGTGCCGTTTGTCACCACTTTCTTTGACTAGGAAAGGGAACTCCGTGACCCCTTGCACTTCCCAAGTGAGGCAATTCCTCACCCTGCTTCGGCTTGCGCACGGTGCACTGCACCCACTGTCCTGCGCCCACTGTCTGGCACTCCCTAGTGAGATGAATCTAGTACCTCAGATGGAAATGCAGAAATCACCCGTCTTCTGCGTCGCTCACGCTGGGAGCTGTAGACCGGAGCTGTTCCTATTGGGCCATCTTGGCTCCGCCCCTTGTTTTGTTTTTAGTAAAGTTTTCCCACATCATATGTTTTTATTGCAATAAAATACGTATAACAAAAACCTTACAATCTTAGCCATTTCTAAGGGCACAGTTCAGAGGCACTAAGCACATTCACAGTGTTCTGCAACCATCACTACCATCCATCTCCAGAACTTTCTCATATTCTCAAACTGAAATTCTGCACCCATTAGCCACTCACTCCTGCTCTCCCTCCACCCGCTCCTGGTAACCACCATTCCACTTTCTGTCTCTATGAATATGACAACTCCAAGTCCCTCACGTAAGTGGAATCATACGTTATATGTCCTTTCTGACTGGCTTGTTTCACTTTGCACCATCTCAAGATGGATGTTCTCAAGATCCATCCATTTGGCAGCCTGTGTCAGAATTTCCCTGCTTTTTAAGGTGGGAGCATTGGTTTGGGAGCCTGAATTTCATACTTGGAGTAAATGCTTTCCCTCTCTGTGCATTGGTTTCTTCATCTATGACAGGGCTCATTTTGTCCAGCAATCTCCTTTTAGAAGCTGTATTCACTTGTCTGCAGCAGAAACCCAACTTCAGTGACTTCAGCAAAGAGGGTGCCTTTCTTCCCCTCAACACATAATGAGGTGCTGGAGGATGCATCCCAGGGCTGGTGAATTGGTCCATGGTAGCCTCAATGTCCCAAACTTCCCCTTTTTGTCCTTCTTAGTGGGTGTCTTTCTCCTTCATGATCATGAGAGAGTTTCTCTTCCACAGCTTTGAGGGCCTGTGTTGCGAGCAGGAAGAAAAGGAAAGTAGCACTGAGGAACGGATGGTGCCTGCAGCAGAGAGGTGAGGTTTTCTCAGAAGTCTCTGGCAGACTTCTCTTATCTCATTGGCTAGATTATGTCACATGACCACACATAACTGCAAAGGAAGCTGGTACCGTATGGGTTTTTTTTTCTTTGTCTATTCATTGCATAGGACATTTTACATCTATTTCTAACTGTTTCACAATTTTGCATCATCATGCCCAACTGGATGAGTAGGTTTTGTTTGTTTTTATTAGTGTAGGTTTTAGATCTTTGGTATCATGCCACATTAAGCGAAATCTCAGGATTTTATATCGTAAGGAACAAGGGGGAGAATGCACTGGGGGTAGGCAACTAGTGATATCCTGTTTCACAAGTTGTCCCAAGGATTAGATATAGGTTTGCAATGTGTCTGAAATGGTGCCAGCAGCACACAGTAGGCACTTGGCCAACGATGGTGCCAGTGAAGATGACGATGATAATGATGATCATGATGGTGAGGATGATGATGAACATGATGATGAAGAGGGAATGGTGATGAAGATGATGGTGATGATGGTGGTGATCATGACGGTGAAGATGATGATGAAGAAGATGGTGAGGATGATGATAATGATGGGGATCATGATGGTGAGGATGATGGAGGCATATGGACATAAACATTTTCAGTAGAATAAGACTCTTGATTAACCAGATTTCACCAGGATGACAATAATGGCCAGTAATTAGCTCACACTTATGGAGTGCTCCCTGTGTGTCTAGTGCTTTGCAGTGTTATCTTCCTAAATCTTTGTGAGTCTCCCAACCTTCATTCAGGCACATTCTTTGGAGCTAACTCCACCTCTGGCTCTAGAGAAGGGGTAGATAGCTCAGGCCTAATCTGACCAATGTAGTCTCATCCCCTAGACTGTGATGGATTCAGAGATGACCACATGAGCTTTGCAAAATAGACCAATGAGCCCTGAGGAGGGTTTTAATGGAAGCTTCTAGGAAAGGAGGTTTTTTTTAGCTTCTGTGTGGGTTTCCAGAAGTGACACATGCTTGCCTTCTCACTTCAGTTCTGGTTGACAACCACATTATAATTTGATGTCAGCCAGGCACGGTGGCTCACGGTTGTAATCCCAGCACTTGGGGAGGCCAAGGCGGGCAGATCATGAGGTCAGGAGTCTCAGACCCGCCTGGCCAATACAGTAAAACCCTGTCTGTACTAAAAAAAACAAAAATTAGCTGGGCGTGGTGGCGGGCGCCTGTAATCCAAGCTACTCGGGAGGTTGAGGCAGGAGAATTGCTTGAACCCAGGAGGTGGAGGTTGCAGTGAGCTGAGATCACGCCACTGCACTCCAGCCTGGGTGACAGAGCAAGACTCTGTCTCAAATAATAATAATAATTTGATGTGATGATGAAGCCACTACTGCCTAGAAATGGAAATATACAAGGTGCTGTCTCCGTTTGCGTCAGTGTTTATGTTCTTTGCATCCGCATGCACCCCAGCTGGTTCAAGTTGCAGTATTATCAGCCTCATTTTACAGAGGGGAAAACTGAGGTTCAGGGAGGTCATGGGTACATAACTAATAAGGGGCAAGCGTGAGATTTGCACCCAGTAAGTTGGATGTTAAACCTTAGAACTTAATCACTCAGTTGTACCAAAATAGTGTGCTTACTGGTGGAGGTTTCAAGTCCTCAACTGCAAAATAACTCTGGCTTTTAAGCCTTTCTTCTGGAGTTCTGTCTTCCAGAGTCACTAACATCTTCTATCCCAAGCTGGGCTCCACCCCAGCATCCATACAGACAGCAATGGGACTTTTAGTCTTACCTCTGTATTTCCAAAAGTCTAATGGAAGCCCCTGTGTTTTTACAGAGCTTGATGCCACTCAGCCTAATTAGAATACAGAGCCTAATTAGATTCCTTCAACTGGAATCAGATCCACTTCATGGAAAACACTGCTTAGCTCTGGCTAGTGGAAGAGCCGATTGCCTGATGTACATATTTGATTAATAAGAATAATTTTGGTTGGGTGCAGTAGCCCATGCCTGTAATACCATCACTTTGGGGGTGCTGAGGCAGGTGGATCGCTTGAGCCCAGGAATTTGAGACCAGCCTTGGCAACATAGCAAGACCCTATCTCTACCAAAAAAAAAAAAAAATTAATTAGCTAGGCATGGTGGTGTATATACCTGTGGTCTCACCTACTCAGGAGGCTGAGACAGGAGGATTGCTTGAGCCCAGGAGGTCAAGGCTACAGTGAACCATGATTGCACCACTGTACTCCAGCCTGGGCAATGGAGCAATACCCTGTCTCAAAAATAATAATAATATTCTTCAAAACAAGCATTATTTCTTAATAAATGCAACTTAGTAAACAAAATCTTTGGAAGAACCAGATTCATGAGAACACAATGAAGGGGGCATTTGCCTCACCCCTCCTGAGTGTGGATGTCACCCCTAGCATCCCTCAGTTCTCAGATCCAGGCTTATTTGACGACTCCCCAAGGTCTGGAGATATCCCTCCATGCCAGGTCACCCAAGAACAAGAGCTGAGCAGAAAACAGCTCCTGTTCAGCACAAGATGAATGTTGGTGGACCCCTTCCCCAAAATGAAAAAGGGAGAAGTTAATAGGCTGATAAAACCAAAATCTTGCTCAGAGATTGTTTAGAAACCACTGGGTGGGAGGCGATGGTGGCTGAACGCAGAATGGAAGCTCTGCAGGGTTTCTGTCGGAGGCTGGTGGAGAAAGCTGCTGGCAGCCAGCCCGTGTGCAAGGGGAGCAGAGAGAAGGCTCATTCCAGGTAAATTCCAGTGCTGTCTCCAAAAGGGACAAATGCAGGAGGGTGGGAGAGAAGGTGGCAGAGAAGCTTCATGAAAGGAGACAGGCTGTTCTAACAGGGCTCTGCGCTCGGAGGAGAGAAGTGCTAGGAAGCCTCTCCTCTCTCAATCTCTCTTTTAACCTCTCCCTTTCCCTTCCTCCCTGCTTTCCTCTCTCTCCCTCCCTCTTTCTCTCTCCTCTCCCCCTCCGTCTTTCTGCACCGCCCCTTTCTTCCCTCTCTTCTCCCCCTCCTTCTTCCCTCTCTTCTCCCCCTCCTTCTTCCCTCTCCCTCTCTCTCTCTCCCTCCCTCTTTATCTCTCAACATCCCCCTCTCTTTATCTCTCAACATCCCCCTCTCTCCCTCCCTCCCTCTCCTCTTTCTCTCCCTCCCTCCTCTCTCTCCTTTCTCTTTCCTCTCTCCCCTCCCCTTTCTCATCTCTCCTCTCCCCTCTCCCCCTCCTTCCATGAAAGTGGTAAATTCTAACCTAATCTTTTCTTCTGATAAATGAAGGGTCCAGGTATGGTTGCCAGAAACAGTCAATACAAATATTTATACTAAGAAAAGGTATTTGTTGTTTATTTGATTTAATCCAGTGAACCTCAGCCCAGGGAGCTACAGCCTGCCACAGACACCCCACCTCCCATTCTGTGGTCACTCCCCAGTCTCTGTGGGCTGGATGTGTGTTCCTGCTTAGGACACAGCAGGACACGAAATGGAACAGACAGGAACTCAGCCCCGTGAACTGTCAGCATGACACAGATTCTATTCATTCTGTGCCTCTGTAAAAATCACATTTAAAAAACAATCAAGATAGGCTCCAAAGAGTAAAGATAGGGCTTGAACACCATCTCCTGAGGAGACTTGCCATTGCTAGTTCAGGTTCTCATTACGGTGATTGTGGACGACCAGTCCTCCCCAACTCCATCCCTGTGGTTCCCCACTCTCCTCTTATCCTCCCCTGCCCCACTCCCCTCCTCACCACCAACTCTCTACCACCCACCAGCACCACAGGCTTTTTCCACCTTGCGCCTGGCTTAAAATTGCAGCCCTTCACTGCAACCTTAGTTGACGTCCTGCTAAGGACCCTACGCTTCTAACATCATCGAGACTGCACTCTCACAACTGACTTGGCCTGCCCTCCCCAGCAAGACTTGGAAGGAAGATAGAGATGGTCCCAGACCTGCAGGCCAGTGCCCCAGGTGAGGCTGCAGGCCACTGCAGAATGGGGCTTACATGGAAGACAGGTCTTCGTATCCCATCTTTTTCACGCAGCAGTCACCAAGTGGTCTTTGCGAACTCGATCATTAATTGTTTACTAGGGCGAGTCCATTTCTTTACCCATCCCTGTTGTTGAGCATTCAGATTATTTCCACTTTTACAGGATTTTGATCTTAAATTTTCAAAGGGAGAGAAGAATGGAGTCATCATCATTTAGAATTTATGAGTTACGTGCCCAAGTTTTACCCTTCATGTATTATCATGGCTTGGCATGTTTGGTGATGAGCTGTATGATTTTAATCAAAAGATACATTTTAATAGGCCATCAGTAGAAAGTCCATAGTTCTAATATGAAGCATAAAGGAAAATTGGGGGTGGAGGGGAGACCTCAAGCCATCTGATTAGAAACCATTGGCAATGCACAGAGCGGGATGTGGGGGAAAATTATTTTCTTAAATGTTACCTTCACACGTGTAAAGTTATCGAGGGACAGCGGTACACAGAGAACATCCAAGAGAAAGAGATGCCAGCTTGGGCCACAGGTTGCTCTAATCTGTTCTGACTTGACTCTAGATGTCTCTCTCCAGGTCCCATATCTCTCTATTAAGGTCCTATTTGTGGGGAAAGGCAAGGGAAAGGCAAGATGACTCTTCTTGGGGTAGGGGCAGACACTGAGGGCAGAGGAAATGTGCTGTGGCTTAGTTGAACCAAGAGGGAAGTTGAACTAAGTCAATAATAGCTCAAGATAAAAACTGGAATCCTATCAAAGCATCAAGTCCGAAGGGCAAGATGAGGCTAGACACAGAAAAATAATCAATGTATGATCAGTGAGCTCAGAGGCTGGGAGGGTTCAAGCCAAGATGGCAGGCAGAGTGAGGCGTGGAAGAAGCCTGTGGTTCAGAATGAGCCATGGACAGGGGGTGGATCTCAGAGTGGAGGAGGTGGAGGAGGTCCTGAGTGGAGGAGGTGCTGTCCAGGTTGCAGGGATGGATGTGATGGCTAAAAGGGATCTCTCAAGGCTGGCCACTTTTCACATGGCACTGAGACTCTGTTTCATCCACTGGTGGTCTTTCTTTGTCCATCCCTTCATACATGCTTAAGATTCTTAAGAGAGCTGTCAGTGACGACCTTGCCCACCTTCCTAACACCACCAGCTTTAGTCTCACTCAACTCTCTAGTACAGAACTAGAGAATCATTTCCTTAGATTCAGAAAGGAGTACCTTCCAGAGAAAGGGTCTTCTCCCCCCTTCTCTCCACCTATTCTGAATAATAAATCGAGAAGATAAAAACTAAAGACATTAAAATAAAGTCACTTTGCTGACAAGCTATGAATTGGGAGAGCTAACTGTTTGTGAACAGAAGGGCACAGGGAAATCCATTTGGGGAAATGATTTTCAAAGTTTACTATTTATGGCCTTAAAGTTTTTATTTTCCCAAATTCTAGGAAAAGATTGATCATGGTGAGACAAAAATTTCTTTTGGGAAAGTTGTGAAAAATGTCTTTGTTCCAAAACAAAGCAACAGAGTGTTGTCTAATTTTCCTGGTGGGCAGGTGGAAGACGATGGGTCAAGGATAAGGAGTGATGGTGATGGTGGTTTATGCTGCTGACACGTAGTCTTAAAGATTATAATCAGCTCACTTGGGAGCCCTCGATGGAAGAAAGAGCCAAAGGTAGAGTGAACACATATGATCTATAAATAGGACACATGCTAGAGAAGCAGTGATCTTATCTGGAGGCAGCCTTGCCTCTGTTATTTCATCGATTCTCCCCACGTTAATGGTGTTGCTGGAGCTTACTATTAATCTAATGACTGTGCTTTGGAATAATAATGCTTCACTCCTGCCCTATCTCTCCTATTTGACAGACAGCTTTGATTCATCAGGTAAAGGCCCAAGAGCTGCATCAGTCATTATTAAATAGAAATCAATAAGGTACGTTACATAAAGGAAGCTGCAAGTGTGTGATATGAGGCAGCGTGTTACCTCTGAATTCAGAAATCCATTCCTATTTCTAAGCACCAAAGTTCTAGGGGGCTCTGACCTCTGGAAATGTATGCATATGCTTTGGGCATTAATGCCACTAAGAGGGTGCCTTAATCAAATTTGTGCTGCTTCTCCAGAATACCTGAGACTTGAAAATTTATAAAGAGCAGAAATCTATTGGCTCATGGTTCTAGAGGCTGGGAAGTCCAAGATCAAAGGTCTGCATCTGATGAGGACTTTCTTGCTGCACCATAACATGGCAGAAGGCATCACATGGCAAAAAAGGATGAGAGAGGGGGGAGAGGGAGGTGAAATTGCTTTCATAAAAACCCCACTCCATGATAATAACATTAATTTATGAAGGCAGAGCCCTCATGACATAATCACCTCTTAGAGGTCCTACCTCTCAGCATTGTTGCATTGAGGAATAAGTTTCCAACACATGGACTTTGGGGGACATATTCAATCCAAAGCACAGTTTTTGTGGGTCAGGAATTCATGGGTGGCTTAGCTGGGTGATTCTGGCTTATGTCTCTCATGAGGTGGCAGTCAAGATGCCAGCTGGGCTGCGTCACCTCAAGACTCAACTGAGACAGGGGGATCTGCTTCCAAGAAGGCTCCCTCATAAGGCCAGCAAGTTGGAGTGGTTGTTGGCAAGAGGCCTCAGTTCCTCACCACATCAGCCTCTCCACAGACTACTTGAGCATCCTCACAACATGGTGGCTGGCTTCGTCCAGAGTGAGTGAACCAAGAGAGCAAGGGAGACACTGCAGTCTTTTGTGATCTAGCCTTGGAAGCCACACTCCATCTGTTTCACAATCGCTGTTGTTAAACAGGTCCATCGTATTCAAAGTGGGAGCAGGGATATGCAAAGGCAGAAATACCATGAGGGGAGCATCCTTGGGTGCCATCTTGGGGTGGCTACTATGGTTCTCTGTGAGACTTTGCTTGATATTGTGCCCTCCCTTGGCCACCTTCTCTTCCTGGTCCTGCTTCCCTACTTTCCAATTAGTTTTTCCTAAGAGCAGTTTCTACCAGGGGATTTTCACTTTCACATGAATTCTTCCCCAAAGATCTGCTTCTAGAGAACACAGCCTAAGACATAAAATATAGATGAGCAGCCCACCCATTTTCTGATTAGCCCTCTGGCTTTCTGCTGGAATGGGAGCACTGCTGTGAGCCTCACCCTCCTTGGCTGTGGCCCTGACCCACTCCATGGGGGCTTCATTCTCTCCTTTGTCTCAAAAGTCATTGGCTAGGGCCCCATTAGAATACAGCCACCACCCAGAACCAATGATACCCTTTACCAAACACTCAGCTGACATCACCCCATTTAACATAACTTCCAACTCATCCTTTATAGCAGCTACTATTGTCTTTATTCTACAGGAGAGGAAACTGAGATTTAGGCAAATTAAGTAACATGTACAAGTTTGCATTGCTAGCACCAGAGCCATGACTTGAACCCACATCTGGAAGGTCCAAAGCTCATGACCTTCACTTTCATTGTGTTTGCTTTTTGGTCATTCTCTGCACCTGCTGCCAAGCTGTGTCTGCACGTCTGACTCCCCACCCCCCCCCAACAAAGGATAGAATCAGATGGGGATGGAGCTGATGTTGACCACAATTCTTCGCACAACCATCCATCCAACCCTGTTTTCAGGGTCCTCTCCCACTCCTCACCCACTACTCCTGACTTCCTGCCCCTCCATACCCACAGTGGAAACTCTTAGCATGCATCTGTGCTTCCTGCCTGAACCAGCCCAAAGCTGTGGTCACCCTGGTCAGGGCAGATAGATGGAGTGGTTAACCCCACCCTTTGCCACGTTGCCACCTGGGTTCAGGAAGTCAACATCCCTCATGCCACCAGGCTCCTGGCCTGCCTGTAGCAGATGGAAAGGTATCTTCTTGGTCAAAAGATTTTGCTCCCCTGAAAATGCACTTGAGCCTAAGCAGGTTGGCACTGGGGTTTTTCTTTGAGGACAAGGTCTGAGGGACGGGGAGACAGTGTAGTGTGTGAGCTGCTTCAGGGGAGGAGTCAGTCGAGCCCTCTCCAGTAGGGCAAGTCCAGGCCCTCAGGGGGAGATTAGGGCTTAGAGAAACCAGTCCTGGGGCTATGGAACCTTCTCACTTGTAAAACACAATGGCTCCCAGGGCAGCACACTAATTAGCCAGCTGTTCTGCCTAAATTTGCCTCTTAAATTCAACAGACTCCCACTCCTTGAACGTATCATAAAGCTAGGTTCAATTTTAGAGTTAAACTCCTGGAAAGGAATAGAACATTGCAGCACCTTTCATTCTCCCTCACAGTCATTGCACTTCTGCCTCCCAATTTCTATTACCGTGTCTGAGTCAAGCAGGGGTCATGTGTGTGTCATTTTCTAATTGAACTATAATTAACACACTACAAAATGCGCGGATTTTAGGCATTCCGTTCAGCGAGTTTTGATAATTACATACTCCCAGGTAGCCACTACCCAAACAAAACACAGACCAACTCTGTCTGATAGCAATGGAGCAAGAGCCATACATGTAATTTTAAAGTTTCTAGGAGCCACATTTGGAAAAGTAAAACAAACAAGTGAAAATTACTTTAATATTATATTTTTAACCCAGTGTATTTAAAACATGATTTTAATACAAAATGATAAGAAATTGTTCTCTTTTTTCAGTAACAAGTCTTTGAAACTTTGTGCTTGTTTTATACTTACAGCACATCTCAATTTGGAGGTTAATTTTTAACAGTTAGTGCTGTGGCTAGTGCCTGTAATCCTAGCACTTTGGGAGGCTGAGGTAGGAGGGTTGATTGAGGCTGGGAGTTCAAGACCAGCCTGAACACCACAGTGAGACCTCTTCTCTACGAAAAAATTTAAAATGAGCTGGGCATGGTGATGCACACCTATAGTCCCAGCTTCTCCAGAGGCTGAGGCAGGAGGATTGCTTGAGCCCAGGAGTTCGAGGCTGCAGTGAGCTGTGATCATGCCACTGCACTGCAGCCTGTATGACAGAACAAGACCCTGCCTCTAAGGAAAAATTAAATAAAATTAAAAATTTAGTCTCTCAGTCATACCAGCCACAATTCAAGTCACATTTTATGAGGTTAGTGGCCACCATATCAGATAGCAAAGATTAGATGCCACCATCAGCCCAGAAAGTTCTTTCTCCCCTTTTTCAGTCAATTTCCTCCCTCTCCCCAGGTGACCACTTTCTATCATTACAGATTGCTTTGTTTGTTCTGGGCTTCATATAAATGGGTTTATGCAGCCTATACTCTTGTCTCCTGCTTTGTTTGTTCAGTATAGTTTTTTGTTTGGTTGCTTTGAGACAAGGTCTTGCTTTGTCACCCAGGCTGGAGTGCAGTGGTGCAATCACAGCTCACTGCAGCCTCAACTTCCTGGGCTCAAGAGATCCTCCTGCCTCAGCCTCCCAAGTAGCTGGGATTACAGGCATGCACCACAATGCCTGGTTAATTTTTGTATTTTTTTTGTAGAGATGAGGTTTTACTATGTTGCCCAGGCTGGTCTTGAAGTCCTAGGTTCATGTGATCTGCTCCCTCAGCCTCCCGAAGTGCTGGGATTACAGGCATGAGCCATCGTGCCCAGTCTCAGTATAGTTTTTAAGAACCATCCACATCATTACTCATATCAGTAGTTTTATTGCTGCATAGTATTCCACTGCATAAACATACCACGATGGACCCAGATGCATGGTATCCATCTGGGCTCTTTTCACTCTGGGGTTCTTCTGAACAAGGCTGCTATCCATATCCTAGTGCATGTCATTTTATGAACGTACGTTTTCATTTCTCTTGTCTAAACACCAAAGGGGAATTGCCGAGTCATAGGGTAGGTACGTGTTGCTCTTTGTAATCAGCAGCACTCCAGAGAGACGGTGCCATTCCATGTTCCAAACAGCAGCATGGAGCCGTCCATGTTCCCCACATCTTTGTCAGCATTTGGGACTGTCGATCTTTTAAAATTTAGCCACTGTGTCTACCATGGTGATCACGTTCATTTCCTTGATGACTCAAGACATTGGGAATCTTTCTTTTTTTTTTTTTTTTTTTTTTTGAGACAGAGTCTAGCTCTTTCACCAGGCTGGAGTGCAATGGCATGATCTTGGCTCACTTTAAGCTCTGCCTCCCAGGTTCAAGCGATTCTCCTGCCTCAGCCTCCCGAGTAGCTGGGATTACAGGCACCCACCACCACGCCTGGCTAATTTTTGTATTTTTAGTAGAGATGAGGTTTCACCGTGTTAGGATGGTCTCACTCTCCTGACCTCATGATCCACCCACCTTGGCCTCCCAAAGTGCTGGGACTACAGGTGTGAGCCACCATGCCCGGCTGGGAATCTTTTATGTATTCATTGGCCATTCTTAGATCTTCTGTGAGGGGGCCTGATCAAATCTTCTGTTCATTTTTTAGGAGTTGTTCTCTTCAGGGTTAATTTGTAGGAGTTCTCTACATATTCTGCACAAGTCCTTTGTCAGATACATGTGCTGCCAATATTCTTTCCATTCTGTGGCTTATTTTAATTTTTTTGAAACAGGTTCTCACTCTGTC
The DNA here is from genome assembly GCF_000001405.40 of Homo sapiens. NCBI lineage: Eukaryota > Metazoa > Chordata > Mammalia > Primates > Hominidae > Homo > Homo sapiens. The sequence goes on along the minus strand of NC_000007.14, from coordinate 3,110,191 downwards.
CCCTAGGCTGGAGTGTAGTGGTGTGATCACAGCTCACTGTAGCTGCAACCACCTGAGCTCAAGCGATCCTCCCACCGCAACCTTTGGAGTAGCTGGGACTACAGGCATGTGCCACCACACGCAGCTAATTTTTGTATTTTTTGTAGAGATGGGGTCTCACTCTGTTGCACAGGCTGGTCTCAAACTCCTGAGCTCAAGCGATCGTCTACCTCAGCCTTCAAAGTAGCTGGGACTACAGGCATGTGCCACCATCCCCAGATAATTTTTTTATTTTTTGTAGAGATGGGGTTTCACTATGTTGCCCGGGCTGGTCTTGAACTCCTGAGCACAGGCCATCCTCCAGCCTTGGCCTCCCAAAGTTCTGGGATGACAGCCTCTGTGGCTTATCTTCATGATGTCTTTTGAGAAGCATTTTCAAATGCCTGAGTAACAGAGCAAGATCTTATCTCTTTAAAAAATTGCAATTCTCTATTCCCAACGGCCCACTGTTCATCTCTGGTGCCAACATTCCCCTGCAGACAGGGATGGAAGCCAGCACTCCTATTGCAAGTCCTCTCATCCAACGGAATGGGCTCAACAGCAGTGTGGGTTGTGGTGTATTTTTCAGTCAATTCAGTACCGTAGCTACCAGCTTCAACCTTTACAACCTGTTGTCTCACGAAGTGATCTCCTGCCACTCTCTAACCTCATGAAAATGAAATGGGAGCCCCGCAAAAGCAAATAGTTTGAATCTGTTTATAGCTGGTCAAACATGTTTTACTCAAAGACTGGAGTTCAAAAAGTCATTTCTCCTAACAACCAAACAGAAATATTTGCCCATCATTTAAACGTTCTGTAGCTCTCGGGGGTCCGCCTTACCTTAAATTGCTTGTTATGCAAAGTGTTCCAAGATGAAATTTGGCTTCAGTGTTTGGGGACGGGCTTTCGATGGATTTATTAACTGACTCTTTGTGTCTCACCTCCCTGGTATTTCAGGCTCTATCTTCTCCTTGTTATCTTTTATGCGGGGCCAGGACTGGTGGTGATTTTCCCTTTGTGAATCTTGTTTTCAATAGAAACCTCACAGACACACAGAAAACTCCTCAGGTATGTGTGTAGGCAGTGGTATCCCGCCAGCCTCCTGCCTCCCGGCTCTGCAGAGATTGTAATCGTGGAATTACAATAACACTCTGCATCCTCATCACACATTTCATCTGAGATTGCCAAAGGTTTCACTAACTAGTATATGATCTCTTTCATTTTACAAGTGGAGAAATCAAGGCTGGAAGACACTGTTGAGATGTCATGTCAGGGAACGCCTCCTGCCTCCCTGGGCTGGCTCCAGACACAGCCGTCTCTCTGCTCAGATGGATGCAAAGACACCCAGAATTTGTTGTTTTCATATAACGCGTGTCAGGTGTTGCTCTCAGCGCCTTTCACGCATTAACAAAGTTCATCCTTGGCCAGGCGCAGTGGCTTTTGCCTGTAATCCCAGCACTTTGGGAGGCCGAGACGGGCGGATCACCTGAGATCAGGAGTTCAAGACCAGTCTGGCCAACATGGTGAAACCCGGACTCTACTAAAAATACAAAAATAAGCCAGGCATGGTGGCACATGCCTGTAATCCCAGCTATTCAGGAGGTTGAGGCAGGAGAATCGCTTGAACCTGGGAGACGGAGGTTGCAGTGAGCAGAGATCACACCACTGCCCTCCAGCCCTGGTGACAGAGCAAGACTCTGCCTCAAAGAAAAAAAAAATTCATCCTCAATTCAGTTACATCCCTGTGTACAGTGGATAAAATGAGTCACAGGAAGGCTAAGAACATAGCCCAAGGACACAAAGCTATAAGTGCCCAACAGATTCTCCTTGCCTGCTGCCTAGACAGAGCCAACTTATCCAGACAGGGGAATTGCAATAGAGAAAGAGTAATTCACACAGAGCCAGCTGTGTGGGAGACCAGAGTTTTATTATTAAATCAGTCTCCCCAAGAATTCAGGGATCGGAGTTTCTAAGGATAATTTGGTGGGTAGGGGGCCGGTGAATAAGGAGTTCTGACTGGTCAGGAAGGAGATTAAATCATAGGGAGTTGAAGCTGTCTTCCTGCACTGAGTCAGTTCCTGGGTGGGGCCCACAAGACCAGATGAGCCAGTCTATCGATCTGGGTGGTGCCAGCTGATCCATCAAGTGCAGGGTTTGCAAAGTATCTCAAGCGCTGGTCTTGGGTTTTACAATAGTGACGTTATCCCCAAAAACAATTTGGGGAGGCTTAGAATCTTGCAGCCTCCGCCTGTGTGACTCCTAAACCCTTATTTCTAATCTTGTGGCTAATTTGTTAGTCCTACAAAGGCCCTCTCATCCCCAGGCAGGAAGGGGGTTTGTTTTGGGAAAGGGCTGTTATCATCTTTGTTTCAAACTATAAACTAAGTTCCTCCCAAAGGTAGTCCGACCTATGCCCAAGAATGCACACAGACAACTTGGAGGCCACCAGGCAAAGGAAAGTAAATGAGTAGCTTTTTACTGACTATGACAAAGTCACAAGTACACCAAGCCCTAAAAGCCCTCAAGATCACAGAGTGATGGCTGCAGCCCCAGTCACTGGGTTCTCATTCTAAGCAGAAAAGGGAGGGACAGAGGGTGCAAGCCACACTGTTCCCTCTTCACAGGAAAGAGTGTGAGTGTTAGACCAGCTATGTGACTGGTCATTTGTAACCAAAGGACGTCAGAATGAAATGCAGTGGGGGAAGATGGCCATAAAAGCCGGCTGCGTGTTTATTCCATTTTAAAATAAGTACGCGATTTCACACGTGCGACCTAAATCTGTATGCAGAGCAGAATCAACCCCACAAGCAAAAGAGAAAAAAAAAATTGTCTGGACTTCCTCTTGTCTTAGAATGCATCCTCTAAGGATTTTTCTGTAAGGCCAAGTAAAATTACAAGGTTGGTTTTTTTTTTGCAGTGAAGTCACAGAATTACGGTAGCCTAAAGGGCACACGAAAGGCCAGTGATCATTGCCTCCAATTAACATTTGTTAATACCAGGGGAAGAAATGCCGCAGAGGAAGCTTCCAACGGCAGGCGATTTCTCCACCTCAACCCAGTCCAAGTGCACAGAGAAGTAAGGATTCCAGGGACCCTGGCGACCTTGGGAACAGGTGCCAGAATGAGACTGAGAAACCCTGACCCAACCCTTCCTCCTGGAGATTCCTCATCCATGAAATTGTCAGGCTGGAAATGTCTCTGAGACTCTGTGTCTAACCACCTAGAAAACCTTCAGTGTCCTTTGATAGCATTTGATAGAATTTGATAGCATTCAACAAATACGTGAAAACCTCCAATGTACCAGCCTCAGGGTGAGGGCATGTGATGGTGAACACAACAGACCCTGTCCCTAATCTCACAGAGCTTGTGGTCTGGTGGGGAGATGGCTTCTGAGAATACAAGTGTAGCATACATGAGAAACGTGGAACTGATCAACAAGAATCCTGGCTACAGAGGCTCAAACCAAAAGGGGGTTATTTTTCTCACCTAACCAGAAAGGTCGAGTCATAGCTCCCTGTGTTGAATCAGCCACTTGGTAACTTTGAAACCCACATTTCCCTCAAGATCACAGAGTGATGGCTGCAGCTCCAGCCACTGTGCCACTGTGTTCTCATTCTAAGCAGAAAAGGGAGGGACAGAGGGTACAAGCTGCACTGTTCCCTCTTCACAGGAAAGAAAGCATTTTCTCAGAGACTTCCACTGTGTCCCAGGGCCACCCCAGCTGCAAGACAGGTTGGGAGAGCCAGTATTTAGCTAGGCACATGGCCACCTCAAACAAAACCTTTTAGCAAGGGAGAGGGAATGTGGGGAATGGGTATTTCATAGCCAGCTGTTACAGTTATCTACTGGTATGTAAGAAACCACCCCCAAACATAAGGATATAAAATAATTGTATATGCTCAGAGACTGTGTGGGCCAGAAATTTGGACAGAGCACAGCAGGGATGGCTTGTCTCTCTCCCTGAAGTATGGGGGTTCAGCTGGGGAGGTGATTTGAGGTGGCTTAAATGCCTAGGGTTGGAATCATTGAGAGGTTTCTCTCCTCATGTCTGGCCCCTGGGCTGGAAAGTCTTGAAGACTGACCCCTCCATGTGGCTTGGGCTTCCTCACAATATGGTGGCTGAGAGCCCAGCAGGGGTACTGAGATGGGTGTCCTGAGAGTGTGCATTCCAAGAAATCAGGTGGGCACTGCATGGCCTCTGTTGATCTAGGCTTGGAGTCACATGGCATCACTTCCATCATATTCTATTGCTTACAAGTCCTTAAGACCCAGCCAAGTTAAAAGGGAAAAGAATTAGACTCTACATCTTGATGGGGGAGTGGTCAAGTGAGTGTTATTTTCGGGAGGCTGAGCATGAGAATCACTTGAGCCTAGGAATCGTAGTTTGCAGTGAGCCAAGATCCTGCCACTGCACTCCAGCCTGAGTGACAGAGTAAGACTCCATTTCAAAAGAGAAACAAAAAGTGGCTGGGTGTGGTGGCTCACACCTGTAATCCTAGTACTTTGGGAGGCTGAGTTGGGCAGATTGCTTGAGCTCAGGAGTTTGAGACCAGTCTGGGCAACATGGCAAAACCCTGTCTCTACTAAAAAAAAAAAAAAACCTGGACGTGGTGGCACACACCTGTAATCCCAGCTGCTCAGGAGGCTGAGACACGAGAATCGCTTGAACCTGGGATGCAGACGTTGCAGTGAGCTGAGATCATGCCACTGCACTCCAGCCTGGGCAACAGGGTGAGACTCTCTCAAAAAACAAAACAAACAGATGTGCCAGGTCAGGAGGGCAGGGAAGGGCATGGCCACTGGAGAAATGGAGGCTCCGGTGGCCAGAGTGGGAAGGTCGGGTGGAGTGGGCAGGAAAATGTGGCTTGGGGTGGGCAGAAGCCAGGCCACACAGACCCCTGGGGCCAGAGAAGGGGCTTGGGCTTCATCCCGGGAGCAGCAGGAGATCAGGGCGGGGCTTCCTGCAGGGGAGCAAAGGGATGGATGTTCATGTTAGGAGGCCCATGGGCTGCAGTGGGAGGAGCGGAGGGCGGACACATGAAGGCAGGTAGATAGGGAGGAGGCTGCCACAGGAATTGAAAAGGCATTGGTGTGGGGTGGGGAGAAGCAGACCAGGATGGGGATGAAATTTTAAGGTGAGGTCTCAGGACTTGCTAATTCCCTGAATTGCACTTGCAGAGGGAGAGGAGACAGGAAGGAAAGATGAACCCTGAGTTTGAGCCTGAGCACCTGGGGGCTGATGCATTGGACAGGCCCTTCACAAGAGGCTGGCATGGAGTGGCCTGTTAATAATGGAAGAGACATCTTTCTAAAGTCTTTGTAAAACGCAAATCCAACCAAGTCCTCCCCTGCTTTGAAGCCTCCGTGAGTCCCCTTTGCCCTGCTGAGAAAGGCTGCTCAATTTCCCTAGCCTGACCCATCAAAGCATCCTCCTGATTCCCTGGGATTCCTTCTTCCCACTCCTCCAACCCTATGGAATGACTCCAGAGCACCCAGCAATTCCTCTCTTTCTCAAATCTACATCTTTGCCGGGCCGCTACCCTGGTCTTCTCCTTGCCACTTTTCAGGACTCAGTAGAAAGGTCACTTCCTCTAGTGCCAGGGTCTCTGTTCCATCTCACCACTTCTTATGGGGCTTTTATCTTCGCTTGGACCTGTGAGTTCCCAGAGGCCAGCTTTGTGTCTCCTGCTCACTGCTGTACAGCTAAGTCCTGGGATGGGGTAGCCACTCCGCAAGGCTTTGAAACATCCAATCAACACAGTAAATCCTGGAGATGGGGAAGACACAGGGGTACTAGAGGAGAAGGGTGAGGGATTGGGGTCAGGGTGTGGAGACACCTAATGTAACAAAGTCGTTCGGCTTCTGCAGGAGGCCATTAGCTCTGCACAGCTCCTAGTCTGCTTTCAGTTCCAAAAACTCAAAAGTTGCAGGTTCTTCAGATGACGCTGGGTGATGTTAGGTTTCTGGATGCACCAATCTGACTGGGCTCGACTTGGAAGTTAAGAGTACATAATGTTCCCATTTCTATGAACAGCTCAGAAGGAATCCAAAAAGCAGAAGTCAAAAACAGGGATTGGGAAGTAAGCACCCATACTTGGTAGAAACAGAACTCAAGCTGTTCACTTTTACCATCCCTTTAAAAGCAACAAGAAAATCCTTAGGGAAAAAGATACACATGGTGCCTTCAGCGGCTTCTTCCAGCAATGGGACAGAAAGGCCATGTGGGCACACGGGCTTTGGAGTCAGACTTGCTGGCTATAATTTTCCACTTTAGGCCTCAACGTCCTCATCTGTCAAATGGGAGCAGTGTTGGCTCGGGATGAAATGAGGTGTGTGCTCAGAGCCTGGGGTGACGCACCTGCCTTGACGCGTTTGAATGCAACATGAGCTGCCCTTATTGTGTGGTTCTCACAGTCTCCAGTGACATCAGAGCAACCACAGTGACAACAGTTTCATTTTTCTGTGCACCCACCAGTACCCTGCCATGGGACAATAGTGCGTGAGTAAATGCAGCCAGTTTACAGGCATGCTGGCTCATGCCTGTAATCCCAGCACTTTGGGAGGCCGAGGTGGGAAGATCATTTCAACCCAGGAGTTCAAGACCTGCCAGAGCAACAGAGTGAGACCCCTGTCTCTACAAAAAAAAAAAAAAAAAAAAAAAAATCTCTGCATGTGATAATGCCTGCCTGTGGTCCCAGCTACTCGGGAGGCTGAGGCAGGAGAATCACTTGAGCCCAGGAGATGGAGGCTACAAGGAGATGAGTTCATGCCACTGCACTCCATCCTGGGCAAGAGAGCAAAACCTCATCTCAAAAAAAAAAAAAAAAAAAAAAAAAAAACTAAATTCGCAAAAATAAATAAATAAATGTAGCCAATCACTAAAAAGCTTCCACCTCACCTCTCCCAGCACCGCCCTGGGAGGCACACCTAATATAACAAGTGCCAGCACCGGACGCAGTGGTTCACACCTGTAATCCTAGCACTTTGGGAGGCCAAGGTGGGTGGGTCACCTGAGGTCACGAGTTCGAGACCAGCCTGGCCAACATGGTAAAACCCCGTCTCTACTAAAAATACAAAAATTAGCCAGACATGGTGGCAGGTGCCGGTAATCCCAACTACTTGGGAGGCTGAGGCAGGAGAATTGCTTGAACCTGGGAGGTGGAGGTTGCAGTGAGCTGAGATCATGCCATTGCACTCCAGCCTGGGCAACAACAGTGAAATTCCATCTCAAACAAACAAGTGCCAGGCCCTTACATGATGCTCAATAAACTCTCTGTGCTTTTTTTGTTAGTTTTGTTTTGTTTTGTTTTGAGACGGAGTCTCACTCTGTCGCCCAGGCTAGAGTGCAGTGGCACCATCTCGGCTCACTGCAAGCTCCGCCTCCCGGGTTCACGCCATTCTCCTGCCTCAGCCTCCTGAGTAGCTGGGACTACAGGCGCCCGCCACCATGCCCGGCTAATTTTTTGTATTTTTAGTAAAGACGGGGGTTTCACCGTGTTAGCCAGGATGGTCTCGATCTCCTGACCTTGTGATCCGCCTGCCTCAGCCTCCCAAAGTGCTGGGATTACAGGCGTGAGCCACCGCGCCCGGCCCCCTCTGTGCTTTTAACATTTCCCTTTTGTTGGGGGAAAGTGAGAGTCTCAGAGGCAGGATGGCAGGCTCAGGCAGGAAGATGAGGCCTCAGATAATGTCTTTTCATGTAAGTCTTGTAATGTTGTTTCCTCTCATTAGGGATTGTTTTTGTTCCTACTGGCGCACTTTCCAAGCTGTGTTAAATTTTAAGACCTAGTTAAACTTGTATTTCTTCAGGCTAAGTGGAAACTCTGTAGATTATTTTTTCCAAATTAAAATCATAATAAAACTGATTTGGAAAAAAATAAAACAAGCTCTAGGAAACCCAAACGTATCTGTTTGTCAGTTTTACCATTACAAATGGAATTAAGCCAAACATTTAAGTGGTTTTTCACAGGCCTTCCTTCTGTGGGTCCCCTCTGTGTGTGTATTCTCTGTGCAGAATGTTCTTGGGTATAATTTATCCTCCTCTAATTTATTGGATTATGTCTATATACTGCTGTACTTATTTTAACAAAGAGGTTTTTAAACAAATAGAAGTAAATGTAGATTTAATTTATTTCATCAGGCGAAGAATTCTCGAGAAAATCAATTTTCATTTGCACAGGTATTCTGGTAGTCAGGCACCCCTGTTATTACACGCCTGTTCCTCCTTTGCCGGCGTTTCCATGACAGATAGCTTCGTTTCTCTGCCACGATTCTATTACTTACAGAAAAATATGTTTAAGGAGTATTAAAGGTCTTACTTAAACTGACAAAAGTCACCAAAGCTTGTGTTAAGGTTGACACGGTCTTTAACTTACTCCGGCGAATGGGAACCACTGGGAAATTCACATGCCCGTGGCGGTGTGGCATGTCCATTTTTATTTGCAGCTCTTCCTGTTTTGTTAATTTATAGAAGACCTTTAATGCTATCTAAATGGAAGCATGGATCTCGGCCCAGCATGAGAAGGTCTGACGAGGGATTTTCTCTCTCTTTGCTCGGAAACTGGGCTCTTCAGAAGCCGGGTGTGTCTGGGGTGCCCACCACCAAAGTTCTAAAGTGGATAGAGTTTAGGTCTATGCCGAAATGCTCCAGGTCAGCCCATTGTTTTCCAGCCTCAGAGCTCGTTGACAGACATAAATTAGATCATTCCTTCTATCCTCTGCTTAAAACACTTCTAATGGCTTTCTATTTTCCTTTTTTTTTTTTTTTTTTTGAGACAGGGTCTTGCTCTGTCACCCAGGCTGGAGTGCTGTGGTGCAATCATAGCTCGCTGCAGCCCCGAACTCCTGGGCTCAAGTGAGCCTCTTTCTCTGGGCCACTCCCCTGGTCTTCTCCTTGCCACTTTTCAGGACTCAGTAGAAAGGTCACTTCCTCCAGTGCCAGCGTGTCTGTCCCATCTCACCACTTCCTATGGGGCTTTTATCTTCGCTTGGACCTGTGAGTTCCCAGAGGCCAGCTTTGTGTGTCCTGCTCACTGCTGTACCGCCAAGTCCTGGGGTAGCCACTCTGCAAGGCTTCGGAACGTCCAATCAATGCAGTAAATCCTGGAGAGGGGGAAGACACAGCGGTCCCCTTCCAAGGAGCTGGGACTACAGGTGAGCACCACCTTGCCTAGCTAATTTTTAAGATTTTTTATAGAGTCAGGGTCTTGCTGTGTTGCCCAGGCTGACCTTTCCATTTTCCTTTCTGAACTCCTCCTTCAGCATGTGCTGGAGTCGGCTTGTCCCACATGTTCTGGAGTCGGCTTGCCCCGGTCCTTCAGCGTGTGCTGGAGTCGGCTTGCCCCGGCCCTGCAGTGTTTGCTGGAGTCAGCTTGCCCTGGCTTGTAAGAGCTGAACGTGAACGTGCACATCTCTTCCCAGCTCTGTGTTCAGGGTTGACATTGGCAGCTTGAAGTCGGCTATGACGGGAGTATTTACACCATGGAAATTGACAAACATGACAAATCAGTGCTCCTTCTTTTTTTAGAGCTGGTTGTAACTATTTCCCAGCACACCACTGCCTTAACTCCTACCATTCTCCCCATCACTCTCCACGGTCTAGTCACACTGACCTTCTTTTTGTTCCTTGAACACATCAAACTCTTAATTAGGACTTCTTTTTTTTTTTTTTTTTCTTTTTTTGGAGACAGATTCTTGCTCTGTCGCCCAGGCTGGAGTGCTGTGGCACGATCTCAGCTCACTGCATCTTCCACCTCCCAAGTTCAAGCAATTCTATCTCAGCCACCCGAGTAGCTGGGACTACAGGCTTATGCCACCATGCCTGGCTAATTTTTGTATTTTTTAGTAGAGATGGGGTTTCACCATATTGGTCAGGCTGGTCTCGAACTCCTGACCTTAGGTGATCCATCTGCCTCAGACTCCCAAAGTGCTGGGATTACAGGCGTGAGCCACCATGCCTGGCCAATTAGGACTTTTGTGTCTTCGAATCCTTTAGCATGGAGTACTCCTGCCCCCTGTAATAGATGCTGCCCCCTTTCCATGACCTTCAGTGAACACAGGCTTCCAGAGTCCAACCGCTGGGACCACATTTATACCAGAGAACGTTCTCAGGCCACCATTTGCTACCAGAGTGACAGGGAATGGAGGCGCCCTCCAGCCCCAACCACACCCGTAATTCCTTAGCAAAGGCTTACAGGGACTGGTGGAGAAAAGCCCCAGAGAATGATGGGAGCTACAATTCAAGATGAGATTTGGGTGGGGACACAGCCAAAACATATCAGTCCCTGTTGCTGGAATGCTGGCCGAGAATCCTGGGTTCAAATCCCAGAACCACCGATGAGCTAGTTTCTCCCACAATAATCCTAGCCACTTCCTTGTCCAGATATTTTAAGATGAGAAAAAAGACTGACTCTCTCAGCAACCAAAATCCAAGATGCGTGTTTTACCCGGCACCCTTCAATGACTGCTCCTCTTCCCCCTCATTTCCCACTCCTCCGATGGTGTTTCTTGGGATCCTCTCCCAAATACACTTATTTACACTCCCACTTCCGGCTCAAAGTCTGCTTCTAGGGGAGCCTAAACCAATATACCCCAACCTTCCCTTGCCTGGTTCCTTCTTCTCCTTCGTATCTGAGCTTAACCCTCTGCTGGAAGAAGCTTATGCTGATAGCCAACTACCTCATTGTTCCCCACCCAAACTCCAGTACCTGTAAATGCCAGAGCCTGGTTTTGAACTCAGATCTCTCTGGCTCTCAGACCAAGGACTCTGGAAGCACTATCACTGGAGGCCTTTAAAAGTCAGATTCTTCTTCAATAGTTCTGCAGTGAGGCCCATGAATCCAAAATCCAATGGTCCCCAACCTTTTTGGCACCAGGGACTGGTTTCATGGAAAACAGTTTTTTCCACGGACTGGGGGTGGTTTTAGGGGGATGCTTTGGGGATGATTCAAATGCATTACATTTATCGTGCACTTTCTTTCTATTATTATTACACTGTAATATACAATGAAATAGTTATACTCAACACAATATAGAAACAGTAGGAGACCTGAGCTTATTTTCCTGCAACTAGACAGTCCAATCTGGGGGTGATGAGAGGCAGTGACAAATCATCAGACATTAGATTCTCATAAGGAGTGCACAACCTAGAACTCGCGTGCGCAGTTCACAGTAGGGTTTGAGCTCCTATGAGAATCTAATGCGGCTGCTGATCTGACAGGAGGCAGAGCTCAGGTGGTAATGTGAGGGATGGGGAACGGCTATAACTACAGATGACGTTTCGCTCACTCACCCGCTGGTCACCTCCTGCTGTACGGCCCGGTTCCTAACAGGCCATGGACCAGTTCCAGTCCATGGTCCAGGCACTGGGGATCCCTGCCATAACATACATCTGTATGTGTATGTATATATATATATATATTTTGAGACGGAGTTTTGCTCTTGTCGCCCAGGCTGGAGTGCAATGGTGCGATCTCGGCTCACTGCAACCTCCGCCTCCCGGGTTCAAATGATTCTCCTGCCTCAGCCTCCTGAGTAGCTGGGATTACAGGCTCACACCACCATGCCTGGCAAATTTTTTATATTTTTAGTAGAGATGAGGTTTCACCATGTTGGCCAGGCTGATCTTGAACTCCTGACCCCAGGTGATCCACCTGCCTTGGCCTCCCGAAGTGCTGGGATTACAGGTGTGAGCCACTGCGCCCGGCCCCGGTATATTTTTAATAAGGTTCGCCACGGAATTTTTATTTATGGTAAGTAGTCACAGAAGAAAGTGCTCAGGATGGTTTGATAGCAGAATGTATTCTCTTTGTAATACTACTTTACCATTTATTATATGTTTATTCATTCAGCAAATATTTGTCAAACTGAGGATTCAATGCTTAACAAGACAGGCATGGGGCTTCTGTACACACTTGTTATTTTTATGATTGGAAAATGAATTGATCCTGTTTTAACAGAAATAGAAACATCTGCTGATTGAGTGAGGGAATGACAGCTTTCTGGGCTGTCTGTAGATTGCTTCTATCTGGTGCCCTTCCCAGCAGCCTGGCCTCTCTAGGGCTGCCTTGGCTATCCCTGTAATTCAGGGGTCCGTTAGGTGGGTTTCTCCAGGCCTTCCTACCAGCTGCTCCCTTTGAATGTTACTGAGTATCCCAGGAGAGGAGGCTACACAATCAAGTGACTTCAGGGGCCACTGCACATTGCAGCCTTATCTTGGAGATGATACCATACACATCAGCATATTCAAGGTTCTGATAAGTCCTGCAGCAAGAATGACAAAAAGCCAGAGCAAACACCTGCTTTTCTTTTTTTTCCATCTGTGTCTTATCCAGTGGTGTTTTGTGAGCCCCCAAAAGGAAGGCTTTTTATCTAGTTCCTAATGTACTTGACCATGGAACCTTTTTTCCATGTAGAATCTCCTTCCTTCAATCCCAAAATATCATATATCTACTTTGTGGCAGGCACCATGATGGATCCTGGGAATGATGATAATGAACGCAATAGATACAGCCTCTATTCTTAGACATCTTGCATGTATCAGGGAAGACAGGCACCAAGGCATACTTACAACCAAAGCATTCCACGACCATGTGATCCAGGAGAATTCCAGGGTCAAGAGCCAGGGTATTGGAAGCCAACCTGTCTACAGGTGACCAACACTGAACTTACTTTGGGAAACACTGTTCTAGGGTAAGAGGTCTCATGTATTTTTGGTGGGGAGATCTTTTCATGACTGAAAGACTCAAAAGGCCATTTTTATCCTCTGCCGTTGCATATTCTTCTAGAAGAATGTTTCTGCTTCTGTGAGATGCAAAAAAGCAATGTTCAGATTTGTATTACCTTTATACGCAAATCATTTCACATCAGGAACGAATGCAGCACTTTCAAATTGGGAGTCACAAAAGCCTGCTGAAAGGTGTTTGTGGAGTGCAGGGTGGGAAGGTCCTTGTATTAGTTCATTTTCACACTGCTGATAAAGACATACCCAAGACTGAGTGATTCATAAAGACAAAGAGGTTTAACGGACTCAGTTCCACATGGCTGGGGAGGCCTCACAATCATGGCAGAAGGCAAAAGGCACGTCTTACATGGCAGCAAGCAAGAGAGAATGAGAACCAAGCAAAAGAGGTTCCCCCTTATAAAATCAGACCTCATGACACTGATTCACTACCATGAGAACAGTATGGGGGGAAACCGCCCCCACGATTCAATTATCTCCCGCCGGGTCCTCCCACAACACGTGAGAACGATGGGAGCTACAATTCAAGATGAGATTTGGGTGGGGACACAGCCAAAGCATATCAGTCCCTGTTGCTGGAATGCTGGCCGAGAATCCTGGGTTCATATCCCAGAACCACCAATGAGCTAGTTTCTCCCACAATAATCCTAGCCACTTCCTTGTCCAGATATTTTAAGATGAGAAAAAAAGAAGACTGATTCTTTCAGTGACCAAAATCCACCTGGGTGTACAGGCTACCATCTCTCTGGGGGGACTCGGAGGGGTTTTCTAGCTCTTTCCAGCCTCAGATCCCATCCCAGGAGTACACAGTAAAACCGGACATGGAGTAGGAGGAGGAACCCTGATGATATTCAGGAAAACCCCCTCCTGGTGAGCAGACCGTCTTCAATTCAGTAAACCGAAGACTGATCTTGTCACATTCAGATGTGTAATTAATGCCTGCTACATCGCGAAAAGCATCTATACCAGGTAGACAGTAATTTACTTTCCCATAAAACTTTAACACTTTTGCTAGAAACACTATTTTTTTTTTCACAACACATTGAAAGACTATTATCCAGGCAGCCTCTCTTTCGCAGGGACGTAGGGAGGGAAAATCTTTTAAGGGACTGGCATTCCATATTGGTACTTGAGCGTCTTGGCAGTGGGACGCATCGCCCTCTCACAGGGGTGACTGCCTGACTAATGAGGTCGCCCCCAGCAACATCCACATTTTAGACTGTATTGTGTGAGCTGCCCCAAATTGAGGTGATCTCCTGTCCAGACCAGGCTGTACTTTGGTTATTTACTTGCAATGAGATATCAAGAGACTGAAAGTGGTTTAAAAAAAAAACAAAAATCTCTTCCCTAATATATGGTGTATTATTATTATTATTATTATTATTATTATTATTATTTTGAGATGGAGTCTCACTCTGTTGCCGAGGCTGGAGTGCAATGGCACTATCTCGGCTCACTGCAACCTCAGCCTCCTGGGTTCAAGCGATTCTCCTGCTTCAGCCTCCTGAGTACCTGGGATTACAGGCATGCATAGCCACCCCTGGCTAATTTTGTATTTTTAGTAGAGACGGGGTTTCTCCATGTTGGTCAGGCTGGTCTTGAACTCCTGACATCAGGTGATCCGCCTGCCTCAGCCTCCCAAAGTGCTGGGATTACAGGCGTGAGCCAACACGCCAGGCGTTTCTGTTTGTTTGTTTGTTTTATTTTTAGTAGAGATGGGATTTCACCATGTTGGCCAGGCTTGTCTCAATCCTCTGACCTCAAGTGATCCACCTGCCTTGGCCTCCCAAAGTGCTGGAATTACAGGTGTGAGCCACTGTGCCTGGCCTCACATCTCCTCCTTTTAACAGGATAAACTAAACAGGCCTCAAGAATGTGACCTCCCACGCTCCTCCATGAACAGCTCTCTCCCTGCGTCCCAGCAACCAAAGACACTTGTTGATTTGGGAAAAACCCAGAGGAAGGATTCTGTCTGGATTTTCTGGTACCACTGACGCATTTTCACCCAGGCACATTCATCTGGTTCAAGACTGAATCTTTCCCTTTTTCATGAAACAGATTCTCCCCCTCTTTTAAGCCTCTGTGGGCTCCAGAATGAGTTGAACCGCTGTATCTTCTCATCACAGCGTTTCCCTCTTTGGACATGGGCTGAGACACACAGATTTCACGACTTCCTCTTTGGAGAAGGCATGAAAGGACCTGCAGCCACGGCCCCATACGTTTCAAGAGAGGCAAGGCTTTCACCCTCCGTGTCTTTCACAGCCATCCGCCCACAGCCTCTTAACTTCCTGACATTAAACAAAAACGAAACCGAGGTTTCCCTAATTGGGGATCATCATCAAGAATCTGTCATGGGGTCTCTTAGAAATTAATTCAACTCGATTGTTCTTCAGACCTCCGCTAAGGAGCCGGCGTGTTACTCTCGACACCAACTTGTCCCATCTTCATCCTATATTAGCTCCCTAACAGGGTTGCACGATCAGCTCCTAGGCTGCAAATTAGAAAAATGGGCGATGATTCCAGCAGCTACGCCTCGGCACTCTCACGCCGGATTACTGTGATGGTCTCCTTGCAAGGCTTCCGGATCTTTCTATGTGGGTTGAAATTGGTTCCAACTGTAACTTCCTGTTGATCTCCCACCCTGAATTCCCTCATTGATGCAACATTTTGTTAAAAAAGAACTTCACCGAATTACCCATTTCATGGAAATTGCAATAGGGTATTGACTTGTATAGTTAATGAAGCTTTCAAAAAAGCACTCCTGTAGCCATCATCTAAATGCCCCTCTGGCCACCAAAACTGTGCATGTAATTCACTGTAGTGAGGATTCCTGAGTCTCCCTAAGGGAGATCCAGTAGGATCAGTTCTGGGTGGGATCCGTCAGCAAACACAACCTATTGCCCGCCTCCTTCTGGTTTCCAGTCCCGGGGGGTAATTGATGTCTTAGTGCACACAGAGCCGGACCATGGAGCTAAGTAGATATGGGTTTCCAACTCATCCCGGCCACTTCCCAGGGGCATGTCCAGGGGCAAGTTAGTAACTCTCTTGAACCTCAGTTTCCTCATCTGCAGAGTGTGGATCATCACAAACCTACCTTCTGGGGTTGCTAGGGGATTAAAGGAGATAAGGAGCATAGCAGGGCTGGCCCTGTGCCTGCCTGGAGTGGGCACCAAGCTGACTTCGCTGGGGCTCTCCCGGCCCCACATACCTGCAATGGTTTTGCCTTTGGCTCGATGTCTGAAGCCTTTGCATTTCTGAAGGGAGTGATGTAAATCAAGCCATGCTTATGATTAAAAACATCCAACGTTCAGCTCAGTTGTTTGTCCTATTTTGGCAACATCCTATTCTTTTGTTGTTGCTGTTTTTGAGATAGGATCTTGCTCTGGGGCCCAGACTGGAGTGCAGTGGTACAATCATGGCTCACTGCAGCCTCAACCTCCTGGGCTCAAGTGATCCTCCTGCCTCAGCCTCCCGAGTAGCTGGGACTATAGGTGTTCACCACCATGCCTGGCTAGTTTTTTAATTTTAATAGAGATGAGGTCTCATTATGTTACCCAGACTGATTTCAAACACCCAGGCTCAAGTGATCCTCCCACCTCAGCCTTCCAAAGTGCTGCCATTACAGGTATGAGCCACCACACCTGGCCAACCTTCTCCTCTTATCTGTGGGAAACCTTGGGGCATTACTGAAGAAAAAATTGTGATGTCCAAATCCTGCACTGTACCCCAGTGCAAGGTGGTAGGTGTTGAAGTAGAAAATGATAAGACGTAAATCGTCAGCAAAAGCCAAAGAGAGAGGTAAAAAATGTATGAGCACTAAATGAATTGATTTTCATAAAATTAGCGTTATACTGTATAATAATGTTTCCCAATATAAAGTCTTTTTCATATTAATATTTATAACATTGTAAAGATTAAATCATACCTTTGTGATTATTTTAATTTTTTTTAACCTTATTCTGTTCCAAAGATAAAGCTTGGTTGTGTTTTTTGTGTGTGTGGGGGGGGGGTTTGGGTTTTTTTTGGCCTTTATCTTTAGAATGTTCTAGTGACATTCTGAATTCTTCCAACAGGGCGATATTGTTATTTTAATAATGGTTATGCACAACACATATAGGAATCTGTCATGGAGTTGGTGGGAATGAAAAGGCTACTTAGATACCCAGCTTGAAAAGCTTTCATGTTTTTATGTTTAATTTGCAACAATCTTCCTTCTTTGCACAGGAGGTGATACATTACTGAAATAGGAGATCAGGCCAGGTGCGGTGCCTCACGCCTATAATCCCCACACTTTGGGCAGCCAACGTGGGAGGATCACTTGAGCTTCAGAGTTTGAGACCAGCCTGAGCCACATAGCAAGACCCCCCTTTTCTACAAAAAAAAAAAAAAAAATTAAAAATTAGCCGAGCATGGTGGCATGCATCTGTGGTCTCAGCTACTCAGGAGGCTAAGGCAGGAGGATTGCTTGAGCCCGGGAGGTAGAGGCTGCAGTGAGCTATGATTGAACCACTGCACTCCAGCGTGGGCAACAGAGCAAGACCTTGCTCTAAAAAATTAAAAAAAAAAAAATAGGAAGGAAGAAAATAGGAAATCAACCAATGCAGCTCTCACCACCTCCTACATCCGGTTCTGGGGTTCTGGGTGGTGGGGCGCCTGCGTCCTGCTGTAGGGTCAGGACAAACAGGCATGGCTGCACAGCTGTGCTCCCCCTGGCTGGCTCCCGCAGGCTCCCAATGCCTTTGGGAGGTCAGCCTCTCAAGCTGAGTGCCCAGAAACTACACAAACCCCAACAGGCCGTGCAGGAAATGAGACCCACAGCCACGTCACCAGCCTCATTTTTGCAAGCTGATGGAGGTGGGGAAACCCTACCCTTCTTCCTTTAGCAGCAATAGCTTTTCTTTTTTTTTTTTTTATCATGCTTTTTTTTTCATACTTACCAATATTTTTAAGTTTGAGCTTCATTTCAAATTTTTGACCTGAGTAATGATGCCATGCACACAGTTTGCCCAATCTTTCCCCAGCTACCTCTTGGGTCCTATATTAGTATGCTGGGCCTGCCACGACAAAGTACCACAAACAGGGCAACTTAAACAACAGAAATGTATGGCCTCATGGGGCTGGAGGCCAGAGGTCCAAGATCAAGGTGTTGGTAGGGTTGGTTCCTTCTGGGGGCAGAGAACCTGCCCCAGGCCTCTCCCCAGCTCCCGGTGGTTCTCCACAATCTGCAGTGATCCTCGACTTGTAGACGCATCCCTCTGATCTCCACCTTCATCCTCACGTGTGCTCTCCTGTGTGTCTGTGTCCAAATTTCCCTTTTCATGAAGACACTAGTCATCTTGGTTTAGGGCCCACCCTAAGAACCTCATCTTGACTTGATTATCTGCAAAGACCCTGTTTCCAAATAAGATGGCATTTGCAGGCATTGGGGGTTAGGACATGATCTTTTGGAGGTTTAACATCGTTTGTGGGGACATGATTTAGCCCTGACAGGCGCCCTCCTTGCCTGGGTCTCTTCCGTCACCACCCAGTGCAGGCCGTGAGCTCGCTCCATCTGACTTAGAGAGCCCATCCCCTCCTCCACTCTGTACTGTCTCTGATCCCTTCTCCTGCCGGAGGGTGGAGGGGTGGGTGCCCCAGGAAGCAGACTCAGAGAGGGAGGAGACTGTGCAGGAGATCTGTCAAGGGGTTCTCTTAGGACTGGCATCCGGGGAAGGGAAAAGTACAGAATTAGGCAGGAAGGATATTGAGCTTTGAGGCAGCCTCCGTGAAGGCTTCAGACAACCCTGAAGGGAATCTGGAAATGGGGTGGGGAGACCCTCAGAGCTGAGTCTGGGCCTTTTTACCCCTCGTTGATCATGCATCAGCTGCTGGCTGTCCTGGAATGGAGTATGCCTCAGAGCCAGCACGTTCCCCACAGCCACTATCCCTGAAGGATGGGGAGCCGGGA
This sequence comes from Homo sapiens, assembly GCF_000001405.40. Classification (NCBI taxonomy): domain Eukaryota; kingdom Metazoa; phylum Chordata; class Mammalia; order Primates; family Hominidae; genus Homo; species Homo sapiens. Next base: position 3,091,488 of record NC_000007.14, on the reverse strand, counting down.
CTTTCTGCCAGCAGCCCTCCCACCACCCAGGGACTAGGCCTTCATTTCTGCAGGGCCATGTGGTGGGGGCAGTCCAGCCCCCTGCGAGCAGCCAGGGTGGCCTTTATTTTTATTTTTTTAAGATAGGGTTTCTCTCTTGTCGCCCAGGCTGGAGTGCAGGGGCAGGATTGTAGCTCACTGAAGCCTTGAACTCCCGGGTTCAAGCAATTCTCCCACCTCAGCCTCCTGAGTAGCTGGGACTACAGGTGTGTACCTTCACGCCTGGCTAATTATTTTTTGTAGAGCTGGGGTCTCACTGTTTTGCCCAGACTGTTCTCGAACTCATGGCCTCAAGTGATTCTCCTGACTCAGCTTCCCAAAGTGCTGGGATTACAGGCATGAGCCACCAGGCATGCCCCAGCTGGTCTTTCTAAAACACAAATTTGACCAAGTTACTCCCTTTACATCCTTCAGGGGTTCCCATTACTCTTAGGATAAAGACTAAAGTGTCTTAACTTGACCCTCCAAGCCTGGCCCTTGCCCCCTCCACATCTCTTCTTGCCCTGCGCCCCTCCCTTTCCACTCTGACCTCCTGCTTGCCATGAGCCCCCTGCCACAGGGCCTTTGCAAATGCTCATTCCCCAGCCTGGATGGCTTTTTTTTTTTTTTTTTTTTAAAAACCTAATTGACTCTCTCTCATCTTTTGGGCCACTTCCTCAGAGAAGCTCCCCTCCTTTTGAGCGAGTCCAACCCTCCTACTGTAGACTGTGAGAACACTGTGTAACTCTTCTTTGTAGAAATTTGTGGCTGGGTGTGGTGGCTTACATCTGTAATCCCCGTACTTTAGGAGGCTGAGGTGGGAGGATCCCTTGAGTCCAAGACCAGCCGGGACACAGGGAGACCCCTTCTCTACAGAAAACAATCTTTTAGTGGCACACACCTGTGGTCCCAGCTATTCAAAAGGCTGAAATGGGAGCATCACTTGGTCCAGGAGTTAGAAGCTGCAATAAGCTCTGATCAAGTCACTGTACTGCAGCCTGGGCAACTGAGTGAGACCCTGTCTCAAAAGATAAATACATTTGTGAGGTTTTGTTTTGTTTTTTGTTTTTTTTTTTTTTAAACAAGTTCTTGCTCTGTTTCCCAGGCTGAAGTGCAATGGCACCATCATAGTTCACTGCAGCCTCAACCTCTTGGGCTCAAGGGATCCTCCCACCCCAGACTCCTGAGACTCTGGGACTACAGGTCCACACCACTACGCCTGGATAATTTTTTTTTTTTTTAAGAGACAGGGTTTTGCCATGTTGCCCAGGCTGGTCTCAAACTCCTGAGCTCAAGTGATCCACCCACCTCAGCCTCCCAAAGCACTGGGATCGTAGGCGTGAGCCACAGCACCCGGCCTAAATTGATGATTTTTTACATTTGTTTATGCAATTATTTGGTTATTGTCTAGCTTCCCACTGAATCGTAAGTGCCATAAGAATAGGGCCATGTCTGATTTTTCTTCCCAGTTGTCCTTCAAGAGCCTTGCACAGGCCTGGCCCATAGTAGGTACCCTACGCATGAATGAAGGAACGAATGAATGCACTCATCAGTTAGTAACTCCCACGATGGAGCATTTCACGGGAAATCTGCAGTACATTCACATTCACTGTTTAAAAAAATAAAAAAGGAAAGAACTTGATATGTTCCTGTCCCCTGAAAGCTATAAGAGATTGGCTGTCCAGCAGGTTAACAAACAGCAGTGGGTCTTGAGAGACACGAGGGAGCCATTTGTCCCAGCAAGGATGGAATTTGCAGGTTGTGGGGATTTAGTAAATGTCCCCCTAGTGGACCGAGAAAGAATGCGCTGCCCCAAGCTGAGCCTGACCCGGCCACCTCCCTCCAGAGGGGTCTCCTGGTGGAGACGGGGAGTGGGTACCACTGCCGTCTGCCTGGAATGCAACCCAGAGATCTTTTCCAGCGGTTTGCGTTCCTGCCGGGCATTTCCCGGGCTAATATATTAAAAGCCAGAAGGTGGGAGGGCAGGGGTTACTTGCATGACAAATGACCCTCAGAGTACCATTCGTGTAGACCAATTGGAGCTGGCCATGATCCCGGTCAAGCTGCTAACGAGGTACCCTCTGGTGCCTCCCCACTTTCAGCAGAATCATTCCCTTCCCACCACATCCCATCATTCCTGCTTCCTGCTGGTCCCCAGACCCTTCGCTGACACTGTCGGCACCCCTCACCTGTCCCTGTGCATGGGCGCTGAGCTCCAGCGTGCGGTGTCTTCTGACATTTGCAGCCACCCTGCGAGGTAGGCTCTGTCACTCCAATTGTACAGATGGGTAAATTGAGGTCAAGTGACTTGCCCCAGCTTGAACTCTACTCAGTTAGTGGTCTTCTTGAAAGCCGCCCACTGGGGAGCTGAAATTTAAAACAATGGAACTTGTGGAGATAGAGAAGTAGAAGGATGGTTACCAAAGGCTGGGAAAGGGAGTGGGAGGGGGCGTGAGGGGGAGTGAGGAGGGCTAATGGGCACAAAAAAATAATTAGAAAGAATGAATAAGACCTAGTATTTGCTGGCACAACAGGGTGACTGTAGTCAAAAATAATTCGTACATTTAAAAGTAACCAAAAGAGGCCGGGCACGGTGGCTCATGCCTGTAATCCCTGTACTTTGGGAGGCAGAGGTAGGTGGATCACCTGAGGTCAGGAGTTCAAGACCAGCCTGGCCAACATAGCAAAAACCCATCTCTACTAAATATAGAAAAGTTAGCCGGGCATGGTGACAGGTGCCCATAATCCCAGCTACTCAGGAGGCTGAGGCAGGAGAATCGCTTGAACCTGGGAGGCGGAGGTTGCAGTGAGCCGAGATCATGCCACTGCACTCCAGCCTGAGCAACAGAGGGAGACTCTGTCTCCAAAAAAAGAAAAAAAAAGTAATCAAAACACTAAAATTGGTTGTTTGTAACACAAAGGAGAAGTGTTTGAGGGGATGGAGACCCCATTTACCCTAATGTGATTATTATGAATTGCATGCCTGGATCACAACATCTCATGTACCTCATAAATATATACAACAACTATGTACCCACAAAAATTAAAAATAAGATTAAAACAATGTCTCCCGTGAGTACTGGCTCCCCAACATGGGAACTGCGGCAGGCAGGAGTCTTGTAAAAATGAAAGGGTTTGAGGGTGAAGGTCTATTAAGAAGGCAGGACAGCAGGTATTAGTGCTTGGCATCTGCCCTTAGCAACCACCCTGCTTTCTAAAGCCTCCACCTAGGGCAAAGGCATGCTTGATGCTGGTCTTTCTGTAGAGCCAGGGCCTGAGGAGCCCCAGGGGAGGACACACCAGGTCTTTGGCTGTCTCTGCCAGAAACCTCTGGTGGTTCCATTGCACCAACGGCAATCACTCAGTCTCCTTTTTTTTTTTTTTTTTTTTTTTGAGACAGAGTCTCACTCTGTCGCCCAGGCTGAAGTGCAATGGCTCGATCTCGGCTCACTGCAACCTTTTCCTCCCAGGTTCAAGGGATTCTCCTGCTTCAGCCTCCTGAGTAGCTGGGATTACAGGCACCTGCCACCACGCTCGGCTAATTTTGTATTTTTTTTTTTTTTTTTTTTTTTTTTAGTAGAGATGGGGGTTTCACCATCTTGGTCATGCTGGTCTTGAACTCCTGACCTCATGATCCACCTGCCTCAGCTTCCCAAAGTGCTGGGATTACCCACGTGAGCCACCACATCTGGCCTCACTCTCCTTCTTTTTTGCATTCTTAGTTCCTGCCACACCAAGACAAAGCTTTCACCAGCCCTCTGAAGGAAGCTTACCCCATGTCAGGGTCTGGGGTCAGAATGACCAGCTTGCTCCTATTCCTGGCTCCGGGCATGGCCATGGACATGAGACAAAGACCTCCGGAGCTCTGAGTGTTTTTGTTTTGTTTTGTCTTGTTTTGTCTTTTGTGTCCAAGCCCTGAATGGCAGGTCAAACTAAGAGCCGGCTGACAGGGAGAAGAAACCCCTCTCACCCCCTGTGGCCTTCTGTTCCCAGCCCTTCTCAGAAAGTAGATGTTTATGCAGTAAATTCTTTCCTACCACATCATCAGTGCATGACCATAGCATTTTCCCCCTACCGATAGGATCATCCGTCAATGCCAGCAAGTGAAGATACAGATTTCCTGAGCTTCTGGCAAAACTCGGTGGCTGAAAGCACACACCTGTTCCAAGGAGGGTCTGCCAGGGTAGGACAATGACAGCATCACCCGAGAGAATTCCACAGGGGAAGGTGTGGGGCTGGGCAGCTCTTCCTCAAGGTGAAAAGAGAGAACCCACGTCTCCTGCAGCCAGCAGCCCTGTTCAGTGGCACCCTGATGGCACGGTGGTTGCTTCCACTGGGGTTGGAGTCTAGGCTTTCTCCCCCAGGTAAGAGGAGCCCACCTTGATTTGCCGCTGCAATCTAAGAAGCCTAGACATTTCTCAGGGAGAGAGGCAGGCAAGGCTACCATGAGAAGGTGTGGACATGGGCTTCTAAGACACGAAAATGAAAAATGACACTCTTCAGCTCAGCAAAATTTGAAAGCAAGACCACTCCTGAATCTCTCTGAATGCTTGCTTTGTAGCCTGCGGGCAAAGCTGTCATTTCAGACTAAACTCAGCCAGCGAGGAACTAATGCTGATAGTCTCATCATTTTCTTCCACTTCTCCTGACTTTTTTGTCTTGTTAATACATCGTAAGTAATTCTTCCTCGTGTTAACAGTGGCCTTGTTTCACGCCCCGGCATTCTGCGGGTGTGACATTGAGTTCTGTGGAAGAAGGTTCCACTGTCAAATTTAGATAAATGAATAAGGTGAGATCGTCCACATTTTCCCGGTCCCACACCTCATCTCAAAATATTAAGCCCCTGCTTTTCAAATATACGGTCGGCATCTGTGTGCATTTTGTAAGGACAAAATAGTAAATATTATCTTCCTCTTCTCTGGCCATCAGCTGAGGACATGCGGGAAGACAGTGTTGTAATTCTTCTCTTTATGAAGGTGAAAGGCATTACCTGCGGGAGATTAGCTAAGTCTGACCTTGACTCTCACGTGCTTTTGGCTCCATCTTTCAGCTATTTCAAAGAAGAAGGACTTTGAAGTGTTGAGGTAGGAGCCTGTATCATCTCTTTGCTGGTTTGCAGGTAAGTAGGCAGTACCCCTAGGCCTCCATCCGTGAATCTCTGAGATCCTCTTTACAATTTCTGAAACAAAAATGGGCTAAACCTACATTAGTCAGAACTATGCTCTCCTGACAATGGGCTCTGAAAAAAACAAACAAACAAAAACACCAAAACAGCTGACGCGGAGGGAAAATATCACTTCATTCATTGGGTTTCTGTTTGGGTTTGTTTCTTTCTTGTTTTTTTTTTTTTTTTTCCTTTTTGATCTATAAGATGCCAACAACTGATTTGACTGATTTCCTCTATTATTTCCAGAATGCTTAGCATTCTGAACACACTCGGGTTTTCGTATATTAATTTCTATTTTTGCTTTCATTGGGTTCATTTCAGAGCAATTTATCAGGTTTAAGCTGGAAGTTGTTTTCATCCTAAGAACCCTGGATTTAAAATCAGGGACCTGAATTCCTGAATCAGCCTTGTACATGTTTTTCCCAATGAGTCTTCTATTCTGAGCCCTGATTTTGTCGGCCTGGAGATGAGACAAGGGACAAGGGGCCTTCATACCTGCCTGCCTCCTGACCACTAAGAGTCCTTTGTAGGCTGTAAAGCTCTGGTCACCGCTCCCATCTATCACTTGGTGACCTCAGGATCCCACCAGTGTCACCCCTGACATGTCATTAGAATATTGTCACCTAAAATTCCCAGTTCAGTCTTGGTCCTCTTCTCCAACTCCGGGATTGTGTCTTCCTCTGATGTCAGGAACATGAAGGGGTGTTGGATGGGACAGGGTCACTGATGACACTGAAACAGGAGAACCTCCCTTATCCCCCTCTCAGGGCATTGTGACAGGAGTACGGCTCGATTCTTTGGTGCCCCGCTGCCCAAACCCCTGGGGGAGCATACAGACAGGCAGTTCGTGGGGAGCGTTTTGGGGCTCTGACCCCACAGCAGCATCTAGTGTTGAGGGGTTACAGCTCCCGAAGCCCCAGTGGGCGTGTGTTACAGTACACTCTTTCAGCTTTGCTGTCTGCAGGCAGCTTGTGGTCATCAGCTCAATTAGACCCTCTGCCTTATCGCAAGGACAGAGCGCTACTTTCTGTATCCCAGGTTCTTGCCTTAGAGTACCAGAAAAATCAGACCACACATGGGCTTGGAGAATGGGTGCAAGGTTTTTTGCTGTTGTTGTTGTTTTTGTTTTGAGATGGAGTCTCGCTCTGTTGCCCAGGCTGGAGTACAGTGGCATGATCTCGGCTCACTGCAACCTCCGCCTCCTGGGTTCAAGCAGTTCTCTGCCTCAACCTCCCAAGTAGCTGGGATTACAGGCGCCCACCACCATGCCCGGCTAATTTTTGTATTTTTAGTAGAGACGGGGATTTCACCATCTTGGCCAGGCTGATCTTGAACTCCTGACCTCATGATCCACCCACCTCAGCCTCCCAAAGTGCTGGGATTACAGACGTGAGCCACCACACCCGGCTGGATGCAAGGTTTTATTGAGTGGTGGAGGTGGCTCCTAGCAAGATGGATAGGGAAAAAGAAGGGGAATGGAGTGGGAAGGTGGTCTTTTCCTGGAGTCAGGCCACCCAGCAGCCGGACTCTCCTGCAGCCACCCCCGGCCAAATTCCCCTTGGCGTCAGCGTAGTTCTGCTGTCACTGGCTGCCAGCGTCTGCTGGTGTCTGTTGGTGTGCTATTCTGCTCCTCTTAATGTCCAGCTACTTGTGTCTGCGCTCGCTAGGGTCTGGGGTTTTTATGGGCACAGGATGGGCAGCGTGGTGGGCCAAAAGACAACTTTTCGAGTGTGAAAACAGAAATACCTGTCCTCATTCAGGTCCGTAGGCCCAGGTCCAAGGGTGGAGCTTTTGCCAGGGACACTGCCCTTCTCTACCCAGCACTTCTCTGCCCCCGCTTCCATACTACCACCTCCAGGGACTCTCTAGGGCCCATCATTGTCCCCCGTCTCTGCACTGTCCCACTGCAGGCCCCCTATCCCGGGACACCCACACCCATTCACCTCCATGTTCATCCAGACATGCATGCCTATTCCATCTGCTGTCACCACAGACCTTGGTGGCATCTTGTCCACATCAGAATTTCAATCGACCCCCTCCAGAACCAGCTCAGCATCTCACACACCCCCTATCAGGACTGGCATCTCTTCCTTGCTTCTGACTCCTTCTTTGTGTCCATGAGATGTCTGATTCTTCATTCTCACCAGGGCATCCTGGCCTGTCTGTGCTCAGCTTCCTGGTGATACCCAGACCCCCACTGGTTCCTACATTGCCCCCTCCAGGAGACCAACAGCTCCTGGTTAATGGTGCCATCAACACTCTCCTTGGGCCATCTCCCCATCTCTGTGTCTTCTAGGGTGTCTTCTCACTGTATCCATTTGATGAATTGCAAACTACACACTCTGCTTATATTTGCATAGGAAGTTGGTAATTAGCTGCAGAGCATTTTGTTAAACTTCTACATGAAAGATGGTGGAGGAAAATTAATTGCATCGTATTGTATTGTACTCCTGAGAGAGTGGCGCGCTCCCTGGCCCGGCTCCGATCTGCCCGCTATATTACCATCCTGAAAATTGCTATTCTTGCCTTTGATTACTGGGTCTTTTCAGCCTCAGAATTAGTTTTCAGGGTACAGAGCAGTTTCTACCAACTCGATCTTTTTTCAGGAGGGTCTTGTTTACCAAAGTTAATTTTGCTCATATTGCAACGTGCTTGAAAATAAGTATGAATCTTGTTTATTTTCAGTTGCTGTGTTCCACCAGCAAGTAGCAATTGGGACTAAATTACCAGCATTCAAGGAATGTGCTCACATATTTCAGAGCTGTTGAGAAACATTTGGCTGGACAAAGTCGAGTTCAAACAAGCTATAAACCAAACCAGGGTTTGGTTTAGGACATCCCCCCAGAGTGAGTTCCTTGGTGCCGCACCTCAGCTGGTGGGGTGGGCAGGGAGTGTTGTATTAGTTTTAGCTTCCAGAGCCAATCACAGTTTCACCATCTGCCTCTCCCACATCCCTGGCAGGCAGGCTGAGGACAGCACCCACTTAAATGGTACCTAGCCCATTATAAATGCAAACCTTTTTATTTCCTTGTAAATAAATCTCTGCTTCTTTCCAAGGCTTTCCTAAAGGAATGGGGCTGCCGAGGAGGGATGTTGTACTTTGCTCAACGCGGTTATTCTCAGTTTCTTCCCCAAAAGCAAATGGAGCGCTTCCCCCTTGTTGTCATGGCAATGGCAGGGTTGCAAGACAGAGGGCTCTAGTGCACAGCCTTCTTGAGACTTAGACTCCCAATGGGGTTGTCATAACTTCCGCTGTCTCCTATTGGCTGAAGCAAATCACATGATCAGCTTAGATTCAAGAGGTGGGAAACAGACCCCACCTCGTGGTAGGAGATGCTACCAAGTCAGAAAGCAAAGGGATTTAGAAGGAAGGGGGCACGGGGAGGTCAATGGACAGATGTCTATGGTGGGCTTCCCACTTGCTGGGAAAATGATCCCAGTAACTTCCTGCCCTCATGCGGTTTGCAATCCGCAAACGGCAAAGCGCACAGGGGCACGTGCACTGGCCCTGTGTGAGAAGCACTACTTTGGAGAGGAGTTCAGGAGTCTGAGAAACCAGAGCATGGCCACTTGCTTTTGGCTGAAGACCCAGACAGGGGCTTTGGGAGGAAGTGGCATTTCAGCTGCAGCCTGAAATCTTTTTATTTTTTAGAGACAGAGTCTCGCTTCGTTGCTCAGGCTGGAGTGCAGTGGTGCAATCGTAGCTCACTGCAGCCCTGAACTCCTAGGCTCAAGTGATCCTCTTGCTTAAGCCTCCCAGGTAGCTTTGACTACAGGTCAAATGTGCCACCACACCGGGCTCATTTTTAAAATATTTTCGTAGAGATAGGATCTCACTATGTTGTCCAGGCTGGTCTTGAACTCCTGGGCTTAAGCGATCCTCCCACCTCTGCCTCCCAAAGTGCTGGGATTACAGGTGTGAGCCACAGTGACTGGCCTGAAATCTTGACTCTTGCAGCCGAGATAGAGCTTTTCTTATTGGCCTCAAACCAGGGCTTATCCCACCTCTGTTATTTAACATGTATAGATTTCCTGGGATACACCATAAACCTTAAAAACCCTGTCACTGAGAATGTGGGTCAGTTCTGGGTTTTCCTTTGGACTTAATTTCAGGGAGGCATATCTTCCTCTCTGATTGATGGCTGCTTGGCAGGGCCTCCTAACTCTGTTTCTAAGCATTTCTGTCCTTCGTAAGTACTTCCAATCTCCTCGATCCCAGCCAGGAGTGAATACCCTGCCAGTGATCCCTTAGACACACTGGGATGCTTCTGTAACTGGGTGATCCTATGGTGAATCCTTCTGTAAAGCCAAGAATCATTTTATTTATTTACTTATTTACTTATTTATTTACTATTTTGGGGACAGGGTCTTGCTCTGGCACCCAGGCTAGAGTGCAATCACAGCTCACTGCAGCCTCAAACTTTTGGGCTCCAGCGAGAATTTGTAATGTTTTTAATGTGGATAATTGGCTTCCTGATTAATGTGGATAATTTTTTAGTGTGGATAATTGGCTTCCAAATTACTCAAAAAAAAAATTTTTTTTTTTTTTGAGGTGGAGTCTCACTCTGTCGCCAGGCTGGAGTGCAGTGGCACGATTTTGGCTCACTGCAACCTCCGCCTCCCGGGTTCAAGTGATTCTCCTGCCTCAGCCTCCTGAACAGCTGTGACTACAGGTGTGCACCACCATGCCCAGCTTATTTTTGTATTTCCAGGAGAGACGGGGTTTCACCGTATTGCTCAGGCTGGTCTCAAACTCCTGACCTCAAGTGATCCGCCCACTTCGGCCTCCCAAAGTATTTGGATTACAGGTGTGAGCCACCACACCCAGCCTGATCTTCTCTTCTTATAAGGACACCAGTCCTATTTGGTTAGGACCCAAACTAATGACCTCACTTCACCTTAATTACCTCTGTAAAGACCCTATATCGAAATGTAGTCACATTCTGAGGTCCTGGGGGTTAAGATGTCAACATATGAACTGGGAAGGGGTGAGACACAATTCCACCCATACCAGGGTGTTTTGTTTCAAAATATCACCGTTGGCATAAGTAAGAAATACTCTTAGTCAGTGCCAGGCACCATGTCTGCACTGGGATTCTAAGCAAGGACAAACCAGGTTTGTCCTCCTGGTTGTCAAGGAGCTCATGGGCTGGAGTGCTTCTTCATCTGGAACCCACACCAGGACCAGCCACACACATGTGCACCACACACGCGCATCCCAGCCTAGAACCTTCACTCCCTACCCCTCAAACTCAGAGTCTGCCTTTGCCAAGCAAATTGCCATTAATGTTTTTAATGTGGATAATTGGCTTCCCGATTAATGTGGATAATTTTTTAGTGTGGATAATTGGCTTCCAGATTACTCAAGCTGGTTTTTTTTTTTTTTTTGAGATGGAGTCTCACTCTGTCACCAGGCCGGAGTACAGTGGCATGATCTTGGCTCACTGCAACCTCTGTCTCCCGGGTTCAAGTGATTCTCCTGCCTCAGCCTCCCGAACAGCTGGGACTACAGGTGTGCACCACCACGCCCAGCTAATTTTGTATTTTTAGTAGAGATGGCATTTCACCATGTTGGCCAGGATGGTCTCGATCTCTTGACCTCGTGACCTGCCTGCCTCAGCCTCCCAAAGTGCTGGGATTACAGGCGTGAGCCACCACTCTCGGCCCAGATTACTCAAACATTTTAGCCAGATTACTCAAACATTTTAAGTTCAGATTCTTACATTCAAAAGGAAATGCTCAGTAATCCTCTAGACTGATGGCAAACTTAACCCTGTTTCTCTAGCCCCCTTTCTAAATCCAGGCCTTCTAAACCATTTGCTTTCTGACTGTGTAGCAACTCCCACCAAGGGATGGGGTCTGTTTCCATCCTCTTGAATCTAAGCTGATCATGTGATTTGCTTTGGTCAATAGGAGGCAGCAGAAGTTATGACATCCCCATTGGGAGTCTAAGTCTCAGGAAGTCTGTGCACTAGAACCCTCTGTCTTGCAACCGTGCCGTTGCCATGACAACAAGCCCGGGCTCTCTGCTGGAGCATGGGAGGCCATGTGGATCATAGCCCATCAAGGACCTGCCAACGGCCACCCAAGCTCTGGCATAGGTGAGCTCAGCCCGGTTCAGCAGAGCCACCCCTCCCACCCATAGACCCCTGAGCAATGATAAATGGTTGGGGTATATATTCATTTGCTAGAGCCACCAAAACAACATACCACAGACCGGGCAGCTTAAACGATAGAAATTCATTTTCTCACAATTCTGGAGGCTGGAAGTGCAAGATCAAGGTGTCTGCAGGGCTGCTTTCTCCTGAGCCCTCTCTCCTTGGCTTGTAGAGGCCATCTTCTCCCTGTGTCCTCACATGGCTGTCCCCCTGTGTGTGTCTGTGTCCTGATCTCCTTTTTTTTTTTTTTTTTTTAATTTTTTGAGTCATGTACTATTGCCCAGACTGGAGTGTAGTGGCATGATCATGGCTCACTGCAGCCTCCACCTCTCGAGCTCAAGCTATCCTCCAGCCTCGGCCTCCTGAGTAGCTGGGACTACAGGCACATGGTAGCATGCCTGGCTGATTTATTTTATTTTTATTAGAGAAGTCTCACCACGTTACCTAGGCTGGTCTCGAACTCCTGGCCTCAAGCAATCCTTTCTCCTCAGCCTCCCAAAGTGCTGGAATTACAGGCATAAGCCACTGTGACCGGCCTGATCTTCCCTTCTCTTCTTCTTCTTCTTGTTTTTTTGTTTGTTTGTTTGACAGTCACACTGTCACCCAGGCTGGAGTGCAGTGGTGCAATCTCGGCTCACTGCAACCTCTGCCTCCTGGATTTGAGTGCTTCTCCTGCCTCAGCCTCCCAAGTGGCTGGGATTACAGGCTCGCCAATTTTTTTATTTTTAGTAGAGATGAGTTTTCACCATATTGCCCAGGCTGGTCTCAAACTCCTGACCTCAAGTGATCTGCCCACTTCGGCCTCCCAAAGTGTGGGGATTACAGGTGTGAGCCACCATGCCCGGCCTGATCTTCTCTTTTTATAAGGGCACCAGTCCTATTGGGTTAGAACCCAACCTAATGATCTCACTTCACCTTAATTACCTCAGAAAAGACCCTATATCAAAATGTAGTCATATTCTGAGGTCCTGGGGGTTAAGATGTCAACATACGAACTGGGAAGGGGCGAGACGCAATTCAACCCATACCAGGGTGTTTTGTTTCAAAACATCACTATTGGCATGAGTAAGAAATACTCTTAGTCAGTGCCAGGCACCGCGTCTGCACTGGGATTCTAAGCAAGGACAAACCAGGTTTGTCCTCCTGGTTGTCAAGGAGCTGATGGGCTGTGAGTGCTTCTTCATCTGGAACCCACACAGGGAGCAGCCACACACATGTGCACCACGCACGTGCATCCCAGCCTGGAACCTTCACTCCCTACCCCTCAAACTCAGAATCTGCCTTTTCCAAACAGACTCCAAAGAAACACAGGAAGAAAGAGAGAAAACGTCCCACTCCCCTTGTAGCTGAACTCTCCGTCACACAATCAGCAGTTACATTTCCCTGCCCCAGGCCACAGCTTGTTCTGTTTTAATTAACTTGCCTTTTATTGAATTTCCATATTCGTCACCAAACACCAACGCATCTCTACATGTGTCTATGATGTCAGTGATCACACTGCGTGTCGCTCTGGGTCACGCATGACCTCTGATCATGGGAAGGAACAGTAAGGCCCACATTGGGAGTTATTTGTGCTTTGATCTTGCTTCAGTAGGATTGGGGTGAGGCTGCAGGAAGAAGGCATGAGGAGATAAGGGGGGTCTGGACATGCCGGTGGTCTGGACGTGCTGGCAGCCTCGAATCCACCCTCACTAGCAGCACGGGGAGCACAGACAGCCTTCAGGGCTTGGTTATGCTGCATAAAGAGTGAGACCTGCATGGCACTGGTGGCTGCGTGTAATGTGCACTTTATTCCTTTATTTGTAAGAGCAAGAAACTGAAATGGTGACGGGGAGACACAAAACGCACAAATCAAGTTGAAGCAGAGGGTTGCCTTCTCACCAAGTCCTTGTAGGGATAAGGCCGGACTGACAATAACAGAGTAAGGCCAGCGCTCTCAGCATAGACGTATATACTCTACTCCTCGCTTGGAAAAACTTTGGAGTCCCATCCGAATGGAAGGATGTCAGCTTCAGGAGTTCAGGGAATTTTGTCAGCTTGGTTCACTGCCCTGTCTCCCATGTCTAGAGATCATGCTTGGCACAGAAGACAATGCTCAATGATTTTTTTCCTTAATGAATGTTTTTCCTCTCTTCACGTGATGGTCTGTCCTGTGTTGTGTTCTGCAGACACGGATCTGACATGAGGATTGGGGCACCCCAGGAGAAACTGGGGAGGGAGTGAGGGAGAGCGGGGAGCTGGCAGGGAAGGGGTGGAGCCCGGCAAGGCTGTGAGGTCCGGGAAGGCTCTGTGGACTGTGGCTTCAGCCTGGGCCCATGGAGAGGGAGCACTGGAGGGAGAATTAGGGCTCCAAGTTGCCCTCCCGCCCCCAACCTCTTCACTCATTGGCCAAGTGTCCCTCTGGGGAACATCAGCCCTCAAGTACTCCAGCCACCTGTGCCTTCCAGGCCATCATCTCCAGGAGCCCGAGGGAGAGGTGAGGTGCAGGCCCACTGGGGGCCAAAGCATGCTAAAGTGGGGTCAGGTACACCCGGAAATGCAGAAGGGATCCACAGGACCCCGGGGAGAAGTTTAATTTGGGAATCTGCAAGCCAAATGGGAGTCAGTGAGTTGGTTCATTACCCCCCAGCGTGGTTAATTTTATGTGTCAGCTGGGCCAGGCCATGGTACCCAGATATATGGTAAACAGCAGCCTAGCTGTGGCTGTAAAGAGAATTTTTAGATGAGATGAATATTTAAGTCAGTAGACTTTGAGTCAAGCAGATTACCACCCCACTCCATAATGTGGGTGGAGGCTCATCCTACCACCTGAAGGTTTTAACAGAAAAAAGAGGTCGAACGTGGTGGCTCATGCCTGTAATCCCAGCATATTGGGAGGCCGAGGCAGGCAGATCACTTGAGGCCAGGAGTTTGAGTCCAGCCTGGCCAACATGGTGAAACCCCATCTCTACTAAAAATTAGCCGGGCTTGGTGGCACATGCCTGTGGTCCCAGCTACTGGGGAGGCTGAGGCACAAGAATCGCTAGAACCTGAGAGGTGGAGGTTGCAGTGAGCCGAGATCATGCCACTGAATTCCAGCCTGGGTGACAGAGCGAGATTCTGACTAAAAAAAAAAAAAAGGAGAGAGAGAAACAAAAGACTGACATTCCCCAAGGAAAAGGGAATTCTGCCTGCAGACTCTCTTCAAACTGTCCAGGCTATTGATGCAACATTACCTCTTCCCTGGGCCTCAAGCTTGCTGGTCTTCCCTGCAGACTTTGGACTTACTGGGCTCCACAATTGCATAAGCCATTTCCTAAAATAAATCTCACTCTCTTTCACTCTGTCTCTCTCACATAATACATCACACACGTGCATATACCTACATATACGTATAGATATATATATACACACACACACACATACATATGTATGTCATGTTGGTCCTATGTCTTTGGAGAATTCAGTCTTATCCACCCACTGAAAGATCTTGGCCATGAATGCTCAATGTGCTCAGATTGGAACATGGAGAATATGCACTTGGCAAACCTGGATGGGAACCTAGAGATCATCATCACATCTGGGGCTGCAGAGCCAGCTGCCTGCAGGGGCCAGGCAGGTAGCTCAGATGTATGAAGTGGGCAGGTGTAGGAGATAAGATGAGGACTGTGACAAGCCAAAGAAGCAGTCAAAGCTGTTCCTGTCATCTGTTGCTGTGTGAGAAACCACCCCCAAACTTCGTGGCTTAAACAATAATCATTGTATTATTTCTTATGATTCTGTGTGTTGCCTGGGCTTAGCTGGGTGGTTCTTCTGCTCTCTCTATGAATACATATCAGCTAGGGCTGTATCATTCAGAGGCTCAGCTGGGCTGTAACGTCCAAGATTGCTCACTGACATGGCTGGCAGTTGGCATGGACTGCTCTGTGGGGGCTTCTCCATGTGGTTCCCCATGCAGCGAGGGCTTGCTCACAGCATGGTTTCTGGGTTCAGAGAGGGAGCATCCCATGAGATAAAGGCAGAAGCTGCAGATACCTTAAGGTCCAGCTTTGGAATTATGTAGTGTCACTCCTGCTGCATTCTGTTGGTCAAAAGGCCAGCCTGGATTCAGTGTTGGAGGTGGCCACCCCATTGCATGGATACCAGGAGGGATAGCTCATTGGGCTGGGAGGCTCATCTTTGGAAACTGACCGTCAAAAAAAGGAATTCAGATTTAGAATGTGTTAAAAAACACTGTTAAGGCCCAATTAAATATCTGCTGGCCAAATGTGGTCTATAGAGTAAGAGTTTGCAATCCCCGTTTCTAGTCCAACACCTTAATTTTCCCAGATGAAGACCCCAAGATCCAGTGTGAGATCAAGGATGGGAGGAACTTTTTTTTTTATTGAGGTGAAATTCAGATAATATAAAAGTAAGCATTTTAATTGCACAATTCACTTTAAAGTTTACAACTCAGTGGCATGTAGTACATTCACAATGTTGTGCAACCGACACCACTATCTAGTTCCAAAGCATTTCATCAGCACAAAATGAAGCCCCACGTTCATTAAGCTGTCATTCTGCACTCCTGCTCTGCAGCCCCGGGCACACACTAATCTGTTTTCTATCTCTATGGATTTACCTATTCTGAGTATTTCATGTAAATGGAATTATACAATATGTGATCTTTTGTGTCTGGCTTCTTTCACTCTGCAAGATGTCCACGAGTTTCATCCACATTGTAGTGTGTGTCAGTGCATCTTTCCTTTTGATGGCTGAGTAATATTCCATTGTATGGCTACCGCACAATTATTTATCCACTCATTCATTGGTGGACATTGGGGTTGCTCCCACCTTTTGGTTATTGCAAATAGTGCTGCTGTGAACATTCACGGACAAGGATTTGTTTGGGTGCAGGAATTTATTTTTGAGACCATGCAGGCAGCTAGAGGCAGAGCCTAAGTGAAAATGTAGGTTCTCTGGCTCCCAGGCTGATGCATATTCTAAACTGTGTTAGAATGAGACACAGCCAAGAGGTGCAAGGGGTGGAGGTGGGGAGATGCCAGGTCCTGGCTATTTCCAAGGTGATTTTCACAATGAATCAGAACCAGAAAATTGCCGCTGTGTCAGGTTCTTCCCAGATATTCAGACAAGTCTGATATCATGCAAATAAAGCCACCTGACAATGAAGATTCAAAGACAAGAGGAGGGTTTGATCTTATTCTTTCCTTTTCAAGATACATACACACACACACACACACACACACACACACACACACAGACACAGACACATACACACACACCACCCTACCCTAAGCTGGGCCCTGAAACAGCACCAAACGTTTTGAAATCTTAGGGACTTTTCTCAAAAAATTCCTCCCAGTAAAGCTCTTCCAGAATGCTCTATTGAGCCATCGGGCTCCTTTTGTCTTTCCAAACCCAGGACAGCTCCTACAGCAAATCACAGCTGCTGAGAAAATATGAAGACAGTAGCCAGAGGAGAAAGAACCCGACATTTCCAGCTTTCAAACCCGGGCATTGCACGGGTCCCCAGAATGGCCTTTGTTGCTGTATTTTGAAAGAACTCTGATCACCCCCAGGGGCCCCTGCAGGTTGCAGGCTTTGAGTTCCAGCTCTGGAGCTTGCTCTATGTTGGTTGTTATGCAAAATTAATTATCTTGGTCATTTGAATGTTTTCCCCCAAACATAATATAATCTCATTACAGACTACTCCATACCAGAGTGAATCTCGAGCCAAATTCCATTTGGGAAATTGAAGGTAATTTAGAGTTATATGATTTGCAAAAAAAAAAAAAAGAAGAAGAAGAAGAAGCCCCTTTCTCTGCTAAATGCTAATTTGGTCTGTCTGCATAATGTAAAAGTGACATTCGTTTGGTTGGGGAATTGCCATAAGTGTGTAGGCGACTTGGGGCAGCAGAGGGGTAGTTCACAATTTTTCAGTGAGTTCATCTGGAAAGAGTCAGCACATAATTCTGGGAGGCAGGTGGCAGAGGACAGAGAGCCAACAGGCTTTCCAGAGACCAGGACTTGTCTGCTGGTGGGAGGATGCTCCAGCAGACAAGTCCATGGGAGATATGGCCTTTATGGCTAAGAAGCTGCTGTGAACAACAGAGAGGTGCTGGGGCATTTGGACGAAGCAGGAGGAGAAGGAGAGAGGCTGGATCACCTGGGCTGGCCCAATTTTAGCTCACACAGGGTGCATGAGTCAGCTCAGGCTGCCCTAACAAGCACCATGAACAGGGCGGTTTCAACAACAGACTTTTATTTTCTCACAGTTCTGGAGGCTGGAAATCCAAGATCAAGGTATCGATTGGTGGGGTTGGTTTCTCCTGAGGCCTCCTTCCTTGGCTTGCAGACAGCCACTTTCTCCCCACATCCTCCTATGTGCATCCCTCTGTGTGTGTCTGTGTCTTAACATTTATGCCTGAGGTTGCAATTTTTTGAATTTTTGCAATCAGACCCCTGCGATGACCTTGAGCAGTAGGATATAAATAATTCTCACATGCTTAGCGTTCCAGTAATGGAACACTAGGCATAAATGGGTATTAATCTCCTCTTCTCATGAGGACACCAGGCAGATTGGATTAAAGCCCACTCCGATGACCTCATTTTACCTTAATCCCCTCTTTAAAGACCCTGTCTCCAAATGCAGTCACATTGTGTGGTACTGAGAGTTAGGGCTTCAGCAGAGGAATTTGCAGGGAACAGCTTTCAACCTATCACAGATAATGAAGCCAAAGTACCATCCATCCAGCTCCCGCCAAATCACACCCAGATGCCCACAGCAGCCTCATCGGTTCCTGCCCTCACCCTTCCTGGAGCACTCAGGAGGTAGTGACCAGGGTGAGTGATTTTTTTTTTTTTTTTTTTGAGATGGATTCTCACTCTGTCACCAGGCTGGACTACAGTGGTGTGATCTCGGCTGACTGCAACCTCTGTCTCCCGGGTTCAAGCGATTCTCCTGCCTCAGCTTCCCGAGTAGTTGGGATTACAGGCATGAGCCACCACACCCTGCTAATTTTTGTATTTTTAGTAGAGACGGGGTTTCACCACGTTGGCCAGGATGGTCTCAATCTCTTGACCTCGTGATCTGCCCACCCTGGCCTCCCAAAGTGCTGGGATTACAGGCATGAGCCACCGTGCCCAGTCGAGTGATGTTCTTAAAGCATCCATCAGCTCTTGTCTCTCTCTCCCAGACCTCCTGTGACTTCCCACTGAGTTTTGAATGATGCAAACCCCCCAACAGAGCTCCAGAGCTGGCCCTTGCCTGGATCTCCAGCTCTGACCTCCAGTCATCGTGGTGCTCAAGACAACTGGACTCTTTGTTTTCCCCGCCCCTCCCAGCCCTCCCAGGTCTTTCCTCTTCTGCCTCAGGGCATTTCATGGAGGTCTTCTGCTGGGAGATGCTCTCTGGCTCCCTATGCTCCTGGTCTGGCTAACTCACTCCTTGGAGTCTCTACTTGAATGTCACTTCCTCAGGACAGCCTTCCCTGGTTCTCTCTCCTCTGATCTACAGGAGCCCCCACTGCCAGGCACATGGCAGACATTCAATAGGTACTTGTTCTACAGAAGGGAAAAGGAATGAATGAATGAATCAATGAATGAACAATCAAGTGAATAAACAAGTAAATATCTCCAAGCACAGTGCATGGCCTTTCAGCCCCTCCAGTGAAAGTTGAAAGCCTTAACCAGGGAGTCTTGACCTTTACGTTGGTGCAGAGGTTACAGAGCTCCAGGAAACTAGAGGTGCTCTCATTCTTCTCTACCCTGATGAAGGACTTACCAGGGGGCTGGGCACAGTGGCTCACACCTATAATCCCAGCACTTTGGGGGCTGAGGTGGGAAGATCGCTTGAGCCCAGAAGTTTAAGACCAGCCAGGGTAATGTAGTGAGACCCCATCTCTACAAAAATAAAAAATTAGCCAGGCATGGTGGTGTGCACCCGTAGTCCCTGCTGCTCAGGAGGCTGAGGCAGGAGGATTGCTTGAGCCCAGGAGGTAGAGGCTGCAGGGAGCTATGATTGCACCACTGTACTCCAGCCTGGAAAACAGGAAGACCCTGTCTCTTAAAGAAAAAACGCAAACAAAAAAAAAAAGGTACTTACCAGAAAGAGCTCACCTGTGTCACCTGTTCCTAAGATTTCACCACCTACCCTCCCAACCCACTGCAAGTGACCGTCCACAGCTATGAGGGTTGGGACTCTCTGGCCAGTGACTCTCCCACCCCAACTTCTCTCTCACTAGATCTATCAAATCATAAATCACAGAGTGAGGCTGAGAGATGTTTCAAGCAGCAGTGAGAGTCCCCAGTAGGCTTCTCCCTCATTTCTTTTTCTTGGGTTATTATCACTCAAAAGCCTGTTCAAGCCAATCACCCCCTCCAACTTGGCATTATGGTTGTGAGCTAATCAACGACCTTCATAGAATTTGACAACCTTGTTCAGACTCATGTAAGTACAACTGCTAGTGGAATGTGAGTGCAACAAATTAATAAATGATTCCTTGAAAGGTTGGTTCTCATTCCCTATGAAGTGATACAGTCAGAGGTGAGGTCCCTCCAGATGCACATGCTGAGGGCAAAGAGTTGAGAGTAAGGAGTTTATTGGTAAATTGATCCCCAGGAAGCATTGATAGGTGAATGGGAAGTAAGGAGAGAAAGGGAATTGTGGTAGGTCGGATGTTCACATCTTAATTCCTGAAACCTATGAATGTTACCATATGATATAGTTTGGATATTTGTCCCTGCCCAAATCTCAGGCTGAAATGTAATCCCCCGTATTGGAGGTGAGGCCTGGTGGGAGGTGACTGGATCACAGGGGTGGATGTCTCATGAATGGTTTTGCACCATCCCCTTGGTGCTGTCTTTGCTGTAGTGATATGGTTTGGCTGTGTCCCCACCCAAATCTCATCTTCCATTTTAGCTCTCATAATTGCCATGTGTCATGGGAGGGACCTGGTGGAGGTAATTGAATGATGGGAGTGGATCTTTCCCATGCTGTTCTTGTAATAGTGAGTAAGTCTCATGATCCACATTGTAGTGTGTGTCAGTGCATCTCTCCTTTTCATGGCTGAGTAATATTCCATTGTATGGATACTGCACAATTATTTTACAGCACACAGTTTTTTTGACCTGATGGTTTTATAAAGGGGAGTTCCCTTGCACACACTCTCTTGCCTGCCGCAGTATAAGATGCGTTTTTCTTCCCCTTCACCCGCTGCCATGATCGTGAGGCCTCCTCAGCCATGTAGAAGTGTAAGTCCATTAAACTTCTTTTTCTTTATAAATTACCTAGTCTTGGGTATGTCTTTATTAGCAGCATGAGAACAGACTAATACCCATAGTGAGTGGGTTCTCATGAGATCTTGTCATTTAAAAGTGGATGGCACCTCCCCCAACTCTCTTTTGCTTTCACCATGTGAGATGCCTGCTCCAGCTTCACCTTCTACCATGATTGGAAGCTTCCTGAGGCCTCCCCAAAAGCAGATGTTGCTGTACTTCCTGTACAGTCTGCAGAACCGTGAGCCAATTAAACCTCTTTTCTTATAAATTTCTCAGTGTGAGGTATTTCTTTATAGCAATACAAGAATGACCTAATACACCTTAGGTGGAAAAAAAAGGGGACTTTGCTGATGTAGTTAAATTGAAGTCCTTGGGGTAGGGAGATTATCCTGGATTATCTGAATGAGTCCTTAATACGATCACATGTATCCTTATAAAAGGGAAATAGAGATTTGACTACAGGAATCTTCACCCTTCTCCACCTTGATGAAGGACTTACCAGGGCGCCGGGTGCGGCTGGCTCACACCTGTAACCCCAGCACTTTGAGAGGCTGAGAGAGGAAGATCACTTGAGCTAGAAAAAGTAGCTCAAGGTAGGCCAGGCACGATCTAGGCTTAATAAATATTTGTTGCGTAACAGAAGAGAAGGCAATGTGAAGAAGGAGGCACAGACTGGAGTGATGCAGCCACAAACCAAGAAACTCCAAGGATTAGCCAACAGCCACCAGAAACTGGAAAAGGCCAGGAATGGCTTCTCCCCTAGAGACTATTGAGGGAGCATGGCTCTGTAGACACTTATTTCAGCTCACTGATACTGATTTTTGGACTTCTGGCCTCCAGAACGAGGAGGGAATAATATCTACTGTTTCAAGCCACCAAGTTTGTGGTCATACATTATGGCAGCCACAGGAAGCTAACACAGGAAGAAAACTAGTAATGTGTGTGTTACCAAGCAGCTCACTGCTGTGGGAAAGTGAAGCTCAGTCCTGCTGGGGACTCTGGAAAACAGTGTGAAACGTGGCTCAGACTCATCCCAGCTGCGAGCAAGGGAGCTGGGAAATGTATGCACTGACTCCCATCAGTCGCTGGTTTAAGGGTGTTCCTGCGGGAGGAGGGGGTATTCAACTTTCTGTCTCGTGTGTGAGCCAAGCAGGTGCCAGCAGCCAGAGAGAGCTCTCAGGAAGAGTTGCAGCCGCTGCAGTTACACCTCTGCATGAGTCCATGTGCATAAAAATGAGGAGTGCTGAGGGCATTTGGGCAGGGCAACAATGATGTCTGCTACACACACAAAAATAAACGGAAAAGCTCCAAAGCGGATACCCAAACTGGGGCAAAAAGGTTAAGCCTACTACGTGAAAACCTTTTTCAATGAATAAACCAGGAAGATGATAGATGAAGCTGAAAACTAACCCATAGCTTCAACATTACCTATTCAATCAGCCTAGAAAGGAAAGAAGAATTAGCACTGGTTGAATATCTGTATCAGTCAAATGCTTGCATCCATCTTTTCATTTACGAGGCCATAATTCTATTTGGAGTAGTGCATTAGTTTCCTAGGGCTGCTGTAAAAAAAAAAAAGAAGACCACAACCTGTGTGGCTCAAAACAACAGAAATGTATTCTTGCAGAGTTCTGGAGGCCAGAAGTCTCAGATCTAGGTGTTGGGAGGGTTGCTTCCTTCTGGTTCTGGAGGAGAATCTGTTCCATGACTCTCTTCTAGCTCCTGATGGTCATTGCCAGTCCTTGGTGTTCACGGACTTGTAGATGCATCACTGCTTTCTCTGCCTCCATCTTCACACGGTCTCTCTCTCTCTGTCTCTCTCTATCTTCTCCCCTTCTTATATAGAAACTCATCGTTAGATTTACAGCCAACCCTAAATCCAGAATGATTTCACCTTGAGATCCTTAACTAATTTTATCTGCAAAGACCCTATTTCCAAATACACTCACATTCTGAGTTTCCAGTAGACATGAATTTTTGGAGGATACTGTTTCACCCACTACAACTCATTTTTACAAATGAGGAAGCTGAGGTTGCCCATGGTCACAGAGCTTGTGGGTGATGGAAGTATGACTCTGGCCTAATTTTGTATGACATCAAAGCGTTGGAGCTGCTATATGTGGGTGGTAGAGATATTTAAAGCCTCTGAGAGAAGGCTTCTAATAAAAGTAGCTCAAGATAGGCCAGGCGCAATCTAGGCTTAATAAATATTTGTTGCGTAACTGAAATGAATATTCCCAGAGGACCCCACATTCCAGGCTCTAGACACAATGCATTTCTTTTTTATTTCTACGTAATGGGACACTCTGCCCTGGGAAATTGGGAAGAAGGCATGATCCAGCCAAGGTCAATTGTCCACAGTTTGTGCTTCTGTCTACTGCTGTTGTGCTTGGCATTAGAAAAACCCTCAGCCACAATAAATTTTATATTTTACTGCCTTTTTACCTGTTTCTCAAACAGTTTCAAGTACACTGGAGCATCTTTTATCCTTAATGGTCTGTTTTCCCAAAATTTATTTTTGGAAACCAATGAGTAAACAAAAGACACCAAACCCAGCTTGATACCAATAATCCTGAACCAAACAAATTAGATCTCCTTTTTAGTTTCTTTCCAATGCTTTAAAGGGCCTTATGAGTCATTAATTTGTTGGCTCTTGTAGAAGTATTTATGCAGGGCCATTAAGTAGCACAAACTGTGGAGGAAAATTGAGATGCTTTATGAATGTAGCCTCTGACCCCACCTGCCAATCTCCCTATAGGAGGAAAACACAGACAGGACTCTTGGCCTTGGGGGTCCCACTTCATTGTGGCCTGGTTTTCAATCCCCAGGCAATAATCTTCTCACCCTCATTCACATCTCTAGCCAAAAGCAGAAAATAAAACACAAGGGCAGAACTCTCAACTCTAGGGGGGGTGAAATCTGGGTCCCAGAGCAAAAATTAGTCACACCCCAAAAACTGATTTCTCCAAGCAGAAATGACAGATTCTCATCTCTGTCATATGGTCTGAGCCACAGTATAAGGCAATGCAGTTTTGACACCAGCCACCTGGACTTGGGTCACATTTCACAGGTTAAGGGCACAGTCTTCCACAAGACTGTCCTCCCTTCAGGCACCCACTGCAAGCGCCAGGGCTCCCAGGCCACCCACACTTCTGACAAACTGGCTACACATTCGGGGGCTCCCATTACTCTCTCAGGTTCAGTAACTCATAGACCAACTCAAAGCACTAAAAAAGCACTGTACTTTCTATAATTGTTTATTATAAAGGAACAACCCCCCCAAAAAAAACCCATGGGAGGGCCCAATTCACAAAGCTTCTGTGTCGCCCTCTGAGCACACAGAAGTATGACTCCCAACCCGGGGAGCTCAACTGAGTCTCATCATTCAGAGGTTTTTTTGTGGTTTCATTATGTAGGCATGATTGACTAGATAACTGGCCACATGATTGAACTCAATCTCCAGCAACCCCTCCACTCCCCAGACATCATCAGGCTGATGTCACTGGCCCAAAGTCCCAACTCTCTAATCACACAGTTGGTCTTTCTGGTGTGGCTGGCCACCATCCCGAGTCACCTTGTTAGCATAAACTCAGGCAATCCCATCACTCAGGAAATTCCAAGAATTAGAAGCTTCCTCCTAGGAACCAGAAACAAGGGTCAGACAAATGATTTATTACAGGACACACATATGTACAACAGGTAGGACTGAAATTAATGAAGTATCCTCTCTCTCCTCCTGTGAATAAAAATCTTCTGTCACTGGTCAGTTTTCTAGCTCATAAAAAGAAGGGATTCTTGCTTGCTGGGATCAAATTTATGGGACAGATGGGGAAGAGGGGAGAGGAGGCTGAGAGCAGGGGCTTGGGAAGGGGAGCAAGAAGTGAGGTCCTTTGGAGCTTTTGGGGTTGGAGATGGAAGGGGGTTTCAATAAATGTTCAGGAGGGCTTAAAATGGATTCTCTGGAATATGTTTGGCTTAAGAATGAAATTCATTTTAATTTCTTTTCATGGTGGACCTGTGCTTTTCAATACTTTTTTCCAGCAGAGACTGAGCTGGGAGGCTCATCCCCCTGGGATTTATCATTATTTCATCCTTGTCAATCTTCTTTTTCTAACAGTGAGCTTTTTTCTCTTTCTTTCTTTCTTTTTCTTTCTTTCATCCATCTTTCTTTCTTTTTCTTTCTTCTTTCTTTTTTTCTTTCTTCTTTCTTCTCCTTCCTTCCTTCCTTTCTTCCTTCTTTTCTCTCTCCCTTCTCTCTCTCTCTTTCTTTTTTTAGAAAGGGTCTTGCGCTGTCACCCAGGCTGCAGTACAGTGGCACAATCATAGCTCACTGCAGCCTCAAACTCCTGTGCTCAAGCAATTCTCCCTCCTCAGCCTCCCAACTAGCTGGGACTACAGGTCTACACCATCATGCCCCACTAATATTTTTGATTTTTTTATAGAGACGAGGTCTCACTATGTTGCCCAGGCTAGTCTCAAACTCCTGGCCTTAATTAATCCTCCTGCACGGCCTTCCAAAATGCTGGGTTACAGGCATGAGCCACTGTGCCAGGCAAGGGAGAAGACATTTGAAAGCACAGGTCCAAAGTTAAAAAAATTCAAATGAATTTCCTTCCTAAGCCATGTCTCTTCAAACATTCTATGACCAGCTCATCCATCCATGCCCCCTTTGCTGGCCGCCTTCCCTTCCCGTCTCACTTCCCATCTCTCCTGCCAGTGTTTCCTGGGATCCTTTCCCAAATAAACCACTTGCATGCGAAGATTTCCTGAGGAATAACTGAGATTCTATATCGAGGCCTCAGCACAGCGGGGGCACACAGGAAACCTCCTTAAATAACAAGTGCAATCATGTATTTCCACCTCTGCATGGGTGAAACTTAGAAGGGCTTCATGGAGACGTCACTGAGATCGGTATGGGAGGGAAAGGTGGGCGTTGTCCAGATAGAAGCTAGGGCTGCACCACGATGGTGGATGAAGTCACCAATGGAGGGGTGGGAAGGAAGGAGGAAAGAGCGCCACCTGGGGGCGGGAAAAAGAGCAGCCTGAGGAGTCGAAGAGTTGGCCAAGGTCATCAACAAGGAACAGAAATCGTTGCTCTCCTGAACTCCCCACCCTCAGCAGGAATAGACAATTCCTCAAGCCCTGTGGCCCTGGTCCTGGCTCTGTGGTCCTCTCTGCTTCAAGGTCTGTCCCCAACAACCCATCCCAGAGCCCACAGTTCAGGTAGGAAACGTGGACTTGTTGACCTAGCCTGAACTTTTTTCTTTTCTTTATTTTTGTTCCTGTTATTTCTCTTACTTTGTGCATGAACCTTTATTGCAATCAAAGCAGCATTTTATATTTACAAGCTGCCTTTCATCAGACACTGATGTGACACTCACCAGAGTCTGGGAACTTTACAGAAGCCACACAACAAGCTCCTCTAATCTCAAAGGCAAGTGTCGGGGCGGGGAGGAAACAGGGCACACACACACACACACACACACACACACACACACACACACACACCACCCCCATTGCCAGGTTCTGAGTTAAGCATTTTACCAATATTGTTTCATTGACTTCTCACAGCAAACCAGTGAGATAGGGACTGTAATTCCCACTTTACAGATATGGAAAAGAGCTGAAAAGTGAATTTCCTGGTTTCTCAATGCAAGGCCATTTGACCCAGACCCTACATTCCCAAAGGGTTTCCCGCATGGCTTTATGACATTATCTCCAAATGAGGTCATACACATGGTCACAGAGCTACTCTGACAATTTTAAAAGGAGACAACTTTCTTCATGCAACTATAGGTGATGCCTCCATATCGGCCCATGCCACCCATCCTGCAAAATGAATCAAAGGATTTAAAAAATATATCCTCTAATCAACTTGTGAAAAGCACAATTATATTGCATTGTGTGTTAAAAGAGTAAATTATTTCAGGAAAATACTTTAAATATATGCAGCATTGTAACTATTTTTGGCATGTTGTCCCATGTTAAGAATTGCAAGGACCTTTAAAAAACCGAGCTGAAGGCCAAGTGCAGTGGCTCATGCCTGTAATCCTAGCGTTCTGGGAGGCTGAGGCAGGAGGATTGCTTGAGCCCAGGAGTTTGAGACCAGCCTGGGCAACATAGTGAGACCCCCATCTCTACAAAAAATAAAATAACATTAAGTAAAATTAGTCAGGCATGGTGGTGTGAGCCTATAGTCCTAGCTACTGGAGAGGCTGAGACTGGAGGAGTGCTTGAGTCCAGGAGTTTGAGACCAGCCTGGACAAAATACCAAGACCTCATCTCTGAAAAAAAAAATTCTTAAAAAAAAAAAAAAGGTGTCCCTGCCTCCTGGGATTCCCAAGAGATCCTCTCTCAGACCTCTTCCCTTTGCCTGCAACAGATAACATGTTCATCCTGGATCCAGTCCCCATGATAGGCAACTGGAATGCAGTCCTGCTAGGAGCCTCCAGGAGACAGGACAGAACATACCTTGGAGTTACCCTACCAGAGAGTTGAGATAACTGGGTTATTTATCCTGCAACTCCACCAGTTATGGGCTGAGAGCTGCTCCTAGGGCCACTCATATAAAACAGAGAACACCTTCAGGCAGAAAGTCCCAGGTGGTTACAGCTGGTGCAAGTGGGGCCTTTGCACCCAGAAGTGATAAGCACGGGGGCACTTGGGTAGAGCCTGGCAGCTTCATCTCCTTTAAAGCTCCCTCAGGGGCACGCACTTCGTCATTCAAAACAATTCGCTGTCTCTTTTTCTAGAAATCGCTGATCTCAGTTAGTGGGCTTATGTAAGAAAGCCATATCTTCTCCACTTTCCCCTAATCCATGTAAAAAATAAAACACATTTTAAAATATGTATGTCACAGGCTCAAGAATGTGAGTCCCAACCAGGCGGAGTGGCTCATGCCTGTAATCCCAGCACTTTGGAAGCCCGTGGCAGGAGGATCGCCTGAGCCCAGGAATTTGAAACCAGCTTGGGCAATGTAGCAAGACTTCATCTCCACAAAAATGAAAATTTAAAAATTATCTGGGCGTGGTAGTGTGCACCTGTATTCCCACTGCTGGGGAGGCTGAGGCAGGAGGATTGCTTGAGCCCAGGAGTTCAAGGCTGCAGTAAGCTAGGATCACACCCCTGCACTCCAGTCTAGGCGGCAGAGCAAGACCCTGCCTCTAAAAAACAAAGAAAGAAGAAGAAAGAAGAAGGAGAAGGGGGAGAAGGAGAAGAAGAAGGAGAAGGAGGAGGAGAAGAAGAAGAAGAAGAAGGAAGAGGAGGAGGAGAAGACGAACGAGGAGGAGTAGGAGGAATAAAAGGAAGAAGAGGAGGAGGAGGAAGAGGAAGAAGAAGAAGAGGAGAAGCAGAAGAAAGAAGGAAGAAGGAAGAGGAGGAGGAGGAAGAAGAAGAAGAGAAGAAGAAGAATGTGAGCCCCTAGGGGGCTAGGGGGTAGGAATGATGTAAGCAGGCTGTTTCTCCCCCTTTTCATTCCTGACACCTCACTCCTCCCGAAGACTCAATAATACAGCCACCTTAACAAAACTTTCCACTCTGAGGTGGGCAGGGAAGGAGGTGGAGGAGAAAGGGGAGGAGGCTGGGTGGTGGCAACAGGTTGAGACTGCACCACTGTCCTCATTTCACAGAAGAGAAACTGAAAGAGCTGCACCATGGGCCCCGGGTCCCACGATGCACTCACAGTGGAACTGAGTGACTCAGACTGGGTCCTTCTAGCTTGTGTTTGCTCTGCCTAAAGGTTTTTGGACTGAGACACTGCAGCCCTGTGATTGCCATCCTGGGCTGTCTGCACATGGGCCCCAAAGACCAGTGCTGGGGTAGAGCAGAGAGTGCCAATCAATGGGGCCCAGGCCGTCTCAATTCCACTCTGAAGCACGTGTGCACAGTGTCGGAAGGGAGGCAGGAATGGATAAGACCCAGGCCATGCTCATGGCTGAACTGGTGTGCACATCAGAGAAAGATTTGTGTCTGAGTAGGCTTCAGAGGGTGTCAGAAAAGTGGGGTGGGCATTGGCACCCCAAGGGTGGAGCACACTGGGAGCCACCTACTCCAGGCTCCTGCAGGAAAGGGTCCATTGTCTGTAGAGAATTTAAAATTAACAATAAAACCAATGAAGAGTTAGACTGTTTCTATTATCACCATGCACCAGCAATTCTACACAATGCCCATGATCAGCTATTCCTCATCGAAAAAGAAAAAAATCTTTGTTCGGGCTAAGTTCTAAACAATTGCTGTGGTGACTGTTGGGTTTTAATAATAGCTATGTGCACTCTGGATTAGCACAGTTTTTATTACTCAAGCTTTAATACATATTGTATACTACCTGGGAGTTAATTCCAAGAACTCCCGTTCCTGCAGTCGGCTCCCAACATCCCCCCAACTCAGCTGCTCCCCAAGAGTGAGTTCCCGTGGCAACAAGACAAGGTCATCCACTCTGGCCACTGCTGGAGCCTCTAGCCAGGGCAGTTAGGAAAGAAAAAGAAATGAAAGACTTCCAGATTGGAAAAGAAGAAGTAAAACAATCCTTATTCTCAGATAACATGATTTTGTAGAAAATCTCAAGGAACCCACTAAAACTATTGAAACTAAATATGAGTTCTGCAAAGTTGAAGGATACAAAATCAATATGCAAAAATCAATTGTGTTTCTAGATGATAACAATAAACCATTCAAAAATAAAATTAAGAAAACAATTCATGTACAATAGCATCAAAAAGAATAGGATACTTAGGGATAACTAAGAAGTATAAGACTTGTATACTGAAAACTACAACACATTGTCAAAAGCAATTAAAGGTAATCTAAATAAATAGGAAGACAACCCACGTTCATACTCCTCAAGTTGATCTACAGGTTCAACACAATTTCCTATCAAAATCCCAGCTGTTTTTTTTTTCTTTGCAGAAGTTGAACAAGCTTATCCTAAAATTCATATGGAAATTCAAGGGCCCCAGAATATTCAAGACAGTCTTGAAAATGAAGAACAAAGTTGAAGGACTCACAGCTCCTAATTTCAAAACTTACTACAAGATGACAGTAATCAAGATAGTGTGGTACTAGCATAAGGATAGACATAGAGAAAAATTGAATAAAACTGAGAGTCCAAACATAATGGATTTTTGACAAGCGTGTCAAGACACTTCAATGAGGAGAGAATCGTTTCTATTATGGTGATGGATGATAATGGATGGATGATGGACTCACGGATATCTACATGCAAAAGAATGAATTTGGATCTCTACCTCACACCATACATAAATATTCCATCAAAGAGCATCATGGCAGCCAGGTGAAGTGGCTCACGCCTGTAATCCCAGCACTTTGGGAGGCTGAGGTGGGTGGATCGCTTGAGGTCAGGAGTTCAAGACCAGCCTGGCCAACATGGTGAAACCCCATTAGCCAGGCATGGTGGTGGACACCTGTAATTCCAGCTACTCAGGAGGCCAAGGTGGGAGAATCGCTTGAACTCGGGAGGTAGAGGTTGCAGTGAGCTGAGATCATACCACTGCACTCCAGCCTGAGCCAAAGAGTGAGACTATGTCTCTCACACACACACACACACACACACACACACACACACAAAAAAAAAAAAAAAAAAAGTTGATCATAGACCTAAACGTAAAGGTTAAAACTGTAAAAGTCTCAGAAGAAAACATGGGAATAAATATTTGTGACCTTGGGTTTGCCAATAATTTCTTAGCTATTTCACCAAATGCATAAGCAATTAAATTAAAATTTCTGTGTTACAAACAATACCATCTAGAAAGTGAAAAAGCCCACAGAGTGGGGGAAAACATGTGCAAATCACAAATCTGATATGGGACTTGTAGCCAGAATATATAAAGAACACTTCTAACTCAATAATAAAAAGACAATCCCATTTTTTAAATCAGCCAAGGATTTGAACAGACGTTTCTCTAAAGAAGATTCACAAATGGCCAGTAAATAAAGAAAAGGTTCTCAACATCATTAGTCATTAGACAAATGCAAGTCAAAACCACAATGAGATGCCACCATACACCATTTAAATGACTACCATAAAGAAAAGAGTAACAAGTATTGGGGAAATTAGAATGCTTGAACACTGTTGGAGTGGATGTAAAATGGTGCAGCTGCTTTGGAAAACACTCTAGCAGCTCCTGAGAATGTTAAATGCGCAGTTATACATATGACCCAGCAATTCCACTCTTAGGTATCTACCCAAGAGAAATGAAAACATCTCTTAACACAAAGCCTGCACATCGGTGTTCATAGTGTTATTCACAACAGCCGACAAGTAGAAACAATATAAGTTCATCAGCCGATAAACAGATAAATAACTTGTCATCTATTTCTAGAAACAAATAATTTTTGGCAACAAAAGGAAAGAAATACTGATACCTGCTACCACGTGGGAGAACTCTGAAAACATGACGCTAAGTGAAAGAAGCCAGACACAAAAGTCTGACTACTGTATGATTCCATTTATAGAAAATTCCCGGAACAGGTAACTCCATAGAAATAAAGAGAAGAGTGATTGTTGGCTAGGGGTAGGGAGGGGTGACGGAGGAGATTTGGGGAGAGGGGGTGGAGAAAGGAGAATGACTGCTAATGCGTACGAGGTTTGTTTGGGGGAGGAAGAAAAAGTTCTAAAATTAGACAACAGGGCACAAAATATTCTAAGTCTAAAGTTGAAAAGCATAATTGTGTGCACTCTCAGAGATTCATGTAATTCTTCTAAATAGTTGCAGTGTAACTGTCACACGTCAGTCTCCACATCGATAAAGTGACAGGTGTGGCCGGATGCGGTGGCTCACGCCTGTAATCCCAGCACTTTGGGAGGCCGAGGCAGGCGGATCACCTGAGGTCAGGAGTTCGAGACCAGCCTGGCCAACATGGTGAAACCCCATCTCTACTAAAAATACAAAAATTAGCCAGGTGTGGTGGTGGGTGCCTGTAATCCCAGCTACTTGGAAGGCTGAGGCAGGAAAATCCCTTGAACCTGGGATGCAGAGGTTGCAGTGAGCCGAGATCACACCAGTGCACTCCAGCTTGGGCAACAGAGTGAGACTGTGTCCCCCAAACCAAAAAAAGAAAAAATGTGACGGGTGGGTTTCACTTTAATCATAGGATGTTTACTCCTTCCTTGGCTGGAGTGATACCAATTCTGTAGATATACTAAAAACCATTGAACTGAACCTTGCTTTGTTCTGTTTTTAAGACAATGTCTCACTGTGTCACCCAGGCTGGAGTGCAGTGGCACAATCATGGCTCACTGCAGCCTCCACCTCCTAGACTCAAGCCGTCTTCCCGCCTCAGCCTCCCAAGTAGCTTGAACTACTCGGTGCCACTGTGCCTGGCCTGAATTGCACACTTTAAATCGGTGAACATTATGGTATGTAAATGATATCTCAATAAAGCTACTGAAAATAAAAGTGTAGATTCCTAAAGTTTCAAGATTGTTTGGGTTCATTTCTGGCAGATTCTTGTCTCGAACCCCTACGGTCCTACAGATTCCTGTGCTTAAAAGGTAGATTCCAAATGAACGAGAATAAAATAACAGTGAGAAGGACAACAAAACAGAGCTTGAGTTACTTAATTGCTGCCATTTTTGTGATCACTTGTAGTTTATGTTTAACGTTTAAAACACTGAAACAGACGGTGAATCCCAAATTGCCATATTTTTGTTGTAGGTACACATTTCAGTATTTACCCAGAATCTTTTCCTGAATTTGCATAACACCTTTAAAACTGAAAAATCAGCCGGGTACAGTGGCGCCTGCCTGTCATCCCAGCGCTTTGGGAGACGGAGGCAAGAGGATCACTTAAGCTCAGGAGTTCAAGACCAACCTAGGCAAGATTGCGAGACCTCGGCTCCATAAAAACAAAAAAATTAGCTGGGTATGGTGCCACTCCCCTGTAGTACTCGCAACTCCAGAGGCTAAGGCAGGAGGATTGCTTGAGCCCAGGAGGTTGAGGCTGCAGTGAGCCATGATTGCACCACTGCACTCTAGCCTGGGCAACAGAGCAAGACCCTGTCTCTAAATGAATTAATTAAATAAAATAAAATTGAAAAATCCATTCTTTTTATAACTGATCATTGAAAGCCATAGAACAGATTAAAGTAATGATTATTACAGATTGATATAATTATTGCTAAATATAATTTTGAAATACGTAGAAAGTTGTTCAGAATGCTCTGTTCCGTGGCTCAAATATGCAGTGGTGTTACTGGGACAGGCCAGGTCATGAAGGAGTAGAACACCACACTTTAAAGGAACTAGCTGCATCCACAGTCATGTATGCGGGCCCAGTGATCTTAAGAGTTATTAATAAAATATTGATATCATTCATTTATCTAGTCAAGTGCTTTAAAATTGTATGGGCCATTTCCACACAGTAATTTCATCTCAGCATCCCCTGATACAAAAACTGGTGCTGAAAACCAAAGCGGGGTGTGTGTGTGTGTGTGTGTGTGTGTGAAAGAGAGAGAGAGAGGGAGAGAGGGTGTGTTTGGCTGCTCTTGTTTTAATTTTGCTCTGTGTGTGCCCCCCCATTGGCAGTGCACAGGATGGGGGTCTTGGACTGTTTGCCAAATGAAAGCCTTCCGGCTCCATGATGGTTTGCCTATTTTTTCAGTGTATTTGCCTCTTGTATTTCGTGCTGAATATTACTGAACCTTATTGATGTCACCAGCATTGGCTTCTCTCTGATCAGAGTGATTTGTTCTACCTCTCACTTCTGTTCTTTCTTTTTATTTATTTATTTATTTATTTATTTGAGACGGAGTCTGTCACCCAGGCTGGAATACAGTGGCATCATGTCGGCTCACTGCAACCTCCACCTCCCGGGCTCAAGTGATTCTCATGTCTCAGCCTCCTGAGTAGCTGGAATTACAGAAGCGCGACCCCACGCCTGGCTAAATTTTTTGCATTTTTAGTAGAGACGGGGTTTCACCACGTTGGCCGGGCTGGTCTGGAACTCCTGGCGTCAGGTGATCTGCCTGCCTCGGCCTCCCAAAGTGCTAGGATTACAGGCGTGAGCCACCGCGCGTGGCCGTTCCTCTCACTTCTAATCATTCTTTTCTTTCTCCAGCGCTCCCTGTCTGACCTTGTAAAGTTTCCCTTCCTCCTGTTTTCCTCCCTCGGCTAACCCTTTCCTCGCAGCCCTGCTATTTCTCTCTGTGTTCTTATACTCTGAACTCAGCCATTTTAGCAGACACATTCCAAATAGACACAATTCTTTGATTGAGAAAATCAAAGGTTGGAAACATGTCGATTTTCAAACATGCTATGCACGGTTTGGGTCCAAGCAGCTAACAATGCATTTGATTTTACAGGGTGCAAAATATGCCAAGGCTAAAGTTAAACAGCATAAGTGTGTGCAAGCTCAGAGGTTCATGAAATTCTTCTAAATAGTTGCAACGTAACTGTCACACGCTGGTGTCCACATTGATAAAGTGACAGTTGGTTCTCACTTTAATCACGGGATGTTTACTTCTTCTTTGGCTGGAGTGATGGTGTGAGTACCGCTGTGCCCAGCAGAACCTTAGGGAAATACGCTGGAGTGTGTTATGCACGTAGATACTGAGAGATGCCTCATAAAAAAAACCCAGACTACTATAAAACAGTTCGAGAACCACTGGTGTGTGGACGACTGTGTTTAAAGAGGCCAATTGTATAAGCTACAACATTCGTGTTTTTAATGAGCCCTGACTTGCGTACTCAAACATTGTGTGCTAAAAAACAGACATAACTCAAAGCTGTTTATACGGCCTGAGTGTTTCCAGTTTCTTCCTCTAAAAGCAAAGGGAGGAGAAAAAGCAATCGGCAGGCATGGTGATGGACGAGCAGGGTTAAATATTTTCCGTCTTTAAACAGGGGGAACCAAAAGCAAATATTGGACCTCTGTTAAGTTCCCGGCAGAGGAGAACAGACTCAGAGGTGATGAAGCACCTTCCGGGCCTCAGGTAACCTAGAGCGTTTTAAAGCCTAATCAGTTACATGCTGGTAATACAGTCCCCGAAGACAAACAAAGCATCCATTACACGCTCGCCGCGACGCCTCACACACATTTCTGGTCATTACTGTGATTTTTTCATTATTTATAGAGAGCCGCAAGCACACACGCCACACTGTAAATGGATGTAGCGTGCCAATTACCCTAATGTTGATTAACGGGGGAAGAAAATGGTGGTCAAGTTTCAGGGACTGTCACCTCTCCCCTTGGAAAGGAAAAGCAGACAGTACACAGCCATGAGCGGTGAATCGGATGTTGCCACATTTCTCCAACATTTATCTGCCTCACGCAGAAAACAGAGCCTCTATAGGACCACCTGGAGCTGTCCTCAAGGCTTAGATCAGAAAGCCCTGAGTTCATTTTAGTCGTGGTATTCTCATGAGCATACAATCGTTTTGCACATTTCGTGCAGAAATGCCTCCACGCCAGCACGGTAGTGGAGTGAATTTCAAGGTATCCTTTCCCCCCGTGAAATATATAGATGGCTATCATCATATTTCATAGCCCAAGCAATTGAAAACTGTTGCATGTGTATTACCAGCCTACAGATGGAAAGTATTTTCCTCCTGGATATGAGCCATGCTTTCTGCAAGAATTTTTTTTAAGAAAAAACAGCCAACAAGTCAGGGGTCATTGAAGGTGTTCAGCAGTCAGGAAAGTAAATGGACCTCTCAGTGGGTTATTTTTTATCAGTGTGGGGTAATGTGGACACATTGATGCCTTTCTGGAATCATCTCTGCATAGGGAGATGGCTTGGAAACAATCTGAAATTAAGAGGCATGAGCTTGCAGAGGCAGAGAGCAATAACCACGTAGAAGTATAAAGTACGTAAAACATAATTAAAGGCCTATAGGGTTCTGTTTTGCTCTTGATGCTATTTTGTGGGGTATTAATATATACCACGGCAGTGAGGTGTGGCATCTGGGAAAAAAGCAATATATTAATTCTCAGATCAATAGTTTGTGAAATGCTTTCTTGCTGTCCCAAGCGTGTGACTGTTTCACTGATAAGGAATGATTTTCCCAGAGTCACAGGCAGCTGCCACTGGCTGAGATTGCTCTCTGGAGGCGAGGGAACGAAGGGGGACTGCCCTAGCAAAGGAGGGGTCATTTAAGAGACAGAACCACAACCTCCCCTGGGTTCCCTCTCTCATTCCATTTCACTCTCCATACAATCCAGCAATGGCTCCTAACACAGCGTTGAGACCAAGGTACGACCTCAGCCTCTCTGTTCTCCCCATTTTTTTAATCTCTTGTGGGGGGATGCAGACAACTCTTAAGCTACTATAAATGGCTAACGTTTGTAAGGGGAAGAACCACAGAAGATGGAGAGCACTGGGAGACATACGGAGGCGTATGGGGGACAGTAGTGAGGAAGGGGCATTGAGGCAAGCCAAGCTGACAGTTTCAAAAATTGAACTGATTTAACGAACCACATCTGATCCTGCAGCTGCAGCATGGACCCCTGCTGCTGCCCTCCCTGTTTTTTTTTTGTTGTTGTTGTTGTTTTGTTTGTTTGTTTTTGTTTTTTTGAGATGGAGTCTCGCTCTGTCACCCAGGCTGGAGTGCAGTGGCGCGATCTCGGCTCACTGCAAATTCCACCTCCCAGGTTCACGCCATTCTCCTGCCTCAGCCTTCCAAATAGCTGGGACTACAGGCGCCCGCCACCACGCCCGGCTAATTTTTTGTATTTTTAGTAGAGACGGGGTTTCACCGTGTTAGCCAGGATGGTCTTGAGCTCTGACCTTGTGATCCGCCCGCCTCGGCCTCCCAAAGTGCTGAGATTACAGGCGTGAGCCACCGCGCCCAGCCTCTGCCCTCCCTGTTTCTAAGATGATCTCAGCTCAAAGTGACCCTGTTTTGAGAGAAGACATGTTACACACACCACCTCCAGGCAGCCTGCAACCAGTGACTGACGGATGGTGGAGCCCATCAGCCCAACAGGCCATTCATGCTCCAGAGCTCCCGGGAGAAGGGGTCAAGTCTCAACACCAGCTGGCATCACCTCCCCATCCAGCTCTCCCTCTCTGCTCTTCCCCTCCTCTCACTTTCCTGCTCCTGAGAGCACCCCTCAATTAACCACTCACATGAGAATCCCCATCTCAGGGGCTAGTCCAGTTGTCTCTGTTCAGATGGAAAAAGAGCGTGCACATGTCTGTCCACACACGGATGCATGCACTAGGGGCAGATATCACTTTTCTTTCTCAGCTTCCCCAGGGGGAGAGGTGGGTGTACTGGCCTCCTCCTGCACAGAGCAGACAGGGAGGGGATAGTGGGGCAGGGCCAGACCTGCATCTTGGGCTGCCCTTGCAAAAACCGAGTGCCACTCCATGTCCTGCAGAGAGGCCTGAAGCATGGGCTTTCCCAAGCTGCTTTTAAGTTCCCGGTGCAGTGACAGTTAGGTGAGTGACTGAGATACTGCAAAGTGACCCCTTTGCAGAGGCGGCAGGTGGACTTCCAGGCTGGATAGGAATATGACAGACACTCAGCCGAGCTGGGAGAAAGCAGACTGTGTGTTATACCCAAGCTGGAAATCAGCATGAATTCCAGCAAGGCCAGCACAATCAGCCAAGGAAGGGGCATTGTCTTAGAGAACTGAGAAACAGAGGACAGAGGCTTGGGACCCCAAGACGTCCTCTGGGACCTTCCAGGCCCCTATGAGCCACTCTCCTCCTGCACACTCAGGAACCATCCGAGAGGGGGAAGCTGAGGGAGGGGACGGCTGCATGAGAGACTCAACATGTCAATCCAGAAAGAGTGAGTACCATCTAAAAGGACTAATCAATTACTGGATTGGGCTAAATTTTAAGCCAGAGAGAGCTAAAAGTTTTACTTTTCCTACTATCATGGAGGAGGGGCGCAGAAGAAAGACAAGATGCTTTCCAGATAACAGAGGGGTTTTCTCTAAACACAAGAAGGATTTGAGTATGTGACCTGTGACCACACCACAGATCCATGCTACGATCACTTGACTGCTTGAATGCAGGGAGGTAAGAGAACTGATCAGCTCTGCCCTGGTATTTAATATTCAGTAGTGTACACACACATATGCACACACACACATGCATGCACACACATATGCGTGCACACAAATGCACAGACACACACACACATATGCACATGCACACGCTTCTTGTGTAAATGATTTTATTTTTATTATGAAAGAATTGCACGGTTGTGGAAATAGACATTTGTCAGAATAAAGGGGCACACACTGAAAATTAAGCGCACCCATATAGTCCTTGCTCACGCCCTTCCTAGTTGAGCTCCTTAGAAATGACCATTTTTGATCAAATAAGACTTCCAGATGGATCTGGCTTAAAAATTAGTCCCATCCGGTACTTCAACAATTCTTTTCAGTTCTTTTAGCAGCTAAGATCTTTCCACTAGCTAGCCAGGGTCTTTACTAAAAGCTCTGATATTGGAAGAGATTTCAAAAAGTTCATGGAAAACGCATATTTTCAAAAAACCATGCATAGATTTAAATTTTTTTTGGCACCAAAATAAACGCATGTGAACTGGTTATAACATGTCTGAAAAGGATCCAGTTTGGAGCACTAAGAAGGCTAAGGAATCAGTTTATAAAAAGTCCCTATTGGAGTAACATGAATTCTGCTAAAATTGAAGCAAGAAGCAACATCAAAATTATGGTGAAACTCGAGTGGGAGAATGGCGAAATCATTGATGCTTGGCAAAGTTTATGGGGACAGTGCCCCCAAAGAAACTAGCAGTTTAGAAATGGACAACTCTTTTTTAGAAGGGACAAAACAATGTTGAAGATGAAGCCCCCCCCCCCCCCCAACATCAAGTCGTGAGAAAGAAACTCATCTTGTTCACACCCTAGTTGAAAAAGACTGATGATTAACAGCAGAAATAAGGGCCAACACCACGGACATCTCAACTGGTTCAGCTCACACCATTCTGGCTGAAAAATTAAAATTGATCAAATTTTCCACTTGTTGAGTGCCAAAACCATTGCACCTACATCAGCTACAGAAAAGAGCAGAGCTTTCAGTGGAAATTTTAAACAAGTGGGATCAAGATCCTGAAGCATGTCTTCAAAGAATTGTAGCAAGAGATGAAACATGGCTTCACTGGTACCATCCTGAAGACAAGGCACAATCAAAGTAATGGCTACCAAGAGGTAGAAGGAGTCCAGTCAAAGCAAAGCAAGAGTGAAGCAGTCAAGAGCAAAGGCCATGGCAAGAATTTTAGGGGATGCTCAAGGCATGTTGCTTGTTCTATTTCTGGATGGCCAAAGTACAATAATATCTGCTTATTGTGAGAGTATTTTGAGAAGGTTTGCCAGAACTTTAGCAGAAATACGCTAGGGAAAACTTCATCAGACAGTCCTTCTCCTCCATGGCAATGCTCCTGCTCATTCCTTTCATCAAAGAAGGGCAATTTTGTGAGAGTTTCAGTGGGACATCATCAGGCATCTACAGTACAGTCCTGATTTGACTCCTTCTGACTTCTCTTTGTTTCCTAATCTTAAAAAATCTGCAAAGGGCACCCATTCTCCTTCAGTTACAAATGCGAAAAAGACTGCATTGACATGATGAAATTCCAAGGACCCTCAGTTCTTTAGGCATGAACTCAATGGGTGATATCATAATTTTCCAAAGTGTTGACCTTGATGGAGCTTATGTTGGGAAATAACATTTATATTTTTTATTTTTATATTTTAATTTCATTTCTCAATGAATTTTTTGAAGTCTCCTTGTATACTGACATTTTTGTAGGTCTCTTGCACAATTGTTATTTTTTAAATTGTCCTATTTATTTATATTTAAAAGAATTATTTTCACTTATTTATTTCAGTCTTTCTGAGTTCCTTTTTCCTAGATTTTTTTTTGAGACCTTGCTCTGTTATTCAGGCTGGAGTGCAGTGGTTCAATCATGGCTCACAGCAGCCTCCAAATCCAGGGCTCAAGGAATCCTCACACCTCAGCCTCATGAGTAGCTAGGACCATAGGTGTGTACACAGCCAATTTCTAGGTGTTTGTTTGTTTGGTTTTAGAGATGGGGTCTTGCTATGTTTCCCAGGCTCCTCTTGAACTCCTGGCCTCAAGCAATTGGTCCTCTTGCCTCAGCTTCCCAAAGTGCTGGGATTATAGGTGTGAGCCACCACACTTGGCCCCTAGATTTCTTTTTCATTTTATTGTCATCCATTCTCAAGGAACTTTTTTCTTGAGGAGTGCTTAGGAATTAAATTTCCAAAGTTCCCTGCATGTTGAGGAAAATGTTTATTTTGCTCTCACACTTAATTGATGATTTGGTTGAAATCAGAACTCTAAGTTTAAATTAAATGTCCCTGAGAACACTGATGCATGACTTCCTTGTCTTTTAGCAGCCAATGTTGCTGATGAGAATTCTGAATCCCACTGGGAACTTGGCATCAGTGTGCATGATTTTTCTCTCTAAAAGATTTTAGAGCCTTCTCATTATCCATCTTTTTTTTTTTCTTTCCTGAAATGTCATGAGGCTATATCTAGGTACAGATCTTTTTCATTCATCCTACTTGGCCCTCCGTGGTCTCTCTCCTCATGAAGAATCATGTCATTCTTCAGCTCGGACAAATATTATCGTTATCTCATGATTAATTCCTCCCTCCACCTTCTCTCTTCCTGCTGGAACTAAGTAGACATTGGTCTTTCTGAATTCATCATTTAGATCTCAACTTTTCTCTCAAACTTCTTCTTTCT
Source organism: Homo sapiens (assembly GCF_000001405.40). NCBI lineage: Eukaryota > Metazoa > Chordata > Mammalia > Primates > Hominidae > Homo > Homo sapiens. Next base: position 3,051,185 of record NC_000007.14, on the reverse strand, counting down.
TTTTGGGTTTTATTTAGTTCTCGCTTTCCAGCCCAGCAGATAGACCTCACAGACATCTTCTTCCAGCCCTTCTACTGTATGTTAAATTTTATTTTATTATTCGAACAACCCTATTTTTAATTTCCATGACCTGTTCCTTTATTCAGGCAGCCTGTTTCATAGTAATTTGTTCTTATTTGATGGATGTGATCTCTGCTCGAATCTCTCTGCGGATTCTCATTGGAGGATCTTTTTGGATCATTATGTTTCATTCCCTTCTCATCATTGTTTCTTCCCTTCCTGCCCTTGGGAGATGATTGTCCAATTTGTTCATCTAAGTCCCACCCTTTCAAGCTGCTGATCTCTGTCCATGTTTGGGAAGGTCCGTGTTGACTCGTGTGGAGTTTCCTTTGTCTTTTCCAACCTCTGTATGGAGGAGAGGCCAGCTGGGATAACGGGGGGCAGGAATACTGTGTCAACAGGCAGCCTTGACTCCAGGGCTATGCTCTGAGAAATCTGGTCTGGGGACCTGTGTCCTTCAGTGCACCGGTCCGCACCAAGATAAGAGCCGAAACTAAGACTAAGCATTTAGAAACTTTTATAGCAGTTTTGACATTGACACGACAACCAAGCATGATCGGCCAGCTTGTGTCTTGAGTGTCTTTTTTAAAATTCTATTTTCTAGTAATTAATTTTTATTATATTTCACAAAAGTATCAGGCCGTAACAGATTAGAATTTTTTTTAAAGGCAGGAGGGGTTGGGGGTGTCTTTCGCTGCAGATGGTTCCAGAAGCCCTGCTTTTGGGAACCCAGGCAGGGAGAGGCTACCCCAGCCGCCCCCCTGTTATGACATGAGGAAGGGCTTTTGGGGCCCATGCCCCCATTCTAAGAGCATTTGCCCCTCTGAGCAGCTTTTCAAAAATTGATACATAATATTTTATATATTTATGGTATGTGTGTGATTTTTTTTGAGACAGGATCTCATTCTTGTTGCCTAGGCTGGAGTGCAATGGTGTGATCACAACTCACTGCAGCCTCAACTTCCTGCACTCAAGTGATCACCCCCATCAGCCTCCTAAGTAGCTGGAACCACAGGTGCGTGCCACCATACCCAGCTAATTTTTTTTTTTTGAAGAGATGAGGTCTTGCTATGCTGTCCAGGCTGGCCTTGAACGCCTGGGATCAAGCGATCCTCCCACTTCAGCCTCCTGGGTAGCTGGAACCACAGGTGCGTGCCACCACACCCAGCTAATTTTTTTTTTCTTTGAAGAGATGGGGTCTTGCTATGCTTTCCAGGCTGGCCTTGAGCTCCTGGGCTCAAGCGATCCTCCCACCTCAGCCTCCTGAGTAGCTGGAACCACAGGCACATGCCACCACACCCAGCTAACTTTTTAAATTTTTTGTAGAGATGGGGTCTTGCTATGCTGTCCAGGCTGGCCTTGAACTCCTGGGCTCGAGCGATCCTCCCACCTTGGCCTCCCAAAGTGCTGGGATTATAGGCGTGAGCCACTGGGCTCAGCCTTTTGTTACATGCATAGAATGTGGAATGATCAGGTCAGGGTATTTGGGGCATCTATCACCTTGAGTATTTATCATTTCTCCATGTTGGGAATAATTCAAGTCCTCTCTTCTAGCTAATTTGAAATATACAATACATTGTTGCTAGCTACAATCGCCCTACTCTGCTGTCCAGCATTAGAACTTGTACCTTCTATTTAACTGCATGTCTGTACCCATCAAACCAAGAGTTTTCACTGGAAAGATCTCTCTGGCTTCGGCCTAGGGGGGAAGCTAAAGTGGCACAGTGGAGGGTTGGGGGAGGGAAGTGGGGCAGCCGTACCTGCCCCAGCAGTCCTACAGATGATGCTCCCATCAGTCACTCGGTGTCTGCCCTTCCTCTGAGACTGCCTTCAGTTCAATCCTGACAGATCTGAGGGGTTCTACAGTAGGAGAGTCACTCTCAGCTCTGCTGCTGACTCCCTGCTCCAGGCTCTGAGCCGGGGCTCCTGTCCACTGCCGTCTGCCTCCCAGAAATGCTTCTCACCTCTTACCTGCATTCTTTCCAGGCACCTTTTTATAACCTATCCCCCACTGTTCTTGGCAGGTAAATTTTGTGTTTAGTTTGCTATCTTTTTTTTAGAGACAGGGTCTCACTGTGTCACTCAGGCTGGAGTGCAGTGGTGTGATCATGGTTCACTGCAGCCCTGAACTCCTGGGCTCAAGAAGTCCTCCCACCTCAGCCTCCCGAGCAGCTGGGACTACAGGCACCCGCCGCCATGTCCACCTAATTTTCTTGTATTTTTGGTAGAGTCAGGGTCTCCCTATGTTGCCCAAGCTGGTCTCGAACTCCTAATCTCAAGTGATCTGTCCGCCTTGGCCTCCCAAAGTGCTGAGATCACAGGCCTGAGCCACCGTGCCCAGCAGGTTGTTCCCATCTTTGTGTCTATGATTCAAGGACTTTGGAATCAACTTCTCTCTGGGATCACAGAGGAATCAAGATACAAAATGGTGTATCTAGGCATGAGGGAACTCAGTGGGGTGATAGTTGTGTTCTATATAATACAGCACCGCCCAATAGAAATAAAATGTGTAATTTTAAATTTCCTACTGGCAATACCAAAAAGAAACCAGGGAAATGCATGTTAATAAGATATTTCATTTAATCCAACTTATCAAAAATATTATTTCAGCATGCAATCAATATAAACATTATTAATGAGACGTTTCATATTCTTTTTTACACACAAAGTCTTCAAAATCTGGTTTCTTTTACACGTACAGCACGTCAATGCAGACACCACATTTTCCTCGGAGATACTTGACCTGTATTTAGATTTCATTAACTTTACAGTTGAAAAAGTAGGTGAACATGCTCAAATTGCTCCAGACGTACTTAAAAGCTTTTCGATAACAAAATCAAGTGTTAGTTTTTGGATTTAGATTAAAAATAATTAAAATTGGCCAGGTGCAGTGGCTCATGCCTGTAATCCCAGCACTTTGGGAAGTCAAGGCAGGCGGATCACTGGAGGTCAGGAGTTCAAGAACAGCCTGGCCGTCATGGTGAAACCCAGTCTCTACTAAAAATACAAAAATCATCTGGGCGTGGTGGCAGGCGCCTATAATCCCAGCTACTCAGGAGGCTGAGGTAGGAGAATTGCTTGAACCCGGGAGGTGGAGGTTGCAGTGAGCCGAGATCGCACCACTGCACTCCAGCCTGGGCTACAGAGTAAGACTCCTTCTCTAATAATAATAATAATAATGGAAGAGAATTAAAAACTCGCTTCCTATTCTCACCAGCCTCCTGTCAAAGTGCTCAGCAGTCAAATGTGGCCAGTGGCTGTCACATTGGACCACACCGTTCTATGTCCTCATAAGGGCTTGGCTTACACAATATGTACATTTGTCAAAACTCATTGCATCATATAGTTTTTAAATCATTTATGTATGTATGTATGTATGTATGTATGTATTTGAGGTGGGGTCTTGCTCTGTCCCCCAGGCTGGAGTGCAGTAGTGCAATCACAGCTCACTGCAGCCTCGAACTCTTGGGCTCAAGCAATCTTCCCACCTCAGCCTCTGGAGTAGCTGAGACTACAAGCACCTGCCACCATCCCCAGCTTCACTGCATCATATGGTTAAAATCTGTTTGTAAATTTCACCTAAACAAACCTCTCTAGTGAATGGCATGCATGATGGAGTGTTTAACAGTGACGTGTACTGATGATGTCTGCAACTTACTTTGAAATACACCCAGAAAAAAGGACAGGAGGTTGGGAGGCCGAGGCGGGTGGATCACGAGGTCAGGAGATCGAGACCATGCTGGCTAACACGGTGAAACCTCCTCTCTACTAAAAATACAAAAAATTAGCCAGGCATGGTGGCGGGCGCCTGTAGTCCCAGCTACTTGGGAGGCTGAGGCAGGAGAATGGCATGAACCCGGGAGGCGGAACTTGCAGTGAGCCGAGATCGTGCCACTGTACTCCAGCCTGGGTGACAGAGTGAGACTCTGTCTCAAAAAAAAAAAAAAAAACAAAAAAAACAAAAAGGACGAGAGGATTGATGGAGAGATAGATGGATAGATCTGTGATAAAGCCAATATAGCAAAATGCTAGTTGTAGAATCAAGTGGTGGGGTATATGCGGATTCACTAGATGGTTCTTCTAACTTTTCTGAACATTTAAAATTTTTAATAAGATATTGGAGGAGAAACAGGCTTGTCTTAATGAACTAGACCCGCATGCAGTCCCATCTATAAAAGTCAGAAACATAACGCTGAGTGAAAGGGACCAGGCTGCCGAAAGAACGCATGCATGCTGCCGTTTACATGCAGTTCACAAACAGGCAAACTGACTGATGCTGTCAGAGGCAGGAATGTGCCTACCCTTGGTGGCGGAGTGACTGAAACGAGACACAAGGGGGTTTCTGGGGTGCAGATAAAGTTCCATGTTTTGATAGAATGAAGTGCGGGTGTGGGTTACACTCGCACTTGGGATAATGGCCTCCAGTTCCATCCAAGTTGCTGCAAAAATTCATGGGACTTTGCAGCATTTGTGTACTTTACTGCATACATATCTCTACAGACATGTTTCATTGTTTTAAGGCACTGCCCTCATTTCGTATCTTGCAGGAGGGAAATCTGAGCTCTTCTTTAAAATGACAGGCCAGATGCCGTGGCTCATGTCTGTAATCCTGACACTTTGGGAGGCCTGAGCGAGAGGATCACTTGAGGTCAGGAGTTCAAGACCAGCCTGGGCAACATAGTGAGACTTCATCTCTACAGAAAATTAAAAAATTAGCCAGGCGTGGTGGCGTGCACTTGTAGTCCCAGCTTCTCGAGAGGCCAAGGCGGGAGGATGGCTTGAGCCAAGGAGGTCAAAGCCGCAGTGAGCCTTGATCAAGCCACTGTACTCCAACCTGGGCAGCAGAGCGAGACCCTGTTTCAAAAATAATAAAATGAAATAAAATAAAATGCTTGCCGGGCGCATGGGCTCACACTTGTAATCCCAGCACTTTGGGAGGCCGAGGTGGGCGGATCATGAGGTCAGGAGTTAGAGACCAGCCTGACCAACATGGTAAAACCCCATCTCTACTAAAAATACAAAAATTAACCAGGTGTGGTGGTGCGTGCCTGTAATCCCAGCTACTCAGGAGGCTGAGGCAGGACGATCACTTGAACCCGGGAGGTGGAGGTTGCAGTGAGCCGAGATCGTGCCACTGCACTCCAGCCTGGGCAACAGAGTGAGACTCCATCCCAAATAAATAAATAAATAAATAAAATGCCACTGCCTGATTTAGAGGTTTCATGGAGTACAAGCAGCTTCCCCAGTCCCAGGTAGGCAGTGAGATGTATCCTTAGGGACCAAGGCCTAGAAGGCTGTGGGTCTTGGTGTTAGAAGGCTGTGGGTCTTGGTGTTCATTTTAGAAACTTTCTTTACGGCCCTTGCTTGCATTTCTGAACACGCTTTACAGGAAGCAAACTCGTGTCTTCCTTCATCCCTAGCACATGTGCATCAGTGCAAACAGACTCCTCACTGGTATTTCAGATTCTTCCGTGCTTGGACCAATGTCCCATTTTTTATTTATTGTCTTGCTGAAAATTTAATTTATTGAAGGCCTTTCCTTCTAGCAGCTCGAGGAACTTTTCTCAGAACACTTAAAACATGAAACAGAAGCCTACATTCTCTAGCCATAATGAGGGGATCAAAAGAGAGGGAGATAGATGAGAGGAGAATGGTAAACTGAGGCAGAGTAGAATGAGAGGTGCAGAGGCTGGGGCAACGGGGGGGCGGGCGGTGCAGGAGGCAGTGCAATTGCAGCAAGAGAATAGAAACTAAGGTTTTCTGGGTAGGCATGGCTCATCCAGATTTTTATTTCAATAGCTTTAGGGGTACTTGCGGTTTTGGGTTACGTGGATGAAGCGTATAGTGGTGAAGTCTGGGCTTTTAGTGCATCAGTCACTGGAATAGTGCACATTGTACAGTATACATTGTACCCAATAGGTGATTTTTCATCCCCTACCCCCTCCCATTCTTCCCCCTTCTGAGTCTCCAACGTCCATGATCCCACTCTGCCTGCCTTTGCCTACCCATAGCTTAGCTCTCGCTTTTAAATAAGAACATGTAGTATTTGGTTTTCCACTCCTGAGTTACTTCACTTAGGATAATGGCCTCCAGTTCCATCCAAGTTGCTGCAAAATACTTTATTTCGTTCTTTTTTATGGCTGAGTAGTATTGCATGGCGTGTGTGTGTGTATCACATTTTCTTTCATCCAGATTTTTGAGTCTGCAATCCATGTAAACCCTTGGGACCATCCCACCCATGACGATGGCCATTTGGGGTAAATTATTAAAATGATGACATCCAGCTGGGCGCAGAGGCTCATGCCTGTAATCCCAGCACTTTGGGAGGCTGAGGTGGGCATATCACTTGAGGTCAGGAGTTCGAGGCCAGCCTGGCCATCATGTTGAAACCCCATTTCTACTAAAAATACAAAAATTAGCCAAGTTTGGTGGTGCACGCCTGTGGTCCCAGCTACTCGGGAGGCTGAGGTGGGAGAATCGCTTGAACCCAGGAGGTGGAGCTTGCAGTGAGCTGAGATTGTGCCACTGCACTCCAGCCTGGGTGACAGAGCGAGACTCCATCTCAAAAAATAAAAATAAAGTAAAATGATGACATCCAAATCACAGTTTCTCTTACAAGTATACTTCACCGGAACATCGAGGGCACAAGCTGATGGTGGGTGTCTTGGACCCCAAAGCTGTCGGGGTGAGGAAGGCCTTTGAAGGGGTGCTGACCACCCGGCATGCCCAGGAAGCTTCCAGAACAGGGGCTGAGGGAGGAAAGAGGCTTGGGGTGTAGGAGGCTGCAGGATTTGATGTGGGGCACCCCGTTCCCCTCCCATTGCAGTGACAGGCTCTGGAATTTCTTCAGAAATTCAGCTAGATCTCGGGAGCCAGTGCCCTGGAGAACCTAGAAGGGAGAGAGCCCCTCCCAAGGCCCCACCTGGACTCTGCCGGGGGTCACGGCTGGGTGGGGACTGATGCCCAGACTGGTCCAGCCTCACCCCGACTGATGCAGGTGGGCTGGGCCCTGAGACTCGCCTTGGTCTCCCCATCTCCGGCTCCCTGATCTGTCCCCAAGCACCCCCACCCCCGGCCCTGTCCCCACTCCCACCCCCACCTCCTTGCCGCCCTCCTCCCGAAGCACCGACTCCGCCCCCTCCCTCTCTTCCTTATCTTTTTCTAACCTTTCGCATTTTTTAGTCTCATTTCCTGTCGGGTTTTGCATTTCCCTCCCCCGCCCCTCCCAGCCTATGACATACTTTCTCTCCTTTTTTCTCTCCTGCCTCCTCTGGCCTTCGGACTCCTGCCCGCGCCGCCCGCAGCCCCCTCCCGGCCCTGCAGCCCCTGGGCGGGCGGCGCCCCTCGGAGGACGGCTCCGGGCCCGGGGGGACGGAGGGCCTGGTCGCCTGGAGGAAGCCGGAGGCCTGCGTGGAGGAGGCGCCCCGCGCAGCTGGCTGGCGGAGCATGAGCGCCCCAGGTAGGCGCAGCGGGGATGGGGGAGCTGGCGGAGGGGGAGCACGAGGCGGGGAGTTGGGGGAAGAGAAGAGGGCACGGGGAGGAGATGGGGGGCATCAGTGAGATGACACGGTGGCGGGGGGGGCGTCGGGGGATGGGAGTGGCTCCCGCTGGTCCCGCGATGCTGGGGGTATCCTTCCCTCTCCATCTCTGTCCCCCTGCCCCCCTTCTCTCTCTCACTCTCCTCTCCCCTTTTTCCCTTCCAACCCTTTTTCTCCCTCACTTTCCACCTCGTGTGCCTCTCCTCCGTGTCTCTTTGAGCGTCTCTGAGTATCACCGCCCAGCAAAGCCCCCACCTCCTCCTACTGGACAGGAAAAAATCGGGGGTCAGGAGGCTGCAGCCCCTTGGTGCACCTGCCCCAGAGGGAGGAAGAGAAACTTTTCTGACACCTGAAAGGCCCGGAAGTTTGCAGACCACAGCCCAGCCTGACTCAGAGGCTCCTGGGAAGGTGGGGCCTGGCTCAGGGAGGAAGGGCAGCCGCACCAAAAGTGGGTGTGGAGCTGGGAGATGGGAGAGGACAGCCCCCCGCGGGGACTGTACTAGAAAGGGGGTGGCGGGGGCACAGGAGAGGGCCCAGGTTCCCGACTGAAACCCGGAGCAGGTCCTAGCGGCCTCAGGCCTGAAAGCCACCTCCCCCAGGAGGCCCCTCCAGGCCCGATGGGGCCACCAGGCCTTCTGCTGAGCCCCCTCTGCAGATAGGGGCAGAGAGGGTGTTTCTGTCCCTCGGGGGCTCTGAGCACCGCTGGAGGCTGTCACGGGGACCCAGGTTCATGGACAGTGGTCTCAGCTGTGAGCTTCGGGGCTGCCCACACAAACTTGGTCTTGGACCAAACTGACCTCTCTCTGCCTGGCCTGCTCTCAAAGCCTTTGATTTGTAGTTCAAAACATTTTCTCCTAATATTTATGACTCGTCTTGAAGGTATAAGGTTACCAACCTACCAGAAAGGGGAGAAAAATAGTCGATCGTTCATTCCACATTTATTGAGCGCTCAGCCTGTGCATAATGCGTGCCGGAAATCCCGGGAGCCGGGAATTGATATGAGGACAGGAATTTCTCCGTAAGTGTCCACTTCTGCGCTTTCGCGGAAACTCCGGTTCTCTCCCCAGCAAGGCATCTGTAAAGAGATGACACCCCTGCCTCAGGCCAGGGCTGCCCTGAGGAGCGCAACAGTGACCAGGACTCAGCGTAATTCAAGGCCAGGGAATGCTTGGACCCGTGTGGATGTTACTTGCCTGGGTATCAGATAGGCAGGCCGTGGCTCCACTGGCCCCAGCAGTCTTCTGTTAATGCATGAATGGTCCTTGATGTGATTTTTTTAAAAATCGTGGTGAAATACATGTGACATAAAATGAGCTCGCTGAACCACTTTGAAGCGCAGAGTTGAGTGCTGTTAAGCCCGTCCATGTTATCTTGCGGCCATCACCACCATCCAGCTCTTCCCAAACTGAAACTGTGTCCCCCGTTAAACAGCAGCTTCCTGGCCCCCTCCGTAGCCCCTGGCAGCCACCCTTCCCCGTTCTGTCTCTAGGAATCTGATGACTTTCGGGACCCCATATAAGGGGGCTCATACAACCTATGTCCTTCCTGTGCCTGGCTTATTTCTCTGAGCCTCACGTCCTCACGGTTCATCTGTGTTGTAGTCTGTGACTGAATCTCCTTCCCTTTTCAGGATGAATAATATTCTATTGTGCAGATAGACCATATTTTGTGTATCCGCTCATCCTTTATGTGATTTTAAAAAATGACTTCTGGACGGGCGCGGTGGCTCATGCCTGTAATCCCAGCACTTTGGGAGGCCAAGGCGGGCAGATCACCCGAGGACAGGAGTTCCAGACCAGCCTAGCTAAAGTGGAGAAACACTATCTCTACTAAAAATACCCACAAAAAATTAGCCCGGCGTGGTGGCGCACACCTGTAGTCCCAGCTACTTAGGAGGCTGAGGCAGGAGAATCCGTTTGAACTGGGGAGGCGGAGGTTGCAGTGAGCTGAGATCGTACCACTGCACTCCAGCCTGGGTGACAGAGCGTGACTCTGTCTCAAAAAAAAGACTTCTAAACCAAGCTCTTCTAAAGATGACACGCTTGTTTAAATCCATCAGTGGGCGTGTGTGAGTGGCTTTGTACTTGGTGCCGCAGGGGGCTCAGGAGGGATGTGAGAAGCAGCGCTCCACCCTGAGTAGGTTCATCACACAGTCTGTGTATACCGTGGTCAGAGTGTGGCTGAGACACACATGAGATGGTAAAGAATTAGGAGGAGTGGGAAGGGCAGCAGGGAGTGAGCTTGGGTGATGGTAGGACTCAGAAGGTCCAGGGATTCCTGGAAGGTTCCAGGCCGAGATGGTGCTGAAAATCTCAGGGAGGAAGGGCATCCCCACCAAAAGGGGGTGTGGAGCTGGGAGATGGGACAGGACAGCCACCTGTGGACACTGTACTAGGAAGGGGTTGGCAGGGTCACAAGAGGGCGCCCAGGTTCTAGGAGTCCAGGGGTTCGAGACCAGCCTGGGCAACATGGCGGGACCTTGTCTCTACAAAAAATACCAAAAAATTAGCCAGACATGGTGGTGTGCAGCTGTAGTCCCAGCTACTTGGGAGGCTGAGGCAGGAGGATCATTTGAGCCTGGGATGCGGAAGTTGCCGTGAGCTAAGATGGCGCCACTGCAGTCCAGCTTGGGCTACAGAGCAAGGCCCTGTATCAAAAAAAAAAAAAAAAAAAAAAAGAGGGGCAGTGTCTGGACTTCTTTATCCTATGCAGTGATTCTGGACCCTTCCGATAAAAGGCTTGCTTCCTGGGACTGAGGGGCTGTGTGACTGTGGCTTGGTGGTGGCTGGCAGAGGCCGTGGAGTTGAAGACGCACTTGTGATTGTAGCTCCTCATAGCATGTCGGGCATGAAAGGCCAAATAGGGTCCCGATTTTCAGATGATGATGATGAAAAGGCGTGTCAAATGCTGAAAAATGGAGCCTCTTCGAATCCATTTTAAAAACCGCCTTTAGGCACGGTGGCTCACACCTGTAATCCCAGCACTTTGGGAGGCGGAGGCAGGCGGATCGCTTGAGGTCAGGAGTCTGAGACCAGCCTGGGCACCATGGTGAAACCCCATCTCTACTAAAAATACAAAAATTGGGCAGGCGCCTGTAATTCCAGCTACTCGGGATGCTGAGGCAGGAGAATCGCATGAACCTAGGAGGCAGAGGTTGCAGTGAGCTGAGATTGCCCCACTGCACTCTAGCCTGGGCAACAGAGTGAGACTCTGTCTCCAAAAAAGGAAAAAAAAAAAAAAAACAAAAAAAACAAAAAAACACTTTCCATTCCCTCTTGGCCAGGCCCTGCACTATCTGCTTTGCAGGCAGCGCCTCCAGCAGCATTCCGTCTTTTGGGTTGGAGCCCATGAAGGCATGGGTTTGAGGCATGACTACTGATCTGTGCTAGCCGTGTGACCTTAGACAGGCTTCCCGTCACCTAAGCTCTCTGAGAGTCATTTCTCTAATGAAATCAGGATATCAATACTGGTTATTTTCAGTATTGTCAGTTACACCAAGCATAAAATGAGAAAATGCGGCATATGAGCTAGGACTACCTTTGCCGTGATGACTAAGGTCTGGAGCAGATCAGAGGTTGGACCCTGGAGTCCAGACCCAGGGCTGCAGTGCCGGTATCCCCGCAAACACCAGCTGGATGGACCTCGTTACTTTTTTCTGGTGCAACCTCAGATTCCTTATCTGCAATCTCAATCTTACGGGGGAATTATGAGGCCCAAGGAAATCACAGACCGAGCTGATGCTCCGTCAATCTACCCTGTAGAAAAACCCTCACTCTTGGTGGTGGCAGTACCCAATCAGTCTAGAAAATAGCTTGATTGGCTGGGCACGGTGGCTCATGGCTGTAATCCCAGCACTTCGGGAGGCCAAGGAGGAGGATCGCTTGAGTCCAGGAGTTCCAGACCAGCCAGCCTGGGCAACGTGATGAGACCATGTCTCTACAAAAAAAATACTAAAAAATTAGCCAGGCATAGGGGTCTCTCCTTACTTGGGAAGCTGAGGCAGGAGGATCATTTGGGTCTGGGATGCAGAAGTTGCAGTGAGCCGAGATCACACCACTGCGCTCCAACTTGGGCGACAGAGCGAGACCCTGTCTCAAACAAAAAAAAACGAAAAAAAGAAAGGAAATATTTTGATCGATTGATTGAAATACAGAAACAAAAAGAGAAGGAAAAGAGAACCTTCGAGGGAGCCCCTTAAACATGCTCTTCTGCCAAAGAAAAATTAGAAGGCAGCTGGGCGTGGTGGCTCACGCCTGTAATCCCAGCACTTTGGGAGGCCGAGGTGGGCAGATTGCCTGTGTTCAGGAGTTCGAGACCAGCCTGGCCAACATGGTGAAACTCTGTCTCTACTAAAAATACAAAAAAAATTATGCCAGGGTGGTGGCGGGCGCCTGTAATCCTAGCTATTCGGGAGGCTGAGGCAGGGGTATTGCTTGAACCACGGAGGCGGAGTTTGCAGCGAGCCGAGATCGTGCCACTGCACTCCAGCCTGGGCAACAGAGCGAGACTCCGACTCAAAAAAAAAAAAAAAAAGAAAAGAATAAAAATTAGAAGGCACAGATTCCAGATGCCAGCCTCTTCCTGTGGCAGGCCACATAAGAAAATCACGGCCAGGGCACTGCACGCTCCATACAAAGAACACGCCCCATGCCTTGTCTGCGTTCTCTCCTTGAGGGACTGCCGCTCTCTGGGTCAGTGGTTTTAATGGGGTGATTATTTTCGGGAGGGTAACCTTTTGGGTTGTGATTTGTTCAAGGGCTCAGAGATTATAATGGTTGCTGTCACATTTCTGTAATAGGTGTTGGTGGCCGAGAGCCAGAGGGTGATAAAAGTCCTTCCAGTCCCATCTGTGTGGCTGTCACTTCTTCTTCCCCTGTCCTGCTACTCCAAGCACAGTCATTCCTCCAAAGTGCTGGGTTCCTCCTGGCCCAGCCGGGGCCATTCCTTAGTGGGCATTATTCTTGCAAGTGTGAGAGCCAGAGAGGGGCATGTGTAGTATCCATGCTCACAAACAGGGCTCCATCCTCCTTTGTGTGGTTTCTGTGTCTAGCATGTCATCTTCCTTCCTGCCCCTCTGCAACTGAGGAATTTGCTGTCTTTATACCCAAGTATCACAGCAGCAGAATGGGGGCTGCCCCATGCCATGTCCTCGGTCATGGTGGTATCAAAGGCAACACCTGCCAGGACAATGCTGGTTATGATTTCTGCCGTCCCCTGGGACTGGCCTCATTCCTTAAGAGGCAAGATTAAAAAAAAATAAAAAGCCAGGCACGAGGGCTCATGCCTATAATCCCAGCACTCCAGCACTTTGGGAGGCCAAAGCGGAGGATTGCTTGAACTCAGGAGTTCGAGACCAGCCTGGGCAACATAGCGAGACCCCATCTCTACAAAAAATTTAAAAATGAGGCAGGTATGGAGGTATGCGCCTGTGGTTCCAGCTACTCAGGAGGCTGAGGTGGGAGGATTGCTAGAGCCCAGGAAGTTGAGGCTGCAGGGAGCCGTGATTGCACCACTGCACTCCAGCATGGGCAGCAGAGTAAGAACCTGTCTCAAAAAAAAAAAAAAAAAAAGGCAAACCTGCTTTCTGGAGAGATCTACAGACTTAGAGCCTGACAGACAAGGTGCCCATTCCGGCTCCACTGCCTGCAATCTCGGTGACCCCAACAAAGTCACATGATGATTTTGAGCCTCAATTGCTGCACGTGTAAAATGGGTATAAAATTACCACCCCTAGCTGGGCACAGTGGGTCACACCTGTAATCCCAGCACTTTGGGAGGCCGAGGCGGGCAGATCATCTGAGGTCAGGAGTTTGAGATATGGCAAAACCCCGTCTCTACTAAAAGTACAAAAATTAGCCAGGCATGGGGGTGAGCACCTGTAATCCCAGCTACTCGGGAAGCTGAGGCGGGAGAATCACTTGAACCCGGGAAGTAGAGGTTGCAGTGAGCCACGATTGTGCCACTGTACTCCAGCCTGGCCAACAGAGCAAGACTCTATCACAAATTAATAATAATAATGATACCACCCCTAGATTAGCATAGACCAAAGTGTTTCCAAACGCACCAAATGTGTCAAGGGGTTCTGCAGGCTTCTGCTTTTAAGTTTTACTTCTGACTTGCTTATTCAGAGGCCAGGAGGGAGAACAGAGAGAGATGAGCTAAATGCAAAACAGAGTATATGTGGCAAAGAGCTATTTCCTTAATTTACTAAGAACTCTTGTAAACCAATGAGACATGGGAACTGGCACACTTTTTCTCGAAAGCTCCAAATAGTAAATATTTTAGGCCTTGTGAGCCAGAGGGTCTCTGTCGAAGCTAGCAACTCTGTCCTTGCGGGGTGGAGGCGGCTGCAGTTGGGAGTGAGTATGGCCACCTTCGGCACAGTGGATGGCACAGGACTGGACCCTCAGTGGGAGTGTCCAGACCCCAAAATTAGAGAATTCAACCAATGGAAAAAATGGTGAAAGGGTACAAACACACGGAATATGAGCAGGTCAGTCAGCATGCTTCGTTTGTAATTAAATCCATGTGAAGTAATACAACAGGGACATAGCGTTTTCCACCTGTCAGACTGGCAAACATCAAAAAGTTTGATAGGCCAGGCGTGGCACCTCTCACCTGTGATCCCAACACTTTGGGAAGCCCAGGTGGAAGGATCACTTCAGCCTAGGAGTTCGAGACCAGCCTGGGCAACATAGTGAGATCCCACCTCTACAAAAAAACTTTAAAAAATTAGCCAGGCATGGTGACACACACCTGTAGTAGTCCCAGCTCCTCCAGAGGCTGAGATGGGAGGATCACTTGAGCCCAGGAGTTTGAGGCTGCAGTGAGCTAGGATTGCACTACTGTACTCCAGCCTGGGCAGTAGAACAAGACCCCATCTCTAAAAATAAAATAAAAAAGAAAGGTAAAACTGATTGCCCATCAGTAATAATAATAATAATAATTTTTAAAAATTAAGGTATAACACACACACAGTACAGTCTTAAGCGTACAAACAGCTTGACGGGCCTTCACATGCCCTTCTGGAGCCAATCACCCAGATCAAGATTTGGGTCCTTTCTAGGTTCTGGGGAAGTGCCATATCCCCTCCCAGTCGTTACCCCTCCCCTGTCCCCTAAGGGAGGACCCTTCCAACCTCTATCACCATCCCTGTCCTTGAACTTGACGTGGACGGAGTCACATTCAATGTTTCTTTTTCATTGCTACACAGTATTTCATGGCATAAATTTACCGCAATAGGGGCAGGCGCTGTGTCTCATGCCTGTAATCCCAGCACTTTGGGAGGCCAAGGCAGGCAGATTGCTTTGAGCTCAGGAGTTCAAGACCAGCCTGGGCAACAGGATGTAACCGTCTCTACAAAAATTCAAAAATTAGCCAAGCATTGGTGGCTTGCGCCTATAATCCCAGCTACTCGGGAGGCTGAGGCTGGAGAATTGCTTGAGCCCAAGAAAGCAGAGGTTGCAGTGAGCCAAGATCGCACCACTGCACTCCAGCCTGGGTGACAGAGTGAGACCTGTCTCAAAAAAAAAAAAAAAAAAATTACCACAATTTACTTATCCACCTGACCGTTGATAAATGTTTCTGTTGCTTGCAGTTTGGGGCTGTTATGATGAAACCACTGTGAACATTCTTATACGTGTCTTGGTGGTGATGGCCCTTTAAAAAAAAAAATCTGGAAGCAGCCTGGGCACAGTGGCTCATGTCTATCATCCCAGCACTTTGGGAGGCTGAGGCAGGAGGATGGCTTGAGCCTAGTTGTTTGAGACCAGCCTGGGCAACATAGTAAGACCCCATCTCTACAAAAAATGTAAAAGTTAGCTGGTGTAGTGGTCATGCCTGTGGGCCTAGCTCCTCAGGAGGCTGAGGTGGGAGGATCACTTGAGCTCAGGAGGTAGAGGCTGCAGTGAGCTGTGATTGCACCACTGCACTCCAGCCTGGGCGACAGAAGGAGACCTTGTCTCTGAAATTTAAAAAATCCAAGGAGGGCTGGGCGCGGTGGCTCACGCCTGTAATCCCACCACTTTGGGAGGCCGAGGCAGGCGGATCAAGAGGTCAGGAGATCGAGACCATCCTGGCTAACACGGTGAAACCCTCTCTCTACTAAAAATACAAAAAAATTAGCCAGGCGTGGTGGTGGGCACCTGTAGTCCCAGCTACTCGGGAGGCTGAGGCAGGAGAGTGGCGTGAACCCGGGAGGCGGAGGCTGCAGTGAGCCGAGATCGCGCCGCTGCACTCCAGCCTGGGTGACAGAGTGAGACTCCATCTCAAAAAAAAAAAAAAAAAAAAAAAAAAATCCAAGGGCAAGCAGAGGCCCTGTGCCGGCGTTTTCTGCGGTTTAGTAAATTGCTATGTCAGTGGATAAATGCTGCTGTGAAGTAAAACTGTAACGTTATTGACATTAGTGCTTCGTTGCCTGCCTCTGCGTAAGGATTATGTGATTCGTGGAAATCTTCTAAGAAGAAATGGCCTATTTTTAAAGGGATTCAGGTATCGTTGGTTCCGGGGGAAACGTTCAGCAGAATAATAACGATACCTCACACCGCCTTCCAAGACTCCTGACTTCAATTCTCAGACGCGTTTCAAGAAGCAGCTTGATACCCTGCGGAGAGCCTCTGCGAGCTGACATGGGGGTCCCTGTTTGCCAGTGAACAGGCACCGTGATCCCCGTTTGAGTCCCTGAGGCACGCAGAGGCTCTTGGCTCTTCGTAGGAGAGTTCTCGATCTTTGAAAAATGTTTCTCCTCCTTCTTAAAGGACGGCCTTTTACCGGGCCCTGTTCCGAGTGTTCTGAGCCCGGGGAGGTCTTAGACTGGCGAAGAGCATGACCTAGTGGGGAAAGGACCCAGCTCCGGTACAAGCAGAAGGCCGTCTGTGCGCCGGGGACGGGTCACCGTGTCTCCTCACTCATTTTATGTGGAAGTTTGCTGTAATTTTGTCTTGCTCTGTTGCCCAGGCTGGAGTGCAATGGTGCCATCATAGCTCACTGCAGCCTCAGCCTCCTGGGTTCAAGCAATCCTGTCACCTCAGCCTCCCAAGTAGCTGCGACTACAGGCATGTGACACCATGACCGGCTAATTTTTTTATTTTTTGTAGAGATGAGGGTCTTGCTATGTTGCCCAGGCTGGTCTCGAACTCCTAGACTCAAACTATCCTCCAGCCTCAGCCTCCCAAAGTTCTGGGATTACAGATGTGAGCCACCGTGCCCAGCCCTGTATCTTTCTTAAGTAATTTGTACATATATACATATTATTTTTAAAAAATTATATATGTAATTATATGTATAATTATATATTTATATATAATTGTATATAATATGTATAATTATATTTGTATAATATCTATTTATATAATTTATATATATAATTTAGTAATTATATATATACAGTTCTATTTTCTTTGACACAGAGTCTCACTCTTGTTGCCCAGGCTGGAGTGCAGTAGTGTGATCTCAACTCGCTGCAACCTCCACCTCGCGGGTTCAGGCAATTCTCCTGCCTCAGCCTGCTGAGTAGCTGGAATAACAGGTGTGTGCCACCATGCCCAGCTAATTTTGTATTTTTAGTAGAGATAGGGTTTCACCATGTTGGCCAGGCTGGTCTCGAACCCCTGACCTCAGGGGATCCGCCCGCCTCAGCCTCCCAAAGTGCTAGGATGACAGGCATGAGCCACCGTGCCCAGCTGTAATTTTAAAATATATTTTAAAGATCAACCTTATGTCTTGTGGCAGTCAGACTAATGGGCCTCGGAGGCCCTCCTCCCACTGCACTGGTGGCCCTACTTCCCCCTTCCGCCTGCCTAGGGCCTCCTGCCTCTGCGCCTGGCACTTCGCCCTGCCCTGTGCCTGAGATGATGATCCTGCCACCTGCCAAGGCCCACTCTGCACAGGCACCAGAGCCCACCTCTCTCCAATCAAAGACGCTTCTCGAGCAACTGTCTTCTCTCTCTGCTGCATCTTCCATTCTGTATTCCCTCTCTACGGGGACCGTTCCTATCCAAGTGCGACTGATCTACTGCAATTTCACCCACTTTAAAACAAACAAATGACAAACCTGTCTTGATTTTACATTCCCCTCCAGCCTTTGCCGCATTTCTCTGCACCCCCTTTGTATTAATTTGCTGGGGCTGTCATAACAAAATCCCACAGACTGGGCAGCTGCAGCAATAGACATTTATTGCCTGGCATTTCTGGAGGCTGGAAGTCCTGGATCAAGGTGCCGGGCGGGCTGGTTCCTTCTGAGGCCTCTCTCTGCGGCTCCCAGGTGCCGTCTTCTCCCTGTGTCCTCGCCTGGCCTTTTCTCTTGAGTGTGTGTCCCCTGGGTCTCTGTGCCTCCAGTTTCCTCTTGGTATAAAGACACAGGTCAGATTGGATTAGGGCCCACTCCAATAGTTCCACTTTAATTTCAGCACCTCTTTAAAGACCCCGTCTTCAAATACAGTCCCATTCTGAGGTCCTGGGGGTTAGGATGTCCATAATAGGAATTTGGAGGGACAGGATTCAGCCCGTAACACCTTTATAGCAAAGTGTTGTCTGTACTCCCTGTCCTAATTCTTCTCCTCCCCTTCCATCTTGAGCCCACTTTCTTCAGGCTTTTGCCCCAGTACTCAATTTAAACAGCTCTAGCCAAAGCCACCCATGTGGTCAGGTGTGGGCTCACGCCTGTAATCTCAGCACTTTGGGAGGCCAAGGCAGGAGGATCACTTGAGGCTATGAATTTGAGACCAGTCTGGGCAACATAGGAGACCCCGTCTCTATTGGAAAAAAAAAAAAAAAAAGCCATGTATTGTGGTGTGCACCTGTGGTCCCAGCTACTTGGCAGGCTGAAGTGGGAGGATCACTTGAGCCCAGGAGGTCGACGCTGTAGCGAGCTATGATCACACCACTGCATTCCAGCCTGCATGACAGAGTAAGACCCTGTCTCAAAAAACAAAAACACAAAGTCACCAATGCCCTTATCTGATGGCTCATTCTCTGTCCTTATAGATCTTGACCTCAGCAGCATCTGAAGCCCATTCTTCTCTCCTCTTTGAAACACAGGTTCCTTTGGCTTTGGGGCCTCTCCATCTTGTTTCTTTCCCTCTTTACTGGCTACTCCCTCCTGGCCTCTTTTCTGACTCTTCTGTCTCCCTCACCTCTGAGGTCAAACTGCCCGGAGCTCAGTCCGTGGGCCTCTTCCCCTGGGTGGTCTCCTCCCACCTCTTGCTTTAAAAGTCATCTATAGGCCAATGACTCCCAAGTTTATATCTTCCGCCCAGGGTCTCCTCTTGAACTTTAGACTTTAATATCCAACTGTCTTCACACGTCTGCCTGGACATGGAGTGAATCCAAAATCAAACTTGTGATTTTCCAAACTCTCTCTTCCATCCCATCCTGCCTGGGACTCGGACTTAAGATCCTTGGAACAGTCCTTCACTTCTCTGTTGGTAGTTTGTCCGCTTGCTGGGCACAGAAAAGAAAATTTGCTCAGGCTAGGTCATGAAGAATGTCATTCTCATGCGTCTTTTGATAGGGAAATCTTTTTTTTTTTTTTTTTTTTTTTTTGAGACACGTCTCACTCTCACCCAGGCTGGAATGCAGTAGCATGATCTCGGCTCACTGCAACTTCTGCCTCCTGGGCTCAAGCGATCCTCCTGCCTCCGCCTCCCCAAGTAGCTGAGACTATAGGCATGCACCACCATGCCCAGCTAATTTTGGTATTTTTTGTAGAGACAGGGTTTTTCCATGTCACCCAGGCTGGTCTCGAACTCCTGGATTCAAGTGATCTGCCCCCCTTGGCCTCCCAAAGTGCTGGTATTATAGGCATGAGCCATCTTGCCCCACCTTGATGGGGGAATTCTTTCTGCAGTAGATAGGGCACCGCACAGTGCACTGGAGAGGCCACTGGGCTCAGAAAGAGGGATTTGGTTTTCAGACACTGACCCATTGGATGGTCTGGGCCAAGTTCCCTTTCACCTCTGGGGCTCAGTTTCCTCGTAAGTCAAATGAGAAGACTGTACAGGACTTGGGGCAGTAAATGGGTTGCATCTAGCAAGCCAATTCCAATCAACTAGTAATGGCTTGCTGGAGCACCGCATTGAGGACCCAAGCTCAGTGATCAATCACTGACGTTTGCCCATGGGTGTGAATCTGAACGTGGAAGCTGGGCTGCCCCATCCGTCATCTGCACTTGCCCTGCATGACCCAGAGCCCTTCCAGCCTTGAAAATCCACGATATAAAGACACATGCCTGTGAATGTTCACTGCAGCACTATTCACAGTAGCAAAGACATGAAATCAACCTAAATGCCCATCAATGACAGATTGGATACAGAAAGTTGGTACATACACACCATGGAATACTATGCAGCTTTAAAAAAGAATGAGATCATGTCTTCTGCAGGAACATGGATACAGCTGGAGGCCATTATCCTAAGTGAATTAATGCAGGTATAGAAAACCAAATACCTCATGTTCTCACTTATAAGTGGGAGCTAAATGATGAGAGCACATGGACACAAAGACAGGAACAACACACAGTGGGGCCTCCCTGAGGGTGGAGGGTGGGAAGAGGAAGAGGATCTGAAAAAAAGTAACTATGGGGGCTGGGCACGGTGACTTACACCTGTAATGCCAGCACTTTGGGTGGCCAAGGCAGGCAGATCACTTGAGGTCAGGAGTTCAAGACCAGCCTGGCCAACATGGCAAAAACCCGTCTCTACTAAAAATACAAAAATTAGCCAGGTGTGGTTGCAGGCGCCTGTAATCCCAGCTACTCAGGAGGCTGAGGCAGGAGAATCACTTGAACCCGGGAGGTCGAGGTTGCAGTGAGCCGAGATTGTGCCACTGCACTCCAGCCTGGGTGACAGAGCAAGACTCCATCTCGGGAGAAAAAAAAAAAAAAGGAACTACTGGGTACTGGGCTTAGTATCTGGGTGATGAAATAATCTATACACCAAATCCCCATGACACTAGTTTACCTATATAGCAAACCTGCAGGTATACCCCAGAGCCTAAAATAAAAGCTAAAAAAAAAAAAATCCGTGATGACCTCGTGACCTTGAACAAATCGCTTCACTGTCCCAAGATTTTATTTCTTCATGAATAAGATGGAGATAAATAATTCCTGCCTTGCCACTACACAAAATTGCTCTCAAGACAATGTAAGTAGATGAAAAATGGTGCTGGAGGTTTTTATGCACCGTGGTATAAAGGGGAAGTTTTATTTTTTATTAATTGACCTCTCCAGTTGTGGATTCCTGTCGGTCACGCACTCCTCTGAACCATCTCACCGGTTGGGTTGAAAGCCCTTTCTTTCCCTGTTAATGGATTCAGTTTGCTGCCCCCCACTCTGGGAAGACAAGGTCATTTGGATTTCCCTGGTGCGGAGGAGAAAGGGGATTAATATGGGGGTTGGATGCGGGTGTGATCCTTCCGTGCTTAGAAGATCTCAGCATTCTTTTTTCTCTCTCTCTTTTTTTTTTAAAAACTCTAAGTTCTGGGATACATGTGCAGAGCATGCAGGTTTGTTACACAGGTATACATGCGCCATGGTGGTTTGCTGCACCCATCAACCTGTCATCTAGGTTTTAAGCCCCACATGCATTAGGTATTTGTCCTAATGCTCTCCCTCCCCTTGCCCCCCAACCCCCGACAGGGCCCACTGTGTAATATTCCCCTCCCTGTGTCCACAGATCTCAGCATTCTTCTTTTTTTTTTTTTTTTTTTGAGACGGAGTCTCGCTGTGTCTCCCAGGCTGGAGTGCAGTGGCGCCATCTCGCTCACTGCAAGCTCTGCCTCCTGGGTTCACTCCATTCTCCTGCCTCAGCCTCCCGAGTAGCTGGGACTACAGGCACCCGCCACCACGCCAGGCGAATTTTTTGTATTTTTTTTTTTTTAGTAGAGACGGAGTTTCACCGTGTTGGCCAGGATGGTCTAGATCTTCCGACCTCATGATCCGCCCACCTCCGCCCCCAAAGTGCTGGGATTACAGGCCTGAGCCACCGCGCCCAACCGGATCTCAGCATTCTTTTTTTTTTCTTTCTTTCTTTTTTTTTTTTTTTCACTCTAAGTTCTGGGGTACATTTGCAGGACGTGCAGGTTCGTTACATAGGTATACATGTGCCATGGTGGTTTGCTGCACCCATCAACCCGTCATCTAGGTTTTAAGCCCCGCATGCATTAGCTATTTGTCCTAATGCTCTCCCGCCCCTTCCCCCCAACCCCCGACAGGGCCGGGTGTGTGATGTTCCCCTCCCTGTGTCCACGGATCTCAGCATTCTTAACAGCCGCTGGGCAGGTGGCAGCCTGAAGGTTTTCTTCAGGGTCACTCAGCTAATCAGTGACCAGGGGGGTCTTGCATCATAGAACCCAGAGCTTCCAGTTCCCACCCACTGTTCCCACCACTTAAGGATGCTGCTGTACAATGGGTGGGGACAAAAATCTTCCCAAAGTAAATTTTTATCTCCTTTAAGGGTTCTTTCTTATTATCCAAATCTCTGGAGTTAAATTAATTCTCCAGTTGGGCAGCTAGAAGCAGTCGGTCTCCCTAGCATGCTGCCGAGCGCAGCCCTGGTTAATTTCTGGAGAGGGCACGTGCCCTGCAGCCTGTGGAAACCCAGCAGAGATATCCAGACATATCTATTTTCGTTATCTGATGAAAATGTCCCTGTCCCTAAATCTACAAGCCCTCTTTCTTTCACCTTGAATCTTGTGAATGCCTTGTGTTTTCTGCCCAAATCCCAAACAAAGCCTCTATCTGCAGCCTCCTGGATCTATTAACTTTTCCCAGAGACCCAGGGGAGCCATCTGTTCTTCTATTATTTGGTTTAAGTAAAGCTTTGGGGCATTTCTTCTTGCCAGTGGTATATTCCGAGCTGGATTCATTGCCCAGGCCCTTATTTATTAGCATGTGTGTTTTATTGCAATGCGTTTCATTTCCTTCTGTCTTTTAGTCTGGGCTTCATCCTGGAGCCCCCGTCATGAACGATGTTTGGTGCTGTATGAAACGAGATGCATTCAAAACCCTTTTAAGACATAAAGGGCTTTTTTTCTGGTTTGATTTTTTTTTCCTTCTTCTTCTTCTTTTTTTTTTTTTTTTTTTTAGTGGCAGATAAATAAAGGACCTGAGTTTCCTGTAGGACTGGAAACAGTGAATCAGATTTTTGTTTTGTTTAAAACCTGAAAATCTCAGGCAGGAGTCGAGAGTGTCTGGACAGAGCTGAACGCTGTGTTTAGGTGTTTGAGGTGTTAACCCGTTCCCGGCGAGCCATTCCATGGGAGAGGGGGTGGCCACCCACAGGGACTGATTTGAGAGGTGCCAGAAAGCTTGCTTGAGTCAAAAGGTGGCCCGGGGCAGACTGGGCACTTCCTCTGTTGACTTGCCTGTCCCAGAAGGACATTTTAGTGATTCAGCGTCTGCTGTGATTCACGGAACAGCCAGTGCCATGAGTGTGTGGTCTGCTCCCTACCGGCCATGTGACCTTGGGCAAACCATTGAACTGCTCAGCACTTTTCTTCCTATCTGTGACATGGGAGACAAGACCAGCACCCTTCTCCTGGGAAGTTAAATGAGACACTGGCCACTCATTAGCAGAGTGACTTACAGCATCATTTTCCAATTCTTTCTCTTTTTTTTTTTTTTTTTTTTTTTTTTGAGACAGGGTCTCGCTCTGTCTTCCAGGCTGGAGTGCAGTGATAGGATCATGGCTCACTACAGCCTCCACCTCCCAGGCTCAAGTGATCCTCCCAACACAGCCTCCTGAGTAGCTGGGACTACAGGCATGCACCACCATGCCCAGCTAATTTTTGGTTTTTGTTTTGTTTTGTAGAGACAGGGTTTTGCCATCTCTAATTCTAAAATTAAGTGTGAACGCTTTACAGAGCCCTTCGATCTCTCTGCTGGTCCCCATTCATTAACACCCATTACTGTCATGACCCACTTAACACATACGCAGAGCCTAACACGCACAGACACTCTGTGAGTTGCTAGGGATAAAAAGACAAAAAGACAGAGTCCCTGCCCCAGCAAGCCTGTTGTCCGGGGAGGAGACAGATATATAAACAGTCAGTTGCGAAGTAATGGAGTTGCTCTAATGGATGCTTGAAATGAAGACAGACCTTGGGGACAGGAACAGACAGGTCTGCCTGAAGGAGTCAGGAAAGACCTCCCAGAGCCGACAGAAGCTGAAATGAGACTGGGAAAATAAATAGGTTTTTGCCTGGCAGAGCAGCAGGCGAAGCGGCAGGCACAGAGCCGTGGTGGTGTGGTTAGTGTCAGCGCTGGAAAAAAGATGTGAGGACGTGGAAATGGGGCAGGGGAGGCCACAGGAGCCCTGGGGTGCTGTGCCAAGGAGGGCAGATGCTGTCCTGTGGGCAAGGGTGCGTCACCGGGGCGTTCTGAGCAGCGGCTACAAGCCAGGATGGATGCACGGGTTACAGAGATCACAGACAGCAGAGACGACAACAGATGGGTCCCTCAAGGCAAGAGGCAGGCCCTCATTTAATGGGCCACGGGCCAGGGATCGTTTTATTGTGATTTCAGATAAACTTTGTATTGAAGTAGCAAATGCACACCAGAGACCTGCACTCATCCTAAGTGTGTAACTCAGCGGATTTTCACAAAGTGAACACACCCAGGTCGCCCAGTGACACCCAGATCAAGAAACAGAACATGACCAGCTAAAAAATAATATTGTAATATAATAACATTTAATAGAATAAGAATTTTGTAGTGTAAGTATGTCCCAAATACTGCATAGGACATTCTTATGCTAAAAAAAAATAAAAATAAAAATCATTTGGGCTGGGCGCAATGGCTCACACCTGTAATCCCAGGGCTTTGGGAGGCCAAGGCGGGCAGATCACCTGAGGTTGGGTGTCTGAGACCAGCCTGGCCAACATGGTGAAACCCCGTCTCTACTGAAAATACAAAAATTAGCCAGGTGTGGTGGTGGGTGCTTGTAATCCCAGCTACTCAGGAGGCTGAGGCAGGAGAATCGCTTGAACCCGGGAGGCGGAGGTTGAAGTGAGCCGAGATCATGCCACTTGCACTCCAGCCTGACCTGGGCAACAGAGTGAGATTCCGTCTCAAAAAAAAAAAATCATTTGTTTTTAATTCAAAATTTAAATGTAATTGAATGTCCTCTATTTTATCTGGCAACCTTAGCTTAATCCATGTTGTTGCTTGCGGCGGTCGCTCATTCATTTTTTATTGCCAATAATTCATTTTTTATTGCCAATGAGTAGTATAACGTTTTATTTATACTACTGCTGATGGATATTTGAGTTGTTTCCAATTTTTGGCTGCATTGAATAATGCTGCTACAAGCGTTCTTTTTTGGTAGAATTGGGTGGTCTCACTTTGTTGCCCAGGCTGGTCTCGACTTCCTGGGCTCAGGTGATCCTCCTGCCTTGGACTCCCAAAGTGCTGAGATTAAAGGTATGAGCCACCATGCCCAGCCAGGCATTCATTCTTATGTGTTTTTGGAAACATGTGTTTGGCCACTCAAGAGTGGATTTGCTGGATCTTAGACTATGTTTTTGTTCTGCTCTAATAAATACTACCAAATAGTTTTTAAGGATGTCATTTCAGTCTGCACTCCCATTAGTAGTGTATGAGAGTTCCAGTTGCTCCACACTCTTACTCACACATGGAATTGTCTGTGTCTTCATTATAGCCATTCTTGTGGGTGTTTAGGCAAAATAAATAATTTCGTATCTTTAATTTGCATTTTGCTTATGACTAATTAGCATACATTTTCATGTGTTTATTGTCCGTTTCAGATAGCCTCCTTTGCAAAGTGCCTGTTAAAGTGTTTTGCCCATTTTTCTATTGAGTTGTCTTTTACTTATTGAATTGTAGTAGTTCTTTATATATGATAGACGTGAGTTCTTTGTCAGATATATGTATTGTGGATTTTTTTTCAGTTTACAGCTCAGCTTTTTACTCTCAATAGTCTGCTGATGAACAGAAGTTTTTAGTTTTAATGCAGTCCAATTCATGTGTGTATTTTTTTCTTATAGTTAATTTGTTTTGAGTCCTGTTTAAGAAGCATTCACCTATCCTAAAGTTTATGTTTCCTTCTAAAAGCCTTATTGTTTCATCTTTCACATTTATATCTGTAATTCATCTAGAATGGGTTTTTTCCTTTAAAATCAACTTTATTGAGGTATAATTTACATACAATAAACTCAGTGCATTTTGATCAATGTATATACTCCATGTAACCACAATCAAGATTTAGAGCATTTCCATCACCCCCAAAAAGTTGCCTCAAGTCCTTTTGCTACTCAGAGTGTGTTCCAGGGACCAGCGTTAGCCTCCCCTTGGGGCTGCTCCCATGAGGCAGACTCCCAGGCCCCACCCCAGACCTACTGCATTTTAACAAGGTTCCCAGGTACTCTGTATGCCCATTAAAGGTTTAGAGACAATCTGGGCTCCATTGGAGAAAGGTGACAAGCCAAAAATGCTGCTTCTATTGTTATAAATAGTGTGGCCTGAAGCAAGTCCGAGGTAAATGATGGATGATTGAGTTTAGGGGGAAAAATGAGAGAAGAACCAAGTTGGGAAGAAATTGTGAAGTCATTACAAGAACACCCTTTATTTTCCTGGACCAAACACCTATTCTCCCTGAGGCCTGGCCCCACTGACATTATGGCAGGGCATGACACCTGCAGATTTGAGGGGCAGGATTTTCCACTGGTGAGACTATGCGTTCCCTGGGTAGCTGCTTCCTGGTCTTCATTCTGTACCACAGTGGAGAAAGCCATTCCAATGACCACATCCAGAAGAGACCTTAATTTTAGGTTGCGGTTGTTTTCTTTGTTTTTAAGCTTGCTTTCTATTTTTATCTAAACAATATGTGTACTTGGTTTACAAAAGTCAAACACAGCCAGGTGTGGTGGCTCCTGCCTGTAATCCCAGCACTTTGGGAGGCCAAGGCAGGCGGATCGCCTGAGCCCAGGAGTTTGAGACCAGCGTGGGCAACATGGCAAAACCCTGTTTCTACCAAAAATAAAAATAAAAAATTATCCAGGCATGGTGGCACGCACCTGTAGTCCCAGTTACTCGGGAGGCTGAGGTGAGAGGATAGCCTGAGCCCAGGAAGTCGAGGCTGCAGTGAGCCATGATCATGCCACTTTACTCTAGCCCAAGCAACAGAGTGAGACCTTGTCTAAAACTAGAAATAGAAATAAAACATCAAATACTATCACATGACTTAAAATAAAAAATAGCAGTCCTGTAGCCTGCCCCTCCCCACTTCTGAATCCCATTCTTCCAACATTTTAATCATCTACCCTTCCAGATGGCACCTTATCCCCACACCTGTTGTCCCCATAATTTTCCAGCGAGTAAACCTACCTTCTCCTATCAGTTGGGGAGGGAATCTGGGGGCTCACCTGCTCTTTTTACATTTCCTCCACTCATCTGCTGGCCCCAGCCCTGCCCTGCACACCACCTCTTGCAGTACAAGGTGCTTCCATTTTCTGAGCTCTTCTGGGGCTCTGCAGAGAAAACTGTCTCTCTCCTCGCCAGCTCTTCCACCATTAGGAACTCGGGTTTCATCCTTCTCTAATGTAAAGTCTGTAAACGTTTTGAAATTATAAGTTAGATTTCTTGAAAATTTCAGACAAAAGGATATACAGATACTCCTTGGCTTATGATAAGGCTACATCCCGATGAACCCATCATAAGTTGAAAATATGTGAGTCAAAAATGCATTTAGTAGGCTGGGCATGGTGCCTAAAACCTGTAATCCCAGCACTTTGGGAGACCGAGGCAGGTGGATCACCTGAGGTCAGGAGTTCAGGACTAGCCTGGCCAACATGGTGAAACCCCGTCTCTACTGAAAAATACAAAAATTAGCCGGGCATGGTGGCGGGCACCTGTAATCCCAGCTACTCAGGAGGCTGAGACAGGAGAATTGTTGAACGCGGGAGGCAGAGGTTGCAGTGAGCCAAGATCGCGCCACTGCACTCCAGCATGGGTGACAAGAGCAAAGCTCCAACTCAAAAAAAAAAAAAAAAGAAATTACGTTTAGTGCAAACCTGCTGAACATCCTAGCATAGGCTGGGATACCTTAAATATGGTCAAAACACTTACATTAGCCTACAATTGGGCAAAATCCTCTCACACAAAGCCTATTTTCTAAAAAAGTGTTGAATATCTCATGGCATTTATTGAATACCATACGAAAAGTGAAAAACAAAATGGTTGTTTGGGTGCCTGAGATAGAGTTTTTACTAAATGCCTATCACTTTTGCACCATTGTAAAGTCAAAAAATTGTAAGTCGAGCCATCGTAAATCGGGGATGATCTGTATAGATCAATATATCATAAGAAATGCTAGCAATAAGATTTCACACTAAAGTACATGGTATTTATTTATGTGGATGGCTTATGGGAGAAATCCAGTTAAATTTATTTCCAAAGAAATATCCATTTGTTTTTGCAGCATCTTTTCCCCACTGATTTGCAATGCTAAGCTTCTGATATATCAAAATTTTCAAATAATCATGGCTTCAAATCTGAACCCAAACTCTGTTTTGTTTCTTAGATCTACTTGTCCTTCTCTGAATAAATACCAAGCTCTCTTCCCCCGGCCTCCTTTTCTGACTTCTCAGGTGTCTTCTTGTTGTTTTTTCATATATATATATATATATATATATATAAATTTTTTTTTTTTTTTTTGAGGCAGGGTCTCACTCTGTCACCCAGGCTGAAGTGCAGTGGTGCCATCACAGCTCACTGTAGCCTCAACCTCCCGGACTCAAGCCATCCTACCACCTTAACCTCCCAAATAACTGGGACTACAGGCACACAACACCACACCCACCTAATTTTTGTATTTGTTTGTAGAGACACAGTCTCAGTATATTACCCAGGCTGGTCTCAAACTCCTGGCCTCAAGCAATCCTCCCGCCTCAGCCTTCTAAAACATTGGGATTACAGATGTGAGCTACTGTGCCCGGCCAACTTCTCAGGTTTTAATTGAGCATTTTATGTTCTGTCTTAGCATATCAACCACATTTCTTTTTAAATATTTTTAGTGGTTGTCCTAGAATTTAGAAAATGCATTTTTAGCTAATCCAAATTCACCTTCAAATAACACTGTACTGTTTCATATGCAGTGAAGATACCTTGTAACAGAATTCCCAATTCCTTCTTCCTGACTCCGTGAGATGGCTGTCAATCACTTCACTGATCCATTTGCTAGAATTACCTGATACATAATTACTGTTATTCTTTAAAAACAGTTATCTTTTAGATCAATTAAGAGTTTTTAAAAAGATCTTATTTTACTTTTAGTTATTTCTTCTCCATTGTTCTTCCTCTGTATCATTTTTCTTCTTCTGAAGACCTTCTTTTAACATTTCTTGCAGAGCAAGTCTGCTATGAATTCTCTCTGTTTTTGCTTATTTAAGAAAGTCTTTATTTCTCCTTCACGTTTGAGGACTACTTCACAGAATTCTATTCTAAGTCAGTGGTTTCTTTCTGTCACTATTTTACTCCATTTTCTTCTTGCTCACTTGGTTTCTGATGAGATGTCTGCAGTAATTCTTATCATTGTTCACTTACAGATAAGGTAGGGTTTTTTTCCCTCTTTTATTCCTTTTGAGATTTTTCTCCTTATCTTTGGTTTTCTGCAGCTGGACAGGATATGCCTTGGGGTGTTTTGTTATTTGTCCTGCTTAGTGTTCTCTGAACTTCCTGGATTTGTGTCATTCATTTTGCAAAATTCTTGGTCGTTACCACTTGAAATATTTCTTTTGCTTCCTTCTCTTTTCGTCTCCCTCTGCTTATCCAAGTATGCCTTACACACTTTTGATATTATTCGATACTTCTTGGATGTTCTGCCCTGATTTTTTTTTTTAATTTTTATTTTTAGTTCTGGGGTACATGTGCAGGATGTGCAGGTTTGTTACATAGGTAAACATGTACCATGGTGGTTTGCTGCCCTATCCACCCATCACCTAGGTATTAAGCCTAGCATGCATTAGCTATTTGTTCTAATGCTCTCCCTCCCCCAACCCCACCACCCAGCAGGCCCCACTGTGTGTTGTTCCCCTCCCTGTGTCCATGCGTTTTCATTGTTCAACTTCCCCTCCATCTTCGTCGATGTTCCTGTAAAGGATATGATCTCGTTCCTTTTTATGGCTGCATAGTATTCCATGGTGTATATATGTACCACATTTTCTTTATCCGGTCTATCATTGATGGGCATTTAGGTTGATTCTGTGTCTTTGCTATTGTGAACAGTGCTGCAATGAACATACACATGCATGTATCTTTGTAATAGCATGATTTATGTTACTTTGGGTATATACCCGGTAATGGGATTGCTGGGTCAAATGGTATTCCGGTTCTATGTCTCTGAGGAATCGTCACACCATCTCCACAATGGGTGAACTAATTTACATTCCCACCAACAGTGTAAAAGCGTTCCTATTTCTCCACAACCTCACCAGCATCTGTTGTTTCTTGACTTTTCAATAATGGCCATTCTGACTGGTATGAGATGGTATCTCACTGTGGTTTTGATTTGCATTTCTCTAATAGTCAGTGATGTTGAGCTTTGTTTCATGTTTGTTGGCCACATAAATGTCTTCTTTGGAGAAGTGTCTGTTCATGTTCTTTGCCTACCTTTTAATGGGGTTGTTTGATTTTTTCTTGTTGTGAATTTGTTTGAGTTCACTGTAGATTCTGGATTCAGATTTTTTTTAATTCCTTTTTCTCTTTACATTTCAGTTTGGGACATTATATTCATCTGTATTCAAGCTCACTGATTCTCTCCTTGGCCATGTGCAGTCTACTGATGAACTCATTGAAGGCATTCTTCCTTTCTACTCTGTGATTTTTATTTCTAGCATGTCCTTCTGATTCCTTCATACAGTTTCCATTTGTCTGCTTACTTTATCCATCTGTTCTTACATACTGTCTATTTTTTTTCCATTTGGGCCCTCAACACATGGTATCTCACGGTGGTTTTGATTTGCATTTCTCTAATGATCAGTGATGTTGAGCTTTGTTTCCTGTTTCTTGGCTGCATCAATGTCTTCTTCTTTAAATTCCCTGTCTATGTCCTATCTGAGTCTGGTTCTGATCATCAATTTGTCTTTTCAGAGTGTTTTCTCTTGCCTTTTGGTATACCTTGTACTTTTTTGTTGACAGCCATACATGCTGTATTAGGTAATAGGAACTGAGAAAAATGAGCCGTTAGTGTGAAGATTCTGTGAATCTTGCTAAGATTCAGGTTCTGTTTAATGTTTGTTGTATTTCAAGGTACTAGGAGCTTCAGACTCCTCAAATGTCCTTGCTTTTGTCTAGTCTCTTGACTTGGGGATTCCCTGTATATTCCTCCTTAGAGCAAGTCTGTGATTTGCAGCTCTTTCAGCTCTAATCCACTGTGATTACACTGGAGCCCTGTCAGTGTAGTGGTGAAGTGTGGGGGAGGGGAAATGTTCTATAATCTCTGATTACATTTAATTGTTTTAATGGGCCTGTGTTTCAGAGCCGTGTCCTCACATGGTGGAAGGGGTGAAAGAACTCTCTGGAATACCTTCTATAAAGGCACTAATCTCATTGCAAGGGCCCCACCCTCATGACGTAATCACCTCTCAAAGGCCTCACCACCTAACACCATCGCCTTACGGGAGAGGAATTCAAGCCTATGAATTTGGGGGAAGACACACACATTGAGACCATAGCAGTAGTCTCCCCAGAAATGGTAGTCTCTATCTGCTTTCCATCTTCCAAAATTTTCTCAGCATCTCTCATCTACTGTCATCTTCTCTGTTCTTTATGTTCATATGAAAACACACACACATTTCATTTCTTAACAGGTGAATTGCTCCATTTTCAGGAGGGAGCAGAGAGAAATGTATATGCATTTCACTGGAAATCCAGCTGGAAGCATTTTCTCCTGGTGCCCCTTTCTCTTACTCCTCAAAGTGTGGTCCTCAGAGCAGCAGCACTGACGTCTCTTGGGCCTGTGTTGGAAATGCAGACTCTCAGGCCCCACCGCAGACCTTGTGAATGACTTCAACAAGAGCCCAGAGGGTTCCTACACACAGTAAACCTGGAGAAGCTCTGCTCAGTCCACAAGCTTCACCTGGGCCCCCTTTCTCCTCTGCTGCCTCTCCTCTCACACTTCATGTGGGTCCTTGTTAAAGCCAGGGGCTCTGGTGCAATGGTTCCCAGCCCTGGCTGCCGGTCAGAATCCTCTTTTAAAATTGCCATTGCCTAGGCCCTACCACAACTAATTGCTTCATTATTTGGGGTAATGGATTTTTAAAAACTCCACAAGTGATCCTAACACATGCCAAAGAGATGCAAAGACAGCACAAAACAGGCCCTGCCCTTAAAAAGTTCCCAGCCTGAACGTGGGAGAACATTCTGGAGATTAGGAAACAGCCCTTCAGGGCAATGAGTAGATTTCTGCACATGTAACGTAAATGACATGTAGTTCCAAGAGCACAGATTTTTTTTTTTTTTTTTGAGATGGAGTTTCGCTCTTGTTGCCCAGGCTGGCTGGAATTACAGGCGCCCACCACCACACCTGGCTAATTTTTGTATTTTTAGTAGAGACAGGGTTTCACCATGTTGGCCCGGCTGGTCTTGAACTCCTGACCTCAGGTGATCCACCCGCTTTGGCCTCTCAAAGTGCTGGGATTACAGGCATGAGCCACCATGTCTGGCTGCACAGAATTATTTTGCATTCAAATACTTGGACTTCTGGTTAATGTCCCAGAACCTTGTTTTCCTGGGACCTTGGATTCAGTTGAAGCTCTCAATGTTTTGCGTCATCTGATGGGTTGCCAGAAGTTTCCAGGTTTGACATGATTTCATGGTGCTCAGAGAGGAAGGGTCTCCGCTGTGCCCCACACCAGTTCTCCCCCTGTGTTTAGTGTGCACCTGAGTCACAGTGTCTGAGGAAGGCCGGGCTGTGTTCTCAGCCAGGAGCCCGCACTGGTCACAACGTCCATTTCCTCCCACGCCGCCATCTTTGCTGGCAAGCTCAGGCCCAGGGTGACGATGTTGCAGGGTGACTATGTTGCAAAAGATGGTTCTTGGATCTTGTGCAAGAAAGAATTCAGGGCGAGTCCACAGTGCAAAGTAAAATCCGGTTTATTAAGAAAGTGAGGTGGGTCAGGCACGGTGGCCCATGCCTGCAATCCCAGCACTTTGGGAGGCCGAGGCGGGTGGATCACCTGAGGTCAGGAGTTCGAGACCAGGCTGACCAACGTGGTGAAATCCCGTCTCTACTAAAAATGCAAAAATTAGCTGGGCATGGTGGCGTGTGCCTGTGGTTCCAGCTACTTGGGAGGCTGAGGCAGGAAAATCATTTGAACCCAGAAGGCGGAGGTTGCAGTGAGCCGAGATTGCGCTACTGCACTCTAGCCTGGTGACAGAGCAAGACTCCGTCTCAAAAAAAAAAAAAGGGTGAAAGAACAGTTACCTCTATAGACAGAGTAGGGTGGTCCTGAAAGTAAGAGGAGGGACGCGTCTACCTAGGTACAATACTTGTTTATATATAGGATAAAGAAAAAAAGAAAATCATGGGGAAATATACTTTGCTACAAGGATTTGTGATGGAGGATTAATTTTCTTAATTACTATATTTTGCAAGAATTGATATTACTATCTTTAAAGCAAATTAGGAATGCTTTTGTTCTCAAGATATCGGGGCCGGGTGGGGTGGCTCAAGCCTGTAATCCCAGTACTTTGGGAGGCCAAGGCAGGAGGATCACCTGAGCCCAGGAGATCGAGACCAGCCTGGCCAACATGATGAAACCCCGTCTCTACTAAAAACATAAAGATTAGCCAGGCATGGTGGCATATGCTGTAGTCCCAGCTACTCAGGAGGTTGAGGCAGGAGAATCACTTGAATCCGGGAGGTGGAGGTTGCAGGGAGCTGAGATTGCTCCACTGCATTCCAGCCTGGGCGGCAGAGCAAGAGTCTGTCTCAAAAAAAAAAAAAAGATGTCAGAATATCAGGACACTCACAAGTCTGGGTCTGTTTGGTAAACGTTATCAGTCTGTTCTCTTAACCGTTAACATCTAGAGGCCAGGAGTGCCTAACTTTCTGGGAATGCAGCCCACCAAGTCCCAGCCTTATTTTCCTCAGCCTCACTCAGGATGGAGTCGCTGTGGTTTGAACGCCTCAGACAACAGTACTGCCAAACCAAAAATCAATCATTCCAGTAGCCTTAGTGGGACCCAGGACTGATGTGGAAAGAAATACAAAAGCCCTGTTTCCTCCTGATGTTTCTCGCAGGCACTCATGGCTTGGCACCTCCAGCGTCCTGTTTGATCTACAGGGTCCAGG
Source organism: Homo sapiens (assembly GCF_000001405.40). Taxonomy (NCBI): domain Eukaryota; kingdom Metazoa; phylum Chordata; class Mammalia; order Primates; family Hominidae; genus Homo; species Homo sapiens. Next base: position 3,017,281 of record NC_000007.14, on the reverse strand, counting down.
TTGTCCACACTCTCCCTCCTGGGCAGCCTGAGCTGGGCAGCCCATCCCCCTTGGAGGTAAAGCAGGACCCCACTGGCCGCCATGCCCATCCTGCTGGCTGTGCATCCAATTTCTACCTTTTTCTATGAACCTTGTGGTGTCCAATAAACACGTGGAAGATGGAGGATGCTCTGAGTCTGGTTCTCCAGGACCGTTTCTTACCTGCCAATTGGATGCTCACCTAAATTTCCACTGAGATGCTGTGAGATTTCATGGAGGGTGCGGTGAGGGTGATTTTGTTACTGGAAAGGGACCCGGATCCAGACCCCAAGAGAGGGTTCTTGAATCTCATGCAAGAAGGAATTCAGGGTGAGTCCATAGAATAAAGTTAAAGCAAGTTTATTAAGAAAATAGAGGAATAGACCAGACGGGTGCAGTGGCTCACACCTGTAATCCCAGCACTTTGGGAGGCCAAGGTGGGTGGATTGCTTGAGGTCAGGAGTTCGAGACCAGCCTGGACAACATGGTGAAACCCTTTCTCTACTAGAAATACAAAAAATTAGCTGGGTGTGATGGTGGGCTCCTGTAATACTCAGGAAGCTGAAGTTGGAGAATCGCTTGAATCCAGGAGGCAGAGGTTGCAGTGAGCTGAGATCACACCATTGCACTCCAGCCTGGGCAATAAGAGTGAAACTCCATCTCAAAAAAAAAAAAAAGGTAGAGGAATAAAAGAATGGCTAGTCCATAGACAAAGCAGCCCTGAGGGCTGCTGGTTGCCCATTTTTATGATTATTTCTTGATGATATGCTAAACAAGGGGTGGATTATTCATGCCTCCCCTTTTTAGACCATACTTCTTGACGTTGCCGTAGCATTTGTAAAGTGTCATGGCACTGGTGGGAGTATAGCAATGAGGATGACCACAGGTCACTCTCGTCGCCATGTTGGTTTTGGTGGGTTTTAGCCGGCTTCTTTACTGCAACCTGTTTTATCAGCAAGGTCTTTATGCCAACCTCCCATCTCATCCTGTGACTTAGAATGCCTGACCATCTGGGAATGCAGCCCAGTAGTTTTCAGCCTTATTTTACCCAGCTCCTATTCAAGATGGAATTGCTCTTGTTCAAATGCCTCTGAGAGTTTGCGATTCCTGGACACAGCCCCACGGGAAGGGTCAAGTGGCTAATACTGCTATCTTTTCTTTTATTAGAGACAGGGTCTTGCTCTGTCACCCAGGCTAGAGTGCAGTGGCTTGATCACAGCCTACTGCAGCCTTGAACTCCTGGGTTCAAGCGATCCTCCCACATCAGCCTCCTGAGTAGCTGGGACTACAGATGTGTGCCACCATCCCCGGCTAATTTTAAAATATTTGGTAGAGATGAGGTCTCACTTTGTTGCCCAAGCTGGTCTCGAACTCCTGGCCTAAGCGATCCTCCTTCCTCAGCCTCCCAAAGTTCACAGGTGTGGGCCACCATACCCAGCCGGCTGCTATCAACAGTAAGAGTCTCAACACATTCTGTTATTTCCCTGGGGTGGTTCTGGAATGAGAGTCTGGAAGTGTTGCCAGCCAGAGTTACCTGATGCAGCCAGGTGAGGAGAAGGCAGGCCTGGGGCCACTCCAGTGCCAAAGCCCCCGTGGGGGATCATGGGCTGCTGTCTCCCCCCAGATCCATATGTTGCTGGGGGATCATGGGCTGTTGTGTCCCCCCACATCCATATGTTGCAGGCCTAACCTCCAGGACCTCACAATGTGACTGTATTTGGAGATGGGGTCTTTAAAGAGGTGATTAAGTTAAATGAGGTCATGGGGGTGAGCCCTAATCCCATGTGACTGGTGTCCTTATAAGAAGAGGAAATGAGGTCTGGCCTGGTGGCTCACGCCTATTATCTCAGCACTTTGAGAGGCGGAGGCGGGCAGATCACCTGAGGTCAGGAGTTCAAAACCAGCCTGGCCAATATAGTGAAACCCTGTCTCTACTAAAAATACAAAAATTAGCCAGGCAGGGTGGTGCATGCCTATAGTCCCAGCTACTCAGGAGGCTGAAGCAGGAGAATCACTGGAACCAGGGAGGCAGAGGCCGCAGTGAGCCAAGATCACGCCATTGCACTCTAGACTGGGCAACAAAGTGAGACTCCATCTCAAGAAAAAAAAAAAAGAGAGAGAGAGATCAGAGAGAGATGCTCACAGAACGACAACCTTGTGAGGTCATAGGGAGAAGATGCCGTCTACAGGCCCGGGAGAGAGGCCTCAGGAGACGCCTACCCTGCTGTCACCTTGATCTCGGACAGCAGCCTCCAGGACCCTGAGATGCTAAATGTCTGTTGTTGAAGCCGCCCTGTCTATGGCAGTTTATTCTTAACACATGAATCCCAGGAAACTCATACAGAGGCTTGCTGGTCCCTCCCTGCTCTGGAGTGACTCCTGCCTCCAAGTCTGGAGCCTTGAACTCCTGGGCTTCCGTCCACAGGATGGGAGGCAGACCCTGTCGCTGGCCACCAGAAATGCTGGTGCAACAATCCATTTTCCCGCTTGCGGCAATGCAGGCCTCGGGGGCTCCACAGAGATGTTTCTGATGTGTGTGCAGCCCGCGGGTCTCCAGGGCAGCACTGAAGGGCCTGCCGTTCCGTCCTGTGCCCTCACCACCGCCGCTGTCATCCCCCCTATTATTGAGCTCCTCTGTGGGCACGGTGCTGAGCTCCACCGCTGGAGCTTCCGGGAGTTCATTTTAAAGTCAGAGAGAGAAGACGCAGGAGCCAGCTCAGTCCCTGGTTCAATTGCATGTTAAACTTAGTTTGATGTCCTCCCCACTCGCCACATCTCTTTTATGACAGTTGGAAGCAGATGATGACAGTTCCGGGCGCCCTGCCTTTGCACCGCAGGGTCAGGAGGACCAGCGACCTCATTATCCAGCCTGCCACTGCCCTCTCACCCTCCTGCGTCTTCCAGTAGATTCCAGGATGCACCTAAAAGGGAAGGGGCAAAGGGGTCCTTCTGCAGGTGACCAGATGGTGGGCTGGGCCCGTGCTTGAGGCCGGCCTCTGCATAAAAGACTTCAACACCCCTTCCCGGCCACTGCTGTTAAATAGACTTCCCCGTGACTTTATGCACTCAAGCCCAGCTCTTTGCCCAGACATAGGCCCAGCCCACTCCCTCTCCAGGCCCTGCCTGGCTCTGCTCCTGTCTGAACACTGGCCTGCCTGCCTGCCTTCCTCTTGGCCTGGGCAGATTCTACCCTCCTGCACACTCACTGATGCCCAACAAACCTTTCCTTTCCTAGCTGCTCCCTCTGGCATTCCCACTCCCTTCCCAGAATTTCTCTTGCATTTTGTGATTAAAGAAGAAATCATGGTGTGAATGTAATATGGTGCAGCTGCCATGGAAAACAGCTGGGCAGTTTTGGCAAAAGTTAAACACAAAATTACCATATGAGGCTGGGCACAGAGGCTCAGACCTGTAATCCCAGCACTTTGGGAGGCCGAGGTGGGTGCATCACCTGAGGTCAGGAGTTCGAGAACAGCCTGGCCAACATGGTGAAACCCCATCTGTACTAAAAATACAAAAATTAGCCAGGTGTGGTGGTGGGCACCTGTAGTCCCAACTACTCAAGAGGCTGAGGCAGGAGAATCGCTGGAACCCAGGAGGCGGAGGTTGCGGTGAGCCAAGATCGCACAACTGCACTCCAGCCTAGGTGACAGAGCAAGACTCCGTCTCAAAAAAAACAAAAAAGTGTGGTTTCTCTAATGGGCATTTAAGATGGCTTCCAACCTTTTGCTGTCCTTTGTGTGTCCATGGATGTGCAGAGGGTTGAATATTTCTCTAGGTTGGGCGCCAAATAGGAATTCCTGGGCATCTTAGTTCATTCAGGCTGCTATAACAGAATATTATAGACTGGGCAGCTTACAAACAACAAACATTTATTTCTTATGGTTCTGGAGGATGAGAAGTCCAAGAACAAGGCATTTAGTGTCTGGTGAGGGCCTGCTTCGTCATAGACGGTGCCTTCTGGCCATGTCCTCCCATGGTGAAACGGGCAAGGGGTCTCTCTAGGATATTTCTCTGGGGACTCTCTTATAAGTGTCCTAATCCCATCCCCAAGGATTCAGCACCCCCTGACCTAACCGACTCCCAAGGGTGAGGTACTCTCCCTCATCTCCTAATACCATCTCCTTGGGATTAGGATCTCAACATAGGATTTCAGGGAGACACAATCACACAGCAGCACCCAGTGTCAGATGTGTGGTGGCATGTGTTCATGGATATTGCCAAATTGCCCTCAAAAACTGGCCGGACCCATTTAGATTCCCCTCAAGACAGCGGGAGAGTCCTTTTTTTTCCCTGCACCCTTGCCAAAACTGTGTATTATCCAGCTTGAAAATGTTAGCCACTCAGATGGTGGAAACATGCTGATGATAATGATAGCAACTGCCTATGCTTACTGGCCGCCGATCCTGTCCCAGGTACTGTACCATAATGAGAGCAGAAACTGCTAGTACCAACGAGCAGTGATTGCACCATTGCACTCCAGCCTGCCTGGGTGATCGGAGTGAGACCCATCTCAAAATTAAAAATAAAAAAAATCACTTCACAGGGTTGTTGTGGGATTAAGTGAATGGATATCACTGCTCATTGCAGCCTCAACCTCCCAGTCTCAAACCATCTTCTCATCTCATTTTTTGACTCTTTTTTGTAGAGATGGGGGGGTCCCACTATGTTGCCCAGGCTGGTCTTGAGCTCCTGGGCTCAAGCGATCCTCTGCCTCGGCCTCCCAAAGTGCTGGGATTACAGGCATGAGCCACAGTGCCTGGTGGAGGTGAGCTCTTTTCTCACTCCTCTTTTGCAGCTCCAGCTCAAGCGCAGAATGGAATCTCAATGTTCCAATTTTTTTCTTTGTTAGTGAGCCTAATTACCACTGCCATGTTCATTGGTTGTGTAAAGTTCTGTGAATTCCTGCTCAGTTTCCTCCTTTTCTTTCCCACCACGTGCCTTGTCTCTTTCTTATTGACAGTCTGCACATTAATCTCTATTTCATATATTACAGATGTTTTCCTGGACCATAACTTACACTTTAACTTCGTCGTGCTGTTTCTCACCACATAGAAGTTATAAATTACAATGTACGCGAAGGCATCAATCTTTTCCTAAATGACATTAGCATACCATGCCTTCTTTAGGAAGGCCTTTCCTATATGAAGGTTATCGGCGTATTTAACAGTTTTTTTTCTTCTAATACTTTGGAATTTATTATTTCATTTATAAATCATTCATCTATCTGCAAATTATGCAAAGGGGCAGGTAGGAACGTAATTTTTTCTGAATCGTTAGCCAATTATCCATCAGCACTTGAATTTCTACCTTGGTTTGAAATGTCACCCTAATCATACACTAAATTTTTACACCTACACTGGCTGTCTGCTAGACTTTTGTTCATTCATCTAATTATCTGTTTCTGTGCCACTGTGGCCTGTAGTCTTATAATATGTTTTAATATCTGGAGAGATGCAAGTTGACTTTGGATTTAGCCACCTTATTGCACTCTCATATTGATTCTAGCAGTTTCTGCTCTCGTTATGGTTCATTTTTAAATAATTGTAAATATTCTGGTTTATAGATTAGAGGGGGTATTCTTTTGTCATTTTAAAAATTTTATTATGTCTTTGTCAGCAAATATGCCATATGCTATTTCTGCGTTTCATTATTACTTGAAATTTCCTTTGTGGCTAATCTGTGTTGAATTTTTGTAGAATTTCCATGTGTAATTGAAAAGAGTTTTTTTTCTTCTATTTGTTGGGTACAGAGTTCTGTAGCTCTATTAGAGCAAACATGCTAACTATTTGAATCATCTCTCCCTGTACTTGCCGTCCCCGTCTCAGAGGACTGCAGGAAGTCTCTTTACTGTGGCAATGTCTTTACCGATTTCTTCCTGTATTTCTATCAGTTTTGCTTTATGTGCTGTGAAGCCAGATTGTGAGGCATGCAAGCATTCATGCTTAATAGCATGAAAAGTGGCCAGGCACAGTGGCTCACATCTGTAATCCCAGCACTTTGGGAAGCTGAGGCAGGAGGATCTCTTAAGCCCAGGAGTTTGAGACCAGCCTGGGCAACATAGTAAGACCCTGTCTCTACAAAAGATTAAAAAATTAGCTGGGCATGGTGGTGCACACTTGTAGTCTCAGCTACTCAGGAGCTGAGGCAGGAGGATCACTTGAGCCTGGGAGATCAAGGCTGCAGTGAGCTCTGCTGGCCCCACTGCACTCCAGCCTGGGCAACAGAGCAAGACCCTGTCTCAAAAATAGCATAAAAATCTTCCTAGTTACTTTTCATGCTTTTTTCCTCAAATTATATTAGGTTGGTGCAAAAGTAATTGTGGTTCTTACCATTATATAATGGCAAGGATTGGAATTACTTTTGCACGAACCTAACGTATTCTCATATAAGGACAGCAGGCAGATTGGATTAGGGCTCCACTTAACTCTCATTTCAGCTTAGTTACCTCTTTAAAGAACTTATCTCCAAATACAGTCACATTCTGAGCTACGGAAGGTTAGGACTTCAACTTATGCCTTCGGGGGGATGCTGTGCAGTCCATAACAGGCAACTACCATTGTTCCTTATATCCTATTTCTTCCCCTTGGAGTCTTTCTTCCTCCTTGCCGATGTACTGCTTTTGGTGATGGTTTCATTGAACGTCTATGGATGGGAAACTTTTTCAGTCCTTGCATGTGTGAAATTTTTTTTTCTATGTTTATACTTGAAATCATTGTCGAGCTAAATATAGAATTCTAGTTTCAAAATTGTTTTTCCTTAGAATGTTAAAGATACTGTCTTCTTGGACCAGGTATTGCCAATTGATCCATCTGATTCTATAGCTTTGCAGGTAACAGATCCCTGCAAGCTTTCAAGACTTTTTCTCGCAAGCCTGGCATCTGAGACTTCAGCATCACGTGAATTGCTGTGGTTTTTTTTTTTTCCCCTTCGTTCTTCCGGGCACTTTGTGCATCTTTCTGAGCTCAGGATTCATATCTTTTTTCAATTCTGGGAGCTTTTCTTCTAGAGTTTTGTTGAGTTTATCTTCCTCTCTGTTCTTTTCATTTTCTCCTGCTAGGTCACCTGTAAGACAAACGTGGGAACTTCCGGATCTATCTCCCACATCTCTTTAACTTTTCTTTTATCCTATCCAGGCCACCCCCAATGCCTTTTTTCTCTGGATTGTGGGAGAATTCCTCAATTCCATCTGCTAAGTCAGTGATTTGGTCATGAGCTGTGTCCATTCTGTAAATTCAGTCCATCTACTGTTTGGTTTTGTTGTTGTTGTTGTTTTGGTGATGTTTTGGGGGGGTTTTCTGGGTTTTTTTTTTTTGAGACGGAGTCTCACTCTATCACCCAGGCTGGAGTGCAGTGGCACGATCTCAGATCACTGCAAGCTCCGCCTCCCAGGTTCACGCCATTCTCCTGCCTCAGCCTCCCGAGTAGCTGGGACTACAGGCACCTGCCACCACGCCCAGCTAATTTTTTGTATTTTTAGTAGAGATGGGGTTTCACTATGTTGGCCAGGATGATCTCGATCTCCTGACCTCGTGATCCGCCCGCCTCGGCCTCCCAAAGTGACGGGATTACAGGCGTGAGCCACCGCACCCAGCGGTGATGTTTTGTTTTAATTTCTATTTGTGGAGCCAATGCTCTCTTGCGTCTTTCTGAGGACATGAAGCACGCACAATCTAATGGCTTGTTCTGCTGGCCCTGTGAACGCTTTCCTTGACCGTGCTTGGTTGTTTCTCTTACGGCGTTGGCTTTCCTCCAGTGTCTAGTGTTTCCTGGGGAGAGGACCACGTTCACATTGGGCATCCTCTCCAAATGGTCAGCTCTGACTGTATCTGTGCCTGCGGCCTTTTGGTGAGCACGAGATGATCCCTGCTGCGTTGTAGGGACTCCTTTTCTAGAATCTGAGGCTTCCTGTTCCTCCTGGGTCTCACCTGCACAGCCCAACCCTCCCCGCAAGCACCGTCGTGCCTCTCTGACCGCCAGGCCCGCAGTCTGCCTGCAGGAGGGAAGACATCTCCCTGGGGTGCTGCCTGGCCATGGAATGGGGTGAGGGGAGTTTGCAGGAGGTTCAACCCGGGCAGCTGTCCCTGTCTCAGGCAGAGCTCTAACTTGTCACCCTAGAGCTATCCTTTGTATCTGGTGTCTGCGGTCTTGGAGTTGGTCTTTCCTGCAGCCTCCGGACTTGGGTTTTCTCTTTCAGCTCGATCCTGTCTGCTAGCGATAAAATGATTTCTCATAATTTTGTATCCACTGGGTTGGGAGTGGGAGAGAAGGGAGAAATTACAGCATCTACAGTTTGCCTTCTTCGTATAATCTGCCCTTATGGTTTAAGTGTCACTTATTACATTACCGGGTCACATTGAACATTTAGTTAATTAAAAGCCCACAGTGTTTTTCTTCCCTTTCCTTCTTTCCTTCCTTTTTCTTTCTTTTTTTTTCCTTCCTGTTTTCCTTCCTCCTTTGTTATATTAACCATCTTTCCCAACTTTGTGTGACCAGCTAAAATCTGATAAAGTCAGTCCTTCCTTCCTTCCTTCCTTCCTTCCTTCCGTCCTTCTTTCCTTCCTTCCTTCCTTCCCTCCCTCCCTCCCTCCCTCCTTCCTTCCTTCCTTCCTTCCTTCCTAAGCCTCTGCCAAGCCAATTCTCCCCCATCCTGCCCTTGGGCAAAATTTTAAGGCAAAATTCAGCACTTTACGTTAATTTCTGTTGAATTCCATCTTGTGGTTTGGGCCCTATCTTCTTGCCTGTCAAGTCTTTTTGAATATTGATGAGTGCATTTATCATATTAACCATTTTTCCCAACTTTATGTGACCTGCAAATCTGATAAGGTTCTCCTGTATGTCATCACACACATCATTGCCAAAGGTGTTGAACAAAACAGGGTCCAGAAATGAGCTCTTTCGTCTAACCCCTTAGACATTCTCCAAGGTCTAAAATGTATTCAGCACAAAGAAAACACTATTATCAATACTATTTAGGTAATGCTGTTCAACCACCTGTGCGTTCACCTATGAGGAAAACCAGTCAGTCCCAATTCTATCATCTTGTTCTCAAGGTTATCATAGAAAATTGGTCAGAAGCTAAAATCAAGATGTACAATTGTCTTCTTGTTTTCTGATTCTCTGGTGTATTGGTTTGTCTTCCAAGCTGAAGTCTGAGTTTTTCAGAGGAGGGTATTGATGTCATTTCATTCAATGTTGTTTCATTATAATGTCAATGGGAAAAAAAGTTGATTCCTGGCTGGGACCACTGCCTGTGTGGAGTCTGTGAGTCTCCCTACGTCTGTGTGGGTTTTCTCTGGGTATTGCGGTTTCCTCTCGTATCCCAAAGGTGTGCATATTAGGTTCATTGGTGCGTCTACATGGCTGCAGTCTGAGTGAGTGTGGGGTGTGAGAGATGCCCCGCGATGGTGTCCTATCCTGGGCTGGTGCCCATCTTGTGTCCTGAGCTGCTGGGATGGGCTCTGACCACCCAAGACCCTTAACTGCAATAAATGGGTAAATAATTATTTGCTGTTCTTAATGAATCTTTCTTAAGCTCATATTTATTCTATGTATAGTGCACATTTATTTCCATGTTTAATACTAGAAGTGTTTTGGTCTTGAGAAGTTTGGTAGGCCAGGTACAATGGCTGATGCCTGAAATCCCAGCACTTTTTGAGGCTAAGGCAGGAGGATCACTTGAGCCTGGGAGGTCAAAGCTACAGTGAGTATGCCATGATTCCAGCACCGCATTCCAGCCTGGGTAACAGAGTGAGACAGAAGAAGAAAGAAGAAAGAAGAAGAAGAAGAGGAGGAGGAGGAGGAGGAGGAGGAAGAGGAGGAAGAGGAGGAGGAAAAAGAAGAAGTTGTAGTAGTAGTTGTTGCTGTTGTTTGGTGATGTTTTTGTGAGTAGAAACTTAATTCCTGTTTGTAATCATTAGCCTATGGTAAAATTCATTGCCTTACAGGTCATTTTGCTTAAAATTGCAGTTTCTAAGAACGAGTGGGCAATGCCGACTGAGGACTTACCGTACAGCTGTGCACATGCACTCACTGGCATGGAAACCATTGCATTATTTGAGCTTAGGATTCCTATATTTTTTCAATTCTGGGATTTTTTTTCTAGAGTTTCTTTGAATTTCTCTTCCTCTCCATTCTTTTAATTTTCTCCATCTGTATCACCTGTAAGACAACCGTTGCAACTTCTCAATCTGTCTTCCACTTAGCTTTTCTTTTATCCTGTCCAGCTCCACCCACCACCACCTTTTTCTGCTGGATTCTAGGAGAGTTCCTCAGTTTCCTCTTCTAGAATAAATCTATAGAGTGTATAAATATTAACTCACCACCCACAGTTGGAGGAGCTGTTATGGTTTTGATTTCATAGGCAGGGAAGTATCTTGATGGTTTATCGTGCTCTGGGCCAGGCCACCCTGCTGGTTGCAGTAGAGCTTGTTTGACTATCTTGTCCCAAGCCCTCTGCACTTCCACCCACTCCCTCCCTCTTTCCAGAATTTGGGAGCAGGCTCAGAAAATGCCATGCCCTGAAATTCCACCTGATAGGAATTGAAGAGAAATGAATGAGCGATTCCCAGCAGGGATCACTTGCCCTAAAAGATGAATTGAGCCGAGTTTCCGCAGTGACTGGGTCCTTCCCACACCTCATCAGTAGACTCCAAGCCAGAATGTAAATGAATGCAAAGTGATCTCATTCACTGAGCTTATCCATCATGGATATTGGTGCCATGACTGAAGACGGTGTTCTTGTCCAAGAGTAAGACTTGTGCATGTGCTTTTCCCCTCCACTTTCCTGGGGAGGGAATGGCCTGATGCTACCGACCAGTCCACATTCTCTGAACAGATGCATCCCCAGAGTGCACGTGAGTTCATCAGCTTCTCCAGGTTGATGGACACATGGCCTGTGATGATGTTTCTCAAAGTGTATGCCACACAGAACACTAGTTCGTGAGTTGCTCCATGAACCAAGGGTGCCATGGTCAGATAAGCTGGGAAATGCTGCGTGCTGCACCTTCCTTAGCAAGATTCATGTGCAAAGGATCTGAGAAGTCCTGTGATACCAGGCTTACCAATCCATTTGGTCACATCACACACCCCACTCCTCACTGTTTTTTGGTTTTTTTTTTTTTTTTTTGACTAAACACACTGTCTCCTAGGGACACAGTTCTGTGTAGTTAACAGGAAATATTTATTGAGTTTCTATGTGGCAGGCCCTGAACTAAGCTTTCTTTTGTATGATTTCATTTGCTCCTTAAAGCAACCCTGTGAAATTTATATATTGTCATCACTCCCATTCGACAGGTAAAGCATTCGAGGCTTGGAGAGTTCAAGCCACTTTCCCTCCTCACTCAGCCAGTAAGTGGTAGAGCCAGGTTCAAACCCAGGCCTGCCTCCCTCCAAAGTCCACTTTATCATGCTTCCCCAGAAGAAAATGGCCACTTATAATAAAAAGGTAAATTAGGGCCAGGTGCAGTGGCTCCCGCCTGTAATCCCAGAGCTTTGGGAGACCAAGGCAAGAGGATCATTTGAGCCCAGGTGTTCAAGGCCAGCCTAGGCAACATAACGAGACCCTATCTCTACAAAAAAAAATAATAATAATAATTTTTCTTTAATTAGCCAGGCATGGTGGCAAGCTCCTGTAGTAGTAGCTACTCAGGAGGCTGAGGTGGGAGGATTGCTGGAGCCCAGGTCAAGGCTGCAGTGAGCTGTGATTGTGCCACTGCACTCCAGCTTGGGTGACAGAGCAAGACCCTGTCCCAAATAAATAAGCATTATGGTTTATGAGTCAGCCTCTTAAGCATTCAGTGACCAGAATGAAGGAGGAAATAGTAAATTCCTTGAGCTTACAAAACGGAGCCCCATATCCTGAGTGTAGGGTGACCCCACTAAGGTGTAGCCAGGTTCCTGGTCTCTTCCTAGACTCTCTCCTTACCTTCCTATGGCCAGCCTCCGTTGTCAAAAGAAATCCAGCATGCTGCTAGGCTCATTAGAGGCCTGCGCTAAGCCAGGGGCAGGGGTGCCTTCCTGTAACTCCAGCTATTTGGGAGGCTGAGGCAGAAGGATCGCTTGAGCCCCGGGGTTTAAGACCAGCCTGGGCAACACAGCGAGACCGTCTCATAAAAAACAATAATTACAATAAATTATAAATATTCATAAATTTATATTGTATATAAATTTTTATTATATTATATATTATATATTTATATTTATAAATAAATTTATATTATATTATATATAAATTATATATATTATATATAAATATTTATAATTATAAATATATAGTAAAATATATGTTAAATTTATATTTATTTTTATATATTATATATTTAAATATATATTTATTGAAATATATATTTTAATTTAAAATTATAAATATATATGATATACATTATGTATAATATATAATAAAATATAATAAATTAAAAATGCAAATATATACTTAATTATATATCATATATAACATATTTCATATAAATATATAATATATAATTGTATATTATATACAATAATGTATATTTATATGATATTACATATAATTATATATCTATCATATATCAATAATATATATTGTTACATATATAATATATGAGAGAGATATATATTGAGTTTCTATGTGGCAGGCTGTGAACTAAGCTTTCCTATGGATGCTATCATTTGCTCCTATATATGTGTGTGTGTGTGTATATGTGTATACACACACACACACATATATATATATATGAAGGCGTGTCTTAGATAGCTGCAGAAGTGACTATTGAGATTATCCAGTGTTTCCCTACCTGGGAAGGCACGTGGTATCTTCACGGTGGGCTGTGGACTTAAGAAGCTGCTGACCTCTTAGCTCGCCCAGACCTCTGTGCCATAGTCAGGGTCTGGTTTCTTCAGCTCACCAGAGTTCCACGTGCGGTTGGTCTGGTCTTCCAGACGTTCATGGATGCTGCCCTTAGTTCTGTGCACATCCAGCAGTTTTTCTCAGCTGCCTCCTTCCCCCTTGGCCTCTCTTGCCTGCGTGGACCTCTGCGTGGCCCCACTCTGGGTGGTCCTGGATCTCACAGTGTCCCTTTGCCCACAAATACTCCCTCGCCCAGGGACTCTGAATGTGCCATCCCAGTGGGGACCCCACATTCCGTCTCCATGGTAACCAGCAGGAAGCTGGTGATGGATGGGGGCCTGGCGTGGAGCATATTGCAGTCCTCAGATACCATCACTTCCCACAGAGTGAGTCCAGGCAGGGAAGAAATGACTGGGGGGAGCGGGGAAGAAGAGGTCGCAGCAGCACCTTCTGGCGCTGATCGGACGTGGAGGCATCATTCCCGTGCCCGTCTTAACTTCGGGTTCTTGCCAAAACCCACCAGTAAGCTGATGCTGCAATGGGGTAAGGCTAGAGAGAGGCCCTTCTGGCAAGGAATTGTTCTTAATAGGCCAGGCTGTGATGATGAGTTAGGCAGGAGACTAGCAGACCACCTTGTGCCATCTGCTGCAGTGTTCGTGGCCTCTCAATGACTGTGGGGCGTCCTTTACTGTAGAGTTAGAATCAGATCGGACTCTTCCACACAGTTGGTGGTTGTTATTGAGCTCTGGGCCAGGCACTGGATATATAGGAGTTGTTGACATCAAATAAACTGTAGAGACGAATCTCTGCAATTCAGAAGTTTTACTTGAGAAGTAAGAACAGCAATTTGGGCTGGGCACGGTGGCTCACACCTGTAATCCCAGCACTTTGTGAGGCCGAGGGGGGAGGATTGCTTGGGCCCAGGAATTTGAGACCAGCCTGGGCAACATTGTGAAACCCTATCTCTACAAAAAAAAAAAAAAAAAATTAAATTAGCCGCGAGTGGTGGCACACGCCTGTCGTCCTAGTTACTCAGGAGGCTGAGGTGGGAGGCTCTCTTGAGCCTGGGAGGTCAAGGCTGCAGTGAGCTATGATGGGGCCACTGCACTAGAGCCTGGGCAACAGAACAAGACCCCTCAAAAAAAACAAAGAATTACAATTTTTGACGTACACACAGACCTGGGTGGTCTTCGTTATGTCCAAAGAACAAAGGTTTGAGGTTTTATTTTTAAAACAGAAGTGTTACGTATTGTTCTTTAAGTTGACCGTCACCAGTGAAGTTTTGGGGAGCTGGCAAGCCCCGATTGGTGAGTGACAGCGGTGGGTAAAACTAACCTTACAGTCATAGCAGATTGTTTCAGTAGCTGTTAGAGAAAACTGGTTTCAGGTTACGGCTGGCAGTGTCCGCAGCCCGGGCTTGCAGAGAATTTCATTTCTGGAGCCATGTTATGTGTCCCGGGTGCTTTTTACCTCCACCCCTCCCAACTCTGTTTTAGGTGGGTGTGATAAGAATGACCCAATTTGCCAGGTGTGGTGGCTCACATCTGTAAATCCTCGCATTTTGGGAGGCCGAGTGATACGGTTTGACTCTGTGTCCCCACCCAAATCTCATGTCCAGTTGTGACTGAGTGTTGGAGGAGGGTCCTGGTGGGAGGCGACTGGATCATGGGGAGGGATGGACATCCCCCTTGCTGTTTTCCTGACAGTGAGTGAGCTCTCACCAGATCTGGTTGTTTAAAAGGATGTGGCACCTTTCCCTTCTCTCTCTCTTCCTCCCGCTCCTGACATAAATGTGCTGGCTTCCCCTTTGCCCTTCCACCATGATTATAAGTCTCCTGAGGCCTCCGCAGAAGCTTTTTGTTTGTTTGTTTGTTTTTGAGATGCAGTTTCATTTGTTTACTGTCTGGAGTGCAATGTCACGATCTCAGCTCACTGCAACCTCCACCTCCTGGGTTCAAGCGATTCTCCTCCGTCAGTCTCCTGAGTAGCTGGTACTACAGGCCCGCACCACCACGCCCGGCTAATTTTTGTATTTTTAGTAGACAGGGTTTCACCATGTTGGCCCGGCTGGTCTCGAACTCTTGACCTCAAGTGATCCACCCGCCTCGGCCTCCCAAAGTGCTGGGATTACAGGCATGAGCCACTGTACGCGGCCTATATGTTATTCTATGTATTTAAAAACATTATTCTGAGCTGGGCACAGTGGCACACACCCATTGTTCCAGCTATTCAGGAGGCTGAGGCAGGTGGATTGCTTGAGCCTAGGAGTTTCAGACTGTAGTGTGCTGTGATCACGCCTGTGAATGGCCAGTGTACTTCAGCCTGGGCAACATAGCAAGACCCCATCTCTTAAAAACAAAAAAACACCACATTATACGGGAAGTAGTCCCAGATGAGTTCAAGAAAGATACAAAGTGCTGTCCCTGAGAAAGGGCTTCCTGTATTGGAAACACCTTGGGTGGTTCCTACAGTGGAAGGAGTGGCCCAGCATGGGAGGCAGAGGACTGACCTACGAGGGTCCAGGTGGCCAAGGAAAGTGGCTGCCCAGAAGCCCCAGGAGTGAGGCTGCTGTTCTTGGGGCAGCCGCAGAGCAGGATGAGGATTGCCACGTTCAGTCCTCAGTGGGCCTGGAGGAACGTGAGTCGCCGTGTGTCAAATGGGGAACAGGATTGCCAGAGAGCTCTTGGATTGCAGGAGAAGGAACAGCTTCGTTAGAAGGAAGCAATTCTATTAACTCGCATGCATGTCTCTTGATGAGCTGGCCTTCTCTGCTTGAAAACCACTGGGAGGGAGAGAAGATGGAGAAAGTTCCAAGGAACTTTCTGAAATACACAGCCCGGCAGGTGGAGGGGGTGGGAGGGATGACGAGCCATTCTTATCCCAATATAAGGGAACGCTCCATGTCAGAAAGGTGATTAAATGGATGTGAGTTTCTATTGCAGAAACAAGCCGGGGAGGCGCGTTAAGGATGGCGTGTCAACCTTCACTGTGCGTTCCCTGGTTTTATTGGTCTGTGTTATCACCTCCGCGTTACTTAAATGTAGTTTGGTGGTGTTTTTTATTACGGCCTCCCCTTTCTTTCCCCATGGCTGCCAATATTTCGTGTGGCAGCTCCTCACTCTCTCGTCACCCGTTACCTGTTACTGTCACCGCCCCGCCAGGGTGTCCTTGCAAGGGACTCTTAATGGAGCTGTCCTGGTTAAAGAAATTCAATGTGATTGAGCTGCAGCAAAGAATCAAAATCCAAGTATCTGAAAGGGATGAATAATAACTAGGTATTAAAGCATATTGGTTATTTATTATGAGCAGAAGGCAGGAAAACATTAGCATGTAAAAAGCTGTAAATTAATCACGGCTGGAGCTGGGGAACCTGAAAAAGTCACCTCTATCTTTATTAACTCTGTTTTGTTATTCCTGAGTGTAACTGAGTCCCCATTTCTGTCCTTCTGTGATAGATCTTCATCCCCAGCTGCCTTGCTGCAGGCATGAAGGGGTGAGATTTTTAAAAACATGGTTGATCTCACATCACCTGGTGCTCAGAAGAGGGCGGCAGGGGATTGAGCATGGAGGAGCTGACTTCAGTGCAAGTCCTGGCCATTACCACTCACCAGCTGTGGCCGTGGGCACATCCCCAGACCTCTCCAGATGCTGTGTCTCCAATCTGTAAAGTGCACGTGATTCTAGAGCCTTCCTTGGGAGTTGTTCTAGGATTAAATGAGATACTGCCGGCCAGGCGCAGTGGCTCACACTTGTAGTCCCAGCACCTTGGGAGGCCAAGGCGGGCAGATCACTTGAGCAAGCCCAGGAGTTCGAGATCAGCCTGGGCAACATGGTGAAATCCCATCTCGACTAAAAATACAAAAAATTAGCTAGGCCTGGTGGTACATGACTGTAGTCCCAGCTACTCAGGAGGCCGAGGCGGGAGGATCGCTTGAACCCAGGAGGTTGAGGCTGCAGTGAGCCATGATCACACCACTGCACTCCAGCCTGGGTGACAGAGTGAGACCCTGTCTTAAAAAAAAAAAAAAAAGATACTGCCTTTCCATGTTTAATCCTGTGGGTAAGGGTGGTTGCTGGTAACAGACAAACAAAGGGGCCCTTGCTACTCAAAATGCTATCAGTGCTACTCAGGAGGCTGAGGCAGGAGAATTGCTCGAACCCTGGAGGCAGAGGTTGCAGTGAGCTGAGATCATACCACTGCACTCCAGCCTGGGTGACAGTGTGAGACTCTGTCTCAGGAAAAAAGAAAAAAGCAATCAGTGGCTGGGTGCAGTGGCTCATGTCTGGGATCCCAGCGCTTTGAGAGGCCAAGCAGAAGGATTGCTTGAGGCCAGTTCAGGACCAGCCTGGGCAACAGTGAGACCTCATTTCTTCATACAAAAAAACTTAGCTGGTTGTGGTGGAGCACACCTGTAGTCCTAGCTACTTAGGAGGCTGAGACAGGAAGATCACAAGCTCAGGTGTTCAAGGCTGTGGTGAGATATGATTGCACCACTGCACTCCAGCCTGGACAAGCAAGTGAGATCCCATCTTGTTAAAAAAAAAAAAAAGCAAAAAATCTGGGCTGGTGGCACACACCTGTAATCGCAGAACTTTGGGAGGCTGAGGCAAGAAGACTGCTTGAGCCCAGGAATTCAAGAACAGCCTCAGTAGCATAGTGAGACCTCGTTTCTACAAATAATTTTTTTTGAATTAGCTAGGTATGGTAGGTGTGCACCTGTAGTCCCAGCTACTTGGGTGGCTGAGGTGGGAGGGTCACTTGAACCCAGGGAGGCTGAGGCTGCAGTGAGCTATGATGGCACCACTACAGCACTCCAGCCTGGGCAACAAAGTGAGACTCTGTCCTGAGTCAAAGAAAAAAGAAAAATCACATTAAAATGCAGATTTCTAGGCCCCATCTGTGACCTCCTGCATTGAACAGGATCTCCAGCTGAGTCATGTAGACATTGATGTTTAAGAAGGACTGACAAAGCATTCTGGTCCTTTTAGGGAATTTTTTGATAAACTGGAGAAAGGGCGTTACGTGTTATGATAAAACCAGGAAACTGATTCACTATTGTTGAAAGAGTGCATTGACTATTTGAGCTGAAATGCACTTTGCACCTTGAGAGTTTGTTTGGAGGTTCTAGCAGGGGAGCGCGGCTACTTCTGTACCCTTGATGGAAGACCGGTCTTCCTCTCTCGGGGATGGTCATCCTCTTTGACCAAGTATGCAGCCTCAGGAGGGACACATGTGGAGCGGTGAGGGAGGAAGGGGACACCCGCCTAGCCAACCAGATCAGCCAAATCAACTCTGGTGATCAATGGGGGTGACAGCTGTTGCAGCCAGATTACCCTCACATCCTGAAATGCACTTTGGAAGGCTTTGAATCCTATTCCCTTTACAGACGAGGAAACCGAGGTCGGGAGAGGTTAAGCATTTGCCCCAGGCCACAGAGACGTTATTCTGGTTGTGTGTTGTGTAAAAGCCACCCCAAAACTTAATGACTTCAAACAACAACAATTTCTTGAGCTCATGGATTCTGTAGTTCGGGCAGAGCCTGGGAGAGAAAGCTTGTCTCTGCTCCACGCGGGGTCAACTCGGGCAGCTCAGCTGGGGCCGCAGGATCCACTTCCCAGACAGTGCTCTCATGTGGCTGCAAAGTGCTGCCGGCTATTGGCTGGGATCTCAGCCAGGGAGGGCTGGGAACCTTGATCCTTGTCCACGTGGACTCTGCATGGGCTGCTTGCTGTCTGGGCTTCTTTTTTTTTAAGAGACAGGGTCTTGCTCTGTTGCCCAGGCTGGAGTGCAGTGGTGCAATCACGGCTCACTGCAGCCTCAACCTCCCAGGCTCAAGTGATCCCCTGCCTCAGCCTCCTAAGTAGCTGGGACTACAGGTGTGTATCACCATACCCAGATAATTTTGTTTTGTTTTGTTTTGTTTTTACAGATTGGGTCTTGCTATGTTGCCCAGGCAACTCCTGAGTTCAAGTGATCCTCCCACCTCGGCCTCCCAAAGTGCTGGGATTACAGGCACGAGCCACCATGCCCAGGCATGTCTGGGCTTTAAGAGTGAGTGTCCCAGGACACAGACAATGAAAGCTATGTATATATTTCTTTTTCTTTTTTTTTTTTTTTTTTTTTGAGACAGAGTCTCACTCTGTCACCCAGACTGGAGTGTGGTGGTGTGATCTTGGCTCACTGCAACCTCCGCCTCCTGGGTTCAAGTAATTCTCCTGCCTCAGCCTCCAGAGTAGCTGGGATTACAGGCATGAGCCACCACACCCTGCTAATTTTTGTATTTTTAGTAGAGATGGGGTTTCACCATGTTGGCCAGGCTTGTCTCGAACTCTTGACCTCAGGTGATCCGCCCACCTTGGCCTCCCAAAGTGCTGGGATTATAGATGTGAGCCACCACGCCCGACCAGGAAGCTGCAGTTTCTTAGAGCCTCAGTCCAGACACTGGTACAGTATCACTTCCAGCTTTTTCTGTAGGTCAAGCAGTTACAGAGCTCGGGTTCAAGGGGTGGGGACACAAGCCCCATCTAACAATGGGAAGAGTGGCAGAGAATTTGGGGGTCAGGTTTTAAAATTGCCACAGATAGACTTTAAGAGAAATGGGATCTAAACGTAGATTTTCCAGCACAGAGCTCGTTCTACCATCCCAAGTTCAACCTCCCCACTTAATCTTTCCTTGGGGGAAAGAATTAGACCCTGTCAGCTTGATTCTGCATAAAAATAAAAAGACGTCCATCTTTTCACTGTAGAATGTGAGCTGAGAGCCCAGGGCCCAGACCACCATCCTGTCCCCGGAGCCCCTGGTTGCTGCTGGGTGGGGTGTCTCAGTTCTGGGCAGCTTGTTGTTTTTTTCTCAGCACGGAGGTGGTAGCAGCCGCTGCTGTCCCTGCTGTGGGCCTGAGCATCTCAGGACTGCCTCTCAGCTAAGTCAGGCCCACAAGAAGACTCAGAACTGAGCCATGCCTAGGGCCACTCACCCACAACCATCAGCCTCCATCCTCGCCCTGCCTCCCCTGTGGGCTGAGCTGAAGGGAGTTTCAGGATGACCCCGGCTTTCCCTCTCCTGAAAAATGGTGCCCTGTCCATCTGCACCATCTGAGGTTCTCATCTGAGATTTGTTGGGGTGGGTAGGGGAGGGCAGGCATTTTTGCTTGTTGTTTGCTTTGAATCTGGCCAGCTCCAACGAGCCTTTATCGGAGCTGGGATCTGAGCTCCATGCCACCTGTCCAGAGCAACATCTGCCATCCCGGACTGCATCATCATTTGCGTGCCCCCGCAAAGCAGTCTCTGAGATGAGGGTTTGAATGCAACTAGTTCATCTGGGAGTTGCCGGGGATGAGGATCTTGGGGTGGGGAAGTGGTACAGCGTCGAGGGGCAGCTGATAAAGGGAATGTTATGGAGCCTGTCACTACGGTGAATGACAGGGACTCCATCCCATGGGGAGGCTGGGCAGATGGGCAGAACTCACGCCCAGGGATTCCTCCTGAGACTGAGGTACCTGGGGGGTTATTCAACCCAAACACCCTTAATTGTTACACTCTGGGCTTGGTGGTCTAAGATAGTCCCGGAAGGACAGGTGCGGTGGCTCATGCCTGTAATCCCAGCGCTTGGGAGGCTGAGGTGGGCAGATCACTTGAGGTCAGGAGTTCAAGACCAGCCTGGCCAATACAGGGAAACCCTGTTGCTACTAAAAATATAAAAATTAGCCGGGCATGGTAGTGCACGCCTGTAATCTCAGCTACTTGGGAGGCTGAGGCAAGAGAATTGCTTGAACCCAGGAGGTAGAGGTTGCAGTGAGCTGAGATTGTGCCACTGCACTCCAGACGGGGCAACAGAGCAAGACTCTGCCTCAAAAAAAAAACAGTTGAAAGAAAGGCCTCAGGCACAGAGCTGGGAATAGTGGCAGTAGGTCTGCTGGTGTCACTTTATTCCCTGTTTTTCTTTGTGACAAAACCAGGCAGTGGCAGCTTTTGGTGTGGGTGGGGTTGGGGGGAGCTGGCTAGGACGTCACCTCCACAAGATTAGACAGACATCTGCAGAGTGCCTTGATGACTGAGGCCCTCCTGGTGACAAGACAGGTCTGCTGGTTTCCAGGGCAAATTGCCAAGTGAAGGAGGCCAAAAAGCACAATCCCATGTGACAAGTGTGAGTCTGAAAGTTGCAGCTTGGGAGCGGTGGAGGAAGCAGGCATGGAACTGCCATGGAGTTCAGGCAACAGTGGCCCTGAGCCCTAAGGGGTGTGCCTTGTACATGGACATGATGGGAAGGGTGTTCCCGGTGCATGGAACAGCATGGGCGTGTGCACAGAGGCTGGGAAATGTGAGGTCATTCGATGTGGCCGCTGTTTGGTCTCTGTGCCTATCCCAGCGATGGTGTCACTGCACAGGGAAGAATGCAGATTCTCACCCTCTGCAACTGTTTCTCAAGCTTTAGAATTGCAGCAGTTCAGAGGAAGAAATTCCAGAAAACATGTGGAGCAATTGGGAAATTGCCGGAAACACTGTCTTAAAGGACTGTTCGTTTGGGTGTTGTCAAGTCAAGCCTCCTTTCTTAAAAAAGTCCACTTTCGTTCACACATCCCATCAGGACGGGGAGGGATAGCAGGCTTGGTTACTGTGATGGACCGAATGGTGTCCCCCAAATTCACATGTTGAAGCCCAAACTCCCAATGTGATTGTATTTGGAGATGGGGCCTTTAAGCAGGGAGTGATTGGTTTTTCTTTTTAGTTATTGTTTCTCTTTTTGGAAATTTTAGATTCCGGGGGTACATGTGCAGGTTTGTGTGTGACATAGGGACATTGCATAATGCTCAGGTTTGGAATTCTACTGAACCCATCACCCAAATAGTGAACATCAAATAGGTGGTTGTATTAGTCTGTTCTCATGCTGCTAAGCAGAAATACCCAAGACTGGGTAATTTATAAAGAAAGGACGTTTAATTGACTCACAGATCTACATGGCTGGAGAGGCCTCAGGAAACTTACAGTCATGGCAGAAGGCACCTCTTCACATGGCGGCAGGAGAGAGAATGAGTGCAAGCAGGGGAAATGCCAGATGCTTATAAACCATCAGATCTCGTGAGAACTCACTCACTGTCAGGAGAACAGCATGGTGGAAACTAGCCCTGTAATTCAATTACCACCACCTGGTCCCGCCCTTGACACAAGGGGATTATTACAATTCAAGGTGAGATTTGGGTGGGGACACAGAGGCAAACCATATCAATCAGTAGTTTTTCAACCCTTGCCCACTTCCTTCACTCCCTGATCTTGCAGACCTCAGTGTGTGTTGTTCCCATCTTTATGTCCATGTGTTCTCCTCATTCAGCTCCCACTTTTAAGTGAGAACATGCAGTATTTGGTTTTCTGTTCATCTGTTAATTCACTTAGGATTATGGCCTCCAGCTGTATCCATGTTGCTGCAAAGGACACGATTTTGTTCCTTTTTATGGCTGTGTGGTATTCCATGGTGTATATATGCCACATTTTCTTTATCCAATCCACCGTTGATGGGCACCTAGATTGATTCCATCTTCGCTTTGTGACTAGCGCTGCCATGAACATAAGGGCGTGGGTATCTTTTTAGTACAATGATTCGTTTTCCTTTGTGTAGACACCAAGTAGTGGGATTGCTGGGTCAAATGGTAGCTCAATTTTTATTTATTTGAGGAATCTTAAGGAGGCAATTTTAAATAAGACCATGAGGGTGGGGACCTGATCCCACAGCACTGGTGTCCTTGTAAGAAGAGGAAGAGACACCAGGTTCACGTGCATGGAAGTAAAGGCCATTTGAGGACACAGCCAGGAGGTGGCCACCTGCAAGGAAGGTAGAAGAGCCTCACCAGAAACCAACCCTGCTGGCACCTTGATCTCAGACTTCCAGTGTCCAGCACTGTGAGAAAGTGAATTTCTCTTGCTTAGGCCACCCAGTCTGTGGTATTCTGTTAAGGCAGGCTGAGCAGACCAGCACTGTTACCAACAGATAACCAAACGCTTTTAACGGGGCATCTTCAAACGTTTTTGAAGACTTCTGAGCCGCTGTCTGGCAAGGCAGTCCTGTGTACAGCCCATTCCAGTTCAAGCCTCTAAATGCATCTTTTCTCATCTGTAAACGGCGCTACGTTTTGAGGCCCCGTTTTCCAGAAATGATGTACTCCACTCTCCCCAACGCACACACAGATCCCTGGAGCTTGCAACTCCTCTGTTAGGAATAGCTATTTTCACTGTTCAGAACAGGTGTTCGTAGAAAAGGTGATACCTTCAACGCAGCCAGGCGCTGAAACCCTAGCGGGAGGATTTAGAGGCCACCAGCCCTGCCTTGGGGTCAGACATGCATGAGTGAATGGGGCTGGGCCAGTCCCTGCTATGTGAGCTTGGGCAGGAATCCAGGGCTCAGGGCGTGACTAGGAACAGGAACGCCTGCGTCCCAGGTGAGGCGTCCCAGGTGAGGCGTCCCAGGTGAGGCGTTCCATCTGCAGAAGGCAGCTGCTCACCGTGCGTGTCGGCTCTTCGTGCCATTCCTGAAAGCAGAGTTTGATGGGACAAGATTTTTTAAAATATAGGAACCCTGAGCATTTGGCGAGCTAGAAGGGAGACAGCTCCAGACAAGAGGAGGCAGGGGCGGGAGCTTTGCAGGGTGTGGCAGGGACAGGTTTACCGAGAGCCGGTTCTGCGTCAAAACCCACGGGACGTTTCCCCTGCTGAGGATCAATTATCCATCCTGCTAAAGGTTAATTCTTCTGCAGAGAAAGCCAAATGGCCCAGACTCCTTTGTGCAGGAAAAGCAAAGGCAATTAAAAGCAGCTCCGACCCGGATCACGGGGCCCACCTTCTGCTGCGTCCCTGGATATGAGCTTTCCCCTGGCGAGTCCGCCGCCTCTCTTTCCCGTAGACTTCGCACGTGTCACGGGTGTGTTCTCAAAGCTTTTCGGGGCCTTCAAATTTTAGCAATGCCTCTGGGTGGATCAGATGCCAGGGTGGGGTCACTAGAAATGCACTTTCTTCCCAAGAACCCCCAGAAATGCCTTCTCCATCCCTCCTCTGGTGCGATCATGGCCCCGCACACCCACACATCGTGCTCTTTCAAATTCTAATTCATGATCTGCTTTCCATGGCCTGGGCTTCCATGTCCCAAACCCACACATGGGTTGTTGAAGGCCCCTATGAAGACCCAGGCCCTGTGCTGTATTTTCACCTTCATTGAAACTTGCCTGTACTTTGGCCAGAGCATGGACTGCAGTGGAGGAAATAATGTCTCCCAGATTTCCTGCCCACCTGGAACCTCAGAGTGTGGCCTAACTTGGAAATGGGGTCTCTGCACATGGGGTTAGTTAAGTTAAAAACAGATTATACTGGATAAGGAGGTGGGGGCTGAATCTAATGACTGGCCTCCTTACAAAAAGGAGAACGAGAGGAGAGAGACAGACAGACTGGCCAGGCCTGGTGGCTGACACCTGTAATCAAAACACTTTGGGAGGCCAACATGGGAGGGTCACTTGAGCCCAGGAGTTCAAGATCAGCCTGAGAAACACAGCAAGACCCCATCTCTACCCCCCACACAAAAGTTTTTAATTAGCTGGGCATGGTGGCATGCACCTGTAGTCTCAGCTTCTTAGGAGGCTGAGGTGAGAGGATCACTTGAGCCTGGGAGGTCAAGGCTGCAGTGACCCGTGTTTGTGCCATTGCACTCCAGCTGGACAACAGAGTGAGACCCTGTCTCTGAATAAATAAATATTTTTTAAAAAGAAATAAAAAGAAGAGAGGCTGTGCAGAGATGCACAGGGAAAGCCGTGTGATGACGGAGGCAGAGATTGGAGTGAGGTATCTACAAGTCAAGAAATGCCAGAGATCATCAGAAATCACTAGAATCTGGGAAAGAGGCTTGGAAAAAACTCTCCCTCTGAGCTTCCAGAAGGAGCCCCTCTGGCCGACACCCTGATTTTGGACTTCTGGCCTCCAGAACTGGGAGAGAATACATTTCCATTGTTTTAAGCTGCTAAATTTGTGATAATTTTTTACTGCAGCTCTAGGAAACACAGATGTCGTCTAACTTAGCCATCCCCCATCACCTGTGTGCATGGGGATCACAGGTGCAAACAACACCAAGGGCCCATTGGGATCTGGTTTATTCCTGGAGTATCTGCTGGAATTCTACCCCTCTCCCCAGGCCCACTGAGCTATCATTTCAGATTTCAAGGGTGTACGCTTGTGTATAGCAGCACAATTCAAAATTGCAAAAATATGGAACCAGCCCAAATGCCCATCAGTCAACAAGTGGATAAAGAAACTGTGGTATATCTATACGATGGAATACTACTTAGTCATAAAAAGGCATGAATTAGTGGCATTTGCAGGGCCCTGGATGAGATTGGAGACTATTATTCTAAGTGAAGTAACTCAGGAATGGAAAACCAAACATCGTATGTTCTGGCTCATAAGTGGGAGTTAAGCTAAGAGGATGCAAAGGCATAAGAATGACACAGTGGATTTGGGGAACTTAGTGGGGAAAGGGTGGGATGGGGAGAGGGATAAAGGATTACATATTGGGTTCAGTGTATACTGCTTGGGTGATGGGTTCACCAAAATCTCACAAATCACCACTGAAGAACTTACTCATGTAACCCAATACCACCTGTACCCCCAAAAACCTATGGACATAAAAAATGAAAATTAAAAATCAAATAAAAGATTTCAGAGGTGTGAAAGCACAGTATTGTATTGGAGGGATCACTTCAGATCCATTCTCATTTCTTTTTTCTAAATTGAGATATAATTTGTACACCGTGAAATGCACAGATCTTAAGTGCACGGTAGATAGTTCAACCGTTTTTGACGAACGTAACCCATAATCCATCAAGATACAGAACATCTTCAGTGCTCTCAAGAGTTTCCTCATGCCCCTCCTGCTCAGTTTCCATCCTTCCCACCAGAAGCTGTTGGGACAATCACTGTTCTGATTTCTTTCACGTTGGGTAGCTTTGTCTGTCCGGGGGCTTCACATACCTGGAATCACACAGTGTGTACCTTTTCGTGTCTGGTTTCTTTCACTCTGCATGTTTTCGGATTCTTCCACGTTGTTGCATGTCTCTTTCCTGTTTATTTTTATTACCACAATTTGTTTATCCTTCCTCCTGTTGGGTAACTGGGGTGGTTTCCAGCTTGAGGCTATTATGAATGAAGTTGTTATCAGTTTAACCACACACAAGTCTTTGTGTGGACATATTTTCATTTTCCTTGAGTAAATACATAGGGGTCCTGGGTCCTAGAACCCTAGGTATTTGCTAAGTCATCAGAATAGGTATATATTTAATTTACCAAACCGTTTTCTAAAGTGGTTGTCCTATTTTACACCCTCACCAGCTATGTATGAGAGTTCCAGGCCAGGCATGGTGGCTTATGCCTGTAATCCCAGCACTGTCTGAGAGGCCGAGGTGGGAGGATTGCCTGAGCTCAGCCTGGGCCAACATGGTGAAACCCTGTCTCTACAAAAAATACAAAAATTAGCTGGGTGTGGTGATGTGTGCCTGTAATTCCAGCTACTTGGGAGGCTGAGGCAGGAAGATCGCTTGAACCAAGAGTCTGAGGCTGCAGTGAACTATGATTGCACCACTGCACTCCAGCCTGGACAACACAGCACAACCCTGCCTCAAAAAAAATAAATAAATAAAAACAAAAAAACAAACAAACAACAACAAAAGAAAAAAAACACCAAAAACCAATATTAAGGAATCTTCCAATCAATGAACATGATATATCTCTCTGTTTGACTTAGGGCTTCCTTAATTTTTCTTAGCAATGCTTTGTAGTTCTTGGTGCAGACACTTTACAAAGCTTTCCTTATCTTAAATCCTACGTGTGTTATGTTTCTGGATATTAGGGTTTTTGGCTTTTGTATATTGACCTTCTGTGGCTTTGCTAATTTAGCAAATAATTATTAATCATTGTTAATTGAATATTATTAATTCTAGCAGATTTTTCTGTAGATTACTTTGGATTTCTTTTAGACAATCATGTTTTCTGCAAATAATGGCAGGTTACCTCTTCCTTTCCAGTCTTCGTCCTTTTTATTTTCTGTCTTATTGGATTAACTAGAAACTTCAACACAATGTTGAATAGAAGTGGTCAGTGTGAATATCCTTGCCTTGGTCCCAGTCTTTGGGGAACAGTCCCTTCTATTCTAATTTGTGGAAGTTTTTAATATGAATGGATGCTGAAATTTGCCCAATGACTTTTCTGCATAGATTGAAGTAATCAGATGATTTTTCCGTTCTTTATTCTCTTAATATGGTGATGCACATTGGTTGATTTATTTTTTTTTCTTTGAGATGGAGTCTCGCTCTGTTGCCTAGGCTGGAGTGCAGTGGCATGATCTTGGCTCACTGCAACCACTGCCTCCCAGGTTCAAGCAATTCTCCTGCCTCAGCCTCCTGAGTAGCTGGGATTACAGGGGCCCGCCACCACGCCTGGCTAATTTTTGTACTTTTAGTAGATGCAGGGGGTTTCACCGTGTTGGTCAGGCTGGTCTCGAACTCCTGACCTCATGATCTGCCTGCGTCTGCCTCCCAAAGTGCTGGGATTGCAGGCATGAGCCACTGTGCCTGGCCACATTGGTAGATTTTTTAATGTTGAATGGACTAGCATTTCTGGAATAAATCTCACTTGCTCATGATGTGTTATCCTCTCTATATATTTTTGAAGTTATTGCTAATCCCATTAAGGATTTTCGTATCTATGTTCATGAAGTATGCTGGTTCCTAGTTTTCTATTCCTGTAATGTTTTTTGGTTGATTCTGGAATCAGCATAATATTGGCCACATAAAATGGGTGGGAAGTGTTGCTTTTTCCTCTGTTTTCTGAAAGTATTTATGTAAGATTTGTGTTATTTCTTCCTTAAATGTTTGACAGAATTCACCAGTGAAGCTGTATGAGTCTGGAATTTTCTTTGTGGGAGAGTTTCTGATAATGACTTCAACTTTTCAAATAGATATAGGGCTAATTCAGACTGTCTATTTCTTCTTAAGTCAATTTTGGGAATGTATATCTTTTGAGTAATTTCTGTTCTTATCATTCATATTATAGAATTGTGGGCATAATGTTTTTAAAACAATATTCCTAATATATTCTTAATGTCTGTTGCACTGGTAGTGATAGCTCCTCTTTCATTCCTGATATTGGTCATTTTGTTTTTTCTCTTTTTTTTTTTTTTTTTTTTTTGAGACAGAGTCTCGCTCTGTCGCCCAGGCTGGAGTGCAGTGGCGCGATCTCGGCTCACTGCAACCTCTGCCTCCCAGGTTCAAGCAATTCTCCTGCCTCAGCCTCCTGAGTAGCTGGGATTACAGGCATGTGCCACCACGCTCAACTAATTTTTATATTTTTAGTAGAGACAGGGTTTCACCATGTTGGTCAGGCTGGTCCCGAACCCCTGACCTCGTGATCCACCCACCTCAGCCTCCCAAAGTGCTGGGATTACAGGTGTGAGCCACCGCACCAGGCCTGTTTTTTCTCTTTTTTTCTTAGTGTATAGCTAGAGGTTTATCCATTTTGTTGCTCTTTTTAAAGACCCAGCTTTTGGTTTTCTAAACTGTTTTTAAGCTTTCTAACTTACTGTTTTTCACTCTTATCTTTATTTTCATTATCTTCTTTCCTCTTCTTTCTTTCTTTTGTTTTTTTTCTGGGGGTTTTGTTGTTGTTGTTGTTGTTGTTGTTTTGTTTTGTTTTGAGACAGGGTCTCACTGTCACCCAGGCTGGATTGCATTGGTGCAATCATAGCTCACTGCAGCCTCAAGCTCCTGGGCTCAAGTGATCATCCTGCCTAATTCTCTCAAGTACCTGAGACCACAGGTGCACACCACCTTTTATTTTTATTTTTATAGCAATGAGGTCTCACTAAGCTGCCCAGGCTGGTCTTAAACTCCTGGCATCAAGTGATCCTCCTGCCTCAGCCTCCCAAGGTGCTGAGATTACAGGCGTGAACCACCACTCCCAGCCTGGCTTCTTAATGCAGAAACTTAGACCATTAATTTTAAATTATTCTTCTTTTCTGATATGATCATTTAAAGTTATAAAGTCCTCCCTAAGCATTGCTTTAGCAGCATTCCACACATTTTGATGTTTTGTTTTTATTTCCATTCAGTTCAAAACATCTTCAAAAGTTTCTTTTGGTTTCTTATTTAACCAATGAGTTATTTAGGACTGTGTCATTTCATTTCCAAACATCTAGAAAACTTCTAGGTTCCTTTTTATCATAAGTTTCTACTTTAGTTTCATTGTGTCAGAGAACATACTCTATATAATTTTAGTCCTTTTAAAGTTGAGACTTGTTTTATAGACCAACAAAAGATCTTGGTGAATGTTCCACGTACACTTGAAAAGAGTATGTATGGCTGGGTGCAGTAGCTCGCACCTGTAATCCCAGCACTTTGGGAGGCCGAGGCGGGCAAATCACGAGGTCAGGAGTTCGAGACCAGTCTGGCCAAGATGGTGAAACCCTGTCTCTACTAAAAATACAAAAAATTAGCTGGGTGTGGTGGCGGGCACCTGTAATCCCAGCTACTCAGGAGGCTGAGGCAGGAGAATCGCTTGAACCTGGGAGGCGGAGGTTGCAGTGAGCCAAGATGGTGCCACTGCACTCCAGCCCGAGCGACAGTGTGACACTCAGTCCCAAAAAAAAAAAAGAGTATGTATTCTGCAGCTGTTAATTGTAGTGTTTTAAACATTAATTAGGTCAAGTTGGTTGATACTATTATTCAAATCTTCTATAGCCTTCATTTTTATCTATTGGCTCGAACAATTAGTGAAAAAGACTGTTGAAATCAACAACCATCATTGTAGATTTTGTCCAATTCTCCTTTCAGTTTTCTTTCTTTTGGCCTCACGTGTTTTGAAGCTTTAGAACTGGTGCATACACATTTAAGATTGTATCTTCTTGATGAATTGACTCTGTTTTCATTATGAAATGTCCCTCTTTATCCCTGGTAATACACCTCTTCCTGAAGTCTACTCTTCTGATATTAATATTGCCATTTCAGTTTTTATGAATAGCGTTTCCATCTTTTTACTGTTACCTTCTCTACATCTTTATGTTTCAAGTGTGCCTGTTATCGACGGCATAGAATTGAATCCTCTTTAATCCACCCCGATCACCTCTGCCTTTTCATTGAAGTGCTCAGTTCTTTAAAAAATAGCCAGGCATGGTGGTGGGTGCCTGTAATCCCAGCTGCTCAGGCGGCTGAGGCACGAGAATCATGTGAACCTGGGAGGCGGAGGTTGCAGTGGACCAAGGTTGGCCATGAGGTGGGATTTGTGGAGGGTCGGATTCACTAGGCACCCTGTCCCCAAAGAAGACTTCAAGTGCACTGAAAAAACTTATATGAAATATTATCTGATTTTTAAATATTTAACTTGTTTGGGGTTTTTTTAACAGATTTTTTAAAATTTTCTATCACTTTTGGGGTACTAGTGGTTTTTAGTTACATGGACGAATTCTATAGTGCTTCAAACCAAAGTCCTGAAAGACTCAGGCAGGGAGTGAACCGGCAGTCGGTGACCCACATCTCTGCGCACGGGGAGGGGTCAGGCAGGGAGTGAACCAAGAGTCGGGGACCCACGTCTCTGCGCACAGGGAGGGGTGAGTTGGAGCGGCGTTTATCAGTGTGTGTGAGCGTCACCTGGGGAGCCTGTTAAACCGCAGGCTCCGTTCCGAAGGGCTGAGGTGAGGCTCAAAATGCGGCAGGTGAAGCACCTGCTGACGCTGCGGCCGATGGGCGACACTTTGAGTGAGGAATTTGAGGCTGTGAGCAGGGGCTGTGGAGGGCAGTTGCATAGGTGAGGAGTCAGCTCTAAATCCAGTCAATGGGGAGAAGAGAGTTTGATTTACACAAACTCAGCTTACCGGTAACATTTAATCCTGGAAGCCAGCTGCACCTGTTGGTGCTGACCGTGATACCTGAGGGGTTCCGGCTCCAGCATCCCAACAACCTCAGCCATGACCCTAGGAGGGTTCCCTGCAGAGGTGCAGGGAGCAAAACCTGAGCTGTTCCTACTCGTTCAGGAGCTGGGACCCAAATACCTGCAGAATTGCAATACGCTTCTGTTTAAAAAAAAAAAATCCGGCGAGAAAAAAAATCCCTCAAAAACTCTATTACCTTCTGTCATAAACTTTTTACTAGAATATAATCCTGTGTGCCTTGACCACAGACTAAATCTAAAGTTTTACGTTGCAGGCTCTATCGGGGGGAGCACGGCTCCTTCTCACTTCTGATGAGTATTTGCATTTTGCAGGGAGGGGTCTGTGTACCAGGTCCTGTGTGCAGTGCCCATGCAGGCTGTCTGCACAGGCGTGACCTGTGTGCAGGGAAATGACACATCCCCACACGATCCACACACGCTGGGACTGCAGACCCTGTGTTCCACACACGGACACGCTTGAGTAGATATTAGCGTGATGTCGGCACCGACCAGATGGATTGGGTTTTTCCGAACATGTTTGGGAAATTAATGGTCACATTCTCACTTCAGCTTCCTGAATCATGTTTGAAATAGTCCGTGTCTCCTCCGTAGGACTTCAGATAGTAGTGAGTTCTGGATTGGGGATTTAACTCATAAACTCATGCAAGATGATGATTATAAAGTCTCCCATTTATGGAGCTCCTCCTGTATGCCAGGCATGTTCTTTAGACATTTGTTGAATCATCCCTAAAATCCTGCAAACTATGGGCATTATTATTCCTGCATTATAGGAGGAGAAAATGAAGCCAGGAGTAGTGGGAGGAATAGGGTGGTCCTGGGTTTCATGTGTTCTGTGGAGTATGAAGGAGGAACTATAGGGTTCCTCTGATCTTTTTGGGTTGTGGGCAGAAGGTATCTGGAAGTCACTACCAGGAAGGCTGGCTGGTGGCGAGAAGGACTCCGCACCATCCAGTCCGTTGTAAGGCAGAATGGACTATGCTGTGTGCCCCCAGCTCACGCACAGCATTGAGCAGAGGCCCTGGGCACTTTCTGAGCTCCGGTGGCCTTCCCTTAAGCTCCTATGCCGAGCTGTGTATTATTCCCAGTGCCTCCCTTTTGCTGTGGACAATGTTCCATCAGAGGGTTTTATTATTATTATTATTAAAGACAGGGTCTCGCTCTGTCACCCAGGCTGGAGTGCAGTGACACGATTATGGCTCACCGCTTCTTGAACTCCTGGGCTCAAGTGATCCTCCCACCTTAGCCTCCCGAGTAGCTGGGACCACAGGGGCACACCACCATGCCTGGCTAATGTTATAAAATCTTTTGTAGAGAGGTCTGACTATCCCAGGCTGGTCTCGAACTCTCGGGCTCAAGTGATCCTCCTACCTCAGCCTCCCAAATTGCTGAGACTACAGGTGTCAGCTACCGGGCCCAGCCTACCAGAGGGTTTTAAAGAGAAGACAGAAGCTGGGTCTCTGATCTGCAGCACAGTGTATTAGTCAGAGACATGGAAACAGTAGGATACATAGAGACATATATAAAAGGGGATTTAATTATGGGAATTGGATTACATGACTATGGAGGCCAAGAAGCCCCATGACATGCTCTATGCAAGCTGGAGAATCACAGAAGCCACGGCCGGGCGTGGTGGCTCCCACCTATAGTTCCAACACTTCCAGAGGCCAAGGCAGGAGGATCACTTGAGCCTAGGAATTCAAGACCAGCCTGAGCAACATAGGGAGTCCCCATCTCTAAAAAAAATTTAAAAACTTAGCCAAGCATGGTGATGCACACCTGTAGTCCCAGCTACTCGGGAGGCTGAGGCAGATGAATAACTTGAGTCCAGGAGTTCAAGGCTGCAGTGGGCCATGATCATGACACTGCACTCCAGCCTTGGCAACAGAGCAAGACCCTGTCTCAGAAAAGAAGAAAGGAAGGAAGGGAGGGAGGGAAGGGAGGGAGGGAGGGAGGGAGGGAGGGAGGGAGGGAGAGAGAAAGAAAGAAGGAAAGAGAAAGAAAAACGGAGAGAGAAAAAGAAAGAAAGCTAGTATATAATTCAGTCCCAGTTTGAAGGTCCGAAAACAAGGGAGTCCATGGTGTCAGTCCCAGAGTTTGAAGGCCCAGAACCAAGAGCTCCAGTGTCAGAGGACAGGAGAAGACAGATGTCCCAGCTCAAACGAGAATTTTTCCTTCCTCTGACTGTTTGTTCTATCAGGGGCCCTGGACAGATGGGATGGCACCCAACCACGTTGGGGAGGGCGGATCTTCTTAACTCAGTCTACTGATTCAAATGCTGAGCTCCTCCACAAACATCCTCACTGACACACCCAGATGTTTTACCAGCTATCTGGACATCCCTTAGCCCAATCAGGTGGACACATAAAATTAACCAGCACATCGAGTACCCCGCTGCTGTGCCCAGAGCTTCCTGGAGACCCAAGGAAGCGACATCTGAGCCACCTCCAACTCTGCCTGAACGAGCAGTCCCTCCTTGTCCTTCCAGGCCAGAGGCTGCCCCTCTGCAGCGGGGCCCATGGGGCCCTAGAAAGGGCCCAGTGAGGGGCAGCAGGAGAGGAAGGGTTAATCAGGCAGTAGGTTCTGTTGCCTGCAGGTGTTCACGTTCCCTCCGCCTCTCCAGGCTGGCTTCCACGGTGACTTCATTAGCAGCAGGCTGCTAATTAAATTTCATATTTATGATCAGAAAAGAAAATCATTGGACCTTTTTGAAATAGGATTTTATGAGTTTTGGCTCCGGCAGCTGAATCAGCAGTCAAGGGCCTGCCTGTTTGGAACTACAGCTTCAAGGCGGAGATAAAGAAAACAAATAGTGCCAGGGAGGAGGTGGGATCCTGAGTGCTTGCACAGGCCTAGGCCTGAACTGCTTTGGGGGCCTCAGAAGGACAGACCTGGCTCCACTGGAGGAGCAGCATCAGGAAAGAAGCCTCCTGGCCAGGTGCGGTGGCTCACGCCTGTTATCCCAGCACTTTGGGAGGCCGAGACGGGTGGATCACCTGAGGTTGGGAGTTCGAGACCAGCCTGGCCAACATGGTGAAACCCCGTCTCTACTAAAAATACAAAAATTAGCTGAGCGTGGTGGTGCACGCCTGTCATCTCAGCTACTCAGGAGGCTGAGGTGGGAGAAATTGCTTGAACCCAAGAGGCAGAGGTTGCAGTGAGCCGAGATTGTACCACTGCACTCTAGCCTGGACAACACAGTAAGATTCCGTCTCAAAAAAAAAAAAAGGGAAAGAGGGCTGCCTCCCAGCCCCCTTGTTGAAGCTCAGGAGTCCAGGCTGGGGCTCAAACCCCAAAGCCCCTAAGTCCACATCAGGTCGGCCCCATTTCCAGGGTCACCAGGCTCCTCTGGGGCTGACTTATTGGCAGAACCACCTGTTTTGTATTTTATGTTTCTTGTCATACTAGAAAAATCACTCCTCACCCACAAGCTTAGGCTCCCACCTCCCTGGGCGTGCGTGCCGGAAGCTCTCAGATGCCACTTCCTTTATGTGTGTGACTTAGTTACTGCTGCCTCCTCCAAGGAGTCCCTCTCCTCTGTGGCCTCAGGTGACCCCCTCTTTTCCGTGCTGCTCATGGGGGGACTCAGCTTCTTCTGCCCCATGGCGCTGGTGATCCTTGGCGTGCTCCCTGGAGCAGCCCAGTAGGAACCTTTTCACCCTCTCCCGGGGAAATGGGAATCAAGCCTGAATTCCACCAGCCATGTTTTGGTCTCTCCGATGGGGTGTGTTTAAGAATCCAATTGGAAGGGACTTTTACCTCCAGGGGGTCTGGCCCCACCTTTGAAGGTGTTGACATCTTTTCCCCCTGAAATTGCCAGTCCCATATTGAATCAGCTTCCTTCTGACTCTTTTTGGTGGGTTTCAGGCCTCCCGATATCATCATCACTGTCTCTCCCGCCTAAGCCGGGAAGGATGAGGTCAACGTCCACTCCGCTCCTATGCAAGTGAACACTAGTTTCTCAGCCGTTGCTTCCTTTCCCTGTGCAACAGCACCCAAATCTACTATCGTAGCCGGCTTCCTCCCTATTTCCCAGCCTACATCGATCACAAGAATACTTGCTGTTCCCCTTCGTTTCTTCCAAAAACTTGAGGTGTAATCAGTGAGCTTCCCAGCCTTCCCAGAAAGTGCTAGCGCTGGAATGATCAGAGAGCGGAGGTGTGAGGAGATCATGGTCAGTCCCTGCTGCTCCCCCAATTCTCCATGGCGGCCCTGGCTGGGGGCACCGTGTCTTCCTCCCCCAGACAGTCCTACTCCAGGGCGTTTACTCAAAAGAAATGACAGCACGTCCACATGAAGATCTGTACAGGAAGGTCCCAGGCAAACAGGAAACAACCCACATGTCCAGCGAAAGATACACAAGTCAGGAAAATGTGGGACATTTTCGATGGAATACTGCCCAGTGACAAACAGGAATGCGTGACTGACACCAGCCTCACACGCTGCGTGAAAGCAGCCAGACCCTAAAGAAGATGGATGCCCTAGCTCAAAATGGCAAATTCTTCCCTCCTCCGACTTTCTGTTCTATCAGGGGTCCTCGGCAGATTGGATGGCACCCTTCCACAATGAGGAGGACGGGTCTTATTGACCCAGTCCTCTGATTCCAATGCTGAGAAACAACCTCAACAACACACCCAGAAATGTTTTACCAGCTATCTGGGCATCCCTTAGCCCAGTCAAGTTGACACAGAAAATTAACCATTGCATGGAGTACACAGCTGCGGTGCCCAGAGCTTCCTGGAGACCCAAGGAGGGGACGTCTGAGTAGAACAACACATTATTCTACTCTCCTAAGGTTCAAGCAAAGGCAAAGCTGATGGAAATCACAGGAGCGGTTGCCTTTGGGGGCCACAGGGGGATGGAAAGGGCCCTGGAGAACTTCTTAGTGGGGGTCACCATGCTCTGTATCACGACTGAGATCTTGGTTGCGTGGGCATCTTCCTAACTCATCGAACTGTGTACTGAAGACCCATGCAGCTCACTGATTACACCTCAACTTTTTGGAAGAAAAGAAGGGAAACAGCGAGTATTCTTGTGATTGGTATAGGCTGGGAAATAGGGAGGAAGCCTGCTAAGATAGTAGACTTGGGTGCTGTTGCACACAGGGCCAGGGCCAGGAAGCAATGGCCGAGAAACTGGTGTTTGCTTGTATAGGAGCGGAGGGGACGTTGACAGCTTTGGGGAAGGAATTGATCGCCTGCATCCACAGGTCGCTGGGGTGGGCGGTGTTCATGCATTGCCTCCATTCATTCCCACAACTCTGGTTGCCCTCCATTCTCTGGTAAAGACACGATGTTCCAGCCATGATGTTCCAGTCCAAAGTACTTTGGGCTCCACACCCACTAACAAACTTCAAAGAGACAGAGGGGAAAAGGGTATGCATCATGGGATGCACGCTCATAGAAGAGTGTTCCCTGGAATGTCCAAGGCCCCGCACTTCTGCTGGCCAGTCTTCCTCCTCTGTGGAATTCAGAGGCAGAGGAGGCCAGAGAGGTCCCCTGGGTGAGGTCTGGCGTGGCCCGGGGCCCAGCGGTGAGAGCAGAGCAGAGGTGCGAACAGTGACTGACGACGCCGGGTTCCTGCCCTTGCCTCCCTGCCCCACCGCCCTCCTGGCCCTGATGACAGACGCACCCTGTTCCCTGCAGTTTCTGCCTGCCCTGCACGGCCTGGGTCCCTTTCTGCTCTCCGAGCCTCCCCACTCCCATGAATGGAAAGTCACCCACAGATTCTGCTCGGAACAAAAAAAAAAAAAGAGGGAAGTAAGGCAGCCCACCCCCAGTCCCCACTTCTGCCCCCGCTAAAAATAGAGGCAGCATCTGAGTGGGGCGTCGGTGTAGGCTTCCGGGGGAGGTGGCTGCTCTCCCACAGCCTTGGTGTTTTCTGGGGAATCAACAGGAGGAGAGAGAATTTGAGAGGAACACGAGGAACCCCCAGGACCCAGCTGGCTCACAACCGCGTGAGTACGTTTCCCAACTGGCCGGTCCCGTGACTGAGGCCCGCGGGTGCAGCGCTGGTGAAGCCCTGTCCCTGGGGGGCTGCCATGGGACCCCCTCTCCCCAGCACCTGGCCCCCTTGTCCTGTCCGTGCCCATGTGTTTTCATGGCTTCATGCACACCTCTTTGCATCTCCTAATTTCCTAAACCAGATGTGGAGTCTCAGCAGCAGGTGCTGGGGCGACTGTCTCATGCCGTGGCTTGGATTGCACAGAGCTCCATGGATCCAGCCCGTAGACGCTCTCCATACATGCCCGGTGACCCACACAGGCCAGGATGCTCCCGTTGTCATGTGGCACTGGGTCTTATTTTCTTCTGACTGGGACAGTGCCAGGGGCCGGGGAGTGGGGCTCAGTGCGCAGAGTGTGTCTCAAGGCCTGAGTTGCCCGTGGCCCCCAGCTGGGTGGAGAGGAAGTGTGTACAGGGTCTGTTTCCAAAACGTGGGGCCTTGCAGCCTGGCCCTCCCCAGGTCTGGGAAGGGTTCGTGTTCCCCACCCCTCAACCCCGCAAGCACCTTCCAGACGGTTCCTCTGGGATCTCTTGAGATTGCAAATGCTAAGAAATGAGGCTGTGGCTCGCTGGTGTCCACCGGGGCACCAAAGGCCCAGCCCCTGCCCACAAACACCGGAGGACAAACCAGGCGACTGTGGGACAAGGAGCTTCCCAAAGAGACAGTAGGACTGGGGACCCCAAAGGGGAAGTTCCCCTCCCCCCGGGATCCCTGAAAGGGATCCGAGTAGATTCCTCAATTCCTGGTGAAACACTCGGGAATTTCTTAAGTCCTGCGGGCTTGAAGACCCTCGGCAGCCCCTTGGTAACTTTTGCTTGCAAGAGACTACAGCCTTTTTGGGGCTTCGCTGACTTAAGTGGTTTGAAAGCATCAGCTGGTCCTCAGAGACCTCCTTTAAAATGCAAAACAGAATAATAGGCTCTTAGTGTCTCTAGTTCACATACCGCGTAACGTCCGTCTGACAGCCCTGAGTGCAGAGATTTCGGGGTGACCCCCAGCCGTCACTGCCCGGCAGGTGGAGCCCCACCTGCAATATGCTCCTGTCACCTTAAATCCTGGCTTCCTAAGTGGGCTCCTTCATAGCTCCCTGCACACAGGGAAGAAGAGACAGATGATCAGAGAGCAGCCAGTTACCCCCTCTTCGATGCTAAGGAAACGCATTCTTAACAACCTCATGTCCATACTGATCGACCGTTTCTGGGTGCAGTTTTCACAGGTGCCTTATTTCATTATTGGTGATTGTATCATTTGGCACAAACGTAAGAAAGACTTCCCTGTTTGCATCTCATTTGTCGTCTTGCAGTTACACGGCGGGAGGGTACAGATGATCTCTGAGCCTGCAGAATCCCAGGGTCTTCTCACTGTTGCTGGGGAGCGTATTTCCGTCACCACTGTGGTGGGGGAGGCAGAAACCACTGGAAAAACGTGGCCTCATGTTTGCTGGTCTTGGATTGTAGTAGATAAAGTGCAAAGAAATGGCCACCCCAGGCTCCAAGCCCGACAAATTTATCTAAAGACGTTTTTACACAATAGAGGCATTAACAGAGAGGGTGGGGGCACACCACGAGAGTCTGCCCCCTTAGAAGAAGAAAAATCGGTGCATTTCGAGATGTGTTTGGCTCCTCTTACCTTGCACGGATAGGCGGAAAGTGTGAGTCTGAGTATTTGTAAGTTTCAAGATCACTGATGGGCTGGAAACAGGTGAGCCGGCCTCCGGGAAATTACCCAAGTTCTTCAGCAAGTTGCCTGCAGTCCTGGGAGCTCTCAGGAGAAGGGGCGTGACCAGAGCTGGTTGCAGCACCCCCACCCCCTGGCCGGACCGCCCTCTCGCTTTCTCAGCCTGCACCCGGTGCCCGCGCCACCCCCACCGTCTCCTCCCTCCGAGTTGCCGTTCTTCATTTCTCTTTCCTTTTCTCAGCTCTGCACCTGTGGGTACAACGTAAAACCCTGAGTTCTTGTTCCCTTTTCTGTCACAAGGCCTCTGTCCCGCCGTCCCCTCTTCTCCCACTCACCTCACCCTCTTTCTCCACCTCTGCTTCTATCTTGTCCTTTCCTTGACCCTGCCTCCTGTAAGTGCAGATCACAATGTCAGGAGATGGAGACCATCCTGGCCAACACGGTGAAACCCCGTCTCTACTAAAAATACAAAAATTAGGGCACGGTGGCGGGTGCCTGTAATCTCAGCTACTCAGGAGGCTGAGGCAGCAGAATCGCTTGAGCCCAGGAGGCAGAGGTTTTAGTGAGCCAAGATCGCGCCACTGCACTCCAGCCTGGCGACAGAGTGAGACTCTGTCTCAGAAAAAAAAAAAAAAGGCCAGGCACGGTGGCTTACGCCTGTAATCCCACCACTTTGGGAGGCCGAGGCAGGTGGATCGCGAGATCAGGAGATTGAGACCATCCTGGCTAACACGGTGAAACTCCGTCTCTACTAAAAATACAAAAAAATTAGCCAGGCATGGTGGTGCACGCCTGTAATCCCAGCTACTTGGGAGGCTGAGGCGAGAGAATCGCTTGAACCCGGGAGGCAGAGGTTGCAGTGAGCCAAGATCACGCCATTGCACTCCAGCCTGGCAACAGAGTGAGATCCATCTCAAAAAAAAAAAAGGCATTCCTGCAATTCCCACGTGGACTGTTGCCTCCCATGACAAGCACACGGCCTCCCTACAGCGCTCAAGTCCCAGCTTCCCCACAACCTGTCTCATCCCTTGGTGTCCCCTCCCCAAGACTGGGAAGTCTCAGGTCTTCACCAGAGATGATCAGAGCTTCCTGCCCAGGCTGTCTGGGGCTTGGAGTCACTGAGGGTTTGGGGCCTAGCCCCTGCTCACCTCGGCTCAAAAAATTGTAGCTGTTTTTATTTTAGTTTAGTTTATTTTTGAGACAGGGTCTTCCTCTGTCACCCAGGCTAGAGTGCAATGGTGTGATCATAGCTCACTGCAGCCTCAAACTCCTGGGTCAAGCAATCCTCCTGCCTCAGTCTCCTGAGTAGCTGAGACTACAGACATACCCCACCACGCCTGCCTAATCTTTTTATTTTTTTGCCCAGATGGGGTCTTGCTATGTTGCCCAGACTGGTCTCAGACTCCTGGGCTCAAGTAATCCTCCTGCCTCAGCCTCCCAAAGTGCTGGGACTACAGGTGTGAGCCACTGCACCCAGCCTGTTGCTATTTATTTATTGAGGTAAGATTCATATAACATAAAAGTCACCATTTTAAAATCAATAACCTGGTGGCGTCTAGTACATTCATAGTGCTATGTAACAACCACCTCTATCCAGCCCCAGGACAGTTTCATCACCCCAAAAGGAAACCTCATCCCCATTAATACCCACCCCCTCCTCCATCCCTGCCTCCCCCCAGTCCCTGGTACCCACGAACCTGCCTTCTGAATCTATGGATTTGCCTATTCTGGGCGTTTCATCTAAATGGCATCTTATGATGTGTGGCCTTTTGTGTCTGGCTTCTTTCACTGAGCTTAGTGTCTGCAAGGCTCATCTGTGCCACAGCAAGCAGCAATGCTTCTTCGTGCCTTTGTATGGATGAATAATATTCCATTCTATGGATAAGATGTCTTTTTTTTTTTTTTTTTTTTTTTGACAGTTTTACTCTGTCGCCCAGACTGGAGTGCAGTAGTGCAATCTCAGCTCACTACAACCTCCGCCTCCCGGATTCAAGTGATTTTCCTGCCTCAGCCTCCCAAGTAACTGGGATTACAGGGGCCTGCCACCACGCCCGGCTGATTTTTGTGATTGTTTGTTTGTTTGTTTGTTTGAGACGGAGCTTTGCTCTTGTCGCCCAGGCTGGA
The DNA here is from genome assembly GCF_000001405.40 of Homo sapiens. NCBI lineage: Eukaryota > Metazoa > Chordata > Mammalia > Primates > Hominidae > Homo > Homo sapiens. The sequence goes on along the minus strand of NC_000007.14, from coordinate 2,976,671 downwards.
GTGCAGTGGCGCCATCTCGGCTCACTGCAACCTCTGCCTCCCGGGTTCAAGCAATTCTCCTGCCTCGGCCTCCAGAGTAACTGGGATTACAGACACATGCCACCACGACCGGCTAATTTTTGTATTTTTAATAGAGACGGGGTTTCACCGTGTTGGCCAGGCTGGTCTCAAACTCCTGACCTTAAGTGATAGGCCCACCTCCACCTCCCAAAGTTCTGGGATTACAGGCGTGAGCCACCGTGCCTGGCCTGATGTCTTTATTTTAAATGTCGCTGGAGTGAAGGGTTCAGGGCTTCAGGGACTGTGAAGGGAGCGGGGCAGAGAGAAAAGGGCCAGCACCTTGCTCAGCACCAAATGCAGCAAACAAAGCAGACTCCAAGTATCTCAGCCCCTCTCCCTCGTCATCCCATGGAGGAGCTCTGACTTATTGGTGAAGGTGGAGCTCCAAGCCAGCCCTTCCAGGAGGCCGGTTAGAGGAACAGAGCAGTTTCAACCAGCCTTCCCGAGCTGCAGCTTGGCTCTGCTCCTGAGTGTATTATAACAATTAATTACAGCCAGTCCTGGGTTATCTGGAGTAATAGGGGACCCGAATAACACAGAGCTAATTGAAACGTGGGCTGCAGGGGTGGCGGGAACAGAGAGGGCCCCATTCCATGAAAGAGCTGTTTATTTTGTAGTTAATTATAAGTAAAGAGACCCTTTCTGAATCCCCGCTCTCTCTCCGTCTTTCTCCCTCTCAGATGCCCCACATTTAATTGGATGCACAAACCTATTTTGCTCCCAAAATAGTGGTACTCAATTAATGCATTTCAACGCACGAGCTCCCCTGGCATCTTGTTGGCAGAATTCTCCGAGACAGAAAATCCGACTGGTTTGAATTCCGTTTCTGTGCCCACCTAACCTCAGATGGAGACACTCATTGTTATAATAATTGTGATAATAAGAGCACCGGATGTAGGTTTCATGCTTTATTCTTCTAGAAATGCCTCCTGTAAATGGTGATGTTACTGTAAGACACACAGCAGAGGCCAGGCGTGCTGGCTCACGCCTGTAGTCCCAGAACTTTGGGAGGCTGAGGCAGGTGGGTCACTTGAGGTCAGGAGTTCAAGAACAGCCTGGCCAACATGGGGAAACCCTGTCTCTACTAAAAATACGAAAATTAGCCAGGTGTGGTGGTGGGCGTCTGTAATCCCAGCTACTAGGGAGGCTGAGGCAGGAGAATCGCTTGAACCCAGGAGGCAGAGGTTGCAGTGAGCCGAGATGGCACCACTGCACTCCAGCCTGGGTGAACTCCATCTCAACAAAAAAACAAAAACAAAAACAAAAAACACATAGTAGAAAGCAAAATCAGACAAATGAGGAATCTGGAACCTGCCCCACTGGGTCGTCAGTTCCTGGGGATTAAGAGGTGGTGAGGTTACTCTTTGGAGGTCTCTTGAGAGCCCTTTCCTGAATGGTCAAATGTGCTTAAATATTGAGATGCTGCTTTATTTTATTTTATTTTTATTGTATTTTATTGAGACAAGCTCTTGCTCTGTCACCCAGGCTGGAGTGCAGTGGCGCAATCACGGCTCACTGCAGCTTTAACCTCCTGGGCTCAGGCGATCCTCGCGCCTCCGCCTCCTCAAGTAGCTGGGACTACAGGTGTGCACCACCACACCCGGCTTGTTTTTGTATTTTTGGTAGAGACGGGGTCTCCCTATGTTGCTCAGGCTGGTCTCAAACTCCTGGACTCAAGCTATCCACCCACCTTGGCCTCCCAAAGTGCTGGGATTATAGGTGTGAGCCACTGTGCCTGGCCTGAGACACTTATTTTCCTGTCTAGTTAAGACTAAAAATCTCTATTGTGTCCTGAAGTTTTCCATCTCCAGCGTCTTAATTATTCATTTTCCTTCCCGGAAGCCCAGCCACAGCCTACAGTAATCCTGGTGAGGTTACAGACAGCCCAAGCATGAACGTCCAGAACACGGGATGGGGGCTTCCCAGGTCTCCTACACCACAGCAGTCTCCCCTTAGAGGCTGTCAGCGTCCGCCTGCGCGTCTGTCATGTGGGTTTGGTAACTGAGACATTCTGTCGTCCTGCTCTGAGGTTGACTGAATGCCCACTGTGTGCAGACACCCACCGCACAGAGACATTGTGCCCTGGTTGTCTGGGAATATGTCCTCTGAAGGTCAACTGGTAAAGAAGTTCCCATACACCCCTCATTCCCTTAAACAATGAGAGAGGGACGAGTATAATCCAAAAAATGATGGCTGATATGGGGTTATCAATATCCCACAAACATAACTGAACTCCAGAAACAGCCCAGTGGACAGAATGGACTTTCTTGTTTTTGAGATAGGATCTCGCTCTGTCACCCAGGCTGAAGTCTAGTGATGCAATCATGGCTCACTGCAGCCTCTACCTCCTGGGCCCAAGTGATCCTCCCACCTCAGCCTCCTGAGTAGCTGAGACCACAGGCACACACCGCCATGCCTGCCTACTTTTTTAATTTTTTTGTAGAGACAAGGTCTCACTATGTTGCCCAGGCTGGTCTCAAACTCCCAGTCTCAAGTGATCCCCCTGCCTTAGCCTCCCAAATAGCTACAACTACAGGCACATGCCACCACACCCAGCTAATTTTTTTATAGTTTTATAGAGACGGAGTCTCACTATGTTGCCCAAGCTGGTCTCGAATTCCTGGGCTCAAGCAATCCTCCTGCCTCAGCCTCCCCAAAGTGCTGGGATTACAAGCATGAGCCATGGTGCCCAGCAGAATAGACTGGCTTTGATAGTGAAGAAGGCCCTTCAGATTCTGGAAATTGCCCAGGGTGGGAGCAGGTGGCAGATATGTTTGTTGTTTCCGTAACACTGATGTTTGGGGACACTGGCAAATGAAGAGCTCTCCTGGTGGGACATAGGACCAGCTGGCCTGTCTGCATTTCACCAGGTAAAGACAGTTTGCGCCCTGCAGGTCAGAAATCAGAGGGCCATCTATTCTAGGCTTCTAACCCGTGAGTGATTGAGAGTACAAGATGGATTGGTGCATACCTCCAAACTGCAGGCACAGTGGAACCATCTAGGTGGGAACAGCAGGCACCGGAAAGCAGTCACAGTGAAAGCTCTCCCCACACATGGGGAGGTAGAGGTCTGATCGGCTGAAGGGAAGAAGCTGTAATGAGCGAAAGAAAGCCAGCGTTTAGCCACTGGACACCACTCACTTGATAAATATGAAATGCCGATTTATGGAACACACTTGCTAAGCCAGGGTACACAAGGAAATATGAAGTGTGTCCCTGCCCAGAGGAACGTGGAAGACACAGAAAGATGCCAACACCACCGGCTGGGTGAGTTTCCAATCGGAAGCTCAGACAGAAGGTTTGAGGGTAAATGTTTAAAGTTTTTCTCTAAATTCTGCTTGGAATGGAGGTAATTACACAGGACGAGTAGGTAGTGACTTCTTGTTTCTGTCCTGAGTTTGCTGCTAGCTTCCGACGGGGGTGGGCTGAGTAGCTAAGTAGCATTGCCCACTGTACGTGCCACAGTAGCCTTAAGATGTTAGTGCTACTCGTGGCCAGGAGCGGTGGCTCACGCCTGGAATCCCAGCACTTTAGGAGGCCGAGGCCAGTGGATCACTTGCGGCCAGGAGTTCAAGACCAGCCTGGCCATCATGGCAAAACCCCATCTCTACTAAAAATACAAATAAATAAATAAATAAATAAGCAAGCGCAGTGGCACATGCCTGTCATCCCAGCTACTCCGGAGGCTGAAGTGGGAGGATCGCTTGAGCTCAGGAGGCGGAGGTTGCAGTGAGTCAAGATAGGGCCACTGCATTCCAGCCTGGGCAACAGAAGCAGACTCCACCTCAAAAAAACAACAACAACAACAACAAAAAACGATGTTAGTGCTACTCAGCCAATAAAAGGGGGCTCAGAGAGGGTAAGCAACATGCCCAAGGCCACACAGCAACAAATGGCACAACTGAAGTTTAAACCCAGGACTCTCTGACTGCAGGACCACATCCTTCCCACTAAGAACACAGAGGGGAACTGCCGTTTTTATCTCTTCATGCAAAGGTTTTTTTTTTTTTTTTTTGGTTTGACTTTCTTTTTGTTTAATTAGAATTCCTGCAATCCTTTCCCCTACAACCCCTGCCCTTTTTGGAGGGAACGATGTCACTTCACAGCAGCAAGTACAACTTACAATATTTTAACCTCCTGAGTGCAGGAGGTTAAAGTCACTCAAGCCTAGCCCTCAAAAACCACCCTACTTCTTTTTCTTCTGCTGCCTGGAAATCTGCCCACTGAGCCTGATAGATGAGAAAATGCAGTGTTGACCTCAAGCCTTGAACACCTTGGGTTAAAATAAGGAAGTCCAAGACCTAAATAAAACCCAGATCTGGCAGGGCATGGTGGCTCATGCCTGCAATCCCAGCATCTGGGGAAGCTGAGGCTTGAGGCCAGGAGTTCAACACCAACCTCGACAATGTAGTAAGACCCCCATCTTTAAAATAGAAACATTTAAAAAGTAGCTGGGTGTGGTGGTGTACATCTGCGGTCCCAGCTCCTGGGGAGGCTTGAGGTGGGAGGATCACTGGGGCCCAGGAAGTCAAGGCTGCAGTGGGCTCTGATTGCACCCCTGCACTCCAGCCTGAGTGGCAGAGTAAGACCTTGTCACACACACACAAAATTTAAAGTGTCTTTTTTTCTTTGAAAAGGAGTTTTGCTCTTGTCGCCCAAGCTGGAGTGCAATGGTGCAATCTCGGCTCACTGCAACCTCCACCTGCCAGGTTCAAGCGATTCTCCTGCCTCAGCCTCCCTCGTAGCTGGGATTACAGGCACCCACCACCACACCCAGCTAATATTTCGTATTTTTAGTAGAAACGGGGTTTCACCGTGTTAGCCAGGCTGGTCGTGAACTCCTGACCTCAAGTGATCCACTCGCCTCGGCCTCCCAGAGTGCTGGGATTACAGGCATGAGCCACCATGCCTGGCCAAAAAAAAAAAGCTGCTTCCTGAACCTTGGGTTGACCAGACCTGAAGGCCTTTCTAGAAGGAAGAGCTGGGAGCCCTGTGAAGCTCCAGGGAAAGACACACAGACCCCTCCTTGGGCTCTTCTGCTGTGGTTGAGGCGACTTGCCCTGACTGCACCTCTTGGTGGATCCTGGGACAAGAATGGGAGGATTAGAAAGCTAGAGGCAGAAGCCTCCACCACCACATCCCTGTCACCATGGAAGAAAACCTGAAATCTGCATTTCAAAAAAAAATACTGACCTTCTAGCCAATGGAAAAAGTTGGCAAAGTTACTTTCAAACACCTGGGAATGTGTTTCGAAGCACTGCTGCATTTATCCATTTGCAGGGTATTTCATAAAATAGATGGCCCCACAACTAGAAATGCATTTTAAATTGATCGCTGCGTCTATTCTAAGTGTATTTCCAGCGTGTCTTATAAATGCAGAAGGCAGCGACGGGTGCCTGGTGTGTGTCCCGCTGCCTGCTGACTCCTCAAAGGAAGGTTGTGATGCGGTCGGGGCCAGCTCTGGGCCCTGGAGATAACTTCATTTGAGCTGCAGGTAGTGACCCGAGTGATCACGCTGCGTTCCCTTGGTAAATCACTCTGCTGTAGCTCTGATTTGCATTCTCTGAGCTAATGCTTGACTTTAAAATACGGGCCAGACTGGGCTGGGATCCAGGTTTCTTTCTTCCCTCCAATCTCCTTCTCACTGCTCCTCAGCCCCGATCTTTCTTGCCACTTCTTTCTTCTTCCAATGAGTCTGGGGGCCCTTTTGACCATCTTTCCTCTGAGTTTCTCTTTCCCTGCCTCTTTTTCTCGGCTCTGAACCTCCCATATTTGTCATGTGTGGCATATTCTTACTTATTTTTCATTCCCTGAGTCTTCTCATAGTCAAAGTTTCTTCGATTTTTTTGACTTCTGCATCTAGGAATGCTTTTTGAATCTAATGAGTGAGTCAGTGAGTGAGTGAGCACATGAATGAATGAGTAAATGAATTAATTAATGAGCAGATGAGTGAGTGAATGAGTGGATGAGTGATTGAGTGAATGAATGTGTGCATTAGTGAGTAAATGATTGAGTGAATAAATGAATGAGTGAATGTGTGAGTGAGAGAACGAACACGTGAATCCGTGAGTGAGTGAGTGAATGAGTGACTGAGGGGTGAATGAGTGAGTGAATGGATGAGTGAATGCATGAGTGAGTGAGTGCATGAGTGAGTGAATCAGTGAATGGATGAGTGAGTGAATGAATGAGTGGATGAGTGAGTGAATGAGTGATTGAGTGAGAGTGAGTGAATGAGTGAATGAACGAGTGAATGGATGAGTGAATGCATGAGTGAGTGGATGAGTGAGTGAGTGGATGAATGAGTGGATGAGTGAGTGGATGTGTGAGTGAGTGAATGAGTGAATGGCTGGGTAAGTGGCCGAGTGAGTGAGTGAATGGATGAGTGAATGAATGGATGAGTGGATGAGTGAGTGAATGAGTTAATGGATGAGTGAGTGAATAAGTGAGTGATTGCATGAGTGAGTCAGTGGATAAGTGAGTAGATGCGTGAGTGAGTGGATGAGTGAATGAGTGAATGGATGAGTGAGTGGATGAGTGAGTGGATGAGTGAGTGAATGAGTGAATGGATGAGTGAGTGAATGAGTGAATGGATGAGTGAATGCATGAGTGAATAAGTGGATGAGTGAGTGAATGAATGAGTGAATAGATGAATGAGTGGATGAGTGAGTGGATGTGTGAGTGAGTGAATGAGTGAATGGCTGAGTGAGTGGATGAGTGAGTGAATGGATGAGTGGATGAGTGAGTGAATGAGTTAATGGATGAGTGAGTGAATAAGTGAGTGAATGCATGAGTGAGTCAGTGGATAAGTGAGTAGATGTGTGAGTGAGTGGAAGAGTGAGTGAGTGAATGGAAGAGTGATTGAATGAGTGAGTGAGTGAATGGATGAATGAGTGAATGGATGTGTGAGTGAATGAATGAGTGGGTGAGCGAGTAAATGAGTGAGTAAATGAGTGAATGAGTGAGTGAGTGAATGAGTGAGTGAATGAGTGGATGAGTGAGTAAATGAGTGAGTGAATGAGTGAGTGAATGTGCGAGCGAGTGGATGTGTGGGTGGATGAATGAGTGGGTGAATGAGTGAGTGCATGGGAGAGTGAGCGAGTGGATGAGTGAGTAAATGAATGAGTGAGTGAGTGGATGAGTGAGTGAGTGAATGAATGAGTGAATGAGTGAATGGATGAGTGAGTGAATGAGTGAGTGAATGGATGAGTGAGTCAGTCAGTGAATGGATGAATGAGTGAATGGATGTGTGAGTGAATGAATGAGTAGATGAGCGAGTAAATGAGTGAGTGAATGAGTGGATGAGTGAGTGAATGAGTGGATGAGTGAGTGAATGAGTGAGTGAGTGAATGAGTGGATGAGTGAGTAAATGAGTGAGTGCATGGGAGAGTGAGCGAGTGGATGAGTGAGTAAATGAATGAGTGAGTGGATGAGTGAGTAAATGAGTGAATGAGTGGATGAGTGAGTAAATGAATGAGTGAATGAATGAGTGAATGAGTGAGTGGGAGTGAATGCGCGAGTGAGTGAATGTGCAAGTGAGTGAGTGGGACCCCCGTCCCCGCAGTCTGTCTGGAATATCCTCATTACCACGCTTTGCACACTTTCCCGGAGTTGACTCCAAAGGCATCTGGCCTGGCCTGGCCTAACCCTGTCGCGGGCTCCTTGGGGGTTCTAGTGGCAGCCGAGTAAGATGAGAAGAAGATAATGAGGAAGATTTAAGGTCTGACTGTGGCTCCCACAGACTCTTCCACCTCTGGTTCTTGGCCACTCTCCGAGTGGGACTCATTTGATGATACTGGTCACCTTTTCTACAAAACTCAAGGGCCCAACTCTTTCACTGAGAAGATTCTCGGGGCTGCTGAGCCCACCCCACACATTCACATGCCAGCCCCAAGGGCTCCCAGGGGCAGGATTTTGCTTTCTAATGCCCAAGTCTCTGGCAGTGCCTGTCCCATGTCTGATTTTGCACCTTCCACACTGTCTCTCAACTTCCCAAAACCAAAGAGTAACACAATTTCCTCCCACCTCTCCTCCTCCCGAATTTAATGTATGCACAAAAACACAGGCTCTGTATCCCACCTTGCTGTTGCTTTCGTGTCAAGTCTCCAGGCTAAACGCTACAGGAGACTTGTTTATTCCGTCACGCTACAAAGGAGGGCCAGGTGCTGTGCTGGAAAGGCACCGATGGGTGCACGTGAGGCCTCCTCCAAGGAATTCACGACAGGTGTATGAACCAGCAATGGCAAAAGAGGGTAAGAAGCAGAAACTGGGCCCAGCAGGCTGCCTCATGCCTGAAATCCCAGCACTTTGGGAGGCCAAGGCAAGAGGATCCCTTGAAGCCAAGAGTTCAAGACCAGACTGGGCAACATAGCAAGAACCCCCCGCCCCCCCATCTCTTAAAAAACAAAGTTATCCAGGGGTGGTGGTGTGCCCCTGTAATACCAGTGCTCTGGGAGGCTGTGATGGGAGGATCACTTGAGCCCAGGAGTTGGAGGCTGCAGTGAGCTATGATCATGCCACTGCACTCCAGCCTGGATGACAGAGCAAGACCCCATCTGTAAAAATAAAATTTTTAATTTAAAAAAGAAGTGGTACAAAAATTTGTTCTGTGCCCAGTGCACAGGTGGCATGAAGGAAGGGTCCTCACTCCACTGGAGCAGTCAGACAAAACTGCAGAGTAGCCGTCCCGGGCCCGTCACAGCACTTAAGCTCACTGCATTCTCCTTGGTGGACTGACACTGAATGTAATTCTGTGACAACAGAATGTTTTTATCATAAAACATCAGAGCACTCAATTCGGCAAATATTTATTAAAAACCCACTCCATACCGGATAGCGTGGCCCAAGCAAATCACGACACTGACATAGAGAACTCAAAGAGGGACAATGGGCTCCCCAAGTTGCTTCCAACCCAGGCAATAAAATGCCAGCCAGGACACTGAAGAACACAGCAATGAAACAAATTCCATCCAGTGCACAGGTGAAGCCAAGAGCCCATCTTTGAAAGCACAGAGAGGTCTTGAATTGGAATCAGCTGGTGGTCGCAACTGCTTATCAGTCTCCTGTGGGGAAGGCGGATTTGCTGACCAGGCTTCAGAGGCAACAGCAGGAGAGAAGAGTATTTCGTTATCAAGGCCAGGGTTTCCCCCTAGCCAGTCCTGTAGCAAGTCTGACTTGACAGGAGTCCGAGAGGGTGACCTCACTCTGGGATTTGGGTCTGGCTGAGTGGTCCCATCATGGCTCCTGGTCGCCATCAGAGCTGTCAATCAGCCCTGTGCACGGACCTGAAATCCAGGTGGGGCCAATGCTCATAAAAAGTGGACGTGATGAATTGATGTGCATTTCAGAACAATTTAAATCTGTCACTCCTAATTGGGCTTCTATCAAAAGCTTTTCTGCGGTGGCGTTAGAAAAAAGGAGACCCAGGAAGCAGGGTCCTTTGGGAATACTAGGGGTGCGTGCCCTTCCACACTTCATCGTCTTGGTACAAATCTGAAGCCACTGCAGAATAAGTGTGGATATATTCCGGGGGGCTGGGGGATGATATGTGGTGGTGCCCTTGGTCTCTGGGTTCAGGGCACACCAGCCCCTCCTAACTTCCTACTGATGCTCTCGCCTTCCCTAAAAAGGAATCAAGATGAGACATTTTTATCTTCAGGAGCCATTGGCCCTTTGCCTGAGTCAGCTAAAAATGATGTGGCCTCTTGGGGAGCTTCAGGTATGAATATTAGAGGCAGTCTGGTGCCTGAGGGGATGCTTGGGGTGGCGGGCAGTGCTCTGGACCAAGGGACTAGGCCTTGCCGGGGATGGTGGCCGGGAAGCTCGGCTGTAATGTGACATGGGGAGGAGGTAGGGTGCCTATGGAAGAGTGAGAGCTGATGCAAGGGGAGATGCAGCCCAGGGGATAAGGCAGAGGCTGGAGAAGTGACAGCATTGACTGCACAGTGAGGGGCATGCTGGGGATACAAAGCAGGGCCACAGAAGGCGGGTGAGATAAATCATCCTGCCTACACACTGAAAGCTGGGAGTGGTTAAACCAATGGCTGAGGGTGTCGTCCGTGAGTTACAATTTCCTGGGCGATCCTTATCTCCTCATGGTACTGCTCACCCCTCAGAGCTGCACCATTTGTTTCTGTCCGCCGCAGCACTTTAGACACGGATAGTATTAAATACTTAGTTCTTATTGACCACTTGCCAACTTTGGTTTTGTCTCTAGGAAAAAAGAATGGGAAGGAATAGATCGATAAGCGGGTTGCTCTGATTTCAGGGATCAGGGGTCTGTGGCCAGGACCAATATAACTTAGAAAGTGTGCGTTGTATGTGGCACTTGTATCTGTTAGGACTGTTTGCAGCTGCAAATAATAGAAACAGAATCAGATTTTCTGCCTACTAGGGGTTTTACTCTTCTCATGGACCAAGAATTCAAAGGTTAGCTGTCCAGGGTTGTCATCAATGACCTGAGGTTCTTATAGCATCCTAGTCAGACATCCTTAGAGCCTGGCCTAGTCTTCACTGTCACAAAATAGCTGCTATGCCTCCAGGCATCACACCCACATTCCAGGTAGGAAGAGAAGGACAAGTAAAGGGCTCTTCTCATCTGAAATCTGCCTCCTTTTAAAGAGCCTTCCCATATGACTCATCCAGAAACTTCCACCTACATCTCACTGGCCAGAGTCGTGTCAAATAGCCACCTAGCTGCAAGGGATGCTGGAAATAACAGGTTTTTGGTTGGGCACAGTAATGTTCCCAAACAAAACTGGTGATCTCTTAATAAGTAAGAGAGAATGGCTATTGGGCCAGCAGCTGGCAATGTCTGCCACACCACTGCAAATTTAAAATGATAATTGCTACTTTCAAAATATGTATCAGTGAAGCTCTGCTGATTGCTCAACGCATGTTAATTGATGGGAAATATTATCATCTCAGGATTTTGGTTGAATGAGCTGAGATAGACAGAGGTTAAAAAGTTAACTGGGATACCAGGGAATAGTCTTGCAGGGGGAATTTTCTAGCTGCTTCTGCAAGTGCCCTCTTTGTAGGAATGAAGGGGATGGGGCAGGTGGTACATGAAGGGATGATTCTGGCTCTTTTCCATCAAGCTTTCATTTCAAGGCTGTAAACACTGAGTATAGCTGGAGTCCGGGCATGTATCCATGTCTCTTCAATCCTTTCTCATGGGCAGTAGATCATCCTTTTAAATAATCTCTTTCCCTTTTTTTGCTAGAAGCCCTTTCAATTAAGTGGAGGTTTCATTGGAATAATTAAACCCTGCATATTAAGCCATTCACTCCAATCATGCAGGCAAATCAATTAACCAGAGATGCATTCATCTAACTAACTGTTTATCTCCTCCTGTTTCCAGAGCTTTTGCACTGGGGCAGCTCTTGGAAAAAAGAGGTGTCTGCCCCCCCAAGACAGCTCATTTCCAGAGGGCTCCCTGGGTTTGAAGCAATGGGAAACTTAATGTTTATTTTATTCAAGATTTGATATTTATTTGTATTTATCCACTCAACAAATATATATATTGAACACCTACTAAGAATATAGCTCCATGCTAATTTCTCCTGGGGATACAGAGATGAGACAGACATGTGGCAAATTGCTGGAACTCTCTTTGAGTGCCTCAGTTTCCTCTTCTATAAAATAAGGAGCGTAGGAGTATCTACCTCATAGGGTTGTTTTGTGTATTAAATGAGATAATCGACATAGAGCATTTAGCATGATATCTGGCAAATAGCAACTCCATATGCCTTTTCAGAGGCAGCTATTCGAGTATACATTCCAGCAAAATGAGGGCTTAAATTAATAAAGAGGCTGGGCACGGTGGCTCACACCTATAATTCCAGAGCATAGTGAGGCCCTGTCTCTACACACAGACACACACACACACAGTAATAAAGAGGAAGATTTGGAGCTCAGGAAGAAAAGAATATAATTGGTTCGATTAGATGCTATGCTAAATAAACATTAGCTGGGATGATTGCTAGTTTAATTAAGCTCAGATGATGTGGAGTTCAGGGAGGCTCAGTAGGAATCTCTGCTCTTCCACTTATTAGCTGTGAGATCTCACTCTGTTATTGAACTCTCAGATCCTACCTTCTCATCCATAAAATGGGAGTAATAAAACCACCTAATTGAGCTTCTGTGAAGATTAATCAAGGTGATAGCCATGAAGAGCCAGGTACACAGTCAGCAGTTTCAGTTTAGGAAGGGGTGAGCTGACTCACAAGCATTGCAAAAGATGGAACGTGGTGTGTGTGCAAAGACTGAAGATAACTATTTTGTTCTTCATACTTAAATGCATTATCCATATTTCCAATGACTGACATGTGTTTTTTTAAGTTAGTTTTATTTTTTATCGAAGTCATACATGAGTCATGCAAAGGAGCAAAATACACCAGGCATGGTGGCTACGTCCGTAATTCCAGCACTTTGGGAGGCCAAGGCGGGTGGATCACTTGAGTCCAGGAATTCAAGACCAGCCTGGGCAATATGACAAAACCCCATCTCTATTATATTTTTAATTAAAAAATTGAAAATAAGAAAGTAAAATAGGCATGTAAGAAAAACATCACTCCCCAACCCAGCCATCATCATCCCCTAGTCCTGATCCCCAGAGGCAATCACCTCAAACTCTTCTTCAGGCCAAGCACAGTGGCTCATGCCTATAATCCCAGCACTTTGGGAGGCCCAGGCAGGTGGATCACTTAAGATCAGGAGTTTGAGACCAGCCTGGCCAACATGGTGAAACCCCGTCTCTACTAAATATACAAAAATTAGCCAGACATAGAGCATACCTGTAATCCCAGCTACTTGGGAGGCTGAGGCAGGAGAATCGCATGAACCTGGGAGGTGGAGGTTGCAGTGAGCCAAAATCGTGCCACTGCACTCCATCCTGGGTGACAGAGTGCGACTCCACCTAAAAACAAAAAACAAAACAAAAAAACCTCTTTTTCACTTTGTTTTCTTCTGTTATTTCTTCTGTTCTTTTTCACTAGGTCTAAATAATGTTTGCCTTGCTATTTGTTGATATGTTAGTTTTAAGACATTATCAACTGACATATTGTTAGATAGATGAGAATTTAGCTCTCTTTTACTAATAACCCATTCAAAGCACTTCCCCTTCCTCCATTTTCTCATTATATTAGGCCACAATCTGTTGTGTTGATTCATCTGTGGTGGTTATATTATTATAACTAGGTAAATATTGTTCATGTTAAGGCAAGTTGTGTGCTCTGATTTTCTTTCTTGTCTGCACTTTTGTTTTTTTCCTGGAGTTAATATTGCCTCTTTTTTTTTTCCTTTGCTTTTGCGCAGGGTTTCTTTTAAATATACTTATTCTTCATTGTTTCCCCATCTGACTCTCAGATCTGTCATTCGCCTAACAATATGATTTCCTGAATTATCAAATATATCAGAAAATCATTCTGTTTTTCCCCTGGCAACCTCTCCCTTGTGGACACTCCATGATCCTGTTGCAATCTTGGCCAATTGCTCCTGGCCGCTTTACTTTCACCCTGGGACTTTCCTTGATGCTTCCCCAAGTAGATTCCTTGCTTTGTGAGCTCCACACCTTCCTCTTTATTGTTTACTTCCTCATTTTGCTGCATCATATCCTCTAGTAGCTTCCAATGAAAAGGTGCCCAGGAGCAAATATTTGGAGTTCCTGCTTTTCTGAAAATAATTTTTATTCTATTTTCACACATAATAGTTTGGGTGGATATAGGATCCCAGGTAAAAAAGAATTTTCCATCAAAAATGTGAAGGCATTGCCTCATTTTCTCCGAGCTTCCAGTATTTGTATTGAGGAGTTTGATGGTATATTTGCTTCCATTCTTCTTCATGTGACCTGAGGTTTTCTCTCTGGAAACTTCTAGGGTCGTTTCTTATTCCCTGGTGGCCAGAATTTTTGCAACAATGTGCACTGAGAAGGTTCTTTTCAACTGATTGTACTAATATTCAAAGAGCCTATTAAGTCTGAAGTCTCATGTTTTTACACTCAGAGAATTCTCTAACTTTATTTCTCTGATAATTTCATCCCTTGATTTATAGTCTATCCCCAGAAGATATATAACAAGAAGACACAGTCTTTGTCATCTCTTTTTAGGATTTCTATTTATTGGATATTAGACCTCCTAAATTGATCTCATTCCCTCCCCTCTTATCTTCCTTCTCTTTAATTTTTTATTTAACTTTTCAGGAAATTTCCTCAACTTTATCTTCCAAGCCTTCTATTGATTTTAAATTTCTGCTGCCTTATTTTTAATTGCCAAGAACTTCTTGTTCTTTGATTGTTCCTCTTCTTAGCACCCTACCATTGCTTTATGGATGCAGTGCTTCATCTCATCTCTAAATGATTCTTAATTATCAGGTTATGTTTTGGGGGTTTCTTTTGAGACAGGGTATCGCTGTGTTGCTCAGGCTGGAATGCAGTGGTGCAAACATGGCTCACTGCAGCCTCAATCTCCTGGGGTCGAGCAATCCTCCTGACTCACCCTCCTGTGTAGCCAAGACTACAGGTACATATAACCATGCCCAGCTAATTTTTTGATTTTTTGTGGAGACAGTGTCTCGCTATATTGTTCAAACTGGCCTCGAATCCCTGGGCTCAAGCAATCCTCCCACCTCAGCTTCCCAAAGTACTGGGATTAGAGGTGTGAGCCACTGCACCGGCCAGGTTATGTTTTTTTAAAATTTTCTCTTATTCTGTGCATTGTCTGCTCCTAGCAGGTTCCTTGTGTCTGTGTGACCCTTTTGATCTCTGCCTTTCATGTGGAGACTTTCCTCAACCATCAAGTGATCCTTGCCTCTATTTATTCTTAAGTGAGAGGCCACAAAAACCCCAGCATTTCCCAGCCAGGCACGGTGGCTCACACCTGTAATCCCAGCATTTTGGGAGGCCAAGGCTGTTGGATCACCTGAGGTCAGGAGTTCGAGACCAGCCTGGCCAACATGGTAAAACCCCATCTCTACTAAAAATACAAAAATTAGCCGGGCATGGTGGCGCATGCCTGTAATCCCAGTTACTCAGGAGGCTGAGGCAGGAGAATCACTTGAACCCAGGAGGCAGAGGTTGCAGTGAGCAGAGATCACACCACTGCACTCCAGCCTGGGCAACGAGAGCAACACTCCATCTCAAAAAAAAGGAAAAAAAAGAAAAACTAACATTTCGTTTGTCAACTAGCAGGCTTCATAGTGGGGTGAATGGGCATTGATTGTACTTGGAAAACACCACCATGAGGAATCTACAGTGCATTAAGCAATTGATTCCTCTTTTGAGAAGCAATAGTTGTTTGTTTGTTTGTTTTGAGACGGAGTCTTGCTCTGTTGCCCAGGCTGGAGTGCAGTGGCGCGATTTCGACTCACTGAAAGCTCCGCCTCCCGGTTTCCCACCATTCTCCTGCCTCAGCCACTCGAGTAGCTGGGACTACGGGCACCCACCACCATGCCTGGCTAATTTTTCGTATTTTTAGTAGAGACAGGCTTTCACCATATTAGCCAGGACTGTCTCTATATCCTGACCTTGTGATCCTCCCGCCTCGGCTTCCCAAAGTGCTGGGATTACAGGCGCCCACCACCATACCCGGCTAATTTTTTTGCACTTTTAGTAGAGACGGGGTTTCACCATGTTAGCCAGGATAGGTTGGTCTCGATCTCCTGACCTCATGATCCACCCGCGTCAGCCTCCCAAAGTGCTGGGATTATAGGCGTGAGCCACCATGCCCAGCCCTCTCTAAGCTTTTGTGTTCTTGGTTGTAAGGTGGTGGTGGTGGTGGTGATGATGATACCACCTACCTCAAAGTGTTCTGGAGGTTCATCAGTGACGCCTAACAAAGTGTCTGGCACACACCGGATAGTCTGTAAGCACGAGGGATGGTGTTTGGTCAGTTGCATGTTACACCTATGAGCCAGTCTTGCAAGTGGTCAAGAGATTGACTTTTAATCCTAGAAATCTTCCCTGACCTGAGGACCAAGTTCCCAAATGCTGTCATCAAAATTCTAAAGTCAGAAACAGCCCAGCCTCAGTACTGGTTTTCTTGTGCCTCAGTTTTCCCAACCTACGTTGACATAGTGGGTAGGGGGTAGGGGTAGAACAGCAAGGGTAGTTGTTCAAGCCTGTTTCTCCTTTTTTTTTTTTTTTTTTTTTTTGAGACAGAGTTTCACTCTTGCAGCCCAGGCTGGAGTGCGACTGTGCGATCTCGGCTCACTGCAACCTCTGCCCCCAGCTCAAGCGATTCTCCTGCCTTAACCTCCCCAGTAGCTGGGACAACAGGCATGCGCCACACCCAGCTAATTTCTGTATTTTTAGTAGAGACGGAGCTTCGCCATGTTGGTCAGGCTGGTCTCAAACTCCCGACCTCAGCTGATCTGCCCACCTCGGCCTCCCAAACTGCTGGGATTACAGGCGTGAGCCACAGCACCCAGCCTTGTTTCTCCTTTCTTGTAATTAAAACCTTTCTTTTTTTTCTCTTTGAGACAGGGTCTTGCTCTGTCACCCCAGCTGGAGTACAGTGGCGCAATCATGGCTCACTGCAGCCTCAACCTCCTGGGCTCAAGCGATCTTCCCACCTCAGCCTCTTGAGTAGCTGAGACTGTAGGTGTACAGGCCAGATAATTTTTTTTTTTTTGTAGAGATAGGGTCTCGCTATGTTCCCCCAAGCTGGTCTTGAACCCCTGACCTCAAGCAATCCTCCCACTTCAGCTTTTCAAAGTGCTGGGATTACAGGCATAAGCCACCATGCCTGGCCACAATTAAAGCCTTCCTTACAATTTTTTAAAGCCTTTTTTTTTCTGATGATAAACACATTCTCTTTTTTAAGAAATGCAGACAGTGTCATTTCCCTTTGTGTTTGCTGACTGGCCTGTGGACTGCTTTGCTGCCTTTGCAGAGGCCCTTGGTTCTCTCATTCCCTTCCCCACCCAGCCCCAACCCCTGGCCCTGTCCCAGCCACAGAGCAGGGAGGCCGTGAGGAGACCAGGGAGATGGTGTCCTGCAGCGATGCCTGTCGCCACCACCTCCCCGGGGCTGAGGGCCTCTGACAGTTCACTCCAAGCCCAGCCGTTGCCCGACAGGAACAGCTTCTGTCAGCCCCGGGAGATCTCATGTCACCTGTGGTTAGTCTTCAAAGCCAAAACCAAGGAAGTCCTTGATTAAACATCAGCGGCCGAGGGTCCCTGTCACTCCTGAATGGAACTGTCCTAGAGCAGCTGCCTAAAGCCTGCCCCCCACCAGGTTCCAAGCAGCTTTGGGGACAGGCATAAGGCTCTTTCCACCGTACAAGGGTTTGAACCCCACCTTTCCCTCTTACCATGATTGTCCCACTGCACTCCAGCCTGGGCAACAGAGTGAGATCCTGGCCTCCTTTCTCCAGAAGGAGAACTGACCCTTCCCCAAAAAACCCAAACCCCCAGCTGGGCTCCTGGATGGCTGAGTGGGGCATTAGCGGTGGCCTCGTCAGTCACCATAAGGAACACTGCCCTTGGGAAATTACAGCGTGTGTGGGCTACCGCGTGTTCCTGCCCAAACCCATGGCAGGCTGGAGGCTAAAGACATAATTCACAGTGACGGGAACTCTTCGGGGTTTGGGAACGGGGTTTGCTGCTTTTGACCTAATGAATTAGCAGCTGATTAGAGCGGCTCCAGTCTGCAGAGGTTTCCATCAAAGCCTTTTCCATCAAAGATCTTCCACACTGGCCACGAGCATGCCCAAGGCTGCCATCTTCCCTCCTCCCCATCTCCAGGGGTGTCAGGACCTGTGTCAGTGGCCTCCCAGGCTGTCCACTCCCCAGGGTGGAACAGAAGCCCCTCTCCCCCTGCAGCCCCTGGTGTGGTCCACTCTGCCAGTGTCATCGAGGGTGACACGCCCCTCAGGACTTCCTGGCCTTTTCTTCCAAAGCAGAACATCTCTTTGATCCCAGAACGATTCCCTTTCTCTCCATCCTCCGCCTCCTGCTCCAAGGCTGATTATCTCTTCCTTTTCAGATCCCAAGCACTGCAAGTCCAGATGCAACGGGAGCCTGGCTCAAGGGACGACAAGATCCAGCCGGAAAGTGTAGAAGTCACACCCCAATGGCGGGATAGCAGCCCCTGTGTGTGAGCACCCCTCCATGCCAGGTACTCGGCATCTGTTATCCCCTCTATACCTCTCTATATATTATGGAGAGACAGGGTCTTGTTCTATCACTGCGGCTGGAGTGCAGTGATGTGATCATAACATACTGCAGCCCTCCACCTCCTTGGCTCAAGTGATCCTCCCATTTTAGCCTCCCAAGTAGCTGGGACCACAGGCACACACAACCAAATCTGGTGAATTTTTTAAATTTTTTGTAGAGACAGGGCCTTGCTCCGTTGCCCAGACTGGTCTCAAACTCCTGGCCTCAAGCGATCTCCCTGTCTCTGCCTCCCAAAGCACTGATTACAGGCAGGAGACACTGTGCCTGGCCGTTCCTTTATATTGGAAAAAACGCAAGTGATGGTGACCTGAGACTTGGCGGAGGGGCGGGAGTAGTGAAGGGAGAGAGGGGCAGAGATCAGGCTGTGACACCAGCCGGAGCTTGGGAGACCATCAGAGAAAAGGCTGGCAGGCCGGGGATGTAGTTGTGATAAGATTGAGGGGCTGGCAGAAAGCAAACCTTGCAGGGCCTGAAGATCAAGATCAAGATGCTGAACATGGGCCAGGCACAGTGGCTTACACCTGTAAATCCCAGCACTTTGGGAGGCCGAGGCAAGTGGATCATCTGAGGTCAAGAGTTCGAGACCAGCCTGGCCAACATGGTGAAACCCCGTCTCTACAAAAAATACAAAAATTAGCCAGGCATGGTGGTGGGCATCTGTAACCCCAGCTACTCAGGAGGCTGAGGCAGGAGAATCCTTGGACCCAGGAGGCCGAGGCTGCAGTGAGCCCAGATGGTGCCACTGCACTCCAGCCTGGGTGAAAGAGCAAGACTCTATCTCAAAAAAAAAAAAAAAAAAAAAAGTTGAACATGGCTTGGCATGGTGGTCATGCCTGTAATCCCAGCACTTTGGGAGTCCAAGGTGGGAAGATCACTCGAGCCCAGGAGTTTGAGACCAGCCTGGGCAACATAGCAAGACCCCATCTCTACAAAAATAATTTTTAAAATATTAGCTGGCCACGGTGGTGTTTGCCTGTGGTCCCAGCTACTCAGTAGGTGGAGGCAGGAGGATTGCTTGAGCTCAGGAGGCAGAGGCTGCTGTGAGCTGAGATCACGCCACGGCACTCCAGCCTGGGCAACAGCGCAGGACCCTATCTCAAGAAAAAAAAAAAAAAAAGATTGGAACTTTATCATAACAGCAAGAGGAAGCCACAGTAGAGGTCTTGAATGAGTAAGTCAGGACGTGAGGCCAGCAACTCTCATGGAATTCGTCCTCAGGTGGGTCACCTCCTGGTCCTTTGCTTCCCAGGGAAGGTGAGCAACACAGCCCTTTCTGTGGAGCCTAGCCTGGGGGTCTGGCACTTGCTTTTCAGCCATTTGCAAAGAGATTGGTGTGGCCTAGGACCTGTCTCACACTGGAAGTCAAACCCTGCCAAAGGTTGGGTTTGAGTTGCGAGTTGCGACAAGCTCCAGCTAAGACTTAGGTAGGGACGGGCCATCCAACCTGCCATGCTGTTAAAGTTCAGAGCCTCGGGGCCTCTGGGCACATTTCTGAGAAAACTGCCTTCAAAGAAACTGCCCAGAGCTTGACAGAGTCACTGGGTTCATCCCCGGTGATGAGGCTGAGTCATGCTGAGTTAGAGGGAAGTGTTAGAAGGGAAAATACATTTCGAATTGCGTCTGAGACATTTTTTTTCTTTTGAGGCTAGCTACACTCTCCATAGATTTTTTCCATGAAATATTTCATACATATAAATATGTATATATAATGTGTATCTATGAGGCAGAGAACAATGAAACAGACACTCATGTCCCCAGTTGAAGCATAACATAATTCCTTGTGTCACCAATGTCCTCAGGGGACCTTCCGAGGTCACATCTGTCTGGCTGCCCCTCCCCATGGGAAGCCACCATTCTGATTTTTATCAGTCCCCTTGTTTCTTGGTATAGTTTTGCCGTATATCCTTAACAGTAGGGTTTTGTTTTGTATGTTTAAAAAAAAAATTATTTTTAAGACAGGATTTTGCTCTGTCTCCCAGGCTGGAGTACAGTGGTATGATGATAGCTCCCTGCAGCCTCAACCTCCTGGCTTAAGCAATCCTTCCATCTCAGCCTTCTGGGTAGCTGGGACTACAAGCACGCAACCCCACACCCAGCTAAGTTTTTATTTTTTTGTAGAGATGGGGTCTTGCTATATCGTCCAGGCTGGCCTCAAACTCCCAGTCTCCCGTCTCGGCCTCCCAAAGTGCTGGGATTTCAGGCATGAGCCATCTCACTCAGCCTTGTTTTATATATATGTATATATTTTTTTAATTTTTTAGAGACAGGGTCTCACTTTTTCCCAGGCTGGAATGTAGTGGTGCCATCGTAGTTCATTGCAGCCTCGATCTCCTAGGCTCAAGTGATCCTCCCACCTCCCAAGCAGCTGGGACTACAGGCGTGTACCACCATGCCCAGCTACTTTGTTTTTATTTTTTGTAGAGATGGTGTCTCGCTGTGTTTTCCAGGCTGGTCTCAAACTTCTGGCCTCAAGCAATCCTCCCACCTGGGCCTCCCAAAGTGCTGAGATTATAGGCGTGAGCCACTGTGCCCAGCCTGTTTTTGAAGTACTTATAGACAGTTTTATACCATGCATCTTCTGTGGCTTGCTTTTTCACTCAGCATCATGTTCCTGAGGTCCACCTGTGCTTATGCACATGGTCATATTTCTTTCCATGTTCACTGCTGGGGAGTGCTCCAGCGTTGAATACACAGTGTATTTATCCACGCTGTTGGACGATGTCTGTGTGTGGTTTCTGGTTTTGGATACACGGTGCTGCTGTTGAACATTCTTGCACAGGTCTCTGGATGCACACGGGTAGAATTTCTCTAGGGATGATATCTAGAAGGGACTCCTGGCATGTATGTTCTGCATGTTCAACCCTACTAGGTGAAACCAACTTGTTTTCCAGCCCTTGCAGGTTTTTTTCATACAGTAACAAATGTCTGCAGGTGAGCCCCTGCTGGGAGCAGAGGTGCAATAGCGTCCTTACTCTGTCACTCCAGTGAGAACAGATGCCCCCAGATCATGGCTCCGGGTGTTTGTGATATGAACTCACCCTTCACCAGGCTACTTTATCTTGCCTGTCCCTCTGCCTAGCAAACTCCCACTCAAAATGCTCCCAGCTCTCTAAGGAGGGGGAACCTCAGGGAGGTCTTCACATGAAGGAGGCGTGGGCTGGAACCCCAGTTAGATTTGCTATGTGACCCTCAGCAAGTTGCTAGGGCTCTCTGGTTCTTGGTTTCCTTGTCTACAAAACAAGGGTGAGCACATCCATCTCTCAGAGCCGCTGTGGTCGTTAAATGAGATGATTTCTTTTTTTTTTTTTTTGGAGACAGAGTCTTGCTCTGTTGCCAGGGCTGGAGTGCAGTGGAACAATCTGGGTTCACTGCAAACTCTGCCTCCTGGGTTCAAGTGATTCTCTTGCCTCTGCCTCCTGAGTAGCTGGGACTACAGGCACCTGCCACCATGCTCAGCTGATGTTTTGTATTTTTAGAAGAGACGGGGTTTCGCTATGTTAGCCAGCCTGGTCTCGAACTCCTGACCTCAAGTGATCTGCCCACCTCGGCCTCCCAAAGTGCTGGGATTACAGGTGTAATCACCATGCCCAGCCAAATGAGATAATTTCTATAAAGGGTCAGGCACGGTGCCTGGCACGCGGGCAGCCCAGTGGGGAAGCACTTCCTGTTCTGCCAGCAGGGCGTGTGGCTGCCCTCTCTGCAGGGTTCCAGAGGATGCTGTTCCTCCCACCGGGGCTTGTGTGGGCGGCTGACACTTACCACCAACCTCTGAGCAGCTTGCAACCCAGGGTCTGTGTGCGAAACGTCTTTGCACCCTCTGTTCCCAGCACAGTGCTCAGCACAGAGCCAGTTCTCACTCAAGTCGGCTGAGGTTGAAGAGGCCCTTTCAGTCCAGGCACTCACAAACTGGTCCACTTTCCCAAGTTCAACTTCACCCCTGGTTGCTAAGCAACTGTGCTGCAAAGGGGCATTAACGATGGGACAGGTTTCAACGAGATCCAGGGTCTGTGATTTCACTGCATCTGAGGTAGAAGGGTCCCTTGGCCGGGCATGGTGGTGTGCGCCTATAGTCCCAGCTACTTAGGAGGCTGAGGTGGGAGGATTGCTGGAGCCTGGGAGCTCAAGGCTGCAGAGAGCTACAATGAGGTAGGAGGGTCCCTTTCATCTCTGCTCTGGAAAGAAGATTTGGCCCTAGTTATTTCCTGCTTAGCTGACAGGCCGCTGAGGTGGCTGCACCGGGTCACCCGGGGTCCCGGGAGGAAGGCTTTCTATGTCACTGAGCACTCTTGTAACACGTGGTTGGCATGTGCCAACTACAACCTCCTTGTTCATGAAAGCTGGTAAGAAATGCTGGTTGGTCTATCCAGACCTGCCTGTCTTCTTGCCTTGAGCTGCTGTTTAATTCCTAGGCCTGTGCCTTCTGACCCCGCAAAAGGTATAAGCTTCTTAACACCTGCCTTTCAGCTCTCTTGTGCATTCATGGTGCTGAGCAAGTCTTTGTACTAAGTAGATGTCTTTATTAGTTAGGAGGCTTTGGGCTGCAAATCACAGTAGACCCAACTTCACAAGGCTTGGGACAAAGAGCATTTATATCTTACAGGAGTCCAGAGGTGGGAGGGGCTCAGGATGGCAGAGCAGAGAGCTGGAAAGACCCTCGGTCCTTGATGTCACCTGAGGGATACAGGCTGAGGTGCAGTGACCCAAACCATCACATTCACCTTTACACACTCATAGCCAAAAGCCCAAGGACAAGGTGTCCCTGTTAAAGATCAAGGAAAACCTCCAGAACCGCTCCCAGTGCATGTTCCTGCAGGTTGCATGGCCAAAAGCACTTCACCTGCTTGTTTCTACGCTACTGGTAGAGACCAAACAAGGGCCACTCTTTGCAGCTCAAAAGATATTCAGCCTCCCTGAAGCATCAGACTGCCTGGCTTTTGGGGAAAAAAAAAAAAGGATTCTGTTAGCAGGAAGTCGGGGGTCGTGTGGAGAGACACCAGCAGTGCCTGCCACCTAGTCAATAAATAATTCGTTGAATAAAATTCTTAGGCTGTCCACTTCTTGAAAATAATAAAAGCAAGTACATTTTCCTTTGTGAATGCAAATGATCACGTGGTCATGTTGTCAGAATGAGCCATTGTTGTAGGCGTGTCTATGGTGTTGCTGGCTTTGACCCAGGTAGCCAGTGCCATGTGTTAGCAAAAGGCTCATAGAGGTCAGAACTTAAGGCAGTGAACTATGGAGGTTGTCATCTATACAAAGTTCATTGGATTCAATGGAGACCAAATCCTCATTTTTAATTACTTTAAATCCAACTTTTGCTCATGACAGAAAATAGATATTTTTACTCAAGGCACTTTGGTTGCAGGGAACAAAATCCCACTTGAAATATCTCAAATTGGCCAAGAGTGGTGGCTCATGACTGTAATCCCAGCACTTTGGGAGGCTGAGGTAGGAGGGTCATTTGAGGCCAGGAGTTTGAGACTAGCCTGGGCAAACTACAGCATGGTGGTGCATGCCTGTAGTGAGACCCTGTCTCTACAAAAAATGTTCAAAACAGCCAGGGGTGGAGGCACACACCTGTAGTCCTAACCACTCAGGAGGCTGAGGTGGGAGGATTGCTTGAGCCCAGGAGTTTGAGGCTGCCATGAGCTAGGATTGCCCCACTGCATTCCAGCCTGGGTGGCAGAGCAAAACCCTGTCTCTAAAAATGATAATTTTTAAAACAAATTTAATAGCTCAAATTAACGGGGAAGGTGGAAGGATACTGAAAGCCTACAACAAGGACCAGACACCACAGAAGGCCAAGGCTCATGAGGTTGGGAACTGAGTTATGCAGCAAGAGAGATGACCCCGGCCATCCGCTTCTCATGGAACCTCATGGGCTCACCATGGCACCACTCGGTAGACCAGCTTCCTCTGCTTGCTGGTTTCTTCTCTGCCCTCATAGCCTTGACCTGCCTGCATGTCTCCTCACCCTGGCTGAGCTCCAACCTCCATGGCTACACCAATGCCACCTTCTAGCTCAATTGCCCCCAGCACACTCACCCATCCCACCACTGTGAAATCCCCAGGTCCAGGAATTTGGCTGTGGCTAAAGAAGAACATCTCATAATGATAAAATGGTCAATCCACTGAGAAGCTATAAGAGTTATAAGCATATGCACCTATCAGAGCCCCAGATACATGAAGCAAAGATGGACAGAGCTGGAGGGAGAGATACACAATTCAACAATAAGAGTTGAAGACGTTGGCCAGGCGCAGTGGCTCATGCCTGTAGTCCCAGCACTTTGGGAGGCCGAGGCAGGCAGATCACCTGAGGTCAGGAGTTCGAGACCAGCCTGGCCAACATGGAGAAACCCCGTCTCTACTAAAAATACAAAATTAGCCAAGCATGGTGACAGGTGCCTGTAATCCCAGCTACTCAGGAGGCTGAGGCAGGAGAATCACTTGAACCCGGCAGGCAGAGGTTGCGGTGAACTGAGATCACGCCATTGCACTCCAGCCTGGGCAACAGAGTGAGATTCTGTCTCAAAAAAAAGAGTTGAAGACGTTATTACTTTACTTTGAATAATGGATAGAACAACTAGGCAGAAGATCAACAAATAAGAAACTTGTACAACACTATAAACAAACCAGACCTGGCTGGGCGTGGTGGCTTACACCTGTAATCCCAGCATTTTGGGAGGCCAAAGCAGGTGGATCACTTGAGGTCAGGAATTCGAGACCAGCCTGGCCAACATGGCAAAACCCTGTCTCTACTAAAAATACAAAAATTAGCCAGACATGCTGGCTGGAACCCAGGAAGCAGAAGTTGGAGTAAGCCAAGATTGCACCACTGCACTCCAGCCTTGGTGACAGAGGGAGGCTCTTTATCAAAAAAAAAAAAAAAAAAAAAAAAAAAAAAAAAACTAGACCTAACAGACATCTGTAGTCCACTCCATCTGACAGCAGCAGAATAATACATTAATCTATGAACTAAGTTCCTCCCAAAGTTAGTTTGGCCTCTGCCCAGGAATGAACGAGGACTGCTTGGAGGTTAGAAGCAAGATGGAATTGGTTAGGTCAGATCTCTTTCACTGTCAGAATTTTCTGTTATAACTTTTGCAAAGGCAGTTTTACCTCCTCCCTTGCAAAAGTAGAAAAAGAAGAGCTAACTAAACCTAAAGCAAGGAAAAGAAAGGAAATAATCAGGACTAGGGCAGAAGCAAATGAACCTGAGAATAGAAAAGGAATACAGAGAATTAATGAAACCAAAAGTTGGTTCTTTGATATATCGACAAAATAAGAGAGAAGATGCAAATTACTAGAATCAGAAATGAAAGGGGGGAAATTATAACTGAACTTATAGAGATAAAAAGAATTATGAAGGGAACTGTGAGCAATTGCTGCCAATAAATTAGATAACTTAGATATAATGGACAAATTCCTAGAAAGACACAAACTACTGAAACTGGCTCAAGACAAACAGAAAATATGAACAGACCTGTAATAAGTAAGGAGGCTGAATTTGTAAAAATAATCCACAAAGAAAAACCCATGCCCAGATGTCTTTACTTGTAAGTTCTACCAAACAAAAGAAAAATTAATATCAATTCTTAAAAGCCTCTTCCAAAAAGCAGAAGAGGAAGAAACACTTCCTAAATCATTCTGAGGCCAATATCAAAACCAGACAATGACATCACAGGAAAAGAAAACTACAGACCAATATCTCTTATGAATATGAATGCAAAAATCCTATTTTAAAAAACAAGTTAAATCCAGCAACATATAAAAAGCAACATATAAAAAGAATTATACACCCTGACTGTGTGGGATTTATGCCAGGAATACAAGGTTGGTTTAACATCTGAAAGTCAGGTAGTGTAACCCTATCAATACAATAAAAAACAAAAACCACATGGCAGCCTCAATAAATGCAGAAAAAGCATCTGACAAAATCGACAACCCTTTCAGGATAAAAACATTCAATAAACCAAGAAGGTAAGAAAACTTCCTCAACCTGATAAAGGACATCTATCTTAAAAACAAAAGCAAAAGCCTACAGCTAATGTCATACTTGACAGTGAAAGATTGGATGCTGTCCGCTAACATCAGTAACAAAGCAAGGATTCCTGCTGTTAACATTTCTATCTAACATTGTACTGGAGGTATTTTAGCCAGAGCAATTAGGCAAAGAAGAGAAATAAAAGGCACCCAGATTGGAAAAACAGAAGTAAAACTACCTTTATCTGCAAATGACATGATCTTATATATAGGCTATCATAAGATGTCTCTAACAAACTAACAGAACTAATAAATGATTTCACAAGGTTGCAGAATACAAGGTCAATATACAAAAATAAATTATATATCTATAGACCAGCAATGAATATCCCACAAATGAAATTAAGAAAAAAACTCCCATTTATAATGTCATCAAATTAATGAAATACTTAGGAATATATTTAACAAAAGAAGTGCAAGACTTGTACACTGAGAACTATGAAACATTGCTGAAAGAAATTAAAGAAGATTTAAAGAAAGACATCCCCCTGTTCATAGATCAGAAGATTTAATATTGTTAGGTAGCAGTACTCTCCAAATTGATCTACATATTCAGCAGATTCACTACCAAAATGCCAACTGCCTTTTTTGCAGAAATTGACATCCTAATCCTAAAATTAGGTAAAAGGCACCTAATAGCCAAAACAATCTTGAAAAAGAACAAGGTTGGGAGACCCATACTCCCAATTTCAAGGCCTACTACAAATCTACAAATCTTCGGTAATCAAGACAATGTAGTACTGGCATAAGGATACACATATAGATCAATGGAATAGAATCAATAGTGCAAAAACAAATGTTTACTTTTATGGTCAGTTGATTGTCAACAAGGGTAGCAAGATCATTCAATGGGGAAAGAGTAGTCTTTTCAAACAAACTGTGCTTGGACAACTGGACATCCACACATAAAAGAATGCAACTGGACCCCTACCTCACACCATACACAAAAATTAACTCAAAATGGATCATCCTCAATGTAAGAACTAAGGTATAATATTCAAAGGCAAAAAACAGGAGTAAGTCTTCATCATCTTGAGTTAGACAATGGTGTTTCGGATACATGCCAAGAGCACAAGTGAAAAAAAGAAAAAATAAATAAATTGGACTACCTCAAAATTTGAAACTTTTGTGCTACAAACAATGCTTTTAAGAAAGTGAAAAGACAACTGACAGAGTGGGAGAAAATATTTGCAAGTCATATATCTGATAAGTGGCTTGCATCCAGAATACATAACAAAATCCTACAACCCAATAATAAAAAGACAAACAACACAATTTTAAAATGGGCAAAGGATTTGAATAGACATTTCTCAATGCACACAAATGGCCAATATGCACATGAAAAGATGCTCAACATCGTTAGTCATTAGGGAAATGCAAATCAAAACCACAATGAGATGCTACTTCACACTCAGTAGGAGAGCTGTAATAAAAAAGACAGACAATAACAAGTTGTTAGCAAGAATATGGAGGAATTAAAACCCTCATGGCTTGTTGGTGGCAATGTAAAATGATGCAGCTGCTTTGGAAAACAATTTGGCAATTCCTCAAAATGTTAAATATAGAGTTGCCATATGGCCTAACAATCCACTCTTACGTATCTACCCAAGGGAAATAAAAACATACAGTCACACAAAAACTTTTACATGAATGTTCATAGCAGCATTGTTCATAATAGACAAAAGGTAGAAATAACTCAAATGTCCATTAGTGGATGAACAGACAAGCAAAATGGGGCATGTCCATGCAATGAAAAAATCACTGAGCAATTTAAAATAAGTGAAGTCCTGATACATGCTACAACAGGAACAAACCTTGAAAAGTTGCTGAGTGAAAGAAGCCAGACATGAAAGACCATAAATTGTAGGATTTCACTTGTATAAAATGTACGGAAAAGACAAATCTATACAGACAGAAGGTGAACGAGTGGTTACACAGGGCTGGAGGAGCAGGGATTAGAGGGAAATTGAGAGTGGCTAATAAAGGGTGAGGAGCTTCTTTTTGAAATGACGGAAATGATTTTAAATTGATTGTGGTGGTGGTTGCACAGCTCTGTGAATATACTAAAATCATTGAATTGAACATATTAAAAAGGTAACTTGTATGCTATGTGAATTACATCACAATAAAGCTATTTTTAAAAACGAATGACTTAGATCTATATGTATCCATCTAGATAAATCTCAAAAAAAAATGTAGAGGGAGAAAAACATGCTGAAAAAGGAAACGTACAGTATGACACCATTTATGTGAAATTTTAAAACAAAAGCCAATAGTATATATTGTTTAGGGAACTATACATTTTTAGTAAGACATAAAAACTTGGATGGAAAGGGTAGACTCAACCGCAGGATTTTCCCTCTCTGCCCTATAAATAATCTTTTTTAAAATTGATGGCTTAAACTTCCATTGTTTATGTTTAGCATATAAGGAAATATATATTTTTATATTCATAACCCCTTTCTTAGACAAAAGGTAAAATGCTATATATACTTTAGTGTACAGGACTTTTTTTTAACTTAATATATTCTAGAGGTCACTCCAGAGGAGTTGATAGAGCTGTTCCAGTGAGACTGCTTTATTAAGCTTGTTGGGGTTTATGTCTAAAAGGAGGAGGGCCAGAGATGGATGACTACATGGAGACGCTGAAGGATGAAGAGGACGCCTTGTGGGAGAATGTGGAGTGTAACCGGCACATGCTCAGCCGCTATATCAACCCTGCCAAGCTCACGCCCTACCTGCGTCAGTGTAAGGTCATTGATGAGCAGGATGAAGATGAAGTGCTTAATGCCCCTATGCTGCCATCCAAGATCAACCGAGCAGGTAACCTTAGGACCTCTTTGCGGGAGAGGGAGGGCTACCGCACACGGCAACTTCCAGACATACCCTTTGGTAGCTGTACCAAAATGAAGTTGCTCTAGGTCAGGGATTTTTAAACTGGGGTCCGCAGTCCATCACCTACTCATTTGTGTATAGAACTCAAGCTGTCTGTGTATGGAACTCAAAGGATCCATAAACTGGGAGGGGGGAAGAAATGCCATCTTTATTTTACCAACCTCAACTGCAATTCAGCATTGCCCTCAATTGCAAATGTCAGGAAGCCACAAATTACAGGAGTGATTAGTAATTCTTGTGACTTAGGCAACAATGAAAATTACAGATCTCTTCCTATCACTACAGTTACTGCAAATCTCTCAAAATGCCACTTACACTCATCTCTCTTTCAAAATTACAGTACTTATTAGACCTGCCGAGAGGTCTTGTTATTTAATGCATTAATAAAGAAGTATGTTACTGAAACACAAATTTATTTAATATTTGATAACTGGATTTTATTATAATTGGTTTCTTTTGTAATCTGATGTACTTTATCTGTTTAAAAATATTCCGAGAAGGGTTCCACAAGCTTTTCTAGCCTGACTTCTGGAGGGGGGGTTTATCATATTCAGTAAAGGTAATAAATATGGTTTGTGAAGCTTGTTTTAATTTTACATTATGTACATGTGTATACACATGTACTTGTAGAGTTATCTTTGTCTATGGTCACTAGACCACAATGTTAAATGTTTTTCTTTCTATGGATCAGTTTAGAAGGTTTGATAATCACTGTCCCCCAGCGTGGCTGGTGGTAAGTGGCTCATCAGCTGCGACTCTCTGGCATCCATGGCAGACATCAGTAATCAGCATGCTTTCCCACTGAGCTTGGATGTAACTTTGGAATGTTTCTCGAAACAGTACTGCAGGCGGCTTCACCAAACAATCGGGGTTGACATACCATCAAATTTATTTCTTCTGTCCGTCCTAGGGAAAAGGTCGAGTTTTAAGACCTACCTTTCTTCTTCTATATCTCAGAAGAATATCTGAAAATAAAATGTTTAAGGAAGGGCCCAGAAATGTAAGCAATAAGTGGAATCAATAGTATAGAAACTGGGACCTGCTGGGGAAATTACATTTAAGGTGTTTCCAGGTTGTGTAATAATCCCAAAGAAAAACCTAGAACTATCCCTACTTCCTATGATTTTTCCTAGCCTCTCACCCAAAGATTTGTCTTCCTGCTCTCAATCCCAGAGAACCATATATTATTCCATAATTTTTATCGTGCTTCCAACCTCCTTCAGTCATAGAAGACCTGGTGCCTACGTGGTTCATTTTGGCCCTGGTCAGTTGGGAAACTCTTCAAAACTGGGGCGGCAATTCCATTTATCCTGGTTCTACCAGTTTATTAGAAACAGAAAACTAACGCTCACCAAATCCCTGCGGAGGGCCTGGCACCTTGATTTACGTCATCTGGGCTCCAAGATACAACTCAGAAGTGATAGAATGTGGGGAGACTGTCTTCTTAGAGTTGATTGAAGGACACAAGTCCAGGATGAGACCAGCCACAGAGACTTGCGTTCCATCAGATATGTATTCTCACAGAGTGATCTGGTCTTTCCCCTAGGCCGGCTGTTGGACATTCTACATACCAAGGGGCAAAGGGGCTATGTGGTCTTCTTGGAGAGCCTAGAATTTTATTACCCAGAACTGTACAAACTGGTGACTGGGAAAGAGCCCACTCGGAGATTCTCCACCATTGTGGGTAAGTGCTTTTGCCATTGGGAACATCTGGACTCTAAGAGGAGGGGCGTGTGTGTGTGTGTGTCTGTGTGTGTGTGTGTGTGTGTGTGTGTCCTCAGTAGTGGCATGGTTCTTAAGCTGTGAATCTATGACATATAGAACTGGGGTCTGTCAACCACTTATTTTGCTTGATGATGAAAGGTTAACAGGGGCAAAGGGAAGCAGGAACCAAGAGAAGTGGGTGTTCACGGACCATCCCCCATGAATGGCGCCAGGTGGAACACAAGTTCATTCTACCCCGTAGATCTTGTCCTTGCCTTGCCTGCATTCTTTCTAGTGTCTCATGGGCCAGAGCCCTTGAGCATCTTGCCTTCTTAATCTTCCTTTCTAAACATTCTTGAATCAGTCTTCTCGCCCGCCCCAACACTTCCCACAGTCCAGACTCCCACAACCCCATTAACTCTCCATATCCATTCCCGATCTGTTCCAGTGCTTTCTCCATTCTTCCTCCCCTATTTAAAACCCTTTGGTGGTTTTTCATTGCTTCTTTGTAAAGACCCAGGTCTTGGCCAGGCACAGTGGCTCATGCCTGAAATTCCAACACTTTTGGAGGCTGCAGCCATAGAATTGCTTGAGCCCAGGAGTTCCAGGCTGCAATAAGCTATGATCATGCCCCTGCACTCCAGCCTGGGTAATAGAGCGAGACCCTGTTTTAAAATATAAAAAAAGTCCCAGGTCTTTAATGCAGCCCACAAGGACCCTTCATGATCCAGTCCCTGCTGACACCACCAGCCTCGCCTTTCTCTTCTCTCTCTCTCCTTCGGCCACTTTGGTCTTCGTTCAGTTCCTGAAATATGCCAAGTTCCTCCCTCCTCCCCATATGGCCTTGGCAATGTTGTTCCCCTTTCCTAGAATGCCTTTTCCCACCCGAACTTAACATTTTACCTCAACCATCAGGAGCCTTCTCCAACCCCCTCTGCCCACAAGGCTGGATCTGGGCCCCTGCTACACACTCTCATAGCCCCATCTACCTTTACTTTGTGAAATCCTCACGGTCTGTAATTCTATTTGTGGTATCATTTGATTTTTTTAAATGTGTTTCTCTTATTACACCCTAAGCTCTCCCGGGGCCAAGGCTGTGAGTCTCGCTCACTCTGAATCCCCAGTGCCTCGTGGGCAGAGTGAGTAAAGAGCTTGGCACAACGTTGGTGAGTGAGTGAATGAATGGCACCTGCCCTGCGTCTGGAACCTCCTTTTTCCACTTCCCAGTCCTCAGGCCTGACTGGGTGCCCCCTCTCCACAGTGGAGGAAGGCCACGAGGGCCTCACGCACTTCCTGATGAACGAGGTCATCAAGCTGCAGCAGCAGATGAAGGCCAAGGACCTGCAACGCTGCGAGCTGCTGGCCAGGTTGCGGCAGCTGGAGGATGAGAAGAAGCAGATGACGCTGACGCGCGTGGAGCTGCTAACCTTCCAGGAGCGGTACTACAAGATGAAGGAAGAGCGGGACAGCTACAATGACGAGCTGGTCAAGGTGAAGGACGACAACTACAACTTAGCCATGCGCTACGCACAGCTCAGTGAGGAGAAGAACATGGCGGTCATGAGGAGCCGAGACCTCCAACTCGAGGTGAGGGGTGCCCAAGGGCTACTCCGCCAGGGTGACCCGGGGGAAACAAATGTCACCAGGGCTCAATTCTCCCATAAAGCAGGTGCAGGCACATGCACGTGGTCTGCCGGAGCTTCCTGCCAGCCAGGTGTGGGGGAATGGAGGACACAGGGCCTCTGGGAGTTCTAGGTCCACTATGCACCTGCACGTGTACCCATAGTGCTTAGCGCTACCGGGTAAGCGGCCTACATCCCCTGTGCGCATGGGCAGACATGCGCACAAGGACCGACCCAGTGCGCAGCTTTCCACCACCGGCTCAGTCCCAGATCCACCTTGCACATGCGCATGCAGACCCAGAATGGCTCACTCCGCAAATGAATTAAGGAGATTTACATCTTCTTTTTTCTTTTCTTTTATTTTCCTTTCCTTCTTTTCTTTCTTTCTTTTTCTTTTCTTTTTTTTTTTTTTTTTTTTTTTTTTTTT
Organism: Homo sapiens; assembly: GCF_000001405.40. Taxonomy (NCBI): domain Eukaryota; kingdom Metazoa; phylum Chordata; class Mammalia; order Primates; family Hominidae; genus Homo; species Homo sapiens. The sequence continues at coordinate 2,943,749 of NC_000007.14, read as the reverse complement.
TGAGACAGGGTCTTCCACTGCCCAGGCTGCAGTGGTGTGATCATGGCTCACTGAAGCCTTGACCTCCTAGACTCAAGTGATCCTCCTGTCTCAGCCTCCAAAGTAGCTGGGACTACAGGTGCCCACCATCACGCCAGGCTATTCTTTCAATTTTTTTGTAGAAAAGGGGTCTCGCTATTTTGCCCAGGCTGATCTGCAACTCCTGGGCTCAAGTGATCTGCCTCCCTTGGCCTTACAAAGTGGTGGGATTACAGGTATGAGCCACTGCACCCGGCCTCGTTCATTCTTTCTGTTTATTGAGTTCCATCGGGTACCAGGCTTTTTGTTTTTGGGTTTTTTGGAGGAGTTTTTTGGACAGAGTCTCACTCTGTCACCCAGGCTGGAGTGCAGTGGTGTGATCACAGCTCACTGTAGCTTTGGCCTTGCAGGCTCAGGTGATCCTCCCACCTTAGCCTCCCAAGTAGCTGGGACTACAGGTACATGCTATGCCAGCTAATTTTTTTCTATTTTTATCCTACCCACCCCCCTTTTTCTATTTTTAGTAAAGACAGGGTTTCACCATGTTGCCCAGGCTGGTCTTGAACTCCTGGGCTCGGGCAATCTGCACACTTGGCCTCCCAAAGTGCTGGGATTACAGGTATAAGCCACCACACCTGGCCCCCAGGCTCTTTTCCAGGGATACATAGCTGAAGACTAAAACCCTTCTGTCGTGGAACTAACATTGTAATCAGAAAACAAATGCATAGATACTTGGTAGAAATGAGTGCTATCAAGAAGAGAAGACAGGGCGTGAGGACAGAACATGAGGATTGCTACTTTAACTAGGGTGTCCAGGAAAGGTCTCTGAGAAGGAGACACATGAAGAGAGATCTGAAGGGATGAAAGGAGCCAACCATGCAAGTCTCAGGGGAAAGCACTCGCAAAGCCCATAAGTAGGGGGCATTTTGTTTTTGTTTTTGTTTTTGTTTTTGAAGAAACAGCAGGAAGGCTGAGCTTGATGGCCCACACCTGTAATCCCAGCATTTGGGGAGGCCAAGGCGGGAGGATTGCTTCAGTCCAGGAGTTTGAGACCAGCATGGGCAACATGGCAAAACCCCATCTCTACAAAAATAAGCCAGGCATGGTGGTATGCACCTGTAGTCCCAGCTACTAGGGGTGATAAGGCAGGACGATTACCTGAGCCTGGGAGGTCGAGGCTGCAGTGAGCCATGCCTGTCAAAAGAAAGAACTAGAAGGAAGGAAGGAAGGAAGGAAGGGAGAGAGAGAGAAAGAGAAAGAAAAAGGAAGGAAAAAGACAGGAAGGGAGGGAGGGAAGGAAGGAAGGAAGAAAGGAAGGGAGGAAGGAAGGAAAGGGAGGAAGGGAGGGAGGAAGGAAGGAAGAGGGAGGGAGTAAGGAAGGGGAGGGAGGGAGGAAGGAAGGAAGAGGGAGGAAGGAAGAGGGAGGGAGGGAGGGAGGAAGAGGGAGGGAGGAAGGAAGGAAGGAAGAGAAACAAATGAAAGAGAAAAGAAATGGCAGGAGAGTCAGTGGGGCCAGAGCCAAATAAACAAATGGTGCAGAAGGGAGTGGAAGGGATGGCGGGGTCCAGATCATGGGGGCATGGTAAGAACTTTGGGATTTATTCTAGTTGTGATGAGAACCCTCTGAAGGATTGAGAGCTGAAGAGTGACAATTGATTTATGTCTGAGAAGGATCACTCTGGCTGCTGGATGGAAAATAGACTCACAGAATATTTATTAAGCACCTGCCACGTGTGAGGCACTGTGCTAAGCACTGTGGGAGACATGGGGATAAATAACGTGAGCTGTGCTCAGGTCACTTACAATTTAGTGAAGCAGACAGATCCGTAAACAATCCACCGGGAATTCAGGTGAATTGAGTCAGTGGCATAGCAGGCAATAGTGTTTTGGTTAGAAGCATGAGCTTTGTAAGTCCTGTAGCTTTGAGTTCAAATTCTGGCTTTATGCTTTACGACTTACTTAGCTATTGGCCTCAGTTTCCTCATTTGCAGATGTCAATAATGAAAGTAATACGTGTGCCCTAGGATTGCTGGGATACTGAACCGTAGGTCTTTGGCGGAGCGGCTGACCCTGTAAGCACCCCACAATGCTAGCGCCCCATGCCTGCTCGTGTGGGACCCGGGACTTACCACAGGACACTTGGGTTAAGCTTTGAAGATGCTGAGGAGCTTTTTTTTTTTTTTTTTTTTTTTGCATGAGCAGGAGAGATTTCTATGCTGTTTTTACCTAGGATTTGGGGAAGTTACCCTGTGGCAGAGACTTACAAGTTTCTCTCCCGGAACTTCCTCCTGTGTTATGTTTCCCTGGAGATACATTAATAGTGAGAAAGTGTAAGTAGAATTTGGAAGAACATCTGGCCAGCAGAGTCCCTGGCTGGTTTTCTTGGCCTCGGGCTGCTTCCTGCACGCCCCTTTCTTCATCGTCTCAGGTTAATCACTGGGGTGCAGGAGCTGGTCTTTTCTTGCTAAAGCCACTGCTCTCTACCTGCCAGATTCCTTGAGATGATTCTCCTTCCAAGACTAGATTTGAAAAATGACACTCTCCCCTTTGGTGCCTCCTTTCTTTATAGCCCTCGAATGCAACCTTCTTGTTTGGGATACTTTAGCAAAGCCGATGTGTTTGGGGAGGAACACAGGTTAGTCTCACAGGTTGAAGAAGTCTTCTGCTGGTCCCAGTTCCTGACACTAAACTCTTGAGTGTGAAAATCAGCACATCTCCACTTGTCTCATTTCCAGATGCAATAGCTGCCTCCTCCAGGAAGCTACTCTTTCTGCCACTAAGTCTAGGGAGGTTCTTTAGGGTGGAGATCCTGTGAAATTACAATTCAGTGAATTTCAGGCTGTCTTCTTCTCCTTCTCCTTTTCCTTCTCCTTCTCCTCCTCCTCCTCTTCCTCTCCTCCTCCTCCTTCTTCTCCTCCTTCTTCCTATTATTCTTCTTTCTTCTCCTCCTCCTCTTCCTTCTTCTTCTTTCTTCTTCTCCTTCTCCTTCTTCCCCTTTCTCTTCCTCTTCCTCTCCTCCTTCCTCCTCCTCCTCTCCTCCTCCTCTTCCTTCTTCTCCCCCTCCTCTTCTTCCTCTTTTTCCTCTTCTTCCTCCTCCTCTCCTTCTCCTTCTCATTCCTCCTCTTCCTCTTCTTCTTTCTCTTCCTCTTCTTCTCTTTTCTCTTCTTCCCCTTCCTCTTCTTCTTCCTCTACTTTTCTTCTTCTCCTCCTTCTCCTGTTTTTTCTTCTTTTTCCTCTTCCTCCTCCTCTTCCTCTTCCTTTTTAGCAACAGTGCTATTTATCCAAATAAAATCTTGTGTGAAACCCAGAAGAACAAACCACACAAGCAGAGCTGTTCTGGGATGTGAAGTCAGTGTGGATGCCCAGAACCCCAACTTGTCAACCATCTCCTCCTTCCCCCTGGGTAACCCCTGGATTCCTCAGGGGAATCCTTGAGTTCCGAGGATCAGAATTTGAAACCCATCAGAGAAGGGCGTTGAAGTGGGAAACACCAACTTGGATCTCTTTTATCCCAAAATCCATAACCTGTCCCACCTGACAAAGGTTGAGGGAATTTTCTCTGAGGCCTGTAGCCCCTTTGGAGCTATTCTAAATAGACTAATCAGGAACTCTCCATCAACAGGGTGATGACAGTTTGTTTTACTGGAGAAGGTTTCTTGGAGCCCTTCTCTGCCCGTGGAAGAAGGAGAGAGGGGCATAACTCAGGTTATGCTGCCAGCCCAGTGGGATCGGGGGAAGCGTTGCCTTTTCTGAGTGTTTCTTGCCACCTGCCTTCTCCCCTGGGCACCCTTGGGGTATTTCAGATCGATCAGCTAAAGCACCGGTTGAATAAGATGGAGGAGGAATGTAAGCTGGAGAGAAATCAGTCTCTAAAACTGAAGAATGACATTGAAAATCGGCCCAAGAAGGAGCAGGTTCTGGAACTGGAGCGGGAGAATGAAATGCTGAAGACCAAAAACCAGGAGCTGCAGTCCATCATCCAGGTGAGGGCCTGGGGGCGGGGCCAGCGCGGGCAGTGGGAGGGTGAGGGCTTGGGGTTGGGGGAAACGATGAACCTGCCAGGGTGTGAGTCCCCAAGCCTCACCCATGCTGACTGCAGGATCACAGGCATGCGTGCCATCCTTGGGCACCTTTGTCTCCTCCTCTGTAAAGCGGTGACCCCCACCACCCATTTGTCAGAGATAGGATATCATACTTGGGAAAACATGTGCTTATTTGAAGCACTCCAGGAAAATCACCAACCACGTGGAAATCAATGCCCTGGGCACTGTGGGAAGAGACAAGGACATCTAGGAAACCTACGTGCCCTTAAAGATTCCAAGAAACTCAACTGTAAGCTCCGTGCCTCTTGTTCCAACCTCAAATGCCTCCCCACACTTGTCATCGCCGAGTCACTTGTGGGCACAGAGGAGGAAGTTGCTGAGGAGTGACATCCCAAAACATATCTACAGGGCAAGAAAAAAAACATGCATCCTCCTGCTCCCTCCAGAACAGTCCCCCCAGGAGTGGCTGCCTGGTATATGAGGCTCTGTTTCAGAGCCGAGGATGAACCCAGCTTCTCCAGAACAGATTCCTTGATATTTCAGGGGCAGCATCTAAAAAGTGTTTCGGGTGCAGCAACTGCTTCTCTGCGCTCCGATAAGCGCCAGGGAGAACAAAAGGCCCAGGATACGCCCAAGCAAAAGCCAGTTTTCTGCTTCTTTCCAGGCAATAAACTTCTTAAATGCTAAGCTTCTTAGAGACCCCAGGGGACATACATCTCTTCTTGCCTCTACCTTCCAGGCACAAAACCTTCTGCTCTGTCCGTATCTGTTGCTGGTTCTTCTGTCCCCTGCCCTCCAGGACCACCTGGCTCCCCACCCCGACCCTGACCCTCTGAAACCTCCTCCCTCCCACCCAGGCCGGGAAGCGCAGCCTGCCAGACTCAGACAAGGCCATCCTGGACATCTTGGAACACGACCGCAAGGAGGCCCTGGAGGACAGGCAGGAGCTGGTCAACAGGATCTACAACCTGCAGGAGGAGGCCCGCCAGGCAGAGGAGCTGCGAGACAAGGTGGGAGTGGGGATCGCCCGCCCAGCGGTGCCCTCGGCCGGCCCCCTTCACACCAGGGGGCAGTGGTGTGTGTCAGCAGGACCTCCCTGACCCCACACTCCTTTCCAGGGACTAGATCAGACCCCTGGCATAAATCCCCTGTACCTCCCAGTATTCAGCCCCTGGCAGAAGCTGCAGTTTATCAACCAGATGAGGGCCTGGGGGTGGGAGCAATGTGGGCAGAGGGGAGGGTGAGGGCTTGGGATTGGGGGAACCCACATACCTGCCAAGGTGTGAGTCTCAGAGCCTCACCCACACCTTGCGGATTGCAGGATCCCAGATGTGCCGGCCACCCTTGGGCATGTACAAGCTATTGCACCAGCTTAGCACCTGTGTCCCCCTCCTGACTGAGATCACATTGTCCTCCCCTATGTTACCTGGTCTGTAGTGGGTTCACAACAATGCTGGGTTGATTGGTCTCCTACCTTGAGCCCCAACAGTCAGATAGTCGGTTCCCAGAAGGGCAGGCCATGTCCTGACCATGCCAGCTTAGGGAGGGACAGGCCAGCTCCAGCCAGCTGGCGGGAAGGCACGAGCAGAGAACAGCTTTCAGTCCTGACCTATTGATTGCTCGATGCGCATATTGATTTCTCTGTGTGGTTCACAGTACCTGGAGGAGAAGGAGGACCTGGAGCTCAAGTGCTCGACCCTGGGAAAGGACTGTGAAATGTACAAGCACCGCATGAACACGGTCATGCTGCAGCTGGAGGAGGTGGAGCGGGAGCGGGACCAGGTACAGGCACCACCTGCAGCGTGCAGGGCGGCGAGGCTGCACAGCGGGGCCCGCACCCCAGACCACCGGCTCCTTCAGAGTGTTTTGTCCAGTGCAACATCACTGACAATGCAGGGATCACTCCTGAATCCATCTTTCCCATTTCTGTTCCAAAGATGAATTCTAAAAGATGAATTCCAAAAGGCTTTTTTGGAAGTCACAGGCGTTTGGGTAGCAGGGGGATCCGAGCTGGGCTCCAGCAGCTCCCACGACCAAGCATGGTTCTTAAATGTTGTGTGTTCTCTCGGGTGAGAGGATGGGTTCAGATCCAGCCCTGTCATTCATAAGGTGTATGCCCATAGGCAAGCTGCCACCCCTGACCTCAGTGCCCTCATCTGTAAAATGGGGATAATTACGGTAGCACCGCCTCATAGGGACAGGCTGTGGCCTTCCAGGGACACTGCATCAAAGCTCTCAACACAGAGCCTGCCACTAGCAAGGGTCGGACCATCGGCTCTGTGATCGCGTTAATGAAGAAGGTAGTGACTGACACGCCCAGGGGTCAGACTGCAGACGAGAGCCACAGACGATGTGGCTGGCCCCTGGGTTGGGATGATGCCTGTCCCTGGGCCCAGCTGGATTTGGCTGGGGTGCAACCCCCAAAGCAGCCTTCGTCCCGCTTCTCCCTGGCAGGCCTTCCACTCCCGAGATGAAGCTCAGACACAGTACTCGCAGTGCTTAATCGAAAAGGACAAGTACAGGAAGCAGATCCGCGAGCTGGAGGAGAAGAACGACGAGATGAGGATCGAGATGGTGCGGCGGGAGGCCTGCATCGTCAACCTGGAGAGCAAGCTGCGGCGCCTCTCCAAGGACAGCAACAACCTGGACCAGGTGGGGCGGGACGGGCAGGACCCCACGCCTGAAGCCAGGTGGGCCCTGGTGCCCACTGAGGGCTGTGGCCAGTCCCCACCTCCCCGTGGAGACCCACACCTGAAGCCAGGTGCCCCCTGGCACCCACTGAGGGCTGTGACCAGTCGCCACCTCCCTGTGGGGCCCCAAACCAGAAGCCAGGTGCCCCCTGGCACCCACTGAGGGCTGTGACCAGTCGCCGCTTCCCTGTGCAATGAATGGCTCCTTGTCCTTTGTTTAGTTTTGTTTTGCTTTTGAGACAGGGTCTCACTCTGTCGCCCAGGCTGGAATGCAGTGGCACTATCACAGCTCACTGCAGCCTCAAACTCCTGGGCTCAAGCAGTCCTCCCACTTCAGCCTCCTGGGTAGCGGAACTAAAGGCACACACCACAATTCCTGACTAATTTTGTAATTTTTTTGTACAGACGAGGTCTCACTGTTTCCCAGGCTGGTCTTAAACTCCTATCCTCAAGCGATCCTCCCGCCTCAGCCTCCCAAAGAGCTGGAATTACAGCCGTTTGCCACTGTGCCCGGTTGGCTCTTCATATATTTGAAGCCGGAAGTTCCCTCCCACGCCCAGCATAATCCACATCTTTTACTGTTGTGTTTGTGTCTGTTTAGTGATGAGTGGAAGCCACTCATTTTGAAGTTAGAAGATGCAGGGTAGGGCTGGGCACAGTGGCTCATGCCTGTAATCTCAGCATTTTGGGAGGCTGAGGTGGGAGGATCGCTTTAGGGCAGGAGTTCAAGACCAGTCTGGGCAACAGAGCGAAAATTTTTAAAAATTTAAAAAATTAAAATTAAAAACATAAATAAGAAGATGCAGGGCGCCAGGTGCGAGGGTTCACGCCTGTAATCTCAGCACTTTGGGATGTCGAGGCAGGTGGATCACGAGGTCAGGAGTTCAAGACCAGCCTGACCAGCATGGTGAAACCCTGTCTCTACTAAAAATACAAAAAAATTAGCCAGGCGTGGTGGTGCGTGCCCATAGTCCCAGCTACTCGGGAGGCTGAGGCAGGAGAATCGCTTGAGCCCAGGAGGCGGAGGTTGCAGTGAGCCGAGATCACGCCACTGCACTCCAGCCTGGTGACAGAGCAAGACTCCATCTCAAAAAAAAAAAAGGCAAGCTTGACCTGGCCACTTCCTTGCTGGGCAGCCTCTGCCTTAGGAGCCTCAGTGCCCTCTCAGTGACCACAGCCAGCTGCTGGCCTCCCACTGGGGTTCCCCCGCACACCTGAACCGTCACTGGGTTTAAGACACCCTGTGGTCGTTACGGTTCCTAGTGCTTGTGAGTAAACCCTCATTTATGGACTATGTGAATTGCAGAGTGCATTTCCCAGCAGGGCTCCAGGCACTGAGAAATGAAGGAATGCCTCCTCCAGGGTAAATGTTACCACTATTATAGCTCTGGGTTTACCGAGTGCTGTCACGTGCAGGTGCCACGCAATGTGCCCTCTGTGCATTACCTCATTTACCCCACGGAACTGTCCTGCATGGAAAGCATGCTCAGTGTCCTCATTTACAAAGGAAGGGACCCTGACCAGGCGCGGTGGCTCAGGCCTGTAATCCCAGCACTTTGGGAGGACCCGTGCTCCCGGCTGCAGTTACAGCGTGAACACAGGCCTGGCATTAGCCCACTGTGCTGTCAGCAGGGCATGACCGGCGCTTCCATCCGTCTGCAGAGTGGGAGTCAAGGAGCAGCAGGGGGTTAACGGGGCACGCCAAGGTGGGCTGTGCACACCCAGGAGCTCTACTGCTGTTTTGAGCCCCTGGAAGATTTTGCACAGGGAGTGGAACAAGACGCTTTGAGTCTGGAGGCAGCGCAGCATGCGGGTGCCATGTGGCTTTGTGGGCCACGTAGTTCCTTCATGCTACAGCACTCCGCTTCCTATTTTGTAAAAAGCAATTATCAACAACAACCTCTACTTGTCAGGAAGGATTCAATGAGGTGACAGCTATGAAGCGCTCCAGACAAGACAGTACCTAGGACTGTGTGTGTGTGTTTTTTTTTTAACATCATTCAGTCATTCTGAATATTTTTTATATTTTTAGCTCAGGCACAGGGCTAGAAATTGGAAATTTCATGGTGGCAGATGAGATGGAAGGGGCTGAGGCCAGTTAGGAGGCAATGCCTTTACCATTGTACAAGAAGACCGGGGCTTGTTTGGGAGACTGGACCAGAAGCCTGGGAGGAGGATGCATCATTAGGCTGGACTGATGGGGGCTCAGTGTCTGGGGTTACGGTTGGGGTCAGGAAAGAAGAATGGCCAAAGTGAGCTTCATGTTCGGGTGGCCGAGGGAATGATGATGCCATCAGCCCAGCCATCTTGCCCACTGGTGGCGCATCGCCAAGCCCCACCACTAACGCCAGCTTTTTCTCTGTCCCCAGAGTCTGCCCAGGAACCTGCCAGTAACCATCATCTCTCAGGACTTTGGGGATGCCAGCCCCAGGACCAATGGTCAAGAAGCTGACGATTCTTCCACCTCGGAGGAGTCACCTGAAGACAGCAAGTACTTCCTGCCCTACCATCCGCCCCAGCGCAGGATGAACCTGAAGGGCATCCAGGTGCATGGGTGTGGAGGGAGGGGGCGCAGGTGCAGGGCAGAGGGTCTGTGAGCCGGGGGCCCCTGCAGGCGGCGATGGGGCAGCACAGCCACGCCTGCTTCTGGGTGGGTCTTGGGTGCCCAGACTGTGACTCACCCTATTTCAACCCTGTAAGCTGGAAATCCTGCGACTCGCTTCTTACTCATTTGTACATTTTTACTGATTTCCTCACTCTTATAAATGTAATAGACATTAAAAGAGAGAGAAAGAAAGACAGGCTGGGCATGGTAGCTCACGCCTGTAACCCCAGCACTTTGGGAGGCCAATGCGGGAGGATCACTTGAGGTCAGGAGTTCCAGACCAGCCTGGGCAACATAGGAAGATCAAGTGTCTCAAAAAAAAGAAAAGAAAAGAAAAGAAAAAAAACAGCCAGGCATTGTGGTACATACCTGTAGTCCCAGCTACTCAGGAAGCTGAGGCAGGAGGATCACTTGAGCCCAGGAGTTGGAGGCTGCTGTGAGCTATGATCGCACTACTATACTCCAGCCTGGGTGAGAGAGCAAGACCCTGTCTCAATAATAAGAGAGAGAGAGAGAAAGGAAAGAAACAGAAACGAAAGAAAGAGAAAGAAAGAAAGGAAAGAAAAGAAAAAGAAAAGAAAGAAAGAAGGAAGGAAGGAAAGAAAGAGAGAGAAAGAAAGAAAAGAAAGAAAGAAAGAAAAAGAGAAAGATGGAAGGAGGGAAGAAAGAAAAAGAAAGAAAGAAAGAAAGAAAGAAAGAAAGAAAGAAAGAAAGAAAGAAAGAAAGAAAGAAAGATGGAAGGAGGGAAAGAGAATGAAATGAGCATCATTTCCAAATTCAGTCTTGGTGCAGTCGCTCACGCCTGTAATCCCAGCACTTTGGGAAGCTGAGGTGGACGGATCACCTGAGGTCAGGAGTTCGGGAGCAGCCTGGCCAACATGGCGAAATCCCATCTCTACTAAAAATACAAAAATTAGCCGGGCGTGTTGGTGGATACCTGTAGTCCCAGCTACTCAGGAGGCTGAGGCAGGAGAATCACTTGAACCCAGTAGGGCGGAGGTTGCAGTCAGCCGAGATCGCACCACTGCACTCCAGCCTGGGCAATAAAGCAAGACTCTGTCTCAAAAAAAAAAAAAAAAAAAAAAAACCAATTCATTTGTTTATTCATCACATATGTATTGAGTATATGTACTGAGTGCCAATCACATGCCCGTCACATGTCAGGCACCATCCCAGGAGCTGGAGTTAGCAGTAATCCTGTCACTGTGTTCAGAATCTCGGGCAACCCGAAGCCCACGGCTGGCTCTCGATGGGGAGGGAATGAGTGAATGAATGAGATGCCACAGCAGGGCCTGACAATGCCTCTGCCTCTCCCAGCCTTCCACACGCCAAGCCAGAAGGCCTGAGGCAGCACATCTGAGCTGACTGAGACCCCATTAGCACTCCGGGCCGGGGGTGGCCAGGGCACCTGCCTGGCAGCCTCACCCTCTTCTGAAACCTGCTCTGTGTCATGTACCCAGCTCTGCTCAGCTTCACACTCCCCGCACATCACTTGGTCCCCTCTGCCGCTCTTGGCTCCTGTCCTGTCTTCTGCCATGAGCCATATTACACGGCCGCCCTGGGAGGAGAGCTTGTCTATACCAGCAGCTGCCTGATTCAAGCCCAGGGGAGCCGCTGTGTCTTGTCGTCCCGGCCGCGGGAGATGAGCATCGGTCCGTGTGCGTTCCGGGCTGAACCTGGTGGCCGTATGACGAGGGACACGATGGCTGGCCTCTCTCTATTTTTTTCTAAGCCCCAGTGACATGTGTCTAGGTCCCTGTTTGATTTGTGTCTTGTGTCTTGTTTCTTCCCCTCCCCTCCCTTTTAGCTGCAGAGAGCCAAATCCCCCATCAGCCTGAAGCGAACATCAGATTTTCAAGGTTAGTGAGACGCCCAAATCTCTCTTGGCCTGTCTCATCTGTCACTCTGTCTCTCTCGGTCCATCTGTTTCTCCCACTGTAACGAACAATCCTGCGTGGTAAACGTGGCGGGTTCTCGGGGGTCTCGGAGTGGTGGGGGTCCATCCAAATAGCAATTAATGTTCATCGTCATTCAAAGCAGGCAGGAGCCCAACTGCTGAAAGGTCCCCTCTGTGGTTCCCTCCACGCTTCCCCGCCTCTCCCGGTGGGTCTGTCCGGAATCCCTGGTGCGTTAGCTGAACTGTGCGTTTTGCCCGTGGCTTCTCAGCGAAAGGACTCTTTGACCCTCTTCCAAGACTTTTGGCCGGGTGTTCCCCCACAGGACTTCACAGGAGGCTGGTTCATTCGTCAGTCCCTGGTTCTCCGAGACACACTGCCTTCAGAATCTTCTCTTTTGTCCTCACCATGTCTCTGGGAGTGACAGATCGGCTAGAAGGGTTTGCCTAAGCAAATCAAGCACCTACTATGTGCCAGGTGCTGGAAGGCCCAAGTAGATGTCCATAGACCCCACACACTCAGGCAGGGCCACAGCCAGGAGGTGGAAAGTGCATGGGTCCTGAGAGTGGCTGGACAAAGGTCAGAGAAGGATCCATCAAGAAGGGCACATTTGGCCGGGTGGGGTGGCTCACACCTATAATCCCAGCACTCTGGGAGGCCAAGGCGGGCAGATCACCTGAGGTCAGGAGTTTGAGACCAGCCTGGTCAACATGGTGAAACCCTGTCTCTACTAAAAATACAAAAATTAGCCGGGCGTGGTGGCAGATGCCTGTAATCCCAGCTACTTGGGAGGCTGAGGCAGGAGAATCACTTGAGCCCGGGAGGCTGAGGCAGGAGAATCACTTGAGCCCAGGAGGCAGAGGTTGCAGTGAGCCAAGATGGCACCACTGCACTCCAGCCTGGGTGACACAGTGAGACGCTGTCTCAAAAAAAAGAAAGAAAGAAAAATGTGGGGGCGGGGTGGACATTTAAACTGGGGCTGGAAAAGGGAGCCTTTTGGTGGAGGGACACAGTGTCCAGAAGTACTCCTCAGCTCAGAGAGGGGCCCATAAACAGAGGTGTGGAGACCAGGAGGTGCACAGGCAGAAGCCGCCCTGCCACCCCAGAGCGTAAAGCAGGAGAGCACTGGGCTGAGACTGTGGGCGCCTCACTGAAGATATGGACTTCATCCTGCATGGCAAGGATGAAGCCTCCCCCAGGTGGCTTTGGGGTGGGCAGGAGAGTGAAGAGTGCAGACCTGTGCTTAAGGCCGTTCTCTCTGGACACGGAGGGCAGCAGAGGGAGGCCAGGGCGGGGGGCCCCGTCCAGCTCCCTCACGGCCACATCCGGTGTCTCAGTGGCCTTCTGTATCAGAAGGGAGGTGCAAAGGGCCTGGGGCCTGCAGGAAGCAGAGAAGGGGGTTGCATCACAGGGAAGGGACAGGATGCAGTGGCCATGGGGCTCCTCATCAGACCTTAATAGGCTGCCCAGTGCCAGGTGCTGGGGGCCCAGGGAAGGACAGCATATGGTTCCTCCCCACAAGGCATCCACTGATGGGGGTGCATGTACGTATATCTCTCTGTGCACACAACACGGGCACACACAGCAAGGGTGGGAGCAAGGAGGGGACACAGAGAGCAAAGCCGTCTTAGGAGGGCTGAGAGGATGTGCACATGGTCCCCAGGCAACCCACCACAGAGCCAGGGGTTGGGGCAGGGACATCAAGGGAGGCTTCACTGAGGAGGTGACGGACTTGGCCCCCAGTTTGTCCTCATCCCCATCAGCCAGCCCTGCTTGTCGGGGAGAGGCAGAGTCCATGTTGATGGCAGAGAATTGGACAGGAAGACTCATGCCCCGGTTGTCCATTGTTCACAGAAAATGCCAGCCGGGGACCCCACACCAGTCCTCAGAGACACATGGCGTTGTCCAGCTTTGACCCAGGCTGCCCAGGGGGTGACCCTCGCTGGGAGCTGCGATATGTTGGCAAATGAGACCCACCACCCCCTCCCCGCCAGGAGCCTACTGTGGTGGGGGGAGACAGGAAAAGAAGAGATGGTTTTATGCCTGTGATACCAGCGCTTTGGGAGGCCAAGGCAGGAGAATTGCTTGAGGCCGGGAGTTCAAGACCAGCCTGGGCAGCATAGCAAGACACCATCTCTATAAAAAATTTGATAAAAAGCAAGAGGAGGTTTTTGAGGGCTCTTTCTCCAGCAGATGCCACAGAGAGTGGAGTGAGCCCTCAAGGGAGAGAAGAGGCCCCAGACCCACCTCGTTAGAAGGAGGTTGGGGATGATGCCAGAGAGCCCCATGTGCCTATGGGCCATGAGGCTCTGACTTCCCTTTCCCCACCTTTTCTCTTCCTCCCCTCTCTCTCTTCCACCTCAAACCCTCCCCGGCCCCCTTCTCCTTTCTCTGTCTCTCCCATCTCGTCTCCCGTGAGGACAGCCAAGGGGCACGAGGAAGAAGGCACGGACGCCAGCCCTAGCTCCTGCGGATCTCTGCCCATCACCAACTCCTTCACCAAGATGGTGAGCTGCAGCCTCTGCCCGATCTGCAGGTCCCCTCCATTGTCTCCCCCTGCAGAAGAGTGTCTGGGACCCCAGTTCATGCCCACCACCCACTCTCCCTCCAGAGCTCATCCCCACCACCCTCTCCCCCTGCAGAATGCCATCCAGGGACCCAGCTTATCCCCACCACCCTCTCTCCCTCCAGAGTGCCATCCGGGGCACCAGCTCATCCCCCAACACCCTCTCCTGCTGCAGAGCACCGTCCCGGGGCCCCAGCCTCATCCACCCCACCAGCCCTGACCCACCTCGCCTTCCTCCCCAAGACCCAGCCTCTGAGCAGCGCTGCTGCCTGCTCTGGGCTGCAGCCCCAGCCTCCCTTATGTTTATTTAGAGAGGTTTCCACAGCCTCGCAATGTATTTACACCTTCTTGCCGCCTCCTTTCCCAATTTAACACTTGGTGGGAGGAGGAGCTGGGCCTCCCAGGGGCTGTCGCGCATGGCACAGGCCGTGAAAATTCTGCCGCAACTTCTCAGCCCCTGGCAACTCCCGCAGCCTGGGGAACGGGCGGCAGGCAGGGCAGGGAGCTGTGAGCAGCTGGAGCCGCCGCAGAGCTGAGGCTTGGGGCCCCATCCCCAGCCCAGAACCCCTACCCGGGCAGAGCCGGGCAGGGTCCCAGCCACTGCATCCAGCACTGCCCACCCCCTGACAGGCAGCAGAAGGCCCAAGATTAGAGATTCTAACCCCAAGGGGAAGCCCTGGGAAGCTTGTCAGCTCAGCTTCCAAAATCAGGCCCTGGGGGAGGCAGATATTTGATAATGAATGATTCCTGTCTGATGGCTGCCCTGGGTGGCAGAATCCCAGGCTCTTATTAAGAGCGGCTCTGGCCAGGAGCCAGCAGGCCTGGTTTCAAAGGTTGCCCTCCAGCAGCTGTGCCGTCCGGGGCACCACTGCCCTCCCCACGCCCCAGGCCCACACTGTTCACCATGTTTAGAGCAGGTGCCCACAGCAGGTGCAGCCCGGGGGCCTTGAGCTCAGCCTGTGCACCATGGCGAGGCAGCGCCCCAGTCCCCCAGCCGGCCGGCTCCCGCCTGCGTCCTCCCTGTGAGCAGATGTGCGAGCAGATGTGCTTCAAGCTCGGCGGCTGCGGCCGCTCCGGGCTCAGCACAAGCCTCCTCCAGCCAAGGTCGCCGCTGATAGCCGGCTCGCTGCCTCCATGCCGCCTGAGTAGGAGGCGGGCACGATTTTGCATTGAATTGAGTCCCTGCGTGTGTAATATTTATGCACCCGTAACGTGTGTGTGTCTGTGTCTGAAGCAGCCCCCCCGGAGCCGCAGCAGCATCATGTCAATCACCGCCGAGCCCCCGGGAAACGACTCCATCGTCAGACGCTACAAGGAGGACGCGCCCCATCGCAGGTGGGTGGCAGGTGAGGGAGGACTGGGCTTTTGCCCCGTGCCACCATGCCAAGCCTCCTTACCCCGTCTCTGGGCCAGTCCACGCTTGCTGACCCAGCTGTCCTCGAAGCAACCCTGAAAGGCAGGGTACTGCTCATTGTACAGATGAGGAGGCTGAGGCTCAGAGGAGGGAAGCGGCCTCCCTGGGTTCACCCAGCTGCCTGTCCAAGGACAAAACCTATGACCCGTGGCTCCATGCTGCCCAGAAATCAGGTTCCCGGGCCCCACAGCCCCAGGGCTTGGCTTTTTCTGCCAAAGAATAAGAAACTCACAGCTGGGCATGGTGGCTCACACCTGTAATCCCAGCACTTTGGGAGGCCGAGGCGGGTGGATCACCTGAGGTCAGGAGTTCGAGACCAGCCTGACCAATATGGTGAAACCCCATCTCTGGTAAAATTACAAAAAATTAGCTGGGTGTGGTGGCATGTGCCTGTAATCCCAGCTACTCGGGAGGCTGAGGCAGGAGAATCGCTTGAATCCGGCAGGTGGAGGTTGCAGTGAGCCGAGATCATGCCCCTGCACTCCAGCCTGGGTGACAGAGCGAGACTCCATCTCAAAAAAAAAAAAAAAAGAAACTCATGAATGGCTTCTCCAATCTCCTCTCCCACCTTCCTTACTTCCTAAAAACCATTAGTGTCCTCACAAAGAGAACCACAGTAGAAGTATGCCTGGGCAACGGGTGTTTCCAGCCTGCCAGGGTTTGGCACGTCACCTACAAAGTCAGAGGTTGTTGGGCGGTTTCCAGAAGGGCAGAGAGCAAGCAGTGGCCTTGGAGGCTGGATCCACACCCCCGGTCCCACTGGGGCCTGGGTTTGGGCCTCTTAGCATGGCCTTCCCTGGCTGGCTCCAGAGATCAGCAGCAAAGACCTGCACTAGGCCGGGCACAGTGGCTTACGCCTGTAATCCCAACACTTTGGGAGGCTGAGGCGGGTGGATCACCTGAGGTCAGGAGTTCAAGACCAGACTGGCCAACATGGCAAAACCCCATCTCTACTAAAAATTAAAAAAATAAAAAATAAAAATAGCTGGGCATGGTGGCATGCACCTGTAATCCTAGCTACTGGGGAGGCTGAGGCAGGAGAATCGCTTGAACCCGGGAGGCAGAGGTTGCAGTGAGCCAAGATCGCACCATTGCACTTCAGCCTGGGTGACAGGAGCAAAACTCCATCTCAAAAATTAAAAAAAAAAAAAAATCAGACCCACACCAGCCCCTCCACCAGCAGCTGTGTTGCGGGGGCACCCTCTGGCCAGCCGGGGGCAGGTGTTGAAAGCAGCTTTCAGAAGCCACATGTGGCGTCTGCATGAAAGCACCTGCACCTTGAAGCACTATTGCAAAAACCACATGCAGACAATTGAGAACTCCAGAGCACAGCAAGCTTGCTGTGTCCACTCCGGCTGAAGGGCGCTCAGCTCCCAAACCCATCACACAGGGCAGATGGATCTCTGTCCTGTACCATGTCGGAGAAGAGTGAGAGAGACGTGAACAGCAGGTGGGGCCGGCAGGGCCTCTGTTCACCTGCCCTGGCTTTCCTCCTCCCCTGCTGGAGGAGGCAATCTCCAAGACCTCCAGGCCACCCACCCTTCCAGGGAGCCTCCTGCCTACTCCACCCTTCCTTGTCCCAACCTCCTCCACCCACACTGCCCTCTCAGAAGCAAGGCCACTCGGAAGCCTGGAACCTTCCAGAAGCTTCTCTCTCCCTTGCCTGCGTGTGCACACACACACACACTCACATGCATGCTTTCCCCCACCTCCCTTGTGTCTTGCAGCACAGTCGAAGAAGACAATGACAGCGGCGGGTTTGACGCCTTAGATCTGGATGGTACGTGCCTCTCAGATCCGGGAGGGTCCTGGGTAGGACGGGTCACAGAGGGTCACAGGTGGAGGGTCACAGGTCCTTAAGACCTACTATGTGGAATGGACTCAGAGTCGCTCTTGAACACAAAAGATAAGCCTCTGTCCCCCATTGGGCTTGCCCATGGCTGAGAGATGCCCTGTGAGCTTGTTCTTTGTCTTGTAGGTAATGGGGGCCCATCCGGCTGCTGTGCAGAGGGTGCGAGCTAGGTCTGGGCTTTTAAAAAGCGTAGCTCTCACATACTCTAGCCAGGCACCATGGAGGGGCTCGACCTGCATACCTGATCCAGTTTAATCTCAACAGCCGCTCTCAGAAATGCTATTGTTACCCTCATTTTATAGATAAAGACAGGAGCCTCAGAGACAGGAAAGAACAGGAGGGCAGAGAGTGGGCTGGGAGCAGGGAGTTCTCATGCGAAATTCATGTGTTGAGCTGTTAACCAGCCTCTGCAAAAGGAATACAGAATGCAGATGGAGAGGCCGACATTGGAGGGGCAAGGCCAGGGGGAGAGGCCGAAATTGGAGGTGCAAGGCTGAGGGGAGAGGCCAACATTGGAGGTGCAAGACTGTGGGGAGAGGCCAACATTGGAGGTGCAAGGCTGTGGGGAGAGGCCAACATTGGAGGTGCAAGGCTGTGGGGAGAGGCCAACATTGGAGGTGCAAGACTGTGGGGAGAGGCCAACATTGGAGGTGCAAGGCTGTGGGGAGAGGCCAGCATTGGAAGGGCAAGGCCAGGGAGAGAGGCCGACCTTGGAGGTACAAGGCTGTGGGGAGAGAGGCCAACATTGGAAGGGCAAGGCCAGGAAGAGAGGCCGACCTTGGAGGTACAAGTCTGAAGGGAGAGGCCAACATTGGAGGTGCAAGGCTGTGGGGAGAGAGGCCGACATTGGAAGGCAAGGCCAGGGAGAGAGGCCGACCTTGGAGGTGCAAGGCTGTGGGGAGAGAGGCCGACATTGGAAGGGCAAGGCCAGGGGAACAGGTCGACATTGGAGGGGCAAGGCAGGATGGGGAGAAGTAGGGAGGGTGAAGGCGGGCTTGCAGGATCACCACCTTCAAGCCTGTCTCAGCACCGAGGGAGGGTGGCAGCATCCCCTGGCCCCGACAGAGCTGGCAGCAGGGGAGACTGTGGCTCAGAGTCCTCCAGGTGTGCCCTGCCAGCCCCCTCTCTTCCAGGGCTCCCCCAGCCTTTGCCAGCTAAGGCTGCCAACCGATGAAACGAAAGATGAGTGGTCCTCCTTAATGGGGAAGCATCAGCGCTACCAAGTGTTAAAGAGAGGTTAGCCCCTAATCGAGGCTGGGTAATGAGAAGAATTGAAAGAGTTTTGGAAAGGGGAGAGAATCCCGGGCAACCGTCCAAAGTATTTTGCAGTGTCGGGAAAAATTCCATTTGCAGAGAAGCCTTTGTTATCAGCCCCGAGCAGATTTGTAGTTCTCTCCATCCCAGCCACCCAGAGCTCTGGGCAGTGGGTGTCTTTCCTCCAGGTGTTCTGGGTCCACCTGGGGTGAGAAGATAGGGAGGGGCTCCTATCGGGGCCAGACCCTCCTCTTCCTGCCCTGCTTCAGGCCCCTGCGGGCCGGGAAGCTGATGGATGATGGTGAGGCCTTAGGGTCCCAAAATGAAAATGTGGGGGCCCAATTCAAGAACAGAATGAAGCCAGCCGCGGTGCCTCACGCCTGTAATACCAGCGTTCTGAGAGGCCAAGGCTGGTGGATCACTGGAGGCCAGGAGGGGTGACATAGCAAGACCCTGTCTCTACAAAAAAATAATTAATTAGCCAGGCATGGTGGCATATGCCTGTAGTCCCAGCTCCTTGGAAAGCCAAGAGAGGAGGATGGCTTGAGCCCAGAAATTAAAAACCAGCCTGGACAGCATAGTGAGACCCCGTCTCTATAAAAAAAAATTTTTTTTTAATTATCCAGACATGGTGGTGCACACCTGTAGTCCCAGCTACTCCAGAGGCTGAGGCAGGAGGATCACTTGAGCCCAGGAGGTTGAAGCTGCAGTGAGCTATGATTACACCATCACACTGCAGCCTGGGCAACAGAACAAGACCCTCTCTCAAAAAAAAAAAATCTTAAAAACCAGATACCTGATAAAGCTTCCCACTAAGAGGAAGCTCCTGGAGGCTGGAGAACATCTGTGTTGGAGACATTCAATGCAGGACTCAGCCATCTGTGCCAGGGAACCTCAGAGACCCATCTCCTGGGAGGCTGCCCGGGAAGAGTAGGGAAGGAGGGCTCCGAGCCTGCCCCCAGTGCCGGGACCAGCCCAGCAGGTCCCAGGGCTGTCTCCAGAGCTCCCCGCCACCCCTGGTACTGATGGGCCCTCGTCCCTCTGCAGATGACAGTCACGAACGCTACTCCTTCGGACCCTCCTCCATCCACTCCTCCTCCTCCTCCCACCAATCCGAGGGCCTGGATGCCTACGACCTGGAGCAGGTCAACCTCATGTTCAGGAAGTTCTCTCTGGAAAGGTACCCCAGTGAAGGGGAAGCCGGGGTTGAGGGTGGGGATGGGATAAAGACCCCTTGCCCCCTCGCTCTCTTACAAAGGGGACCATTCATGTGGGCTTTGTTCTCCTAGAGCCAGAACCAGAATTGTAGCATTCCCGAGTCAGAAATCACTTCCTGGCTGGGCGCATTGCTCACACCTATAATCCCAGGACTTTGGGAGGCCAAGGCGGGAGGACTGCTTGAGCCCAGGAGCTCCAGACCAGCCTGGGCAACACGCAAGACCCCATCTCTACAAAATAATTTAAACATTAGCCAGGCATGGTGGCACACACCTGTAGTCTCAGCTACTCAGGAGGCTGAGGCAGGCGGATCACTTGAGCCCAGGAGGTTGAGCCTGCAGTGAGCTATGATTGCACCACTGTACTCCAACCTGGGCGACGGAGCAAGACCCTGTCTCAAAAAAAAGAAATCACTTCCTCTGACCTCCCAAGTGTCCAGGTGCAGAAACCGAGGCCCACAGAGGAAGGGGCTTGCCCAAGGCCATGCAGCATGGCAGAGGCAAAGAAGTGGGACCCAGATACCCAGCAGTCCCCATCCATGACACAGTGGAGCCCGGTGGGCCGCGCTCAAGGGGACCCTCCTAACATGGCCCTTGCCAGTCCCAGCACGGCCGCTGCGGCCACAGAGGGTGCCTCAGCTCCTCTCCTCATCTGCATTTCTCGCAGCAGGAGCCACTTGTGAGCTCTCACTTCCCTTAGCCATTAAGGGCCTTCTCGGAGCCAGGACACCCAGGCGCCTGATGACCACAGGAGGCCATGCCACCGGGGTCCTGGCGCCCACCACCAACCCCCGGTGTGTCCCAGTAGGGCTTTTCTCTTTTCAGCCCAGCTGCCTAACTGACATTCTGTTTCCTGCTGCAGACCCTTCCGGCCTTCGGTCACCTCTGTGGGGCACGTGCGGGGCCCAGGGCCCTCGGTGCAGCACACGACGCTGAATGGCGACAGCCTCACCTCCCAGCTCACCCTGCTGGGGGGCAACGCGCGAGGGAGCTTCGTGCACTCGGTCAAGCCTGGCTCTCTGGCCGAGAAAGCCGGCCTCCGTGAGGGCCACCAGCTGCTGCTGGTGAGGGGATGGCGGCAAGGGAGGTGGCTGCAACTGTAGTGTCAGTGGTGACATTTAGGAGCCCCTAAGCCTTGCATTCAGCCATGGATCCCCGGGCAGGAGGAGGGAGCTGGAAGGTGGTCAGACCGTCGGCATTGTTGGGCCCTTCTCTCCCCAGCTCCCCGCCCATGCTTCTGCATCCTGCAAGCTCCCAGGGTGCAGGCAGGAGGCAGGTGCACCCCCCTGAACAAGATGCTTTTTCCCCCTGTTGGCACTGAGCTAGTCTTTGTTCAGGGAGAGATGGTTTTTTTCCCAATGTACAGAGAGCGGTCTCGCTCCCGCAGCTCTGCTGCCTGTGGGGCCAGGAGACAAACGCTGTCTCTGCTCTCCAGCTAGAAGGCTGCATCCGAGGCGAGAGGCAGAGTGTCCCGTTGGACACATGCACCAAAGAGGAAGCCCACTGGACCATCCAGAGGTGCAGCGGCCCCGTCACGCTGCACTACAAGGTCAACCACGAAGGTGAGACCTCCCTCCACCGTCTGGAGCGACCCTTGGCCAGGGAGGCGAGTCTCTGACCTGGACAAGTGACCTCGCCGCCTAGAGCCTCTGCTTGCTCGTCTGTTCAGTGGAAGGCATGGGCACTTCCTGGCAGCATCACGAGGTGCAGGGGCAGGTCTGGGAGAGCACACAGGGACGGCAACAGCCGTGAGCGGGGCTTTGCTGTCTTGCACTGGCTCTTTGGCCACGTCTGCACTCACCTGCCCAGGTGTCTCGGGCTGCCCGCCGGGTCACAGTGGACACGGCATCCCCAGCCTCAGGCACACCTGTTGGAGCCCCGGCTGGCCCAGCTCAGCCCTCTCCCTGGTAAGTGGAAGTTTCCTCCTCTCTCGGGCTTCCCATTCCTGATGTCCGTAGGCAGCAGCTCTAGGGTCAGTCTGCCCACGGACTGGGCATGGAGAAACAGAGGTTCCCTGTCAGGTCCTGCTGGGGGATTCCTGGCTTTGTTCAGCGTATCTCAGAAGCCTGCTCACCCACCAGGCCGGGGGCCATAGCAATGGCTACCTGAGCTCTCTGCCTCCTATGAGAACAGAACCTACAAAGAGGACCCTGTTGGAGTGAACTTTCTTTCCCTGGAATTCCAGACTGCAGGGCTGTGCTGCTTCCCAACCCTGGGGGGCGCTGCTCACATCATATTCTGTGGCACTGCTGGCCAGGGGGCCCAGAGATTTCTCTACCCAGGACCAAGACCACTGAACCACATCCTGGGCCCCAGGATTCTTGCTCTGTGATCCCCCAGCTCCGGGGCAGGCGGGCCTCACCCTCCCTTTTCACGGGGCCCCCAGCATCCTTTGAATGGGATCTCCTCCTTCTCGGCCAAGACTCCTGGGCTGTGAGCTCTGAGCTTTGTTTTCCGCTCTGAACAAGTCTGAGTTCTTGTTCTCACCTCTGGGTTTTTCTACATGATTATCTCTGCAGCTGGATCTTATTTTTAACCGCCAGGGCTCATGAATGTTTCAGTAGAGAATAAATAGCCAGTTTCTCTCTATCCACTCCCCAGAGCCGCCTGCTTGAGCTCCTTCCCGGCAGTGCCCTGCCCGTGCAAAGACAATAGTGATGCTCTGTCCCTACATGCAGGACAGGCTTCTCTCCGATGGTGCACCCTGATCTTCCAGCCCAGCAGAAAATCCGTGGGCCTGCAGAATATGATGTGGGCAGCACCTCCAAAGCCCGGAGCTGCGCAGCAGCACAGCCCTGCAAGTCTGGAATTCCAGGGAAAGAAAGTTCATTCCGGCAGGGTCCTGTGTGCAGGTTCCGTTTTCACAGGAGGCAGAGAACTCAGATAGCGATCACAGTGGCCCCTGGCCAGGTGGATGGGCAGAATTCTGAGATGTGCTGGACAAGGCCAAGATCCCCCGGACGGACCTGACAGGGAACCCTTGTTTCTCCATGCACAGTGGTGGGAACATTCATCAGATAATCCAGCTGGCTGGCACGGCCCTGGAATGTGGGCGTGGACATTCGACAGGCTACTCTGGTTATTAGAACCATTTTAGCTTCCGCAGTATTATACAGCCCTCAGCAGGTGGGGCTGATGTGGGGGTTTATATTATGGTTTGATATCATAGCAGAGCTTGCTGCATTTGTTGCATTCATGGTTTATGCCCCGCTCCCTCACAAAGTATTTGCAAAACTTTACTTGGGAGGTTGATGACATTTAAATAAGGTTAAAACGACATGTGCCATGGTCTCTTTGGGAAACCATTTGGCAGTATCTTCTAAAGATAGATAGAAGATAGATAGGCAGATAGATAGATAGATAGATAGATAGATAGATAGATAGATAGATAGAAGATAGATAGAAGTAGAAGATAGATAAATAGATAGAAGATACAGAGATAGAAGATAGGTAGAAGATAGATAGATAGATAGATAGATAGATAGATAGATAGATAGATAGATGATAGATAATGGATACATAGATGATGGATGGATAAGTAGATAGATGATTAGATAGATAGATAGATAGATAGATAGATAGATAGATAGATAGACGATAGATAGATAGATGATAATGGATACGTAGATGGATGATGGATGGATAAGTAGATAGATGATAGATAGATAGATAGATATTCTATGACCAAGTAATTCCACTTCTGTGTATGTACCCAAGAGAAATGGGCACACATATCCATAGATAGACAGATAATAGGTAGAAAGATAATAGATAGATGAATAGATAGATATTCTATGACCAAGTAATTCCACTTCTGTATATATACCCAAGAGAAATGAGCACGTATATCCACAGACAGCAGTGTGTGTGAATAACTCATAGCAGAGTTGTTCACAATAGCCCAAAACTGCAAACAATGCAAATTGCACATGGGAGAATGGATACATCCACATACCATGGAGTACTATACACCAGTGAAAAAGAGCGCCCTCCAGCTACATTGCAGCATCACAGACAAATCTCACAGGCGTAATGTTGAAAAGTGGAAGCTGGAAGTGAAGAGAACATATACTGTTTGGTTCCACTTACATGAAGTGAGATTCAGCCTATTTATAGCAACATCGGTTAGGAAGGTGGTTCCCCTTAGGAAAGGTACTGACAGAGAGGGTTCTGGTTGTTGCTGCCCACACATATACATTTGTGGAAATTCATTGAACTGAGTACTTAAGAATTTATGCAGTTTACTGTATGCGAGTTGTGCATCAGTGAAAAAAATAAAAAACAAACAAGTGCTGTATAATGGTGGGGAAATATGAAGAGTGTAGCGGGAATGCTAGTAAAGGTGATCACTGCAACTTGGCAAAAATTTCAGCTTTGAGCTTCCTGGCAGCCAAGACAAAAAGGGAAACTGGTAAACAACATGGCTACCTTCACTGGGGAGGTAGAACTTTCCCCTGGCTATGAGCTCTAAGAGCAGCATATTGCACAGGCACGTTGGTGGTGAGGAAAGCTGCTGTAGGAGCAGCTCTGATGGTCGGGGGACCCCATACTGATAGACAGCTGGAGCATCTTTCCCTCCGCAGGGTACCGGAAGCTGGTGAAGGACATGGAGGACGGCCTGATCACATCGGGGGACTCGTTCTACATCCGGCTGAACCTGAACATCTCCAGCCAGCTGGACGCCTGCACCATGTCCCTGAAGTGTGACGATGTTGTGCACGTCCGTGACACCATGTACCAGGACAGGCACGAGTGGCTGTGCGCGCGGGTCGACCCTTTCACAGACCATGACCTGGATATGGGCACCATACCCAGCTACAGCCGGTGAGGCCAGAATCAGGGCGGGGCCTCCATTTCCCTGAGTCTATGGAGGACCAGGCAGGAGGCTGCGGATGCCACGAACATCAGCAGAGGGGCTTATAGAGAAGCCCAGGCCAAAGAAGGCCACTGCTTTCCCTGTTTCACAGTGAGGTCCCCCAGGCCCTCCTCCTCCAGGAAGCCCTTCCTGCCTCCTCAGAGATGTTTCTCTCAACCTTCACTAGAATCCTGTAGAATCCTTTTCCATCTGGTAGTGACCAGACCACTCAATTCTATGCTGTCTTGCTGGGTTCACTAGTCATTTCTTTTCCATAGACCTCATCCCGACAACGACGTTGTCATTATAACAGCACTAGCCCCCAAGGACTGAGCACAGGTAGTGTGTCGGGCACACAGCAGGCATCTGGAAGCATCTGTAAGACTGTAACACTACACATCCATACCACAGCATCTATGAGACCATAACACCACACCTCAGGCCAGTCCTCGAAGGCAAGCATCATCACACCAGATTTACAGAGGAGGAGACCGTGGCTCAGAGGGGTTCGGCCACTTTGCTGCAGCCTCACAGCAAGCCAGTGCTGGAGGTGGGATCCAAACACAGATACAAGGAGCCACATCTTCTCCCCGGGCGCCCCCTGGGCTCAGAGCGCACACCAGCCACAGGGCCATCCCTACGCAGAGTCGGACACGCGCCCCACCCATGCCAGTGCGGTGCTGCGGCCCCGCTGGCTTCCCGGTGCTTGGCCCCTGAATTTCAGCCTCTGAGGCTCCTCTCTTCGCTCCCCAGAGCCCAGCAGCTCCTCCTGGTGAAACTGCAGCGCCTGATGCACCGAGGCAGCCGGGAGGAGGTAGACGGCACCCACCACACCCTGCGGGCACTCCGGGTAGGTCTGCCAAGCACCCTGTGGGGGCAGCAGGGGCAGGGATCTCGCCAGCTTCAAACCTAACTCCCGGGTCTTTTTTAGAGGCAGTAACAAATGCAATCCATCCGTATTGGGATGATGAATTCTAGGGAACTTGGTTCCTTGGTTCCTTAGGAATGAGACGCTCCCTATAGAAGGAGCCCCATCCTCTCATGCCCTCCCACAGGTCCTGACTTTCCAGGACAAGGGGTTGGTGTCTGGCCGGGCACAGTGGCTCACGCCTGTAATCCCAGCACTTTGGGAGACCAAGGTGGGCAGATCACTTGAGGTCAGGAGTTCAAGACCAGCCTGGCCAACATGGTGAAACCTTGTCTCTACTAAAAACACAAAAATTAGCCAGGCATGGTGGTGGGCGCCTATAATCTCAGCTACTCAGGAGGCTGAGACAGAAGAATCACTTGAACCTGGGAGGCAGAGGTTGCAGTGAGCCAAGATCGTGCCACTGCACTCCAGCCTGGGCGGCAGAGCAAGACCCTGTCTCAAAACAAGAACAAGGCTGGGCACAGTGGCTGACGCCTGTCATCCCAGCACCTTGGGAGGCAGAGGCGGGAGGATCATGAGGTCAAGAGATCGAGACCATCCTGGCCAACATGGTGAAACCCCATCTCTACTAAAAATACAAAAATTAGCTGGGTTTGGTGGTGCGCCTGTAGTCCCAGCTTCTCGGGAGGCTGAGGCAGGAGAATCGCTTGAACCTGGGAGGTGGAAGTTGCAGTGAGCAGAGATCATGCCACTGAACTGCAGCCTGGTGACAGAGCGAGACTCTGTCTCAAAAAAAAAGAAGATGAGCCTAGGTTTCTGGCTCCAGCTGGACTGCAGGCCTTTGCTCTACCATCCCTGGTCTCTGTTGAAGCAAATCACCTCTCTCCCAAGTCTCCAGGACTCCTCTCCCCTACCCCGCCTGCCCCTGCCTGCCCCCGCCCCTTGCCTGCAGCCTTTTGATTTCCCTAAGAAAGCGTTAGCATGGAGGGGCTTGAGGACAGGTCTCCAGTTCTCACCAGCATCATTGTGTTCTCCCCTCCTGCCAAGCCCAGCAGGGCCTGACTGATTGATAAATTCATTTCAGAACACCCTGCAGCCAGAAGAAGCGCTTTCAACAAGCGACCCCCGGGTCAGCCCCCGTCTCTCGCGAGCAAGCTTCCTTTTTGGCCAGCTCCTTCAGGTAAGGCTCTCCGGAGCACCTACCGATTTTTCAATCATATTCTGCTGTGGCCCTGCCCTCTCCCCACTGAGAAGAGACACCCGAATCAAAATAACCATGCTTTGTGTTTGTACACCACTTGCAACTCTTCACAGTGCCTCACATCTCCTGTCCCGTTTTATCCTCTCAGTGACAGGTGGGTAGACAATCTCTGTGCCTGCGGGAAGCAAATCCCACTTTCATAAAAGATTGAGGAACCTTATGGTGAAAAGAAACTGAAGTTAGCTGTTCAGATACTAATAGAAAGATCAGAAGCAGTGTATCAGGAGATGAAAACAAACATCCTAAATATCTAGGCCAGATCAGGTCCTCATTAATTGAGCATTCAACTTATCTGAGCATCCCGGCAGCCAAGGAAAAAAGGGAACCCAGCAGAGTCTTTCAATCTTATCTGTCTTGGGAAACATTTTAGCAATCAAGACCAGAAAGGACTTTTCCCTTCTACTTAATTCTAAAAGGGATTTTTTTTTTTCTGGCGTGGATCATTATACAAAGAACATTGACTAGCATCGTGTGTGGTATCTTCAGAAATGGTTTCTCGTAAATGCAGAAACACTCTTTGGGATCGTTTCTTGTATCGCCCGTGGACAAAAGCCAAGGGGGTAATATGAAAATGTGACCCCATGAGCGTGTTCCTGTGTGGCTGCCTCACTCATTAGACCCCAACGGAGACAGTGTTATGTTCCGCTGCTCCATCTCAACCTTGGAACAGGGAAACCCAGGGAAATTGTGAGCAGTGTGACCCTAAAATCCAGGTAGACACAAACAAGTGGCGGAGAGACACCCAGGTGGAAAGGAAACCTGGCAAAGTCTGAGGGGTTCACAAAGGCAGAACCATTTGAGATGACGCATTTTTACACCCGCATGACATGCAAGAGTGGAACCTTGGGGCCAGGCACAGTGGCTCACGCCTGTAATCCCAACACTTTGGGAGACTGAGGCGGGTGGATAACTTGAGGTCAGGAGTTCGAGACCAGCCTGGCCAACGTGGTGAAACCCCGTCTCTACTAAAAATACAAAAAGTAGCTAGGTGCAGTGACAGATACCTGTCATCCCAGCTACTCAGGAGGCTGAAACAGGAGAATCACTTGAACCCGGGAGGCAGAGGTTGCAGTGAGCCAAGATCGCACCACTGCACTCCAGCCTGGGTGAGAGTGCAACACTCCATCTCAAAAAAAAAAAAAAGTGAAACCTTGGGAGTCTCATCCAGAGCCCTGTAGCCAGTTAACAGAGAGCCGGCTGACACCCCAGATGCCATGCGTTTTCCTTCCTGCAGAAGGAAGAGTGTGGAGAGACTCAAAGTAGCCCATAGAATATGGTGTGAACCTGCTTCTGGGCCCATTGCCAGGGCATCCGTTTCTGCCCTCCAGGACTCAACTCTGTGAATTGTAGAAAAAAGTGGGTGCCCCCATTAAACTTAGGGATACCGAAGCAGAAAGGCATGGTGAGCACAGTGTCAGAGGGAGGTGGCATTGTCCAGCACATGCCCAGCAGGGGGACAGTCCCTGCCCACAGGGGTTTCCAGCCAGGGGTCTTCATGGCTGGGGCGGCTCAGGTCCCACAGTGCCTGCAGAGCTGCACCTGAGGTTCCCACGGGGATGCACATGAGCTTGACCCGAGACTCATCCGGCTGCGGAAGACAGCGTGGGCACCGATTCACTCATTTACCTACTGAGAACATCTCTCCAGTGGCTAAAGGGCTCGAGCCACCTGCTGGGAGTCTCCTGCTTTTATAGGGGAAATGACTGGCCCAGGAACCCCCAGGGGCAGAGCAGGGATTTGAACAAGGTCTGGCTTTGCCGGGTTGAGGGCAGCACCCTGTCTGTTTAGAAGTGGAAGCAAAACAGTCCTCCCCCGACCCTCCCTCTTCTCCTCCAGTTCGTCAGCAGGTCCGAGAACAAGTATAAGCGGATGAACAGCAACGAGCGGGTCCGCATCATCTCGGGGAGTCCGCTAGGGAGCCTGGCCCGGTCCTCGCTGGACGCCACCAAGCTCTTGACTGAGAAGCAGGAAGGTACATGGGGACCGCCTGGCCCCTCCCACCACTCCCAGCCACAGTCACACATGCCTCACCCTCACCTGGAGGAACATCGGTCCTTGTGAGGGGGCCTGGAAGTCCTCCAAAGGGAGAGGAGGGTGGACACAGGTGGCTCACGCCTGCAATCCCAGTGTTTTGGGAGGCCAAGGCTGGAGGATCGCTTGAGGCCAGGAGTTCAAGACCAGCCTGGGCAACATAGTAAGACCCCCATCTCTACAAAAAAATATAACTATGGCCGGGCGCAGTGGCTCACGCCTGTAATCCCAGCACTTTGGGAGGCCGAGGCGGGCAGATCACAAGGTCAGGAGATCGAGACCATCCTGTGAATGGTGAAACCCCGTCTCTACTAAAAATACAAAAAGTTAGCCGGGCGCGGTGGCGGGCGCCTGTAGTCCCAGCTACACTGGAGGCTGAGGCGGAAGAATGGCGTGAACCTGGGAGGTGGAGCTTGCAGTGAGCCGAGATCCCGCCACTGCACTCCAGCCTGGGTGACAGAGCGAGACTCCGTCTCAGAAAAAAAAATAAAATAAAATAAATAAATAAATATATATATATATAACTATAAAATATATAAAAACATTAAAATAAAAACATAAAGCATTAAAAATAAATCTTAAAATATGTAAATAGCTAGGCATGGTGTCACGTGCCTATGGTCCCAGCCACTTGGGAGGCTGAGGTGGGAGGATCACTTGAGCAGGAGTTTGAGGCTGCAGTGAACCAAGATAACATCACTGCAGTCACTCTGGCCTGGGCCATACAGCAAGACTCCTAGCTCTAAAAATAAAAATAAAAGACAAAAAGAAATTAAAACGGTGAGGGAGCCTGGCCTTGGCTGTGAGGACCATGCTGCCTCGGGGTGACATCCCGCCAAGCTCACCCAATAACGACGCTCTCGTGTGGTTGCTTCGCTCCCGGGTACCCGTGTTAATTGGGGCTGTTTGCTGTGAAGTGTTCGTTTTATTGATTTCTCTACCCACTGAGTGCCACTTGCCATTTATCAACCCGGCGAGGGGCCTCCCGGTCCACCGTCCCCCACCCCGCTGGCCCTGGCTGGCCCTGCTCAGGGAAAGGGAAGCCACACAGCCCTGGCTGGATCTCAAAGGAGGCCTTGGGGCGGCTTCCCGGGCTGGCCCTTTGGACGTTGGAGTGGCCAGGCCAGGGTACAAGAAAAGGCACAAGGGACAAGGGACAGGCTGCCCGTTTCTGGGAGCTGTTTCCTCGGGCTGCCTGGGGGTGGCTTCATCAGAACCCCGGGCTTCTGTGTGGCTCTGCCACTCCAGCCACAGAGGGACTGAGAAAGCAGAACTGAGGCCAAGTCGTCCCTCCCAGTGCTCCTGGGAGACACCCAAGGCCTTGGCCGCTGGTCCTGGTGTCTCGTGGGTGCCTGCCGGCACTTGCTTTCCTTGCCCTCGCCCTCCCCTCCGCTGGGCTGTACCCAGTCCCTACCCTTCCTCCAAGAAGCCCTCCTTGATCGTCTGACAAGGCAAACTTTCCCTCCAGAGCTCAGCCAAGGTTCCTGCATTTGTCACACACTCTGCCTGCCCCCCACCACACCTCCCCTCCCTGGCACACAAGCCCCAAGCAGTGCCAGCCCGAGGTGACCTCAGACACTGGATGCCCGGGGCAGCAGCCAGGCCTTCACACTGACGGTGGCTTCCAGGACCCAGCCCAGGGGCCCCGTCCTCCGTGGAAGGTCTTCGGAGCCCCAGGGGTCTGACCGCCACCCTCTCCTGCCCCTGCCAGAGCTGGACCCTGAGAGCGAGCTGGGCAAGAACCTCAGCCTCATCCCCTACAGCCTGGTACGCGCCTTCTACTGCGAGCGCCGCCGGCCCGTGCTCTTCACACCCACCGTGCTGGCCAAGACGCTGGTGCAGAGGCTGCTCAACTCGGGAGGTGCCATGGAGTTCACCATCTGCAAGTCAGGTGAGCGGCGAGCCACGGCCACCTGGGGAGCCCCGCGGGAGCCATGAACCAGGACGACTTCCCCTCTTCTCTTCCCTCCTCCCCTCTTCTCTTCCCTCCTCCCCTCTTCTCTTCCCTCTTTCCTCCTCTTCCCTCTTTCCTTTCCTTCCTCCTCCCTTCTCCCTCTTCTCTTCTCCCTCCTCCAACTTCTCACTCCTCCCCTCCCCCTCCTCACTTCCCTCCTCCCCTTTCCTCCCCTCCTTTTCTTCTTCCTCATCCTCCCCTCCCTCCTCCCTCTTCTTCCCTCCTCCTCCTCCCCATCACCCCTCCTCCCCCTGGATAGGTGGATGGATGGATGGAAGGATGGCTGAATGGATGATGGGTGACTGGGTGGGTGGACAGATTGATAGATAAATGGGTGGGTGGATGGATGGATGGAAGGATGGGTGGGTGGATGGGTGAGTGGGTGGATGGATTGGTGGATGGATGGATGGATGGATGGATGGATGGATGGATGGATGGATAGGTGGGTGGATGGATGGATGAGTGGATGGATGGATGGATGGATGGATGGATGGATGGATGGATAAGGGGATGGGTGGATGGGTGGATAGGTAGGTGGACAGATGGGTGGGTGGGTGAGGGGTCGGTAGATGGGTGGGTGGATGGATGGGTAGGTGGGTGGGTGGGTGGAACAGGAGATTTATTTAGACTGGTGATCAGCCTTGCACCACGGTGCCTGAGCTGCTTTGTCCAGTGAAAGGTATTGCTGAGGTGCCAAGCACCTGCTCTATGGGCTGCCATGGGGAGTATGGAGAAGGTTAACCTTAGCCCTGCCCTCAAGGAGCTTCACAGTCTAGTCGAGGGGAGACGAGATTCATTTAAACATGGCTGGAAGGGGATCGGACATCGAGTTCTGTAGAGCCCAGAAGGTGGCAGGCAGGGCCTGAGTGGGATGGTCAACCCAAGGCCACCTCGTGCTGCCCTCAGGACTGGCCCCTCTCTCTGCAGATATCGTCACAAGAGATGAGTTCCTCAGAAGGCAGAAGACGGAGACCATCATCTACTCCCGAGAGAAGAACCCCAACGCGTTCGAATGCATCGCCCCTGCCAACATTGAAGCTGTGGCCGCCAAGGTGAGGCGGGGACTGGGAGGTTGGATGGGGCCAGGACCCTCCGTGATGATCCTCATGAGGCCACCTGGGCCAGGGACAAGGGTGGGATGAAGAGTTGTTTTCACCTCCCCGTGGCCAGACCTCTCCTTTTCCCCTTGTCCCAGCAGCTGCCCCGTGTTAACTCCCTCTCTGCACCCTTGTTCCCTGGGCTCTGAAGTGAGTTTTTATTTTGGAGCTTTCTATTTGTGTTGGCTTCCTGGAGCTGGTGTGTGTTCGCATTATTTAGGAGTGTGTGTGTCTGGTTGTGATAACAAGGGCCAGAGATAGAGAACGAGCTCATCAGGGCGAGAGACAGGATGAACATGAAGGTGACAGGTATTGCATTCACCAAACGAGGGGAAAACGGGGCATCACAAGGGTTATTGGCAACGATGCAAAAAGGTTGTCTGTGTGCAATGTGGAGTCTTTGGAGCCAGACAATGTGACCTAAGCGTTGAGCTCTTCCTCGTCCCAGCACTGGATGAAGAAAAGGCTCTCTGTCCGCGTCACTGGAGGGCTCCCCCAGCTGCCGGGGGCTGGCTCCGTGGTGGACGCTGACCTTGGGGATGGCAAGAGCAGATGGTGGTGTTTTTGTTTTTTTTAAGTCTGGGCCACAGCAGTTTAGGAAATTCTGATAGCTGGCGTGGATAGAAAGTGAGCAGACAGGGTTGGAGCTGAGATTGTTTTTAGCTGAAAAGAAGAAGCCTTCCAGCAGATCTGTGCTGTAGAAATGTGGGCCATGGTCCTATTGGTGGGGAATGGGGAGCAGTGGCCCCGCAGGAGGCCCAAGGAGACCCTGGGCGAGGGGGGTCATTCCCACCTCCAGACACGAGTGCTAGACTGCGTTCAGTTTGTGAAATTCACTGAGCTGCATGCTTAGAATGCTGTGTTTATGTTCTATTCCAATGCAAAGTTTGATGTTTTATTTATTTAGAGACTGGGGCTCGCTCTGTTGCCCAGCCTGGAGTGCAGGGCATGATCCCGGCTTACTGCAGCCGCGACTTCTAGGCTGAAGCAACTCTCCCGCCTCTGCCTCCCGAGTAGCTGGGACTACAGTTACTCACCACCATGCCCAGCTAATGATTTTCTAATTTTTTTAGAGATAGGGTCTTGTTATATTGCCCAGGCTGGTCTCGAACTCCTAGCGTCAAGCAATCCTCCCACCTCCCAAAGTGCTGGGATTGCTGGCATGAGCCACCATGCCAACATTTGGTGGAATTTTTTTTTAAGTGATGCCTTCAGCAAAGCAGAAATTGCCCTTTCTCAAAATGATGAGCTCATGGTTGAGAACCTTGCAGATACTCCTGGGACCTGCCAGCCTCGCCGCCTCACCCTTCATGTGTTCCCTACCCTCTTACTTGAAGGCTGGCTAGGGTAGCAGGTGTTTTGGGGTGTGTGTGTGTGTGCGTGTGTGTGTATGTGTGTGTGTGTGTGTTTGAGACAGTGTCTCACTCTGTCACCCAGGCTGGAATGCAGTGGCACCATCTCGGCTCACCGCAACCTCCACCTCCCGGGTTCAAGTGATTCTCCTGCCTCAGCCTCCCGAGTAGCTGGGATTACAGGCGTGGGCCACCGCACCCAGCTAATTTTTATACTTTTAGTAGAGACAGGGTTTTGCCGTGTTGGCCAGGCTGGTCTCGAACTCCTGACCCCAAGTGATCGGCCCGCCTGGGCCTCCCAAAGTGCTGGGATTACAGGCGTGAGCCACCACGCCCGGCTGGTAGCAGGTGTTTCATTCAAACTCATTCACGCCACCTGGTTCACCCCGTCCGGGGCCTCATCTCTGCCCATGAACATCACTGTGGTCAGCAGAGTCCTGGAGTGTCCAGACTCATGTGGGGGTCTCATCTCCTGGATCAGCGGCAGGTGGCTTTCAGGGCTCCCGCCCCGCTATAGACCCCAACCCTGCATCCAGGCCCCGCTGCAGGCACCTTCACAGGAGCGGGAGGTGGGTGGGCTGCTGCTGACCAAAGCCGCTGTGCCCGCAGAACAAGCACTGCCTGCTGGAGGCTGGGATCGGCTGCACAAGAGACTTGATCAAGTCCAACATCTACCCCATCGTGCTCTTCATCCGGGTGTGTGAGAAGAACATCAAGAGGTTCAGGTAGGGCTCCCAGACCCCTAAGGGCTGTCCCCTCCTGTCCCTAGCACCCCACCAAGCCTCCATGGATCGCAGGAGGCCTGTGTGCCCCCACCTCATGCACCCCTTTTGTAAACCCTCACCAAGTACGGGACTGACCTTGCAGAGCTGATGCCAAGGACAGCGGCCGAGATGGTGACTCACATATGGGGCGCATCCCAGGGGACAAGAGCTGGGAGGGACGGGGCGGAGTGCCCATCACCCAGGGTGGTCCGGGAAGGCCTGGGGTATCCATCAGCGAGACCCATGGCAGTGAGGGGGGCCTAGGAGATGAGAAAGAAGACGCAATCTGGGCAGCAGGGGAACAGCTGGTGCTCAGACCCTGAGACAGATGTTTGGGCGGAATGGTGAGGGACGGAGGGGTGAGGGGCGGAGTGGTGAGGGACAGAGGGGTGAGAGGCTGAGGAGTGAGGGGCGGAGGGTGAGGGACGGAGAGTGAGAGGCTGAGGGGTGAGGGGCGCAGGGGTGAGAGGCAGAGGGTGAGGGGTGGAGGGGTGAGGGGCGCAGGGGTGAGGGGCGGAGGGGTGAGAGGCTGGGGAGTGAGGGGCAGAGGGTGAGGGACAGAGGGGTGAGAGGCTGAGGAGTGAGGGGCGGAGGGTGAGGGACGGAGAGTGAGAGGCTGAGGGGTGAGGGGCAGCGGGTCCAGGCCATGCAGGGCCACGGGAGGCTGCGACATCTTGTTCTGGGTGCATCTGGAGGCCACTGAAGGTGGCATGGTCCACTTTAGGGTATAAACGCACCTCTCACCTCTGGACACGGGCAGGGTGGCGGTGTGGGCCGGGCTTCTGTCTGAGAGGCGATGAGAGGCAGTCTGACTCCGAATCCGTGTTCAGGGTCGAGCCTGCAGGATTCGGGAAAGGGTTCACTCTGGGGTTCCAGAGAACCAGAGGCTGGGCGCGGTGGCTCACGCCTATAATCCCCACACTTTGGGAGGCCAAGGTGGGCACATCAGCTGAAGTTGGTAGTTTGAGACCAGCTTGGCCAACATGGTGAAACCCCATCTCTACTAAAAATACAAAAAAAATTAGCTGGGCGTGGTGGCGGGCACCTGTAGTCCCAGCTACTCAGGAGGCAGAAGCAGGAGAATCGCTTGAACGTGGGAGGGGCAGGTTGCAGTGAGCTGAGATCGAGCCACTGCACTCCAGCCTGGGCGACAGAGTGAGACTCCATCTCAGAAAAAAAAAAACAAAAAAAAAAAAACGAAAGGACGGCGCTGAGGTTTGGGGCCTGGGTGATGAGGACAGACTGGCCCTTAAGTGGCTTCATCTCGGATCCCCGCCCCTCCTCGCACGCACCTGCAAAATAAATGTCCTGCCACCATTTTGCAGAGGGAATCACAGACTGAGAGTTTAGGCCCATTCATTCCTTTTCACCAGATACTCACTGAGCCATTGTGAAGGGTTAGGCTCTGGGGAACGCAGCAGTGAGCAAAAGAGACGGGCATCCCCCTCGATACCTCACACCCGTTAGGCTGGCCAGGACCAAAAGGACAGAAACTGACAAGTGTTGACGAGGAGGGTAGACGTCGGAACCCGGTGCACAGCTGCTGGAAATGCAAAAGAGAGCGGCCACTGTGGAGGACAGCATGGCGATGCCCCCAAAAATTAAAAATAGAATACTATATAATCCAGCAACCCCACCTGCGGGCATATCCCCAAGAGAATTGAGAGCAGGGTCTGTAAGAGACATATACACGCCCGTGTTCACAGCAGCGTTACTCCCAATAGCCAAAACGTAGACGTCACCTAAGGGTCGGTCTGTGGGGAGTGAATACACACAATAGGGCCCATCCATACAGGCTAGGAAGGTGGCAAGAGCTGAAAACCTTGCAAACTGTTAACAAAAAAAGAGTTGAAACAAAGAAACAATAATACATTTAATGCATGAGAAATACTAGCATGGTACATACCCCCTTCCCTGATCTGTCCTGCCTGGGAATGTGTTTATGGTGCAGTGTGTATCACAACAAAAATACTGTATGGAGTATTTTTTTTTTTTTGAGACGGAGTCTCACTCTGTCACCCAGGCTGAAGTGCAGTGGCACGATCTCGGCTCACTGCAGCCTCCACCTCCCAGGTTCAAGAGATTCTCCTACCTCAGCCTCCCGAGTAGCTGGGATTACAGGTGCCCACCACCATGCCTGGCTAATTTGTGTATTTTTACTAGAGATTGGGTTTCACCATGTTGGCCAGCTGGTCTCGAACTCCTGACTTCAAGTGATCCTCCTGCCTCGGCCTCCCAGAGTGCTGGGATTACAGGCCTGAGCCACCGCACCCGGCCCATAGAGTGGAGTATTATTCAGCCTTGAAAAGGAAGGAGATTCTCACACCCACTCCAACATGGATGAACCTTGAGGGTGTCATTCTCAGTTAAATAAGCCAGTTACAAAAACACACATGCTGTATGTGATTCCGCTTCTGTGAGGTCTCTAGAGCAGTCAGATTCCTAGAGACAGCAAGTAGAAGGGTGGTTCTCAGGGGCTGCCGGAGGGAAGATGGGGAGTGAGTATTTAATGGGCCCAGAGTTGCAGTTTGGGAAGTTGAGAAAGTTCTGGAGATTGGTTGCACAGCGGTGTGAATATACCTCATGCTACTGAATTACTCACTTAAAGAATAGGTAACATGGTTGATTTTATTTTATGCGTACCTTAGCACAATTAAAAATAAAAAGGATGTGGCCGGGAGCGGTGGCTCACGCCCATAATCCCAGCACCTTGGGAGGCCAAGGCAGGCAGGTCATTTGAGGTCGAGAGTTCAAGACCAGCCTGGCCAACAGGGTGAAACCCCATCTCTACTAAAAATATAAAAATTAGCCAGGCATGATAGCATATGCCTGTAGTCCCAGCTACTCAGGAGGCTGAGGCAGGAGAATCACTTGAACCCGGGAGGTGGAGGTTGCAGTGAGCCAAGAAAGTGCCACTGCACTCAAGCCTGGGCAACAGAGCAAGACTCCATCTCAATCAATCAATCAATCAATAAGGATGTATTTGGAATTTCCGATGAACAGCATGAAGGGGCACGGTCCCTAGCGTTAAGAGGCACGGACGCTATAGGGAGAAGCAAGGCAGGGAAGGGGTGGGGACCACGGCAGTCAGGGGTGGCCGGACAGGTGGTGCCACACCAGCGCCACGGCCTTGCAGCCTCCCCACAGCCCCTGCGTGTCTCCTCCCAGAAAGCTGCTGCCCCGACCTGAGACGGAGGAGGAGTTCCTGCGCGTGTGCCGGCTGAAGGAGAAGGAGCTGGAGGCCCTGCCGTGCCTGTACGCCACGGTGGAACCTGACATGTGGGGCAGCGTAGAGGAGCTGCTCCGCGTTGTCAAGGACAAGATCGGCGAGGAGCAGCGCAAGACCATCTGGGTGGACGAGGACCAGCTGTGAGGCGGGCGCCCTGGGCAGAGAGACTCTGTGGCGCGGGGCATCCTATGAGGCAGGCACCCTGGGCAGAGAGATGCAGTGGGTGCGGGGGGATCCTGTGGCCCACAGAGCTGCCCCAGCAGACGCTCCGCCCCACCCGGTGATGGAGCCCCGGGGGGACAGTCGTGCCTGGGGAGGAGCAGGGTACAGCCCATTCCCCCAGCCCTGGCTGACCTGGCCTAGCAGTTTGGCCCTGCTGGCCTTAGCAGGGAGACAGGGGAGCAAAGAACGCCAAGCCGGAGGCCCGAGGCCAGCCGGCCTCTCGAGAGCCAGAGCAGCAGTTGAATGTAATGCTGGGGACAGGCATGCTGCCGCCAGTAGGGCGGGGACCCGGACAGCCAGGTGACTACCAGTCCTGGGGACACACTCACCATAAACACATCCCCAGGCAGGACAGATCGGGGAAGGGGTGTGTACCAGGCTATGATTTCTCTTGCATTAAAATGTATTATTATTTCTTTGTTTCGACCCTTTGTTTGTGAACAGCTTGCCAGGCCTTGAGCCCTTGCCGCCTTCCTAACCTGAAAACCATGCCCAGTGAGCTTAGCTGGAGACTCAGGCCCCATGTTCCTGGGTAGGGTGAAGGTGGGGTGACCACACACCCCAGGGTCCCAGGACAGGCCTGATTTACCCCTGGGCTTAGGGTAATACTTGCTAATCGCACCCTATGGACTCAAATGCATCCTGATTTGGAAGATCAATAAATTATCTTGTCACCCTGAGAAGGGCCCATCCTCTCACTGACCCTGGGGAGCCCTTGCAGTCTGTGTCTGGCCTGCCCCGTAACTCCAGCCCTGAGGCCAGGCCCCCGTCACTCAGCTCTTCTCTGCACATAACTGCCCCTGCCCCACATTCAATGTCCCTAAAGGGCAGCCCCGCTTCCTCCTGCAGGTCAGGAGCAAGCACGTGAGGTACAGCCCTCTGGGGGGTTCATACCCCACTTCCCAGGAGCTTGAGGGGTGCAGGAAAGCCACGCCCGCTCCCCAGCAGGTAGCAAAAGTCCTAGGAGTTCTAGAACCATTCTTCTCCTTCACCCCCTTGACGCAAATTTGCCGAGTGTGGACCTGACAGGCACAGCCAAACCAGGCCAGGTTGCACCCTCACGGGGCACCACACTGCATGTGCAGGAAGCTACTGGGTGGCAGGCTCGGATTCAAACCCGGGTCTGTCTGAATGTGGGAACTGTGGGAGCAACTGCTCACTAACAACCTAATACCCAGATTCCCCTTCCTTCCTAAGAGAATCCTGACTCATCCTGGGAATCTACATGCACAGCTCAAAGACCATATATCCCAGCCTCCCTTGCAATTAGGGAAATGTAAGGGGAAGTTTGGGGGAGAGACAAATGGCGCTTCCTCCAGTTTTCTGCTGCGGATGCAGACGCAATGGCTGGAGCACCAGCAGTGTTCTTGCATCTTGAGGTGACTGTGAGGGTGGAAACCCCACTTGGAGGATGGCAGATCAGAAAGAAAGAAGGAGCCACAGTCACTGATGATACTTGGGGGCCCAGGACTGCTGCTTGGGTTTCTTTTACATGAGACAGAAAGAAATTTGTGTCTTGTGTTAAATGACTGTTATTTCAGTTCTCTGTTACTTGCAGCCAAGAGCAATTCCTAACAAATACAGGAGAAAACTTTATTCTTTATAGTTTCAAATACCATGGGCATGGGTTAATCCTCTGCTGGGTTTTTACCGCTTAGACAAGGTATGAATTATTAATAAAAGCACTCTATTAATAAAGATCTCTTCCAAAAAAAGAAAATACTGTGTGGCCTGTAGCATTTTCTGGCATTTTGACCTACAGAAGACAAATTAGCAGCAGAAATCTCCAGGAGGTGGGAGTGAATGCATGGGGGTCCTAGGAGGATGCCTTGTTCTTGCCTCCTCCCTCACAATCCATCTCTGCACCACCAGCTCCGGGTCTGCCAGGGAGTGTGACACCTTGAAAAACAGTGTCTCCCTCCAAGAGCCCATGAGCAATGCTGCTTTTTCCAAGACAGCCCCCAGAAACAAGCTAGACGTGCTGGGTGTAGAGAGGCCGTGACTCCTAGGTGCAGCTGCCGTTATTTAGGGCCAAATAAACCACCACACGAGGCCATGCTAGGGCCGGAAGGCCTGCAGCTTCCATCTTGTGAAAGCCTTAAGTTAAAATGTAAACCTCCCCCAAGCCGAGGGCTTCGTGTTTCGGCCTGGAAGCTGTGCTTCCTCGTAAAGCGCTCCGTGCTGAGTGGACAGACGTGACCGGGAAGGAGTCTCGGACAAAAAGCCAGCTGAGTGATTTATATCATTTGTTTGACTTCAGAACTCTCGGGTGGCTGAGCAGAATAAGCAAACAGGTGGCTTGCATGTCATTTGGGAGGACAAGTGGGGTGGAGATAAGCTGTGCGTAGGGAAAGATATCTGAAAAGAATCTGTGGTGGGGTTTCTTTTCCCCCTTGCCTTGCCCGAGTGATTTTAACCAGGATCGAGAGTGCAGGGCTGTGGGGTGGATAATTGCTAATAAGCGGGTGAGAGGAGGCAGGGGCCGAGGGCTGGAATGAGGTTCCCTCTTCCCTTCCCTTCTCTGATGAAATGGTGAAGGCAGCAGGGGAGTGGGGTTGGCACCCCGGGGACGGGTCCACATGAGGATTTCCAAGGAGACCTCCAGCATCATCGGCTTCAGCCCCCAGGTCCTGCCTGTTCAGCTGCCAGCAACCCCTGTGTCTGCCTGGTGAGCCGAGTGGGGTCTGGGAGGCCGGGGAGGGAGGCACGGAGCTCTTTGCACCGTCTGCCTGCAAGTCCAAGTATTGCACAAGGGCCTGCAAGCTGAGTTTTGACTGCAGAGCCAGCCCAGGGCTCAGGGAAGCTCCCCGTACAGCAAAGCCTGGAGCCCGAGGCTCTGGATGCCTGTGCCAAGCCGACAATGCCACAACGATGCTTGGTTCACACCATGGGCACCAGCCACGCAGCCCAGAGCCACTGTGAGAGGCGAGCACTGGAAATTGTGTCGTATGTGTAGACACACACTTTTCTGGGGAGAAAGTCCAGCCTTTCTCAGATTCCCAAAGGGTGTTGCAATCCCAAAAAGATAAAGAACTATTGCTCTGGGATTTGGCAAATATGAGCAAATGTTTTTTGAGCTCCTCCTCTGTGCTGAGCACCTTGTAAATGTTATTTTACTTATCCCCAAACTCTTCTCCATGTTATACAGGTGAAAATTGAGGCTCAGAGAGGTTAAGTGACTTGACCAAGGTCACACAGCTGGTAAGCTGGAACTTCACCCAGGTCTGCTGATTTGCAACTGTAAGCTCGGGGCTGGATTTTCCATTTCTGAGGTGCTGTTTGGGGTCCCAGGGCCTTTGGTCGTGTGTCCCCTCTGCTCTTCTAGGGACCAAGGAAGTGGTTGGTGTCCCAGGCAGTGGCTGGCTGGGGGCTGGGTGGCTGGGTGACATAATGACCACACTGAGAGGATGTGAATTTCCTCTCTTGTTTGTGGTTTTTTGTTTGGTTGCATTTGTTTTTGCTTTTGTTTTGTTTTTGGTTTTCGTTTTTGTTTTTTTTTTTTCTTTTTTTGAGACAGAGTCTCACTCTGTCACCCAGGCTGGAGTGCAGTGGCACGATCTTGGCTCACTGCAACCTCCACCTCCCAGGTTCAAATGATTCTTGTGCCTCAGCCTCCTGAGTAGCTGGGACTACTGGTGTGCACCACCACCACTCCCGGCTAATTTTTGTATTTTTAATAGAGACAGGGTTTCACCATGTTGGCCAGGCTGGTATCGAACTCCTGACCTCAGTTGATCTGCCTGCCTCGGCCTCCCAAAGTGCTGGGATCACTTGAGGTCAGGAGTTCCAGACCAGCCTGGGCAACGTAGTGAGACCTTGTTTCTACAAAGAATATTTAAAAATTAGCTGAGCATGGTGATTCATGCCTGTAGTCCCAGCTACTGTGCTGGGATTACAGGATTTCCTCTCTTGGAAGAGTCGGTCTGCTCACCCGCTGGTAGTGTCGGCCCGCTGGCCCTGGGCTTCTACCTAACCAGGTCACAATTCTGAGAAACGCTGGTTTTCTCACCCAACCCAGGAAGGGGGCTGCTTTGGGGAGGGGGTGAATGCAGGAGTGAGATGTCTTTGAGCCCTGGCATCATGCCACCATGCTGTTCTCAAAAGCCATCACAGGCTGGGTGTGGGGGTTCACACCTGGAATCCCAGCAGTTTGGAAGGCCAAGGTAGGCATATCTCTTAAGCTAGCATCCAGGCTGGAGTGCAGTGGTATGAATATGGCCCACTTACAGCCTCAACCTTCTGGGCTCAATCCTCCAGCCTCATCCTCCCTAGTAGCTGGGACTACAGGCATGCATCACCATGCTCAGCTAATTTTTAAACATTCTTTGTAGAGACGAGGTCTCACTACATTGCCCAGGCTGGCCTGGAACTCCTGACCTCAAGAGATGGTCCCATCTCGGACTCCCAAAGTGCTG
This sequence comes from Homo sapiens, assembly GCF_000001405.40. NCBI lineage: Eukaryota > Metazoa > Chordata > Mammalia > Primates > Hominidae > Homo > Homo sapiens. The sequence goes on along the minus strand of NC_000007.14, from coordinate 2,902,144 downwards.
GGATTCCAGGAGTGAGCCACCGCACGGCCTCTCGCATTCCTTTTGACAGCCATGTGGTGCTCTGCCGGTGCTGGCCTGTCCTTCCGTCACCAGTCCTTGTTGGTAGACAGCCGTCATTTCCAGGGAATCACTGTTGAGCATCATTTTGAACAGTTCTTCTCTGCAAGATAGTCCCCCAAGAGGGGCCATGCACTGATTTCCTTGGAGGGAGCCCCACGGCCCTCCCCGGAGGGTGCACGCACACAGACGGGGCTTCGTGATGGCCACAGCAGGCTGGCGGCGCTGGCCTGGGACGTTTCCATTTCGGCCTGTCCAACCATAGGGGCAGGGGTCAGTGTGGATGGTGGACTCACCTGTCTCGGTTACACCCTAAGCTCTGGGAACCTGGTCCCAGGGCCGCTGTTCTTTACTGCAGAGTAGTGCATGTGGTTTGTGAACCACGGTGGTTCTTCCCCGGGAGAGTCTGGGGAGACGCTTGGTGCTGGGACCCCACCACCTCTACAAGATACAGACTGATCCCCACCCCCCCATCCTGTGAGGGACACTAATCCAGTCCACACAGGCCTAAAACCCACTCACCTTGTTACTCCCAAACCTGCCCCTCTCCTCCCCAGCCCACCCTTAACTCAGTCACTCAGCCAGAAACCCAGGTAACACGGGCACTGTCTCTCCCCTCTCCTCTCCTCTCCATCTGTACAGGCAACTGTACACACACATTCACAGCGGCACTGTTCACAACAGCCAGAAGGTGGAAGCCAGCCAAGTGTCCATCAAGTGGTGAATGGATACGCAAAATATAGTCCATCCACACAATGGAATATTGCTCAGCCATGAAAAGGAATGAGGCTGGGCATGGTGGCTTATGCCTGTAAGCCCAACACTTTGGGAAGCCAAGATGGGAGATGGCTTGAGCCCAGGCATTCGAGACCAGCCTGGGTAACATAACAAGACCCCATCTTTACTAAAAATAAGAAACAGGGCCGGACACGGTGGCTCATGCCTGTAATCCCAGCACTTTGGGAGGCCGAGGTGGGTGGATCACAAGGTCAGGAGATCGAGACCATCCTGGCCAACACGGTGAAACCCCATCTCTACTAAAAATACAAAAAATTAGCTGGGCGTGGTGGCGGGCGCCTGTAGTCCCAGCTACTCTGGAGGCTGAGGCAGGAGAATGGCGTGAACCCAGGAGGCGGAGCTTGCAGTGCGTCGAGATTGCGCCACTGCACTCCAGCCTGGGCGACAGAGTGAGACTCCATCTCAAACAAACAAACAAACAAAAAAAAAAAAAACAGGCTGTGCATGGTGGCTCATGCGTGTAATCCCAGCACTTACTTTGGGAGGCTGAGGCAAGCAGACCACCTGAGGTCAGGAGTTTGAAACCAACCTGGCCAATATGGTGAAACCCTGTCTCCACTAAAAATACAAAAATTAGCTCGGTGTGATGGCATGTGCCTGTAATCCTAGCTACTCAGGAGGCTGAGGCAGGAGAATGGCTTGAACCTAGGAGGCGGAGGTTGCAGTGAGCCGAGATCGTGCCATTGCTCTCCAGCCTGGGTGATAGAACAAGACTCCGTCTCAAAAAAAATAAAAATAATAAAAAACAAAAAAAATCTAGCTGGGTTTGGGGATGCACACCTATAGTTCCAGCTACCTGGGATGCTGAGGCAGGAGGATCGCTTGAGCCCGGGAGCTCGAGGCTGCAGTGAGCTTTAATTGTGTCACTGCACTCCAGCCTGAGCAACCGAGTAAGACCCTGTCTCAAAAAAAAAAAAAAGGGGGGGAACGAAATGCTGATACGCATGGCAACCTAGATGAACCTTGAAAACACTATGCTCAGTGAAACAAGCCAGCCACAAAAAGACAAATATTGTAGGATTTCATTTATATGAAATGTCCAGAATAGGCAAATCCCTAGAGGCAAAAAAAAAAAAAGATTAGCAGTTACCAGGCGTCAGGGAGAGAGGAATGGGAGTGACTGCTTCATAAGTGCAGGGTCTCTTTTTAGGGTGATGAAACTGTTTGGAACTAGACAGTGATGCTGATTGCACGGCATTGTGAATGTACTGAGTTGTACACTTTAAAATCGTTAAAATGGTGAAGTTTAGGTCATATGTACTTTTGCACCATTGTTTTTAAAAAAAAGAAAACGCGTGGGCCGGGCGCGGTGGCTCACGCCCGTAATTCCAGCACTTTGGGAGGCCAAGGTGGGCGGATCATGAGGTCAGGAGATCGCGACCATCCTAGCTAAATCTCCTGGCTAACACGTTGAAACCCCATCTCTACTAAAACATACAAAAAATTGGCCGGGCGTGGTGGCGGGCGCCTGTAGTCCCAGCTACTTGGGAGGCTGAGGCAGGAGAATGACGTGAACCCGGGAGGCGGAGCTTGCAGTGAGCCGAGACTGCGCCACTGTACTCCAGCCTGGGCGACAAAGCGAGACTCCATCTCAAAAAAAAAAGAAAAAAGAAAAAAGCATGAACAAAAGCGAATCTTTCCTTTCCCTCTGGCTGCAGGAGGAGGAAGGCCGTCAGGAGGGGCAGCCTGCAGGGCCCCCCCCAACTTTCCTTCACTTGTTCTAACATTCACTCACCGACCAATTTCAGGGCATCCTCAGGGTGAACATGCCCCACGGGAAGGGGTTCTGGTGAAAGGGTAGGAGAGGAACGATCAATTCCGCCAGGGGCTCAAAGCGGGAGGGTCAGAGGTGAGGCCTGAAGGATGAGTTAGATCTCACTGAGTGTGTCCTCGTAGACTGTGGGTAGAGGAAAAGCGAAGCTGAGGTTCGAAGCCTGGAAAGAGTGGTCAGGGACCAGTCATGGATTCAGCTAGTCATGGCCTTGGCAGAGCTGATCCATTGGGGAAAATACTGGATTCTTCCTTACCAGTTGAAGAGCAGTTACCGCTCCAAGCCCCACCGTCTGCCTCCCTGGCTCTGTGACCCTAATGGGTTTGTTGCCCATTGGACATAGCAGGCCAATACACCAAGGCATCAGCTTGCAGCAGAGAAAGGGGTTTAATCGCAGGGTCGCCAAACCTCAACTCCACCTCCCCGAGGAATTTGGGATTTGGGTTTTAATTACAAGTCAATAAAAATCCAATTCCTCTGTCACATGAGCCACATTTCAAATGTTGAAGAGCCTCATGGGGCTAGTGGCTACGGTATGGGGCAGAGCAGATTAGAGAACATTTCCATCATTGCAGATACTTCTATGCGCCTGCCCTGCCTTGGACAGTCGCTGAGTTCCTGCCATGTCCCTGGAACCACAGGGATGGGTCCAAGAGCCCAGAGATTTATCAGCCCCAGTCCCTATTCTCAAGGTGCTGACAGCTTGTTGGGATAGGCATGCAATTAAACAAGTTATTACATTGCCACTGGAGTTGCCCAGGTGCCAGCAAGAATGTAAATGAGTGAAGTGGACCAGAGTAATGCAATAGGGACAGGCGGGGACTGTGGCAAATTGGAGAGGACATAATCCACTTAAAAGGGACACCTGGAACTCAGCCTCAATTGCTTGGTGTCATGCAGGAAGCAGGCTCTTTCTGGCCAGAACAGATTGTTCAAGAAAACTGTTGGTTTTGTCAGGTAGGTTGCCTCATTATCACAAAATAGCTGCCACCAATCCAGATATCACATCTTCACATGCTGGTGCCCAAAGCAAAAATGGAGGGCCTCCTCCTCAGTTAGGATTTCTCCTTATTTTTTTTTTTTTTTTAGAGACAGGGTCTTACTCTGTCACCCAGGCTGGAGTGCAATGGCATAATCATGGCTCACTGCAGCCTCCAACTCCTGGGCTCAAGCAGTCCTCGCACCTCAGTCTCCAGAGTAGCTGGGACTACAGGCACATGCCACCACACCTGACAAATGTTTAAAAAATATTTTATGCAGACAGATTCTCACTATGCTGCCAGGCTGGTCTCAAACTCCTGGCCTCAAATGATCCTCCTGCCTCGGCCTCCCAAAGTGCTGGGATTACCAGTATGAGCCACCATGCCTGGCCAAGAAGCAAAAGTCTTCGAGTTCCTTTACTTGGTTGCTGGGCTGTGTTTCTTGGCTTCAGACACTTCTGAGAGACTGCCCTTGGGTCACACCTTTGGAGGGGCGGACAAGATTCATGGCCAGAAAGTGGACAGCCTCCAGGCCCCATGAAGACAGTGAAACTATCAGAAACCGAGGCCACACCCAGCCCAGACCAGCAAGAGCCGATTGTGGATACCTCTTCCCAAGTCCCTATTCAGTGACTTTACAGGGGCAGCTTGATATTGGCATGATGGAGGTGTTTATACCAGGGAGGTGGCAAAAGCCATGAATCAGGATTTTTCCCCAGAGAGCAGGGAACTTTTTTTTTTTTTTTTTTTTTTATGGAGACAGAGTCTCACTCTGTCACCCAGGCTGGAGTACAATGGTGCGATCTCGGCTCACTGCAACCTCCACCTCCCGGGTTCACACCATTCTCCTACCTCAGCCTCCTGAGTAGCTGAGACTACAGGTGCACGCCGCCACGCCCAGCTAATTTTTTTGTATTTTAGTAGAGACGGGGTTTCACCATGTTGCCCATGCTGGCCTTGAACTCCTGAGCTCAGGCAATCCGCCTGCCTCGGCCTCCCAAAGTGCTAGGGTTACAGGCATGAGCCACTGCGCCGGGCCAGCAGGGAACCTTTCCTAGCACGTCTGTCTACAACTTTCTCCCAGACAGGGGACACCTGGTTCTTCTCATCTCTGCCTTTCGCACAACGGGATCCTCTCTCTCCTCTCTGAGTCTGCTTCCAGTGACCATTTTTATACTCAGCCCGCATATCCATATGGCTTCCAGCCCAGTGCTGCAGGAGGAATCTGACTGGACCAGCAGGCTTCCGGCTCGACTCACTGCGGGACCAGGCAGGGTCACATGGCGGGAAGGTGGCTGCCCAGGCCTGTGCGTTCAGCGGGGTTGTGGGGACTGGCCATCCTCAGGGAAGAGGTCACCAGTAGGGGGCACACCAGGGACACCCACTCCCGAGATCCCACGTGGCCCACCCTACTCTGTGACCCAGGCTTTTCTCAAGACACATTTCATTCCCCCAGGCCTTCACCGACCAGTACGCTGAGGAGGAAAACACAATAAACTTCAAGAAAAACACCAGAGGGCTCATAGGGACATTCTGGCAGGTTGGAGACGCAATTCAGAGAGAGAGGAGGGGCCGAGAGGGCAAGTGGACGGCTCCCTGGGCAACCCTTCCTCAGGTCATACCTACCTTTTCTCCCGATCCACGGATTTCATTGAATTTTTGTGTGTTAAAAATAACTGGCAGGGTGCAGTGGCTCACGCCTGTAATCCAGCACTTTGGGAGGCCGAGGCAGGTGGATCACCTGAGGTCAGGAGTTTGAGACCAACCTGGCCAACATGGTGAAACCTGAAACCCCGTCTCTACTAAAAATACAAACATTAGCCGGGCGTGGTGGCGAGCGCCTGTAATCCCAGCTACTAGGGAGGCTGAGGCAGGAGAATCACTTGAACCCGGGAGGCAGAGGTTGCAGGGAGCCGAGATCGCGCCATTGCACTCCAGCCTGGGTAACAAGAGCGAAACTCCCTCTCAAAAACAAAAAATAATAGTAATAATCAGAAACTGAAAGCAGACGTCTCTTTTGCCCATGGCCAGCTCACGGTGGGGGGCCTCTGGGGAGCTGGGTCTAGCAGTGCTTCACCTAAGAGGTCAAAGGGCTCCCCCTCCCCACGGGCCTGAGTCCCTTTGCCATCGGCAGCTCCCCTCCTGCCCCGGCACCTGGCCTGGCCTCTTGTTATCAGATCTCTGTTGATGAACTAGAGCAGCAACCCCAGGGCTGGGATAGCCACAGCCCTACCCAGGCAGCTGCCTGTGTTCCCATTGATCTCCCATCACATCCCATTACCGTCACTGCCGCACACATGCCTCTGAGTGCCCGCTTTGGGCGAGCGGAGTGGGGCTTGCAGCTCCTTTTGCTTGAGGCCTCTGGGTCTTCTAACCTTGAAGGTGACCTCCAAACTAGGCAAAGAGAACGGTCCCCTCCAGCAGACAAGGGTACCTACCATGCACCTGCCCATTTACACCTGGTGTTTACAAACCCAGCACAGACCTGCTCCCCTGGTGACCATCATTCCTACTTTACAGATGGGGAAACTGAGGCTCAGGGGGGTCTCACATCTGGGAACAGAGCTGAGATCTGAAGACAGAAACCTCCAGCTGGGCACAGTGGCTCACACCTCTCATCCCAGCACTTTGGGAGGCCGAGGTGGGAGGATCACTTGAAGCCAGGTGTTCAAGATCAGCCGGGGAAACATAGTGAGACCTTGTCTTTGCAAAAAAAAGTTTAATTGGCCAGCGTGGTGACACACACTGTAGTCCTTGCTACTCAGGAGGCTGAGGTGGGAGGATCACTTGAGCACGGGAGTTGAAGGCTACAGTAATCCGTGATGGTACAATCCAGCCTGAGCCACAGAGTGAGACCCTGTCTCTAAAAGTAACTATAATAATGAACAGGGGAACTTTCGAGGGCTTCTCACGGCCGCCTCAGGGCTTACTTGGTACAAGCTTCACTGAGGTGTGCATCAGGTCCAAGGACAGAGGTCAAGGTCAGACAAAATTCAGGAAGACTGGAGTTCCCAGGTGCTCAGGAGGCAGTGCTGAAAAATGAGAGGGGTGGGGGCCGGACGCAGTGGCTCACGCCTGTAATCCCAGCACTCTGGGAGGTGGAGGCGGGAAGATACCTGAGGTTGGGAGTTTGAGACCAGCCTGGCCAACATAGTGAAACCCCATCTCTACTAAAAATACAAAAAATTAGCTGGGCGTGGTGGTGTGTGCCTGTAGTCCCAGCTACTCAGGAAGCTAAGGCAGGAGACTTGCTTGAACCCGGGAGGCAGAGGTTGCGGTGAGTCCAGATCTCGCCACTGTACTCCAGCCTGGGTGATGAAGTGAGACTCTCTCTCAAAAAAAAAAAAAAAAAAAAGTTTTTAATTAAAAAAAAAACTAAAATTAAAATTTAAAAAAAAAAAAAGAATGAGAAGGGTGGGCCACCAATACTGGTACATATGTGGGGGCTCAGCTCAGAGCCCTGGCCCCTCCTCCCTGCAGACCCAGATATGGAGAGGTTGGTCCTGACTGAGGGTCCCCAGCATGGCCCACTTCCTGCACTGCCCCTGGGGTCAACAAGGCCCCTGGTGCCAACAAGGTCCTCTGCACAGGAGCACCCCAACCTGGGTCCCTGAACTCCTCGGTATCGTCCTTCCCTGGCAGCCCCAAGGCAAGACAGCCGGGGCCCTTGGCAGGAAGCTGGGGCTCACGCTGTGGGCAGGAGCTGCAGCTGCGCCGGGAAGCAGGTGGGTGAGGCGGGGGCGTGGAGGAGAGAGAGGAGAAAGGATTGGGGGCTTTCTGGTTTGTTTGGCTACTAAAATTAGCTGTTTGTGAACAGGGGGCCAAAGGCTCACACCCTCTCCTCTCAGCACAGTCTGCTTTGAAACCCCAGGTGCTTGGCTAAAAATTGTATTGAAAGTTTCCACGCGGCTTGGGGTGACTGGAAATGAGTCTCTGATACAGGATTGTCTTTCTTCCTTATTACATGTCACATTCAGTTCTGATGTTGTTTTGACCGACGCTGTGTGCCCCTCCTAGCTTGTATGATGGGTGGGATACGAACGCAGGTATGAGGCTGTGAAATTGCATTTGCTTCTGTGTGTGTGCGAGACAGGGAGACAGAGAGACAGAAGAGGAAGAGGAGGAGGGACGGAGGAAGGGATGAAGAAGGAGACACAGAGAGGAAGGACCAAGGAAGGGAGAGAGAAGGAGAAGGAGGCAGGGAAGGAGGGAGGGAGAGACAGAAACAGGAAGAGGGGAAACAGAACAGAGAGAAAAAGAGAAACAGAAAGAAACACACACACACAGGCTTTTAGACCACTAGCTGCTTGGCTGTTACCAGCCAAGGCCCAGGTGGACATTAGGTGTCTTGTTTTTTTCTTTTTCCTTTTTCTTTTTCTTTTTGAGAGAAGTTCTTGCTCTGTTACGCAGGCTGGAGTGCAGTGGTATGATCACAGCTCACTGCAGCCTCGACCTCCTGAGCTCAATCTCCTGCCTCAGCCTCCAGAGTAGCTGGGACCACACACACGCACCACCACACCTAGCTAATTTTCTTTCTTTTTTTTTTTTTTAAGAAATAGGGTCTCATTATGTTGCCCAAGCTGGTCTCAAACTCCTGGGCTCAAGCAATCCTCCACCTCAGCCTACCAAAGTGCTGAGATGACAGGTATGAGCCACCACGCCTGGCCTGGGGTCTTGGTGATGGAGTAGCCGGGCCCCCAGATGTGCCATCCCATGTGATTTCACAGTGAGGAGTCCTAGGGTGTCTGTTGGCTGGGAGATGCCCATATTGTGGGATGACGTGGAGCCCCAGGGTTGGAAATGGCCACATCTGAGCTCTCTGACAGCTTTCTGTAAGCCCAGGGAGGTAACGTCACACTAGAAAGGCTGGGTGACGAGCCACAGGAAGTCACTGTGAGGACCCAGTGAGCCCGTGCAAGGGGACCCCCCCACATGCAAGGGGACCCCCACATAGGCACCTCCAGCCCAGCTGTTAAATGGCCAGCCTAGTAGAGCCAGGTCCTCTTGGCATCTCTGCTTGGATTTCCCCAAATTCAGTGTCCAAATCCAAACAAACCGCCGGGTACGGTGACTCACATCTGTAATCCCAGCACTTTGGGAGGCCAAGACAGGCGGACCACCTGAGGTCAGGAGTTTGAGACTAGCTTGGCCAACGTGGTGAAACCCCATCTCTACTAAAAATACAAAAAAAAAAAAAATCAGCCGGGCATGGTGGCAGGCGCCTGTAATCCCAGCTACTCTGGGAGGCTGAGGCAGAAGAATCACTTGAACCCAGAAGGCAGAGATTGCAGTGAGCCGAGATCGTGCCACTGCACTCCAGCCCGGGCTACAGAGGGAGACTCCATTTCAAAAAAATAAATAATTTTTAAAAATAAACCCAACACTTTCTCCCTGGAAAGAGGAAACCTGTTCCTCTTCCCCCTCCACCAATGGCATCCCCACCCACCAGTCACTCAGGCTTAAAGCCCAAGCCTCATCCCCGGTTCCCAGCTGAACCCCAACAGACACCTCAAATCCCCTGCTTCTCTCCAGCCCCACCCTCTGCTCCATCTGAACCATGAACTCCCCTGAGCCTCTGAAAGCCCAGAGACTCCCTTCTCAAAATAACATTTTCAAATGCATGAAATAAAACACACAGGATCGCAAAGGAAGCCAACTTTCTTATCAAAATATTTAAAGAGCAAATGGGTAATCCGGTAATTTGCATGCTTTTTTGTGTGTGTGGTGAGTGAATGTATTAAATCACAGGATTGAATAACAAGCTCTGGCAGTGGGGCCAACAGCTGTCGTTATTCTGGAGTTGTGACAAGCATGCTTGGTGTTTCACGCTACCTGCGGCAGCTGCAGTGGGATGGGAAGACCCCCGTGTTTCTACTGATGAACGTGTCCCAGGCGCTGCATCATGCCTCTGCAGTTTTGTTTTTTTTTTTCTTCCATTCATTCATAAGGCAAGGAAATGCTCACTTTCCATTAGGGGGTAGGGAAAATAAAGATGTCATTTTTTTTTTCCATTCAACATTCACAGACTCCCTGAATTCTCTATCCATGGATTCGAATGAAGAGCGCCCTGATGGAGGGATCTTTCTGGAACACAAATTGGAGTGTCACTGTGATGATTGAGACCTTCCCATTGGAAGCTACCAGAATTGCTAATTTTTTTTTTTTATTTTTTTTTTTGAGATGGAGTCTTGCTCTGTCACCCAGGTTGGAGCGCATTGGCGTCATCTCGGCTCACTACACCTCCACCTCCCAAGTTCAAGCGATTCCCGTGCCTCAGCCTCCCGAGTAGCTGGGATTACAGGCTTGCACCACCACGCCCGGCTAATTTTTGTATATTTTTTTTTTAGTAGAGACAGGGTTTCATTCACCATGTTGGCCAGGCAGGTCTCGAACTCCTGACCTCAAGTGATCTATGCACCTCAGCCTCCCACAGTGCTGGGATTACAGGCGTGAGCCACCACGCCCAGCCTGGAATTACTATTATTTATTTTTTTATATTTTATTTTTTAGTAGAGAGGAGGTCTCGCTATGTTGCCCAGGCTGGTCTTGAACTCCTAAGCCAGGGCAACCCTCCCACCTGAGCGTCCCAAAGTGCTGGGATAACAGGTGAGAGCCATAGCACCTGATCCCCTGCTGCTGGAATTAAATGAGAACAATCTGCCGTGCTTACATGGCCTGGCCCCTTCCAGAACCTTCTTCCTCCTACTGGCTATATTCAGCCACACTGGCCCCCTGTTGGTCCCCAAAACTCTTTCTGTGCAAGGCCTTAGTGGCGGTGTTCCCTCTGCTGCCCCCTCCCGCTTCCCTCCCCCCCTCCCCTGGTATGGGGCTCAGGCCCGCCTCGGCCTCCGCATTTTCTCCCTTCTCAGCTGCTGCATGGTTTTCTTGGACTGACCGGACTACCTCCCCGTGAAAGATGTGCCCAAGTCTGCAGTGGCCGTGACTGTAGCCTTATCCGGAAATAGGGTCTTTACCAATGTAATCAGGTTAAGATGTCATACGGGATTAGGGTGTGTCCCCAAATCCAGTGATGGTGTCCACGTAAAGAGGAGGGAGGCGGGGCACGGTGGCTCACCCCTGTAATCCCAACACTTTGGGAGGCCGAAGCAGGAGGATAACTTGAGGCCAGGAGTTCAAGACCAGCCTGGGCAACATAGCAGGACCCCATCTCTACAAAAAAATACAAAAATTAGCTGGGCATGGTGGTGCACACCTGTGGTCCCAGCTACTCGGGAGGCTGAGGGAGGAGGATCACTTAAGCCCAGGAGCTGGAGGCTTCAGTGAGCTGTTATCACACCACTGCACTCCAACCTGGGCAATAGAGCAAGACCCTGTCTCAAAAAGAAAAAAAAAAAAGAGGAGGGAGATTTGGATACAGAGACACAGAGAAGGCCAGAAGGCTGAAGAGGGAGGTAGAGGCTAGAATGACGCAGCCATGGGCCAAGCAACTCCAGGAGCCGCCAGAGACTGGAAGAGGCAGGAAGGACCCTCCACAGAGCCTTTTTAGGGAAGGAGGTCCTGCAGACACCTTGACCTCGGACTCCTGGCTCCGAAACTGTGAGGGAGTACACTTCTGTTGTTTTAAGCCACCTGGTTTTCAGTGATTCCTTATAGCAGCCACAGGGAACTCCTACCAGAATTTAAATGTCAAAGAGCAGGGACCCTGTCTTCCTAGGCACTGCTATGCACATGCCTGGTACCCAGTTGGTGCCTAATAAGTGTTGTTGAAAGAATGGATGTGTTCTCAAAACTGCAAACCTATGTCCAGGCGTGAAGCGTTGTTCTTCTCCTCCTGGGTCTCAGTGCTGACCACCGCCGGCCGCTCCGTCCACCTCATCACTGGTGTCTGCCGGCAAGGTTGGCTTAGCTGCTCCCCTCTCCGTCAGAACCCGCTCCTGAATCTCCTGCATCCACAGAGCCTGGAGCGTGTAGGAAGTGCTTGATCAAGGAATGTTGCAGAGACAGGGTCCTGGATAGGCAGACAGTAAGGCCAGAAAGCCCAGCCCTGCCTCCACCATAGACAACAGGACCAAGGTCTGGTGTGGGGAAAAGCCCTGAGCAGCCGGGGCCCACCATGGACATGCTCTGGACAAAAGGCTGAGGGCTCCATGGCAGCGTCCCCTCCAGCCATCTCACAGGCAGCCCTGACCTTGAGAATGGCCAGATACAGGCTGCTCCAGAGCTCAAAGCAGTGAGGAACACAGACCCTGAAACAAAACTAGAGCCTGGGAGGTCTGGCCCAGAAGTCACCTCCAAAACGAGCCCATCTGGAGAAAGTATTTGCAAGCTATGCATCCGACAAAGGACTAACATCCAGGATCTATAAGGAACTTAAATCAACAAGAAAAAACAACAAGGCCAGGTGCGGTGGCTCACGCCTGTAATCCCAGCACTTGGGAGGCCGAGGTGGGCAGATTGCTTCAGACCAGGAGGAGTTCAAGACCAGCCCAGCCAACACAGCAAAACCCTATCTCTACTAAAAATTAGCCAGGCGTGGTGGCGGGCGCCTGTAATCCCAGCTACCTGGGAAGCTGAGGCAGGAGAATCATTTGAACCCAGAAGGTGGAGGTTGCAGTGAGCCAAGAGTGCACCACTGCACTCCAGCCTGGGCGACAGAGCAAGACTCTCTTGAAAAAAAAAAAAAAAACTCCATTAAAAAGTGAGCAAAGGAAATGAACAGACACTTCTCCAAAGAAAACGTACAAGCAGCGAAAAAACATGAGAAAACGCTCAACGTCACGAATCGTCAGAAAAATGCAAATCAAAACTGCCATGAGAGAGCATCTCACACTAGTCAGAATGGCCATTACTAAAAAGTCAAAATACAGATGCGGGCAAGGCTGCAGAGAAGAAGGAACGCTTACACACTGCCAGGGGAATGTAAATTAATTCAGCCCCTGTGGAAAACAGTTTGGGGATTTCTCAAGGAACCAAAAATAGATTGGCCAGGTGCGGTGGTTCACGCCTGTAATCCCAGCACTTTGGGAGGCCGAGGCCGGTGGTTCACCTGAGGTCAGGAGTTCGAGATCAGCCTGGTCAACATGGCAAAACCCCGTCTCTACTAAAAATACACACACACAAAATAATAATAATAATAATAGATCTACAATTCAATATAGCAGTCCCACTACTGGGTGTCTACCCAAGGGAAAATAAATCGTTCAATCGAAAAAAACACCTGCAGTGGTATGTTTATTGCAGCACTATTCACAATAGCTAAGACATGGAGTCAAACTAAGCATCCATCAATAGTGGACTGGATAAAGAAAATGTGGTGCATATACACCATGGAATACTATGCAGCCATCAAAACAAATGATATCGTGTCCTTTGCAGCAACATGGATGCAGCTGGAGGTCATTATCCTAAGTGAATTAATGCAAAAACAAAAAAGCAAATACTTCATGTTCTCACTTATACGTGGGAGCTAAACAGTGGGTACACACAGACGTAAAGATGGAAACAATACTGTAATCCCAGCACTTTGGGAGGCTGAGGCGGGAGGATCACAAGGTCAGGAGATTCAAACCATCCTGGCTAACATGGTGAAACCCTGTCTCTACTAAAAATACAAAAAATTAGCCGGGCATGGTGGAGGGCGCCTGTAGTCCCAGCTACTCGGGAGGCTGAGGCAGGAGAATGGCATGAACCCAGAAGGCGGAGGTTGCAGTGAGCCGAGATGGCGCCACTGCACTCCAGCCTGGACGACAGAGCGAGACTCCATCTCAAAAAAAATAAAAAAAAAAAAAAAGATGGAAACAATAGACACTGTGATTCCAAAGGTGGGAGGAAGCGAGTGGGGGAAGGGTTGAAAAACTACCTACAATTGGGTTCACTATTTGGGTGATGGGTTCAGTAGGAGCCCAAACCTCAGCATTACACAATATACCCAAGTCACAAACCTGGACGTGTGTGCCCTGAACCTAAAATTTTTTTTTCAGACGAGTCTTTCTGTCGCCCAGGCTGGAGTGCAATGGTGCAATCTCGGCTCACTGCAGCCTCCACCTTGCAGGTTTAAGCGATTCTTCTGTCTCAGCCTCCCAAGTAGCTGGGATTATAGGTGTGCATCATCACGCCCAGCTAATTTTTTGATTTTTAGTCGAGACGGGGTTTCTCTATTTAGGCCAGGCTGGTCTGGAACTCCTGACCCCAGGTGATCCACCTGCCTCAGCCTCCCAAAGTGCAATGATTACAGGCATGAGCCACTGCACCTGGCCTAAAATAATTGTTAAAAGTTAAAATTAAAAAGCCCATCTTTCCCTGTCCTTGGAGACCCCGACAGCATAAAATTACCAACTACACAGACACGCACATTTGCCATTGGCGGTGAATGAGAATGAGGGAAGCTACACTGCAAACAGGAGCCATCTGAAGGCAGCTGCTGCTGGTCCGGGCTCCCCATGCACAAGGGTTGGGGGTACAGGGTGGGGTCCCTTTGCTGCAGTTGTCCCTCCTGGGGCTGAGCAGCAGAACCCAAGCAGGGGAGGTGGCAGCAGCCCAGCCATGGCTGGGATCCCAGTGGGGCTCCTGGCCCAGCAGAAAGAGACCTTGGCAGGCCCAATTCCCTGCTGCAATTTGGGTCACCGTTGAAGAACAGAACAGCCAGCTAAGACCCAGGGGCATCGCCGTCAGAAATGTGATTTCTCACCCCCCACCCCTAGGCAGCTCCTAATGCTGCACAGAGAAGTTGGAAGAGGGGGTTGGAGGCCGGGCGCAGTGGCTCACACCTGTAATCCCTCGGCCTTGGGAGGCTGAGGTGGGCAAATCACTTGCGGTCAGGAGTTTGAGACCAGCCTAGCCAACATGGTGAAACCCTGTCTCTACTAAAAATACAAAGATCAGCTGGGCCCAGGGCGTGTGCCTATAATTATCTGGGCGTGGTGGTGCGTGCGTGCAGTCCCAGCTACTCGGGAGGCTGAGACACGAGAATCACTTGAACCCAGGAGATGGAGGTTGCAGTGAGCCAAGATGGTGCCACTGCACTCCAGCCTGGGTGACAGAGTGAGACTCTGTCTCAAAAAAAAAAAAAAAAGAAGAATGAGTTGGGACGGAGGTGAACACGACACCCACAAACCTACAGCAGGGACCAGCTCGGGGTCCGAATGTCGGGAAAAATCTCAGTGCGGCTTATTGATCTGGGTGGCAAAGCATCAAATATCTCGGTTAATCTGGCACCGCTCCGTTCATATTCTATTGTTGTTATCAGCCTCCAGGATTTACGGGTGTTGTCGACTTGAATTACCATCAACGGCTATATTTTTCGAGGGATTTTCTTTTCTTTTTCCTTCTTCCTTTTTTTTCCTCTGTGTGAGTGTGTGTCCGTCGGTTTCAGCCAATGAATTTCTGCTGGGAAGACTTCTAGCACCCCCTAGCTGTGGGAAGGACTCCACTGCGCTCTGTGTGTGCACGTGTGTGTTTGGCTCCGTGTGTGTGTGTGTGTGTGTGTGTGTGTGTGTATGTGGAGAGGTGTACACACATGTGTGCACACACATGTCTGTGCACGGTGGGGTGGGGGGGTGTCAGGTCCATGGTGGGGCACACGTGGGTACCGGACCCTCACTGTGGTCCCACGCACATGCACAGAGACCCCACCCCGACTGTCCTCTCCACCCTGGCCCCCCTGGTGGCCTTGTTCCCTGCAGGCTATGACTGCCAGATGTCCCCCAGCTGCACCCCACCCTCTTCACATCCCCCCAGACAGGCCCAAAGCCAGATGGGCAAACCCAGGCCCCTGGCAGACCCTCCCTCTCAGGCCCACTACCCCACTTTTCAGCCAGCGCAACAAGGAGGGGTGACCAGGACCCCCTTCCCCTCACCCAGAGTTCTGCCATCCTTGGTGACATAAGTCTCCCAGGATTAAGCCTTTCCCTGCTCTGCAGAGAAGGTGCCTCCCAGCTCCAGTCACCTCACAGGCCACAGCTTCGTGCCCCAGCCTGCTGGAGCAGGAAGGTATTGATTTCCTTTCTGCAAAAGAACATGGAGTCAAGGGGCAGGCCCCTTGCACATTCTTCCCTCCCGCCCCATGTGACCCGGAGCCCCTGAGACCTGGCACCACCCAGCAGGTCCCCAGGCCCTAAAAGCCATTCCAATAAATCCACGTGTCTTTATCCCTGAGCCAGGGCAGCCTTTGTGGAGAAGAAATGTATCTCCAGGGCACCCCCACCCACGGTCACTGAATTCCCCCGTGAGAGGGACTCCGGAGGGAGGATCCCAGGGTCTGAGCCCAGCTCCACCACTCACAACCATGTGCACGTGAGCAAGTGGCTCAGTCCCCTGGGCCGCAGGGTTTCCAACTATAAAATGGGCACAGATCTATGAAATTGAAAAACAATACTGCATATATTATTTATGGTTATGTACATATGCAATAACAGTATAAATTCCTGCAATGGAAAAATGGATAATCAACTGAGAAGGTGGCTCTTCTTCAGGAGACAGAGAAGGGGAGAGGGCTGGGTTGGAGCAAGTTGGGAGTGGGGCTTCAGTAACATCTATCATGGTCTGTTTCTTCACAAGATACCAAGAAAATACCTGCATATTGGGACCAGATAGGGCTAGAAGGCAGGTACCTGGCAGGTTCATTCTGCTACTCTGCAGTGTTCTGTATGTTTGAATTATTTTAAAAGAAGAAGATACAGCCAGGCACGGTGGCTCACGCCTGTAATCCCAGCACTTTGGGAGGCCAAGGCAGGTGGATCACCTGAGGTCAGGAGTTCCAGACCAGCCTGGGCAACATGGTGAGACCCCATCTCTACTAAAAATACAAAAATTAGGCGTGGTGGTGTGCACCTGTAATTCCAGCCACTCGGGAGGCTGAGGCAGGAGAATCGCTCCAGCCCAGAAGTTGGAGGTTGCAGTGAGCAGAGATTGAACCACTGCACTCCAGCCTGGGTGACAGAGTGAGACTCTGTCTCCAAAAAAAAGATACAAAGGTAAAATAAAGTGAGGATATCAAGCCCCCCTTCAGGACTGCAGGGAAGCTACTTGCAGGGCATTGAGCCCAGTGCCTGGTGCTTAGCCAGACCTTGTTCCATCCCATCCCCTGCCACCTGCTACCAGCACCCTACCTCATGGCACCTGCCCAGCCCTGACCCCCAGCCACAGTCCCCATCAAAACTCAGCTATCCTCCATTCCTTCCCCAAACCTCAGGAGAGCAACTTGATCAATTAATCCTCATAAGCAGGTTTGCTTGCACTTCAGGTTTGCACTTTTTTTTTTTTTTGAGATAGGGTCTCACTGTGTTGCCCAGGCTGCTCATGAACTCCTGGGCTCAAGCGATCCTTCTGCCTTGACCTCCCAAAGTGCTGGGATTACAAACCTTTTACGATAATATTATACAAATATAAAGTATGTATATCTGGCCAGGCACGGTAGCTCATGCCTGTAATCCCAGCACTTTGGGAGGCTGAGGCAGGCGGATCACGAGGTCAGGAAATTGAGACCATCCTGGTGAACACGGTGAAACCCTGCCTCTACTAAAAATACAAAAAAATTAGCCAGGCGTGGTGGCGGGCGCCTGTAGTCCCAGCTACTCGGGAGGCTGAGGCAGGAGAATGGCCTGAACCCCGGGGGGCGGAGCTTGCAGTGAGTGGACATCACGCCACTGCACTCCAGCCTGGGCAACAAAGCGAGACTCCGTCTCAAAAAAAAAAAAAAGTATGTATATCCATATATGCATCTATGTCATATATACATATTTATATCATAAATATTATAATAATATAAGATAGGGCTGGGCGCAGTGGCTCACACCCATAATCCCAGCACTTTGGGAGGCCGAGGTGGGAGGATCGCTTGAGCCCAGGAGTTCCAGACCAGCCTGTGAAACCCCATCTCTACAAAAATACAAAAAGATCAGTGAGGCATGTGGTGCATGCCTGTAGTCTCAGCTACTCAGGAGGCCGATGTGGGAGGATCGCTTGAGCCCAGGAGCAGGAGGCTGCTGTGAGTTATAATTGCACCAGTACACTCCAGCCTGGACCGTGGGGAGAGACCCTGTCTCTGGGGGGTAAAAAAAAAAGAGTATAAAATGTATTGGAGACATATTTATTTTTGTGTTATCGTCTATGTTTGGCAAGCACTGCTGGCTGCCCATAAATTATGGCTATAAAATTTCCTTTTATAATCCGTTTGTTTAAGGCGGGGTCAGGAATGGCACATTGGTGCCAGTTGGAACCCTTTGCATGCAGTCAGGGGTCCAGGTGGGCTGAGCCCGGCCTGTGCCTGCTCACTGGCCACACGCCCTGGTGCTGGGCCGGGCCACCCAGAGGATGGGGCATCTTTTTCTATGCACAAAGGCACCGCCTGCTCACTAAAATTCCTAAGGGTAGAATTTGACACCCAGCCTCCTTTCTGAGGACCCAGGAGCAAACTGCGTCTTCCACATCCTCCTCCTTCCAACTTCCCGACTCCCTTGCTGTGTGACCTCAACCGAGTGCCTGTCCTTTTCTGGGCCTGAGTAGTCTCTCCACCTGAAAATCGAAAGGTAGGAGCTAAAGATGTCTCCTGGGTTCCAAAGGCGCCCCCAGCACAGTCAGTGTGGAAGTCTCTCTTTCCCCCAGTCTCTCTCCTACACACACACACCCTGTGTCTAAACCGATGGCTTCACTTGACAGCTCCACCAGCAGAAAATAATTTCCACCAGCAGCCAATGGATTTATGCCTCACTCATCAGCCGCAGCCTGATCAACCTGTCCTAAGTCACTGAGGGAGGCAGCTGCCTTCCATCCCCCGCCACAGGCCCTGCCACGGTGCACACTGGCAGGGCTGGGAGCAGGACTGGCCCGAAAGCCCTGAGAGCCGTGGCCCCACACGTGGATTCTGGGGCTCATGGGTGCGTGTGGGTGGCACAATGGGGAGAGCACAGGGTAGGGAGGCATCCACAGGTCCTCAGGAGCCAGGACAACTCCCCACTTTACTAACGGGGGACCTGTGGCCTGCAAAGGAGACCAGGCATTCAGGGCCACAGAGGAAGCCACTACAGGGTCCAGATGCATGTCCAGGGGCCCTGCTGGGGCCACCACAGTGAGGAAGGCAGAGAACAAGCCCTAGATGTTGTTCCCAGGCTCCCAGGCAAGTCGGGGGAGGCCTGCAGCCCCCACCTGCCTGCCTCCTGAGCCCGTCTGTTCAGCCGCAAGGGAGGCCCTGGCCCTCCCAGCCCCTGTACCGGCAGGCGCAACCCTTGCACGGGAACCCTGTTCCCAGGATGCCCTCACGCCTGCCAGCCCCTCTGTGAGGCCCCTCCTCACTGGGCCGTAAGGAGACCACTGTTCTGCCGTGGCCACGGGGGTGGCGTCCTGATGGCCATCACCCCCCACCCCCAGCTGGCCGCCAGCACATTGAACCATGAGCTCGGAGCAGGGTCTGGAAAAGCGCCGCTGCAGAACCGCAGCTCCTGCAAACTTCCTGTCCCCCTTCAGATGCTCTGGGCGGAGGTGTGCTCCTCATCTCCAGTTTGCAGATGTAGAAACTGAGGCTCAGAGGCGGGAAGTGGTTTTCCAAGGCCAGGAAATGTGCAGGTGGGATTGGCAGCCAGGCCAGCCTGCCCCCGAGGTATGGCCCCTCCTCGACCACCCAGAGCAGGTGCACACAGACAGGAGGCAAAGGCCACACGGGTGCCCGTGGAGCCTCACCTGGCACTTGGCAAGGCCTCAAAAGCCCCATGCGATATATGGAAATCGGGTGCAGCGGGTTATCATGTGTCATCTGGGAACCTTGGAGAGGTGAAGGAGCTGGGGGCTCCCAACGAACCCCACAAATCATTACGCTCCCCCTCTCCCCAGGCTTCCCCCTGCAACCTGGCAGAGCTCCCAGTTCTCACAAGGAAGAGACGGGGACTCCCCTTCGCTGAGCCCTCTAGGGGCTTGCACCTAAGCAAGGCAGGAATTGCCAAACGGGGGCCGCACCCTGCCCAGAGCCCGCACTGGCAGGACCTCGAAACTTTGGGCTGGAGAAGCTCCCCGGGCGCCCATCTTTTTCTCCTGTAGGACTTGGCTGCAAGCTCCTCTTGCAGAAGGAGCCCCCATCCTGGGGCTGAGCCCACCTCTGCCCGGGCACACCCTTGTCCCCCACCTTGGGTTGGGATATAAATTAAAATTCAATTTCATTAAAGGCAGTGAGCAATCAGTCCCTGGCTGGGGCTAACAATGCCAGGCAGGGGGCCTTCGCTTCCTCTGGGCTGTAATTCACTCAGCCTCCCCCGCTCTTGTTCGCAAACTGCTAGAGCTGCACTTTCCCCCCAAATTTATGGCACTGGCAGCGTCTGGGGCCTGAGTTACAGCTGCAGGTTTGATCGGGGACTGCATTATTCTGCATCTAATCCTCACGCCTTGACAGCAAGGGCCGGTTGTTCTCCCAAGCCGGGCATTGTCCTCTGGTTGGCCAGGCTGGGGTGCAGAGGCCGGGTTCTGGGCCCATGCCCTGAGCCACCCACACCCAGGCGGGACATGGAAATCAGAGAACTCATCCCACATCTCGCACTCTCCCTCCTTTAATCCTATAAAGGAGGAAGGGCTAGAATCCATCTCACAGATCAGCAAACTGAGGCACGGAGTGGTCATCTCAGGACCCAGTGAGTGACTCTAACACTCTGCACCTAGAAATACTCCCCACAGGACACACCGATGGTGCCCATGGGTACCCCCTGCAGCGTGGCTTAAAATAGCCCAACATCAGAAAAAAAAAAAAAAAAAAAAAAAAAGGGGGCCTGGTGGCTCACGCCTGTAATCCCAACACTTTGGGAGGCCGAGATAGGCGGATCACCTGAGGTTAGAAGTTCGAGACCAGCCCGGCCAATATGGGGAAACCCTGTCCCTACTCAAAATACAAAAATTATCTGGGCGTGGTGGCGAGCCTCAGCTACCTATTTGGGAGGCTGAGGCAGGAGAATCGCTTGAATCTGGAAGGTGGAGTTTGCAATGAGCCAAGATCGCGCCACTGCACTCCAGCCTGGGCAACAGAGTAAAACTCCATCTCAAGAAAAAGAAAAAGAAAAGAAAAAAAGGACAAATGACCACCAATAGGCCACAGAGCAGCTGGATATGGGACCCAGGGAATTCTGGGCTGGTGAAAAACAGCAAAGCAGCCCCCATGGATCCCGACATGTTCAGGAGGCACTGGCGCGAGGAGGCAGCTGAGGGTAACAGTATGGGCGGTCCGCGTGGGAAGCTCAGATGGTAACTGCGCAGGCTGCGTGTGCACAGAAACGCCTGCAAATGTGGCATCCACGCTGTTACCTCTGGGAACCATAGGATTTTTTTTTCAAGATCTATATTTCTCCCCACTGCAGAGCAGCTGGCTGCATCTAGAAGTTTCTGCACCTCCGTCTGGGCATCAGATGTTTACCTCTGGTCTGCGGGTAGGAGGGTGGGCTGTCTGCCCGCCACTCCCAGCTTCATGCAGGATCTGACCTCCCACTGGCTGGGGCAGCCAGCCCGGACTCCCCAATCTCTGACCTCCTCGGCAGCCTTGTGGGAGGGGCTTCGGGGTGGAGAGGAGGGCAAGGCCAGGAGAAGCTGGGACTTGTCCCAAGTGCAGCCCCAAGGCAGCACCTCCCACCCTCTTTCAGAGATGCTTTGGATCCTGAGCTGTTTCTGGCTCCGGCTGGTGGGGCTGGGCCTCCACTGCTGCCCGCAGCCTCTGTGAAATGGGGCTGAACCAAGCATCTGCCCCCCCATAAGCATCAACAGAAGGCGGTTCCCTTCCATTTAGCATTTTTCTTTTTTGCGTGCTGGTATCGATTTTTGCCTCTTTTGTATCCCCGAGGGCTACAAGCAATTTTCAGACACCATCCCTGCCTCATGGGCTCGGAAGAGAAGCAGGATCAACGTGTGTGGGAGAGTCCGAGGGGGACCCAGGGCAGGCTTATGCCAGCCTGGGCAGAGGCCCAGCTGGAGAAACTGAGGGGCGGGGGCCACTTGGGGGAGGACCCTGGCCAGCCTCCTGCCTGGACGCATCTCACAGCCCCTTTCTCTCCATCATCGCCCTGCCCCCAATTCCAGGCCACCATCACCTCCCACTGGATACAGCCAGGGTCTCCTGTCCACTCTGGTTCCCTCTAACCCACTCTCCTCTCTGTTCCCAGAGGGGTCTTTCTATATGCAAATATGGACAGGAAATGTCCAGGGCTCCCTGCTGCCTTCTGGCAGAATCTGCCCTCTGTAGCCCGGTTTCCAACACTCTGCACAGTCTGGTCTCTGCTTCCCGTGCTGGCTTTACCACCTTATCCCTACACACACACACACACGAATGCATGCATGCACACATGTTCACACGTGTACATGTACAAATACACATGTGCTGCACACATGCATATGCCCACATGTATGCACACATTCACACAGAGACACACATACGCACACGCACATGCACGCAAACGTGCACTTGTGCAAATGCACTTGTCATGCACAGATACACACATGCACACTCACAGACACACATAGACATGCACAAGTAGACTTGTGTGCTGCACACAGGCATGCACACATGCACATGGCCACATATGTCCACATGCACACACACATTCACACACATGCACGTGCAAATGCACTCATGCACAGATACACTCATGCACGCACACACATGTTCATATACACATATGTGCTACACACAAGCATGAACACATGCACATACCACATATGCCCATAGGCACACACACATACATATGCACATGCAAATGCACTCAAGTCATGCACAGATACATGCACACTCACAGGCACACATAGACATGTACAATTAGACTTGTGTGCTGCACACAGGCATGCATACATGCACATGGTCACATATGTCCACATGCACATACACATTCACACACATGCGCGTGCACATGCAAATGCACTCCAGTCATGCACAGATACACACACGCACACTCACACATATGTTCATATACACATAAGTGCTGCACACAGGCATGAACACATGCACACACCACATATGCCCATATGCACAGACATACACACATGTGCATGTGCAAATGCACTCGAGTTATGCACAGATACACACATGCACTTTCACACACACGTGCATATACACATATGTGCTGCTCACAGGCATGCACACATGCACATGGTCACATATGTCCACATGCACACACACGTTCACACACACATGCACGTGCAAATGCACTCGAGTCAGGCACAGATACATGCACACTCCCATGACACACATATCCATGGACTACACACCTGTGCTTCACTCTGGCATGCACACAGCCACACATATACATGTGCAAACACACTCAAGTCACACGGATGCACACGTGCGTCCACACACACACACACATTCCAGTGACAATGAGCACTCTGCTACCCTGCTTCCCTGCCTCTGATGGGCCACCCCTCTCCCATGTCAGGCCAGTTCCTACTCCTTTCAAACTCAGCCATGGTAGCGTTTGCCCGTGCACATCTAACTAGGGGCCCCGCTCCCGGAAACACAGGCAGCTTACACTTCCTGCCCCTTTGAAGAGGCCAGCTGCAGCCTGTGTTGCTTCCCAGATCAAGGTGGAATTGGCCACGAGGGACCCTCTAGTGCTGGCTCCTCTTTCACAGACCGGTCCACATCAAGAGGGGGCACTAAAAAGCAATGGACCGGCCGGGTGCGGTGACTCATGCTTGTAATCCCAGCACTTCCGGAGGCCGAGGCGGGCAGATCACCTGAGGTCAGGAGTTCGAGACCAGCCTGGCCAACATGGTAAAACCCCATCTCTACTAAAAGTACAAAAATTAGCCAGGCATGGTAATGGGCGCCTGTAATCCCAGCTACTCAGGAGGCTGAGGCAGGAGAAGCTTAAACCTGGGAGATAGAGGTTGCAGTGAACCAAGATTGCACCATTGCACTCCAGCCTAGGTGACAAGAGTGAGACTCCGTCTCAACAAAAAAAAGAAAAAAAGAAAAAAAGGAAAAAAACGAAGGACAGCTGCCCCAGGGCATTGCAGGGACCCACAGCCAGGCTGTGTGCCTTGATGTTCTAAGCAACTTTGACTTCAGAACATTTTTTACTGCACCCACCCCCACCACAAAAAAAGGCCAGATCACCATCTTCTGGTGCCCAAAACCCCGTACTTCCTCCATGAACAACATCCCCCACTCATCCTAGGACCACCTGTTCACACATCTGTACCCCTACCCTGGACAGCACTAAGCTGTAAATTCATGAAGAGCAGAGGCTGGTCTTGGGTATAGATCCTCCAGCAGGGCCCAGCAGAGAGTAGGAGTTCAGTAAGTGATGTGGAATGAATGCATGAATTAAATAAAAGTTGGAAATAGAGTTCGGGTGCAGTGGTTCACATCAGTAATCCCAGCACTTCGGGAGGCCGAGGCAGGAGGATCGCCTGAGGCCAGGAGTTTGAGACAAGCCTGGGCAACATGGTGAAACCCCATCTCTACAAAAATACGAAAACGTTAGCCGGGACTGGGCATGGTGGTTCACGCCTGTAATCCTAGCACTTTGGGAGGCCCAGGCAGGTGGATCACTTGAGGTCAGGAGTTCGACACCAGCTTGGCCAACATGGTGAATTCCTGTCTCTACTAAAAATACAAAAAAATTAGCCAGGTGTGGTAGCATGCTCCTGTAATCCCAGCTACTTGGGAGGCTGAGGCAGGATAATCGCTTGAACCTGGGAGGCAGAGGCTGCAGTGAGCCGAGATCGTGCCACTGCACTCCAGCCTGGGCAACAGAGCAAAACTCTGTCTCAAAAAAAAAGAAAGAAAAAAAAAGATTATGCGGGCGGACATGGTGGCACGTGCCTGTAGTCCCAGCTACTCAAGAGGCTGAGGTGGGAGGATCACTTGAGCTCAGGAATTCCAGGCTACAATGAGCTATGATTGCACCACTGCACTCTAGCCTGGGCAACAGAGCAAGACCCTGTCTTGTAAGAAAATAAAAAAGAAAGAAAATAAATAGAACTGGACTTTGAACGATGGCTGGGAGAAAGTGAGGCAGATGTTCATACAGGGGTCCCCTCGCAAGTAAAGGCAAGAGGCAGAGAGGAGACGAAAAAGGAAGGTGCTGGGGGTCAATTGGCTGGGTGGGGCATGGCAAGAGGTGAACCTGGGGGGCTTAGGGTAAAGGGCTCCCTCCGTGAGTATTTCTTTTTTTTTTTATTGTTATTATTGAGATGGAGTCTCGCTCTGTCTCCCATGCTGGAGTGCAGTGGTATGACTTGGCTCACTGCAACCTCTGCCTCCTGGACTCAAGCAATCCTCCCCACTCAGCCTCCCAAGTAGGTGGGATTACAGGTGCCCACCACCACACCCAGCTAATTTTTCTGGTTTTGGTAGAGATGGGGTTTCACCATGTTGGCCAGGCTGGTCTGGAACTCCTGACCTCAAGTGATCCACTCACCTCAACTTCCCATAGTGCTGGGATTACAGGCGTGAGCCACCGCGCCCGGTCCTCCGTGAGTATTTCTGAGCACTCATTGAATGTGACCTGCGATGCCTGCTCCTGCACCAGGATGCAA
The DNA here is from genome assembly GCF_000001405.40 of Homo sapiens. Taxonomy (NCBI): domain Eukaryota; kingdom Metazoa; phylum Chordata; class Mammalia; order Primates; family Hominidae; genus Homo; species Homo sapiens. Next base: position 2,877,079 of record NC_000007.14, on the reverse strand, counting down.
TTCCAGGACCTGGTCCCCAACCTGGAAGTTCAGGACCCAGCTCACCTCACTGGCAGGGCCCAGGCCAAGACCAGCCGGGGCACAGCCCGGGCACAGCTCCACGGGGCAGCCAGCATTCTCACCCTCTTGCACTGGGCCCTGACACTTCCAAGGTGACATCCTTCCCAGTCCTGTGTGCCCTTTGGTGGGACCAGGGATGCCAGCCCCTCCCCAAAGTGACCCCTGGAGGGGCCGGGCTATTCTCTGCTGGCTCACTGGGCTTCTTTGTGAGTTGAAATGTATTTTTTTTTCTCTTTCCTAATTAACTCCCTGCCACCCCACTTGCAGTAAAGTCTGATTTATCTCTGGCTCTCTGCATTCCGGGGACGGGCTATTTAATCTCAGCCGCGTGGACTCCAACCCACTGTCTCAATGAAATGCAGATCCTTCATCCTGCCAGCATCCTGCCAGCCCCACTCCATCCTCCTGCTGCCCGTGGGCTCAGCCAGCCCAAGCTGCCGCTGCCGTAAATTCTCTTTTATAATAACACCCTTTGCCCTTTGGCCACACCTGTCAGCACGGCCTGGGACTCTGCCGGGCCACAGCTGGCTGCTCACTTCTCTGGGCAAACCGGGCCTCAGGCAGCGCCCCGCTGGGAAGCCAGCAGCTGCCCCCAGGCGTCCACCTGCCTGGTCCCCTATGGCCAACACTCTTGGTGCTCAGCCAAGTCTAGAGGTTACCTGCAGGCAGTCCCCACATGAGCCCGCTGGGGTGTCCTCAGGCCAGGACCACACACAGACCGTTCACGGGGCAGGCCAGACCAATCTTTCTCCGCATGAATCAGCTCACTGCACTGCTCCTGCACCAGGGAGGGGCCGGAGTGGTACAGGAGGCTGATTCACGGGGAAAAAGAAGCCTGATTTGTAACATCCGCTGATGTCTGTGGTGTCAATACTCCCACCGTGGCTGATGGCCAGATAGTGATGTGATGCCTGTGAATGCCACATTGGGAGGAAAATCCCAGGGCTCCGAGACACCTCCAGGCAGGAGGGGGCGGGTCAATGCCGCAGCTCCTCACGCCTCACGGGGGCAATTCTCAAGCACATTCCACACAGCCTCTTGGAGGGAGGGGTGCCACCAAGACTGAGCCCCAAGTGCCTGCAGCTACAACCTTCTCTTGTGAGTTGAATTATATTCCCCAAAAGATATGCGCAAGTCCTAACCATTGGTAACTGCAAACATCACTTTATTTGGAAATAGCATCATTGCAGATGTAATTAGTTAGATGAGGATACACTGGAGTAGGAAGGGCCCTAGCCCGGTGAATGGAGTCCTTATCAGAAGAAGGAACTTGACCGGGCACAGTGGCTCACGCCTGTAATCCCAGCACTTTGGGAGGCCGAGGCAGGCGGATCACTTGAGGCCAGGAGTTTGAGACCAGCCTGACCAACATGGTGAAACCCTGTCTCTACTAAAAATATAAAAATTAGCCAGACATGGTGGCACATGCTTGTAATCCCAGCTACTCAGGAGGCTGAGGCAGGAGAATCGCTTGATCCTGGGAGGTGGAGGTGATCCTGGGAGGTCAGCCGAGATTGCATCACTGCACTCCAGCCTGGGTGACAGAGTAAGACTGTGTCTCAAAAAAAAGAAGATGAAGATGAAAATTTAGACCCAGACACACAGAGAGAACATCCTGTGAAGACACAGTCGCACCCATGCATGGGGAAGAAGGTCGCGTGATGACGGGGGCAGAGATTGGAGCGAGGCATTCACAAACCAAGGAATGCTGGGAGCTTCCAGAAGCAGGAAGAGACAGGACGGATCCCCCTAGAGCTTCCAGGAGGACAAGGGCCTGCAGACACCTTGAATTTGGGCTTCTGGCCTTTAGAAAAGTAAGAAAACAAACTATGGTTGTTTTCAGTCACTCCGTTGTGATTTGTTACAGCAGTAAAAGGAAGTTCACATGCCTTCCATGTCTTACCCTTAATAGCCTTCCTCCCGCCCTGTCTCAGCTCTCACGTCTTTATGGTGTTCCTGGGGTCACCTCCCAAATAAACCACCTGAACCTGTGTCCTTGTCTGAGAGTCAAGGAGCACATTGGACTCACAATCTGAAAGTCCTGCTCCAGGTCCAGCCTCACCATGCCCAGGTGTGGTACCGTGGGCAAATCCCACACCACACCCCACCCCTGCCTCATCATCTGTAAGTGGGACATTAAGGACTCCAACAGGAGAAGGTTGCTGTGTCGGCGGGTGCAGTGGCTCACGCCTGTAATCCAGCACTTTGGGAGGCCAAAGTGGGAGGATCACTTGAGGCCAGGAGTTTGAGACCAGCTGGGCAACACAGGGAGACCCCATCTCTACAAAAATTTAAAAGTTAGACAGGGCTGCTGGTGTGAGCTTGTGGTCCCAGCTACTCAGGAAGCTGAGGCAGGAGGATCACTTGAGCCCCAGGAGTTTGAGGCTGCAGTGAGCCACGATGGTGCCACTGCACTCCAGCCTGGGTGTCAGAATGAGACTTTCTCAAAAAGCAAAACACAAAACAAAACAAAACAAATGGTCACTGTGAATGAAAGTGTTGTGGCCTGAACAGATATGCAGTTGTGTTGACAGCCTGCCCAGGAAAGCTTGCATCAAAAGCTCACACAGCCAAGTGACTTTGACCCTCCCTTCTCCTGTGGTCCTCTGAGTCCCTAAAGGATGACTGGCAGGCAGGTTGCCCTCATCAACACATCACCATTTGGGGCCTCCCAAGTCCCCACCCAACATTCTCATCCACCTGCCTTTGGTCTCTGATGGTTCTTGGGGGTCTTCCTCCCACAGAAGCAGGGGTTTGATCAGTTTTGGCCAGGTGGCTGTATCATCCCCGAAGAAAGCAAAAGGACCTGTATGTTACCCCCACACAGAACAGAGTAGATAAAGCAAGGATGGAGGAGAATAAAATCTACTTCAATCTACCGTCATTATGAAAAACATTGTTTCATCTCCCGCAGGCTCTTCCTGAGTTTTCCCATGATGCCCAACTCTTCTCTTAGTTATGGTGAGTTCTTTTTTGTTGTTGTTGTTGTGGAGGGATTTTTTTCTCCTCCCTACACTTGTCTTCCATGGCCCGTACCTCTCCACCGCATCTGACAATCTGCACATGTTTAAAACCATGTTGGACATGGGGTTTAAATTTCTTCCCAGGAGACTCCTGGGCCATATGCAAATCAGAGGGCTGTGGCTAAAGCCAGGAGGAGCAAACAGGAAAACAACAGAAAGGATTTTCTAATTCCATAGGCCAGTCTAGATCCTGTACATGAGTCAGCTTTGGCTGCATAACAGCCGCGAAAACCTCAGCTGCAGAAAACAGTATGTATTTCTTGCATCCTGATGACTTAGACTGGACTCCCTGGGCTTGGCTCCAAACTGCAGGTGAGGCTCAGCCCTGTGGCCTGGCAGGCTAGCCCAGGGCTGTTCTTCTCATGGCGAAAAAGAGGTGGGCAAGAAGGCAAGCCCCATTAAGAAGTGCGTGTCAAGCCTCTGCTCCTGCTACATCCCCCTCAACAGCCCACTGCCCAAAGCAATCTCTCAGCAAAGCCCAAACTCGAGGTGCAGGGAAGGGAACAGTCATGAATGATAACAGCACCCGCCACTGCCCACAACATATGCACATCACAGAGTTTGGTGCTCCAGTTCTCATCACAGCATAAACTTGCTGACCGAGTTTCCGACAGTTGAGACCAGACATCATTGACTTTGCGGGAAGAAAGCCCTGGCTTCTCTCTACTGAAGTGTCGCTCCAGTCTGGCCTCTTGCCAGGACAGAGGAGGTCATCCCTGACGGAACTGTGATCAGCGTCTCTCAGCCTCAGTCCCTGCTGACATATCCTCAGAACCTTGCTATACTGGACCTCACAATGAATAATCAGGCGATGAATAATCAGACCTCTTCTCGCCATGGCCAGAGCCTAACTGGGGAGACAGGTGAGCCTGCCCTCCATGCAGAAACAAAAATAAGCACCAGAGCAAAGGTACAGGCCAAGTGTCCTGAACACTTAAGGATGGGGTGGGCCGGGCGCGGTGGCCCACGCCTGTAATCCCAGCACTTTGGGAGGCCGAGGTAGGTGGATCATCTGAGGTCAGGAGCTCGAGACCAGCCTGACCAACATGGTGAAACCCCAACTCTAATAAAAATACAAAATTACCCGGGCGTGGTGGCACATGCCTGTAATCCCAGCTACTTGGGAGGCTGAGGCAGGAGAATTGCTTGAACCCAGGAGGCAGAGGTTGCAGTGAGCCGAGATCGCGCCATTGTACTCCAGCCTGGGCAACAAGAGCGAAACAACATCTCAAAAAAGAAAGAAAAAAAAAAGGATGGGGTGAGGAAGTTGATGCATGCAAATGGGAAGGAAGGAACATCTGGGCTGGGTTTCAAAGGGTGAGTAGGAGTCTGACAAACAGGAGAGGAAGGACACATCCTGGGGAGAGCAAGAACAAGGCCTGAGCATGGGCAACTTACATGGCTTTTTTTTAAATTATTTTTTGTCTGTTTCAGGATTTGTGTGCAGGGCAGGACCATCTTGCCGGAAGCGTGCTGTTACCATGGCACCCAACACGGCATCTGGTGTTACGTGAACATCCTCCTCTGACTGCGAACAGATGGGTGGATTGTTTTTCCAGAAGGATGAGCTCTATTTCATGATGAAAATCACCCAGGTGTTTTTGCACAAATCATAGGTTTAGTCCCCCAGATGCGTTTTTTACTGAAGTCTCTGGCTGTGTTCCTCACAGCCCAGAGGCCTGATGTGCTCTCTGTCTGCATTCAGCCACCGTCTGGGTGTGGGACTCAGAGTGAGCCTCAGCCCAAGTACCGCCACCCCATGTGGAGTGAGGAGATTGCACTAGACCGGTGGTGTTTCTCAAACTTGGACCACTGGTGTTTCTCAAACTTGGACCACTGGTGTTTCTCAAACTTGGATGGGTGTAAGAATCATCAGGAAAGTTCATAACATGCGGATTCTTGGACTCTACCTCCAGGTATATTTTGATTCTACAGGTCTGGGCTTGAGGCCTGAGTATCTGTGTTTCTAATAAGCTCTTGGGGGATGCTGCTGGCTTAGGGTCACTCTGGACTCAGACCCCAGACCCCTGCTCACCTGGACCTTCTCCAAACCTTGCACTGGAGAGAAGGTTCTTGAACCTCATCCTGGGGCAGGCACCCATTCCCTGAGAATCCCACTCTACCAGACCTCAAAATGAATAATCAGGCAATGAATAAGCAGATCCCCTCCCACCATGGCCCCAGCCTAACTGTGGAGACAGGCAAGCCTGCTCTCCATGCAGGAACAAAAATCAGTGCTAGAACAAAGGCACAGATCGAGCTGTATCTGGCAGGAGTGGTCAGAATGCCAGAGAGAGAGAGCTCAGGCAGCATTCCCAAGGCAGGTGGTAGACCCAGGGCCCCAGGGAGCGTTCAGCCAGTGGCAGGGGTTTGGGTTGAGCTGGTCTGCCCACTGGAATCAAAGTGGGCTGGGACACAGGACCAGAGTCCCAAATACAACCCTCGGGCTCTGCAAGCCTGGCCCATGTCACGTTCACTGCGCCCGCAAGCCATGAGTCCTGCCCTCAACTTGCGCCTGTGATGCTGTCCTCATCCAGTCCCAGAGAGATGATCCACCTCGGGGCCCTGCATAAGCCCTGGCCTCTGACACTCAGCCCCCATCTCCTTTACACTGGAAATGTCTCAGGTGTCAGCCCTCTCCAGGAAGCCTCCCTGACCCCAGTCCCTTGGTCGGTGCTCCCTGACCCCAGTCCCTTGGTCGGTCCATTGCCTAGGATGGAGTGCAGTGGTGCGATCTCATCTCACTGCAACCTCCGCCTCCCAGGTCCAAGCGATCCTCCTGCCTCAGCCTTCCCCGTGGCTGGGGCTGCAGGCAGGCACCACCACGCCCTGCTAATTTGTGTATTTTTAGTAGAGATGGGGTTTCACCATGTTGGCCACGCTGGTCTCAAACTCCTGACCTCAGGTGATCCACCCGCCTCAGCCTCCCAAAGTGTTGGAATTACAGGCGTGAGCCACCGGCCCCGGCATTTGGTCAGTGCTTTGATGCATGTGTCACATCAGCCTTTGTGTCACCGTCGGGGTGGCCCTGGAGGTGCACGGCTCTGCTTTCCCTCCCAGAGTCACCCTCCACAGGAATGCAGTAGCACCTGGGGCCTGGCAGCTCCTGCCCCACCCGGGACCTTGCTAGAGCTCCCCGTGGGCCTGGAGAGGACTTTCTCACAGCTGCACTGCAGCCTGGGGCTCCTCCCACTTAACCCTCCTTCCTTCCTCTTCTCCTCTGGCAAACACAAGCCCTGCGTCACGGTTGGAAGTTGGTCCCCGCCCACCCTGCATCCTCTCCCTGTATCCTGCTTGGGCATTGCGTTTCATCAATCTCTTGCTCATTTCTTCTGTCTTGACGTCTGCCTCCCAGATGACCAAAGTGACACAGGTAACGAAATGAGTCTCTCTAATGAGTTCCCTAAAGTCCTGGGCCTCCGAGGGCTGCAGGCCCTGCCTCCTCTTACTCATCGCTGACTCCAGGCACCTGGCCTAGAGCTTCACAGGGGCTCAATAGCTTCCTGTCCTGCTCAGGCAGAGAGGGGCAGGCAGGGAGGGTCTCACACTCCAGGGAAGGGTGCTGCCTTTGCAGAGTTGAAGTGGAGTGTGTAGGGGGTGGTGGGGGAGTCCTGGGAGACCGTCAGCCACTCCTTGTGCACGTGGGAAAGGGGGACCCGGACAGGACGGGAGGACGCAGGGTGTGAACAGCATCGGACCCCACAAAGCACCCCTGGCGCACAGAGGTAAGGTCTGCTGGCTCAGGTATCACTAAAAGCCACAGAGTGGCTCACCAAGCCCAACAGGGCCCAGACCAGGCGCTCAGCTCTCACTAGGTCCGATCCCCGCCTCGCCTCTGAGCTGTAGCCCTCTGTGCAGGGGGGGCGCACTCCTGCCCATGGCAGACAGACCCCTCCACTGGGACACACGGGGCCACCACAGCCCAGCGCCCTCTTTCTCCTCCAGGCAGGGTGGACTCTCCTGGGTGGAGACTGATATGGTGAGGCTTTGCGCCTCACCCAAATCTCATCTTTTTTTTTTTTCCTTTGAGACTGAGTCTGGCTCTGTCACCCAGGCTGGTGTGATCTCGGCTCACTGCAGCCTCTGCCTCTCGGGTTCAAGCGATTCTCCTGCCACAGCCTCCCACGTAGCTGGGACTACAGGCACGCACCATCACTTCTGGCTAATTTTTGTATTTTTAGTAGAGACAAGGTTTCGCCATGTTGGCCAGGCTGGTCTCGAACTCCTGACCTCAAGTGATCTGCCCACTTCGGCCTCCCAAAGTGCTGGGATTACAGGTGTGAACCACCGCACCCGGCCCCAAATCTCATCTTGAACTGTAATCCCCATAATCTCCACTGAGTCATGGGAGAGACCAAGTGGAGGTCATTGAGTCACGGGGATAGATTTCCCCCAAGCTGTTCTCGTGAGAGTGGCTGAGTTTTCAGGAGATCTGATGGTTTTACAAGGGGCTCTTCCCGCTTCACTCAGCACTTCACCCTCCTGCCACTTTATGAAGAAGGTCCTTGCTTCCTCTTCACCTTCCATCATGATTGTAAGTTTCTTGAGGCCTCCCAGCCATGCTGAACTGTGAGTCAATTCAACCTCTTTTCCTTTATAAATCACCCAGTCTCAGGCAGTTCTTTATAGCAGGGTGAAAACAGACTAATACATAGGCCTACCCCTTGGGCCACGTTACTGTTGCCAAAGATGTGAAGAGGTCCGGGTTACAGGACCATGCCCCTGGGTGGGTGTGTGGGTGGGTGTGTGGGTGGGTGTGTGCACGTGCGTGCCTGCAATGCTCCTGTGACTATGCGTGGCTGTGGTGTACGTGCGTTCGTATGTGACTCCATGGGGTACATCCGCGTGTGTATGTGTTTGTGTATGGCTTGGAAAGGCCCCACCAGAACTGGAATGGAACATGGGGAATCCCCTAGAGGAAACTGGAAGCCTCTGCTTTAAGGGTTATGATATGTTAATTCGCTGCGTTTAATCATTCTACGACGTATACATGGATCGAAGCATCACACGGTGCCCCTTAAATAGACGTAATTATTATTTGTCAATTACAGAAAGAAAGAATTGCCCTAAATTAATTAACAAATGCAGCATTTGCTAGCGAACTAGGAAATAAGGTGGAGAAAACAAGATTTAACCCTTATTTAAATCGAGACATCTTGTATTTTGAAAATGCAATCGAGTATTTTATTTTTAATAGAGATGAGGTTTCACCATGTAGACAGATTTTAAGTGTTCTCACTACAAAAAATAATAAGCATGGGAGGAATGCATATGTTAATTTGCTTGATTGAACCATTCTACAAGGTATGCGTATTTCAAAACATTGTGTTGTACATGATAAACATATCAATTGCTATTTGTCCATTTAAAGTAATATAAATAGCTGGGCACAGTGGCTCACACCTGTAATCCCAACAGTTTGAGAAGCCAAGGCAGGAGGATCACTTGAGCCCAGGAGTTCAAGATCAACCTGGGCAACAAAGTGAGACCCCCATCTCTACAAAAGTCAAAATAAAATTAGCCAGGTGTGGTGGTGAACACCTGTAGTCCCAGCCACTTGGGAGGCTGAGGTGGGTGGATCACTTGAGCCCAGGAGGTAGAGGCTGCAGTGAGCTGTGACTGCGCCACTGTACTCCACCCTGGATGACAGAGTGAGATCCTGTTTCAAAAAAATTTTTTTAATTAAAAATATAAATAGGCCAGCACAGTGGCTCACACCTGTAATCCCAGCATTTTGGGAGGCCAAGGCGGGCAGATCACTTGAGGTTAGGAGTTTGAGACAAGCCTGGCCAATATGGTGAAACCCTGTCTCTGCTGAAAATACAAAAATTAGGCTGGTCGCAGTGGCTCACACCTGTAATCTCAGCACTGTGGGAGGCCAAGGCAGGTGGATCGCCTGAAGTCAACTGTTCCAGACCAGCCTGGCCCACATGGCAAAACCCCTCCTCTACTAAAAATACAAAAATTAGCATGGTATGGTGGCACATGCCTGTAATCCTAGCTATTCAGGAGGCTGAGGCGGGAGAATCGCTTGAACACAGAAAGCAGTTAGCTGGGATTGCACCACTGCACTCCAGCCTGGGCAACAGAGCAAGATTCTGTCTCAAAAAAAAAATTTTACATGTATATACATATATATGTGTGTGTGTGTGTGTGTGTGTGTGTATATATATGAATATTTATAGGCTGGGCACAGTGGCTCACACCTTTAATCCCAGCACTTTGGGAGTCTGACGCAAGTGGATCACCTAAGCTCAGGAGTTTGAAACCAGCCTGGCCAACATGGTGAAACCCCGTCTCTACTAAAAATACAAAAATTAGCTGTGCATGGTGGTGCTTGCCTGTAATCCCAGCTACTTGGGAGGCTGAGGCAGGAGAATTGCTTGAACCCGGGAGGCGAAGATTGCAGTGAGCTGAGATCACACCACTGTACTCCAACCTGGGCAACAGAGCGAGACTCCATCTAAAAAAAAAAATATCTATCTATCTATCTATCTATATATATATATATATAGAGAGAGAGAGAGAGAGAGAGAGAGGCATTTAACAGGAAGAAAAGAACGCAAAATTGTGACCACTATGTTATAAAGGAAAATGTAGTACCCCACCCCCAGGCTGCAGGGGAGGAGGAAGCCCACATGTGCTGGATACCTGGAGATAGGTGGTGATATGGTTTGGATGTGTGTCCCTCCAAATCTCATGTTGGAATGTGATCCCCAGTGTTGGAGGCAGGGCCTGGTGGGAGGTGTTGGATCACGGCAGGCAGACCCCTCACGAGTGGCTTAGCCACATTCGCTTGGTGATGAGTGAGTTTTTGCTCAGTTTACATGAGATCTGGTTGTTTAAGAATCTGGGTTTAAGAGCTCTGGTCGTTTAAGAGTCTGGGGCCTCCCCCTTCTCTCTCTCACTCCTGCCGCCTGTACCTTCCGCCATGATTGGAAGCTTCCGGAGACCTCACTAGAAGCAGAAGGCAGCACCGCACTTCCTATACAGCCTGCAGAACTGTGAGCCAATTAAACCCCTTTTCTTTATCAATTACCCAGTCTCAGGTACTCCTTTATAGCAATGCAAGAACAAACTGGCACAGATGGCACCCAGGGAAATGGGAAGCCAACCCAGGGAATGGGAAGTCAACCTTCCACCCAGGGAAGGGCACATCTCACTAACACAGAAGGCACCTGGCAGGGGTCCAAGAAAGACGGTCCCCAAGTCTCCCATGGCCCCCATGGGAGCACGGGAGGATGTGAGGCCGGGAAATTAGTCAGGGACTGCTAGCAAGATGCAGAGAAAATGCCCTCCACAGAGAACCAGGCACCTCTGGGATAACCAGCATGGAGGGTGGGGGATGGCACATGACAATGTCCCTCCAGGAGACATCTGTGTTGGAGGGGGAACTGGAGCCTCCCCAGGGCCATAAGTTTATACCACCCCCTAGAGCATACCTGCCACGCCAGGTGAGCAAAGGAATGCTCAGAATTGAGCTTAAATGACCAAGTTCATCTGGAATTGGCCAAGATGACATTTTCCATCATCAGTCTGAAAAGGGGCTGGAAATAACGATTAGGTTGGGTCACAGAAAAACACAGTCCTAGCCGGGTACAGTGGCTCATACCTGTAATCCCAGCACTTTGGGAGGCTAAGGTAGGAGGATCCTTTGAGCTCAGGAGTTCAAGACCAGCCTGAGCAATATGGCAAAACCCCGTCTCTACAAAAAATATAAAAAATTAATGAGTCAGGTGTGGTGTCAAGCACCTCTGGTCCCAGCTACTCAAGAGGCTGAGGTGAGAGGACCGCTTGCGCCCTGGAGGTTGAGGCTGCAATGAGCTGTGATCCCACCACTGCACTCCAGCCTGGGCAACAAAGCGAGACCCTGTCTCAAATAAAAGAAAAAAGGGCCAGGCGTGGTGGCTCACACCTGTAATCCCAGCACTTTGGGAGGCCAAGGCATGTGGTTCACTTGAGATCAGCAGTTCAAGACCAGCCTTACCAACATGGTGAAACCTTATCTCTACTAAAAATACAAAAATTAGCTGAGCGTGGTGGTGGGCACCTGTTATCTCCAGCCTGGGCGACAGAGAGACTTGGTTTCAAAAAAAAAAAGAAAGAAAAAAAAAAGGAAAAAAACACAGCCCTGGTTTTGCTTCACTCAAGTACATGGAATAAGAAACGCTTGCCTGCTGGCCAAGTGACCCTCCCACAGCGGTCAGGAAGCTTCTAGAACCCGGTTATGTTGGCTGAAAGCAGAAATGGCCAAGTCAACCTCAGTGTGATATTGAGGGGGCTCCTGGGGCTGGAAGCATGCACCCCAAACTTAGACCCCGGCAAAAGGAGTGGGGAAGATGCCGGTGCCATGAGGGCAGGAAGCTGAGTTTGTTGCTAGGGGCCTGGGAGTGTTCCCGGAGGACGGGAGCCCTGTGAGGGGCATCTGGCGGCTGACACTGATGAATGGCTGTGCCGGGCCAGCCTTACCTGGGCAGCCAAGGCCAAAGCTTGGGGGCAGGAGGAGTGGCAGTGACACGGCTGCAGCTGGATGGAATCCGGGGCCTGAACCCCAGCATCCCCTCCCTGACACCCTACAGCTACCCATAGCCGGGGAGGTGGGGAGGTGCCGGCCCTCGGCCCACAATGCTGATCACATCTGTCTGGTTCTGAGGAGGAAATCCAGGACCTAATGAGAACAAATGGCAGCCTGGATAACTCATCTGTGGTCACAGATGAGATTTCCCCACCCGCTGCACCCCTAATTCAGCAGAGGCCATCTATGGGTTTCCTTGTGTGGCATGAGCGACACCTGGTGGTCACAGATGGGAATTTCGAGTCATGTTCTTCAGGCTGCTTGGGACACCCCACCTGGACCCCATCCCACTCTGGGCAAAGGCAAGACCACCACTGAGCTCAGGGTGCACCTGAGACTTGGCCGCAGCAAGGAGATGTAGATACAAGGATCACGTCAGAAGACGTTTCATTCATTCATTCACGTTCCCAAGCATTTAGTGAGCGCATACCAGGTATCAGGAAGAGATGAACAAAATGGTTTTATGAAGTTTGCATCCTAATGAGGAAAGCAGATAACAAGCATGTAAATATCAGATAATTCCTTACTGTTAAGTGCTGTGAGAATTCACAAGGTTCAGAAATTGAGTCAAAAATCTTTCTCAGTACCCTCAATAAGCTTCATCTCAGGCCGGGCGCAGTGGCTCACGCCTGTAATCCCAACACTTCAGGAGGCCGAGGCGGGGTGATAACTTGAGGTCAGGAGTTTGAGACCAGCCTGGCCGACAGTGAAACCCCGTCTCTACCAAAAAATAGAAAAATTAGCCAAGCGTGGTGGCACATGCCTGTAGTCACAACTACTCGGGAGGCTGAGGTGGGAGAATCATTTGAACCTAGGAGGCAGAGGTTGTAGTGAGCTGAGATCTTGCCACTGCACTCCAGCCTGGGCAACAGAGAGAGACTCTATCAAAAAAAAAAAAAGTGTAAGCCTCATCTTAGCTGAATCCCTGGACACTTACCTTGCCACAGGTCCCAGGCCCCAACCTCAGGAACTTTATATGGACTCTTGCGAAAGTGAGGCAGTGGAGTGACTGGGCAACGGATGTGGAATCAGGAAGACCTTGGGTTCCAATCCTGACTCTGCCACCTCCTAATTTTGTGGCCTTGGGCACATTACCTACCTTGTCTCAGCCTGTTTCCTCAACAGAGAAAAATGGGAATTACAACAGGACCTTATTACAGGACCTACCTCCTAGTTACAAAACTTAATGCCATAACTTACGGTCAGAAAAGTGCTTGGAGCATCTCCAGACCCAGAGAACCACTTGCAGTAAATATTAGCTGCTATTGTTATTGATATTACTATTGTGCCGACACTCCAGACCTTCTCCTCCTCCTCCTCTTCCTCCTCTTCCCCTCCCAACCCCAGAAGCCAGGAGAAAGAGGAAGGACCGCAGCCAGTCCCCCCGACCTCTCCCCTCCTTCTCCAGGGCTCTCCGGCCAAGGCTAAGCCAGCCCTTCAGTGGGGGACAAGATGAGTGCGAAATTGCATGTGAGATGGCAGTTTCAGACTCAACCAGACTGGCCTTTCTATTGCCCAGAATTACCCAAGCTGAGGCTAAGGGACAGGAAGCAGAGATTGGAAAGGGCAGGGCTGACGGGAGTGAGTCACTGGTGGGGAGAAAATGAACCACTTCCTGTGTGTTCCCACAGAGGTCAGGGCCCTCAGCAAACAGCGACAGGCTACAGGCTCGTTCTCCGGGCCTGGAGGAGGCTCGGTGCCCAGCGTCTCCGGAGGACTGGCTCTTCCCTCCGCCTGGGGAGTTTGCGGGCCCCAGACACAATCCCCAGGGAGGGGCTCGGCTCTGGACAGCCTTGGCCTCTTTCCCCAGATTTCCCCAGCACTCACACTCTCGGGAGGCTCAGGGTCTGTACTGAGAAGGGCCCTTGCTCGGCGTGGTGCTCTGCTGTGGCTGTTTTGAAATTCGTAATACTTTTTGGACAAGAGGCCCCACATTTTCATTTTGCACAAATTGTGCAGCCGGTCCTGAATCATTGCTGGCTTTCCAAGGTCACAGCCAGCAAATGGAACTAACTCCAGGGCTCCTGGTCATCTGTGCCCCCACAGATACCTTCTGGGGGTCTCTGAGGTCAGGCGCCCTCACCCTCCTCCTTCCCTGGAACACGGGCGACCACTGCCCACTTTGCCGCTGCGGCACCCTGAGCGCCGTGGCCCGTGCAGACCACCAGAGGAAGGATCCCGGGAGCCAGGACAGGGCAAGGAGGTTACTTGTTGGGGCAGAAACATGGCTACTGGTCCCCTAGGGCAGAGAAGACTGCAGGAAGTGGGGAAACCTGCCAGACAGCCACCCTGGGAGAGGAGGAAGACCTGTCATCCAGTAGCAAAAAATGCAAGTTCCGTGGTGGTCTAGCGGTTACAGGGAGGGAAAAAAATGCAAACACTTAGCGAGCACTGCCAAGGCGACCGGCATGTTCTGAGTTCATTCTCTGCATTTACCCCTTTATCTCCACCGGGTCACTTCCGTTTTACAGAATAGAAAACCAAGGGCCGGGTGCGGTGGCGCACACTTATAATCCCAGCACTTTGGGAGGCCGAGGAGGGCGCATTGTGAGGTAAGGAGTTCGAGACCAGCCTGGCCAACATAGTGAAACCCCGTCTCTACTAAAAATACAAAAATTAGCCAGGCGTGATGGCACACAACTGTAATCCCAGCTACTCAGGAGGCTGAGGCAGGGGAATTGCTCAAACCCGGGAGGTGGAGGTTGTGGTGAGCCAAGATCCTGCCACTGCACTCCAGCCTGGGCAACAGAGAGAGACTCCGTCTCGGGAAAAAAAAAAAAAGAAAACAAGGCACAGGGAGGTAAGGAAGTTGTTCAAGAGCCTACAGAGCTAGTGCCTGGCAGAGCTGGGGTCTACGCCAGGATGCACTTTGCACCCTGCCTGTTCTCCATACGTTAACTCGAATCTGTCCAATAACCGTACAGCACTTATTAGTACTGACCGATCATCTGTGATGTCTTAAGGGTAATGGGTAGAATTGTACTTCCTGGGACCTTAGCTGGGAGAGGCATAACTAGTACTGTATTAGTTGGGGGTTCTCCAGAGAAACAAAACCAGTAGGAGATTTTTTTATATGTAATTAATAAATTATGTATACACACACACACACACACACACACACACACTCTCAGCCCCTCATAGCTGCTTGTTCTGCATCTATGGATTCAATCACCCAGGGATGGAAAATATTTCTTAAAATAACAATACAACAATAAAAAATAAACACCTTAAAAATACAATCTAACAACTATATTTATTGATTTATTTATTTTCGAGACCAAGCGTTGCTCTGTTGCCCAGACTGGAGTACATTGGTGCGATCTCAGCTCATTGCAGCCTCCGCCTCCCAGGTTCAAGTGATCCTCCCACCTCAGCCTCCCAAGTAGCTGGGATTACAGGTGAGCACCACCGTGGCTGGCTCAATTTTTCTTTTTCTTTCTTTTTTTTTTTTTTTAAGACAGGGTATCACTCTGTGATGGCACATGCCTCCACGCTTGGCTAATTATTTTGTATTTTTATTAGAGACAGAGTTTCGCCATGTTGGCCAGGCTGGTCTCAAACTCCTGACCTCAAGTGCTCTGCCTGCCTCGACCTCCCACAGTGCTGGAATTACAGGGGTAAGCCACCACACCCGGCCATTATCTTTTTTTTTTTTTTGTAAATTTTTCTTTAGTGGAGATGGGGTCTCACTATGTTGCCCAGGCTGGTCTGGAACAGCATTTACATTGAATTAGGTATTACAAGTAATCTAGAGATTATCTAAAGTGTACAGAAGGATGTGCGTAGGTTATATGCAAATACTACACCATTTTATATTAGGGACTTGAGCATCCAGGGATTTTGGTACCCATGGGGGATTCTGGAACCAAGTCCCCATAAATACTATGAGACAACTGTAATATATTTATAGTTATTCTATAACATAATATAATACCAAATATATTAATGATATTATATACATACACTGGTAACGGGATTTTTTTTTTTTTGAGACAGAGTTTCATTCTTTGTTGTCCAGGCTAGAGTGCAGTGGCGTGATCTCGGCTCACTGCAACCTCTGCCTCCTGGGTTCAAGCGATTCTGCTGTCTTAGCCTCCGAGTAGCTGGGATTACAGGCACCCGCCACCATGCCCGATTAATTTTTGTATTTATTTATTTTTTTTTTTTTTTTTTAGTAGAGACGGGGCTTCACCATGTTGGCCAGGCTGGTCTTGAACTCCTGATCTCAGGTGATCCGCCCACCTTGGCCTCCCAAAGTGGGAGGCCTGGGATTACAGGTATGAGCCACCACGCCCAGCCGGGTTTTATTTTAATAAATTGGCTCACACAATCTTGGGGGCAGGCCAGTCTGTAGTCTGCAGGGCAGGCTGGCAAGCTAGACACCCAGGCAGGAGCTGGTGCCACAGTCTTGAGTCTAGAGGAAAAATTTCTTCTCCAGGAAGCCTCAGTGTTTGCTCTCAAGGAACAACAAATCAGATGAGGCTCACCCACGTTATTGAGGGCGACGTCCTTTACATAAAGACAAGTGGTTGCGGATATTAACCACGCCTCCCAGGCACCTTCACCACAATGCCTCCATTCATGTGTGATTAAATAATTGATTAGGATCTTAGCCAAGCAGACACACGCAACTCCTCAGCACCGTTCTGTCCAGTACGCTGTGTGCAGAACTCGTGTGTCACTTGCAGGCCGTGCACCTGTCAGCACAAAACTTTCCCAAGCTCTTTCTTTCTCTTGGCTCAGTGGCCAACAACGTTCAAGACAGTGGCTGCTGCGTCAGCCTGGATCCTGGGGTGAGATGATATGGAAGAGAGTCCCCAAACCAGAAATAAGTCTTGGGTGTTAAAAGCCATGAAAAGGGCCGGGCGCGGTGGCTCACATCTGTAATGCCAGCACTTTGGGAGGCCGAGGCCGGCGTATCATTTGAGGTCTGGGCAACATGGTAAAACCCTGTCTCTACTAAAAATACAAAAAAATTAGCCAGGAGTGGTAGAGGGGGGCACCTGAAATCACAGCTACTTGGGAGGCTGGGGCAGGAGAATTGCTCGAACCTGGGAGGTGGAGGTTGTGGTGAGCCAAGATCCCGCCACTGCACTCCAGCCTGGGCAACAGAGCAAGACTCTGTCTCAAAAAAAAAAAAGCCATGAAAGGCAGCTCCCTCCTTCGTCACCACCGGGCTGATCCTTACTCATACCACTCCCATGTGGCACAGAGTGTCACAGTTCAGAGCATGGGCTCAGGGCCACCTGTCTGTCTTTGAATCCTGGCTCTGCCTGTAACTGGCTGTGTGATCCTAAGCAAATTCCTTAACCTCACTGGGCCTCGCTTTTCCTTATCTGTAAAGTGGGAACAATAAGAGTATGTACAATAGCACAATAGGACTAAAATCAAGATCCAAGGAGATAATACACATAAAGTCCTAAGGAGAGTGCCCGGCACAAAGTCGGCTCTCAAAAAATGTTAATTATTATCACTATCATGATCTTCATATGACACGAGATACAAATGACGCAGTGACGTGAAACCTCTCGCTCAAAATCACACGCTCGGTCGGGCCCAGTGGCTCATGCCTGTAATCCCAGCACTTTGGGAGGCTGAGGCAGGCAGATCCCCTGAGGTCAGGAGTTCGAGACCAGCCTGGCCCATATGATGAAACCCCTATCTCTACTAAAAGTACAAAAATTAGCCGGATGTGGTGGTGGCAGGCACCTGTAATCCCAGCTACTTGGGGGTGCTGAGGCAGAAGAATCACTTGAAACCAGGAAACGGGGGTTGCAGTGGGCCAAGATTGTGCCACTCCAGCCTGGGTGATAGAGCAAGGCTCCATCTCCAAATAAATAAATAAATACATATATAATTATATATATTATTTATATATAAATATATATATTATATATATAATTATATATAAATTTATATATAATTATATATAATTATATATAAATTTATATATAATTATATATAATTATATATAAATATATATAAATATATATAAATATATATATATATATATATATGTGGTGATTGGGCCAGAGGGCTCTACCCCACAGGTGGGATTATAAAAGGGTGAGTTCAGCTCCCTTTTGACTCTCTTTGTCCCTCTGCCATGGCAGGTTGCAGCAAGAAGTCCCTTGCCAGATGCTGGTATTGATTGATTGATTGATTGATTGACAGGGTCTCACTCTGTTGTCCAGGCTGGAATGCAGTAATGTGACCGTAGCTCACTGCAGTCTCAAGCTCCTGGGTTTAAACAATCCTCCAGCCTCAGCCTCCTGTAGCTGGGACTACAGGCACACGCTAGCAGGCCTGTTTTGTTTTGTTTTTTTAATTTTTTGTAGAGACTGGGTCTCACTGTGTTGGCTAGGCTGGTCTCGAAACTCCTGGCCTCAAGGAATCCTCTCGCTTCGGCCTCCCAAAGCACTGAGATTATAGGTGGGAATCACTGTGCCCAGCCAGGTGCTGACATTTTAATCTTGGACTTCCCAGCCTCCAGAACTGTGAGGAAATCAATTTCTATTCATTATAAATTCCCCAGCCTCGGGTATCCTGTTGTAGCTGCACAAATGGACTAAGACACTGGCCATGAGCACAACAGCTGCGACCAGCCCCCTTGGCATCTATCTCTAAGTTCATGGATGCCTCTTCATGCCTCTTTCCTTCATGGCTGAAGCAGACATTTGTTGAGGGGCTTCTGCCGGGGACAGTGGAGTGCCTCTGAGCTGTTCCTGTCCCCTGCCTGTCCCCACGCCAGGTTAGCCATGCACTAATGCATGTGTCTTCTAAAGGGACTGAACACAGATCTGGCACTTAAAAGAGATTCAAGGATTTTGCATGTTACAGATGAGGAAACTGAGGCTCTGTTTCTGACATGGGGCTTTGAGAGGGCTGAAGGGGTAAGCATCCACTCTTTGAGGTTTTGTGTTTTTTTTGGTTTTTTTTTGTTTTATGTTTTTTGTTTTTTGTTTTTTCAGACAGAGTCTTGCTCTGTCACCCAGGCTGGAGTGCAGTGGTGCAATCTCAGCTCACTGCAACCTCTGTCTCCCGGTTCAAGCAATTCTCCTGCCTCAGCCTCCCAAGTAGCTCGGATTACAGGCATGCACCACCACGCCTGGCTAATTTTTGTATTTTTAGTAGAAATGGGGTTTCCCCATGTCGGGCAGGATGGTCTCAATCTCCTGACCGTGATCTGCCTGCCTCGGCCTCCCAAAGTGCTGGGATTACAGGCATGAGCCACTGCACCCAGCCTTTTTTCTTTTCTTTTCTTTTTTTTTTTTTTTTTTGAGACAGAGTTTCACTCTTGTTGCCCAGGCTGGAGTGCAATGGTGCAATCTTGGCTCACTGCAACCTCTGCCTCCCGGGTTCAAGCGATTCTCCTGCCTCAGCCTCCCAAGTAGCTGGGATTACAGGTGTGAGTCACCATGCCTGGCTAATTTGGGTTTCACCATGTAGACCAGGCTGGTATCAAACTCCTGACCTCAGGTGATCCACCCACCTCAGCCTCCCAGGGTGCTGGGATTACAGGCATGAGCCACTGTGCCTGGCCTTTGGGGGGTTTTTGGCTTTAGGATGAACCAGACAGAGGCAGCGCTCAGGGACGGAAGAGCCACAGTGGCAAACACACAGGGGACGCAGACAATCAGTGGCTGCTGTAAATATCCGTGGAACACGGTCGATCTCAACGAGGGGCCGGGCTATGAGCACGGTCTCCCTGGAGACACTTAGCTATCCTCAGGGCACCTCGCAGGGGCTGAGGCCCTGCAATTATCCAGGTGCTGGTTTCCATGGCAACAAAAATCAGAAGGTAAAGTCAACAGGACCTTGTTTATTCTTGCAACCTGTGAATCCAGGGAGAATACAGGCAGCACCAGGGTATTTGACTAAAAACAACATCCCATTCCCCAGACAGGCTAGATAATAAAGCAGCTCCTGGCCTGTCACCTTTAACACGGGGAAAGCCCTTTCACCCTAGAACTACAGTTGCAAAGAAATCAGGTAATAGATTTTGTTTTCATCAGACCAGGCATGGTGGCTCAAGCCTGTAATCCAGCACTTTGGGAGGCTGAGGCAGGTAGGTCATCTGAGGTCAAGAGTTCAAGACCAGCCTGGCCAACATAGGGAAACCTCATCTCTACTAAAAATACAAAAATTAGCTGGGCGTGGTGGTGCACACCTGTAGTCCCAGCTACTCAGGAGGATGAGGCAGGAGAATCACATGAACCTGGAGGTGGAGGTTGCAATGAGCCAAGATCACACCATTGTACTCCAGCCTGGGCAATAGAGTGAGACTCCCACCATCTCAAAAAAAAAAAAAAAAAAAAATTGTATTCATCAGCTATTGCCATAGTAACACTGCATAACAAACTATCCTAAATCCAATGGCTTGAAACAATAGCCACTTCTTCTCAGTCACATGCCTTTGGTTTGACTGCGAATCAGCTGATCTAGGCTGTGCTCAGCTGGGATGTGTTGGGTCCAGGCCTGCTGTGTGTGTGTCTAGGTCGGCTGTGTGTACCTCTAGGCCTGCTGTGTGTGTGTCTGGGTCTGCTGTGTGTATCTCTAGGCCTGCTGTGTGTGTGTGTCTAGGTCTGCTGTATGTGTCTCTAGGCCTGCTGTGTGTGTGTCTAGGTCTGCTGTGTGTATCTCTAGGCCTGCTGTGTGTGTGTGTCTAGGTCTGCTGTATGTGTCTCTAGGCCTGCTGTGTGTGTGTGTCTAGGTCGGCTGTGTGTATCTCTAGGCCTGCTGTGTGTGTGTGTCTAGGTCTGCTGTGTGTGTCTCCTCCTCCTCGGACGTCTCCTCTCCAGGGCACAAGAGGCCAAGCCAACCCAAATATGGCATGCCTATTTCAAGCCTCTCCTTGCCTCATATCTGTTGATATCCCACTGGCCAAGGTAAGTTACAAGGTCAAGCCCAAAGACAATGGGAGAGGAAGAACACTTCTGCCTGCTGGGAGTCAGTGTCAAAGGTGTGAATGTATAGTCCAACTATAAGAGAGTGAAGAATCAGTAACAGTAATTCAATCTACAGTTTTTGAAGGCTACTCTATTAGCCTATTTTGATGATACAACAAGAAGGACCAGAGGAAGTCATATTGCACAGCAACCTGCCCCAGACAGAAAGGAATATGTTCAATCCAGGGCATAGTGGCTCATGCCTGTGATCCCCACACTTTGGGAGGCTGAGACAGGAGGATTGCTTGAGTCCAGGAGTTTCAAGACCAGCCTGGGCCACATAGTGAAACCCCCATCTCTACAAAAAATAAAAAGTTATCCAGGTGTGGTGGCACATGCCTGTAGTCCCAGCTAGTCAGGAGGCTGAGGCAGAAGATCACTTAAGCCTGGGAGGTCGAGGCTGCAGTGAGCTATGATCACACCACTGCACTCCAGCCTGGGTGACAGAGTGAGACCTTGTCCCTAAAAGAAAAAGAAATACGTTCAATCCGAGCAGTAAGATAGTTAAAATATTTTTAAGAGACCTTTAAGATTATTAAGGATGGCCAGGCATGGTGACTCACGCCTGTAATCCCAGCAATTTGGGAGGCCAAGGTGGGAGGATCACTTGAGGCCAGGAGTTTGAGACCAGCCTGGCCAACATGGCAAAACCCCGTCTTTAATAAAAATACAAAATAATTAGCCAGGCATGATGGTATGTGCCTGTAATCCAAGCTACTCAGGAGGCTGAGGCAGGAGAATCGCTTGAACCCAGGAGTCAGAGGTTAAAGTGAGTCTCATGGAGTGGCAGGCTGGAAACATAGCTTGGCTTCCATGAGCTATTCTGCTTGCCCTAGGTTAGTCCCATCCTTGGCCAACACCCCGCAAAAGGTTTGGTTTGCACCTGCCTGGTGCTGACATCATTAAAGGTCTCACACCTGACTCACTTGGCCACGCTTGAGCCTCTTGTATCCTGTTAGCCTTTTTCCTTCATAAGGTTTGTTTTGCTGTTCTTTTTCTAAGTCCTCCTTTTTCTTTTTTCTTTTTTTTTTTTTTTTTGGAGACTGTCTCACTCTGTCGCCCAGGCTGGAGCGCAGTGGCGTGATCATAGCTCACTGCAGCTTCAACCTCCCTGCTCAGGCGATCCTCACACCTCAGCCTCCCAAGTAGCTGGGACTATAGGCGTGCACCACCATGTCCAACTTAAGTCCTTATTTTGCATGTTGACATGCTGACATGCTGACATGCTGACATGGTGAGCTCAATAACATGCAACTGTTCTTTTTTTTTTTCTTTTTTTTTTTTTGAGACGGAGTCTCACTCTGTCAGCCCCCAGGCTGGAGTGCAGTGGCGCGATCTCTGCTCACTGCAAGCTCTGCCTCCCAGGTTCACTCCATTCTCCTGCCTCAGCCTCCCAAGTAGCTGGGACTACAGGCAGCCGCCACCATGCCCGGCTAATTTTTTGTATTTTTAGTAGAGACGGGGTTTCACCATGTTAGCCAGGATGGTCTCGATCTCATGACCTCGTGATCCGCCCGCCTCGGCCTCCCAAAGTGCTGGGATTACAGGCGTGAGCCACTATGCCCGGCCGCAACCATTCTTGTTTTATAACATAAGTCTGTAAGCCTATGAATTTCCCACTAGTTTCAGCCTTAGCTACATCATGAACGTTTTGATATGTAGTAATGTCACTGGTGTTCATTCTTAAATAGATCAAATTTTCTTTACATTTCATCTTTGCTTGATGAGTTTATTTAGAAGTGTATTTTTAACTTATGTATCTGTGGAGTTTTTAGAAGATATCTTTTAATGATTTCAAATGTAATTGCAACATGGTGAGAGAATGTGGCCTGTATGATACCACTCCTTTAAAATGTATTGAAACTTGCTTTGTGTCCTAGTATTTGGTCAGTTTTTGAAAATGTTTCTTGTATTTGAACAGAACATGTATTCTCTAATTCTTGGACACTGTATTAGTCTGTTCTCAAGCTGCTAATAAAGACATACCCTAGGGCCGGATGTGGTGGCTCACACCTGTAATGCCAGTGCTTTGGGATGTCACACCGGGCAAATCAAGAGGTCAGGAGTTCGAGACCAGCCTAACCAACATGGTGAAACCCCCATCTCTACTAAAAATACAAAAATAGGGCCGGGTGCGGTGGCTCAAGCCTGTAATCCCAGCACTTTGGGAGGCCGAAACGAGCAGATCACGAGGTCAGGAGTTTGAGACCAACCTGGCTGACATGGTGAAACCCCATCTCTACTAAAAATACAAAAATTAGCTGGATGTGGTGGTGTGTGCCTGTAGTCCCAGCTACTTGGGAGGCTGAGCCAAGAGAATCACTGGAACCCGGGAGGCAGAGGCTGCACTGAGCTGAGATCGCACCACTGCACTCCAGCCTGGGTGACAAAGTGAGACTCTTTCTTGGAAAAAAAAAAAAAAATACAAAAATTAGCCAGGCACGGTGGTGTGCACCTGTAATCCCAGCTACTCAGGAGGCTGAGGCAGGAGAATTGCTTGAACCCAGGAGGCGGAGGTTGCAGCGAGCCGAGATTGTGCCACTGCACTCCAGCCTGGTTGACAGAGCAAGACTCTGTCTCAGAAAAAAAAAAAAAAAAAGACATACCCAAGACCAGGTAATTTATAAAGGAAAGAGGTTCAATTGACTGACAGTTCCACATGGCTGGGGAGGCCTCACAATCATGGTGAGAGAGTAAGGGATGTCTTACATGGTGGCAGGCAAGAAGAACTTGTGGAGGGAACTCCCCTTCATAAACCATCAGATCTCATGAGACTTGTTCACTATCAGCACGGGAAAGACCCGCCCCATGATTCAATTACCTCCCACCAAGTCCCTCCCACAACATGTGGGAATTATGGGAGCTACAATTCAAGGTGAGATTTGGGTGGGGATGCAGCCAAACCATAGAAGACACACAGTTCGAAATGTATTTATTAGGCCAAACTTGTTCACTGTTGCTTCAGTGATCTGTTGGTGCATAACTAACCACTACAGATTTTAGTGGCTTAAAACACTATTTTGTCATGAATCTGCACCCTGGGCTGGACTCAGCTGGGCAGGCAGGCTAATATTTCCTACGACTGTATTCTGCTAGCAGATTGACTGAAGGCTTGGCTCAGCTGGGACCTTGGGATGAGTAGGACTCTCTTCCTCCCCACGTACTCTCAGGCCCTTTACCTCTCCCATGGGTCTCTCCAAAAGAGTAGCTGGACTTCCTACATGACTCACAGGGCTCCAGAAACACAAAAACAAAGCTATCAGGCTTTCTTAAGGCTTAGACTTGGAACTGGTAGAATATTGCGTCTGCCACATTCTATTTGTCAAAATAAGTTCCAGCCCAATCCAGATTTAAGTGGAGGGGTTACACAAGGGAATGGATACCTGGAGAAGTGGTTCATTTGGAGACTACTCATATATTAGACTGCTACAATTGTATTTTTCAGCTGTTTGAACTATTAATTACTAGAAGAGATATACTTAACCCACACTCACACCCAGCAGTGAGGATGGATTCCTCAGTTTCTCCTTTATGTTCTCTTAGTTTTGAGCCTTTATTTTTTTTTTTTTTTTTTCAGACAGGGTCTTGCTCTGTCTCCCATACTGGAGCGCAGCAGCACAATCATGGCTCACTGCAGCCTCAGCCTCTCCAGTTCAAGTGATCATGCCCCTTCAGCCACCCAAGTAACTGGGAAATAGCCATGTACCACTATGCTTGGCTAATTTTTTAAATTTTTGTAGAGACAGGGTGTCACTATATTACCTGGGCTGGTCTGGAACTCCTGAACTCAAGCAATCTTCCTGCCTTGGCCTCCCAAAATGCTAGGATTATAGGCATAAGCCACTGCAGCCAGCCTGGCCTTAAATATTTGAGGCTATATTATTAGGTGCATACAAGTTTAGAATGGTTATACCTTGCTTTTATTGCATATATGACCCTCTCTATCACTAGTAATTCTAATTCTTTTAGGCTTAAAATCTATTTTGCCTTCTATTAATATTGATATGCTATACTTATTATGGTTAATACTTGCGTGGTAAATCTTTCTCCATTCTTTTACTTTGATCTTTGATCTTTTCTGGGTCCTTAATGGGTGTGTCTCTTTTTTTATTTATTTTATTTATTTATTTTATTATTATTATTTTTTTTAGACAGAGTCCCACTGTGTCACCAGGCTGGAGTGCAGTGGCACAATCTCGGCTCACTGCAACCTCCAACTCCCTGGTTCAGGCTATTCTCCTGCCTCAGCCTCTTGAGTAGCTGGGATTACAGGCACGCACCACCACGCCCAGCTCATTTTTTAAAAATATTTTTAGTAGAGATGGGGTTTCACCATGTTGGCCAGGATGGTCTCTATCTCGTGACCTTGTGATCCGCCCACCTCATCCTCCCAAAGTGTGGTGTGTCTCTTATAAGCATATAGCTGGTCTTTGTTTATTTTTATTTTTTGTTTATTTTTTGAGATGGAGTCTCACTTTGCTACCCAGGCTGGAGTGCAGCGGTGCGATCTCGGCTCACTGCAATATCTGCCTCCCAGGTTCAAGTGATTCTCCTGCCTCAGCCTCCTGAGTAGCTGGGATTACAGGCATGTGCCACCACACCTGGCTAATTTTTGTATTTTTATTAGAGAGGGTTTCACTATATTGGTCAGGCTGGTCTCGAACTTCTGACCTCAGGTATCCACCCACCTCAACCTCCCAAAATGCTGGGATTACAGGTGTGAGCCACTGTGCCGGCCAGAAGGTCAGATTTACAAGGGTTCTGCAGATGCCCCTGAGGCAGCTAGAGGCCTCACAGTGTGTCAGTTTAACTCTGAATTTCTGCTTTCACTTTGATTTTAGCCTCTGAGGCTTTCTTACTCAGCTCAGTAACACTTAAAAAAAAAAACAAAAAAAAAAACCTTCTGTGTGGTTTGTACAGCATTTTAAATTGTTGCTGCAGGAGGGTTGATCTGAGTGTTTTGCTCACTATACTGTCAGAAAAGGGAATCTATTATTTCTTTAAATATTTCCTCCTCTCCATCTCTTTCCCCTTCCTCTTGGAACTCACAGTTCACATATTAGAACTCCTGGATCTCTCCTCTAACTGTCCTGCCCTTCCTCTTATAATTCCCATCTCTTTATACTTGTTCTCTGGGTTTTGAGATTTTTTTTTTTTTTAATCTTCTAGGTCTCTTGTTTTGTTATCAATGTTTACCATTCCCTCTTCCATTAATTTTTTAAAATTATGATTTGCTGTTGTTGTACAATGTCTTTTCTTTTCTTTCTTTTTCTTTTCTTTTTTTTCTTTTTTTTTTTTTTGAGACAGATTCTCACTGTGTCACCCAGGTTGGAGTGCAGTGGCATGATCTTGGCTCACTGCAACCTCCATCTCCTGGGTTCAAGCAATTCTCCTGCCTCAGCCTCATGAGTAGCAGTGATTACAGGCGTGCACCACCACACCCGGCTAATTTTTGTATTTTTAGTAGAGAGAAGGTTTCACCATGTTGACCTGGCTGGTCTTGAACTCCTGACCTCAGGTGATTCACCTGCCTCAGCCTCCCAAAATGCTGGGATTACAGGCATGAGCCACTGTCCCCAGCCAAATACAATGTCTTTTTATGCCATTGACAATTCTTCTAAGGTGGAACCATGGTGATAGTGATGGTGGTGATGATGAAGATGGTGATAGTGATGCTGATAGTGATGGTGGTGATATGATGATGGTGATGGTGGTGATGATAGTGATGGTGGTGATAGTGATGGTGGTGATGTTGATGGTGGTGGTGATGGTGATAGTGATGGTGATGATGGTGATGGTGATAATGATGGTGATGGTGATGGTGATGGTGATAATGATGGTGGTGATAGGGTGATAGTGATAGTGATGGTGGTGGTGGTGGTGGTTATGATGTGATGGTGATAGTGATGGTGGTGATTATAGTGATGATGATAGTGATGGTGGTGATGGTGGTGGTGATGATGGTGATGGTGATGATGCTGATAGTGATGGTCGTGATGATGGTGTTGGTATTGGTGATAGTGATGGTGGTGATGATGGTGACAGTGATGGTGGTGATGATGATGATGGTGTTGGTGTTGGTGATAGTGATGGTGGTGATGATGATTATGATGATCTGATGGTGATGGTGACAGTGATGGTGACGATGATGGTGATGGTGATAGTGATGGTGGCAATGATGGTGATGGTGATGATGCTGATAGTGATGGTGGTGATTATGGTGGTGGCGATAGTGATGGTGGTGATGATGGTGGTGGTGGTGATGATGGTGATAGTGATAGTGATGGTGGTAATTATAGTGATGGTGATAGCGAAGGTGGTGATGATGATGGTGGTGGTGGTGATGATGGTGATGGTGATGATGCTGATAGTGATGGTGGTGATGATGGTGACAGTGATGGTGGTGGTGATGATGATGATGGTGCTGGTGTTGGTGATAGTGATGGTGGTGATGATGATTATGATGATCACGATGGTGATGGTGACAGTGATGTGACAATGGTGATAGTGATGGTGGTGACAATGATGGCGATATAAAGTTTCCATTCATTCATTTACCATTATGTGAGATATCCTACTTTTTCTTCTTCTCTCTGGCACCTCGGTCCCCTTAAGTCTATTGACATTTTCTTATTCTCACTCATAGCTCTTTGGCTTTCAGGGGGAGCCTTTAGGGTCTCCTATGCAGTGGAGAAAGGTAAGGTAACAGGCAGGATGCCACTCCTGTGATGAGCACCAGGAGGAAGGGAAGAGGTCTCAGAGCTGAAGTTGTTGGCAGCTCCCATGTTCAGGGATGGGGGAAATCTCCCAGTCCTCTCACCCCACAGAGCTCTCAGACTGTACTAGTTCGTTTTCACGCTGCTGATAAAGGCATACCTGAGACTGGGCAATTTACAAAAGAAAGAGGTTTAATGGACTCACAGTTCTATGTTGCTGGGGAGGCCTCACAATCATGGTGGAAGGTGAAAGGCACTTCTTACATGGCGGCAGATAACAGAAGAATGACAGCCAAGTGAAAGGGGTCTCCCCTTATAAAACCATCAGATCTCGTGAGACTTATTCACTACCACAAGAACAGTCTGGGGGAATCATGGGGGAAATCACCCCATGATTCAATTATCTCTCATGGGTCCCTCCCACAACATGAGGGAATTATGGGAGCTACAATTAAAGATGAGATTTGGGTGGGGACACAGCCAAACCATATCACCCACATTCTCCCCAGGCCAGAAAGGCCCTACTAGGACCTCAAAAGGAGACTGCATGCATGGGACCTAAGGGGATCCTGTTCCTATTGGGAATCCCAGCGTCTTGGGCCCTATACCAGGCCTCTGAGTTCCTGATCCCCTCACTGCTGGCCCACTGGAGAGTGAGAGTCCCTGTGGCTGCTTCCTTTCCTAGAGATTTCAGGTGAGCTTACCGTGTCACATGAAGGTTTCAGGCCCTGCTGTCGGACTCCCCCTTCCTGGCTTCTCCTTAGCTCCAGAGGTGGAACTGAATACAAGTTGGGAGGAACATTCAGTCTATTCCTCCTACTCTCTACCAATTTTTTTTAACAGCTGGTAGACCAAGAAAGCATGTCTGTGGGCCATCTATTTACACATTTTAGTCTTGCATATTCTTTTTAGGAATAATATGTTATTTTGTTTGTTTTTTGAGACAGTCTCGCTCTGTTGCCCAGGCTGGAGTGCAGTGGTGCGATATCAGTTCACTGTAACCCCTGCCTCCTGGATTCAAGCGATTCTCCTGCCTCAGTCTCCCAAGTAGCACGTGCCTCCACACCCAGCTAATTTTTGTATTTTTAGTAGAGAGAAGGTTTCACCATGTTGACCTGGCTGGTCTCAAACTCCAGATCTCAGATGATCTGCCCACCTCGGCCTCCCAAAGTGCTAGGATTACAGGCGTGAGCCACCATGCCTGGCCAGGAATAATATGTTATTGTACTTATATGGATGTACCTTAATTTATTTGACCAGACCACCTCCCAGGTTTTAATTTTTAATATCATACCATACAAGGTATTGTCTTTATAGATTCTTCCCCAGCCTGCCACTATTATTCTAAATTTGCAATACCCGATTCCCAAAGCTCCACGATGATAATAATAACAATATGACCATTTACTGAGGGCCTGTTATGTGCTAAGGTCCAGTTCTAGGACCTTATCTGTATTAACTTATTTAAGGTGTAGTACAGCTTTATTTTCATCCTGATTTTACAGACAAGGAAACTACGTCTCAGAGATACTGTATGACTTGTTGAAGGTCACACAGCTGGTAGGTGATGGAGCCAAACTTCAAAGTTCTCATGTTTTTCTCCATCCTATTATACACAGAGAATGCTGTGTGTCAGACTTCCAGTTCGGGGTTTGCAGTGTACTAACCATACTTCCCTTGCCAGGAGAGCTTAGCCACCTGGATTCAGATACTGGTAAGGCAGTCACCTTTCCCCAGCAGTGTAGAGAGGGCAAATGAGATAATGCACCTGTAAGTACTTCAAAACTTTTAGCATGCCGTACAAACAGAAGGGATAATTAAGAGATTATTGTGGACTATGCAGATAACCTTGTTTATTTAAAGCACCTTAGCCCATTGACACGTGTGGAGATGTCCAGAGACCTGGTCAAATCCTCAAATCGAATATTGCCGACAGCAGAAGAATTTCTCCCATAAAATGCCATAATGTGTCATTTAAAAATGTAAGTAACTCTTGGCCAGGCCCGGTGGCTCACACCTGTAATCCCAGCACTTTGGGAGGGCGAGGCAGGTG
The DNA here is from genome assembly GCF_000001405.40 of Homo sapiens. NCBI lineage: Eukaryota > Metazoa > Chordata > Mammalia > Primates > Hominidae > Homo > Homo sapiens. The sequence goes on along the minus strand of NC_000007.14, from coordinate 2,847,704 downwards.
GATCACTTGAGGTCAGGAGTTTGAGACCAGCCTGGCCAATGTGATAAAACCCCACCTCTTTTAAAATACAAAAATTGGCCAAGCATGGTGGTGTGTGCGTGTAATCCCAGCTACTCAGGAAGCTGAGGCAGGAGAATAGCTTGGACCTGGGAGGCAGAAGTTGTAGTGAGCCGAGATTGCACCACTGCACTCCAACCTGGGCAACAGAGCTGCATCACAAAAAAAAAAAAAAAAAAAAAAAAAAAGAAAAGTAAATAACTCTTTAAAATGTTTAATGATTACATAAACACAAGGCATAAAGCTATAAAGATTTAAAAAAAATAGAGACAGAGTCTTGTTCTGTTGTTCAGGCTGGTGTGCAGTGGTACAATCATAGCTCACTGCAGCCTCAAACTCCTGGACTCAAGCAACCCTCCCACCTCAGCCTCCCACCATACCTGGCTTATTTATAAGGATTTAAAGTTAGTTGTGAGTGCTGTCTGGAGCACTTGCTGAAACTGTTTTGTGAATCAGTTTTTCTTAATTTCTTAAAACTGAATGAGGAATAAACCCTGTGTGAACTGGATGAGCCAAAAACCTGTTCTGAATTCTAGTCCACTCTTTAGTGATTCAAAATTCCCTATTTCTGTCTCAGAAACATTGCTTTCTTTGGATTCTCCAATTTCTCCTCCCTTCTATTTCAATACTAGTGTTTGGCCTTTTTTTTTTTTTTCTTTTTTTTTTTTCTTTTTGAGACAGAGTCCTGCTCTGTTGCCCAGGCTGGAGTGCAGTGGTGTGATCGCAGCTCACTGCCACTTCAGCCTCCTGGGATCAAGCAATTCTCATGCCTCAGCCTCCTAAGTAACTGGAATTACAGGCGTTCACCACCATGCCTGGCTCATTTTGGTATTTCTAATAGAGATGGAGGTTTCACCATGTTGGCCAGGCTGGTCTCAAACTCCTGGCCTCAAGTGATCTGCCCACCTCAGCCTCACAAAGTGCTGGGATTACAGCCTCACAAAGTGCTGGGATTACATGGTGTGAGCTACCATGCCAGACCTAGTATTTGGCCTTCCCGTTTTTGTTTTTTTTTTTTTGTTTTTTTGAGGCAGAGTTTTGCTCTTGTTGCCCAGGCTGGAGTGCAATGGTGCGATCTCGGCTCACTGCAACCTCCGCCTCCCGGGTTCAATCAATTCTCCTATCTCAGCCTCCCCAGTAGCTGGGATTACAGGCGCCCGCCACCACACCCAACCAAGTTTTGTATTTTTTAGTAGCGACAGGGTTTCGCCATGTTGGCCAGGCTGGTCCTGAACTCCTGACCTTAGATAATCTGCCTGCCTTGGCCTCCCAAAGTGCTGGGATTACAGGCATGAGCCACCGTGCCCAGCCATATTTGGCCTCCTATGGGAGGTCATTTCCACAAACAAGCAAGACTTTCTAATCATTTTCCAAGGATTACAAAATCTTGACTCATAAGTGATACAAATTCATGGCATGATTTGTAGTATTTGTAGCAAGTGACAAATAATACATATTATGTGCATTCAAGGTTGTCAGGGAGTTGGTTTTTGTTTTGTTTTGTTTCTGAAACAGGGTCTTGCTCCGTTGTCCAGGCTGGAGTACAGTGGCACGATCATAGGTCACTGCACCCTTGACCTCCTGGGCTCAAGTGATCCTCCCACCTCAGCATCTCAAACTGCTGGGACTGTAGTTGTGAGTCACCGTGCCCAGCCTTCTGGGGAGTTTAGATCTGTGACTAAGCAAAAAGAACAAATCTGGAGGCATCACTTTACCTGACTTCAAACTATACTATAAGGCTATCGTCACAAAAACAGCATGGTACTAATATAAAAATAGGCACAGAGACCAATGGAACATAATAGAGAACCCAGAAATGAAGCCAAATACTTACAGCCAACTGATCTTCAACAAAGCAAATGAAAACAAAGTGGGGAAAGGACAGCCTATTCAGCAAATGGTGCTGAGATAATTGGCAAGCCACATGTAGAAGAATAAAACTGGATCCTCGTCTCTCACGTTATACAAAAATCAACTCAGGATAGATCAAAGACTTAAATCTACAACCTGAAACCATAAACATTCTAGAAGATAACATCGGAAACATCCTTCTAGACGTTGGCTTAGGCAAAGACTTTGTGACCAAGAACCCAAAAGCAAATGCAACAAAAACAAAGATAAATAGATGGGACTTAATTAAACTAAAAAGCTTCGGCACTGCAAAAGAAATAATCAGCAGAGTTAACAGACACCGCACAGAGATTGGACTTTGGGGACTCAGGGTAAAAGGTGGGGGGTGGCGAGAGATAAAAGACTACACACTGGGCCAGGCGCGGCGGCTCACGCCTTTAATCTTAAGGGATACCTGAGCTCCTTCTAGGAGGTTCTGATTCAGTAGATCTGGGAGAGTCAAGAATCTGTAATCAGCTGATCTCTATCAAGAGCTGATTTTGGGCTAGCTCACGTGCTAAGTGTTTGGTAAGTTCATGTTCTCAGTTTATATCTTCATGACGATTTGAGCAATGTCAAGCCATAACCAATGTCGTCAATGACACCCCCGTTTTACAGATGAGGAAACGGAAGCTAAGAACATCCAAAAGGGTTTGTTGGGGGGGGTGGGGAAAGCTGCTAAAAAAAGTTATGCAACTAGTACACCTAGTAACTGGTCGACTGGAGATTCCAACTCAGGCCCAGCAACTCCAGACCCCACTCTCTCAATCACTGTGAGACATAAGACTTTTGGGGGAGCTTCTGGTGATTTTAGTGATTAGTCAGCTTTTCGCAAAGCCTCCTAGAAGCCCATGCCACTCTCAAAGGGTGCATGTGTTTGAAATTTATGGCCCATCCCCCTCCAGTGTTTCTGGAAGGAAAATAGTGTAGAAACAAGATCATCGGAGGGAATACGACGAGCAGCTGAACCTCTTATCAGCATTTCCCAGCCTTTGGGCTACTCCGCGAGGTCCTGGTCTCACAGGCGGACCCAATCTGGGAACCAAGGGAGAATCTTTCTGTACACCTGGCACTTCTCGTCACGCCCCGTCCCCCGAACACCCAATCCAAAGCCCGTTGGGCACGTCTGATGTCCACTCAGAGCAATTATAATTGGCCATGGCGGACGATCGCTCCGCCTCCCGGGCGACCCCGCCTCCCTTTCATTCTGAAAGAAAGAACCTCAGCCTGGGCGTCCAATGAGAAGCGCCTTCACCTCAAAGATCCCGCCTCTTTCGGCGTCGACCCCGCCCCGAGGCCGGAAGGGATGCCCGCCTCCCTTGGCGAGATGAGCCAATCGAAGGGCTCTCACGGCCAGATGGACGGCAGCCGGCCCAATCCGCCGGGCCTCACGCGGCGCCGCCCGCCCCTCCGCCGGGCCCGAGTGGCGGCCGGGCGACGAGTGCGGGCCTCGGAGCGACTGCAGCGGCGGCGGCGGACGCGGCCTGAGGCGAGCGGCGGGGCGTGGGGCGGTGCCTCGGCCCGGGCTCGCCCTCGCCGGCGGGAGCGTCCATGGCCCCCGGGCGCCGGCGGGGCGCGGCCGCGGCCTGAGGGGCCATGTCCGGGGTGGTGCGGACCCTCAGCCGCTGCCTGCTGCCGGCCGAGGCCGGCGGGGCCCGCGAGCGCAGGGCGGGCAGCGGCGCGCGCGACGCGGAGCGCGAGGCCCGGAGGCGTAGCCGCGACATCGACGCGCTGCTGGCCCGCGAGCGGCGCGCGGTCCGGCGCCTGGTGAAGATCCTGCTGCTGGGCGCGGGCGAGAGCGGCAAGTCCACGTTCCTCAAGCAGATGCGCATCATCCACGGCCGCGAGTTCGACCAGAAGGCGCTGCTGGAGTTCCGCGACACCATCTTCGACAACATCCTCAAGGTGACGCGCGCCCCCCGCCCAGCACCTGCACCCAGGTGGGCCGGGGCGCTAACCCCCGCCCCGGGCCCCTCCGTGGTCCGCCGCCGCGGGCGGGGACCCCTGGGGCGAGGATGCTGGATCCAGCCCCGCCTGCACCCCACTCCCCCCCGACCCATTCCCCGAGGCCTGCTGGCGTCGTCTCTGCCCCACCCCGTCTCGCCCTTTTTGAGATGGGGTCTCGCTGTGTTTCCCAGGCTTGAGTGCAGTGGCGCCCTCACAGCTCACTGCAGCCTCGACCTCCCAGGCTCAAGCCCTACTCCCTCCTTAGCCTCCCGAAGTAGTGGGATTACAGGCGCGCACCACCAGCCCAGCTAATTTTTAAGTTTTTTTTTGTAGAGATGGGGTCTTGCTGTGTTGCCCAGGCTGGTCTCAGTCTCCTGGCCTCAAGTGATCCTCCTGCCTTGGTCTCCCTCAAGTGCTGGGATTATAGGCATGAGTCATGGCGCCCGGTCTGCCTCTGCCCTCTCTAGGGTGCCTGGGGACCGTGGGAGTGGGAACTCGGGCCAGCTTCTGGGGATGGGGAGTGGGGGCTTGGCACTTAGCCCCCTCCTGGATGTGCCCTAGCAGAATGGTATCTGTCCATTTCCCACTGGAAGATTTGTGGGATAGGAGCCCAACCGGCCGTGCCCTCCGGCTGAGCTTAGAAGAAGAGCAGTGGAGACTGGACGGGAACCAGCCATGAGTCTCTTTTTACTTTTCTGTTTTTTTAGAAAGGCTCTCACTCTCTTGCCCAGGCTGGTCTCAAGCCATCCTCCCACCTGGGCCTCCCAAAGTGCTGAGATTACAGGTGTGAGCCACACTTTCTAATACGAAAACTTCAAATGTATACAAAAGTAGAGAAAATAGTAGATTGACTGTAAAGTACCTACAGCCCAACTAAAGCAGTCATCAATTCTGTGCCAATCCTATTCACCTGTGCCCTCCCCATGGTCTCCAAGCAAATCCAACTTTGTGTAGTTGGATTAGGAAACGTTTTAGGATGTATATGAGTGGCTAAAAGATGAGGCCTCCATGTAAAAACACAACCGCAGTACCATTAGCAAACCTAAACATTAGTAATAGCTCATTATCACCAGATATCCAGTGTTCAGAATTCCTCCATTGTGGCATAATTGTTTTGTGTGACTCGACATGCATTGCAATGAATCTCCAGATTCTCCTGTCTCTTGCTTCCTTTTTTCTCTTCGCCATATTTGTGAAAGAAGCTGTAGAAGTCGGCCAGGTGTGATGGCTCGTGCCTGTAATCCCTGCACTTTGGGAAGCTGAGGCAGGAGGATCACTTGAGGCCAGAAGTTTGAGACCAACCTGGGCAACACAGCAAGACCTCAGTGCCACAAAAATGAACACATTAGTTGGGCATGGTGGAATGCACCTGTAGTCCCAGTTGCTTGAGCGGCTGAGGTAGGAGAATTGGTTGAGCCTGGGAGGTTGAGGCTGCAGTGAGCCATGTTTGGGCCACTGCACTCCAGCCTGAGTGGCAGTGAAAAAAAATAAAAGAACCATAGAGTTGATAAAGTCGGGGTTCCAGTCTCTCAGTACCGTGAGCCTGTGTTAAAGGGCCTCAAGGAAGATCTGGAGGAAACTGATGATGAGGGAACAGTGCAGCCTTGCTTACACCTAGATAGCGTCCTTTGTCCTCCCTCCCTTTTTCCTTCCTTCCTTTCCTTCTTTTCTTTCCTTCCTTTCTTTTCTTCCTCCCTTCCCTTCCTTCCTTTCCTTCCTTTCCTTCCCGCCTTCCTTTTCTTCCTTTCTTTCTACCTTCCTTCCTTTTTTCTTTTCTTCCTTCCTCCCTTCCTTTCTCCCTCCCTCCCTACCTCTCTACCCTTTCCTTGTCCCCTCACCACTTTTTCCCCAGCCCATTTTGGGGAAACCAAGTTAGAGGCGAGGACAATCATCTCAAAGCAGAGTCGGAGAGAAGTTTGCCATGCCAGAAAACCTGCCTGGAGACTAGGTTTTATGGTGCCTGGGAGATTTTAAATTTAGCAAAGCCCCGTAGAAACCTATCGGGTACATTTGTATCACTTACCCATAAGGACTCCTGCCTCAGCCCTAGAGATGAAGTGACTCCTTCCTGGGGTCTCTGTGCTGGAATCCTGGCCTCCAGACTTCCAGGCCAGTATTCGCACTTGACATACTTCTCATGGAAATGTTTCATTTTAATAGAGCTCCTTTAGGATTGTGAAGGGAAGAAAATAATTTGATAAAACACCCTTTTTCATTTTACCTCTTTCCAAGCCTCTCGGTGCGTCAGAGCTCTGGTCAGATACTTCGTGAACTTTGAAGACTAGGTGCCCAGCTTAGCTCACTGGGAGCGTCTGTGTTCAAGTGCATTTGGCTGTCTCAGGGCCTGCCCTGTAACTTCTCTGTTAAAGATCCTGATTTTATTGTTGCTGCTTGCCCAGACCTCAGAACCAGGCAGGCATAAAAGTATAGCAGTTTGACTGTCTCTAGTTTCTTCCAACTCAGTAGATGGAGAAAGTATTTGGAAACATAGAATCTGAAATCTAAATCCCTGTATGAAGTGCGTGTTAGAAAACTCAACCTCCTGGCAGGAGAATGGGGTGAACCCGGGAGGCGGAGCTTGCAGTGAGCCGAGATCGCACCACTGCACTTTAGCCTGGGCAACTCAGCGAGACTCCGTCTCAAAAAAAAGAAAAAGAAAAAAAGAAAACTCAACCTCCTGATGCATAGAAACACTAACTTCCACTGACTTTCTTATCAGCAGAAACAAAATGTGTTAACTGGTATCCTAGTTCTTCTTTCCAGCTTTGTTTTTTACTAATTATAGTTCCATATTAAACTCACTTCATGTGTCGTGACCATTTCAATAACAAGTTAGAAATTCATCTTTCAATTTAAAACCAAAAATCGTTTCCTCCTCTTCAGCCCCCACCCCCGCATTTTTATTCGAACAGATCACTTTGAGAAGAGACTATTTTATTTTTTTATTTTTATTTTTTGAGACAGAGTCTCATTCTGTCACCCAGGCTGGAGTGCAGTGGCAGGATTATGGCTCACTGTGGCCTTGCGTCGCCTCGTGGGCTCAAGCAATCCTCCCACCTCAGCCTCCCAAGTAGCTGGGACTGTAGGTGTGTACCACCACACCCAGCTCATTTTTGTAGAGATGGGGTCTCACTATGTTGCCCAGGCTGGTCTTGAGCTCTTGAACTCAAGCGAACCACCTGCCTCAGCCTCCCAAAGTGCTGGGATTACATGTGTGAAATACTAAACTTGGCCAGGGAAGGGACTTTAAATAAATTGCTCTGCAGTGCCTTTAGTACTGGACATTTGAATGATACCATTTAGAATAATACTTGTGGCTATATAGAGGGTTAGTGTTGACAGGCTCCTTCTAGAGCACGGACTGTGTGCTGTACACATCGTGCCTGATCCTTTCAAATATGGTGTTGAATTTTCATAATGCTTCAGATGGTATTACCTCATTTAGTGAATGAGGAAATTGAGGATAGAGACATTAAAATCTGTTCAAAGTCAGCTACCTAATTAGCAGATGGCAGAGCTAGGAACTAAACATGCCTTTTTTAAAAATTAAACTTTTGATTTTGAGATAATTCTGGAGTCCTATGCAGTTGTAAGAAATAGTAGAGATCCCACATACCCTCTGCCAGCTTTCCCTCAGTGATTATGTTCTGTAGAACTAGATAGCACAATCTTACAACCAGGATATTGACGTCGATACAGTCACGATACAGAGCCTTTCCATCAGAGAAGGACCCTTCATGTTGCTCTTTTGTAGCCACTCTCTCCCCTTCCTGTCCCAGACCCTGGCAGTGAATAATCTATTCTGTTGTTGTTTTGAGACAGTCTTGCTCTGTCGCCCAGGCTGGAGTGCAGTGGCACAATCTCAGCTCACTGCAACCTCCGCCCCGGGGTTCAAGCGATTCTCCTGTCCCAGCCTCCCAGGTAGCTGGGATTACAGGCGCCCACCACCACGTCCAGCTAATTTTTGTGTATTTAGTAGAGACGGGGTTTCACCATGTTGGCCAGGCTGATCCCCAACTCCTGACCTCGTGATCCACCCGCCTCGGCCTCCCAAAGTGCCAGATGTGAGACGCCGTGCCCCGCCTCTGTTCTTTAATTCGATAATTTTGTCATTTCATACATGTCATGGCCAGGTGCAATGGCTCATGCCTGTAATCCCAGCACTTTGGGAGGCCAAGACAGGCAGATTGCTTGAACCCAGGAGTTCAAGACCAACCTGGGCAATATGGTGAAACCCCATCTCTACAAAAAATACAAAAATTGGCTGGGTGCAGTAGCAGGTGCCTGTAATCCCAGCTACTCAGTAGGCTGAGGCAGGAGAATCACTTGAACCTAGGAGGCATAGGTTGCAGTGCACAGAGAGCACGCCACTGTACTCCAGCCTGGGCGACAGAGCAAGACTCCATTTCAAAAACAAACAAATTAGCCGGGTGTGGTGGTGCACACTTGAACCTGGGAGGCGGGTGGGAGGATCACTTGAACCTGGGAGGCAAAGGTTGCAGTGAGCCAACATCGTGCCACTGCACTTTATCCTGGGCGACAGAGTAAGATCCTGCCTCAAAAAAAAAGAAAAGATTTTCCTGTTGTCTCTCTTTTGTTGATTTCTGGTTCGACTCCACTATGGACAGAGAGTATACTGTGTATGGTTTCACTTCTTTTAAATGTATTGGTTTGTTTTCTGGCCTAGGATACGGTCTATTTGGCAGATGTTCTGTGGTCTTTTGTTGGTGAACATCCCGTAAGTACATGATAAACGCGTATGCTCGTTTGGCGGAATGTTCTACATGTGTCAGATCTTGATTGATAGTGGTGTTGAGTTCTATATGCTTGCTGATTGTTCAGTAGTTCTGTCAGTTAAGAGTCCTCAACTATAATTGTGGATTTGTCTATTTCTTCTTTAGCTCTATCAGTTTTTGTTTCCTGTATTTTGAGGTTCTGTTGTGTGGTGCATAAATGTTTAGGATTATTATATCTTGATAGATTAACCTTTTTTATTATGTAATGTCCTTCTTTTTTCTCCAGTAATTTTCTTTGAAGTCTCCATTATCAGATATTTTAATATAGCCACTTATGTTTTTATTAATGCTTTCATAATATATATTTCTCCATTCTTTTAATACCCTTGTTTTGAAGTGAGTTTCATATAGACAGCATATTGTTGCATCATATTTTTTAATCCACTCTTTACATTTAGGGTAAAGTCATTATTATGACTGTTACTATCTTAGAGACAAGGTCTTTTGCTATTGCCTAGGCTGAAGCGCAGTGGCACGATCATGGCTCACTGTAGTCTTGACCTCCTGGACCCAAACCATCCTCCCACCTCAGCCTCCCTAGTAGCCGGGACTACAGATGTGCACCACCACACCCAGCTAATTTTTAATCTATATTTATTTTTTGTAGATAGGGTTCCACTATGTTACTTAGGGTGCTCTTGAATTGCTAGCCTCAAAGCCATCCTCCTGCCTCAGCCAAAGTGCCGAGATTATAGGCATGAGCGATCCTCCCTGGCTGATTTTTTTTTTTTTTTAAGTATAATGCTTTGTATTATTTTCTTGGTAGTTCCCCTAGGTTTACAGTATACATATGTAACTTATCCCAGTCTCCTGGCCAAAGTGCCGAGATTACAGGCATGAACTGTCCTCCCTGGCTGATTGATTTTTTTTTTTAAGTATAATGCTTTGTATTATTTTCTTGGTAGTTGCCTTAGGTTTGCAGTATACATGTGTAACTGATCCCAGTCTCCTGGCCCTGATGTTTTACAGCTTTAAGTGTAGAAACTTTACTTCTGCTTGGGCCCATTTACCCACCCCACTTCACTATAAATGTCTTAGCACTTAACAGACTTTGAATGCCACATCAGGTGGTTTACTTCAGTCATCAACTGTGATTTTAAAAACTCATTAGGAGTAGGAGATTATATTATCTTTTCCCCCCTTTTGACTGAATAAAATTGTCCCTTTTTTTTTTATTACCTATTCTGATGGTCTTCTTTCTGAGGCTCTAAGCCTTCTTCTGTTGTCATTTCCTTTCTGTTTAGAGAACTTCCTTTAGCCATTCTTTAACGATCAGTTTGCTTGCAACAGATTCTCTTAGCTTTCCTTTGTCCAAGAATGCCTGTATTTCCTCTTCATTCCTGAAGGATACCTTCACATTGTTTCAGAAGAGAAATCTACTGTCGTTTGAGTTGGTCTCCTCTCCGAGTTCATGCATTGCTCCTCTCTGGCTGCTTTGAAGAGTTTTATGTTTAGTTTTCAGAAGTTTCATTATGATTTGTCTTGGCACAGGCTTCATCCCATTTATTATATTTGGGGTTTGCTTGGCTTCTTGAATCTGTACATTTATGTCTCTTGCCAAATGTGGGAAGTTTTCAGCCATTATTTCTTGAATGACTATTTCAGTCCCTCTCTCTCATCTCCTTCTGGGACTCTGACATACGGCTGTTAGCACTTTTGTTAATGACCTCCGGGTCTCTGAGACCCTGTGGCCTTGTTGAGTGGGGTTGGAACATCAGCTCCCCTCTGGGCGTTGCTGATTCTAGGGAATGGGAGGGGGTAGCAAAGCGACAGCTAATCCAGCCTTCCCCCCTCCCACCCTCCCATCCCCTCTTTCTGCCTCGTGGTGGGGGTGCACTTCCCCACTGGGCCCTGCTGACACCACCCTGGTGAGGGAATTGGAGCACCTCCTGCTTCTTCCAGGCAGAGAATGGGAGGTGAGATCCCTGCTTGGCCCTGCCAGCACTATTTGACATGCCACTTGGAGCATGTCACCTGGTTCCTTGAGGGTAGAAGATCAATTTCCCCCTCAATTCCACTGAAACCTCAGTGGGTGGTATATGTGGTTTCTCTGCTGATGTTTTCTCTTGTATTTGTTTTTTGTTGTTGTTGAGATGGAGTTTCGCTCTTGTTGCCCGGGCTGGAGTGCAGTGGCGCAATCCTGGCTCACTGCAACCTCCGCCACCCAGGTTCAAGCGATTCTCCTGCCTCAGCCTCCCAAGTAGCTGGGACTACAGGCACGCACCACCATGCCCAGCTAATTTTTGTATTTTTAGTAGAAATGGGACTTCACCATGTTGGCCAGGCTGGTCTCGAACTCCTGACCTCAGGTGATCCACCCGCCTCGGCCTCCCAAAGTGCTGGGATTACAGGTGTGGGCCACCGCACCTGGCCTTCTCTTGTTATTTGGAATAGGACGGGCATTGCCAAAAAGGTCTGCTGTTGTAAGAGCATCCTTTTCTGGGTCCTTTGGCCAAGAACAGGCTCTTCTTGGAGTTCTTTTTCTCTGTACCTTTTGGCTGTTCCAGCTTGGAGGCTTCTGCAGCGCCCATCCTGGGTAAGTAGGAGGCAGTAAGGACACCCAGAGAACTCACTGCCTTGTCATCCCTCAAGTCCTGAGGTCGCTGGGTAGCCTGCCGCCTTCTTTCCACCTGCTTTCTGCACTTGCTGGTTGTGTTACATTCAGAACTTTCTTTTTAGCTGTAAGGGGGCAGACCTGGGAGGAGTAGAGCTGTTACTTTGTGGAAGTCTCCATCATCCTGGTCTTTTTACTCAGTGTCTGGGGCTTTTCCATCTTGATCACAGTTGTGCCTGAATTTGCACATAGGATTTCTGTTAGATAGTGCGAGGACTTCATTACCTCACTCTATCCTCTGCAGTTCATTATTTGAATCTACTAGTTGCTTTGATTTTTTTGTAAAGATTGCCAGTAAGACTTTCTAGTTTATTCTTTTTTTCTTAAACAATAATCAAGTTTATTAAACAAATTTTTTTAAGTATTATAAAATGTTTAACTTTCATCAGCTTCAAGGTTTATGCTGCTCCCAAATTTTGCATACAACTGAACTTTCAAATCTGCTCACACCCACTGAATTGCTTCGACTTTGGATTCTAAGGCGTCAGTTGCTTCTTGCAAATTTTTATTTGCTGCTTCTAACATTTCCTGTGTTTCTTCTTGAGAATGGCTAATGAAGACATCACCGATTTGATAAGGCATCATTAAGCAGTCAGCATCTGCAAGCATGGTACCGTCACGAGCATCTTCTACGTTTTGGAGTTGTTTCTGTTTTACTTCTATTTCTTCCTTCAGCTCTGTGATTCTACTTGTATTCCATGCAAATTTGTTTATCTTTTGTTGCTCTTCGAAAGTAACATTGACATCTTCTGCAGCCGTCTTCTTCATGGTGGCCACCATCTCGGGACTGGAGAACAGCATGAGACAATGGGACTTTGCCCCCAAGCGCGCTCTTGCTCCCTGTCGGCCCAGAATTCCCTGGCAAATACAACCCTGTCTCCACATTCCCTCCCCTTGGACCCATGGCCAATGATCCCTAAAAGCTGGGACACAGGGAGGAAATGTCACCTGGAAGGACTTGGTACATGCCAGTTAAAGGGACCGGCAACCCCCGTGGGCCAACATCAATGGGGGTGTGGGGAACAGCCTAGTTTATTCTTTTTATTTTTCTAATTCTACAGATGATATCTCGTCACTTCCTGACTGGGCTGTCCTTAAAGTTTGTGTATTTGGTGTTCCCGAAGTTGTGTAATAATGCCTCTGGTGGTGGGGTGTGCCTCAGGCTGTTGGAAGACATCAGGCCAGCTTAGATTTATCTCACAGTGCTTCCATTCCCTGACTTATGTGTGATGCGTTAAATCCCAAGAGCGTTTTCATTACTAAATTTCACATCCAGTTAGAAGTGGATAAAATGTTAGCTGTCTGAAGGTTCCTTGTTATATAGACTAGAAGTCCTAACCATCCACATGATTGCATTAGTGTAGCCTTTAGCCACCCCAAGGTAGACTTGTCTTATATGCAGATGTATAGTCACGCATCGCAATGTATAGTCATGCATCGCGATGCATAGTCACGCATTGCTTAACGACTGGGATCCCGTCCAGGAAATGCATCGTTAGGTGAGGTTCTTACGCAAACATCCTAGAGTGGACCTACACAAACCTAGATAATATAGCTGACCGTATACCTAGGCCTATTGCTCCCAGACTGCAAACCTGTACCGCATGTTACTATACTGAATACTGTGGGCCATTGTAGCACAATGGCAAGCATTTATGTATCTAAACATAGAAAACGTGCTGTAAAAATCTGGTGTTATAACCTTATGGGACCACCATCGTATATGTGGTTCATCTTTTACCAAAACATCATTATGCAGTGCGTGACTGTTTGGCTGATTTTAGAAACTTTTTGAAGAATTAGATGATTAGAGTGGGTGGTCTCTTGTTGCCACTGAAACAAAAAGATCAAGTTCAACAAAATCTCCACGGCATTGTGCTAGGTGCTGATGCAGAAGGGATATTCAGTGCATATTGCAGAGCCCCTACTCTCCACTCGCACTCTCAAGCTGGGGAGACAGTTGCACAAGTAACTTTAACATACAGCGTGAATGGATACCATGGTAAATGCCACTGGAGAGGTGTTGCAGGAGGCCAGTGGGAAGATTAATTCTGGCTGAGGTATCTAAAAAAGCCTTATTGAATTGTGATTTGAGCTGGCCTTTGAAGGTTTTGTAGGATTTCAGCAAGTGGAGAAGAATACACAAATGAGAACCATCTTAATGCCTCTACATTTATCAGCTAAGACAGAAAATTCGAATACATAGAGATACTAAAGAATCAGAACTTTCTAGTCCAAAGGAGTGGTTGTAATGTGGTGGCTTTCTTTGGACTGCAGTCGCAGCACTCTAGCTGAAAGCTGTGGGTCTTCTCCCTAGAAAATTCATGTATCTGTGTAGGGTTTCAGGGGAGTGTTTGGACATCCGGAATCCCAAGAGTGGGCCTACTAGTGGCCCATGCACTGCAGGTTAACAGCTTTTGTTGTGGAATATCAAAGATTATGTAAAAATTTTGGAAATTAAATTTTTTTTTTGAAGAATTGTTTGCTGTATCACATGTACTTTTTGCCAGGACGTACGGAACTTTGAAGCAGCCTCCTCTGCTGTTCTGGCCTTTAAGAGTCTCTGTCTTGGGAGTTCAGAAGTGCCTCTTTAGGCTTGATGCTGCGGCGGGTTTGCGTGGCGGCAGAAGCATACATCTGCTTCTGGGGTCTGGAAGCACAGTTTGGTTTTTATGGCCTTGTTGGCAAATTGCATTTAACAGGTTTACCTTATGCTTTGACATACGGGGTTGGTCCTTTCGTAATACCAAAAAACCAAACAAAACAAATGCAAAAACATCTTTTTCCGTCAGCTAACTAAGTCCAGAGAGACTCCTCTGGCCATTTTTGGGGATTCAGAACACATGAGTGATTGGTCTTGTCCCCTGGCTTTCGAGTTTACATGTTGATTATCTTAACGAAATAATTAGGGGGAGCAGGGTTTGACCTTCAGTCATCTGTCATGTGAGATTTGGAAGCCAGCTGTGCTTGATGTGAGATAGTGTTCCGTTGACAGCTCGTAATTATTTTCTGTTCTTACTCAGTTGAGAGTGGGTTCATGGATCGTACCGGTTTTAAATGGAACTGAAGATTTAAACTTCGGCCTTATCTAGAGATGTAATTATAGGGTGATGTTCAAACCAAAGAAGCTGATGTTGTGTAATGGACCTAGGGCTTAACTTGCATCACCTGAAGGGCAGTGCCATCCCATGATGACAGGCCGGCTCATTTCATGCCGTAACTATTATGGTTTGTTTGTACTTAAAAGAAATGGAGGCTTCAAGTGGGCTGGACAGAGCAGCTGCTCAGGACCACCGGATTGCCTTTTAATCCTAAAAGCCGAATGTGAATATTTGTTGCTGACCGTGTGATGGGTTAGTCTTTCTCTCTGTGAGGATAAATGCTCAGGTGTGTCCAGGTTTTGCAGAATGGAAAACATGACTTGTATCCTGTGTTAGCCGTTAGAGAAGCTCATGCTTCTGGTTGATTCTGTTGACCAAATGCATTTGGAACGTCTGCTTTGGAAGTGCGGCATCCAGAGGACAGAGAAGCAGAGGGTGGGAGCTCTTGCAAGCAGCTAGAAAGGTGCTGGAGGGCAGCACATCCAGCCGCTCTGGACGGCAAGGGGAAGAAAACATCCCTGACCCCCACTTTCTTAAGTAGAGACCAAGTAGACGGCACCTCTCTGTGAACGTCAGCATCTATTTTACTGTCTAGTCTGAAGTCCACAGCACCAACTTTGTCACATGGCCCTGTTAAATCAGACCACAGCAGCAGAGAACCAGCTGTAGTGGGTATTTGCTGGTGGAAGTGTGCCAGGCATGGGTAATCAATAGCTACTTAAGCCAAGCCGAACAGAAACTAAGCCCGAGGAACACTGAGACCCGAAGAATCTGTGCTAATTCTCTCGTCACCGTGGTGGAACGTTCCAGTGATGGTGCATGGCGTGGACTCCTCGCAGCCCTCGAGTGCCTGTTTGGGGCAGTCAGTGGAGGTTGCCTGGTCTCAACTGGGAAAGGCCAGGCTAGATGCGGGGTCCACGGGAGGACCTGCTCTGTCGTTCAGAGCTAGGCTTTGTGCTCTGCTGTGTGTATGGTAGTGAGTGGAGGAGACACAGTCCTGGCCTCGTGGAGCTGATTCCTAGTTCACTTCTCTGGGGACAGGAAACACAACGGGAGGACAGGGCATGAGCCGGAACATCACTGGGAAAGTCACTTGGAGGAGAGGGGAGGCCTTGCCTAGTGGAAGAGGCCTTTCGACTGTCCATAAGATGGATGAACACATCCACCTGGACTAGTCTAACGATGTCCTGGGGCCAAAATCAGGGATTTGGGCTGCGGAGAAATTTGTGACAAAACAGTTTGATGCTCAGTCAAGGTGAGATACTGGCAGTCACTGACAACTCCACGGGATGCAAATTACATTCATTTTAAGGTAAAATTTTGCACATCTTTGTAGACAAGATACACAGTATTCCAGGCAAAACCCTTGTGATAAGGGAGTCATTACTTAAAGTCTCACCTGCCTTCCGGTTTCCATTACAGGTAAGAGGGAATAGCTGGTTCAGATGTTTACTTGTATAATACTAAGAACACTTTTAATGTGTGTTTTCCACTCATGCTCAGTTTTATATCTACAATTTTTGGCGCACATGAGGTGACTAATAACTATTTATATTTTTGTGACCACTTGTGTTTTTTTTAAGAAAATGAAGTTCCAGGCGGGGCGCGGTGGTTCATGCCTGTAATCCCAGCACTTTGGGAGGCTGAGGCGGGCGGATCACGAGGTCAGGAGATCGAGACCATCCTGGCTAACACGGTGAAACCCCGTCTCTACTAAAAATACAAAAAAATAACCGGGCGTGGTGGCAGGCGCCTGTAGTCCCAGCTACTCGGGAGGCTGAGGCAGGAGAATGGCGTGAACCCGGGAGGTGTAGTTTGCAGTGAGCAGAGATCGCGCCACTGCACTCCAGCCTGGGCGACAGAGTGAGACTCCATCTCAAAAAAAAAAAAAAAAAGAAAGTGAAGTTCCATAATTTTAGTTTTAGGGTGGGGAGAGGAACTGTTTTTCCCTAAGGTTCTGATGACTTGATTAGATAGATATGGATCGAAAACTCTGTTAAAAGTATGGAGTGATGTGGACCAGGAGGCAAAACTCCCTGGGAGATGAGCTGGTCAGAATTGAGAAATAGAAAACCGGTCATTTACTTTCTTATCAGTACTTATCTGGTATGACCGTAGCACAATGAGACTGTTTTTAAACATACCAGGACTGCTGGAACGCACTAGTTAAAGCAGATGCCTCATGAAAAGTAATCATCTTGGGACAGCAAGTCAACAAATGCCTATTAAGTGTGTGTTTATGTGCTAGGTACTGCAGAAGCTGAGGAGATGAGAAGATGGCCTGGAAGGAATGATACCTTGATACCTTCTCTGTGCATTGGGAGCTTTTGTTTTTTGTTTTTTTTTCATTAATTTTTTTGAGACAGGGTCTTGCTCTGTCACCTAGGCTGATGTGCAGTGGTGCAATCACAGCTCACTGCAGCTTCGACCTCCTGGGCTCAAGTGATCTTCCGACCTCAGCCTCCTGGGTAGCTAGGACACAGGTGCACACCGCCATAGCCCACTTGGCAGGGAGCTTGTGTGTTTGAAGCACCTTATCTGTTATGTCTTTGATCCTCCGAGTAAACCTGTAAGGTCAGGTTGGGCTTTACTCTGATGGGTGGGATTCTCACTTTCCTAGCCTCATGTTTCCTTGCAGAGAGATCTCAGCTACTGTGATTCTCTTGCCTCTCCTGCCATCCCTTATCCCCCTTTGCTCGGGGAAGGAGTGACTTGCTTGACTGGTGGATTTTGGGGAAGGCAGTAAGCAGGTGGGGCTCAGGCCCTGTAGATTCCCTCCAGGTTCTCTCTTTGGGAGCCGCCCTCCCCACAGGGGACATGCCTTCCTCCTGCCAGAGTTGTAGGGCCACCTCCCCTGCGTTTGTCCCACTATGGCAGTGGTCAGGAGCCTACTTGGCTACAAACCCAAAACCAGACTCTTTAGTCAGAAGGCCAGTATTTTCATCTCCATCCACCTGACTCCTGTTTTGATTTCCAAATGGATTCTAGACTGGGAGCAGAGGAAGAAATATTGAGACTCGTATGAGCATGAACACAGCACCCAAGGCAAAAAGAAGATTCTAGGGTGTGTAGTGCATTTCCTGACCCCAGCCCCAGTCCCTTAAGGTAGTATTGAGGCAAGAAAGAGCCATTGCAACCCTAAACATTCTGACACCTTCCCATCTAGAAAGAAACAGACCCAGAGTCGGGAATAGAAGCCGGGGAAAAGTTCGGGGAGAACACTCAAAAGGAAAGGGTCCTTGGTGGAGCCAGGAAGTGTGGAGGCACCCAGAGCTCTGTGCTGACCACAGCTCGAGGCAGGAGTCCACTGGAGGTTGGGACACTTACTAGCTAGCAGGAGAAAATCCACTAGCCCCAGACAAGTTCCCAGCTCTCATCATCTCCCTTTCCTCAGACAGGGATTGAAAGCAGCGTCTGTCTGTCAAACTCTAGCTCTGGTCCAAGAAGACAAACCAGGTAGAAACAGAATCAGGAAAAACTGGCCTCGAGCACGTCTGAGAACAGGCTGGTGGAGGGCTACCACAGGGATGCTGGAAAGGGACAACATGGCAGCTCCGAAACACCGTCCCTAAAGAAAAGAGGGCGAGAGGAAAACTAGCACACAAAAGTCAGATGAAAAACAGGGTAAGAAGAGAAACTATGAAAGAGAAGTAGCCTGTCCAAGAGTGCTCTATATTGTATAAGAATAATAAGTATATAGATGATATAAAACAAGAGCTCCAGGGTATGAGAAAGCATTAACATGAGATGCACAGGGAAATGGCAGAAGTAATAGATTGAAAACTCAGCATCGTCATAGATCTCATAGGTGCATCGGAGACAGGAAGGAACTGAATAGTAATGAACAACGATGCAAGGGGATGTCTCTGAATCCTACCCACTGTCAGCGTCCCCATGGCTGTAGAGTTGGGAGTCAGAGAGACACTGGACTCCTTCAGGCATTTGCACAAAAAACATGAACCTAAACCTCAGTGTTTAAAGAAGCCTTAGTTTTTCTTATCTCTCCGACAGAGGGAAATATGGGTGGAGGATTTCCCAATTCTAGGCTTTCTCCTCCTGTGTGCCTGATTTTAAACTGCCTGGGGCAGGGACCTGTTTGTGAGGGCCAAGAGCAGCAAAGGGCCTTTTGTACGAATAGCTGGTCTCTGCTCTCATGGAGGTGAGCCCTTTGTACTTCATACAATGAGCAGACCATTTTCTTTTTTCTTTTCTTTTTTTTTTTTTCCTGAGACAGGGTCTGGCTCTGTCGCCGAGGCTGGAGTGCAGTGATGTGATCTTGGCTCGCTGCAGCCTCCACCTCCTGGGCCCAAGCCATCCTCTCACCTCAGCCTCCCAAGTAGCTGGGACTGCAGGCAGACACCACCACACCTGGCTCACTTTTAAAAAATTTTTGTAGAGAAAAATTAAGATTTTTGTAGATTTTGCCATGTTGCCCAGGCTGGTCTCAAACTCCTGAGCTCAAGCAACCCACCCACCTTGGCCTCCCAAAATGCTGGGATTACAGGCGTGAGCCACCGTGCCTGGCCAAGCAGGCCATTTTCATATGGGTATATCCACTAAAGAAGACTCCATTGGAGTAGAGGGAAATTTATTTCTTTGACCACCTGCTAAACTGAAGTCACTAGAGCAGGAATAGTTTTGTTTTCCCTTTCCTGGTGTTTTAACGTAGCGTCCTAAGGTAACAGGAGCTAGAGGACTTGGGGGCAGCCACCTGCAGCCAGCTTGGTAGACAACACTTTGATCTTTCCCCAGCTGCGTCCCTGGTACCATATAACAATACCGGCTGGATGTGGAGGCTCATGCCTGTAATCCCAGCAGTTTGGGAGGCCGAGGCAGGAGGATCGCTTGAGCACAGCAGTTCAAGATTACAGTAAGCTAGGATCGTGCCACTTCACTCCAGCCCGGGCTGTTGACAGAGTGAGACCCTGTCTCTGAAAAAATAAAAATAACTATTGTCTACAGCAAACATTAGTTTAGAAACTGCATTGGTGATAGTTATTTTATAGTACAAATCCTTAGGAATATAATTTAGCTGTCCAGTAGTGATTATTTAAAGCCTTTTCTCCCTGTATTCCTCTGCAGTTTTCAGGAAGTTTTCATTTTGAATTGTAGGTGTTTTAATTTCTGGTTTGAATCTTGCTTTACAATTTTTGTAATCTTGAATATTTTTAGAATGTGTAAATATCTGCCAAGGAGACCACAACATCTTCGGCATTTTCTTTTTTAATTGGAAACTTGTCTTGTTTCTTAATTCTTGGTAACTTCAGGAAAAGAGCCACCAACTTGCCTGAGTTCTTTCCTGTTATCTGGAGCAAATTAGAACTCTTCTGGTAAAGTAAGACGCCCTTTTTCTAGTCTTTCATTAATTAAAAAAAATTTTAAATAAAGTATCGGGGGTAGGGAGAATGTTTCAAATGTAGGTGTTTTTGAAGTAGGTTAAAAGACTTCAATCTTGAATTGAGTCTTCTAAAAAAATTTGCGCGATGTTTTTGTAGTTAATTAGCAATACCTCATGATAGATATACATGAATATTTTCTTTGGTATGTTTTTATAATTAGGTGATTCTTTCCTTCATTATAACTCCTTTCTCTGAGTGGTTCTGACATTGGTCCTGCCATCTGCCCTATTCTAAGTCATGTCCTGGTGTCACTGCAGTCAGGAGTCCTGTTCTGTCCTCTGCACTGCTCACGGACCAGCCCAGCCCCACTGTCCTCAGCGTGGTTATGCAGAAGCCACTGTGGTTCCCTTCCAGTCAGTTTGGTGGTTATTCCCTCAGTTTAGGTGCCTTCAGTCCGGGCCACAGTGCTTGAATTCTCACGCGACATCACAGACTTCACCTGACCAGCTGAAGTTTCGTTAATACAACCTTTCTGTTTTCACTCTGTTTTTTAAAATAATCGAGGTAAAATTCACATACCATACAATTAATCATCTGGAAGTGTACATTCAGTAGCATTTAGTACATTCACTGTGTTGTTCACCCACCACCTCTATCAAATTCCAAAACGTTCCAATCACTCCAAAAGGAGATCTGGACACGTTAGTAGTGACTCCCCATTCCCTCCTTCTCCCGGCCCCTGGCAACCACTAATCTGTTTTCTGTCTCCATGAATTTACCTATTCTGAATATTTCATATAAATGGAATCATATAATATGTGACCTTTTGTGTCTGGCTTCCTTCACTTTTTTAAAATTAATATACTTTATCACTTAATTTTAGGTTTACAGAAAAACTGAGCAGAAAATACAGATTTCCCACATACTGCCTGCCTCCCCCACACCAGTTTTCCCCTGTGAGTAACATCTTGCATTAGTGTGCTAGGGTTGGGAAAGTTGTGAGTGAATATGAATATATTATTAACTGAAGTCCATAGTTTGCATTAGGGTTCACTCGTTGTGTTGCATAGTTCTGTGGGTTTTGACAAATGTCTCCACCGTTATGGCATCATTCAAAATAGTTTCACTGCCCTAAAAATCCTCCTTGTTCTACCTGTTCATCCCTCCTTCCCTGTCTCCCCTCAACCCCTGGCAGCCTCTGAGCGTTTACTGTCTCCATCGTTTTTCCTTTTCCAGAATGTCCTGTAGTTGGAATCAGGAATATGTAGCCTTTTCACATGGGCTTCTTTCACTTAGCAATACATATTTAAGGTTTCTGTGTCTTTCCGTGGCATGTTAGTTTATTTCTTTTCATTATGGAGTTGTATACCTTTGTATGGATATACCACACTTTGTTTATCCATTTACCTGCTGAAGGACATTTTGGTGACTCCTAAGTTTTGGCACTTATGAATAAAGCTGTGGTAAACACCTGTGTGCAGGCTTTTGTGTAGACATAAGTGTTCAACTCATTTCAAGTGCAGTTAATTGCTGGATTATATGGTACAAGTATTTGCTTTTGTTGGTTTTTTTTTTTTTTTTTTTGAGATGGAGTCTCACTCTGTCACCCAGGCTGGAGTACAGTGGCGTGATCTCGGCTCACTGCAACCTCTGCTTCCAGGTTCAAGTGATTTTCCTGTCTTAGCCTCCCAAGTAGCTGGGATTACAGGCATCCACCACCAAGCCTGGCTAATTTTTTGTATTTTTAGTAGAGACAAAGTTTCACCATGTTGGCCTGGCTGGTTTCAAACTCCTGACCTCGTGATCTGCCCGCCTGCGCCTCCCAAAGTGCTAGGATTACAGGTGTGAGCCACCGCCCCCGGCCCGAGTATGTTTAGTTTTGTAAGAAACTGCCCAACTGTCTTCCGGAGTTTGCATTCCCAGAGCAGGGAATGAGAGTTCCTGTTGCTCCACTTCCTGGCTACCATGTGGCATTGTCTGTTTTGGATTTTAGCCGCCCTAAGAGGTGAGGAATGGCATCTCAGTATTTTAATTAGCAGTGCCCTAATGATATATGGTGTGGAGCGTCTTTCTATGTGCTGGTTGTCCCCTGGGTGGTGGGAATGCTGGGATGAACGCTGGAATGAGCGTACTCTAAAGACTTGTTCTCTTCAGCTGCCGCAGCTGCTTTGTGTCTGCGGCCCCACCACAGCCGTTTCCCTGGCTTCTCTGTCCTGCATCCTCCTTCTTTCAGTGTCCTGGACGCAAACGCCAGCACACGTTTTCTCAGGCATTTTTCATAAGGCTGCTTTCCTGTTTACAAAACTATAGCGGCCCTCAGCCTCCCATCAGCTCGATACCTTCTCAGCCAGAAATGACCACAGTAGCTGTATGATGGCACAAACGCACTTCTCCTCCTCTCTGAGATAGCTCCCTTCTCTCCAGCACCTCCTTCCCTAGTTTACATCTTCTTCATGGCGTCTTCATATTATGTGAAATGAAAACACACCCCTTTAGGGAAAAGAGGAAAGCGTCTTCATACACTGCTGGGGGCGCACATGCTGGGAAGCTTCTGTCCGCCCCTTCCCGCCCTCTCTCCTGCTTCTGTCAGCTCTCTGCTCTTGGGGTGACCTGTATAGATTGTAGCAGCGAGTGTTGTGCTTTCTGGCTTCTGGTTGGCCAGTGGGAAGTCCTGGCAAGAGCTCGGAGGGAGGGAGGGGAGAGAGTGAGGTTCAGTATTTCTTCTCCCCTCCCACGCCCCAGGATTCCTTCTGTCTTGTTTCTCGGGCTTCCCCCACACCTTTGTGATTAGTTCCTAATTTGAGTGTCCTGCTTGTTTCCTGTTGGGTGCCTGGATTTAGGATGTAAATTGTTGTAACCTGTCTTTTGGTGGCAGTCTGATGTTTAGAGATGGTCATGGAGTCTTGGGTACTACCCAGAGCGAGATCTAGGAGGAGGCAAGCCAGGTGTCTGTCCACCCGCAGGTGCAGACCTCACCCTCACGGGGCCTGAGGGAGAGGGGCCTCCTCCCTTGTCTTTAGTCGGAAAGTGGTTCTTGGACTTCCTGTGCCTGTGGTCACCTGGCCATGCTGTTCAAATGCAGATTCTATTCAGTAGGCCTGGGAGGTCTGTGAGCTCCTAGGTGATGGCTGTGCTGCCACCGGCCCTCAGCTACGCTTTGAGCAGCAGGGATTTTTTTATTGCGGTTTGATTTGCATTGTTAAAATCCTGGAATGACCTAATCGCCACCTGTTGGGGCTGACTGATTGAACTGTGGTGTGTGATGGGCACTACACAGCTTTTAATAAGTCGGTGAATCAGCTGATATTTATCGAGCACCTTCTGTATATCAAGTGCCCGGGATACATCATTGGAAACAAATGCTTGCCATGTAGAGCTTACATTCTAGTGTGGGAAACAGACGATCCACAGGGTAAACAGGCACGTCTTATGAAATGTTAGAAAGCAACAAGTGCTGGGGGCAGGAGAAAGCAGGGCGAGAGCGTGTCCATGTCAGGGGTGGCAGGGAGCCGCCTGCAGAGGTGATGGGGAGAGCACCCCAAGTGCAGAGGCCTCCGCAGACCCAGAGGAGCCAGTGTGATGGCTGTGTAGTGAGGGAGGAGACCCCTGGATGGGCAGAGGCGGGTGCAGGCCACTGGGAAGACGCGGGCCTTAACTCTGTGTGTGAGGGGCTCTTTGTCCCTGAGGATTTCTGCAGAGGAGTGGCAGGATCTGACTTGGACATTCACGGGGTTGCCCTGGCCACCCTCACTGAGGGAGACCAGGTGGACGTGGGGGCAGTGAGAGGCTGTCATCCTGATCTGTGGGACCAGCGTGTTAGGAGTGGAGATGCTGGGAAGCGGTCAGATCCTAGAAATGTTGTGAAAGTGTTGATGTTGAAAATACCATTTTTGAGACAGGCAGACATGGGTGTGATCTGTTCAACTGGAAAAGGAGTCAACTATCTTTTAGGAACCATGTTTTGAATGTGAGCAAAAAGAATGGTGGTGGCATATGGTAATGACACTAACATGTAATGAGCGTTTCTCTCTAATTAAAGGGGATTTATTTTTATTGCCCTTATCTCTGTTTTCTAGAATGCGCATTATTTTCATGGGAAAAAGAGTCTTAGAAAAGACATTGCTTCTTTCTCTAAGTAATTTTACTGCATGATCTTTATTCTATGAAGTTTACTCATTTGCATTGGGTTTTATAGATATTAGTAGGTAGTTTGTGCTTTATTATGTCTGCAACATGCTTTTTTAATTTTTAATTTTTTTTTTAGCTTGCCTAGCCAACTAGAATGAAAGATCCTTTGACATTGAGTATTGCATTTTTATTTTTCCTGTATTCCAGCTTGTAACAGACACTTCCTAAGTGCTTATTGAACGAATTGTTCTAATTCTTTTAAGCAACGACTGGCCTCTTCCCGAACAGTTTTATTTTTCTAAATCTGCAGAGGGTTATTATTAGCATGCTTGAAAGACCAAAGAATGATTGTCTAATTCTTGAAGGTTCTCATTTGTTCTTCCTTATGCCCTCTGTTCCTGTTACCTTCCCCAAGCACTCCTCCTGCATATGCCGTCAAAGTCCTGAATTGGGGCTGCGGTTGAAGTTGGAGTGTCAGAACACGCTTTTGCCCTTACTGCTATCAGCCTTCAGTCAGATAAGTAGCCTTTTTATATAAATAGTTCCCTCTTGTCTCTGTAGAGCTGGGGAAGGCGGGGTCCCTTGGGTTTGTGTGTATGCTGGATGAAGCAGACAGAAGGGTTCTTCAGGGTATGGGGCCGTCTCTGGACTACACCAGGAAGCCTGGAAAAGGCCCTCCAACAAAGCCTGCCATAGATGATGCCTCGGACCCCACGTTTTTAGTTACAAATAATATACAAATAGTTACTGAGAATTAAAGTTACTTTCTTCAAGGCCATCAGAGTGGTTGGTAACTGTAATGTCCCTGAAAGACTCAGTGTCTTTAATCTCCTAAACCATGTTGAATTCCAGTAATGGGAGGCCAGGGAATGGGCAGAGGACTGATAGTGAATCTAGGGAGCACCTTTTTATCACATCTAGGAGGGGGCTGAGCAGACTCTCTTAGGGACTGAGGGGGTTGAGTGTTTATCTCCTTCAACTCCTTTCCAAGTCATTGTCTTTAAATCTTTCTTTTCTTTTGGAAACGGAGTCTTACTCTGTCGCCCAGGCTGGAGTGCAGTGGGGCGATCATAGCTCGCTGCAGCCTTTACTTTCTGGACTCAAGTGATCCTCTCAGTTCAGCCTCCTGTGTAGCTGGGACCACAGGCACGCACCACCACGCCTGGCTAATTTTTCTGTAGAAACAAGGACTCACTATGTTGCCCAGCCTGGTCTCAAACTCCTGGGCTCAAGCAGTCCTCCTGCCCTGGGCTTGCAGTCCTTTTTCTTTTTGTTGATTGAGGCTGATCTCACGCTCTTGGGCTCAAGCAGCCCTCCCACCTTGGCCTCCCAAAGTGCTGGGATTACAGGCGAGAGCCACCACGCTTGGCCCTTCAATCTTTATCAGGGTTTGAGAAGGGGACTTCCATAAGATATGTCTTAGATTGGGGAGGTTAAGAGTGTGCCAGGTCTCAGGCCCACCTAACTCAGAACTACCACTCTTAGTTACTGGACTGTCTACAGATGCTAGTTCCAGTAGGTAGATCTCTGAATTCTGAAGAAATTGCCCAGTGAAGCCTGACATGCAAAACAACCACTCCAGTCGCTGCCGCTGTATGGTTGAAAACGTACGAAGAACAACATCTCGGAGGAGGCATAGCTTCCCACAGAAGCTTCAGAATTTGTAGGTTTAGATAAAAAGTTAAAAGAGAATGGGAAGGCTAAGCACATTCTAACGTTTTTTAGCTAGGTTTGTTAAGAAATGTTGGTGGTAATCTGAATCACCCTTGTTGATGTGTATATCACATTTTACATAGTTCTAGTCATCACATCCTGGAATGTCAGCCTGGGCGGGCATGCGAGGGCCTGGTCTGATTCCCCTGTGTCCCTAGGGCCTGGCACCATGGCAGCACATAGTAGGCATTTGAGTATTTGTTGGATGCATAAATAAATTCTTGTAATAAATACAGGAAAAAGGTCTTAGGGAACTTGAAAGCCAAATTTTAATATTGATGATCTTGTAAACAAAGTATTTTTCATGTTTTAGTAACATGAAGGTCAGGATTCCACTAAGCAGGAATATGGTGTAACCTCATGTTTCCTGGCAACTAGCCCTTTGCTACTAGACTTGCCACAGGAAGGGAAAGAGCTTACCTAGCATTGTTCATCACTGTCTTGCTAAGGTGGAGGAAAACGAGGAGCAGGGAGCTGAGAAAATAGAATAACTGCAGGAGTTTCTCTTGT
Source organism: Homo sapiens (assembly GCF_000001405.40). Classification (NCBI taxonomy): domain Eukaryota; kingdom Metazoa; phylum Chordata; class Mammalia; order Primates; family Hominidae; genus Homo; species Homo sapiens. Next base: position 2,821,609 of record NC_000007.14, on the reverse strand, counting down.
CCATAGGGCACACCGTTTGGGGTGAATTGTTTTGCTTGGGGCCACCCAGTGAGTTCGTTTGGAGTTGCAAGCCTCGCTTCCTTATATAGAGTCATTGATACAATTGGGGAGTTTCCTGAGTGGATGATTAAAGCAGTTCTGTATTCATTCTTCTCTGTAAGTGCCAACACCTGGCCGTGATTTCTCTGCGGTCAGCTGGAGACTGACATCCATTTTCTCACAGTATTTACGAGGGAAGGGAACCCTGGTTGGTGAATTCATTCTCATGGTCTTTTTGCCCGAGTCAGCAGCAAGACAGTCACCTTGCCACGGGAGGCAGCGTGTCCCTGTGTTGAACAGGCGGAGAGTCTCCCCTCAGGATACAGCAGGAGTGATTGGAATGATTCTGTTTCTCAGCCTGTCTTGCAGAACATCTGTAATCTAAGCGTCATCACAAAAATTCTTAAGCCAAGAATAAGCAGAACATTAACCAGAGAATAATTGATTGGCATCTTTCACCTAGACAACATTTTTGTGAAATGGGAGTGATTCCTGTGGAGTTTTGTCCATGTTGATGAAAACATGGATGTAGGCCGGGCGCGGTGGCTCACGCCTGTAATCCTGGCACTTTGGGAGTCCAAGGCAGGAGGTTTCTTGAAGTCAGCAGTTCAAGACCAGCCTGAGCAACATAGTGAGATCCCATCTCTATCAGAAATTTTTAGAAATTAGCTGGCCATGGTGGTGCATGCCTGTAATCCCAGCTACATGGGAGTCTGAGGCAAGAGGATGGCTTGAGTCCAGGAGCTTGAAAGCTGCAGAGAGCTGTGATTGCACCACTGCATTCCAGCCTGGGTGACAGAGTGAGATCCTGTCTCTAAAGTAAAAAGTTTTAAAAGACACAGTTGGAGTTTCCTCTTTGGAAGATTACAGGGCAGAGGCCAGGGTGGTCAGTGAGTCAGGAGCTGGTGACTGGCCGGTGGGGCAGGTCTGGACAACAAGCAGCTGCCACACTGTGTGTCACTTCCGTGCTCTGTGCTTTACAGCGCTTGGGACTTTCTTTTTCAATTTTTTAGCTTTTTTAATTTTATTTTTTATTTTTTTGTAGCGATAGGTTTTGCATGTCTCCTGGGCTAGTTTCAAGCGATCCTCTCACCTCAGCCTCCCAAAGTGCTGGGATTACAGGCATGAGCCACCATGCCTGGCCTCAGCTTAAAAAAAAAAAAAAAAAAGCTTTATTGAGCTATAACTCACATATCATACCATGCCCTCATTTAAAGCCTACAATTCAGTGGACTTCAGTCTATTTACAGAGCTGTGCAGCCATCACCACAGTCAATTTTTAAAACATTTTCATCACCCCAGAAAGAAACCCTGCAGCCACTGCACATTTTCCTCCTGCCCCAGCCCCAGCCCCGGGCGGCCACCAGCCCACTTTCGACACCGTGGATTTCTCTCGACGCTGTTGATTTGCCTTTTCTGAACATTTTATGTAAATGGAATCATACAGTATGTTGTCTTCTGCGACGGACTTCTTAGCATCGTTTCTTCAAAGTTCATCCATGCTGTAGCGTGGCATCGTCATCCCTCTAAGCGGCCGAATAGCATTCCCTTTTGCTACGCCCCGTTTTGTTTATCCGTGCCTCAGTCAGTGGCATCTAGGTTCTTTCCATCTTTTGTGTGTTATGAATGATGTTGCTATAAACATCCATGTGCGGGTTTTGGTGTGAACATGTTTTCTCTTGGGTGTATTCCTAGGAGTGGAATTGCTGAGTCAAATGGTTGCTTTATGTTTAACATTTTGACGAGCTACCCGAGTGTTTCTGAATTGGCCGCAACATTTCTGTTCCCACCAATATAACGTCTTTGGGGTCTAACCGTGCTTGTGTTTATCTGTCCTTTGAATTCCAGCCATCCCGTTTTCGGTTTGCCTTTCCTCGATGGTGAATGAGGTATAGCATCTTTTCATGTGCTTATGGGCCATTTGCGTATCTTCTTTGGAGATATGGCTATACAGATCCTTTGCCCATTTTTTTAATTTGGATTATTTGTCTTTTATGCAGACTAGGGAATTTCTTAAGGGGACTGCTTTTGGTTATTGTGTTTCTCACTTATAAACTCACCTTTCAGTAATGAGTCACATACACCTCCACAGCTGTTTTGGTTTTCTGTTGCCACTGTAACAAATTACCACAGGCTTCGGGACTTAAAACATTTATTTGTTAGCTCCTAGTTGCTTGGGTCAGAGGTCTGGGCACAGTGTGGCTCAGTTGGTTGCCCTGAGTGTCATGAGACTAACAGGAAGGTTCCAGCCGGACTGTGTTCCTTTTTGGAGGCTCTGGGAATGCATCGGCATCCAAGTTCATTCAGGTTGTGGCAAGGGTTCAGGTCCTTGCAGCTGTAGGACTGAGGTCCGGTTTCTTTTCTGACCTCCCTCGGCTCCTGGAGGCCTCCCTCCAGTCTTGCTTGCAGCCCCTGCAACTCAGAACCAGCAGCGAGCGGCTCACAAGGAACCTGCCAGACTTTTCCACCTTCCACATCTGCTTGTAAGGACTGGTGACTCCATCAGGCTCGCAGGGTAATCCAGAATAATCGCCCTATTTTAAGCTCAGCTGATTGGTAGCCTTAATTACCTCTGCAAAGACCTTTCACCTAGGTTCCCAATTGATGAATACCCCCGGCCATCTTTAGAATTCTGCCCGTGCCACGGGCTTGTGGCCTGCCTTACAGCCTTCTAGTTACAGGGGACCATGAAAGGGTTGTGAGGCTGGTCAGAGAGAGTAAGTGAAAACGGCAAGCGAAACCTGTGGGAGAGGCCACTTTGAGTCGCCTCCCTCCCTTGTTCGTTTGTCCTTTGCTTTTTTTTTTTTTTTTCAAGTTAGGGTCTCTGTCACCCACGCTGGAGTGTAGTGGCGCGATCTCGGCTCACTGCAACCTCCACCTCCTGGGCTCAGGCAATTCTCATGCCTCAGCCACTTGAGGAGCTGGGACTACAGGGCTACGCCACCATGCCCAAATATTGTTTGTATTTTTATTAGAGTCGGGGTTTCACCATGTTGCCCAGGCTGGTCTCGAACTCCTGACCTCAGGCAATCTGTGTGCCTTGGCCTCCCAAAGTGCTGGGATTACAGGCATGAGCCACCGCACCAGGCTTCCTGTTCTTTATTATAAGTTGTATTTTCTTTATTACAAGCTGTAGTTTGTCTAGCCTCTAATCAGTGGTTCTCCGTTGGAGAGACTATGCTCCCCAGGGGGACATTTGGCAGCGTCTGCAGGCGTGTTTGGTTGTGACACTGATGGGTGCCGCCGGCATCTGATGGTTGGAGATGCTGCTGACTGTCCTGCAGTGTGTGAGGCGCTCCAAAACAGAATTCCCCAGCCCCCAGATGTCAGTACTGATGTGGTAAACAAACTTTGTTCTATGTCAGATGGCCAGTTTTTTAATGGCAGAATTACACTATTATGTAAATAATTGATGTTCTTAATGATGACTCCCCCCAGAACCTACAAAACCCTGACATGCCTGTTAGCTGTGTAGGGAGTCATTCCGTGTTCATTGAATTAATTTTAATACGTTATAGTGAACTACAGTCCCACTTGAAACATTAAGAGCAATCTTACAGTGTGCTAGTACTTTTTCTTCTTTTTTTGTTTAGTTTCCTAACTATGAAAGCAGGTGTTCTAATACATTTGGAACTAATAATTCATGTGTAGTGTACTTATGGAGACTTAAAAATAAAACTAAAGGGAGGGAAGGAGGAATGGAAGGAGGAGATGATAATTAACAAAGAATTCCTTATTCACAATTAATAGATGACAACATTTGTCATAACTTTAGATGTTTCTTCTATGTTCCGTTCTCCTCCCCAGTCCTAATACTGGAACCAAACTGCTTAGACCAGAATCCTGAGTGACCTTGGATCAGCTGCATTCATTCATTTGTTCCACAAACATCTGAGTGCCAGGGGCTGTTTTCAGCATTGGGAATAACAGCAGTGGCCAAAAGTCAGAGTCCATGTTGTCTGCGTAATGGGCAGGTTAGGGACAAATAATGAGTAAGTGAAGAAATATATAATGTCTCCACAGAGAGAGCTGAGGGGCTGGTGTGGGCAGAGCAGAGTGAGTGAGGGCGAGAGAGCAGGTGGACATGGGGTGGCTGGGGTAAGGGAGGATATACAGTCTTGCAGGCTGTGTAAGGATTCTCATTTAAAGTGGAGTATGGGCCGGGTGTGGTGGCTCATGCCTGTAATCCCAGCACTTTGGGAGGCCGAGGCAGGGGTGGGAGGAATCACCTGAAGTCAGGAGTTCGAGACCAGCCTGGCCAATGTGGTGAAACCCCGTTTCTACTAAAAATACAAAAAATGAGCTGGGCATGGTGGCGCGTGCCTGTAATTTCAGCTATCAGGAGGCTGAGACAGGAGAATCGCTTGAACCCTGGAGGTGGAGGTTGCGGTGAGCCGAGGTCGCGCCATTGCGCTACAGCCTGGGCAATAGAGCGAGACTCTGTCTCAAAAATAAATAAATAAAAATAAAGTGGAGTATGATGGGAAGCCATTGGAAAGTTTAAGTAGAGAGTTGAACTGACCCAACTGTGTTTTTAAAAGGGTCATTGTTTGTTAAGTGGGGAGTGTAGACCTCCTCCAGGGGTAGGAGGTGGAAGTGGGCAAGAATGAGAGCAGGGGCATCAGTGAAGAGCAGCAGAGACCCAGACTGACTTGATGGGAGCAGAGGAGGCGGTAAGAAGTCACCGGAGTGCATTGCACATTCCTGATCATTTCTCTAGCCTGAGTTTTCTCATCTGTGAAATGGGGACAGTAATCATGGATGTCTCCTGGCCGCTCTTAAGAATTGAATGAGTTAATGTGTGCTAGACCTGTGCCTGGACAGAGTAGGTGTTCAGTGAATGTTAGCTTCAATATCATTCTCACTGTCACTGCTGCTACTGCCCTTCCCACCGAGGAAACCCTGGCATGAGCTGGATAATTATTCAATTTGTGTTCTGTACATGTTTTGAGTCCATAATCAATATGTATATTACTTGTTTTTAAGAATTTATGGAAATGGCATTATTTTGAATATATCATTTAAAAAATGGATTTGCTAGGCTGGGAGCAGTGGCTCACGCCTGTAATCCCAGCACTTTGGGAGGCCAAGACAGGTGGATCACCTGAGGTCAGGAGTTTGAGACCAGCCTGGTCAACATGGTGAAACCCATCTCTACTAAAAAATACAAAAATTAGCTGGGCATAGTGGCAGGCACCTGTAATCCCAGCTACTTGGGAGGCTGAGGCAGAAGAATCGCTTGAACTAGGGAGGTGGTGGTCGCAGTGAGCCAAGACCGTGCCATTGCACTCCAGCCTGGGCGGCGAGATCAAGACTATCTCAAAAAAAAAGGATTTGGTGAGCAGCACATGTGCGTGCTGTCCATGGGGGTGCGTGAAGATCTGGTTTACTTCTTTCCACCGTCACATTACTTACCATAATTGCTGATCCGTTCCCTGTGAATGCGTATTCAGGTTGTTTACCGTTTTCCCTGCGACCAACAGTGCTGCACTGTGTGTCCGTGTCCACGCCTCCGTGCGCGGCGGCCAGGGTCTCTCCGGGATGTGTACTTAGACGCAGAGTTGCTGGGTCAGTTCCACGCAGGCCCAGCTTTGCCAGGGGCTGTCAACCATTGCTTCTCATGGAAAGTCTCAGCAAGGCTATTAAATGAACTCAAAAACTATCTCCCTTATTTTCAGATGAATGAAAAATTCAGTGTTTGTGTAGATGGAGAGGAGCAGAGGAGTGATGGGAAATGTCTCTGGGATTGGACGTCATCAGGTGTGCTAAGACACAGACGGGACTGTTGTGAGGAAGGAGCTTGTGCTCACAGATTTGTAGAAACAGGAGGCACAGCACACGGGGCCACACGGGGAGCACCAGGCTCCAGGGAGCACCACGCTGGGTCAGGAGGCGGAGGGGTACTTGTGGGCAAGAGCCTCGATTGTGGTTTCTGAAAAGAAATGGGCAAGGCAGCATCCGCGGTTTAGGATTGGCTGGTTTGAGTAATTTCCCCAGCCTCTGTGCTATCAGGGTGGTCCCTGGTTGTCCAGTGCTTGGCCCTGGGGTGGTTGGCAGAGGCATATGGCTGCCTGCAGTGTGGAGCCTGGGCCGCCAATATAGCCCTGCACTCCAACCTGCGCTGAGTCATCTCTCCTACACGCTCCAGCCTCCCTCATGTTTTCTTTAGTGTTTCAAAAATGCGAAGCTCAGGGTCTTCGTGCGTGAGATTCCTTCCACCAGGAAAGCTCCTCCTGCCCCTGCTGCGCAGCCGGCCCCTCCTTAAGGTCTTGTAAATGCCTCCTCCTGAGCCGCCTTCCCCAACAGCCCTCATTTAAGCAGCCTCCTTGACTGTAGGTCCGCTGACTGGCTTCCTCCTTGAGAGCACACTCACAGTGCCGGACCGCAGGCACCTCGCCGATGTTCCTGTCCACTTGCTTTTTGTATTGCTCCTTCTCCAGTGAGCTTGGAAGCCTCATGCGGGCAAGGCCTTGTCTGTCTGGTTCTCTGTTGTGTCCTCGGAGCCTGCCACAGTGGCGGCGCTTGGTGGCTTTGACAGGGGACTGGATTGGGTGGAAGGGGCGAGATTAGACCTGGATACAGTGACGTCCTTGTCAGCCATGCCGAGTGCAGAGCGCCTACTGTATTGTAGGCATTTGAAATGAAACGGAGAATGTTTCCCAGGCCGTGCCTAGCAAGGATGCCTGGCAGTCGTGTGAGTGAGTGCTGTGGAGGGGAGCAGTGCACACCCGGTGCTGTCGGGAGCACAGGAAGGGTGCTTGGGAGCAGTGCGGGGCAGGTCAGGGAACCCTTTCTAGGATGTGTGTTGGACAGGCTGATAAACTTCTGTGGAAGGCCGTTATATGCAAGGAGTTCACATCTGGACGGTGACTGGTCCAGCCTTTTAGAGCTCCTTCCAGCTCTGAGATTCTATGCCACGAAAAAAAAAAAAAAAAGGCAGGAAAAGGAAATAAGGAATTTTTTGGTGGGAGTTGCGGCTTTAAATAGGATGGTCCAGTAAGGCCGCACTGAGAAGGCCTTCCCAGTAAAGACTTCATGGGTGCAGAAGAAATTTCCTCAAAGTCTTGGTTTGTGTCTTTGATTTTATTTGTGAGCTTGGAGAAGCTTGAGCAGGGCTTTATTCTGATGTCTCTAATTGTCTTTAATTCAGATTATAGGAATTCTTAAATGTTGACTTGCAGGGTTCGGGAAGCACACCAGATGGAAACCGAAAGTGCTGCCGTTTTGAGCACCTACTCATTGCACACCCTGGGTCCAGGGTGAGTCTCACTCCGTTCAACTCCTCGGCCACAGATCTCCCTGATCTCAGTCAGGATTCTCCAAAGAAGCACAGCCAACAGGATACATAGATGTATAAAAGGAGATTTATGATGGAGAATTTCACTCACGTGATTCTGGGAGCTGAGAAGTCCCATGTTCTGTGTGGCAAGCTAGAGACCCAGGGAAGCCCGAGGCGTGATTCAAACTCAGCTCATGTCCGAAGGCCTGAGAACCTGGGCAGCCGATGGTGGACATCCAGTCCCAGGGCAAGAGAGGATGAGATGTCCAAGCTCCGGCGGCGAGGCAGGAAATGAGGGGTGAACTCCTCCTCCCTCTGCCGTCTGATCTATTCAGGGTCTTGAGGGATTGGAAGGTGCCCAGCCACTTGGGGAGGGCAGTCCACCTTCCTGAACCCACTGTCCTAATCCTAATGTCATCTCGAGCACCCTCACAGACACGCCCAGGAACGGTGTTGCATCAGGCACCCTGTGGCCCAGTTCAGTGAAATTAACATCACAATCTCCGTGGTCCACACCTTCTGGACAAGGGGTCTTTGCAGATGGGCAGACTTAGGCGTGGCCCCAGATTCCCAGATCTCCTAACGAATACGCTGTTTCCTGCTCCTCCAGCTGCACTCTGACAGCTCACATGGGGCGATTGCCTCCATTTCCATTTTCATTTCCTTCACAGATTGGTTTGCTCACCATCCAGCATGTTTGTTTGTTTTTTTTTCCCCACCTGAGAGCTCTCCCGGAATGTCCCCAGCCTCTCCCTCTGGAGGTATAGCAGATATTGTGGTGGCTTCCTGCAAGGAGCGCTGTGCTGGCATCACTCAGTGATGTCCCCTTACGCAAGCTACACTGACTGGGAACTTCTGTTCCCTCTGGGGAAGGGGAGGTAGGAGGAGACTCTCCCCTGGATGCCCCTTAATAACCAGTGAAATTGGTACTATGGGCATGGAGTCATCTATTTTTTAAAATAATTTAAATGAAAACATGACTGTGGAGAAAGCCGGTTTCCTCAAAGCTCATAAATATTTATAGTTTGAAACTTTGTTTCATCTTAGAGCTTGAAAATATAAACTGTAACCTCTTGTTATAGAAGGGGAAACAATTACCTTTTAAAGGTTGCTGGATACCAGGCAGGAGGATCACTTGAGGCCAGGAGTTCAAGACCAGCCTGGGCAGCATAGCAAGACTGTGTGTCTACAAATAAAATTAGCTGGGTATGGTGGTGAATGCCGGTAATTCCCAGCTACTCAGGAGACTGAGCCTGGGAGTTTGAGGCTGCAATGAGCCATGATTGCACCACAGCACAGCAGCCTGGGCGACAGAGCGAGACTCTGTCTCTAAACATAAAATTTTTTTTAAAGTTTGAAAAGTAAAGGTCACTGGATTCTTTTGATTTTATATATGTGTTTATCCTTTATCCTTAAACCTAACAAAAAAGGGGCCAAATAACTGCTTTGTTTACCAACTTTCTCATTAGAGGTGGGGTTTCCTAGGCATCTAGACAGATGCTGAGTTTTATAAATGTAACGTCTGTGCCTTCATGTGGCCCTGGTGAAGCACCATCGTAGAAGGTGGCTGTGACTGACAGGAGCACAAAGCCCCTGATGTGATGTGATGTGATGTGATGTGATGTGATGTGATGTGATGTGATGTGATGTGATGTTATTTTTGAGATGGAGTTTCACTCTTGTTGCCCAGGCTGGAATGCAGTGGCACAATCTTGTCTCACTGCAACCTCTGCCTCCTGGGTTTAAGTGATTCTCCCACCTCAGCCTCCTGAGTAGCTAGGACTACAGGCATGCGCCACCACACCCAGCTAATTTTGTATTTTTAGTAGAGACGGGGTTTAATCATGTTGGTCAGGCTGGTCTCAAACTCCTGACCTCAAGTGGTCCGCCCGCCTCAGCCTCCAAAGGTGCTGGGATTACAGGCGTGAGCCACCGCACCCAGCCTACAAAGCCTCTGATTTTAGCAAAGCACCAAGGCCTAAGGACTCTGCCCGTGTCTTAGCAGCTTTAGAAGGAAAAGCAAGCCAAGAAAAACATTGAGTTATTTACCATAATTCTGAAGAAAAGCAAATGTGAGTCCTTAAGGGAGGAATTCTGACTTTCTTGAAACAGATTAGTTTTTTTCATGGAATTAGTAACACAGGGACTTACTTGCCCGGTTTTAAGGTTTTTGGTGAGGAGTTGCCTGAAACGCAAGTTCTCTTGAGAGTTTTTTCAGGTTTTTGGAGAGGAGTCGCGTGAAACGCGGGTTCTCTTGAGTACTTACAGCCCCTTCCCACTGCCCCTGGGAAAGCTGTGGTGCTGCCTCTCTAGGGAAACAAATAAGCGCTGCTCTGTGCGTGAAAAAAACAGATTTCCTTTCGTTTTATAAGATGGACGGGGACATGGGACTTTTCACTTGGCTCTTAAGGGAGGGGCTTTTTGAGAAGTAGACACTGGTGTCCTGCGTGGCCTGCCGGACTGTCTTTTCAGCTGTCAGCAGAACCCCTCTGAAGGGAGCACCAGTTTCAGCAGCGTCCGTGCCGCAGGGAAGACATGGCAACATCAGAGACCAGCACAGCTGTGGGTGAAACTGGACAGCAGCCCTTGGGCAGCATTGGCGGCTAGGGTTTAACCAGAGCCTGTCAGGGGAAGCGCTTCTGGTTTTGCAATCGTTCTTTACAACCTTACGAAATCTGTGCCGTGTGCTTTCAGGTAAATGGATTTCACTTTGAGGTCCCTTCTCAAATGATTTTTTAAGAAGTCTATATAGTTGGCAAAAATTTGATAAAAGTTACTTCATTGGTCATGACATAAAGTTATCTGAGTAAGAAGAAGCAGCACACTTATTCTCCTGTACCTCTGGAACATGTGAGCACCCTGGTTGTTCTGGGCTTTCTCTGCCAAGGCTGGGAAACTAGAGTTCTGGCAGCTTTGTTGCTCCTTTGTCTTCTGTGTGAGCCGCGGTGTCATCAGCCAGGTCACCCCGCTTGCAGCACAGTCGCTGTGCTCTGGGCATCGGTGGAGCGGGGAGCTCTGGTTGTGCACAGAGGGCCAGGTGTAGATGTTGTGCACAGAAGTCAGCCCCACCCAGGTTAGGCTGAGCCGTCTTCCCTGAACCTGAAATGGTTCGCCTGGAGCCCACGTGTGCACAGCCTGGGGGCTCTGGGCCAGGGTTCCTTGTAGTCTGTATTTCCTTTCCAATTCTGATCTCCTTTTTGCTGCTGGGAGATGAAATCCCCTCACTTGACGACTCAGGAAGCATCTGTTTCTTCTGATTCTTGGGACTTGCCATCTCCAAAGGCTGAGCTGCGGGCCTGGGTGTCCCTGTTGAATGAGAGCGCTCCAGGGCCTCCTTCCACATGTTATCTCATTATCTTTTTGTTTTTTTCTTTCTTTCTTTCTTTCTTTTTTAAGACAGAGTTTCACTCTTGTCACCCAGGCTGGAATGCAATGGCGTAATCATGGCTCACGGCAACCTTTGCCTCCTGGGTTCAAGTGATTCTCTTGCCTCAACCTCCCACGTAGCTGGGATCACAGGCACCTGCCACCATGCTCATACCCACCTAATTTTGTGTTTTTAGCAGAGATAGATAGGGCTTTAACATGTTGGCCAGGCTGGTCTCGACCTCAGGTGATCTGCCCGCCTCAGCCTCCCAAAGTGCTGGGATTACAGAAGTGAGCCACTGTGCCCGGACTTTTCTCATTATCTTGCCAGTGACCGTGAGGTCCATCATTTGGAATCCAACTGTAAAAAAAAAATTATTGACAAAACCCAAGGAGTAAGTTCCTTCTAAAGGCTGTAGCATGGTTTTTGTTAGCAGTATTACTAATACTGTTATTATTTTACTCATTTGCAGTGCTATGGTCTGAATGTGTCCATCTCAAAATTCCTATGTTGAAATCCTAACCCTTAAGGTGCTGGTGTTAGGGGGTGGGGCCTTTGGGGAGTGATGAGATCACAAGGACAGAGCCCTCATGAATGTGATTAGTGTCCTTATAAAAGGGACCTTAATGAGCTTGTATACCCCTTCCACCATCTGAGGACACAGTGAGAAATCACCGTCTAGGAGCCAGAAAGTGGGCCCTCACCAGACACCAGTCTCCATCTTAGAGTCCCAGCCTCCAGAACTGTGAGAAAGAAATCTCTGCTGTTCAAGCCACCCGCCTGTGAGGTTTTGTTATAGCAGCCCAGACTAACACATGCAGCGAACCTGAAATATTCAGCTGCGTACTTCTTAAGCGATCCTCTCCCCTCCTGGGGTTGACCCCTTTCTAATGTCAAACCATTTCCCTCTAAGAAGGTGATTGTAATGATACTAGAAGACTGTTCCGAATTCAGAATGCCTTTAAAGGAGTATCTGTATTGTATTAATCATAGAAATTTTTACTATGAATTTATTACTAAATACTATTTACATAGAATTTATTACAAAGTAATATTTATTACTAACAATACTTACATAATTTTACTATGAATTTATTACTAAGTAATATTTACATTTACATAAATATTTACATATTTACAGATGTGTGAAAATTGCTTCTTCTATTAAACGCTATCAGTCACTTGCAGTTTTAATTTATCCACCACAGTAAAGTAAGCTGTTGTCTTTTTGGCTGATCTTTTCCTGTCAATAGGCTTTTTCATTTTTATTGTACTGTTCCTTGGGGAGCAGGGCTACCCCAAAGGCGGTGTACCCAGAGTAGCCGGCTTTTTAATTTTGTCTTTGACATACGAAAAGGAGGTAGTTTTAGGAGGAATTTTCAGATCCATTGTACAACTAATTTTTTTTTCAAATAAAGTATGGGGCAATATTTATGTATTAATGTCAATAATGAGTCATCATAGGGTGGAATTTCCAATGAAAAATACATTGAAACGCTAATGATGTTTGGTTTGTGTATTTTTTATCAACTTTGGTACAAGACAGATCTAATGACTATCTAATATAAAACACCTGTTACTTGAGTGCTCCTCACTGCAGGTATGAGGTAGGACTGCTGCCCTTACTTTGCGGATGAGGACCTGGGGTCCCTTAGTTCATCCTGCCAACAGGTAGAGCCTCTGCTCTGTGCCGGCCCTGGGGACACGGGTGTGAACAGAGCAGAGCCCTGTCCTTGTGGGGCTTGTGCTCGGTGGGGAGAGAATCATACAGGAGATGCTGAGTGGACTCTGAAGGCGGGTAGCCAGCCGGAAGTGGTCAAGGAAGTAAAGCGAGGATGGAGCGTGGGAAGGATGGGCCTGGGGTGCAGTTTTGGATAAGATGGCCAAGGGCAGGCCACCCTGAGAAGCTTCCCTGCCCCAGTCCTCACTGAGCATTGAGGAAGTGAGCCGTGCGGCTATCCGGGGCAAAGGGTTTCAGTTGTCAGGAACCAGAAGTGCAAAGGCCTGAGGCAGAAGTGAGGATGTGCCTCTTTGAGGACCTGAGTTTTTGCCATGAATGAGATGGGAGCCTTGTAGGGTTTTGAACAAAGCGGGTGATAAGAGCTGACCTAGGCTTAGCAGGCTAACTTGACCACTGGTTTTGACAGTAGACTGAAGGGGACAAGTGTGGACACAAAGCAGCCAATTAGAAGACTTGCCATAATCCAGGTGAGAGATGGTGGTGGCCGGACCCAAGTGAGAGCCATGGGAGCAGCAGGAAGTAGGGAAATTGTAGCTGTCTCTGGAAGGTAGAACCACGGCATTGGCTGACAGGCTGGGCCAGACCTCAGGATGGTGCATCTCCCCTAGCTGCAGGCCGCTGCTGCTCTGTGGGGAGTGAGGTCCTCCTGTGCGGCCCAGGTCCCTCTCCATCCCATCCAAATTCAGGCCCACAGGATGGTCCAGGGTAACCCACAGCACCTGGGCACTCTCCTACTACAGCCAGTGGCCAGCCTGCAGGGACAGACAGCCTCCAAGGCCACAGTCAGCTCGGCCCACACCCTTGCTGATCTGCAGAAGGTGCAGAAGCAGCTTTTCAGGCAGCATGGTAGCAGGGCCTGGGTAGGCCAGCTCTGGCTTAACCCAAGTGCAGGCCGTAAGCACTGAAGGCGCTGCTCTAGGTGGGTGTCGGGTAGCACTACTCATGATGGTCACTGCTTACAGGAGGGAGTTGGGTATGCGTGAGAAGGAAACATGTTCACAGATTCCCGAAAGAGATATTGAAACTTGCAGAGGCCAACTCTGTAATTGCAAATGAAGCATAAATTAAGATTTTCCGTTTAGTTGTCTAAACAGTTACCCATGCAGTCCATAGAAGAGAAGATGGATGCCTGCAGAGCAGGACTTCATTAAGCAGCAGCCTGAGTCCTAAGTGGAGGAAGCGCCCAAAATGATCACGGAGCTTGTGGTACTTTCACCTAATAATTCATCGTAGCTCCTCCACGGGGCACAGAGCGGTTTCTGCGCGAACAGGTTTTTCATGAGCTCAGCGGCTGCTCTTCGGTCGTGTGTGTGCCTAAGGTTGGCCCCTTAATTTGAAACGCTGCAGCGTCTTGTTTAGTGAGGCTGCCTGATGCTGATATTTAATTATTGCCATGTCCAAGTGCGTTTTTGGTGCTGTTGAAGTTACCATTGAGTTTATTTTCTGCAGTAGTAATTTACTACTTAAATTTACTTCTTCCAGCTTTTTTCCATTTGGTCTTATCGCAAGTTTGAACTTTCCTCCAGATAGTCTTAGAGGCAACGGATGAGAACAGTGAGCAAGCTGCTGTGTTATCCTGGCTAGGTTTTTTTTTTTTTCTCTCTTATACCTTATTTTAATGCTCATTAATTCAAAGAGATTTCTGTTTATGGAGACAGTAATTAATAGTAAATCTCCCATCAAATTCAAGGCTCTCTTGATTTTGAAACTTCTAAGAACTCAGGCTAAATGTTTTAAATTGTTCTTTATACCTTCATGAAACGTTTTATTGGAAGTGTTGACTGAGCCTAGTTTTCTTACTGGAAACAAGAGACTAGAAATTCAAACATGTTTGTGAAATTTAAGCATTTTTATTACTAATTGGTACTTTATTACTTATTATTGTATTATAATGGGACTTAGAGGAAAATAAAGTATAAAAATCAGTATAAAAGCTTATTTGAAGTAGAGAAGCCAAATGTCTATTCCATTTTTTCTAATTTTCAGTTGTCAGTATACATACACTAAATTTTCCTCATTTTCAGTTGCTAGTTATCCTGATTTCTCTTTGAGCTGTGGTTTGAGGTCATGACTGCTTAGATATTATTGGAGGACAATTTTCGTGAAGCAAATAGATCAACTAAAAAACAATTTGGGGGAAAATAAAGGAAAATTAAAAGTTATTAAACATAAATGTGTAAATTGGCAGAACCTTTCTGGAAAACAGTTTAGTAATATTTATCAAAACCTCAAAAATGTGTGTATACTTTTTTGACCCAGCAGTTTTATAATTCAACATCTAGGAATTTGTCACAAGAAAATAGCCATATATGTGAAAATAGGGATGTATCAAGGAGTTCCTTGCATCGTTGTTTATTCTTTCCATACACTGGAAAGAATTCCGATGTCCAGCCATAGGGATTACCTCAATCTTAGCATGTCCCACATGTCGGACTACTCTGCAGCCATTACAGATCTTGAAATCTTGAATGACATAGGAAAGTGTTTACGATACATCGCTAGAAAAATTTTAAAGTGTTACAAAATGTTCTGTAAAGAATAAGACAGATAACATTCCTAGATGTTAATAAGTTATTTCTAGATAGTGATATTTTTAAGGATTTAATTTTCTTCTTTATGTATTTCTATATTTCCTCTATTTTTTGCACTAAAAATACACTTTTATAATCAGAAAAAGACAAGTTCTTTCTTCTTTTTTCTTTTTCTTTTTTTTTTTTTTTTTTTTTGAGACAGAGTCTCGCTCTATCCCCCAGGCTGGAGTGCTGCAGTGGTGCAATCTCAGCTCACTGCAACCTCTGCCTCCCGAGTAGCTGGGATTACAGGCACCTGCCACCATGTGCCCACACCCAACTAATTTTTGTGTTTTTAGTAGAGATAGGGTTTCACCATGTTGGCCAGGCTGGTCTCGAACTCCTGACCTCAGGTGATCTGCCTGCCTTGGCTTCCCAAAGTGCTGGGATTACAGGCGTGAGCCACCGCCCCCGACCAAGACAAATTCTTTTAGATATGTTATCCTACAGCAATGCTGTCCAATAGCAAATCGAATGTGAGCCACAAATGTAAGGCACGTGTGTACTTCAGATTTTCTAGTAGCCACATTAAGGAGAAAGAACGAAAGAAAAATGATTTTAATAATAGATTTTATTGAATCCAACATATCCAAAATATTACAATTGCAACATGTAATCAGTATAAACAAAAGAAGTTTACGTGTTCTTTTTGTACTCTTTGTGATCCAGTATGTATTTATAATACCTCTCAGTTCAGCTGGGCCGCACGTCCACTGCTCGGTGGCCCTCGTGGCTGGGACAGAGCCACCATTAGATGGTCTCTTGCTGGGCTGCCAAGATAGCGTAGATGAGTGAGTGTTTTCAGTGTCTGGAGATATTAGACTCAAGTAGTGTCTGAATGCACAAAATGTCTTCTAATGTAGCCAGGCTTAACAGTATATCCCATACTTCCAGATTTTAATTACTATTTTTAAAAAATGTTCTAGAGAATTTCAGAAGTGTTGGGTCCTCAGAGGTCAGCTCAGCTCTGGCTCTAGTCTCCGTGCCTGCTGTAAGCTGCGTGAGAGCAGGCGGCAGCCCAGGCATCTTCTGCCTCCTGCCTGTTCCTCTGCTCCCTTATCTCTCCAGATACTCACAGCAGTGTAGAACAGAGCTGAAAAATCTCTAGCTTGAGCCCGCGCGGTCAAGGCTGCAGTGAGCTTTGATTGCGCCACTGCACTCCAGCCTGGGGGACACAGTGTGACCCTGTCTCTACAAAAAAAAAGAAAATCTCTAGCTTAAACTAAATCGGTCAGGCTTGATAACTGTGTGATTTTGAGCTTCCGCTTTCTCATTTGTAAAATGGGCATAATGCTATTCCTCGCAGAGTTATTTATAAAGACTAAATGAGCTAATGGACAGTGAGTACTTAACACAGTGTCGTTCACATGGCAGGCGCTTAGTCCCATGAACGCAGATTGTTATGGCCTCTCTGAAGCAGCCTTTTGGTTGATAGACTGGCATGAATTTTATGCATGTCTGCATCTGCTTATTTATTTGGCACCTTGGTCGGTGTTTAAAGGCTTTGTGGAAAGGCTCTGGGCCTTTATTTACCACAGTGTGCTGAGGCCCCAGCTTGACCAGGTTGGATCAGGAGGAGGGTTCTAAAGAACACTGCCTGGGGGTGCCACCACCACCATGCGCTGCACACATCATGTTTGATAATCAAAAGCAGCCTTTCTAAAATGAACATTAGCTGCGTATCCTCTTCAATATCTTTTTTTTTTTAATTTATTTTAATAGAGATAGGGTCTCGGTAAGTTGTCCAGGCTGGTCTCCAACTCCTGGGCTCAACAGATCCTCCCGCCTCGGCTTCCCAAAGCGCTAGGATTACAGGCTTAAGCCATCACGCCCAGCTCTCTTCAACGTCTTTAGTGGTAGAAAATGTTGAGTGGTAGCTCTGTGATTCCCAGACCTCACCATGCAATCCAAGATGGCCCCAACGAATGGGCCAAGAATATGTTTAATGAAAACCAACCTAGTGACACTGCCCCCAGAGGACAAAGATTTCACCATTTTCTCACACCTCCTCACACAGTTTCTTTGCACTCTTATCAGTTTTTCACAAAACCCAACTTGTTACTGTTTGGACTTTTGACACTCAGCCCAGTCCTATTGGCTTTGAAGTGGTGGGACCAAGGAAAGCCAGCCTTGTAGCAGGCTCATCTACAAGAGTCTGGCCCAGTGGCACTCAGACCATAGTCCAGAGGAACCCGGTGTATGTACACGCGTGTGTGTTTATGGGTTTATGGGTTTACGCATACACACACACCCGTCTATATATAGCTGTCTCTGCTAAAACAAATTCTTTGAAACACTTACCTTTATTATTTGCAGTCTATTCAGTTAGTTACCAGTATATTCTTTTCCTTTTTAAAATGCCTACTAAATGATTTCACAATGCAGATCCTGACTTGAATTTCGAAAACACTGAATTAGCACATGAAGCTGTTACCTGTTGATAGTGTGTGCAAGCTTTTCCCCCTTAGAATGATATTTTGTGTGTTTGTGTTCTCAAGTTTTGCTGATCTTTTCTGTACTTAAGAGGACGATTTCGTTCCCCCTTGTACTAGTGTTTGTCATGTAGTGAAATTTTTAGTGAAGGGAGATTCCGAGACTTATCCTGACCCCTGGAAGAACAGGAGAGGAAGAAGTTGGTCTGCCCATGGCCATGGCTGGCGGGTGGGGGTTGGGGAGATGATTCCAGGAGTTTCCAGCCTGCTGGCTTGTGAGTTTTGAAATGGAGCCCTGGATTTTCACTTTCCAGTTCAGGAGATCTGGGGAAATCTGGATTGGTTTGGAGTTGTTTTTTTGTTTGTTTGTTTTGTTTTGTTTTGTTTTGGACTTTTAGGAAAACCTTTTCAAGGCAGCTGAAAAAAGCTAATGATGATAATTTGCTTCTCCTATGCCATTCCTAAACCCAGAGTTTTCTCTGCAGTTCCATCTCCTCTTGAGAAGCTTAGCTTGGATTTCCCACTGTCCAACTGAACTAAATTTGTTGAAAACCTACCTAAATGTCACCCCTTCTAAGCCATCCCCTCCTGTGGACCTGACTTGGGAGAACTGGTGGGTATTGTGCTTACACAACAGGGCCCTCACTGCTCTCCGTGCTCTGCAGGTTTGGTGAATTCCTGGTTTTGGATCTCTCCATCTTTTATTGAGAGCACTTGGGGTGAGAGCACTTAGGGGGCTCCTGATCACTCTCCTGCTTTAGCTGCTCCTTCCCTGCCTCCTGTCCCACCTGCCACGGGACCTGCAGGCAGCCTCAGACCTTGCCATTCTCCTTTTCCAAAGCCCTCGATCGTCCCCTTTCTCACACAGACTTCTTAGCTCTCCACAGCCTGTCTGTGAGCGAGGCCTCACCAGCGGTGGCGATTCTGGCTGTCCTCCGACGGTCCTGTCCTTCCAGTTATGGGGCTGGCCTCTGTACTCTGCATCTGAGACTGTCGCTTATCTGCTCGTGCTCTGTCTTGCTGCTACGCTTGTTTTGAAAGTTCTCCCATAGCAGGAGCCAAGTTTACCGCCTTTTGGGTTTTCCCCATTCGTTACCCACCACTTTTCATTGCCTGAGGTGAGCCCTCGGTATAGTCACTGGCAGAGCCAAGAGGGGGCTTTCTTAGAGAAATAATAGGCCTGATCCCGTACGGCAGTGCATTTGTTGCGGAAGGCAAATCCGCGGAGTTATGGTGGGGCCAGGGCTGCGCTGTGAAATGGCAGAGGCTCTGATGGCTGGTTTGACGGCTTACTGCCTCCCTTCGTCAGTTTCTCGCTGACCTTTACACTAAAAGGTATCTTGCACTTCAGTTTTCGAGAGGAACTAAGAGGCGCTGTCTTTGTTTGCTGGATTCATCAATGTAAAGAAATGCATCCTGTTTACACTTCTGGCAGCGTTTCTTTTATTTGGATGGTGGCCAAAGGCAAACAACTCAGCCGAGTGGGTTTTTAAAAAACAGAGCTTTCCAAGTCCACATGCTGTTGCCCGAGTGAACATCCAGAATCTTCAGTTTGTCTTAATGGAACTGTTTCATCTTGTAGAAAAAGGCTCATATTATCTTAAAGCATTTTATGTCTATCGTAGCTTTGGTATTTATTGTGGGAAGATTTTACTAAGGAATGACTAATCTTAAAAGATTTGGTTTGATTAGGGGCTAAACTAACATAATCTATTTTGAAATGAGATAACAGGATTTGCAGTTTTTGGTCTTCATCCAGCAAAATTGAACCCCACCCCCCACCCCCCCAAAAAAAATCTACATCCCCAGCAGAGAGGGAATCTATACTTTGACTAGAAGTTTAAGTTGCTGGATTTATAAGTTGTCTTAAAAATATGCTGTCTGAACAGTTTGAAGTGTGACATTGTATTGAGATGAAGTCATCAAACTGCTTGAGACTTTAACCGTTTATATTTGGGTAACCAAATAAAATGTATGGTTATTCAAACAATTAATACTTCAGTAATACCATTACTGAAAAAAGGATTTTTCTCTTAGCTATTAAAGAGACTTGAATGAGTTGTCGTTCTTATTTATTTTAAGTGTATGTGAGTTTTAGGATTTTCTTGGCTTTTGTGTTTTAGAAAATTGGTCTTTCATTGGAAAAGGACAGGAGTAAGAGGTTTATTATAATATGCCTCCTATACTAGTATTTTACTTTTAAGACTTTAGCAATTCTATATAACAATGGTAAAAGTGTAACTATCAGTTCTGCAAAAGTACGGTAAATACATTATTGTTACAGGCTTTAAACTCCAGAGAGAGCTTACGTCTCTCTCTAAAAAGGAAGAAAAGGGGACTCAGAATTTAGCCAAATGTCCCCAAGTAGAAAACTTCGCTGGAACTCAGATGTGGATTTTCAGAACAAAGTTGGCAGAGAGCAGTTTTTGACTAGAATAAATGTAAAAGGGCAAAAGAGAGACATCTTTTTTTTTTAATGCCTTTTTTCCTTCAAAGGAAGGGAAAATGGACTGTAACTACAAAGCTTACAAAACTACTACTTAACTGTTCAAAGCTCATCAGTAGTTTAGCCACCTTTCTTGTGTTTTGAAAAAGGGAAAGGAGGAGTCTTTTCTTGTGGTTGGGTGCAGTTCATTTGGACCAGCTCCAGCCTGCTTGGGCGGATTGTGCGGTGGGAATAGACTGCTGTTGCATGGGCCAGTTTTGCGTGTGTGTGTTTTTAAGCCAAACCTATGTTCACCCTGATAGTTGGGGAAGGCCTGGTGTGTGCAGTCCTGCAGTCTTCGTAAGTGACCTTTGGCCTTCCAAGTCCTACCTGGCCCCCTGACTTCGTCTTTGACATAAAAATGAAACTTCCTAGGGGTTATTGATTTAACTTCTGAGTGAGATTGTACTCCTTGTGAAGCTAAACTTTTCATTTGTAAAAATAGCACCTGAATAGATACCTGGTGGGTCGGACCCAATTTCTGTATTTGAGTTGGACGAGCAGGGCCTTCCCGGATAGCGGGAGGGTTGGTGACTTGATTGGGAGGGCATGGAGGCTGAAACCCCATCCAAGCCACTGTTGCCAGGCTGGGCCGCATCTGCCTGGATGATGGAGAGCGTTTTTCTGATTTGTACAAAGGCACCGAGACCCTTTGCCCGAGACCTCGCCAGAGAAATCTGTGTGCTACCTTCTCCGTGCCGAGATAGTTTTTGTTGTGCATAGTGGGGAAAAGAGGAATTGCCTTTGTTTCCTTGGGTTCTTGAACCTTTTTGGTTTTGTCCTTTTGGAAAGGCAAGAGTTTGGTGTGGTGTAGTCAAAGGAAGTGGGGAGATGAGGACCCGGAGGAGGAATCACAGTGGGGGAGCCGGGAGGAAGGAAAGTGGAGAGTTTATTCAAGTCACATTTTCCCTCTAGGTAGATTCCAGTCCACCACTGCCACTCGCTCAGATGAACCCACCCTTCGGAAAGCTCCGTCTGAGGCCCACCTCCAGTTAGGGTTTTAGCAAGCCTCCCTTCCCTACTATCTCTTTGCCTTCGGCCTCTGCTAACCCTCCCTCTCCACATCACATCGTTGGAACTTACATTGCCGTGGTCGCTAGTTAACTTTTTAAAAACTTTTTATTTTGAAATAAGTATAGGTTCACAGGAGGTTGCAAAGATAGTACAGAGAGGCAGGCAGTTTTTCCCAGTGGTTATGACAGACATAATTTCAGTATGCTGTTGAAGTCAGGAGACGGGCTTTGGGACACTGTGTGTGGTTGTGCGCCCTTTCCTCACCTGTGTAGGTTTCTGTAACCACCACCACAGTCCAGACCACAAAGATCTCCTCGTGTTGCCCCTTTCTAGTCACTTCTCCCCCTGTCTTTCCCATTACTAACCCCTGGCAACCATGAATCTCTTGTCCATCTCTGTAATCTTGTCACCTCAAGAATGTTATTAAACAGAATCGCATAGTGCGTGATCTTTTGAGACTGACTTTTCGTTTAACATAACATCCTAGAGCTTCATCCAAGTTGTTGCATTTCCGTAGTGAACTCCCATTTGTTGCTGGGTAATGGTCCATGGTATGGTGCACCACAGCTTGCTTCCAGTTTGGGGCTATGATGAACAGAGCTGCTGTGAACATTACAGGGTTTTGTGTGGACTTAGCTTTCAAATTTCTGAGATAAATACCCAAGTACAGCTGCTAGGCTGTATGGGAGTTGCATTTTTAGTAGTTATAAATCCACCCAACTGTTTTCTAGTTTGTGCCATTTGACATTCCCACTAGCAGTGTATGAGAGGTCCGGGGTCTCCGCCTCCTCACCTCCGCTTGGTGTTGCCGCTGGTTGTCTTGGTTTGGTGGTTGGTTTTTTAGCTGCTTTAACAGGTGTACAGCAGTATCTTACTGAGGTCTCGATCTGCTTTTTCCTGATGGCTGGTGATCTTGAACATCTTTTTCACTTGTGTATTTGCTGCCTATATATGTTCTCCAGTGAAATATCTCATCATGTCTTGCCCATTTTCTTTAAAAAATTTTTTTTTTCTCTTCATTTCATTCTGTGACCTGCTGAATTTTGCCCATTTTCTAACTGGATTTGTTTGCTTTTTAAACTGTTGAGTATGTATGTATGTATCTCAGGATCTTGCTCTGTCACCCAGGCTGGAGTGCAGTGGCACTGTCATAGCTCACTGTAACCTCAAACTCTTGGGCTCAAGCTATCTTCATGCCTCAGCCTCCTGAGTAGCTGGAACTATCAGCGTGTGCCACCATGCCTGCCTAATTTGTTTGATATTTTTGTAGAGACGAGGTCTCACTATGTTGCCCAGGCTGGTCTCGAACTTCTGGCCCCAAGTGATCCTCTCCCCTCAGCCTCACAAAGTGTTGGGATTACAGGCGTGAGCTACTGTGCCTGGCCTAACTGTTGAGTTTTGAATGTCCTTGTATATTCTAAATGAGTCCTTTGTCAGATATGGCAGATGTGTGGTTGGCAAATATTTTCTCCCAGTTCATAGCTTCTTTTCAGCCTCTTAAGAGGGTCTTTGGCGGAGCAAAATATTTTCGTTTTCATCAAGTTCAATTTATTGATAATTTTTCTCGTGTGAATCATGTATTTGGAGTCACATCTAAGAACTTTGAGCACACCCTACATCCTGAAGATATTCTCCTATGTTATATATAGTTCTACATTTTGATTTGATTTTGTATAAGCTGTGAGGTTTAGGTCAAGGTTCTTCCCCACCCCCTCCCCCGCTCCCCCCAATTTTCTTTACCTGTGGAAGTCCACTTCCTCCAACAGCGTTTGTTGAAAAGACCAGGCTTCCTCTTTTTAATTGCTTTTGCACTTTTACAAAAATTACCTAGCTGTATCAGGGGCTATCCCTGGGTTCTCTGTTATGTTCCATTGATCTGTGGGTCTGTCACCTCACCAATACCACACAGTCTTGATTATCATAGCTATATAATAAGTCTTAAAATCAGATAGACTGATTGTTCCCACTTTTCTTTTTCAAAGTTGCTTTAGCTAATTTAATGCTTTTTCATATAAATTTTCAAATAATCATATTTATATCTACAAAAGATCCTGCTGGGATTTTATGGAAATTGTGCTAAACCTGTTTATTAATTTAAGGATATTGGTACCGTGTTGAATCTTCTAATTCGTGACCGTGGTATATCTATTAGATTTTGAAAATTTCTTTCCTCAACATTTTGCAGTTTTCAGCACATAAGTCCTACACATATTTTGTTAGATTTATACCTGTTTCGTTTTTTTAGTGATAGTTAGTAGTAGTACATCTTTCATTTCACTTTCCACATGTTCATTGCTAGTATATAGAAAGACAATTGAATTTCGTGTGTTGACATTATATCCTGCAACTATTCTGGATTCATTTGTTTATTCTAGGAGTTTTTTTGGTAGATTACTTTGGGATTTTCAACATAGATCATCTTTTTATCTGCAAATGGGTTTAGTTGTGTGTTTTCTTTTTTTGTGTGTCTAATCTATTTGTTTTCCCCCCTGCTTTTCCTGAGCTGTGTGATCTTTTATTTCATTTTCCTACCTTGTCGCACTGGCTAGAACTTCCAGAACCATGTTGAATAGCAGTAGCAGAAGTAGGCATCTTTGTCTTTTCCTAGTGTTGGAGGGAAAGCATTCAGTCTTTCACATTAATTATGAGGTTAGCTGTATGTTTTTTTGTCAGTGTTCTTTATCAAGTTGAAGCATTTCTCTGTTCCTAGTTTGCAAAGGTTTTTTAAAATCATGAGTGGGTGGTAAGTATTTTTTTTATCCATACATTTGTCTTTCTAGCCAGACTCTGAGTTTCTGGGGGTCAGATACTGCTTCTTAAAGTTTGTTTCCCCCACAAACAAACACACTGAACAAATGTTTGTGGATTGGTAGAACTAGGCATGGTCTCCAACGGCAGACAGACAAGGTCCTGAGGGGAAAATCAGGGAGCATCTCTAACCAGACCGTCCTGGTCAGCTGGGTCTGGAGGAGACTTTCAACTACTCTTTGGTCATCATTACGTCTGACTCAGTGGTTCAAGGCAGAAGTGGAAGTTATAGGCACCAAATTGATGCTGCAGGAGAGAGATGAAGGAGGCAGAATGGATTCATCTGCTCTGCCCTGGGTGTCAGAAATGAAGATTTTTAGGATAAGTGCCAACTAAAAATCATTAAGTTGTACACTTCAAATTGATGAGTTATATGGTACATGGATTATAGCACAGTAAAACTGTTATTTAAAAAGGAAAAAAAAAAAAAGGCCGGATGCAGTGGCTCACACCTGTAATTCCTAGTGCTTTGGAAGGCTAAGGCCAGAGGATCAGTTGAGCTCAGGAGTTTGAGACTAGCCTGGGCAATATAGTGAGACCCTGACTCTACGAAAATCTTAAAATTAGCCGGGCGTAACGAGGCATGCCTGTGGTCCCAGCTCCTTGAGAGGCTACGGGCAAGGATCACTTGAGCCCAGAAGGTCGAGATTGCAGTGAGCCATGTTCATGCCACTGCACTCCAGCCTGGGTGACAGAGCAAGACCCAGTCTCCAAAAAAGGAACATAGATAAGTGCCTAGTGAGCAGGTGACCCTGGTTTTCTCTGTCCTGGAGGATGGGATGCTGCTCTCAGCTGGCCTGAGTCCCTCAGATTGCTCTGAGATGAGAAGGCTTTTCCAGATGGACAGATGTGTACTTGATAGCCTTCTCAGGGCCCTTGACCACTCTGTATACCCCCAGTGTAGACCATACCAGAGAGTATGCAGTGTGCCCCTCAGAAGAACACAGAAGTTCTCATAAACACTGCCTTGCTGATTTCGAAACATTAGTCTAAGGATGGTGGAACAGACCTCCTAACTGCTCAGGGGGTGCTGTTTTTGCTGAGAGAATATTTTCCAAAGGCTGGCTGCATTCCCTAATACTATGTTAGTTATTTCTTCATCCCTTTGACCCTGTTGATGAGGTAAGAAGGGGCAGAACAACATTAACTTTATCTTTAACAATGAGGAAACAAGCAAAAGAATGAAAAGTAGTTTCTCATCACAAACGATGGTGACGTTAAATCTAGAACATGATCCCCTGGCTCCCGTTTTGGTGGGCGGGCTACTTGGCTTGTCGTATTTTAGTCTTTTCCTGTCTCATGACTGCTGACTGCCTGGATTTGTATGTTTTCCCACCCGTTTTAAGCTGGAAGAAGCAGTTGTATCTTTTGGAATAGAGGAGCTGCCAGATTTCAGTGATGATGACAATAGTAGCGCTGGTAGTACTCTTGGCAGTACAGTCATCTCCCGTTATCCACAGCCAGCCGCCAACGGAAAATAGGCGCGGACGGTGATACCACATTTGAGAGACAGAAGGAGAGACCATATTTACTTAACTTTCATGACAGTATATTGTTATAATTGTTGTATTTTATTATTAGCTATTATTAATCTCTTACTGTGCCTAATTCATAAATTAAATTAAACTTTAAAAACAATACAGGTAGGGCTTGGTACCGTTCAGACATCCACTGAGGGTCTTGGAACTTATGCCACGGATAAGGGGTGGAGGCTACTATAGTTGTTGTTAAAACATTGTTTTTTTGGCGGGGAGGCTGAGGCGGGCGGATCAGCTGAGGTCAGGAGTTCGAGACCAGGCTGGACAACATGGTGGAACCCCCCTCTCTACTAAAAATACAAAAATTAGCAGTCCGTGGTGGTCTGTAATCTCAGCTAAAAATAAAAAATTAGCCGGGCCTGGTGGCAGGTACCTGTAATCCTAGCTACTTAGGAGGCTGAGGCAGGAGAATTGCTTGAACCTGGGAGGCGGAGGTTGCAGTGAGCCGAGATCACTCCATTGCACTCCAGGCCAGGGCAAAAAGAGTGAAACTCCATCTAAGAAAAAAAAAAAAAAAAAAGTTGTTTTTTTACTGATACACTTCATTTTCCAGTGAAATTTTCTGAAATTGTTGCCACCTCCTCCCCGCCCAGTTGTCTTTTTTCCAGTAGCTTTGCAAATGAATGATAGCAGAAAGCAGACTTCTTTCTGTGGTGCTTATGTACATCTGTTTTCTTTTTTTTCTTTTTTCTTTTCTTTTTTTTTTTTTGAAACAGGGTCTTGCTCTGTTGCCCAGCCTAGAATATAGTGCAGCAATCATAGATAACCGTAGCCTTGACCTCCTGGGCTCAAGCAATCCTCCCCGCTCAGCTGAGACTACAGGTGTGCCACCACCAAGCCCAGCTGTTTTTAATTTGATTTAATTTTTTGTAGAAGCAGGGTCTTGCTCTGTTGCCCAGGCCGGTCTCAGACTCCTGTGTTCCAGCAGTCCTCCCTCTTTGGCCTCCCAAAGGGGAGGCTCACAGTGTGAGCCACTGCTCTCGGCCATGTGCGTCTGTCTTGGTGAGGTTATACTGCTGAGAGTTAAGACTTTCCACATCACAACAAACAAACCAAGAGACAGACTCAGGCTGCACAGCTCAGAGCTTGTGAGTTTTCTGCGTTATGACAATGGATGCCCATTTTGAGCTTCTCTAGCGTGGTTTAGTCTTTGGAATGCAATTAAATCCTCTCTTCTTTCTTTTATTTTCTAGGGCTCAAGGGTTCTTGTTGATGCACGAGATAAGCTTGGCATTCCTTGGCAGTATTCTGAAAATGAGAAGCATGGGATGTTCCTGATGGCCTTCGAGAACAAGGCGGGGCTGCCTGTGGAGCCGGCCACCTTCCAGCTGTACGTCCCGGCCCTGAGCGCACTCTGGAGGGATTCTGGCATCAGGGAGGCTTTCAGCCGGAGAAGCGAGTTTCAGCTGGTGAGTGAGTAGGCCTTCTTGCTGGGCACCTGATAGTGTGTTTTTTACATGACTATTTTGGACCGTTAGTTGAATTTCCTTAAAAACTGTGTAACAGTCCAAGCAAGCTCTAAATCACCGTAAGTTGTAATGATCAACAACCAAAACACGGGATGGAGGCAGATGCTATATAAAAGGCTCAAGAGGGGAAGGAGCAAGAGCCACTCAGGTAAGATCAATAGCTTTCTTCTGGGAATACGGAGGGTTCTTAGAATCATCAGCATTGGCACAACCCGAGAAATTTAGTTTTTTTTAGAGATCTTGTTCATAGTAGGAAATAACACCCCCCACAACAGCTTCCCACTTTGGACCTGTGGGTATGGGCAACTCACGAACGCCTTCAGATCAGCGCCTCGGAAGCAAATCCAACTCCTCCCAGTTGTTCCCTTCAGATTTGTTCCTTTCGTTTTAAGGTCTAAAAACTTCACAAAGCCCAGTTATTTAGATTCATTTGGGGTCTGAATCTATAACCAGAAAATCTGGGGGGTTTTGCCTGTTTGCTTTTTGTTTTTTTCTACCTTTCAAAATTAACCGTATATAAAGTAAAATGTACAATTTTTCTGATAACCAGCATAAATGTGCACAGCTGATATTAATACACACCCAGGGTATCCAGAAATGCCTCTCACTCTCACAGCCGTTTGCCCCCTTAGCACCCAGAGTCAAGTTGAAGTCATGAATCCTTTGCCGTTCTTATGATTTTGCCATAATACCCATTTATTATTTGTAAACACGACAGTCTTGAGTTTTACTGATTCTTAACCTTCATATAAGTCATTTCTTAGTGTATAGTATATATGCTTCTGTGACTTGCCTTTTTCACTCCACATGTTGGAATTTCATCAGGCGAGGCACATAGCAGCGGTTCTTCCCTTTTCACTGCTGTCTGATGCTCCACTGTGGAAAGATACTAGGATCCATTCCTTCTTTCATTGAGGTACTTTTGAACTGTTTTTCATATTTTGCTATTGGAAACGTCTTTTTTTTTCCTTTTTTTTTTTTTTTTTGAGATGGAGTCTCGCGCTGTTGCCCAGCCTGGAGTGCAGTGGCGCCATCTCAGCTCACTGCAACCTCCACCTCTGGATTCAAGTGATTCTCCCACCTCAGCCTCCCGAGTAGCAGAGACTGTAGGCACCCACCACCACACCAGCTAATTTTTATATTTTTTAGTGGAGATGGAGTTTTACCATGTTGGCCAGGCTGGTCTCGAACTCCTGGCCTCAGGTGATCCACCCGCCTCGGCCTCCCAAAGTGCTGGGATTTCAGGTGTGAGCCACCATGCCCCACCCTATTCATATCTTTTACCCATCCTTTTCCTGCAGAGTAATTTTTATTTTTCTCAATCATCTGAGAGGTGCTATATAGTCTGCTAATAGTCCCCTCAGTTCAATTTCCTTATATTCTTCTCCCAAGTCCCCCTAATGTTAACATCTTAACCACTATACAACTATTAAAACTAAGAAGTTGACATCGGTATGAAAGCATCAATTAACTGTAGACCTTGTCTGAATGTGACCCACCTTTCCTCTTGCGCTCCTGTCCGCTGCTTCCTCTCGCGTCCTGTCCGCTGCTTCCTCTCGCGTCCTGTCCGCTGCTTCCTCTCGCGCTCCTGTCTGCTGGATCCTGGCCTGGAATCCCCCATTGTGTTTAGTCATTGTGTCCCCTTGGTCTCTTGCAGTCCATGATAGCTCCTTGATCTTTCCTTGCCTTTCATGACCTTGACATGTCCAGAGCACTGGCCAGGTATTGTGTAGAATCTTCCTGTTTGGGTTTGTCTGGTATTTTCTCGTCATCAGGATGAGGGGATGCATTTTTTTGGCACAGAAACCGCAGGCGTGCCGTTGAGCCCTGCTCAGATCATCTGATCAGGAAGTGCGTGATATTGTCCAGTGGCTGGTGATGCAAGCCTGGGTTGCTTGGTTGAGGCACTGTTGGCCACCTTTCTCCACTGGGAAGTCAGTATTTTCTCTGTGTTGTTAACACATATCTTAGGGAGATACATTGAGACCCTGCAAATAGCCTGTTTCTCCTCAGGCTTTTGCCTGTAAATGTTAATGTCCTCCAGGGCATCTTAAGGATGACGTTTTTACTAGCCCCTTTCCATCTGCACATTCCTTCTCAAGTTAACTTTAACAGTTAAGGTAAAAGAATCAAAAGAGAGTGGAAGATGTGGTTGCGGTAGAAAGGAAATTTTAATCTCCTAAAGAGCAGGGCTGGAAGAAACAATTGGGAAATACATGTCAGTATCTCAATGTGAAATTGAGGTTTACACCTTTTCCCCATACACTCACAGAGTCTGGGAAAGAAGATTCTCATTCATTTAGAACTTGGATGGAAATTGAGGATTTTCCAAAGAAGGAAGCAGAAGTGTCTGGGGCTGATCGTACTGAGTGAGGCTTCTGTCTGGGATTCGGCATGGTGCAGCAGCTTTGACAGGCTTCTGTCTTTGCCCTGTTCCGTCAGTGCAGGGTGTCAGTGCTGGAAGGGACCTCCCAATTTAGGAAGTCAAGCCCTTGTATTGTCACGACATGGAAGTAAGCCCGTACCAGTTATGCTGTGCCTGAGGCCACATCATCTTGGTAATCACTGTGAGAAATTTGGGCCTCAAAGCCCAGTCTGCTTGTTTCTCCCCTTCTTCACTCATTCATTCATTCATTCTGCATTCATGGATCACCTACTGTGTGAGACCCGGTGCTACATGCTGGGGATATAGCAGTGAAGAAGACCAAACATGAGCCTGTCTCCAGCGAGTGAGCTTTTAATCTAGACGTGCACTTGGCGGGTGATTAGGGTAAGGTGGCCACAGGTGGGTCAGTAGTCGTCCCTTTGGTTCGATCTTATGCTTCAGACCATGAGACTTTGTGAAGATACAGAAAATATACTGTTGTAGTCAGTGATGCATTTGTAAAGTCTGTAATAATCAGATGCAGAGATGATGATGTGAAATTCTTGTTTATTGGGTGGTGGGTGCATGACTGTTATTCCTATACTTTATACATTTGCCCTTCTTTTTATTCTTCAAAAAAAATGATGGAGCATTTTATTAAAATAGCTAGATAGTAGGACCCTAATAGTCGTTGTTGTCAAAATACACAATTACAGCAAAACTGAAAGACCATACCCATCTGAAGTCACCGTTACCAGGGCTCCCTCCCCCACCCCTGCAGTAGACCCTTGTTTCTCTTCCAATCTTTTCCTGAGTGTCAAAGCTTTTCTAGGGCAATGCTTCATCACCTTGTTTTTTGCTTGTCTTTCTTCCCCAGCTGACAGCATTTGACAGTCCCTGTGAAGAGCTGCAGCTGCTTTGAGAATTGCTGTCAGCCAGGTACTAGGCGCCTCCCTGTTCCCTCTGCCGTCTTGCTTTTTCCTGCCATTCCAGTCAGAGATAGAAACAAAAAGAGGAGGAAAAAAGGCTGTGTCTGGTGATTACCTTGTGACGACCCTTTCTCCTCTGAGAGGAGCAGGGTGGGCCGGGGTGGGGGATGGAAATCTTCCCTTTCCATAGGGGAGGCAGCCTGGCCGCCTTCCCCACTGGCCCCTTGCCATGCCTGGCCATTGCTGTCCACTGCTGGTCACAGACAGCAGACACCCCATGAGCATCACTTCTGTGGCTCAGTTAAAAGGAAGATGATCTCGCCATGTTAGACCTTATCTTCCAAAACACAGTTAAGTAAGACAGAGCAGGATGCTCAACAGAAAGACTTTGGTCATCGGTATAACTAATATAAATATTATCTTCTTGTCTGTCCTCTTTTTTAATAAAATAAAATTTAGCATTTTTAAATATAGCTTGCTCATTAACTAATGTGCTTATAATATAGTATGTGGATGATATTGCCTACATACTACAAATGTGGATGAATTATCTACTTTTGAGTATACCATTTATTTCTTTACCTTTTTTTTTTTTTTTTAAAGGGACAATCTTGCTCTGCCTTCCAGGCCGGAGTACACTAGTGTGGTCATAGCTCACTGCAGCCTGGATCTCCTGGGCTCAGGCAAACCACCCACCTCAGCCTACTGAGTAGTTGGGATCACAGGCATGTGCCACCACACCTGGCTAATTTTTACTTTTTCTTTTTCATAGCATTGAGGTCTTACTATGTTGCCCAGGCTAGTCTCAAACTCCTGGGCTCTAGCAATCCTCCTGCCTTGGGCTTCCAAAGTGCTGGGATTACAGGTGCATACCACCAGGCCCAGCCTTGGTGTACCTTTGAATTTTAGGATCTAGTTAATTAGAATGGTATGATATAGATATATCAGTGTCTTTGGTGTGTGGATCCTGACCTGAATGTGACCTGGATTTGTATGTCATAGTCCTCCTTCTGTGCCACGGAAGGGTATTCTTTCAGTGAGTCCTTTCTGTGTGCCAGGCCCTGTGCTGAAGTCAGGTCTCATTTCCTCACATAGCCGGTAGGACAGACAGACATGCAAGCAAATAATTGTTATAAATGTGGTAAGAAATATAATTGAGGTTAGACAAGGTGTTGCGCGCCTGTAGTTCCAGCTATTCGGTGGCTGAGGTAGGAGGTTCACTTGAGCCCAGGAGTTCCAGGCTACAGTGAGCTGAGATCGCGCCACTGCACTGATTGCAGCCTGGGCAACAAAGCGAGACCCTGTCTCAAAAAATATGTAATTGAAAAATAATCAGGCTATGTTAAGCATAAAGGAAAAAAGCAGACAATTCTATCCGGCAGGAGGAGGTCAGAGGTGCTTTGGAGGAGACTTTTCTAAAGGCAGGTAGAATGACCCAGGAGACAGTGCGGAGTGAGGTGGCAGAGGGAGCAGACACAGGCAGGGACTGGGAAAGCAGCCGGCAGGGCAGAAGCTTGCTCAGCCAGAGGCTGCCCTGCAGAGTTGAGCAGGCTTTAGGCAAGAAGAGTATGCATGCACGTGGATGCAAGCACAGAAACCCCAGCTCAAACTGGCTTAACCAGAGGCGCTTTGTGAGCCAAAAACTGACACAGGCGGTAGCTTTATGTGCACTGTGAGCTATTTCTCTGCCCTTTCCTGGGCTTTCCTGGGCTTCTCTGTGCTGGTTCCTTTTTGGCCTGGCTTCCTCTGTGGCTGCAAAATGATGGCAGCAGAATGAGGCCTCACACACACACATCACCACCAGGAGCAAGGAGGGGACCTGGCACATGGCCAGGGAGATGCTGTGCGTGGTTGGTTTAGGCATGGATGAACTCTGGATCCCTGTCCTCACCACTGGAGAAGTAGGGGCCGCCTAACTGGAGCAGTGGGTGGGATGTTGCCACCCGGTCTGTGTGCTGTAAGGTGGGTGCAGGCAGGTCTCAGAGGTCACAGCGTTCTCTGCGGCCACATGTACCAAGCAGTTTGAACTCACCTATGGGGAGTAGTGAGGCACCACTGAGGTGTCAGAGCAGTAAATCACAGATCTGAGTTGCTGTTTTTCCAGAAATCACTGTGACTCATGTAAAAGATGCCTGAAGGGGCCGGGCGCGGTGGCTCACGCCTGTAATCCCAGCACTTTGGGAGGCCGAGGCGGGCGGATCACGAGGTCAGGAGATCGAGACCATCCCGGCTAAAACGGTGAAACCCCGTCTCTACTAAAAATACAAAAAATTAGCCGGGCGTAGTGGCGGGCGCCTGTAGTCCCAGCTACTTGGGAGGCTGAGGCAGGAGAATGGCGTGAACCCGGGAGGCGGAGCTTGCAGTGAGCCGAGATCCCGCCACTGCACTCCAGCCTGGGCGACAGAGCGAGACTCCGTCTCAAAAAAAAAAAAAAAAAAAAAGATGCCTGAAGGGGTCCGGGCACGGTGGCTCACGCCTGTACTTCGGGAGCACTTTGGGAGGCCAAGGCAGGTGGATCACTTGAGGTCAGTTCAAGACCACCCTGGCCAACATGGCAAAACCCCGCCTCTACTAAAAATACAAAAATTAGCCATGCATGGTGGTGGGGCGCCTGTAATCCCAGCTACTCTGGAGGCTGAGGCAGGAGAATCGCTTGAGCCCAGGGATGGAGGTTGCAGTGAGCAGAGATCACGCCACTGCACTCCAGCCTGTGCAACGTGTGTGTGCAACAAGACCCTGTCAGAAAAAAAAAGGGGAGGTAAGATGGGGCAAGGCCGGCTGAGCTCTCCTGGGCTCCATAGAGAGGCAGTGTGGTCATAGCAGGGCAGAGGTAGTCTTGATCCTTACCCTCATGTCCTACTGTTCATCACCCCATCTGCTTCTTTCCTGGCTGCACAGCTCTTTGCTTCCTACCTAGTTAATATCCTCACTATCTAACTTTCCTCCAAACATGGCCTGTGAGCAGGCCGGTAGCATCTTTAGGTACAGAATTGCCTGAATAAGTGGAACTACTTATTGTTTTTCATGACTTACTTTTGAAATTGTGGCCAGTCAATTACATGTAGTAACTAAGTTGTGAATATAAGTTGTGTCTTTTCTTGCTCGGTCCAGAGTGTGCGCTCCTGTCCTCAGCTGCATATGAGCCAGAGGAGGGTGGGGAGGGAGAGCTCCCCTCTTCTTTTAGAGTGACTTCCTAGACGTGCCGTCCAACACATCCTCAGAAGTCTCCTGAACGGGAACACAGTTACCTGGCCACAGCGACAAGGCAGGCTGTGCGGCGTGGACTCACAGCCAGCAAACTGTCCCGGGGAGGAGCTGTTGAGCAGCCTGGGGGAGCCTGGATGGATCCATGGGGTGGCCATGGGAGCAGCTTCCACATATTCTTGGCTCTCTGGTTTTGCTGGCATTTGTTTTTTTTTTTGGAGACAGTCTCGCCCTGTTGCCCAGGCTGGAGTGCAGTGGCACAATCTCAGCTCACTGCAACCTCTGCCTCCTGGGTTCAAGCGATTCTCCCTCAGCCTCCCACGAGCAGCTGGGATTACAGGCGCCTGCCACCATGCCCGGCTAATTTTTTGTATTTTTAGTAGAGATAGGGTTTCACTACATTGGCCATGCTGGTCTCCAACTCTTGACCTCAGGTGATCCTCCTGCCTTGGCTTCCAAAGCTCTGGGATTCCAGGCGTGAGCCATGGTGCCCGGCCCTGGCATTTGTTTTCTCTCTGCCGTGGTAACAGAGTTGAGAAGATGACCACAAATCTGGACTACATTTTCTGCCTTCTTGTGGTTTAGCATAGCCGTGGGACTGAGTGCTGGGCCTTGCTGTAGGGGCGAAATGACACTTACCCCCGGCCTCTCCCCCTTCCCGATGCCTGGCCAGTGTCAAGAATCTGAGCAGTCAGCGTGGACCCACAACGGAAGCGGCCTTCAGCCTATCTTGTTTAAGCCTCTGTGTCTTGGCTTTAGCTCTCACCAACGTAGCTTCCCAGAGTGGCGTTTCCCGGAAAGCTCAGAAGATGGTGGGTGCCTGGGGGAAGGGAGAAGAGTGTTGTAGCTGGAAGAATGGCAAGCGCAGAGGCCCCTAGGCGGGAGCAGGCTTCGTGCTCCAGAGTGCAGCAGGGAGGCTGACGGGAGGTGGGCCAGAGCGGTGGGTGACAGGCGACAGCTCGTGGTGCCTGTGGAGGGGCGCCTGAGGGCTGCCGGAAGGACTTAGGAATTGGTCAGAGGCGTGCTGTGGTTTGACTGACACTTAAATAGGATTGCGTTGGTAGCCATGTTGATAATAAAAGTGAGGGTCCCATGGAGGCTCTTGAAGTAATGTAGGTGACGGTGACGGAGGCGGTGAGCTGCCATCAGTTTCCAGACACCCTAGAACCGGGAGGGATTCACAGGCCACCTCGCCTATTGCTCACACAGCTTCAGGATTGCTGGTGTGTCCGCCCTGAGGAAGAGCGAGCCCCAGGGTTGTTGTGTTCTGTCTGTGGATTTGGGGTGCTTACTGGGGAGCCCACCGCTTGTCTTTGTGAGTACGCCCAGGCTGCCTCTGTGTGTTTGGACCCTGCCCCTGGAGGGCAGAGCAGACAGAGCTGAACCCCGTGTTCATGGTGTCACTCACAGTGGCATCTGGTGTCTTCCTTGCCGGGGGCTTGGCTCTCTGCCAGGAGACATGTTTCAGACCCAGAGTCCCCAGTCTCCCCATGAAGGCCATCACCCATCGTTCCTTCAGGTCTCGAGATGGGCATGGTGGGTTGGGGATGCCCAGAGTCGCCATCTTGAATGGGGCAGGGAGAGGTTATAGCAGCTCAGAGACACCTGCCCCAGGGACAGCATCAGTCCCGGTCTGTGCTGGTCACGGACTAGCTGACTTCTCAAGCATTCGATTAGTGTTTAATTAGTGAAAACTAAAGTCAGCAAATCGCACCAGCCCCTACCAGGTGCATGAGAGGATTTTCCCCATACCTCAGCTATATGGCTTTAGACTTCTATATGCTTAGTCTTCCATAGATAGACAGACAGACAGAGATATAATATGTTTATACGTTTAGTTTTCTGTAAGTTTTGCCAGCTTGGTAAGTCGAACTTTTCATAATCATTGGTTCTTTTCATATGTTTATTGGCCATTTACATTTATTCTCTTCTTAGTTGGCTATTGACATTCTTTGCTGCTTTATTTTTCTTTGGGAATAAGCATCTTTTGATTCGTACCAGTCTTATCGCCAGGCGCCCGTTTTTTCCAACTCCCTTTTCTTTTTTTCAATTTTTCATTTTGAACTAATTACAGATTCACAGGAAGTTACACAGATAGTCCTTGTGTGTGTCACCTGGTCTCCCCCCAATGATGACATCTTACAGGATTATAGCACGGGATGAAAACCAGGAGACTGGCATTGGTGAGCGTGTGCATGTAGTACTGTGTCACTGTATTACATGTGTAACACCACAGTCGAAATACAGAACCATCTCCCACCATGGCCTCCCTCATGCCGCCCCTTTCCAGTGTACCTTCTTTTTAAACGGAATCTCGCTGTGTCACCCAGGCTGGAGTGCAGTGGTGCGATCTCAGCTCACTGCAACCTTCACCTCCTGGGTTCAAGCGATTGTCCTGCCTCAGCCTCCCGAGTAGCTGGGATTACAGGCGTCCGCCACCACACCTGACTAATTTTTTATTTATTTTTTTATTTTTCGTATTTTTAGTAGAGATATGGTTTCGCCATGTTGGCCAGGCTGGTCTTGAACTCCTGAACTCAGGTGATCCACCCACCTCAGTCTCCCAAAGTGCTGGGATTACAGGCATGAGCCATTGTACCTTTTTATTTCTGAGTAGTATTCCCTAGTATGGAGGTACCACAGCTTGTTTATCTGAAAAATGTGTGTGTGTATGCACATACACAATACACTTACACATGAAGAAAAATGTGTGTGTATATGCACATGTACAATACACTTACACATGAAGACCGCATCACTTTTCAGCTCATAGGATAAGTCACAATGTCAGAAATAAGTGAATAATTTCTAGAGAAAATAGAGTTATTTCAGATATTAAACCATCAGAATTTACTTTCTTAGTTTTGGTTTGGTACTGTATATATGTGTGACCGTTTTTAACCTTTCACGCTAAATTAACTTCCATAGTGTGATTCAGAGCTTTCTTAACTGTTACAGTCAGAAGGACCTGAGAAATTCCCCTACCAAATCCTATTTGATATTGACACCGTTTGAGGTCTGAGACTTGAAGAAATTTGCCTGACGTGACAAAGCTAATGAATGACCCAGACAGGCTTGAGAAGAATTTAGAGTAGCCTGGGTAGTCTCATGCTTACTTGGGTGCTGATCCCAGCTCTGGAGCGGGTGGGACACTTGCTTTTCCTCTGGGGTGGCTCTTGCCTGAGGATACAGAAGCAGGAAGCTGAGGTATTTGCTATTCTTGGATCCTGCACTGGTGAGAAACTTAATGTGTTTCTGCCTGTGATGTTGGCCTTTCCCCTTCATTTCATTAATCACGAAGAGTATTATATACTTATAAACCTCTAAAAATCTACTCCTCTAGGGGAAAAAAATGAAGTGTTAAGTATTTTAACATAGATCCTTAAGCCAGTACATAGTGGCCCAGGGTAAAAATGTGTGATGTAATAGAGTTAATAATGAAATACTTTATGTGACAGCAAGACCAGAAACCCTAAAGGAAAATAATGATGGATTTGAATACATAAACGTTTTTAACATTTGTATGGCAAAAGTCAACATAAATTAAGAGTCAAATGACAAATTTGGGGAAAATTGCAACCTATAACAAAGGTGTTTTCTGTATGCTAAAGGAGTGAGAGGGCGCTTGCGAATCAGTACACAAGGGATGCATCCCCAGGAGAAAGCGAAGGAAAGAAGGAAGAGGGTCATCATCCATGCCACTCATTGTGGAAACATAAATTAAAGTCATGGTGAAATAGCTTTGTCAGCTAGGTTGGGAGTGATTTTAAAGAATAATGCTTTGGGCTGATTGGGTCTCAGGAAGTAGGTACTATCATACATAAAAGGTAGGAGTATACAGTGAGGAAGTTCCACAGTTTGTGTCAAAACATAAAGTGTTATTCTATTCTTTGGCAGTAATTCATCGTCCCAGGAATTTATCCTAATATAGTAATTGTAAGATTTCCAGCTTGGCTGGGCATGGTGGCTGATACTTGTAATCCCAGCCCTTTGGTAGGTGAGGCAGGCATATTGCTTGAGTCCAGAGTTCAAGACCAGCCTGGGCAACGGGGCAAAACCCCTTCTCTCCCAAAAATACAAAAAGATTATCCAGGTGTGGTGGCATGTGACTATAGTTCCAACTACTCGGGAAGCCGAGGTGGGAGGATCCCATGAGCCTGGGAGGTTGAGGCTGCAGTGAGCCATGATCACACCATTGCACCTCAGCCTCAGTGACAAAGCAAGACCCTGTGTCAAAATAAAATAATAAAATAAATGTTAAATTTTAAATTAAATAAAATGAGATAAAAATGATTTCCAGCTTCTAGTTATAGTGGACTAGTTATCTAAAGACCTGCTGAAAATAATTTAAAATGCTAGATAAAATGTTAAAAATAAATTTATTAGGCCAGGCATGGTGGCTTACGCCTGTAATCCCAGCACTTTGGGAGGCTGAGGAAGGTGGATCACTTGAAGTCAGGAGTTTGAGACCAGCCTGGCCAATGTGGTGAAACCCTGTCTCTACTAAAAATACAAAAATAAGCCAGACATGGTGGTGGGTGCCTGTAATCCCACCTACTCGGGAGGCTGAGGCAAGAGAATCGCTTGAATCCAGGAGGCGCAGGTTGCAGTGAGCCGAGATTGCCCCACTGCACTCCAACCTGGGGGACAGAGCAATACTACATCTCAAAATAAATAAATAAATAAATAAATAAATAAATAAATAAATAAATAAATAAATGTGTTACAGCCTCTAAGCACTGACAGGATTGTAAAGCACCACCAGGCGAAACCTTACAAGAGCCTGGTGGGAGAAGCAGAGCCTGAGCTGCAGTTTCTGACAG
This sequence comes from Homo sapiens, assembly GCF_000001405.40. Classification (NCBI taxonomy): domain Eukaryota; kingdom Metazoa; phylum Chordata; class Mammalia; order Primates; family Hominidae; genus Homo; species Homo sapiens. The sequence goes on along the minus strand of NC_000007.14, from coordinate 2,783,546 downwards.
ATCTTTTGGGGGTCCCGAAGTGGAGGTGGAAATGAAGTTGGGGGATCTGATAGGAGACTGCCGTGTAATGAATGGGGACCTCAGAGGGTGAGGATGAATGGAAAGGATACGCACAAAGAGGGGACAGCAGAGAAGCAGGGCAGGGAGAGGGAGGAGACAAACTAAATCCCACCCATGGGCCAGCTCCCCGGGAGACCTGTCACCCACATACCTAGCACCATGGCAGTCCAGGCAACCCCTGTGCGATGGATCCAGTTTAAAGTGACACCAAACAGATAACATACCCAAGTGCCTGGTAGAAGCCAACTTTCTCTGGAAAGACACTTTAACCCTAAACCATGGAGATTCCCCACAGATGGTTTCTTAGGGGCAGGGGCATCACAGAGACAGCCAGACTCCCAGGTAGACAACACAGTGCCTGGAACCAGAGGCTGCAGCAGACGGTGGGGTCAGGTCAGACCTACATGCTTCAGATATTGGACTCCGACACCGGTCTTTAAACAGCTGCCCTAACTTGTTTAAAGATAAAAGTTAGAAAACTGGACACTATTTAAAGTGACATGGCATATGTTTAAAAGAACAAACTAGAAATTCTAGAATTGAACATTTAAAACTAAAAAACTCAATGGCTATGTTAGGCAACAAAGTATTAGTAAACTAGAAGAAATAATGGAAGAAAGTATCAAGAATGTAGAGCTGAGAGACAAAAAGGGAGAATATAAAAGGTCAGGAGGAAGGAGGATGGGGTCAGAAGGTGTAATGCACGTTTAACACTGAGTCACAGGAAGAAAAGTCGGGGCAGCACCATGTTTGAAGTGACGGTGGCTGGTAAATCATATCAAACAGTCAAGAAACCCAGTGAATCCCAAGCAAGATTAAAAAAAAAAAACCAAAACACTATAGACATAATAAAACTGCAGAAAACCAAACACAAAGAGGAAAATCTTAAAAGCAGCTACAGAAAAAGGTAGACGTGAACTTTCAAGGAGTGACAGTTTGACAGCTTTCTTCCCAAAAGCTACAGCAGGCGCCAGAAAGAGTGGAATGATATCTCGAGGTGGTGTCTACAAGAGAGCTTAACTCTCAATCTAATTGAGTTTTGTAAAATAGAAGGCAGAACAGAGACATTTCCAAACACAGAGAGTTGATGGGTAGCAAATCCTCCCAACAGGAATCATAGGAACTACACTTGAAACAGGAAGAATGTGATTTCTGATGGAAGGTTTGAAATGTGTAAGAAATAATATGAAGACTAACATCTCTTTTTTCTTTTGTTTTCACTTTTGGTGTCAAAGCTAAGAATTTGTTGCCAAATCCAAGGTTATTAAGATTTACACCTACATTTTCTTTTTATGTTTAAGTTATTTTCTATTTAGGTTTTTGGTAAATTTTGAGTTAATTTTTGTATATGGTTTGAGGTAGGGGTCCAAATCCATTCTTCTACATGTGGACACTCAGTTGTTCTAGCACAATTTGTTAAATGTCTCCTCTTTCCCCATTTAATGGCATTCTTGTTGAAAATCAATTGGCCATAGATATGTGGGTTTATTTCTAGACTCCAAATTCTATTCTCTCAATCTATACATCTATGCTTATGCCAGGAACACATCACTTTGATTACTGTAGCTTTGTAGTAAGTTTTCAAAGTGGGAACTGTGAGTCTTTGAGCTTTGTTTTCTTTTCCTCATTGTGGTTTTGATTTGCGTTCCCTTGAGGAGTAATGATGTCAAGTTGTAGTTGTTATTGATGAAGAATAACATGGACTTGCTCTATCACAGAGATTAGCAAACTTTGGCCTGCAAGCTAAATTTCATGTAGCTTATTTTTGTACGCCCACCCATGAAATAAGATTGTTCTTTACATTTTTCAAGGCTTGAGAAAAAAGAATATACAGTAAAGACAGCTACATGTCTTTAGACCCACAAAGCCTGAAATATTTACCATTTGGCTGTTTACTGGAAAAGTTTGCTAGCCCTTTCTCTAATTATCAGATATTAAGATTTATCTTTTTAAGAACTTCAATACAGTGGAGGTGTTGGTGCAGAATTAGATAAGTAGAGTAGTCAAACCACATAAAGAACAATGAAATTGTACCCTACACACACACACACACACACACACACACACACACACAGACACTTACTTTGAAATGGATTAGAGACCAAATTTGAAAGGCAAAACCATGTATTTAACGTGTGCGTGTGTGTGTGTGTGTATGTATATACACATATATATGAGAGAATCTTCATGATCTTGATGTAGGAGAGAATTTCTTAAAGAACTAAAAGTACAAATCCAAGAGGAAAAGATTAATAATTTGACTCCCATAAAATTAAGAACTGCTGTATATTTTCAAAGATAGCACCAGCTGTGACAGTGAAGTCATTTGCTATCTGTAACCTACAAAGGTGTGAGTATCCAGAAATAGGCAATTCAGTATGAGTTACGGCTTTCAATAGGCACTTCTGAGAAGAGGAGATGATATTATGATATACTCACAGATTTGCAAAAATTAAAACGTGACAATGCCAAGAATTGGCAAGGATGTGGGATGACAGGAACTCTCATACACTGCAGTGCTGGTGGGAACACAAGTTGGTTTCTCTAGTTTGGAAAACAGATGGGTATGATTTACTAAAGTTAAGATATGTGTTTCCAGTGGCTCAGTAATCCCAATCCTAGGTATGAAAAGCCATGTATGTAAATGTTCATAGCATTATATATAATTGAAAAAATCCAAATGTTCCTCAACAGTAAAATGGGTGAGTAAATTGTTTTTTTTTAATTTCTGAATGCTGCAGGAAAAATGAGCAGAGGACAGCTCTCAGCAATATGATCAATCTCACAAACATTATGATGTTGGCCCAAAGATACCAGACACAAAAGAGTACATATAGTGTGTTTACATTCATACATAAGCACATATATAGTGTGATTACATTGAGAATTCAACCACATTGTTGAAGAGTGCATACACAGGAGATAAAACTACTGGAAAGGATACCAGCATCAAGACAGTGGTTGCTTCTAGAAGACAGAGCGAGTGTTTTGATAAGGGTGCTTCTGAGGTGCTGGTTGCAGTCCATTTGTTGACCTTTGTGATTGCTATTTTATCGGTTAGTGCATGTATCTTTTATGCATTTTTCCTATATTGTTATAATTTACAATAATAATTTTAAAAAGGAAAATCAGATCAATATGCAAAGATTATTTGCAAGGATGTTTATTGTATTGCTTATAAAAACAAAAAGGAAACAACCTAATTATTCACTGGTAGGGGTTGGTTGACTAAACTGGAATACTGACCATGTGATAGAATATTGTCCAGCGGTTAGAAAAGCTGAGAGAGAACTCTCTATGTTGACATGGAAAGAAGTCCCTGACGCATCAAGTGAAAAAGTGAGGTAAGTAGCAAAATATATATCCTGTTTCTGTTTAGAAGGGAAAACAGGCATATATATATATATATATATATATATATATATATATATATATGTACACAGAAATGTGTAAAAAACTAGTACGTGGTGTAAGTACATCCACTGAGCTACCTCAGTTGTTCTATTTTTCTTATTTTTATATATGTTTATGAAAACATTCACTTTCTAAATTATTTTTATTTTTAACTGTGGCCAAAACATGTATTATTCGCCAAGCCTGCTGGCTCACTCCTGTAATCCCACCACTTTGGGAGGCTGAGGTGGGCAGATCACATGAGGCCAGGAGTTTGAGACTAGCCTGGCCAACACAGCAGAACCCCATCTCTACTAAAAATACAAAAATTATCCAGGCGTGGTGGTACATGTCTGTAATCCAGCCACTCAGGAGGCTGCAGCATGAGAATCACTTGAACCCCGGAGGCTGAAGTTGTAGTGAGCCAAGATCACACCACTGCACTCCAACCTGGGTGACAGAGCAAGACTCTGTCTTAAAAAAGTTAAAAAGTTTTTAAAAATGAAGTGTTTTTATAATCAGAAAAGGCCATGAGAACAATTTTAGAGTGAATTATAAAAATTACTGTGACAGGAATTTTTTTTTTTTGAGAGTCTCACTCTGTCTCCCAGGCTGGAGTGTAGTAGCGTGATCATAGCTCACTGTAGCCTCGAACTCGCAGGTTCAAGCAATTCTCCCACTTCAGTCTCTCGAGTAACTAGAACTACCGGTGTGCACCACCACACCCAACTTATTTATTTATTTATGAGACAGGGTCTGGCTCTGTCACCCAAGCTGGATTATAGTGGCGCAATCTTGTTTCACTGCAACCTCTGCCTCCTGGGCTCAAGCATTCCTCACGTCAGCCTCCTGAGTAGCTGGGGGACTACAGGCATGCCACCACATCAGGCTTTTTAATTTTTTGTAGAGAAACAGCCATGTTGCCCAGGCTGGGGTCAAACTCCTGGGCTCAAGTGATTCACCCGCCTTGGCCTCCCAGAATGCTAGTATTACAGGCAGGAGCCACCACGCCCAGCCTCAGCTAATTTAATTTTATTTTTTGTAGAGATAGTCTCACTGTGAAGCAGTCTTCTTGCCTCGGCCTCCCATAAAGTTTATGTATTATTCCTGAAAGAAGGCTTACAGTTGAAATAATTCTGGTTAAATATAACGTACCCTTAATCTGAAAGTTTCAAAGGGTGGTAGTATCAACCCCATTCCCCATCCACTTTTACCAGATTTCAACAAATTTAATCAGCTTCCACAAGAACTGAGTAAAGCCCAGGGAATGAGAAGAGCCCTGGACTCTCACCATTTTCGCTACATATTATTGAAGCTTCAGTCCTTAGCTATCAAGGAAGGCGGTATTAATACCCTCCTTTTAGACTGACTCTGAGAGATGTGAAAACATCTAGCACCATGCTTAGCAAGTAGTATTTGTTTACCTACCTGGCTCTCTGATTTTGAATTTCTTTTGTGCTCAGCAGTGGGCTATGAGCTATAGGAGGAACGATTTTCTTCCATTCATCTCCCTGAGAGCCAGGGGTCTGAACTCCTGAAGTAGGGGCCTGTATTACCCAACTTGTGGAGAGATGATCACAATTTAGCCTCCAGCTCTATGTAAGTAGGGAGCTGTTGGTGTGAGTGTCATGGAAGAAATCAGACTTTAACTTGGGTGGTTTTGAATGAAAGATGAAATTCTCAAAAGAGATAGGAGGGAGGTGGCACAGATGGGCTGATGCAATCCATAAGTGGTGATCGGAGACTCAGAAGCCAGCCTGCTCTTGTGAAAAAGCAAGGCCTGCCCTATTCTGGCTGTTCTTAGGAGAGGTTTTGTGAGAATTTTGCGTTTAAGCCAAATGAAATGCTTGATTTATTAAGTTGTTATGACTTTTTTCTTTTCTCTTTTTGAAAAAATTGTGGCGAAATATGCTTTTTTTTAAGTCTCTTCTCACTAAACCTTCTAGCAGACCAGTATTAACAACTGGACACATGTATCCCAGCGAGTCTTTGGAAAAGACTATGCCGCTAAGGCGGCATAGTGTAGCTCGTGTTTGAGCATTTCCTCGGAGACATTCCTGTGATGTGAGTGCAGTTGTGATTTGCTGTTTGGTAAATAGGAGATTGAAAGGCCCTCCTCTTCTGAAGTTGGAAGACATCTTTGCTGGGATCACCAGGGACACCTCACAAGTTTTAGTTGATCTTTTTAAAATTTCCTTGCTTATGAGTTCAAGGTTTAGAAACAAATCTGAGTTTATTTATGAGCCTTTCACATCTGAGTGGGCAGATTCCCCAGGAGTAGTATTTTCATCATGTTTTCTGTCTTAGCTGGAGCTGCCATAACAGTTCCACACACTGTGTGGCTTGAAAACAGACATATATTTTTCACAGTTCAGAGGCTGTGAACCCAAGATCAAGGTGCTGGCCGGTGGGGTTCCTGGTGAGGGCTCTCTTCCTGACTTGCAGACAGCCACCTTCCTGCTGCTTCCTCACATGGTGGAGAGAGAGAGAAGCTCTGATGTCTCTCCGTCTTCTTATAAGGGCACTAATCAGGTCATGCTCCCACCTATGACCTCTTCTAACCCTAATCACCTCCCAAAGACCCCACCTCCAGATACCATCCCACTGGGAATTAGGGATAGGAATTTGGGGAGGCACAGCCATTCCATTCATAACAGTGTTGTGATATTGTGAAGTATACATTTGGTCTTCCTTTCCATTTCCAAACATATAGCTTCGCCCTTTCAGGCATCTGGTATAATTGAACTAAGAGACAATATCATCTCTTGTTTTGAAGCTGCTTTCGAGGTATTAATATACCATTGGATTTCTATCATATGGCCCATTTATTCATTCCGTTACCCTCTGCTACTAGTCCTCCTTTTCTTCATTTATACCCAAGCGTCCACGTTTGAAAGGAGCATTAGGTTCAGTCACTGTGCTGGTCTGGATTGCAGGCAGCAATAACCTAGCCAGTGTCTCCCCTCAGTCCACTCCCATTCAGATAGGGTAGGGCTACACAGGTGCAGGACTAGGGGGCTGTATTTACCACCAGGAAGTACAGCTGCAGTCACCGTGAACCCCAGTTCTCCCAGATGGGGTAAAGGCACAACCCACCCCCATCAGGTCCTTGGAATTCCAGTGTAAGGTTTATTCTTATTTTATTATTGAGACAGAGTCTCTGTCACCCAGGCTGAAGCACAGCTGCACAGTCACAGCTCACTGCAGGCTTGAACTTTCAGGTTCAAGTGATCCTCCCACCTCAGCCTCCCAAAGTCCCTGGATTACAGGCATGAGCCACCTCTCCTGGCCCCGACGTAAGGTTTAAAAACAGTACAGTTTCTTGCTTAGGAACCAGCTCTGCTTCCAGCACTGGGGTTGCAAGACCTGGTCCTAGGATCACTGCACCAAGTGGGAGCAGGGTGGCCAAGCTGAGGTGATGCAAGGAAGGAAGAAAAATGTGTAATCCTTATGCCAGCCTGCTCCTCTCTCGGCAAGAATTGTGTGGTCACACCAGCCTCCTTCCCAGCCCCTCTTTCCCTGATCCACAAAACAGGAACATCGAATGGGGACGTCCTTTAGCCGTTGAATGTGGGCCAGCCCTTCATGCTTTCATCGCCCCTGTCTTAGCCAGGGTTTTAACTCCCCGTTCCGCTGCTCTGTCAGACTCACTCCGAGGAGGATGCGTCTCTGCCCGTTGTTGGACACCGTGGGATGTACAGTGTGTCCCCTGGTCTGAGGAAATGACGGTCGGTGTCCAGATCCGAGCAGTGTCTTCTGTTCTGTTCTTTCTATAGCACTCTGAGCACTGGCCTCTTCCACCAGGCAAGCAAAGCCCAGTCCAGAGTCAGTGTTCACTCTGGTTAAGACCCATTTGTTGGCTGGGCGCGGTGGCTCACACCTGTAATCCCAGCACTTTGGGAGGCTGAGATGGGAAGATCACTTGAGCCTAGGAGTTAGAGACCAGCCTGAGCAAGGATTGCTGAAGCCCAGGAGGTTGAGGCTGCAATGAGCGGTCTAACCTGGATGACAGGGTGAAACCCAGTCTCATAAAAAAAAATCAAAAGACCCATTGTTAGCCCCCAGGGCTATACTTGCCAGCTGTGTCCAGGGCCTTCCCACCAGGGGAGCTGCCCCATAGCCACCGGCAGTTTCTGTCTCTCCAGCTGGCAGGCAGAATGGCTGCATTAAGCCTAGCTGTACGGACCTTTTCCACAGTACGGGTCTGGGCCCTGTGCCCCTGGGTAACCTGTCCAGGTAGTGTGAGGGATGAAGGGAGGGGAGGACTCTGCCAGCTCTGTGGGAGGCTCCTTAGGTGATTCTGAGCCTGGCCTGTATTGAGAGCCACTGATGAGCCTCTGAGGTCTCTTCCACTTGTGACGTGATTCGGAGCCTGGCCCTCTGCTTTAATTCATAGGCAGAGTTTGATGGCAGATATCTTCTCCTAAGAAAGCCCGTCACGTTAGAACAGGCTGTTGGGTAGGACACAGGCGTTTAGTATCCAAGTTTCGCAGATGCCCATAGACCAGGCAGCTCTGTTTTGCTTCTGCGTTTATGAAAAGAGCTGGCAGAGTGCTTCGGCTCCAGGCCTTTTCGAGACACTGGGCACGACGTTCCTCCTGAGCTGCTGTGGCTGAGATAGAAGGGATCAGCAATGGAGGCTTTATTTGCAGATGATTTTCCTCCTCTCGGTTTGTCGTTCCCACTCTTCGTCTTCCAGAACCTTTTTAGACCCCATGACTTCAATCCTCATCACCCAGGACATTCAGGCTGGCTCTGTCTCCTTCCCATCAACTTAATATGACCGTATCTAACCCTAAATGAGGCTGCAAAATTAAAAGCAGCATACTAGCACCAGAGAAAGGATATCTTAAGCCTATTCAAATCAAACCTCAACACCCTGGAAGCTGGCGCAGCGGCTGCCTACAGAAAGGAGAGCTAGGGAGCTGAGACACTGGTTTCTCTAGCGTCCTCCTCCCCTGTTACGAATTTGGTACTCTGTGCATGTATTGTCTATCCAAAAACTTGAAAGATGTTAGTCATCCTCAGTAGAGGGGAAGTAACTCATCACATAGTGAAAAGTCCAAATTGTTTAACTCTTTAAGCCACGTCTGGTGCCACCAAATTGGGAAGGGATGTCGGTAAATTAAATTGTGCAATTCATACTCTTTTGAGAATATTATTAATATTGACTCTCATATCTTGACTGCCTGCTGTGCCAACCACTGTGCATGAGTCAACCCAACCCCAGGTAAGAAGGTGGCTCAGTAACACAGATAGCTGCGTAAATATGTGACAGTGTTTAAAAGGGGGGAAAAACAAGTACCCTGGGCTTTGTACTTATGTTTATTCTTAGACGTGCCTGATTTTATTTACCTTTGAAAGAAGTTATATAAAAAGGAAGACAAACCTGTAAGTGCAAAAGGAATGAAGATTCAGTGACACGTGTTGACTGTAGGTTCTCAAACCTTGTACTTTTTTTGACCCTTATATCATTAAAGCATTCGACACATTAGCAACCTGGACCCCCCCTTTGCCTCGGCAAGCCCATCTCCTGCTCCCCTCCTCTCTGTCACTGCTGCAGGCGCACTGGCCTTCCTGCTGCTCCCTGCACACTCAGGGCCTCCCAGCGCCATCAGGGCCCTTGTGCTTGCTGTTCCTTCTGCCTGGAATGCACTTCCTCCTTTATCTCATCAAGGTTTTGACTCAGATGTTATCTTCATGAAATCTTACCTGACAATCTTGATTAAAGTCAAAACCGCACCCACCACTACCTATTACCTTTCCCTATTTCATTTAAAAAATGTTTTTATTGGAGAATTACATATATATACACACATATATATGCATGCATGTGTGTATATATGCATATACATGTATAGAAATAAAAGTGCATCTATATTAACTCAGTTTTCACAAACTGAGCAGATTGTGTGACCTGCCGCCAGCTCAGGAAACAATGACCTGTGCCCCAGAACCCCTTTCATCTTCACACCACCTTCTGCTCTCCAGAAGTAACCAGTTCTGACCGTGAACACCAGCTGTTCTGTAGAATGGGTATTTCTGCGTTGCTGCTTCATCTGTGGCCTCACACGGTATTTACTCCTGTGTTACTGGCTCCTTCTCGTCGCCATTTCGTTTTGTGCGGTTCTTCCAATTCTGCGGCACGTTCTTCCTTGTTGCTGCATGGTAATTCCATTTTGTGAATGTCCCGCAATTTAGTTCCCTGCCCTCCTGGTGATGGGCGTCCGGGTAGACGCCAGCTCAGCGTCATTACAAAAATGTTACTGTAGGTATTCAAGAACCTGTCTTTTGGTGAAGAGATGTAGGCATTTCCCTCAGGGCTGTCCAGGGGTGGACTTGCTGGGGCATCCAGGTGTGCCTGGGTTCAGTGTTCATGGATTTTTCACAGTGTTTGTATTTGTGCTCTACCAGCAGAGGCCAAGTTCCCATTACTCCACCTCATCACCAGTGCTTGTCCTCTTTTTCAAATAGCCATTCTGGTGGCCGTGTAGAGGTATCTCATTCTGGTTTTGTTTGTTTGTTTATTTTTGAGACTGAGTCTCACTCTGTCGCCCTGGCTGGAGTGCAGTGGTGTGATTTTGGCTCACTGCAGCCTCTGCCTCCCGGGTTCAAGCAATTCTCCTGCCTCAGCCTCCCGAGTAGCTGGGATTACAGATGCCCACCACCACGCCTGGCTAATTTTTGTATTTTAGTAGAGAAGGGGTTTTGCCATGTTGGCCAGGCTGGTCTCAAACTCCCAACCTCAGGTGATCACCCATGTCGGCCTCCCAAAGTGCTGGGATTACAGGCGTGAGCCACCGCCCCCAGCCTTGTTTATTTGTTTTAATTGAAGTATAATTTCTGTGTGCAAAATGCACAAATCTTAGGTGTATACAACACAATGAGATTTACGTATGTATCTACTCACACAGCCACCACCCACGTGAAAGAACATTTCAGCATCCAAGAAAGTCCCTCCCGCTGCTTCCCCATTGATACCACTCCTCCTGGTGACCACGCTAGTTTCACTTCCATCACTGTAGATTAGTGTTTTGCCTGTTTTTGAAGTTTGTTTAAATGGAATCGTTTAGCTGGCTTCTTTGCTTAATGACTGAGAGATTCATCTGTGTTGCTACGTGGATTGGTATTTTCTTCTTTTTTCTTTATAGCCTTCCATTAAATGAATACACCATAATTTATTTCTTCTCCTGTTCACAGACATGGTGTTTGTTTCTCGTTTTTGGCTACTGTGAGTAAAGCTGCTTTGAACATTCTTGGACAGGTCTCTTAATGGATATATGCACTGATTTCTCTTGGAAATATACCTAGGAGTGGGATTGCTGGGTTTGCCAACTATTTCTCCAAACTGGCCGTACTGGTTTATAGTCTCTCCAGCAGTGTGGGACAGTTAGTCCACGTTCTAACCAACACTTGGCATTGTCCTCTTGATTTTAAGCCTCCTGGTGGGTATCAATTGATGTTTTACTTTGCATTTCTAAGTAAGAACTTTCCTGACTAAATAAGTTTGGCACCTTTTTCTTTTTTTTTTTTTGAGATGGAGTCTCACTCTGTTGCCCAGGCTGGAGTGCAGTGGTGCGATCTTGGCTCACTGCAAGCTCCGCCTCCTGGGTTCACGCCATTCTCCTGCCTCAGCCTCCCAAGTAGCTGGGACTACAGGTGCCCACCACCACGCCCGGCTAATTTTTTGCATTTTTAGTAGAGACGGGTTTCACCATTTTAGCCAGGATGGTCTCGAGCTCCTGACCTCGTGATCCGCCTGCCTCTGCCTCCCCAAGTGCTGGGATTACAGGCGTGAGCCACTGCACCCAGCATGTTTGGCACCTTTTGTACATCTGTTGGCCAGTGGGATATCCTCTTCTATAACAGGTTTGTGCAAATCTTTTGCCCTGTTGGGTTGTTGGTCATTTTCTTGGGAATTCTCGATATGAGTCCTTTGTCAGATTATCCGGAATATGTAAAGAACTCTCAAAACTCAAGAAAACAATTTTTTTAAAAGGACAAAAGATTTGAACAAAGAAGAGATTCCTGAAGCAAATAACACATGAAAAGATGCTCAGTCGACGTCATCAGTCATGACACACATGCAGTTGAACACCGTGGTGAGACACCACATGCTCTCCTAGGAGGCTGCCCTTTGGAAGGCGACCACCCAAGGCACAGTGAGGGCGGGGGTGGGAACTCAGGCTCTCACACACCCCTGGTAGAAATGTGAAATGGTACTCCTGCTTTGGAAAAGCGGGGCACTTTCTTAAAAGTTAAACATACAATTATCACATGAGCTAGCCCTTCCACATGTAGATATTTACCAAAGAGAAGTGAAAATATTTGTCCACACAAAGACTTGCACACACATGTTTATGGCAGCTGAACATTGGGAACGTGGCCATCAACAAGCAGATGGATGAACAGACTGGGGTGCACCCTTCTGTGGGGATACTGCTCAGCCAGGAAAGGGAGCACCTGGTAACCTGCAGCATATGGGCGAATCTGGAAAGAATTGTGCCAAGTGCAGGAGGCCACACAAAGAAGGGAGTGTCCTCTAAGATCTGACTTACATGAGAATCTAGAATATGCAGACCAACATGGAGGGATAGATGCCGACCACGGGTTGCCTGGGCAGGAAGGGAGTGCAGGGGAGGGGAAGGGCTGATAAGGCCACAGTGGGAGTTGTTTGGGTGTTTGCTCATGATCTTGGCTGTTATGATGGTCCCACAGCTGTATGCATATGTCAGAAGTCATCAGACTGGGCAAGTTCACTATGTGCGGTTTCGTTTTTTTGGTTTTTTGGTTTTTTTTGAGTGGCAGGGAGTCTTGCTCTGTCGCCCAGGCTGAAGTACAGTGGCGACATGTCAGCTCACGGCAACCTCCACCTCCCAGGTTCAAGCGATTCTCCTGCCCCGGCCTCCCGAGTAGCTGGGATTATAGGTGCCTGCCACCTCACCTGGCTAATTTTTGTATTTTTAGTAGAGACGAGGTTTCGCCATGTTGGTCAGGCTGGTCTTGAACTCCTAACTTCAAGTGATCCACCCACCTCAGCCTCCCAAAGTGCTGGGATTACAGGTGTGAGCCACGGCGCCTGGCCTTTTCTTTGATTTTAATAATTTGGTTTACTAAGTCTGTTCCCTGTCCATTTGCTCTGCAAGGAGTCATCAGAGCCTGGCGCTTGCAGTACCCCCAGGTCCACGTTTAGATGATCTTAAAACATTGCCATAATCTTGCACGATGGCCTTGCACTTAGGCAGTGCCAGTATTCCTATGGTATACAGTGAAGGGGCATTCGGTTTCAGTAACTCTGATTTGTAATCGTCCTACGTGGAAACACAAAGCAACAAGCACAGGATCCCATTAGCTCTGCTGCCCAGTGAAGCATCCATGTTGCTTTGTTTTTGTTTGTTCTTTTTCTTTCTTTCTTTCTGTGTGTTGTTTTGTTTTGTTTTGTTGTTGTTATTGTTGTTGAGATGGAGTCTCACTATGTGGCCCAGGCTGGAGCTCAGTGGCTTTTCACAGGCACGCTTATCGTAGCTCACTGCATCCTCAAACTCCTGGGCTCAAGAGATTTCCCCCACTTCAGCCTCCTGGGTAGCTGAGACTACAGGTGTGCACCACCACGCCTAGCTAACTCTAACTTAATCTAATGCCAACTCCAATGGACAAGCATTGCCCTGTCACAAGCCTAGCTGAACTATGTCAGAATTGAACTCTTTGAGCTTGATATGGTTCTAGAGGCTATTGAGCCTCAATTTGAGCCTAAATTTAAAATTGTGTGATCATTTAATTTAATTTCCAAACGGGACATGTTTATAAATAAAACAAGACCCTATTAAACAATTTTGCCAAGATGATTGACTCAAATTGGGACTCTCCAGGGCAAGTGGGGCATATGGTTATCCTGTTTATAGTATATTATGGCAGTGAACCTCAGTAAAGTCATACATTGTAGGTTTGTTTATTTGTTGCTATCTATGCAGTTGAATAATGTTGAGGATATATTTTATTTTCCTCACAGTACCAGGCCAGTCTATAGCTTGAATTGAATCTTAGCTCTGCATGTCACTATGATCTATTTTATTGTAACTTCCTATTATAAACCTTTAATTTTATAAAAGCAATTTTGAAAAAGTACTTGCCCCCCCATGATTTAAAAAAACAAAAACACTTAGACTTAAAATGTAATGACATATCACTTTTCACCCATCAAATTCAGAAAAAAATTCAATTGATAATATCCAGTGTGTTAAGGGTATAAAGAAGTGGGTATCTTAAACCCTTGTTCATTAGGATATAAATTGGTACAACCTTTTTGGGAGAGAATTTGGCCAGAGCTGTGTTTTTTTTGTTTGTTTGTTTTTGTTTTTTCTGAGACAGAGTCTCACTCTCTCACCCAGGCTGGAGTGCGGTGGTGCGATCTCGGCTCACTGCAAGCTCCACCTCCCGGGTTCGTGCCATTGTCCTGCCTCAGCCTCCTGAGTAGCTGGGACTATAGGCGCCTGCCACCACGCCCGGCTAATTTTTTGTATTTTTTTTAATAGAGACGGGGTTTCACCGTGTTGGCCAGGATGGTCTCAATCTCCTGACCTCGTGATCCGCCGACCTCGGCCTCCCAAAGTGCTGGGATTACAGACATGAGCCACCGTGCCCAGCCGGCCAGAGCTGTTTTAAAAAATTAATATGGATACTCTTTGACCTAGCTGTTCTATTTACAGATACCTAGCTTACAGACATAATTATACATGTCCCAGAAGTGGTGTGCATGAGGATGGTTTCTGCAATGTTGATGGTAGTAGCAGAAATTAAAACTACGTAAATACCTGCCAGTGATGCTGTTTAAGTAGAATACCAGATGGCTATTAGAAGGAATGAAGGTCCACACAGAAACAGCTCTAAGGTGGCTGGGCATGGTGGCTCACGCCTGTAATCCCAGCACTTTGGGAGGCCAAGACGGTTGGATCACTTGAGGTTAGGAGTTCGAGACCAGCCTGGCTACCATGGTGAAACCTTGTCTCTACTAAAAATACAAAAATTAGCTGGGTGTGGTGGTGCACACCTGTAATCCCAGCTACTCAGGAGGCTGAGGCAGGAGAACTGCTTGAACCCAGGAGGTGGAGGGAGCCGAGATCAGCCCGGACAACGGAGCGAGACTCCATCTCAAAGAAAAGGAAATATATCTAAGGCATGGTAAGGGTAAAAACCAACTTGGAAAACAATCAATGTGTAGTAGTTTATCCCATTTATATAAACCAAACAAATCATTAAAGTGTAGATTTCTCCACATACAATATACACATATTAAATACAGAAACAAAGGTAGAAAAGTGTATGCCAAGTTGATAACAGTGATTAATAGTTGTGGGAATGAGTGGGAATGAACTCTCCTTTATCCATAGGTTTACTGTTTTTTTTTTTGTTTTGTTTTGTTTTTTTTTTACCTTGAGAGCATATTCACCTGTTACCTAATTTTATAACTGAATTAATTTTCTAAATGTACGTAACTGCATTATAACCATTTTGAAAGAAAACTTATTAGCATTAGGTTTTACTCTAACCTTTGTTTTCCTGAGTGTTACATCCATGATTTTAAGGGCATGTCTCAGGACTCTAGGATGTGATTTCATTTCACGCAGTCCTCGAATGCAGTTAGTGTTTTTCTGAGTTCTCTGAAGCAGAGAAATACTAGGAAAAACGTAGCTTGCTAAGCCAGGACCTCAAAAAGGAAGGCTACTGATCTTCACTGGATGAAGTGACATGACTTTGAAGCTGAGAGATCCAGGTTTGAATTAGCAATTCCTTAGTCACTACATTTGCTGTATTTAAACTTGGAAAACAGAAACCATTTCCGATCACTTATTTGGCAGCAAAACCTAATCTAACTCAATTTGGACTTGTTTAGTAGCAAAGCCTGGCCTCACATACCCGTGGCCATTTATAGTCTCCATTAGGTCTGTAAGCGGTAGCTCATGCCTGTAATCCCAACACTTTGGGAGGCCAAGGCAGGTGGATAACCTGAGGTCAGGAGTTCGAGACCAGCCTGACCAATATGGTGAAACCCTGTCTCTACTAAAAATAAAAAAATTAGCCAGGCATGGTGGCATGTGCCCGTAGTCCCAGCTACACAAGAGGCTGAGACAGGAGAATTGCTTGAACCCAGGAGGCGGAGGTTGCAGTGAGCCGAGATTGTACCACTGCACTCCAGCCCGGGTGACAGAGTGACTCCGTCTCAAAAACTAAAATAAAATAAAATATAGTCTCCATTAGTACAACTGTTCACACACACAAATCTATGTTATTGTAGAAATATTCTCAGATTTTATTTACGATGAGGATTTGGTAATGCATAGCATATGTACCATGTTATCTTTCCAAAATCTGAAAGTTTCTGAATTCCAAAATATATCTGGTGCTAAGGGTTTAAAGGTTAGGAGTTACAATACAAATGAAGAAGTAAAAAACTTGAAACGCGCCAGCCAAGAGTTGATTTTAAATAAGAAGACAGGGAAACAGTTGTTCTTGTGTGTGAGAGAGGGTACTATAAAGGGTATTCATGTCACAGTTGTTGATGGCAGCAAAACACTGGAAATGCCCCCAGGTGGCTATCGAAAGGGTCACATAAGTGATTGTACATTTATTCAGTGGAATGCAGCATAGCTATTTTTTTTTAAGTACCACAACTCTTATACTGTATACAAAAAATAACTCAAAATGGCTTAAAGACTTAAACATAATCACGAAAACTAAAACTCCTAGAAGAAAACATAGAGGGAAAGCTTCAAGATACTGGATTTAGCAGTGATTTCTTGGGTATGATACCAAAAGCCTAGGCAACAAAAGAAAACATAGACCAATGGGAGCACATCAAATGTAAACATTTTTGTGGGTACAGGGACACAATCAACAGAGTGAGAAGGCAGCCTATAAAACGGGAAAAATATTTGCAAATCATATATGTGAAAAGAGTTAACATTCAGAATGTATGAAGACTCCTACAACTCAACAAGAAGCAAAGTTAAATAACCCAATTAAAAAATGGGCAAAGGGCTTGAATGGACAGTTCTCCAGTGAGGATAAGCAAGTGGCCATCTAGCCTATGCAAAGTATCTCAGTATCCCTGATGGTCAGAGAAATGCAAATCAAAATCACAATGAGATACTACCACACATCCATTAGAATGGCTACTATCAGAAGAAAAACAAAATAACAAGTGTTGGTGAGGAATGGAGAAACTGGAACCCTTGTGCACTGTTGGTGGGAATGTAAAATGGCACAGCCATATAGTAGGAAGAGACCCAGATGCAATCCAATAGTGCCTCCTCGGGGTATTTATCCAGAAGAATGGAAAGCAGGGTCTCAGAGATATTTGCACACCCATGTTTATAGCAACTTTATTCACAATGCCTAAGAGGTGGAAGCTGGCCAGGTGCGGTGGCTCACACCTGTAATCCCAGCACTTTGGGAGACCGAGGTGGGTGGATTGCTTGAGGTCAGGAGTTCAGGACCAGCCTGGCCAACATGGTGAAACCCTGTCTCTATTTAAAATACAAAAATTAGCTGGGCATGGTGGTGGGTGCCTGTAATCCTAGCTACTCAGGAGGCTGAGGCAGGAAAATCGCTTGAACCTGGGAAGCGGAGGTTGCAGTGAGCCAAGATGGCACCACTGCACTCCAGCCTGGCGACAGAGCAAGACTCCGTCTCAAAAAAAAAAAAAAAAAGGCGGAAGCAACCCAAATGTTCATCAATGGATGAACAGGTAAACAGCATGTAGTACATACACACAATGGAATTTTAGCCAGCCTTAAAAAGGAAAGACTGCAGCTAACATACTAGCTACAACAGAGATGAACCTTGAGGATATTATGCTAAGTGAAATAAGCCAGTCGCAGAAGTATGATTCTGCTTATGTGATAACCTGAAGTAGTCAAATGCATAGAAACAAAAAGTAGAATGCTGGTTACCAGGGGCTGGGCAGATGGGGGGAAATGGGAGTTGTTTAATTAGTGCAAAGTTTCACATTTGCAAGATGAAAAAGTTTTGGAGATCGGTTTCACAACAACGTTAATATGCTTAACACCACTGAACTGTGCATTTTAAAATGATTAAGATGGTAAATTTTATGTCAATATGTTTTTTACTACACTTTTTAAAAAAGTGGATGTGGAGCCGGGCGCAGTGGCTCGCGCCTGTAATCCCAGCACTTTGGAAACTTGGGGGGAGGGGAGGGGGGCCCTGGATCACGAGGTCAGGAGTTCGAGACCAGCCTGGCCAACATGGTGAAATCCCCATCTCTACTAAAAAACAAAAATTAGCTGGGTGTATTGGCACACGCCTATAGTCCCAGCTACTCAGGAGGCTAAGACAGGAGAATCGCTTGAACCCAGGAGGCGGAGGTTGTGGTGAGCCAAGATCATGCCATCGCACTCCAGCCTGGGTGACAGAGTGAGACTCTGTCTCAAAAGCAAAAAATAAAAAGAAGAAAAAAAAAAACAAACACAGGATACAGAACTCCCTACCTCGTCTTGCTGGTTTTCTTTACCTTTAATTGAATGTTGGAGTCACAGGATTAGGAAGTGAAGCTCTCAAGTTCACAAAGCACCTGCTCTTCCCTGCGCGCTCATTCATTTAACAAAGTCTTCCTGTTGTAGGCTGGGCGCGGTGGCTCAGGCCTGTAATCCCAGCATTTTAGGAGGCCGAGGCGGGCGGATCACGAGGTCAGGAGATCTAGACCATCCTGGCTAACACCATCTCTACTAAATGAAACCCCATCTCTACTAAAAATACAAAAAAATTAGGCGGGCGCAGTGGCGGGTGCCTGTGGTCCCAGCTACTCGGGAGGCTGAGGCAGGAGAATGGCGTGAACCCGGGAGGCGGAGCTTGCAGTGAGCCGAGATTGCGCCACCACACTCCAGCCTGGGCGACAGAGCGAGACTCCGTCTCAAAAAAAAAAAAAAAGTCAGCCTGTGATTCTTTTTTTCCCTTAGATTTTAATCCAAGTGATTATGAATGTCAAGGATTAAAATTTGGGGGGGTTATTTGGGATTCCCTGGATTCAGATTTCTGAGATTATGCTTCCTTTCCTTTAAGGAAAGGTTTTCATTTTCATTATAATACAAAAAGCAAACTGCTTATTACTTTTCCACCGTACAAAATGCAGTTGACCTACCTCAACGCTTTGTGCATTCACCTGAACAGAAGCATTTTGGATAACTAACGCGTGCTTAAGCCTCTGAGGACCTCATTCACTAAGAGGACGAGGCGGCGCAAGTCCAGCTGTGGTCAGTCTCAGTGTTCCCTTCAGGGTCCGCCGGCTCACGCTGGGAGAATGAGAGGGACTTCAGATGCTGCTTCAGTTCCCAGCTGTGGCTGAAGCTACTGGGTTCACCCAGCTCACCTACAGTTTACAGAGAAATAAAGCAAAACTCAGATGCATTCAGACAGAACCCCACCTCGAGGGCAGCCTCAGCTCTGATGAGACCAGCTGACAGGCCCTGGCTCCCTAAGCCATGGCAGAGGAGATCATTCATTCACATGTCAGAGACAAAGCCCAGGAGTCTGGATTGTGAAGTAAACGCTGAGCCCGACCACAACCACTGTGAATACTGGGCAACTGGGGCGTCTCAGAGGATTCAGGTAATTGAACAAATAGACTTCATACGGAATCTCAACTCTCCTCTGGTCAGCAATATCAGATGTACTTCTGTGTGAATAATAAACCAGACTGCCTGGATGCGGGAGCACACGCCTGGAATCCTGGCACTTTGGGAGGCTGAGATGGGAGGATCACTCCAGCCTAGGAGTTTGAGACCTGCCTGGGCAACATAGTGAGATCCCATCTTTATTAAAAAAAAAAAAAAAAAAGAAATTAGCTGGGGATAGGTGGCACGTGCCCGTGGTCCCAGCTACTCAGGAGGCTGAGGCAGGAGGATCACTTGAGCCCACTTCAGTTTGAGGCTGCAGTGAGCCATGATTGCACCACGGCCCCCTAACCTGGGCAACAGAGTGAGACCCTGTCTCAAAACCAAAATGATAAAAAATACTCAACCAATCAGAGGACACCAGCACAGCAGCCTTAGGAAGACTTCTAGAAAGTATAGGCAAGCCTCACTTTAGGTGCGTACCCTGTTCTCATGCCCCTGTAGTGTTGCTATAGGAAAGAAGGGTGCATAATTGGATTCACTTTAACCAAGACTCTAAAGCAACAGCTCAGCTGAGCTCCTTCTCTCTCCGTCTCCCTCGCTCTCTGCCAGCCATGGAGGCCACTGAGTGGGGATCTCAGTGCAGAGGTCCCGGCCTCGCCTGCCCAGGGAGCTTTCTTGTTCCAGGCGACAGGAAAAGCAGAGCCTGTGGGGGAGGCATTTTGTGCAGGGAAGGCACATTTAGAAGAAGCTTTGGTTTCCTGGACAAGCCCAGGCTTTCTCATTCTTACCAGGGATCTTCCTTAGATGCTTGTCCTTGGGAAGTGTAAATGTGTTCACTGCAGCTCTTTCTGCATATTTTAGACCTTAAAATAATTGTTTTTTGTTTCGAGCTAGCCTTAGATTACAGGACCATTGAGAATTGAGACACTGCTTGGGACATGGACTGGAGCTTCATCCTCAGCCATAGAGCAGCACTGCTGCCGGGGTTGAGGGAGCTCGGGGAGCTTTTCCAGACAAAACCTTTGCTCCAGGCGTTTGGCAGGGCCATAGGAAGAGCTCCTTTGTGGGCTCCCTGAGCTGGAACTCGGCCTTCTCCGCCCGATGAAGCAAACAAACTGTGCCGAGGGCGCACCGGCATTTGTGCCGTCAGCAAGCCGGGCTGTGTCTCAGCCTCACAGCACTCCTCCCACGGGCCTGGGAAGGCAAATGTGTTTTCTGAACTGTGTTGAGACCGTGTGTGTGTGTGTGTGTGTGTGTGTGTGTGTGTGTGTGTTGGGGTGTCTTGTGAAGTCCTGCTAACCTCTTGTCAGCAGAATATTCGAGAAATGCTTCTGAGAAGAGAGAGGAAGATGACTTCAGAGGCTGCTTGTGGTCTCTCACTCAAGGCTGGTAGGGAGCCCCGGTCTGCGTCCTGGAGGAACGGCACGCTGAGTCCTGGGCCAGTGGCCGGCGGGGCTGTTGGCGACCACAGTAGCACACAAGGGCTCTTTCTGAGGAGCAGGAGACCCTGGCACGGGCCCCACGGGAGTGTCTGGGGCGTCCCCGCCTGTGGCCTCTTCTCCCCGCCGCAGCACCAATGGCTCCACGAGCAGGGCTCGGAGCTGGCCCTCTCCTGCTTCGGAGCCGCGCTGACTGGGTGTGTGGCGGATGGGAGGCCGCCCTGAGTGCTCCTCCTCCCTTTTGTACAGCCTGGGTGGAAAGGACGGGCCTGGTGCACTTCCTGCGGGAGGGAGGACATGGGGCCTGCTTCCCTCTGGCGCTCCTCCACCCGGGCAGCGTGGTTTCTTTCCAAATGATTTATCCTCTCATCGTCCTGCCGCTCTGTGCTTCATGGCATTGGGGTCTTATCCGGAAGGGGATTGTCCTTTTTTGGGTTTGTAAATGTAATTTTCAGGAAATGTCATTGGATCTAACTCCAGAATAGAAGGCGTGGTGGAACTGCTTTTGTAGTCCACAGTTAGGCTACTCACACCTCAGGCCCCGCACACGGGTGGGTTCAGAGGCTGGACTTTGGAGTTAAGTAGCGTTTTTGCCCTTGGCCAAGTTAACGTCTAAGCTTTGGTTTCCTCAGTGAGGAAAGTGGGAACCGCCATACCGTGTCTGGATTCGGTGGGATCGTGTGTGTCCAGCAGCAGTCGCGCAGCGCCTGGCGTGAGTGGTGGGTGCACGCCGGCCCCGCCATGTGCACCTTCTGTGACGACCCTAAGTCAGGGTGGTGTTTCCTAGCAGTGCAGAACACGAAGCCCTTACAACTTCTCCTAGAAACGAAGCCTGGGTTGACCCCTCCACCTCAGGGTGAGAGCTTTTGGTATTTTGAGTCAGTATTTTTGGCATGTCTTGTTTTCACAGGTTTCTCTGCCGCTTTCGCTTTTTTCTGGAGGGGCTGGAGGTAGGGACAGTAATGAAGGTAAGGAATGCGGATGGAGCCGCAGTTCTCTGCGAGTGTTCTGTGTGAGTGCTGGGAGGCCTCGGTGAGGTTAGGCTGTGGTGCTGGGTGGACTGGTGGGCGGCTGGACACTCCACATTTTTCCCTTACATTTGGACATTCCGTGGATACGACAGATGGGAAAACTGGACCAGCTGGAAGCCGAATTTTACGTTGTGACCTAAAGAGCTGTTAGGTACTCAGCACTATCCAGGGTATGAAAGCAGCATTAGTTGGTCATCTCTTCACGTTTTAATGAACGTGAAGTGCCGATGCTCTTTTCATTTTCCAGTGGCCCATCTTGTCAACTCTTCATTGTTTTTTAAGCAAATTCAAGGATTCGGTCAAAGGAGAACCAATAGCTGCAAATTGTAAATCCTGTGAAATTGTCTTTGGGTTCCGTCCTGAGAGGCCGGTTCGGGAACGTGCCCTGTGTAAAGTGAGAACTGTTTGTATCCTAGGAATTCGGTAGATGAGGTAGTGACAATTCTGGAGGGCGATGCTGTCCGTTCCAGCTCTTTTTAGTCATCCTGAATTGCATCAGGTTTTAGGAAAAAGTTTCTGGTTTTCTTCTTTATTTGTACTAGGCTTCTGAAATATCTCAAATTCTGCCATGAAGTCAGCCGTCCTTGGGAGTCTGTGTGGCACAGATGTCTGGTTTCAGGGAAATCACAGCTGCCATCTGCGTGCCCACCCCGTGCCTCTAGGCATAGCCAGCAGACGGCTCTGTGAGCATGGGGTGGTGGCTTTGACCTCATAGAAGAGGAAACTGAGACCCAGAGGGGGACTGTGCCATCCACGGCCGGGAGGTAGCAGAGCCGGGGCTGCTGTGCTGGGAGCTTGTTTGCGCAGTGCCGTGCACGGTGGCTCGGTGAGGCGGCCGTGGTTGTCTCCCATCCGCATAACTCTAAGAGGAGCCCCACAGCCGAGAGCCAGACGTGTAGGAAATGCTTTCTATGAGATGCGTGCTACGTTCCTGACTCCGTTTACATGTCATTGTTTTGGGTCTAAAACAACATGCTGTCCCAAAACTACCCATGAACTGTGAGGACTGAGAGCAAGCAACTTCGTCAAGACTGTGGGAAGGACAGGGGGAGCTGGAGTGGGGAAGGTGCCAGCCAGAACCCCCCACTCCCCACCAAAGAAGCCACATTGCTGTGAGGATGTGACAACTTCTGTTCCTCGTGTCACCAGCCTCTTGCAGACAAGCTAACCTCTGGTGACTTGGTAAAGCCACGCAGCTGGGACGGTCCAGCAGTAGGGAGCTCGACGCTGTCCCTAGAGGAAAGATTAGAAATGGTCGTAGCTAAACTTAGCTCTGGATAAGCTGCCTGTAGAAGGAAATGGAGATGGATTTGGAGGGTGGAGGTTGGGAAGGTTTAAAGGGACAGTGACAGGTCTGTCCTGCTTGAGGGATGTGTGTGGAAAGTCTTCACAGGCTCTGGTGCAGTGCTCGTCAGGGACGCCCTGATGTGACGTGGTGCCATAGTCATCTTAGGTCTTTGGAATGAAGAATAGGCTCTGCCCAGAAGGAAGTGAAGCCACGGTGTTGATTTGACAGGCAGAAGGGCCTGGGTGGTTCTCAGGTGCTTACCACAGCGTCCGGGAAAGACCACTGACATTGATTGCTTTGATCTCCTGGGTGATTGGCAGTGAGCCAGTTCAGATCCTCTGACTTGGTGTCCCCCTGGTGTACTGGTAAGGCATTCTATTGAGTCGAGCCTGTGCAGAACACAGCAGGTTGTGGACCTAGGGAGGCAGCGCTGCTGGGAGGCGAGCCTGAGCAGCTCGTGCTGGGGTGTGCCCTCCTGCCTGGACTCTGCACGCGTTGGGTGTGTCTTCAATCTCCACTCCTTCCCCAGGCAGAGGCGGGCGATGGGAAGAAAGCACGTCCATCACGTGGGGCTCTCTTTGTCCACACATCCAAGCTACACATTGCCAACAGAGGCCTTGGAGCTCTTGACCTTCAGTTCCTCAACCTTGACATCCTAGTGTTTTCATATTTTAAAAAATACTTTTAAAACTGAGTGTTCCTGTCATTTTTATGCATTTGTGGTCATGTGACAAAGCCACTGGTGGCTTCCAGCCTACACAGCCTGCTTGGCAGGAGCAGGTGGCAGAAAGCAGGGAGCGGAGCTTTTCAAAGGACCTCAGCTGGCCGTGGGGCTCTGAGACGGGGGCGGACAATCGCATTGGACGGCATCTGCACCCGTTGCAGAAACTGCCTGGAGGGAGCGGCCCAGCCCTAAGGACAGTTTTTTTCATGGCCTTCAGTCTGTGTTTTTTCTCTTTTGCTCTTTTTAAAATTCTGAAGTGTATACATCTCTCTCCTATCCTGTATGACTACAGAAGAGGGTCTGAAAAAATAGGCACAGCGTGAAACAGCATGAACAAACACCTCTGAACCTGCCACTCAGATGAAAAACATCAACAGTAATTCATAAACCCCATGTGAGCCACTACCGCCACCCCAGCGTCACCACTATTCTAGTATTTGGCTAATTATTCCTTTCCTTTTACTTGTCTTTTTACCACCTATTCCTAAACAGTAGTAACTTACCACTTGGGCATGTTATTTAACCACTTTGTCTCAGTCTTCCCATCTGTCACATGGACAGAACAGTAATAACACACCGTGAGTATTGTGAGAATGAAGGTGATATGGGGGAGGCCCTTAGAACAGTGCAGGCACATAGGAAGTGCAAGGTAGGTGTGAGTTCTTACAGCTAGCGCTTTGTTTCCTTTTGCCTGTGTTTTAACTTCATGTAAATAAGGACAGTATAACCATTTTATGACTTATTTCTTCAGCGTTATATTTTGAGATCCATCATGGGGTTTTTATTTTTATTTTATTTATTTATTTATTTATTTATTTATTTATTTATTTATTTATTTATTTTGAGACAGTGTTTTGCTCTGTGGCCCAGGGCTGAGTGCAATGGTGTAATCTCGGCTCATTGCAACCTCCGCCCCCTGGGTTCAAGTGATTCTCCTGCCTCAGCCTCCCCAGTAGCTGGGATTACAGGCGCCCACCACCACGCCCCGCTAGTTTTTGTATTTTTAGTAGAGACGGTGTTTCACCATATCAGGAGGCTGGTCTCGAACTCCTGACCTCAGGTGATCCACCTCGGCCTCCCAGAGCGCTGGGATTATAGGCATGAGCCACCGCGCCCAGCAGAGACCCATCATGTTGATACATGCGGTGATAACCCTCTCATATCCATTCTTCTGTGGTGTTCTATTAGATGAGTAAACTGCACTTGATTATCCACTGAACCAGAGGTGGGCACTGGTGGCTTCCAGCCTAGGGCTGTGACTCTGCTGTTAGGGGCACGCTGCTACACAGGCACCAACCTCTCTAGCACAGGGGTTCCTCCAAGTGTGCTGTGGGGGCCCCCGAGACCCTTTCAGGGGTTCCCCCAGGTTCCTTGAAAGGCTCCCCTGATTAGATCAGGCCCACCAAGATCACCTCCCTTTGGCTTAGCTGAAAGTCGCCCAATCACAGGAGATACGTTCCATCACACTCCAGCTTCCTCCCACGCTGCAGGGGAAGAAATTGCACAGGGCGTGTGTCATTGAGGCTCGTCTTAGAACCCTGACAGCACAGAACACATGAAACTGCTGAGACACTGTCTGCCCTTTACACCCTCTTTCATGTGCAAGCCTGCATTGGAGCTTTTCAGAGGCCACACGACGTATGAGGATGTCATCACTTGGATGGCGAATGAGATAAGTGTTTGCAGAGCCTTGTTTTCTTAAAGTGCTAGGATTACAGTGTGAGCCACTGCACCCGGCCCTAAAGCCTTGTTTTCTTAAAAGCTCTGAGTTTTCATTTCTAATACTGTAAGCATCGATAGTTGGGGAGATGTTGAGTTTTTGGGTTTTTGTCTTTGTTTAAGAATAGGATAGTAAAAATAGAGGGGCTTTCCATAAAGAGCCTGAAGCAACAGCTGCTGACTCATCCTGTTGGTTTTGAGTTAGGGAGTGACTCATCCCCAAGCAAGAGGTTTTCCAGACATTTATTAGGTCTGTAGAGCTTGTGTTCTGTGTTAACCAGGCAGCTACATTTGCAGGGGGAGGGAAGAATCATTCCTTATTATTGCTATTCTGATGTGGGGACAGCGAACAGGAGTCAGAGAACCACTAAGCTATTAAAGGAAAAAATATTTAAGCTGCCATTTAAAAAGTCAGGTTTGAAAAAACACATGTCTTCATTGACTCAGCAAGCGTTCAGTACGTACTAAGTGCAAGAGGTCCCTGGGGCTGAGAATGTGCAGGGAAGATGACATTTTCCTTTATGCTTCATGGTTATTTTGCCCTAAGAAGTACTAAAGGTTTTTTGTTGCTGGATGAAAAGATTACCACCAATTAGCAACTTAAAACGGCACAGATGTAATGATCTCCCAATGTGCTTGGGTCAGCAGCCTGGGCATCCAGAGTTCGCCACGTGCTCTGCTCGGAACCTCGCAGGCTGGTGCACCTGGCCGCGTTCCCATCTAAGGCTTGTCATCCTTTTTCAAGCTCACTGGTACTGGCAGAGTTCATTTCCTTGCAGTCCTCTGACTGATGTCCCATTTTCTTACTAGCTGGCAGCTCCTAGGGGTGCCCTCACTTCCTTGCCACGTGGCTCCTCCTCATAACACGGCTGTGTGCTTTCTTCTAGGTCAGCAGGAGAGCACCTCTTTTAAAAGGCCCACCTGACATGGCGAAACCCTGTCTCTACTAAAACTACAAAAAATTAGCCGGGCATGGTGGCGGGCGCTGCGGTCCCAGCTACTTGGGAGGCTGAGGCAGGAGAATGGCGTGAACCCGGGAGGCAGAGCTTGCAGTGAGCCAAGATCGTGCCACTACACTCCAGCCTGGGTGACAGAGCAAGACTCCGTCTCAAAAAAAAAAAAAAAAAAAAAAAAGGCCCACCTGATTAGATCGGGCCTGCCAAGGTCACCTCCTTTTTTCCCCCGCCTTGGGACAGAGTATCGCTCTGTTGCCCAGACTGGAGTGCCACTGGCACAATCACGGTTCACTGCAGCCTCGAACTCCCCAGCTCAAGAGAACCTTCCACTTCAGCCTCCTGAGTAGCTGGAACTACAGGCATGTGCCACCACACCCGGCTACTTTTTAAATTTTTAATAGAGATGAGGTCTCACTGTGTTACCCAGACCAACCTCAAATGGCCTGGGCTCAAGGGATCCTCCCACCTTGGCATGAGCCACCATACCTGGCCCAAGAGCACCTCCTCTTTGACTAACTTAAAGTAACCAAATCACAAAAGTGATGTTCCATCATATTCTCAGGTCCCTTCCACACTCCAGGGAAAGACAGGGGCGTCTGTCATCGAGGCTCATCTTAGAATTCTGACAGCACAGAAATCTTTTCCTAACCCAAGATCACACAGATCCTCTCCTATGTTTTTGTTTGTTTGTTTGTTTGTTTGAGACAGGGTCTCACTCAGGCTGTAGTGCAGTGGCACGATTGTGGCTCACTGCAGCCTCGACCTCCCGGGCTCAAGAGATCTTCCTGCCTCAGCCTCCTGAGTAGCTGGGACTATAGGCGTGTGCCACCACACCTGACTAATTTTTAAAAATTTTTTGCAGAGATGAGGTCTCACTCTATTGCCCAGGCTGGTCTTGAACTCGTAGGATTATAAATGTGAGCCACCATACCTGACATCCTATGTTTTTTTCAGTCTAGTTTTAGTGATCCAGTTTGAATTAGATTTATATAGGACATAGTTAGAATCAATGTCCTTTTTTGATTTTCTGATCCTCCAAATGAGAGTTTTTTTTAAGTTATGTGCAGATCACCAGTTTTTCCAGCACCATTTGTTGAAAACTTTTCCTTTCCTCATTTGAGTTGCCTTGTCAATTTTTTATAAATCAATTGGCCATATATGTGGGGGCCTGTTTCTGCACTCTCATTTCTATTCGGTTGATCCATATTACTTTTCTTTTGCCGATGATAAACTCTGTCACTTTCTAGCAAGTTGAAAGTTGGTATTATGAAAACGTTGTTCTTCTTTATAAAATGGTTTGTTATTCTGTGGTGTTTTGAAGAGATAAATTTTAAAATGAGCTTGTCAATTTCTACCAAAAAAAATGCCTGCTGGGATTTGTATTGAGACTGGTATTCAATCTAGATCAATTTGGGGAGCATAAACAACAATGTTGAATCTTCCATTTCATGAATATGACATAACTCTCCAATTATTTAGGTTTCAAATTTTTTGCCCAAGTGTTCTTCAGTTTTCAGTAAAGAAATTTTTCACATTTAAAAAAAATTTCCTGTTTTAGCCAATGCAGTAAGGCAAGAAAAGGAAATGCAGGGTAGACATATCAGAGAAAAAGAAATATGACTGTTCCTGTTGGCAGATGGCACAGAAAATCCCAAGGAATCTACCAGAAAAGTCATAGACTAATGAGTCAGTTTAGCAAGGCTACAGGATACAAGATCCATATACAAAATATAAATTTTACTTCTATAGACTAACAATGACCAATAGACACATGGAAACAAATTTAAGATGCAACACCATTAACAGTCATTTTAAAAATGAAATACTGTGGTGTAAATTTAACACAACATCTAGAGGACTTGTTTGATAAGAAGCACGAAACACTCAAGAAATGAGATCTAAACAAATGGAGGGATGTGCCGTGTTCATGGAAAACTCAGTGCTGTCAAGATGTCTGTTCTCCCCTGATTGATACACAGATTTGACACAATTCCTGTGAAAATCGCAGCAAGATCTTTTGTAGACATGGATGTGATTATTGTAAAATGTATGCGGAAAGGCACTGGAATGGCCAAAAATGTTTGAAAAAGAATAAAGTGGGAGGGGCCACTCTCCCTGATTCCAAGGCCTGTTGTCTCCCTGCAGTGGTCAGGCCTGTGTGGTGCTGGCGCAGGGAGAGACACGAGGTCACTGGACAGACCCGTGGATCGCTCCCCGCCAGCACGCCCGACTGATTGCAGCCAAGGGCAGAAGCAACTCAGTGAAGAAGGAGAGCCTTTTCAACAAAGGGTGCTGGACTGTCTCTGTAGGGAAGAAAAAGTGAACCTTGACCTAAATCTCTTATACAAAATTAATTCAAACTGAGTTACAGATTTCAGTGTAAAGCGCAGAACTCTAAAACTTGAGAGAAGATAACAGTAGAAACTCCTTGGGGCCTAGAACTTGGTGAAGAATTCTTAGACATGACGCCCTAGTGATCCGTTGAAATCAAATTTTGAGAAACGGTCATTTTTGTTTCATCAAAATTTGAAATGTTTGCTCTGCAAAAGTCCTCCTTTTGAGGCAGGGTCTCACTCTGTTGCTCGGACTGGAGTGTAGTGGTGTGATCATAGCTCACTGCAGCCTCAGTCTCCTGGGCTCAAGCAGTCCTCTTGTCCCAGCCTCCCCTAATAGCTGGGACTACAGGAACGCAACACTATACCTGGCTAATTTTTTTTTTTTTTTTAAAGTAGAGATGAGGTCTCACTATGTTGCCCAGGTTGGTTTCGAGCCCCTAAGCTCAAGGGATCTTCCTGCCCTGGCCTCCCAAAGTGCTGGGATTACAGGGGTGAGCCACCGTGCCCTGCCCAGATCCTCTTAGTAAGAGGATGAAAAGACAAGCTACAGACTGGGAGAAAAGTATTTGCTGACTACATATCCGACAAAGGACTCATTATCTAGAAAACAGAACTCTCAAAACAATACTCACCAGTACGAAAACAATCCAAACAGAAAATAACAAAACATATGAAGTGATTTCACCAAAGAGGACATGCCGATGGCACATAAGCACGAGAAGACATCCAGCCTCTCCAGCCATTGAGTCACTGCCAATTAAGGGAGATGCAGACTCAGACTGCTGTGAGCTAGCACTACACACCTATTAACACAGATACAATAGAAAATAGTGAAAATAACAAATGCTGGTGAGGATACTGAGAAGCTGGGTCTCATTCATCACTGGTGGGGAGGTAAAAGGGTACAACCGTTCTGGAAAAGAGTTTGGCAGAGAGTAACGCTGAACTTAAGGGTTTAGATGTAGATTCTCTGGTCACTGAGCATATCCAAGTGAACAAAGCACCTAAGATGCGCCGCCGGACCTACAGAGCTCGTGGTCGGATTAACCCATACATGAGCTCTCCCTGCCACATTGAGATGATCCTTACTGAAAAGGAACAGATTGTTCCTAAACCAGAAGAGGAGGTTGCCCAGAAGAAAAAGATATCCCAGAAGAAACTGAAGAAACAAAAACTTATGGCACAGGAGTAAATTCAGCATTAAAATAAATGTAATTAAAAGGAAAAAAAAATTAAACATACACTTATACAGCCCGGCAGTCACACTCCTGGGCATTTACCCTAGAGAAATGAAACTTACATCCACACCACACCTGTACATGAATGTTCACAGAGTTTTATGTGTAATAGCTAAAATACAGAAACAACCAAAATGTCTCTAGATTGGTAAATGGTTAAATAAACTGCGGCACGTTCAGACCATGGAATTCTCCCAGCAGTAAAAAGGGGCAAGCTACTGACAGATGCAACAGTGTGAGCAGATCCCAAGGACATTATGTTGAGTGAAAAAAGCCAACTTCCAAAGGCCACATGCTGCCAGGTGCAGGGGCTCACACCTGTAATCCCAGCACTTTGGGAGGATGGCTTGAGCCCAGTAGTTTAAGACCAGCCTGGACAACATAGCAAGATCCCATCTCTACAAAAAATAAAATTAGCCAATCGTGGTGGCATGCACCTATAGTCCCAGCTACTTGGGAGGCTGAGGCAGGAGGATCATTTGAGCCTGGGAGGAGAGTTTGCAGTGAGCCATGATCATGCCGCTGCATTCCATCCTGGGCAACACAGTAAGACCCTGTCTCTTTTTTTAAAAAAAAAAAGCCGCATGCTGTATGGTTTCACTTTAAGTACACTCTAGAAAAGGCAAAACTATAGGAACAGAAAACAGATCAGTGACTATACATTCTAGAGATGGAAATCAGATTCGTGGTTACCAAGGGATTAGGGATGGTGGAAGAAGGAGGATGGCTGTGATTATAAATTGGTAGCACGAGGGAGACCGTTGTGGTGGGACAGTTGTGTCTCTTGATTGCAGTGGTGGTTACACAAATCTAGACAGGTGACAAAGTGCATGGAACCACACACACATTGTACTAACGTCAGTTCCCTGGTTCTGATATTGTACTATAAGAACAACAGATGTAACCACTGGGGAAAATGCATGGCAGGTCCACCTATACCTCTCTAGGCAATCTTTGCAACTTCCTATGCATCTATAATTATTTCAAGATGAAAAGTTACGGCAAAAAAAAATTCACGTTTCTTAGTACTATTAAAAACGGAATTGCTTTTACAATGTTTAGATTCCATTGGGTTATTGGCAGTATGTAAAACATATACTTGATTTTTGTGTAGTAATCTCTTATCTTGTGAATGTGCTGAACTCACGGATTGATTCTGTTGCTAGCTTTTTTATAGCTTCCTTAGGATTTTGTGTTTGAACAGTTAGGCGATCTGCAGATTGTTTTATTTCTTGCTTTCCAGTCCCTGTGTCTTTTGTTTCATTTGTTCGCTTGCTTGCTGTCTTGCTTTTTGCTGTTAGTCTTTCTAACTTAGCATTGACCAGAAGCAGTAAAAGTGGGCATCCTTGCCTTACACCCAGTGTTAGGGTGAAAGTACTCAGTGGTCCACCATGACTTAGGATGTTAGTTGCATGGTTTTCATAGATGCCCTTTATCAAACTGAGGAAGTTTCTTTCTATTAGTCTGGTGAGAGAGGACTTTTTTTTTAAGCCCTGAGCATGTGTTGAATTTTTTCACATGCTTTTTTTCTGCATCTATTGAAACATTCGTATTTTTTTCTTCCTTATTTTGCTAAAATAGTGGCTGTCTTCTATTGACATTTTTTATGTAGTTAGGTTTAAATTGCTAAAGTTTTGTTAAAGATATTGTGTCTTTTCAAGGGGAGAGTTGGTCTGTAATTTTTCTTTTTTGATAATCTTGTCGGTGTGGGTACCAGGATGATGCTGGCCTCATAAAAGGAGTTGGAAATTATTTCTTCCTCTTTGATTTTCTGAAAAAGTTCACGTTCGTTAGTGTTATTTCTTCTTTACGTGTTTGATAGTGAGGTCATCTAGGCCTGGAGTTTTCCTTTGGGGAAGTTTTGTTGTTGTTTTAGAACAAATCCAGTCTTTTAAAGGCTGTTCAAATTTTCTATTTCATACAGTATCCGTTTTGGGAAATTAAATTTTTTAAAGCAATTTGTCCATTTCGTATAAGATGTCCAATCTGTTAGCATAAAGTTGTTTGGAACATTCTCTTAATACCTGTCAATGTTTGACGGAGCTATAGTATAACTTTTTCATTCCTGATACTGGAGATTTGTTTTTTCTTTTTCTTAATTCCCTTAGGAGGTTATCAGTTCTGTTGACATTTTTAAAGAACCAACATTTGGCCTTGTTAATTGTTTCTATTGCAAAATTCATTTTCCATTTCATTGTTATCTCATCTTTGTTATTTTCTTTCTCCTGCTTACCTTGAGTTTAAAGAGCTCTTCATTAAGCTCTTTGAGGTGGTACCTTTGGTCAGTGATTTTTGATCATTTTTTCTCTTCTATAAGCTGTTTTTTTTTTTTTTCTTTTTTCTTTGAAACGGTCTTGCTCTGTTGCCTATACTGGATTGCAGTGGTGCAGTCTTGGCTCACTGCAGCCTCGGCCTTCTGGGTTGAAGTGATCCTCCCACCTCAGCTCCCCCTGCTGAGTAGCTGGGACTACAAGCATGTGCCAACATACTCGGCTAACTTTGGGGTTTTTTTTGAGAAGATGGGGTTTTACCATGTTGCCCAGGTCTTGAACTCCTGACCTCAACCAGTCCACCTGCCTCAGCCTCCTAAAGTGCTGGGGTTACAAGTGTGTGCCCCCGGGCCCGGCCCTAATATAAGCATGTAAAGCAACAGATTTCTCCCCGAAATGCTGTAGTGGCAACATCTCAAGATAAAAGTGTTGATATTTTAACATTGTCTTGAAGTTCAAAATACTTTCTGATGTACATTGTGAATTCTTCTTGATTTTGGCATGTCTGGGTACCACTCCTGGAGTGTGCATATCTCTCGCTTCTGTTCCCATCTGTCCACCTTTCCATTCGCACCCTCATATTAATCAGTTATTTCAGTTCCCAAGCTGATAACTCTAAAACTTTCGCCATATCCGAATCTGGTTCTGAGGCCTCACTTTGTAACTTCACACTGTGTTTCTTCACACTATGGGACATGCCTGTCCGATAGTCCCCCTTGCTCTTCACACTGTGTGTGTGTCTGTTAACATGCCTGTCCAATAGTCCCCCGTGTCCGTGGCTTCACCTTCCATGGTTTCAGTTACCCGCAGTCAACCGTGGTCCAAAAGGGGATGAATACAGTACAGTGAGACACTTTGAGAGACCACATTCACATAACTTTATTACAGTGTGTTGTTACAATTGTTCTGTTTTATTGTTAACCTTACTCTGCCTAACTTATCAATTAAACTTGACCATAGGTACATGTGTAAAGGGAAAAACAATATAGATAAGGTTGGGTATTATTCAAGGCTTCAGGCATCCACTGAGGTCTCAGCATGTGTCCCCTGAGGATAAGGAGGGGACTCCAGTATTTTTTCTTAAAAGCCAGGCATAACCTATCAGTTGCAGGCTCTGGCATCATCTTCTGTTCCTGGTAAACTGCGATTCTCTGCATTTGCCTGTCTGCCTCTGCAGTTTGGGGGCAGCAGTGTGTCCTGTGATCTCAGCTCTCTGATGGGTCTAAGCAGAGCTGGGACTTGCAGTTTGTTCTCCTTGCCGGTGTCGCTGCTGTGAGGATGGGAGTGACGACTTCCAGGCCCTTTACATGTCAGACCGGAGAGTCTGACTTCTTTGACCTGTGGATTATTCAGAAGTGTGTGGTATAGCATCCTTGCTATGAGTTTCTTCATACTTATCATATTTGGAATTTGTGGAGCTTCTTGAAATCTGTAAATTTATGTCTTTCACCAAATTTGGAAAGTTTTCTGCTTCTAAAAACATTCTCTGCCCCACTCTCTTTGTTCTCTTCTGTGAGATTCCAACTACTTGTGTATTAGGCCTTTAGGAATTGCCCCAAAGATGCCTGCACCTCATTCTTTATCTTTTTTCTCTTTTTGAGATTGGATCATTGGGTCATCTCTATTAATCTAATTTCAGTGGTCACTGATTCTTTCCTCTCTCATCCCCAGTCTCTTATTAAGTTCATCCAGTAAATTTTAAAATTTCAGATGTTGTGTGTTTTAGTTCTAAAATTTCCATTTGTTTTCCACTATGTTTTTTGTGTATCTGATAAGATTTTCTTTTTTTTTATTTTATTATTATTATACTTTAAGTTCTAGGGTACATGTGCACAACGTGCAGGTTTGTTACATATGTATACATGTGCCATGTTGGTGTGCTGCACCCATTAACTCGTCATTTAGCATTAGGTATATCTCCTAATGCTATCCCTCCCCCCTCCCCCTACCCCACAATAGTCCCCGGTGTGTGATGTTCCCCTTCCCGTGTCCATGTGTTGTCATTGTTCAGTTCCCACCTATGAGTGAGAACATGGGGTGTTTGGTTTTTTGTCCTTGCAATAGTTTGCTGACAATGATGGTTTCTAGTTTCATCCATGTCCCTACAAAGGACAAGAACTCATCATTTTTTATGGCTCCATAGTATTCCATGGTGTATATGTGGCACATTTTCTTAATCCAGTCTATCATTGTTGGACATTTGGGTTGGTTCCAAGTCTTTGCTATTGTGAATAGTGCCGCAATAAACACACGTGTGCATGTGTCTTTATAGCAGCATGATTTATAATCCTTTGGGTATATACCCAGTAATGGGATGGCTGGGTCCAATGGTATTTCTAGTTCTAGATCCCTGAGGAATCGCCACACTGACTTCCACAATGGTTGAACTAGTTTACAGTCCCACCAACAGTGTAAAAGTGTTCCTATTTCTCCACATCCTCTCCAGCACCTGTTGTTTCCTGACTTTTTAATGATCACCATTCTAACTGGTGTGAAATGGCATCTCATTGTGGTTTTGATTTGCATTTCTCTGATGGCCAGTGATGATGAGCATTTTTTCATGTGTCTTTTGGCTGCATAAATGTCTTTTTTTGAGAAGTGTCTGTTCATGTCCTTTGCCCACTTTTTGATGGGGTTGTTTGTTTTTTTCTTGTAAATTTGTTTGAGTTCATTGTAGATTCTGGATATTAGCCCTTTGTCAGATGAGTAGGTTGCAAAAATTTTCTCCCATTCTGTAGGTTGCCTGTTCATGCTGATGGTAGTTTCTTTTGCTGTGCAGAAACTCTTTAGTTTAATTAGATCCCATTTGTCAATTTTGGCTTTTGTTGCCATTGCTTTTGGTGTTTTAGACATGAAGTCCTTGCCCATGCCTATGTCCTGAATGGTATTGCCTAGGTTTTCTTCTAGGGTTTTTATGGTTTTAGGTCTAACATTTAAGTCTTTAATCCATCTTGAATTAATTTTTGTGTAAGGTGTAAGGAAGGGATCCAGTTTCAGCTTTCTACATATGGCTAGCCAGTTTTCCCAGCACCATTTATTAAATAGGGAATCCTTTCCCCATTGCTTGTTTCTGTCAGGTTTGTCAAAGATCAGATAGTTGTAGATATGCAGCATTATTTCTGAGGGCTCTGTTCTGTTCCATTGGTCTATGTGTCTGTTTTGGTACCAGTACCATGCTGTTTTGGTTACTGTAGCCTTGTAGTATAGTTTGAAGTCAGGTAGCGTGATGCCTCCAGCTTTGTTCTTTTGGCTTAGGATTGACTTGGCGATGCAGGCTCTTTTTTGGTTCCATATGAACTTTAAAGTAGTTTTTTCCAATTCTGTGAAGAAAGTCATTGGTAGCTTGATGGGGATGGCATTGAATCTATAAATTACCTTGGGCAGTATGGCCATTTTCATGATATCGATTCTTCCTACCCATGAGCATGGAATGTTCTTCCATTTGTTTGTATCCTCTTTTATTTCCTTGAGCAGTGGTTTGTAGTTCTCCTTGAAGAGGTCCTTCACATCCCTTGTAAGTTGGATTCCTAGGTATTTTATTCTCTTTGAAGCAATTGTGAATGGGAGTTCACTCATGATTTGGCTGTTTGTCTGTTATTGGTGTATAAGAATGCTTGTAATTTTTGTACATTGATTTTATATCCTGAAGTTGCTTATCAGCTTAAGGAGATTTTGGGCTGAGATGATGGGGTTTTCTAGATAATATACAATCATGTCGTCTGCAAACAGGGACAATTTGACTTCCTCTTTTCCTAATTGAATACCCTTTATTTCCTTCTCCTGCCTGATTGCCCTGCCTAGGACTTCCAACACTATATTGAATAGGAGTGGTGAGAGAGGGCATCCCTGTCTTGTGCCAGTTTTCAAAGGGAATGCTTCCAGTTTTTGCCCATTCAGTATGATATTGGCTGTGGGTTTGTCATAGATAGCTCTTATTATTTTGAGATACGTCCCATCAATACCTAATTTGTTGAGAGTTTTTAGCATGAAGGTTGTTGAATTTTGTCAAAGGCCTTTTCTGCATCTACTGAGATAGTCATGTGGTTTTTGTCTTTGGTTCTGTTTATATACTGGATTACATTTATTGATTTGCATATGTTGAACCAGCCTTGCATCCCAGGGATGAAGCCCAACTTGATCATGGTGGATAAGCTTTTTGATGTGCTGCTGGGTTTGCTTTTCCAGTATTTTATTGAGGATTTTTGCATCAATGTTCATCAAGGATATTGGTCTAAAATTCTCTTTTTTGGTTGTGTCTCTGCCAGGCTTTGGTATCAGGATGATGCTGGCCTCATAAAATGAGTTAGGGAGGATTCCCTCTTTTTCTATTGATTGGAATAGTTTCAGAAGGAATGGTGCCAGCTCCTCCTTGTACCTCTGGTAGAATTCGGCTGTTGAATCCATCTGCTCCTGGACTTTTTTTGGTTGGTAAGCTATTGATTATTGCCTCAATTTCAGAGCCTGTTATTGGTCTATTCAGAGATTCAACTTCTTCCTGGTTTAGTCTTGGGAGGATGTATGTGTCGAGGAATTTATCCATTTCTTCTAGATTTTCTAGTTTATTTGCGTAGAGGTGTTGATAGTATTCTCTGATGGTAGTTTGTATTTCTGTGGGATTGGTGATGATATCCCCTTTATCATTTTTTATTGCATCTATTTGATTCTTCTCTCTTTTCTTCTTTATTAGTCTTGCTAGCGGTCTATCAGTTTTGTTGATCTTTTCAAAAAACCAGCTCCTGGATTCATTAATTTTTTGAAGGGTTTTTTGTGTCTCTATTTCCTTCAGTTCTGCTCTGATCTTAGTTATTTCTTGCCTTCTGCTGGCTTTTGAATGTGTTTGTTCTTGCTTTTCTAGTTCTTTTAGTTGTGATGTTAGGGTGTCAATTTTAGATTTTTCCTGCTTTCTCTTGTGGGCATTTAGTGCTATAAATTTCCCTCTACACACTGCTTTGAATGTGTCCCAGAGATTCTGGTATGTTGTGTCTTTGTTCTCGTTGGTTTCAAAGAACATCTTTATTTCTGCCTTCATTTCATTATGTACCCAGTAGTCATTTAGGAGCAGGTTGTTCAGTTTCCATGTAGTTGAGCGGTTTTGATTTCTTAATCCTGAGTTCTAGTTTGATTGCACTGTGGTCTGAGAGACAGTTTGTTATAATTTCTGTTCTTTTACATTTGCTGAGGAGTGCTTTACTTCCAACTATCAAGTGGTCAATTTTGGAATAGGTGTGGTGTGGTGCTGAAAAGAATGTATATTCTGTTGATTTGGGGTGGAGAGTTCCGTAGATGTCTATTAGGTCTGCTTGGTGCAGAGCTGAATTCAATTCCTGGGTATCCTTGTTAACTTTCTGTCTCGTTGATCTGTCTAATGTTGACAGTGGGGTGTTAAAGTCTCCCATTATTATTGTGTGGGAGTCTGAGTCTCTTTGTAGGTCACTCAGGACTTGCTTTATGAATCTGAGTGCTCCTGTATTGTTTGCATATATATTTAGGATAGTTAGCTCTTCTTGTTGAATTGATCGCTTTACCATTATGTAATGGCCTTCTTTGTCTCTTTTGATCTTTGTTGGTTTAAAGTCTGTTTTATCAGAGACTAGGATTGCAACCCCTGCGTTTTTCTGTTTTCCATTTGCTTGGTAGATCTTCCTGCATCCCTTTATTTTGAGCCTATGTGTGTCTCTGCACGTGAGATGGGTTTCCTGAATACAGCACACTGATGGGTCTTGACTCTTTATCCAATTTGCCAGTCTGTGTCTTTTAATTGGAGCATTTAGCCCATTTACATTCAAAGTTAATATTGTTATGTGTGAATTTGATCCTGTCATTATGATGTCAGCTGGCTATTTTGCTCGTTAGTTGATGCAGTTTTTTCCTAGCCTTGATGGTCTTTACAATTTGGTATGTTATTGCAGTGGCTGGTACCAGTTGCTCCTTTCCATGTTTAGCACTTCCTTCAGGAGTTCTTTTAGGGCAGGCCTGGTGGTGACAAAATCTCTCAGCATTTGCTTGTCTGTAAAGTATTTTATTTCTCCTTCACTTATGAAGCTTAGTTTGGCTGGATATGAAATTCTGGGTTGAAAATTATTTTCTTTAAGAATGTTGAATATTGGCCCCCACTCTCTTCTGGCTTGCAGAGTTTCTGCCAAGAGATCAGCTGTTAGTCTGATGGGCTTCCCTTTGTGGGTAACCTGACCTTTCTCTCTGGCTGCCCTTAACATTTTTTCCTTCATTTCAACTTTGGTGAATCTGACAATTATGTGTCTTGGAGTTGCCTTTCTCAAGGAGTATCTTTGTGGTGTTCTCTGTATTTCCTGATTTTGAATGTTGGCCTGCCTTGCTAGATTGGGGAAGTTTTCCTGGATAATATCCTGCAGAGTGTTTTCCAACTTGGTTCCATTCTCCCTGTCACTTTCAGGTACACCAATCAGATGTAGATTTGGTCTTTTCACATAGTCCCATATTTCTTGGAGGCCTTGTTCGTTTCTTTTTATTCTTTTTTCTCTAAGCTTCTCTTCTCACTTCATTTCATTCATTTTGTCTTCCATCACTTATACCCTTTCTTCCAGTTCATCGCATCGGCTCCTGAGGCTTCTGCATTCCTCAGGTAGTTCTCATGCCTTGGTTTTCAGCTCCATCAGGTCCTTTAAGGACTTCTCTGCATTGGTTATTCTAGTTATCCATTTGTCTAATTTTTTTTCAAAGTTTTTAACTTCTTTGCCATTGGT
The DNA here is from genome assembly GCF_000001405.40 of Homo sapiens. Taxonomy (NCBI): domain Eukaryota; kingdom Metazoa; phylum Chordata; class Mammalia; order Primates; family Hominidae; genus Homo; species Homo sapiens. The sequence goes on along the minus strand of NC_000007.14, from coordinate 2,744,741 downwards.
TCGAACTTCCTCCTGTAGCTCAGAGTAGTTTGATTGTCTGAAGCCTTCTTTTCTCAACTCGTCAAAGTCATTGTCCATCCAGCTTTGTTCCGTTGCTGGTGAGGAGCTGCGTTCCTTTGGAGGAGGAGAGGTGCTCTGATTTTTAGAGTTTCCAGTTTTTCTGCTCTGTTTTTTCCCCATCTTTGTGGTCTTTTCTACCTTTGGTCTTTGATGATGGTGACGTACAGATGGGTTTTTGGTGTGGATGTCCTTCCTGTTTGTTAGTTTTCCTTCTAACAGACAGGACCCTCAGCTGCAGGTCTGTTGGAGTTTGCTAGAGGTCCACTCCAGACCCTGTTTGCTTGGGTATCAGCAGCGGTGGCTGCAGAACAGCGGATATTGGTGACCCACAAATGCTGCTGCCTGATCGTTCCTCTGGAAGTTTTGTCTCAGAGGAGTACCCGGCCGTGTGAGGTGTCAGTCCGCCCCTACTGGGGGGTGCCTCCCAGTTAGGCTACTCAGGGTCAGGGACCCACTTGAGGAGGCAGTCTGCCCGTTCTCAGATCTCCAGCTGCGTGCTGGGAGAACCACTACTCTCTTCAAAGCTGTCAGACGGGGACATTTAAGTCTGCAGAGGTTACTGCTGTCTTTTTGTTTGTCTGTGCCCTGCCCCCAGAGGGGGAACCTACAGAGGCAGGCAGGCCTCCTTGAGCTGTGGTGGGCTCCACCCAGTTTGAGCTTCCCGGCTGCTTTGTTTACCTAATCAAGTCTCGGCAATGGTGGGTACCCCTCCCCCAGCCTCGCTGCTGCCTTGCAGTTTGATCTCAGACTGCTGTGCTAGCAATGAGCAAGACTCCTTGGGTGTAGGACCCTCCGAGCCAGGTGCGGGATGTAATCTGGTGTGCCGTTTTTTAAGCCTGTTGGGAAAGTGCAGTGTTAGGGTGGGAGTGACCCAATTTTCCAGGTGCTATGTGTCACCCCTTTCTTTGAGTAGGAAAGGGAATTCCCTGACCCCTTGCGCTTCCCGAGTGAGGCAGTGCCTCGCCCTGCTTCGGCTCGCGCACAGTGCGCTGCGCCCACTGTCTGGCACACCCCAGTGAGATGAACCCGGTACCTCAGTTGGAAATGCAGAAATCACCCGTCTTCTGCATTGCTCACGCTGGGAGCTGTAGACCGGAGCTGTTCCTATTCGGCCATCTTGGATCCTCCCTGACCTCTGATAAGATTTTGTGTATCTTTATTCAACATGAGCATTTTTAACCTAATTGAGCCTAATTATAATAGCTGCTTTAAAGTCTGTGTCAAGCCATCCCAGTATCTGGGATATTTGAGTTGATAACTTCTGATTGTTTTTGCCCCTGATGATGAATATCTTCCATATTTTGAATAATTTAATTATATCTTGGGTATTATGGATGTCGTTTTAAGACTTAAATCCTGTTCTGTTCATCCATCTAATGTTGATATTTTTGCTTTAGCAGACATTTAACTTGGTGAGACCCAAACTGCCAACTTGGTCATGCCTGTGCTGGTGGTTGCTTAGATCACAGCAGAGACCCCTTTCAGTTTGCCCCCATATATACGGTTCAGGGGCCAGCCAGGCTCTTAGGCAAAGTTTATGCACAGAACTTGAGGTCTCCCTCACTGACTCTTTTCTTTTTGGAGTGTTCCCACCTTACCCCTTGGCAGTCCTGGTTGCCCCAGCTCTGTCCTCTTGTTCTCCTGGCCAAAAAGATGGTAGGCTTTCTGTCTGAATGTTGTTGTTGCCACACACCACCATGCCTGTGGCTCACAGGTGATGTGAGTGTGCACCTGGAAAATTGAGAAGAACCTACAGGTCTATTATTAGAATGAATACAGAGCTTAGCAGGGTGACTAGGCACAAGCCAATATACAGAAATCAGTTGTATTTCTATTCACTAGCAACAAAGGATTATAAAATGGGAAATGTTTAAAGATGCCATTTAAGAAGCACCATAAAAGATTACATACCTGAGAATAAATCTAAGGGAAGATGTGCATCACCTGTGTACAGAAAATTTATAAGCATTACCAAGAGGAATTAAAGGCCTCATTCAAAATCAAAACTCTGCAGGTGTTTGCGGGGACAGGGAGGGTAGACATTGACAGCTGACTTTAGAACTAATATGGAAACGCAAAGGGCCGGCGAGACTCAGTGCTTTCTTCACTTTGAGCACCAAAGTAAGCGAGGACAGAGATGAATTACAGCCCCTGGAAAATGACAGCGTCTGTGAGTCCATGTGGACAGCGATGAGATAAACAGGAGCAGGGCTCTTGTTGACAGTGGAATGTCACTCACAGACCAGCAAGCATGGAGTGGCACTGACTGGAAAATCATCTCGAAACTGTCATGTTAAACACTGGAGACATCGCAAAAACCCCAAGGGCCGTGGGAGGCAGCCCTCTTCTTCAAAAATCTCAGTGTAGGCTGGGCGTGGTGGCTCACACCTGTAATCCCAGCACTTTGGGAGGCTGAGGCGGGCAGATCACTTAAGTTCAAGACCAGCCTGGCCAAAATGGGGCAAAACCCTGTCTGTAGTAAAAATACAAAAATTAGCCAGGTATGGTGGTGCACCTCTGTAATCCCAGCTACTCGGGTGGCTGAGGCAGGAGAATCTCTTGAACCTGGGAGGCGGAGGCTGCAGTGAGCTGAGATCGCCCCACTGCACTCTAGCCTGGGCAACAGGGTGAGACTCCATCTCAAAAAAATAAAAAAATAAAAAAATTCAAGTGTTTCAGATTAAATGAAACTAAAGAGGCATGATAACTACATGTAAGTAATATACTAAATTCTGTGCTAGAGGAGGGAAATGGTCTTATAATGCTGTATCTGTATATATTAGATAAACCTCGGTGTCTAATACGTGGTAATTATGAGACAGTCATCCTAGATGAATACTCTTATCCTTGCGGCGTTCTCCTGAAGCAGCACCTGAAGTTGCCGTGGTTGTAGAAGCAGGTGTCCTCATTCTTAGGACATACCCTCTGAAGTTGTTAGGGGTAAACAACTTGCTCTCAAATGATGACGGATTTTTAAAAGTCTGTGTATTGAAAGAGAGCGAGCGAAGGATAAAGCAAATGAGAGAAGATGTGAACAGGTGAATCTAGAGAAAGACTGTATGAGCTCTTTGTACTATTCTTGCAACTTTTCACACATACCTCTGTCCTAGCCCCAAAGAGACTTGGAATTTGGGTTCTGGCTACTACAAAGGCTGGAATTCTGCTGTGAATTTCCCCAAAAAGTAGAAAGCTAACAGGCAGTCCAACTGTGACATGCCTGGTGCCGCACTTGCTGGGTTTTAGAGATTCTGTGGTGGAAGCCTCTGGAAACTGGGTGAGCTCTCCCCACCCCTAGCCCTGTTATTTAGGTTTTTGGGTTTTTTTTAAGAGACAGTGTCTCACTCTGTTGCCCAGGCCTGAGTGCAGTGGCGCAATCATGGCTCACTGCATCCTCAACCTCCTGGGCTCAAGTGATCCTCCCACCTCAGCCTCCCAGGTAGCTGAGACCACAGGTGTGCGTGCCGCCACACCTAGTCTAGGTGCTTTTTATCTAGAGGCAGGGGAATACCTTAAAACATACTGTAAAATTTCTTTCTAGCTCATTTTTCTATGATGATCCCTGTGATACAAATGAAGAATCTAAATCTATAGTGGTTTTTTGTTTGATTATTTGTTTGTTTGTTTGTTTGTTTGTTTTGAGACGGAGTCTCGCTCTGTCGCCCAGGCAGGAGTGCAGTGGCCCGATCTCAGCTCACTGCAAGCTCTGCCTCCCGGGTTCACACCATTCTTCTGCCTTAGCTTCCTGAGTAGCTGGGACTACAGGCACCTGCCACCACGCCCGACTAATTTTTTTGTATTTTTAGTAGAGGCAGGGTTTCACCATGCTAGTCAGGATGGTCTAGATCTCTCGACCTCGTGATCCGTCCGCCTCGGCCTCCCAAAGTGCTGGGATTATAGGCATGAGTCACCGCGGCGAGCCCTAAATCTGTAGTTTTAAGGGCTGAATCTATAATTTGAACTATTAAACATCTTATGAAACTGTTTAAGAATGAGCCCAACAGATACTCATAAACCCATTGCCCAGTATTAACATGTTGTTTACATTTCACCATCTTTGCCTCTGACAGATGAAAATCCACAAGTTCATAATTATATTTGTCGGCTCAAGCTGCCATAACAAAATACTCTGACTGGGTGGGTTAAACAACAGAAATTAATTTTCTCACAGCTCTGGAGATTGGAAATTGAGGATCTGGGTGGCAGCACCATCAGGTTCTGGTGAGGGAGGGCTGTCTTCCTCGCTTGCAGACGGCCAGCTTCTCACTGTGTCCTGGTGCCTCACATAGGACGGAGTGAGAGGGAGAGCTCTCCGGTCTCTTCTTATGAAGGCACTATCGTATCATGAGGTCCCTACCTTCAGTCACCTCCCAAAGTCCCCATCTCCAAATACCATCACACTGCAGGTAGGGCTTCCACATGGGAATTCTGGGAGCATACAA